>NC_000014.9:84611713-87111713 GCF_000001405.40 Homo sapiens | reverse complement strand
GATAGCCTGGTGTGGTGGAAAGACATGTGCTTTGTAGAAAATGCTGAATTTGCATACTGATTCTACCACTTAGTTCTGAGATGTTGTACAATAAACTTTTAAGCTCCCTGAACCTTATTTTTGTCATTTGTTCATCACAGGTAGAATCACATCCAGCTTGTAGGATTGCTGCATGGAATAAATGAGTTGATGAATATAATGTGTTAGCCCAGAGTGGATACTCAGTAATTGCAATAGACACAGCAAGGGCTCCAAAGGACATGGTAATTGAGTTAGTGGTCATATTTTGCAAGAGTATTGCTTTTCTATCTTAAAAACCGAAAATAGATTTTATTGATTAAACATGTAACCAGACAGCACATATGCAATGGAATGAAACTTATGTCTCAAGAAGGCAGTGTGGACATGATGTCTGAGACCTGGAAGTAATTATTAATGTCAGGATAATGTATTATGTAGATGTTAAAAATAACTCAAATGTAGAAGTTCTTTTTCCCTATTTGGAGTATTTATATGATGTTCATTATTGTGTTGCCTTGACTGGGAGCAACTGGAGGAGAAGAATTTTTGTACAGGATAGAAGAGAAAAAGGCAAGAAGGATGAAAGGAAGCAGAAAGGGAGGGAGGGAGCATGGAAGAGAAGGAGGAAGAAGAAAGAAAAGAAAGAAATGAAGGAGGGAAGCAAGGAGGAAAACAATTTTAGTAGAAAGTAATGAATTTAGAAAGGAAGAAAATTTATAAAAGATGGAGAGAAGAAATGTCTAATTATTCATCCCTCCTCTTTGCCATGCTTGGAATTAACAAATATAAAGTGTTAATTAATTCATCCACTCATTTTCCATGCAACATGTATTTATTAACAGTTCATCAGAAGCTGGGGGTATAGAAATAACTTATTTAGTCCATAATAATAATAAACTTAGTATTACTATCACTGTTTTATGAATGTGCAAACTTAGTTATGGTTAGCTGGTCAGTGACAGACTAAGATTCCAATTCTTATCTGTTTGGCTCCAGGTTAAGTGCTCATTCTGTTTCCACACAATGCCATCTTAACTAAGAGTAATAGAAGCAAGGCACTATAAATGTGTGTGTGTGTGTGTGTGTGTGTGTGTGTGTGTCTGCGTGTCTGTGTGTGACAGAGAGAAATTTTGAAAGTTTGCCCATTTTTTGAACAATATGGAAAAGCCACACAGACATTTTTTAGGGTACTTGGAATACTGGCTATCATTTCTGTTCTTCTTAGGGAAAGATATCACAAGGAGATTAACCAGTATTAGAGATTTAGCACTGTACATAGTAGGTACTCAAAAAACATATGTTTAATTACATATGTAATTATATAACATATTTTGTAAAAGCAAAATATACCTCACAAATCCAAATACTTGCCTACTTTCCTAAATAATATACACCTGCAGAATACTACAATGTATTTCACACATATTCAGGGAGCACATATTCTGTATTAGTAACTATACTGTGTGAAACTAATACAAAAATTAAAAGACCCAGAACCTAATCTGTAGCTCACAAAGGATGGGAGACAGAATGAGAAAGATGCAATGGCAGACTGATTTGTAGCTGATCTTAATATAAGATAGTATCAAGGAAATGAATATGACAGTTTTGTTCGTATTAAAGGAGAAATAACAGATAAATTTTTTGGGGGGACAGTCAAAAATTAGGAAGAGGAGTCAGGAGAAACTTCACAGTAGAGGCAAAATTAGCAATTGGGGTCAGGGAATGCAAAACATTCATTGTTTTCAGAAGGTAGCCTAATTGAGGAGAAATAGAGAGAAAGTGGGCCAGGGAAACTGGTTCTTGATTTTGAATGACATTTCAGGCAGTGCTAAGGAATATGGATTTTTTTTCTGCAATGGAGGCAATGAGGGTCCCTTGAATACTTTAAATGATGGTATGACATGAACAATTCCTACACTGCTGGTCGCTTCTAATTGAAATGTGGTGGATTGAAAACATCTGCTTAGCTTCTACCTTAAAACCCTACTAAAATAATAATAAGGGAATTTTTTACAAAGAAGGAATCAACACACAAGGTTAAAGAGGATGGCAGAGGAGCAACGTTGACGATATTTTGAGCACTGGGAAGCAGATGGGCTGTAGACTCAATACCTGCCTGTTAGTGGGAGATCTGCACCCATGGACCCCCATCAGTGGGAGAACCAAGAACTGTCTGGTTTATATAACAGCCTTCCTCACAACACAAATTGGCATGGTGCCAGGACAAAAACAGGAGAATTGTTTCAAAGTCCTATCATGAAGGGATTAGAACCCTGAGCTCTTTCCTAGTGCCGCATAGTCAAGCCAGTAGATCTCCCCATTCTTACAGAAGGCAGAATTTTTCTTCTTTAGAGATAACATGTACAGACCCCTGTACTGAGGTACACCAGATATAGTTGTGGGTGAGACAGAATCTAAATAAATGAAATTTAAGTGAAACTTGCATAGAGATTTGGTCACTTTAAGACTTCTATACTAGGATTCTAGAAGTCAATATTACCTATAACACCCAGTCAGGAAAATAAAAATGTTCTTAAGTATATGGCCAGCCTAACAGAAAAACTTATGCGTCCCAATCAAAGCAAAACAAAATAAAACAAAAACAAGCAAGAAAAGCCCAATAGCACAACAGCCTGTTCAACCTACAGCCAAGATCGCAACAGACAAATGCTGCCATGCAGAGCTTCCTACAGCTGTTTACTGGCCAACTCCCAAAGCTGAGCAGGCAACCAAAAATCTCTAGACATTTGTGAAAGACTCTGTATAAAGATGACTCATGGTCCCCAAATTCTGCTATTTCCTTCTTCCATAGAAATAGAACTTAAATGTGGAGATGACTGTCTTGGCAGCTAGGGATAACTCTGTGCTAATTGGAATGTGTGTAAAAGTGACTTATAAAACATCTATCGCATTGGCTTCAAAGGAAACTCTGACCCTGGAATTTCTCTCATTTCCTCTTTCTGCAAGATGGTGCATCTGGGGCATAAGACTGATTTTCCACGGTGCAGACAAAGACAAAAACTCTAGGTGACAGTAGAGAAAAACAGTGGAAGGAACCTGGGTCTCTAAGTGACTGCTTGGAACAAAACTATGCCCCTAACTTAGGTTTCTCACTCCAGGACTATCTCTCTGTATTCTATGTTCCTTAGGCCATAGTAATTTAGAGATTTGTGTTTTAGCAGCTGGTCTTTTATCTTTGATAACAAGCCTCAAATATAAAACAAAGAGAATCAACCCAATCAAAATAAAAAAATGTCTTGAAAGAAATAGAGACTATGACGATTGGAGAAAAATAAAGCAAAACAAAATACTAGCTGCAAAACCATAGAAGATAGGAAATGATATTGAAGAAAAGAATATTTGGAGAATGTTTAAAAGCTACAAGACATAAACCAAACATATGAAAATTGAAATAATAAATTTCAATTTTTTTTTAATTACAGTACTCCACTCACAAAAATAGAATTGGAAGACAAAACTTAAGAACTATCTCAGAAAGTAAGGCAAGGAAGCCCAATTATAAAAATTATTGAGGGAATAAAATAAAATAAGAAGACTAGTATAGGAAGTCTAACATCCAAATAAAGGGAGTACTGAAAGGAAAGAAGAGACAAAAAAAAAAGAAGAGAAAATCATTAGAGAAATGATAGTTCAAAATTGAAGCATGAGTGTTTTCAGATTAAAGGGGCCCACTTGGTGTCTGGCACAGCACACTAAATCACATTGTAATGAAATGCCACATGCTTCCAGGGAGAGAAGAAAGAAAGAAGAAGACAAGTGTCTTATGTAAAGAATCAAGAATTACATTCAAATCGAATTTTTCATGGCATTTCTGCAGGCTAAAAGACAACGAAGGAATATATTCATAGGTCTAAGAAAATTGATTTCCTATCTGGATCTATACCATTGCAAGCAATAAATGCAGTGTAAGGGCAGAATTAAAAGCACTGTCACTATTTACAACCTCACAATTACCTTCCACGTACCTTTTCTTAAGAAGTTAAAAGAGGAATTTGTTCACCAAAACAAGAAAGTAAACTAAGAAAGAAAAATATATGGGGTAAGTCAGGAAAAAGGAGAGAGATATGGATGGGGAAGGAAATTTTAAAGAGGGTTGCAAAGGAAAGTCTCTTGACAATAGCTATTGAACTAGTTCTGGTTGGAAGAAATCAGAAAACATGAGGTAAAACTTCTTCCAGGAGACCTAAGAGAGTCCTTCATATGTCTGAATATACCAAGAGGAGGTTCACATGAATGAGGGAGAGGTGAATGGTAAGGACTTAGAAAACTACACGTTATAAAAGAAAACATTTTATAACTTCAGAGAAAATAAAAACACTGCTTAGGAAAGGAAGGGAGTCTTATTAACTGCCTTGTTTTGCTTTGAATAACATTTACATAGTAATAATGATCTAAACACTATTTATCCAGGCAAATTATAGTATATGTTTACTAAGAATCGGATAAAATGGGAAGGATGTGTTGTTAGTGTCTGGTGGGGTGGTTTGGAGGAGACACTGATGACTAGGGAACGTGTTTAACCTTCATGTGCTTTAGTGGAAGTCAACAGATGATGAATAAAGCTGAAAATCAGGCAGCAGCAATATTAACAATATTATTAAAATATGGGAAAGTAGATACTAAAAAATCAGAAAAGAATTGAAAGTGATTATTTTAGGAAGCAAGAAATAGACTGAATGAGGTAAGATAGAGAAACAACTGTTTCTGCTGTTGTTGATTTATTCTTGAAAACAAAGTTTGTGAAGATATATAAACGTAATATTTTTGATATAAGTTAAATATACAAACAATCAAATTCTGGCAGAACTCCTGGGAAAATGGAAAGGAAAGGAACTCCTGAGAAGCAGGGTAGCCACGTAGGCTTTGATTCAGTATATGCTGAAGGTGAACATGAGGGCCTGGTGTTGCACGATGTGTATGCATCATGACACTACTTACTCAAGAAATATCAAGTACCCAGTTTGAATATACAAAAATATTTCTTTCTAAAGTGGAATAAATAGGGGGTTGTTGGAACAACAAGAAAGTACCGATAACTCGAATTTTTACGCCATTTTTTATCTGTTCCAAACACTTTACAATAAGGGTTTTCATTTAATTCCTACTGCAGCCTTCTGAGTCTGGCAGGGCAGAAACGATTGCAACCTTTTTACATTTTAGCAAATTGTGGATGAGAAAGCTGAAGACATCACCAAGTTGGGAAGTACAGAACAGGCCAGTATTAGTAACACATTTTTTTTTTTTTTTTGACACAGAGTCTCGCACTGTTGCCAAGGCTGGAGTGCAGTGGCGAGATCTTGACTCTCTGCAATCTCTGCCTCCCACGTTCAAGCAATTCTCCTGCCTCAGCCTCCTGAGTAGCTGGGACTACAGGCACGTGACACCACGCATGGCTAACTTTTGTATTTTTAATAGAGACAGGGTTTCACCATGTTGGCCAGGCTGGTCTTAAACTCCTGACCTTGTGATCTACCAGCCTCAGCCTCCTAAAGTGCTGGGATTACAGGCGTGAGTCACTGCGACCAGCCAGTACCACAATTATTAAATATTCTCTGTTCACTGAATTTCCTTTAAATATAAAATTATTATTTTTGAAGCTTCTTCTTCCTTTTGCATTCTGGGAAAATTATATTTCTTACATTTGAGAAGCTCTCAAGTTAATACAATAAAGATTGAGAAATATTATAAATAGGTTTAATATTTTTACTTCACTTTCAGATGATATCTTTATCTCACTCCATTTAAATGCTTCTCATTAATAGGCAAAATTAATCCTTTGAGTGCAAGGCAAAATTATTGACTTAATTATATATTCTTCTTGTGTGCTAGCTTTCTTTTTGTTACACGTTAAGCTGGGATACCTTGTGGCCTATTTAATTAAGGAATTAGACTCTATTTATGTAGGAATTTGCAGCAGAGTTCCAGCACTAAGTAGAGATGCAGAGTGTCCCTCTTGTCATTATTTACCTTCTAGGTCACCAAAAGCATGTGCCACGTAGGAAGGTCTCCATTGAAATGGCCCTGGGCAACCCAGCCAGCAACAAATCAAAGGTGAACATGTAAAGCTTTGAAATGCTTCAAGAGAGATTTCAAAACCTGTCATTGGTAGACTAAGACTCCGGAATACATAGCTATAAATTAATATGAAAACTTGAAATTAAATAAATAGTTGAAAGGGAGTTTCTCATTTAGTTACTGAGTGAGAACTAGGTATGATAAACCTTGACTGTAGAATAGGAGACTACATAACTTTGAAGTTAAGATTCTGGCTTTTGATGTCAGACTGGCCTGGCTTTGAATCTTGGCCTGCATCCGCCTAGGTGGTGACCTTGGGAACATCACTTAATCTCTCTGAATCTGAGCTTCCTTGCCTATAAGATAGAACTATGGTCATCATTTCATGAATTGTTAAAGAATTCAACATGATGATGTATAGAAAGGAGTCAGTAGTATCTGGCAGTCCAGACACTCAATGATAGGTATTATGAATGATAAGTAATTGAAATGAATAAATAAAATAAAATAATATTAAATTATGAACAAATAAATTAATTAAATGAATACTTAAAGGTGCTGGAATAATAATGTTAGAAATAGCAACAGCTGCAGTAGCAGAACAGAAATAATATTCCTTAAAAAGAGCATGGTAACGTATTGCCCACCTGGTATATGTTACAGAAAAGCACTCCATGAGCTCTCTAAGCGTTAAACTCTGCCTCTTCTGGACACTTAGGCAGTGGTTAATGTCTTCATACTAACATTGTAGCACTTACCACATGAACATTAACATACTTATGTATATACCATAGTTATTTATGCATGTATGAAATTATTCATGTACCATAACTACGTATATACCATAATTATATGTTCCTCATTCTTCCGGAAGGCAGAGATTGAGTTGTCTCCATGTTTGAATTTCCAGAACTTTGAAAAATTTCTAACATCTAGATGACACAAATATTTATTAATGAATGAATGAATTGATGTATGGTAGGCTTTCTTATAATCTTTCGTTTAACATGTATTAAATGCATGCAGAAGTTTGAGAGGATAAGTCAATATTCAACATATTGAATAGAAAATAAACGTATGATGTCGATGTCAGGTGATCCATTTCCATTCTTACAATGGTTTGACAGTGACTTGTTGATCATTTTAGATAAAACCAAGAAAATATAAAAATTATCTTAAATACTTCAGAGTGGTGAGATGGGATACTGTTCTACTAGTGGGAGTGTGATATGACTAAAGGATGTTCACCACGCATTATCTTCATTGCTTATTTATTTCTCGGCTGCAAAACCAGGTATTCCCTATGACAGGACCTCAAATTTGCAACTAATATAACTTAACATTGAATTTGGTGATTTGGATTAGAGTTGGTACAATGTTCAACTTTTTAATGGTATTTTCGCCTCCTTAAAGCAAGATTTTGGCTATTTGTCTTTATTGCAAATTGATTAACTCATATATTGTACTTGTGCCTAGAATACAGCATATTTGAGAATAGCCCATAAATAAATTATTTGAACATATGCTTGTGTTTTAATTCTTGAATACTGATTTACTTTTTATAGAAGCAGGTACAATTTATGCTGCACTTTGGAGTAATGTAATAAAGCCAAGAAGATGCTATAGAAAACAATTAAGCTTTTTAATGATTAAAATGTAGCCAATTTGACATCTCCCTATTATCACTGAAGCAATCCGAATTTTCACTTAGAGCTATAGACAGGACATTGCTACAATGTAAATGTATCATAGTTTAGTTTTCTCTCCACGAGCTAGAGATATAGATTTAATTCAGAGAGTTTATACTAAAGTTAAGAATTTAAGAATTAGAAATCTGATATAAATTAAGTATAGGTATCTAAAGACTATGATAAAAAGTTTTATATATGTATATATAAAATATGCAAATATGTAAATCCCTGAGGCAAGTCTCAATCACTTTAGGAGGTGTATTAATCTGTTCTCACACTGCTATAAAGACATACGTGAGATTGGGTAATTATAAACAACAGAGGTTTAATTGACTCAGAGTTCCACATGGCTGGGGAGGCCTCAGGACACTTAACAATCATGGCAAAGGGGAAGCAGGCTCATCTTCATGTGGCCAGAGCAGGAGCGAGAGAGAGCGAGGGGAAGGTGCTACACACTTTCCAACAACCAGATCTCCTGAGAACTCTATCATGAGAACAGCAAAGGAGAAGTCTGCCCCCATGATTCAATCCCTTCCCACCAGGACCCTCCTCCAACACTGAAGATTACAACTTTGACATGAGATTTGGGTGAGGAGACAGAATCAAACCCCTTCAGGAAGTTTATTTGCAAAACTTAAGGATGTCTTGCCTGGGAGACAGGTCTATGCCTTTCTCCAAAGATGATTTTCAGGGCTTCAGCATGTAAAGGGGAAAGGGCAGATACTGGAAGAAAGGGAAGAAATATTTTTAAAAACATGTCAGTAGATGAGAGACAAATGGTTACATCCTGTTGAGTCATTCATCAGCCTTTCACTGAATACACAATTTTCATGTGAGAGGTGGGGTAGAGGAAACAGTAACTTTTGCCTTCATCTGGTTGAGATAATCTTCACTTTTACGTAAGAAAGTGTAAAAACTAGGGCCGAGGAAGCAATCAGACATGTATATGGCTCATGTGAGCAGAGTGATGACTGAATTCTGTCCTTTGTCCTGTACCTGTGAAGATAAGCTAACACTTGACATTGCCAGGGTGAAGTTTATCCGCACTGTTTTAGGGTAAAGATCTTGGGGCCCACAAGGAAATTCCTTGACAGGGAGGTATGTAGCTTTTCATCTTTGTAGCTAGCTATTTTTTAAGGAGGTACAAGAGAGAAAATACTAAACAGGGGTAAGAAAAGTGAGGAAAGTGGAGATCAAAAGGGAGAAGCAAGGAGAGGAGAAAGGTAAGATTGGAGAGAAGAAGGGCAAGAGGGAAGAGGGAAAAAAGAAAAGGGAGGGATTAGCAAGGGGACAAGAGGCAGTAAAGAAGAGAGTGAAGAGGAAGGCAGGATGGGAGAAAGAGCTATCTATGTAGGTATCTTATTTAGGAATCAAATGGGAGGCAGGTATGTGTAACCCAGTTCCCAGCTTGATTTTTCCCTTTGGCTTAGTGAGTTTGGGGGTCACATGTGAAAGGCATATAAATCTTGGGACCCCCAAACTTACTTTTATTTGTGTGTGTACATATATGTGTGTGTGTGTGTGTGTGTGTGTGTATGTGTGTTTGGGAAGGAGTTATTCCTATATTAATGTATAATAATTACAAATTACAATATATACCAACAAGTTGAAATGTTACATGTAACTATAATGAGTATACTTTATTTTGTACTATTAGTAAAAAATTGTACATTTATTATATTATTTAATCTCCATAAAAACACCTCAAGAAATGGGTGCATTTTTGAATTTTGTAAATGAGGTAACTGAGGCTCAGCGAGTTTATGTGACTTACCCAGCAAATGACAGAGACAGTGCTTAAATATCCTGTTGTCATTTGGGCGCCATGGCTCACACCTGTAATCCCAACATTTTGGAGGTCAAGGCTGGAGAACTGCTTGAGCCCAGGAGTTCTAGGCCAGCCTGGCAACACAGTAAGATTCTGTCTCTACAAAAAATAAAAATAATAAAATTAGCTGGGTATGCTGGTGCACACCTGTAGTCCCAGCTACTGGAGAGTCTGAGTGAGGTGGGAGCACGGTCTGAGCCCAGACAGTGGAGACTGCAGCGAGTTATAACAGCATCACTGCACTCCAGCCTGGGTGACAGAGTAAGACCTTGTCTCAAAAAAATGAATGAATAAATAAATAAATACATATCCTGTTGTTTGATTCTTAAGCTTATTTTAATGTGTTGTTTGTTTGCTTTCCTCTTCGATTCCCTTTTGTCCTGTATAATTGGTGGATAATGAAAGTACTGAGACCCATAGATACTGCTTTATATATCTTTCCTCACTTCTTTATCTCATCTCTTCCCATTCTTAAACAAAATAAAGGAGGAGGAGAAATGGGAGAGGAGGACATGAGAAAGGGCAGGGGAAAGCAGTCATACTTACAGATGTGACATTATTCAGTTGAAGTTTATCTGCTTCACTTTTGCTAATTTCCTCTCCCAGTGATGTTATAGCAACAGAGGTTAAAAATGAATTAAGTAGGAGGAGAAAGAGGAGAAAAAGGGAAAGGAAGTGGAGGAGAATTAAGATTTAAATACGAAGTCAAATACTTAATAACTCAGAATTAATGTCTTTTTTGTATTGTTATATAATTGTTGTACATACTTTTGGAGCACACGTGATATTTTGATAACTGTATACCATGTGGGTGCAATTGAGTGCAATGTAAAATTGCCAATCAGGGTAATTGGAATAGCCATCACTTTTATTTATTTCTTGATTAGTCTTTTGAGATGTCATTTAGATCTCCAAATAGATGCCACATTATGGACACAAACTGAAGATCTCATAGGAATACAGCATTCAAAGAAAGAAAGAAAGAGAGAGAGAAAGAAAGGAAGGAAGGAAGGAAGGAAGATCTTTGATTGAAGTAAAGTTGGAATTTGTGACACAAAAAAAAAGGTCACTGGGTTGACCTAGATATAAAGGTTGCTTCCAATGATACACTCTGCTTGGCTGTTTTTTGTTTATTACAATTTTTAAAATACAATAAGTTTCTTAAATGCGGAAAACATTACCCAGCATCCTTAAAGAGTGTATAGTATGCTCGCTGAACCTACCATTGGTGTCGAGTGAATCCTATCTTCTCTGGAAGCCTGCCATCTAGGAAATCCAGGGGCCCGCTGCTTGAGTGACTTGCCTTTCCATCTACTAGACTCAAATTTCAATGCTTACTCTTATTCTGTGAGCAGAAGTTGAGTCCACCCCAACTGCATTTTTGAATAATTTTTCTCTGTACCCACTGAGACAAAACTAGAATGCTGAGCTCCCAAGGTGAAATTATCTGGAAGAATTTCAAGGTGACAATGCTTTCACATTTGAAGTGTAGACTATCTGGAAATATCATAAAGTTTGAGTGAATTCTAGGGGTTGAATCAGGCATCAGTATAGGGCCAGGGATCTGAGGCTATCATTTCATTTAAAATCAGATGATTATTTCTAAATGCAAATTGGAACAGGTCTATCCAGAAGCTGATCTGGCAGGAGGAAAACAATGTGATCCTGTCTCAAATATTTAAAACTGTGAGGGATGAGAGATGAATTGGACACGGCATAATAATTTTATTTAGGAAAGGTTGCAGAATGTCGAGGCAAGTCTGATCTTGTTAAATTTTCCCCGTGTCACTCACCAGCTGATGATTTTCCTTCATTAAAATCATCACTGTGATTATGTATCTGTTTTTCCCTGAGATTCAAAATTTTGGTCACTTGAACTCTGTAGAGAAGGATATTTAGAAACTTCAGCTGTGTATTTTAAGCAACTTGAGATCTTACTCATTTGGTGACTTGAAGGTTTAACCTTATTCTAGTCCTGAATGCTTACAAATGTGTTTACTCATATATTTACAATTATGTTTACAAATATCATGCAAGCATTAAACTCATTTAAGACATGTTATTATTTAAAACCAGGTGATGATGACTTAAAAAACAAACAAACAAAAAGCCAACCTGAAATGCATGGAATCTGCTTTGTGTCAATTCTGATAGCCCATTAACACCGTGTTTGTTCGCCTGCAGACTCTGGCAAACACTCAAGGGATGGGAGTGCAGGGGGCAGGAATGAGACAGTTGGTGCCATGCAAAGAAAAAAACATTTATTTGGTGATAGCCTTGGAGGTTTATCTCTAGGACATCCTCAGGGCATATTCTTAGAGAAAAAAAAAAAAAAAAAGCACAACCCAGTACATACATAGTACATACTGCCTATTCTTTGAAGCCTCCAAAAGACATTCACAGCTTGTCATTGTTGGATAGATAGTTTATTCATTCTGACACAGAACACTAGGAATTTTTTGGGGGGGTAGGGGGAAGACGTGAATGTTGATAAAATAATTTAAGTAGAAAAGAAGAGGATCTATTTTCTTTTCTTTCAGTGGTTTTCATAGTTGGTTTTATTATAATATTTTGAGGGTATATTAGGGTTATCTAGAGAAATGAAATAAATATATATTTTTCATAGTGTAAGTTTCAGTCCAAGGGCAAGAGAAGACTGATCAAGCAGGCAAGCAGAGAGAGGTAATTCAATCTTCCTCTGCCTTTTTGTTCTGTTCGGGCCATTGTTCCTCGATGGGTTGGATGATGCCCAGCTACATTGGGGAAGGCCATCTGCTTTACTCAGTCCTCCAGTCAAATGCTAATCTCCTCTAGAAACACTCTCACAGACACATCTAGAAATAATGTTTAACCAGATACCTGGGCATCTCATGGTACAGTCAAGTTGACAAACAAAATTAATGATCACAGAAGTCTTAGAATGAATTCTCTGATTCTTAGTTTTTAATTTGATCTTATATTTCTTCCCAGGAAGTATGAGTAACTCATTAGACATGACAGGGCATCATTAGAAAAGAAGAAACCCTTTAATTCCATCTACATTACATATTTGTAGTTCTTAATTTTTTTTTTTTTTTTTTAGTGGTAATTTGCAGGCCAGGCCAGTGTTCTGCATTTGATAACTAGGGTTATAAACATTGCCCATGAAGATTGAGGGTCTAGAAGAAATAGAAAAGCTGTGATCACCCGCATTCTTATCCCATTGAGGAATGCATATGGGAATGCAACTGAATAAGATGCTGCTAAAATTTATTATATTTTTTAGAGTGATTAAATGTTAAACAACAGAATGGTTACTGTTATTAGAAATACATTAATTTAGCCACACCTCACAATTTGTCATAACACACACCTGTCTTGACACTGGGGCTGGGAATTACTCTTAATTTTTATAAATTCAGGGTCCAACTGTATCTTCATTGCAGACACAGCCAGTGTGAATAGAAGTTAGGCACCATGGGGTTGGCATACAGTTTCAGAACTACAAGGATCAGGACTTCATGCCTCCCAAATGCATAGCCTCTAGTGCCATACTGGGTATCACTCTGTTCAGGAGAGATCTTCAGGGTTATTCTGTACTCCATTAGACAATCCTCAAAGGTGTACTTACTAGCACCAGCTTTCTGAATTTGGCAAGTTATTTAAACATTCATAGCCACAGTTTCACATTCTGAAAGTGAGGCACTTGTATCTTCTTGAGAAGGATTCATTAGCCATAAAAGAAATCATCCATGTAAAGTGCTTTGCGTAGTTCTCTGCCTGGCTAGCTCTATTACTGGCCTAGCCATGTTTTACTAAATATTTGTACCTGGGCATAATGTATATGATATGATCAATGAGAAATAATATTAAGGAATTAGACTAGGATTCTAGAAGAGAAAATATTGAAGTGTACTGAGCACCTATTATATCCTAACACTTACGTTAACTTGCTTGATACATGTCATCAATTTGAGTACTCACTATAACTCTCCCCAAAAGATTTGCTTTTTCCTGTATTATGGAGAAGACACAGAGGAGGTGAGGGATATGAAATTACAGGCTGAGTAAGGTTGCCGCAGAAGAGGGATTTGAACCCAGATTTGTCCCATTTCAAAGACTGTGCTGCTGTCACACTGCAAATAAATGAAGCAGTTTCAGCCTGACTATTCCAAGGGACCTTCTGGAAATATGCAGATGGACTGCTGTTGGGAACTGAATGTTTCCGCGCAAAATTCATATATTGAAACCCTAACCCCCAACATGATAGTATTAGGAGGTGAAGCCTTTGGTAGGTAATTAGGTCATGAGGGTGGAGCCCTCATGAATGGGGTTATGTCCTTATGAGAAGAGACATGACAGAGATGATTTTTCTCTAGGCCATGTGTGATGATTAATTTTAATTGTCAACTTCACTGGATTAAGGAATGCCTAGAGAACTGGTAAAGCATTATTTCTAGGTGTGTCTTTGAGAGTGTTTTCAAAGGAGATTGGCCTGTTATTTAGTTGAATGGGTGGGAAAGATTCACTTTCAAAGGGGGGCAGGCACCATCCAATGGGCTGGAGAGTGGAATAGTACAAAAAAGGCAGGGGAAAGGCAATTTCCTCTCTCCCTCCTGGAGCTGTGACACTCCTTTTTTTTTCCCTGCCCTGGGACCTCAGAACTCTAGACTCTGGCCTTTGGGCTCCAGTACTTACATCAGTGGTCCTAGGTTACCAGGGTTTTGGACTTTCACTGAGAATTACACCATCAGCTTCCCTGTTCTGAGGCTTTTGAACTTGGATTGAACCATACTACTGGCATCCCAGGGTCGCTAGGTTGCAGACAGCCTGTTGTGGGACTTCTCAGCTTCTGTATGTGAGCCAATTCCCCTAATAAATTCCCTCTCAAATATCTGTGTATATGGAGAACGCTGACTAATACCTCATATGAAGATACAATGAGAAAACAGTTGCCTGGAAACCAGGAAGAGGGCACTTATTAGATACCAGATCTGCTGATGCCTTGATCTTAGACTTCCAGCCTCTACAACTGTGAGAAATAAATGTCTGTTGCTTAAGTCACCCAGCATTATGTATTCTGGTATAGCAGGCCTAACTGACTAAGAGAGCTGACCTAAGAAAGGGGTTATTATTTTTACACTGTAATCACGTTAGTGGAAAATAACAAAAAACTCTCTTATGTCACAGAAGAGGATTTAAATTGCATTCTTAGTGGAATATGGATTTTTAAAACTGCCTGATCTTTGAAAAGAAGGTGCTAACAAATAAGTTTCCAATGCACACAGAAATTGCATTAAAGCTGCAAATCAGAGTGTTGGTCAATACAGGCACCAGGAGGCCCCCAGCACACCAGAATTGACTTAAAATACTTCACGAAAATCCACAGGCCATGTTAATGGAGGATTCTGAGCACATCCCATGGGAGAAGGCAACTTTTAAGTCCTCCCCCATCCCTGAATCTGTAAAGGACCTTGATTAAGTGTGAGCAAAGCAGGGGTATAACTGTTAATGAAATATAAACAAAGCAACTATTTTTATTCTCTTTTAGGGAGTTGTGTTTGGACTGACAAGCTCAAATCCCAACCATGACCCCAGCTCTCCCAATACTAAAGGCTCAAGAAATGAAAAGATGGCTTTGTTGACACTTCAACTTCTAGCCCCTCCTCGGCAGCTGGTTCAAGAAGGAAATGAGGGATAGTGTGTGCACCTAGTGTAAACACTCTGGTTCCTGTGAATTCCTAGAGCTGAGAGTTAATATATTTCTAACTTCAAAGTTGACTTAGTCACCATATTTCAAATGATCCACATTGCAGTTCCCATAAAAACTCCATCTCGTTAGCTCTTTATCTCCTCTCTCATTACCTTCCTGTAGTATATTTTAACTCCATAGATGATTTAAGGAACATTTCTGATCAATACCATTTTGTCTAGGGAGTTTGTCAAGTGGATTGAGAGTCACATTTATTCACAGAAGTAATTGACGGGGAGTGGAGAGCACCATAGATTTTTCTCTTTCTCATTCCATGCTCTGGGTATTATATAGTATTCAGATACTGCTCAGTTAGTTTTGATCAAATCACATAAAATCTTCCATGCTAAATTTTAGAATTCAGAAATGTTTTTAATTTTTAATGTGCTTAGAAAAGTTTCTGCAGTTTAACTAGTTTTGTATTTTTGATTTCGTGTTTCTAATTTTTACTGCTTTGTGAATATTAATTAAAATCATTCATTCTTATTACAAACAAAAATTAGAAAAAGGCCAAAAGCGCTGGGTTAAAGACTAGAAGGCATCCCTTTGTATGTTATGAGAAATTGCTAATTTCCATAAGAAATTTAATTATTTTCTCCAGTCATCCAGAGAGATCAAAACTAGGTGAAGTAAAGTTCATTCAGACAACCTTGTTACTGTGTTAATAATTAGATTTAAACTAACACAAAACAAGGACATAGCTTTTAACTTACTGATGGTGAGATTTAATTTTTCTTTTTGAAAGCTATCATATTCAAGATCCAAGTCTAAATACCTTTGTGACAGGAAAAGTAAAGACATGGAATACTGCCACTATTTTCTCCTTAGTTCTTAAAAGGCCACGATAATTCAGAAAGCATCCACTTTATATTCAAGTACAATGCTAATGGCTTATAGTTTCAGAGATTAAGAATGGTTAGGAAAAATATTACTCCCAATTCTCCATTCGTGCGTCAAAGGAGACAGGAAAATAAATTTATTCTAAAATAAGCAAACTTGCTTTCATCTTTTCTCCACATGCCTTCATCTTGTAACATTTGCATTAGACTAAAGAACGCTGTGTCACCAAATTGCTTACATCTTAAAACATTAAAATATTCTCTTTGGACTCACAAAAGACTGCAAAGTGCAAAATGCTTATTTATCACTCTTACAATGTAGCATAAAAATTAACATGAAACAACTTGGTGAAGGAGGGGAGACAGGGCTGGGTTTGGACCTCCCAATTCTCTTTACATCTACTGCCCAATGATGTCATCCAGCTTCATGGCTCTAAATGCCATCTATATGATGACAACTCTTGAATTAATATCTGCAGCCCAGACCTTTCCCTTGAACTCCAGACTCATATATCCAGCTGCCTACTCGACATCACCACTTGGATAACTAATAGGCATATCAAATTTAAACTGATTTCACCCCTTAAACTTGCTCCTCTCGCAGCTTTTTCCATCTCAGTCAGTGGGAACTCTAGCTCTCCAACTGCTCAGATCAAAAATCTTGGGAGCTTCTTTTGTTCACTTTCTTCCTTCTCTGACTCCCCACATTCAATTTAGCAGCAAATCCTGATAGCTATATTTGAAGAGTAAATTCAAAACCCATCAACATCTCACCACCTCCACTGCTAACACCTTGGTCCACACCTCCATCATCACCTCTGTGCGTTACTGCAAAACCATCTTACCTGTGTGCTGGGATTCCATACTTGCCCCCAGGGTCTATTCCCAACAAAAGAGCTAATGTGCTTCTCTTAAATCGGGTCAGTCAAAACTTCCTAATGGCTTCCCCATATAATCTAGAGAAAACAAGAAAGTTCTTTCAGCAGTCTGCAAGACTCCATACAGTTGAATCTCTTCCAGCTCTCTCCTTTTCAACCATGCTGGCTTCTTTGTTGCCCTTGTACATGCTAAATGCAAACTAAAGAAGTACCTTTCAGCTCATCACCTGGCAAAGAGTAGGTGATTAGTGAATGTTTTTTGAGTGAATGAATGAAGAATCTAAGAGATGTCAGAAAAGTGTTTAGAATATTTTAGTTATTCCTAGGCTACTTATGTGCTGTTGATTGATAATCATTACTTTGGACATTTCTGATATTATACAGATAGAATTTTTTTTTTTTTTTTGAGAGGGAGTCTTGCTTTGTTGCCCAGGCTGAGGTGCAGTGGCATGATCTCGGCTCACGGCAACCTCTGCCTTCTGGGTTCAAGTGATTCTCCTGCCTCAGCCTCCCAAGTAGCTGGGATTACAGACGTGTACCACCACACCTGGCTAATTTTTGTACTTTTAGTAGAGACGGGGTTTCGTCACGTTGGCCAGGCTGGTCTCGAATGCCCGACCTCAAGTAATCTGCTCGCCTCGGTCTCCCAAAGTGTTGGAATTACAGGTGTGAGCCACCGAGCCCCGCCCAGATAGAATTTTATGATACTTTCAATCAATATTTATTTAGTGACTACCATGCACCCAGGATTTATATGTACTAGCCTGCAGGAATACGAAGTTATATTTTATATGCTTTGAACAGGAAATAGTAATCTTATATCTGCCTTCTATTTGTTCCTTCTTCACGCATGATACATAAATTAAGTGCTTGCTATGTAACTGATTATGAGCCTAGCACCAACTTGTGTAGAGGTGGATATCAGAAGCTTATGGTTTATTTAGGGTACCAAAGCTTGATTTGTTTGTTCTTCAATTTGACATAATTACCAACATTTAAAACTGGGAGTTAGGGGTGGGAGAGTGTTGTACAAAGACAAATATTTCCATTTTCTCTTGGAAAATCAGCAGGCCTGGCAATCTTGGGCATGCCTTCCAAGTATTCTGTTGTATATGATTGGCAAAAGGGGCTTGCAACGGTAGAGGAAAGAAACATTATGAAATAGCAATTTTTCAATGGAATATTTTTTTTAATTTTAGAAAGCTTCACATAATGTGTTTCATGGTATACCAAAGACATTTTGGGGGGATAAATGGTGTTATCTCCAATTTTACAGCTGAAGGAGCTAGTCCAGATGAATTTAACCATTTGTTTTAACGACTCAGCTTGTAAAAAGTCTTTGCGTTTTCCTTCTTCTCTTTCTCCCTCTCCTCCTCCTTCTTTGTAATGTTACATTTATTGAGTGTTTACTATGGGCCAAACACTACCTCAAGTTTCTTTGATATGTAGATGCACTTAATATTCCCAATAACTCTGAGAAAGACACTATTATTATTCTCATTTTCTGATTTAAAAAAATGAGTGACTGGTAAGAGTGGTGACTTGCCCAAGGTTTCAAAGTCAGTGGTGACATAGCCAGAATTTAAATTCAGACAGTCATGTACAGAACCCGAGGTTTAATGTCTACAGTATAATGCCATGGTCAACCAGGAGTAAAGTCTAGGATTGCCTAACTCCAAAGATATCATACTTTCACTCGCTATTAACTGTGGAGGGCACAGAGTCACTTGGTGAGCCAAATGTGGATTCCCATGAACACTAGGGGAGAAAAAAGGCTCATGAAGCCATGGAGAAAAACCTAGTATCTTTCCCCAGCCCCTGAATCTACACGGGGCCTTTCTACCCAGGCCTTCATCATGTTCTGCCCATGCAGTCTGCATTGGGATGGTAGTCTAGTAAAGATAAAATGAAGTATCTGTTTATGGAAACTCATTCATTAGAATGCATTCTTTTTTTCACTTTTGAATGCCTAGTGCCTACAACTATGCCAGGTAACCTATAGGCATCAGCTTATAGAATGATTTCTGCACTGTCTTGTAAATTGACTTACTTTTCAAAAACTTTCCCACATTTATTGGTTTGACCAAATCAAATGCCATTAAAAGTAAACACAAAAGAATGAGTGAGTATCATAGTCAAAGTAAAGATAAAATTAGTGTTCACTGACAATGGCTTCTCATACCTCTACGAAGGAATGATATGCTTCCAGTTGATTACTCCCTTGAAAGGGATAAGTCTGGTAATAACTGCATCTTTCAGATCACTGTTAGCTCCAGTGAACCTTCATTTCTGGTAATTTGCCTTGCTCTTATGGAGAAAGTGAACAGGATCTAACTGCGTGTCAGTACTGCTTAGCTCCAGTGAACCTTCATTTCTGGTAGTTTGCCTTGCTCTTATGGAGAAAGTGAACAGGGTCTAACTGGGTGTCAGTGCATCATTTTTGCAAGCAAGGTAGGCAACACTGAAAGTGCTTTCTAAGAAAGAAGCCTTCTTTGCCTCTTCCTAGCCTCTGGTGGTTCCCAACAATTTTTGGTGTTCCTTGGCTTATAGATGCATCACTCCAGTCTCTGCCTTTATCTTTATATGGCCTTCTTCACTGTGTGTCTCTGTATCTGAATCTCTTTTCCCTGGTCTTACAAAGACACCAGTGATTGGATTTAGGGCCCACCCTAATCCAGTGTGATCTCATCTTAACTAATTGCATCTGCAAAGACCATGTTTCCAAATAATGTCATTTTTTTTTTTTTTTGAGGCTGTGGGTAGACATGAATTTGGGGAGAACACTATTCAGCCTATTACAGATGGGCAGTAGGAAAGGGCACACTCTTAACTTAAGCCTGAAGTGGAGATTAGGTATACACACCTTTAGTGTGGAGTCTTACATTTATCTGGCTAGGAGTTAGGATACTGTTTGCCCTAAGCCGTGGTTTCAGAGGCTAAAATTATATCTAGTGTCCTTGTTTTTCTCTCCCATTTTGTTTTTGAGTTTTCCTAAAGCTTCCTTAAATGGAACCTGAGGTTTGCAGTTCTTTAGCTGTAATTCTATGTTCTATAGAACTAACTGAGGTGGTTGTTAAGTATTAAGGGTGGAGCAGAATTCTTTAGTTCTGTGATCAGGTTTCAGTCTTTCAGTGAGTCTGAGTTGGGTCATTTCCTTCCCTCATGTAGAAGACTAGGGAAGGCTGGAGTTGGATCTTTCTTTTCTACAGGAAGGCTAAATGGGCCTGGAGTTGGGTATTTCCTTCAATGCATGTTGGTTAGGCTTTGATAAAATAGTTCTCCTTGCAGGAAAGGCCTTGTTAAGGAGAACAGAGAGCTTTGGATGTACTTCAAAGGTACTATTTTTCTCTCCTTTTGATAGAAGCAGAACAAGATTTTCTTCACAGTGATAATTTAATAGGAAGGTTCCCAGAGGTAAAACTCTCAAGTGTGGGGTCAGCACTAGGACTCCGTCCCCTCAGAATTTTTGTCTCAAACTAGTCATACTGAGAATCCAGCAATTCATCAGTTATCGTTTAAATTATTCTTACAGCTATTGGCTACTACTCTGGGCTTCTGCTTCTAGTAAGCTGTAATTTTCTTTATCTTCCTGTCTGTATCTTCAGTTTTCAGGGAAGTTGTCTAAACCCAGCTCGGCAATGTAGCCACATGGTTCTTTCCTCACCTAACACTACATCCTAAAGTATTTTACCCCTATTAACAAGAGCTGACACCTATTAGCTAAAAAACAAAAACTCAAAACCCACCCTATTTCCTAAAAATTAATCAGTGTCCCCTAAAATAATCATCTGTGCTTTTAGAGAAGATTAGTATCAAAACAAGGCATGCATATATTTTGACAAATGTACCCCCTCCCCTCGAATGTCTTGGCATGCAGAAATCCAAGGAAACTTGGAAAGACAGGGCTGATTTCACGGGAGTCAGGGAGCCTCTTGAGAGAAAAAGCCTCTCTGGAGTGCGATTCCTTTTCTGGTTGAGCAACCTATCTCAAGATTGAAATAGTCCTAAAGTAAATTCAGTGAGCAATAAAAGACACTAATCTCCATGGCTCTTTCTCATAACAAAACTTAATAGCAAATGATTGAGTAGCTTGAATTGTTGACCTACGCTGTACATCCGGGCCTGATAATCATGGGGAATTGCTGATTACCTTAACCCGGACATTTGGTATTGTGGACACAGTTTGTCATTACTGTCAGTGCATATAAATTTTAAATAAAGTGTCATAATAAAGAGAACAGAAGCATGGGAAGAACTCAGGGTGGCATAAGCAAAGAACAGAGTCTTTTCCTTGTTACTGCGTCACTCCCTGAGAGACACAGTGACTTCAGCAGAGGCATAAGCACAGCAACACGGCACCGGCCACCAGCATGCTTCACCAGTGATTTTCGTGACAATGACAGAGTAGTTTCCAGTTTAGCCACAGTTGGTCCTAGTAGGTTCTCACTTGGTACCACCATGATAAACGCCTTGTCAATGGCCACGGTTCTTCAGTTTTGACACACAGTTTTTTTCACAGTGGTAGCAGGATAAGCTACGACTTCTGTTCTGAAATAACCAGCTCCTGGTGGGGATTTTAGTAGCACTGAGTCTCCTTCCCTTATTTCAGCTCAAAAGGGAACCCTGATCAAGACTGATATTTGTATGAGTATGCATCCTTAGGGAATGGAGTTGACTTGGAGAGAAAAAGGAAGGATGTCTTTCTGTGGTCTGATAAGGGCGTTGAGTTATGGTAGTTGGTAATTAAAAGACATGTGATTTAATTCACACCCCAAACCAATCAAGTAGGACATGTCAGTTATATGGCTGACCATTAGTTTTTTTTTTTTTTTTTTTTTTTTTTTTTTTGAGACGGAGTCCCGCTCTGTCGCCCAGGCTGGAGTGCAGTGGTGGGATCTCGGCTCACTGCAAGCTCCGCCTCCCGGGTTCACGCCATTCTCCTGCCTCAGCCTCCCAAGTAGCTGGGACTACAGGCGCCCGCCACTACGCCCGGCTAATTTTTTGTATTTTTAGTAGAGACGGGGTTTCACCGTTTTAGCCGGGATGGTCTCGATCTGCTGACCTCGTGATCCGCCCGCCTCGGCCTCCCAAAGTGCTGGGATTACAGGCGTGAGCCACCGCGCCCGGCCGACCATTAGTTTTTTAAATCTCATTGTCATGAAGTGGAAAAGCCCAACATTTATATGACTAATCTATTAAATGTAGAGAATAAAAAGATGGATTCTGGAGCCAGAATACCTGGGTTGGGTTCAAATGCCGGTTCTATCACTTACTGGCTTTATGACCCTGGCCATATATTAAATCTCCTGTCTCTCCATTCTGTCATCCAAAAAATATGAATAAATAATAGTCTCTATTTCACAGAGTTGTATTGAGAACTAAACAAGCTAATGAAGAGTACTTAGAACGATGCAGAGAACATAAAAAGTCTCTAATAACTCTTTGTATTACTATGTATGTGCATCTTTCAGAACCAAAAATATATTTTTAAAAGATAATTACACCTTAGAATTGCCATAATACATTAACACACCTCTAAATCTGTCATCAGCGGAGAAGCACTGGCCAATTGAGAATGCATTCTTGCTTAACGAGAAAGCCTTCCTCTACTGGATAAATCCATTACTGTACTAGAAAAGTAACTATTGGCTGGGGCCTGGGCGAGCCAGGATCTGAAGTCCATGCCACCTTGGTTCTCTGGAGGAAGAAGGGGGCATTTTTTTTTTCCTGTTACTCTGTGCCCAGCATCTGTTAATTGGGAGAAAGGCAGATGGATGAGACATAGCTCAGTGCTGAGTGCAGATGAGAGACATCCCCCAGAGAAGTTTTAAAAATCTATTTTCTTTGGAGTCAGGCCTTCTAAACCTGACTTCGTTTTTCCAGCTGCATCTAAATGGGTGTGTTTATTTTCAGACATTTCCCCTTTCCTTAGAGTAGCAGTCAGTCCAGAGCTCACATTCTTCACTCTGTCTTGCATAGAGGTGTTTGGGGAGGATTGTTTTTCTTTTGCTCTTTACTGGATCCATTTTTTTTTCTCCCCAACTTCCCCCACTTCCCACTTCCCCCACCCCCACCCCCCGCGCCCACAATGAGTTCTCTTCTCAGAGCCTCTTCTGAGATGGAAAATTGAGCTGCAGTGATATGCTTGAAAAGGAGTAACAACATGTGTGGGGCTAAATTTCTATCAGGTCTTATCTAGTCCACAGCAACATTAAACAATTGACTCCACCAAGACCCTTGATATTAACATTTTTTTCTAACTAGAAAAACCATCAGAATCATAGAGAAAATATACACTCATTTAGATGTAAAAATCAACCGTTATTTTCATGCAGTTGAGTTTCTGAGCTCTTTCTTCAGCAGTAAAAAAAAATAAGACTCATGAAAAGAGAGTAAACATTATAAGATAAATGGTAATTCCCTAATGAAAAGTGTTTCATAATCACCCCTTTTTCATTAAAAAGCAAAACTAGAAAGATAATATAATATTTTAGGACTGTTTTTTTAAAATGTCTTTTTTAAAAGGCCAATTTTGTGTAAATGGCTTTTAATAGGAGCTTTTATCATGCAAAATCCCAAGGTTCCTTTGGACCATTATCTACAAGTTAGAAATGAAAATCACATGTCATTGAAACCAAACATCTGTTTTTAGGGAACTGCACTATAATTCCAGGATTTCGATTGCCTTGTATTTTAAACAATCTTAAAATCTCTTATATGACATAACAGCTATTCATTCATTTTTCAAATATGCCTTGACTGCTTATTGTATATTCCCAGTCACTGTCCCATTTGGAGCTGGAGAAACACATGTTTCTGACCCTCAAAGAGTTTAGAGACTGGAGAGAAAGAATCATTCCTTATGACACTTCTTACTTAACTATTTTATCACCTCTGCAATATCATTATCACTAGTCGAGGGTAAGGTTAATATGCCATTCTTTGTATTCTTGCTGGCACCTAATACAGTACTTGCAAATAGCAGATGCTCAACTCATGTTGACTAGCACGGTGTTATAGAAATTAGTCTATTTGACAATTGTCTCATTCTTTAAAGAAATGTGTGATAGTACATAGATTGTGGTCAAGAGCCAGTTCTTTATCTGTCTCCCAATTTCTCTAAAATTTTATTCAGGTTTTTGGTGGAAGCAACCTTCCCCTGCTCCAGAGTAAAACTCCAGCCGATCCCATTACTCTTCGATGGTGTTGACACCGTAAGTCATAGAGTCTCAAAGCAGTAGTTAGACCGCTCAGTTGAGGGTAAGAATTAAAGCTTGTACTTCATGTAGGGTTTAGTATTTCCTTCCCCAGCTCAGCACAGATTCAGTCTTAATCAAGGGCCACAGATGTCATCTCCGTTTTCTTTTCCCGCTCACCTCTTGCATTCCTTGTGAGTTGCTGTTTTTCTCCTCTAAGTGTGTGTCTGTAATGAGGGGGCAGGAGAGAAGTAAGGGTATCCAGCCTACCTGGTCATGCTTCATTCTCTCTGGGCCCTGCAGATTCATAACTCTGTGGGATCTCTGGTAAGGCCTTCTCCACAGAAGATCCTTTTTCAGTCCTACCCTTTTGTGGCATGCCTCCTTTCTGCTTTTGGCTGCCTCCTCAAGCAGTCTATGGACAAGATGGATAGAAGATTCCATTCCGGGTCCCTCAGGAGCTAAGCCCTCAAATGATTTCAAGTGAACAAGAAATACTTGGACACTTCTCCTATAACAGAGTCCCTGAAGGCAGGAACCCCAGGACGACAGCAAGGTCCTGGATTGGCTGCTCAGCCTGTGAATTCAGTTTCCTTGAGTGTCCAAGTGGGAGTCAGGTCTGTGTCCACAGTTGGGTTTAGCTTTCTCACAAAACCTGCCCTATGACATCTGTGTCTCCTCAACACAGAAAACAGATTTTGGAGGTTTTTTAGTCTTCCTTTTGAAATTTCTCCTTCTCCCCACCCCAACCACCACCTGTATGAGTATTCATACATACACACTCTCACACACACACACACACACACACACGCCTTAGAGTTGTAAAGTAGCAAGGCTCCCCCTTGCCACAAAGGGGAGGGGCTCATAAAACATCACTAATTCTCTCCAAAGAATTCCTTCTCCTAACTGCTGAATTCCTTCTCCTAACTGCTGAATTCTTTCTCCTTTATCACTCTGAGGCATTCAGGTGTAGTGGGACAGTTACTTTCTCACACTCATTTTCTTATTAAGGTAGCTGAACAAGCTGTTCTTCAAGAGAAACTGAGGCAGAAGGCCCAGGTCTAAGATCCCAGCTGTGGAACTAGCCCAGGTTTCATGCAGTTCCCTGATTTTCCTCATCAGAGTTACTGTGTGAGCAATGAAACAGTTTGGCCTTGTTTGTCTGTAAGGAAGAATTACGCACATGACACTTAGTGTTTGCAATATGCTTTACTGTGACAATGGAGAGTAATATCAATTAGTTTTTCAGGCCCCCTGAAAATAGTGCCTATAACAACTGTTTCGGGCTTGATGATACAGACTGTAGAAGAACAACACAAGCAGCCCCTCCCACTCATAGGCTGAGAATCTTTCATCTAGCACAGGGGTAAGCAAACTATAGTCTGTGATCTAAATCTGATTCATCACTGGTATTTTTAAATAAAGCTTTATTCGAACATCAGTATGCTCATTTGTTTATGTGTTGTCTATGAATCTTCTCATGCCAAAATGGCAAAGATGACTAGTGCAATAGATACTATATGGCCAGCAAAGCCTAAAATATCTCCTATCTAGTCCTGTACAAAAAACGTTTGTGACCCCTGATTTAGAAGGACTCTCAAGTAAGTTACTAAATTAAATACACAGAAAGCACATCATGAGAATGGTTCTGCATCCAGATGCTAAAAGAGGGAAAAGAAGCTTTCCATGTTGGCTGCATTGTCTTCCTGAGAAACAAGGAGTCTTACTGCTATTTGTATCTTGAAATCTGTTTCACTTGATTTTTCTCAGGCTGCCGTGCTTCTAGATCGCTTTATGTTGGAAATATTTTTTTCCTGAGGCTACGGAAATATTTTGTATTTATTTATTCATTTAACAAACATAGTTTTAGTACTGGTCACAAGACAGGCATTGAGTGAGTGCTAGGAATAGAATATCCTCAAATTGCCTAGGGTCTAGAGGAGAGGTAGGTCAGGAATTGGGCAGTTACAGAATTCTGCAGTGATACCCAGGGCAGAGTCAAGCACAGGGTACTAGGGAGTTGAAAAAGAGGCACCTAATGCTGCCTGGAGATGTTGCACAGGGGCATCAGGGAAGGCCTACCAAAAAGAAACAGTGGCAATGATGAGACGTGATGGCTGAGTAGAGGTTAGGCATCCACTGGGGAATTACTAAAGGAAAAGCTATTTTCAGACAGAGGGACCAAAAAGCTCAAAGACCTGGGATTTGAAAACCCACAGAATGGTTGACGGAACTCACATAAAATGATAACACTTATATGCCATCCTGGAGAAAATAAAAGAGTCTGTTTGTAGCTGAAGGCACCAGTCTGGGTATTTCAGCCACCTCAGGCTATGAGAGTAGAGAGGATCAGAAATTCAGCACATCTCTAACCCTCCTGGCTCATGGCAAATGGCCTTGTTAGGCATGTTGACTGATTTGCATTACATTAGGAGAAAATTGCAGATGCACTGAAAGGTTTACTCCAAGGTTTCATGATTTGTTTTATATTTGTTTAAACTGAGGTTATAGGAGGTGAATATGACTATTAGTACATTTGGCTATAGAAGGACACTCCACCAACAAGGAAACACTTTTAAAAAAGTATTTAGCATATTAAGAGGGTTACTGCATGCTTATCAATCTCTAATCCTCACTACACTGCCTTCCAATAAATAAAAGTAAATGCAAGTATATTTACTGTTGCCTATGTGCTTGCTACTTTGAAGAACATTATCTTATTAAATTTCACTATCACCCAGTCAAGCAGATATTATTATTCCAATGTTCAGAGATGAGGAAAAAAACTCAAATAGTTTAAATAATTCATCCAGAGTTACAAAGCTAGAAAGAGGAAGATCCAGGATCCCTAGGCTTGATTACAGATGCATATGCATTTGGCTAGGTAGACATTAGAGCAAGGGTGTTTCAGGGAAGAGAAGTAGCACTGTCCAGGTCTAGTGGTGTGAAAAAGTTCATTTTCAGGGAATGGTAAGAAGCTTATTTTAACTTTAGATTATCATTTTCCATAGTATAGACTAGGTATTAGTGGGTATTACATGATGGTTATATTTCATATTCAAATAAATTTGGAAAATAGGGGTACGATGGTTAATACTGAGTGTCAACTTGATTGGAATGAAGGGTACAAAGTATTGATCCTGGGTGTGTCTGGGAGGGTGTTGCCAAAGGAGATTAACATTTGAGTCAGTGGGCTGGGAAAGGCAGACCCACTCTTAATCTGACTGGGCACAATCTAATCAACTGCCAGTGTGGCTAGAATACAAGCAGAGAGAAAAATGAGAAAAGAGAGACTGGCTTAGCCTCCCAGCCTACATCTTTCTCCCATGCTGAATGCTACCTGTCCTCAAACATCTGACTCCAAATTCTTCAGTTTTGGAACTCGGACTGGGTCTCCTTACTCCTCAGCCTGAAGACGGCCTATTGTTAGACCTTGTGATCATGTGAGTTAATACTTAATAAATTCCCCTTTATATACATACATATATATATATGTATTCCATTAGTTCTGTCCTTCTAGGGAACCCTTGACTAATACAAGGGGTCAAACAAATTTATCTTTAAAAAAAATAAATTTAGGACCTCTCTGAGACTCCTAATGCATTGTTTGAGCCTCTAAACCATAAAGTTTACGGTGTTTCAAAAAACCTGTTGGATCACTAAGCACTAGGGTAGCATGAGACATGGCAATGATCCTCTGAGTACATCTGGAGGAAGAGCTGCTCATGACACCATCCAGTGCAGGCCAACAGGAAGACTATGCTTGACACAGATATTCAAGGGCACTTCTTTTTGTCTTGGGGTATCATTTCCCCAAGGTCTCTGATGACTTCTCCATTTCAACATTCAATAGAGAAAATAGTAAGAATTACATGGGGAAGGTTTCTAAACACTAGGTCTGTAAAATGGCTCACATAACTTACACTCACATTTTCATGCCAGAACTCAGTCCTGTGGCCACGTGGAATTGCAGGGAGGCTGACAGTGTGACCTACTTGTGTGTCCAGGAAGAAGAGGTGCATTTAGATCTTATAGAGTTCTAGCAATCTCTGACACATGAAAGAATGGCCAAAGAGGAGAGAGGAGGGTCAATCTTTTCATAAAAAATAAAGAAAGGTGAACGTTTCAAGTTACATAAGTTTTATACTTCTATGTTCAAATAGTATAAGTTCTTCAATGAGGCTGACATTTAACATTTCATTTATCATTGGTGGTTTCAATGGATGAGATTCATTTTAGTGACTGAGAGAGTCAGGCAGAGATTGAGGAATGAATGACAGAAGATTTGA
Organism: Homo sapiens; assembly: GCF_000001405.40. Taxonomy (NCBI): domain Eukaryota; kingdom Metazoa; phylum Chordata; class Mammalia; order Primates; family Hominidae; genus Homo; species Homo sapiens. The sequence continues at coordinate 87,083,201 of NC_000014.9, read as the reverse complement.
AGAGAGCAATAATATTTCACTTAAAAAACTGGTATTGAAGTAAGGAAAATCAATGGAGGTATATAGCTTGATGAGTCAGCAGAAAAAAATTTCTTTTTTTTAAGGTTAGATGAACATATTTATAAGGTCACAGAAAAAAAATCAAGCAGAAATAGAAAAGTTCAAGTGCAGAAAAAAGGTAAAATTTGTAGAGCAAATTTCTAAGGTGATGCTATTCAACTTTTAGATCAAGAAGTCAGTTTTTAAAAGAGAAAGACAACTTAGAGACTTTTCTTTCTTAGATACTTTTTATTAGCTCATATATAAATGCTTATGTATGAGGAGGAGGAGGTAGTCAATGTTTGCCAGATGAATTTGTTTGGTGTTGGGAGGAAAGGAAAGGGAAAATGCAAAGATTTAATCTTGAACTCTATGTTCTTGAAACTAACGGGGGTCAGGTTCAAGTTCTGTGAAAGGAACCAGAAGAAAACTAAGAAAATGTGTGGATATCTGGAGGTTCCACCAATGGAAAAATGGGGAAAAAACAAACCTTTTTATTTTAAAAATAGCTCCCCAAAATTTGAGATTTTGTAGAAGTTAGAAACCATACTTCTGTAATGATGACATGAAGAGTTACATGATTTCTTGCAGAATCTCAGACCAGAGTAGAATATACATCAAGGGTCTGAGAATGAAGAATAAGGAGCAAAGAGGCTTTGAAAGGTGAAGGTGAAGGAAGAATAAAAGAACAATAAGTTTTGAAGACGTTTGGCCAGAGGAAAGTGGTTGAAGGATTGAAATGGAGAGACTGAGGCCAAAAACAGCTGATGATTTTACTCTTGGCACATTAAAGAATGGGGTTGCTCCAAGTAGGAATGGAAAATACCTGCATTAGAATGACCTGGGAGCTAATTAAAAATGTAGATAGCAGTTGGAGAGAAGAGCCTTGCAATATTCATGCCAGGAAGCTCTGAGGTGATTCTTAGGCTCTGACATGAAAAACAAAATAGTGTTGGCTGGCCGGGTGCAGTGGCCCATGCCTGTAATTCCAGCACTTTGGGAGGCTAAAGTGGGTGGATCACTTGAGCTCAAGAGTTCGAGACCAGCCTGGGCAATATGATCAAAGCCTGTCTCTACCAAAGGGAGGCAGAGGCTGTAGTGAGCCCAGATCGGGCCATTGCATTCCAGCCTGGACAACAGAGTGAGATTCTGTCTAAAAAAAAAAGAAAAGAAAAGAAAAATAGTGTTGGAGACGGTGGCTAGTGTCTAAGCAGGCATTTGAAGGGAAAGGGTGCAATAGATGGTCCCAGGCTCTTTCTCCCTGTGCAGTCCCTTTGGCTGCTGCTCTTTTCCTGTTTATCCACCCCTCTAGTTGTCAGAAATAGCTGCATGTCCTTCAGCCAAACACAAAGGCCTATGTCTACTGAAAATGAGTTCCTGCCAGAAAGAAAAGAATAAATTCCAGAGCTAGATTTAAGCAATATATTTTGTCCTCATTTCTAAAATTGCCCAGGAGCAAAACTGCCCTGATTTAGATGAGTAGATAGATGCTACAAAAGAAATAAAATGGAACGAGTGATGATCAAATTCCCTATTGATCAATATTCTGAGGGCAGGCATAGTATGACAGGGCTGTTTACTAGACTGGAAGCTGGAGGAAAAAACAAAAATTATAGTTTTTGGGATTCAGCACTGCCCGCTTTCAAAAGAAAATGGAAATACTAGGCAGAAGTAATGAAACCGAATATAGCTAAGTTTCTTCTTCAGGACTGGAAAAATTCAAATTGCTTCCCATTGATCATGGATCCAGCTATTCCCACATTCCTTTATTCACTCAGTGTATCAGTCTCTTTTGAGTACTTTCTAGGTGGCCAAATGACACACTTTATATTTTGGGCAGAAATTGTCATAACACATAATCCTTGCACTTGAGAAAGCCATAGCGGTCTGGGAAGGAGACAAGCAAGCATCTAATGACCACGTGGTGCAAACCACAATCAGCGCAGTGCATACAAAGTGCCGAGGCCTCCTAGAGGAAAGGAGCAGGATGCTCGGGAGATGTCATGAAAGAGGAAGACCTTGAGTTTGGACTTAAAATATGAGCAGATGTTCACTAGGTGTTCCATGCTGTTCAGGAAACAAAGTAAATATTCAAGTAAGAACATAGTTCTGGCATTATATCTATGCCATCGGTGCAAGAATGATTTTGGAGAGAGTTTCGTATTTTGTTACTATTATACCTTCCTTTTATCAGAACTTACTGGAGAAGAGCAAGACCATAATGAAGCAAAACAAACCAAAAGTTTGCTTTCTTTTGTTCAGTAGCCAGCAGAAAGTAAGCTTGAATGTTCATATTAGCCTTTCAGCCACACAATTAAAATAATTGGGAACCTTGGTAATGAATTTATGAAGCACCTGTCACCTTGAAAGACAGGTCAGGAAGTGAGAGCAGGTGAATAAATTGAATAAATTAGATACAAAAGGAATGGACTTCAGAATATGGTACTTTATACTGTATAATAAATAAAGAATAAATAAATAAACAATAAGGAATAAAGAAAGCACATAGGATGGCTGTAGAGCTTTGTGGATTTAGGTCACCATCACTTACAGGGCAGGAAGTCTTACATAGGACTAGAGGGGAAATAAAACTAGGAAATTTAAAAAAGAAGACGCAAGTTCTGGAAATAGTAGAATAACCAGAAATGATTCTAATGTGCTTTATGAGTGAAACTGGAGATGCGGTATCAGCCTCCTCAGGCTTTCCCCAAAGAGGTGATTCGAACTGCTACGCCAGGCTCTCCAGGATGCTGGGGCCTGGATGTTCTGAACTGACTGCACATATAAGCTCATCTTGGACCTTTCCTCTGAGAATCTGGTGTCCCAAGGAGAGAGACCTTCTTAAATGATTGCTCTCAAATTCACGGGAATTGAACAGGAAGAAATTTTTCTTGGCATTCTCTAATATTTTCTCACTTTCTGGCAGATTTTTTTTTTTCCACTAAAAGAACAGAAAGCGAAGGAAGCGGAGAAAGTCTCACAGGCATTTTGATTTTGCAGATGCCTACTTATACACGACCTTGGAGAAAAAAGCATCCAGCACGGCAGGTACAAGTATGGGATGCATTTCAGCTAAATTATTTTCCCTGGAAAAGGGGAATCTTTATATCTGTCCCTGGACCTCTGTGTGTGTGTCTGTGTGTAATCGTGAGTATTCTCTAAAATATCTCATTATATATTTGCTGAATAAAAAACAAATATTTGGTCGTCCTACATATTGCATAAGGGTATTTCAGAAAAGGAATGAATGTATATACCATAGCTACTAATACACACACACACAAACACATACACACACACATACTCACATACATAAACAGTGTGATGGCTTTTTTTTTTCCTCCCCAGTTTTAAAAACTGTGTTAGGCGTCTAAATGCTGAGCCTCCCACTTCCCATGAGAACCTTGAAGCCTAAATAAAACATCTTGCTTCAAGAATTAAGATACCTTGGGCCAAATAGCCCTCTGATAGAGTGGCTTACAGTTATGAAACTTGATCCCTATAGGCATTAGGATAACGATTTGCAGAATTGCAAGGGATAAATCTTGGCCAGCACCGAGGTGTACGAGTCTGTGTAGCAACAGCAGCAGAATCCCAACCTCTGCAGCAGTAAATGTTGATGGTCTATGACGGATGCTACCAATTACCTCCGAAAGTTCCTGGCCTCTTAGGCTGGGATCTAGTGGTGCTTTTTATTTCCCTGTGTGTTTCAGACCACTTCCTATACAAAGGCCACAAGTGGGATAATTATGGAAATAGATACGGTTTTAGAGCTGGAAGGGATCCTAGAAATAATATCAGCCTAGGTCTTTACTTTGCAGATAGGTAACTAACATCTAGAAAAACCACTCCACAGAGCTTGTTCACAGCCAAGCTGGGGACAAAACATGATACTCAGTCCAGGCCTGTGTCTATTTCTTCTTACACTAGCAGTGGTTCCTGTTCACAAAGGAAAATAATCCAAATTCTGATACATGACATTTCATGATCTACTGAAACCTCTCTGCTTCTCTAGCATTATTTCCTTTTGTTCTTCCTTCTCACTTCCATCACCTCCTTTCATCAGGCACTAACGCCAGCCACTTCCAACCTCCCACAGTGTTTTTTTTGTTGTTGTTGTTGTTTTGTTTTTTTGTTTTTGTTTTTCTTTTTCACACCATGATATTTTGTGCTTTGAGTGAGTGGTTGCTAATACTAGCAACATGCTGGATTCTTCTCTGTTCAGCTTTAAATGCTTGGAGGACATCTTACCTCCTCCATGAAACCCTACTCATTTCCTGAGCCATGGTAAGTTGCTTCTTTCTGGCATTCTCAAAGCAGTTATTTAGCAGTAGCAGTTGGGAGGAGTTTTTAAATTGTTAGTCTGTCTCCTTAAAGACCAAGCCCTTATCTTGCTCTATTTCTTATTCTTTCCCCAATCCTTTCCCAGCATTTGGCACAGGCCCAAAGCAGGGCAAAATCTCAATAAACAGTAAATGAAAGAATGAATGAGTTAACTAATTGGACTCTAAATTGACAAAGAGTAGTGTCACTGAATAAGACACTGTTATAACCTATAACCCATATTGGCCAGAGAGGCAATTCTTTGAAACCACACTTCCTATCTCAAAGCCCAGTTCTGCTGCTTACTAGCTAGTGTGTGGCAGTTCACAGATTACTTAGCTTTTTTGTGTCTCAGCCATCTTTTATGTAAATTGAAACTAATAATAGTATCTAACCCTTAGGGATTCTATAGAGACGAAATTTTCACTTAGAACAGACATTTAGGAAGTGCTAAATCATCTTCTCTCTTTGTTACTTCTTTCCTTCTTATTATAATAAGTTATTATTAATAAGCCTAATAAGTGGGGGCTGTGGTGGGAAAAAGGAGAAGCCAATAAAGAACATGCTAATGGGGAAAATAAAGAACATGCTAATGGGGAAAAATACATCAAATATAATGTACGGATGATTAAGGGATATGTTAGTGGTTAAGAGTGCAGAATCAGAAAAAATGTACTATTTATTGAGTACCTAAAATGTGGTACTAACATTACTGGAGTAACCCCTTTACATGCACCATCTCCAATTTCTGGACAGAACCCTGAAAAATGGACATTATCCTGTACATTTCACAAATTATAAAACAGGCGCAGTGAGAAATTTGCCCAAAGTTGCATAGATGGTAAAATTTACAGCTGAGATTTATTATGTGGTCAATGATTAAGATGTCAAAACCCTGAGCTCAAAGCTATGCCAACCACCCATGGCTATGTGATCATGGATAATTGGCGTAACTTTTCCATCTCTGTTTCCTCATCTGTAAAATGGGTACAATAATGGTGCTTACATCACAGGATTGTTAGCGGATTATATGAGTTCACACATGTCAAGTCTTAAGAACAGAGTCTATCATATGGGGTGCTCCTACCCCAGTAGAACAAAGCACCACTGGTCAAAATGCTCACTTGATAAAATTACTCAGAGTTCCAGAGAAGTAGCTATTTCATATTTATTCTATCTAAAGGGATAAATCGTTATATGAAACCTATAAATAATGAAAATAAAAAGGTAAATTGATTCTTGTTACCTGGACTTAAATCAATATTCAAACATATTCCTTCTCAAAAGTCTGTTTCAAGTGGGGTTAGCTAAGTTTGTGATTGCATTGATGATTTTCAGCTCTAACATTAAATAGAAATGCATGTTTTGGGGTACATCATTATTCATTGGCCAAGGAAAAGTCATTCTAGTTTAAATGGGACTCCACTTCTCTTTGATGGGCGGGAGAAGGCATTTGGAATGACCACGTAGAGACTTTTTATTTGACCTTATAATCATGCCCATTTAATTTGCCAGATAGAGCACACATGCAAAAAGAAGGACAAATTCTGCATCCATAAATGAGAACCTTGTATGAATCCACTAGATGGCCAACATTCAACAATTACCAAGGTCTAAGCCAAGTGCTCATTATGCACATAGGGCAGCAACTGTTGAGAATAACTTTTGCTGGGGTTTGGCTCATTTGGCTCTACAGATCAGTAGGGGAAGGAGAGAGCACAGGAGAACACAATACTAATAAGCATACAGTTCTGTCTCCAGTATGTACACAATTCAACCAAAGCAGAAGTAGGGCTTCCAGAACAAATCATTTCCATTCCTACCACCCACTTCACTGTACTTCATGCATTACAAATGCAAAACTCTAAGCCATTCTATAAAGGATGACAAAGTTGTTTTTAATTGGTGCTTATTAAAAGCTTCTGCTTGGAACAACTTTAGCAACACAATAACTATATTGGATCGTAACACAAAGACTTAAATAGGCATGAATTCATATTGATACAAATGAGTAACTAAATAAATAAATGAAGGAGAAGCAACAACTCTTCCTTAAAGGAGAATTTCAATTAATAACTATAGAAGGATTTAAGGAATTAGAAAATCACCATTAGAATACCACATTCATCATTTCCATAGACAAGAACCACCAATGGATGCTAACATGAGTGGGCAAAAGTTTAAACAGAAACAGGAATATTTGCGTAGTATTCAAGTACCCTCTTCAAAATATTTAGTAATTACAGAGGACAATGAGTAAATTTACAGTGAAAAATCCTAGCAGAGACCATTTTAACCAAGTAATCAAGTTTAACATAATTGATAATACATATCAATACTGCATCCTCAATCAAATAAGGAGAAAACACCAGAAAAACTCAAATTGAGGAGAATTTTAAAAAATGACTGATCAGTTCTCTCCAAAGTGTATGGGTTATGAAAGACAAGGACAGCCTGAGGACCTGTCACAGATTACAGCGGACACGACTACCTACAATGTCAGGAATGGAATGATTGGAATGTTCTCTGGGAAGAGAACAAGGATATTAATGAAAAAAATCAGTGAAATCCAAATGAGCTCTGTACATTAGTTAATAGTATTGTCCCAAGTTAATTTCTTCATTTTGATAAAAGTTTTATGGTTCTGTAAGATGTTTACCTAAAGGGAGCCAGCTGAGTGAAGGATAACAAGAATTCCCTATACTATTTTTGAAACTCTCCTATTAAGTCCAAAATGATCTAAAATGTTAAAATCAAAGGTTCCTGGAAGGATTGTTTTGTATTTGGAATGTATGTGCCTTCTTTCCTATTATTTGATGGACTGAAATAATGTGGAAGTCCATAGCCTTACTGCTGTGCAAGTACTCATAGAAGAATAATTTCTTGTCCTACAAGGATCCATAATTGAAACCCAAAGCTGAACGGGAATAAGGGATCATGTTTTCTGCCATCCTCCCCCAGCAAAAGTTGTTTCCTGTGTGTCGCAAAGTTTGTTTTAGTCTAATGATTTTTATGAAAGAAGTTGCTGAAATTAATATTGGAGCCATAGATAAAAGGGAATGGGGTAAGGAACAGCTGGCTGTTAAAAATAGGACTCAAATTTGGTAATACAAAAGTCTTAATGAGCTGCTAGGGGTTACAGCCATTTAAACGGGTACTTTGGAGCCTGTGTGAGAATTTTATTTAGCATTTCCCAGAGAACACTCAGCAGAATATTAATATCATAAGAAATCTTGGGAGAAGGGTTCCATTACAAATATGCTTGGGAAATCCCTATATATTCCATAGAAGTCATATTGGTAATTGCCAGTGTTGCTGCTAACAAAAAAAGAGGCAGGTCGGGGGAGGGAGAAAGAGGGAAAGAAAGAGAGAGAGAGAGAGAGAGAGAGAAACAAAACTATTGAACTTTGCTTAAACTATTTCCTAAACATTTGGAAAAAAAGAGATTTTTAAAAATATTCTGCCTATTACCATTGTGAAGGGCTAGTATTCTACAAAGTTCAGAGATTGGTGTTCTATCACATAAGTTTTCTTCAACAGCTCCACATAGTAAAGAAAGCAGAATTGGAAATGAGAAGGGTGTAGCGAGGGGTATAGTTTATTCTCTCTTCCTGCACCTTTGAATTAAAAAAAAAAAGATACGAATTTTAATATCCTGTAGAGAAGGAAGATGTAGGTCAAATGTGGATGGGGAAATGAAATGAAATTTCATGGTCTTGGAGCATTAATATACTGTTAGGGTTTTTTTTTTTTTTTTTTGTGGTAAGTAGTAGAAATTGTAATTTCCCTAGCAGTCTAGAGTCACAAGTTAGGAGAGGAATAGTGGAATTTAGTGCTTAGGAACCACGTATAGATAGGAATATTTTATTAAATTAACTCACGTGAAATTAGTAGCACTTCCCCCAATGACCTGGATTAAACTGTACACACTTTCAGTGTCCTGAACACTGTATTCATTGCTATTTTACTTCTCCCTTCCTGATTCAAAAGAACACATAAAATATGCACACAAAATATTTGATGCATAAAGAATGACTAAAACATGAACATGTATTCCACATACATGTTTGAGGACATTGCCCAAGGTTAATTTAAAAACAGGATATTTCATTTAAAAGCAATGTGCACCTAAGCTGACTACAGGGAAATTTTATTTTCTTTATTTCTAATTCTTCTCAAGTGGTAGAAATATGACTATGAGTAATAAAAGTCTCCCAGTTTTCCGTTACTTTAGAGGTTATTTTAAACTTTTCTTAAATTTCACCCGCTTAAAAAGGAAATACATAAAACTTATTAACAATGTGAATTACATTGTCATGGCAACAAATTTTTCCAAGTACTCTGCTCTTATGCAACTATTAACCCCTAGTATCTATTTATTATTCAAGAGAAGTTGTATTTGGGAAGGCAAAAAATTGCTTGTCATCTGAAAGGACAAGACCCTCTGTGTAAATTCAAATTATTGCACAGATGAAAATAGCTTTTCAGTCATAAAATGATTAGAATTTGCATTTTTCATATTTTCTACCTTTTTTTATTCTTATGGGATATGAGTCACTGGGATCAAAATTTACCATCTTGGCTGAAGTATTAACTTAAGATTTGTGACAGAGACAGTTAGTTGTACATTAAAATTTGTGCTCCTGTTTCACAGCTTTCACTGAAAAGTGGTCACGCTATTAACAATGTTTTCCAGCCTGCCTTGCATTGAAGTGAGTCCAAGTGCTGAGTTCTTATCTATGGAACGTGAAAGGGCATAATCAGTATCATTCCTGGGCAAAAGTATCTGTGAGCCAGGTGTGCCTCCACTGTATCGCTTGTCCTTCTGCTAGGAGGATGCAAAGAATATTGAAGTTCCAGGAGACAGAGAAAAAAAGCACAGAATGGAAAGAACTTGCATACGTGAAGTATCACCTGGAAGCCAGCTCCCGTTAACCAAGAACACAGTGTATTACATAAGAGAGAAATAAACCTCCATTGGGTTAAACCCACTGAAATTTTGGTGCGTTTTTAAAAATTGCAGCAGCTATAATAACCCAACCTAATAGTGATATCTTATTAGTTAATTGGTTCAAAAATATAATAAATATATTAGGAAATATTAGTAATGGTTACATGTCTTTACCTACTTAAAAGAGACAAGTAGGTTTTATCAAACATGGTGGATGGCCAAAACCAAAGAATGACCATTGTTCTTCTCTGTCATTTTTAAGATGTGGGTTTCTAATGCTTAATCAGTTTTGGACCCAGTGATTTTTGTTTTTGGGTAACAAATTATTTCAATTAATTAAGGTTTTAGTTCCAAAGCAAGGCTCACAAATTAGAGTCTGCACACGTGGTTAATTTTACTTTTCATGAATGATTCATTGTTAAGAGGTAAAAGCATTACTGGCTAAAAATTCTTATAAAAATAAATAACTTAGAAAGGGCACACAAATTTCAGTAAAATTTCTTGGTCCCAGGAGTAGGAATTTGCACTCATTTCATGAAATTCAGCCCATTTTCCAGTCTTTTAGCACCTTTATTAATTTCTTACTAGCATCTGTCCTATTGATCACATCACTATACATATATATATATATGTATAGTGTGTGTGTGTGTATATATACATATATGTGTGTGTGTGTGTGTGTGTGTATCCTTCCTGTTTCACTGAATAAAAGTTGAAGAGATCAGAAGGGGATTAAGGGGAAAATCTGTGGTATATTCCAAGAAAATCCCCACAAACTTAATCTATAGATTTTTCAATTCATCCCTTCCATAAGTTGCTGTACTATTGAGCAGCCCCACCTATATTCACTTGGAATTTTACAAGTGACCCACCACCCTCAGGCTCTTCCATGAATACTTCAGAAGAATATTCTAGAACTCATGAATCTTAATCTTCTCTCAGCTCCCATAAAAGACATTCACCATTTAATTCATCATATAATCATAATTTCTCTGGCATTTGGTCTTTATTGCTTTTATGTATGTTACAAAATTTTCTAACACACTTTCTTGAGAAGAATATTGTTAAATTTCTGGGTAAATAACATTGTACTAGCTAGCCATGTAAGAAAGAGAGAAGATATAATTGCCGAATGCTATCACAGCCACCTCTAATGAACATTTGTGCCATATTTACTGTTTCTGGAACTTGCTTTGTATATCTATCCATCTATCCATCTATCTCTCTATCTCTCTATCTCTCTATCTCTCTCTCTCTCTATCTATTTTTCTATCTTAAGGCTTAGGGTAGCCAATGAATAGGCCTATAAATCAATATTTCACATAGCTATTATTTAAGTCATCTGAATCAGAATCCTTTTTTTAATTTGTTTTTTTTTTTTTGACGGAGTTTCGCTCTGTCACCAGGCTGGAGTGCAGTGGCGCAATCTCGGCTCACTGCAATCTCCGCCTCCCGGGTTCAAGCGATTCTCCTGCCTCAGCCTCTCGAGTAGCTGGGACTACAGGTGTGCACCACCATGCCTGGCTAATTTTTGTATTTTTAGTAGAGACGGGGTTTCACCATGCTGGCCAGGATGGTCTCGATATCTTGACCTCATGATCCACCCACCTTGGCCCCCCAAAGTGCTGGGATTACAAGCGTAAACCACCACGCCTGGCCCTTTTTAAAATTTCTTTAGCGATGGGGTTTTCCTATGTTGTCTAGACAGAACTGAACTCTTGGTCTCAAGTGATTCTCCCACCTCAGCTGCTGAAATAGCTGGCACTACAGGTGCATGCCCCTGCACCCAGCTCAAAATCATATTTTTAATATGCAAATCCCTAGGAACTCCATTCTAGATGTTATAAATAAAAGTCACTCAGTATATGGCTTGAGAAACTTCATTTTAAATAAACATAAATGATGAGTCTCATGTATAGTATTTAAAGTTGGCAAACAACTGATAAAAAACATGAGCTTTTTCTTTATGGTCAGAGCAAAAGTTGGGGTGAGTGTGAAGGCAGAGATTTGTTAGCCTTTTGGCTACTGAGTTATTTATACTTTTGTCTAAAATATGGCTGGGTTGACCACCCACTGTGACTCAAGCTCGGTCCACTCTTTCCTTCTAATTATCAACACAACACACTGGGGAGGAGGTCATTGCCTGTGGGCCTGCAAGGGAGTTTCAGAGGATAGCTGAGTTTCAAATGGAGCCTGGGTTGGGATGATCCAAAGAGACTGCCTGGCCTACTAACCAGTCAGAGCCAGTCCTACAAGAACTCCACTCTAAAAGAGATGAAGAAGCTTTTTGGCAAATAAAGTATCACCATGCAAGAGAAGGAGTGATTAGAGGGTTAATCAGAATACCCTACTCCATCTGTGTTCCCCATTGATTACTCAATAACAAGGAGGGCTTAACCAATTCCTGACTTCCAGGACTTGAAAAACTTAAGGTGGGTTGGCACAAATATGATATCTGATGGTTTGGGAGACTGACTAGCTTTGTGTAAGATGCCTTTTAGGCTTTCTCTTGTTTCCTTTTCTATCGTCCAGAGATTAGTACAAAGAATATTAAGGAAAGAAACAAACTATTTTCCCACTTCTTACAGGATGTCTGCTATACAGTCAAATTTAGTGCATTAAAATAAAAAATACTCAGGTTCAAATCCTGACTCACCACTTCCCATCTTGGTGACTTTGGGGAGATGCTCATGGTTTCTGGGAAGCAGTGTCTTATGTTCTCATTGGTGGTGGTGGTAGTAGAGGGCATAGGGAGTGAATGTTAGCTGGCTTAATTGTTTCCTAACTCTTTAAATTCTAAGCTGTTGGCACAATCAATTCTGGTCATTATTTTTATTATTTTTTATAGTTATTATTATAACTTACATTGGGGAACAGCTCTTAGACTGCAGAGGACATTGGGCACCTCTCTTCAGGAAGCAGCACAGACAGGGTACCTGAATGTGGTACTTGAACTAAGAGTTTTGGTTCATTCTAACATAATCCTCGTGAAGTTTGTTCCATAGTAGGCACTGATTGTCTTCATTTTCTGGGAGACAGATCATTCGGTAAAATGGAATAAACATACGAAAATATGTGCTATCTATTTATTTAATAGCTTACTTTTCCAGTTCCTGCAGAGGCTATAGGAAGAAGACTGCCTTCCCACAGGAGTGAGATGCCATCATGTTATCCTATCTCAGTGGGTCAGGAGTCACTTAACTGGGGTGCCATTTGATTGACTGTTCAAACAGTAAATTTTTAGGTTCATGGCTGTATGACTTAGCACAAGCTCAGATGGAAAACAGTGGCTAACCTGTTTATATGTGCTTTTTGTTGGTTTGTTTTTTGTTTGGTTGGTTGTTTTGAGACAGAGTCTCGCTGTGTCACCCAGGCTGGAGTGTCGTGGCACGATCTCAGCTCACTGCAACCTCTGCCTCCTGGGTTCAAGTGATCCTCCTGCCTTAGCCTCCAAGTAGCTGGAATTTTAGGTGCGCACCACCATGTCCAACTAATTTTTTATTTTTTTGTAGAGATGAAGTCTCACTATATTGCCCAGGCTGGTCTCAAACTCCTGGCCTCAAGTGATCCACCTGCCTCAGCCTCCCAAAGTGCTGGGATTACAGGAGTAAGCAACCACGCCCGGCCTGTTTACATGTATTTAAACCTGGTCTTTATTTCCCTGATGAACATGTATGTACGCTATAATATGGTAGAGACTCAGCATTAGAATTTAAAGGCATGGAGCAGAGAAAAAGAAAGGTCAATTTACTGCACTAAGGTTGAAGCCATTCAGATGCCAAATTCTTGCTCAAGTCTTAGAGATGGTTTCTTAACTAGGATTTCCTGAAATAGTGGCTTATATTTCAGTAGTTTAGTTGGTAATATAATCCCAGTGGACAGAAATAGAGAACAGTGGAGTAAAACAGAGAAGAATAAAGGTGAAAGAAAGGTATCATCCATCTATGAGACTATGCCCATGAGTTACTAAGGCCCAATGCTACTTGGACTTTCTGAAAAGGCTTAAGAAATACAGTTCAGACGGTTCCATGAGAATGAAAGGGGAAACAGCCACTTGCTCTCACCACGTTGATTAAAAATGACCCCATAGGCATTGACTCCACTCTAAACACACACATACACACACATTTTAGCTGCTAAGGTGTAAGACAAGAAGATCCCTTCCCCACCACCCCAGGAAGGAAGGAAGAGCTACTTCGTTTACCTCAGGAAAAGGCTGTACCTGCTAGAAGAGGATCCTCTGGAAGCCAGCAAGAAACTAGTTCCTGCAGCTATAGCTGGAGGCACAGGTGAAGCAAGATGATTTTGAAGTGGTGCATGAGAGGGATTTGATAATAGAAAACAGATTCCTTGCAAGGTTGTTCTCAGATGTTTATCTCTATTTTGCAATAGTCCTTCATTAGGTATGGTGAATACGTGGTATAGTAGAAGTACTTTGTTAGGGAAAAAACAAACAATCCCAAAAAAAAAAAAAAAAAACCTCCTTGACCTCAATAAGCAAGTCATAGAAAACGGGAATATTTGAAGCAAATTAGGGAACATTAAAGACACTACAGCTGAGGTCCAAAAAAGCAGAAAGTACTGAGACTTGGGCTAATTCAATCAAGGAAGACTCTTGGAAACTGGGTGGTCAGAGGGCCCCGGGAGGGTGAGTGTAATCACGTTGTGAGGGTGATCTGCCTGTAACACCCATCACCCCATTGATTTCCAGTATTAATCTGGTAGCAATAACTATCAATCTATATGTACTTACATAGGAGCTTATAGTTCACACACTGCATCACATACATTGGCACATTAAAAAACTTTTTTGCTATCTATTGTTACTGAATAGCTAACACTTGATGATTCAAAGAGTTTTTTTAGGTTTTATTTTGTTTTTAATTGACACATAATAGTTGTACTTATTTATGGGGTACAGTGTGATTTTTAAAGGCAAAATAAGATGAAAAATTGAAAAAGTTATCTGAATAATTCAAACCCAATACTAATGTCATTTGCATCATTCTGTGTTAGCAGACAACTTTCAACTTCCAAATTAACATCAGCATATTTTTTTGTAATTCAATCTTTCAGTAATTAACTATAGTAACTTATCTGCATTGTTCGCTATGTTTTTCTTACCAGGTGAGTAAATTTTAAAGATATTTTACATCTCTTTAATCTTATGATTTCATTTAGTATAGATCTATTTTCCTAAAAAGTTGAAATCATTTTATTACTTTACTTGTACCCTTTTTTTGTTCTTTAAAAAGTTTTAAGGTATAAGTGATTAAAAACAAACAAGCCAACAAAAACTAATATTCTCTCCATATATGATAATAGTAATTATTAAATAAGACTAATAAAGGAAAAATGCCATATATGATAATAGTAATTATTAAATAAGACTAATAAAGGAAAAATGCCATATCAACATTAAATAATAGTATTAAAACGTCAAGAGCTTTCAAATAAATTATTTAATAGTATTACACAATCTGCAAAACAAAAAAATATTTTTAAAAAGCATTAGGACTTTTATATATACAGGGAAACTGAGGCTTAGTGAAGTTAAGTGTCTTACTCACTCCATATTTCATAATTGGAAGAACTGGGACTAGGCTTATATCCTCTGACTTCTGGGCCAGTGATCTTTCTACAGCAGAATCGTGTAGGTGAGAATTAGGCACAGAGTCCAAGGCACAACTTGAATATGGGATTCAGTCACTGCTCATACTGTGGGTTACGTGCAGACTGAATTAGATGGAATAAAGCATACTCTAGGATGTTCCTTCTAGCGTTTTGAGAACTAGTACAGTTTTAGGAACATAAAGAAACTTTCAATTAATATCAGTCATTGTTACTATAGTTATATAGATGTAGGACAAGGACTAAGAGCCTGGGGGAGAAACTCAAAGAAGATGCAAAGGAAAAGGGTTGGGCAGATATAGCATTTTTTTTTTTTTTTTTGAGACAGAGTCTCATACTGTTGCCCGGGCTGGAGTCCAGTGACACGATCTCTGCTCACGGCAACCTCTGCCTCCCAGGATCAAGCAATTCAGCCTCCCGAATAGCTGGGATTACAGGCGCCTGCCGCCATGCCTCACTAATTTTTTGTATTTTTAGTAGAGACGCGGTTTCACTATGTTGGCCAGGCTGGTCTCAAATGCCTGACCTCATGATTCACCCGCCTCTCAGCCTCCCAAAGTGATGGGATTACAGGCCTGAGCCACCACGCCCGTCCAGATCATAGCCTTTTAATTAGCAAGAATTTGAAGTTTTTTTTAACTTTTGCATAGGCTGGGGGAGATGGGTAGAGAGAATCCATCTCTAGTTCTTTACCAGGGCTAAACCTGCATGTTTTACATTTTAATTCACAGCAGTAGTTTTTAGCTTCTTAGTCTTTTCAGTTATTTGGTAACTACTTATTGATTCTAATAAGTGCAAAACACTGCAGGTCTGATTATGAGAGGCACAAAGCTCTATTCTTAAGTAGTGGTTGACAATCTTGCTAAGGAGATAAGTCTTGAACATCTGCATTTCCAATCCAGGGCAGTGAAACAAGGCTGGGAGAGACTTTCAGACACGTGTTAACAGCAGAAGTGAAACAGAATGATTAGCAACTGATTTGTGTTCTTTCTCCCATACGTCTTTGGAAGCCACCTGTGGTGGCAACGGCTGTTAGGCCCCTCAGCAAGCCTCTAGCAAGACCTGTAGCACTGCAATGTCCAAGTACACTGCATTTTGAATATTTGAAGAAATGGTGTCTGGGCCATAACCAGGTTGGCCTTCTTTTCCGCAGGCATTGCCTCTGGGGAGCTCTGCACAGGGCCCCACACTAGCTCTTAAGTCCAGAGGCAGAAGAGTGATAAAGGATGAATGTTTTGCAAAAACCCGTACAGGTCAGCGCTCTTGTCAAAACCTGAATTCACAGAGGCTTGGGTATTTATGCCAAAAAGAAAAATCTGTGAATAAATACATGTACATGGTTTCAAAACAGTGTTTTAAAAATTCATCTTATTCAGGGGTTGTAGATACTAGGCATGACTCCGATTTTTAGGAAAAAACAATGATACATAAAGGTAAAGGAGACAGTTTCATTACTGGCTAGAGAATATGAGATGGCAAATAGTAAATTATGTATGACTTCCACATTTATCTCAAGTGAAAAGCATAAATGTGTCCTAATACTTCATTTCCATTTTTGCTTTTTTTAAAAAAAAACTTACTGATCTCCAAATGAAAGAAAATATATTTTATTAAAAGAACTGCCTATTCTAATATTACTTTACGTGCAAATTCCACTCAAGTCTTCAGCCAAGTTTTCATAAATTACGTAGAGAGAAATTAAGCAAAATTATGCTGACTACCCATTCTCCTGAAAATCCCAGGATTCTTAGTTGTCAGGAAACATATGATTCTTGTATTAACAATGTGGGTAAACCTGGTCAAGGTTCCTTTTGGCCTTGAACTTTACTGCCAGCCTATAGATGGCAGCAAACTTACACACCATTGCCAGAGTCTAACCTTTCCATTGCTACTTCCAATTACTCTTTCCTACTAGTGTTTTTATTATATGGACAAGTTATTTATGATTAGAAGTATTAAGTAATTCATATATGAATATCATAGCTTTACCAGAATACAATTCCAGAACACACTAGAAAATTGAGGGAAAACAAAAGTAAAATGAAAATAATCAGGAATAAGATTGGCAAAAAGTTGATATTCTCATAGTCAAAACTTGTTTTTGGATTTAGTGTTATTGAGTAGAAATTAAAATGGCCTTTTAATCAGGCCATTTGACATAATAACGTTCTTTAGTATTGTTTAAGTTGAACGATGGTGCCCTATTGCATAGTTTAATCATGTGTACTGCCAGTAAAGATTTTCTCTTGAAGTAAGTAAGCTAGAGTTGTTACATTTATAAGAAAACATATCCAATATGCCTAAAATAATAGGTAGCAATGACCAATTAGCAATGATAATAAGTTTTCATGTGAAGGAATCATCACCGAATGTTCTATTGCCATGGTCTTACTATCTGTTGCCCTTTCTGGAATATCATTACCACTTAAGAGAGATTTGATTCCATTTATTGATAGTGAGGCCATATAAACCTTTTGATATCAGTTGTATTCTATCCATCATTAGCTGAGAATGGATTTTTTTTTCACAGAGAATAATAGGAGATAATGAAGATAAAACCAGTTACTAAAACTAGGGTTCAGTGATCATCAGCACATTAATATTTGCATTTTAGGCCCCAAGGAACTGTTTAGAGGACATCTGCCTTATTAGCCCGGCTTCACGAGCCATAAAGGATTTTGTTTTGCATGATTCATTGTTCAACAAAATGTCATAGGAACCAGACCCATTTGCCTTCTAAAGCCACCTGTCTTCTGGCAGAAACAGGTGTGCAGTCTCCTGGAAGAAACAGGTAACATTCTCACTGTAAAGCAGCACTGACCAAAGAAAGGCCACAAGAGAAA
This sequence comes from Homo sapiens, assembly GCF_000001405.40. Classification (NCBI taxonomy): domain Eukaryota; kingdom Metazoa; phylum Chordata; class Mammalia; order Primates; family Hominidae; genus Homo; species Homo sapiens. Next base: position 87,065,414 of record NC_000014.9, on the reverse strand, counting down.
TATGCTTACAAGGGAGAAGCTGAGACCATGACAGCTTGGCCATTAGTGTGCAAGTATTGGATATGAGAGAGACACCTCTTTGTGTTAGCATCTGTTGAGGCTAAGAATTGGAGCTGGTTAGATATTAACCTCCTAAACTGGTATTTTGGAGTGATTATTTATTAGATAATAATCACCATATTTTTGTTACATCCAATTGCAGGTCTGTCACATATTTATTTATGTGACTTTTTACTTAGGTAGTGATATGGTTTGGCTCTGTGTCTTCACCCAAATCTCATGTCGAATTGTAATCCCCATGTATCCCCCATGCTGTTCTCATGTTAGTGAGTTCTCACAAGATCTGATGATTTAAAAGTGTGACACGTCCCCCCTCCTCTGGCTCTCTCTCCTGAAGCCTTGTGAAGAAGGTGCTTGCTCCTCCTTCCTCTTTCACCATGATTATAAGTTTCCTGAGGCCTCATCAGGCATGTAGAACTGTGAGTCAATTAAACCTCTTTTCTTTATAAATTACCCAGTCTCAGGTAGTTCTTTATAGCAATGTGAAAACGGACTAACACAGGTAGACTTTAAATGAACTCAGTGATCTCATCCACCTCCTTACCCAGCTCTGCTCTGTTTTTATCAATGCAAGAATATCAGGGAAATCATAGAGGGGATGTATTACATATATTTTTTCTAAGACACATAAAAACAGGCACATGATTTAACATTTAAAAATGTTTCTGTGTTTAAACAAAGTTTCTGGCACACTACATGTACTTGATAAATGTTGGCTATTGTTATTATAATTACTTTTTGATCTATATAAATCTGATGGATAATCTACAGTCAATTAGAACAGAGTCATTGCTAAAATGTTGCTAAGTACTATGAAAATTGCAGCAGCTTAATTCTTCCATAATATTTACTGAAATTTTGGAATGGGTACAGGGTTTACTTATGCATCATATGCACCAGAATCTGCACAAAGCCCTTCACATATGATGTTATATCATCAAAGAAGCAATGCTATAAAATAGAGCTAATCACATGCATTTGTCGGATGGGAACACTGAGAGTAGAATTCATTTGTATAAAGCCACAGAGATGGAAGGTAAAGTGTTTTGGAAAGGGATCACAAACTCAGAAGCCTCTAGGCACCAAGAATGTGGCACATCAGTAGCTAAGAGCAGGGAGGTGATAGTGCTTGGTGATGTTAGGTAAAGTATTGAGGAGTGCTGGAGCCTCTGGTGAACTGCAGGGTATATATCCATAGTAAGAATTTCTCCTGCCATCAGTTCCAGAAATGTTGACTCAGTTCTTAGATCATTTTTCAACAGAAGAGGGCAATGCAGCTGAGCACGGTGGCTCGTGCCTGTAATCCCAGCACTTTGGGAGGCTGAGGAGGGCGGATCATTAGGTCAGGAGTTCGAGACCAGCCTGCCCAATATGGTGAAACCCCGTCTCTCCTAAAAATACAAAAATCAGCCGGGTGTGGTGGTGTGCACTTGTAGTCCCAGCTATTTGGGACGGGGGTTGCTGAGGCAGGAGAATCACTCGAACCCAGGAGGCGGAGGTTGCAGCGAGCCGAGATCGCGCCACTGCACTCCAGCCTGGGAGACAGAGCAAGACTCCGTCTCCAAAAAAAAAAAAAAAAAAAAAAAAGTGCCCAATGCAGATTTTTTTTTTCTGTGCAGTCTTCTTAGTTTTATTTTTGGCAACTGATTGGAATGTGGGCAAATAAAAAGCTCATCTAATGGTCATAAGCTACAGATTTTCAACTTCCGCCTCAGAGGGAGCTTCTGACCCACTTCCATTTCCAAAGTAAAAGAGATGCTAACATGGACACATTTGGTCTACTTTACTAAATAAAGACTGAACCTTCCTTTAAAGAGCAAAAGTAATATAAGTTTGGATTATGATAATTACACACACACACACACACACACACACACACACACAGACTTTTTTGAGTCCTCTTTCTTTGTCTTGTTTTGTTCCTTGAGTTATTTTTCTTTTCTTATTCACTCATGTTTCTGAAACAGTGATACAAGTCATAACTTGTCTCAGTCTAGAATTTAGACATTATGTGGGCCAATAAGTGATGAACAACTTCCTGAGGCTTATACATATAATGCAGTATGAAAAATTTGGGCTAGAACACCAAAAATCATTTTTTTTTCTTTTAAATAGAAAGCACGTTTCTTGTATTAACTTCTGGTTTTTTTAAATATAAAATGAAAACTTTGAGTTTATCATGCCCATACATTTATATGGGCATCACTGAACAGGACTGGGGAATAACTGCAGAGCCTCATTGATATGGTTTGGCTCTGTGTCCCCACTCAATTCTCATGTAGAACTATAATCCCCACATATCAGGGGAGGGGCCTGGTGGCAGTGATTATATCTTGGGGGCAAATTTCCCCCTTGCTGTTCTCATGATAGTGAGTGAGTTCTCATGAGATCTGGTGGTTTAAAGCTGTGTGGCACTTTGCCCTTCACTTGTCTCGCTCCCCTGCTCCACCATGGGAAGATGTACCTTGCTTTCACCACACCTTTCGCCATGATTGTAAGTTTCTGCCACGATTGTAAATTTCCTGGGGAGTCAGCCATGCAGAACTGTAAGTAAATTAAACTTATTTTCTTTATCAATTACCCAGTCTCTGGTATTTCTTTACAGCAGTGTGAAAACAGACTACTACACTCATTTTCAGAACCTGCTAGTTGCTTGGCTGATTTTGGAAAAAGGGTCATGTAGTCAGGGTGTAAGTCATGGCCATTAAGAACATGATTGTTTCTGTTGATGCCATGGTTGATTTTGACAATGCCAAAGATCCACCCACAAATTTCAATCAATCTTTGAAGACTATGGCTAGAGGGATTGGTGAAGGGCCACCCACAAAAGACCTTTTGCTTATTTCAAATTTGACTTCTCACAATACATATTGAGTCTAGTGATTATATGTAGGGTGATCATTCACCACTGCTTTACAATCCTTTTAGGATGTACTTTCCTCAAAGGATTCTGTATTTGAAAGTTCTTGTCAACCAAACAAATTATATATAAGAAAAACATTAAGTCACCCTCTAATATTACATTAATAAAATACAAAAACAACTGAGTGTACAATAAAAGCAGTAACTTCCAAATGATGTTAAATTGCCTTGTTTAATTATATATTTGATACTTAGATATACTGTGCTGTTTTACTTTCTAATTAGTAGCATATGTTTTCCTTAATAACTTGAATGTTCTGGAGGCTGTTATTATCAATATCTAGACATCCAGAGACCTCAGAATAAGAACAATGTTCTGTGATCTATGATTTAGGAATTTAATTCTTTATCACTCATTTGTCCTCATAAATATTTCTGGATACCTTTCGTATGTCTTCTCTTTCAAGGAGGCTTTTATAATTCACTGGATGCCATGCATTCACTATTTTTTCTCATTTTCTGATAAGCACATGGGAAGAAGAAAATCACAATCTTGGTGCGTTTGCAGGATTAATTCCAGAAAGCAGAAAGTGGGAAAGTGGTTATATACCACTTCCAAGTCTAGCCCCAAGTTCCCAATGAGATTTTTTTTCTCATTGAGATTCTCTTTCTGCTCTCTGGTTAGCCAAATACAGAGAATTAATCACAGACCTTCATGGTTACAAGGGTCACTAATACCACTTTGAGCAGAGTCACCCTTCCAAGATTCCAAAGGATCTCTCTCCAGAATTTCTTTCAGTTGTACTTGCAATTATATTGTGTCAAGGTTTTGAGCTTTCCAGATTTACCTGTTTCAGCACTTAGTGTTACTCTGATTTAAAAAATCTTCTATCTTCTCTCTACTCATTTTGCCCTTCCTTGGGTGCTTGAATGGGAATTTATTTTTTCTTCTTTAAGTGAACCTTTAAAGTTTGTCAATATTGACATGGTAATGCTTCTGATGCTTTGAGTCTGAGACGGGAATAGAATAGATATTTGTATCATCCCATCTTATAGATGAGGGTTCCTAGTCTTAAAGTGATTGAATGACTTGCTCAGTTATGAAGCTAATAATAGATGCAGTTGAAACCCAAATGTAGGTCTATCGGCTCAAAATCTTGGCTTTCTTCCCCTAGATGATCCGGACTATTCATTACAAATGCTAAAGCCTTGTTTCCCAGATCCCCAAGGCCAGATGTGATCAACTAATCAATGCCAATGGAAAAGAGTTCACCATCTTTCTAACATTTGCTAGAAAAACAACATCTTTCCATTTTAACCTTCTAATGGCATATAATCCATTTTTTATCCCCTTTCTTGTTTAATATAAGAAGAATTTTAGAGGACAACATATTGACCATGAGAACTGAGTAAACCGATCATGAGAAACACAAGTAAAGCAGAAGACGTGTCTCTTATATCATGTTAGTCTCTTCCTTTTACGGTTTTATGTGAGACTAGTCTGACCCATACCAGTCTTATTTATCCCTTTTTGCATAGGTTTATATTAAAAAAAAAACACTGGTGAACAAACTTAGTTTTTTTCTTTTCACCTAGGGTGAGGATGCAAGAGTAGGAGAAATCAATGCCAACAATATATATTAACTTTTAGGTATGTTTACTGAGTCAAAGAACATTCTACTTTCATAAGGATTAAGCCAATTTCTTTGAATCCTTATATTGATTGACCCGTCAATAGTTTTACCTGATCTATACTGACAAAGGCATAAAATAATGGATATATCGTGTCTTTATCTGGCATGTAGTACAGGATACATGCTCAAAAATGGTTTGCTGAATGAATGAACAGATGACGGAATTAATAAAATGATGGTTCTCAGCCAGGAAACTCATCATAGCAAAGAAAATCAAACAGGTTTTTTTTTCAGGATTTTTAGAAGTGCGACAGAAACTGAACCTTTTTCTACATTACAGTTGCCCTAGGTTAGCTAAATCACCATGTTTCTTTCCTTTTGCTTGGAATGAATCAGATCAATGTGGCATGTTAGACGCCTCATGTTGCACAGAAACTATGATCGAAACTTATATGTCTGATTTAAAAGGAGGAAATGGATTGGTTGTTACATAATCAATATAGTTGAGTAGAAAAAATTCTTCCAGAAGTGACTAATGAAGAGCAACTGTGAAGTGTATTATTATTGGTGGTTGAATATACTGTATACAACTGCATTAAAACAACGGACAAGGAAATAAGGAACTGTGCCTCATTCAACAGATACCTGATAATTGCTAAGAATCTAAAGAGGATCCATTGGATAGTACTCCATTAAGAAGGCATAAAAGCAAGCAAATTTATTGTTTAATCCAGGAGAACACATACCTAGTTTGGATCCATCTAGGACTTAACTCTAAGTCTTTATTAGTGTTGCGAAGTATTATTATTCCAGCTTCTAGAAACTTTCTACTGTTGTTAAATTTGAAAAACACATCTTGTAAAATGATAAAAGTTTTTCTCCACTAAAGGTGAAATAAAAATTCACAGTCCCAAATGAGTCCTAATTCAACCTGAATTAAGCATATTAAGTGTTGTGTCTGAGTTGTTAGGCCCTTTCTTATTTTTGTTTCTGAATTATGCATACTTTGGGGATCTGTAAAGCTTGGTATAAATCTGGAAATCCCACGAAAACAGAATCTCATGAAATTTTCAGGGCTCCATGCCTTGATCAGGTTGAAAATATGCTGGCACAGTCAGCATCAGCTTCAGCCAAATCATGGATGTGCAGAGGGGCCTAGCAGTACAGAATGCAAAGAACTTTGGCAAATAAGTTCAAAGCGTTTGCAAAACTTCCCAGAAGTAGTGCCACAATTTCTGGGCAGTGGCTCAGGTATGAAAGTTCTCATGTCAAATGCATCTGTCCAGTAATTCCTGGCACAGGCAATTCTAAGTGGATAGAAAGCACAACTCCCAGTTTGCTCAAGGCCAACCACGAGTATTATTCTTTTCAACATAAATATCACCCTTCAGTTCTCATTCACTAGGAAAGAGTAACCAGAAGTTAGATTTTACTTGTCTCTTTAATAAAGGAAACCAGCAATTATTAGGGGCTTCATTGTATGATATTCCGTGTGAGACACTTTTTAAATTTTATCTCATTTAATCTCCATGAAAATATTTATTGTAAATATTATTATTTTTATGTCACTGGAGACGCTCAGAGAGGTTGAGTAACTTACCCAAGGTCACACATTACTGAGTGTTAGAGGCTCAAACCTCACTCTGACTTGAAAGTTCAAGCCCTTTTCAATATACTGAGAATTTACTTTGGAGATTGCTTTAGAATTTTGGAATACAGTATATTTTTGAAAGATTTTTCTATTTTTTTATCTCTAATACATACATGTAAGTCCTTCTCATGATGAGAGATTACAATGGCTCAAAATCCATTTTTTACAGTGAAAGTTCACTGAACTCAAGGCTCTGCCTGTTAGTAATCAAAAGATAAATTACATTTTAAGTCTTGTTGTTTTGAAATAATTTTATGAGTTTTATCAAAAGCAGAAAGGAAATAATTCACAGTAATCAATGATCTCAAATGGGTTTTCTTTCTCTGTCTTTTCTTTGGCTTCTTAATCCACTTACAAGGTTTTCTGCAGCACATTTAACAGAAAATGAAGCTTAAAGCTGATTTAAAAAAAAAAGTGACAAAAATGCTGTTGGGCTCAAGGATATACAAGAATGGATATAGGCGGCTGATGGAGCTTGGAAGATAGCGACCAAATATGTGGGAGAGTAACACTCCACCCACTGCCCTCACTCAGAAAACTTTATTACTTCCACACCACCACCAGGTACTCATGGACAGTTAGGTTAATTTCGATTGCCATTAGGCTCATTATGGGTAACTCTAGGAGTAGGGATTCACATTATGGGACATGGAATTTAGTGGCATTGAGGCTAATTTTTGAGGCAACCACAGGTGGTGTGAGTTGTGATTAAATTGCTGGAGGTTTCACGGGAGCCAAGCAGGAGGCAGGGTCTCCCAGATAAGAAAACAAACAAACAAACAAAAACCCCAAAACGAAAAAGTCAGACTTTGAATTGCATACATTTTGTTCGTTTTCATGCGGCTGATAAAGACATACCCGAAACTGGGAACGAAAAGAGGTTTAATTGGACTTACAGTTCCACATGGCTGGGGAGGCCTCAGAATCACGGCGGGAGGCGAAAGGTACTTCTTACATCTGAGGCAAGAGAAAAAATGAGGAAGAAGCAAAAGTGGAAACCCCTGATGAACCCATCAGATCTCGTGAGACTTAAAGCACTATCAGGAGAATAGCAAGGGAAAGACTGGCCCCCATGATTAAATTACCCACCCTGGGTCCCTCCCACAACACGTGGGAATTCTGGGAGATACAATTCAAGTTGAGATTTGGGTGGGAACACAGCCAAACTATATCAGGTGCTTAGGGACCATCTGGTACCAATCCCACAATTTCAAACTGAGACTTGGTAAGTTAAGTCACTTTTCTAAGTTCACACAGCTGCCAAGGGACTGAGTTGGTCTTCAGATCCATGACCATGATTTCAAAGCATGGAGTCTTTAATGACTAGACTCATTCTTTGGCTTTGACCAATGAACTCCTGTAGGGTTCTATTCTGTTATCTAGAAAATGGGAATGATCATACCTAACTCACTAGGCATTTGTGGGGAGCACATGTTAGTATGTGAAAAAGAAGGAGCTGAATGCTTAGCAAGGAACTCTGCAATTGATTACTGGGTTTGCAGTAGTAGTTAAGCAGTAGCAGAAACAGTTCAGTGATGGTAGAATTTGGGAGAAAAATCGTGCCTGAAATCGAGGCATTAATACACAGCTGAATGCCCTTTCCCATAAACTGTGTTTTAATTTCCTCAAATAAAAAATTCATTATTTGTGGAAGATTTGCTTGTATAGTTTGAAAAGTCATTAAGACATAGTCTTTGGGGATTAAAAGTATATATCTATTAAGTCTATTAAATAAGTAAGGTTTTGGTCTTTGGGGTAAATGGATCTCTTATTGTTTTTCTACCAAATAATTGCAAGGTTTGATTTCCTTTGTGTTAAACCACAACTGATTTGTCTCATAATTTTATTTTCAGCACTTATCATCAGTCTTACCTATCATAAATCTCCTGTTATGTACTTCAAATTCAAGCCACTGTTCTTAAACAAAGATACACACAGGAATATATGCAACTATTGCCCAATATACATAGAATGTATTTGTTCTTCTGCTAAATTACTTTTAACTGTTAAAAAATAAATGTAAGTTTGTGTGGTGTATATTACTATCAGTTTTCAATTTCAAATTTATTCTATAATCCTGGAGCTATATTTTGTGCAAGCAAGAATTTACATGTGGAAACTCATCAAGTAGTTTTAAAATTCTTTAGTTAAAAATTTAGAATATTCTCATTCAGACATAAATGAAAATATCCTAAATATTTATTTACATAAACTAGTCTCTATGTTTCCCATCAGAACTGAAAACATAACTAGGTGGTTTTTGTTTTTGTTTTTTTTTTTTTTTGAGACAAAGTCTTGCTGTGTCGCCTAGGCTGGAGTGCAGTGGTGCGATCTCGGCTCACTGTAACCTCCAACTCCCAGGTTCAAGTGATTCTCCTGCCTCGGCCTCCCAAGTAGCTGGGACTACAGGCAGCTGCCACCACTCCTGTTTAATTTTTGTATTTTTAGTAGAGATGGGGTTTCACTCTATTGGCCAGGCTGGTCTTGAATTCCTGATCTCGCTGATCCACCTGCCTTGGCCTTTCAAAGTGTTGGGATTACTGGCTTGAGCCACCGCACCTGGCCAGAAAATATAGCTAGGTGTTCTTTACCAGAGCTATAAATCTATTAAAATGGAAAACCAAAAATATTTTTGGAAGAATACATTTTCCGGTTGATTATATTGGTGAGGCAACTGAATGACAGGGACTGGGTGTGAAAGAAACTTTTTGTTGTGTACCTCTGTTGTACTTATACATTTTGAATCATATGAATGAATCATTTAGTTATAAATGAAGCCTTTGAATTGTTATTGGCAACATTTAAAATACTTTTAGACATATGACCTATATGTCTTGGTAGTCATGAGAATGATCAAAGTTGAAGTTATTTACAGTATTTGAAATTTTTATTAACGTTTGCTTCTGTCTTAGGAGAAAAGTAATAAGAATATTTCTTATTAGAAAAATAAATAACATTCAGAGATATGAAAAATATAGACAAAATGTACAATATGATAGTCACTAGTTATGTGTGGTTGTTGCATACTTGAAATGTGGTTATTCTTGCTTGAGGTATAGTGAAAGTATAAAATACACACTGGGTATCAAAGATTTTTAGAAAAGAAAGACTGCAAAATGTCACATTAATGGTGCATATATTGATTACATACTTAAATGCTGACATATATTGGATTAAATAAAATATATTACTAAAATTAATTTTGTATGCTTCCTTTTACTTTTTAATAGAGCTACTAGAAAATTTAAAATTATTTGGTTTTCCATTCATAGCTCACTTTATTTCTCTTATTTCTCGAAAGCACTATTCTAGATAGAGGATTAGTAAATAATGGCCTTTGGGCCAAATCCTATCTATTGCCTCTTTTTGTAAATAAAATTTTATTGGAACACAGCCACATCCATTTACTTACATATTGTATATGGCAGAGTTAACTAGTTGAGACACATGGCCAGCAAAACCTAAAATATTTACTATCAGGCTTTTTCTAGAAAACATGTGTGGAGCTTTGTTGTAGACTCTAAGCTTCTAAAAGTAACATTATTTGCAGGTAGTCTAAAATGCATGTTCATTTTTTAAAAAGGCTTGAAAAATGCAAAACATACAGAGAAGATAAATTTAGGCTAAGAATGTGTAACACAGTGCAAGTCCCCTTCAAAAATTACCTTTACTTCCTAATGTTGAAATAGGAAGCTAACGTAGGCGAGCCTTAATAAAATATTGGATAGATGAGTAAATATTCAATAACTTCCATTACAAAGTTCTAAAACAATCAAGGTGAGTAAAACCTTGGGGTTTCACAGTTGAAAAATATCAGCTCTGTCATATTCCACAGGAGTGTTTGCTATAGTTTGGATATTCATCCCCTCCAAATCTCATGTTGAAATGTGATCCCCAGTGTTGGAGGTGGGGCCTATTGAGAGGTATTTGGGTCAGGGGAGTGGATTCCACATGACTAGATCAATGCTCTCTTAGGAAGGGAGTGAGTGAGTTCTGGCTCTTTGAGTTTCTGTGGGAGCTGGTTGTTAAAGAGAGCCTGGCACCTCCCTCCTCTCTCGTTCGTATTTCCTCAACATGTGATCTCTACATGCCTGTTCCCCTTTGTTTTCCACCAGTATTGTAAGGGTCCTGAGGCACTCACCAGAAACAGAGGCTGGTACCATGCTTCTTGTACAACCTGCAGAACCACAAGGCAAATAAACTTCTCTTCTTTATAAATTACCCAGCCTTGGGTATTCTTTACACCAATACTAAATGAACTAACACAGTATTTAATAAAGAGTGCCTTATCGAATGCTAGTCTCATTCATTGTTAATAGATGTTGCCCCAAAGAGCGTTATATGATCAAAGAAGTTTGCTTTTTAGTCCAAGAAAGTTTAATGGGTTTACTATAGATTTTTCAGAACACTTAATAGATTAATATGCATTGTATGTATCAAGGAAGAGAAATTTCTATAGAATATGTTCCAAAATTATTAGATCGTTGAATTTTTTTTATTGATTTGCAGTGACTGCCATGTATTTATTATACAATGGTACCACTGATTATTACTTTTATTGCCCAATAGGTGGGCCACAGTGCCCAAATATTTGGTTAAATATTATTCTGAACCTTTTGATGAGAGTGTTTTTTTTTTGGATGAAATTAAGATTTAAATCAGTGAGTTTTGAGTAAAGTCGATTTCCCTCCAAAATGCGTGTGGGCCTCATCCACTCACTTGATGGCTTTCATAAAACAAGAGCGACCTACCCTGAGCGGGAAGAAAATCTTCCCACAAATGATCTTCAGATTTGAACTGCATGATCAGCTCATCCCTGAATCTCCAGCAGATAGCCTACTCTGCAGATTTTGGACTTGGTAACCTCCATAATCATATGAGCCAATTCCTTAAGATAGATAGATCTCTCTCTCTCTCTCTCTCTCTCTCTCTCTCTCTCTCTCTCTCAGAGAGAGATCTAAGATCTCTCTAAGAGAGAGAGAGATATATATATATTGGATTTATATATATAATTTATATATGTATAAAATTATATAATTAAATAAAAATCAAATAAAATTATAATTAAATTAATTTATTATAAATTCAATTATAAATAAATTTATAATTAAATAAAAATTATATATCATATATAATTTATATATGTATATACTTTATCTATATAATTTATCTATATAATTTATATATGTATATAATTTATCTATATAATTTATCTATATAATTTATATATGTATATAATTTATCTATATAATTTATATATGTATATAATTTATATATGTAATTTATATGTATATAATTTATATATGTAATTTATATATGTATATAATTTATATATGTAATTTATATATGTATATAATTTATATATGTAATTTATATATGTATATAATTTATATACGTATATAATTTATATATATAATTTATATACGTATATAATTTATATATATAAGCCAGTAGGATATATGAATATATGTATGAATATATAGATATGTGTGTACGTATATATGTATATATACATCATATATACATGATATATATCATATATACATATATGTATGTATATATGTATGTATATGTGTGAATAGATAGATATGTGTGTGTTATATATACACATATACATACACACATATCTATCTATTCACACATATATTCATATATCCTACTGGTTCTGTTTCTCTAGAAAACCTTGGCTAATCTAGTACCTAAGATTTTAGGGTCTTGTATTGGCTCTAAAATTGCCATTGGAGGTGCCTGTTAACCCAACCTGCAGGTAACTCTGCTTAGACCTCAGCAGAGAAGAAAAATGCTCTCTTACATGAAAAAGATAAATCTAGCTTCTTCATCTTCATAACAAAATGTCAATTTTATCTTGATTGTTTTTCAGCACCTATGAGAAAAGAACAATTTCGTTTTTTAAAAAATAACACGTAAAAGATGTGTCATCTACTCAGAATTCTTTATCTAAATAAATAATTGTCAAGAATGGGTGAAGAGTGTGAGATTTTACCCTATTTTCAAGCTAGTAAGTTACTCTATCACAATTTTGTAGATGCAAGCAGTAGACATGAAACTCCAGGGCAGTAAACAAGGGCTTTATTAGTCAAAGCAAAAGCAGTAGCCAGAGTATTCATGTTTTCTTCCACTGGTTCCCTAAGCCCCAATTATGACAGGGTGACAAACAGTGGAACAGATGGCATTTTCAGTGGGTTGCATACAGCAGAGACACCCAGAGCTTAGGGAACTAAATGTTTATAATGATGTAAGCATGCCTTTCTGCTTGTTTCCAAAAGGAGATAATATCTCCATCTTCAGTACTTTTTGCTATATACACTTCCCTGAAGAAATTGCCGGAACAAGACCAGGTGGGGGTGACTCACACCTATATTCCCAGAACTTTGTAAGGCTGAGGTGAGAGAATTGCTTGAGACCAGGAGTTTGAGACCAGCCTTGGCAATATAGTGAGACTGTGTCTCTACAAAAAATCAGATTAGCTGAGCATGACAGCTCACACCTATAGTCCCAGCTACTTGGGAGGCTGAGGTGGGAAGATTGCTTGAGCCTAGGAGATTGAGGCTTCATTGAGCCATGATCCTGCCCCTGTCCCTGCACTCTGGGCAACAGAGCAAGACCCTCTCTCTAAAAAAAACAAAAAAAGAAAAGAAAAGAAAAAATTGCCAAAGCAAAGGCAACAAAGGCATTCAGTGTCTCTGCTCACAAAATATGTTAAAATGGTAGATGCCCATGGATAATTATCTATCAACAATAAGCAAGTATGTAACTATGAATTATGTATGTACATATATACATACACATATACATATACATAAAATATATTTAACTTTATCCTTTTATGAACTCAGAATAACAGGAAAGTACACAATCAGCCTCATCTCAACAGATGGGTCACCTTTCTGAAATATATTTAGTAACTTATTGTAATAGTATACATTATTTATTTTACAGAAGTTTGATCCCAGAACTAATCATATGAAGATCACTTCTGCTTGTTATATAAAGCCATTTTGAAGATAGTGTTAATTCCATGGACCCAGAATTATATAAAGATTTACTTGTTAACTTTTTTTTTTTCCAATATGGCATCACAGAAAACCTTCTCTCTTGGATAACTGTTATGTTTTCTTTAGCATGATAAAAACTACTCAATACACTACTCAACTACTCAATAACAATATAATAATGATCACTAATTGTTAATTTGCCAGAGCTATAATAAGTAAAATAAATAAACCAACAGGAAGCAAAGCTGGGTTGGGCATCTTCCCTTTTTATACAAGCAGAAAGTACAGCCACTCAGAGAGCTCCTGACTGATTTTGGTTATTTCATAACAACAAAGAAAAATAGAAATGGATAAATAATATAAAAGATTAAAACAATTAAAAGAAAAGCCAAAGGTTCTGTATTTGAAGGATTGCCATCTTTGGTTATATGCCTCCCTTTTTCTAAATACTTTCATTGAATCACACATTACATATACACCTCTTTAGAGCTTTCCCAATCATTTTTTATTTTTCTCTTTAAAAACTATTATCCTACTTACCTAATGGTGGAAATCCCAAATTTCCTACCACCAAGATAATACTGTTATGGCATTTTTATTTATTTATTTATTTAGTCATTTACGATGCCTTGAGAACTGAGTCCTGTCTATTGAAAATACATGAATAAAACACAATAGCTATGTTTAAAACGGCTTAAATCTAAAACAGTTTTGTTCAACATTTTAAACTATATAGATCTAACCTTATAAATGGAAATAAATTGTAGATGGAGCCAAGGTTTAAGCATAAAATATGAAAGTATGAAAGTGTTAGAAGAAAACATGATAACAACTAATATTAGGGGTCAGGGATGACCTTTCTGGACACGTCACAAACCAATGCATTGAACTCCCTTTGAAGTTCAGCCACTGTGATTAATAAGCCTTAGTTTTGTCATGTGGCTTCTGTATGGCCCTGCTAGAAGAGATGAGGGCTTTTTTGTATGCAATTAGAGAGGACTTCTCTTTTGCACCTGTCTTTTACTTCTAATTCACTCCCTCAGCTCTTCGTTATTTTTATGTAAAGAGCAATGTTGCTTAGCAATAACCATCTAATGTTATATCTTTATAGCTATTATTTTCCTTATACATTTTAATGCCTAGAACTTCATGTCCAGCTGCACATTCTCTTCCAACTAGGTACCCTCTCAATTTACAAGCCAAATTCTTACCAGTTCAAAAGCCACCTTGTGCCAGGGACTGTGTTCTACCTACCACCAGTGATGAGTTTCCCATTGCCTGCTGAGCTGTGGGTGATCTAGGTCCAAACTGCATCCTGCTATCTTGGGCTATCCTCAATCCTATATGTTGCAGGAGTTAGTTCTCAGGGACCAGGTGCTGCAAGAAAGTCTGAGGTATAAAATGGTGATTGGAGATCAATATCTGCAAAAGAAATGGGGGAAGCAGGATTGAGTACAGAAGTTAAACTCTAGTACAGGCTTGGAAAAGCCTGGAGTGACCTCAGACAGCCCAGTGGGCAGCCCTAGAGCAGGACTTTATAACTCCACCTGGCTCAGCTATGGGCTGTCGCTGTCCTGGGAAGGATATGAGATTAGACAAGGCAGCTTTTAGCAGCTGAGGCAGATTCTGAAGTTACTGAGAGCTGGAAGGTAACTGGTGACCACATAGCTTACTGCTAGGTAGCAAGTCCTTCCTTGAAGGGGTATCTAAGATAGTATCTCTGTGCCTGCCACTGCAAAACACATATAGAACACACAATACACACACACACATGCACACACTCACACACAAAAAGAAAGCTAATCTCAAGAACTGACAACTTAATCCATAATGAGCTGAGAGTATCTAACTTGCCTCTGCAATCTTTCTTTGAGCTCTAGTACACTGACTTTCAAAGTCTGAGATTTTAAATGACTGTCATTCACCACCTGTTTGACTGAGGAAGAATCAGCAAAGTGATTAGGGTTTTGGCTGGAGACATGAATAAAGTTGTCTGTGTGGATCGATGTCACCCTGACACTATTAGCCAACATGACAGTGATTGCTAACTGCCTCCAGGGCATCTGCTCAAATGCTTATATCACCATAGGAACAAGGCTGACCAGAACACTTCTCATGCCCTCCTCCAGGGGGCACAAGGTGCCCTCTGATTTTTATTATGAGAAGCAGATTACAGCAGTCTGGTTAGCTTATTGTCATAAATTTGCAAAATTTTGAAATTCCATTTTTCATGGTTAAGAATTACCTATATTGATGCTTCTGAGCCTCAGAAAACAATTTTAAGTACTGGAGAGAAACTGGGGATGAGTGAAAGTGTAATTTTACTCTTCACTGGATACAGCTAAGAGGGTTAAGACTCTGATATCACTAACGATTGTGGCTCTTTCTTCTCTGGTCTACTAAAAATAATTAAAATAGCTGAAATTTCTTAAATGAACTGTGTGCCAGGCATTTTATATACTCTATCTGTTGTGATTTCAGAAATAACCCTAAGAAGTATATTGGACATTGAGGCTTAGAATAGATAAGGATGTTTCCTAGAGTTGCAGGAGAGGCATGCAGTGTTAGAAACCCCATCTTTGTGACTCTAAACCAATTCTCAGCTCCTCCGCCAGACAACTCACCAGATAAAACCTTTGCATTTGCAGCAGAAAGTGAAGCACCTTAAGATTAAAGGTATGTTCAAATTCATTTTATAATGTTAATCCCTACAATGATCCTTTAAGTAGAGAAGTATCTTATTCCTTTCTTATAGATGAAGAATTTAAGGTTCGTAGGATCAAAATGACTGACAGACGATAATGTGGCTAGTCATCTGAAGATACGGAAATTGAATCCAAATGCGTGTGTGTTGTTTTCATTTTCTTTTTCAAAAAGGCAGCCACAAATGAGATGCAGAGGAAAATATTGCATGTAAGCTCTTAATAAATACAGAAACTCCAAATTCCATATTGCCAAACTATATAAACAATCTTCCACAAATAATGCATTTTGTTTGAGGAAATTAAAACATGGTTTACTGGAAAGGGCATTCAGCTGTGCATTAATGCCTGAATTTCAGTCATGGTTTCTCACCCAAATTCTACTATAACTGAACCGCTTCTGCTACTGCTTAACTACTGCTGCAAATCCCAGTAATCAATGCCAGAGCTCCCTGCTAAGTGTTCAGCTCCTTATTTTCCATTTACTGACATGTGTTTCTCACAAATGCCTAGTGAGTTAGGTGTAACCATTCTCATTTTCTAGATAACAAAATAGAATCCTACAGAAGTTAATTGCTCAAAGTCAAAGAATGAAGCTCATCATTAGAGACCTCACACTTTGAAATTATAGTCATGGACTTGAAGAAGACCAGCTCAGCCACTTACCAGCAGTGTGAACTTGGAAAAGTGACTTAACCTACCAAGTCTCAGTTTAAAGATATAGGATTTATACCAGATGGTCCCTAAGCGTCCATTTAGCTCAGAGTCTAATTTTTTTCTCTCCCTAATTTAAGTAGAACCTCTTTCCTGCTTGCGCTCCCATGAAACCTCCAGCAATTTAATTCCAAGCCATGCCTACCAAGATAGATAGGTTATACGTCTAAAAGTATTTTAAATGTTGCCAATAACAATTTAAAAAGCTTTGTTTGTAACTAGATGAAGCATTTACATGATTCAAAATGGGTAGGTACAACAGAAGTATATATTGACAAAAAGTTGCTTTCATACCCCAGTCCCTGTCATTCAGTTGCCTCACCAATATAACAAACCAGTAGGCTTATCCTTCCAACAAATATTTTTAGTTTTCCATTTTAATACCTTCACAACTCAGGTAAAGGACGCCTAGTTATGCTTTTAGCTCCAATGAAAGGCATAGAGATCGGTTTATGTAAATAACTATTTAGGATATTTCCATTTATGTCTGAATGAGAGTGTCCTATACATTTCTTTAAGTAAAGAGATTTGTGTGTGTGTGTGTGTGTGTGTGTGGTTTTTTGTTTTGTTTTGTTTTGTTTTTTTGAGACAGAGTCTTACTCTGTCGCCCAGGCTGGAGTGCAGTGGCGAGATCTTGGCTCACTGCAAGCTCTGCCTCCCGGGTTCACACCATTCTCCTGCCTCAGCCTCCCAAGTAGCTGGGACTACAGGCACCCGCCACCACGCCCAGCTAATATTTTGTATTTTTAGTAGAGACAGGGTTTCACCGTGTTAGCCAGGATGGTCTCAATCTCCTGACCTCGTGATCCGCCTGCCTCAGCCTTCCAAAGTGCTGGGATTACAGGCGTGAGCCACGGTGCCCAGCCAGTAAAGAGTTTTAAAATTATTTCTTGATGAGTTTTTCCATTTAAGCTCTTGCTTCCAGGATTGTAGAATAAGTTTGAAACTCCAAACTAATAGCGAAATGTACCACACAAGCTTATACTTATTTTTTAGTAACATAAAGTAATTTAGCAAAAGACCAAATATATTCCATCTATATTGGGCAAGAATAGTTGCATACAGTCTTGTGTGCATCCTTGTTTAAGAAGAGTGGATTGAAACTGAAGTACGTAAGAGGAGATTTATGATAGCTATGACTGATGACAGGTGCTGAGAATAAAATTATAGAACAAATCAGTTGTGGTTTAACACAAAGGAAATCAAACCTTGCAATTATTTGGTAGAAAAACAATAAGAGATAGATTTACCCCAAAGACCAAAACCTTATTCTTTGGTAGATTTAAAAGATATATAATTTGTAAATCCCCAAAGCCTATATTTTAATGAATTTTCAGAAGTCCTAATTGACTCAATCTTTGCAATAGTGACTATAAATTTAAACTACCTATTCAATTTGCCAAGAAAGAGAGCTTCATTTTAAAATTCTGCAATATAAATTTCCTTCAGAATTTGACATCAGGTTATACTTCACTCTTTTTACAAAACACATCCATCAGCAGCAGGGTAGAGAACAGTTGTACTCATTTAGTGGTGAAGTAAATCTCTGTATTGCATATCTCCTTTTGACATCAAAATTGTATCCACAACTATCTTTAACAAAATGATCTGGTTGAGAGCATGTCGAAAAGACCAGATTTATGCCTCTCATGACAGCTATAACTTGGCCACAATGCATGTAATTAAGGTATCAATTTAACAACCTGTACAATAACAAAGTTGTATAAAAATGCAGGAAGCATTGAGTTATAGCAGTTATGGGTCGTCCCTCCAGTGTTGAATTTCCTCTTTGTCAAGCATTCATATTCACTGCCAATGTGTCTTTAAGAGACATGGAGTGACAGCTGTCTGCTGATCTCCCTTTCCTCTCCCTGGTCTCTTGTAAACCTTCTTCCCCTGTCATCGAAGTCTTGCTCCCCTGATGCCCAGCACTGCAATGCTCAATAGTTCACTTTGACAATGATCTCTGTGGCCTCTTGGGCGCTTTAGAAAGAAGGTAACATATAGGTACCCAGCCACACTGAGGGTTTTATTGAAAAAATAAGTCATTTGTTGCAGACACACAACAAAGTCAAGCCAGCCTTTCTCTAGAGGGCATCTGATTCTGAGCTGGAGTTTTTCTCTTATGAGAAGTACAGGCAGCATACCATGAAGTGAGACTAACAGGCGAAATTGAGTAAACCATCCATGAACTGACAAGAGTTGAGATGATGAAAAGGATATTTACCAACTTTTTATAAAACAAGAAGAGACTGAACATTGCAAAATTTTTTAAATATATAAAAATAAGAAAACGTAGTAGAAAATGTAATTTTTTCACAAATATGATTTGGATATTCTGGTTTTATTCCTGCGATGCTCGTCTATCCCTTGGTTCTTCTGGGGAGTCCTTGTTTGTCCACGTGTCCTGCTTGGTGAAGGTGGTGCTTATGTCCTTGTTAGGTTTTCACGTAATCTCTCTCTCCGTTGAACTTGCCTACACAACACATGGTTAATCTAAATCAACTTTCTCCCTCACCTGATGAATTTATCTTAGGAAAGGATATACAGCTTTGTCCCATTTGTTTTGTTGCCTAAGGAGCAGCATGAATGAAATGGGGTGGGGTGAAGGCAGCCAGGAAGGTCAGAGTGGAAAACTACTGTTCTATCTTCGGTTTTTCCTCTGAAAGAAAATCATCTCGGTGGCAAACTGACGTAAAAGAATCAGCAGCTCAGTTCTTGCAAAATTCTTTAAGCTGCTTTGGGAATTCACAGCTAAAGAAACTCTCAAGGCTTTTAGAAATGTATTTCTAGTGAGACCTCCCCACTCTTCAAAATCTTTCCTAAAAGCAGAGTAGCATCAAAACAAAATATGGAATTCAAGTCCTAATTCAGCCACTTTGATAAAGCACTTGACCTGAGATTTTAGCATCAGCATTGTAAAAAGGGATGGTAATTATAAAATGCACCTCTTATTCTTTTGGGGATTCAGTGAAATATGTATGTGTAGAACATTGGCAATTTTCCTTATAATTATTATTAGTTAGTACCGTTAGTTAAAAACTAATAGTATCCACTGTTGCCATAATGATAAGGATAGGACCAGTTAAAAACGTGAGGTATTTATAAAATGCTGGCTGCCGTCTATGAGCTGGTGTGGGTTCTCCATTATGCTTCACAGAAGACAATGTGCACTTGTACTCTTAAGAGTAAAATAATTCAGAATTATTTATATATTTTTTTTAATTTCAGATATGTAAGAATGTGGGATGTTATGCTATGAGCTCTATTTATCAAGTTGATTGGGTGACCTCACTTTCATCTGGAATCACTCATACACATTTGCCAACTGATCTTCCCAGTAGCATGTCAGAGCAGGCTGCATTTTAATGAAGTCGCCTCTGTTTATGCTGTAAAAACAACCCGAAACAGAAAGAGCATTTAGATCTCCTGGTCCTGCGACCAAAATCAATCCACCAAACTCTTTAACAGCCTTAAAAAGCAAGCAAACAAACAAACAAACATAAAACAGAACAAAACCATGCTCATTTGAAGTGTATGCAAGTGGTCTCTAAGAAAATCTCCAAAGTAACAGTGAACTGAACTGCAACTTTAGAAAGTCAAAATAAAGAGGAGTTGATGTATAAAAATGATGCTAGACCTGGAGCAAAGAGGGCTTCCCTCTGAGACAGGATGGATCACATGCCAGGGCTGGGAAGCTTCCTGTTGCTTCATGGTATTGTGCAGTTGCTAAGATTGAATACTGAGAGCCCCCGTACTTGGGATCATGAATAAAACCTTGTGACACCTTTGATAAGACTGTTACCCTTGGAGCTGAACCAAGGTCCATTTGGGAGGCTGCACTTCCCATCTATTTTTCAATGGCTTTATATAATTCCATCTTACTCTAAGTTACTCTGCCATTAATCATTTACCTCATTTCCTCTCATACTTTGGAAACTATAATAATAGAAACTCATCACATAATGGCTAATCCACTGTGCCAAACTAAAACAAAACAAAGCAGCCATTAACAGAGGAAAGATCTATAAAACAATTCTCACCAGCTCCCTGGATCGTGATGCAGGAAAAAGAACATTGTCCTATTTTATAAGAGAAATTGTCTAGAAAACTACAGGGTCAAGGGCTGAAACTGACCTGCTTGCTGATCAATCAATAGCATAATGAATTATTGAATGGGTATCAAGATAATTACTAATGTGCCTTTTATAATTGATGGTTTAGACATGTTCCACTTCCATCTGAGGATTTTTAATTCCTATTCATCCATTTGTAGGATTTCCCTTTCATCTTGGTTGTTTGGGAACTGCTATTGATAAAGCATAAGAAGTAACTTAAGGTGTCATGTGTAACCAGGTAAAGCTGAAAAATACCTGTCGATATCAAATCCACTGTAAAAGCTGAATTGTTAGCCACATGGAAATGTTCCTTCATCGTACTTCAGCTTGGGTTACTGTCTTAGTCATTTATGCTGCTATAACAAAATACCACAGACTAGGTAATTTGTAAACAATAAAAAATTACTTCTCACAGTCTGCCAGGCTGGGAAGTCCAAGATCAAGATGTCCGCAGGATTAGTGTCTGGTGAGGGCTGCTCTCTGCTTCCAAGATGGCGCCTTGCTGCCAGATCCTCCAGAGGGGAGATATGCTGTGTCCTTACATGGGAGAGGAGGGGAAGAGGGTGCTCCCCTCGACCTCCTGTGCTTGTATAAGAGCCCTCATGACTTAATCACCCCAAAGGACACGTGTCTTAATATTGTTGCATTGGGGATTAAATTTCAACATTCGTTTTTGAGGGGACACCCCTCATTCAAATCCTAGCAGTTACTGAGCTCACAGATTAATTTCAGAGGACATCAGAGGCTGAGCTTTACTCATACACTCTTCAGCTTTGTCTTGTTTGAACTTGCAGATTCTGAAATGCTTTTTCTTAACTGATCTTAATAGTCACTCATGATACTTAAGCATCTTTTATCCAAATTGTCCATGCAAATATATCATGAGGTTTAGTTACTGCATTAGGGCACTTCCTTGAAACAACAGATTATCACCAAATCATTGAAACAGAACAAATCAAGCTGGAATTAGGCCTGGCTCTTACCTCCTCTCTCTCTCTCTCTCTCTCTCTCTCTCTCTCTCACACACACACACACACACACACACACACACACACACACACACACACAATTGAATCCATAACCACAGCATTGTACATAAAGACCCCTCTTGCCTCTGCTGGATGTTTCCATTGGGTGCTCACAGCTCACATCTTTATTGGATAGTGTGAGGAAGGCAGACAAGTACAGGAAATGGACATCTGCTTTGGTGTCACACTTTCTTATTTTGTCTCCAGATATGCTGTGTAAGTTTGGGAATAAAGTTCTTACCCTCATTTGCTCTTTATCTCAGAGTCCTTAATCCACATTTGTAAAATAGACATCTTCTCAAGGATGTCAAGATATCTATAATATCTCAGATCATCTCTTCTCCTGTCCTTTTTGCTTAATTTTTAAAACCCATACTTAGCAGGCTCTTCTGAAGTTGGCTTTCCACAGTGTGAGAGGCAGATGGTCCAAAAGGAAAGCTTATTTCTGATCTAGACACCTCTGTGCTCCTGAACCATACCAATGATTTTGGAAAGTAAGAACCAACAACAGTCAAAAGCTGAGAACAATAAGACACATAAAACTAATCTTGAAATTATTCTGTGATCAGTGTGGGTCCATTGGAAAAGGTGTGCCATGAATAAACCCCAGTTAAATTTATCCAGGAGCTAAGTGAGAGCACTCACAGAGTAAAGGGGATCTTGAACAAGTATACTGCTATGGTTATGAACTCTCTGGCTAGAGGATGGAAGGCTTTTCTCTTTTTCCGGTTCAGTGTTAACTTCTTTTCATTGGTAAGAAATAGAAACATAGTAGTCGCATCTAGTGTTTTAGTCAAAAATATGCTCTGAAAATTGCATGGCAAAATAGATAACAAACATACTGCCTATCTTCTTTCACTAAATGTTAGACCGTGCATTTCTGAAGACAGATAAACCCAGCATGCTTATGGATTTTTTTTTTCTTTAAGCTGACCTAAATGGTTTTATAAGGTCTGTCATTGCAAACCAATATGAAAGAGAGAGAGAAAGAAATCGACCTGCTGTCACATGAGAGACATGAAATATTAGATCGTTCCTGGAATACGGGGACCACTGAGCATGCCAACCCACTCTCAGCTAAGCTCTGATGGAGGAAAGAGTGACAGCTATTTATTAGAACAGAAAACAGGGTATGTACTTTAAAGATCAGCAACATGATGTAAATATTGACTCATCTCAATTTTTAAGCTGATGAAGGAGTGTCTGTAATGTTAAACCCTCCTTCTGCAAATCGGTCCTGTCAACACAAGATGATGGGAGGGGTGGATATTGACAAGAAATGAGAAAGGATTTACTGACGGAGTGTTTCTATTTTTTCTCATTTAAAATACATGGAGCTACTTTATAAGTCTCCATGGAGCAGTAGAAAGCCAGGCTGTCAATTCCTGGAGGAGATGGTCAGGCACAATTTCTATCTCCCAGTTAAAGAAGGACCTAAATAACCATGTTCTTCCCAGAGAAAGATAACTATGCTAATGTTTCAACATTTAAATTTTCATTTAACTTACCCAGATGAAAACGTTTATTTCTCTTTTTAGCAGCTGCTGGGAATGTTCAAATTTGAGGTTTGAGGAAAGTACTGGAAACTTAGAAGTTTGCAAGTGTATCCTGCTTTTTGGAAGTCTGTTCCTCGGAACAATAATGATAATATCTTTATTCCCCGTGTAGGAAGAGACTTTCTCTAACACAGAGGAAATCCATTTGTTTTCTTGGATAATTTCACTGACTCATAAGGGCGTCAGGAATCAACTTACCTCAGAGTCTCTATCTTCTTATCTTTAAAAGTGCAAAACATTTCCCTGACACCTGCCTTAAGTCATAGTTGTAATACTTGATTTAGAAGCACACACAGAGTTTAAAAGCTTCCTTTTAAAAGGGAAGTTGCTATAAGTCTTAAAGTTTCAGGCACTCAGATTCCTTTGCCATTCCTCTGACGAATGCCATTGAGGCTCTTGGGCTCATCTCAAGTGGTAGTATTTCAGGTCAGTTTTCAAGATAAACGAATGATACAATACATTCAATCAAATATGTGCACTCTCTTTTGTACAGAAGTACATAAAAACGAAACTTAAGTTATACCCTGGAACATTTTGTGCTTCTATGCACCTGTATGTTCCAAGTATGATTCATAGTCAGTCAAATTCTGGGTCTGAAAGTAACAACCTCCCACTTTTTTTCTTTTTGGTAGCTATCATACATTAGAGTCCATTCAGCTTCATAAAGAAAGGACAACATACTGAGGTAACAATACATGGCTACAGACTTGCTTGATGTAGTACAATATATCAGATGATTACTGAGAGATGGATGGCTCACCCTTTCGTTAGAAGGTAGAGGCAAAAAAATCACCAAAACAGCTTTTCTAGGTGTTTCCTTCTATCTTTTTGTGATTCGTTCAGTAAACATTTGAGAGTCAGCCCTGACTCTGAGCATATTTCTGGCAATTTAGCATTATGCAAGTATAAGGCAGCTTGTGAACTCACAGGTGAGGGGGCTGGGAAAAAGGAAATTTAAAGAGCTTAGCTGAGAGATGAGAGGAAATCCATATGATGTTAAGGTAATAGACATATCTGCGGTTGAATCATGACTCTGTCATATTTACATGACTTTGAGCAAGTTTTGTAACATCTTTGAGCCTTAGTTTAAATCTCATTCTCCTTTTATCTTTCTAGCTCTGTCTCTATTTCTATCTTTATATTTCTATATTTCATCTCTGTCTCTCTCTGACTTGTAGCATGTGCTCATTTCCATGGTGTTATAACCCCTCACTGCAGCCGACTTCAAATTACTAACGTAGTGTCAGTGAATGTGGAGGTGGGATGAGATGTGCACGACTGGCCCATGTGAGCAGGCTCCAGCATTCCAGCTGCTCCTTACAAGGTGCAGCACATACTGAGATATCAAAGGAGGTGTGGTTGGATCATACTAAGGAAGAGGAAGAAGAGAATTTCAGTCTTTGCAACAATCATAAAAAACAGAATGTGTCTAACTCTAGAAACTGTGAGGGGAGACAGCATCTCTTGTTTTTAAGGCAATGAGAAAGTTGAATGAATATCCATCCTGGGCTCAGAAGTAGGCTCATAGTGCTACAAAGTTGAGTCATTTATGAGAAGTTGAGTAGAGTCAAGGGAATCTGTGGGTTGTGAGCATTATTCCTGACTTTCTTAAGAATAGATACAATTAAATTTAATCACTTTCAGAAGTGCCAGGCTACAGGCTAGGTTCTGTTAATACAAAAGCGTCCTTTCTCCCAAACGCTTTATGAGGTGTAGGAGAATAGAGATATCTAGACAAATCAATGCTGTTATTATAGATGGTTTTGAAGATGGGTCCCATCCTACAATGGGGTAGTAGAGTTTTCACAGTTTACCTTGGAGAGTTCAAGGCACTCTTTAAAGAGGAGCTGACCTTTTTCAATCTTGAAGAATGTGTGAGAATTTCACAGAGTATCTGAAGTTGAGAGAATCTCGGCATGCAAAGGCTTAGAATAGGAAAGAGCATGGTGTGTTTGAGGACCCAGCAGTATCTCAGTGCGAATGGGATGCAGAGTGTGAGGGGTGGTTATACACAAGCATAGACAGGCAGATGGGGGGGCAGGGGGGTTACGTCTCTCAGGCTTCTCCAGAGAGGCAGAGTGAATGAGATAGACATATAAAAGGGATTTTAAAAAAACTTTCAATAGTGTTCAGGGTACAGGTGGTTTTTGGTTACATGGATAAGTCATTTAGTGGTGATTTCTGAGATTTTGGTGCACCCATCACCGAGCAGTGTACACTGTACCCAATATGTAGTCATTTATCCCTCCCCTCTCTCCCTTACCCCTTGAGTCCCCAAAGTGCATTATATCATTCTTATGCCTTTTTATCTTCACAGCTTAGCTCTCACTTATAAGTGAGAACATACAATATTTTGTTTTCCATTCCTGAGTTATTTTACTTAGAATAATGATCTCCAGCTCCATCCAAGTTGCTGCAAAGACCATTATTTTGTTCCATTTTATGTCTGAGTAGTATTCCATGGTGTATATATACCACATTTTCTTTATCTACCCATTGGTTGAAGAGCATTTAGGTTGGTTCCATATTTTTGCGATTGTGAATTGTGCTGCTGTAAACATGCGTGTGCAAGTGTCTTTTTCAGATAATGACTTCTTTTCCTTTGGGTAGATACCCAGTAGTGGGATTGCTGGATTGAATGATAATTCTGCTTTTAGGTCATTAAGCAATCTCCATACTGTATTCTGCAGTGGTTGTACTAGTTTACATTCCCGCCAGCAGTGTAAAAGTGTTCCCTTTTTACCACATCCACATCAATGTCTATTATTTTTGGATTTTTTAAATTATGGCCATTCTTGAAGGAGTAAGGTGGTATCTCAGTGTGATTTTAACTTGTATTTCCCTGATAATTAGTGATATTGAGCATTTTTTCATAAGTTTAATGGCTGTTTGTATATCTTCTTTTGAAAATTGTCTATTCATGTCCTTTGTCCACTTTTTAATGGGATTATTTGTTTTTTTCTTACTGATTTGTTTGAGTTTCTTACAGATTCTGTATATTAGTCCTTTGTTGGATGCATAGTTTGCAAGTATTTTCTCCCACTCTGTGGGTAGTCCGTTTACTCTGCTGATTATTTATTTTGTTGTGCAGAAGCTTTTTAGTTTAATTAGGTTCCATTTATTTATTTTTGTTTTTGTTGCAGTTGCTTTTGGGTTCTGAGTCATGAATTCTTTGCCTAAGCCAATGTCTACAAGACATTTTCTCATGTTAGCATCTAGAATTTTTATGGTTTCAGGTCTTAAAGTCTTTGATCTATCTTGTGTTGATTTTTGTATAAGGTGAGAGATGAGAATCCAGTTTCATTCTTCCACATGTGGCTTGCCAGTTTTCCCAGCACGAATTATTGAATAGTGTTCTTTCCCCATTTGATGTTTTTGTATGCTTTGTATTTGGTTTTATTTCTGGGTTCTCTATTCTGTTCCATTGATCCATGTGCCTATTTTTATACAGTACCATGCTGTTTTGGTAACTATAGCCTTGTAGTATAATTTGAAGCATAAAAGGGAATTTCTTATGGGAATTGGCTCACTTGACTATGGATGCCAAGAAGCCTCACCATTTGCAGCCTGCAAGCTGGAGACCCAGAAATGCTGGTGGAGTAATTAATAATTTGAAGGCCTGTGAACCAGAGAAATCAATGATGTAGTTCTCAGCCTGAGACCAAAGACCTGATAATCACTGTGGCCACTGGTATAAGTCCCAAAGTCTAAAGGCCCAAGAACCTGGAGCTTTGACATCCAAGAGCAGAAAAAGAAATAGCCCTGCTCCAGAAGGGAGAAGGAATTCACCCTTTCTCTGTCTTTTATTATATAGAACCCCCAAATGAAGTGAATGATGCCTACATTGGTAAGGGCAGATCTTCTTTGCTTAGTCTCCTGATTCAAATGCTAATCTCTTCCAGAAA
Source organism: Homo sapiens (assembly GCF_000001405.40). NCBI lineage: Eukaryota > Metazoa > Chordata > Mammalia > Primates > Hominidae > Homo > Homo sapiens. The sequence goes on along the minus strand of NC_000014.9, from coordinate 87,038,168 downwards.
TGCCCTCACAGACACACCCAGAAACAATGTTTTACCAGCTATCTGGGTGTCCAATAACCCAGTCAAGTTGACACGTAAAATTAACTTTTACAGAAAGCAAGTCCTTAAGGGTCCTGTGCATCCAGAACAAAGGTGTTACTTTCATCATACAGAAATGGCAATGCCTGGCTAAGTGATGCTGTCACACCACTTGTGTGAAACAAAACACTACATGGGTGGAGAAGTGATGAGCTTTGCCCTGTAAATCTGATATTTGCCTGAATGGTGTTCTCTACACAACTCTTCATGAACCTGTTTCTCAGGTAAATCACCATCCACACAGAGACCCTTCCTTAATCAGCTTATTTAAATTTCTTGAATTTCTTTTTTTTCCATAGGGCTTACAATAAAAATAGTTTCTGTTTTATAGATATGCATTTCAGTTTCAGGTGTCAAAGATACACCACATTTGCTTTCCTCTATGTGAATTTAATTCTGACCATAAACATCTATCCTGCCTGCATCATGAGAAGAAATTTCACCCCAATCATATTTGGAGTTTCCTGTACAAGGGCTCTGGACAGTTCCTGGGGTAATAGCTAGCATAGAGGATTGGGGAGATTCCTCACGTCATGTGACCTCCTTTTCCCAGCCTCATGTGTCCCTTTACCATAGTAAGGGCTGTGTCTTCTTTACCACAGTAAAAGCATGGAAAAATTCGGAGAAATTAGGGCTCAACCTCCCCGCAGGTATCACACAGTTTTTCTCTTCTCAGGTCTGATCACTGCTAGGGGTTCTTCATGAGCATGTGATTATGAGGCAGAGAGTTGCTTCTTCTCCCAGGCTCCTAGAAACATGTGCCCCTTCTGCTTGGCAATCTGCTTGGAGTAAGACACAAACAAACAAACAAACAGCAACAACAAACCCCATGGGATGATAGATAATCAGTTTTTAAACATTTTTCAGTTATAATTTTTAATATTTATTGTGTTGGGGTATCTGTTCCCACTCACTAGGCTATGGATCTTGGGGGAGCAAGATCTTCTCTCTTGTTCCTCAAACAACTGGCAGAGTGCCTGTGTGCGATAGGGTTTTTATAAATATGTGTTGAATAATTTCATTTATTCTAACCCACTAAATAAAGTTTTACCAACTTAATTTTGCACAAGAAGTAACCTACATATAACTTTTTGGTACTTAGCAACAACTTTACAACCAAAGAGTTGAAATAACTGTAAATATTCCAACTAGTTATGCCCACGACATCACAGGTGGTTGTTGCTATAAAGCACCTGCAAGACAAAATTAAAGTATCAAGAGTTCTAGATTCAACCTTTTTCCCTCTACACAGGATTTCAAGGTCCTTAAATCATGCGTATAATTGAGTCTTTAGGTTTTCTTTTTCCCAAACAGGTTGACATTTTCTTTTCCTCTTCGAGCCAAGATACTACTCTGGTAAAAAATAAAAAATAAAAAAAAGGGGTTGAGGGGGATACAGAAAGAAAGTTTAAAATCCTCCCCCTTACACTGAATTTTCCATAGAAGTGTGTGAATGATTAAAGACACTGATTTTTTTTCTTCTCACAAAGAGATGGCCTTAAAATGCTATTAACTAAAAGCTATATAGGTACATGAATAGTCAATAAAGGGTAGATTTGCCAGCAACAAACAGAAAAGTCCACATTGAGCACAAAACCAGTGAAACGGACCAGAATACGCACATGGAGATCACACTCTTAAGTTAGAAAATGTTTATATTTATTTATACCTCAACATTTTTAAATTCAGAAAAATCACCTTTCTCTAATTTAAATGATTCATAGAAGGCTGTTATCTTACAGGTTTACTGATAGGATCTTGATTGTCAGCATTTCTCAGGTCCAAATGCTATTTCTCAGGTCCGAATAGGTATTCCTGTAATCATTACACCAAATTAATTATGTTTGGCCACTCAACAGTCATCTATATTCACTCTCTCCTATAGTAATCTCTATTTTATTAGCATGTATCTGCTATGTTCTCTTGTAGATAAAAGTTGTGTTTTAAAAAAAGGCATACACATTGGATTTGGAAAACTCAGTATTTCTGGCAGAAGAAGTAGGGCAAATTTCCATACATCACTCAGGCTTAGCTTTCTCTGAGACAACACATGCTCTTGAGGCAGTTATGAAGATAAATCAAATGCAGTGATTTTAAAATTATGCTGGACAGAGTCTTAAGGATTCCCAAGAAAGAAGGGTCTTTCAGATCTCTTGTAGACTATAGAGGCTATGTGTTACTATGCCCTTGCCTCAAATGTCTCACCTCCACCATAATATCTCTAGCTTAATTTGTTATATTAATAAAATAGATGGGCCTTCTCTTTGCATTGTATTTTGTTTATAGCAAGATTCTGCTCTTAACACTATTTTTGAATATCATTAAACTGAGGTGTACAAAACATTGTATAAAAAGTAAAGGACTGTTATCATACTGTTATTTTTAATTGGGCTATGAGGTTAGATTCCATTATTAGCAAGACATAATAAATTTTAAGCAAAAAGATTTGTAAGTGTAAGAGTGTTTAGTTTCTTTTGACCAGGATGCCTGAATTTTCTAGTTCATACTGTTTTTTTAGTCCCCAGCCATGTGGCTCAGTACTAATTGTTGTGCTTTGATCAAATGTGATTTATGCATGTATATGTTTCAACACTGATTTTTAAAGACTGATTAACAACATACAGAGGCTGGCTGATCAGCCAGTAAGAGCACTGCCTCTGCTTACATAACTGTGATCTTAAATACACACTTTAAGAAAAATAAACCTTGAAGCCAATAGTGCATTACAAGAGTAATTCTCAATATTCAGTGTAATATAAAACTCAGCACATCTATTCATTGTCAAATTGGGATTTTATGTTTAGTTTTGCTGATGCTGTTCATAGGTTGTACCTACATACTTTACAGTTTAAATACAACACTGTGATAGTCCCAAGGGTCTCAGATCTTATTTGCTTTGGAACAGCAGAACATGCTATTTGGACACATCAATATTGACCTTGGATTCTCTGGAGGATTTTTGCCTGGATTCTGAGCATTCAAAGACTAACATCATCAGTAACAAGTTATTTACTGAAAACAGGAGCTAGTTTTAATAAGAGAGAAGCATCAAATAGACTTAATGTTTTAAATGGAAAGTTTGACAATTCAGATGAACAAAAGAACCATTCCGTGGAGCACCCTGGCTTTGAACACATCTTCATTTCCATATGAGGTAGATCACACTGGGACTGCAGGCATCCTTTCATGCAAAGTGTCTGATATTACATGTATATAATTAGTGTAGACACAGCATTAAGTACTTTGGCAGTTTATAGCTTGTTTCAGTCTCATCTTTCATTTCCTTAATCAGGGAAGATAGTTACCTCAACCAAAACAGATTGAAAGAGACATCAAACAGATGTCACTTAACTCCTATAGAAGAACACAGGATTGGAGAAACATTACATAGATGTTATAATTCAACAGCTGAACACCAGGCAAAAATTCAGCTCTTAGAGTGCTAAGATTTCATTTTGCAAAGAAAGAGGGCTGCCAGGACCAAGGAGGGAGGAACAGTGGCTCTCATTTTGAACTAGGATAAACACTTCTTGGTGAGACCAATGTACTACCTTCATAATTTTCATGTGTTTAAATCATGTTGCTATGTTTTACAGGGGAATTTTGTTAAATTGAAAACAACACAGTGGTCCTCCCTTACTTACAGTCTGCTTTCTAAGGTTTCTGTTATCTGCATTCAGTGGAGATCCAGAAGTATTACATCACTACTCTTGTGTTTTGGGGCCATTATTAAGTAAAACAAGCACCATGGTACTGTAAAAGTTTATCTGATCACCAAGATCGCTGAGAGACTAAGGACAATCCAGGCAGGATGGAGCAGGACGGCATGAGATTTCATCATGCTGCTCAGAATGGCACACTTTCTAAACTGAGGAGTTGTTTGTTTTTGACATTTCTCACTTTCCTCACAATGCTTACATCATTCACCTCACTTTGTCTCCTCATATAGGCATTGTATCATCTCACATCATCAAAAGAAGAAGGCTGAGTACAGTGTAACCCATTTTGAGAGAACCACATTCACATAAGGTTTATTTCAGTATATCATTACAATTGTTCTATTTTATGATTATTGTTGCTAATCTCCTACTTTGCCTAATTTATAAATTAAACTTAATCATTGGTATGTGTGTATAGGAAAAAAATATGGTATTACATAGAGTTTGGTATTATAGTATCCGAGGTTTCAGGTATCCACTGGGAATCTTGGAATGTATTCCCTGTGGATAAAAGCGAACTACTGTAACCAATAGCTTGGCTTCAAAATGCATTTTGAAATTTTTCTTTTTCCTTTCTTACTTTTAGCCTTGGAACACAGTTTAAAGCTTCGTTTCCCTACCTTTCCAACAGACACTCCCTTGCACTGCTGGCTTATCTAATTATGTGTTTGCTTAGAAATTCCAGGGACTAATATTGAGATGAACCAGGCATGGAGACCAAGCTGCAAAATTCCAGAAATGACCTCCAGGTTGTTAGTCTACAACCCAGCCATCGTCAAGATAACATTAGACTGCGTTCCAGGTGGACCATGACTCAAGATAGCCACCAGACCAAGGCACGGACACCTAGCACCCAGCACCACTCCTGCATGCCTCCCACTCTAAGTTCCCCTTTATAAACACCTCTCCACAGTCGAAAGTTTGAAATCGTCTTTTAAGGGCATGAGCTTGGCCATTCCCAGATCTTGGCATTTGAATAAAGTAGCTCTCTGTTCATCACACCCCGCTTCTCGTGTTTTCAGCCTCTGAGTGGAGCAGCCAGACTTGCGTGTGGTGACGCTACTGTATGGCTACATCAAACAGAAATAGAGACCAAAGAAGAGAATGAGGAGAGTAAAGTTAGCAGAAGTGGAAAAATAAAAGATAGCTCTGGGGCCGGGCGCGGTGGCTCACGCCTGTAATCCCAGCACTTTGGGAGGCTGAGGCGGGGGGATCACGAGGTCAGGAGATCGAGACCATCCTGGCTAATACGGTGAAACCTCGTCTCTACTAAAAATACAAAAAAATTAGCCAGGCGCAATGGAAGGCGCCTGTAGTCCCAGCCACTCGGGAGGCTGAGGCAGGAGAATGGCGTGAATCCCGGAGGCGGAGCTTGCAGTGAGCCGAGATCGCATCACTGCACTCCAGCCTGAGCGACAGAGCGAGACTCCGTCTCAAAAAAAAAAAAAAAAAGAAAAAAAAGGAAAAGAAAAGACAGCTCTGGAAATCACAGAGCAAGGTATGAATAACCAGAGTTTTGGGAGAAGAGTGGCAGCCTTCATAAAACCAATTCCATATTTACTTGGATGTAATTTGAGGAACAAAAAGAGCCATACAAAATATTCTCATTTTGTGTCACTCTGACAAGTAAAAATAAGAAACCAAATACACATACAGTGTGTACCACAGATTATAGTCTTATGTCCTTACAAAAACTTTTAAGAATTAAAGAAGTGATGATTCTCATTTTCCTAATTGTAACAACAGAAAGACTGAGGTCTAACAAGTAACTTTCTCTACGGAAGCTATGAACCAATACAAACCAGAGCCAAGCACTCCAAATCCTGCATTCTTTTCACATCTTATACCAAGTTGCCTGCTGGTGTTCTGATGCCCAAGCCTGTCCTTCTTTCTCCTCTTAGATGAATCACATTCAATCACAGTGTAAACAGTGTAGAACAATATTTTGGCAATCTGCTATAGAAACCATAATCAGAGAAAATATTAATAACCCTGGCAGGGACCGAGTATATTTGTACGCTCCACCTATAACCTGAGAAAAACACTATCTCCTTTCCATGAATATTGCACGCTTTGTGAGGCAGCACATCAACAATATATCACCTTTACTGTCAACTTCACAGTAAAATGTGATGGCATATTATAAATGGTGCGAGACACTAGTTGGGGAGCCAGAGGATGGCTTTCTTAGGTACTAGACAAAGGTCTAATGGATGGTCGTTTTCCAGAATTGTATAGCTTTGTTTCACTTTGCATAAATATTGATTACACAGTATACATGTGCTCCTACTGATTAGATGGACTGGGTCTCAGAAATTTTCTATAGACTAGGGAAATGCTTTTTGAAGTGAGTTTTACTTGCTTCTTTATTACCTAATAAGAAATCCCTTCTACCTTCAAAATGTCCAATAAAATTATTGCCAAAACTCAAAATTTGGAAGCGCTTTTCTTTTCTTTTTTTTTTTTTTCTTTTTTTTGAGATGGAGTCTCGCTCTGTCACCAGGCTGGAGTGCAGTGGCGCAATCTCGGTTCACTGCAACCTCTACCTCCTGGGTTCAAGTGATTCTCTTGCCTCAGCCTCCTGAGTAGTGGGGACTACAGGTATGCGCCACCGCGCCTAGCTAATTTTTGTACTTTTAGTAGATACGGGGTTTCACCATGTTGGCCAGGATGGTCTTGATCTCTTAACCTCATGATAAACCTGCATCAGCCTCCTAAAATGCTGGGATTACAGGCTTGAGCCACCGTACCCAGCCGGAAGGGCTCTTCTTAATCCTATCTTCTTACTAACATGACATAATCAGATTCTAATATACTATGTATCAGGAACTATTTTCATTTCCATTTCATATTTAGAAACCCAAGCCACTGATGAGTTGTAGTTGGTTTTGCTGGATATATGTTCCTAATATTTTCACAGCAACTGCATGTCAAAAACGACAGAGTACGCTTATAGTTGACTAACTGGAGGGCTTTTTTGGCATAATAATTGCTATATCTATTTATGTTAAGAATTTTAAAACCCTAAGAAGCAAATATTGCAATTATTAAATATTATCTCCCCTTCTGCAAGAAAATTCTTTTCCTTAATCGATTTTCTTAAGGTTTTGGTAATAATATCTCTATCCTCTCTCATTCACACAATAGCTTCCTTCCAATCTTCATGAAATTACCTGTAATTTATGTATCACTCGGGAGCACTGCAACCCACATTATCCATGGTTCTAATCTCACATTGAAAATCGAAATATTGTGTGATAAAATTAGAAAGAATATGAAATAACTTAAGTCTTTTAACTCAAGTGCAACTCTTCGCTTTGAACTTAGTGAAAGGATTCTCTTTGTTTTGGCTTTGGAGATGACTCATTTTGCAGAAAAAGAAAAAAAAAAAAGCCCAACATTGTCTCGCCTACTGCCCATAACTCACCTTAATCCTTAGTTCGTAAATCAGGGTTTTCGCCTTTCTCAGCTTCTGAAAACAAATCCAAACCTTCATAAATGCATTTTCTATTGATCCGGTGGTTATGAAAACCTTTACATTTTCACTAGGGTCTACCATTCATGCCTATCTCCCAAGATAAATTACAGTTTCAAACTGAGATGAGCTAAACTGGTTCAAACACATTTTGAAATGGGATCTCCCTCCATGGAAAACAGTTTGGCTTTGAAGGGAAGATCAGTCTTGAAAAAAAGTTCTATATTTTCCCAAGATCACCAAGTAAGATTTTGCCACGTTCATTTTCTTAGATGTACTTGGTTAGGATAGAAAAAATGTCAATCTGTTAAAATTGGAGTGAGCTCACAGAAAGTCAAAAGTTCACAGGATGAGGCAAGAGCAGGAGAAGAGTTTTGCCTGGCAAGAGCAAAGTGATGGCATTGCTGAGTGACAAACTGCCTGATTAGAAGAGACTGGGGAAAGGACAGGTGAAAGGGTTTTGGATTTAAGTTGAGCAACAACAGGCAAGACAGGAACTGTCATTTCTTTATGTGAGAAATGATGTCATGAAGAGTCATGCCCTGAAGTTTTGTACCAGAAGCTAGTGAAAGATGGGTTGGGATTGGGATAGTGACTGATTCTTGTACGGCTATTGAGTTCTGGGTTGAGAATAAAACAGAAAGCAGTGGTAGCAGGATCATGTAAAGCACAATTTGATTCATCTGCTATGTCTCTTTTTGATAGAAAAAAAAAAGCAAATAGTAACACTGACCTTCAGCCATCAGCCATTTCCTTAAAGTTGCATATTTAATTACATAACACAGTGGTTAAGAACATAGGTTCTGAATCAGATTGCCTGGCTTTAAATTCTGGCCCCAGCATTTACCACATTATCACTTTGAGCAATTTTGTTGACATTTACCTGTCTTAGTCTCCTTTCTGTAAAATGTACCTACCTCATTATTAGGATAATGTATTAGTCTGTTTTCACACTGCTATAAGAACTGCCCAAGATTGGGTAATTTGTAAGGGAAAGAGGTTTAATTGACTCACAGTTCAGCATGGCAGGGGATCCCTAGGAAACTTACAACCACAGTGGAAGGCAAAGAGGAAGCAAGGCACCTTCCTCACATGGCACTAGGAAGGAGAAAAGCGCAAGAGAGAGCAGGGAAAACTACCTTATAAAACCACCAGATTTTGGGAGAACTCACTCCCTATCACGAGAACAGGATGGGGGAAACTTTCCCTGTGATTCAAATACCTCCACCTGGTCTCTCCCTTGCCACATAGGGATTACGGGGATTATAATTCAAGTTGAGATTTTGGGTGGGGACACAGCCAAACCATAGCAGAGCACTAACATGACTTAACCCATGTGAAGTATATAACATGGTGTCTAGCACCTAGGAACTATTTTTTAAGTATTAACAATTATCATTATCTTAAAATTCATGTGAAATTTTCATTTACTTGATTATATAACCCTATTTGCTTTGATATAACAATAAATATGTAAATTATTTACTACTCAATGAAACTGTTCAGGAAATAGCCTGATGTTTACAATGTGGCTTTCTTTATGTATCTCTGTCATGACCCAGCCATCCTTGGTGGCTTTGTATTCCAGTGTTAGGAGCACAAGAGTATGCAAGAATGCTAGTCTCTTACTTTTGTCTGCTGGGACTGTTGGAAAAAGAAGCCTAAGAACTCCATTCATTTGAGGGGGGAGTTCCTTGAGGATCATTCACTAGCTTGGTCATTTTTATGCACTTGTCAAGTAAGAACCCACTCTCAACTTGCCAGGTGAGTTGGAATTAGACCCCACCAGCTAAAATTTGTGTCCAGCAATAGAAATGGATCTGTAATTAAACCCTTTCTTTGAGGTACCTCTGGGCCATGAACAAAATAAAATCATCCCCATAACATTTTCAGGGTCATTCTTTATCCTACAAAAGGAAAATATCAAGCATCTGAAGGATGAATATGAAAGTCAAAGAATTTTCTTCCCCGCCCCCACCCGCCACGGACTCTCAAAGGAAGTAAAACTTACTCAAAGAACTCTATGACAGAAGGAATAGTGACTGTCTTGCACTGGATGTATCTCCGGTACCCAACAGAGTCCCTGACACACATTAGGTGTTCACAATACAATTTGTTGAATGAATGATTGCATAAACACATTCTTGGCTTGGCAGAATACATTAGGAAGCTGAGATTAGTTTTATTGTCAATAGATAATTTGAAGGAAGACAACATAAGAAATAGCACAGGCAGGGCGTGGTGGCTCATGCCTGTAATCCCGGCACTTTGGGAGGCCCAGGCGGGCAGATAATGAGATCAGGAGATTAAGACCATCCTGGCTAACATGGTGAAATCCCCTCTCTACTAAAAACACAAAAAATTAGCCAGGTGTGGCGGCACGCGCCTGTAGTTCCTGCTACTCGGGAGGCTGAGGCAGGAGAATCGCTTGAACCCAGGAGGCGGAGGTTGCGGTAAGCTGGGATCATGCCACTGCACTCCAGCCTGGGCTACAGAGTGAGATTCCATCTCAAAATAAAAAAAAAAAAAAAAAAGAGAGAGAGAGAAATAGACAGCATGAGTTAAAAACAGTATATTAGATGTATTTCGAGTCACTTATCGAGTATGGTTCAGGATATGACCAACTGTGAAGAATTCACATTGACTGTATTTATGCCTGAGGCGGCAGTATATGGTCTGAAGAGCTTTCTGTAAATGAAATCTCATGTTTTTCCACACGGTGGAAGGATATATGCCAAGAGTTTTGTAAAGTACCCAAATTTGCTTGTTTCCTACTCTAACATAAACCATATCAACAGAGAATCTGAAAAGTTCATTGAGGACAGGCCAAGTCTCCCCTCTGACTATGACCTGCCCTCTGCCAAAGATTGGAAATGCACATTGTAACAGAAACTCTGTCGAAATTAAAACCTTTTGGAGAATATGCTTACGAAAATTACATTGGGTATTAATGACAAAACTAGAATCAAACAATAGGATATTTTAAATTGGAGCAGCAAAACTATTCTCACACACACACACAGAATTCTGAAATGGTATTTTTTTGGGGGGTTGCATTGCCCTGTTCTGTAAATTTTAACTGTTATTAGAAGTAAAATGAATTCTTTCAGCTAAAAGTTATCTATTGAAGCAATCTATGTAGGAAATACCAAGCCATCTAATCAACTATCATTTTGTCAAGTTCCTGACCATCTTTTAATTTACACTCATTATTATCACTGGTGTAACCTAAACTTTCAAATTCTGGGTTTTTTAATAGGCAAAAGCTATGTCTCTCTTAACTTCTTTCTATTCACCTATGGCCTTTGGGAGATAATCTACATCTTTGCATGTAAATGTGCTACAAGTGACAAAATAACAATCTAAAATAAAATGTGTCAACAATTTGAGACTCATAAATCCTTTCTAAACATAAAAATTTAATGTTTTGAACTTTAAAAACAATTTGTCTTTTCATAGCTAAAACCATTTGAAACTATTGAAAATAGTCTGAACAGTTAAATTACATAGAAGGAGATTCAGACATTAAATATTCTCTTTATTTTTCATTTTTTGTCTTTAATAAAAGACAAAAGCTACCTTCGAAAATTTACACAAAAGTAAATTCCTCAAGCCTAACCATTCAGCAAGATTTCCTTTAGCCAGAGACAGGAAGTGTTTTGAAATGTCCCATCATGATGATAGATTTGTTTACTTAATTTAATACATTCAATAGATTTTGTTTCATACAAATGAGGCTACTTTATTAAATATAAATGTTTTATCTTCTTGGTAAACTTTTCTCAGTTACTGTTATGTCAAGTAGACAGATCTGTAAAGACACAGAGATTTGAACAACACAACTAATAGGCAGAGTCAAATGAACCCATATATTTTTCTTTCAATTCTTCAAAGAAAAATTAGAATAGACATTCTTTTCAACCATTATGGTAGATTTTACTATTGTCCTCATCTTTAAAAGTATTATTATTCCCATTTGTGTCATGCCTCCAGGTACATTGATTATATGCCCCTGCCCCAATGTCACACTTGGTCAAATGACTTGCTTTGTCCAAGAGAATGTGAACAATCCAGGCACCAATAAATAACTATAATTCGCTTATGTGGTTTAGTTTGGCCTTAGGAGTTTCAGCTGTTTATCATGAGGACAGCATGTCCCAGATAGATGCTGATCCTTCACCATAGGGTGAATGGGAAAAAATGGGGATCTCACCTGAGCGCAGCTGAGTTGAACACAACTGGAGCTGATGCTCAGCCTTTCTACCGTGAGTTAAATAAAAGTTTTGTTGTTGCAAACCATGAAAAATTGGATATTTGTTTTTATAGTAAAAGATGACTGATACAAGCATGTGGTGTTAGGATACAAACTGATTCTTATCAACTTTTAAAGAATTAACATCATATAGAATTTTTTTTCTTTTTTTCTTTTTCTTTTTTCTTTGAGATGATGTCTTGCTCTGTCGCCCAGGCTGGAGTGCAGTGGCACGCGATCTCGGCTCACTGCAACCTCTATCTCTTGGGTTCAAGCATTTCTCCTGTCTCAGCCTCCCAAGTAGCTGGGATTACAGTGCCTGCCACCGCGCCTGGCTAATTTTTGTATTTTTAGTAGAGATGGGGTTTCACCATGTTGGCCAGGCTGGTCTTGAACTCCTGACCTCAAGTGATCTGCCTGCCTCAGCCTCCCAAAGTGCTGGGATTACAGGTGTGAGCCACTGCACCCAGCCAACATCATACAGAAAATTTTCTCTAAACATATTGTAGATAATTTAAACAAAAGTATAAAACATATATACTTGGAAGTTGGAAATAAAACTTATATGTTTTATGGCTCCAAGAAGAAATCAATAAATTTTTTAAATATGCAGGAATGAATGATAGGATAACATTATATATCAAAATTGAGGAACACAGACAAAGGAATAATCTGAGGGCAATTTCTAGTCTTAAATGTATATATTGGAAAATAAGGAGGGTGAAAAATAAATGAATCAATTGTCCAGTTTGAGAAGTTAAGAACAGCAGAATAACTGGAGTACAAAGGTGAAAATAAAAATGAAAGCCAAAATCAATACAGAGACAAAAAGAATCCACAATCACATAAGTTGGCTCTGTTAAATACCTAGTAAAAGAGATAACCTCTGGCAAAATAGATGTCCTTTCAACTAAAAAGAAAGAGTAGACAAAAATCCCAGCACTATGAATAAAAAAGGGCTATCATAGCAGGTACTACAGATTCTTTTAAAGGCAAGAAAGAATCTTGTCAAATTTACTTCCAAAAAAAGTAAAAGCTTATCTTACTAAAGCAAACTCAAGAAAAAAGATAAGTTACAAATAGTTTAGTGATTAGAGGGGTCATTTAAAAATTATCCTATTCAGCTTAGACAGATTAATAAGTGAGTTTGCTTAAATAGTAGAATGTGTTAAACATAAAAATTCTTTCAGAGAAGAGAAAAACACAGAATGTTTTCTAGCTCATTTCATTTGAGTATTATATTTAGCATATTTTTATACCAAAAATTTGTGAGGTATAGCAGAAGAATAGAAAGTTTAAATTACCATTTCCTCACATTTTAGTTTGTGAAAAAAAACTAAAAATATAAGAAGCCCAAACTCAACAGAGCATAAATATAAGATTTGACTTACCTTAGTAACACAAAGATATTTTAATATTTAAACATCTTTACATCTGCATGGATAAAAGCCTAATATACGAGAGTCAATTACATATTTACACGACAGCCAAAAAGTTAAAGAAAACACTTTGTAAAAATAGATCAGTTTTAACATTTACAAAAGTATAAAGTTTTTGGTTAAATATCTGTAACGAAACTGTTAAAGAAATGCAGAAATTATAAAATTGCATCAAAAGTCAGCTCAACGACAGAAATAAATGGAGATAGCTCATTTTCATGGAAAGAAAGAATTGACGTCATAAAGATATCTGTTCCCATCACTTTGTTCTGAAGATTTAATAAAATCCATATGGAAATCAAGACAGAGTTTATTGTTTCTTTAAGTACAAATTCATTATACCAAACAATATATTTTATTTATAAATGCTTGACACACACCAAAAATGAAATCTGAATGATATCTTTTACAATAGCATCTCAAGTAACAAATATCTAAGAATAAATGTATATAAGATTTCTATATATGAAATTCAGTCTTTATAGAGAGATTTAAATACCACTACACAGATGACTATAAAACATCCTGGGAATAACTAATAATGAAAAGACACCGTTTTCATAGATTGAAAGAATCCACAATGTAGAGATACAGATTTCCCTCTGATTGTTCATAGTTTTAAAGCAATTGTAATCAAAACCTGTCATTCACATATGTGTGTATGTACGTGTATGTATAAATTGAAAAGATTATTTAAAATATGATATAGAAATGCAGAGATCTAAAAACAGATGATATGCTCTAGGAGCTTTAAAATATGGTATGAGAACTTAAAATGTTTGTATAAAAAATAGTATAATGTTGACCAAGTATAAATAGTACAAAAAATATGCCATAAGAAAAAAACAGAACCATATCCACATTGACACTTAATTTGAGAGAAAGGTGCAATTTCAGAGTAATGGGCAGAAAGTCTTTTTAATAAACAAATGGAAACAGTTTGATATCCAGAGTTGTAGGGGAGAGGGGCTGGGGAAGAATCTTGGCCCCGACCTTACACCATATGCCAAAATAGCAATTTCACATGGAGTATACACTTAACTATAAAAGAGTACCAAATATATAATATATAAGCCATGAGCAACTTTTAGAATATAATGCAGAAAAATTCTTTTATGCTTCGGGGTAGGAAAAGATTTTGCAAACAGTATACAAAATGCACCAATCACAAAGGAAAATATCAAGAAATTTGATTATATTTATATTCAAAATTTCCATTCTTGGGAAATATATACATATATATTTGTATATATAGACACAAACACACAACAAGAGGGAGAGAGAGAGAGAGGGGTGCTACCATTGAGTGTGAAAAGACAAACCACACAGTTAGAGAAAATATGTAAAACAAATATTACCAATAAAAGATTATGTAGAATATAAGGGAATCCAACAATTCAAAGAGAAAAAGAGACATCAAAAAGGAAAAATGGGCAATTACAAGGGAAAAATATGTTTAGCCATAAAACATATGGAAATGGACTCAATATTATTAGTAAGCAAATAAACACAATTTTAAATTGTGATATACCACTACCCATCCATCAGAATGGCTAAAAAATTAATAAAACAAAAACTCACTCAAAACAAAAACTCAGTAGATGTGGATGAAAACATAGAAGAATAAGAACTTGTATATATTTCTTATATATGTTCAAATTCACTCATTCATTTCAGCATTTTCTATTAAATTTTAATTTGTGCATCCTTTATGACTCATAAATTTTAGTCTCAGTATTACTCTAGAGAAATGTATGCATATTTGCAACAATTCATGGAGATGCTATTCTTAATAGCTCCAAACTGAAAACACCTAAATTGCTATCAGATAAATTAATTGTGGTTACATTCATACAGTAGAATACTATACAGAAATAAAAATGAATGAACTATACCTAAATGTTACAACACGAAGGTATCTTAAAAGCTTAACGTTGTTCAAAAGAAGCCAGATACAAAATAATGCTATATTTTTCCGCTAACAAAATATTCTAAAGCAGGAAAATTATACTACATTACTAATGCACACTTATAAAGCATGACAGGGTAGTGATTATCAATAAAAGTAACAAACTGATTACATTCAGAAAGAAGAAAGAGATTGTGATTGAAAAGAAGCATTTGGAAAACTTCTGTGAAGGAAGCTTTGTTCTATTTCTTGGTGTTTACATTATAATATGTTATGCAGCTGCACATTTATATTTTATGCACATCTCTGTAAGTATGTTCTATTTCACAGTAAAATAGTGTTTTCAAAAGTGTGTATAGACTTGTGAATTGGCTAGATGGTCCAATATATTTTTGAAAGAGTATATTTAGGAGGGGCCTATAGAAAGATTTATAAAAAGTACAACTAATTAAGACAGTGTTATGTGTATACAGAGATCACACTGCCTTAATGAGTGTGTGACCAGTGGAACAGAATAGACAGCTCAGAAGCAGGCTCTTGTGAGAATTGTGTATAGAAACGAGGTAGCATAGCAAATTACTGATGAAAGAATGTATTGTTCAATAAATGTAGATAAAATATGTACTATGCCTAAGTTAAAAATTAGATCTCTAGCTAAGACCATGTATGTAACTAAGCTACAGATGAATTTAAGCATTTAAATACCAAAAGAAAAAAATTTAAACTTGTAAAAAAACAGAAGAATATCTTTCTCACCTCAAGATATGAAAGGATTTCTTAAACGAACACAGGAAGTCGTGATCATGACTACAAAGACTAATACTTTTGTCTATATTAATATCAGAAAGTTCTGTTTATCAAAATACACCTTTAAAATATGTAAATGAAACCTAAAAACTAGGAGAAAATATGTACACCACATTTAACCAACAAAGAATTTCAAACAAGCATATATAAAGAACATCTATATATCATTAAGAGAAAATTTCAACAGCAGTAGACTTGAACATATATATATATAATAGCCATATGAGTAACTATCAATCTCACTACTAACAAGAAAAATGCAAATTAGGAACATAATGAGAAATTATTCTACAATCACTTGATTGGAAAAAGCCGAGAAGTCTGACAATACCCATTGTCAATCAAAGTAATATTTTATACAATGCTGGTAGAAGTGGAAATCAGTAAAACCACTTCAGAAAACAATTTAGCATTGTTTTATTAAGTGGGATATTCGCATAACCTATGACTCACAAAACCCAGAGCTAGGTATACATGCAAGATAAATTTTATGTTACGTGCCAGAAGACATTTCCAAGAATATTCATTGTATTTCTTCTATTTATAATAGGTAATAAATAACGAAATAACTTTCAATGGGAAAACTGATTCAAAAAATGATGGCCACAATGGAATATCATAAAGCAGTGAAAATAAATGAACTGCAACTTAACACACAAAAGATAGGTCCTAGTAGCATAATTCAGAACAATTTGACATTAAAAAAACAAATTAAAGAAAAACAAATTTTATTATCTTAATAACATTTTACTCATTTTAGTTATATAGTAGTCCTTCCTTATCCAAAGGGAATACACTCTAGGATCCCCAGTGGATGCCTGAAAACACAGTTGATACCAAACTCCCTATATTTTATGTTTTTTCCTGTATGAACTTATATGGTAATGATATATTTAATTTATAAATTAGGCATAGTAAGAGATTAACAATAATAACTGGCCTGGCATGGTGGCTCATGCCTGTAATCCCAGCACTTTGGGAGGCTGAAGCGGGTGGATCACCTGAGGTCAGGAGCTCGAGGCAGCCTGGTCAACATGGCAAAAGCCCATCTCTACTAAAAATACAAAAATGAGCTGGGCATTGTGGTGGGCGCCTGTAATCCCAGCTACTGGGGAGGCTGAGGCAGGAGAATCGCTTGAACCCGGGAACCCAGGAGGCAGAGGTTGCAGTGAGCTGAGATAGTGCCACTGCACTCCAGCCTGGGCAACAAGAGCTAAACTCCATCTCAAATAAACAAACAAACAAAAAACACAATGATAACTAATAACAAAGTAAGGTAATTATAACAAAATACTGTAATAAAAGTTATGTGAATGTGGTCTCTCTCTCTTTCTCAATATCTCTTATTATACTGTGGTCACTTATTTTCAAAGGCGATCATGGGTAAATGAAACCCCTAGTAAGAGGGCACTACTGTATATGTATGCATTCATATGTATTGTAAAATGGATAGTAGAGTAATATATCTGTATATATAAGCATTGAAGGGGTGGCCTATCCCTCCACATGCCCGGCGCTCGGCATACGGAGGACTCGCGCTGGCACGGGTCTCTGAGTTCCCTCAGTATTTATTGATCATTATCTCTACCATCTCGGAGAGGGGGATGTGGCAGGACAATACGGTAATAGTGGGGAGATGGTCAGCAGGAAAACATGTGAACAAATGTCTCTGTGTCATAAACAAGGTTAAGAAAGAGGTGCTGTGCTTTGATGTGCACATACATAAACATCTCGGTGCATTAAAGAGCAGTATTGCTGCCAGCATGTCTCACCTACAGCCTTAAGGTGGTTTTCTCCTATCTCAGTAGATGGAACATACAATCAGGTTTTACACGGAGACATTCCATTGCCCAGGGAAACAGATGCCTTACTCTTATCTCAACTGCAAAGAGGCCTTCCTCTTTTACTAATCCTCCTCAGCACAGACCCTTTACGGGTGTCCGGCTGGGGGATGGTCAGGTCTTTCCCTTCCCAGGAGGCCATATTTCAGACTATCACATGGGGAGAAACCTTGGACAATACCTGGCTTTCCTAGGGAGAGGTCCCTGCGGCCTTCCGCAGTGTATGGTGTCCCTGGGTACTTGAGATTAGAGAGTGGTGATGACTTTTAACAAGCATACTGCCTTCAAGCACTTGTTTAACAAAGCACATCCTGCATAGCCCTAAATCCATTAAGCCTTGAGTCAACACAGCACATGTCTCTGCAAGCACAGGGTTGCGGGTAGGGTTACAGATTAACAGCATCTCGAGGCAGAGGAATTTTTCTTAGTACAGAACAAAATGGAGTCTCTTATGTCTACTTCTTTCTACATAGACACAATAACAGTCTGATCTTTATTTTCCCCACAAGCATATTATATGTACATGTATATATACATATATACGATATATCCATGTGTGTATATGTCATATATATTGTATACATATAATAAACACAAACTTCAACAGAGTGATAACTGGAAAGGAAGATGAGAACATACCGCGGTGAGATAGAAGAAAAGCCCAAAGGTATAATTAAGTTATTGGAAATATTATATGTTTGGGACTGGATAATAGTTTCCCATTTACTTACTATACTACTGCCAATAAATGAATAAGGGGCTGAGCTAATGGAGATAAAACCATAAAATTGCTTGTGTTCTCTGTGTATTAAAACTGAGTTTCTTTCATCAATTGCTATGAAGGTTGGTTTTACCATAGATTTCTAGCACTAAAACCACTACTTACACATTATTTACCAGCATGCACTGGTCTACCTCCTTTCCATTACAAAGCTTCTTATTAGCCTTTAGCTAGCTATGTAAACTGAGGCAGCCAGTTAAGACCTAAAAGCTCAGATTTCTTTCTTGGTGTAATGGAATAAAAAATACCAACCCTGACTATTTTACAGGGTTGTAGCCAGTTCAAAAGAATCAATATAGGAGAAATCTCTGTGAATCCTATCAACTACACTGCTATTGTAATATTTCTATTAGAATAGAATAATGCTTCTTAATGCATTATTATTAGAAATTGCACTCAAATTTGAATGCTAAATATAGTCTACTAATAAATATAAAGCTACATTTATTCACTGACTTGTAAATTATATATTAGTAAGCATGTTCTGGACACAAAAGACCATTTGGAGTTTTGGGGTCAGAAAATTCACAGTAATCTGATAGACTCTGCCTAATAAAAGTAACTGTACTTTTAGGTAGGTGATGCTGACAGATGCATGCCAGTCCTAATCTCCCATGACAACTAAGACAGTCATCCCCCACACTGCTACAGATTTCAGTAGCGAGTCTTCCTTAATTTCCCTCTTTGCTCTGTATATCCTGTTTTAACAGCCCCCATCTCAACAGCCCTGCATTTCCCCATTCAGGGGTGCTTGGAGTGGAAAATTTACAATTTCTTTTTTTTTTTTTTTTTTTTTTTGCGATGGAGTCTCACTCTCTCACCCACGCTGGAGTGCAGTGGTACAATCTCGGCTCACTGCAACCTCTACCTCCCAGGTTCAAGCAATTCTCCTGCCTCAGCCTCCCAAGTAGCTGGGACTACAGGTGCCCACCACCACGCCCAGCTAATTTCTTTTTTGTATTTTCAGTAGAGACGGGGTTTCACTATGTTGGCCAGGCTGGTCTTTAACTCCTGACCTCGTGATTCATCTACCTCAGCCTCCCAAAGTGTTGGGATTACAGGTGTGAGCCACCGTGTCCGGCATAATTTCTTTTTTTAAAAAAACTGACTTTTGGCTCCCAAAGCCCTAATTTCAAGATACATTCTTTTTCATGTGGATCTATTATTTATGTAAGAGAGACTTGCTCAAACGTTCATCAAGTCAGATGTAACTTGATAAATCTCAGTTAGATCATTGTGGACTCTTTTCTTATCCAATGAGAATAAACTGACTTTTCTCCATCTCTTTTCCATAATATGGCTTGAAACCTGACACTATTTGGGTTGAAGGAGGTAAAACTTCTTTGACAGCAATTACATAGTTATTTAAGCATGGTGACTAAGACTTGAATTGTCTCCAGGCAAGATTTTTAACAGGAGGCTTTATATTCTTAACAATGCCTCAGGTAATTTCTACTGTTTTTTTCTTAACTTCCCATCTCAGTATCTGTACCATTTCCTTGGAAAAGACATCAACAGAATTTCAAATTGGCAAATGGGAATTGGGATAAACTTAGAGGTGCCTAAGATACAGATATGATATAGATAGGTAGATGAGATAAGTAGATGATAGATAGATAGATAATCACTTTGGTTTTTATAAGATGGTTTGCAAGCTAACTCATCATATAATTATAATAAATATTGAATTTCCTTAAACAAATCTTCATTTTTTTCTCAACTGAGGATCAACTCATACTCTACTTACCTCAATATGTTAATCACACCTTGATCTTGCAGATTTAAAAACAAAAATCAGAAATAATAAAATGAAAAGATGTACTCTTAAAAAATAACATCTTAAATGAAAAATCAGAAGAAATTTCTTCAAGTACATTTTATGTTATCTAAGTAATATTCCAAAATTGGTTTCAAGAAGAAACTAATTTTGACCTCTTAAGCAAACACTTTCTTGTTTGACATGTGTCCTTAAATTTGGAAATTTAATATAATTGTTGGCATAAAGTTAC
The DNA here is from genome assembly GCF_000001405.40 of Homo sapiens. Taxonomy (NCBI): domain Eukaryota; kingdom Metazoa; phylum Chordata; class Mammalia; order Primates; family Hominidae; genus Homo; species Homo sapiens. The sequence continues at coordinate 87,017,858 of NC_000014.9, read as the reverse complement.
TGTATGTTAGCTTTCTGTGTCATTGTGCTTGTCAAAAATCAACAATTTATTTGAGTATAAGGAATCCTTCAAGGATGAATACCAAGAGCTCATATTAAGATTTTGGTTAAAAGTGGAGCTGAGAAAGTTAGTATTTATCTAATTCTTACATAATCCTTATGTAGGCAATGTAATTTTTTTTTTCAAAAATCTTTTGAACTCTGAGATTAACTATGCAGGGGATAAAGAACTAGAAGGCATCCCTTTAGTATCTGGGGACCAGCAAAAGGGATTACTTACTACCTTAATTGCCCAGCTAATGGTCTTTGGTCTCATCTATAGAAGTAACAGCAGGTGCTCACTGCAATACATTAAGAGTCTATAACGCTCAGGAATGTTGGAAGCCAAAACTAACAGATACTCACCATATCCTTTGAAGTGCCCTCCTAAACTCTTAGTACTCTAAATATCTCTAGAAAAGAATACTTTTGCAAAATTAAGACGCTGTGGTGCTTTAAAATATCTCATGCTAAAATTTCAGGAATTTAGGGATGCCCTCGGATATTTCAGGGTCTAAATACACTGTTAAGAATGTAACAGTTCTTCACCGCTCCACAGGCGATAGTTGGCATGAAATGCATGTGGCCTCTCTCGCAGTTGGGAAATTCCTTGTATCTTTCATCAGTGATGCGCAGGTTAAAAAAAAAATAAACTACTTAGCTTTTACTCAGTGTTTAATAAATGTTCATTGGGATGAATCTACCAAGTTGAGATAAAATTATCTTTAAAATGTAGGCCATTATCTGTAGCATAAACCCCTGGTAAAACTTCACAATGGTATTTTTTTATTTACTGCACTATTGCTTTTGGATTATGCAAACTCATAACCTAACATATATAAGCTTTTCTTGGTAAGTGTTAGTGCAACTAGACTAATACATGTCCTACAATATCTTACAGTAATCATTATATCCAATCTTTACATATCAGCCAAGGAAGATGGATATTACAGCATAACAATTTTTTAAAGAAAACTTGAAACGTAACAAAAACATTTAAAATGAGATCATTTAAAGAGCAGAAACATTAGGAGATTTAGAAACTGACTAATAATACTTCTGTCTTCCATGTCAAGAAGTAAGCATTAAAGAGATAGCATCTCACATCAGTTAGAAGGGCGATTATTAAAAAGTCAGGAAACAACAGATCCTGGAGAGGATGTTGAGAAATAGGAACACTATTACACTGTTGGTGGGAGTGTAAATTAGTTCAACTGTTGTGGAAGACAATGTGACGATCCCCAAGTATCTAGAACCAGAAATACTATTTGACCCACCAATCTCATTACTGGGTATATACCCAAAGGATTACAAATCATTCTACAAAAAAAAGAGACACATGCACACTATGTTTATTGCAGCACTATTCACAATAGCAAAGACTTGGAACCAACCCAAACACCCATCAATGATAGACTGGATAAAGAAAATGTGGCATATATAAACCACGGAATACTATGCAGCCATAAAAAAGGATGAGTTCATGTCCTTTGCAGGGACATGGATGAAGCTGGAAATCATCATTCTCAGCAAACTAATACAGAAACAGAAAAACACCGCATGTTCTCACTCATAAGTGGGAGTTGAACAATGAGAACATATGGACACAGGGAGGGGAACATCACACACCAGGGCCTGTCAGGGGATGGGGGATTGGTGGGGGATAGCATTGGGAGAAATACCTAATGTAGATGATGGGTTGATGGGTTCAGCAAACCACCATGGAACATGTATACCTATGTAACAAACCTGCACATTCTCCACATGTATCCCAGAACTTAAAGTATATTACAAAAAAAGAAAGAAGAATGAAACAAACAAACAAACAAACACAGCCCAATACTGCTCTCAATCAAAGAGACTGGGTTATTAAAATACGATCTTTTGAAGGGACAGAACCTTGTCCCTTTAGTTCTCTAGTTTCCTGAGATAAATAACTGGACATCCACTTATAGCCAAGGGACACATTCCATTACATTCAACTATTTCTGTTTCAGAGAGTTCCGTATACTTGTAAACCTACATCAGGGTAAAATCTTCATCTCTGTGTCCAAGAGCAGTAAGGAAATGTTGAAGAAGCCTATACTATATTCCTCATTTTAACCTCTGTCTTCTTATAAATAAGTTTCTTATTTTAAAAGCTTGCATGCCAGTATGTCTAATTCAATCATTCTCAATCAGGTTAGTAAGAGAAGTAGAAATTAGAATGCTGAGCATTATAAGCTTTCACTTTGTGATAATAAAATAGCAGAGAGTTTCCATTATAGTTTCTGAAAATTTAGGCAGAGCCAGATTCCATTTTCTTTCAGATAGGTCTGCCTATACTGAAAGTTTTAAAACTCCCGGGTTACATTTAAAGCAAACGAAGAATTTTTCCATTTTCTAGGTATCTAGCATGGATCGTTGAATCTTTATAGCTTTGGCATGGAGGAAAAACATTGTGCTCCCTTGATAGGCAAGCAATATCTTTCTTTCCTAGAGGCATTATAATATCATGGCTAAGAACATGTACATGTGTTGAAGATGACACTAGGTGTGTTATGATGAACCACATGGTTAAGATCTCTGAACCTCAACTGTTCTAAATATAATATTCGTATCTCATTGGAAGTTTCGTGAAGGCAAATGAGGTATTATATATGTTGCACAGGAAAACAGCAGCCTCTGCAATGAATATCTGCCACATCTGTCTTCCCAGTGTCCGTTTGTCCCAAATTAACATTAGAATGGGGAACAGGTATTTATGGGCATGTACCTTCCCAGTCCTTACCACTTGGTGGCACTGATTGGTTTAAAGATTGAGATGTGATGTAAACAAGTCAATCATAATCCTTCCCTGAAATTGGTCCATAAAAGAGACCTGAACATGCAGAAGTCAAGGTGAAAGATGAGGGGATGGATGTAATTAGAAAGAAAGTGAAAGCTTTTATGATCATTTCTGTTCTTGGTTCCAGTGTGCCTGAAGTTTTATCTAACCTCAGACTTAGCAGTTACGCCGTCTAATAAGCTGGCCCCTTCTTTTTCATTGGGTATGCTAATTACACTGGGGTTGTATCACTGACAGTTGGAGGTTTTGACTCATGGAGTCAGTACCTTCTGAACACTTTGGGTTTTCTTGGAATCCTATTGCAATCTTCAGTCATATGCTGATATAATTAGAAGGCTTTTTGAGAAAGTATTCTCTGCCTTGATTGTCATTGCTCCTTTTCACAGTTGAGATTGGTTAGTGGGACAACCAAAAAATAAAAAATAAAAAAACACTTTAATCTATAAAGTTTAAACCCTTAATGCTTTAACAATAAGGTTTTAAATGACTGCTCATCTTCAAGTGTGAGAAAAACTCTTACTTTTAATTATATGATACCTTGTAAATAGAAAATACGGTGTTTCTTGTTATGCATTGTAGTTGTTTCCAGTAACAAGTCAAGCTTGGTGTAAATATCTATTTTACCACTAACTAATAGGTGATTCTGGAAGAGCTACTTAACCTCCCTCAACTTCAGTTTGCTTTTCTGTAAAATACGAAATTTAATAATACCTAACTCCTAAAATTTTTATATGAACTAATTGAGAAAATACATGAGCACAGCTTAGCTAGTTTCTGTTACAGATAATTTTCTCAATTGGTTGGTATTTTTCAGCATTGTTCTTTCTAAGGATATTAACTCATTCTGGCTTTATCAGGCCTCTCTTTGGGAATTGCTTAGCAAGGAATTACTTCCCTGCTTTGAGGGTAGACCTGTGTTTATGTACAAAAATTACCAAAATCATTCTGACTTTTCCATCTTGATCTCTTTTCTTAACCAGACCCTCCATCTATTCTCTAGCTTGTCTATTGCTTTTAAGCTGAATTTACTTGATCAAATGCTTCTAAGTTAATGTGGGTTAAAAATGAAACTCAAGCCAGCTGTACTGATTTGGAGTTTATGAAGCATAATTATTTTTAGGAGACTGTGTAGAGGTTAACATTATTGTTTTGGTTATGAATCACATACAGAACCCTTTATTTTTGCAAGGAGTTTTGGCATCGTTTCATAATTTAAAGTCAAAAGTGACTCAGTGGAGGATATGTCACCCATTGCAGATGCAAAAGGAAAGATAAAAGGACCTAAATAATTGCAGAGCAAGTTCATCACTAACCAGAGGGTCAAAGCTTGGGTTTCCTAAAGACTGTTCCTATAAGACTGACTCAACCAAGTTCACACAAGACCAACTCAACCCGGTAGGTAAAAATTCTCACAACTGGATATCATTAGCTTAGCTCTCTCTCTTTTTTACTCCTAAATAAACATTATGGAGAGAAATTTAATTAATAGAATCAACCCATTTTTATGATGGTACAATGGTTAACTTACATGACAACACTTCATGGATTTAAGAAATTTAAAAAACTAGGTCACATTGATTTAAATATGGGATGTATTAAATAGTTTAAACTTTCTTTGTTTCAGTGTAATGTTTGTCATTTATTAGTCAACTATTGTTACCTTGAACTCACTTTAGAAGGGCACTCTATCCACTAGTTATCTGCCTATACCAACTTGTCAAATGACCAATTAGGGTCAGTCTTCTATAAAAATAATCAGAAATTTCAGATTATTATTCTGTTTTATGGTGTGCTATTTGCTTAAGGCATATGTCTTGGTCATTTGAAGTTGCTATTAAAAGATACCACGTCCTAGGTAACTTAAACAACAGTTGTTTTTCACAGTTCTAGAGGTTGGGAAGTCTGAGGTCAGAATGTCAACTCAATTGGGTTCTGGCGAGTGACCTCTCCCTGGTTTTCTCAACTGGTAGACAGCAGGAAAGGAAGCAGGCTCTCTTTTGTCTCTTTCTTATAAGATCACTAATGCCACCATGAGGGCTTCATCCTCATGACCTAATTATCTCCCCAAATCCCCATCTTCAAGTACCATCACATTAAGAATTAGAGGTTCAGCATATGAGTTCAATGGAAATACAAGCCTGCAGTCTATATCATCCTTTCGGAAAAGACAGGGCCTCATAAATGGGATGAGCTGAATTCTATGCAGATCTATTCAGTCGTTACAGGTATTCAAATTTGAGGGTAAATGAGAAAACTCTTTAAATAGATTAAATATCTTCCTTTAGGAGTTAAAAAATGCTACTCACCAGGAAATCTTTCTTAAATAATGAGAATTCATTACTTCCTAAGAAAGAAACCTAAAGTAAATGTGTACATTTACTTCATAAAATGGTTATCACCCGTTTGAAACTCAAGTGAGATAAAATAAGGATTCTCAGAAATATTTACTTGATTATTTGCAAACATGGAAAAACCACATCAAGTAGTATTAGGCAGAAACAGTAGCAATCCCGCCAAGCTTAGGTGTAGGCTTGGGAATTAGTTTGATCCTGGAGTCCAAACAATATCATCAGGAATTGGCATCTCTTCATTTTTTTCTTTTCTTTTTTTTTTTTTTTTCCTTCACATAATGACCCTAGCAAACTCAGTTCAAACTCTCCTAGGCTCGAATCCACCCAAAGTATGAACCTGACATGGTTTCAGAAAAAAAAAAAAATTAAAAAGAGAATTTTCTCTAATAATTTCAATACAAAGCCTCAGATTCGACTCTTGTGTGTTAATTTTAGACCAAATTTAATCATATGTCTACACCGGATCTTGGCAAACAGAATGTCAAGTTGGCTTTGATTTGGATCACATGTATATTTCTGGAGCTAAGGTTAGCCCCAAAACCTTATGGAAAGAAAAGGAAAAAGGTAACTTCCTAAAGGAAATTCAACCAACACTAGGCAGTAGGAACAACAGATGTCTATCAAAATAAAGAACAAAACAACTAGTTCCACAGTCATTCATCACTTTACCTATTTTGTACAACAGTTTTAATAGAAATGCTAGAATGATTCTATCTTGTTCACTGACATTTATTTCAATAAACACTGAATTCTAGAAAAAATTTGAGATGGAATCATAGATTTTTTTAGGGTAAAATTTCTACTAAATTTCCATTTGTGTCTCAGAGAAAATGGCTCCAACTGGATTTTTCTTAAATAAACAGCCTATTAAATATTTCCACTGTAAAAATCTATTCCAGAGGACAACTAACTCCTGCACCTGTTTCTTTAAATAAATGTTTTCTTGTATCTTTGGTTTTTACTACTCCTATAATGCTTCTGAGTATTATACATTATACAGTATCTGAGAGACCATTTCTATTTCACCAGACTTAATTCAAGGCAGCCAAATTAAATCATCTCAGTGATTTAGGAATTTCCCAAGAAGACCTTCAGACCTCAAATTAAAAGGAGTCAACTTAAGTGCTTAATTGTTTTACAGATTTTTTCTTCATTGATTTTAATTAAGGTCTTCCTTGTCTTCTGAGCTTGGAGGACTTTTATTATCCTTTGAAATAACTTTATTTGAAGTCAGGTTGGCCAACAAGTCACACAGACTTAATAATTTTACAGGAGCAAGTTATCTTGATATATCGGGAAACAAAAATCCACCTTCCCTTGTCAGTGAGACTTAAAACTGCATATTGATTTCTTTTAAACATCAATTGAGTACCTAAGAGGAGGTAGCAATTCTAGGGAATGTGACATATCAGAGCCCAAAACTGTGGGTACAACCTTGGAGAAGGAAATTGGCTGTAAGCAACTGACCTCTAAGTTTCCCTGTAACAATTCATTTTGTAACTCTTCAAATAAGATAGTTGTTTGGCTCATTTTCCTAGGGCTGGAAGAGCTTCTGCAAGCTTTATCATTAGCTTTCCCAAGTGCAATGGTAACAGCCAGTCTAGGTGCCCTTCCCCTTTCAAGGGGCTGATAGAAGCGAAAAATGTGTTCAACACAGTCTTCTGTTTAAAAGGGGGCAGATTTGAGGTTAGATAGCCTGGGTTTCATGTCCCTGGTCTGCCATTCACCAGTGTGTAGCATGAGATAATTACATATCCTCTCCAAGTCTGAGTGCTGAAATCTGAGAAATGGGGAGAACAATATTATCTACTTCAAATTTGTTTAGTGTCCTCTTCAATTCATTTTTTGAGAATGACGTGGTGTATCTAATATTTATAGGTATGTAAACTTTGTGTGACATATATAATAAAATTCTTTTGTACAAAATAAAAGGAAGAAGGTGTAGTATGTTAGTTATGGTTCTCCAGAGAAACTTAATGAGGAATTGTCTCACATGATTATGGAGACTGAGGAGTGCCACAGTCTGCCATCTGCAAGCTGCATAACTGGAATAAGCCAGTGGCCACGGGTGTAATTCAGTCAGAGTCCAGAGACTTGAGAATCAGGGAGTCAATGGTATGAATTTCAGTCCAAAGGTAGAAGAGGAAATAAGCTGACCCAGTGCACGCAGTAAAACGGAAAAAAAAAAGAAAAAGTGAGTTTCTCCTTCATCCGCCTCTTGTATTCTTCAAGTTCTCAACAGATTGGATGATACCCACCACATTGAAGAAGGCAATGTGCATTACTAAATCCACTAATTCAAATGCTAAGGTTATCCCAAAGCACCCACACAGACACACCACAAAACGGTGTTCAATCGGGGCACCCTGTGGTCCATTCAAGTTGACATAAAATTAACAATCACAAGGTAAATATCTTGCATGGTGAATGATCAGGGCAGGAATGGATGAAGGCCAGATAATGCAGCAGGTCTCATAGTTGCTAAATAGCAAGATTTTATTTGGTGGAGATGTAGCAGAGATTAGTCATAGACTCCCTTTATTTTAGATTCTTTCACTTGAAAATCCCCTTTGTACAGGCCCTATTCCCTGAGGGCCTTTAATATGCTTATTGCTTTAAAGATTGTGTTTTTTTTAAATAACATAAATCACATGGAGTAATAAAACAATGTTTACATATAAAAATTATGAATAAATGTTAAGTATTAGTATCATCATATCACTATTATTATTATTTTCTCTATTATCTTCTCTCCATGCCTCTCATATTAAAGATATGAACATAAGCTTGCATAAGTCACCCAGAGGGAGGCTTGTAGACTCTGGGAATAAATCTAGGTGTTCTCCACTCCTCAATCCTTGTCTAGCATTTTATATTTTCTACAGAAACTCATTCAATCACATCAGATGCAGCTAAAAGTCTGATGACCCCGACACATCAGACACATCCTCAATTAGTAAAACAGTCACATCTAAAAGTCCTTCTATCTCTCTTAAATCCTGCCAATTGTCCTGAGAAGACCACTGAGCCTCCATTTGCATAAATTACCACATCACTGAAAATGTTTTACTCTTCAAATCTGAGCGATTTACCTTATGTTTGAAGAAACACTTTTATATTTTAGACTAAAAGGTGCATGTATGATTAAAATTTATGGCAATAACAAACACAGAAACATTCATTTAAATCACTGCTTGAATTAAATGGGAATAGGACTCTTGCCTCCTTATTACAGAACATAGAAGAAAATTTTTGGATTCTCCCCTTATGAAAATGTAAGCCTTTCTCTCCAGTTGTCTCTCCAGCTGAAGCTGGCTCAACAGCTTCAGCCGCTGGAGAAATTGAGATACATAACTTATACTATATAATGTCATGTAAGTGGTACTTTATTTTTATTTCTTTGTACTGGGAGGTGTTATAAATTAAATTCTTAACTGCAGGGACTTGTCAGGTGACTCAGCTTAGCTATACTTAGCACATCACATGGAATATTGACCCAATCCAGTAACATTTAACTGCACATACTGAGCATATTTTCAAAGGCATAAATATGTACATATAAAACCTACAGCTTGGTGTAACAGCTATAGAACACACAGAAACTGGGTACAGTCTGAGATACACAGACTGCATTTCTCATGGTTAAGATATCAATTTTTTCATCAATTAAAATGAAGAAGTCAGATATTACAATTAGCCAGGTGGTGGAGAGAAAAGTCTGGGACATTACCAACATACTTAATCTTATTTTTTCCTTGAAGGTTTTGTTTATCATCAATTTATTTCAAAGCAGCATCTAATTCAGTGCTCATAATTATCTGATTCTATACAGATATTTTTTGCTATTAAAACACTGCAGTTTTGGACAGATATTTTTCCTCTTTTAAAGATGGAATAAGAAGAAGCAAGATTCTCTGAAAGATCTACACACTGAAAACTATAAAGCAATGAAAGAAATTGAAGAAGATACAAATAAATAGATATTTTTTGTTTATGAATTGGAATCATTTATATTGCTAGAATGTCCATATATCCAAAGCAATCTACAAATTCAATAAAACTCCTATCAAAATTTCAATGACTTTTTTTTACAGAAACAAAAAAAGAGTCCTAAAATTTGTATGAAACCACAAAAACCTCAAATAGCCAAAGCAATCTTGATCTGAAAGAACAAGACATCTTAATATCTGATCTCAAAATCCACTACAGAGCTATAGTAATCCAAACAGTATGGTACTGGCACAAATACAGATATACAGATTAATGGAACAGAATACAGAGCCCAGAAATACATCTACCCTTTTATGTTAAATTGATTTTAGACAAAGATGGCTAAGAACACATAATGGGAAAAGGATCATCTGTTCAATAAATTGTACTGAGGTAACTGGATATCCACAAGCAGAAGAATGAAATTAGACCCTATATTATACCACATACACAAATCAATTAAAAATGGATTAAAGAATCAAACATAAGACCAAAAATTGTAAAACTACCAGAAGAAAACATAGGAGGAACGTTTTTTGACATTAGTGTTGGCCAAGAATGTTTGGATATGACCTAAAAAGCATAAACAGCAAAAGAAAAAATAGACAAATGGGATTGCATCAAACTACAAAGCTTCTGCACAGGAAAGAAAACAATCAACAGAATAAAGAGACAGTCTATGAAAATAGAGAAACTATTTGCAAGCAATACATCTAATAATGGGTTAAAACCCAAAATACTTAAGAAACTCAATAGCAAGAAAACAGACATCCTGATTAAAAAATAGGTAAAAAGCATAAACAGATATTTCTTTAAAAACACTTTAAAAAGGCCAACAGTATAGGAAAAATGCTCAACATCACAGTGATGGTTTAATATAATTTGTTACCCTGAAAAACTCATGCTAAATCTTGGTCTTATATGTGGTGGTGTTAAAAAGTGGTGCTTCTAAGAGGTGATTAGGTCATGAATATAAGTTAACGTCATTTTTGAGAGATTAGTTTGGTTTACTCAGTAATGGGTTAGTTTCTGTGAGAGCAAGTTGTTATAAAACAAAGTTGCCTTTCATGTTTGCCCCTCTTTTTCCCCCCAAGTGCCTTGTTTCCATTCCATTTTTCTACCATGTTTTGACACAGAATGAGATTCTCACTAGAAGCCACCAGAGGCAGCCACCAAATCTTGAACTTCCCAGCCTATAGAACCATGAGCTAAATGAACCTTTCTTCTTTATATATTCCAAGCTCCAGGTATTCTGTTATAGAAGCACAAAATGAACGAAGACAATCATCCGGGAAAGGCAAATGAAGCCACAACGGAATAGTACTCATGCTTATTAGAATCGCTACTATCAAAAAGACAAAAATTGACAAGCCTTTGCATGGATGTGAAGAAAGTGGAACTCCCCCACACTGTTGGTGGAAACATAAATTAGTACAGCCATTATGAAAAACAGTATGGAGGTTCCTCAAAAAATAAAAATAAAACTACCATATGATTCAGCAACTCCATTTCTGAATATAAATTCAAAAGAAATGAAGTGTTTCAAAGAGATATTTGCAAAAGATAATGCTGCACATTCATTGTAGCATTATTAACAATACCCAAGATACTCAGTTACTCTAAGTCTCCATTAACAGATGAATGGATAAAGATAATGTGGTATTTGTACACAAGGAAATAACATTTAGTTATCTTGAGGACATTATACTAAGTGAAATAAGCTAGGAACAGAAAGGCAAAATATTGCATGATCTCACTTATATGTAGAATCTTAAAAAGTAAACTTATAGAAATGGAGCATAGAATGGTAAATACTGAGGACTAGAGGGGTGAGGTGGGGTGGGAAAAATGTTGAGGTGTCAGCCAGTAAAAAATATATTTAAGTATCATAAGTGAGCTGATAGGTGTATGTTAATTAGCTTTATATTTAGTCATTCCATTATGTATCCACATATCAAAATATCAAGTTGTATACTAAAAACACATACAATTTTTGTCAATTAAAAAATAAAGGCCTCTCATTACAAATTTGTATCTGTGCATTTCATGTGCCAGAGACATTTTGCAGTACAGTGGAGAAAGGAATGGCAGTAAAAGAGGGGCACATGCTTAAGGATTTATTGCAGCAGGCAATGATCTAACTAGCAACTGTATGTGTTTCAAAAACTGTTGGTGAATTTCAACCCAAGGCTTTTACAGTACTGGAGATTAATTTAATGAACAAAACTAAGGATATAAGCCTGACTTCTCTAACTGGTAAGGGTACCTATTATTAAATTTCTAATAGTATGATAGTAATAAATATATTAAAATACCCTTAACTAGCAGGTATTTAGAACTAACTTACTGAACACTAGGTGCTTTACGTGGATTATGCCATATGGTCCTCAGAACAAACTCAGGATGTAGAGAGTGTAATTATCACGATTTGACAGATGAGAAAACTGAGTCTAAGAAAGATTAAACAATTTGTGCTTGATTGCAAATAAGTTAATGGGGATGTGATTTGAACTCTAATGATTTTACATGAAAATCTACACACATTTTGTGGTTTCACAAAGGTTTCTATGACTATAAAATACTGCATAATTTATGGGTTCATATTCAGGTTTTTCTTGTTATAATGTGTTAACATATGATTTGATATATATACCTCAAATTCTAAAGTTATTTTAAAATTAATTTAATTTTCAAAACTAGTATCAGGTTATACAGTCTAGAAGTACTGGGGAGACTGGGTGAGACTGGGGAATTTAGATCTTGCAGGATGTTCTAAATTCTAGCACAGTGTCCAGAATTCTGCTTGCAAAAATTTCTTCCACTCCAGGTAGTCCTGGATGTAGAAACATACAAAATAAGGCAAAAGAAGTCAAACAAAGAATTAAGTCATATTTGAGTCCTAAACCATTGCAAAGAACTCTAGTTGGCTGGGTTAGAGAGTAGAAGGCATAAACGTCTTCAAACTAATTTAAACATGTATCTTAGGACTTAGCAAATTCGATAATTTTTCTTGGACTAGTCAGTGTTCCAGACACTAATTCCAGCATGATTGCATAAGAATCACTAAGGATTTCATACAAATGCAACTTACGAAGCCCAACCCTAGGGGAGTATAATTCAGAACTCCTGAGGTAGGGCCTAGATAAGTTCTTTTTTAAAATTACCTTTAATTTTTTTAACGCTCCCAGTTATTCTGATGTCTGGCTAATTTTGGCAAAAACTGTCCAGTTTTTAGACCTTTAGTCAGCTACAATGACTCCATTCCTGGAATATGTGGCCTACAGCAAAACTCCTTCTGGGTGGTGTGCCTTGTTCTTATTTCTGTTACATCCCTGATATGGGCTAAGAGCTATGCGTGTGTATTTGTATTGGGAGGCAGAGGGTAGTAATCCATCAATCCATTGACTCCTCCCAGAGAGTGACACCTATTTTGAGCAACATTTTCTGCTAGGATCCACTAACAATGACAAAAATAATTAAAATAAAAGTGGAATACAAATATCCTAAGTGAGGAACCCATTAAAACATCTAGGGCTTCAGAAGGAAAAAGTGATTTTCATTGCAGAGATGAAATACATTTTCACGTGCCAAAGACATTTTGCAGTGCAACTGAGAAAGGAATGGTGGAGAGAGAGAGAGAGAGAGAGACATAAGCAAGAGTTTAGTTCATTGTAAATGCAATGATCCAATAAATAAATGGCATGTGCTTTAGAAACTGTGGTGAATTTTACCTTCAGGCTTTTACAGTCTTGAGAATTAACTTGCTTCAGGAATAAGGTATCATGTAAATTGGACCTTTAAAGATGGTACGTGTGAGAAAGAATGAGGTTTACATTTAAATTCCATGTTACAAATATAGTGGCTGTGGATGGTTAAATGTTTTATCCAAAATAAAATAAATGTGCCATGAAATGAAAAACAGAATTTAAGAATTTAAGCACCCTAAATTTTCCATTATTTCCACTAATATTAATATAAATTATGGTTAATAAGATTTTTTTAAATAGAAATCTGAAGGAGAATACATGCTTTTAGTTTTTACTCAAACATAAAAAGCTTTGGAAAATACACAAGATTACCCAGTATGAATTTACCTTCATTTTCCAAAAATTAGCAATAACTATATTGCTTATTTATTATGCAATCCTCGAAAAGAAAACACTGGTGTCAGATTTTTTTCTTTCTTCTAATTACATTTTGAGGAAATACAGTATGCTTTATTGAATGAAGACATGCAAGGAAAACCTATTCATATCTTTGTTTACTACTTGAAGCTAAGACTAGCTTTAAATTCCCTTTGCAAAGAAGCTTCTCAGGAATATCAGGCCTTTTGATATAGATAGATAGCAAATTTCTCATCTACAGTGGGCTTTGAAAGCAGGGAGCAATGTTCTCTTAGGAGTTGATTTCATTACTTAGTAGTTATAGAAGACTACCACATGTCTGTAATCAGTATATTCACCTTAGAGTTTAACGCTAATACAAAACCTCCAGAAATCACAAAGATTTGAATCATTAATGTTATTTTTACTTCTGCTCTCAAGGTTAATTTGACTCTTTCCATCATACATATATATTTCTTGAAGTCTCCCTCGTCAGCTTAATGCTCCTTGGAACTCTTTATCTCCACCCTCTTCCTATTTTTCATTTTACTTGATACTTGATTTTGCATTCCCCCCTTGATGATTTTTTAAAACCTGTGTTCCTCTAGCCAGAGATTAAATTTAAACTTAGTTCATACTCTCTCTCATCCTTGAAGCATTATAATATATACTAAAAGCTACTAGCCATAGGGAAATCATACTTGTTAATGTGTTTTTCCCCCCAGATTGATGTGTCCTATGTTTAAATTACTTAAGTACATTATCAAGTGCCCACCTACCTCCCTTTCACCTGTGGACACATTATCTGTCATTCATACCTCTTTATAACACCACCCCTAACTACTGTGGCCTTCATTACTTCTCCTGCATGTTTAGATTTCTGCTTCTCATGCATCTCATTAGACTTAATGATTTTAGCATTTTATATCCTGCATACATATAACTTTTCATGATTTACAGTGTAGTAGCAATGATAAGTTGGTAAAGCAGATATTATATTCCTCAATTTCCAGGCAGAAAAGCTGACGATGATTCATCTGCCTCAAATTATCGGGTTAATTTGTGGGATATGCAACATTTAAACTCAGATGTTTTAGCCAAGTCTGAACACTTTCTTTGATGCCAAAACAATGCATTCTCCACTCAGTGTTGTATTTTTTATTTAAAATTAGAATATAAGTTCTCTGACAGGAGTTAGCATGTCTTATAATTATTCTTGAAGAAAAACCCTAAATATGTAACATATTTTCTGTAACTGTGTGCTGATTAATAACTGGTTAATATAAATTAGTATTTCACTGTACTTTTATAGCATAATCTTCATTTTCTGTAATTTGCCCAATAGAAACGATACCTTTGTTTTACTCTGCAATCTCAGAAGAGAAGAATGTTTACTTCTTTTCCCCAAATATAATGGAAAATGTAATTTGGTAGGGGAGGGGTGGCTTAAAGTTTTGACCTATGATTCAATTACTTAGGAATAGTCCCCTAGCTATTTTGGAAAACCACTTAGGAAGAAGATAAGACCAGTAGATGGCTCTCTAATTCCTGAATTTTAAAGAAGAATGAAGGCAATACATTTGACTTCTGCTGAACAGATTTGATTTGATTGCACCAATGACAGGAATAAACTTCATACAGACTTGCTGAAACTTTATGCTGTTTTGTCATGTAGCTTAAAATGGGAAAGCTATTCTTGACCCTCTTCGTCCTTGACAACTTCCAGAGATTGTTGAAGGAATCAGCACCAGCAAGAAAGACAATTTGTTCGACTCTGAATAGAATACTGGCTTGATCAGTACAGAGCAACTTCTTCCCCAGCATTTAGGTTACCAGGAGAACCGGAACCAAGAGCAAAGAAAATGGATTCAGTTCTCATCATCAGGTGTCTGCAAGTTGAGTTTCACAGTGGGACATGTGATGAAACTGCAAAAATGTAGGATCTATTTATGTTTACTAAGATGGAACGTGGGGAATTGAGAGACATGGGCTATAGAAAAAAAGAGTATTCCAAATTTATTCTTACCAGATAGCATTATGCTCTTTTGTGTTTTGAAATAAAAATTTTGAAAGCAAAGATAATGTTTTTAAAGTATTGGCTAAATTCTACTCCAGTGCTAAAAAGAAAAAAAAAATTCATTTATCAGCATATGCATGAATGTGTCTGTATAAACATGTTTGTGTATAGTTCTGTTAGTCCCGTTACTTAAAGACACTTTTCCTCCTTGTTTGGAAAGTGTTACAGCTCTATTACCTGTTGTATATTCAGCTGCTTTTTTTTTTTTTCTCAGAAAACAAGTTTTTAAAAAATTCTAAAAATAAATCTGGCAGAAGACAAATCTGTGTCCTGTCAAAACTTACTTCTGTGTTTGAGGTATGATTTATTTCAATATCACTTCTTACAAACAAGATGAGAAAAGTGCAGGGTGCTGTCTTCAGAAGAACTTGCACCTACAGGTGAAGAATTCCTGGGTACAGTTTGTAATGGGTAGAATGTGAAGCTTGCGCACAACTTTGACTTTCACGGTAACTTTATACTATTTTGAAGACTTATGAACACATATGACTTGAATGAAAGTAGCATTATACGTTTTTGAGGTTTGGAGTGACACAGTCAACTAACCATTCGTACAGATAATCACAGTGTCTAGGACTCAGTGGTGTTATTTCACAGAGCTCACCAACCTCGTAAGAGTTGGATGTGATAGGACTGATCGCAATAAGCCAGCCTCAATTATTTCCATGCAATTTGAGGTTCTTAAATGTGCCAGGTCTCTCTAGGATAAAGGAATCTGATTTTAAGCAAGAGCAGACACAGAAGGAGATCAAGATACCCAGCGTTAGGCAGAGTTCACACAGCTACAGCCTTCCCATCCTGAGATTCCAAGCAAGTCCTGGATTTGGCTGCCTTCACCACTGAGATTATGAGCACAAGAATAAGCCACTGTGTACATCAATTTGTCAAATTTCAAATCCATGAAATATGAAAATGAATAGCACTTATCTCAAATAAAGTATTCCATAGGAAGCTGAGAGTGCCAACATAATAATAGCTGTCATAAAGCTTTCAACTCTTTGGAGGAAAGAGTATCTCTATTTTCATGCTTACAAGTTACTTTTTGCCGTTGTCATCTTAATCACACTCAAGTAAATGAATTCATAAGCCTGTATTCTTCAGTCATCTGATTTTTTCTATAAACAGAGGATTTGATAAACATTCACTGAATTTTCAAAACACCTGGTGTCATGTTAGTAAGGTCAACTATTTTCATGTTTGGACTGCTGCAGGCACTCAGGGAGAATGGGAAATACTTCAACCAAACAGTAAAATTAATATTTTTCTCTTGAACTTGGAGTATACTTAAGGCAGAAAGAAACTAAGGAGGGAGGATGATACAGTGAGAAAGAATTTCACATTTGTTCACCTTGTCTTTATAAACCAACTCAACATGCAAAGCTTAAAAGTATTTCTAGTTGGTTCTACTATTGAAAATTTCTCTTCTCATAGGAGTGGGCATAGCAGGGAATACAAGCTATTGCAACGTCATTTTAAAATATGCCTTTCTAGATGTCCTGGAATTGATGACTAAACTTAAAGTCCAGGATAAGTGGGCATAAAGTAGCCTATATTCTAAAGAGGGAGATGCCCCAAATGAGGGTGGTACACCTCCCTCAGGCTTGATAAGAACAGGCTCTGTTGCCCTAATCCTATTCTAGCCTCATCCCAGGCTCTATAAGGGGAATGGAAAGAAGAGAGAGAAACTTCAGATTTGAGAGACATTAAACTGAAGAGTGCTAGGTCTTCCTCTCTGATACCTGGAGAGGAGGGTGCTAACTACTCCTGTATCTAGTGTGGCTGGTACCAAGAAAATCACTTTTAAATATGGAGAGTTTCTACAAGAAGGGAAGAGGGAAGAGTTCTATCTCCTTCCCACACTGGATATAAGTTTAGGTAGTAACCTTGTTTATTTATTTATTTTTTCTGCATCTACCTCATCTAGGGAAAAGAGATCTGGAAAGGAGATACCTGAGCACAGACAGGGTCCAGGGGTGAAACAGACAACCCTTCCACCTTTTGTTTGGTATAGACAGTTAAGTATCCTCTGGGGTTCAATGTGCACTATAGCAGATTGATGTGGTTTGAATGGATTCCTTCCAAATTTCAGGTGTTGCCAGTATGACACTATTAAAAGATGGGGCCTTTAACAGTTGATTAGGGCATGACAGCTGCTCCCTAGTTAATGGGATTAAGGCTCTTTTAAAAGAGGCCTCACACAGCATTAGCTTAGCTCACGCTTCTGCCTTCTGTCATGTGAGAACATGCACAGTAAGAAGGCCCACACCAAACCAAATGCCGGTGCCAAGATCGTCAACTTCTCAGCCTCCAGAACTGTGAGGAATACATTTCTCTTCTTTATACATTACCTCGTCTGTAGTGTCCTATTGCTGTAACACAAACAGCCTAAGATACAGATAGCCCAGCATTTGTTCCCTGGCTGCTAACTCACCCACAAAGCTGGCTATCTGGTGATGGGACTATATCACCAAAAGGCTGTGGGGGATCACACGGAAGAACAGGAACTGAGGGGTGAGTTGGGTTGGGGGAACTCTGTCATAAGGAGTCTCAACCAAGAGCTTGCTTAAAAACACTCATGTTTGGCTCCAAGACAATGGTAGCCTTAGGCATGAACAGCCAGGCTGAAGATGTGAATATTGAATTTGACTAGACAGGACTTTTAGTAGCTCAACGATGAAGAAAAACTATGAGATCGACCTGAGAAACTGACAATAATAAAAACAAAAACCAGGAAAGAGAGGTTCCTGTAGCTCATTTGGAGATGATATTTGGAGAAAAATAGAAGTGTCTATGCTTGTGCTCCTGTCTTCTAAAGGCTACTATGTAAGAAGCAAACTGTGGTCATGACCCCTTGGAGCACCTGTGTGATGGGGACGTGAAGTCTTCTTCTCTATTTGTTTTGATGTCCCAGTGTCCTGTTCACTGCTCTAAATTCCAGTGTTTCATTAAAGGTACATGAGTGTTTTTAGATATTTAAAGTGATAAAATGGCTGACTTACCTGGTACCAGCTAACACACTGAAGTTATACCCCATTTCACTTAAATATTATTTTTGCTTCTAGGCAACTCAAAAATTAAAAACAGATTTTTGCCAAAGCCGTGACTGAGCCATAGTGATGTCACTTGCTCATCTGATTCCTATTATAAGATTCAAAGAATTCACAGCTGAGCACTTTCCACCACCTTTCTCAGTTTTATTTGAGCCCAAAATGTTTGTATCTCTCTCTGTGGCAAACCAGTTTGAAAAGAATCAGGACTCCAGAGCAGAGGTGGAGCGGCAAGGGGTGGAAGGGAAGAGAGGCGAGCATGCCAATTGCTATTAAATAAATTAGAAACTGTTGAGAAAGGGGTTTTTACCACAATGTGATTGCACTTACCACTGGAATGTCTTTAAAGGGTGTATTTAAGAACACATTTTTGCTTCACATTTATGTCAAAAGTTTGGCCTGTCCTCTATCACCATCAAGTGAGGACAGGAAAGAAGGAGGGGGGAGAATAGCAAGGAAAGGTCTCAAATGAGAAGGCAGTGAGTACTTTAAAGATGTCTGATTGTCTTGCCCAGTCAGCAAGCAGTAGACAATAAAATGGCCGCACAGAGAATGTGCATATGCTGAGCCTCTACGACCAAGGTGCATTTCTACACAGACTGTTCCCCCACAAAGAAAATAAGCCACCCTCCTTCACATATGAATAAATTTGATTAAACATGATTAACTAAATTGCTTATTTTCTGCAAATAGGAGACATCTAACTCTCTCCGATGGAAATACAGCTTACTTTATTTGTTCCCTCTTCAAAAAGAAAGAAAACGACAAAGAAACTAAAATGTTATTCATATATTTCAAATATATTTTTGTTTATGGTCTATACATATGCTATATATTATTTAAAACCCCAGCCCTAGAAACCTAGCCCACTGAAAATAATTTTTGACAGTAATATTGGGTGAGAAAGTAGTCATTTCCCATTGCAAGTGTTATGGAAATTCTTATATGGAACATGCCTATTTGTGTAAATAAAACAAGATGCCATTCTGGGAAATGGATTCCTCTTTATGGCTGAGGAAATTAACCACAGATTTGGGAGGCCCAAAGAGAAGAGTAGGGTAATGATAACTGATCTGATTTGTGTGCAAATTATGGGATCTATTTAGACAGATTCAACTGGAAAGATACTATGGAAGTCAAGAAGTTTGGCTAATTTGATAACACAAATAACTATTTATTTTTCACAAGGAAGATTTTCAAAATAAACATAGAGGCTTAGTTAGGCATGACCACACTCTTCATGAGGCCCATCTGACTTGTAATGTTGCTATAGTGACCTCCGGTATAATATGAAAATGATGCCTTCCTCTGTGCAATGTGTTTTTTTCCC
This sequence comes from Homo sapiens, assembly GCF_000001405.40. Classification (NCBI taxonomy): domain Eukaryota; kingdom Metazoa; phylum Chordata; class Mammalia; order Primates; family Hominidae; genus Homo; species Homo sapiens. The sequence continues at coordinate 86,998,095 of NC_000014.9, read as the reverse complement.
TGATTCGTAAAGCAATTTCTACTAACTGTGCCGCTGCATTAAATATGAGGGCAGGCAGGAAATGGCACACAGCGTTGGCTGGAGTGTCTCCTGCAAGCCTTCATTACAATTTCCAGTCAACATTGTTATCAGAAAAATGGAGAACTGAGACAGTTCCACACATAGTTTATGCAACTAAGGCTTCCATCTTCTAAAATCTGCAGTGATAAATATTTTATAGAGGTGGGTGGCAGTAGATATTGAACTTTGCAAAATGCATCCATTTTAATTTCAAAATAAAAAATAAAATACAATGAAGCCTCCAAATTATTTTGTTATCCCAAACATGCCCAGATATTAGCATTTCTGTGGCTAAAAAGCAGGGCAGTTTTTATCATGTTCACTTGTCTGACTAAATGGTTCTGGCCCTTAGGCTATTACATTTTTAAAGACATACATGTTTTATATATAGCCCAATAAATTAGTTCCATTGTGATTTTTTAAAATGTTGCTAGAAGATTTTTTTTTTGTTTTGATCTTTACAAAGAGGTAAAGTTGTAAAGATCTTCCCACCACACTATTTCAAGGTTGAATAATCTGAAAAATTTCCTTACAAAGTGAGAGACACATAGCATAATCGTTAGTAGATGAATTCTAGGGTCAGGTTTCTGTTATTCACTAACTGACCTCAGCTAGATTTCTTTTCTTTCTTTTTTTTTTAAGGCTTTTTTTTTTTTTAGAGCAGTTTAGGTTCACAGCAAAATTGAGAAAAAGACACAGAGATTTCTCCTATTCTCCCTGCCTTACACGTGCTGACACTCTCCTATTATCAACATCTTCTACTAGAATTGGCTAAGGTTTTTAGCCTTGTAATGCCCCAGTTTTCTCATTTGTAAAATGGGATAATAAGTACCTATTGCTAAAAAGGACTAAAGAGGACCAAAGTGTCGCTAAGAGGAATAAATAGTTCATATTTGTAAAGAACGTAAAACAATGCATTGCACATACAAAGTGTTACAAAAGTGGTTGCCAAATCATTTAATGCTGTGTTTAATAAATGTTTATTGATAGCTAAATTGTTTACTTTTTCTTTTTGTAGAGGCAGGGTCCTGCTTTGTCACACAGAGGGGTGCAGTGAGATGATCATAGCTCACTGTAACTTTGGACTCCTGGGATCAAGTGATCCTCTCACCTCAGCTTCCTGAGTAGCTGGGACGACAGGTACATGCCACCATGCTCAGCTAATTTTTTTTTTTTTTTTTTGAGATGGAGTCTTGCTCTGTTGCCCAGGCTGGAGTGCAGTGGCAAGATCTCGGCTCACTGCAAGCTCCGCCTCCCGGGTTCACGCCAGTCTCCCGCCTCAGCCTCCTGCGTAGCTGGGACTACAGGCACCCGCCACTACACCCAGCTAATTTTTTGTATTTTTAGTAGAGAAGGGGTTTCACCATGTTACCCAGGATGGTCTTGATCTCCTGACCTTGTGATCCACTCGCCTCAGCCTCCCAAAGTGCTGGGATTACAGGCGTGAGCCACTGTGCCCGGCCCATGCTCAGTTGATTTTAAAATTTTCTATAGAGATGGGGTCTTGCCATTTGCCTAGGCTAGTCTCAATTCCCGGCCTCAAACAATCCTTCCACCTTGGCCTCCCGAAGTGCTGGGATTATAAGTGTGAGCCACCACATACAGCCTGTTTTAAGTATGCTTTACAAAACGAGGACAAAAGAGTTTTAGAATATAGAGTCAACTCATTTCATGAGTACTTTCTATGATATAGAACATTCATTGGCGATACGTTTAGGGGCAAGGCCGGTCTGCTCCTGTGTTGTGTCTGGCTGGGAGGGTTTCCTCCAAAGTCAGACAACCATCACTACCACACAGCTTACGTAGCAGTTTCACTTCTATGTCATGCTTCTACTCAGTTTGCTGTCCTTCATTGACTTAATTAATCAACTAATATATAATAGTAATATTGCCATAAATAAGCTATTTTTAATTTTCTGAGACCAAAACATCATTCTCATGCACCACTTCATGGGGAACAGGGTTTTAGACGAAATGGGCTATAAAGGGCTTCTGTTACTGCTGTTGTTATTGCTATGGGCATTTATTCACTCTAGAGTGTATTTCCATTGTAAAATTTAAGGTTCCCAACACGTTCGCCAAACAAAAATTTCCCTTATCTACATATTGAGCATTTTTAAATATTTGATAATTCTCTTCATTTTTTTCCCCTGGTTTCTCATAAATGTTTCATGGCCTAAAACTATATGAAGATTATTGTTGACAAAAGTAAAGGACTTTAAATGCAAAACAGGAAGCAATTTTATGTAATAACAGAAAGAAAGGTAAAGAAAAAGCCTTTTACAAAAATTTAAGAAAAACCAACATCAGGAAAGTATGTGACATTAATCATACTGGCTTTTGGAGCGAGGTATCCTGGTATTGAATTCCAGCATTACTAACTATAAGAACTTGGGATCTGAGATTTTATTTCCCCATCTGTAAAATGGCAATAAAAACATCCACCACATAGAAATGGTGAGGGGATCAAGAGCTGCTTAGCTTAGGGACTGGCACACAGAAAAAGAAAGTTCTCAGTTTAGAAAGCTGTTAAATTAATCATGACATCAAATCACACATTATAAGCCCCTTGAGAACAAGTACCATATACTCCACCAAACATACCGAGCACTCTATAAAGTAATCACTGATTGGCAGGCAAGGCAAACATCTGCTTCTAAAAAGACTATGGAATAAATCAACTGGATTATGGATAGTTCATGAAACATACACCTTGGATAGTTCATGAAACATACACCTTGCCTGAGCAGCATTGGCTTTGAGGGCTAGAGTTGCTGACCTTCAGTCTTACTCATGGGATGGAATCATTTTCCTTTATCAAGATTAACATTCAGTTTTAATTCCACAGTGCACTATAGAAAGAAAAGTCAAAAACCAAAAATGATAGCTGTCAATATACAACAACGCTCAAATTGTGATAGAATGATCAATATCTTAACTCCTCCTTGAATGTGTTAATATTCCCACTATTAACTAATAAACTTTGTTTAAATAATCAAAAATTTCTTAAGCTTTAGTTTATATAAAACATTCTTCTTGTTTTTTTTTTTAAGTAAGAAGTTTTTTTATATAAGTAAGAACATGTGGTATTTGCTTTTCTGTTCCTGCAGTAGTTTACTAAGGATAATAGCCTTCAGTTCCATCCATGTTCCCACAAAAGACATGATCTTGTTCTTTTTTATGGTCGTATAGTATTCTGTGGTGTATATGTACCACATTTTCTTTTTCCACTCTATCACTGATGGGCATTTATGTTGATTTCATGTCTTTGCTATTGTGAATAGTGCTGCAGTGAGCATTCACACTCATTTGTCTTTATGGTAGGATGATTTATATTCTTGTGGGTATATACCCAGTAATGGGATTCCCGGACCAAAGGGTAGTTCTGCTTTTAGCTGTTGAAAAATTGCCACATTGCTTTCCATAATGGTTGAACTAATTTACACTCCCACCAACAGTGTATAAGTGTTCCCTTTACACCACAACCTTGCCAGCATCTGTTATTTGTTTTTACTTGTTAATAATAGCCATTCTGACTGGTATGAGATGCTATCTCATTGTGGTTTTCAACTGTATTTATCTAATGACTAGTGATATTGAGCTTATTTTTCAAATGCTTGTTTACCACACGTATGTCTTTCTTTGAGAAGTGTCTGTCTTTTTTTGTCTGCTTTTTAATGGGGTTGTTTTCTCTTGTAAATTTGTTTAAGTTTCTTATAGATGCTGGATATTAGACCTTTGTCAGATGGACAGTTTGAAATATTTTCTCCCATTCTGTAGGTTGTCTGTTTACTCTGTTGATAGTTTTTTGTTTGTTTGTTTTTCTTGGCAGAACCTCTTAAGTTTAATTAGATCCCACTTGCCAATTTTTGCTATTGTTGCAATTGTCTTCGGTGTCTTTGTCAGAAAATCTTTGCCTATTCCTGTGTCCTGAATGGTATTGCCTAGGTTGTCTTTCAGAGTTTTTATAGTTTGGGGTTTTATACTTAAGTATTTAATCCATCTTGAGTTAATTTTTGTTTATGGAGTAAGGAAAGGGTCCAGCTTCAATCTTCTGATATGGCTAGCCAGCTATCCCAGCACCATTTATTAAATAGGAAGTCTTTTCCCCATGCTTGTTTTGGTCAGCTTTGTTGAAGATCAGATGGTTGGAGGTGTGCAGCTTTATTCTGGGGCTCTTTATTCTGCCCCATTTTTCTATGTGCCTGTTTTTGTACCAGTACCATGCTGTTTTGGCTACTGTAGCCCTGTAGTATAGTTTGAAGTCAGTAACATGATGCCTCCAGCCTTGTTCTTTTTGCTTAGGATTGCCTTGACTATTTAGGCTCCTTTTTTGGTTCCATATGAATTTTTTTTAATTTTTCTCTAGTTCTGTGAAGAATGTCATTGGTAGTTTGATAAATAGCATTGAATGTGTAAATTGCTTTAGGCATTTTACAGATTATTTATGATTATTAGTAGTATAATATTTCCCTTCCCTTAAAAAAATTAAATTCCATGTTGTGGAAGCCAGGACTGGGTTCTAGAAATCTCTGACACTTAGTTCATTTAGATTTGTATGAATCTCAAATTGGTTGGACAGAATGGTGTTTTAATACATGCCTTCTCTAGAGGAAAATCTGTTTGTTTTATGTAAATGAAATGCATTTGCTATTTTCTATCCTTTGCATTTGCAGAGCTGGACATAACTTGAACATTATGTATATATTTCTAATTGAGAATTCCATTTTCATTCTCTAACAAGCTGTTATACCAGAGAGTGAGTCATGGCAAGAAGGCCTTGCTTACTCTGAAGACACATTATTTGGAAATCTAAAAGGCATAGATCTAAAAATGTAAAGTAGCCAATTATGAGGAAAATTCACTGATTTTTTTTATTTTATTAAATTTACCCAAAATAACACTTTATACATCCCAGAGTATCATTATATAAGGGCATCTAATATTACCCAAGTTTTCTCCTGAATATTTCTTGGAAGATAATAATGCTAGAAATAAAGCTGGGAAATGTAGCTTTTATGGCACTCAATTTTATTACACATTTTCTGGGGGTTCAACTCTTAGAATTAAATCCATATTACTATATTTTCGAGTTTTAGGAAAGTAAATTAAACAATTTATGGTTTTTTATTGGTCTATCTATTTGCTTTTCTGAAAATCTTGCTTTCTTTAGTGTATTAGAGTGCAGGATGCCCACCGTTAGAATCTCTGTTCAGCTTGACTGCTGTTGAAACAATATTCAGCAATAAAATGTGAGTTTTGATGTGGTAATAGGCATACATTGTAAACATTTCAACTGAAAATTAGACTTAAGAGCTACCGATTTATATATCTGAGAACGTGTTTGAACAGTTTATTGATTAAAAATTCGGTATACAGGCAGGGCATGGTGGCTCATGCCTATAATCCCAGCACTTTGGGAGGCTGAGGCGGGTGAGATCACTTGAGACCAAGAGTTTGAGATCAGTCTGGCCAACATGGTGAAACCCCATGTCTACTAAAAATACAAAAATTAGTCAGGCTTGGTGGCACACTCCTGTGATACCAGCTGCTCGGAAGGTTGAGGCACAAGTATCACTTGAACCTGGGAGGCAGAGGTTGCAGTGAGCCAAGACTGCACCACTGCACTCCAGCCTGGGAAACACAGTGAGACCCCATCTAAAAAAAATTGGTAGACATTTTGAAAAAACAATTAGATAAAACTTCCAATGTAAAAAATTTAACTCAACAAGAAAATAAACAACCCACTTAAAACATAGGCAAAAAACCTGAACACACCTCACCAAAGGAGAAACACTCACAGCAAATAAGCATATGAAAGGATGCTCAACATTCTGTGTCATTATCAAACTGCAAATCACAACAACCATCAATGGTAAGCCACCAGACAACTACTAGCATGGCTAAAATCCAAAACACCGAAAACATCAAATGCTGGCAAAGATGTGGAGCAACAGAAACTCTCATTCATTGTTGGTGAGAATCCAAAACAGTAAAGCCATTTTGGAAGATAGTATGGCAATAGTTTACAAAACTAAACATCTTCTTACTATGTAATCCAGTAATGATATACCTTGGCATTTACCCAAATGAGTTGACAATTTATGTTCACATAAAAACCTAACCATAGAAGTTTATGTCAGCTTTATTCATAATTACCAAAACTTAGAAGCAACCAAGATGCCCTTCAGCAGGTGAATGGATAAATAAACTGCAGAATACCCAGACAATAGAATTTTATTCACTACTAAAAAGAAATGAGCTTCAATCTATGAAATGACATAAAGAAAATTAAATACATATTACTAAGTGAATGAAGCCAACCCTGTAATGGCTATATACTGTGTGATTCCATGGATGTGGAATTCTGGAAAAGACCAAAGTATGGAGACAGTAAAAAGACCAGGCTGGGTGCGGTGGCTCACACCTGTAATCCCAGCACTTTGGGAGGTCAAGGTGGGTGGATCACCTGAGGTCAGGAGTTCCAGAACAGCATGGGTAACATGGCAAAACTCCATCTCTACTAAAAATACAAAAAAATAGCAGGGCATGGTGGTGCAAGCGTGTAATCCTAGCTACTCAGGAGGCTGAAGCAGGAGAATCGCTTGAATCTGGGAGGCGGAAGTTGCAGTGAGCCAAGATCGCGCCACTGCACTCCAGCCCAGGTGACAGAGTGAGATTCCGTCTCAAAAAAAAAAAAAAAAAAAAACAAGACCAGTGGTTTCCAGGAGTTGAAGGAGGTGATAAATAGGCTGAGTACCAACAATTTTTATGGCAGTGAAACTATTCTGCATGGCACTGTAATGGTGGATACATGTCATTATACATTTTTCAAAACTCATAAAATGTACAGCACCAAGAAACAACCCTAATGTAAACTATGGACTCTGAGTTACTATAGTGTGTCAAAGTAGGTTCATGGATAGTGTCCAATACACCACTTTGATCAGGGATGTTGATAGTGCGGAAGGCTTTACATGTGTGGGGATGGGGATGCATGGGAATTCTCTGTGTTTTCAGCACAATTTTGCTATAAACCTAAACTTCTCAAAAATGTAGTCTATTTAAAAAAATTAAGATTCACATAATTTCTATAAGACAATAGAAAGAATGAAAATTCTGTACATTCAACTGTATATTAGAGGACCTCAAAACTCTTGCAAATAGGTATGCTGAATTATACATTTGCCTAATCGATACAATTTAAATATTCATCTACAGCCTTATTTAATCACGGAATATTTATTGATACCTAATTGTGGTGAATTAAATAAACTGTAACCTATGTGTTCAAGGATCTTAAAATATGGAGAGAGAAACAGACCCTTAAGTAATCACAAAGTAGTAAGTTTTATTTAGAATGTACAAATCATTATAAAGGTTTAGTGGAGAAATATGCATATCAGAATCTACCAGAATCAGGAGGTCACAGGAATTTGCCTGGAGGCTATGGCACAGCTAAATTATGACCATTAGAAAAGGTATTCACATAAGAAAACTTTCCACTATTATCTCACATCTGCATAAGAAGTCCAGCCACATGGATCTCGATGGAGAGACCCTCAGCTAGCAGAGACCCCTGATTTAATTCTGTATACTCTTTTTCTGCAGGTTTATTTAGCGTTTTGTTTTTGTTTTCTTAATTTCCAGAATAAATTATTCACAGAAGCAATGACTGAGTGAGAAATAAGAGATGAGGTGAGGAACTTTTGTAAATTCAACATTGTCTAACTGGACATGAGTGAGAGATTGGTTTCTATTGGATATTGCTATTGGGCACGTACTTTTACAAAGGCATATGGAGTCAATCATTCATGGATGCAAGGCTTGCAAAAGATTTAAAATAGCTGGGTTAAAACCTAAACATGGAGACTGTTTCTTGGACCAATGGCTGGTCTGAACTTCATGGAAACATTCGATGAAGAGTCACCCAAAGTGAGACAAAGCCCAGGTGATTAGTTGCTGCCGCCTTTGAATCCTAAAGTGAGCACCTTAGAGATACCCAAATAATTTCTTCAAATGTCTAGCCTGAATTCTTTTCATTAATATTAATAATATATCTGGGGTAGAATTGTGGAGATAATACTGTGGACAACCTGCCTAGAAGTCATGTTTGACCCAAACACTCAACTTTACTTCTATAATGCCTAGTCCCAAGATATCTTTTAAAATATTCATATCTAATGTATTGACATTTTGACTTCTTTCATATCTCCTCTTTTGAGACACACTTTATGTGCTGATGCCAGAGTACCTAAGCTACTTACTGTTTTCTCATAACAAACCTGATCCTTTGTGAGTGATATATAAAAGAGAAACTTTCTGGTTTATTTTATATTCATTTTTAGTTCCTTTGAAATATAGAAACATTCTTTCCTCCATTCTATCATTTCCATCTCTTACGTGTGTAGCAATAAGTGTTTGGATTACACTATATGATGGCAGACAAATATGCTATTATCCAGAGTTTTGCATAATTAAAGTATAATGCATTCACTTTAGAAAATGTCCATACTTAATGTAAGTGCATAGTGCTGCCAGGATATTCTTCCCCTCCCCTCTGGGTTTGAAGCTTTGCTTTGCATCTCATCTCAGACACATAATTAGTTGTAGCAGCTATATTATAGTGGTCTCATAGCCTACATCACCCAAATCTTCTTTAAACATCATTTTAGCAAAGTAAACCCAGGAAATTCTGTTCACCTTACTTAAATGCTTGTAACTTTAGTATTTTTACAATTCTTTCAGGCTCAGCACAGATGGGATTTTTCAAATGAAAACCAGATGAAAGTAAACATCAATCTCACCATCGAAACTAAAGGTAGGAAGACGAAGACCTAGCTCTGTGCTGTAACAAGATCCGCTTTTGCTGTGAAAGTGTGTTTCCAATAATTGCACAGTTACCTTTCATTAGAGACTCAAATCAGCATTTTATTTTTCCTGTTATAATTTGACATGGTAAAAGGAGAAGTGGGCTTTCAAATCTCTAAACTGTGTCAATCTGAGATGAAGGTTTTTAGCATTCTGCCTCTGTGGGGGTATTTGGATTTGTGGTTCATTTTCCAAATCCTGTTTAACATACAATTAAATAATAATGTAAATATGTGATATAATCTCCCCTGGCTACAAACTTTCACTGACCCTCGTGATTTCCTCCCCTTGGGGTTTCAAATTTGATTTCTATTGCCCTTCCTTATTAAAGCCTATATCTGTGTCCTTTTCCATTGCAATTTGCTAAATAGTCATTTAATTTGTATCCTTTTTAAAATTTATTTTAAATTATTCTTTTTGGAACAAAAAGGAACACTTGATTAGAAAGGAATTATTCTAACTCTGTTGCCAATTTATTTTGGATTTATTTTTATTCTTAAATTATACACCTAGATCATCTCCAAAGTAGCCTCCTAAATTGGTGCATATTAAAATCATTCGAGAAGCTTTAAAAATTTAAAGCCTCATCTCCTGATGATCTGATTTAACTGGTCAGGATCAGGACCTGGGCATTTACAAGTTTTAAAAGACTTCTTTATATATCCTAATATGTAGCCTAGGTTGAGAATCATTCTCCTAGGGTCTAGATCCCTTTCTTGAAGGGGTTTGTTCTTAAGTTTCAAAGTTTTGAGTCCTTTTTAAACCACCTTCAGGAAAGCCAAGGAATTAGTCAAGCCTAGAAAGAATGTGAATTCTATTGCACACACACAGATTGCAGGAAGAATCCTTAGCAGTAATAATTGATCTTAGCATCATATTCTACTTCTAGTAATGAACATATGAAATGAAGTCATATCTGCACTTAAACTACTTTGAGTCTCTCTGCAGTGCACTTATCTGATCTCTTATCAGCATTTAGTATAAACATTCTCAAAATCAGAGGCCTGTAGGCCTTCGTTCCATTAGCCCCGCATACTATGGTACAGTTAGAGCTGACCTCTGACATGGCAAAGATTTCAAAACAACGATGTGTGATATAACCTCATGAGTACCTGTAGAAAAGACAGTCTCTCTGGGGCATCTATATTTCTTCTCTTTCAGGTGGTCTTCCTTGCCTCTGTAAATGGAGAAAGGAAAGACATAGGTCTGAACCAGCCAGCCAGGTATGATTAAAGTGGATGATGCAGGTTTTATTTCACATCATTTCAGAAAATTTATGAACATGGTTTTCAAATCTAGACATGATGTTATACATACCTGGGTTGTTATGAATGATTATTATTTCATTCAGTGGTCTTTCACTCTCCTAATAGAAAAAAATGCCATTCATGATAGTCAAGTTTTATCATTAATAGGATGGCTAAATATTTTTATTAAAAATAATTGAAAAAATTCATTTTTAAGTAATATATATACTATAAATGATTAAGAAATCCACTTAGGAAAATCATATGTGGTGCATCTTTAGTATTTTTCAAGATCTCAAGCTACTAAATTGATGGCACTGGATTTATTAAAATAATTCATAACTAACATCATAAGTTTTAATTCCAATAAATCATTCTTTCAAATGTGTATCCTTCTTCTTAGCTGATAATTAAAATACCCCCAAAATATACTTGGGGTCACTTGACATCTTTTGTTTTATTTATTTTATTTATTTTTTTCTTTTTCAAGATGGAGTCTCACTCTGTCACCCAGGCTGGAGTGCAGTGGTGCGATCTTGGCTCACTGCAAGCTCCGCCTCCCGGGTTCAGACAATTGTCTTGCCTCAGTCTCCTGAGTAGCTGGGATTAGAGGCACCTGCTACCATGCCCAGCTAATTTTTGTATTTTTGGTAGAGACGGGGTTTCACCGTGTTAGCCAGGATGGTCTCAATCTCCTGACCTCGTGATCCGCCCGCCTCGGCCTCCCAAAGTGCTGGGATTACAGGCGTGAGGCAATGCGCCGGGATGACATCTTTTATTTTTTTAAACAAAGACCTTGAGAAGAGCAAAGAGATGTTTTGCTGTATATACAGATCCAGGTGTAGCAAACTTGAGACTCTAAGTACTTATGTTCCTCTTAATTACTCTGAAATAATGGGGGTAAGAAGTTCAGACAAGTTATAGGGAAACAGTAAATATGATTAAAAGGCAAATTAATAGATAGAAATAGATTGTGAGAATTTAATGTGTTTAATGTACCATGTCTAACGGACTGACTATAGAGGAGATTTGAAACCAGTGGAGAAATATGTAAATAACCTAGAGGAGAAAATCTCACCTTACCTTGAATGGATTCATGACGGAGACTGATAGTAAAAGTGATTATAGGGCCAGGTGCGATGGCTCACACCTGTAATCTCAGCACTTTGAGATGACAAAGTAGGGGATGTATCATTTGAGGTCAGTGGTTCAAGACCAGCCTGGCCAACATGGTTAGACCCCCTCTCTACTAAAAATACAAAAATTATCCAGGCAATAATGGCTTGCCCCTGTAATCCCAGATACTCAAAAGGCTGGGGCAGGAGAATCACAAGAGTCTGGGGGGCGGAGGTTGCAGTGGGCTGAGATCATGCTACTGAACTCTGGGCGACAGAGTGAGACCCTGTCTCAAAAATAAAAAAGTAATAATAGGATCATATTTAGAAATATAAGCCATGTCAAGAAAAATCTCTGAAAGACAGAGAATTTAAAAACATAAATAAAATAAGATATTTGGAAAAGTTACCGTTACGGTATCCTTTTAGATTTCAGAAAGAAAGATTTATAAAAGATGTGTTTTTAGCAAGAAGAAATGTCAAGGGAAAGATGTAAGATTTAAAGTCACAGATCCTTGTTTGAATTCTTGATCTGTCATTTAGAGTACAACACAAGGCATATTACCAGCACATTTATAAAACCGTATTTATAATTTATTTTTTCATGGATGTCATGGAAACAATAAAATGTTATTACGTTATGTAAAGTGCTTTGCAAATTATAGAGGTGCTTTCAAAAATAAGTCAAGATGTACACCTCAAAGTGAGATTCTGGCTTTCCACAAGAGTTCCAAGTTGGTTAGTATTTAATATCCACAGTCCATTTGGAGAAACACTGTCTAAAACAGTGGGAATTGAACAATGGAAGAAGTCCTTAATTTTGGAAACAGTCAACTTTAATTTAGATTGATAATGCTTGAGCAAAATTGCAAAAGTCTCCGAGTCTTCTTTCTCCTCATCTATAAATCTAAGAGTGGGAACCATTTTAGAGACCGTCTGAGATTTCATGACATAAGTGTTATAATCAGTTGTGAGGGATATTTCAAATTAATAGTTACTGGTATGAGTTAACTTTTGTTAATGATTCATATTTTGTTAAGTGTTTGTTTAGATTATTTCTATAATATCATTCTCATTCTCCTGCCATCTGATATGCTTCCTTGAAAGGAACAGAGGTGAGAATTACCTATACCCTACAGTTTATGTGGACAGATAGGTCCTATAGAATGTGAGTAGTAGTCTGTGTTAAGAACCATCTATTACAAGTGTATGCAAAAAAAAGAGAGAGAAGCTGAGAACTTTTGGAGCGAACTATGTTTGAATCTTCCTTAAGCTCTGAAACAAACAAACAATCAAAAAACAGTGAGTAGAAGCAGAGCTTACAAAGCGACGGAGGGAAATCAAAGATCCTGAATTAACTATTTTCTGCTTGGATATCACTTAATCTTTTTTCTGTCTTTGATTATTCCTTTCAATATGAGACTAATGCATAATTTGTAAATAATGACCAGAGCTTTCTTCTTCACAATGAGAGCTACTTAGCCATGCAAACAGAGTGACATAAAGGAGAGGAACAATTAACCTCATACATCCACTAGATAGCCAAACACCTAGGAAGGACTGTGAAATCATAGGGGCAGCCAGGTGTGTAGGCACACTCAGAAATAGGTGCTGGGTGCTGGCAACCACCTGAGAGCACTTAGTAAGACTGAGATAAGAAAATAGGAAAATTATGAAGGATGCTCTGAAGAATCCTGGGTAAAGAGATCTTGACTCTATACCAGAGAGGAACATAGATTAGGTGGATGGACTATGGCTCATTTAAGAAACCACCACCAGATCATGATACCTAGTCATTAAGGGTGACAAGTTGAATTGAACTTGCTCCTGCTTGGATCCAATGCCTATCTCCTTCCTAACTCAGCCCCACTTCTCATTTGTAATCCTGCTCTTTGTTCCATCAACTGTCTGGTCCTCAGCCAAGGAATCTGGACATGGATTTTGGCTTGGGTACAATTTGCTGATCTTGTTTTCCACCTTAGTCTGGGCATCTCTCACCCAAGCCTGCTAGCCTGCATTTAGACTAGAGCTTACCAGTTACTCAAAAGATGGGACTTCTGACAATCACATTTTTAAAACACCACATTGAGGTATAATACTTTCTACTGTATTTGTTTGTTTGAGATGGAGTCTTACTCTGTCACCAGGTTGCAGTGCAGTGGCACGATCTCGGCTCACTGCGACCTCCACTTCCCAAGTTCAAGTGATTCTACTACCTCAGCCTCCTGAGTAGCTGGGATTACAGGTGCGCGCCACCATGCCCAGCTAATTTTTGTATTTTTAGTAGAGACGGGGTTTCACCATGTTGGCCAGGATGGTCTCGATCTCTTGACCTCATGATCTGCCCATCTTGGCCTCCCAAAGTGCTGGGATTACAGGCGTGAGCCACCATGCCTGACTAATACTTTATACTGCAAAGTTTATCTGTTTAAAGTACAGCATTCACTGATTGTCAGTATATTTACAGAATTGTACAACCATCATAATAATCTCATTTCAGAACATTTTCATCATTCTCAAAAGCAGTGTTGTACCCATTAGCAATAATTTCCCATACCACCATCTCCCAGCCTTAGGCAGCCGCTAATGTATTTTGTCTCTATAGATTAGCTTATGATTTTTGATAAATGATCTAACCAGTCACAGAAAAGATTCCATTTTTTAATCCTCAAATTGCTCACCACATGATCTCTAACTTCTCAGTATGAAGTTGTAATTATGGTTTGGAATATTAGCTATTAGAAATTTATTTTCTTATGTGTGTAATTTTCAAAGTTCAATTAGGGATTCTCAAATTGTTCAGATAGGTTTTGCTATTTTTGCTGAATTTTCTTCTGTCTTTTAGCAGTGAGAGAATGGGCATAGCAGTAAAATTAAGAACACATGAAATATCAATAAGTTGACTTCTTTCCCACCACTGAATTTGTGTTTAGTTCTATGCGTCGCTGAGACATTCAGGGCATGAAGTGCCAGCTCTGGTCCTTGATTGCCCAGACTTGTTTCTTGAATTCCATAGCTGGTCACCTACTAGTCACCTATAAAACACTTATTCCCAGTTATATACACTTACAGCCCTTGCCAGGTTATAATTATACCATGTATTTTTGCTTACTAATGTGAGGAGTAGAGAGGATATACAACTAAATAACTTTATGAGAGTTTAAACGAGCACAAACACACTAATTTTGGGGAGAGATTACTTTGATAGAAAGAATTTTTACACAGTAAACTAATATTGGTATTGATAAAAAATTAGAATCATTAATTTTTATTTTATAAAATTTTATTGTATTTTTTATTTATTTTTGAGACGTCGTCTCGCTCTGTTGCCCAGGCTGGAGCGCAGTGGTGGGATCTCGGCTCACTGCAACCTCCGCCTTCCAGGTTCAAGTGATTTTTCTGCCTCAGCCTCCCGAGTAGCTGGGACTACAGGTGCATGCCACCACGCCAGGCTAATTTTTTTTTTTGGTATTTTTAGTAGAGACGAGTTTTCACCATATTAGCCAGGATGGTCTCCATCTCCTGACCTCATGATCCACCTGCCTTGGCCTCCAATTTTTATTTAATAATAGTACATTTTTTGTGTGCCTATTTTAACCATTTAGGGGGTGTTTGATTAAAGGCATCAGAAACAGATGGAAGAAAATAAAAAAATAGAAACTGATTTATTGAAAAGATAAAGGTTGGCTCATAGAATTAATGGAGAGGGTGAAAATATGTGTCCCAGAGTGGGCAGACATGAAGGCAGCCTTGGAAATTTTGGAGTGAGGAATTTACAGAGGGTACTTTAGGACACAGTAGTCAGAATGAATAAATTTCCATAAGGTCTATGTATCTCCTTATGAGTCAAATTCCAGGGAGAGATTGTCTAATTAGCCCAGCTGTGATCACATCCTCATCCCCTCAGCCAGGATTTGTTGAAACACCTGGATTAAGCGCATCACTAAGATTGTATTCAAATGGAGAAGGTGACATTTCCCAAAGCAGACATGGGATAATGATTCTAGAATTAGAGGGAATGAATGCTAGACTGTTAATAGCCAGCATAGTATTTATTTTTCAAAAACTTACATAGTACTTATTCTCATCTGGGTAGTGTTTCAAGCATTTTATAATGAATTCCTCATTAAATCCTCATAATAACGCCCTGTGGTAGGCACTATTATTTTCAACTCCATTTTATAGGCCCAGAGTGGTAAAGTAACTTTCCTGAACTCACACAGCTAATAAGAGAGAGAGAGAGAGAGAGAGAGTGGAGAGATTTGAACACAGTCTGGCTTCTGAGTCCCTGCTCTCAACTGACACTATGCTGACTCTCTCTAAGCACAATTAGGGAATATCATTTCATTGCTTTTAATAAGAATCCTGTGAAATAAATTACCATTTCAGAAATAAGAAAATCTAGATTCAGGAAGCTTAGAATTTGACTAAGGCTGCAAGACTTCAGCACTCATACACTTCCAATCACATTATACTGTCTTTTGAACTTTTCATATAGAGGTGGGCGTTAACATTCTATTAATGGCTTAAAATGCCACCTAGATGCTTAAAAGCTGCCTTCAGATCTCTATGCTGTGTTTTTCCCTATGTAACATTTGAAAGCAGTCTTTTCCTTTTACAATTCTGTGTGCATTTCTTTCAATAAGAAGGCAAATATCAAATCTCTGAGGAATGCCATGTGAATAAGACAGTCTCTGAAAAAGCTGAATCAAGATGCAGTTTGTGTCTTGCCTTTCGTTTTCCCTTCTTCTGAACCACCTACAGTTCTTCAAAAGAAGCATTTTCCTTATTCTGAGTATGCCATGGATTCAGTTCCCCAGCAGATCAGCCCAGTCACTCATGGAGCTGAAACCTTTTTAGTGCCCAATCTGTCCAAGATCTTAAAAAAAAGAGAATTTCTAATTTTCCTATATGAATCCAAAAAATAATAAGCTAATTCTGAATTTTGCTTATATCATGTAAGTTTAAAAGTCCAAATGCAGACGTTAAGCCCTTCTCTGAATATTTTTACCTTGGAGGCATCTGACAGGACTTTTTTTCTGAAAGATATGTACTTAAAATAATACAAAAGTACAGGATTTGGGGAGAGGATTTTTTAATCTTTTCCTTCTGGTCAGATTTAATCCATTGAGCAGAAATGTGACTGATGGTGACCACACACTCAGTATCCTTACTAGCAAATGCAGTGTGTTTTACCAGCAAGAATATAAAATGGCTGTATTGACCCTTCATTCTTCTGGGGCTGACATGACACGTGACAGGTGACATGGCATCCCAGGGAGATGAAGCCTAGGTTGTGGACACCCCAGGGATACTGATTACATGAGCCCGCCATTCGCTTTGACTCAGGAGGATATTGCACACTGGTTAAGAGTGGCCTCTTAAGATTGACTGCTAGGATCCAAACTGGGCTCCACCACCTTCTAGCTAGGTTACATTGGGCAGCTCACCTGTAGCACTCTGTTTCAGTGTCCACAGAGGGTGACTGTGAATATTACATTAGACCATGCATTCCTTAGAAACCAAAAAGTAACTGCTATATTAGGCATCACAAGAGTCATTAGTAAAGGTGAAAGAATCAACAGTGTACAGTGTACAGCAATTTTTGGAAATATAATTTTGTTTATATGTAGAATGGGGTTTCTTCGCAAAGTATCATTGTTTAAACTGCTTGAAAGTATCTTCAGAACAATTAATAGATACCATTTGTTTTCATTGCAGTAGAGAACCACTGATCTAGAGGTCTGGTGAAAGCAGCAAGTAATAGGATGAAAATAAAAAGCAAGAGGACCAGATAAGCAGTCAGAATTACAGTGTATGAAATATTTTCTCCATATTTATTTTATTAAAATATCAGTTATGTCTTCCATAATCTGACTCCAGCACTTTTTAAAGTGTCCATTAGACAGGAAGGGGTTGTAGAAATTTTCCATGGGTGACATCAGGGATGTCAGGACTTCATCTGTATATTGATGCCTGCATATATATTTTTTATTTTTTAAACTTTTTATTATGGTAATTCAGAAACACACAAAAGCAGGGAGAACAGGATAATGAACCCTCATGGACCCATCACCCACCACCAACAGGTTTGAACTCTTGGCCAATCTTGCTTCATCTTTGTTCCCACCCACTCCTCAGACCTTAAATTAATTTGAAGCAAATCCTAGATATTCTGACATTCCATCTAAATAATATTTCAGTATCTATTACTAAAAGACAAGAACTCTTCACTTAATTAGTTTTTACTCCCAACTTTTATTAGATTCAGGGGGTAGGTGTGCAGGTTTGTTACATGGGTAAATTGCATGTCATGGGGGTTTGGTATACAAATTATTTTGTTACCCAACAAAATAATCTACCCAACAGGTAGATTTTCCAGATTTCCATTCTCACCCCACTCCTACTCTTCACCCTCAAGTAGCCCCAGTGTCTATTTTTCTTGTCTTTATGTCTATGTATACTCTTGTAAAATATAACCAAAATACCATTATTATACTTCCATAAAAATTAATTTCTTTATATTATCAAATGTCCAATGTGTGTCTGTAAATTTTATATATATATATATATATATATATATATATATATATATATATATAATTTTTACAGCTTATATTTTGAATCAGGATCCAAACAAGGTCTACACATTGATTGGTTAATATATATGTAATATATATGTCTCTTATATTTATTTTATTTTATTTTATTTTGATTTCCAACTTTTAAGTTCAGGTACATGTTCAGGATGGTCAGGTTTGTTACATAGGTAAATGTGTGCCATGGTGGTTTGCTGCACAGGTCGTCCCAGCATCCATTAGCTATTTTTCTTGATGCTCTCCCTCCTCTTTCCTACCCCCACACACTCCGATAGGCCCCACTGTGTGTTGTTCCCCACTACGTGTCCATATGTTCTCATGATTTGGCTCCTGCTTCTAAGTGAGAACATGTGGTATTTGGCTTTCTGGTCCTGCTTTAGTTTGCTGAGAATAATGCCCTCCAGCTCCATCCCTGTCCCTGCAAAGGACATAATCTCATTCCTTTTATGGCTGTATAATATTCCATGGTGTATATGTACCATATTTTCTTTATCCAATCTATCATTGATGGACATTTAGGTTGATTCCATGTCTCTGCTATTGTGAATAGTGATGCGATGAATATACGCATGCATGTATCTTTATAATAGAATGATTTATATTCCTTTGGGTATATACACAGTAGTGGGATTGTTGGGTCGAATGGTATTTCTGTCTCTAAGACATTGAGGAATCACCACCCTAACTTCCACAATGGTCGAACTAATTTACACTCCCATTAACAGTGTAAAAGCATTCCTTTTTTATCTACAACCTTGCAGGAATTTGTTATTTGACTTCTTAATGATAACCATTCAGACTGGTGTGACTTGGTATCTCATTGTGGTTTTGATTTGCATTTCTCTAATAACCAGTGACACTGAGCTTTTTTTCACGTTAGCCACATGTATGTCTTCTTTTGAGAAGTGTCTGTTCCTCCCCTTTGCCCATTTTTTAATGGGGTTGTTTGTTTTCTCTTGTAAATTTATTTAAGTTCCTTATAGGTGCTTGGATGTTAGAGCTTCATCAGATGGATAGATTGCAAACGTTTTATACCATTCTGTAGGTTGTCTGTTCACTCTGATGATAGTTTCTTTTCTGTACTGAAGCTCTTTAGTTTAATTAGAACTCATTTGTCAATTTTTGCTTTTGGTGCAATTGCTTTTGGCATCTTCATCACGAAATATTTGCCCATGCCTGTGTCCTGAATGGTATTGCCTAGGTTTTTTTCTAGGGTTTTTATAGTTTTGGGTTTTACATTTTAGTCTTTATCCATCTGGAGTTAATTTTTGTATAAGGTGTAAGGAAGGGGTCAGCTTCAGTTATCTGCATATGACTAACCAGTTCTCCCAGCACCACTTATTAAATAGGAAATCCTTTCCCCATTGCTTGTTTCTGTCAGGTTTTGTAGAAGATCAGATGGTTGTAGGTGTGCAGTCTTATTTCTGGGTACTCTATTCAGCTCCATCTGTGTCTGTGTGTCTTTTCTTGTGTCAGTGCCATGCTATTTTGCTTACTGTAGCCTTGTAGTATATAGTTTGAAATCTGGTATTATGAAGCTTCTGGCTTTTTTTTTTAACTCAGGATTCTCTTGGCTATTAAGGCTCTGTATTGGTTCCACATGAATTTTAAAATAGTTTTTTCTAATTCTCTGAAGAATGTCAATGGTCGTTTAATGGGAATAGCATTAAATATATAAATTGCTTTGGGCAGTACGGCCATTTTCATGATATTGATTCTTCCTATCCATGAGTGTGGAATGTTTTCTATTCATTTGTGTCCTCTCTGATTTCTTGGAGCAGTGGTTTGTAGTTCTCCTTGAAGAGGTCCTTGTCTTCCCTTGTTAGCTGTATTCCTAGGTATTTTATCCTCTTTGTGGCAGTTGTGAATGAGAGTTCATTCATGATTTGGCTCTTGGCTTGCCTGTCAATGGTGTATAGGAATGCTAGCAATTTTTGCACATTGATTTTGTATCCTGAGACTTTGCTGAAGTCGCTTCTCAGCTTAAGAAGCTTTTGGGCTGAGACAATGGGGTTTTCTAGATATGGAAACATGTCATCTGCAGACAAAGATAGTTTGACTTCTTCTCTTCCTATTTGAATACTCTTTATTTCTTTTTCTTGTCTGATTGCCCTGGCCAGAACTTCCAATACTATGTTGAATAAGAGTGGTGAGAGAGAGCATCCTTGTCATGTGCTGGTTTTCAAGGGGAATGCTTCCAGTGTCTGCCCATTCAGTATGATATTGGCTGTGGGTTTCTCATATACGGCTCTTATTAGTTTGAGGTATTTGCCTTCAATACCTAGTTTATTGAGAGTTTTTAACGTAAAGGGATGGTGAATTTTAACAAAGGCCTTTTCTGCATCTATTGAGGTAATCATGTGATCTTTGCCTTTAGATCTTTTTATGTGATTAATCAAATTTATTGATTCATGTATTTTGAATCAACCATGCATCTTGAGGACAATGCATACTTGATCGTGGTGGATAAGCTTTTTGATGTGTTGCTGGATTCAGTTTGCCAGTATTTTGTTGATTTTTGCACCAGTGTTCATCAAGGATATTGGCCTGAAGTTTTCCATTTGATTGTGTCTCTGCCAAGTTTTGATATCAGGATGATGCTGGCCTCATAGAATGGCTTATGGAGGAGTCCTTCCTTTTTAATTTTTTGGAAGGGTTTCAGTAGAAATGGTACCAGCTCTTCTTTGTAGCTTAGGTGAAGTTCAGCTTTAATCCATCTGGTCCTGGGCTTTTTTTATGGTTGGTAGGATATTTACTACTGCATCAACTTTAGAACTCGTTATTGCTCTATTCAGGGATTCAATTTATTACAGGTTCAGTCTTGGGAGGTATGTGTCCAGGAATGTATCAGTTTCTCCTAGATTTTCTAGTTTATGTGCATAGAGGTATTTATGGTATCCTCTGATGGTTGTTTGTATTTCTGTAGGGTCAGCAGTGATATTCCTCTTATCATTTCTGATTTTTATTTGAATCTTCTCTCTTTTCTTCCTTGTTAGTCTAGCTAAGACCCTATTTTGTTAATTTTTTCCAAAAAAAATAAGCAGCTCCTGGATTTTTTATTTTTTGTAGCTTTTTTTCGTGTCTCTATCTCCTTCAGTTCACCACTGATCTTTGTTATTTCTTGTCTTCTGCTAGCTTTGGGGTTTGTTTGCTCTTGGTTCTCTAGTTATTTTAGTCGTGCTGTTATGTTGTTAACTTGAGACCTTTCCACCTTTTTGATGTGGGCATTTAGTGCTATAAATTTCCCTCTTTACACGGCTTTAGCTGTGTCCCAGAGATTCTGGCAGGTTGTATCTTTGTTCTCACTAGTTTCAAATAATTTCTTGATTTCTGCCTTAATTTTGTTATTTACCCAAGAGTCATTTAGGAATACGTTATTCAGTTTCCACGTAGTTGTGTGGTTTTGAGCGAATTTCTTAATCTTTACTTCTAATTTGATTATGCTGTGGTCTGAGAGACTGTTATGATTTCAGTTCTTTTGCATTTGCTGAGGAGTATTTTATTTCCAATTATGTGATTAATTTTACAGTAAATGCCATGTGGCCATGAGAAGAATGTACATTCTGTTGTTTTTGGTGCAGAGTTCTGTATATATCTATCAGTTCTATATGTATATATGTGTGTGTATTTGTGTGTGTGTATATATATATATATATATATGTATATATATGCATATGTATGTATCTATCGGTTCTGTATCTATCTATCTATAAATATTTATGTATCTATCCACTTGATCCAGAGCTGAGTTCAAGTCCTGAATGTTGTTGTTAATTTTCTGTCTTGATGATCTAATATTGTCAGTGGGGTGTTAAAGTCTCCCACTATTGTTGTGTGGGAGTCTAAGTCTCATAGTAGGTCTCTAGGAACTTGCTTTATGAACCTGGGTGCTCCTGTATTGGGTGCGTATGTATTTAGGATAGTTAGCTCTTCTTGTTGAATTGAACCCTTTATTATTATGTAATGCCCTTCTTTTTGTTTTTTGTTCTTTGTTGGTATAAAGTCTGTTTTGTCAGAAACTAGGATTGCAACTGCTGCTTTTTTTCTGTTTTCCATTTGCTTGGTAAACTTTCCTCCATCCTTTTATTTTGAGCCTATAGGTATCTTTTTTTGCATGTGAGACTGGTCTCTTGAAGACAGCATACCAATGAGTCTCCATTCTTTATCCGGCTTGCCATTCTGTATCTTTTAATTGGGGTATTTAGCCCATTTATAATTAAGGTTAGTATTGTTATGTGTGCAGTTGATCCTGTTATCATGATGCTAGCTGGTTATTTTGCAGACTTGTTTATGTGGTTGCTTCATAGTGTCACTGGTCTGTGTACTTCAGTGTGTTTTTATAGTGGCTAGTAATGGTTTTTCCTTCCCATATTTAGTGTTTCTTCAGGAGCTCTTGCAAAGCAGGTCTGCTGGTGGTGAATTCCCTCAGCATTTGCTTGTTTGAAAAGGATCTTATTTCTCCTTCACTGATGAAGCTTAGTTTGGCCGGACATGAACTTCTGAGTTTGAATTCTTTTGTTTAAGAATGTTGAATATTGGATCCCAGTTTCTTCTGGCTTGTAGAATTTCCACTGAGAGGTCCACTGTTGGATTGATGGGCTTCTTTTTGTAGATGATCTGACCTTTCTCTCTGGCTGCTCTTAACATTTTTTTCTTTCATTTTGACCTTGGAGAATCTGATGATTTTGTGTCTTGGGGATGATCTTCTCATGGAGTTTCTTACTGGGGTTCTCTGCATTTCCTGAATTTGAATGTTGGCCTGTCTTGCTTGGTTGGGGGAAGTTTTCCTGGATGATATCCTGAAGTATGTTTTCTAACCTGGTTTCATTCTCCTTGTCTCTTTCAGGTGCCCCAATTCATCATAGATTTAATCTCTTTACATAATCCCATATTTCTCAGTTTTTTTTCATTCCTTTTCATTCTTTTTTCTCTATTCTTATTCACCTGTCGTTTTTCAGAAGGATAGTCTTCAAGTTCTTAGATTCTTTCCTCTCCTTGGTCTATTCTGTTATTAATACTAGTGATTGCATCATGAAGTTCTTGTAGTGTGTTTTTCAGCTCTAAGAGGTCAGTTTTGTTCCTCTCTAAACTGGCTATTTTGGCTGTCAACTACCATGTTGTTTTATCATGATTCTTAGATTCTTTTTATTGGGTTACAATGTGCTCCTTTAGCTCGGTGAAGTTTGTTATTACCCACCTTCTGAATCCTATTTCTGTCATTTCAGCCTTCTCAGCCTCAGCTGAGTTCTGAGCCCTTGCTGGAGAGGTGGCATGGTCATTTGGAGGAAAAGCGGCAATCTGGCTTTTTGAGTTTTCAGTGTTTTCACATTTTTTCTCATCTTCATGGGCGTATCTATCTTTCATCTCCAAGGTTGCCGACCTTTGGATAGGGCTTTTGTGTTTTGTTGTTGTTTGTTTGTTTTTCTTTTAACAGTCTGACCACTCTTCTTTAAGGCTGCTGCAGTTTGCTGGGGATCTGCTCCAGACCCTAGTTGACTCAGTTTTTTCTGTACCTGGAGGTATCACCAGTGAAGGCTGTAAAACAGCAAAGATAGCAGTCTGTCCCTTCCTCTGAGGGATCCATCCCAGAGGGATACTGACCTACTGCCAGCCCAAACACACCCCTAGGAGGTGGCTGGAGACCCTGGTTGGGAGGTCTCACCCAGTCAGGAGGAAAGGGTTCAGGGAATCACTTAAAGAAGCAGTCTGGATGCTTTTTGATAGAGAAGTTGTGCTGTGTTGGAGATTCCTCCAGCCCCTGATCAGTTTGGGCTCTCCAAGATCCATAGACTGGACTGGCTGAGAATCTTGAATGGCCAAGGTAGCAGACTTCCTGCCCCTCAGGCACTCTCTGTCTGAAAAAGTAATTAGAGATCTATTGGCCCTGTAGAACACAGGTGGGGTGGGATGGATGCCCCAGCTGAGAGGACCTGGCTGGGAGGACCTGCCCTATGAGGAGGAGTGAATCAGGTTCCACCAAAAGAAGCAGTCTGACCATGCTTTGACCAAACAGCTGTGTCATGGTGGGGAGCCACATCTGCTCCTATTGACATGGACTCTCCAAAGCCCACAGGCTGGAATGGCTGCGTTATCCAACCAACCCAGGTGGCGGCTCTCCCCTCCCCTGGGCACTGTATCCCAGGGAAAGATCAGAAGTCTATTCATAATAAGTGCAGGCAGGTGTAGCGGGAAGGCCTGGCTGGGAGGTCCCTCCCAGTGATGAGAAATGGGTCAGGGCCCTGCTTAAAGAAGAACTGGCCCCTTCTTTGTTTTATATTTATCTAATTTATCTATATCTATATTTTGTACATAATACTGGGATCTTTGAGGGGATAACTGAAAACCAATATACAGGTAAAGAATTTCAGGTCCTTAGCTTGTGCTGAGGACTTGGGTAGGCATTCAGAGGTCTGAACCTGGCAGTTATGGGTCTAGAGATGCTGGCCAAAGTTGCAAACTCAGTAGGGTGGTGTAAGCAGGGTTGGGGGCAAAGTACAGGTCCAAGAATAGCATGAACATCTAAGCAGATGGTTTGATGTAGGAAAACACTTGGATATTTTGTGCAGATACTGTATTTTTAAAATGCACTATCTCATATGTTCTGGAAAACAATCATTTGAAGAAGACAGCATTTTCTTGATGTTCAACATGAGGACACTGAGGCTTAGATGTTAACTAGTTTCCTGTGTGCTATTTTTTGGACTGAATTTGTTCACCCAAAATTCATTTGTTGAAGCCCTAACCCACAATGTAACTGTGTTTGGAGACAGGGCTTTTATGTGGCAAGGTTAAATAATGTCTTAAGTGTGGCACCTGAATCCAGTAGGTTTGGTGTCTTTCTGAGAAGACGAAGAGAAACCAGAGCTTCCTCCACAATATGAAGAAACAGAAAAGGCAGCTGGCTTTGAGCCTAGGATGTAGCTAAGACTTCAAAGGAAGTTCCTCTTCCTTTGAAGAGGAACTTCACCAGGAACCAAACCAGCTGGCAACTTGATCTTGAATTTTCCAGACTCCAGAACTGTGAGACAATAAATATCTCTTATGTAATTCATGAAGCTTGTGGCATTTTGTTATGGCACCCTGAGCTGACTAATGTAATGTAATTATGAACTACTGATTGGCCGGGATTTGTGGTTCAAACCTGATAGGATGTGCTATGGTTTCCAAAAGAGCATCTGTTGGAAACTTGGCCCCCAAAGTAACACTGTTGTGAGGCGGGGACCTTGGAAGGTGGATAAGTTACAAGGATTACAAACACATGAATAAATTAATGCTGTTATCATGGAAGTGGATTAATTATCACAGGATTGGCTTTCTTATAAGAGCTAGCTCTCTCTAGCACTTGCTTTCTTTCCTTTCTGAATATCCACCATGGGACTAACTTTGCCAGATGCTGGCACAATGCTCTTAGACTTCTCAGTCTTCAGAATTATGACCAAATACACTGCTTTTCTTTATAAATTATCCAGTCTGTGGTATTCTACTATAACAACAAAAGATAGACTAAGACAGGAGTATAGAAAAGTGCAAATAGATTTAAGATGGAAGCTGCAGAATATAATTTTGCACTGGTAGGTTGGCTTATACAAAAGTAAAAAATAGAAAGTTGGCATTTGGTTTTAGGATAAGGCCTCTGCTTGACTTCAAATAGCTTTCTTTTTTCTTTCTTTACGGAGATTAAGTCTAGCAGGTACTATTCTCCAAAATGGAACAGGGCCTTGAAAATGCCAAAGATGAAAACAGAGACTCCAGTCCAGAGGGCCTCTAGGGAGACAGCCTATTTTAACATGATCCCTTCTTTTATTTTGAACACCAAAGCAGTTCTAGATGTAATTGCATCTATTAACCTTTTAACTATAGTTTTGTTACTTAACACTAAAGTTCTCTAAATGGAATCAAACCAGATACATGTACAGTAGAAGGATGACATGATTTCTATACTAGATTAGAAGACAGATGGGTGACTTTGCTCAATCGTCACTCAAGCTTTCCTACCCAAAAGAACATAAGACTACAGTAATATGTAATGTGATTCAACATTTTTTTGTTTATTTACTTATTTCTATTTCAAGCAGTTGGGTATTTTGAATTCATTTGGCATTTTGATGATAGACAGTCACCAGTGTTGCTTTTTAGTTCTCTGATTCTCATTCTGTTACCTGAAATGTAACCAATGGATAATTATCCTTTTGGTTCACTGTAACTTGGGGGCAGGGGAAAGACAGAAACTCCATTTATTATACAGAGAAACCACAGATTTGCTCAGGAAGGGATTAAGGTGTCTTCCTAGTTCAATAGTGTAAATACTTTTCTTTTTAATCAGTCATTTCTAGGATGTAGCTAAGACCTCATAATTCTTTAGTTAAAATATAATGTTATGATTTCTTTGGTATCCTCCAACTGATAATTTTCGCTGTGTGTCAGTCTGGTCCCTTACTGGGCATATGAATGTAATACTATCTCTATATGTGCCCTCTTTCAAATATGAAGTTTTAAGGGCTTCTTATATAGCAGAAGAAATGAAATACTACTTTTATAGTTTTCAGCTAATATTGAAATCAGCAGTGCTAAAATGCCACAGAACAGTGCTTGCAAGATTTCCAGAACAGTCTTGGCAACCAAACTGCCTGGGGAGTTTGTATATAATCTGAAATACCAGCTTGAATATGTTTCCCTAAAACAAAGGAAAACTTGAAGTTTTATCTGTCAACCTCAGCAATAAATAAATCTAGAGCTTCAAATTCTGTGACATTTTAAAACCAGACAAAGACAATGGTCCAATGGCCATAAGAATAAACAGATAAGTCTTCCTCCAAAAACTGGTTAAGAAAGTAAAAATGTTGCTGCATCATAAGTACGTCTCATTTCTGTCTCTGCTCCCATCTAATTCGCTATTATACAACTTCTAGATTGATTTTCCTATACCATAGCCCTGGTCATTTCTCTCACCTCCTTAAAATGCTTCAATTGTTTCCTGATGTCTACTAAATAAAACTGGCATTTGAGACCAGTTTAACATCTGGCCCCAAAACCCTTTCTAATTACTGTTATCTGGCCAAACTCTCCATTGCACTTCAAACTTCACCAAGTCTAAGACTGCTCATGAGTTTTGTAATATTTGCTTTAACAATCTTCCTGAAACATCTATCACTTTCCCTGTCAACCACAAACCCATCACAGACACTCAGTACAAAGCTGCTTTTGGAATATGGGGTCCTGAATGCAAAAGCCTTCAAAATCCAGGCTTCATGAGTAAAAGACATAAAAAAAGTTTGATGTTTGTCATAGCTTGAGATGCTACT
The DNA here is from genome assembly GCF_000001405.40 of Homo sapiens. Lineage (NCBI taxonomy): Eukaryota > Metazoa > Chordata > Mammalia > Primates > Hominidae > Homo > Homo sapiens. The sequence goes on along the minus strand of NC_000014.9, from coordinate 86,970,901 downwards.
ACAAATGCCACAGATGAGTAGGATAAATAATATAAATTTATTTCTCACAGTTCTGGAGGCTAGGAAGTCCAAGATCATAGTGACAGCATGGTCAAGTTCTGGTGAGGGCCCTCTTCCTGGCTTGTAGGTGGCCACCTTCTTGCTGTGTCCTCATGAGAGAGAGTTTCATCATGGGGGCTCTACTTTCATGACCCAGTCTAAACCTAATTATTTCCCAAGGTCTCTGCCTCCAAATACCATTACTTTGAAGATTAAGGATTCAGCATATGGGTTGTGGGGTATACAAATATTCAGTCCATAGTGATGGTAAGTGATAACCAACATTGCCTTGGTGATGGATGCTAATAGAAAATAATGGGGCCGGGGTAAATAGGAGAGCACAGAAACACCTAAGGGGGCTGCTGCTACATGCTCTAGTCAGCTGCTGTCATGTGTGAATGCCAGCCCAACTGATTATTTTTTTAAAGGGAAACCTAACTATTTGGTCATCAGAATTACTACATTATCTAATCTATAGGGTTGGTGGGAGAATGATTAGAAATGTACAAAATGCCATTAGCAAAATATCATTGAACACATTTGGTAGCCAGTAAATAAATACTAGCTGTATTCTTATTAACAGTTTTGATATAAAAGAGGGAGAGGAAGAAAAGGATGAAATTTTTTTTAGTATTTTTTTTATTATACGTAAATTCTAGGGTACACGTGCACAACGTGCAGGTTTGTTACATATGTATACATGTGCCATGTTGGTGTGCTGCACCCATTAACTCATCATTTACACTAGGTATATCTCCTAATGCTATCCCTCCCCCGACCCCATAACAGGCCCCGGTGTGTGATGTTCCCTTTCCCGTGTCCAAGTGTTCTCATTGTTCAATTCCCACCTATGAGTGAGAACATGCAGTGTTTGGTTTTTTGTCCTTGCGATAGTTTGCTGAGAATGATGGTTTCCAGCTTCTTCCATGTCCCTACAAAGGACGTGAACTCATCATTTTTTATGGCTGCATAGTATTCCATGGTGTATATGTGCCACATTTTCTTAGAGAAAAATATTTTCTCCATCAATTAGGCAGATAATACAAATTTCGATGGTCAAAATTTTCTACGTACAGCACACATTTTTCCCTTAAAAAAGATATGTTTTGCTATGGATTGAATATTTATCCTCTCCAAAATTCATGTTGAAATTTGAGTTGTAACATACTAAGTAATGTACGTTGTAACAGTACGAAGAGGTGGGATTTTTAAGAGGTGATTAGATCGCCAGGTCTCTGCCCTCATGGGTGGAATTTATGCCATTATTAAAGGGTGAATTTGGCCCTTTCTTGCTTTCTTTTGCCCTCATGAAAGCTTTCATGAGATGCGGGCCTCCAATCATGGACTTCCCAGCCTTCAGAATTGTGAGCCAATAAATTTCTGTTCATTGTCAATTAAAAAAAAAGGATAAAAATAAATTGAAATATATTAAAGAAGATAAAATTGTAAGCAAAAGCATATAATGAACATTATACTATGTTAAATATTATATGAAACTGTAAGTTTTCAGAGAAGGAAGAGATTATTTTCAGCTGAAGATATATGTGAAGACATTATTTGAGACAGAGGTTGCACTCTGGCTTCTCCCAGGCTAGTGTCAGCAAGTGCTCATGTATCATTCAGGTTTCAATCAGAGAAGCAGAGTCCTATGAGTTATACAGAATAAGAAATTTGTTACAGCAATTAGACCTTACATAATCATGGGAGCTGTTGAGGAGATCTATGTGTGCTTGTTTCCCCCTATATCTACTGTTGGGCTTCAAGTTGATATAGACCAGCCAGGTCAGCATCTGCAAAGGAAAGTGGGACTGAAGTGGGCTAGAATAAGGGAAAACTGACATCTTTGTTGATGAGCTGGAACATAAAAAAAAAATTGAAACCTGCATCTGTCTCAAATTGAAACCTGTATCTGTCTCTCTCCCAAACCTGTTGATACAGGTAACCTTCAGGGTATATGGTGTCTTTTTCCACAGATCAACACAGGTGCTTCGGCAAAAACTTAACCCAATTTTAGAAGGTCCAGTGCAAGTTGGAGGAGCTAGAAGTCAGGACACTGCCTCATGCCAACAGCATGAGCTTTTGGGTCAGAGTTATCAATCCAGACCAGCTAGAGGGCTGACTTTCACTTCTAACTTCCAAATCTCACAGAAACTTCTCTTGTGGCCATGTCTAATACAAAGTCGCCTGGGGAAGGCATTTTGAAAAATATAATTGCAGCTTAGCTAACAAAAACTTCAGTAAGAAAACACCTAGTATTTGTCTATTGGCTGCCAACTACGTTCAAAGATATTTTACTAGTGGCTTTCATGTGTTTCCACTAAATATCCCACCAACCCCATAGATTAGAAAGTGTAGTGACTCTGATGCTTATGGCTACAAGAAACAAAATCCTTAACAAAAAGTGGCTTAAGTAATAATAATATTTATCTTATATAACCAGAAGACCAAAGGTTGAGCAGACTGTGGAATTGGTGTGTTATTTCTCAGCTCCACTCTTTGGTCATTCTGTTGGTTCTACCTTCCTCTGTTGGTTGACTTCATCCTTACAGCAGGAGGAAGATGGCTGCAGTTGTTTTATGAGCTTTTCTTTACCCACAGGCAACCTTCTTGGATAGAATCCAAGACATGCCTAGGCTGGTTCTTGCACAAATGATCCACATCTGGTCCATAGAAAGCATTCTTACACCCTCTCACTCCAGATGTGTAGGTCGTAAAGGAAGACTTAGGGCATTATTTTCCTTAGGTATCTGCACCTACAACTGTAGACAACATTTATAGTTATTTACGTGGTTGCTTTGAAGCCCTTTTTATTAGATATGAAATAGGATTCATGTTGCCCACCACTCTGCCACAAAGGAGGGGAAGCACCCACAGTACGTCTCTTTCCAAAGTATTATCTTTTTAATTTCCTGCTATTTTCTCTGACTCTAGCACCTATAGGCTAAAAGTAGTGGCCATCAACATGTCACACAACTGTTTTTTTTCCCCAGTTCCTTCGCAAGTCCAGCATAGGTGGCCACAATCCCACAGTGGATTGTGGGAGCCTTTGATTCCTTGGTCTTTCATATGAATCTGACACCAAGTAAGTTATGTTTTCAAATGTAATTATACATACAACATAAATTTGCCTCAAGATGGCATGTTACAATTTTCCATAGCCATAATGTCTTTCTCTAATATGGCGAATCTAGGTACTACTGTATTTCACATTAGGGGAAAAGAATCATGTTACTCATTTTCATGTTTATTAAAACATAGGATCTTCTTTCACCTAGTCAGCAGATAGTTTCTCATATAAAAGCTTTATGAAAATAGGGAATGCATCCAGGGTTTCATGAATGTACTGATTTGATGCTCAGACATTTACATGAATTATAAAATAATAATCATAGACATGATTTTAGTGTCTACTAGATGTCAATTGGCTTTATGCATTATGTCAGTTCTCCCAATGATCTTGAGGGTGAGTTACTATATCCAGTTTACAGAGGATGAAAATTAGTTGCCACCAGATTAAGGATGCTTTCTGTGGTTCCCTAGCTATTGTATTAGTCTGTATTCACACTGCTGGTAAAGACACATAAGAGACTAAGAAGAAAAAATGGTTTAATGGATTTACAGTTCCATGTGGCTGGGGAAGTCTCACAATCATGGTGGAAGGTGAAAGCCATGTCTCACGTGGCGGCAGACAAGAGAAGAGAGCTTGTGCAGGGAAACTGGCCCTTATATAATCATCAGATCTCATGAAACTTATTCACTATCACAAGAACAGCATAGGAGAGACCTGCCGCCATGATTCAATTACCTCCCACTAGGTCCCTCACACAACACATAGGAATTAAAGGTGACATTTGGGTGGGGACACAGTCAAACTATATCATCCCACTCCTGGCCCCTCCCAAACCTCATGTCTTCACATTTCAAAACCAATCATACCTTCCTAACAGTCCCCAAAGTGTTAACTTATTGGGGGAAGCAGCCCCCAGTATTTCATCGTAGGTTCTTTCCATTTTCCCTAAGTGTTGGCCGGTCTGAGAAATAAAAAGAAAGAGTACAAAGAGAGAAATTTTACAGCTGGGCCTCCAGGGGTAACATCACATATCGGTAGGTCCGTGATGTCCCCTGAGCCACAAAACCAGCAAGTTTTTATTAGGGATTTTAAAAGGGGAGGCAGTGTACGAACAGGGAGTAGGTCACAAAGATCACATGCTTCAAAGGGCAATAAAGATCACAAGGCAAATGCAAAATTAGAATTACTGATGAGGGTCTATGTCCTGCTGTGCACATATTGTCTTGATAAACATCTTAACGGAAAACAGGGTTCAAGAGCAGAGAACCAGTATGACCAAATTTACCAGGCTGGAATTTCCCAATCCTAGTAAGCCAGAGGGTACTGCAGGAGACCAGGGTGTATTTCAGTTCTTATCTCAACTGCATAAGACAGACACTCCCAGGGTGGCTGTTTATAGACCTCCTCCCAAGAATGTATTCCTTCTCCAGGGTATTCCTTGCTGGGAAAAGAATTCAGCAATATCTCTCTTACTTGCACGTCCATTTATAAGAGCTCTGCAAGAAGAAAAATGTGGCTCTATTCTGCCTGACCCTGCAGGCAGTCAGACCTTATGGTTATCTTCCCTTGTTCCCTGAAAATCGCTGTTATTCTGTTCTTTTTCAAGGTGCACTGATTTCATGTTGTTCAAACACACGTTTTACAATCAATTTGTACAACAGTGGTCCTGAGGTGACGTACATTCTCAGTTTACAAAGATAATGGGATTAAGAGATTAAAGTAAAGACAGGCATAAGAAATTATAAGAGTATAATTAGGGAAGTGATAAATGTCCATGAAATCTTCACAATTTATGTTCAGAGATTGCAGTAAAGACAGGCATAAGAAATTATAAGAGTATAATTAGGGAAGTGATAAATGTCCATGAAATCTTCACAATTTATGTTCAGAGATTGCAGTAAAGACAGGCATAAGAAATTATAAAAGTATTAATTTTGGGAACTGATAAATGTCCATGAAATCTTCACAATTTATGTTTCTCTGCCACAGTTCCAGACAGTCCCTCCGTTCGGGGTCCCTGACTTCCCGCAACATTAACTCATTTTAACATTAACTCAAAAGTCTGCAGTCCAAAATCTCATCTGAGACAAGGCAAGTCCCTTCTGCCTATAAGCCTATAAAATCAAAAGCAAGTTAGTTACTTCCTAGATACGATGGGGGTTCAGGTATGGGTAAATACAGCCATTCCAAATTGGAGACACTGGCCAAGACAAAGGGGCTACAGGCCCCATGCAAGTCTGAAATCCAGAGGCGAAGTAAAATCTTAATTCTACAAAATGATCTCCTTTGACTCCATGTCTCACATCAAGGTCACACTGACGCAAGAGGTGGGTTCACATGGTCTTGGGCAGCTCCCCACCTGTGGCTTTGCAGTGTACAGCCTCTCTCCCAACTGCTCTCATGGGCTGGCATTGGGTGTCTGGATTTTCCAGGTGCACGGTAAAAATTGTCAGTGGATCTACCATTCTAGGGTCTAAAGGATGGTAGCCCTCTTCTCACAGCTCCACTAGGCAGAGCCCCAGTAGGAACTCTGTGTGGGGGCCCCAACCCCACATTTCTCTTGCACACTGCCCTAGCAGGGGATCTCTATGAGAGCCCTGCTCCAGCAGCAAACTTCTGCCTGGACATCTAGGTGTTTCTATACATCCTCTGAAATCTAGGTGGAGGTTCTCAAACCTCTATTCTTGATGCCTGTGCACCCACAGGCTCAACACCACATGGAAGCTGCCAAGGCTTGGGGCTTGTACTCTCTGAAGCCATGGCCCAAGCTGTACCTTGGTCTCTTTTAGTCACATCTGGAGCAGCTGGGACACAGGGCACCAAGTCCGTAGACTGCACACAGCACAACAACCCTGGGCCTGGCCCACAAAACCATTTGTTCCTCATAAGCCTCTTGGCCTATGATGGGAAGGGCTTCTGTGAAGACCTCTGACATGTCCTGGAGACATTTTCTCCATTGTCTTGGTGATTAACATTTGGCTCCTCATTACTTATGCAAATTTCTGTAGCTAGCTTGAATTTCTCCTCAGAAAATGGAATTTTCTTTTCTATCACATTGTCAGGCTGCAAATTTTCTGAGCCTTTATGATCTGCTTCCCTTATAAAACTGAATGCTTTTAACAGCACCCAAGCCACTCCTTGAATGCTTTGCTGCTTAGAAATTTCTTCCACTAGATACCCTAAATCATCTCTCTCAAGTTCAAATTTCCACAAATCTCTAGGAAAGAGACAAAATGCTGCCAGTCTCTTTGCTAAAACATAACAAGTGTCACCTTTGCTCCAGTTTCCAACAAGTTCCTCATCTCCATATGAGACGACCTCAGCCTAGACCTTATTGTTTACATCACTATCAGCATTTTTGTCAAAGCCATTCAACAAGCCTCTAGGAGGTTCTAAACTTTCCCACATTTTTCTTTTTCTGAGCCCTCCGAACTGTTCCATCCTCTGCCTGTTACCCAGTTCCAAAGTCACTTCCACAGTTTTTAGTATCTTTTTCAGCAACAACCCACTCCTGGTACCAATTTACTGTGTTAGTTAGTTTTCACACTGCTGATAAAAAATATACCTGAGACTGGGAAGTAAAAGAGGTTTAATGGACTTACAGTTCCATGTAGCTGGGGAAGCCTCATGAGCATGGTGGAAGGGGAAAGGTACATCTTACATGGTGGCAGACAAAAGAAGAGAGCTTGTACAGGAAAATTCCCCTTTATATAATCATCAGATCTTGTGATGCTTATTCACTGTCACAAGAATAGCACAGGAAAGACCTGCCCCCATGATTCAATTACCTCTCACTAGATCCCTCCCACAACATGTGGGAATTCATGAAATTTGGGTGGGGACACAGCCAAACCATTTCAGCTATCAATTCAGAGTTTGGTTATCTGTGTTTGATCTAAAAGACAATATTTTTATTATACACAATATTTAATGCTTTAAACTCGTGCATCAAAAATAATGCAAGTGAACAGATGCACAGCTGATATCATACTAAATAGGGAAAGACTGAAAGCATTTTCTCTAAGACCTGGAACATAACAAGGATGCTCACTTTAACCACTGATATTCAACATAGTACTGAAAGTCCTAACCTGAGCAATCAGACAAGAGAAATAAATAAAGGGCATCCAACTTGGAAAGGAAGAAGTCAAATTATCCTTATTTGCAGATGACATGATCTTACACTTGAAAAAAAACTAAAGATTACAACAAAAAACTATTAGAACTGTTAAATTCAGTGCAGAATACAAAATCAACATGCAGAAATCAGTAATATTTCTATATGTCAACAGTGAATAATCTGAAAAAGAAATAAAAAATAACCCATTTATTATAGCTGCAAATAAAATCAAATACCTAGATATAAACTTAACCAAAGAAGCAAAAGATCCGTACAATGAAAACTGTTGAACATTGCAGCAAAATTGAAGAAAACATGAAATATGAAAAAAATATTCCATGTTCATGAATTGAAAGAATCAATATGTTTAAAATGTTCACACTACCCAAAGTAATCTACAGATTCAATGTAATCCATATCAAAATATCAATAACATTTTTCACAGAATTTTTTTAAAGTCTTACAATTTATATGGAACCACAAAAGACTCAGAATAGCCAAAACTATCCTATATGAAAACAACAAAACTTGTAGGAATCACATTAGCTGACTTCAAATCATACTACAGAGCTATGGTAACCAAAACAGCATGGTTCTGGCATAAAAACAGACACATAGACCAATGGGACAGAACAAAGAACCCAGAAACAAGTTTATACCTCTAGAGTGAACTCATTTTTGACAAAGGTGCCAGAATATACATTGGGGATAGGACAGTTCCTTCAATAAATGGTGCTAGGAAAACTGGATATTCATATGCAGAAACATGAAACTAGACCCCTATCTCTCACTATGTATGAGAATTAAATCAAAATGGATTAAATACTTAAATCTAAGACCTTAAACTATGAAATACTGGGGAAACTCTTCAGGACATTGGTCTGGGCAAAGATTTCTTGGGTACTGTTCCACAAGCACAGGCAACTAAAGCAAAAACGGACAAATGGGATCACAGCAAGTTAAAAAGCTTCTGCACAGCAAAGGTTATAATCAGCAAAGTGAAAAGACAATCCACAGAATGGGAGAAAATATTTACAAACTATCTATCTGACAAGGGACAAATAACCAGAATATATAAGGAGCTCAAACAACCCAATAGGAAAAAAACCTAATAATCCACTTACATGATGTGCAAAAGATCTGAATAGACATTTATCAAAAGACATACTAATGGTAAACAGACATATGAAAAGGGACTCAACATCACTGATTATCAAAGAAATGAAAAATTCAAACTACAATGAGATATCTTCTCACCTCAGATAAAATGGCTTTTATTCAAAAAAACAGTCAACAACAAACGCTGGCAAGAATGTGGAGAAAAGAGAACCCTTATACACTGTTTGTGGAAATGTAGATTAGTAAAACCACTATGGAGAGCAGTTTGTAGCTTCCTCAAACAATTAAAAATAGAGCTACTCTATGATCCAGCAATCTCACTGGTTGGTATATACCCAAAAGCAAGGAAATCAGCATATTGAAGAAATATCTGCACTACCATGTTTATTGAAGCACTGTTCACAGTAGCCAAGATTTGGAAACAAACTAAGTATCCATCAACAGAAAAATGGATAAAGAAAATGTAGTACATATAGACAATGGAGTATGATTCAGCCATAAAAAGAATGAGATTCTCTTATTTGCAACAACCTAGATGGAAGTGGAGGTCAGTATGTTAAGTGAAATAAGCCAGGCACAGAAATACAAACATCATATGTTATCACATAGTTGTGGGACTTAAAAATAAAAAAAAATTGAACTCATGGACATGGAGAGTAAAAGGATGGTTACAAGAGACAGGGAAGGGTAGTGGGGTGGGGAAGGCTATGGAAATGGTAAATGTGTACAAAAATATACTTAGATAGAATGAATAAGATCTAGTATTTGATAGCCCAACAGGGTAACTACAGTCAACAATAATTTATTGTACATTTAAAAATAACAAAGAGAGTATAATTGCATTGTTTGTAACACAAAGGATAAATGCTTGAGGTGATGGATACTCCACTTACCAAAATGTAATTATTATACATTGGATGCCTGTAGCAAAATATCTCACATACCTTATACATATACATATACACCTCCTATGTATCCATAAACATATACACCTATGTATACAGAAAAATTAAAAATAAAAATATCATGCAAATGAGAAAGTCTATATCATTTAGGAAAATGTCTATAGTTTACATTTATATAATACATCTTTTTTAATGCTCACATATAATTTTTCACAGCTCCTCCATGAATTAGCAAGTGACTGCATTAGCTTTTCCATTTATCAGATGAGAGTGACTAAGGCAAACACCAATTAATTACCTTGCCCATGTGCTCAGCAAAACCAAGTGGTTACTGGGGCTCGTAGTCCCCTAGCGGAGGAACTAGGTATTAGTTATAACAGTATGGGTGCAGGATGCTGGATGAGAGATGTATGGTTAAATGTGGAATTTGTGACATATCTCTTAATCACCTGCTTTGTGATACAGATCTTTTCTGTAAATTGGATGCTAGTCATACTTCCCAATTGGGAATTATAAATGATCTGATAATATAAAGCTTTACAATTCACTGAACACAGAGTTTGGCCATTTTTGCTCAACAGGTGCTCAGGAAATCTTAGCTCTTACACTACTAACTTAGGTGTTTATGACCACACAGGTGAATAAACTAGTCTACTTCCCCCTAGTAAAATGAAATTGATAAAAAAAATATGTGGAGAATCTATATAGTGGTCACATATTCAGTATTGACTGAGGAACCACATTTTCAACTATTTGTACAATTGTACAGTAATTACATCTGATTTTTCTGATGCTTATAGCTCAAGGTCAGGTAGTGCAGGCTTGAATGCTTAAGTTTAAACTTACGAATATCGTTTTGTTCTAATTGATAAAATTTGGGTAATTTATCGAAGAAAATTTTAAAAAATCACACTGAACCTGCTACATTAGTTTTTGGAATAGTTGGGGTGAGTAATCAGCAACAACCTAGAAACTTCTAACTTCAAGGATTTTGAACCTAGTGTATTTTTCCTCCATAATGGTCTTATCTAATATTGTGCACTCCTTTTTTTTCATCTGTATGCCCATTATTCTGCAAAATTTATAGCAGTTTTTGTATCTTTTTTTGTTGTTACACATGGAGAACATTTTTTGGCAGTAATTACACAATTTGCATTTTTAAAGAGTAAACTGCAATCAAGAAAAAAATTATCATACAAATTGCTGTGTGTGTTATATGGTATCTGCAGAATACAGTGTTTACTTCTCTGATATGCACACTAGATCTATCTTAGAAAAATAGCTAGAGAGGAGGAAAAAATTGTTTTCAAAGAGATTAAGAAGACAGTTTCCCACTAAGAAATATTTTTGCCTAAAATTTGAAGAGATTAAAGTATTTTTCTGTATTTTGATTGGGGAAAAATTCTATCTCACTTTTAGCTTTACATAGACTCTCGCACCTCTTTTTTTCTGTTTTTCTATTTCTGTTCAAAAGTATTTGTGGTATTCACTGTTTCCGAAAAATGTGAGCATCATATATTTAGTCCTAGATATCTTTAAATGACAATTGGAGAAAAAACATTTACAAAGTGATGTTACCTTTGGTACTAAAATATAGGTAATCAAAAAGGTTAATAGCCCACACTGACAGTAAAATCAAAACAAAATCACAAAAAAGCAAACAAAATAGTAATACCAAACCTTCAATAAAATAAACATTAAGAACAACAAAGCCATTCTTGAATAAGTGTTCTCTCATAGCTAATATGGTTTGGCTCTGTGTCCCCACCAAAATCTCATCTCAAATTGTAATCCCCATGTGTTGAGAGAGTAACCTAGTGGGAAGTGGTTAGATTATGGGGTGGTTTCCCCCATGCTGTTCTCATGATAGTGAGGGAGTTCCTATGAGAGTTGATGGTTTTAAAAATGTTTGGCAGTTCCCTCTTTGTTCTCTCTCTCTTCTGCTGCCATGTAAGAAGTGCCTTGCTTCTCCTTGGCCTTCTGCCATGATGGTAAGTTTTCCTAGGTCTCCCCAGCCATGCAGAACTGAGTCAATTAAACCTCCTTTGTTTATAAATTACCCAGTCTCAGGTAATATCTTTATAGCAATGTGAGAACAGATTAATACATTAAGTGTATGTTCAGAATTCTGCATTTTCTTCATGGAAAAAATGTCTTATATTTTGCATAGTCTGTGTAGACAAAGGCTACAGTTGTCTATTTTGTGGTTAAGTTTCTTGACCATCTGAATTACAAGTTTTGTGTAACTGACTAAATTAGCAAAGCAGTTGTTAGTTGATCACTTAGAAGTGTCAAAGACATTAGGGTGACTTTTTGATCCAATATTTTTGTTTGATGAAATCAAGTAATTTTGTATATAAAATGGATTTTTTTAGAATTCTCACACTGAACTCAATAATCTTATACATAGTTTTAGAAAATCATTGTTTCTTTGTGGCCTGGAATTCATTATACAGTAAACCAAGAGTATCATATTGTTAAGTCTGACTTTGAATTCCAAGTTGACTTTAAAAGTTACACAGAGCACATGGAAAAAATTCTCCAAATGAGTATTTACCTTTTCAGAAATCAGTTTAACAAGCACCAGTTTATGAACAGGGCTTGCTATAGGCATGTAATGACATTATTTGTACTCCATGTTGGAAGATAAAGTATTGAGTAAAGCTTTTAACATAAAAATTTTGCTTATTAAAATGAACATTAAGTATTGTTTCCTAGACTAGAAATAGAGGGATAAGTCTGTAAGGGAGTAAATTTGATGAAAACAAAGTTTCATGAAGTCTGAATACTATGTTTTCCTTATGTTTGTGGTTGAGAATATGGTCAGATTTTTTCTTTTAGGTTCTTCACAGTCTCCATTTTTCATTTTCACTGGGAGCTGAAAGTCAAAAGACATGAAAGAAAAGAAACACGTATTGGAAAAGTTTCAAGTGAATTCTAATATGCAGCTTGATGAGTATTTAATTCTAGAGAAAGGAAACTGCCTGTAGGGTATAAGTGTGAAACGCTCACCCTTTCATTGTGGCAATGATTTTTTCATGCATGTGTATGAGTTTCCCTGAATCGACTGGAATGTAATACCTACAAGGTTAATTAGATGTGCTGAAATGTAAACGTTCAGCACTCTCAAAATGCCTAGTTAATTCAGGTCTCACCTAGGCATCTATGCTATCTTTTTAACCACATTGTTTTCCAAGGTCTGAAATTCATTTATAGGTAACATCCTCTGAACCTTTTCAGTAAAATAAGAAGGTATTTGAAATGCATGGTCAGTCAACATCTAACATAAAATCTTAAGCCTCAGGTTTTGAAAAGAACAATGTCAATTAATGAAGGTTGTTTCTTATAGAGCTAACACAAAGAAGAGAATTACTGTTAGTATTCTGGTCAAAACTGTGTGATCCATCATGAAAATTGAAACTACTCTACAGAATGGATGGATTTTGACTTATTTGTGATCTTAGTGAGGGGAATGAAGTCACAGAGAAGATGCATGGATCATAAAGCAAAATCAATGTGGATACTCAGTTAAAGAAAAGCATTTTATATTTATGTCAATTGAAATGGAAAAGAAACTGTTCCTGTAAAGAAAGACAAAATATTCTTACTTAAGAATTTTTAATTTGCTTGTTCTTTATTAGCATGCCTTTTGCTTCTTCATTTTGAGAATTACAGGATATTGTAAGACAAATACGTTTCCTTCAATTTTACCACTTCATCAGTATTCAGCTGGGTACTCTTCTCTGGTCCTGGAGCTTAGGACAAGACCTACTCCAGAATTTGGAGGTAAGGCTAGGCTTTCTTCTGTTTCTTGTTTGTGTTAAAATAAATGGGAGATCAGTGAGAGCTTTTTGCATACAATAATACTAAAAAGAGTTCCTAATAACCATTTAAAATTATCTGGGAAAATATCACAGTTGATTTATGAAATGACTCCAAGTGATAATTTCCCCCAAACATTAGTTGTTGGGTCAATACACACACACACACACACACACACACATACACACCCCACACATATATTCTTAAACAGGATTGTGTGAATTATTTTGGACTAAGAACAATCAAAGATTTTAGTGCTATTATTAAAAGTGAAACCAAACCAACATTTTTCCTTATGCTCAAATTAAAACCCTTTTCTGGGCCTCCATAGTCATCCAATTCAGAATGAAAAGGGGGCATGAAAAAGTTACTCACAATTATATTTAATCACTGCTATTTCCAAAATCATGAATATGCTAATGTTTAATTTCAAGAACAACTCTGGAGAACTTTCATGCAGTGAAGCATGAGTTTATTTATAATGGTCAATTGCATTTTTTTCCAGTATGTTTATAACTCCATCAATTTCACATAGTGAAAAAATTGATGCGGCTTCTAAACCACAAATTCCAGTTTAAGCTTCTTCATTTATGAGCTTTATGACCTTGATCATAATCTCCTGGCCTTGTTTTATCATCTCTAGAACAAATATGGTGAACGAGAACAAGAACATAGAACAGAACAAGAACATAGCATAGAACAAGTCATAGGCTGATGTGCCTATTTCTTAAAAGAACCACCAAGGTAATCCATATATTAGAACTTTATAAGCTATTAAACTACACACAAGTGTAAGAACTGCTACTACTACTACATTTATGTGTGACCCATTAATTACTCCAGTTGGTTAGAGCCTAATATTCTTAAAGCCAACAACTTGAGTTTATTTCCCTAGAGAAATCATTGGTTTCTGAAAAATCTGGTAAATTTATCTTAATATCTCCCCAACTTTTATTTTCATGCTGTTAGCCACAGTGGAATCAGGTATGAAAATGCTGAGGACTCAGTGCAAACGTCCTGACCCACCTGAAACAACTCAAGGTACATGCCCCGATAATAGCTATTCAATGACATCAGAGTTTTCTGTAAAACTCACCACCTTTTGAAATGCAGTGGCATGATAAACTCTTAGCATCAGGAATAATCTAGATTCATTAGGTTATCTAGTTAAATGATTATGATTTTAGGCTGAGTTTAAATCAAATAGTCCCCCCCACACACACAAGCATGTGCAAAATATATGGATTATAGCTCTCATTTTCAGAGCTACTCATAAGCACATCTTTAGAATTTATGATTTACCTCCTCAACTAGCGAGTGCTTTTAAAAATTTTTAGTTGTTTTCAACAAAGATCTCAGCTTATTGCTGTTTATTTTAGAGCAGGGTGATTCCAACCTTTATATCAAGAATTTTGGGTCTCTTATTGTTCCCATCTGTGTAGAGTTGCTACAGAATTTTATTAACTCTTAGACTAAACAAGACAGTTCTGGAACATAATAAGGTAAACCTTGGGTTGCATCCCTATTCCTTCCTGTGTCCACTGTAGGGCAACAATTCTATCTCACCTTGACGTTCAGAGTCAATCATATCCGACAACACTCTTATACCCTTTTTTTTCTGTTCATCTGTTGGCATGGAGAGCACAAAATGACAAGTGGTAATTTACCTGCCAATTTAATAGATCTGAGTCCTGTTTTCCACTGAGGGACGGTTTTCTCTCTTAGGGTAATAAAGCCTCTGAACTGTAAAAGTCCAGAGTCATTGGGAAGCAAAGCAGACATATGTGAGTAGATCATTATATATAACAGGAAGATGTGGCACTCCCACATCTACTCTTTAGTTGCTGTATCTGTGAATACTGACTGTGGAGAAAACAGAAGCATAAATCAGCTGTGGTTCAGAGCCTATCACCTTCACCACGAAATCTTATCTAACAGTCATGCCATAACGAAGACTTTAAAAGCTATTCTGGTTTTTTCATATGGTCAGCTGTTTCTGAGTCATGGGTATATGAAAAGACCCACAACACTGATGTGCAACAATATATTTCCCTTTATTTATTTATCATTTTATTAGGTGTTCATTTCTTTGCTTACTGATACAGAGTGTCCCAAAATCAACAATAATGTTGTGTAGGATGCTATTATTGTTTTTAAAATATGTAGTTCACCTGTTGGGTGGAAAAAAGCAAAAGAAAATCCAGAATATGACTTTTTCACTAAGGGTAAACTGTTGTTTCCACCATGGTGAAAGAGGTAACATGACACTGGTTGATTATCTGGTCTCCTGGATGTACACTGCAATAGTGGGTCTCAGTTTTTGCTTTGCTCCTGGAAATTAGATCAGGCAGCAGGAGCACTGGATAGGTGAGTCTTTGCTTCAGAGATCAAAGTAGTTGAGCCTATACAGTCTTACTACCATAGTTAAATTGTCCACGACCCTGTTAAGAAATTTCTAAGGTAGTTGGAAGTAATACTAGCTGATATTACTGTAAGGGTCCTTTTAACCTCCTGATTAATAGTAACCTCTGTTGACGTGAGGACATTTTCGTAAAGATTCATATAAGACATAAATTTCCCTACACTGAGTCAATTCTTAGAGCTCCACTTACATTATTCACTTCCAAATCTCATGTCATCAGCCATCCAAATGGGTTCCTATAAGCTCCTCATTATTTTGTCAAACCCCCAAATAATTATACGTACTTATTTCAAACCTTCCAAGATTTTCAACCAAGGCAGGGAACAGCCTCATTAAATTTTGAAGAGTCACTACTCTTGCTATCAAAAAATTCAAAGAGTGGATTGTGTTTTGGTATTCACAATTCTCTGAGACTTCGTGTAAGCCAATTTCCTAAAGATCATAGGCCCATTGTTTCCTGATGAGTGCCCTAAATTTCCTATGAGGAGCTGTGAATTCAATTAACATTATAATTTGGCAACCCACAGAAGCAAATTTTGTGTCTGGGTTTTGCCTTAGTTTAGTGGCTCCAGGAGATAAAGGGCTCTTTCAGAGAAGTCACAGGGATCTTTTAGTTTCCTGACTACACTGGAACCAAAACCACAGAACAAAGACACAGAAATTTGAACTTACCAGACTATTTATTTTAGTTATATAGGCCCAGTGGAGTAAATCTTCTACCTTGCAGTCTTTTTTAAACCAAATTATTGAAGTATGATTGATACATAAAACCCATTCTACAGTCTTGAATTCTATTTCTCATGTCTATTGGCTCTTTAAAGCTTACCATCAACAGGCACTTCTTTCCAGGTCATCATTGATAATAATGTAATTGGTTTGTCATTTGACATTTACATTCTAGACTACCACTACCCATCCCTTAACCTTATTAGATTTTTTAAATTGCCTTTAGTTTCCTCTAGCTTCCAAATAACAAATCCTAGATTCTCCTTATTTATCTGAATATCTTTGGCTTGCAACAACTATGTGTACAAATTTTTATGTTCTCATCCTTGGATTCATGAAGCAGAAAAATGGATTTAACAAAAGAATATGGGTAATTCACAGAATACCCAGGAAAGCTATAGAATTAGGCATGAGAAATGGGCAAAAAGTAAGAAAGAGTGAGTAGTAGCCAGGACCACAGCAAAACCATGCTACAAAACAGTCTAGTGTCAATGATGCTGATCACTCCTTGTTATAACTATGTTACTTTCAACATGCCCACTGGTCTGTAGCCATTTTTGATACTGCTGGTCCTAGAATTTCAGTGTGACTGCTACTGGTAGAATGAATGCTCCACCATCTCTGCTCCTTAGCAAACACCAGTCAAAAGACTGAAGTGGGAGAAACTGCTTGGCAAGATTGACTGGGTAAGTTTGTATATGGTGCTTTCAGATTCTATGGTAGGTGGTTTGTGCCTCCCCATCACTACGTATGCATTTCTAGGCATGTTCAGATAGGTTGGCTAACTGGACATCCATTCTTGTCTCTTTCCCTTGACCATCATCTCTAAATACTTTCACTCCAACCCTCTTTTTGAGTTAGGAGTGGCCATCTAAAATATTTATAGCCAATGAAACATATGTTGAATTATGCTGATACATGTATGAGGATATTTTGCTTTTCCTGATATTAAAGATAATTTCAACTGGTTTTATCTCTTCCTCCTCTTACCCTGCTATGAACGTGGGTATGAGGTTTAGAGTTGTAGCAATCATCTTTTGACTGTAACAGGAATTGGAAAATAACAGAGATGCAAATGTTGATCATATTGAGCCCTTGAATCAATGCCAGCAGAAACAAGATACAGACTTCTTATAATGTAAGGAAAATAAACTCTTGTTTTCTTAGGCCTTTGAACTCATGTTTTCTATTACTTGAAGCTCAGCACATTCTGACTTGTATAATGGAGAATTTCCCAGATCCTGGAGAGGCAATAATTTTAAAAAGAAAATAAATAAAGTCACTTTTATTTTAAACACTAAATAAAAGTAAACAGACACTGATTTCCCCATGTTCACATCTGAAATAGTTATTAAGAATATTTAGAAATTTGGGCACATGGTGTGTGAGTTGATGACAACTTCTTCCAAATACCTTTGGAAATTTGATCCATAATACACATATTCTTCCTATTAGACTCATGTACGTTAACATATGGCTAACAGTTTATATTTCTTAAATTTACTATCCATTTCAAGATGAAACACAACCACTGCTTCATGTTTTCCCTTAGCAAATAAGTAGATAAGATGAAATGTAACAGATGTTTATTTTTTCTCAATATGAACTAATATGCAGGTACGATAATAGAAATCTATCTCTCTTACACTAAAATAATCACAGGTACAAGCACGATAGATAATAATGATCTGTATAAAAATTATAAAATTAAAATGCCACAAAACAAACTTAAGGTATTTAGTTTTGTGACTAAATGTTCCAGCTAATTGGCATAACTGAAACAGTGGTTGCAATCCAAATTCCTATTGGGACTAGACAGGTAACATAAGTGAGGCCTGGTACAAGGGGGCAGGCATACGTTGAGTGAGCGATTGCCCCATCAAGGTAGAAGCTAGTTGGCTCCTGTTGATTGCAGCCATGCTGGAATGCAGCAAGCTTGTCAGATCTTTGCATTTTAAGCAAAAGCTGAACATCTCAGATTTGGATGTGAAGTTTCTTAATAGCTTCCAATTTTATTCAATTAAATAATATTTAGAGTCTCTATCTGGATTTTGTGCCAATAACTTGTGACCTCCACCTCAAGGAAAGATTTAATTTTTTTAAGATTTGTCTTTTTAAGTGGGAAAAAATCTACATTATAAAAAACAACATCCAAATGTGCACATGCCTGTGAGTACATGCACACACACACACGTACACACTGAAATAAAGAGAAATAAATATTTTTTAAATTATACTTAAGTTCTGGGATCCATGTGCAGAACGTGCAGGTTTGTTACATAGGTATACATGTACCATGGTGGTTTGCTGCACCCATCAACCCGTCATCTACATTCGGTGTTTCTCCTAATGCTATCCCTCCCCTTGCTCCCCATCCCCGACAAGCCTCAGTGTGTGATGTTCCCCTCCCTGTGCCCATATGTTCTCATTGTTCAACTCCCACTTATTTTTAAACATTTTAATCAAAATGCTTTCCCTTCTGGAATTCCCTAGTGGAAATCATCACTAAGGAACACAGATGGACTTTGCTAAGTTTCTTATATACTAAGTGTTTGTATATTATATACTAATGCATTTTCAAACCAACACTTGTTCATTTCCTATTAAAAACATACTGAATTTCTTTTGTATTTTAATTATTTTGTATTTATTATTATTACAAATATATTTGTATTATTTGTATCATTATTTTGTATTTGTATTTTTTTGTATTTGTATATTTATTACCAGCAATGCTAGTAATAAATAAACCCTTGAGTCCTAATGCCATATGATAACAGAAGTTGATTTTGTATTCCTATTTTGCCCAATTGGCTAAGGAGTTGGGGATGAGGGAACTGTCCTCTGTGCAGGCAACTAAGTCTAATGTAGGCTCATGATTTTCAACATGTGGCTTTCCTGGACATTAATATCCAGTCTAAAGAAGAAATTAATTTTTTATGGGTTAAAACTGGCTGTATCATATATTGATTAATTCTATACTTTGTTGTTTAGAACTGAGTCACAACGTCTTAAGGAGGATGCAGGGGGGACAATGAATGTATTCAATGCCTGGGCTGCAGCTTTCAGGCAACAATCTTACCACAAGGGAAGAACATGAATGGTGGTGAATATGTACTCATGGGTGCACTAGGATTCTAGATTTACATGTGATTGATTGATTTAGAGACAGGATCTCATTCTGTTGCTCAGGCTGGAGTGCAGTGGTGCAATCATAACTCACTGCAGGCTCGATCTCCTGGGCTCAAGCAATCTCCTGACTCAGCCTCCCAAGTAGCTAGGACTACAGGCAGACGCCATCCTGCCTGGTTAATTTGTCTTATTTGTTACAGACCTGGGAGGTCTCTCTATGTTGCCTAGGCTGGTCTTGAACTCTTGCCCTCAAGCAATCCTCCTGCCTCAGCCCTTCAAAGTACAGGCTTGAACCACTGCACCTAAGCTGGATTCTAGATCTTTTTGACTAAATGTCTTTATTTCCAGTGGCTTTCTTATTTCATGTACTTTGGCTACATTAGCAGTAAATTTATACAATTCAAGAAAAAATGTGTTTTTTCACAAGTCATTCTGTAGTAATTTTAATTTTACTAAATTATAATGTTTGGTTAAATTGGTTATTCATAATTTTCCAAACTAGGTCACATTCAATTCCATTTGATTCAATTTAACTTACAAATATTTTATCAATAACTTCTATTTGCCAGGCATTTTCATGGTTTCATGAGAAAAAGAAGTGTGAATACCTGGGATATTGTAGTTAATCGTGGTGGATGAGTGATATGCATTCATCTCTAAGACCTCTTCAAACATCACTAATGAGAGTGAATAAGAGGAAAATATATACACACACTGGGATGTAAGGAATGGAAGGAGAAAAACATAGCAAGATGTGAAATTATTTTTGGAAGAATGAAAAACAAGTAGAGGCATGGTAATTGACAATGTACCTGAAACAGCTGAAACACAGGTCTTGAGCAGGTTGATGTCAATAGACCACAGCAGCTTAGCATTTGAAAGTACATGTATTTTAGAAGATAAGGAAGACACATCAGGCTAACAGAGGATGATGTTAAAAATCCATAAAAAAAAAAAAACCTTCCACTAGGGACCCCTCACTTCATTCCCCCTTCCCTCCTAGCCAGCCACCTACCCCTGGAAATATTCGCTGAAAGTATTGAATGCCAGAGCTTTACAGTTCAGGGATACAAGCAAAACAGGGTGAATATGAGGTTCCCACAGAAAAGGAAGACTTAGTGAAAAATCTATGAACCACTGAATATTGACAGCTTCTATCCCTTTCTTCAAATCTGTTCCAAAAATTCCTGCAGCCAGTTCACATACCCTCCTATGGGTGCTTGTACCTAGGGTAAGATGGCTTCCCTGTGAAGATCCAGGATCTCCCTATGTGGAGGCCTAATGGTCTTACACATGGATAAAGAGTTCCATTCAACAGTCTAGCCTCATAAAATATGAAAAACAGAAACTAACATGAAAACAAGACCTCACAGCAAAGAGAGAGAATCCAGGGAGCAAAGGAACAAATTCAATGAAACTATAGCTGATATTCTGAGAGATGTAAAGGAACACAGTGTTATAGTTGTTATTGCTTTAATAAGAAAAGATAGCTTCTTTATGGCTTATTTGTAAAATGGTACCTCACAGTGTGGTTATAAAGATTACCTTAATGAATATATGGAACTTACTTAGAACACCACCAAGCACATAATAAATAATACATAAGCATTAACTATTATATTTAAATTACAGAATATTGTGTTATAGATTTATAATTACTTCATAAATTTTTCAGGATTAAAACCTGTATTTAAATTAAATTAATGTTAAAATATAAAAATGAAATTAAGAAAATAATTTCATTTACAATAGTATAAAATATTAACATCTTTAGAAATACATTTAACAGAATTAGTGCAGAACTCATACACTGAAAATGATAAAATATTGTGAAAAGGAATTATAGAATTATAAAATTAAAAAGCTACCTGTCTTTATGGATTGGAAGATCTAATATTGTTAAGATGACAAGCATCTCCAAATTAATCAACAGATACTATGCAATTCCTCTCAAAATCTCAGTTGTCTTTTTCTGCAGAAATTGACAAACTGACCCTAAAATTCAAATGGAAATGAAAGGAACCAGAATAGTAAAAATTATCTTAAAAAATGAAGAACAAATGTGGACAACTCACATACCTGATTTCAAACTTACTACAAAGTTATAGCAATTAAGACAGTGTGGCACTGATGTAAGGATATGCAAAAAGATGACTAGAATTGGCAGCCTATAAATAAGCCCTGATTTATGTTCAATAGTTTGTTTTTTTTTTTTTTTTTTGAGATGGAGTCTCGCTCTGCTGCCCAGGCTGGAGTGCAGTGGCGCAATCTGGGCTCACTGCAACCTCCGCCTCCTGGGTTCACGCCATTCTCCTGCCTCAGCCTCCCGAGTAGCTGGGACTACAGGCGCCTGCCACCACGCCCGACTAATTTTTTGTATTTTTAGTAGAGACGGGGTTTCACTGTGTTAGCCAGGATGGTCTCAATTTCCTGACCTTGTGATTTGCCCGGCTCGGCCTCCCAAAGTGCTGGGATTATAGGCGTGAGCCACCATGCCCGGCCTGTCCAATTGTTTTTAACGAAAGTGCCAAGAAAGTTCAATGGGGAAAATAGTAGTATTTTCAACAAATGGTGCTGGAACAACTAGATATACACATGCAAAAGAATAAATTTGAATCCTTACCTAAATCCATGTAGTAAAACTAAACATGGATCATATATGTAAACATAAGAGCTAAAACTATAAAAGTCTTGGAAAAAGCATAGGAGAAAAATTTTGTGACCTTGGTTTTGGCAATGAATCTTATGACAACAAAAGTGTAAATAAACAAAAATTAGATACACTGAAGCACATAAAAATTTTAAAATTCTGTGCTTTAAAAGACAACGTAAGGAGGTTCAAGTAACAACCTATGAAACTGTAGAAAATATTTGAAAATCATGTATCTTCTAAGAAAAATAGTTCCAGAATATATAAAGCAGGGGTCTCCAAACCCTGGGTATGGACTGGAACTGGTCCATGGCCTGGTGGGAACCAGGCAGTACAGCAGGAAGTGAATGGCGGGCAAGCAGATGAAGGTTCATTTGTACTTACAGCCACTTCCCATCACTCCCATTACCACCTGAGCTCTGCCTCCTGTCAGATCAGCAGCAACATTAGATTCTCATAGGAGTGTGAACCCTAATTGTGAACTGTGCATGTGAGGGATCTAGGTTGTGAGCTGTTTATGAGAATCTAATGCCGGATGATCTGTCACTGTCTCCCATCACCCCCAGATGGGACTGTCTAAATGCAGGAAAACAAGCTCAGGGATCCCACTGATTCTATATTACGGTAAGTTGTATAATTATTTCATTGTATATGAAAATGTAATAATAATAGAAATAAAGTGCACAATAAATGTAATGTGCGTGAATCATCCCAAAACCACCCCCTCCCCCCAGTCTGTGGAAAACTGTCTTCCACAAAACCAGTTCCTGGTGCTGAAAAGGTTGGGAACTGCTGACATAAATAACACTTGTGACTCAATAATAAGAAGACAACTAGATTTAAAAATACACAAATAAGTAGATATTTACCCAAGGAAGATATTCAAATGGTCCATAAGCATATGAGAAGATACTCAATTACATTTATCATTAGAGAAATGCAAATTAAGACCATAACAAGATGCCACATCACACTCACTAGTATGGCTAGATAATGAGTGGTACCAAGGATGTAGAAAGTATTTGGCACACTCATATATTGTTATTGGTAAGATTGTAAGATGTCATAGGCTTTACGGAAAAGAGTTTTATGGTTCCTGAAACTATTAAACAGTTTTACAATATGACCCAACATAACCAAAAATCACATTTCTAGGCATATGCCCAAGAAGATGAAAACATATGTCTAGCAAGTATATATATATATAATATACATATATGTGTCTAGCAAGTATATATATATATGTCTAGCAAGTATATATATATGTCTAGCAAGTATATATATATATGTCTAGCAAGTATATTATATGTCTAGCAAGTATATATAAACAATGCTGCTATGAAGTTTTATGTGTATATATAATATATACTATATACACTATATAGTATATATACACTATATATAGCATATATATATACACTATATATACTATATATTATATATAGCATATACTGTATATATACTATATATACTATATATATACAGTATATATACAGTATACATAGTATATATAGTATATACTACATATATACTATATATATACTATGTCCACCAACTAATGAATGTGTAAATTAAATATGGTATATCCATTCAATGGAATATTATTCAGCAAAAAGAGAAATAGAGAAAGCATGCTACTATATAAATGAGCCTTAAAAACATTATGCTAAGTGAAAGGTGCTATTCAGAAAGGGCCACAACTGTATGGTTTCATTCATCTGAAATATCCGTAATAGGCAAATGCATAGAGAAAGAAAATAGAATAATATTTGCCAGGGACTAATGGTAGAGGGTAATGGGAAATGACTGCTATTGAGTACAAGATTTAAAAATAATTAAAAAATAAAATTAGAGGTAATAAAAATAATTTAAAATTAGATAGTGGTGATGGTTGCACAAATCTCAGAGTATAAAAAAGCACTGACATATACATGTTAAAGAACGAATTGTATGGTATATGACATATATCACAATAAAGCTGTTATAAAATAGATTTAAAAATTAATCCTGTAAGACAAACAATTGTGATACCATAACTTATTTTGAAACAGAAATAAACATATTTTGAGAAGAAAGAATCAAGAAGACAAGGAGTTGTAGGTGATTGGTGAATTGAATTGAAAATATCTTAATGCAGCCAGGTGTGTTGGCTCATGCCTGTAACCCCAGCACTTTGGGAGGCTGAGACGGGTGAATCACTTGAGGCCAGGAGCCTGAGACCAGCCTGGCTAAGATGGCGAAACCCCATCTCTACTAAAAATAACAAAGATTAGCTGGGCATGGAGGCACATGCCTGTAATCTCAGCTACTTGAGTGTCTGAGGCATGAGAATTGCTTGAACCTGGAAGGTGGAGCGAGGTTGCAGTGAGCAGAGATCACATATCACACCACTGCACTCCAGCCTGGTTGACAGAGCAAGGCTCTGTCCCAAAAAAAGAAAAAGGAAGAAAGGGAGAAAGAGAAAGAGAGGAAAGAAGGAAGGGAGGGAGGGAGAGAGGGACTGGAGGGAGGGAGGAAGGAAGGAAGGAAGGAAGGAAGGAAGGAAGGAAAATAAAGAAAGTAGAAGGAAGGAAGGAGAGAAAGAGAAAGAAGAGAGAAAGATAAAGAGAAAGAAAGAAAAGAGAAAAAGGAAACGTTAATGTTCTTAGTGGATTTGAACCTCACATCACATAGGGTGAGTTAACTGACATACATTCACTGTGGATATGAAATGAGATTGATGATGGAAGAGTAGACATAGAGAATAAGGAGTGGGTGAAACTTTATAGACCACACAGCCCAATAAAATGTAAAAAGCTCTTAGATATAATCATATTTCCATGTCTTGTGAGTGGTACAGCAAAGAAGGAAGGAAAATGATTCATGTTCTAGTTCCATGCTGACATGGGATTGGTTTGAAATGCAACTTTTTTCCTCACCATACCATATTTGTTCTTTCATTCCATTTCTGTACATGTCACACAAATTTGTCAGCAATAAAATAGAAACTAATCACTTGCTCTGAGAAATATGTCAAAATTAAAATACACTTAAACAACCTCAAATCTCTCCCTAAAATGCAAAAATCATATGGAATATTAACTACATTCTTTTTGTATTTATTGTCTTATTAATTTTATAATATGATGAGTATAATATGATTTATTAGCTATAGTCTCATGCTGCTTGTTTTCTATGATTCCATTATCTTTGCTCTTAATTATGACTTTATTCATTATTTTTCTATCATTTCAATAAGTAATTAGATTTACTTCCCTGCAAGTCTGAAGGCTCATTCATTCCAAGTGAATTCTTTGAAGAATTATTTGTGGATTAACTATCCTACAATTATAGTATTAACCTACCTTCTTCCTATATAAACTACAATTTCATAAAAGGTCAAATGATGCCTCCAATATCTGTATATCTGTTATTTATTACCTTCAGATTTTAAGAACTCACTAGTGCTTATTTAGCTATTTATAAGTCCAGCTATTTAAATATTTCTCCTTTAGATGTAAAAGACTAATCCAACAAAGTAAAGACTTCAGGTAACTAACCAGATAAATGAGGCAAAATATAGTTTTAAATAAAATAATGTTAATATTACATATGTGGATCTCCTCCTCCTTCTCCTCCTCCCTGTTGTCTTTCTTCAAGGTAAATTTAAACCAGATAAACCTGGCCAGAATGCGTGTATGAAATCACTCCTAAGCATTCTTTTATGTAACTATTTTATGCTCTTAATTTATGCCTCACAGTTCCCTTTAAGGGATACACTGGGATGCCTTTCATGAAACACAGTCAGTCCTGCTAGGATACTGATACCATTGTGAGTTTTAATTGATAGTATGTTACACCCCTGTGGAGTACATCCCCAAATATAACACCATTAGATTCATCAGAAAAGCTTTTTTCTAAGGCAATTCAGTTGGTATTTACTCTTTGAATCCAGTAACTTATTCCACCATTAATGAAAAAATAGTCCAACCAAGAAGAATAAAGTGTTCTTGACATATACTCAGTAGAATATTATCTTACCTGGTGGACTATTTAACACAATCACTTTTATAGTTGCTTGTCATGTGCTAGGCACTGTTCTAACGCTTTACAAATGTTTATCCACATAATCCTCAAAATAAGTTTGCAAAATATATATTAGGATCACCGTAACAATTTGGCACATGAGAAACCTGAAGCCCGTAGGAGACAAACAGCTAGTAAGTGGCAAATCTGTGATGATACAATGCCTCTAGACACCTATCCAAGTGCCTCTGCTGGTGGATGCAGGAGGTGTCTCTCTAGTAGGGCTTTCCAGTGATACACTGTGCCTATCTTAGCAATGAAGTCTTCACCAGAGGAGATGAGCAAGGACTGCGGACATCGCCTCAAGTCTCTATACTAGGCATCTAGTAGAAGGTTTAAAGCATATCTTGATCTCCAGCTCAGGCTAATTAAATTGGGCTTTTTCAGCCCTTTCCCCAAACTCAATGGTAATTATATTAACAAGTAGCAAAATGCTATGAAGGACTTTTGAACAATTCAGTCATAAGCCTAAGAATGCTGGAGAATAAACAAAAAATACCAGTGATCTGACACATATTTAATTAGCTTGTACCTCACTTATGTGAGATATGCATTTACATTTGAAAAAGGCTGCTTTTAGGCTCCAGGATTCTTAAGTGTAAGGATTACTGATTTATTAATATTTGTGTCCTAAGGATATAACAAGTGACTGACGTACAGTAGATATTAACTCAAAGTTTGATGATAGATTTCCTGGTGGAAGGAAGGGAAAAAGGGAGGAAGAGAGGAGGGAGGGAAGGAAGGAAGGGAGGAGGGAAGGGAGGGAGGGAGGAAGGAAGGGAGGAGGGAAGGGAGGAGGGAAGGAAGGAAGGAAGGAAGGGAGGAGGGAAGGGAGGAGGGAAGGAAGGAAGGAAGGAAGGAAGGAAGCAAGGAAGGAAGGGAGGGAGGGAGGAAGGAGGGGAGAGAGGGAGGGAGGGAAGGAAGGAAAGAAGGAAGGAAGGAAGTCAGGCAGGCAGAGAGGAAGGAAGGAAGGAAGGAAGGAAGGAAGGAAGGAAGGAAGCAAGGAAGGAGGGGAGAGAGGGAGGGAGGGAAGGAAGGAAAGGAAGGAAGGAAGGAAGTCAGGCAGGCAGAGAGGAAGGGAGAAAGGAAAGGAGTTAACAATGTCTGTGGTAAATGCTATGTTTCCTATTAAGTCCCAAATTGAAGACAGCGGTTACTTTTCCATTTCCTTTTAGAATGTACAAGAATTCCCTTTTATACTTTTAAATTTTCAAATATACAACTTACCATATAGATATTAATATTCTCCTATTTTTAAGTCTCCTATTCTTGTCTAGACTCAATACTGCCAAAAGCATTTCAACTGCACTTTATGCATTTTAATTACATAGAATTTCCTGTTTTAATGCTTATGAAATTGGAACGTCTTTCTATTAGCCGTGGTGCAAACTGCTTAACAGAAATGGAATACCAGCTACCCCCTGCCCCATCCCGTTTTACTCGAGGGAGAAGAGACAGGTAAATTCATGGAGTTCTGTTTCTTTCCTTCCCAGAAAAAAAAAACAAAACAAAACAAAACGATAAAACAGGAAATTCACCTTGAGAAAAACATCAAGCAGGTAAGGCTTTTCCTTCTTTTCACGGCCTTCACAAATTTGTAAATAAGGCACTTAATTTGTGGTCTCAATGTTTCGATCTAATTTCCTGTATTTGTATCTCTGGCAACCCGGATACCATTGCCCACTGAATAACCTCAGCATAACCACACTGCCACAGGCTGCCTGCAGCAGACTCAGCTAAATGCAAAAGCCATCCAATGACTTCTGCCACAGAGGCTGGTGGCATATGTAATTCTCTTAAGAAAATAATTATTCCAGCATTCAATGCATCATTTTTCTCACTGTTGTTATTCTGTCACTTGTGACTTCCTCATACCCAAACCCAGTAATTGTAAAGCCTATAGTTTAGTGGTTTAGTTTATATGACACGTGCACACACACATACATACACACGTCACACATTCATGCCACACCATCATGTATAGATGGCTGAAAGGAACATACTGATAACTGAGAGATAAGAATGCAGGCTGGAATTTCTCACTTTCTAGTAAAAAGATGCTTATCATATCATTGAACATTATTCACTGATAGTCTGTGAAGCTGCTTGCAATCAGATTTCTTTCTTTGTATTAGTTTCTATCTTCCCTTAGTGCTCAGTCTAGTTCCTTGTACCTCTTTCAGCTCAGTACCTGCTTGCCAACTAACAACTTATTTGGAGAAGAAGAAAAGGAAAGAGAGCTATAATATTATAAAGTTAATAATCCACAACTAGGTATTCTGCAGTAAACTGAAAGTCCTTTGCAGTCTTCAACTCTGCTTTATATATCAAACACCTGGATTATGTACAAATGATGAAGTTTATATATGCATATTGCTGTGTTATAATTAGTCTATAAAGGGTATCTGAAACCATGATATTGTTAATCTTGTACAATATGTTTTCATATGCATCAAAGCACATGTATTATACCAAAAAGAGAAAGTATTCAAAACTATCCAAAGTTTAAACCAAGTCCAACTGTTTCATACCAATGAGAATTGTGTCTCCTTAAAGACTAATAAAAAACTTCACAAAACTCTCTCCCATTCCTTCCTCCCTCCTTCCATCTATTCCTTTCTAGTTGTCTTGTGCCAGGGACTGAATTAACAAATTAGAATACAATAATGAGCTAAATAGGTAGGGTTTGGCCTCCGTATGACTTACTGTCTTATGGGGCTGATTTACTAAGAAGTAAATACATAATTGTGCTATCAAACTAATTATCTTGTGTGCAAAGCCAGACAATAAAAAGCAGGCATGATAAGGCTGAGGGGAGTTCTTCTGACATTCTTTTACATTATTCTGATGGCATAAACACCTTAGCACC
Source organism: Homo sapiens (assembly GCF_000001405.40). Lineage (NCBI taxonomy): Eukaryota > Metazoa > Chordata > Mammalia > Primates > Hominidae > Homo > Homo sapiens. Next base: position 86,941,962 of record NC_000014.9, on the reverse strand, counting down.
TCAACAGTTCAAAAATCACATCGCAGATATCATTGACTGCAGAGCTGGGAATCAGAATCGAGCTTCCTCATCCATTAACACAGGCCAAGTTCATTTGCAGCTCTCATACTTGTCACAATGGAGATAACTGTTTTACTAAGAAGTCAGCATCTGATTGGGAATAAGAAGAAGACTACAGAAGTTGGAGAGCGTGGTTTTATCAGTTAGGCCTACAGAATTCCATGCAGTTCTAGGATAGTGACTCTCTGGGGCCTGCAAGTGAAAGAATTTCTTAAAGAATCTCTGGTAAAGGAGCATGAGAAGAAAGTAGGGGGCCAGATGAAGGATCATTCAATACAGCCAGCTGATCATTTGTTATGCCAGCTTTAATGCTATCTGCATGTGAAGTTTCTGTCCTACCCGCCATTTGACAGAAACAGTATGTACAACAGCTTTAGAACTTGACACTGAACTAACCTCAAGTGGTTTCCAAGGATTTCATAGAGAAATTAGTAATAAAGTCTCTTTAATCAGTCTGTATCCAAGACATCTGCTTGGGAACACAGTGTCTAGTCAGACATACAAATAAAATAGCTGAGACAATAATGCTAAGGATTCTGTGGTTGGCTAATTCAGATGAAGACAATTTCCATGTTGTAGCTACGTTTTAACAAGATAACTGCCATTAATAAATCATTCACCTAATGACATGCTTGGTGTCTAATATGGGTTATCTTATAAAATCCCTGAACGTTGCTATACAATATGTATTTTATTTTATACAGATACGGAGCCAAGAAGCTCAGAGAGTTTTGTCTCCAAATAACACAGCTAGCAGGTGATAGTCATAGGATACAAATTCATTTTGGTGGATTCCATGCTCTGATTTCTTATTACTATACAAATTGCCTTCCTGAAGAGACTTAAGACATGGATTTTCCATCAAGGAAATGATAATCTTGTTATAGACATAGGACTCTTAATTGAATGTAAATCAGCATATATTTACTGAATACTTCTGTGGACAAGACACTATGAGGTTTAAAAAAAATAATTATGGAATAGTCCCTGTCCTTAAGAAAAGCTTCTTAGAAATAAGGAGGTCTTAAACACCATTAAAAACCTTCATTTCATTGATGGAGCTCTAGTAATCTGAACAAGGAAGTGCTTTACCCAAAATCATTGGCTTCTTATGGCCAAACTGGCATCAGAAGCCCATAATAGAGGTAGCGGTAGTAGCAACTGCATTCAGCATCATGGATGAACAGCCAGGACACAAGGTCCTGCCTGCTCGCAAAGGGATTCCACACTGGGGTTTGGTGTTCTGCAGCTGGTGTCTTGCAATACTTAACAATTTCATCTTTGAGTCAGTGCTTTTAAGTGAAGTCCTCGGGGACAACAAGGTATATGCTGGGGAACTGAAGTTTCTGGTCAAGTGTGTTTCTTTGTACTCCTGACTCTGCCTCCCCAATACCTTCTCTGGGCTGTCAGCTACCCACCCCATGTGACCCTGGGAACCAGCCAGCCATACTCTCCCTTCTCCTGCTTAGCTGCAATGCCTGCCCTTTATCTTTGGTAAGGAGCTGGGTGGGGACACAAAGAGGGTTCAGGGAATGGTTCACACCCCATGCATTGTTTTTGACCAGGGGTAGGGAGTTGTCATATCTGCCCTAGGCTGGCAGAGGCACATTACATTTGATGGGTGACTCAGCAGGGACAAGCCTCTTACCCATCCTCCACTTCCCAAGGCAGAAATTGCCATCTATTAAGATTCACTGACCAGTCCTGGATTAGAACAAACGTTTTGTGAGAAGAGAAGACTTGAGTTTCTCGTGCCAGGTCAGAATGTTAGCTGGCAGGAGGGGTAACCTTCTACTGAGGCATCGAGCAGGACCCTAAGGCACCTGTGAAGTTTTATACTTTCCAGGTGATTCTTCCCATGCCTAAAAGCTCATGGCACTAAAATAGCAAATAACAAAAAACATAGCATAATGACAGAGGGACCCCAGAATTTTAAAAACAAGATAAAACAAAAGTTTGTATTTTAGCACTTTAAGCCACATTTTTCTGTTTTTTGAACATCACAGCTCCATAATATTCATTTTGCACTCGACCTAGCAATTATGTAGTTGGCTCTGGTTACTATTCACTGGGTGCTGAGTATGTGCTAAGTACATGAACTATAGCATTTAGCTATTACAAAATCTCTCTATGACTGAGACACTGCTGTTAATCTGAGTTTATGAATAAGGAAAGCAACACTTAAAAGAATCAAGGAAATGTGCCTAAGATCACACAGCTAGTGAACAAGCCCCAAACTTTGATCTATGGCTTCTTATAGTCCATAATTTATTTTATTTTATTTTATGTATCTATTTAGAGACGGAGTCTTGCTCTTGTCGCCCGGGCTGGAGTGCAGTGGTGCGACCTCGGCTCACTGCAACCTTTGCCTCCTTGGTTCAAGCAATTCTCGTGCCACAGCCTCCCGAGCAGCTGGGATTACAGGTGCCCGCCACCACACCCAGCTAATTTTTGTACTTTTAGTAGGGAGGGCATTTCACCATGTTGACCAGGCTGGTCTTGAACCCCTGACCTCAAGTGATCTGCCCATCTTGGCCTCCCAAAGTGCTTGGATTGCGGCATGAGACACCATGCCCAGCCCGTATTTTAAAAAACTGTTCTTTACTGCTTCCATCCTGTCTGGCCTCTGGTACACACAGAGCCCTCTTGCTCCACCATATCCGTCTCCTTCCTGCTGTCATGGGCTACAGAACTAAACCAGACTCTACAGTGGCCAAACACACTAGGCAGATAGAACGATCCTGATGTTTACAGGAAAACAAAAGGCAGGGCTCTTGTCCATAGGAACCTCTCAAAGTAGAGACTCCGCATTTTCTCCATGTAAAATTTATATTGTCTATGCATTCAGTAAGGTGAAAACCCCATGTGGGCTGAGCCTTGTTTTGTTTTGTTTCTCTTAGAACTACACGGGGGTCAGTAAGTCTACATGAAGCCTGAACTCCTGAGGGCCTGAGACATAATTTTGAATGATGCCATAAGAAACAATGCCAGTAGTTCTATCTTTAACCATAAAACCTGTATGGTGCAAGGTAAATGCAGCTCTGGAAAATCACATCTGTGATTAGACATTTTTTGGTTCTCCATATATCCTTGTCTCTACTTTTTTAGCCAAAAGTAAATCACACCAGCCTCCACACCAAATCATTCCTGTTCCCCAAGCATGACCAGGATACGTGCAAACATCTGCCTTCACACCTCAGGTACCAAAATCTCGTTTGTTTGGAGAAAATGAATGTAACACACGAGCTTTCCCTTCCCAAAATGCTCATTTATGGAGAAACAAGTTTCAGTCTCTAAATGATTACCCTACGCCTGGCAGGTGGAGATTGCAGCACCAGTTCCGTTAATGATTTCTGAGGTGACGCTAAGGCCTCAGAAGCTGCTTGGCAGAACAGCTAGCAGGAAACTAATGAGTATCCCAGCACGACCCTGGCCCATTAAAAAGGGGGTATTGCAGGGAGAGAGGGGCGAGCAATGAATTAGAGGCCTCAGTCTCTGCTAAGAATATCAACGAAGGACCTTAATGCAGTCTAGAAAAGAAAATTAATCACTCATAATGATTGGGGTGTGTGTGAATATTTGATTTAATTTCATTTATAAACATTTTTCTATGGAGTGATGCATAGTATCAGAGACGGCCGAGAAGCACAATCTAAACTTGATTTAATGATGAGATGGGCATGGAGTGGTGGAAGTGACAGCAATTACAGGAATATGTTCTTGGAGAAGGCATTCCTTTTCTAATGCACTTACGGTGATCTTGGCTAAAATATAATAGAATTCTGCTCTGGAGAATGTACCTCGAAATTTTTTATCTTAAATGCTAGAGATAATGAATTAACAAATTGGAAAATTAAAATATATTTACATAAGCACTAACCTAGTATTGCATTAGTAAAAAGAGCAATGGAAACATATAATTTCAGTCAGTGAGCTCAGACACATAATTGTTAATCATTGGAGTAAAATAATAACCGAATAATAATTGAAATGTTGAATAATAAAGATGATGAAAACGTGTTTTCTGAAGAAGTTAGGTTTTACTTCTGTAAGGTTTAACAGGAAAAGAGACTTTATATGAAAACATCTATTTATATGATTCATAGGAAATATAAAATATCCCAGATGTAATAGGAAAAACAACGCAAAATATGGGACTGGTTATTAAAAGTTATGAGTTAAAAATTTACTCTTTAGTTAAATATCTTTCTTGGCCTTTAATCAAATTAGTTTTCTTTTCTCTCCATAGCCTCATACTTAACCTAGAGCTCTATTTTCCAAACCCTCAACTGAGGAATTAACCCAACTAATGCTTAAAAATCTACAAGTTTTGATTTGCTAGGGTATCACTACAGACTAACAGATGGGAAATTATACAGGGCAGTGACTGCCAGGATGATTGACCAAGCAAGGAATCTGGTCTCCATCCAACTGTCCAGACCATCTCAGCAAAGGGCCACACACTGTTTGGGGAGAGGGGTAAATGATGACCCTTCTTTCTAGCAACTCTTCGTAAGTATGTGGTCTTGGGAGACATTTAGCTTTTTCATGCTCTATTTTTATTATCTGTTTTAAAAAGAAGGGGTAATGGGTTTTCTTGGGATGAAATATTATAAAGCACAGAACAATTTGTGATCTAAAAAGTTATTTGCAATGTCATTTCTTTACCAAAGAAAGGCACCAAAATAAGGTGTGCAAAGTCAAGGAAATCTGGTTATTTGACAATAAAAAATGAAATAGGATTAGAGCTTATTCTTTCAACGAGCAGAGTGGAAAATGCTCACTCTTTGAAGGCACTTATATAATCAGATGCAGACTCACCACCCCTCAAACATGATATCTCTTATACTATCAGTTGCTGAATGGCACAAAACTACATAGCAGTACAGCATTGTCCCCATCTCAAATGCTACTTCAGATGTTAAGAGAGATAACATGATGTCAGCCTTTGGGCTTACTCCTTTGGCAAAAGTTGGTGAACAGAAAAGGAATAGAACCCAGAGACACATGCTCACCAAGAGCTCTCCAAGCATGGCATCAACCTGTTCCCTGAGAGAATGGAAATAGAACCGTACCTCAGGTGCACAGGATGTCAGAGCAGCCCTCTGCCAACAAAATAACTTCTCATAAAGGCTGGTGGATATTGTGTAATTCACCAAAAGCACTCCAGAGGATGATTCCCTTGACCGGACAAGTTGGGATATGCTTCTGTTCTGCTAGGTATTGGAAAATAGAGGCAAATAAAATTTGATCCAACCCTTGAAAAACCTCACTAAATATAGAGAGCTACATATAGAAATATATGTATAATAAATAATTTCTGGAGCTGGGATAGAGGTTCAGGGTACAGAGAGTAACAAAGGGGGTATGAGCCAATTTCATCAGAATGGAGGGGACAGAAGGCGGAACTTACACAGGGGAAATTATTATTTCATTTGTAATAATCATTTTTCACTTTCTCTTGGAGTGTTTTTCACTTTTTTTAGATGTATGATTTGATTTTCCCTATTTCTGAACACATCAAAAAAACTTTTATGTTATGTGTATCTAATTAACCATATCTCTCCAGAAGTCATCAATGTATCTTTTGTATAGTTGTATTTTATTGTGAACAATGTCTCTATATTTTATATGTTTGTGATTTTATAGATCTATTTAAGGAAATCAACATGTATCCAAATCCATTACTCTTTAGTGGAATAATGCTGTGAGGGAAAGACAGAAATGTTATGCTTATTTTGCTAAATCCTACACATTGCATATTTCAATGCCCTATTTAAGAAAATAAAAAATGATATTGTATTTTAATTTGCAGGTTTTTAAGCACTGGTGAAATAAATTTTATATATTTCTTTGGCCATCTGTATTCTTTACTATATATATTTTATGGAAATGACTGTTACGAGTTTTTTAAATAGGGAAAATAGCTAGATTTTCTCATTTTATTTGACGAAAACTTAGGCTGAGAAACATGATTTTGAGCCCCCAAATGTATGATATTTGCATGTGTAGAAGTAGAGATTGCAATCCATTTGAAGTTTAAGAAAATATTATGACAACATAATGAAATCAAAACACTTCTTTCCATTGTTCCTTCGGTATGTCCTTGGGTTGAAAGATTGTGTGAGGTCCACGTTAAGAGTGGAATTAACTACACATTGGTCTGTGAACCCACTGTCTGATTTTTCAACCTGTCAGCTTATACTTTGACCGCTGATAACATGACCTTGCAATCCTTACACGGTCTTGTCACAGCTGAATGCAGACATCTATAAGATTAGGTTCAGGAAATGGAGACTTAGAAGAGTAAAAGAGACAAAGAGCTCAAAGTCTGAGAGGAGAGGAAAAAAGCAAACGTTGTTAATGCTTGGAATGCAAAAAGGGGGCTTGCCTCCTTTTCCTGTGAGTTGGATACCTCCTTTTGCAATAATAAATTATGTGCCAGGTCAACTACAGTGGTTGTGGTTGTGGTCCATCTAGACAAAACAAGCTTTTGTCTCTTTAACCAGAATAGTTTTGCGATGAACCGGTCTGTGGTTTTTAATACAAAGAGTGCGCCTGAGGAATCCTGAAATAAAGGGCAGATTATGAAGCAATGATGCTTGATATTTATAATTACCATTTTATTATTTTAAAACACTTTTAGCATATTGAAGCCTCAGTGCTGAAAAAGTTGCTGTTAGCTGATACCACAGAAAAATCATAAAAGTTTTGAGGAAGAAGGAATCTGACCGCTTATCTTGTCTGGTATTCTTATTTACAAGGGGATAATTATGATTCTGAAAGATGGGATGATTTGTTCAAGGTGACACAGAAAGGTAGATGTAGATCCAGTATTGGCACAAAGATTTCTTATTCCTGACATGCTGTCATTTCTACCACACACATTGACACTGTTTCTGGCATCTGTATACTAAAATATCAAATATTACTGAGCATATATTATGTGGTAAAACATGAATGAGGCACCATCTTATTTTAAGTGTTTAGGTTCTTCAAAAATGTGAAACCTCAACAATGAAACATAGATAGGTAGTGAAAAAACCATGCTTTCTGACACCTAACTATGTCATTAAATGATCATTGAGTGGAATAAGTTGCACTTTTTACTGAAATGCTTTGGTGGTCCATAACATAGGTCCAACCAGCAAATTTCTATAGATTACTTTTGCTCATAATGCTAATATAAACATGTTGGAAGTCACTAGTGTCAAAAAATGTCAATCCACTCCCCGTCACAGAAATTATGGAAGATGGCTTATAGTCCAGACACCTTTCTGTTTTTGTCATCTATGAAACCCCAGTTAGTAGTGCCTACCTGGAAGGGCCATTTTGCTCCTCTATTTCCAGGTCTCTGTGTTGAAGGGCCATTACTTATTTCCCTTCAAAGAAAGTGACCGAATTGAATACAGAGAACCCCCAACCTCCAGGAAACTTTATGGGAAAGAACTGCCCACTCATTAACTCAGGATGGTTTAGGAAGCTGACCTCACCTTCCATCACTAGGAGCTTCCAGTCATCTATGCAATGAAGTGTGACAACAGCTTTAATAGCACGTGAAAATGTATTTTATTATGGGGCCATTAATTTATCCTGCTGGCTATGTGATGTTCTCCATATGCTACGCGGGAAAGTGCCCTTCTGCTTTGAGATCCTTCCTGACGAGCACTCTGCTCTTACAGTGTGGAGCTCTAATGGGCACCTTTTCCCTGCTCTGCGCTTGGCAGACATCAGCCTCATTCCATCATTTTGTTTGTGCAAGGAAGAGTGGAATGTCATGGAATTACATTCTTAACTTGCGCATTTTCTTTTTAGTACCCAGAGGTATCTGCAAAGCTTTGCCTATGCAATGAATTTAAGAGCATTATTATCAAGAGAATAATTTTTAGCATATAGAAATTTTTTGAAGCTCCATTAATCTTACAAAGAGGTCTGTGAGAATATGCATGGAATAAAAAAGGCATATAACTATGGAGGTGGATATTTACTTTCCAAATCAGAAAAATAAAAATTGCACACCAATGTGGTAACCTAAAGAAAAAAATAACTATCAAACTTGTTTTAAAAAATATATGCTATATATGTGTTAAAAGAAAATCTTAAGAAAAAATAATTTAGCAGAGTTTATTTGAGCAAATAAATGAGTCATAAATGAGGCAGCACCCTAAACCAGTAAAGCTTCAGAAAGCTCCATTCAGCAACATGACAAACAGTATTTATAGACAGGAAAAGAAAATGGCATACAGATATAACCTGATTGGTTACAGCTTGATATTTGCCTTATATGGACATACCTGAGCAGTCAACAGCCTGTGATTGGCTGAAAGCTCGGCTGCTGGGATTGACTGAGACTTGGTTACTCGTTACAATAATATACTTTCAAGTTCAATTGTGATTTGTTCATATAAGTTAGGTTATCCTTTGCTGCATATGGCAAATTCAGTTTAATTTAATGTATGTTAACATGTAATGATGTAATCTTTGAGCACATTTGAAGATCCAAAGAATTTTTAATCACAATTTTTGTGAATACTCTCATATTACACCTTATTTATTCAACCAGATATTAATGAATGGCATATTACAGTCTAGGATTTATACTAGATAGAAAGTGGGAAAGAGAGAAGGCGCATAACTATGGTTTCTGCTTTTATTAGCTCTTTGTCTGACATACAGAACCATGGAAATTCTTAAAAAATATATGATTAATAAATATATATTTTAGATACAGGAAACAAACATATATTATTCTCTAATTGTTTATGTAAGTGTCATAATGCAGGACTTTGCAAATGGGCATGGTGTATTCAGAGAGTGGAAAATGAGATTCCCCTAGAGGTAGCTTTTGGGCTAACTCTTGAAAGATGAATCAGAATTCTAAGAAAAGGTAGTACATGATGATTATAATGCCAGTTCTTGTGGGATACAGAGGTAGATAAGTCATTTTATTAAAAATGATTTCCTTCCTTCTAATGATTCTACTACAGTTATATAAGATGTTAACACAGGGGAAGTTGCATGAGTGACATATGGAGCATGAAATATTTTTGCAACCTTTCTAGAAGTTTAAAGTAGTTCCAAATAATAGGTTTAATAAAAGACAAATAAGACAGGATTTTATGTTATTAATGGGAGGCAAAATCCTAAAATAACCCTTAAGATTTCCCACCCATGTGGTGCACAGGACCTGTATAACCCATGGAACTCCAAATATGATGGATGATATTCCCATGAGTTATAGTCATGCATCTCTTAATGACAGGGATACTTTCTGAGAAATGTATCACTAGGCTACTTTTGTCATTGTGCCAACACCAGAGTATATTTACACAAATCTAGATGAAATAGCCTACTACACACCTGGACTATATCATATAGCCTCTTGCTCATAGGCAAAAAACTTGTGTAGCATGTTACTGTACTTTACTGTAGGTGATTGTAATAGACTGGTAAATTTTATTTATTTAAACATATCCAGATATAGAGAAGGCACAATAAAAATATTGTATAAAGGGTTAAAAAGTAATACACCTGTATAGGGCACATACATAAATGGAGCTGGAAGTTGCTCTGGGTGGGTCAGTGAGTAGTGAGTGAATACGAAGGCCTAGGACATTATTGTACTGTACTGCAGACATTATAAACCCTGTAAACTTAGTCTACACTCAATGTGTTAAAAATATTTTTCTTTCTTCAAGTTAGCCTTAGCTTACTGTAACTTTACTTTATACACTTTTATTTTTTAACTTGCTGACCCTTTTGTAACACTACTTAGCTTAAAACACACACACATCGTACAACTATATAAAACTATATTTTTATACCCTTATTCTATAAACTTTTTCTAATTTTATTTTATTTTTTTACTTTTCAAGCTTATTGCTAAAAATGAAGATGCAGGCCGGGCGCGGTGGCTCATGCCTGTAATCCCAGCACTTTGGGAGGCCGAGGAGGGCAGATAACGAGGTCAGGAGATCGAGACCATCCTGGCTAACACGGTGAAACCCCGTTTCTACTAAAAATACAAAAAAAAAAAAATTAGCTGGCCTTGGTGGCGGGTGCCTGTAGTCCAAGCTGCTCAGGAGGCTGAGGCAGGAGAATGGCGTGAACCCGGGAGGTGGAGCTTGCAGTGAGCCGAGATGGCACCACTGCACTCCAGCCTGGATGACAGAGCAAGACTCCTTCTCAAAAAAAGAAGGTGCAAACACACACATTAGCCTAGGCCTAATTCAGGGTCAGGGTCAGGATTTTCAGCATCACTGTGGATGTCTTCCACCTCCATATCCTGTCCCACTGGAAAGTCTTCAGCAACAATAACGTACGTGGAGGTGTCATCTCCTATGAGAGCAGTGTCTTTTTCTAGAACATCTCCTGAAGGACCTGCCTGAGGCTGTTTTATAGTTAACTCTTTTAATAAGTGTAAGAAGTACACTCTAAAATAATGATAAAAAGTATAGTAAATACATAAACTGATAACATAGTTGTTTATTATTTTCAAACATTATATATTGTACCTAATTGTATGTGCTGTACTTTTATACAGCTGATGATGCAGTAGGTTTGTTTACACCAGCATCTCCACAAACACATGAGTAATGCCTTGCACTTAGATGTCACATTGGCTATGATGTGGCAAGAGGAATTTTTTTCCCTGGAATAGGAATTTCCTAGGAATAGAAATTCATTAGGCAATAGAAAGTTTTTAGCTCCATTATAATCTTACGGGACCACATTTGTGTATGGGATCTGTCATTGACCGAAGCGTCATTGTGCAGTGCATAACTGTATTTTATATTCTATGGCATAATTGATGTTAAAACAAGGAGATTACCTAGGTGGGCTGACCTAATTACATGAGCCTGTTAAATGCAGAGAGCTGTTTCTGGCTGGTTATTGAAGAGAAGTGCAGAGATTCAAAGTATGAGAGATGGATTCTATGCACTGGTGCCAGTTTAAAGATGGAGGGATGAAGTGTCAAGGAATACGGGCAGCCCCTAGGAGCTGAGGGCTTTCCCTTCCTTACAGCTAGGAAAGAAATGGATCTTAGACCCTAAGACCACAGGGACTGAATTCTTCCAACAGCAAGAATAAGCTTGGAAGTGAACTTGTCCACAGAGACTCTAGATGAAAACTCAGCCAGAATAACATCATAATTTTTACGTTGTGATAACCCAAGTGGAGAAACCAGCTATTCCATGCCAAATTTCTAATTTAGGTTTGTGGTAATTTGTTATACAATAGAAAACCTAATATTGCCTAGGAAAGAGGAAGCCCTTAGATCCAGCCAAGATGCAACTGGCCTGTGGCTGAGCCTGGAGAGCAAAAGTCTTTTGCCCTTTCTGCATCTATTATATAAAGTAGGGCCAATAATGCCAACCTCTTAGGGTTGTAGTGAAAACCTAAAGCAATTTGACATGGAAAGTACCTCTAGAGTGGCTGGTTCTTGGTCAGCATTCTGCTACCAAATGTGACTCCCCAGGCAGCAGTTTCCAGCTGCAGCCCTTGGCATTTCTATTGCCAACTTGACTTGAAGCTTTATCTTTTTAGAACTGGAAGTTGGAAAGGCTTAAATCAATTAACTGATGCAAACATTTATTAATTCAATCTGATGTCAGATCAATGAATAGATTTTTATGCTTATTTATTTAAAAAAAATTTTTGATCAAGTTCCTGATTTGGTTTATTTTTCTGCTTTTCACTGCATTCATTTGCAAGCACAGCAGAATCACCTGGAAAAGTTAACAGACAGGATAGACTCTATTCATAGGTTATTGTGTAGTAATTCTGTCTCAGTATCCATAGCTGACTCCATAAGTTTTACCTTATAAAGCATGCAATAAACATGCTTTTCAATTTATCTTGCAAACATTTTTCCTAAAAAATGCATTTTAGAATGGAAGAATTATTTTCACTAAGAATTATCCTGACAATACATGGTTGACATTCAGCATTTGCTTATGAAGAGCTGCCTTTGAGTGTATTCTTCTTCAAGAATTGCATTTTATTAAATGAACAGATCATTTCAGAAAATAATAGAAGACTTATTATTTAATCGTGAATTACCCTGAACTCAGATGGCTTTGTTAGGTACTGTTATGGACTGAATCGAACCTCAAATTCATATGTTGAAGACCTACACCCAATGAGACTATACTTGGAGATAAGGCCTTAATGGCAAAAATCTCAGTTACTTTTGCACCAACCTAATATTTAAGTTAAATGAGGTTAAAAATGTGGGGACTTAATCCCTCAACTGGTAAAACCGGTGTTTTTAAAATAAGAGGAAGAGATACCGGAGATCTCTGGTATTCTTATGAAGTAAGAAACAGACACTAGGGATCTCTCTGTGAATACACAGGGAAGAGGCCATATGAGGATGCAGTGAGGAGGCAGCTGTCTGCAACAAAGAAGTCTCCATCAGAAAGCCACCTTGCTGGTCCCTTGATTTTGAACTGTATCCTCCAGACTCTGAGAAAATAAATGTCTGTTGTTTAAGCCACCCAGTCTGTGGTATTCTGTTATGGCAGCCTAAAATGATTGACATCTTACCTCCCCATTAAAGAGTAACCTCCTCTAGTCCGGGGATGACTCCTTTTCTTTAGTATCTTAAATGCCTATCTTGTATCTGACACATGGTAAGCCCATAAAAAACGTAGTTGGCCCTGCTCTCTGTATCTGTAGGTTCCTCATCCATGGATTCAACCAACTATGGATCAGAAATATTTGGAGAAAATAAAACAATGCAAAATAACAATACAACAATACAAAATAGTAAAAGTAATAAAATGTGGTATAATAACTATTTATACAGCATTTACATTGTATTAGGTATTATAAGTATCCAGAGATGATTTAAAGTATATGGGAGGATATGTATAGGCTGTATGAAAATATTATTCTATTTATATCAGACACTTGAATACTTATGGATTTCGGTGTTCTCTGGGGGTCCTGGAACCAATTCTCCCTGAATACTGAGGGACAACTGTACTTTTTGAATGTGTAGACTACATAGGGTAGCCAGCTCTTCTTTTAGAGAATTTTATGTTGCTGATCACGGGAAGACTGCTCCAGAAACAGCTCATTTCCTCCTTTTCCTATGTTCCTCACGGTGCCCCTTTACATATAGGGAGGACTTACCTAATGCATATTGGTTTAGATTAAAAAATTATAAGCTGAAAAATTAAGACCGACTTGGATTCAGATGATCAAATGATGTTGATTGGGCCTGTCTCTCTCCATCTCTTGGCTATACGCTTCCTTTTTGTTGGATTTGTTCTCTGGTGAATGTTTGTGGCAAAACAACTATTAGCAGCTCAATATTTGTGTCCTTCCAGCTTAGCAAAACATAAGTGAGAAAATAATAATTAGTTTTAATGATTATCATTCCAAGCACTTTAGACACAGAAACTCATTTAATCGGCAACTCATTTAATCCTGCTAATACTTATGAAGTAGGCACTATTATTATCCACATTATGCAGATTAGAAAACAGGCACAAAGAGGTTATAAAACTTGCCCATGGTGACTGATACATGTTTTGGAGGTAGAAAGTCTGGACCCAGAATCTGTGTTCAAAACCGTTAGTCTGTGCTGCTTGTTTCTAATATGTATATTCATCACATGCTCATTATTTCCAGTGAAAACTCTGGCCATCATTTGCCTGTTTTGAGCCACATGGCCACTCTTGGGCCAATCACTCTGGACAGAGTGAACTGTAAAAACTGGAGCTTGCTGACTGTCTAACACTAAGCTGAGTATCTACCCTAAGAGCCAGAGGAAAATTATTGGTACTAAAGGAGGGAGCTTTTCAAGGGAAAAGCAAGGGTCCTGTTCTTTAAAGAAAAAGAAATTCATGCTGATGCTGGAAGAAAAAAAAACAGCTTTCCACTACATCTTTAATTGTACTTTACTTCCTTCCCCACAGAAGAGAGATTCAATTAGAAATTGAACGGAAGTTATTTCAATTATTTTCTGCCTATGTGCCATCTTTTTAGTGCTAGTGTAAAAAGAGCATTCTCATCAAAATATGTGGGGTCTACAGATTATATCTGGAAGAGAATAGCATCCTACATATCATTGCCTATCATGATCTAGGCATTGCAAAAAATATTTCACTTTTTCTTTGCTTTCTTTGGCTGACTTTTTATGTTATTCCAAACAAGTGATAAATGTAGATTTGCTTAATGCAAATTCACCAGTTATAAAATAATAATGGATGATATCAACTGCTACAAGAAAAATGCACACTCATATATAAATTATATATAGGTAATAAATGAATACTATTTTAGTAAAAGGAGACTACTAGAGGGACATGAACTTTATTTCTCATCTCATCCTGAAAAGACTATATATCATTTTCCACAAGATATATTGACCATTTTTTAGTTCTGAACTCCACAAACACATCTGGGTACTGAATTACATGAAAATAAATTCCTAATGATAATAATTCCCTGCACTTCAATAAAGATCTTTTTAAGTTTTCCGAGTACACTCACATATATCTCACAAAAACAACTAGTTTATAGAGGGATTAGCAGAATCTAAGGTTTCCAAAGCTGTGATTTAATAATCAAAACAAAGCCATTGCAATGCTTGGCTGAGGGTGGACAAGGACGGGGAGAAAGTGCTTAGAAAGAACATTACAAGGACTGAGTGGGGCAGATACTGGTGTTTACTAAAAGCCGAATTAACTCAAACAGTGACTCAATTTGATCAACAGTAAGTCAAAATTCAAAACCCCAGAAGCCAAGAAAAAAAGGCTGTCTCTGAGGTTAGAAGTACAAGATTTAGGTGAGTCTGGCTCAGAGTTGGATCCAAGTGCACAATCCTTTTGCCTTCCATCCTCTGAAGCTTCATCCTTCAAGAAGGTTTGGATCTATGTGTTTCTTAAATTCAGCAGCACTTGATTATGCAATGTGGAGTGAACAAAAGCTAAAAGTTAAGGTTTTGTCATGTACACCATTAGAATTTGTTCTATCAGGCAAGATTTGGCTCAACTAAACACAGTATAAAAGCTAGAACAGAATACAAAATGCAGTAGAAAAGCAAAAAAACAAGTAAGCAAACAAAAGAAAAACAAACGGTAAAGTAGAAATGTCCAGGTTAATAGCTGATGGTTATGCTGGTCAGAATGACAACAGATTTTAAGTACATTTAAAATACAGAGTTGGGGAAAAGGATTCCAGGCTATTTCAGGTGGGAAAGCAATTAAACTGATCGGAAAAATGTGACGTGGGAGGTTAGATAAGCAAAAACATTTGGTGAACATGAAATTAAAAATGGGCATACTAGAAAAGAAACATATTTTGGGGGGAATAACATGAGTTTTATTTTTTAAATATGAGCCACTAGATTGCTTTGTGAAAACATGGCATAGACATAATATTATCTATTTTTTTTCTTGCTAAGACCACAATTAAAAACTCTGGACATTGTGATAAATAAATAGTCTCTAAAAAATAGAAAATAAGGCAGGCCAGCTAGGAACCTCAAAACCCAAGGAAGGGCATGGTGGTAAGTTTTCTTTTTATTTCATATTTACTAAACTTTGAGGTGAAGAAATCAGCATTCTGAAAATGCTAAGCTGGTAAAAAGAGTTCAACAAAAGTCTGTTTTCTCTAGGCAAAAGACCCAGGAAACAGGCAGCCTAGCAAGACAAAAATCCTTTAAACAATAACCACTCTGCTCTAGCCAAACACCAGAGAAAAAACTCCGGTCCCACTACCACTCACATCAGCGAAGACTGAATGTGAAGCCCAGGCTTTGACTCTGCTGAGCTACAACATGGCACCTCAACTCCCCTGACTAGGTAGTGTCAGGAAAGGCAGAATAGAAAGATATGACTTTCATTCTCATCATGTGACAATAAGCCTCTACCCCTCTGCAGTGTTAGTGGAGATCATGTGAGGAGCATGGACTTTTCACCCCCACTGGACAGTGTAGAGACTTTCCACACCCATGTGATTGGAGTGATACCAGAGGAAGCCTAGTAAAGAGTCAGGATGTTCATCATCAGGCAATGGTAAGAAGGCTACCACCCAAAGCGCCAGTGAAGGCTATGTGGAGAGCAGTAATGAGGCTCTCCTGTCACTCTAAGCCATGGGGTAATCAGTGGAAGCCCCATGGGAACCAGAACCTTTATCCAGGGGTAATGATTAGAGTGGAAAAGCTGGACTTCTACCTGCATTTGGCCATATTGAGGCAATGCTCCCTCCCTTCCCAGAATGCTGCCAAGGATCTGTGGGATTAATAAAAGAAACAGCATTCCTGCTATCAAAATCTTTGTGGGGAAGGTGTCAATAAAGAGGGTAGAGAGGAAAATGCACCTTGAAAATGGCTCCAACTTACAAAATTTTCATAATTCTGCAGATTCAAGAAGCTGAATAAGCCCCAAATATAATTAACTCAAAAAAAAATTATACTGAGATACATCGAACGCCTGAAAACTAAAAAGAAACAAACAAAAAATCTTGAAAGCAGCAAGGGAGAAATAACACATTACCTAGAGTGTAAATACGTTTTTCTAGTACTGAAAGAAAAGAACTGCCAACCCTATACTCAGAGAAGAAGATATCCTTCAGGATGAACAGGATCAAGACATTCTCAGATAAAGAAAAATGAGAAGGGTGTGTTGCTAGCAGACCTACCCTAAAGGAATGGCTACAGGATGTTTTCTAAACAGGAAAACATACAAACAAACAAACTATAAGACTCTAGAGACAGCAAGAAGGAAGAAGACGTTAAACAAAAATATATGTGAATATTAGTCTTTCCTTTTTCTATTGTGTTTTAAAAATTTTGTTTGGTGGTAGGAAAAATTATAACAATGTCTGAAGTTGTTATAAATGTATATAGATTAAATATTATGATTATATTATAAATGGGAAAGGATAAAGAAGTGTACAAGGAGATACAGTTTTATACTTCACTTGAACAAGTAAAATGATAACTCTGTTAGACTGTGATAAGCTATCCATGTATTATGTAATACAGCAGACACTAAAAATGGTATAAAAAGATGAGCAATCAAAACACTATAGAAAACATTCAAAATTGATTCCAAAGAGTGTTCAAGTAATCTGCAAATAAGCATGAAAAAGCAAACAGGGAAAGGAAAAGCAGAGGAAACAAATAGAAGACAAAACATAAAGTAGCAGATTTAAGTCTAACATATGAGTGCTTGCATTAATGCAAATGATCTAAATGCATCAATCAAAAGACTAATAGTGGCAGCATGGATTCAAAAGCATGAACCAACTGTACGTTGTCTAGAAGAAATTTCCTTGAAATATAACTATCCAGGCGGGTTGACAGTAAAATAATGAAGATATGTATTATGCACTTATTAATGAGATGAAAGAAAGAGTAGCTATATAAGTGTAAAATAAAGTAAAGCTCAGAGGAAAAAAATTAAAAGAGGCAGAGAGGGACATGTTGTAATAATAAAAGAATCAATTCACTAAGAAACCATAGCAACCCTAAACATGTGTACACCAAAAAAACTGAAAGAGATGTGTAGCAAAACTGATAAAACTGAAAGCAGAAATGGACAAATTTCCAATTATATTTGGACACTTCAACATTCCTTCAAGACAACTGAGAGAACAACTAGCGAAAAAAACCTCAGCAAGAGTATGAAAGAACTCGACAACATAATCCATCAATAGGGACTAATCAACTTTTTTAAGAAAAGTCCACCAAAACCAGAAAAAAACACATATTCTTTTCAAGTTGACATAGTATATATACCAATACAGACCAGATCATGGGCTATTAAACAAACCCCAACAAATTTAAAATAATTTAAGTTATACAGCACGTGTTCTCCATCTACAATAAAATTAAACTAGAAATCAACAACAGAAATACAAGAAGACAATTTCCAAACACTTGGAAACTAAGAAGTACATTTGTATAATCTATTGGTCAAGGAGGAAGTCTCAAAGGATATGAAAAAATATTGAACTGGATGAAAATTAAAATGCAACTTTGTAAAATGTGTGGGCCACAACTAAAGCCATGCTGAAGGGAGAATTTGTGTTACCAAATACAGTGGTCCCCAACCTTTGTGGGGACTGGTTTCATGAAAGACAATTTTTTCACAGACCAGGGGTGAGGGTGATTTGTTTGGGGATGATTCAAGTGCATTACATTTATTTTATACTTTATTTCTATTATTATTACCTTGTAATAGATAATGAAATAATTATACAACTCACCATAATGTAGAATCACTGGGACCCCTGAGCTTGTTTTCCTTCAACTAGACAGTCCCATCTGGGGGTGACAGGAGACAGTGACAGATCATCAGGCATTAGATTATCATGAGGAGTTGCACAACCTAGATCCCTTGCATGTGCAGTTCACTCTTATGAGAGTCTAATGCCGCCACTGATCTGACAGGAGGTGGAGCTCAGGCGGTAATGCGAGTGATGGGGAGCAGCTGTAAACACAGGTGAAGCTTTACTTGCTCTCCCACCACACACCTACTGCTGTGCATTCCAGTTCCTAACAGGCCATGGACCAGTACTAGTCCGTGGCCTGAGGGTTGGGGACCCCTAACTAAATATACAAATTAGAAATGAGATAAACACTCAAATTGATAATCTAAGCTCCCACACTAAGAATCCAAGAAAATAAGAGAAAATTAAACCTAAAACAAACAGACGAAATAAAATAATAGAGACGAGAGCAGAAATAAATTGAAAACAGAATAAAATAGAGAATAATTAATGAAATAAATGGCTTCTTCTCTGAAAAGAATAATACAATTGACAATGATTGACAAAAAAAAAGAGAGAGAAAACACAAATTACCAATATCAGAATGGAACAAGCAATAAGTCTACAGATCATGTAGACACCAAAAGGAAAATAATGGAATACTACAAACAATTTTACATGTATAATTTTAACAAGTTGGATTAAATGGACCAATTCCATTAAAAAATACTATCATAACTCATTAAAAACAAAATAGATAATTTGGATAGCTGTGTAACTATGAAGGAAATTAAATTTGTAATTTAAGAATTCTCCTTACCAAGAACTCTCCACACCTCCAAGGATTTCTACCAATTATTTAAAAAAATTAACACAAATTCTACAAGTATCTTTCAGAGAATTAAAGACAAACAAACACTTCACAATTTATTTAAGAAGCTGGCATTACTCTGATACTTAAAAACCAAAACGAAACAAAATCTACAGAAAAATATCCCTATTATACATAGAAACAAAATCCTTAATGAAATATTAACAAAAACAATTCAACTATAACAATTCAAATTCAATTCAAATAACTCACTATATTTGATTATACACTGTAACCAAATAAAGTTTATTACAAGAATGCAAGGCTGGTACAATATTCAAAGATCAATGTAATCTAACATATTAACAAGTTAAAGAAAAATCACATGATAATATCAGTCAAGAAAAAGTATTTGACAAAATTTAACATCCATTCATTATATATATTCCAAGAAACATAGAGACAGAGGAGGACTTTCTTAACTTGATAAAGAGCATATAGAAACAATAACAAGAAAAGCTAAAAAAGAAAGAAAGAAAGAAAGAAAAAGACAGAAAGACTGTCTTGGGTAAACAGAAGAAACAAAGTAAAGACATCTGCTGGAAGTTTTGGCAAGTATGATAGATGAAGGAGATGAATGCTTATGTATTAGAAAGGTAGGAATAGAACTGTTTCTATTTGCAAATGGTATGATTGTCTCTGTAGAAAATCTCAAGAAATCTACAAAGGGACTCTCAGAACTAAAAAGTGACTTCAATAAGGTCACAGGATACAAGATAAACATAAAAAAATTGTTTTTTTACATATTAGCAAAGAATATATGAGAAACAATTAGAAATGCAATATCATTTCAGAATTACTCAAAAAATTAAATGTTTAGGTTCAAATGTAACAAAACAGATACAGAATTTATATAACAAAAACTACAATGTTTTTATTGAAGAAGAAATGTTGAGGAAATCAAAGAAGGCTTAAATAAATGGAAAGATACACCATGTTCCAGATTTGGTCTCAAGAGGTGTAAATATATCAGTTCTTCCTGAATTGTTACACAAGTTTAATGTAATTTCCATCAAAATTAGATGAAGATTATATTATAAAATTATATATAATAAGGTTATATATATAGACATATACAATTATGTATACATATATACACATATATATGTATGTATCTCACACATACAAGATGATTATGGAAAGGCAAAGTAAAAGCCAACAGCCTGGGCATCATGGAAAAACCCCGTCTCTACTAAAAATACAAAAATTGGTGCATGCCTGTAGTTCCAGCTACTGGGGAGGCTGAGGTAGGAGAATCACCTGAACCCAGAAGGCAGAGGTTGCAGTGAGCCAATATCATGCCAGTGCACTCCAGCTTGGGTGACAGAGTGAGATCCTGTTCCAGAAAGAGGAAAATAGCCAAAGCAAATTTTTAAAATAAAAAAAGTGGAAGGAATCAGTCTACTTGACTTCAAGACTTACTATTTAGCTACAGTAATAAAGACTGGTGATACTGGTGGAGAAACAGACATAGACATCAAAGAAACAGAATACAGCACCCAGAAAGAGACCCACATAAATATACCCAACTGATCTTTGACAAAGATCCCAAAGCAATTCAATGGAGTAACAGCAGCTTTTCAACAAATGATGCTGGAGCAGTGAGATGTTCACAAGCAAAAAAAGAATGTTAATCTGTCTCACCTCTTATTCAAAAATTAACTCAAAATAGATCACATATTTAAAAGTACAACAAAACTATAAAACTTTTAGAAAAAATATAGGAGAAAATCTTCAGCATTTTAGGCTGGCAAAGGGATCTTAAGCTTGATACCAAAAGCACACTTCAGAAAGAAATAAACTGATACACTGGAATTTACCAAAATTAAAACTTTTGCTCCGTTAAAAGTGTGAAAACCCAGACTAATCACTGAGACAAAGTTTTGAAAATCACAAATCTAACAAAAGAATAAAGTCGACAATATAAAAAGAATTCTCAAAACTCAATAGTAATAAAAAATCCAATTAGAAAATGGAAAAAAAAGTAAATGAAGAACCATCCTATTCAAGAGGACATACAGATGATATATAAGCTCATCAATAAATACTCAGTATCATAAGCCAGGTGCAGTGGCTTATGCCTGTAATCCCAGCACTTTGGGAGGCCAAGGCGGGTGGATCACTTGAGGCCAGGAACTCAAGACTAGCCTGGCCAACATGGTGAAACCCCACATCTAGTAAAAATAAAAATTAGCCAGGTGTGGTGATGTGTGCCTGTGGTCCCAAAAAGAATTGCTTGAACCCGGGAGCAGAGGTTGCAGTGAGCCCAGATTACATCACTGCACTCCAGCCTCAACGACAGAGAGAGAGACCGTCTCAAAAAAAAAAAAAAAGAAAATTCAATACTATTAGCCAGTAGGAAAATGCACATTGAAACTACAGTGAGTTGTTAATACACAGCTATCAAATTGCTTTTTAAAGAAAGATGGTAACATGAGATGATAGTGAGTACGCAGAGAAACTTACCACTTGTATATTGCTGGTGGAAACGTAAAATGGTACAAATACTCTGGAGAACAGTTTGGCAGTTTCTTGAAAAACTAAACATGGAACATCATAGAACTTAGCAATTGCATTATTGAGCATTTATGAATATTTATCTTTACACAATATCTTGTACACAAATGATTATGGCAGTCTTATCCATACTAACTAAAACCTGGAACTAACCTAGGTTAGTAACTAACCTTCAATGAGCGAATGGTTAAACTAACTGTGGCACATCCATACTCAGTAATACTACTCAGTAATAAAACGAAATGAACTATTGATCCCCACAAAACCTGAATGAATCTCCAGTGAATTATGCTTAGTGAAAAAAGGCAAAAGAAATGGTTACATGCTGTTTAATTTCATTTATAATAGAACATTCTTGAAATTAAAAAATATATCAAAAATGGTGAACAAGGTAGTTAAGGGATGGGAGAGCAAAGATGGGAGGAAAATAGGTCTGGCTATAAAAGGGAAACAAGGAATCCTGGAGATGAAATGTTCTACATATTGACTGTATCAATGCCAGTAACCTGGTTTGGATATTGCAGTATAGTTTTGCAACATGTTGCCTTTGAGGGAAACTGAGTAAAGGGTATGCAGGATCTCTATGTATTATTTTTTATAAATGCATGTGAAATTCCAATTATCTCAAATTAAATGTTTAGTTTTAAAATAAGGGTAAAAAGAAGGGGAAAAGTAAGATTTCTTGTTTACTGGCTATTGTACTTGATTTTCATATGTGTGGATTACACATGAACAAAAATACTATGACAAATATTTGTGTTCACGTTTCTTAAGAATTCATGGTATTTGTTAGCTCTCCTTGTTGACTTACATTATTTTTATTACAATGTTAAATAAGTGCAAACATAGAAGAAGTGTCTAAACTCATTTACTTATAGCTTATACGAAGGTATAAAGTCAAAAGAATATATAAATTAAATGCTAACAAAACCAAACAATAAAATCCAAACTAACAGCATTAGTTTACTATGACAAATGATGTTATTTTGTTAACCCTAAATCAGCGATTACAATGTGAATATAGCTCTGATGGCCCTAATGCAATTTATTTTACTTTATTTTAGTGCACTCTTACTTCCATGCACTGCACGGTAATTCAGTTTTTCCACCATTTCTCTCATTTGCACCTAGCGTACAACCCCTCTTCATATAGTGTGTCTTAGTCTTACTTAATCTTGTTTCATGTTGAATTCATCATTAATGTATTATTTTTGCCTCTGTTTTCTTTTTCTTAAGCAAGCATGAATATTTGGGTAAGTAATTATTTTGTGCCAGCACTATCATAAATACATGTTTTAGCAGACTCTGAAATTATATAGAGGCCTTCAGACATCTGAGAAATCATATTTGGTCCTCTAGATTTCTGGACCTCCTATTTAGGAAACATTGTGCTTCAACTAACTCAAATGGACCTTACAAAATACTTGCAACTTTTAATTAGCTTCAGATTTTTCTATCTAGTCAAAAGATGATACAATTTTACT
Source organism: Homo sapiens (assembly GCF_000001405.40). Lineage (NCBI taxonomy): Eukaryota > Metazoa > Chordata > Mammalia > Primates > Hominidae > Homo > Homo sapiens. The sequence goes on along the minus strand of NC_000014.9, from coordinate 86,918,799 downwards.
GCTAAAGAAAAAAGAGGGAAAAAAACACATAAAATGTGAGTCAGTAAAGCTCACTAAACTACATATATTATCAGCCAAAATGTGTAATGAATAAAGCATCATAAAACTCTAAAAAAAGAAAATCATTTACTTTGTTATACATGCCATATTTTCTTTCAATATTTATCTGTTTATATCACTGTAGGCTACAAAACTACTGAGAGAAAAGTGTGTTTCAAAGCTGAAATAAATATCATTCTATGTAATTTAAGAATATAAAATAAAGATTCTCCTGAACCTTCTATGTCTTGTTGCAGGGGATTCAATTATGAAGTAATTATTTTGATGTACACAAAGTTTGAAAGAAGTTTCTTCTCTATACTTAGAAGTTTTCTCCAATGGAAGTTAGAAAAACTACAATTTTATTGTACTAGGCTACAATATGTTGAGTTAATAGAAATTTCTCACATTTGTTTTAATCTTTGGCAGGAATCTTCTGGAAATCTGTACAGGCTAATATTGTTAAGTATAATTGTAGGCCATTGCAGTGAAATGGTAAATAACAGCAGCTGCATTTGAGTTTTTGTCTTTTGTGATTTTTCTTATTTATTAGTTTTATTATGCAGTTTTCTTGTATAAAAAGACACTTAAATAATGTTCACTGCAAATAAGAAAGAAAACAGCTATTCATGAAAAATAAAGACTTCATAATTTGTCCCTTGATACTAAGAACGGGGTATCTTAAACACATCTCTATCTAAATTTACTTGCTGGACATTCACATTTATGCCACATAGCATTGTCATTTTAGAGTAGAAGTATGTTTTTTCCATTTACTGTGTATTTTTATTTTTATTTTTCCTTCTCCTTCCTCTTGTATTCCTTCTTTTTCTTTGGCAATTTGGTGTATTTTGTATTTTCACATGGGTAATTCTGAAAATGTTCACAATGTGTTTGAAAACCAATTCTGTGGGACCCAGTGACTAATTTTGGATACTACAACAGCAATTTGAGTAATTCTTATCATAAATTGGTGTACAGACTAAATTTCATTTTCATTGTAAATATTTAGAACACTAATATCAAGAAACATATTATTATAAAGAGAAGAAGATGGATATAAAAAAGGATATAAAAAAGCTTCGAGGCAAAGAGTAGCTAAGCATGCTTATAAACAAAATTAAATCAAATAGAAAACTGTATCATTCTCCTGATGAACAAAGTTGAACATGAAAAAAGAAGTTACAAAGCTGATATATGGGCCATAATGTATAATGCTTTTAAGACTTGGTAAGGAGATTTCATTTTATTCTAAATTACAATGTGAATCTATTTAAAGACAAATTAGTGACATATTGAAAATTCTTTTTTATTTCAGCAGCAAAAAAGTAGAAGGCAGTAAAAACTGGCAACATCCACTAGAAGACTACTGTAATAATCTGAGTAAGAAATGATGTTGACTTGAGCTAGAGTACTGGTAGAGGAGAAGAGAAGATATGAGTAGATTTAAAATATTTTCAAATATGTATGGAAATGTACATTAGTTACCACAGGTTGGATGTGGAAGGTATGAAACCAAGGATGATGATGGTGATGATGATGATAATGATGATGAATGATGAGGATGATAGATAGTTCTTATTGTGTATTTTCTGTAAGTAAATCACCATGCAAAACACTTAACCAAGTCACTAATTTAGTCCTTGCAATAACCTCAACATATAGGTTTTACTAGCATTATCTCCATTTTACAAGTGGCTATGGACTGTTTGTGTCCCCCTAAAAGGTTTATGCTGAAGCTCTAATATCCAATGTGAGAGAATTAGGAGGTGAAGCCTTTGGGAGGTGATTAGGTCATCAATGTAGAATTATCAAGAATGGAATAGTGCCCTTATAAGAATAGACACAGGAAAGGTACGTCTCTCCAGCACGTGAAGAAACAGCAAGGAGATAACCATCTGCAAACCAGAAAGTGGTCATATTAATGCCCTGCTCTGCAATTCCCAGCCTCCAGAACTGTGAGAAATAAATTTCTGTTAAGTCACCTGGTCTATGGCTTTTTCTTAAAGCAGCCTGAACTAAGAAACAAGTGATGAAAATGTGACACAGAGAGGTACAAAAAGTTGTCCAAGGTCACTTAGCATAATATTGCAGGGCCAAGATTTGAACAATAGAGACCATGTTCCTGGTCATTGTATCTTACTGATATGTAAGTTTTCTGGCTTGAACAACTAAGTGGATGGTAAAGTCATTTAGAATAAAGCAGAAATCAAGGAGTTAAGGTAAAGATGAAGTGTTGAATGAAGAGCCTAATTTTGAACATAAGTATGGCTTGAGATGCAGAGGAGAATTGGGATCTCAAGATAAGAATTGGGATCTCAAGATAATAATGTGTGATACCACATTCTTATGGGCATCACAGGATAGATATACAAACATAGCGATGGACAAACAGTCATTACTAAAATTGAAACACATGTTCGTTTAGAGGTAAGGTGTTTAAAAGAAAAAAGAACATTATGAAAAAGCTTAGATAGAAAGATCTGCAACATAGATGGAAAATTGAGACACAGATTCATCAGAAGGCCAAGGGAAGACTGTTTTAAAAAATAGGGATTGTTTAATAACATCGAATGCTGACACATAATAGGAGGATGCAGAAATACACAAGGAATTTGGCAACGTAACAGAAAAATGGAAGAAATACCCTGTAGCAACAGGGTCGAAGAGAGAATAGGAGGTGATCACATCGGGGCTTCCTTATTTCCTTCTAGTATAACTCTCTCCTGGTAGCAGATAAACCGGTGACCGTATGGACTAGGGGACCAGTAGAATTAAAGCAAATATTTTTACTTTTCATATGAAGATAGAAAAAATATGTATACTGATATGATAAAGAAAGAAGAGAACAGGCAGTGACAACTATACCAATTACTATTCATTCATCCTAAACACTGTGCTTTGCATTTTGACAGGTGACTCCAAAACATTCCAGCTCCAGTCCCCACATCAAGGCTGTGAGGTGAATATTATACTATTATGTTTTACAGATGGAAATCCTGAGATTGGGCTTGGATAATTCACAGGCCGATGGTCACTCAGCAAGTGAGGAATGGATGCATACTGATGATGTAAATGAATTCAGAACCAGTGTCAAACAATGGTAGGCCTCTCTCCACTTCTAATCTCTTCTTTGGCTTTCTATTTTCTCGCTGATTTGAAGAGGCTTCTATAGAATGCCAAATATTTGCTAACCACAAGTTTTCTGCCAAGTCAAAATTCCATTTGCTGCCAAACAAAAATCTGGCCCAGAGATAATAAACATGAAGATATATGATAGACTACAGCTTTTGAGTGACTGCTTTATAAAAATGCTGTGTATGTATAGCTAAACTAAATTTTCCAGATCTGGCCTCAATTGCACATGAGAAGTTCTTAATGTCCAGTCTGTTGAGTTCTGCTGGAATGAAAACCGTCTTTCTATTTTCTTCCCAACCTCTACATTCAGAGTTTTAGAATAAAAAGCTTCCTAAGTATAAGGAATGCCAATATCACTTTATGTGCCTGTATGCATAACACACACACACACACACACACACACACACACACAATCTTAAATAATTTTCATTCTTGACTGTTACCATGCGGCACACAGCTATTTTGAAAGGTTATTTTATAGAGCTGGCAAAGAAGAAATGATGAAACAAACAAAAATACTACTAATGTAATTTTTTATAAAAACAAAAAGCTTTTAAGGAATCCTCATTTTATTGGCTTTCAAAATTAAAAAGTTGTCTCTTTCCTAATTTTATAACTAGGCACTTTTTAATGCATTAGTCCATGACAAGAAAATTATACTTCTATTATTATATATATTTTTTAAAAAACCGTAGGATTCTTCCAGCCCTGTTTGCTTTCAATAAGCTAGTTTTGCTTTGTGTAATGCAGATTTTACGTGGCCCTACATAAATAACTGAGGGGAAAGGGGGCAAAGGATCCTTCTTTGTTTCTCTATTACATGAATCATCAGAAACAAGAGGAAGGGCATGAGTAGATTGCACATATACAGCTCTGCCTTTGTAGGCAGCTTTTGTAAGGTTCTATTTGAAGAAGTAAGAAATCCAGTGACAGAGGTACCTTTCAGATGCTGCTGCCTTGATGAAATGTCAAAGACACCATCTATTCTGGAAAGAAAGTAGATTTCTCATGGCGAAAATATCAAGATCAATTTCTATAGTGCCAAGTATGGTTGTGAGTCATTCTTACAGGAGCTGCTGAAGACATTCAAACCTTTGAAGGCAATTCACCGTTTACCCCCACTCTCCTCTTAGAGGCAGTGGGACTCTCACTTGATTTATATTAGAAGCCCAAAGGAGCCCAATCTTCCTCACTGAACAAATAAGAAATCAAACATGTTCACATTCTTGTGGGTTGAGGATAAACTTATACTTTAATATTGGATACCAATATTACTCACTGAACAAAATAATAAATTAAGTATTTTCACACTCTTGTGGGGTTGAGGATCAACTTATACCTTGATTCTGAGGTTTATTTTTATATTAAGGAAGTGTTTAAACTCAGATTTTTGGGAAGACCATAGAATAATCATGTTGATGGCTTAATATTATTAATAACAAAGAGATGTACTTCAACTGTACAGCTGTACACAGACCTTAATTTATTTATTCATCAAATCTGAAATGGTTCTCTTTCTTCAACACCCAAATTAAAGTAATGGGACCCAGCAGCAGTTGGATTTATTTATTATATATCTATATTCGACTATAAATTACCTCCAGAGTAGATTTAAGAAATCCTCTTGTCCGGGCACAGTGGCTCACACCTGTAATCCCAGCACTTTGGGAGGCCAAGGTGGGCAGATCACCTGAGGTCAGGAGTTCAAGACCAGCCTGGCCAACATGGTGAAACCCTGTCTCTACTAAAAATACAAAAAGTAGCTGGGCATAGTGGTGTGCACCTGCAATCCCAGTTACTTGTGAGGCTGAGGCAGGACAATTGCTTGAATCCAGGAAGCAGAGGTTGCAGTGGCCAAGATCGTGCCACTGCGCTACAGCCTGGGTGACAGAGTGAGACTCTGTCTCAAAAAAAAAAAAAAAAAAAGAAAAGAAAAAAAAGGAAAAGAAATTCTTGCTACTATAGACTTGTGGAAGAGTAGTTCAAATGACAAATTTAATTCTACAAATATCACTTCTTTGAATATTTAACCAGGAGATTATTTTGTATAGTTTAACACTTACCTGCCTTATCTGCATACAGTAATTGTTTCTTGTACATATTCCCTTCTATTTTCCATAAAGAGTGAGAGTTTCTGCAACTGTATTCTGAAAGTATTGACAGAGCTGTTGTTAATTAACTCATTTCTTTACCTTCTCCCTCTAAAATTATTGGTTTGTAGGGATATTTTAAAAAGCATAACAAAATCCTGCTGCCAGTGAATATTCAGCACTATAATTCATTTAATTCTTTAACTCACATTTTAATAGAATCTGTAATGACTTGTTGAGCAAAGAACTGGTGGATTTGGCTTGGAAAAAGCAATGACCCTCATTCTCTGCCTTGTCTTCTATCTGTTCATGCAAGTTTTATGACAAAGTGGAAGCCTGGTATATTTAATGTGCTCTCAAAGACATATTCTTTGTCCTTTTTTAGGTCTTTTCAAGATTTAATATTCCCTTTGTGTAGAAATTAAAGCTGGCTGAGATGAAGTAGAAGCAGAGCTATATCTCCAGAATTTTATATCCTACATAGAGTTCTAAAGGTACATTTAACAACTCCCCTTGTTCAAACCACACCAGTTTTTTAGCCTCCAAATGCATTTCTACTGGCTGCTGACAAGAAAGATGTTTGATGGGTTAGTTAACTCTCCTCCCATTTTCATTCCTTGTAAGTATGCAAAGCCCCTCAGGGTAAAAAAATACCTAAGACATTTACATGTGCATGATCATGACATAAAAAGTGATGAAACAGAGAAAAAGATTTTATTTCTTGGAAAAGTAAATGATTCAGTGCTAATACAGTTAGAAATGGTACATAACTTATTACAGATGTTTAAAATGCAAGCAATTCAAGAGGACATCTCTAAAAAAGAAACACTACAAGAATTTATCAGAATTTCATACTGTTTGATTTATTTTAACTGGGACTTACTATTTTGTTCTAATTATAAAAAGAAAACAAAATGAAATATTATTTGAACACACACACACACACACACACACACACACATCAAAACACCTATTTCTAGGTGGTAGAGATCATTTGTAATGAAGTTATTTAAATAAAACTGACTTGCTCCAAGCCCAGTGTAGGAAAAATGTTTAGGGACAATGATTTTGGCAGGAAAGTAAAACACACTTTGGTTTTGAGATGCATTCACCCATTCATACCACGAGAAAGCTGTCGGTAAATTGCCTCCTTGCAGGCAATAGACTTTTCTGCAGAGTGAAGTTTTAATGCTAATACACAGACAAGAACCCTCAGTAACTCCACTCTTTATAATATTTATGTCAGTAATGACATATTTTTGACAATTCCTTGAATTATATCTTAAATACATCTCAGGAACAAATTCCCAATGACCTTAGGATACAAATATTTATACGGTTCTCAGAAGAAATTTCTAACTTTGATTCATGTCGTGAAGCGTGACAATCAATACTCATATTCTCTGAGACTTCATGCTTCTGTCAAATGGGCAGTTAACTTTGTAGATCTGATGGTGAGTTTCAAATAAACTAGAATATGAAAGTGACAGACTGTAATCTGCATCCTTTAAAAGAATCTAACATATTAACAGGGCAAGCCCATGACCTCTGGTGCTCAGCCATGCCATCTCTTCATTCTAGTGAGGATTTGATGTCTACACAGTGTTCAATTTGTCTGTCTGTACTTGGTAGACAGAACCAGGTGCCAATTTGTTACACTTTCCGTGGGCTGGGTGATAGCAATCAACATCTTGGTTTGAATTTTAGTGGCTAAATCTTGCTTTGTAGATATTCTTACAAGCAATTTGTAAAAACCCATGCTACCATGGCAGAATCTATTTTCAAGGAGACAGGTGTTAAATGGACCTTTGTTTATTTGTCCACCAGAGCTTTTGTGCGCATGGCTTCCTTTCTGTCGAGAATGCCTCCCTGACACTCTTCCCCACCCGTCAAATTCTCCTCTACAAATTTCAAAATCCAGTGGAAAAAGTCACTTCTGAGAACCTTCCTTGACACTCCCAGGCAGTCAGCTGTTGCCTATCTTCTATGATTTCTCTTCTTTGCACACGCTTCTATTTTAGCACTAGCCATATTTGCCGAAATATAGGAGCAAGAGCAAATGCTTTGGCGTTAGAGAGAATTTGATCTGAATTCCATCTCACACATCTACTAGGCTGGCTGGCTGCTTTTCTGACCACATTTTTTTTAACCTCTCAGCCTCAGTTTTTTTCATTTTAAGATGGGAAAAATGAGATTTATCTCCATAGCATTATTTTGGTATTGGCTAGTTTTCTTTTTTAAAAAAATTATATTTGGGTCCACCACATTACTAAATATCCATTAGAAAACTGAACGCATCCTTCTTTTATCTCTTGTAGTCTCACTATATGACAAGCATTCTTCTAGTTGCTAGGAACATGCAGCAACTAAACCACCCAGAGCTCTTGATCTCCTGGTACTTTTTATTATTATTATTATTATTTTTTGAGATAGAGTTTCACTCTTGTTGCCTGGGCTGGAGTGCAATGGCACGATCTGGGCTCACCGCAACCTCTGACTCCTGGGTTCAAGTGATTCTCCTGCCTCAGCGTCCAGAGTAGCGGAGATTACAGGCATATGCCACCATGCTAGGCTAATTTGTATTTTCAGTAGAGACAGGGTTTCTCCATGTTGGTCAGGCTGGTCTTGAACTCCCGACCTCAGGTGATCCACCCACCTCGGCCTCCCAAAGTGCTGGGATTACAAGCGTAAGCCACCGCGTCTGGCCGACCTCCTGGTACTTTCATTTCAGACAATATTAGAGATAATTATTTAGCAAATAAATATGCACTATAGGTTAAAATGGTAAGTATGCTGAAGAAAATACCGTAGGCTAATAGGATGTAGAGAACTTTCAGTCATGAGTTTGAAGAACAATTGAATTCTAAGGTGGTAAAGCTGGCTTCCTTCATTTGATCTGAGACCTAAGGAACTAAAAGGCTATTGGAAAAATATGAAGAAATAACTTTTTCAGGAAGAGGGTAGAGCAAGTGCAAAGGTCCGGAGTGGGAAGGTCTTTGGAAGTGTTTGGGGAGTAGAGACAAAGCCAGTGAACTGCAGTCCAATAAGGTTGTGAAAGTGTGTTTAGAGGTGAAGCATTTTTAGAAGAAGGCAGGGGTCGGGCCATGGGGACCTTGCCTAAAGCAGGAGCCACTTAGGAACTTGAGCACAGAGTAGAATCCAGAGAGACACCAGACCTTGTTCCATTAACTTGTGAAATGTTCCACATTGTCAGGATTTGGTTTGTGAACTGAAAATTTTATCTTGCAATTCTAGTAGTGATCTATTGTTTTCTAAAGAGGAAACGGTTGGCAAAGAAGGAAACTCGCTCATCAATTGTCTTTGCTGTGGAGTTTATATTCACAGCACCATCCTGGTGGGATGCTCAGGCAGCGCTTAGGACTCAAAAGGAAGCCATGCGCAGAAAAGCTTGCCCACTAAGTGACCTTGTGCAAATAACTAGACCTCTCCAAATCTCAGTTCCTTCATTTGGAAGAGGGAAGTAATAATAGACTCCCGTAGTCACCCAATTTGGCTTAGCCATGATTATTTGTTTTTTATACCTGATAAAATTGTTATAAATGAAAGTGTGATTGTTTCCTGGCAGAAAAGGATAAATCATTCTTCTATTCTTCACTTAGGCATCACCTCTGATCCCAACTACCTCTTGGGCAATTCTATTACATTCTGCGCAAACACTTACCCTGGAGCTTATTATCATACTGTACTTGCCTATATGTGTATCATTTTCCTAGCCATTGCATAGCAAGACAGCTAACTCCATGTGATTAGGGACCTTCTTTTATTCATTATTGTATTTCCTGTATCTAAAACAGAATCTGGTTTGTATCACGCATATAATTATTATTTGTTAAATTGCCTCCTGAATGTGGAAAAAATGATTAAGCTTGCTTATTATCCCCTCACAAAACACAATTAGGGTTGATGTTGGAGGTGGTTAGATTTGGAATTAATATAGAGAAATTCATTCTCACCATCGAAGTTGTTCCCAGGTAAAATCAGTGGCCTCCATAGGGAGTGTGTGTTCAGGATTGTATCAGGTGACTGCTTGGCAGGGATATTCTAGAGATGATATGAGCATCACGTAGATATTTTGAGAGACTTTCTTATAGGTTGCTTCCAACCTTGGGATTCTTTAATTCAAGTCTTTTCATGGCAGCATGAACAAATTAAAGACTGGATTTAGAATATGGGAATAGCATGATATGTGAGAATGGCAAATTAATGCCATATTTCATGATTTACAAAGCAAAATTATTTCCTATAATTTTCTGCCATGTGATATCTTATAGTCTCTCAGAAAACTGTTTTGGATAACATTTCAAGCCTTCTCCCACTCAGTTTCTGGTGGTGTTCTCTGTGTGTGAGTACTTGGCAAAACTTGTTTAATAAGTGCTATATTTCAATTTGCCTGATAATAAATGAGTCAAAGAGGAGTACAGATAACTGCATTTCCATTGACCATTTTAGCAACAGAAAACAGCAAATGCCTATTGACTGACAGACAGTTACAGAGCAAGCCAATGACAAGATGATTGAAATATCTGCCTTTATCCTTCCAGCTCCTTGTTCCATCAAATAAATGAAACTATGCTTTATTGATGCTGTGTTTATATTTGGGAAAGCATGCATATGAACACTGCCTGATGTTGGATTTTGCAAATATTATTAGAAAATAACCAGCTGTGTTTGGACCTGATGAAGCTATTTATTATTTTAAATACTTGGAAGGAAGGAGGGATGCCCGTATGCTTTGTCTACGTGGTGTGATCTCACTAAAAGACATGATGTGTATATATCAAAACTCAGTAAAAGAGGGAAATTCCTTCAAGCTTCAAATGTTGACGAACCCTTTTGCTTATTTCTAATAGTATTCCATTCAGTTCACACAGCCTAAATTATTTCTGAAACATTACCTCAGCAGAGCTTGTTAATACATTCTTTTATGTCTGCCCGCCTTTTAAACACTCAGTTTACACTTACTTTTCCCTGGCTAACTTCATGCAGCAGATAGGCAAACTTTATCCTAAAAAGTAGTAAAATGAATCTCAATGTTTAAGCAATTAACTGATATACAAAGTATATTTATATAAGGCCATGTTTAAGACACTAAGGTATTACAGACATAATTTTCTTGTAATTAAAATTTCTTTCTTTCATTAGCTTACCTGGCTAGCACTACATATGAAAACTTATTTACAGAGAGGCAGCAAATTACATTCATTTTCTGCTCTTTTCTTTATTGCTGCTAACGCATTATATAGGGCCCAGGATACTGCTGTAGTTTAGCTTCCTGTCCCTGTTCTTAACTTTTTTTTCCTCATCACTTGCCATGTTTTATTGGTGAACAAGTATAACAAAATGTGGAATACACATTTCAGTTCTCTGAAGACATTTTCAAGATTTGTCTAATTACTCTCTTTCTTCATAATGGTAAATAAATTATTTATCTTACTGCAAAAGTTCATTTTAATGAGGCATTTAATAGAATATTTTCATAAGACCTGGACACAGTAGCTGTCACAAAAAATAACTGGATAGGAAATAGTGGAAACTAATCTTTCTTCTGCATTTATTTGCATTAAGTACTTACATAGGTGTTATTTAATCTTCAGAACAGCTCTAGGAAGAAGATGTTGTACATAACTTAACACATTAAGAAGAAAATTGAAGAAGTGAAGGAACTTGTCCAATCACATGCATCTAGCCAGTTTCAGCAGTGAGGTTTCTGTCTAGTTTGCTGTGCCTTAAAATGTTTGTGCTCCGTGGTACTTTATGCTGTTCTTTTCTTCTGTAGGAATTAGGGCTTAACCCATTTTTGACTGAGGCAGTTCAAGTTAAATGTGATATGGAGAAATTACCTCTACAGCCATATAAAAAACAGCAGGAAAAAATGCCATTTAGAGGAATCTTTATGGAAAAATGAGAAGCAAACTGCTCCTTTATGAAAGAGAACTTTAAAAATCAATTAAAATGAAAACTAACGCAATTAATTTCCTTTAGGACTTAAAAAAATCAGTGCTAAAGCTTGAAATAAATGGATTCTGTTAAAACCACTGGAAACTAGTTATTGATTCTGTTATTATTATTTATATTCATTGTTGGGATAAATAGAGATATGTCATTGATTATCACTGCCATGAAAACTGAGATTTGAATATACCACAAGAGTTCTCATCTCCTGATTTAAAAGAACTTTTCATATCTGTATCTTTTAAAATATTAAAAATAAATCTTCAATATTTTTGTTCATTTATAAAGCTACATCATAGGTTTTAAGAATATTAATACAAACAAAGGATTTCAATGAAAAATATGACGCATGAGGAAGTTTATTCGGAAAGATGACATTGAGTTTCTAGCCCTTTAATATACATAGGGTTAAACTATAAAAGCGCTGAGATAAATCTTTGCATGTGCTACAAGGTATAATAATTATGACTGGCTTAAACTATAGACTCATTTGATGTGATCAAGTGATGCCCACGTCTTATAATTGAGGGACATTATTTGCCAAAAACCCCTTCTCAACATGTGCTCCATAATGCACCTGAAGTACCTTCATTATCATAACATGACTTTATGTTTAGCATTACCCTCTTTTCTGGAGTCTTCTTTTAAAATGTTGATATTTCAACAATTAGATAACCTCCCTTCTTGACAGGATATTCCTGACCAATATAGGAAGAAAATAAATTATTTTGTTATGAAAGACAGAAGACAACAATAGCAAACTGCATACTCTACCACTGTATTTAGAATCAGTCTCAAATTTAGCTGGACTTCACATTCATGGATTCAGCTTTACAGGTTATGTAATATTTTGAGATATAAATTCACATTGGAAGACTTGTCATGAATAGACCAAGAATCCTTAATTCAAAGCATCATTTAGAAATGTTAATTTTTGTCAATCAATACTAAATAATCTTCTGGGGTTTCCCTCGGTGATATCCTAACACTCAGTGGATGTCATTTTTATTTTATTTTTAATATCAGTATCATCTATATTCCTCTTTTTTTGGTTCTATTCAACAAACTTTTACTGATCACCTACTATAAGCCAGGTTATCTCTAGATACTTGGATTACAAATATAGATATGTTGTTTCTTCCACCTTGAAGAATTTCAATTTTCTAAGAGGGGGCAATCAGGGGACACAAAATTACATAGACTTCCTAAATGACCATACTTTAAGAGTAAGAGGCACAAAACAAACCAACCAACCAACCACCACCAACAACAAAAAACAAAAACAAAAACAAACACCCATAATTTATAAAGGGTATAGTATTTGGGGAGGGGGTGAAATTGACACTAAAACTTTCTGTGTAAACGGAAAAATGTTGTTTTTAAAACTGTTTTAAAATAGTTTCTGTCTCTTTAGAGGTCGATTTATCTTGGGCAAGCAATAAATACTTTTGCTCTCAGAAAACCGCCAAAACTTATTTTCTTATTAGCTGAGTAGAAAACAAGTACTCACCATTGTGGCTATGGAAGACATAAGCAGGCCAAAGGCATCATTCACCTAAGTAGAGACGAGGTGACAGCGTGCTGTCAGTCCTCACAGCCCTCGCTCCCTCTTGGCGCCTCCTCGGCCTTGGCGCCCACTCTGGCCACGCTTGAGGAGCCCTTCAGCCCGCCGCTGCACTGTGGGAGCCCCTTCCTGGGATGGCCGAGACCGGAGCCGGCTCCCTCAGCCTGCAGGGAGGTGTGGAGGGAGAGGCACGGGCGGGAACCGGGGCTGCGTGCTGCGCTTGCGGGCCAGCTAGAGTTCCGGGTGGGCGTGGGCTTGGCGGGCCGCGCACTCGGAGCGGCCAGCCGGCCCTGCCGGCCCCTGGTAGTGAGGGGCTTAGCATCCTGGCCAGCAGCTGTGGAGGGTGCGCCGGTTCCCCCAGCAATGCTGGCCCACCGGCGCTGCGCTCGATTTCTCGCTGGGCCTTAGCTGCTCCCCCGCGGGGCAGGGCTTGGGACCTGTAGCCTGCCATGCCTGAGTCTCCCCGCCCCGACGACGCCGTGGGCTCCTGCGCGGCCTGAGTCTCCCGGACGAACGCCGCCTCCTGCTCCAAGGCGCCTGGTCCCATCAACCGCCCAAGGGCTGAGGAGTGCGGGCGCACGGCGCGGGGCTGGTAAGCACCTCCACCTGGGGCCCCAGTGGGAGATCCACCAGGTGAAGCCAGCTGGGCTCCTGAGTCAAGTGGGGACTTGAGAATCTTTATGTCTAGTTAAGGGATTGTGAATACACCAATTGGCACTCTGTATCTAGCTCAAGGTTTGTAAATGCACCAATCAGCACTTTGTGTCTAGCTGAGGGTTTGTAAATACACCAGTCAGCACTCTGTATCTAGCTAATCTAGTGGGGACGTGGAGAACTTTTGTGTCTAGCTCAGGGATTGTAAATGCACCAATCAGCACCCTGTCAAAACGGACCAATCAGCTCTCTGTAAAACAGACCAATCGGCTCTCTGTAAAATGGACCAATCAGCAGGATGTGGATGAGGCCAGATAAGAGAATAAAAGCAGGCTGCCTGACCTAGCAGTGGCAACCGTTGGGGTCTCCTTCTGCATTGTGGGAGCGTTGTTCTCTCACTCTGCAGTAAATCTTGCTGCTGCTCATTCTTTGGGTCCACACTGCCTTTATGAGCTGGAACACTCACTGCGAAGGTCTGCAGTTTCACTCCTGAAGCCACCGAGACCACAAACCCACCGGGAGAAAGGAACAACTCCAGACGCGCCGTCTTAAGAGTTGTAACACACACTGGGAAGGTGTGCAGCTTCACTCCTGAGCCGGGGAGACCACGAACCCACCAGAAGGAAGAAACTCCGAACACATCCGAACTTCAGAAGGAACAAACTCTGGACACGCCGTCTTTAAGAACTGTAACACTCACCGCAAGGGTGGTGGCTTCACTCTTGAAGTCAGACCAAGAACCAACCAATTCCAGACACAGAGATATGTTTGCCATACAAATTATTGTTCTGCCGGGTAAATGAAGTTGCATGTATCTTTCAATATAAAATAAGTGCAAATTTTATATGCCTGTTTGGGAAAAATAGTACCTTTGTTTGATTTAAAACACTTTTCTTCTGTTTTTAAATTTTAGACTTTTCTAATGGAGTTGTATATAGCTGTTTTTGAGCAGCTGTTTGTAAATGAGAAGCTGTGATGGAAGAATCTTAGGAAAGTGATGAAGGCTGTTCTTTATTTCAACCCTAAAGAGACTATGAAAAGGAACTAGACTGAGCAAACACTAAACTTGGATTATTGTGTTGTGATGTGATTGTGTCCTTTAGGCCAAAGGCGAATACCCCAACAGTATGATTGGGAGTTGGGTTTCTCCTGAAGGGAATGGCATTTCCTACAATCGATAAACCTGGGAAGAGTTCAAAGATGGGACAGGAAATAAGGAATTGAAACACGCGGCCTGGATTTTTAAACTTCATAGGGGACAGACTCTTTTGCTATTATGTCTACTCAAGGTCGAGTAAACACAGGTGTTCACATGATGATGATGCCTTGGTTGCGTGTAAAAAGACTCAGAATTTAAGTAATTCGAGTAACTAATTACTAGGCCATATCAGGAAATGACTGACTTCCAATTGCCAAATGGCTTGTGGTGCCATCATTTGAACAATCCCAGATTGAGTTCCATTAATTGCAATGATAACAGACAAACCACTGTGTTATGCAATTATGAATACAAGGTCATTGTTGTGATGTCTATAAAATGCCTTAATGTGGGGGATAATCTTCTATGTACCACATTGGTGTTGCCAATACATGTTTCTGCCGCAAAACAGACAATAGACCCAGAGATTCTGTTCCCCAATAAATTGCCACTAGGGGGCAGCAGGAGTTTATTTAATACAAAGTAAAATCAAAAGTATTTTTTTCTTTTCTCTTTTTTTTTCTTTTTGAGACAGAGTCTCGCTCTGTTGCCCAGGCTGGAGTGCAATGGCACAATCTCAGCTCACTGCAAGCTCCACCTCCCGCGTTCACGTCATTCTCCTGTCTCAGCCTCCCGAGTAGCTGGGACTACAGGCGCTCGCCACCACGCCCAGCTAATTTTTTGTATTTTTAGTAGAGACGGTGTTTCCCAGTGTTAGCAGAATGATCTCGATTTCTGACCTCGTGATCCTCCCGCTTCGGCCTCCCAAAGTGCTGGGATTACAGGCGTGAGCCACCGCGCCTGGCCTAATCAAAGTATTTTCTAAAGTACCAATGTTCATACTAGCAGTAACAAAATAGAGGTGTAGTAATGAGTTCTCACTGACTTTTCTCTTTTGCAGATTGGTTTTTAGAAGACTATAAGCAATCAAAATAAGACTAGAAGAAAGTCTTGAAGCACCTTTGACTGTTTTCAAAGAAAGCAGATGGATGATATCTGGATTTGCCTGATGCATCCTAATCTGTACCAAAGAAACTGTATTTCAATGGTTTTGTCTCTTTCTGTGTTACAAGAGCAGCCACTCCACTGCTCTTTCATTCAGTGTTTCCATACAAACCATGTTCTATGTCATTTTCATAATTTTCAAATGACTGAATCTTCAGTTAAGAGAATTATTTGATCTCAGAGACTTAAATCCCTAATCAATGCAGAAAAAAATTTAATAGGAAAGCTTCAGCATAACTTTCATATATTGTAAGGCACAGAATCCTGTTATTTCTCTTCCTGAATGATTCCAAAATTTCCCTCCCCCTCCCGCTTCTACTGCCTAAATTTAAGTCTGTTATCTCTCCCCTGTGTCATTACAAAAGCCTCCTAATTTGTCTCCCTGCAACTGGTGCCTCCTTCATCTGACTCAAGCTCTCCCTGCAGCTAAAGTTTTTGTTAATGCGACTGGATAAGAGTTCTGTCTACTCTCCCTTAGTCTCGTTTGTGGGTCCTTCGTCCTCTTTCTGACCTCAAAATCTCTATCTTCTATGTTAGTCTTAACCAATTTATACTCCTTCCCTAAGGGATATCATATTGTCCAATGGCAGTAGAGACCAGATTAATGTTTTGGACTCTCTTCAGTCCCTGAGTTGTAACATTCGTTTTCACATTCATTTGAATGTTGAATAAGCATCTCAACTTCACAAGTCCAAAATAGATCTCTTGATTTCTCAAGCTCCCACCAACCAGTGCCTCCGGCCTTCTCCATATCTATAAATGGCATCATCCTGACTTTGTTATTCATGCTCAGATCATGACTCTCTCTGCCTGAAAATCCATATCACATTCATTACCAAGTCTTGTCAGTTTTGCCTGCAAAATATTCCCAAGAATCTATCTCTTAATCCTCTGTCACCACCACAACCAATTCTTGCATTGTTCTCACGAAGAAGGCAACAATTAACTCCTAACTCACTTCCCTGCTTCCACTCTTGCCCCAGTCAATCAATTCACACAGAAGATGAATGACTTTTAAAAAATCAAATTGTGTGACTTCTTTGTCCTATACTCTTTAATTATTTCCTACTGGAAAAATTATGAAATGTAATCTTCTGTCCATGCTCGTTAAGACTCTTCATAATATGAACCTATCTCTCTTTCTGACCTTATTTCTTATCACTCTTGTACTTATTCCTTCCACTGTATTCATAGTCATCTTTCCAATCCTTGTACATACAGTACTGTCCCACTTTCAGGCCATTCTACTTGCTGTTCTGTTGGCTCAGAAGCTTCCCCCGACATCTTTTCATGACTTGCTCTTTTATATCCACTTTTGCTTCAGGTCTTTTCTCAGAGAGGCCTTCCCTATACTAGAACTGTCTCAACTAGAACCTCCCGGGATAGCCTGTTGCATTGGTGGTTTCTAATGAAGCAAGGTCCCTGGGGTTCACACACGAATGTGGTCCCTTCCCTTGAAACAGGGCTAACTCTGGGGCTCAATATAATCAACAAGGGAGGTGACACATTGCTGTTTATGGGCCCAAGCCATAAATGGCCTCAAGAGTTCTGCTTTTGTGTTCATTCGTTTAAAAATATGCATAAATCTAGATATGTTCACTCTCCATTTGTGCCTTTCCTACTGCATGTAAATATTCAAATGAAGATTTTTGCATAAAAGTAAAAAAATCTTTTTTCTCCTTTGTGACTGACTACAGAATTGTTAGGTATACTCAGAGATACCGTCTGGCACACACAGGTGTGGCTCATTGGCCTGTTTCTTATTGGTCATTGGTGCCCATGGGTACCAATTACAACATATTCTCATTACCTCTGCCTAGGTTCCATGATATTAATTATCTACAAATAGTTCAGTCTGCCTATAGATCTCTCTAGTCCACCCTTTCTAAGATCAGCAATACATTTCTCTTAGTCAAAATCCAAAAACATTGATTCTCTTTCCTAAACCAGCTACTTCAAGACACACCCTATCCTCCTTCCATACGATTATAACATACTGACCATCTCTTATGTTTCAGAAACATTCTTCTACTTGTACTTTGGAATCCAATGAACTCTCTCTCTCTCTCTTCACTTCCTCTCTTTAGAGTAATCTTCCTTTGGTATATTCAACCTCTCTTTTGTATTGGTTCTTAAGGATGCTCAAATACATACATTCATACATATATATAATATTTCAAATAAATATGTAGAGAAACATAAGTCAACATTTACTCTCCTTCAGGTATCACTTTGACTTGTTATCCATGCAGAATCATGTCTCTCTAAATAAATTTTTCTACCTGCTTCTTCCCACTTCCTCACTTCCCTCACACTTTTCAATCCATTTACCTTTGCTTGTAGTCTTGTCTGTCCATCAAAGCAATACTCACTCTGACCTGTATGTTGCCTGACATTTTTAGTCCTCTATTCCTTATTTCTCAGCACGATTTTAAACTGTGGATTACCGGCTTCTTCTGAAATATTACCATTACTTGGCTGCCATGACATGCTACTGGCGTTTGTTATAATGCATGTATAGCCCATGCTTCTCTGACTCCTTTGTCCACCCAGCCTTCTAGCCTGGGCTGCTTCATTATGGCATTCATCAGAGCTTGATTCTTGGTCCTTGGTCATTTGCTTTTTCTGCACCCTCCCTAGACAATCTTACTCATGTCCATGCAGTTACCACATATATACAGATGACTTCAAAATCTGAAAAACAGTGAGATGACTCCTCCAAACGCCAGCCATGTATCTTAACAGTTACTTTACATATTCCTCTTAATGTCTCAAAGACATTTTAAAAACTTACCAAAATTGAGCATATGCTCTCTACTCCTCAACCCACTTCAATGTTTTTTTTCTTCTTGTTTTTCTTTTCTCAACTAGCACTACCAGACGCCATGCTCTGGATTACCCCTATAACCAACACTAAATACATTGTGTATATACCCTCTCCTTGTAATTGTCAGCATCTTGGATCAAACTAGTATTATTTGTTTGTTGCATTAATTCAAAATCATTCTTACCTATGCACCCCTATGTACTAGGGTTCATCCACAACCTGCTGAGTGATATTTTCCAAATACAAATAGGCATATGTGACAACCCAATTCCTGCTCCTTGCTTAAAACATTCCAATGGCTTCTTAATGCTCTTTGGAAATTTATGAAACTCCCCATGCTTAAAGCTACGATGCTTCATGGTAAGCTGCACCACCTCACTGGTCTCCCTTGTTGCACATGCCCCTCTCTGCTCTAACCCACTGGCCTTGTTTATTCTCTTGCGCTCACTCTGCTCCCACCTGGAGAAGTCCTTTGCCCCACTAGTTCTTCTGATTAGGATGCTCTTCCATCTCTTTTTCACCAGGTTAATTCCTTTTCATTCTTTAGTGACAGTTCCCCTGGATAATTGTCACAGTGCTCTCTGACAAGGACAATTATCTCATTATATACTTTCAGAGCTCTCTATCTCTTTTTCATGCTAAATGTCATTTATACATCGATAATTTGATTAGTATCTTTGCCAATAGAATGCAAAATCTTCAAGGGAAAGGGCAATATTCATTTAAGATTACATCTAAATCCTCAAAGATCAATCAAATACCTGGCACTTAGTAATTGCTCAATTAACAATAAACAGTTAAATGAATGACTTAATGAAGGAAGGAAACATTTTTTTCCTAGTAATTTCACCCTGACAAATACATTACATTACACTGCTCGTTATTCGAGAAAACCTTGGAAATGAGTATACCTGTATCCCAAATATGCTTCTAGAGAAATTATTGATACCAGTACAGAGTTGAATAAGACATTACTGTGAAAGGCTAGATGTTATTAGGCTACATCTTGTCCATCAAGAGGGAATCTAGTGAATTAGGCGGCACGTACCTGGGTGGAAGTGATGGACTAGAGATCCTAAGACACTGTTGACATGCCAGAGACCAGGGTTCCCATAAAGACCAGGGACTGAAAAAAGCAAAACGTCTGGGAGCCAAAAGACCAAAGTAAAGGGTTCAGTCCGTGAGTCTATTTTCAGAGGCAGGATAGATGTGTTGTATCCAGACATCCAGGCTGACATTAAGCAGCTCATCAGAGGCTCAAACAGGGACAGTACTACTTCCCCAATGCTTGTTTGTAAATATGAAGAGAGATTTTTGGTTGCCACAATAACAGAAGGCTGTTACTGATATTTGATGGGTTCAAACTACAGTGCCAAATGCCCTGCAAAGGCACAGGGCAGTCTTGCACAATAAAGGGTTTCTTTACCCTGAATGCCAAGAGCTCCCCCTTGAAGAAATGCTGTTAGCCAACAAGCTCCTTGAGGACAGAGTTTATATTTTGTTCCTCTGGGTATTCTAGCGGCAAGTATAGTGCTTAATTGGCAGTGAATGCATATTGAAAATGGACTTCAGCTACTTGTCTGTGATCTAGATAAGAACGCATAAATGTATTAATTTATATTGATTCAGTGGTAGAGACAATAGGAACTCTTGTGTCTGAGCAGAGATTGCAAAGAACAGTCTTTTCTCAGTTGTAAAAAGAAAAGGTAATTAGAAATATCAGAAATGATAAGTTATAGAGATGAAAGTGGTAAAAGCAACAATAAAAACTGATATTTATATAGGATTTTAATTTCAATGCTTTACTAACTATATGGGCTGGAAATGGATTCAGTGGGTAGTTCCAGGCCTCCATGCCATCACTACTTAAGGCAGCATAGCCTCAGATGGATCCTGAGAAAACAGAAGGCATTTGTGTGTGTGTGTGTAGAGATGGGGCCTCACTATATTGCCCAGGCTGGTCTCAAACTCATAGACTTAAGCAATCCTCCTGCCTCTGTTTGCCAAATTGCTGGGATTACAGGCATGAGCCACTGTACCTGGCCCTGGAAGACATTTTTATGCATGCATGCATTTGTGGAAACGAGGAGAGGGTTAGAAAATATGGAATGAAAATAGAGAAAAAATAAGGGAAAATCACCTGCCCTTGGTTTTCAAAAGACCCACAAAACCAACCACTGCCCTCTGTGATGGAGACATTCTTTAGTCAGACTCAGTGTAATAGTTCTGAAGCAGCAAGGGTAATCGTATTGATTTTGAAGGAATGTCTGGTTAATTTTTCACAAGGCGTAGATCCCTCAAAAATCAATAACTTTCTGCTGTATCTTTATTCCTCTGAATAAACTGTGTCTGTCAGAGAAACTTGATTCTTAAGCTCAATTGGATTCATAAAACATTCACAGACACATAGCACAAAAGAAATGTAAGCTTTCCCTAGGAGTGGTAAGTATTTAACCTCAACATAGGACAAAGCCTCCTTTTCTGATATATTCTCGTCCTTGGACAGGCATTAGTAGAGACTGTGACTTCTGTTATGTAAATACTTCTTTTAAGCATTAGTTCCTTTCCCCAAAGGAAAGAATCATCAGTAGATGAGATAAAGTGCATGTCTGGAAAGCAGAGCTTAAGCAAATATCCTTTTTAAAAATCTGAGATTATTAGGGTGACTGTTAAAAATGTATTCATTTTATTGTACTTTAATTTACCAAGATAAGTGTGCAGTTATAAATATTTTTGGAACAAATGAAAATATCCTTTGTGGTCAGAATTAAAATGCTATCCAATAATAGAACTTGGAAATCATTGAGTGATTCCCACTTTTTCATTTTACAGAGGAAGAAGGTAATGCCCAGAGAGGTTAAGTGTTCTTCCAAAGGTCACACAGTAAATGTCTCATTCATTAAATTGGAAATGCCACTTTGAAGAGAAATCAATGAACACACATTTATCAAGGAGAAAGAATGTGCAAAGTTAAAAACCATGATAATGTCTGGATTGGAATAAATATACAATGCAAGAACTCAAATAATAGAAAAAGGGAAGAGAAGAGAAAAGAGAACATTCTACAAATGTATTTCAATGTTAGAAAAGCTTCCCACATTCAGCTAAATATCACTCATGACTCATTTTCCTATGAATCTGGCTATAACGTTTGACAAGTAAAACTGGCCATTGCTACCCAGATTATTCTTATGTCATGATTTTGAACTCTTTTGTACATATATTAAAAAAACACAGCTTTAAATACCTAATATAAAACATGCACAGGCAATTTATTGGCAAGGTGGATAGGCATCATTTTAAAGAGATATAGAAAGAAAATGCAAAGTCCCCAGCTAACCCAGTGATTAACACTTTTATTCTGAGCTCCCGTAGCCGTTACTAAGCCTTTTGTTCTTATCTCAGCCGTGTGTGTATGTATGTGTGTGTGTGTGTGCACTCGTGTGTGAATAGGTGGGCTTGTGCACATATCTGCATGTGTGTTCAGAATTATCTCAGAGAACAGAGCTCCTTAGGGTAACATTAGATACTGCTTAAAATGAGGTAAATTTTATTTGAATACTCTTAGTTCTTTGCTTTGTTGATGTTTTAAAGATTAAAACAGAAAAAGTTATTGAAACCAGTTATGTTTTATGCTGGTTTCCAACTAGGACTCTTGCCACATTAAACAAAGATAGTCTTCACTTTAAAGTCTGAAATGTGATTAAGAACAAACTCTAGGGGCTAGGCACAGTGGCTCATGCCTGTAATCCCAGCACTTTGTGAGACTGAGGTGGGTGGATCACCTGAGGTCAGGAGTTCAAGATTAGACTGGGCAGCATGGTGAAACCCCATCTCTACTAACAGTACAAAATTAGAATTAGCTGGGCATGGCGGTGCATGCCTGTAATCCCAGTTACTTGGGAGGCTGAAGCAGCAGAATTGCTTGAACCCAGCAGGCGGAGGTTGTGGTGAGTCAAGATCACGCCACTGCATTCCAAGGTGGGCAATAGAGTGAGACTCCATCTCAAAAAAAAAAAAGAACAAACTCTATGAACTCTTCTTCCCAGAAGACAGTGCCCAGCATACTTTACTATGGCTTTTAGGAGTATTTTAGAAATGGTAGAGTATTAGTGTTTCAATCCCAGTTGTCCCAACCCCGCAAGGTAAACAATGCGGGGAAGATCTGCCTAGCTTCTGCAGCTTAACCAAGCCCACTATAAAAAATTATCTTCATCTAATTCTAACAAGGAATGGTTTTTAATCTAGAACCAGTTTCGGGTTTTATTATTGGTTCAACTCAGGCAAAAGTTCTAATTTATTTAAAACACTTTAGGAACAAAGCTTTCTGATTTCTTTATTACATGTATCATATGGAGATCAAACCGTGGGACTGAGAAACTTTCTGATGAGGACTTGATTGTAGCTACTAGTTCTCACTGTACTGGGTCCCCTGTACAGATGAAGTGAGCTTGAGGAAAGCAGTGCTCTCCCAGGGGGTAGGCTTACCTGGGTATTTGGAATGTCTATTCTGCTCATAAGACGGTTGTCTGCAGCTATTAATTGAGACCCAACTAATTAGTTTTATGACTACAAAAATGCTCAAAGTAATCCTAAATCTGTATTTTTAAAAAATGATACATTGGAGACTACTAAATTCACAGATGAAATAGGAACTGCTAACATAATACTGAAAAGGTCATTTAAACACACACAGACTACGAACTACAAAATAGAACATATCTGCTAGAAGTGTGTTTGGATATTAACTTCTTTTTCTTATGTTTAGGACCTAGCAAAATTATTAGCCAGGCATCCTTCCAAAAAGTAGAAAATGTCTCTTTTAACTCTCGTTTTCTCTGTGGATTCTTTGACATATCTCATGTTGTCAGTAGCCCAAGTGAGTATGCAGTGGGAAAGCGATTAACTTTTCCTGGGTATTTAAAATTCATAAGGTTGAAGATGGCTTCATCTTTCAATCTTCAACTGATCCAAGTGAAAAATATGTCATTCCAGAGATTTCACTGCTATTACATTTTAAGCTCTAATTATTTGTGTTGTTAATTACACATATTTAAAGCCTTCATTTTTTCTACCCAACATCTCAAAACATTTGCTTTTAGTGATTCTTCCTAAACCACCATTTATCTGTCTTGACTGACACTGTCACATTGTCACATTCTGCCCTGACTCTCAGGTCCTCTCTGATGTGAGCATTTTATGACATGTCCCATGTTGTACAACAGAGGAGTTTTATTCTGTGCTCTGGCTGTTGCTGGGAATGGGGGGTTTCCAGGATGAGTCTGTGCCTTAAGTGCTCCATCTGTACAAAAGTTCTTGGCCCTTGAAACATGTCCTTTGTAGCTGAAATGCTGCTGTTCAATCAACTCATAGTCACTATTATGAAGATTGCACCCAATCCAGAGACCATTTTCTGTTTCTTGAAAGCACTGTACTATATTAGTTAAAATATTTGAGTTTAGCTACTGTGAGAGACAAACCTCTGAGGATTTAATGGCTTAATGTCATACCGGTTTATTCTTGCTCATGTTTCAGTCTGATGCAGGTCAAGCCATGCTCCTCTCTCTTGAAACTGTACAGCTTGGAACATGCAGAAAGATAACAGAGGAGGCACAATCTTCACTCCCTTAACTCTCTATCCAGTGTAACATGTGCCAATTCGGCTTGTGTTTCACTGGCCAACAATAATTACAAATTATATAATTTTTAAGGAGATGGCCAAAGGTAAAGGATTCCATGGATATTTAATGAGTGTTAAAAATTTTTGCTACATACATCTTTATGTCTGACTTTTGGCTATAATATAAATAAAGAGTGTATTGGTTTCTGTTTGCTACTGGAGGATTTTTTCAGTCCTGATAGTATCTGAACTTGTACCCAGTTGATACTCTAGTTGAGCATCATAAGATGCAATTTAGAACAAGTTTAGGCATATATTTAACATCTGGTACTAAAATATAAAACAGCCAGTGGGCCACTTGTGTGGCATTCTAATTGGGTCAAAAGCGCGAGGGATTAAGTGTTAAATTAGTTTACATAGGTAAGAACCCTTGCAGCAGAGAAGAGAGTTTAGTTCAAACTTGACTTTGCTAATTTGACTGTCACAGTGCTTTAATGTCTTTATCAGAAAAAATGAAGCTCACACTAAAGCACTTACTCTAACTCACTTTGTGAAGAGTAAATGAAATCAAAGAGTTAAGAAAACCTTTGAAAAATGTAAACTGTTTCAAAATATAAATTACTGTATGTTGATGATGCTATGTGCATTCTGTAACTTAAACACTCAGGATTGTATGTGGCTTTCCTATGAAAGTGAAAAGAATGCTGTCTGCTAGAACTACAGTTTAGATATCAGATACATTTGAACTGAAGTTTACTATATTTCTATGACAAAGGAAAACACCTAGTTTCTAATTTATGTTGTTGTACAAATACTAAAATAAATACAATAATTGATAATCAAACTTCTAATCTGGAAAACTAGCTAGTTAAAAATGATGTTTGTACTGCTACAAACATATATTTTTCTATGTAATCATGTTTCTAAAAAATAGATCACTTTGACAAGACTTCATCTTGGAAAAAATATTTTAAAATGCGTAACTCGTTAAAAATAATTTATTTCATTGCAAGATAATTTATATGGCTATCTTGTTTTAATGGGTTATTTCCCACTTTGATATATGACTTTTTTTCCCCTTTTTCTTTTTTCAGTAACATAGGAAAGGTAGAGTTAATGTTATAAGGATCCAAATGCCTGAAAAATCATGACTCCGTTAGGATACCTACGCTGTGATTTTATTTTATTGTTGCTTTTCTTTTTACTCTGTCACTTCTGAAAACTTGAGAAGAGGTCTAAAAATCAATCTTTCTTTACTGCTATTTCAATTCTTCAGGAAAATACAGAATTCTCAGTCAGTATTAAAGGAGGTTACGGAAGTTGATGCCTCAGATAAAAAATAATCTTGTCCTGGTGCTTTTGGAGTAGAGATAATTCTGGAATTGTTGCCTTCTGAATGCAGTTCCTCATTTATTTGTAAAATAATAAATCTTCTCCTCTGAGGCTGCTCTCTGCTAAAGACAGTTGCTTCACATATGGCTACATATTAGATATGTAACATCTCTTCTTCTAGCATTCTTTTACAGTATGGGTTATTTTACAAATACTTGAGTAGAATCGTGGATGATTTGTATGAATCCTTATTAACCTTTGACATGTCTAAGTCATCTCTCTTTAATATGGCTTCGAGTCATTAAACAGCATAAGATGATGAGCACGTAAGACAACAGTGTAATTATCTTCAATGACCACAAAATGATTCCTCTTCTACATGGGGGAAAAGGGAACAATAGTTTTTGTTTGTTTGTTTGTTTGTTCTTTCCCATCTCACACTCACTCCACTCTAGGGTCACTATGCACAGGATGTTTTGCATGCCTGAATTTTCCAGGTGGTTATCTTGCTATGCCATTGTTGTACAGCTCCAGTTTTAAGAGAATATCAGGAGACATATACTATTTAAAGCTGGGTGAGACCTTGAAAGTGAAGTGTCACATTTTTGTTGTTCATGGTGGTCATTTTTGTCTTCTCAGAAATATTTTGTTTAACAAGCATAGCATTGAGTAGAAAGAATTTAAGGCTCAGGTTTCCTAAGTCTTATCCATGTTTGACTTGCAAAGTAAATATTTTGTCATTTAAGCTCTAACATGGACTTCCAGATATATTTGGCAGAAGAAAATGATCTTATCAGCCACGCCTTAGAATGTCTGTAGTTCTTTTCTCAGTCATGATAATGCACTATTAATAAATACACTTTTTCCATTAAAAGATTAGTGGATGTTGGAGGTTGAAAATGGCCACAAATATTTTGCTACATAACCTATTGAGAGTCTATGTACCATAGACTTAAGTCTAGGAAGGGTAGGTAACTCTTTCACCAATAGAATACAATGGGATTGATGAACAGCAGATTCCTGGCTGAGGATTAAGACATTGGCTGCTTCGACTTCCTTTCTTTTGAATCATTCACTCTTTGGCTCTTGAATCATAATGCAGAGTCTCCTAATCTGCTGAACAGACCACATAGAGAGGGTCTGAGAGCATATGAAGAGGAGGAGAGGGTCCCACTGAAGTCCAGCCTTCCAGTCATTCCCTAACCATGAGGCATCAGAAATTTGGTAAAGCTGTCTTGGACCCTCCAGAACAACAAATGTCGCAGTTTAATATCTAGGTGATTACATGAATAAGAAGAATTGCCCAGCTAAACCCTGCACAACTCCTTATCTACAAAATCATAAGGTATAGTAAAATGATTATTCTTTAGAAATGACTAGGTTTGGGGAGAATTTAACACATGACAACAGATAATCTAAACAACATGAACAGTGTGCGTCATGCCTATTTTTGTGGAATTCTAGTGTTCAGAGTCTGGCATATGTTGTAGGTTTATGAGTGAATATATAAGTATATGTTCAGTTATTTTTCAGGTTATTATGTGAATACATAAATAAAAGATAAAAAGTAGATTCTTGAATGATGGAAAGATGCATAAAATATGACAATTTGTCTCATTTGTTGAATCATCAGATGAAAGATGCAATTAAACCATCCTATTTTAATACTTTGGGCAATAAGGAGATTTGAGATAAAGAAAAAAATTTCATCTGATTTGAAGTTAAACTCTAAGGTCTACATGTAAGGTATATAATCAAAAACCACTCTTAAAAATATTAAAATGCTTTTAATAAAATATTTGTTTTTGTGCTCCAAAAGGAGTTGGTTTACTTTCTATATGAAAAAAATACATTTACTTAACAAATAAATTTTATTTTCTGCTAAGAAGTGTGCAAAAATGAAAAACATGCAAATAATAGATTTATATCTGCTATCCCAAACCACTCTACAGCAGGGCCACCATGTGTATTCCATAGATAAACTATACAACCCTAGATGGTGGCATTTACATAAACTATGATGTGAAGACACCTCCAGGGTATATTCAGTACACAACTTGTACAACAAAACACTGTCTTCCTACTCTCCAGAAGAATCTCATTGGATCTGATGAAAGCAGCTCTTCAAGTATTTATATTTGTCTCGTCTTCTCTCCTCAGAAACACCTCTTCACCACCTGCTTCATTTATGTTCTGTCACCACTATTTTTTCAAAACCATTTTGTTACTTATGCACAGACAGTTATTTCTGTGAACTGAGGAGCACGTTGTAGAGCAATGCCGAAGATGTAAGCAAACACTGAGAATAGGATTCACTACTTCCCAGAGTACTAATGAAATAATCTCAGGAACAAACTATCATCAGTCTTTGCCTTTATTCCTTCATTAAACAGTTTTGCCAGAGTCACCAACAATCTTCTCACTGCTGATTGCAATGGTCATTTTCTAGTCCTCATCTCACTGGAGCTCTCACTTGGGCACAATTTTATATTCCCTTCTCTTTGCAACATGACAATTTTTTCTGGTTTTCTTCTTTCATTGGCTGCTCTTTCCCAGTCTACTCTGCTTGTTCTTCTTCAACTGCCCTTCATCGAGTAAGATGAGACACAGTTCTTCACTCTTACCTCAATCTTATGGCCTTAAGTACCACCTGTATATCTGAAATTTATTTCCATTCCGTATGTCTTCTCTGAGGCCCAGACTCATATATAAAACTACCTACTTGACATCTCCACTTAAATGTCCAATAAGCAACTGAATCTCACCAAATTAAAAACCAAATTTCTGACATTCCCATCTTCCCAAAACAATTTATCATGCATTAAACAGTAATTCCATTTCTCCATTGTTCAGGGAAATCAGACTTGGAGCCATTCTTGACCCTTCTCTTTTTCTCACTCCTCCCATTCAACTCATAACAAATTCCATTTGCTTTACCTGAAAGGCATATCCAGATTCTTACTACTTCTCATCACTTCCACCAAAATGGTCCCAGCAACCATCATCTCTGGGCTAGATTATCATTCCCTAACTGGACTTCTGGCATCTACCTCACAGTCTATCACAAACTTGATAGTGCAAGTGAATTTCTTAAGCCCAGTCATAAATCTTCGATTCAAAACCTTTGATAATTACCTATTTTCTCTGTTACTTATCTTTTCCCATTTCTAATAATCTTCCTCTCTCTTGTTCTATTCTTGACATGGTGGTCTTTTTACTATTCTATTATTTTCCACAGTGTCCTATTCTTTTTCCCGGTGAATACGTATGCCCAAATATGTTGCTGTTTTACAACATTCGAGCACACTATTTTCTGTTTTGTCATCTTCACAGAATCTGCATAGACCCCACCTCAATCCTTGCATTGCTGAAAGTTATTTCACGTGCTTCCACTTGAAATCCAACCACCTACCATCCCATCCCTTTTGTATTGCTGTTCCTTACCACAGTTTTATTTATGCAATAACATCTATCACCTTCTAGTAAACAAACTTATTTGTTTTTCTTGTTTACTTCTTCCTTCTAGAACATAAGTTGCTAAGAGCCAGGGGTTTAGCCTGTTATATTTATTAAGGACTCTGTAGCACATAGAATAGTACTTGACACATATTATACTTTTAGAACATCCTTACTAAATTAATTAATGGGCAGGTAGAGTGCTGGGGTTCTAGGATGTCAGAAAAGATGACCAAATAAAAGAAGTCTATGCATCCCCAAATCCCAATAAAATTGTCTGGAATTAAAAGTAGGTATCAAACATTGTAGGAGTATTACTGCATTGCAATATAATTGATGTGGAAAAATATTTGTGGCTTATTATTTTTTCAATGATTCCTATAGGATAAGAGGTAGGCCCATTAAAACTGGAATAATGTGTCTAGATGATCATAGGTGACTTTATTTAATTAATTTATTTTTAAATTATTTTTAGTTCTGGGGTACATGTGCAGGATATGCAGGATTGTTACATAGGTAAACATGTGCCATAGTGGTTTAGTGCACCTATCAACCCATCACCTAGGTATTAAGCCCAGCAGGCATTAGCCGTCCTTTCTAATACTCTCCATCCCCCAACCCTACCTCCAGACAGGCCCCAGTGTGTGTTGTTCCCCTCCCCATGTCCATGTGATCCCGTCATTCAGCTCCCATTTATAAGTGAAAACATGCAGTGTTTTGTTTTCTGTTCCTGTGTTTGTTTGCTGAGGATAATGACTTTCAGTTTCATCCATGTTCTGCAAAGAACGTAATCTCATTCCTTTTTATGGCTGAATAATATTCCATGGTGTATGTGTACCACATTTTGTTTATCCAGTCTATCATTGATGGGCATTTGGGTTGATTCCATGTCCTTGCTATTGTGAATAGTGTTGCAGTGAACATACGTGTGCATTTATCTTTGCAATTGAATGATTTATATCCCTTTGGATATATACCCAGTAATGGGATTACTGGATCAAATGGTATTTCTGTTTCTAGATCTTTGAGGAATTGCCACACTGTCTTCCACAATGGTAGAACTAATTTACATTTCAACTAATGGTGTAAAAGTGTTCCTATTTCTCCACAACCTCACCAGTATCTGTTGTTTCTTGACTTTTAAATAATGGCCATTCTGAATGACATTAGATGATATCTCATTGTGGTTTTGATTTGCATTTCTCTAATGATCAGTGATGTTGAGCTTTTTTTCATATGTTTGTTGGCTGCATACATGTCTTCTTTTGAGAAGTGTCTGTTCATGTCCTTTGCCCACCTTTTAATGAGGTTGTTTGTTTTTTTCTTATAAATTTGCTTGAGTTCCTTGTAGATTCTTGATATTAGACCTTTGTCATATGAATAGATTGCAAAGATTTTCTCTCACTCTGTAGGTGGCCCGTTCACTCCAGTGATAAATTATTTTGCTGTACAGAAGCTCTTTAGTTTAATTAGATCTCATTTGTCAATTTTGACTTTTGTTGTAATCGGTTTTGGTGTTTTCGTCATGAAATCTTTGTCCATGCCTATATCCTGAATTGTTTTTCCTAGGTTTTCATCTTTGGTTTTTATAGTTTTGGGTTTTCCATGTAAGTACTTAATCCATCTTGAGTTAAATTTTGTATCACTTGTGAGGGATGGGTCCAGTTTCAATTTTCTGCAAATGGATATCCAGTTATCCCAGCACCATTTTGTTGTAAAGGGAATCCTTTCCCCATTGCTTGTTTTTGTCAGGTTTGTCAAAGATCAGATGGTTGTGGATGTGCAATCTTATTTCTGAGTTCTCTATTCTGTTTCATTGGTCTATGTGTCTGTTTTTGTACCAGTACCATGCTGTTTTGGTTATTTTAGCCTTATAGCATAATTTGAAGTCTGTAGATTGATGCCTTCAGCTTTGTTCTTTTTGCTTAGGTTTGTCTTGGCTATACGAGCTATTCTTTGCTGCCATCTGAATTTTAAAATAGTTTTTTTCTAATTCTGTGAAGTATGTCTATGCTCAGAATCACACAACTACACGGAAATTGAATGACCTGCTCCTGATGACTCCTGGGTAAATCATGAAATTAAGGCAGAAATGAAGAAGTTCTTTGAAACCAGTGAAAACAAAGAGACAATGTACCAGAACCTCTGGAACACAGCTAAAGCAGTGTTGAGAGGGAAATTTATAGCACTTAATGCCCACATTAAAAAGCTAAAATGCTAGAAAGGTCTCAAATCTCAACATCCTAGCATCACAACTAAAAGAACTAGAGAACCAAGAACAAACAAACCCCAAAGCTTGCAGAATACAAGAAATAACCAAAATCAGAGTGGAACTGAAGGAGATAGAGACACAAAAAAACCCTTCAAAAAATCAAAGAATTCAGGGGCTGTTTTTTTGAAAAAATTGATAAAACAGATAGACTGCTAGCTAGACTAATAAAGAAGAAAAGAGAAAAAAGTAAAATAAAAAATGATAAATAAATAAATAAATAATAATAGAGGGGATATCACCACTGGCCTCACAGAAATACAAACTAATATCAGAGAATACTTTAAACAGCTATATTCAAATAAGCTAGAAAATCTAGAATAAATAGATAAATTCCTGGACACATACACCCTCCCAAGTCTGAACCAGGAAGAAGCTGAATCCCCGAATAGACCCATAACAAGTTCTGAAATTGAGGCAGCAATACATATCCTACCAATAAAAAAAAGCCCAGTACCAGATGGATTTACAGCAGACTTCTACCAAAAATACAAAGAGGAGCTGATGCCATTTCTTCTGAAACTATTACAAACAATTGAGAAGGAGGGACTCCTTCCTAAGTCATCCTATGAGACCAGCATCATCCTGATACCAAAACCTGGCAGAAATACAACAGAAAAAGAAAACTTCAGGCCAATATCCATGATGAACATTGATGGAAAATTTCTCAATAATATACTGGCAAACCGAATCGAGCAGCACATCAAAAAGCTTATCCAGGCCGGGCAGGGTGGTTCACACCTGTAATCCCAGCACTTTGGGAGGCCGAGGCAGGCGGATCACCAGGCGGGTGGAGGTCAGGAGATCAAGACCATCCTGGCTAACACGGTGAAGCCCTGTCTCTACTAAAAATACAAAAAAAATTAGCCGGGCGTGATGGTGGGCGCCTGCAGTCCCAGCTACTCGAGAGGCTGAGGCAGGAGAATGGCGTGAACCCGGGATGCGGAGCTTGCAGTGAGCCGAGATCGTGCCACTGCACTCCACCCTGGGCGACAGAGCAAGACTCCGTCTCAAAAATAAATAAATAAATAAATAAATAAATAAATAAATAAATAAGCTTATCCACCAGGATCAAGTTGGCTTCATTCCAGAGATGCAAGGCCAGTTCAACATATGCAAATCAATAAATAAACAGATCTAAAGACAAAACCTGCATGATTATCTCAATAGATGCAGAAAAGGCCTTTGATAAAATTCAACATCCTTTCATGTTAAAAACTCTCAGTAAACTAGGTATTGAAGGAATACATCTCAAAATAATAAGAGCTGTTTATGACAAACCCACAGCCAATATCATACAGAATGGGCAGACGTTGGAAGCATTCCCCTTGAAAACTGGCACACGACAAGGATGCCCTCTCTCACCACTCCTATTCAACACAGTATTGGAAGTTCTGTGCAGGGCAATCAGGCAAGAGAAAGAAATAAAGCGTATTCAAATAGGAAGGGAGGAAGTCAACATTTCTTTGTTTGCAGATGACATGATCCTATATCTGGAAAACCCCATCATCTCAGCCCAAAAGCTTCTTAAGCTGATAAGCAACTTCTGCAAAATCTCAGGATACAAAATTAATGTGCAGAAGTCACAAGCATTTCTATACACCAACACCAGGCAAGCAGAGAGTCAAATAATGAGTAAATTCCCACTCACAATTGCTACAAAGAGAATAAAATACCTAGGAATACAGTTAACAAGGGAAGTGAAGGACCTCTTCAAGGAGAACTACAAACCTCTGCTCAAGGAAACCAGAGAGGACACAAACAAATGGAAAAAATATTCCATGCTCATGGATAGGAAGAATCAATATTATGAAAATGGCCATATTGCCCAAAGTAATTTATGGATTCAATGGTATTCCCATTAAGCTGTCATTGACATTCTTCTCAGAATCAGATTATTTTAAATAGCTAAGTTGAAGATGTTCAATGCTAACGAGTCAAGAGTAACTCCTATATCATCTGAGGAGAGTTAGACATATAGATAAAATTCTATTAAGTTTGAATCTTGGTCTCAGGTCAGGAACCATCCAAAATTGGTTTATATCCATTGATCAATTACTTACTCAACACCTAACATGTTCCCAGTACGGTTTTGAGGAATTGGATACGCTATGAGAACACATACACACACACACACACACACATGTGATCATATAAAAGACACGTGTACAAGTCAGGAAAATAAAACAAGTGCTATCACACATGTGACATGCTATGGGATATAAGGGAGGTAGCTGCTGGAGTTGGCAGGAAGGATTCACAGTGGAGATGGCATTCATGCCGAGTCTTGAAGGCTGAGCAGGAATTTTCCAGATGGAGACAAGTGAGAGTTCATTAGAGAAAAAGGGAGCAGCATGTATATCAACACAGAGGAGTTTCAGGGTGAGATCTGTTTGGAAGAGGGAACAATTTTCTTTGCAGAGTCTGGAAGTTCAGCATGGAGAACTAAGGAATGAGTTGGCAGATGTGGAATTAGAGCAGTGGGAATTACTCTCTTTTCCACCACATTCGTTCATGTGAATACTTGAGTCTTTAATGTTTACCAGGTACTGGTGCTGTCCTAGACATCATCTGAGATGTTGGATAAATAATGACAAAAACACACAGTAACCCTGACCTAAAAGGGCACGTGTCCTAATGCAGGTGAGGTGTGTGTGTGTGTGTACGGGGGTGTTTGGTGTGTGTGTCTGTGTGTGTGTGGTGTGCATGTATGTGTGGTGTGTGTAGTGTGTGTATGTGTGTATTATTTGTGTATATATGTGGTGTGTGTGGTGTGTGTAGATGTGTGATATGTGTGTATGCATGTGATGTGTGTTTGATGACTTTGTTGTGCTGTGATGTGTATATGTGTGTGATAAATGTGTGTGTATGTGTGTGGTGTGTGTATGTGTGTGGGTGGCATGTGTATGTGTGTGCTTGTGTATGTGTGTGGTGTGTGTGATGTGTGTATGTGTGTGTATTCATGTGCTTGTATATGTGTGTGGTGTGTTGTGATGTGTGTATATATGTGCATGGTGTGTGTATATGTGTATGTGTGTGGCATGTATACATATGTGCTTTATGTGTGTGGTGTATTTTGTGGTATTTGCATATGTGTGTATGGTATGTGTATGTATGTGGCATGTGTACATGCATGCTTGTATCTGTGTGTAGTTTGTGTGATGTATGTGGTGTGTGTATGTGAGTATGTATGAAGGACAAAGGGAGTGGACACAGCACATGCATGTTAAGGGCCAGAGCTGCAGGAAGGGGAGTTTGAAATATTTCACTTCATCCTTCTTGGAACAATGGCAAAGACTGGGTGAGAATCAGGTAGAGATAAGCAGCACTGTGCAGTGAGACCCCTGGTGCATCATCCTGAACACATAATGTGCTCTGCTTACAGAATCTTGGAAATGTTATATGGAAGAGAATGGTAGGTCTAAAATGTACCAGTTAGAGAGTCTCCACTGTTTTTAGAAGAAAAACTGAGTTGGAGAAATTAATAGGGTTCAAGGTGACCAGAAATTCAGGAACAGTAAGGACCAATGTTTCCATTGGGTCTATTATGAAAACTTTTGGGCCTGGCACCATGGCTCATGCTTGTAATCCCAGCACTATGGGAGGCCAAGGTGGGCAGATTGCCTGAGGTCAGGAGTTCGAGACCAGCCTGATCAACATGGAGAAACCCTGTCTCTACTGAAAATAAAAAATTAGCTGGGTGTGGTGCCACACCCCTGTAATCCCAGCTATTCGGGAGGCCGAGGCAGGAGAATCACTTGAATCTGGGAGGCGGAGGTTGTGGTGAGCCGAGATCGCGACATCGCACTCCAGCCTGGGCAACAAGAGCGAAACTTCGTCTCAAAAAAAAAAAAAAAGAAAGAAAACTTTTGGGGACAAATTGTAGAAAATGTGGGATGATGAAGGTTTTATTCAGTGGCCAGGGCCATAACATAATAGAATATTTTAGAAAGATAAATCCAGGAGGATGAATGGGGGTTGGAGTTTTGCTCAGTGAGGTGAGGTCTAGCAAATGCCAACATGGATCTGAATGACAGGTACGGCAGTGGGATGAGCTGATGGAATAAAGAATCAGTTTTGTGCTGTTAAAAATAGATTATAAGAATTTCTGTGGCTTTGAGCCTTAAAACGAAGAAATCCCAACACAATTGTTCAAATTTCTGGCAACATTGAGTTATCCAAGTATAATCCAACTTCTGAGGATCAAAATTATTTGTTGTTTGTTTGTGTATTTAGAACACAGAAACAATAGAAGACAAAGAATAAGAAAAATATATGCTATAGAAAATAAATGCAATGAAAAGAGTACACTGAAACCTCAAATGTAAAACTGGAAGAAAAAGAAATGATTGTAAGTTTGAGGTGGGTCCTGAAAAAAAACAAAAGGTATTTCCTCGATTGATTTTACAGTTTCATCTAAAATATAACTGAGAAGGAAATGAAGTCCAAGTTATGCTTCTGGTACCTTACAATGACATTCAGTGGGTACATCACCATCCGAGGTCTATAACTCAGGGGACAAGAAATACATGATGAGAGATTTGCAAACATGTCAGATAAGAAATTGACAATTGGAGTAGCTGTGGGTATGGGCTGAAAGTGACATTCCTAGCACCTCTGCAAGCATGAGGTGCAAGATAAGAGGAGAACCAAGTCGCTCAGTGACACTCTGCTAACTCATGGATCAATCTCAGCCACCAGCAAGGTTGTGACTGACAGCTGCACTCTGGGGATACACTAGTGTTAGAAAGCCAGAGACTTTGAAAGAAAGCAACCTTAAAGCGGGTGAATGGGTTAGAAACATAGCTACTAAAGCACAGAAGTAAATAATCCCCAAATTGCTCACCATAAAACACAGTACAAACAATTGTATTTGTGTTTTATTTATGAAAGCAGTTATCCACCATTAACCCATTCATTTTTCTTTGAATGATTTTAACATGGAGCTAGGAGGGGAATGAAACTAACATTTGTTGAGCACATGAGAATTTCATGAGAATTTGTCTTCTGCACACCACTCAAAATTTTCAGTGAGATTTCCAAAACCATGAAATGATGGTTGTGAGTGGATTTCTATGTGACCTGGAGAATAGGCTGAGTAGTTGATGACAGGCAAATCCAGGACATAAGAAAACAATGCACATAGACCCAGTGAGTTGGGCGCAGAGGCTGTCCTGACACTGTTGATTGGTTGGGACAATCTGAAATTAGAAGAGGTTTTCAGACTTTTCTAGGCTGTGGAAATTGGGAGATCCAAAGAGACTGAGGAATTTAAGGCATAAGAAAGCTGATCACTGATATAGAACTTAGGTTTACTATATGATAAAGAGAGAGTGGGCAGACATAACATAGATTATGCCAAAAAACACTGAGACAACCAGAAATGAGGCACCATTCTTGACTCCTCCCTTTTCTTCTCTGCAATAGGCTCTCTTCTTTCTTTTTTTTTTTTTCTTTTTTGAGAAAGAGTCTCACTCTGTCACCCAGGCTGGAGTGCAATGGCATGATCTCAGCTCACCGCAACTACCGCCTCCCAGGTTCAAGCAATTCTCTGCCTCAGCCTCCCGAGTAGCTGGGATTACAGGCACACTCCACAACGCCCAGCTAATTTTTGTACTTTTAGTAAAGACAGGGTTTCACCATCTTGGCCAGGCTGGTCTTGAACCCCTGACCTCGTGATCCACCCACCTTGGCCTCTCAAAGTGCTGGGATTACAGGCGTGAGCCACCACTCCCGACCTGCAATAGGCTCTCTTAGTTGTCATTTTCCCCATCTCCCCTGCCTCTGCTCTGGTCTTGGCTACCATCTTCCTTCACCTTGAAATGCTTGACCAGTTCCTCTGCCTCTTCTCTTGGCTACCTATAATACATTTTCCACACAGAAAAAAAAAAAAAATCCGATAGCTTCAGATTTGTGCTTATAAAATAATCTGGACCCTACCTTGACATTTACATGCCCGCCCCCATCCCTGCCTGCTCTAGGCTTTGCCTATCCACAGAAAATCATCAGCCTCACCCTCCACCCTCATCCACTAGCTTCCATTCACACTACCTGTAGCGCCTAACACATACTCAGCTCTTTCCTGAGTATTACATGTAATCTTTCCAGAGATTACATGTAATCTCTGTACATGCAGTTCCCTTTGCTGAGACATATTTATTTCTATTTTTCTAATGACCTTTTCTTTTTTATTATTTATTTATTTATTTATTTATTTATTTTATTTATTTTTCTTTTTGGTGTGGAAGGATGTTGGCTGGGTTTCATAAATCTGTCTCCACATGAGGATGGAAGATATGTAAGGGCAAGAACAAACGGTGTCTGTGTTTTTAAAAAAATGAAATTCCCAGTGCCTAGCGAAGTATCTGGCACAGATAAGGTGATCCATAAACTTTAGTTGTATGACGCACTGACTGAACAAATGAATGAATTACACTTTGATGGAGTGAGCTGTCTACAGGATCTCAGAGAGATATGAATGTGGAATTATATGTAGCCAGAATTCACTTCTCTTTAGCCTGCCGCCATTTCTTCTTTGATGTATAGGGATATACTGCTTCCTTAGAAAATGAGCCATACAGGGCAACTGAAGCATTGCACACACTTGATTTGTGGCGGGAAGTTGGGAGGTACCATCCTGTACTGATGGCCCTAAGTAGGAGATAATGGCCAAGGCAGAGAAGCCCTTTGAGACAGAGGGCAAACTCATGGCAGGGATGGTGGGAAAGAGCAGGCTGATAAGCACAGAGCAAGGTCAAATGGAAAAAGCAGTTAAGCTACCTTAGTTCTGACACCCCAGGGAAAGTTCAACCTATTGGATAGAATGAAGTGGAAATCAAGAATTGCAGAGCTGAGATGATGGTAGCAAATTTAGAGCAGAGACTTTACAGGATGCCACCATAGAAAGAAAAAAGAAAAGAAAGAAAAAAGTGGGAACATGGTTCCAACTACTAAAAATGGTGTTTGCTGGAAAAAATCATGAAAGTGACCCTGTCAATTAGCTAGAGAAATGATCATGTTTAATAGAAGGCTCTGAAGTCTTGGGCTGATGTTGTTATTGGGGCAGAGAAGCCATGGTTAGACAGAAGTGACATGGGCTTCTTCTTCAGGACTTACGGTCAAGCAACTACATTTCTTTCCAAATCTTACTGGTTAGCAGAGTGAAATCCCATTATATTCTGCCATTGAGTCTCAGGAGCTGCCTAGGAGATTGCAGTCACTGGCAGTCTCTGCAGATATCCTAGATAGGACAGGGTGCTGATATGAGCACTTCTATGTATTGAACATTTAAGTCACTTAATATATTGTAAAATATTTTCCCTCTGACAAAAACAAATATCAATCAAATCAAATTAAATATATAAATGTTATAGTGATTAAAATGTGTATAGACTACATTAAAAAAAAAAGGCCAAACTACACACCCTGGTACTGCCTTTTGGTTGTGTAAGCTGATTTGTTAGGGTCATCTCCTTCAATGGTAATTATTAAATAAATATAAAAACTGGCTGGGCGTGGTGGCTGGCACCTGTAATCCCAGCACGTTTGAAGTCAAGGCGGGTGGATAACCTGAGGTCAGGAGTTCAAGACCAGCATGGCCAATGTGGCAAAACCCTGTCTCTACTAAAAATACAAAAATTAGCTGGGCATGGTGGCATGCACCTGTAATCCCAGCTACTCCGGAGGCTGAGGCAGGAGAATTGCTTGAACTTGAGAGGCAGAGGTTGCAATGATTGTTTTATTGCCTACGTAACAGTGATTTATGCAATCATACTGAAAGCTTTTAAAGCATGCAGTTAAAAGTATGTTATGATTCAGTTAAAGTATGTTATGATATATTACTCAAAAGTAAATAATCACGCTACCTGACTTCAAACTATACTACAAGGCTACAGTAACCAAAACAGCATGGTACTGGTACCAAAACAGAGATATAGATCAATGGAACAGAACAGAGCCCTCAGAAATAACGCTGCCTATCTACAACTATCTGATCTTTGACAAACCTGACAAAAACAAGCAATGGGGAAAGGATTCCCTATTTAACAAATGGTGCTGGGAAAACTGGCTAGCCATATGTAGAAAGCTGAAACTGGATCCCTTCTTTACACCTTATACAAAAATTAATTCAAGATGGATTAAAGACTTAAACGTTAGACCTAAAACCATAAAAACCCTAGAAGAAAACCTAGACATTACCATTCAGGACATAGGCATGGGCAAGGACTTCATGTCTAAAACACCAAAAGCAATGGCAACAAAAGCCAAAATTGACAAATGGGATCTAATTAAACTAAAGAGCTTCTGCACAGCAAAAGAAACTACCATCAGAGTGAACAGGCAACCTACAAAATGGGAGAAAATTTTCGCAACCTACTTATCTGACGAAGGGCTAATATCCAGAATCTACAATGAACTCAAACAAATTTACAAGAAAAAAAACAAACGACCCCATCAAAAAGTGGGCAAAGGATATGAACAGACACTTCTCAAAAGAAGACATTTATGCAGCCAACAGACACATGAAAAAATGCTCATCATCACTGGCCATCAGAGAAATGCAAATCAAAACCACAGTGAGATACCATCTCACACCAGTTAGAATGGCGATCATTAAAAAGTCAGGAAACAACAGGTGCTGGAGAGGATGTGGAGAAATAGGAACACTTTTACACTGTTGGTGGGACTGTAAACTAGTTCAACCATTGTGGAAGTCAGTGTGACGATTCCTCAGGGATCTAGAACTAGA
Organism: Homo sapiens; assembly: GCF_000001405.40. Lineage (NCBI taxonomy): Eukaryota > Metazoa > Chordata > Mammalia > Primates > Hominidae > Homo > Homo sapiens. The sequence goes on along the minus strand of NC_000014.9, from coordinate 86,878,885 downwards.
AATACCATTTGACCCAGCCATCCCATTACTGGGTATATACCCAAAGGACTATAAATCATGATGCTATAAAGACACATGAACACGTATGTTTATTGCGGCACTATTCACAATAGCAAAGACTTGGAACCAACCCAAATGTCCAACAATGATAGACTGGATTAAGAAAATGTGGCACATATACACCATGGAATACTATGCAGCCATAAAAAATGATGAGTTCATGTCCTTTGTAGGGACATGGATGAAATTGGAAATCATCATTCTCAGTAAACTATCGCAAGGACAAAAAACCAAACACCGCATGTTCTCACTCATAGATGGGAATTGAACAATGAGAACACATGGACACAGGAAGGGGAACATCACACTCTGGGGACTGTTGTGGGGTGAGGGGAGGGGGGAGGCATAGCATTAGGAGATATACCTAATGCTAAATGACGAGTTAATGGATGCAGCACACCAGCATGGCACATGTATACATATGTAACTAACCTGCACATTGTGCACATGTACCCTAAAACTTAAAGTATAATAATAAAAAAGTAAATAATATATATTCACTTTTATATAAGAAAATATGTCTCAGACTTTATATTGTAATTGAAAATTTTCTAAAGATTTTCTTAACCTATCTCATTTTATTATGTTTAAATCTTATTATAAAATAATTTTAATTGCGATTTTAAAAAATCAAGGTAAATTTTTATGTGTCATAACCATATTTAAATGACCATTGTGAATTTCTATTTCAAAACAGTTAAATACACGGTCCAATTAGAATGACTCGTTCTGAAAGTACAAGGAAGCATAAAATGAAAATAGACATACTGTATGTAGTTTTGGGTCTCAAAACATGTACAGCCATCTCTTTTTCTTCCACATGTATATGTGTATATCTATTTATTGCATATTACATGTATGTATATACCTATACATTACATATATATGTATACATGTATATTTATGTAAATATAAAATATCCTTTATACCTCTTCATACCTCTGACAACTTTTGGAAGCACGTAATTGATTACCTCCTGAAATCTCTGGGTAGAATAGTTACATGTTAGGCGGCACTTTTCATGATTTGGGTAAATAATCCAGGTTTCCATGATGAATACTCTAAGATTTGGAAAAAAACTGGAAAATATTAAAGTGATAATATCACTAAACAATTCTAATCATTGTTTTATCTTTTTTTTTTTTTTTGACGGTGTTTTGCTCTTGTTGCCCAGGCTGGAGTGCAATGGTGCGATCTCTGCTCACCCCTACCTCTGCCTCCCGGGTTCAAATGATTCTCTGCCTCAGCCTCCCGAGTAGCTAGGTTTACAGACATGCACCACCATGCCTGACTAATTTTGTATTTTTAGCAGAGATGGGGTTTCTCCATGTTGGTCAGGCTGGTCTTGAACTCCCGACATCAGGTGATCTGCCCGCCTCGGCCTCCCAAAGCGCTGGGATTACAGGCATGAGCCACGGTGCCCGGCCCATTGTCTATCTTTTTTAAAACATCTGCCTTCATTTCTTTTATCCCAGACTCCTTGGTCACATGTTGCTTTTCTGAGGCACATGGATTAACTCTGAGTTCTTTCGTATATAGTTTGTCTTTAGGCCAGATGAAATTAAAATGCCCTTTAGAGTACATGGGTGATATTAAACCACCTCTGTAGATATTGTGAATTCCAAAATAATCTAAAACTTTGGATAAAAAAGAGTATTTACAAGTCTTCTATTTATTTTCCAAGTTGGAATTCATTTAAAGCATTAATATAAAATCGAGCTCAATTTTGGAATAATGAATACAGCTGAATTAGCTCTGAGACTGTGTAGTAAATGCAGAAAATTTAAAAGATTGCAATTTTCTATCCCTATTTCAACATGTGCTTCTATACATAATTGCCAGATGAATTATATTTAAGAGACAAATAGAAGTATAAGCAACAGTTAATATTTCACAGCAACTTTTTCAATTTTATATTGTTTCAGACAGATAATGAAACAAAAAGAGGTATTTCAACTTTAAGAGTTTTGTTTCTCATTCTGAATTCATATTCCAAGCTTTCAGAAATATTTCACTAAATGGAGAATTCTGTGAAATTTAAGAAAGGAAAAAATAATAAGGAGATAATTTAAAGCAAACCAATTGAGGGAAAAAAGTATTTGCACACAACTCTTAAAGATTCCGTATCTTAGGTACACCAATTTTTCCAACTTCTAGTCTGCCAATGCGAGACAAATTCATAAAGAACGGCATTCAATCTTTACTCTTCGAAGAGATGTCAGATTTTTGTTTGAATACCTCACTGCAGGAAGCTGTAATGTCTACATTAAAATTGTTTTCATTAGTTAGCTAGATTGTATAGATTGCATATGACTTAGATGGCCTAGAGGAAGACTAAAAATTTGATTACTTAACTAAGTAATATACAAATAGAACAATGTTGCACAAATTTTGCTATTTTTAATACAGTCCTATGAGAGGTACCATTTTATGGCACATACCCCTCAAATTTTTCTTACAGTCAGAAACATCCAAGCTTCATTTTAAAAAAATTAATGACATGAAGCATATAGTGAAAGATAACTTCATAATAATGAAGTTTCATGGATCATAGAAAATTCATGGAGTCCTCTATGCTTGGGGTAGAAAAACAATGAGGACTCATAGACTCTGGTTGTAATTACATCACTAATGGCATGTTTTATGTGCATTTATCAGGTAAAATTATTTTCTGATACATTGTAAATTTTCTCTTTGATTTATAGATAGCTTATTTCTTCTGATTCTGTTCATTGACTTTTACTTAATAGCATCATAAAATGTTCACCAAGACATGCTAATCTTCCATATGGAACATTTTAGTCGATTGCACAAGTCTTTATTATACATATATAGAATTCAACTTGGTGAGTCCATGCCAAGTGAATAAGCACCAGATTAGGTACATGGTTAAGTGTATTAATAGTCATTTTTCACTTCTTTTATTTTATTAACATTCAGAATAAAATAAAAGTATATTTGGAAATAAAATGTATTTCTCCTATTTATACAGACATTTTAATTTTAAGTTATAAGATGCAGCTTTATATTTTACACAAAATAGTAACCAGTTGACTGTCTTCTGTGGAGTTAAAAAACAAACACTGATTTTTTAGCTCAGACTATGTGAGAATGGAAACTGAGCGTTGAGGGTAAACATAGTGTATTGTTCTCTAATCTAATATGGGCTGAAACATTCCTCTTGACTCTTCACATGTTGCTCTTGGAAATATATATCCACAGGTATGTCTTTAAGTGTCAAATAGTGATAAGATTGACAACATCTGGAGAAAATATTTAGGAATATGACATTTATATTTTTAACAAAAGTGCAATGCTATTGCAATGTAAACAGCAAGCAGTTGGGAAAATGGCCCTGAGTATTGCTATTATTTCTCTTACTTAAAATAAAATGTGAACTTTTATGGTGAAGTGTTTTCATTGCACACTCTTACAAGGATAAACTTAACATACATATTTTTGGTATTTGTTAAATATAAGTGTGTGTTAATGAACTTTAATTTGCATTCTGGTATATCTCAAATTCATGAGATCACAACATGTTATCGTGAAATTCTAACCTATAGAAAAATTATTTAGGAGAATTATATTCTTTTCCCCAAGTAAAGAAAAAAGAAAGAGGCCGGGCGCGGTGGCTCACGCCTGTAATCCCAGCACTTTGGGAGGCCGAGGCGGGTGGATCATGAGGTCAGGAGATCGAGACCATCCTGGCTAACAAGGTGAAACCCCGTCTCTACTAAAAATACAAAAAAGTAGCCGGGCGCGGTGGCGGGCGCCTGTAGTCCCAGCTACTCGGGAGGCTGAGGCAGGAGAACGGCGTGAACCCGGGAAGCGGAGCTTGCAGTGAGCCGAGATTGCGCCACTGCAGTCCGCAGTCCGGCCTGGGCGACAGAGCGAGACTCCGTCTCAAAAAAAAAAAAAAAAAAAAAAAAAGAAAAAAGAAAGAATATACACAATAAAATAATCAATATTGTGAGCATTATATTAATGTCAAACACAGAAATTATCATTGAGAGAACCCCTTATTTTCTCATCTTTGGCTTAAAAACCTTTACCTCCGCCGGGCGCGGTGGCTCATGCCTGTAATTCCAGCACTTTGGGAGGCCGAGGTGGGCAGATCACGAGGTAAAGAGATCGAGACCATGCTGGCCAACATAATGAAACCCCGTCTCAACTAAAAATACAAAAAATAGCCGGGCGTGGTGGTGTGCGGCTGTAGTCCCAGCTACTCGGGAGGCTGAGGCAGGAAAATCCAGGAGAAACCAGGAGGCGGAGGTGGCAGTGAGCTGAGATCGCGCAGTGAGCCGAGATCACACTACTGCACTCCAGCCTGGCGACAGAGCGAGACTACATCTAAAAAAAAAAAAACGCTTTACCTCAATATCTAAAGCTGCCTGTCAGTGAAATAGTTGGGCTGCTTTAATTAAGTACAGAACCATCAAGCTGACACTTTCAGATTGAATCCATGGGAAATAATTACAGTTTAACATTCCTAATTTATTATGTGAGGTTTGTAATAGTTACAAGATCATCTTAGCATTGTAAAGTTTAGAGAGGAAAAAAAGTCCTCGCGTACTCTATTCTACAGTATTTTATTTTACAGCAATGCAAAATCTTTTTTTTAACTCTGTGCCATTCAATATTTCAAATAGTTTCTCAGTGAAGGCTGTCTTTACCAACTTTCTCACACTGATGTGCAACAGAATAAAGGTTTCACTCTTTGATGGTGTTGTGATTTATTTATTTTTTTAAAAAATGTGTTTAGAAATTTTTTGGTCCCAGTATTTCTATAGACAGGAAAACTCCAAAGGAAAAATGTCTAAGTCACTTCTGCACTCCAAATCTCTGCTCTGAGTGTCTGACTTATTAGACATCAACACTCTCAACTCATATGTCATGGCCTTTAGATTCCAACTTGTCTACAATTGAAATCATTCCTCTGTCATTGACAGCAGTCCTGCTCCAGCCGTTGTTTGTTGTCTCAAAGAATAGTACCATCTTCCCAGTGTCCCAATCATCCTTAACCTGCATCCATCACGTCCATTTACATCCTTCATATCACCAATTCCTGCATTTTAAAAATCCCGAATATTTTCTATATTCAGCCTCTTCTTCTACCCAGCCCTGCGTGCTATTCTCTTAGTTAAGACTTTTGCACTTGAATCTTCACTCTCTGCCCCCATCCTCGCCTCTCTTAAATCCATGCTTCATCCTTCAGTCATAGTAAACTTCATGTTCAGTGGTTGTCAAACTATGGCCATGGCCCCAAACCAGTCAGCCACCTGTTTTTGTAAATAAAGCTCTATTAGAACACATTCATGCTCATTTGCTTATGTATTTGTCTATGGTTTCTTTGTACTATAAAGATGACATTGAATAAGTAACCCCAAAAACCTAAAATATTTACAATCTGCCTTTTACAGAAAAAGGGTGCTGATCCTGGTTCTAAATCATCTAGTTTCCTATCTTAAAATCTTACATTGTCGTCAGGATAGAAGACCCACATCAACCTTCAGTCTCAGTTCTCAGCACTCCCCTGTTCAAAATCTGGGTCCCGGCCATTCCATAGACATCAATCCCTACCCTCACAGGTTCCAAGCATCAGCTATTGTGAGTTTGGCAAACTACTTCTCATTTTGCACAGCTGGTATCAATATTTCTGTTTATGGACAATTTCCCTTGGCCCTGGAAGTCTGAGGTATACGCCCCTAATACATAGATCTAGAGCTTTCTGCACTTGCCCCCATCAAAGTACATATTAAACTGCAATCAACTTAATTTGTTTGCCTCTCTGCTAAACTGCGTCTCAGATGACTAACAGAGTACCTGACCTACAGCAAGCAATGAGAAATGTTTGCTCCACGAAGGAATAAATGCTGTTTGTGTCCTTTTCTTAAAAGTTCCACACAGTAAACCATAATGATACTTTTTTTTTTTTTTTTTTTTTTTGGACACAGGATCTTGCTCTGTCATTCTGCTTGAGGGCGGTCACCTGACCTTGGTTCAGGCAGCCTTGATGTCCAGGGCTCAAGGGTTCCTCCCATCTCAGCCTTCTAAGGAGCTGAGGTTACAGGCACACACCACCACACCCAGCTAACTTTTTTTCTTTCCTTCCTTTCTTTCTTTCTTCCTTTCTTTCTCTCTTTCTTTCTCTCTCTTTCTTTCTTTCTTTTTCTTTCTTCTTTCTCTCCTTCCTTCCTTCCTCCTTCCTTCCTTCCCTCCTTCCCTCTTTCCTTCTTTCTTTCTTTCTTTCCTTTTCTTTCTTTTTTTTTTTTTTTTTTGCTAGAGATGTATTTTTCACCATGTTCCCCAGGCTGGTCTTGAAGTCCTGGCCTCAAGCAGTCTCCTCACCTTGGCCTCCCAAAGCGCTGGGATTACAGGCATGAGTCACCACACCCAGCCAATGATACTTATTTTAAAATATTTAGTTCCAGTATCCTGAAAAGTATACTGATATCATATTAAGATGTAGGTCTGCCTTGGGCATGTTAAACAAATGCAATAACAAATAATATTGTAGAGTATTTGAAAAACAATTTCTAAAGTGTTTTCCTGTGTTTTTCATTGGATTGTTTCTTAAAACAGCTCTGTGTTGCCAGTCCTATATATCCCTTAGGATGTGCCCCCCAGAAATGATATAAAAATGACTCAGAGAATTGATGCCATAGATTCCTGCAATTCATGAACTTGGGGCATGGAGTAAAATAAAAATATATTGTAGTAAAAGTTAATTTTCAAGTTCAGCAGCATTAGATTCTCTTATTTGTTGGAAATTTATCCAAGGGTCCATTTTCTTTTATTTTTATCTGTAGTTCAATTTCCTGCTGTTTTTAGATATGTTTCATTCTTCTGTTTGAAGGCAGAAAAGAAATTGTTTTACTCTATTATTTTCCTCGAATACTGAAGGCTAGGAATATATTTTCTCCATGATGTGACCTTCTAAAAATAACAACTTTTTTTTGTGTTGTCTCAAGTTTCCTATACCTGAAGCAAGTTTTAAACCATGAATTTTCCTATTTTGTGATGTAATAATTTTTAACCGAATCTAGTTTAAATTGAGATATTGTGTCAGTTCTATAAAAAAATACAAATACATACAGTTGATCCTCAATATTCAAATTCCACATGTGAAAATTTTTCAACTTGCTAAAATTTATTTCTAACCCCCAAATCAATATTCATGGTGCTTTCACGGTCATTCACGAACTCCTGCAAAATGGTGAAAAATTCAAGTCGCCTTACACATATGTTCCCAGCTGAGGTCCAACAAGGCTACACTCTGCCTTTCAGTTTCAGCTCTCACACTATAAACAAGCGTTCTTGTTCTTTCCAAAATCTATTTTGTGCCAAGTTTTTCACTTGTTTTTCTTTTTGTTGATTAGTTCACTTTTTTTTTTGAGACAGAGTCTTGCTCTGTCACCAGGCTGGAGTGCAGTGGCACAATCTCGGCTCACTGCAACCTCTGCCTCCTGGGTTCAAGCGATTCTCTTGCCTCAGCCTCCTGAGTAGCTGGGACTACAGGTGCGTGTAACCACGGCCGGCTAATTTTTGTATTTTTGGTAGAGACGAGCTTTCACCATGTTGGCTAGGCTGGCCTCAGACTCCTACCTCAGGTGATCCACCTGCCTTGGCCTTCCTAAGCACTCTTTAAAATAACTCCCAAGCACCCTGCTGAAGTGCTGTCTAGTTTGTCTTAAGCATAAGAAGGCTGAGATGTACCTTACAGAGAAAATATGTGTCTGAGCTTCTTTTAGTATGAGTTATAGTGTCATTGGTTATAAATTAAATAATGAATCAACAATATATGTGAAGTAAAGTGTCTTTAAACAGAAACACATACATAAAAGGTTAGATATGGATTAGTTAATGAAAATGTGACTAGAAGAAACCTAGCCACATATTTCCCTGACCAGGCCACTGGATGCCTAGATATTTGGTTAAATATTATTTCTGGATGTGTCTCTCTGGGTGTTTCCGGGTAAGATTAACATTTGAATCTGTAGACTGAATAAAAAAGATTCCACTTCAGAATGTAGGTGGGCCTCATCCAATACTTGAGGCCTGAATAGAATAAAAGGCTGTCTAAAAAAGAATTATTTCTCTCTGCCTGACTGTCTTCAAGCAGGGACATTGTTCTTCTCTTGCCTTTATACTTCGACTTGGACTGGAACTTACACCATTAGCTCTCCTGATTCTCAGGCTATCAGATTTGAACTGCAACTCTACCATCTGCTCTCCTGGTCTCCAGATTACTGGATGAAGATCTTGGATTTCTCAGCCTTCATAATTGCATGAGTAAATTCCTCATAGTAAATCTCTCTCTCTCTCTCTTTCTCTCTCCCTTTATATCAGTTTATTTATTCTGTTTCTTTAAAGAATCCAGACTAACACATTCCCCCATAAGCAGCAGTTCCTATTCACTAATTTAGTGTTTCCAGTGACTTTATAGAACGTAAGTAATAAAATCATGAGAATCACCTTTATATGTAAGATAATATAGATATTGTCTTACAACCTTTTATTTTGCTTAATATTGTAAGTATTAGGACTTAAAGATACCATATATTTTACTTAACCCTCTAATAAGGAAATCTTTCATGTAGGTAATTACATATCTACTCCATCACATCAGTGATTGCATAACATTTTATGGCATTGAAGTATCATAATATATTAACATCATATCTCCTAATTTTGGAGGTTGAAATATATTCCAATGTTTTCTATTAAAAAATCTTATATATTTATCCAGACACATTTCTTCAGGCAAGTTTCTAAAAGTGAAAATCCAGTGTCAGAATATTTAATATTTTGCTTTACTTTCAAAATTTTTATGTATATGTATATAATCAGAAATTGTGATAACTCATTTTCTCCAAAAATTTTTTTTTATCCTACATAATTCTTTTCTTTTCTTTTTGTTAAGTGGGTTGAAAAAAACATATTGCCTTGTTTTAATTTACAATTGATTGGTAATGTTGAGTAATTTTTAAGATACTGTTGTATGTGATTGTATTGGGGCATTTGCAAGGGCCTGTGTGTATGTAGCGTGTGTGTGTGTGTGTATGCGTGCATGCACATACGTGTTTGTGTGTGTGTTGCTTTGTGAGTCATTGTGAATGTTAGGAGCTCAGAGCATGTTTTTTTTTTTTTCACTGAAGTATACAGTTCCTCTTCAGTGAGACCAGCTGTGTCTGTTAGAGAGCTTCTTATTAGTAAATGATTTTATACAAAAAGAAAATCCTTTGTTATAAAAATTGCAAATATTTTTCTGAGTTATTTATTTGCCATTAACATGGCTTATGTTTTTCTGGCATTAAATAATTTTTGAATGTGTTTTCTATCAAATATATCAATATTTACCTTTCTTTCTTCTGCTGTGGCTTTGTACTTTACCATCCCTTAAATTTCTGCTCTGTTTGGGATATCTATTCCTGGTTTCCAGTGCTTTACTAATGTAAGTTTTATGTGTATTCTGCTGTATCAATGGGATTTGGTAAGGGAGGGAAGGTAAATTCACCTGCTTAGGATGGCATCTTGGATGGCAAGTACTAACACTATTTATTGCTCCTGTTTCTTACAGTATAATGAATGACATTACTGTTTTGTCGTTATTAAATTATTACTATATTCCTGGAATATACTCAAATTCATCATGGTATTATTTTAACACGATGCTAGATTTGGTTTGTTAATTTGTTTTGGGATTTTTGCATCTATATTTATGTAATATTGGTACACAACAACATAGATACACACTGAAGCTGTGTTTGGAAATGTTTGCACATAATTTTCTGTTTCTTCAGAGGAAATGATTGTAGTGTTGTCCAGATGTAGCTCCTCTTTATAGTGTTCTTAAAAATATATATGTATGTGTAAATAATGACCATCAGTCTAATGAGGTTTTCTAAATTAGTATTTGTATAAATGATTTTTTTGAGAATCGAACTTTTATTAATATTTATGCTCAGCATTAAGTACAGATGCTTTTCTTATTTGTCAATTATTTAATGAATTTACATAATAGTTTGAAATTTTATTAACATTTAACTGTGTTTTTAAAATTATTTTTAAATGTGTACATTGTCATTATCAATTTAATATTATTCAACAATCACATTTTTAGCAGATATTGTGTGCTGGAGTGTTTATGTACTTAATTCATTTAATTCTCATTACACACATATCATTTAACTTCTACTATTCCCATTTTAAAGATAACGAAAATGAGGCACAGAGAGATGAAGTAACTTTCCTAAACTCACAGAGTTAGGAAGTAGAGGAGCCAGTAGTTAACTAAGCTGTTACACTATGTTAAAACTAATCACTGCACTATCTTAAAAGGAAGCACACTTTTAAGAGGGGCAATTAAAAATTGCTATAAAAGCTTATATAGATAGTCCCTGACTTACAATGCTTCCACATAACAACTTTTTGACTTTACAGTGGTGCAAAGGTAATATACATTCAGTAGAAACTGCACTTTAAGTACCCATACAACCATCCTGTTTTTCACTTTCAGCAGCGTATTCAATAAATTACATGAGATCAACAACAGTTTATTATAAAATAGGCTTTGTGTTAGATGATTTTGCCCAACTGTAGGCTAATAAAGTGTTCTGAGTACATATAAGGTAGGCTATGCTAATCTATGATGTTCAGTAGGTTTGGCAGATTAGGCTCATTGCTTGCTTATGCTATTTTCAATTTATGATATGCTTATTGCAACATAACCCAATCATAAGTCAAGAAGCATCTGTGTGTATTTGCGTAAATATATATAAATATGTATATATATATATATATTTGTATATATAGGCACATATGTATGTGTATAAATATACGTCTCTATATCTATATGTATCCACAGTCTTCTCTTGGTATCCATGTGGGACTGATTCCGAGTTAGCCAGATCCAAAAATCCATGGATGCTCAAGTCACTTATGTAAAAAATAATATTTAGATATATCTTACAATCTCTCACATTCTTTAAATTATCTCTGGATTACTTGTAATACCTAAATGTGAATGCTATATAAATAGTTGCTATACAGTATTTTTAAATTTGTGTTATTTTTATTGTTATATTATTTTTATTGTTTTGTTTTTTCAATTATTTTCAGCCCATGGTTGGTTGAATCCAAAGACGTGGAACCAGCAAATACTAAGGGCCTACTGTGGACTTTTTCTTCTTTAAACTCTTTCCAGAAATCGTTTTGTTTTCCTAAATTTCTGAAAACAGCCCTATTTATTCAATTAAACCGTCATAATCTATTCTCAAGTAGTGGGATTTCCAGAGAGACAAAAAAAAAAAAAAATTAAACTTAAAAAGAAGAAAGAAAGAAAATGGGAAAAAATGCTTCACTTAAATAGAGAAAACTGCTTTAATTGATAACACCCTAGGCAGCAGCAGTTAGGAGCCCAGTGACCTTAAGTGCCACAAAGCCATTAAAAGTAATGAGCTGTGAGCTCAAGCCAATGACTGATGAAAAGCCAATGTCTGCTGGGGGCTCACGCCGTAACATCCAACATTAATGTATTAGTACCAGTAGATGAAACATGATGGATCCTAAATCTCATTTGCATAATGGATGAAGCTTGGGAAATAGTTCCAGATGGTGGGTGAGCACCTTGAGCCAAAAGGAGAATTTTCTTTTAAGCCTTAGCATATATAGGTCTAGTATGTTGAGGTACACGTAACGAAAAAAATAGAACAGATTTAAGAGACTGTGGACTTCTGAATGATGTGTTTTTCTTAAATTTGAAATAAAATTAGGCAAAACTTTTCCTGCAGGATCCAAATATGCTATACAAGGATCTTGTCTGGACTGATGAACTCCATCTCAAACCATCCTCGTTTCTAAGAAAATGGGTAATAAATTGGTTTTGTAAACTTTGCCTAAACTTATTTAAATCTCAATGCAGATGTATAAATGACTTACTTGTCTGTGTTTGGTGCGATTTTTCATTTCTGACAGTATTTGAATGAAAATCATATAGTGTGTTGAATCCACTATACACAGTCTAGCTTGTGAGGAAAAAAATTAATCCTTTTATGAGAGTAAATGTGGGCTTGATTTAGTTCTTTCATAAGGTTTTTTTCCAGTTTTTCTCTAGGTAGATGAAATGATCAGATATCAATTGTGTGTGTGTGTGTGTGTGTGTGTGTGTGTGTGTGTGTGTGTGTGTGATATTAGTTCTTTAGGTCTCTTTTTATGATAGCTGTGATTTATAACTTTCTTTATTTACACCCACAATCCCAGCATTTTGGGAGGCCGAGGCAGGTGGATCACCTGAGGTCAGGAGTTCGAGACCAGCCTTACCAACATGGTGAAACCCCGTCTCTACTAAAAATACAAAAATTAGCCAGGCATAGTGGCGGGTGCCTGTAATCCCAGCTACTTGAGAGGCTGAGGCAGGAGAATCGCTTAACCCGGGAGGTGGAGGTTGCAGTGAGCCAAGATCGCGCCATTGCACTCCAGCCCGGGCAACAAGAGCGAGACTCTGTCTAAGAAAACACACACACACACACACACACACACACACACAATTAAAATATATGTGCTGTGAGCAATATAGCCTAATGCAAAGTATTATGCAAATTCTGGGCTATCACTGATGACTAGGGACACAGCTGAAAAAAATCACATAGTAAGTAGCACCATACTCTTTCATTCTGCCACCAGGTTGCACTGGTCCTCTGCGGCAGCCTGCCTAGACAAACCCTCAACCCACACTAACCTTCTTGACAACTCCTACCCTTAAACAATAGAATCACTGCACTAAATAACATCCATTTCGCCTTCAGCAGTTTGCCTTACCCAGGGCACTTCAATCAAGTTATGACACTGATATCTTGATGTTTACCTAAATTCAGTTTGAGTCTTTTTATATCTCTTACTCTGGCAGTCTTTAAAGGTAATACATTATTTCCAGATTTTTACTAGTGGTGTGAAGTATAGCTTTCTTTTGAAAATCAAATCATCAAGACATTTTAAAAGCTATAAGAATTCTATCTCCCGTCGGGCGCGATGGCTCACGCCTGTAATCCCAGCACTTTGGGAGGCCGAGGCGGGCGGATCATGAGGTCAGGAGGTCCAGACCATCCTGGCTAACACGGTGAAACCCCGTTTCCACTAAATTACAAAAAATTAGCACGGCGTGGTGGCGGGCGCCTGTAGTCCCAGCTACTCGGAGGCTGAGGCAGGAGAATGGCGTGAACCCGGGAGGCGGAGCTTGCAGTGAGCCGAGATCGCGCCACTGTACTGCAGCCTGGACCACAGAGTGAGACTCCTTCTCAACAAAAACAACAACAACAAAATAAATAAATAAAAATAAAAAGAATTCTATCTCCTTCTCATAAATAAAGAAATTAAGAATGCTTTGATATTTTTAAAATATAACTATTTCAGCTTCCAAATGACCTGCGTTCACGCTCCCTCATTGTAGGGAGATGTTTAATAATTCTATCTTCCCTTTGTTCATAATATAACCTTACCAATCTGCCCATGACGCAGTTCCTTTTTCTCTTGGTCGCCCAGCGTGGTGGTCATTTTCACTTTGCTAGGGCTCTACTGAGTGCCTGACTAAAGCGACTCATTTGTTTCAAATCAGGAATAAGTCAGGTAAGATAATTAAGCCAAATATTTTAGCTCAAGGAATGAAACAAAATAAAGCAATTCCAAGAACTTGTATCCTAAGTGAAATAATGAGGGAACAGAAAACCAAAAACCACATATTTCCACTTATAAGTGGGAGCTAAACATTAGGTACTCATGGACATAAAGCTGGCAGCAATAGACCCCGGGGACAACTAGAGGGAGGAAAGATGTGAGGGGGAAGGACTGAAAAACTAGCTGTCGGGTACTATGTTCAGTATCTGGGTGATGGAATCATTTGCACCTGTAACCTAAATATCACACAATATACCCCGGTAACAAACCAATCTAAAATAAAGGTTAAAAAATGAAAAAAAAAATAGGCCCAAGTGCTGAGCTTTCTCTTTTGCAAACTACCGATTTCCAGTGAACTTCTCCACAAAGAACTGGGTCTCTACCTGGCTAAACACTGCCAGTCTATTACCAGTTATGTATTTGAAATAAAGACAAAAAAAAATAAGCAAAAGAAGCCATCGCCTTGAGTGGTCCAACCAGAAAAAAGTACCTGGCACAGGTGGTATCACATTCAGCACAAATTTCTCTTAAAATATGTAGCTGTGTTTGAAACAGTAGAAAAAAAGAAAGAAAGAAAGGAAATTGTAGGCATGTAGTCATTCCATGTAGCAAACAAGGCCTTGAGTGGTCCTTGTAAGATACTGTAAAGGTCATCATCTACTCCTGGGAACTAAATCCACCTGTTTCCATGTAATTTCAACATTGAGGAAATACTCTGGTCAAGCATGTATTTGTATAATAACTTAGGCGGATTAGGGCAGGAAATCCATTTTACAAAACACCTTAAGAAGTGTAGTATACTTTCCCTCCACACTCTGTGTTATCGAAGTCTGTGTCTCCTGCCTTTAGTATTCATCACTGAAAATTCTACTAAACCATGAAGATGTCCTCTATAGCAACATTACTGTCTTCATTTAAACTGCCATGTTGTATCACCTGGAAACTTATCTGACCAGAGTACACTGCTCATGCATGGCACACCTAAGACTAGGGTTCATATTGTCCCACTCTAAGTCTAATGACTTGGACATTCAACTCATGAAGTTGTTTTTAGAACCATACCTGAGGCATAATCCCACATTTTGGAGAGTGAAACAGTGTAGGTAAACAACTATGCTACTGCAGGATTATTTGGTTGATGGATATGCAAACAGGGTTGATAAGTATAATGTGGGTTTTCCTCATGCTATATTAAGTGAAAGTGCTAGATTAAGATTTGTAGACAAGTCTAAACATGTAGTTAGAAAAGGGTTCTTAAAGTTCCATAATCAGGTTCATCAGTGATGGATACTGAATTACAATTAATTCCCTCTTTCTAGAATAATACAATATATGCAAAACTTTCCATGAAATTTACAAGTCCTGTTCTTATGATTCCTGATATTCTAAAAAGTAAACTTTTATGAATATGTTTATGCATCTTATCTATCTACACATACAATCTACATGAGCAGTATGTGTGTGTGTGCGTGTGTGTGTGTGTAAAAAGAGAGTTTATGGGATATAATATACAGTATATATGCTATGTACTATATATAATAAAATCTTTCTTAAGGAAAATATGTTTATGAATATATATCCTTCTTTCTTTCTCTCTTTATAGATATAAATAGATAGATACATAGATATATAGATATATAGATAGACAGATATAGATATCTATCTATCTAAATGTGTACTTTAGGTCATTCCTTTTTTGGCCATGACTTTACTTTCTATTTTTTCTTCATAGCACCCACAATTCATAGTGTTACTTAAAGAAGAACTACTAGTTGGTGCAAAAGTAATTGTGGTTTTTGCCATTTAAAAGTAATGGCAAAAATTGCAATTACTTTTGCACCAACCTAATACAATAAAAAAGTAACAATAATGAGGAATTAACTCCACTACCTAAATAAAACCATTTTAGAGACAATATAATAACAACATGTTCTTATAGGAAATGTTTTTAACACTTTACAGAAAGTTATGGATAATATTAATGTTTCTTACGCAATTATCTGTAAGGACAAAAATTAATATGTATTGCTTGAATGTAGTTATCCACAGCCAAATGATGTGGTGAAATGCTGGGTTGGATCATGTTTAACTAGTGTTTTTATTGCAGAACTTATTAACAGCTTTGTGCACTCACATGTATACTCTACACTCATTAGGCTTCATCAAGAAACAAAGCATTTCTCACTTTCATTTAAGCAAAGAACGCCCCTTTTCTTCTCTCTTCAGATATGAGCAATGTTTAATAGATGTAAAATGAAAGTTGAAGTTCATAAATGTATTTTTAATGCCTTAATTGAAATTAACTTTATGTATGTGTGCACCTGTGTGTGCATGTGTATATGTATGTATATATTTTTTAAACAAAATGGTTATATTCTAAGACTGAAACAAACTGCTTCTCGCATACAAAATAGCTACCGTGAAATTCTGCTTATGAAAATATACTGGGGTAGCACAGGGCCTGCGTTCTAGATGAGTTAAATTGAACATCAAAAGTCTGAGATGAAGGATAAAATTTATTTGCTAAATTGAATGGTTGTGTGGCTCTCACTGAATTTGGGCTGATAATTATGCTTACATACATATCCACTAATGCCTATAGTTCAACCTCATCTTTCATATCTCTGGAAAATTCTTTGTGAATTAATACCATTTTCATTAACATTTTAACTCAAAACTGACAATAGCTTTGACAGATTGATTGTCACATTCTGGCTAAGAGTTTTTATTTTATTTTTTTATTTTTATTTTTGCCTTATTTGGAGGAGCCAAGCAGCAAATTTCTATTACCTTCGTATTTGGATAGCTCTCATGTTGGTACTGAAGCTCATTATTAATCTATCAGCTCAAACAAGGAAAGAAGAGCAAAAAAAGACACATTTATATATATAGACCTATTTATGGATCTTTAATTAACCTGAAAGTAATGCAGAATATAAAATGGAACAAAATAAAGTCCTTGCCCTGAATTTGGTTTTGATCCAGTAATAGCCAACTTACTAGAAATTGAGGTGGGTTAAGTAAATGCACTTATTATTGCCATGAAAAACTCCACTTCGTCCTAAAAGAAAGCTGAATCTTGGACAAGTTATTATTAGGGGAATAGCCCCAGTCTCATTTTACTGTTGCAAGCATACTAATTGGTGATGTGGGGAAGGAGCTAATTGATGCAATGTGAGGGAAAACCACTTATCTTTGACACTCATGCTAATGCAGGCATGAGACATGTGTACATGCAATCAAATAAACTTACTTCTTTCTATTTTTCCTCTCCAGTCCCAGATTAGGTGCAAGAAAAACCCTCATTGACCTTTATTCTTCCACTTTGCTTTGTAAAAAGCCTTGCTAGGCACTCTAACTTTTCTCAGTGTTTTACTGGGAGATGGGTGAATGAATTATAAAATGTAATTTTATAGGATCTCTATTTTAGAAATTATAATAGTGAAAGCAGAATAAAAATGTATTTAAGCCAAATGAGAGTGTTTACTTGTATGTAATGTGACAGCCAGATGGAATGTCTAAATCAGCCCTAAATTCAATAACAGGTGCATAGGGAGATTTTATTTTATGGAGTAGATTTTTTAAAGATTGACACCTGATTTTTTTGGCTAATAATGAATACTGATGTTGTTCACTTTAAAATTTATATTTAAAAGAAATTTTTTAAGATTTATATTTAAGATTATTTTAAAAGGAAATTAATCCACTCAAAATAGCATATTTAGAAATATATTTATAAAAGAAGTGTGAGACTTGAACACTAACAATCACAAAACATTACTGATGAGTGCCCCACAACCAAGAGTTATCCTGCCCTAGATGTCAATAGTTGAGAAACAGAGATAGAGAAGCAGTGCTTGGAGGTATGGCTGGAACTGGGAACTGAACGATAAGGAACCAATCACACAAGAGTCTGGGACAAGAGTAATTCAGGTAATGGGAACAACAATTAGAAATGTTCTGAGATGAGGAGGGAGCTCAGAATCAGCCAGGGACAGAAATATTGCTAGTCTGGCTGGAATGCAACAAGTACTTGGAATAAAGAACCAGATAATGTTAAGGCAGAAGGCAGGGACCAGATTCAAAACATCTTTACATATGAGATGAAGTAATGTATAGAGTGTTAATATGGTTGAGTAGATTTTCAACTGGTTGAATGAAACCCAAATACTATGCATGGCATTTGCAACATGGATGATTGCCAGCAGCGTAGTTCCTTCCTTGGATTGGTCCTGTTAGCATTTTTATCATTGACTTGTATGAGGACAAAGAAGGTGTGTTATCAAATCTGTGGCTGACATCAAGATCAGGGAGATAACTAATACACAGGATTACAGAATCAGGATTGAAAGCCATCTTGACAGGCTGAAACTGTGGATTGAGTCTACAAAGATCTCATTTAGTAAAGATAAATTCAGTATCCTGCACTTGGGTCAGAAAGCATGCGGCTCAAAAGTGTAAGAGAGAGGTCAGGCTAAACAGTTACGTGGGTTAAAATGTTACAGGTGTTTTCACCAACTCTAAGATTAATGTGAGCCAGCAGGGTGATTGGTTCACCACTGAAATCAGCATGGAGCTAAAATGCATTGATTATAGCACAGTGTCCGCAATCAAGAAGACCTCATTGCATATCTGAAAACTTACTGTTACATCTGACTTTTAGAAGAAAGTTGGCAAACCCGAATGTCTCACGTCTATAATCCCAGCACTTTGGGAGAGCGAGGAGGGCAGATCACGAGGTTGAGAGATCGAGACCATCTTGGCCAAAATGGTGAAACCTCATCTCTATTCAAAATACAAAAATTAGCTGGGCATGATAGTGCGCACCTGTAGTCCCAGCTACTCGGGAGGCTGAGGCAGGAGAATTGCTTGAACCCAGGGGACAGAGGTTGCAGTGAGCCGAGATCGTACCGGTGCACTTCAGCAGCCTGGCAACAGAGCAAGACTCTGTCTCAAGAAAACAAAAAAAAAATAATAAAATCAGAATAAATGATGACAGAGTATCTTGGAACTGATGAAGGACTAATATTTCACTTATACAATGATTTCTACAATTCAGGCAGGAGAATTGCTTGAACCCAGGGGACGGAGGTTGCAGTGAGCTGAGATCATACCAATGCACTCCAGCAGCCTGGCAACAGAGCAAGACTCCGTCTCAAAAAAATAATAATAATAATAATAAAATCAGAATAAATGAGGACAGAGGATCTTGGAAGTGATGAAGGACTAATATTTCACTTATACAATGATTCTACAATTCACATATGACTTCTATGAAGTCATATGAAGTCTTCATGGAGACTTCACAGTAGTCTCTATGAAGAATTAGATTTATTTGGAGACAAAACTTTTGAGCTTAGATCAGTAGGAAGAAAACGGAAATGGGCATTTTGAATGAATAGCAAAAAGCAATTTCTTACAATATAATTTCCCCCAAATTCAGTTGGCTGTTTTCAAGACGGTAACTTCTTCCTTGCTGAAAGTTTGAAAGCCGAGGCTGCTGGCCAGGCACTGTGACCGTGTCTATAATCCCAGCACTTTGGGAGGCCAAAGCAAGAGGATAACTTGAAGCTGGAAGTTTAAGACTAGCCTGGGCAACATAGTGAGACCCCATGTCTACAAAAAAAATTAAAATAATTAGCTAGGCATGGTGGTATGTGCCTGTTATCCTAGCTACTTTGGGAGGCTGAGAAGGGAGACTCACTTCAGCTCAGGAGTTCGAAGCTGCAGTGAGCTATGATTGCACAACTGTACTCCAGCCTAGATGACAGAGTAAGGTCCTGTTTCTAATAAAAATAAAAATAAGTAAATAAACTTATTTTTTTAAAAGGAAGCAGGGGCTGAAAGAATGTGCTTCAAGGAGAATTTCTAAGGAGTCCATGCATGGGGACTAAAAGATTATGACCTACATTTCAATTTTTAAGGTTTTATTATTCACTAATTTGGTTACAAAGGTTGAGCTACTTCTTCTATTATTTGTACTTTGGTCTGTTTAGCCATATGCAGGGAAAACACATTTTGAAAACAGTTTAAATTCAAACAAATGGATCATGGCTGGTGTTGAGCAAGTTGATTTCTAGATAAATTGTTGCATTTCAACCAAGCTATTGTTTTTGCTGTATTGTTGGTTGTTTTTCTCAAATCTGTTTTGGTTTGAGCAGACTAATATCTGTTTTCAGAGACCTCTCCTTTAAGTGGGGTAATGCCTCTTAGCCACATGCCGGTCCTATTCTAACCACTGGGTATTTATAAAATTCAATTCGAAATGACCGCCTTGCATCACAGAATCCAACATCCGAGCTGGAAAGAATGAGTTTGTTTCTTTCACGTGTGGAAAAGACCTTCATAGGTCACTTGCAACAGAATCCCCTGGGAGCCACAGTTCTTTCTAACTTACTGGGAAATGCCCAGGCCGTGGGTATGACTTAAACATTCAGGCTTATTCAGTCACCTATTAGGATTTACAGTCATTGGAGTGTCTTTGGGAAAGGTTAAAAAATTGTACAGCTGAAATTAGTTTCAAGAAAGTTTGGTCTTATTTCACTTTACATTCATTATTATGTCTACAAAGAGTTTAAGCTTAAGAAACTTGAAAAAAAAAGATAACAGCACCAATTTAGCTACAAAAACTGATTCATAATAACGTTCTCACTTCAAGAACAGGAAAGCAAGGAAGGCCAATGGCAATTCTTCACTCTAGCTCATTTAAACTTGGTAGTATGTTTTTATGATACCCAGTAAAATTTACTAAAATTTCTTCCATGGCAGCAAAACTGATTTTGGCCTTGGTCTTCCAGAATTTTTCCATCCGAATGCACTAGTAAATCTAATATGTATGTGTTTTCTTTGGATTTCTTATAAATGAATTCTTCACATACTTTTGGTTACTGGGCTGGATCTTAGAAACATGCTACTTATTTTTAAGCCAATGAATATGCTGACACGAGAAATATCTTGAGTGAAATAAGTTTTATTCTTGTGCTAAGTACTACTTGGCAAGATTTTTCAAAAACTGGCAGAAAGGCTGTCAGATCTTATCACACACTTTGAAACCATAATGTGATGGCCTTAATTAGTCAATTTATTCCCAATAAGTTTTGCGTCTTTTCTAATTTCTCTTTTAGAAATGAAAAAATACGGTGTGATACCAAAATTAAATAAGTATAGATCAGAATTTATTTAATAATTAAATTCATAGTTTCGACATTTACACCTTTCAGAAAGCCTTGCATGAATGTTTCTTATCCTTTTCACTTCTCAACTGCAGCAAAATGTTCTGCCTCCATGTGCACTGATGGTACAAAGATGATTGGGATATGGTGTTGTTTAGGCCTCATTCTTAAAGGCACATAGCATGTGTCAGAGTAACTACAGAAGATGGAATTATCCCCATAAAGAAAAGTCATTATTAACACTGAGTCTTTTGAAAGACATCAGTAAGAATATTTCTAAATTTACTTCCTGGTTTATGATGACTTTACCCTATATTTTAGAATTCTTTAAAGTATTATTAACTATAGATGTGTTATCTGTTCTAATTATCCATAGTTAAAAGAAATTACTAACCACATGCAAATAAAACCACAGAGTTTTACAAATACTGAATATCTTAGTTTCCTGAGCTGCCATAAAAAAGTAAAATATACTGGGTGGCTTAGAGTAACAGAAATGTATTGTCTCACAATTCTGGAAGCCAGAGGTCTAAAATCAAGGTGTTGGCAGGGCCATACTTTCTGTGAACGCTAAGGAAGGATCTGCTTTAAGTTTTGCTCCTATTCTCTGGTAGTTCCTTGGCTTGGGGCAACCATACTCTAAACTTCACATGGCAATCTCCCTGTGTATGTCCATCTCTTCACATGGTACCTTAGTCAATTTTCATATTGCTAGTAAGAAATACCCAAGACTGGGCAATTTATAAAGAAAAATAAGTTAGGCCAGGCACAGTGTCTCATGCCTGTAACCCCAACACTTTGGGAGGCTGAGGCAGGTGAATCATTTGAGGTCAGGTGTTTGAGACTAGCCTGGCCAACATGGTGAAAACCTGTCCCTACTAAAAATGCAAAAAAATTAGCTGGGCATGGTGGAGGGCACCTGTAATCCCAGCTACTGGGAGGCTGAGGCAGGAGAATTGCTTGAACACAGGAGGTGGAGGCTGGAGCCTGCAGTGAGCCAAAGTTGCGCCACTGCACTCCAGCCTGGGTGACTGAGCGATACTCTGTCAAAAAAAATAAAAAATAAAAATAAAATAAAAAAATAAAAAAAAAAGGAGAAAGAAAGAAAGAGAAAGAAGTTTAACGGACTCTCAGTTCCACATGGCTGGGGAGGCCTCACAATCATGGTGGAAGGTGAAGAAGGAGCAAACTTGATCAGGGGAGCTCCCCTTTATAAAACCACCAGATCTTGTGAAACTTATTCACTATCATGAGAGCAGCACGGGAAAAACCCGCCCCATGATTCAATTACCTCCCACCAGGTCCTTCCCACAACACTTGGGGATTATGGGAGCTGCAGTATGAGACAAGATTTGGGTCAGGACACAGCCAAACCATATCACATGGCTTTCTCTTTATAAGGACATCAGTCATATTAGATTAGGTGCCAACTCTACTCCATCCTAAACTTACCTTAACTTACTAATGAAATCTGCAAAAACCGTATTTCCAGACAAGGTCACATTCTGATGTACTGGGCGTCAGGACTTCACATGAATTTTTATGGGACAAAATTCAACTTATGACATTAAGTTTCTACTCTCTGTATGAATAGACATTTGCTTTCTCAGTCTCCTTGAACCTGGCATGGGCAAATAGGCTGCCAGCTCTTGGAATAATTTTTCTTCTTGGTATAAAAATAGGAAAACATAAAGAAAATTTTAGCCTCTCATTTCTTTTGTTCTTTGTAGTTTGAGGACATAATACTTGCAGCTGCCATAGCTGTCTTGCCACCATGAAGAAGGATATCAAGGCAAAGGCTCTAATAGAAATATAGAATATGCTAGGGACTTAAGTGTAGTTGCTAAAAGAAATTAGAATGTCCTAGGTTCACTCTTCTGCTGTATGAGAAAAACAGACACAGCATTTCATCCTTCAGCCCTTTTCATTTGAGTGTTGAAAATATTAAAAAAAAAATACATTTTTGAAGTGAGTTTCCTTATCGCCTTTTCCTGGGATGATCAACCTTTCTTTTCTTCTACCTGGCAACTTAGGGATGCATTTGTTGACCTGCACAGTCTGGACTCCACATATGAGCTCTCTTTATGGTTCTGCTCCTCTTTGGTCCTTTGCCTCTGTCTCAATCTAGAGTCTCCATTATTACCTGCATTACATTCTTTATCTCTTAATTGTAGAGCATCCCAGAACCTGGCAGAAGAGATTCACTAAGAATTTGCTGTAGCTGATGTCTCAACGATGTCATAATTGGCCTCTTATTTTATTTATTAATTATACTTCAAACATTTTATAGTTGAATTTGTACCATATTTCCCTTAGTTAAAATTCAATGAATAAAATAGTAGTAACTCTGAGTATTTGGGACAAAAGTAATTTAATAAAAGAAATCAGGTGTTTCTAAAACTGTTGAAAGATGGGAGTCAGATGGGCACCACTAAAATTATTTGCTCTTTGTAGTTTGAGGACACATGAAATATACACCCTGGTGGTTGTAGACTCATGTTCTAGAGGTCAGGGCGCCTTGGCTTCTGTCACCATCTCATGCCATACGCACAGAGCCAATGGCTAGAAGGTGGAAAGCCTGTCTAGCCACCACAATTGCTTTTAAGGTCACAGCTCTCCTTGAGGAGACAAAGGAGCAAGAAGACAATCCAAAATTCATTTACACTTCCAATGTTTGAAGCTACTACTTCTATATGGCAAAACCTTCCTTTTATGCAAAACCATCTGGAAAGTGGGAAAGGCTATATTTTTAGTTTTCCTGAACTTGCAGCATAAGAAACCCTTTAGAAGGCAGTGTCCATTGACCACAACTATCACATGATACAAAGGGTGCATTCTTACAGTCCTGTCGAGAAATTAAAAGGAAAATAACAATCTAATTGTTCAAGAAGTTGAACTTTCAATAAGGGAGATAAGATGTCTACATATAATAAAAACAAGCGTGGTTCCACAAGACAAGTAGAGTCAGGATTGAATGGGCACTCCAGTTATGAAAAAGATTACCAGGAGCACAGCAAAGTGTGAAAAATGGTGAGTAATAAGGATAAATTCATGGATCATATTAAGAAAGAAAGGCTCAGAAGTTTGTATTTCCTTCAGTAGGAAATAGGAGATAATGATGCCTCTCTTGGCTTATCTGGTTCCCATTCTTGAGATGTTTCTTGAACCAGATGTTCCTTCTTGATCTCTTTCTCAGGCTACTCCTGCCTTTCTCAGCTTTTAAAATTTGTGGCTCTTCAATTATCCTCAGCAAACTAATGCAGGAACAGAAAACCAAACACTGCATGTTCTCACTCATAAGTGGGAGCTGAACAATGAGAACACATGGACACTGGGAGGGGAACAACACACACTGGGGCCTGTTGGGGGGAACATGGGGAGAAAGAGCATCAGGAAAAAATAGCTGGGCTTACTACTTAGATGATCGGTTGATAGGTGCAGCAAACCACCATGACACACGTTTGCCTATGTAACAAATCTGCACATCCTGCATATGTACCCTAGAACTTAAAATAAGACAAAAAAGAAAAAAAATGTGGATCTCAGGGACTAATCCCAGGCTTTCTGTTCTTCTCTATATATTAATTCCTTAACCGAACTTATCCATATTTACAGCTTAAGTACTATGTACTTGTAAGTCTCAAATTTCTATTTCTAGCTGTGATGGTTAATTTTATCTGTCAACTTGACTAGGCCATGGTGTGTCCAGATATATAAACAAACATTATTCTAGATGTGTCTGTGAGGACGTTTCTGGATAAGATTAGCATTTAAATTGGTAAATTAAATAAAACAGATTGCCTTCTCTCTAGTGGTGGGCTTCATCCAATCAGTTGAAGCTGCTCTTCTTGGGTCACAGGCCTACTGGTTTTTGAACTGAAACTCTCCTAGTTCTTGGGCCTTCAGACTCAGACTGATAGCTAGTTACATTCTCTCTCTCTCTCTCTCTCTGTCTTTCTCTCAAAAAAAAAAAAAAAATCACTAATGCACTAACGTTGGTCTATTTCCAGAACTCTAGAACCTACAATAAGCTTACTTTCATATTGAAACTCATTAACCAAGTTTCAAGTCAGAAACCTGGGAGAAATTTTCAATTTCTCCAAACCCACCCTCAATCCAATTGTATATCTAATGTATTTTTCTTATAAATTTGTCAGAATTCTCCATGTCTCCTTCACGTTGTACCTCCACCAATATCACCGTCTCTAGCCTGAACTGCTGCAATTATCTTACCGATCTCTACCCTTCCAATTTTGACCATGTCTAATCCATTCACTCCCGATACAATATTAAACAGAAGTGTCAGCTACTCAAAATCTTAAAGAAATCCTATCACATAGAATCAGGAACATTGATCTGCCATTCAAGATGTGACAAGACCTCACAGCTATCTTCAATACCACCTCTTTCCTCTTCCCTGCTGCTGCTTTAATTCTCAGTCCCACCAGCATACTCATTACCATAAGTTTTTATACTATTAAAACTCATCTATTAAAACTCATTTTTAGCACACTCATCTTTTTCACATTCCAAAAATTTCATTCACATTGTTTCCTTTTCCTCTTTTCAAAGATGTTAAAATGCCTGCATCCTTCTCAACTTTCAGCTTCAATTGAAAAGCCATTCTCTTATCTTTGGAGAAGTTCTTACTATTATTTATCTGTGCACCTTATTCATTTTCTTCAGACCACTTCACAAGTTGTGAGTATGTTATTATTTACCTGTTTTATTTTTGGTCTGTCTCTCCAACTTGACTGTAAGCACCTCCTAAGCCAGGGACTATGTATGTCTCCTTTGCTCTGCACTGCGAAAGCCCACAACCTCACACTTCATACATCTTAGGTTCCTCATAAATATTTTGGGTATGAATAAATAGCTATTCTTCATTTATTCTCTCTCACCTTTTCTTATCTCTATTTCCTCATATTGATGGTTGAGCCCCCATCCTCACTGTTCCTGCTTGCTTTCCTCCTCCATTCGAACAGTATCAATTGAAATTATTAGTGACATAAAAAACAGACAGGGAATTTTAAGCTGCTGACTTTGTGGCATTGAATAGACTGAGCTCAGCAGCACGGCGCCAGAAGCAATCTGCAACCACCTTTGGAATACACCCCCTTCCAATCACCGCAGATTATAAACATCATCAGCTATGTTGTCTCCCAAGGTTATGGCAAAACTTAAACTATTTTTTGTTAATAGTAAATGCCCCTCGTTCTCTTATAATTAGTCACTGTGGAATTTTAGAAAGGTCATTTGGTTGAAATATGAGGCTGCAATTTGTTTAAAAAGGAAAAAGGCAGAGGAAATTATCCTTCCATGATGCATTAGCCCAGGTCACAGTTACCCCAGGCATTCCGAGTCTATGTTGTAAACAGTCTAGTACCATCATAGCCAAAATGCATGTTTCATCCTGAGACAGGCACAAACTCATTAAACTGACATTCATTCATGTGAACCACACATTATCTCATTATACCTCTCCAATACCAAAACACTTGATTAAAAAGTTAAAAAACTCCTCCACTTCACTACAAATGTGGGCTCAGGTGAGGCTGGGCACACCATATTTGTAAATAGCTGGGTTATTGAGAAAAGTAGTTTACAACATCTGGGGAGTTGATAAACTACAGGCAAGATCTTTATTCTTGCTTCTATTTTATTCTTATTGGTCATTCAAATCAAAGACCTATGTTTAGCCCTTTCTAATTCTATCTAGGGAACAATCAGTTTTGCAGACTATCTAGGCTTGATTATTAGCAGACAACAAATATAAGAAAAAAGCAAAGGTCCTAGATGTGAAGACTCAACAAAGAATCCACTTCCTTTATTACCTCGTAGCAAAATTGTATAATACAGTTATCATATGTTCTTGATGAGAAAATTCTAAAAGTGAACACAATTCATGAATATTTTCAATATTTGCTAAAAAGTGAAGCTTGAAATTCTAGATCAATCAATTTTTAGAAACACATTCTAGGAAGTTATAAGCCACAATATTATTGCCATCTGGTTAACACCAATTTCTTCCTGAATGTAAGAACAGTATAAGAATTTTAAAGCCTATGCACATTTGCTGTGTTTTTGTTTTCCTTTCAATTTCCAAGCTGATGAACTGCGGGGGCTGTTAATACATTGCTTATTCAGAAATTTTAAGTGTGCATGCATCACTAATGTATACAAGTTACATTCCTTTTGTAATATTTACCTTGAATGTACAGAATATGATACACATTTGAATTTTGGGAAATTAAAAATAAGCTTTACCAAAAAGTTCAGAAGAGAGCTAATAAATAAAGAAGTTTGGTTACTCTCTGGAGAAAGAGAAACTTTGTGTTAATTATGATCGCTAAATGCTGTAATTGATAGTTACTGCAATGAAAAGGAAGGAAAAAAAACTACTAAATATCTAAACCATAAAGAGGAAGTCAATTAAGGAAAAGGTTAATGCACAGTTAAGTGACGCCACTGACAATTAAAACCAAAAATACAAATTTCTTTAATAAATTTACAAAATCAACTTTGGCAAATAATAAAACCTGGATTCAGAAGGGCTAGAATAAAGCATTTGTTTTCATTTTGGCCTTTCATACCCATACTCCCCCTTTAGGGAATATAATGTTGCCTCGATCTTCTGCAATGCAGCACTAGAGCAATATTTTTTTTTTTCTGGTAGAAACCATTAGTTGTTACTCACTTTCATAACTTAAAGATATAAGCTTGAGGCACATTGGGATTTTAACAACTTCATTTGCCAAAGTCAAACCAAGTCAGGATAGGTGGGAGTCGAGGTTGTGAATCCTGAACTGTAGGTGGCCTGGTGTTGAATGCTGAAGCATGTTTGCAGGGAACATACAGTATTAATGAGCACATACATTATTTTAATATAATTATCCAATGTCTTAGAGGAATAAATAAGCATAGAACTAATTGGAAGGTGGAAGGTCAAAACGAATGATGTATGATGAGTGCATTTAGAAAAGAGGCCACGGTTGTATTTGTTCTGTGTCATTGCTCTCTAATAGAGTTTTCTGTAGTTATAGAGATATTCTATGTCTGCATTGTCTAGCGTTGGAGCCACTTGCCCATGTGTGGCTACTGAGAACTTGAAACATAGCTAGTGTGACTAAAAAACTATTTAATCCTAACAATGTGAAATTTAAATAGCCACATGTGGCTAGTGGCTATTACATGGGATAGAACAGTTTTAAAGCATGATAGAAACATCAACATTTTCACCAAGAGAGAAATTTCTTTGGTTGTGTGTGTGTTTAACAGGGTCTCACTTTGTCACCCAGGATGGAATGCAGTGGTGAAATCACAGCTCACTGTAGCCTCAACTTCCCAGGCCCAAGTGATCCTCCTGCCTCAACCCCACAAGTAGCCAGGACTAGAGGTATGTGCCATCAAGCCCGGCTAATTTTTGTATTTTTTTTGCGGAGACGAAGTCTCGCCATGTTGCCCAGGCTGGTCTCGAACTCCTGAGCTCATGGGATCCACCCACTTTGACCTTCCAACACGCTGAGATTACAGACATGAGCCACCGCACCTGGCCTAAGACAGAAAATGAAATCGAATGAAGGCCACCTGTGCAGGATCCTGATGCGAGCTAGCATTATTGATTTGTTAATTGAAAAAATATGTATTGAGTGGCCATGTTTGCTAATCTCTGCACTTCCACCACTATGTCTGTGCTATCTCTGACTCAAACTCTTAAAAATCATGTTCTACCCATGATATAGCTAAGCTGAGAGATCATTAAAAAATGCGCATTGTATCTGAAATTAATCACTTTTTTAAAACTCAGCTCTCTCTACCCTCACTTTTTTCAGACACCGCTTCTGTCTCAATTAAAAATTGTCTCTCTCCTCACTCTCTCTGTGGTCCACACTTTCGTGTAAGGCTCCAAATGTTGCTTGATCATTTTTCTGTATCTCATAGTCTAGGAGATGGTGGTGACACTTGCAGCTTTCCTAAGATTTCTCAGCTTCCTTAGAAACTCATTGTACTTGCTGCAGAATCAAAGTCATGGTTTACCATCTTCCTCAGCATTCTAAATCTTGTTGATTTAAATAATCTTTTGGTCATTGGATCAAATTCTCTAGACTTTCACCCTTGGCTTCCTCAATGACAATAGCCCTCACTTACTCTCTACTTTAGCAACGGCTCCTGTGGCCAAATTCTACAACTTTTCTTTATTCAGGACTGGTTTGCCTATTAAATCTCCTATATTACATTCTCTGAACTTAGCACTGATCCAACAGCAAGTATTCTCTGAATCTTTCCAAGGTGCCAGACACCATGTTAAGAGTAAGAAGGTGGTGGTGAATGACACCAAGTTAATGCCCTGACATAGGTTTTATTTTAGTAAGTAGGACAGGTGATAGACACAGGTAGCTGGGAAAATAATGCAAGAGAGATGACCTTGGGCTTGTAGGGGTGGCAACTGAGATAAGGTGCACAGAGGTAGTTTCATGAGCAGGTGACATTTAAGCTAAAATCTGAATAGTGAGAAAGAATCAGCAAGTAAAGATATTGGGAAGGCTGTTCCATGCAGAGGAAATGAATGGAACAAAGACCTCAAATGAGAACATACTTGTTGTTTTCAAGGAACACAGATATATCTGATGTGGCCTGAGCCTAGTGGTAGCGGTTAGGGGTGTATGTTTCTTATTGATTTCTCCCTATCTTCAGGTCCTTTCCTCACTGAGTCTGGACCCAAGATAGACTACTTTGCTGCTCTCATTTGCAACTTCCACTGTGTCATTCCTTTCCCCTTCCATATTCTTTCTCAACCACTCCTAAATCCTTTATTTCGGCATCTGATGTCTGGGAACTACATAATTGTGCACTTAATTAATAGTATCTGAACTCAACTGGGAATTTAATATCACTGATCAATTATTTTCCTTAACATATGTAAACTCCTTTATCGTATCCACCTTCCTAAGTCACTTTAGCTACCCTCTATGGCTTTCATTTTCAGCAGAGAAACTAATCTTCTGCTTCACTGAGAAAAATCTAGGCACCACTCATGAAAACCTTTACATTCCAAACTACTGATATACATATTTAATGACACATATGTCTATTCTCTCCAACTGTCACTTTTCTCAGTGGAAGAAGTTGTTACTCACTTACTCCATTTTAGTTCTTGATCACATCCCTCCTCATCTTTGAACTGATCTAATCCCATTAACTATTGTTCTTTCAGATTTTTTCTATAATTCCTTTCCTCCAATTTCTTCTTAGTAATAAGAGCTTTACTCTTCTTTCTAGTTTTACTTTTCCTTCTGAGGTAGGAAAAATGAGGCCACAACTGTTCCTTTAACTTTTTGAATTCCCATCCTCTTCTGAATCCACTGCAGCTTGGCCTCCAGTACTCTGTAGGAACTGTGGAAATGAATAGAAGCTAACCTGCCAGTAAGTTATTCTAGCTTCTCTGGAATAGGAAACACTATTGCTGAGTTCTTGCTTTTCCAATTCTTTCCTCCTTCATCACTCTTTTCTAGATTCCTTCTCTCCTCTCCGAACATATTTTTTCCATTATCATTTACTTCACTTCTGTCTGCCCCTCAATTTCTGATGCGTACTATGCCTTTTCTTTGACCTTCTTTTATATTACTCTTTACCAATTTCATATATAGTCTTGACCTTTCTTACACTGCTAGATTAAACCTGTGATCTGGACAACATCGCCGACTCTCAAATTTAATGTGAGTCATAGATCTATGTTCAGATTTCATACTGTACAAGCTGTATTTTCTTGCATTGTTCTCACCTATAACTACCACGTAGCAGCTATATGAACTTAGGGACATATTTAACAAATGGGGTGGTGTCTGTGCCTCAGTTTCCGTGTGAACAAAATAGGAATTATGATGGCATTTAAGCAACTGAAAAAAGTACCTAACATAGAATCCACCTAAATTAGTCAATAGCTATTATTTAAATTTCATTTTGAATGTCTTCAGACAGACCACAAACACATTTCTCATCTCATTTTACCTGGAATAATATCTGTATCAGTGATTTGTAATTTTTTTTAATTTTTAATTTTAGTGGGTATATAGTAGGTTTACATATTCGTGGGGTACATGAGATGTTTTTATACAGGCATGTAATGCATGGTAATCACATCATGGAGAATGGGGTATCTATCCCCTCGAGCACTTATTCCTTGTGTTATAAACAATCCAATTATACTCTTCTAGTTATTTTAAAATGTACAATTAACTTATTTTTGACTAGAGCCACTATGTTGTGGTATCAAATAGCAGGTCTTATTCATTCTTTCTAATTTTTTGTATCCATTAACCATCCTCACCTCATCCAACCCCCCACTACCCTTACCAGCCTCTGGTAACCATCCTTCTACTCTATCAGTGACTACTGCAATAATGATGTTGCATAACAAATGATTTCCAAAATTTTGTGGCTTAAAATAACAACCAAGTACAATTGATGTCTAATCTGCAAGTTTAGTGATTTGTGCTGAACTTAAATGTGCAGTTCTTCTGATCTCTGGCCATAGCTGCACTCACATACATATCTAGGGAATCATCTGTCTCTTAATGGTCCTAAGATGGCCTTGGCAGGGGTGACTCATCTGTCTCCCAAACGATTTTTATCCTCTTTCAGGCTATCCTAGGGAACAGAGAGCAAGCACAACTGTTGAAGATTGCCGCGGAGATTGACCTCTTGAGTTGCTGACTGCTTTACATTGCTAATACTCCATTCACTAACACCTCATGGGCATAAGAAAGTAATTTGCTGAGGCCAGAATCAGAGTGGAAAAGGATTACACAGTATAAGGGCAAAAGGCATGGAATAGAGTTTCTATTATTAATTATGATTATGTGTACAATAAATACAGGCAGATTCTCCTCCATATTACCCTCCAGGGCATTTTCATCAATTCTTCCCGTAGAATTTCTACCCATGCCTCAAGAGCTAGCTCAACTACATGTTCCCCAACAAATTTTAAAAATCTTCTTATGGGAATTAAATATTTTACTTCACTAGCCTCCTAGTTCACTTGCTATTGTGGTGCCCATCACATTATCTCTTCTAGGCTTAGCTATGCATCTACACATGCCACAAAATTATGAAGTTTCCAAAACACACAAATCCTGTTTTATTCATCTTTGCATCTCTTAAGTCACCTAGGTACATGTACAGACCATAACTGAGTCTTTACAATGTGTCTTCAATTAATTAAATTCCCACAATGCTTTAGCTAAACTCCTGACATTTTCATCTAAGAATTTCTAAACTATTCTATAATACTTAAATCCTCCTTTCTTTGCAGCTCACTTATTTACATCACACTAATTAGAGTTCCATTCTATGAAATGTGGAGTTTTGTTTTGTAAGCATATGTGTAAATCCATATAATTCTATAGATAGATGTCTCACCAGTTAGGCAACCATCTTCGCGATCTTAGGCAACATGTCTTACACTCCTCTTTCCTAGTTTTCAGCATAGGATAGGATACACTGAAAGATGCATGATATGTGAAGATTTTTTATTATTATTGATAGATTTTTGTTTCCTAATATTCAAGTTATTTGGAACGTAGAAAAAGCTGCTCAATACAAATAATGTCGTGATAATTTGAATCTAAAGACTCTGGAGAGAAAATGAGATGTTATTGGCCATTTCCTAAGCATAGACACTTTAAAGACTGTATTTTATTTTAAGCTTCCATGCTAAACATAAGCAAGCTTCTTTCATTTCCATTACTATGGTAACACATGAAATTGCTTATATAATAATTATTTACTTGTGGCCTTAATCCATAAATTTGACCAAGCTTATTAAGATTCAGGCAATTTGATTGCTAAATACAGATATCCAAATGTAGACTGTCAACCCAATAACTGATCAGATTAAAATGAATTTATACTAGCTTATATTTATCTTGAGGAGAAAAAAGATAGATAATTTCTGAACTTTCCACAAACAAATAGGACCATTTGCAGACATGGTCTCCTGAGATAGACTGAGAGCCCAGTGGATTCAAGGGCTGTGTATTCTTCTAAGAAAATGGCAAAATAAACTATGCCTTCTGCAGACAAGTATCAAAACAGGTATGGAAAAGAACCTCAGGACTAGAGTAAATAGCAACCTAAACTATCAGTATGTTCTCTCATGATAGAAAAAAGAAACAAAAATTATACATATCAGTAGGAAAGAGAATACAATTAAGTGATTATAATTTCAATGAAGCAAAAAATAATAAGAGACCACGCCCATCCCATCCTGCTTGTATGAAAGAACAGAGAAGAATAAAATGAGAAAGCTACAATGCCAAATGGGCAACCACAATAGATGAAGAAGAATCATAATTTGAAAATTATTCCTTCTGGAAAGGCATAGACAAAAGTTTGGGAGAAGACGAAATGAAGGTAGGAAAATCATCTGTCTACTTCCAGGTGCCTCAAGGATTTTCGCTTTCCCTGCAAATCCTTTTAGATGACAAAATCCATTAGCTTTCTTGGGCCCTCCTGTGGAAAGGACTAAGTAATGGTAGTGATCCCTAGAAATAGAAAGTTAGGAAAGTTAGGAATATAACTCCAGGCAGGTGATCAGAAGTAAAGGGAAGGCATGGAGAGGGTCCCATTTAGGGCACCTCCGCAGAGCACAGGGCTGAGTGCTCTGTATTTCACCTCACCTGATGCACTCTCTACACCGTCTGAGAAGGTGGTCATCCACCTTCACAGATGAGGATGGAGGATGCTTAGAGTAACATAACAGAATATGGAAGGTTACATTATCAGGAAGTGGTAAGCTGCAAGTCGAACCCAGCATTTTCTGAATTCAAAGCTCAGGCTCTTTTTCCATCCTTCTCAATATTATAATATGAGAGCCTCATGGTCCATAGGGCTTCAGACTCTTCACCTAGAGAAGCTTTGCTGAAATCTGTATTACACGGCAGGATTCCAATAAACTTCCTGGAAGGAAGAGTAACATAGCTCAACGATGTATCTCACTTTTAGGTATGCGCATATATGACTCGTGGGATACCACATAATAATCTCCCACTCTAAAATATTTTGCCATGTTTCCTAAAATTCCAATATTATAGGCTTATTACTGGGCAAAAATTCATGGCTGGTCTCTAAGAAACTGAAATATTTATTGTGGGATGGTGCTTTAAACAAAATTTCCATTATCTTTCACGTATCTTAGTATGTTTTTCAACTTGGAAGCTATCTAAAATAAAATGGAACACCAGACAAGCACGAAATTTTAAATATCTTTGTTTTACATAAAAAGGTATTATAAAGTCAGTAAAAAATAATTAAAGAAAAAAATTATATGTATATTTCCCCTCATCATGTCCCACACTTCCATTCTGCTAAAGAAATTCCTGTTAAAATTATATTTACACCCTTCCAAATTAATTACATTGACAAATATTAACATAGGTATATGTATGTCAATATAGTGATGCATACTCTATAAATTGATTGCATGTATTGTGTGTGTATGGTTCTATTTATGTGTGCATCTATGTGTGTGAGAATAAGATATTGAACAATTTTAAGCATAAGAGAGTAAGTGCTCACCCGTATAGAATAAAATACAAAATACTATTTTGGAAAAAAAAATTTGACTCTGTAATTGTAGTACATATTTCTGAGGCAGATTGTCCTCATTCTGAGAAAATTCTTAATGAGGCTTGATGGAATGTTTTGGTTGAGAAAGTTCTGGTCTTGTAGTCACAGCCTGTAAAGGACAAGGCAAAAAGAGAACTAGATGGTCTTGCATCAGAATGTGACTGGAAATTTGGGATTGAAGAGTGGGAAGTAGACAGGAATGAAGAGAGCCCAAAGTTGATCGGAGAGTGGTGCTTATTCCCAAGAAAGCTTTCCTTCATGGAAGGATTTGAACAACAGCATACAATACTCAGCCTTCACTCAGTTCTCACCTCTACCAAGTTTATGTGTACTCTTCCTCTGTAATCCCAAAATGTCAGTGACAAAAATGAAAAAATGGAGCAGTGCCCATCCTGTAGTCAAGAGATACACTTATATGAGTCAATGGAGGTGATGAACAATTTTCTGGAAGGAGGACATAAGAATAAGAGGCAACTTAGTGTGAGGGACTGAATTAGCATTTCAAAAACATTGGCTCAGGTTCCTCTTCTCCCTCCCCTCATTGCTGACTTTGAGTTTAGCTACAGCATAGATTTCTGAAAAACAAAAGAAAATACAATGCATTGAAATAACAGAACCAAAATTGATTGAGCTCTAACTCTACTGATCAAAGAAAGAAAGTACAAATTATAAATATCAAGATTGAAAAAGGGGAAATTAAAACAGATCCTGCAGACATTAAG
Organism: Homo sapiens; assembly: GCF_000001405.40. Lineage (NCBI taxonomy): Eukaryota > Metazoa > Chordata > Mammalia > Primates > Hominidae > Homo > Homo sapiens. Next base: position 86,843,631 of record NC_000014.9, on the reverse strand, counting down.
AAGATGAGGGTTTATTACGAAAAAACGGTACACAAATAAATTTTACAATTTGGATGAAAAATAATTCTTACAAAACATCATTTTCCGGACCTAAGATGAGAAAAAAGAACATCTGAATACACATATTGATTAAAAGAGATGATTTTCACTTATAGCCAGGGAGTAGCAGGAACGATCCTTACCCTCCCACTCTAAAACAACTAGAAAATTAGACAAAAGTATTTGAAACAACTGTCTTTCAGATCTAAGTCAACAGTTGATGCAGGACTGTGATTCTGAGAAGAAAACCAAACAAGGTAAACACAGTGAAAACCCCTGGTTTATTTTCTCAAGGTACATTCAGAACCCAGGTACAGAGGTAGGAAAGACAAACAGAGATTCCCAGACAGAACACTAAGATTTAATGATAGGTCTTATAACTCCATAGGGAAGATCAACTGACCAGTTTCTATAGCATTTGTTTCTGCCCCTCTCCTCTATAAACAAGACTCTTCAATTGTTCTCAGAAATAAGACCCCAGGTAAATCCAATTACTCAAATTAGCATTTAATCTGTAAGAACCCTTTTGCCATCACCCTTACTTGATCCTAGAGCTTAGAGAAAATACAAATATTCCTTATAATATTTCCTGCCCCTAATACCAGCTCTCCAGTTACTCTAGACAGTTATAAAAGACTATTTAGTTTTATTTTCATATTAAATATTTCATTTATTTTTATTATTTAAATGAAAGTAATATACTCACATACCTTGCAGGATGAAGATGAAATAAGTAGCATATGGGAATGAGCAGAAATTAAAAAGCACATTGTGAAGTGCTTTGAGTTATTAGTTTTGAGCTATGAGTACAAATTATTATTATTGCTGAACCATATTCTGCCAAAAGTTTCAAATGTAATATGTTTATTAATGGCGAGATACAGTACGTTGCCACTAAACTTGCAGCAACTAAACACTTTGGGGTAGTCATTATAAACACCAAAGCCCATTGTGACATTCTCATGAAACTTTGTTTTGAAAAGACACATTTGAAAAACCTTTTCGCTGATTTATAGCCCAGAATTACATCTTTAACAAATACATGATTGAGTTTTATTCTAACGTCCACAGAAACAAAGGCTGATGGCTATTTTCCCTCCAAGATTCTGAATATTTTCCTTTTCATGTACATCAACTTTCTGTCACTTTATGTGTGTATTTGTGTGTGTGTGTGAGAGAGAGAGAGAGAAGGAGAGTGCATGAACATGTGCGTGTGTGATACGGAGAGATCACCAGAGCCACACACCTAAGAAGACTTACCTAGTTCTAAGACGATAGGAATTTCTTAAAGAGGGTGTTAAGGAGAGAGTTTCAGACAGGGAAACACCAGGCACTACACGAAGCATAGAGAAACTAAAGCAGAAGATAACCTTGTTGTGCTTTAGCAGCTCACAATGCAGTGGGGAAGATGGATTGGTAAGCAAATGACTCCAGCTGACTCAAACATTGTCTGATACTGACATGAACTCTGGGAGTACGGAAAACCCAGTGACCTCTCATGAAGTGCTTCACCTAGAGGATAACATGGAGCTAGATCTGGAAGGATATATCAAGAAGAGGAGAGCCAGGAAGATAACAGAATGTAGCAAAACTCAGGAAATGGCAAGAATTTGTGCATACCTGAGAAAATAATATTTTCATGAAACTGGAAATCAGAGATTCTTGAATGTCCGTTTTATGTCATCTGGGCTTCTTTTGAGGAGCTGCTTAAAGAGTATTGAAATAGGATCAAAAAAATCTAAATTAATTTTTTAAAAAATGTGAGAAGGGTGGAGGGAAAATAAATAATTTCCAGGCTTCCAAGGCGACTTTTTTTTAAGTATTTTATATATATTTTTTTTTATTATACTTTAAGTTCTAGGGTACATGTGCACAATGTGCAGGTTTGTTACATGTGTATACATGTGCCATGTTGGTGTGCTATACCCATTAACTCGTCATTTACATTAGGTATATCTCCTAATGCTATCCCTCCCCATTCCCCCCACCCCACGACAGGCCCTGGTGTGTGATGTTGCCTTTCCTGTGTCCAAGTGTTCTCATTGTTCAATTCCCTTTTTTTTTTTTAGATGAAGAAAGCAACGTGGTAATAATTGAGGCTACAGAGAATTCACTGGCATTAATGCTGATCAAACAAGCAAAAGAAATCTGTGATTGAAACATACTGCGACCAATTTTCCAATTTTGTCAACTCACCAAGCAACAAATCTTATACAACACCTGGTGACCTGTATAAATAACTATTCTTCTGGGGCGGAAGAAACTTGGCATGTGAGTGAACAAGATTATGAATCTACTGCTTAGCCAGTGTCTTTGATAGGCCATTTAGCTTTCTTTCAGTTGCCTAGCCTTGTCACTCCCCCTCTATTTCAACATTTCTGTAATATGTTCTAGCCATCAACCATGAATTCAGTGAACATCTTTCTTTTTTATGTATGTGTTATTTTACTCTTCAAGTGTGGAAATATAGGGCCAGGTGTGGTGGCTCATGTGTGTAATCTCAGCACTTTGGGAGGCTGAGGCGGGCCGATCACTTGAGGTCAGGAGTTGAAACCAGCCTGGCCAACATGGTGAAACCCCATCTCCATTAAAAATACAAAAATTAGCTGGGCATGGTGGCATGCACCTGTAATCCCAGCTACTCGGGAGGCTGAGGCACAAGAATCACTTGAACTCGGGAGGTGGAGTTTGCAGTGAGCCGAGATTGCATCACTGCATTCCAGCCTGGGGGACAGAGTGAGACTCTATCTCAAAATTAAATAAATAAATAAATAAATAAAATAAAAATAAAAATTTAAAAAGCATAGAAACATAGAACCCAAATAACTGCACTGTTAAACAAACTGCATACTATAGATCACTTGAATTGATCACTGCATTGATCACATTGTGAATTGATCATTGTGAATTAATAACAAAGCCAGTTTTGTGACTTTTTCTTAACTTGGAGTGCTACTCTTCAAAGGTATTAAGAATTTCAATCTGTTTCAATGTGAAACTTCCTTTAATATTTGCAATTGTTGAATAAATACATTATTTAAAAGAAAGATAATGGCTTACTATGGAGGTCTTATTAGTGGTTAGCAAAATTGCAGGCAGGGAGATTGACTAGGAGGCTATGCAAGTAGAACTGACTTCACAATCACATTTCTAAATTCTGCTTATGTGTGATTATTATTTGCAAAAGGAGAAACACCACAAAATTCACTGAGCTACACTTCATCTCCTTCTGATACATCTTAATGGTGGCAATTTTAACAACACATTATCTCAAAAAAGTTATCGGTGTACATTAATAAGTATTCCTATGTCTGTGCCATGGATTTACGTCATGTTCTGACATGTGGAACCAGAACTTAGATATTAATCAAGGTAACAGAGAAAAGCATTCATATTAACATTTCATGAAAATGTGATTTTAAATAGAAAAATGTCCATCCAGGTAACATTTTCTTGTCAGATCATAGTTTTAAAATTCAGCCATAGAAGCTGGCTTTGGAAGTTGTTTGGGATGAGATTTGAAACAACAAAGAGAATAAAAACCTTTTGAACTATCGTTGATTAATACTGACTAACACCCAACTAGAATATGCATGTCATTTTCCTTTGTAAATACAATGATACGTATGAAGTCCCCCTTACAATATTTTCCAAAGATGTTTTAAAAAAAGCTTTTGCCAGACAGGATGTACAACATTACACAGATTTTAACAAAAGTAATTGGCGACATAAAGAGATAGACTGATGGGAGACCAGTATTTGAATCTATATAATATAGGCAAAAATTTATCTATTGATTTACTTATTTATGTTTTTAAATTTTTTTTACACAGTTTTTTGAAACATAGTCTTACTATGTTTTCCAGGCTGATCTTGAACTCCTGGGCTCAAGCAATCCTCCTACCCCAGCCTTCAGAGTAGTTGGGATTACAATCTAAACTTCAAACAAATAGAGACCAAGATAATTAGCTTCCTAGCTCTGACAACAGGACATGAGAAATGTGATGTAATATGAAATTGGAACATGCAAGTAGAGAAGAAGAACAAGAACCGTAAAAGGAGAAGAAGAAAATTTTGGCCAGTGACATATCAACCTAATGTACAATACTTTAAGTGTTTTAAGTATTCTAATAAAGGAGAATTTCCTATTGATACTAGACTTCTACAATAATTATAACTTAGTATATACCTGATTTGCTTAATATTTGTGTCATGCCCAGCCATATAAAATTGTTGCATTTTTCTATTTCATGATCTTGTTTATTTGTTACTGTTATGCTTTCCCCAGCTACTATGTAAATCCCTTAAGAACTGTGTCAGTTTATCATTTCTGAATCCTTAATACCCAAAAGAGTGTTTAGCAATAAGAAGCACTCACTGAATATTGATGAGTGACTGCATTAGTATATGTATTAAATTTGAGATGAAACACAAACTTAACATTCTATTTTCATTTTGAGCATCAAATACAGGGTACTTACTATATGCAATGCACTGTGATAGGTGCTTCAAAAATATTCTATAAATCCTCATAACAGTCCATGTTAGTGATAAATACAATGAGATTAAGAGGTGAAGTGGCATGCCTGAAAACATAAAGTACATCAAAGAGATCTGTGTAAAGTCAAATCTGTATGTACATTATACGCATTTAATTTTCCTTTTATATATAAAAAGAATTTAAATATATATCCTATATACTTACATATATTTATATGTATTCATATACATCCTTACATATTTATATGTATACATATATTTATATGTATATTTTAATTTTAAATAAATTTTCAACTAAGATCTTTTTTATACTTATATATTTACATATATTTAAATATATTTTCTTTATTTATTTTTGTGCAGCGGCAAGATTTATTAAAGTGAAAGCAAAAGTGAAACTAAGCTTCTATGTGGTGGAAGGGGACCAGCAAGGGTTGCCATTTCTGGCTTGGGTGTCTTGTGCTTATATCCCCTTATGACTCCTCCTCTTTTCCTTTTTCTGTCCTATAGGATTAGCTTATTTTCTATCCACTTGTGGGTTGGCGAGCCTGATTGGTTAAAAACATCAGGCGGCAGCTAAAGCTTAAACTCCCTATATGACTGGTTGAAGTTTCAATCTTTAGCTTGCAGCTGTGACTCATTTTGAATTAGGGGAAAGTCCCCTTTGATTGGCTGAAGTTTCAATCCCTTAGCTTGCAGCTATGACTTATTAATATATTTTAATTTTAAATGAATTTTTCCACTAAGGAGACCATTTCTTGTTTGGTGAAATAGCATTTCTTGACCTGGGGTTAACAAATTAAATTAATAATTTTTTAGACCTCGGACAAACAAACCAAATGAATAGCTTTAATGTTTGCATCTCAGTTGGCCAGACCAAGTAAATACACCCACTATGAGGAGCTGCCTAGCTGGAGACAGTATTTCTATGTCCAGATCCTCTGGACATTGCTTTATGTAGGATTGTTTCATACTGTTATAAAAATTCAATGGTAGCCAGGACTCTAATTTTTACTGAGACTTTGGAAAGGGGCTTTAGAATGTGTCCATATTCATACTAGGATTGATAATTCCAGCCTGAGAGGTGGCCTTTCCCACATCTGTCCTCTAGCAAAATTTTCCCTTTTTATTATTTGAGTTTATTTGTGTACACCTCCATTTCTCCCCTAGTAATGTACTAGAAAGGTTTTCTTTGAGCACTGGAAATAAGTCCTATCATACCTCTACCCCAATGTCCCAAACATAAGACACTATAGCTTGGATACGGTAGGTGCTTAGTAAAGGACTGCTATTTTTAGAGCTATGCCTTGAATAGCCTCTCCCTCTGTTAGCCATGGGCTAACAATCAGTTCATCAATAACTGTTGGTGTGAACCTTACTGACTCACTCTGGGATACACTGGTGAGATCACAGGAGTTGCCATAATTGTGCAAAGTAAATAGTTACAGGGTTTAACTTCAAGGATCTAAGCATTGCTGCCTAACATTGCTTCTTTCTTTCAGTGTTCTCAGCCATTGCTTTCCTCTTATGTAGTTACCAGATTTTCCATAAATTGACAGAAATTATTACACGCCAAGAAAAGATGAAGTCAGAATAATTAGATTTATGTATTCAACCATAAACATATGCAATGATATCACCATAATCATGGTATTATCTAATAATATTGCCCTTATTTTCAACCATGTGTATTTTTATTTTAATCAGTTCTGAATTACCATGTTTAGTGACACTCTGCCATTTCATCATTTTTAGTTTAAAAAGACCCAGAAGTTATAGATTAGCAAATCTGGATATTTCTTATTGCAGGAACACTTTTTCTCCAGAGACACCAATCCTCTCAAAAATAATAACCATTAAAAGATTTTTACATAGGCGTCTGCTCAAGATAAAATTGTAGACCTATAAAGACAAGATTTTCTTTAAACAAATACCAATACTTTATCAGGGCTTCAAAACCACAGTGACCTATCTACTGGTGGGTGATCACTTCTTGCAAACTTCAAGCGACTGTGGCAAAAAAAAAAAAAAACCCTGCATACCAAGAGAGATCTGCAGAAGCAGCCACCTTGCACAGTCCCTGTGTTCCATATTCGCTTGGAAAAGACCCTTACTCTTGCAGAATTCTGATCTTTAGTTGAGGTTTATGACAAAATATCATGTCCCAATTGTCGGTGATGTGCATGACAATTTGTTATGAATAGGATATAAAGTACTGAAGTCTAAAGAGCATTTATTTTTCTTTTATAAATTAATGTGTTTAGTGTGGTCCATATTGGAGAGAGAAGGCCTGGCTTTTTTATAGACTCTTTGTTCAAGCAACACTGTTGACGTGACAACATGGCCCCAAGCCAGAATGTCTGTATGGAATAGATTTCCAGATGCCTAGGCACTGAGGATTAAAGTCTTTTTTTAATTGATAAACAATATTTGTACGTATTTATGGGATACATGTGCTATTTTGTTACATGCATAGGATATGTAATGATCAGGGATCAAGCCAGATAATTTAGGGTATCCATCACCCTGAGTATTTATCATTTCTATATGTTGGGAGAATTTCAAGTCTTCTAGCCATTTGGATGTATATAATAGTGTTGTTAAGTATGGTACCCTACTCTGCCATCAAACATTAGAACTTATGTCTTCTTTCAAGCTATATGTCTGTACCCATTAACCAAACTATCTTAATTCTCCTCACCACCCAAACACCCTTCCTAGCCTCTTGTATCTATCATTCTACACTCTGCCTCCATGAGATCAAATTTTTAGCTCCCACATATGAGTAGGAATATGTGATATTTGTTTTTCTGTGCCTTATTTTACTTAACATATGACCTCCAGTTCTATCCAAGTTGATGCAAATGACATGATTTTATTCTTTTTTATGGCCAAATAATGTTCCATTGTGAATATATACCATTTTTTATGCATTTATCCATTGATGGACACTGAGGTTAATTCCATATGTTTACTATTGTGAATAGTGCTGCAATACACATGGGGATGCAGGTAGCTCTTTGATATACTGATTTCCTTTCTTTTGGAAAAATATCCAGTAGTGGGATTGCTGGATAATATGGTAGTTATATTTTTAATTTTTATGAGAAATCTTCATACTGTTTTCCTAAAGACTGTATTAATTTACATTCCTATAAACAGTATATAAGAGTTCCCTTTATTCTGGATCCCTGACAGCATCTATTATTTTTTATCTGTTTTTAATGATAGCCACTTTAAATGAAGTAAGATGATACCTCATTTTGGTTTTGGTTTGGATTTTCCTGATTAATGACTTTGAGCATATTTTCATATACCTGTTGGTCATTTGTATGTCTTCTTTTGAGAAATATCTAATCATGTCCTTTAACCTCTTTTTAATGGGATTATTTTTACTTTTATTTTTTACTGATGAGTTGTTTGAGACCTTTGTATATTCCAGATATTCATCCCTAGCCAGATGAAGAGTATACAAATACTTTCTCTGATTTACCAGGTTGTCTCTTCACTCTGTTGATCATTTCCATCGTTGTCCAGAAACTTTTTAGTTTAATATAGTAAAATTTGTCTACTTTTTGCCTGTGCTTTTGATGTCTTATCTTAGCCATAAAATCTTTTCCTAAACCGATGTCCTGAAATGTTTCCCTCTATTTTTGATTCTAGTAGTTTTATAGTTTCAGATATTATGTTTAAGTCTTTAATCCATCTTGAGTTGATTTTTGTATATGGTGAGAGCCAGGCATCCAGTTTCATTCTTCTGCATATGGATATTCACATTTTTGTACACCATTTAGTTAAGAAGGTTTCTTGTCCACAATATATGTTCTTGATATGAAAAATAAGTTGGGTATAAATATATGAATTTATTTCTAGTTTCTTTATTCTGTTCCATTGGTCTTTGACCGTTTTTACACCAATGCCATGCTGTTTGAATTACAATAAGCTTGTATATATCTTGACATCAGGCAGTGTCATGTCTCTAGCTTTGTTCTTTTTGTTCAGGATTAATTTAGCTGTTTGGGCATTTTCTTTGTTCCATATAAATCTTAGGATTTTTCCTATTTCTGTGAAAAATGACATTGGTGTTTTGAAAGGGATTGCATTGAATCTGTTGAGTCCTTTGTGTAATATGATCACTTTAAATATATTATTCTTCCTATCCATGAGCATCAAATGCCTTTCTATTTGTTTGTGTCCTCTTTAGTTTCTTTCATCAGTGTTTTATAGGTTTCCTTGTATTTTTCAGTATTTTTTGTAGCTATTGTAAATGGCAGTGTTTTCTTGATTTTTTTCTTAACTAGTTCATTATTTGTGTATAGAAATGCTACTGATTTTTGTATATTGATTTTGTATCTTAAAGCTACTAAATTTATTTATCTAAGAGGTTTTTGTTATAGAGATTTTAGGTTTTTTTAGATGTAAGATTATGTCATCTTCCAAAAAAGATAATTTCATTTTGTCTTGTTTGAGCCATTAGAGAAAAAGATAGTTCAGCTTTTCCCCACTCAGTATGATGTTAGCTGTGAGTTTGTCATATATAGCCTTTATTATGTTGAGGTATGTTTGTTCTATGCTTAGTTTGTTGAGAGTTTTCATCAAAGGGTATGTTGAATATTATCAAATGCTTTTTCTGTGTCTGTTAAAATGATGATATGTGTTTTGTTCTTTATTCTGTTGATGTGATATGTTTATTGATTTGTATTTGTTACATCATCTTTGAATCTGTGGGATAAATCCCTCTTGATCATGGGGTATTATCTTTCTGATGTGCTGCTGCATTGGTTTGCTGGTATTTTGTTCAGGATTTTTGTAACTATGTTCATCAGGAATATTGGCTTGTAGTTTTCTATTTTGTTGCATCCTTGCCTGGTTTTGGTATCACTGTAGTGCTGGCCTCATAGAATAAGTTAGGGAGAATTTCATTCTCTTTAATTTTTTGGAATAGTTTGAGAAGAATTTGTAAGTTTGTTACAATTCAGCAATAAAGATATTCGGTCTTGAGATTTTCTTTTTTGGAGACATATTTACTTTATTAATCTGGGTGCCCTGGTGTTGACTGTATAAATTTTTAGAGTTGTTATATCCTCTTGCTGAATTGATCTTTTTATCATTATATAATAACCCTAATTTTACTGTTTTTTACTTAAAGTCTGCTTTATCTGATATAGGTATAGCTACTCCTGTTTGCTTTTGTTTTCCATTTACATGGAATTTTTTTTCCAGCCCTTTACTTTCAGTCTATATGTATCTTTACAGGCAAGTTTCTTGAAAGCAGCATATAGTTGGGTGATTTTTAAACATCTATTTAACATCTATATCTTACAAGCAGAAATGCATTTACACTCAAGGCTATTATTGATATGTGAGGGCTTATTCCTGTCATTTTAATTTATTTCTTTTTAATCTTTAGTTCTTTTTTTCATTATTTATCATTGTGGTTTGATATCTTTGTTTCTGTACTGGGAATGTTTAATTTATTTCTAACTGCCATTTGTGTATCTGCTGTACCAATGAGTTTTATACTTCCATATGTTTTCATAATGGTAGATACTGTCTTTTCGTTTCCATGTTTAGGATTCCTTTAAATATCTCTTCTAGCACCAGTATAGTGGTAATGAATTCTCTCAGCTTTTGCTTGTCTGGGAAAGATTTTGTTTCTCTTTCATTTAAAAATAATATTTTTTGGGGGGCTGGGTATGTTATCCTTGGCTGGCAGTCTCTTTTTTTCCTTTCAGCATTTTGAAGATATTATCCTATTCTCTCCTATCCTGTGAGGCTTCTGCTGAGAAATCCACTGTTAATATAATGGGAGCTCCCTTACAAGTGATTAGATGCCTTTCTCTTGTTTTTAGAATGCTATTTTATCTTTGACTTTTGATAGTGTGGCTATAATGTGCTCTGGAGAAGACATTTTTGTTATTTATTTTTGTTGTTGTTCCTTTGAAAAGACATTGTTGAATTGTCTCTATTTCAAAGTCTCTGAGCTTCCTGTAGCTGGCTGACTAAATCTCTTACCAGACTTAGGATTTTTTTAGGTATAATGTCATTAAATAGGTTTTATATTACTTTGATTTCCTCTTGGCCTTCTAGAATACTGAAAATTCAAATATTTGGTAACTTCATGTTATCTTATGTGTCACATGGGCTTTGTCCATTTTTTAAAAATATATATTTGTTTCACTGGGTTATTACTAAACATCTGTCTTCAAGTTCTAAATTTTTTCATCTACTCGATCTAGTCCATCGTTGAAGCTTTCAAATGTGTTGTTTATTATTTTATTCAGTGAATTGTTTATTTCCAAAATTTCTATTTGCTTCTTTTTAATAATCTAGCCCTTGGTAAATTTCTTCTTCATATTCTGAATTGCTTTTCTGATTTCATTGTATTGTGTATCTGTAATCCCTTGTATCACATTGAGCTACTTTAATATTAATTGAATTATTTTTCTGTAATTTAATAAATTTCTTTTTTATTGGAATCTGTTGCTGAAGAATTACTGTGTTCTTTGGAGGTATCATTATTTTCTTACTTTTTAATGTTTCTTGTGCCCTTACGTTGATATCTGTTTATCTGCTAAAACAGTCACTTCTTCCAAGTTTTTCAATATGCTTTCATAGAGGAGGACTTTTTCATGAAAATGCATCTGTGGTGTTGGCTGGGTAGGGCACTAGGCTTTGATTCTGTGTTCATGCAGTAGTGTAATCTCTGTATAAGTTTTTCAGATATAAATGGGATCAGTGATGTCTGTGGTTTTCTCTATGGCTTAGAGTTTAGTTGTTAGTGGAGGCTGTGGTGAAGTTTTGCTGGGAATGGGGATGCCAGGTTGACCAGTGCTTGGACCCAATGGTGGCAGTAAAAGGCTGAACATGTTTGTCCTTGGGTCCCACAGTGATGTACACTGGTGCCAGTGTTAGCAGTTCCATGTGGGTCAATTATTGGCCCTCTAGATGACTTGTTCACATGCTGACAGTGGCAACAATGGGCTGGGTGGGTGAGCAATAAGCCTTAGGCCCCTGGACAGCATGTGTAGTGTGGGCAATGGCAATAGCAGTGGTGGGATAATCTGTTCTCAAACAGTCCACACTGATGTTGGTGGTGGCTGTGATGGGCTGGGTGGGGAGCTTACAGGCCTGCAGGTGGTACATGTAGGTGGGTGCCAGCTGTATTGGTTGCAGCAGGTCAGGTGGATCCAACCTCAAGCCCCTGTAGGAGTGCTCAAGTGCAATAATGGTAGGTGGGAATGTGCAGTCCCCAGGCTCATAGATGGTATACTTAGGTATTGGGGAGGTAGAGCTGGGCTGGGAGGTCCTGTCCTCAGGCTCCTCGGTGGTGTGTGCAGGTGCTGGCTATTGCAGAAATGGGTGAGGTGATCCCCAGACCAGTGGTGGAATGCTCAGGTGGGATCATCATCAGTTGTACCATGTTCCTGTTGCTGGAGAGGATGGAGTTGCTTTTAGTGGCATCAACCATAGGCAGGCAGCCAAGGAATGTAGGCTTGGGCTCCTGGTGGCAGCTATAGGCAGGATAGCCTGTCCTCTGGGCATCTGTAAATGTGCAGTGGCTCTGCTACTGGAAGAAGTGAGGTCACTGCCAGTGCCTTGCACTTTGACCATGATGGGAGCAGTCAGCAGTAGCAGTGGCTACAGGTTAAGGATGTCAATCCAGGGATGTTGAGATGCAGGGGCTGTTGGACTTCACTGCAGGATGCAATCTAATGGAGCCTGAGTTCTCACAATAGAACTGTGCTGTAATTAATTGCTTAAGACCTGGAAGATGTATGGGACTCAGTGTGATCTCCCTCCCTGGAGCAATGCTTTTGCAAGGTCTCCAGGCAGCTCCATATGTTAGTCTTAGTGCCCACAGGAGTCGAGGGGTTCTCCCATGGTTAAGACTGCAAAAGTCCACATGGAGATGTGGACCACTGAGGGTCTCTTATCCTTCCTCCCATTGGAAGCCTCTCTGGGCTCCCTGCTAATCCAGTTAAGCAGCCTGCCTCACTTCCCTCTCCTTCCTTGCCTTAGGTATTTCCTGCTACTTGTCTGTTGAACCACAGTGTTCTCTCTTAGATTATCTATTCAAAGTGTGATTATTTACTCAATATTTTTATTCTTCTTTGTGAAGAAGGCCAAGTACCAGATGCCTCTAGTCAGCCATCTTGAAGTCCAGCATTGAAGTTAAAATTTACTTGTTATTGTTTTATGTTTCTTTTTACAAATAAATTTGTAAGTTTACATATTTACACAAAAGCAATGTTCTTTTGCATTCTGTGCTTAAAAAAAGTTTCATTTCAGCTAAAGTGTCAGTTAGTGCTTTCATATCTTACCACTGAAACAGCACAAAAAATAGTAATATTCTAAATATTTATAATTTTCAACTGACAAAAGAAATAAGGAGTTGAGGGATTTCATTCCAAAGGTCTCATTTCCATTTTCAATTTTGTGAGCTTAAGATATTTTTTCTTAAAACTACACATACACAACTGCAGGTATAAATGGGTTCAAAATAAATGCCAATCATTAGTTTCATTTGTTTCAGTATCAAATGAAATAGGATTTTGTTGAATGTATTGTACATTCTCAAGAGTATTTATATAGGAGGCAAAAAAAAGCCTAATTTTTAATAGTAGCTCAGATACCAAATTCTGTATATTTGAGCAGGTTCTAAATATAGCAAGTAAGAAGAGAAGTTAAATCTTTGTGAAAGTTGTTCATTTCATAAAGTTATTTGGTGGTTTTATTTCACCTCTCTGAACTCCTGCTCTAAAAAAACTTTGTTTATTATCATCTAACACTAGCTTATAATCCTCTTTGTGCTGCTATCTAAACTTCTCAGGATAATTCAAACACTTTAGAAGTTAAAAAGAATTATTTATGAAATGCTGATGACCATTGCATGTTATCACCAAAGACTGTGGCTACAGTATGTACAAAAGGATGGATCATTTTAAGAAGATAAGAGGAAGAACTGAAAGTATTATTGGAGAACAAGAGAATAGAAATAATATTCAAATATTAGGCAAATTGAGGCATTTTTGAGCCATTTTGATTTACCTTTACATGACAAAATCCACAACTAAATGGGAGAAACTTGAATTTAAAAGCCATAGTCTAGTTTAGCCTTTCTAAATATTTGACTAAAGGTCATCTTCCTGTCATTTTTAAACTCTGAAAGAACAAATTAAATAGCCCAACAAGACTATCCAACTTACATAAATCTAGGTTTGGTTTGCTTTGAGATGGAAAGTTCCATCCATTTCCATTGCAAAAGTGAGACAAGCGAATGAAAATTCCCTAATTTTTCTCCTATTTTTTCAAAAGTAAGTGTAGAACGGCTTTGTTAGTTTACATTTTGTGTTGGCCAGCATCCAAGTTGGCTCCTCATGGCCCCCACCCCTGGGTATTCACACTCTTACTTAGTCTGTTCCACATTGTACTAGAATTAGTCTGTGTGCCACATAGAACATAGCAAAAGTGATCATATGATCATATGCCACTTATAATGTTATGCTATAAAGCCTTGGCTTCCATCTTGGGCATCTCCCTCCCTCTCTCTCTTCTCCCTTTCCCTCTCTATATCCCCTTCTATCTCCTTCCTTGACTCATCATTTGCCTGGAGGAAGCCAGCTACCATATAACTAATGTAGCCTGTAGAGAGGCACACATAGTGAGGAGTAGGGGTCTCTGTCCAAAAGTCAGTAAGGAATTGAGGCCTGCCAAGAACTAAGTGAGAGAGCTTGGAAGTGGATCCTCTACCTCCAGTTGAGCCTCGAGAAAACTATAACCCTGGCTGGCAACATGGTGAAAGACCCTAAGCCAGAATCTTTCAGCTAAGCTGCTCCCAGATTCCTGACCCTCAGAGGCTGAGTATGATATGTGTTTATTGTTTTAAGCTGCTAAGTTTTCGAGTGATCTGTTATGCTGCCATGCTATCTAATAGAGATTTGAAATGATTTCCATTGCTATTTGGTTGCCCATGACTCCTACATTCTGAAGGAAAGTGGTTGTTTATAATTTTACTTAGTTCATCATCTTATATTACATGCATAGCTATTACTTTTTAAGAAGAAATGAGAACAATTTTTTTATTAGAAATTTGGAATGAATATTTTATTAGGATCTAAGAAGTGATGAGTTTAAGAATGTTGTTTTCTTAATATAAAATCAGATCTCTGTATTTGAGATATTATGGAAATTGTTTATTATTTTTATATAAGAAAACTTAGTAAATACCTCGTGATATGTTTTAACTTCTAGTTTCAAAATCAATGAAAATTAATTTTTTAAATTAAAATAAGTTACAGTTTTTCACACAAAATAGATACATCTGCTAAGCAACATTATTTTTTAACAATAAATAAAATAAATAAAAATTACACAATATAAACAAAATAAAAATAATTAATACATACGTAATAATATATGATGAAATAATAAAGTAATATCCTTTTAAAATAATATAATTATCACTACTTATTTAGAGCCTGATATGTGATAAAATTATTCAAATTATTAGATAGAAACAATTTTAACCCTTACAGAAGTTCTGCAAAGAGATACCATTAATTTCTAGTTTTCAAGTGGACAGATCAACACTCAGAGGCATTTAGTGATTTATACAAGGAAAAGTAGGTAGAAAATGCATGAAAATACATACACTCACAGTTTTTTAAGATTCTAAAGTTCACGACCTTCTGCCAAGCCAGTCTACATTCATTTGAATAAATTTTATGTTAAAACTAATTTAGATTAGCTTCACGTGGAATTTTGGACAGCGAGTACACTTATTTTGAATATACACATCTGTATCAATATTTTTTGAAGACATGACCTAAATGATTCAGAAAGAAGTCTGATGAAGGAGAGAAATCATTAGCCATATAATGTTATTTGATAAAAATATGTGATGACTCTGAGGAAGTGACCCTGTGCTTCTCTTGTGTTACAAAAAGTGTCTCTACCTCACTCCCAAGAATCTCAGGGTCTGGTGGTGTGAAAGTTGAGTTCCTTATTATTTATTTTTCTTCTTCAGAATTGGCACATTCATTGTCACACTGTATTAGTCAGGGTTCTCTAGAGGGACAGAACTAATAGGATAGATGTATATATAAAAGGGAGTTTATTAAGGAGTATTGGCTCACATGATCACAAGACAAGGTCCCACAATAGGTTGTCTGCAAGCTGAGGAGCAAGGAAGCCAGTCCAAGTCCCAAAACTTCAAAAGTAGGGAAGCTGGCAGTGCAGCCTTCAGTCTGTGGTTGAAGGTCCAAGAGTCCCAAAGCTGAAGAGCCTGGAGTCTGATGTTCAAGGACAGGAAGCATCCAGCATGGGAGAAAGATAGAGGCCAGAAGCCTCAGCCAGTCTATTCCTTCCATGTTCTTCTGCCTGCTTTTTATTACGGCTGCATTGGCAGCTGATTAGATTGTGTCCACCCAGATTGAGGGTGGCTCTGTGTCTCCTAGTCCACTGACTCAGATGTTAACCTCCTCTGCCAACACCCTCACAGACACAGCCAATAGCAATACTTTGCATCTTTCAATCCAATCAAGCTGACACTCGATATTAGCCATCACACACACACATCATCAGACCGTACCTCTCAAAATGCCTTTTGTATATGGGAATCTGTCCATTGAAGACTCTGGCACCTGGCTCACTCTCATTTACTACACTACACCTCCTGTCATTATTCTTGGTGACTAAAACATTTATGAAAATGTCCCTGTCTTCTCAGCACGTTATATCTTCTTTTCTTTCTACCTTAGAACAAACTCACACATTTATGTTTTAAATATCAGAACCATAAACAAATTAATCACCTTAGAAACCACAATTTCAAATATTCTGTTGTCTAACCGTCTTACCACATTAAATTCATGGGTTTAAATACTCTTTGTCTATCCATTAACCTACCAGGGACTCACTTTCTAATTTTTCCAGGCTAGGCTCCATGCTTCCACATTACAGCCACTCCCTTGCCCATAACTTTAACTGCCTCTACTCCCCTCCCCTCCCTTCCCCTGCCCCCCACCCCCTGCCCTCTCCTGCCCTCTTCTGCCTTCCTCTTCCTGCCTCTTCCCTCCTCTGCCTCTCTATTTCTGTTCTCTTCTGGCAAATATCCTGTCCCAGCTAAAATCAACTCTCTCCTTAACTTTTCATCTGCATCCAGATAGCTGAGTGTTACTGGAGAAAAAGCATACAACCATACTGTGTCATTCCACTTTAAATTTAGGATCATGACTCAACAGAGCTATTGCTACTGACGGAATATTCCATTACCTTCTCTGTGAATTCATTTTCACACTTACAGAAACAACAATCTCATGCTTTCTCTGGCTTCTTCCAATATCCAAAACTTCTGTTTCTAGAGACTTTAGGTCTCTTCTTTTTCTCATTCTCTGCACATCACTTATTCACATACTTAAAAGTATATTCAATCAAGAAAGAATTATTTATGATTTGACACTGAATCAGAAAGAAAATATGTAATTGCTTCTCCTTTTCATTCTTCTCCTTTCCCTCCTCTTTCTCTTTCTTCTGCTTCTCCTTCTTACCAAACAAATAAACCAATTCCTCTTTTGGCTCTTTGTGTTTTATCGCACTACTTCTGAAGGACTTTATTACTTAATTTATTTTGCCTTCCCTGCACCATCAGTTTTTCCTTCTCTACCAGATAATTTCCCCTCTTATATAAACACAGGCCTTCATACCAACCACAGGAAAACAAAGTATAAAAAACCACTGACCTCCCTTTTCTCTTGGCCCACTTTCATCTCCATGATACTTTTCTATGTCTTTATACTTTGTCAACTTTTTATACTATCTTGCTGGGTTTTAAGTGGCCCAGAGCTAGGCTTCTCTAAATTCTTCTCTATCTTATACTTCCTCTCAGGTCATTTCACACTATTTCAGGGCTTTAATACCACCTACATTTTACTGATCCTCAAATATCCAACTGCAGCCTGGACATCTTGCTCCCATTGCTAAACTCAAATTTAACAGTGTACTCACTACTGCTAGTTGGATTTCTACCAAGAATCTAATTGTTAATATGGCAAAGACACTTGCTTCTGCCCCCACTTCTACCCTAGAGCCTTTAACTCCAGCAAATGGCACCACATACAGTGATATGGAGTCATACTCGATTCCTAATTTTTTACCAAATACCAACTTGCAATCTCTTTTTAAGCCCCGTTGTCACCTCCAAAGAGTAACCTGAGTTCAAACACTTCTTACCATCTTCGATGCTACCACCTTAGCGCAAACGACTCATGATCTCTCATTTTCCAGAAGATCCTAACTGTCCTGTGTTCTGCACTCTATATTATAGCTGGAAAGCAAAAGTTCTAAAACACAAATCAGATCATCTTAAATATTTGTTTAAAGTCTTCTGATGATTTTTTAATTATAATCAAAATAAAACACAAATTCATTCCTGTCTCCAAACTGCACTTGTTACACTTTCAGCATTTCTTCTAAACGCATCCTTGAATCATTCTTATCTCATTTCTTCTGGTTTCCTCCCCAATAACTGAAAAAAATACAACTAAGTGAATGAAATTTCTATCTAAAGCTAGACAGATCAGACAATTTGTGGCAGATTATAGGTGACAACAAACATTTCCTATTTCTGACCTCATTCTATGGTTCCCATTTTAAACCATCCATCTTTCAACTGATGGTTGAAAACTCCAGGATCCAAAGAAGACAAAATCACTTCCTTAGTTTGTGTTTTCTTTGAAATGTATTTACCAATTATGCATCCATTTGTTTTGGTTAGTCTTTTGCTAAATATGTTATGTTTGACTTTCGTATCTCTGATTCTAGTTGGGAAATTAAGCAACAAGAAGTAAAATAAAACTACTGTAATCCAAATCATACATTTTTGTTTTTATTAAATGCTCTTGCAAATTCACTCTACTTAAGATACAACAGTAACTATTATTATTATTTTCTTTAAAGTAGTTCAGCAGTTCCTGTAGTGTGCTGTTTAAATTCTGTTTTAACTCTTTTTCAAAGTGCAACATCTCTATGAGCTACATAACTGCTTGTAACAATTCGGTTTCAGAAGTGATCTTATCCCTAATTGTTGTAACATGAAAACAACTTGCCTTCACCAGTACAGGACACAGGCATTAATTATGATGACTGGGTATATCTTACTGTATGGACACTCTTCCTCTTCTTAGCATGATTGACTTAGCATGATTTAGTGCACATTTGTGATATGCTAACTTTTATTTGGAAGGATGTTCTATCTATTACAGTTCAATGACATGATTACAATCTCATTTACTCCATGGGAATGATTGTATTCCTCCTTCAAAACTCTTTTTCTTGCCCAGTATTTCTTCTGACTCTCCCCTTCATCTTTCTGAAAATCAGGAGAAGAGTACCTTAAAGAACCGAGTGAAGATGGCTTTTAGACTGGGTCTTTTCAGATGATTGAGATTTAAAATTCCTTAAATAAATTTTAAAAATCATCATCAAAGTTTCAAGATCTTCTCAAGAAATTTTGAGTGAGGTTTATTTTATAGTGTCACTTTATAGTAGACAAATGGTAAGAGGCATTGGATTTTTTCACTTCTCCTTTCCCTGGATGCTTTTATAAAGAAAGTAATATTGATGGCAAAATATTACAAGCCTTAAATATAGTCTGTTTTGTAGAACAGCTTAGGGTGTCACCATTATGGTTGCAAGCCAGAAAATACTTGGGAAAGGAGCAAAATACACAGAGTACAGAAGATTAGATAGAGGGAAATTAGTGTCAGATAAGGCAGAAGGCGATGCGGTTAGGCTTAGGGAAAAAACTAGGCCCACTCTCTTAGTATATTTCTTCTTAATATTCTTATTTGTTGCTATTATATAAAATTAACCTTCCCCCCAAGGGAGAGTGAAATCAGAAAAACAGATTTAGAAACTGGATAAAAATACATCAAGTGATACCCGAATGACCTTAATAATTTCCTAAAAGCATTCTTGACCTTACCTCCCACTAAAATAATAGATTTTAAATTTAATAGTTTAGAATAGGGTAGGAAGATTTATTAAACAGGAAAGAAATAAATTTTCTGTAGGAGATTTGAGTTCATAATGTAGCAGAGATCAGTGACAAGAGAAATGGCTAAAACAATATACATTGTGATTGAACTTTAAAAGAAAGGAAAGAAACCAACATCGGAAAATGTGTTGCTATGAATATAGAATCTCTACTTATTCTGACTCTCTAGAACACCTTCTTGCCTTAGTTAAAACTCCAAGCAACAATTGCACTAGCATTGCCTATGTCCTGGGGCAAAAAAGGATTATGACTTTGGATTCTTTCCCTGATGGGGATTCCTGAGAGACAGGGAATTAAAATCCAACCAAATTTTATAATACCAAGGGTTTCCCCAGTGGATTATATTCATTATTCAAGTCATTTGTTCACATGCAGGAACACTTTATCTATATTCAGTTACACTGGTTTGTTGGAATCATTTCCATTTAAGTCTGAAACGTGGTGGAAGTTAAAGATTCTGTATAGTTTCTCTGAATAGTACCCAGCACAAAGCCAGGTACAAGGGTCCTTTTTTGACACCAATCCAAAGCAGGAGCAGTACCTTTAGAAAGCTAAGAGAATCTTTTCTCATGCAGCAAGAGGCAGATTCTAAAGGGAGAGTGAGCTTTCCCCTTTTACAACATGTTAGAGCTTGTATGCTGTAAAATTCAATTCCCTGTATAAATTGAAAATCAGCCTTGTTTACTGGCTGTCTAACTGGATGTTACATGTGGGCATTGAGAGTGTGTTTGAGTTTTCTTTCTCCTTGGGACCTAGCAAATTATAACATTTGTGAAGGTTAACACCTAGTCTTTACATAACATTTCAAAAATTTCTATAATGCTTTCATAATTATCAGTGTCTTGTCACTCATCAGGCAAAATGAATAACATTTTAATATGTCATTGAGAAAGACACTGAAAATGGAAAGGGGGAATTCTTAGAAATGGCCCTAATTTTACCACTGCCAGGTCAACTACTCATAATAGTTATTATTTATTAAGCAGCTACTAGGTGCGAGTACTGTGCAAGGACTTTAGAAGCACTGTTTCATTAATTCTTACAATAAGCCCGAGAGACCAAGGAATAGCCACCCCTCTAATTGGAGAGTCCAACGCAGTGTTTACAACAGAGTAAGTGCTCAATGTTTTGATGTATGAATAAACACTTTTCATGATTATCTTTGCTTTCATTCAGCTTACAAATTAAAATCTGAGGCTTAGAGACATTAAATAACTCATTTTACTTAGTAGGTTAGCCTGAGACTTAGAGACATTAAATAACTCATTTTACTTAGTAGGTTAGCCTGGAATTGAATTCATGTCCATTTGACTTCAAGGATAATTTTCTTGGTTATAAAGGCTTTACCTAAAGTTCATGAAATTTAATGGCAAAGTTTAGACTAGAACTTATGTGCATTGACACTCATTGAAATTTTCCTCTATATCTTGCCTTATGTGACCAAAGAACCCTTGTCTTTTAGCTCTTCAGACAAAGATTTTTCTTACTTCCATGTAATATGAATTTTACAAAGTCTCATTGATTTAAATAACCTGGAGAACAGGAGAAGGCTGGTATAAAAGTGGACATTTTAAATTAAAGAATTTTAAATAATTAAAAAGAAAGTCATTTTAGTTCTTGATTATGTGAAATAATTAACACTAAGTGTTTCCTGATGAAGCCTTCCTTTTCTGGCTCAAATGGGAAAATTAAACTTTATTTCATTTAATGTATTTAAATGCAAAATACATTTAGCAGTATTTTGGGATCAGAGACAGACTTGGGGCAGGTTGCTGGATATCTCACTGCTACTAGTCCATAAGGGGCACTAATATATCACTGACATAAATCAAAAACATAAGTACAGCTAACTTAGGTTTTCACATATAATTCCTTATAACTGATAAAACATAAATTGGTTCTGCTATAACTGATTACATACCATCTTTTAAATCATTTTTTTAAGTTCCATGGTAAATATATCTGTACTAAAAAACAATTTGGCATTCCCACATAAATTGTATGGAAAAGACGCATACCCTCAACCCTGAGGTCAATCAGCTGGTGGCTTCCTACAGTTGGCAGTCAGAACCAGTTAAAATTCTGAAACCAAATGAGACACATTACAGTGCTGTCTACTGGAGTGAGTGGCAATTTCATTATCTAGATTTAAGAGCCTTAAATAAAAATAAGCTTCCTATTTCAGAAGATCACATTCAGTCATTCAAGAAATTGATATTGCTCATAGGCACACATATATTGCTGCATACTGTGCATGAGGGGTCATTGGTGAAGAAAAGCTATGAGATATTTCACCAGAGAAATTAGTTTCATCTCATTGAATACATGTTGAAGCAACATGTAAAAATCAATGATATGGAAGATCAAGGTACTTCCCTGTCCAGATCATCTGCATTGCCTAATACAGTCCCGGTTCACATTAAAACAATTGATATTTTCAAGCATGTAGAACATGAGCTTTTAAATAAGCCTCCTTTGTTGTTTGTTATTGGAGGCTGCTTTAGGAATGGCTATGAAGAAAAAGAAGTGTCTTTGTTTCCTGTCAGTGCTGGAGCAAATTACTACAAATTTAGTGGCTTAAAAAATTATTGTCTTAAGTTTCTAGAGGTCAGAAGTCTAAAATTGGTTTCGTGGGACAAAAGTCAAGGTGTCAGCAGGGTTGGTTCTTGCAGGAGGCTCTGAGGGGAGAATCCATTTCTTTCTCTTTTCCAGCTACTAGTGGTTGTCTTCATTCCTTGGCTTCTGGATTCTTCCTCTCATCATCCAGCCTTTTGCTTCCATCATCACACCTTCTATTTGTATTTCTGATTTAACTTCCTCTCTCTCATCAGGATGCTTGTGATTCCACTGGATCTCTCCAGTTAATCCAGAAGAAGCTCCCCATCTGAAGATTCTTAGCCATATCTGCCAAGTCCAGAGGGTTAGGGTTATCTCTAGAGAATAACACATAGCCACACTCACACACACAAAGTGAGCATCTTTCAATACTAAAGCAATCATTTTGCAATATGAAAGCAACCATTTGCACGTATTCTCAGAGAAACCAAACAGTGACCAAATCAAAAAGTGAACCCTGACAGGGCCAAAGGTGTCATAGTTTTCAGTGGGTACTGTGATCAGACACTTAGCTCAGAGAAGTCCTTACCCCACTGTATTTGGAGAAATAGCAGAACACATAAACCAAGACAATTTCTTAGATACAGTCTTCAAAGAAAACAGAATACGTGTGTTAAAATCCTGAACAAATACTATTTTCTCACTAGTATGGTGTGCTATAACATTCTTTTGTACTTCTTTTAGCTAGGTTGCTTCTGCCACTGTCAAAGAGACTAGGAGGGTGCATTATGGTGACATCTCAGAGTATACCTACATGACACTATTTGTCATCATCTTTAACAGATAGCATTGGTCAGTGGTCCTCTCAAAAATTAAGAGTTGCCTCACAGAAGAACAGGTTTGATTCCTTTACAAAGCTCAGCAACTTTCTAGGTAAGTAAATGTTTCTCATTTGTTCCTATAATTGTTGTAATCTGAGGCCACCAACCTCCACTGGATTTTCACTGTGCTTTTCTCTTTTCCATCTCTTTTTAAGATATCATAGGACCTACTCATTCTCTGGAGATTTCGTTACCCACTAGTTGCAAGTTAAAAGCTCCCACTGAGTAATACTTTTCCAACTGTGTTCCATGGCTATGAAGTTTAATAAGGTGGTTTTCCTTAGCCATGGGGAGAAATATGTGTTTTTCTTTTCAAATGGAAATGTCTTTGTTACTGTTTGCTGCTCTGAAAAGTTAAAACAAAACTGTAGTCATTTTCTTTCTTCCTTCCCTTATTCATATTTCCCTTTTCATGGAGTGAGGCATATCGAGTTAGGAATAATTTTGTAATTCCTTCTGGAAACAAAAGAACAGCATGCTTTCTATTAGAGTTTATTGCATTTTTATTCATTTTTTTTTAAAGTTAAACAAAGTAACCCCTGAAGGCTCAAGTCTCTCTATTCATAATTGCAGGAAACCTGAGCTGGAGGACCAGCTTTCCCTGATAGCATGCCTATTTTTGATTTGGTCATTGTTTTGTTTCTCTGAAAATATGTGCAAAATGGTTGCTTTAGTATTGAAAGATTCTCACTTGGGGTGAGAGAGTGTGGATATGTGTTATTCTCTAGAGATAACCCTAAAAAGTCATACAGCACTTTTGGAGGCTAAGGCGGGAAGATCACGAGGTCAGGAGATCGAGACCACCCTGACCAACATGGTGAAGCCCTGTCTCTACTAAAAGTACAAAAATTAGCCAGGTGTGGTGGTGCAGGCCTGTTTTCCCAGCTACTCGGAGACTGAGGCAGGAGAATTGCTTAAACCCGGGAGGCAGAGGTTGCAGTAAGCCGAGATCATGCCACTGCACTCCAGCCTGGTGACAGAGCAAGACTCAGTCTCAAAAAAAAAAAAAAAAAGTCATACAGTCTGTTCTACGCTCTGAATACAGTGGGTTTGCATGTTGGCGCGAAGTGGTTAATAACAATTGTGTGCCACCTTTCATTGAAATTAGCCTTATTATTAAGGTCTTGTACTTTCACATAATATTAATCAAAATGATCGAGCATTGCTGTAATAAAAACACACCAGCTTATCATTGTATTTCTTCACTTATTGGCTCATTTATTTATTTGTTTCTCTGTTTGCACATTTATTCTGAAATGCATGTGCCTTTTCCTTTTACATCTATAATTAATACTACTAGGAATCAAGAGGCCGAGTTTGTAGACTAGGCTCTGCCATGGATTTATAATAATAAGATTTTATCCCCCACTGAAAAAAGGAAAAAAAATAATAATTTATTGTTTGTTTTCTTCAGCTATACTGTGATATTGGTATCTAGTCTACACAACTTTTAGAGTTGACCTGATAGTGGAATTCACCATTAAACCAATCCGAAGAATGTAAAGGGTGTAATGGTATGGGCTTATCATGTCTGAATTTACGAAAGCCCAGATAAGGTATTAGGGACTGTAAAGATATTTATTTATTCCCCCAAATAATTATATAACATAGGTCCTATATTATTCTCATTTTTCTGATGAGATACAGGGGCACGGACAATTTAAATAATTAGGCTGTAGTATACTGGTGAGTAAGTGAGTGATTCACAATGCAGACAGGGATCTATCAGGATCCCAAGTTGAAGTCCACTTCCCCCCATCATATACCAGCAGTAGAGTTTCTGTAGTTTTAAAAGTACTGTGCTATCTGCCTATTTTGCAGATATTTGGTTTTCTTGCCAGATCTGGAGATGGTGACACCATTGACAGACCAGTTAAATAGCAAGGTATAATTCTTTGGAGTGATTGAATTGTGCTGCCCATTGGGGTCACTGCAGAGTCATTGCCTCTTTATGCTGTTTGAGGCTAGATCAAAAGCATGAATGGTGTCTAGTGAGCTCCTCTCATTTTCGAGCATACACAGAAATTTAGCGATGATACACATAGAACGGGAAGACATTAATGATTGGCTACGTAGTTGGACTGGCCTGCTGAACCCATCTTATGATCAATATCTTTATGATACAACATTAGAGCAGATGAGGCTAGGTTCTTCCTTGTCTATACGCTTCACCAGTCCATAAGCTCAGTTAAGGGCAGGGATTTTGTCCCTTGCAGTCACCATTTCATCCCCAAAGCCTAGAGCAATAGCTGGAATGATGGTTATTACTAACCAAGTGGAATAAATATCCATCTTTTCAATCTGAATCATTTTTCTCCCTTTCCCAATATCTTGGTCCCCATCGTACAAATATCACACTGACTACTAAAAGCTATTTATTGCTTTTGTTTACAATCTATTTTTCTCATTAGGTTGTAAATTATCTGAAAGGAGAGATGGTATCTTATTCATATTTTTATCTGAAGTAGCCTGCAGTGAGTCTGTAATAAATATTTGTTCTCCATAGACATTTGTAGAATTAATTTAAAAATGAATAGATTATTTCAATTCAGCACAGAGTTTCAAGCACCTTTAATTTTCTGCTCATTTTGATAGACACTAGAGAAGGTCTTTGGTTTCAAGGAGTTTGTAATTGAGTTTGAAGTCTAATATACAGCTTCATGGGCTATTAGGTTATTGTCTCTTTCCTTCTTATCTACTCTTCTATTTTTTGCTTTGTGATGTTTGGAATATGACTTTACAAAATAGATTTATTTTTACCACCTGACTTCTTGGTTTCACTGCCCAAAGGGGTTTTTAGAGAAAGTGGAAGGCAGGAAGATGAAGAAAAAACAAAACTTCCCTCTTCCAGCTTGCTTGCTGCTCCTAGCTATATGGCCCCAGAAGAGCTTGTCAGGGTAGCCCCCGCAATTGGCTTCAGCCTCTAGTTTCTTCCAGCACACACAAAAATAGTAACTTGCTGTATTCCCTCAGAGGTGACACCTGCAAAGGTGTTTCTGTTCCTTGGAGTTCTGTGATGTGCTTTGCAGGGCTCCTCCTCTGAGCTTCTAGTTTCTGAAAACTGCAACTCCAAATCAGTAGCTTAATAGACAGCCATTGAAAGTAGATGCAACCATGGTTGATTCTTGTAAAGAGAAGTGAAGCAAAAGGTGGCTTTGTTCATTTATATTTTATTTTACTTAGAAAGGCTTTATTTGATCTATATGCCTTGTGCCAAGAACCAGGAATAAGAAGATTTGATGATAGCTCTTCAAGAAACTTTAAGCCTAGTAGAAGATTCAGACATTAAAAATAGGTATATCAGATGGTATTTTGTGGTGTGCTGGGGATGATTACAACAAAACGTGATGGCATATTTTATTAGGAAAATTTCTACAATCCCTCAATTAATAAAAGTTTGTTTCGTAGTGCCCCAAACTTCTATTTCAAAATATTAGATACAAAAATGATAAAACTACTCTTGTCCTTGTTTACAATGTCCTCTCTATTAAAGATTAAAATTTTTTGCTGAATATTTTGTCCCAGTCCAAAATTTAATGGTTCAACCTGCACTATTCTGGTGCCTCCTTTATGGACAAGAAAAATATTCATAATTATACAATATAAAAATGTTTTATTGCATTTCTCTTACTTTTACTCTGCCTAGCATTTTCCCCACCAAACTCAAAAACAATTCAAAGTACATCTAAGACTTTGCTTTGTGACAGTAGGGAGATAATTTCCGACTGTTTTATTAGAGGACTTTGTTCTTCTCTATGACCTTGAA
This sequence comes from Homo sapiens, assembly GCF_000001405.40. NCBI lineage: Eukaryota > Metazoa > Chordata > Mammalia > Primates > Hominidae > Homo > Homo sapiens. The sequence goes on along the minus strand of NC_000014.9, from coordinate 86,816,831 downwards.
GTCAAGAGGCATCATTTCTCATTTTGCAGCATGCTCTGGGGACTTGACCAAAACCCAGAGTCTTGCAGAGGTCAATGTGTTCACCATTCTTGCCTGAGCAATGCCTGGCCTGAAGAAGGATGATAAATGGGTACAAAATAGAAACCATTTTTAACGTTCTAATTTGTTAAATAGGTTATTAGAAAAAAAGAACGATCTAGCAGGAGTTGACATTACAAATATCAGATTCTGGTGATTCTTTATATTTGATCTTTTCTGCTGAACATGCATGGAACCGATAAGTTTGTTTTGTGTGTGTGAAAAGTTCCTCTAATAAACTTTTCATCTCTTATTTTAAGCAGCAATTTCCATTTGTAAATTTATCTTCTAAGTTTTCATCATGTTGTCAGTCATGTAACAGTAATTTCTTAAAGTCCCTTCCTTGGAGTTTCTTGAATGCATTTAAGTATTATTTTGAAAATATATTTAATTTGCCTAAATGTGGTATGGATGAAAACTGTGATGGTCATTTATTTTGAAAATCTTTAATAAATTAGAAATATTATTTAATTTAAAATTCTGTTTTTAATTTTTTAAAACAATTTCAAGGTTTTTTTTGTTTTGTTTTTTAAGAAACAGAAGGTACTTGTGCGGGTTTGTTATGTGGGCATATTGTGTGATGCTGAAGTTTGGGGCATGAATCTTGTCACCCAGGAAGTAAGCATAGTACCGACAGGTAGTTTTTCGACACACATCCCACTCCCTCCCTTCCTCCTCGCTCTAGTAGTCCAGTAGTCTGTTCCCATATTTATGTCCATGTGTGCCCAATGTTTAGATTCCACTTGTGAGAAAATGTGATCTTTGGTTTTCTGTTTCTTCGTTAATTTGCTTAGGATTATGGCCTCCAACTGCATCCATGTTGCTGTAAATGACGTGACTTCATTCTTTTTTTATGTCTGTGTAGTATTCCATGGTATATATGTACATTTTCTTTATCCAATCTACCATTGACATGTGCCTGGGTTGATTCCATGTCTTTGCTATTGTGAATAGCGCAGTGATGAACATACTAGTGCATTTGTCTTTTTGGTAGAATTATTTATTTATCTTTGGTAACATACTCAGTAATGGGACTGCTGGGTTGAATAGCAGCTCTGTTTTAAGCTCTTTGAGAAATCTCCAGACTTAGTTCTACAGTGACTGAACTAATTTATATTCCCAACAACAGTGCACAAGTGTTCCTTTTTCCCTGTAACCTTGCCAGCATCTGTTGGTTTTTGCTTTTTAGTAACAGTCATTCTGACTGGTGTGAGATGGTATCTCATTGTGGTTTTAATTTGCCTTTCTCTGATGATTAGTGATGTTAAGCATTTTTTCATGTTTTTTGGCCACTTGTATGTTTTCTTTTGAGAAGTGTCCATTGACCACATGCTCAGTCATAAAGTATGTCTCAATAAATTTTTAAAAAATCATGTCAAGTACACTTTTATACCACAGTTCAATAAATATGTAAATCAATATTAAGATCTCTCAAAGCTACAGAAACACATGGAAATTAAGCAACTTACTGCTGAATAACTCCTGGGTAAACATTGAAATTAAGGCAGAAATAAAAAGAATTCTTTGAAATTAATTACAGTAGGAATACAACTTATCAAAATTTCTAGGATGCAGCCAAAGCATTGTTAAGAGGAAAGTTTATAGCCTTACATGCCTTCTTCAAGAAGTTGGAAAAATCTCAAATTAATAATCTAACTTAGCACCTAAAGGAAAGAACAGAAAAACAAACCAACACCAAAGCTAGCAGAAAAAAATGAAATAATTACATTATAGAGAACTTAATAAAATTGAGATACAAAAATTCATATGCAAGATCAATGAAACCAATAGTTGGTTCTTTGAAAGAATAAATATGATTGATAGACCACTAGCTAGAGAAAATCAAAATAAGCACAAACATAAACTACAAAGCTGACACTACAATTGATACCACAGAAATACAAAAGATCCTCAGAGACTATCAACAACTCTATGCACACAAATTAGAAAATGTAGAGGAAACAGATGAGTTCCTGGAAGCATACAATCTCCCAAAATTGAATTAGGAAAAGATCGAAACCCCGAATAGACCAGTATCAACTTCTGAAATTGAATCAGTAATAAAGAACCTACCAACCAAAATAAGGCCTGGACCGGACAGATGCACAGCCAAATTCTACCAGATGTACAAAGTAGAACTAATCCTAATCCTACTGAAACTATTCCAAAACATCGAGGAGGAGGGGCTCCTCTCTAACTCATTCTATGAAGCTAGCATCAGTCTGCTACCAAAATCTAGCAGAGAAACAACAACAAAGAAGTAAACATCAGGCCAATATCTCTAATGAACATACGTTCAAAAATCCTCAACAAAGTATCAGCAAACCAAATCCAGCGGCACATGAAAAAGTTAATACAGCATGATGAAGTAAGCTTTATTTTTGGGATGCAGGGTTGGTTCAACATATACAAATCTATAAATGTGATTCACCATATAAACAGAATTAAAAGCTAAAACCATGGGACCATCTCAATAGACACAGATAAAGCTTTCAATAAAATCCAAAATCCCTTCATAATAAAAATCCTCAACAGACTAGACTTCAAAGGAACACACCTAAAAGTAATAAGAGCCGTCTATGACAAATCCACAGCCAACATCATATTGAATGAGCAAAACCTTGAACTACTCCCCTTAAAAACTAAACAAGACAAGGATGCCCACTCTCAACACCCTTATTCAATATACTACTGGGAGTCCTAGCCAGAAGAATGAGGCAAGAGAAAGAAATAAAGGGCATCCAAATATGAAAAGAGGAAGTCAAGCTATCTCTCTTCACTGAGATATGATTCTATACCTAGAAAATCTTAGATTCAGTAGCGAGGTAAAATGGCCAAATAGGAACAGCTCTGGTCTGCAGCTCCCAGGGAGACTAATGCAGAAGGTGAGTGATTTCTGCATTTCCAACTGAGGTACCCAGCTCATGTCATTGGGACTGGTTTGACAGTGGGTGCAGCACCCGGAGGATGAGCAGAAGCAGGGTGGGGCATCGCCTCACCAAGGAAGTGCAAGGGGCCTGGGACCCATCGGTGTGCTGTATTCAGGAGATCCATCTCACATGCAAAGACATGCATAGGCTCAAAATAAAGGGATGGATGAATATTTACCAAGCAAATGGAAAGCAAAAAAAAAAAAAAAAAAAGCAAGGATTGCAATCTTACTCTCTGATAAAACAGACATTAAACCAACAAAGATCAAAAAAGACAAAGAAGGGCATTACATAATGGTAAAGGGCTCAATGCAACTAGAAGAGCTAACTATCCTAAATATATATGCACCCAATACAGGAGCATCCAGATTCATAGAGCAAATTATTAGAAACCTACAAAGAGGCTTAGACTCCCACACAATAATAGTGGGAGTCTTTAACACCCCACTGTCAATATTACACAGAACAACAAGTCAGAAAATTAACAAGGATATTCAGGACTTGAACTCAACTCTGGACCAAGTGGACCTAATAGACATCTACACAACTCTCCACCCCATTTCAACAGAATACAGATTCTTCTCAGTACCACACCACTCATTCTAAAATGGGCCACATAATTGGAAGCAAAACACATCACAGCAAATGCGAAATAACAAAAATTATACAAAACAGTCTCTCAGACCACAGTGCAATCAAGTTAGAACTCAGGATTAAGGAACTCACCCCAAACCGCACAACTACATGCAAACAGAGCAACCTGCTCCTGAATGACTACTGAGTATATAACGAAGTTAAGGCAGAAATAAATAAGTTCCTTGAAGCTAATTAGAACAAAGACACAAAGTACTAGAATCTATGGGACACAGCTAAAGCACTGTTTAGAGGGAAATTTATAGCACTAAATGCCCACCTCAGAAAGTGGGAAAGATCTAAAATCAACACCCTAATATCACAATTAAAAGAATTAGAGAAGCAAGAGCAAACAAATTCAAAAGCTAGCAGAAGATAAGAAATAACTAAGACCAGAGCAGAACTGAAGGAGATAGAGACGTGGAAAACCCTTCAAAAAATCGATGAATCTAGGAGCTGGTTTATTGAAAAGCTTAACATAATAGAAAGACCACTACTGAGACTAATAAAGAAGAAAAGAGAGAAGAATCAAATAGACACAATAAAAAATAATAAAGGGAATATCACAACTGACCCCACAGAAATACAAACTACCACCAGAGAATACTATAAACACCTCTACGCAAATAAACTAGAAAATCAAGAAGAAATGAATAAATTCCTGGACACATAAACCCTCCCAATACTAAATCAGGAAGAAGTCAAATCCCTGAATAGATCAATAACAAGTTCTGAAATTGAGGCAGTAATTAACAGCCTACCAACCAAAAAAAGTCCAGGACCAGATGGATTCACAGCCAAATTCTACCAGAGGTACAAAGAGGAGCTGCTGGCATTCATTCTGAAACTATTTCAAAGAGTAGCAAAAGTGGGACTCCTCCCTAACTCATTTTATGAGACCAGCATCATCCTGATTCCAAAACCTGAGAGTGACACAACAAAAAAGAAAACTTCAGGTAAATATCCTTGATGAACATTGATGCAAAAATCCTCAGTAAAATACTGGCAAACTGAATCCAGCAGTACATCAAAAAGCTTATCAACTATGATCAAGTCGGCTTCATCCTGGGATGCAAAGCTGGTCCAATATACACAAATCAATAAATGCAATCCTTCACATAAACAGAAACAATGACAAAAACCACATGATTATCTCACTAGATGCAGAAAAGGCCTTCAATAAAATTCAACACCCCTTCATGCTAAAAACTCTCAATAAACTAGGTATTGATGGAACATATCTCAAAATAATAAAAGCTATTTATGACAAAATCACAGCCAATATCATACTGAATGGGCAAAAGCTGGAAGCATTCATTTTGAAAACTGGCACAAGACAAGGATGCCCTCTCTCACCACTCCTGTTCAACATAGTATTGGAAGTTCTGGCCAGGGAGATCAGGCAAGAGAAAGAAATAAAAGGTATTCAAATAGAAAGAGAGGAAGTGAAATTGTCTCTGTTTGCACATGACATGATTGTATATTTAGAAAACCCCATAGTCTCAGCCCCAAAACTCCTTAAGCTGATAAGCAACTTCAGCAAAGTCTCAGGATACAAAATCAATGTGCAAATATCACAAGCATTCCTATACACCCATAATAGGCAAAGAGAGAGCTGAATCATGAGTGAAGTCGCATTCACAATTGCTACAAAGAGAATAAAATACGTAGGAATACAACTTGTGAAGGACCTCTTCAAGAACTATAAATCACTGCTCAAGGATATAAGAGAGGACACAAACAAATGGAAAAAACATTCCAAGCTCATGGATAGGAAGAATCAATATCATGAAAATGGCCATACTGCCCAAAGTAATTTATAGACTCACTGCTATTCCCATCAAGCTACCATCGACTTTCTTCACAGAATTAGAAAAAACTACTTTAAATTTCATATGGAACTGAAAAAGAGCCCATATATCAAAGACAATCCTAAGGGAAAAAAAAAAAAAGATGGAGGCATCACGCTACCTGACTTCAAACTATACTACAAGGCTACAGTAACCAAAACAGCATGGTACTGGTACCAAAACAGAGATATAGACCAATGGAACTGAACAGATGCCTCAGAAATAACACCACACATCTACAACCATCTGATCTTTGACACACTTGACAAAAACAATTTAATACATGGTGCTGTGAAAACTGGCTAGCCATATCAGAAAACTGAAACTGGAGATCCTTTCCTTACACCTTATACAAAAATTAACTCAAGATAGATTAAAGACTTAAATGTAAAACCTAAAACTATAAAAACTCTAGAAGAAAACCTAGGCAATGCCATTCAGGACATAGGCATGAGCAAAGACTTCAGGACTAAAACACTAAAAGCAATTGCAACAAAAGCCAAAATTGACAAATGGGATCTAATTAAACTAAAGAGCTTCTGCACAGCAAAAGAAACTATCATCAGTTTGAAAAGGCGACCTACAGAATGTGAGAAAATTTTTGCAATCTATCCATCTGACAAAAGGATAATATCCAAAATCTACAAGGAGCTTAAACAAATTTACGGGAAAAAAACAAACAACCCCATCAAAAAGTGGGCAAAGGATATGAACAGATGCTTCTCAAAAGAAGACATGCATGCAGCCAACAAAAACATGAAAAAAGCTCATCACTGGTTATTAGAGAAATACAAATCAAAACCACAATGAGATACCATCTCATGCCAGTTAGAATGGCAACCATTAAAAAGTCAGGAAACAACAGATGCTGGAGAGGATGTAGAGAAATAGGAACACTTTTACATTGTTGGTGGGAGTGTAAATTAGTTCAACCATTGTGGAAGACTGTGCGGCAATTCCTCAAGGATCTAGAACTAGAAATACCATTTGACCTAGCAATCCCATTACTGGGTATATACCCAAAGGATTATAAATCATTCTACTATAAAGACACATGCACATGCATGTTTATTGTGGCACTGTTCACAATAGCAAAGACTTGGAACCAACCCAAATGCCCATCAGTGATAGACTGGGTAAAGAAAATGTGGCACATGTACACCATGGAATACTATGCAGCCATAAAAAAGGAGGAGTTCATGTCCTTTGCAGGAACATGGATGAAGCTGGAAACCATCATTCTCAGCAAACTAACACAAACATTGCATGTTCTCACTCATAAGTGGGAGTTGAGCAATGAGAACACATGGACACAGGGAGGGGAATATCACACACCGGAGCCTGTCAGGGGTTGGGGGCAAGGGGTGGGATAGTATTAGGACAAACACCTAATGCATGCAGGGCTTAAAATCTAGAGTATGGGTTGATGGGTGCAGCAAACCACCATGGCACATGTATACCTAGGGAATTTTTAACGAGATCCTGCTGAATCTCTCCACTTATTTAGGTCTCCCTTAAATTCTCTCAGCAACATTTTATAATTTTCAATGTTCATGCATTTCAAATATTTTGTCTAATTTATTTCTAAGTTTTTAATAATTTTTATTCTATCCTATGTGGAATTTTTAAAATTAATTTTCCAGTTTTTAGTTGCTGGTATATGAAAATGCAATTGATTTCTGTATATTAATGACCTTATCTTCCCACCCTTCCTGCCACCAGGTTTTAGTCGTCAAATACACCTAACCGGAGCCAGTGTTCATAGGTAGTTCTAAGGTTTATTGCTTAAAGAAATGAAGTCACACAGTGTTCACAGGTAGTTCTAAGTTTTATTGCCTACTTAAGCAAAGCAAACTTCAGCACTCCTCTGAGGTACAGCAAGGGAAAACACAGGGAGTCTGTGGACCAACAGGGCCATATTTAAGAAAGCTTTCTCATGTCCAGGTAGAGAGAAAGAGACAGAGAGACAGTTGTGGGCCTGAGTCTGGGTATATACAATAGATAGGTAGGTAGGTAGAAAAATACAGATAGATAGATAGATAGATAGATAGATAGATAGATAGATAGATAGATAGAGATAGATAGATGATAGATAGATGACAGACAGATATATTATAGAGGATATACATATTAATATTATATATATAAAAATATATATAGATAGATGATAGATGACAGACAGACATATATTATAGAGGATATACATATAAATATATATATCTAAATATATATATATATCTAAAATATATATCTAAATATATATATATCTAAAATATATATATCTAAAAAATATATATATCTTATATATATATACATATATATGAGATATATATATATATCTCTTATATATATATACATATATATATATATGTATATATATATATAAGAGATATATATATATATATATATCTCTCTCTCTCTCCAACCAGCAGGATTTTTTAGTAATGTCAAAGCCAGGAATATTTCCAGCAGTCCATGAGGTGGAGGAAAAGCTGAAAGGGGCATATGACCTCACATATGACTTATTGGAAAAAACAGAAGTAAGTGAATCTGGAGATCTAAAGCTTCTATCAGCTACTGCCCTGGCAGGTGTAAACAGTTTGGCCAAGTACTCTGTTGGGATAGACTCACTGCACCTAGTTTTGCTTTTCTACATCATGCCACCTTATTAAACTCATTTATTAGTCCTTGTAGATAATCTTGTTGGGTTCCACCAGATCTTCTAAACAGACAGTTTTATTTTCTGAAAATAAAAACAATTTGACATCTTCCTTTCAAATCTAGATATTTTTATTTCTTTTTGTTTCCTGACTTCACTGTTGAACTTCTAGTCCAAAACTGAATAGAAGTGCTGAGAGTGCACATTGTTTTTTGTTCCTGATCATAGAAAAAAAAGCATTTAGCATTTTACCATTAAGTATAATACTTTATGTAAGTTTTTGTCATATGCTTTCCATCAGATTGAATAAATCTTCTTTTCCTAGGTTGCTGAGAGATTTGATAAAAATGGATATTGGCTTTTGTCAAGTGCTTTTTCTGTGTCTATTGAAGTAATTTATTTTCTTTTTGAGTTGTTAATTTGGTGAATTGCATTGATTTTTAAAATATTAAACCAATTTTACACTCTTGGATAAACTTCACTTGGTTATAATAGATATCATAAATATATTTCTATAGTTTGAATATATCCCCTCCAAAATTCAGGCATTGAAACTTAATGGCCAATGTGATAGTATTAAGAAGTGGAGGATGTGGAGAAATAGGAACACTTTTACACTGTTGGTGGGACTGTAAACTAGTTCAACCATTGTGGAAGACAGTGTGGCAATTCCTCAAGGATCTAGAACTAGAAATACCATTTGACCCAGCTATCCCATTACTGGGTATATACCCAAGGGATTATAAATCATGCTGCTATAAAGGCACATGCACAAGTATGTTTATTGCAGCAATATTCACAATAGCAAAGACTTGGAATCAACCCAAATGTCCATCAATGATAGACTGGATTAAGAAAATGTGGCACATATACACCATGGAATACTAGGCAGCCATAAAAAATGATGAGTTCATGTCCTTTGTAGGGACACGGATGAAGCTGGAAACCATCATTCTCAGCAAACTATCGCAAGAACAAAAAAACAAACACCACATGTTCTCACTCATAGGTGGGAATTGAACAATGAGAACACTTGGACACAGGAAGCAGAACATCACACACCGGGGCCTGTTGTGGGGTGGGGGAAGCAGGGAGGGAGAGCATTAAGAGATATACCTAACGTAAATGACGAGTTACTGGGTGCAGCACACCAACATGGCATATGTATACATATGTAACAAAACTGCACGTTGTGCACATGTACCCTAGAACTTAAAGTATAATTAAAAAAAAAAAAAAAGAAGAAGTGGGGCATTTAAGAGGTGATTAGGCCATGATGTCTGCCCCTGCATTAGTGAGATTCAGGTCCTTATAGGAAAGGCTTCTTCAGGCAGCTTTTGGTTCTCTTGCCCCTCTGCCTTCCACATGTGAGGACACAGCTTTCCCACCTCCTAAAAAGTTCAGCAACATGGCACCATCTTGGAAACAGAGAGACCAGGCCCTCACCTGCCAGGGCCTCGACCTTGGACTTTCCAGCCTCCATAATTGTATATGCTAATAATATTTTGTTTAAATTGTTTGCATTTACGCTTATGAATGTTATTGGTCCATAGTTTCATTGTAATGTTTTTGCCTAATTTCTGTATGTTAGAAATAAATTGAAAGTGTTGCTTTCTCTTAAATATTCTGGAAGAATTTGCATAGAACTTGTATATTATTTATTCCTTACATGTTTGATAGAATTTACCAGTAAAACCATCTAAGACTAATATTTCTTTGTGAGATTTTTAGATAGTATTGCCAGGTTTTTTTCTTTTTATTAATACACAGTGGACTTTAGGTTTTCTAGCTCTGGTTGAGTAAGCTTTCATATTTTCAGCTTTCCCAGGAATTTGTCCATTTTAATCTAGCTTGTCAAATTTACTGGCATAGCATTGTTCATGGTGCTCACATATTATCCCTTTAATATCTGTAGAATGTGTGGTAATGTCACCGCTCTCATTCCTGATTTTAATTTGTGTCTTTGCTCTTTTTCTTCTGATAATTTGGCTAGAGGTATATCAATATTATTGAGCATCTCAAAGATTCAGCTTTTTAATCTCTTGTTTTTCTCAATGATTTATGTTCCTACTTCACTGATTTCTTTCCTGATCTTTGTTATTCATTTTTTCTACCTTCTGTACTTTATTTGCTTTTCTTTTTCTAGTTTCTTTTTGTTAAAGTTGGTATCACTTTGTTGTCACTCCTCCTATTTTCTAATATAGGCAGAAAACGTTATTTTTCTGTTTTAACTCTAAAATTTTAGCTTGATAATCTCTATAAAAATGGCTTAACCTCTATGACTATCTATCCTCTTATCTGTCAAATGGGAATACCAATCGCTGTCTGATCAAACTCACCATATTTGCCTGGTCAACTCTCAAGAAGCGAGCTGCGATAATATATAGCAAAAAAGGATTAAGCAGTATTAAGGGTTAAATAAGGGCATGTGGTATTATTTTATTTGGTCATTTCTCACAACTCTAAACTGCTGAAATAACTTTAAAGATTTTATAAATGAAATTAAGGACACCATTTTCTACCTTGTTTTTCATGCATATAGTTTTGAGGAAACCCTCTATATAAAATGCAGTGAGTTCCATCCAATAGGATGCCTAGGGTAAATTATTGTTTTTTTTTTTTCAAATATATATACCATTTCAGAAGTCAGCTTTACATTGTGTGAAGAAAACCTCCCTCCTTTCCTTTTGAAGTGATTTTAGGAGCAGGTGGCATAGCTTTAGAGGGCGTCTCTCTCCCCTGAAGGCAGGTCTGGTATTGATCGTCACTGAAATGAATGCCCTGCTCTCAACAATCCTCCATATTGATTATCTGCTCACTTCACCAATTAAAGCAGCAGGCAGAGAGTTAATGTTTTACCTTAGGGTTCAGTTTTGGATTAGTAAACTATTCTTCTTTTTGCATTTTCCTTTGATCCAGAATTCAGATCCCCTCAGGGTTTTGCCTTCATTGATTCGGAATGCATCAAGTTTTCATTAGAGACAATTTTCAAATGTTTTTGTTGATCGGCAAACAAGGAGAATTAGAAGAAGCTGAATTGAATTCATAGGCAAGTTTAGCTCACAAAAAAATTGAAACAATTTACAAATAAATTAAAATATCTCATGTTTAGTAGTCATAGATTAAAGGATAGAAGTAAATCCAGTCACTCTCCAATTTACCTATCAAATATTCACTGAGTGACATCTGCCTACCTGCCAGGCACTAGTCACATTACCAGGGATACAGTGGTGGCCAAGGTGATCATAACCATTTATGAAATTTGTATTCTCATTCTTCCAAATAATAAAGTTGGCTTGAATTTGGTACTTTTGTCTATCTAGCAATCTGATTGAAAGTCGCTGCTACACCTGAATAGTTTCTCATTTTGCCTCCAGAAAGATTTAGTTGTTCGTTAGCTCTGCTAAGTACAGAGGACATAAAAAGAAAAGAGAGAATTCTTTCCCTCAAGGAGGTCACAATCATTTAAAAAGAGAGACATGCTTTGCTCAGTAGAAAACTAATGATTATAAACCTGCACCAACATGCACAAAAATACATATGCAAAATGCTAGGTTTACAGTAGTCAGATCTTGATCTCAAGATCATCCTGGGGCAAGGCAGGAAGTCATCTTCATCTGATGATAAGACAAGTGAGCCTGTGAGGTCTTGAAGCTCAGGTAGTGAGACTCTCTCACTAAATTGTTGTGTCAATAGAAAAATTCTCAAGTTGCCACGCTAGTGTTAGGCCTGTTGTCTAGCCCTACAGTCTTACTTCTGTGTCCTCATGTAGGCTTGCCTAAGGTGGTCCTTCCCGGCTGCAACCTGCCCTCATGGAGCCACAACACTGCAACATCAAGATGACTTTGATACCCTTTCTTGACATGCTGCCCAGCAAATCTTCATCTCAACCTTTTTCTATATGAAAAACCTGGAGCTGCTAGAGTATTCCCAACTTCTTATATGAATTTCCTTTCATTTTCTCCCCTCTATGGCAAGATAAGGTATAATGATACTTCAGAAAAAAAAAAAAAGAATCTATTCTGGGTCTCTCTTTGAAAAGATACAGGTAATACCTTGTATCCCTTCCAGATAAAGACCCCCCTCCTCTCTTCATTACTGGATATAGACAGAATGAATATTATTTTCTGCAGGCAAACAGAACAAACCATGAATTGAGTTTCCTACAGATAACCCTAAAACCAAGCCTTTGAAGGACACTCAACCATCGCTGTGGTGTTTTAATCTTTTGTTGAACAATGTACATTGAAAGTGATAGACTTAATCACTGCTTAGAGAGCCAGAGCAAATTAGAAGACAAACAGAGAATATGCAAGTGGCAGTGTGTTGAAATGAATTTATTCTAGGCAGAGATATTAAAAAATGTTTCTACTCCTCAATCCTCATCATCAGGGGGTTAGATATTAATACTTCCCTCAAGGCAGTTTAAATAGAGTAGATCCACGAATCAACTCCTCATATGCCCATAATAAAAAGAAGAAACAGGGCACAGTGATTCCTTATAAAAGCAGGTTGGGGGTGGGGAGGGAACTTTTTCAGAAAGTTCTATAGACTGAATGCTCTTCCTCTCTGAATTCATATGCTGAAGCCCTAACTCCCAGTATAACCCTATCAGAGATGGGTCTTTAGAAAGTAATTATGGTTTAATGAGATCATAAGGGTGGGCCCTAATCCAATAGGATTAAAGTCATTATGAGAAAAGGAAGATCGCTTTCTCTTTCCTTTCTCTCCCTTATATGAGGACATAGTTAGAAGGAGGCTGCTATGTGAAAGCTCTCACAAGAAACTGAATCAACTAGCACCTAGATCTGGGACTTCTATATTACTTAGGGTTCTCCAGAGAGACAGACCAGTAGGATAGATATAGATACAAATATATATATATATAAAAAGATGTAGCTATAAATCTATGAGAGGTGATTTTTTAGCAGAATTGGTTCACAAGATTATGGAGGCTAAGTCCAACAATAGGTTGCCTGCAAGCTGAAGAACGAGGGAAGCTGGTAGCATGGCCCCATCCAAGTCCAAAAGCCTCAGAACCTGGGATTAAGAAGCTAATGGTATAACTTTAATCTGAGATCAAAGGCCTGAGAGCCCAGGGGGCTGCTGAGTTAAGTCCTAGAGTTCAAAAGCCAAAGAACCTGGAGTTCTGATATCCAAGGGCAGGAGAATAAGGGTTTTCCAGCTGGGCCACCAGCCAGTTGGGATGGTTCCCACCTAAGTCAAAGGCAGATCTTCCCCACTCAGTCCACCCACTCACATGCCAATCTCCTCTGGAAACTCCCTCAAAGACACACTCAGAAATAATGCTTCATCAGCTATCTAGGTATCCCTTAATCTAGACAAATTGATACCTAAAATTAACAATCATAACTTTCCACCTCCAGAATTGGTGAGAAAACAAGTTTGTTGTTTAAGCCACGCATTCTATGTATTTTATTATGGTAGCTTGAGCAGCCAAAGACAAAAATAAAGTCCCTTGAGAAGAGTCTCCTTTTTTCTTGTTGGCCAGAATGGTGTTTCGTGCTTATGTCTAAACAAATCACCTTGGAGGGCAAGTCATGGTTTAAGACAATGGTACTCAACCAATCAAGAGTGATTTTATCCACAAAGGACATTTTGGCAATGAGGGAAGAAGTTATTTTTGATTATGACAACTGGGGTTAGCATCTCATGGGTAGAAGTCAGAGACATTTGAAAGAACCTAACACTTCTCATCTCCCACAACAAAGAATCGTCCTGCCCCAAATGTCAATATTGCCAAAATTGAGAAACCATGATCTAAGTGAGTCATAGATATTCTCACAGATGTCTTGAGCTTTGTATTCTTTAGATAAATTCATTGAACTTTAGTGGTATGTTGACAAACCAAGATAAATGCAATTTCTGTTCCTTAAGAAGTACGAGGAAGAGGCCAGAGCCTGCTGATTCCTCCAAAGGCTCTCACAACAATAACAAGAAATGGGCAAGATGCACAGTGTAAATTGTTGACTTGAGACCAGATTTCCATCTACTGTTGGCCAGGAAATTGCACCCCTACTGCACCTCTATGGAAGCATACTGATGCTGCTGGGGCTGTGTCTAGTCTTTTCTAAACAGATATTCTGTGTTGCATGTGCATTCTATTGACATTCAGCCCTGCAGGAGTTGGGGATGGGAATGGGAAAGACGAAGAGAAGTGGGAAGATGGGATGATAGATTTCCATCCTGTTGCTACACTCACCAATGATACACATCTCCCTTGCTTCAGATCTTCATGCTCATCTCTGTCTCCCATATTTCCTAGATTTCAAATCTGGATTTTGAACTAATGGTGTGTGATGAGTGTGTGTGAGATTAAGGTACAAAGGGCCTCCACAATAGCCCTACCAGCATTTAACTCTTTTGTTCTCTTCTCTGACTCTACCTCTTAATCCTGCTCATGGGACATTTTTCAAATGTGGTGATAATGTTGAACTTTATCTATGTTTTTAGAAAGCAGCAAAGGTTAATAAATTCCTTTCTCCTGTTCTTTTCCAGAAAAAGTTATAGCAAAGAAATATTCCCAGATAAGACCAACCTTCACCTTTATTCATGCCTCCCTTGTTTTCCTGCCTTTATAAAATCCCAAGCCTCCTTCTTTTTATTTAAGATGTCCTTCATTAATTAACTTCCTCCTTATAGCAATAGCCTGGTAAAATCATCTCCTTACTGTGTGGTGCATTTCGTCTTTCTCACTCAATAGAGAGAAAGATAGGCTATTATTGACCATGTGTTATTCAATGCCTACTGTTTGTGACATAAATTTTATGCCTTCAGTCATTCCAGGCTCTGAATTTTTTATTTTAAGGAGAATAAAACTCCTCCAGACATTTACTTTCATACAAAATGTGTGCTAAGAATTTAAATATCTATTTAAAATTCAAAAGTAGAACACTGAGTCTTCTTTGTTGCATGTGTACCCTAACTGGAAGGACAAAAGTATAGAATGTCATCCCAGTTGCATAAAAGAATGAGTAATGAGTATAAAAAACAGAGGTTAATTTCTGATCACATGAAGGTTTAATCACATACTGTATGTGAAGCACTTACAGTAGTTTCTGGTATATGAGAAGTATTCAATAAATTGAACTTTATTATCATGACCATTCTTATCATCTTTGCAAAATATTTCAGTCATTGGAGACTTTTGGACAATTTGGTTTACCTAACAGTCTCTTTCAGTGCTGCTTCTTTTCTTTATTTTTTAAACTTACTTATCTTAAGGGCTTGGATCATAAACTAGTATAATCACCTAAAAGGGTTTGGCACCCCTTGAAATAAAGGAGATATATATTTTTTAAGCCCACATATAATCTTCCCAGTGCTTTTGGTTTATTCTCAAGAATAAAAGCATAATGTGGCAAGTAAAGGAAGGATTACTGTTCAGGGAGATATAATACAAAGCTTGGAAAGGAATTTTTAAACTAAAATTTGCAAGTGCCAGAGCTTTGAAAAAAAAAATTAAATAAAGCTTTTGTGTGGTCCCTGGCTTAGAAAACAAAATCTGGAGGAAATTACTATTGGAGTAAACAGTAGGATCTGAGCTTCGCTGACAATCTGAGAAACTGGAAATTAATTTAAGCAATGAATAAAACTGTCAGGCCAAAAAATAATTGGGAATGTCATAGAAAAAATATGCTGAAGCTTATTCTAGAACTTACAGTGTTCCAAGAAACTACCTAGAATATATTTTTCATTGTAATCTTATTGTTTAGTCCACTAATTTTACCTATTTCAAAATTATTATTTACATAATGGGAAGCATAGATAAGGATTGATAGTAGTACTATACAAACATATACATGTAATATTCCAGTACTTTTTAATAGCTAATATAATATTTTTTCTCAGAAAATATTTTCTGAGGAAATGAGTAACAACCTAGTCTTCATGTACCATAAAATAATTTTTGTCAAATGAAAGGAAACCACGTCACTCAATAGTGGTATTTTAAATAATACCATAAGCTATTACATAAAAATCAAAACTTGAAGTAGCATTTTACAATTTTTAAAGTAATTCTCTATTAAACAAGATTGCAATGGTATTAAAAGACAGAATTAAAGGGAAAAACATAATAGATTAAAATAAATGGTTATTCTCTTCTGCAAACTTTTTTTTAATCTAAAAGGTTTAGTTACTTATGAGAATACATAATAATAACTATACAAAAAGTGTGCTGCAAGGGACAACTATGAACTGTCTACAAAAAATTTGGGGGATAACCGACTCCATTCTCAGGGGGCTATTTTGTAATTTGTGAATAACTGAGGCCAAAACAAAATAAGTATTTTCTATACTCATGCAAACCTATTTTGCCCAGTGGAGACTCAGTTGACTTATCTTCCCCTGCCCCCATGGAAAAAGCAGTTGCCATCTATTTGTTCTTTTACTTCAACAGTCTTTTCTCCAAGTAAATTTTTGCTTCTTTGACTTCCTTTTTGTATCAATTATAGTATCTGTCCAGTTCCCTTAATTAATGAATTTAATAAAAATCCCTAACCAGTGTTCATTTTATTTCCGTGTGAGAGTCATAATTTTACGTGTTTTTAATAATTATCCTTGAATGTAACTTACGCATATACTTGCAGAATAATGCAGCTTGATTCATTTATCAGGCTGAGGAAGAGGCGTTGAATCCTGCATGCACTTTTTCATGCCTACTCTGTGTGTAGAAATAAGTGATATACTAGAAATTGAAGGGATAAATATCTGAATTACAAATGTATTTCACATAAGAAATTGAAAATGTAATAGACTGGGATGTAATATAACTAGTCATAGGAGAAAACAAAAGGACTTGAACTAGGTGCTTAATAAAGTACTATAAGAATGCAAAGAAGAAAAGTACTTCACGTGCTCAGAGAGAACAACCAGTCTGTTCTTCTCTCATGAAAACATGTTCTCATGAATAACACCATTTTTCTATTGCTTATAATAAACTGTTTTTAATTCACCCTTTGATATGGACCTAATTAATTCAAGTGTTTTAACAAACAATTTTTGTTCTATATTTGTCTCTATAGGGTTTCTCCATCTTGGTGCTATTGATATTTTGGGCAGGATAATTCATTGTTGCGAGAGCTGTTCTGTGCATTGTGAAATGTTTGGCAGCATTCCTGGAAACCACTATCTTGTGACTCATTAGATACCAGTATCACTGCACCCTGAGTTATAACAACCAAAAATGTCTCCCAACATTGACAAATGTTCCCTTTCTGAAGATAAGGGGCAGCATTGCTCCCAGTTGAGATCCACTGCTATAGACTTTACAAATACAACAATTAAACACTAATCTTATTACTCATCCCCCCTCACCCTATGACTCTTACATATTCATTCTCTGTTATAGTTAATGAGTTCACTGATTCACCAAATCTCTAAGACGTGAAACCTCAGAGTCATATAACACTACTTTCTTCTTTCTAAGTCTTACCCCTTCAGAAGCCCTATTGGTCCTCCATTAGCTGTCACTCTATTCTTCCACTTCTTTCTACCTGCATTTCCACTACTTCAGTTCAATTTGTTGGCTTTTTCCTAGATGCTTTCAACAGGCTTTGTCTTAATTTTTCTACCTCTCTCTGTCTCTTTAGTTTATTATTCTCTTACTGGCAAACTTACACTCTTGATAATTCAAATTTCATGAAATCATGCAGATTTCAAACAAAAACAACAAATTTTAAAAGCAATTGAAGATGAAGTTTATTGACTGATAATTTCCATTAAAAAATCACCAAATTAATTTCATGATAACACAAGCCATGTTTTTGCTTATGGTGGGAAAAGATCACCACTTTGATAGTCTCAGTAACATCTCAAAAAAGAAAGATCAAGGAAAAGACTATTTGTAAAGTTGAGTGGGAAAGGTTGGTTTAAGGCGGACCATCAATGCATAGATCTGATTGGGATCAAGCAAGGTTCATAATACAATACTTTAAGGTTGGTAGATCCAGAAGACAAAATGATTTGTACAAGCTCAAACACTTGTTGGATGAGTCTAGTGCTCTGAGAAGGTACCATTTACCCTGACTGATGCAAGCTGTTCAGATAAATGAATTTTTAGGAAGCTCCTAAAGCAATTACAATGACTTGCAACTTTTTCCCTCAGAGCAAGAATTTTCTGAAATAGCAAAGTCAAGCTTATGCAGTGAACCTTAAACTGGGTGACTAGACATAGTTTCAATTCCCAAGTCCAAAGTTCTATGACAAGTAAGACTTTTGACAAATGAAACAATCTAGCCCTTCCCAAATTTTGATTATCATGTATAGACCCTACCTGGCTTGCTCCCTCCTGGTCCAGCCATGGGAAAACTATTCTTCCATAACCACATGCTTTCTGACCTCCTAATCTTTTTCCAGGAAAGAGAGAGAAATCATCATGTTTTAAAACTTTCTCAGAAGGTTATTCTACATTATATCAGTCATCTTCAAAGCAACTCATTCCTTGGAGGTAGTAATTACTGTTGAATTTTTCAGATGAAAACATTAAGGTAGAGATTGGGATTTTTTTTTCTAGGTCACATAAATGTTACATTGAAAGAATTGACTAAGAGGTCAATTTGATTCCATGCCCAAGTTCTTTACAGAATTACACATTCTTGTTTATTTTTTACCTGAATTCCCCAAAGAGAAGGTGTCATTCTCCAGTCTCAGCTCTGAGGACACTTGACCATTTCTAATACTACAACATTTAGACACATTGAAAGATAATTTTAATGTAACAGGGTACATCTCATCTTCATTATTGATGATGAATAGTGTTATTATTGTGGGTATCACCAACAAATATTAATAGCATACAGTCTGATATTTAGTAAGCATCAAATGTATATTGGGTCTGTTATGATTTAGGCTAAATGAGTGAATACTGTGCATCATAACTTTTGATGTTGCTTATAACTAACTGACTAGTTTTACCCGGGCCTATGTGTGTGTATTTATGTGCATGCATGCAACATAAAACAGGAAAAGAGAGAGAAAAGGAGAGATAGAGGCTATATATTTATCTTCTAATCTGAATTCACAAAAAAATTATAGCTGTATATGTTCCAAAATGGAACAAATTATTTAAAATAAGAGTGTATGATATACCTAATAACAAAAACATTAGCTAGATGTATTTGACATAAAAATAAAAATCAGAGTGCTTTAAAAATATTAGCTTATTGGATAAAAACATTATGTCCCTAAAAGCTCTAGGTGAGGAGAAGTAGTAATGAGGTTGAGCATAGTGCACAATAAGTAATCCCAACTTTATCCTATTTTGTTTATATCTTAACAGTTTTCATCTTAAAACCTACATGTATTGACAACTCAGTAAGTACCATTGTCATCAGCAGCAGCAGTTAGTAGAATACTATTATTCTTATTTATCACACTCAAGCAAACAGAATATTGTATTCCATTTTATTCAGAACTTTTAAGTTATATTTGAAGGCAGAATGGATTATGGCTTTAAAAAAAAACCTCCTCTGGGTCAAATATATTTCTGGATCAGGATTTTGAAAGACAGAGTCCAAAGATTAAAGAGAGATCAGGCTGTTCTCGGTCTCTTTATTAGTCTCCGTCTTACTTTTTTCCCCTTTCTCTGTTTTGTGAGCATCCATGTAGAGAAGGGTGCTCTGTGGTAGAATATAAGAGTGGTCATTGTTGGCAACCCGCTCTGACAAACTGACCAAAGTCCTCCTCCCTAGTCCAAGGATACATTACCAGGGCTATGAATTTTTACAAGGAGTTACTGTGATGTGAAAACCCGAAAGCCTACTTCAAAATGGCTCATTCAAAAAGAGCCTGTTGATGTTTATGAGGCATTCAAAATACTTTGTAGGCATAAAAAAAAAAGAAATCTTAAGATGAAACCCAGATGAGGATAAAAAGCACAGGGGGGAATCAGATCAAATATTTTGATAGAGAAACAAAATTACCCACCCAAAGGGTGTGGGAATGACAGGGGTTGAAATCCAAACACAGAAATAGGAGACTTAAAATAAATTGATACAATCAGGGAAAAATAAACTAAATTGTTGGGCCAACTAGAAATAAAGTACTAAAATTGGAGCCATGTGTGTGACAATGGGTGGATGACATATGAAGCATTACAGAAATGAGACTCACTCCTGAGGATGCTGAACTATTCATAGGACACACGGAGAGGGCTCCCACATCAGCAAAACGAAGATAAAAAATGTGGTGACTGTCTGTCACTTAACTGGAGTATTTAGTGGCTCCAGAAATGCAGGAACCAGCTTGCTAAAATGTAATCAGTCATTTGTCCCTGGGTCGCTGCAGAGACTGATGAAAGAGAGAATGTGCAGTGGTCCCTGGACAGAAAGAAAGGAAAGACTGATGGACAAAGAAACCACAATTATGTGAAATTTCAACATCTCTTCAAAATTAATTGCTGGGCCTCTCAGGCACAGCGTAGTAAAGACAGGAATGAAGAACAAGGCAATTGACTGTTTCCTGAACCAAGATGTCACAAATTTAGATTTTCTTCTGTCATGATCCAGTCTTACCCAGTAAGCGAGATAACTTTACTTATTTTTTAAGATTAAAAATAGATTCCTGCCCCAAGATGAAAGTTAGAGTTTCGATGATCTATGAATGAATATAAGTAAAATCATTTTCCTCTGAGGCTTCAGCGGGGAAACAGATAAGAGTAAATAGTTCTAGTAATTATGAGAAAATTTTGCTACTTGTGAGAAAAGAAACAAATGACAAAGAAGACATAGAACATTGTAAAGGTAAGTGTCACAGCTGGAATGACTTCATCAATGGAAAACATTAATGATGTTGTAAGAACCCAAATTCATATATGCATAAACTACTTGATAAGAACTAGAATAATTTAAAAATTAAGCAATTAAATATAATGGTAAACAAGAAAAGAATATATTCAAAATGTAGAGAAACTGGTCAGATCATCAAAAGGTAATATTTAGATTTCTTTTTTTCCTCTGTCATTATAATAGAAATCATTAAGGAATTCACTAAAACTTAGAGCAAAAGAAAATTGTACCTTACAGAAAAATACAATTTAAATAAAATGTTCTTCTATACTTCTAAGACTTATCATTGTGCTTTCAAGAGTCTATTATTAAGAATCATTATTCATTCTCTTTAGCCAATGGTCTATGCCTCATTTCTCCAGGGGAAACTTGGGAAATACATCTCTGATAGGCCAGTGAGCAATGAGGTAGAAAGTGAGCATGAGGCTTCTTTCTGATGTCAGGATTTATCTCCAACTGCAAAATGTAAAAATTTTTGAGAAATCACTTTTATATATACAAAATTTCACTGCATAACTATGTACTCCAAAACATATAATTCCACTGACTATATTATTTAATGGTTATGTTATTCTTATTATATCAAACACTTTGCAAATTGGGAAAATTTACATCAGATACAGTGTAATTGGTGGGGCTCTATCTAATCAACTGGTCATTTCAGAGTATTTTAGAAAAGTCAAAAATATATCCTATAAATGAATCATCATATCTTTGCTTAGGGTCCCTGAGAGTAAACAAAGAATGAACATTAGAATAAGTCCTGTTAATGATAATGGGACTATCTTTCTTAGTGGGAGACCACAGAGTGCCAACAGCTACATTTCATAGGTTGCATGCATTAGTGTTAATCTTTACAACACTCTTTCAAAAATTTTTTTCTTTTTTCTCAATTGGAAAATGAGAAAAGTGAGATTTAAAGAGGTTAAAAAACCTACTCAAATCCCAAATGCAAATCTACTTCTTATTGCACAATAGCACTGAAGAATAGTGCTCAGTTTCAAAGTAGGCAATAATGTTGACTTAAAGATCATAAATAATGTTGTTTATAAAAAGTGTGCCCATTGTGTAAGTAATAAAACTCTTCTACAGATACAGCTACTAAAGCATTGCTTTTTTGTGAGAAGTGTATCCTTATTATCAACTAGCTCAACTGGCATGATCTTATATATAGGAAAACTAAAGACTACAAAAAAACTGTTATAACTTATTAAATAATTTAGCAAAACTGCAGGATACAAATTCAACACACAAAAATCAGTTGTGATTATATACACAAGCAATGAGTTATCTGAAAAAGGAATTAAGAAAGCAACCTCATGAGTGATAGCATCAAAAACAATCATATACTTAGGAATAAATGTAGCTAAGGGACTGAAAGATCTGCATACTGAAAACTATAAAACATTGTTGAAAAAAATTGAAGAAGACACAAATAAGTTAGAAGATATTCTGTGTTCATCAATCAGAAGAATCAATGTTGTCAAAATGTTTATAATACCCAAAGGGATCTACAGATTTAATGCAATCCCTCTGAAAATTCTAATGATATTTTTCAAAGAAATGAAAAACAAACAATTCTTATAGAACCAAACAACAGCAATGATAACAATAACAACAAAAAACTCAAATAGCCAAAGCAGTTTTTATCAAGAAGAACAAATCTTGGAGGCAACAGACTACCTAACTTCAAAATATAGTAAAATCTATAGTAATCAAAATAGCATGGTACTGGCTTAAAAACAGACTACAGACCAATGGAAGAGAATAGAGAGCCCAGAAATAAACCCATGTGTTTTTGTTCAATTGATTTTAGACAAAGGAGCCAAGAACACACAAGAGAGACAGAAAAGACTCTTCAGTCAATGGTGTTGAGAAAACTGGATATTCATATCCTAGTAAATCCTTATAATTTTATGTTGCATTGTCTTGTATTATAAATGTAAGATGGACTTTCTCACATCAAAAGTAAGGCTTATTTACCTTTAATGGTTTCCAGCTCTTCACCTCCCAGTTCCTCAAGGAGGCAGACCAAGATATTTGCTGTAAGCAACTGTCTACTGGTGACCCAATCCCTATGGATCGGCCATATAAGAGTGACTTCACTCACCCCATTGAACCCTTCGCTTCACATAGATTGCACGGATATGCTGCAGTGATGATACCTCTGTCAGGATGACTCCAGAGAATTCATGCCTGCTTGCTCCAAACTCAACAATTAGAACTTTCTGTGAGAAATCTCCTTGGATAATGCCCTACTTTTTGGGGTCTTTCTCTCTCTCTCTGTCTCTCTCTCTCTCTTTCTCTCTCTCTCTCTCTCCACCCTCTAACTTGTTAGTTGAGTTCACTGCCATCTCCTGACTTCCTATCAGATTTTATGGGCAACCCTCTTCTTCCTGGAATCTGTAACTACTCCTGTTATTTTGTGCTTTGTTGTGCTGCCTTCCCTGTGTCTCACCTAATTGACATACATGACCCTAACTTTTCTTTTTATCAGGGCTATTCTAGAAAGTGGCTGTCTTGGCTTATGGCCACTCTCCAAGAGAGCTTTTAAGACCCAACTAGGAAAAAAATCAGCACACATGCATAAGAATGAAATTGGATTCTCATCTTGCACTAGATACAAAAATTAACTCAAAATGCATTAAAAACTTAAACATAAGATGCAAAACTGAAAAACTACTAGAAGAAAACGTGAAGAAAAACCTTCTTGACTTTGGCTTTGAAGCAGATTTTTTGGATATGATCCCAAACTACAGGCAACAAAGGCAAGAAGAGACAAAGGGGTTTGGATCAAACCAAAAAAGCTTCTTCATAGATAAAGAAATAATCGGCAGAGTGTAGAGATAACCTGTGCAATAGGAAAACATATGTTCATATGACACATCTGATAAGGGGTTATGTATTACAATTTGAGATGAGGTTTGTGGGGGGACAAAGAGCCAAACTGTATAATTCAGTCCCTATCTCCTCCCAAATCTCATGTCCTTTTCACATTTCAAAACCAATCATTCCTTTTCTACAGTCCTCCAAAGTCTTAACTTATTCCAGCATTAACTCAAAAGTCCAAGTCCAAAGTCTTATCTGAGATAAGGCAAGCCCTTTTCCACTGTGAGCCTGCAAAACCAAAAAACAAGTTAGTTACTTGCAAGATACAGTAAGTGTACAGGCATTTGATAAATGTTCCAATTCCCAAAGGGAGAAATTGGCTAAAACAAAGGGGCCAAGCACCCCATGCAAGTTTGAAACCTGACAGGGCATTCATTAAATCTCAAAGATCCAAAGTAATCTCTTAGACTCCATGCCTCACATGCAGGGCGTGTTGATGCAAGGGGTGGGCCCCCACGACATTGGGCAGATCTGCCCCTATGGCTCTGCAGGGTACAGCCCCTGTGGCTGCTTTCACAGATTGGCATTGAATGCCTGCTGCTTTTCCCGGTGCACTGCACAAACTGTTGGTAGATCTATCATTCTGGGATCTAGAGGACGGTGGCCCTCTTCTCATAGATCCACTAGGCAGTGCCCCAGTGGGGAGTCTGTATGGGGGCTCCAACCCCACATTTTCCTTCTGCACTACCCTAGCAGAGGTTTTCCAAGAGGATGCTGCCCCTGCAGCAGATATCTGCCTGGCATTTCCATACATCTTCTGAAATCTAAGCAGACGTTCCCAAGCCTCAACTCTTGTCTTCTCTGTACCTGCAGGCCCAACACCACATGGAAACCAAGGCTTGGTTTCCTTGCCTCTGAACCAATGGCCTGAGCTGTATCTTGGCCCCTTTTAGCTACAGCTGGAGTTGGAGTGGCTGGGACACAGAACACCAAGTCCTGAAGCTGCACAGAGGAGCAGCACCCTGGGCCTGGCCCAGGAAGACATTTTTCCCTCCTAGTCCTCCAGGCTTGTGATGGGAGAGGCTGCTGTGAAGGTCTCTGACATGCTCTGGAGAAGTTTTGTGCATTGTCTTGGATATTAACATTTAGCTCCTTGTTACTTATGCAAATTTCTGCAGTCAGCTTGAATTCCTCCTCAGAAAATGAGTTTTCCTTTTCTACCTCATGGTCAGGTTGTAAATTTTCCAAGCATATATTCTTTGCTTCCTTGTTAAATATAAGATCCAATTTCAAACAATCTCTATGAACTCATATAACTGAACATTTTCATTATAAGCTATGTCACCTCTTGAATGCTTTGCTGCTTAGAAATTTTTTAAACTGGATACCCTAAATCATCTCTCTCAAGTTCAAAGTTCCACAGATCTCCAGGGCTGGAGCAAAATACTGCCAGTCTCTTTGCTAAAGCACAGCACGAATGACCCTTACTCCAGTTCCCAGTAAGTTCCTCATCTCCATCTGAGACCTCCTCAGCCTGGATTTCACTGTCCATATCACTACCAACATTTTGGTCAACACCATCCAACAAGTCTCTAGGAAGTTCTAAACTTTCCCACATCGTTCTGTCTTCTTGTGAGCCCTCCAAACTGTTCCAACCTCTGCCTGTTACCTAGTTCCAAAGTCAATTCCACATTTTCAGGTTATCTTTAGAGCAGTGCCTTACTCCTGGTACCAATTTTCTGTATTAGTTGTTACACTGCTAAAAAGATACTATCTGAGACTGAGTAATTTATAAACAAAAGAGGCTTAGCTGACTCACAGGTCCGCATGGTCAGGAAGGCCTCAGGAAACTTCCAATCATGGTGGAAGGTAATGGAGAAGCAGACACCTCCTTCACAAGGTGGCAGCAGAGAGAGAGAGAGAGAGTGTTCAGAGGAAACTGCCACTTTTAAAATCAGTAGATGTCATGAGAACTCCCTCACTATCGTGATAACAACATAGGGGAAACCGCTTCCATGATCCAATCACTTCCCACCAGGTCCCTCCCTCGACATGTAAGGATTACAATTTGAGATGAGATTTGGGTGGGGGCACAAAGTCAAACCATTTCATTCCTGCATACTGCAGCAAGGTCTTTAAACAATGTCCACAGCACAGATAACCTCTAAAAAATAAACTCTGCAAAAAAGTGCCTGTACCATAGATAGCACCTCATGAAAATGCTTATCTAACCTCCTCAGAGGTCACACATTATGCAAGAAAGTCTGACATGGTGCATGCTTTACCAAAAAAACTTATAAAGGATATTTTCTGGAGGGAGAGATGAGGGGTCTACTGTCTCATGGCCACCCAAGATATGGCTTCTGTTCCTAAGTCCCTATTAAATGTTTCTTTCTGAGAAACTGTACTTGTTACACTCTTTATTTGGCCTCTCAGTTCCCTTGACCTTTGGAAGTATGTTTGCATATAGCTGCTCACCACAGAAGAGTGTGTCAAAGAGACGTCTGCACACCCATGTTTTTTGCAGCATTATTCACAATAGCCAAGGTATGGAATTAACATGGATAGATGAATGGATAAAGAAAATTGGTATATACACACAATGAAATACTATTCAGCCTTTAAAAACAAGGAAATCCTGTCATGTGTGACAACACAGGTGAACCTGGAAGATACTATGCAAAGTGAAATAAAGTAAGCCAGGTCAAAGAAGAAAAGCACTGCACAATCTCATCAGTTTGTGGAATCTGAAAAACTCACAGAAGCAGAGAGTAGAATGGTGGTAGCCCGGGGCTTGTGGGGTAAGTTGTGGAATGAGGAGATGTTCATCAAAAGGTACAAAGTTTCAGTTTGATAGGATGAATACATGCTAGAGATCTACTGTTCAGCCTGGTGACTATAGTTAATAATATACTGTATTACACACTTGAAAATTGGTAAGAGAGTGTAGCTTCAATGTTCTCATCACACATACTAAAAAGTCATAACTGTGTGTGCTGATTGATATGGTAATTAGTTTGATCGTGTTAATCATTTCACAATATATACATATATCTGTCATATATACCATGGGCCATAGTCACTCCTATTTGGCTCAGAATAAATGTCTTCAAATATTTTAAAAATTCTCATATTAGTTGTGGATATATGATGATTTTTCTTTTCTCTTTAGCTTGATATTGACTCTGCTTTTTGTTCTTATTATTATTTGTGTGTCTACAGAGGTAATAACAATGACAATAAATTCACCCTGATGATACAGATACTTAAGGAGAAAATAGAAAGATCTTTATGCTAGATCATCCAGTTAATTATGTTTATAGCAGAGATGGTTAATAACAGAGGTAAAAGGGAAGCTCTGTATATATATATAAAAGTAAATAGGTGGTGAAAATTTCCAAGTCTGATACAGCAGTCAGAAATCTCTCCTATAAATTTTGTTGTTATGCTATTTAATGGATGTGTTTCTTTACTTGTAGGTTGAAAAGGAATTGAGTGGATGGAATTTTTGAGCTTTAAAATATTTTAGTATTTTTAAAAATTCTTTGAAATATTTGAAGAGATTTATTCTGAGCCAATTATGAGTGATCGAGGCCTGTTACACAGCTTTCAGGAGACCCTGAGAGTACGTGCCCAAGGTAGTTGAGGCACAGCTTGGTTTTACATATTTTAGGGAGACATAAGACATCAGTCAAATACATTTAAGATATGCAGTGCTTCAGTCCAGAAAGGTAGGACAACTTGAAGAAGGGGCTTCCAGGTTACAGGTAGATTTAAAAATGTTCTGATTCGCAATTGGTTGAAAGAGTTATTATCAATAGAAAGGAGTGTCTGGGTTGCAATAACAGGTTGTGGGAAACAAACTTTTATCATGTAGATGAAGCCACCAGATAGCAGCCTTCAGAGAGGATGGATTATAAATGTTCCTTACCAGACTTACGGTCTGTGTTGATGTTAAACGTGGTCGGCTTTTTCTGTATTCCAAAAGGGAGGAGGGAATAATGAGGCATGTCTGACCCCTTGCTTCCCATCATGGTCTGAATCAGTTTTTCAGGTTAACTTTGGAGTGCCCTGGCCTAGAGGAGGGAGTCCATTCAGATGGTTGGGGAGGGGAGAACTCTTAACTTTATTTTTGGTCTATATAACAAAGCATCACATTTAACACCATAAACATACACAATTTTTGTTAATTATACCTCAGTAGAGCTGGGAGTTCATTATTTTCGTGGGTATACTAGACATAGTGGCCTTTTTTCTCTGGGATACTATAAAGAGAAGGATAAAATGATAGCAAATGTTCACAAAATCAGTCACTAGCTCCATTGAAAATACAATTGATTCTGTTTTCATAAGAGATGTCACTATTTTAGCAGTTCTTCTTATGCTTATAAATGCATAGAATAATTTCTAAACAATACAACTTAAATATTTTCACATAAAATTGGAACATTTTATGTGAACTGAGGTCATTCATTAATAAGGTGGAAAAATAACTCCAAAAAACAGCTATTCATGATTACTAAACAAAAGTTATTATGTTTCCTACCTAAACACATTTTCAGCTTTCCAATAGATTATCTGGACAGTTCTTGTCTGTGACTCACCGTGATGTCAGGAAAATTTACTATACTGTGTGAGAATGATATCAAGTGTGTGCTGAAATTAATGTATGAGATAAAATTTCCAGCCTCCTTTCTTCCCCCTCACTGTCTCTGTACTCCCTGCATTTATTCTTATATGAAAGTTGGCATGATTATTTTTTAATTTTTTAACTAATTAAACCTCACTTTGGTAAAATTTGTAACTTTTATGATCCAAGAATCACCACTACCAAAAAAAGTATATCAAACTATTTCTTCAAGCATCCTAACAATTTCATTCTATTGCTTACATTTATTCTAAACTTGAGTTCCTTTCCTGAGCTCTCAGACTGAAAATCATACCTATCGCACATACTTGCTATGCCCCATTAAATGCACAGTTGTCTGTGTCTCATCAGGGAGGTGGCTGCCCTTCAGTGGCGGGTGATGTAATCCTTGGTGTACATTGCATATGTCTGTGGAGGGCTTTGGCAGCTCCAGCCATGAACGGCTTTAACATATCAGATCAGTATGTGAACCAGTAGTAGAGGATTGCTGGAAAAGTTTCTGTAGCTAGCAAATATTTTAATGATGCATATGGTAAAATTGGAGCCAGCTGGCCTTTCATCTACCCTCAATACCCCAACTTCCAATGATAGATAAGCTCTTTATTTTTCTTGAGCTAAAGCACAGACTACAAGAAGATTTCCACTAAATAAGGGGCTCATTTTACATGGATGCTGAAGGGAAAAAGACATAAAGCCAATTTGGAATATAACCACATTTTTAACATTGCTTAAAATGGACCAGAGCACATGGATGTTATAGCAACGAACAAAACCGTATATATTCCGTGCTGACTGTAAGATCTTACACTTTTACCAAAAGCTCAAAAGATTAATTTACTTACTTCACAGCTTGCACAGCTGTTATTCAAGAATAATTGGGCTCCTTAAAAAAAATCAAGTACTGGCCATTTAGAATATTTATATAAAACCAAAATGAAAGATTTCTGACTGTGATGTAGGCAGCATGGGGCGTTTTGTGAAGAATCACATAATCTATTCAGCGTGTCTGTTCCTCTACTGCAGATGAGGTTTCTTACCTTTATAGATCAGCACTTGCTTCTGACTGGATGTTTAATCAACAGAGGAACAAAGAAAATGTTCCAATTTTGTGTGAAAATATTTAAGTTGTATTGTTTAGAAATTATTCTGTGCATTTATAAGCATAAGAAGGACTGCTAAAATAGTGACATCTCTTATGAAAACAGAATCAATTGCATTTCAATGGAGCTAGTGACTGATTTTGTGCACATTTGCTATCATTTTATCCTTCTCTTTATAGTATCCAAGAGAAAAAAGACCACTACATCTAGTATACCCATGAGAAGCTCAAAAATTTCATCCACGCAATTCCTTTTCAACCCACAAGTAAAGAAACACATACATTAAATAGCATAATAACAAAAGCGATAGGAGAGATTTCTGACCACTCTCTCAGACTTGGAAGTTTTTACCACCTATTTCCTTTTATACATATATACAGGGCTTCCTCTTTCCCTCTGTAGGTAACCATCTCTGTTATAAACAAAATTAACTGAATGATCTAGTATAAAGGTCTTTTTATTTTCTCCTTAAGTATCTGTAACATCAGGGTGAATTTATTATCATTGTTATCACCTCCATAGGTACACAAATAATAAGAAGAACCAAAAACAGAGTCAATATCAAGCTGAAGAGAAAAATAAAATCATCATATATCCCCAACTAATATTATCTCCCTGGGGCTGGATTTAATACATGACAATTGATGGTGACCAGTGTAGATTCTGGAGTTCAAATCTTCGGGATCAAATCCCAGCACAGGGTCTTAATAGCTATATGACATCAGTCACCTTGCATCATTTCTTCATCTTAAAAATTGAGATACTACTAGCTAATAATCAGGTTATTGGAGTATGTAAATGTGACTTTTAGTATGAGCCCAAATACTGTTAGGTACTTTCATAATTAATGTTATTTCCTTGACCTCGAGACGGCTGTTCAAACTTCTTCTTTGATACTCAGGCTTTTTTGTGATAATTTTAACAAAGTAAAGGTTCTGTAACTGGAGATTCATGGATAACATTAGCCTCAAATAAAACACGGTGATAAACCTCCATATCAAAGGTCAATTGTGATTATCAAATGTTAAAGAAGCCATTTGCCAATGTTTGCCATTGGTGATGGGGAACCTCTAGGGCATTGTGTGCCAAACTTTGAAAACAAAAAAGTCTGATCAGGTAGGTTTCAGGTGAAGCACTCACTCAGATATGCATTTTTAAAAGGCCACAGGTGAATCTTATTTTGGGTGTTAGTCTGGAAATAAAACTAGCCTGTTTGTTAACAATATATTACATAGCTGAATATGATTTTGGAAAAGAATAAGAAAGGCACCATGTGTATTTTTTATGAATCTGGATTCTTTAAGGTAATATATATTTTAAAAGTAAATTTAAGATTCTATTTGATGCTTTAGCTTTTATCCGACCCCTTTGCTTCCATGATTGGCAAATCTGTTCGCTTATGTACTAAACATCGAAGGGCCTCATGTATTCAGTGTAAGCAAATGGAATGATCAAACATTTATTTGATTTGCCATACACTTTCGCCTTAAAATTACAAAACAAAAAACTCTGTTGCTTTTGATTAAGGTTTGAGGCAATAACTGTAAATACAAATTCTAGCTTTGATTTTGTTTTTTAACCATGTTAAATGAAGTTATTTTTTCCATGAAAAATAAATGCCTTTGCACACAAAAATCTATAGTTTCCACAGTGGGCAAAAATTACGGATAAGTATCTTTCTTTTTAAGGAAAGGTTAGCTTCAAGATATTCTACAGTTGTTAGTAATCAGCTGTTGACTTATTTTAAACATAACAGCAGTTTTTTTCAATCTGCAGAATCGCAAGAAATTCAGAATAAGTATTTAATATTCATGTCATAATTTCTAGATATTTAACAAAAATTAAATATTGCAGGATTTTTGTAACAAAAAAAAGTATTCATTAAATTAATACTCAACTTTCACTCAGCCAGTGCTTGTTCAGCTTCTCATATGAAAAAATCACTAAATTGTTGCTGGATATATATTTAACTAGACAGACAGATAACTAAATGCAACATGATATACACTAGAATGAAGCGATGAGCCAGTTGCTCTAACTCTGCCTGGATCCAGGGTTAGGAAGGGTAACAGAGAAGAAATTAAATTCAAGTTGTTCCTTAAAGGTTAGTAGGAATTTTCAAGATGGATACGAGGAATGGATGGGTCTTAAAGGGATCATATATGTCAAGTAGCGATAACAGAAAAGTGAGAAGTTTAAAGATAACTGAGAAATACAAAATGAATAGGAAATTGAAACAAAATAGAGACTGTATAGAGTGGAATAAAACATGGTAGAAAGAGGTGGGGTCAGCAGCTTGAGAAGAATGAATAGTATTTTGAAAAGTAACTTAGGGAAATGGGAAAGGACACTAAGTGATTTTGTCAAACTATCATAATTGATAAGTAAATCTGAAATTTATCTGACGGGATTATATATTTTATGTAAAATTTGACGAAGTTTCTATTTAGAAACAGCTGAAAAAAATCTCATGGAAGAAAATATTTTGTTTACATAGCAACAAAAATACAGAATACATGAAGACTACATGAAGAAATGATACACAAAAGAAAAAATTTGCATAAATGAAAGGAACATTATCATAATTTTATTTTTTTAGAACTATACTATCTGATTGTAAAACACATTGTGAAAAATAACTATGTTCTGGAGAATCCTAAAATATTCAAAACTATATGGGAAATAGTCCCAAAAGATATCAAAGCATATTATAGACCTACGGTAAATTACAACTGCCTGGTAGAGACACTATGGAACATAATATAGAGTCAAAAATAATAAAACAAATTTGACATTGCATATCAATTGGGAAATGATGGAGTAGTTAATAAGCAATCAAGCAGCCATCTATGGTGAGAAACATATCCCTTCCCATTTCTTATTCCAAAATAAATTCTGGTCAGATTAAAGTTTGAACTACTAAAAAGAAAAAATAAGAAGGAATATTCAAAGACCATTCGAAGTGTAATGTAAAATGTAGAAAATATAAAAGAAAAATCTTAAGAACTTAAATACATAAAAAATCTCCATAGAATTTAAAAACAGACCTTAAAAAGCAAAGCATTAGACACACTAGGGAATATTTACAAATTAAGTTCTAATGAGCTGATTTTCTATGTTCAACTAATGAGAAAATTATCAACAATTCAACTGAAAAATGAGCAAAAGATCAGGATATTTATTATTAAACAAAGCAAATGTCTTTTAAACACATGGAAAGATACTTGCCTTCATTTATTGGAACTGCAAATTTTAACTACAATAAAATACTGCACTTTCACTTAGTAAGTCAGAAATGATTTTTTAAAATCTGATAATATACCGCATTGGCAAATTTCTGAGGAAATAGAAATTTAGAAATAGAACCTAAATTGTTATAACTTTTAAGGAGTTTTGCTGTATCTGTCAAATTAAAAATGCACACAGGATTTTATTTCTCAGAATTTATCTTACAGATTTTCTTTACTATGAGCTCAGTATACATAAAGATGTACATTGGATCACTGTTTATGAGTCAACAACAGCAAACAAGCTGTGTTAGTTCATTTTCACACTGCTATAAAGAAATGCCCAAGACTGGGTAATTAATAAATGAAAGAAGTTAATTGACTCAGTTCTGCATGGCTGAAGAAGCCTCAGGAAACTTACAGTTATGGCAGAAGGTGAAGGAGAAGCAAAGGCATATCTTACATGGCAGAAAACAAGAGAGAAGTGCACAAAGGGGGAAGAGTCCCACGCTCAT
This sequence comes from Homo sapiens, assembly GCF_000001405.40. NCBI lineage: Eukaryota > Metazoa > Chordata > Mammalia > Primates > Hominidae > Homo > Homo sapiens. Next base: position 86,783,553 of record NC_000014.9, on the reverse strand, counting down.
CAAATAACCGGATCTCACGAAAACTCACTATCATAAAAACAGCATGGGGGAGACTGTGCCCATGATCCAATCATCTCCCACCAGTTTTTGCCCTCAACATGTGGGGATTATGGGGATTACAATTCAAGATGAAATTTGGGTGGGGACACAGAGCCAAATCATATCACAAGCTAATGTCTTTCAATAAAGGTTAGTTTTAAAAAGTAGTTCACCTATACAATGGAACATTACACAACTCTTGGGAATGATCTTACCTTTCTGAATATAATCGTATAACATAATCTCCATTATATATTAAGCAAAATACATAAGTGCATATATATACATATAAAAATACATGTATGTATATATTTAAATGCATGTTTACACATATTAACAATTATATTCATAGAATAGGTCTCCAAGAATACAAGAAAAAAGTCAAACAAAATTTAGGTACTACTTTGGTTGATTGATCAAGATTAATATTGACCATGGTAAGTCATATGACAAATACGTGTCATTGATATGATATGATGAGAATCACACTTCATCTCTGTGATCTTACTCCCCAAAGTCAATTAACCCCTTTTAATCAAGGGAAAAACATTAAACAAATTTAAACTGAGTATATTCTACAAAATACCTGGCCAGTACTTCTAAAAACTGTCAAGATGGGAAAGCAAGAAAAATCTAAGAAACTCACAGTCAAGAGGAGCCCAAGGAGATACAATAACTGAACGCAGTGTGGGATCTGGTATGGAATCCTGTAACAGAAAAATGACATAGGTAAAACTAAGGAAATCTGAATTAAGTACAGACTTCACTGAATAATAATGTGTCAACACTGGCTTGTTAATTGCTACAAATATACCATACAAATGTAAGATATTAATAATAGAAATGTGGAGTATATGGGCACTCTCTGTATTATCTATACATTTTTTTCTAAAACTATTTGAAAATAAAGTTTTATTTAAAAAAATAATTATATATGGTGTGATAGTTTTATATGTCAGCCCCGTTTGGCTTTGAAACCTATTGTTTGTTCAAGCACCAGTCTATATGTAGCCACAGTTGTTTTTTAGGTGGGATTAACATTTAAATGAGTAAATGATTAACATTAATTGAGTAAAACATGTCACCCTCCATAAAGTGAGTGGACCTCATCCAGTCAGTTGAATGCCTTAATTGAAAAGACTGAGGTTCCCACAAGAGGAAGAATTCTGCCTCTAGATCATGTTTGATTTAATGTTGAGTTGCAACATCAACTCTTTCTGGAATTTCCAGCCTGCTGGGCTGTTCTGCAAATTTCACACTTGCCAGCAATTGAGTGAACTGATGCCTTAAAATAAATCAATAGATTAGATAGATGCATAGAGAGAGCACGCGCGCGAGGGAGAGATGATAGATAGATAGATAGATAGATAGATAGATAGATAGATAGATGATAGATAGATAGCGATAGGCAGACAGATGCTTGTCCTATTTGTTCTGTTTTTCTGGAGAACACTGACTAATATATAAGAATAGGAGACAAAAATAGAGTACAGGGAACATATAGAGTGAGATATTTTTTAAATGTATCTTTTTATTTAATTTCAGTTTATAATAACTACTGGCATCAACTATTCAAAAATGAATTAATGAGAAAAAATGTAAAAATATCTACTCTACATGTGAGGTTAAAGCACTGATATTTAAAATTATTCATATAAATTATCTAGTTTGATTCTCACAGTAATTTTTTGAGGCCTACAAAGTTAATATTATTACATACATTTGACCTAATTAAAAAATGGAGCAGGCATTCCAAGTTCTCACAGGGAGAAAATAGCAGAACCAGAAACGGGAGGTGTCTGATACCCAGTACAATGTTAGTTACATTACCAGAGACTCTGTAATGAGCCCTGGGGCAGCTAATAAAAGGAAGAAACATGCATTTTGATTTTACTGGTTTAGGTAAACCAAGAGAAAGGCAGAGCAATGGCGAAAGTGTAATCAAAGACATTTAATCAATTGCTGAGTGATTCACTATTAACTCTTTCCTCAAAGGGTAGGACCATTAGAATATTTGTGCTAAATTTTTAAGATAATTCATCAACATGTCAGGAGAAGCCCTGTACTTCTTGTCCATGAGGAGATTTTATTCTTACCCAGGAACTTTGGAACACAGAGGAAAGCATGAAAGTCCAGGAGCAAAGTAAGGTCTGTGGCATGACAAAATCAGATGTTCATATTTATACAAGAAAATATTTACAAAGCTCCAATAGAGGGCAGATGTTCATAGGCTGTGCCTTTTCAGATATGTACATTGATTTAGAGATCAAAAGTACACGTCCATACTTAGGGGAATTTCCAAGTAGTTGGCCAAAAAAATAGGACAGGTTTTGAATTGTTTTATTATGCTTAAGGATATAGAAGTCATTGGATGGAGGTCTAAGACAAATGAAACATAATAATTTAGAAACAATGTTGACCATAGTGGTGTTTGCTTTCCAAAGTATATATAACAATTCATATCCCAGGGGAAATAAATATGCTACTAACCCCTCCTTACTTCCAAAGACTATTTAAGGAAGAATATGGACCAGCTGGAAATTTCAAATCCTCTGCCAGTTATTCTATTCAACTAAAAGTGGGACTTGGATGAAGAAGGATTTATCATGAAGTAAAAGATATTTGAGCTTCAGGGCCCCTCACTTGCATGAGTCTTTCTAAGGTCTTTGAAATAGGGATCTAACAGTGTGTTTGCATGTTCCTGCTTTTACAAAATTTGCAGAAGTAATATTTCTAAAACTATTTTTCTTAAAGAAGACCCATAAAATCCTTTAAGCTTTAAGCTCCATACAACTTGTATTCACCTCTCTCAAGTTGGAGAAAGGGACTCATGTTTTCTCAGAGCTTCTTAATGAATCTTGAATATTCGAGGAAGCCCTGAGGCCATGGATGGTACAAAACTAAGCTAATCTGCGTAATAAGATTTGAGAATTGTATTTCCTGTGAAGCCTGAAGGTAGATAAGTTGGAAAATGAAAAGGTGTAAAGTATTTAGAGGGGGACTGGAGAGAGACAAACTGTAATGTACTATCCTTCAAATATCCCATATCTTGAGTCAAGTCTGCAAGACCCAAAAATGTCTTGCTTAGGGAGTTTTTCAGTGAGAATTCACAGAAGAAGAATTGATTTCTGATCTTACACTGACATGGAGAAGAGAACGACTAATTGGGTGTAAGATAAAAGCGAGATCAGATTCACCAGTCTAGGTGTAGCCACAATTTTTTTTTAGATGAGATTAACATTTAAACCAGCAGACATTTAGTAAAACATGTCACCTTCCATAATGTGGGTGGACCTCATCCAAACAGTTGAATGCTCTAATTGAATGTGTTAATTTTCAGAAATATTTATCAGAAATGACTTGAGAATATTTCTCTACAGAATGTGGGATATAAAAACATACAACATGGCCTTTAGCTGAACTGCGGGTCACAGGGATTCAGAGTCAACTGAATCAAAATGGAGTTGTGCCAGCAGTGGGTTTGATCATATTCCAAAAGGCACAATCCCAAACACCATAAACCCCAATGTTGAAATCCCAAAAGATCAAAATCCTCAAAATATAATTCCAGAAAAGGTATTTTAAAAATTTCTTTAATATACATCTATTTACATTTTCAAAGGAAATTTATTTGAGAAAAGTATAAAAGCAGGACAACACATCATAGGCTACTTTACACAATAAAATAGGCATAACATGCATAAAAATAACATGCGTAATTTTGCAAGCATAAACACTCAGGTATACTAATGACACATGTATAACATTTATGAGCAGTGAACCATATTCATAAAGAAATAGGTCAAAAAGCAAATGTATAAATACATGCCACTATGATTGGTAATTGTGGGTACCCAGCTTTATAACTGCAGTCATCTGAAATATCATGATGAAATACCTGGGTCTTTTGACAAGATGGATCTGAACCAAGGTGAGTCACCACTGCATATGGGTTTGCTGAAGGAGATGAGATCTCAAGAAATTTTACCCTTCACAAATGCAGATGTACAGAAAACACATCTCTTCATTTATCAGGGAAGTTTCAACATTTTTAGGTACAAGCACAATGCTTACACACAAAGTCAGTTTTGAAATAATGCACTTTCATGGAGTCAAATTAACAAAAACGGCATAAAACAAATTATAACTCTTTAAAAGTCTTTACCACACAATTTATACTTCCAATATGGGAAATGATATGAAGATAGACCACGTGGCATAGTAAGTTGTAAAAATATAATGCTAACAATTTACAATAGTGGTGGACAAATTCAACATATGAAAAGTGTATTACGGTGATAGATTATTGGCAATTGCATGGAGATTGTTCAAAAGAGCCAGCTGACTTGCACAATTATTAACTACATTTTGAAGTCATGCATCACAATGAATAGCTGCCTTTTTTTTTCTTCTAGGGCATGGCTATCCTAGGAGGGTACTTTCAGATTCATCTTCTGTATGGAGCTGCTCTTTTTGAAATTCTATAATTCTATATACACCAATGTGAGCATCCCTTATTCAATTTTCACACATTCTGTGGCATTCTTCTATGTTATTTTTGGTATGTAGAAATGCATTTTACATGCCCTCATATATAGTCCACAAATTTGGTGGAAGCTGTAAATCAAAAATAAAATTGTAAGGCCCCCCAACCATCTGAATGGACCCCTCCTTTTCACCAAGGGCATTTCAGAGTCAACCTGGAAAACTAGTCCAGGTCATGATGAAAGAGAGGTCAGACATGCCTCATTATACCCCTTCAGCATTAGCATCCACACAGAACTTAAGTCTGATAAGAAACAAATACAATCTATTCTCTCCGAAGCCTGCTACTTGGAGGTTTCATCTGCAGGGATGAAACCATCGTCTCCACAACCCAGGCATTCTTTTCCATTGATAGTAACTCTTTCAATCAATTGCCAATCAGAAAATGTTTAAATCTACCTATGACCTGTAATCACCACCCCAACCCCTCTTTGAGTTGTCCTGCTCTTCCAGATGGAAACAATGTAAATCATACATGTATTGATTGACGTATTATATCTCCTTGACAATCTGTACCCTGATCACCTTGGGCACATGTCATCAGGACACCCTGAGGTTTTCACATGGGCATATCCTTAACTTTGGCAAAATAAACTCTGTAATTGACTGAGACCTATCTCACATACTTTTGGGTTCACAAAGCAATACTGGTAATCGAAAAGCAACACTGTTGTGAAAGTGTCTTTTTACCTTCCTATGAACCTGATTATTTTCTAACATCAGTAGCTTCACTGCCTTCTTCAGAAAAATACAGTTTTAACTCAATAAAAGTTCCTGGAATATCACCAACTAGAAGGAATGCCAATGCAAACAAATGACTCATTTTTAAACTGAAGTCTTGTCATTGCCATATCACATGACCAATTCACTCATCTGGATTTTTTTTCAAATGAATTGAGCTGAGTGAAAAAAAAATAGACATTATTGGTTAAACCTTGATATTCACTTTTAGAAGCTTTGATTAAACCTAATTCCAAATCTGTCATTGTAGTTTGGGGATTAAATTGAAATCCATTTTATTCTGCCAAGTCCACCAAATCTTCATATAAGAGTTTACAAAATCCTTTGCTTTTTCCAATCATTAATACACAAGTGAGCAGATAAGTTCTACAAATCAGTAGAGCAGATATGTTCTAAAAGTTTTGGATCTAACAGGGGCAAGAATTGTATAGAGCTGATAAAAAAAAAAAAAAGAAAAAAACAGTAGGGACAGTTTTGAAAATGCTATCCATTAGCCAAAGTGAAACATGCACTAGTTATTTGTGTGTTAAATTTAGTGATAAACATAAGAATTCTAACTTCTTCAATGGTAAAATTAAACCAAGAATAGGTCACCATTTAATGTCTTTCGTAACACTGCAAGAACTTCTATATCAGCAAGTGTCTTTGGTTCACAAGGTTGCTGAACTCATCATAAACTTTTTATTCTCTGACCAAGGACATTTTTTTAAAAAGGCAAGCTTGGCATTAAGTGTGCAGGGGCAGAAATCATCCATGACTGAATAATTTGATAGGGGATATTTCTTGTATTTTTTTTACTGCATTTTTACTTCTATGCCCCTCAAAACATTGAAGGAAGGTCTTCCCCACCTAGTTCACTCAGACTTACACACCAGTCTCCTCTGGAGACATCATCAGAGACACACCTAACCTGTTTTACCAGGTGTCTAGGTATTCTAGGTAATCCAGTCAAATTGACACCTAAAATTAAATTGACAAGTCTACCCCTTGTTGACTTGGCACTCATATGCATCTCCTTAAACCATACTTAATTTCCAAATAAAGACAATAAAAAGGTATAGCTAAACCTAACATGATGCAACTAACACAATGGATTTCAAGCTCATTCTTTTTGCTAAGAGAAAAAATAAAAAGAAAAAAACATGATACAATTATTCTGCATGTAGCCAAAAACATACTAATCTTATCTTAGAATCTGGCTTACAAGATTTAAACATTTGGGACTATAGTATTCTGGATTGTGTCTTTCAGGTCCATAATCAGCTCTGGCCAAGAGTTGCCCATGCTTTTAATGCAGCTAACGAAACCTTAGATTCAGAAGCCTAGTGATTCAACATAAGTCCACTCCCACTTGGTGAGTGGATTCATGAATCCTCCACCAGGCTGGAGGATTAAGAGTGAAGGAGTAAAGGTAGTTTCCTCTGCTTCCACTGACAGGCTCATTTGAGTACAGATAGGCATCAACTTGAAGGCATATTCAAAAGAAGCCAAGCTGAGATGCAGGTTGGTAGGTCACAAGTTTATAGGATCATTATGGTAAGACCTGAAGTGATATTGCAGGACAAAGTGAATAGAAACAGGACATAACCATAGGCAGAAACTTATTTGGAAATACACTAGCATAACCTCAGGAAGTTAAGTAAAATGTTCATATATATCAGGTATCTCTTATGTGCCATGCATGAGTTTGGGGATGTTAATGCATTTCCCCATTTTTTATCAGAAATTTACCATGAGATGGTGTATTAGTCTGTTTTCACACTGCTGATAAAGACCTACCTGAGACTGGGCAATTTACAAAAGAAAGAGGTTTATTGGGCTTACAGTTCCACCTGGCTAGGGAGCCCTCACAATCACGGCAGAAGGCAAGGAGGAGCAAGTCACATCCTACATGGATGGTAGCAGGCAAAAAGACAGCTTGTGCAGAGAAATTCCGTTTTTAACACCATCATATCTTGTGAGACCCATTCACTATCATGAGAGCAGCACGGGAAGGATTCACCCCATGATTCAATCATGTCCCACTGGGTCCCCCCCACAACACATGAGAATTATGTGAGCTACAAGATGAGATTTGGGTGGAGGCACAGAGACAAACCACATCATTCTGCCCCGGCCCCTCCCAAATCTCTTATCTTTACATTTCAGAACAATCTTGCCTTCCCAACAGTCACATCATTCTGCCCCTGGCCCCTCCCAAATCTCTTATCTTTACATTTCAGAACAATCTTGCCTTCCCAACAGTCCCCCAAAGCCTTAACTCATTTCAGCATTAACTCAAAAGTTTACAGTCCAATGTCTCAACTGAGACAAGGCAAGTCCCTTCTGTCTACAAGCCTGTAAAATCAAAAGCAAGCTAATTAATTCCTAAATTTAATGGGGGTACAGGTATTGGGTAAATACTGCCATTCCAAATGGGAAACATTGGCCAAAACAAAGGGGCCACAGGTCCCATGCAAGTCCAAAATCCAGCAGGGCAGTCAAATCTTAAAGCTCCAAAATGATCTCCTTTGACTCCATGTCTCATGTCCAGATCTCACTGATGCAGGAGGTGGGTTCCCATGGTCTTGGGCAGCTCAGCCCCTGTGGCTTTGCAGGTTACAGCCTCCCTCCCGGCTGCTTTCATGGGCTGGCATTGAGTGTCTGTGGCTTTTCCAGGCACAGGGTGCAAATTGTCAGTGGATCTACTATTCTGGGGTCTGAAGGATGGTGGCCCTCTTCTCACAGCTCCACTAGGCGGTGCCCCAGCAGAGACTCTATGTGGGGGCTCTCATCCCACATTTCCCTTCTGCACTGCCTTAGCAGCGGTTTTCCATGAGGATCCCGCCCCTACAGCAAACTTCTGCCTGGGCATCCAGGCGTTTTCATACATCTGAAATCTACGCAGAGGTTCCCGAACCTCAATTCTTAACTTCTGTGCACTCACAGGCTCAACACCACATGGAAGCTGCCAAGGCTTGAGGCTTCCACCCTCTGAAGTCACAGCCCAAGCTCTTCGTTGGCCCCTTTCAGCAATGGCTGGAGCAGCTGGGACACAAGGCACCAAGTTCCTAGGCTGCACAGAGAACAGGGACCCTGGGTCCAGTACAGGAAACCACTTTTTCCTCCTAGGGCTCTGAGCCTGTGATTGGAGAGGCTGTCATGAAGACCTCTGACATGTCCTGGAGGCATTTTCCCCATTGTCTTGGGGATTAACATTTGGCGCCTCATTACTTATGCAAATTTCTGCAGCTGGCTTGAATTTCACCTCAGAAAATGGGATTTTATCTTCTATTGCATTGTCAGGCTGCAAAATTTCCAAACTTTTATGCTCTGTTTCCCTTATAAAACTGAATGCCTTTAATATTACCCAAGTCATCCAAGAATGCTTTGCTGCTTAGAAATTTCTTCTGCCAGATACCCTAAATTATCTCTCTCATGTTCAAAGTTCCACAAATCTTGAGGGCAGGAGCAAAATGTCACCAGTCTCTTTGCTTAAATATAACAAGACTCACCTTTGCTCCAGTTCCCAACAAGTTCCTCATCTTCATCTGAGACCATCTCAGCCTGAACCTTATTGTTCATATCACTGTCATTTTTGTCAAAGCCATTCAGCTAGTCTCTAGGGACTTTCAAACTTTCCCACATTTTCCTGTCTTCTTCTAAGCCCTCCAAATGGTTCCAGCCTCTGCCTGTTACCCAGTTCCAAAGTCGCTTCCACATTTTCAGGTATCTTTACAGCAGCATCCCACTGTACTGGTACCCGTTTACTGTATTAGTTCGTTTTCATGCTGCTGATAAAGACATACCTGAGACTGGGCATTTTACAAAAGAAAGAGGTTTAATGGACTTACAGTTCCACATGGCTGGGGAGGCCTCACAATCATGGTGGAAGGCAAGGAGGAGCAAGTCACATCTTATGTGGATGGCAGCAGGCAAAGAGAGAGCTTGTGTAGAGAAACTTCGTTTTTAACACAATCAGATCTCATGAGACCCATTCAGTATCACGAGAGCAGCATCGGAAAGACCCGCTCCCATGACTCAATCATCTCGCACCGGGTCCCTCCCACAATACACGGGAATTATAGAAGGGGACACAGAACCAAACCGTATCAGATGGATACAGATGAAGAAAATAACACTTAGAGATCAGGAAACTAAGTGGCAGCGTAGAACACAGCACCACTGATTACAACGTTCATCCCCTTTGTCACTGCCCACTGACCCTAATGGGGTATGACATGGACCAATTTCAGATCATGGGCAACAGAGTTGACTTCTTCTCAGGGTCCTGATTAGTTTCACTGTGTTATATTGCCCAGGTGACACAATTCAGCACTCTCTTTTCAAGTTGCACATCACTTTCCTATTCTCCTAGAAGTCCCTCTCCTATTTCGTCAGAAACAGAAGGAGCTTTTGTGAAGTAATGAAAAGCTCAAGTTAGACAAATATATACCAAAAGCAAAGGTCTTTTGGGCCTCTAATACCAGCACTTTGGGAGACTGAGGTAGGTGGATCACCTGAGGTCAGGAGTTCAAGACTAGCCTGGCCAACATGGTGAAACCCCGTCTCTACTAAAAATACAAAAATTAGCCTGTGTGGTGACATGGGCCTGTAATCCCAGCTACTCGGGAGTCTGAGGCAGGAGAATGGGTTGAACCAGAGAGGCGGAGGTTGTGGTGAGCCAAGATTGCACCATTGCACTCCAGCTGGGCGACAAGAAGAAAACTCAGTCTCCAAAAAAAAAAAAGTATTTTGGTATTTGGACATGAGTTGGCTGAGGAAAGAATAATCATAGAATAAAAAGAGTAGAAAGAGAACATGAATGTTTTTAACTGTTATTTTTTTCTGTGCATTTTTGACTGATATGTCTGCCTTCTATTTGATTGAAGCCAAACATATAGAGTTAACCAGATCTAATAACAAATTAGTTTGAAGCACATTTGTTTGACCACCTAGTATGTCCAAAACAGATGCTAGAGGAATAAGATGCAATTGCTACCTGTAAGAAAGTTATAATCTATCATCATAGCTCTATGACAATACATTTCAATATAAAACTGGAGGCAAAAATAGGTAAGTTTAAAAGCAATAGTGCTTGAGGTTGAAAAGTATTACCTTAACTAAAATATTATTTATGTTCTTTTCAACCTCCATGCTTAAAAAAAGCTTGAACCCATCCATATTGGGAAATGTTTACCTTCCTAATAAGAGGAAAATTTATGAACTGTAGCTATTTCGGAGACAAGAAATATATCTACTAATGATCATGGCCAATGTTATAAGTCTGTTTTTTTTTTTCTTGTTTTGTTTTTTGAGACGGAGTTTCACTCTTGTTGCTCAGGCTGGAGTGCAATGGTGTGATCTCGACTCACTGCAACCTCTGCCTCCTGGGTTCAAGCAATTCTCCTGCCTCAGCCTCTCAAGTAACTGGGATTACAGGCATGCACCACCTCTCCTGGCTAATTTTTTGTAGTTTCAGTAGAGACAGGGTTTCGCCATGTTGGTCAGGCTGGTCTGGAACTCCTGAGTTCAGGTGATCTACCCACCTCAGCCTCCCAAAGTGCTGGGATTACAGGTGTGAGCCAACATGTCCTGCCATAAGTCTGTTGTATCCTGGCATGCCTAGGGGTTTATTTTTTCTACTGCTTTCTAAGCTACATTTATATAAAGATTACCATTTGAGCTATAATATAAGTAATTTTTTCCTGCCTGTTATGTCATGCATTGTGTTAGACAATAGTGTGCAAAATAATGTTATAGCAAACACTGTTGTTGACATGCTGATGTGGTTTTGCTGTGTTTCCCCTCAAATCTCATCTTGAATTACAGCTCCAATAATCCACAAGTGTCATGCAAGGGACCTGGTGGGAAGTAATTGAATCATGGGGGATGGGTTTTCCCTTGCTGTTCTTGTGATAGTGAATAAGTCTCACAAGATATGATGGTTTTACAGAGGGGAGTTCCCATGCACAAGCTCTCTTGCTTGCCACCATGTAAGACGTGATTTTGCTCCTCATTTGCCTTCTGACATGATTGTGAGGCCTCCCCAGACATGTGGAACTGTGAGCCAGTTAAACCTCTTTCATTTATAAATTACCCAGTCTCAGGTATATCTTTATTAGCACCATGAGAACAAACTAATACATCTGCCTTTTTCCCCTCAGCCCTCACCAGTCACATAGTTGCTGACAGCAGCTTACTGCAAGAATATGAAAAACTCTTCTTGACATCCTTCTTCCATTTCACCCACTCCTGGACTACTAGTAGTTTCTCCTTCCCAGGAGCAGCCCTCCACCAGTGCTGGATCAACTTAAAAATAAACATCCTGGTTTTCTCTCCCTATAGGTAGCTCTGAGGTATATTCTGCATTGCTTCCTTCACAGAGAGATTGAGCTGTGTATCCTTTCCCTATTTCATGATGCCATTCCCCTACAGGTACTTCTCCTGATCCCTTCAAATTCAAATTCTTGTCTCAGGAATTACATCTTAGGGAACCCAACCTAAAGCAAATACATAATCTCAATTCCTATTTTCTAGCAATTTACAGTGTGAAAACTAAAATTACTATGAAAGAGGAAGTGATTATAAGGGAGGAAAGACAAAAAGTACAAATAACAATTCAAAGGCAGTCTCTAGGCAAAGCTGATGTAAGTAGACTATGAAAAAGTCAAGAAAACTAATGAATCTGAAAAAATCTTAGGAGTTGAAATCAAGAGGAATGAGTTGCAGGTTAGAACAGAACTGTCCTATTTTGGTCAGGATAAAGTGACTTACAGTGGAAATACATTACCTGATTTTTCTGATTGATTGATAATATTTTTTGGAGTATAATTATTTTTGTTGTCAGAATGGACACAGGTCCATAGATTTTTCATTTATTTATTGATGAGAATATTTAGAAATTCAAGTGTGACCCCTCACAAAAACCAATTTGTCTGAATAAGAAAATAATTACCTTTTTAAAATTAATTTAATTAAATGATGTAATATCATGTGAACATGCCCAACGCTACGTGTGCAATAGACGGTTTCATTTTTTATTTTGAAATAATTTAAGATGTACAAGAAGTGGAATCAAATGTCTCTCTATACTTTACACCCAGTAAATATAAAATATAATATGTAATGTATATATGTAATGTACATAAATATGCTGTAAATATAAAATCTTACATCACTGAAAACAGGAAATCAAAAATAATAAAAGAGTGTTAACTAAACTACACATCTTACTTGGCTATCAACAGAAAGATTTTTATATGAACTCTTTATTGAAGTTTCGATAAAAGTTAGCAGAAGACAAAATATAAAAACTCAGTTATTATTTTCCTTTTAGTTTTCTGCAGTAGTAAGAGTGGCTCGTTAAAACATAAGGCAGACATATGGCTACAGCTAAAACTTGCTTAGGCATTGCCTATATCAAAATATGCAATGGTGGTGGGGAGAAAGAGGTACTGAGGAGATGAAGAACGTGAAATGAGACATGCCAATGGGACATTTGCTTACTTTATAATTAAGAAAAGGTTCATTTTCTTTAAATATTGGCAGAATGGCCTAGAATTTCAACTTACAATGATACACTTTTCCTGCTTTTTTTGGAATTTATAATCAAGTCTAGACAACATATACAAGGCAGTCATGATGGTTTAATATATGCTCATCAAGTCAGACATGCCCACTCAGACATTTCCTAATGGTAAGATTTTAAAAAATGTAACCCAAATTTTTATAACAGAAAATAACTGATTTTTCCAACCACAGGACTTGATCTTGACTAATGTATAAGGAAGTGCATTTCTTGGTAAGGTTGCTTATTTATGTAATTCCTTTGAAGTTGTACAACTTTATTATGACATTAACTTGGTGGATTTACACATAGTGTGACATGACACTAGCTCGTACGAAATCACGGCTTTTATCTCCAAGAAACTCTTGCCTAATATTGGAATGGAAATTTAGCAAATTCCTTGAGTCCTGAAGTGGTAGTCTACATTGTTTGCTTCTGGCACTAAATTAACCTTTTTATTTTTGTAGGACATGTTTCTTTGTTTCTTTCTAGTGTATATATACATATACATATATATATATATATATATATACACACGTATACATACGTGTGTATATATATATATATATATATATACACCCACATATATGTATTATTTTTGTAGGACATGTTTGTTTCTTTCTAGTGTGTATATATGTATATATATACACACATATATATACACATATATACACATATATATACACATATATACACATATATATACACATATATATATATACACACACACACACATATATATATATATACACACACATATATATATACAGTTTTTAAAATTATACTTTAAGTTCTGGGATCCATGTGCAGAACGTGCAGGTTTGTTACATAGGTATACAGGTGCCATGGTGGTTTGCTGCACCTATCAACCCGTCATCTACATTAGGTATTTCTCCTAATGCTATCCCTCCCTTAGGCCCCCACCCCCACGACAGGACATGGTGTGTGATGTTCCCCTGCCTGTGTCCATGTGTTCTCATTGTTAAACTCCCACTTATGAGTGAGAATATGTGGTGTTTGGTTTCTGTTCTTATGTTAGTTTGCTAAGAATGATGGTTTCCAGCTTCATCCATGTCCCTGCAAAGGACATGAACTCATTCTTTTTTATGGCTGCATAGTATTCCAAAGTGTATATGTGCCACATTTTCTTTATTCAGTATTTTTAGATAATTAGATTCCTATTAAGTAGCATTAGGATCAGAGATTCTCTCTTGAATTTATAATACATAAAACCAAATCAAATGATACATCTCAGTCCACCTCAAAGAAATAAGTTGAATTAATTTCCCTGAAGTTTGGGAAGATATATACTGTATCATTTTCATCTTTAATAAATTGCTGTTTCATAAACAGGTTTTTTTATTATTAAAGTATTGACAATGACTCTGAAGGTAGATGATATACCTTCCTTTTATAACATGTTAAATTGTTCCACTGAGCTTTTGGCATCTGCATACTTAAGTATGTTTTATCTCAAAGTATATCTAGATATTTGTTCTATCTAAACCAAAATTTTATAAAAGAAATATAAAGTTTGATTTGTTTAGAAGAACTTGGCATTTTATGCCACCCATTAGCTCCAACTATTTCTCAAGAAATAGGAACATTTTTTTATTTACCCAGTGTCTACATGTGTCAGAGTATTATCGAGTCCTGCTGAATAGATCAATGGAGACAAATGCACAATGTCCCTCACTAGGTCCTATCGCAGGCCCCTGACCTTGGATGCATCAGTCACGTTAGCCAATCACAGACTTATTTGACAGAACAAAGTGGCAACCAAACAAATCATGTCAATGTCCATTGGCACTGAACAACTTATTAACAGCAGCAGTTCCTCAGCTCTTGGAGGTGACTGCACCAGCAAATTTTTGTGAACATTATGCAGATTCCAGCATGAGACTCAATATAATTATCTGTTTCAATATATTTCACATAATAATAGCAAAGGAAGATAGAACTGACTTGTTGCTTTGAAGCAAGGGGTGCTGTCCAGGCTACTGCTAAACCAAATGATTTAGCATGGTTTGAAGCAAGTCATGCTGTCCTCCCTACTGCTAAACCAAATGCTAGTTAAGAAAGAATGGGTTGATGCGGGGTGGGGGCAGGAAGCAGAGAAAAAGAAAGGCTTGCATTTTGCATTTTCAGGTAGGCATTGAGAAGCTAACGATAAGGACTACGTTAAAAAATTTTTTTTTTAATTTATTTACATTTGATTAAGATAAATCCAGAGTTCCCAAAACCTCAAAGCATTTCAAGAGATTACACAATAAATAACTTGGAAATATCATTAATTCTGACACTTAGTTGCATTTCAATTTATTTCACACTTTCTAGTCTTGAAGAATTTATGATTTAAGTCTCTTATCTAAGGGAAGAATGCATAATTTGTTTCAATTGTCTGTTGTTTCAATTAGCCTCTGGTGATCGTTTCATATTTAAAGGGTTCATTTGGGAAGATTTTTTTCTGCCTCCTGAACAAAAGGGAGAAAAAGCAGGAGTAACCAAGATTTCCTGCAGCTACCTCATCTTCCTGGGGACCACACTGAAAAGATCTGTCTTTCGTGAATAGGATAACTTGATGGAAACATATTTTTTTATTCACTACCTTATTACAGAATTATTCAGTTTGGAACTATAGTGAAAGACTGCATCCCCTACCACTCACTGTTACTAACTTTGCTTTTTATCCCTATAAATTGTACCACAGTTTATGAGCTTTGACACTATAATCATAAAGGTGGAAATACTGTTATTGTGTCCTTGTTGATGCCAAGAACATTTCTTTTAAAAAAAATGACTCTTTTTTTAAAGACCCATTTATACAGGCTTTTCTATTTGTTATTTGGAATCCAACGAATTGAGAGGTTTTCTGATTTTGTTTTTGTTTTTACATGATAATACATTTGGGCCAGGTGCGGTGGCTCACTCCTGTAATGCCAGCACTTTGGGAGGCCAAGGTGGGTGGATCACCTGAGGTCAGGAGTTCCAGACCAGCCTGGCCAACATGGTGAAACCCTGTCTCTACTAAAAATACAAAAGTTAGCTGGGTGTGGTGGTGGGTGCCTGTAATCCCAGCTACTCAGGAGGCTGAGGCAGAAGAATCGTTTGAATCGGGAGGCAGAGGTTGCAGTGAGCCAAGACCATGCCATTGCACTCCAGCCTGGGTGACAAAAGTGAAATTCTGTCTCAAAAGTAAAAAAATAAAAATAAAAATAATACATTTGAACATACTCGTACTTGTAAACCAGTAGAATCATTCTACTAGAGGTAATAGATGATTATAAAAGGATGCAAGATCTCTGTCTCCTAAGACTTACTGTTCTGTTGGGGAATTAGGTAAACAACCGAGAAGACAGAAGTACAGCCCTCAGCAGCAGTGTGTTCAATTAAAGAACATGAATTTTTGAATTGAATTAGAATTGTGGTATAGCCACTCATTAACAAAGTGACATAGTTAAAACTCTCTTATTTAAGAGTCTTCATTTGAAAAGTAATAGATATAACATCTTATCTTGGGGGTGGTCATAGGGAGAATCTTATGACCCAATAAATCAAATGTGTTAAGGACACACTGTACCTCAAAGCAGGCAATAAAAAAAAAATTAGTGCTCATTTTCTTTTTTATTTTTAGTGTTTCTCTTGTGGTCTTCAATTTCTTCAGGGTTAAACTACTTCTCTAGGATTGGCTTTTTATTTACTTATCTCAAAGAACAACAAAATTGCACAGTTTTACCCAAATTATGTGTTGTAGATTTATTGCAGAAATTTTTCTAATGTTTCATCTCTCCCTGTATGTACACCCTATTTAATGTGAGTTTTCAACTTCCATCAAAAGGTGATTCTCTTTTCCCATCCTCGTCTCTGTGCCGGCCACATGACTTAATCTGGCCTGCAGTATGAAGTTGTGTGCCACTTGCAAGCTTAGGCCCTACGAGATCTGAGTGCTTCCAATTTTTCTCTTGTACTCCTGCTGTGCTATGAATGCAAAACAAAACTGGCCTACTGGATGATGCAAGAGAGGTGTCCTAGTCATGTCAGTCACCCAAGAATGGCAGTCAGCCAATCATCAGACATGTGAATGAGCCCCAGCAGAAGCCAGACAAAATTAGTGGAGGCTAAAATGACACACAGCTGATTTTAGTTTAAAATAAAAGAGAACTACGCAAGAGGCTCACTGATGCCTTAGGTGAATAAATATTATTTTAAGCCACTAGGTTTTTATATAAGTTAATCATGCAATAACAGATAACTGATACATGAAGACAGGGATAAGATTTCAGGTTGTCGTCCACCATTTACCATCAGTTTAGTTAGGGGTTGAGAAGACAACTGTAATTATTTTCTAATGTAACTGAAGAGAACACCAAAATACTTTTAACTAAAATTCATCAATGAGATGTATTTGATATAAACAATTCCTCTGCTGTTAACCAATACTTCTAAAGAAGGATTGGAAAAACTATAAGTACTGCATATCTTATTGGCAAATGTTCATGTCAGCTACATAAGTTGTCCTACTGCATTCATGCAATCATGCATTTATTATTAAAATTTACATGTAAAAAACACCTACAATGTTTTTGGTACTATGATCATTTTCAGAGGTATAATGTGGCATTGGTTCCTGATATAGAAAACTTCAGATTTTATTGTGGAAAAATACACATAAAAGTGCCTACTCAGTGGCTCACGCCTGTAATCCTAACACTCTGGGACGCAAAGGTGGGTGGTACACCTGAGGTCAGGAGTTCGAGACCAGCCTGGCCAACATGGTGAAACCCCAACTCTACTAAAAATACAAAAATTAGCCAGGCATGGTGGTCCATGCCTGTAATTCCAGCTACTCGGGATTCTGAGCCAGGAGAATCTCTTGAACCTGGGAGGAAGAGGTTGCAGTGAGCTGATATCATGCCACTGCACTCCAGCCTGGGCAGCAGAGCGAGACTCCACCTCAAAAAAAAAAAAAAGAAAGAAAGAAAGAAAGAACGTGCATACTACAATGGTGTACATGTTAGAACCAAAATAAGGAGAAAAAATTGCCCCCTAAAGAAAGGAGCAGCTATGAAATGGTAAATAGCACAATATAAAAGGAAATGGCCAGGGGTTCCAAAAAACACTAAGCTAAGAGATAGATGGAAGTATGGAAGACAAAAATCTCAACAATTAAGGCAATGATTGTATTCAGGTTATTGGAGTAGAGAGGACTTTCATCAATGAAGATCGTCCCAAAGAAAAGGAAAGGAACCCAGGGATTTATAGAGGGAAGTAAACAAGGCAGTCTGTGAGTTTTATGGGAGTCTTTAGAAAAGAAGAAGGTGGTCTTATCTGTGAGTTGTAAGAGACAGCTCTGATAATAAACTTTGTGGGAGCAGTGTAGCCATTTGTTGTTCATCAGAAAAAAAAAATAGAAGAATTTTTAGACCTCTTCTGCTTTCTTGGAACACACAACTGAGATAAAGATCACTATTTTCAATGGAAAACATTGAAATTGAAGTAAAGACATTCAGTGTTAACATGACTACTTCATTTTTGTGTATAGTTTGCATATTTACAAATCATATCTTGTAGTGTGGGATTGGTTTTATTTTTAGTATAATGCATTTTATTATTTTCCCCAAAAATACCTGTGATCCAACACTATCTGTTGGCAACATCTCTTTTCAGTCTACACTATAGAGAAGTTATATCCATATGGACAACATTGGTCAGGAAGAGCATGTGGGCCATGGGCAACATGGGGACACATTTAACTTATTTTTTGTTCTTTCTTTCAGAATTATTTTGAAACCATTTTTGCATCATCCTCTGCCCCATTCATGCCAATTTCATTCCTTTTGTTTTTCTTAACCTCTTCCCCATTTTCTTTCCTCTTTCTCAATTTATTTTTTTCCCCTTAAATCATATCATGATTGAATATTAGTTCAACTGTCAGCATTTCCTGGATGTCACACAAAGAAAATAGTTGCAAGAGTAAGCAGCAATTCCCTAAATATGAAATGAAAGCAAGGTAAGAGTGAACACTGGCTTCTTAAATTTCCAGTCCCTCAGCAGTTCAAAGCAGAGCCAGCTGTCTTGCTGACATAAATCCTGTCAAAGGGATCGAGTGAGTAGCCTGACTTCTTTTGAAATGAGTGGTATTTGTGCCATTTTCTATAAATTGTGGACATTTATTCATATATGTCCATATATAAAAACATGTACATTACTGAAACACACACCTGTACACACTAACATTTTCTAAACTATTTTCATACATATTTTTCCTTAACTCTTTCTCTTTGTCCCTATATTTTTCTCTTTCATTTTTTAAAAATTTAACAATATGTTTAGATATTTTCATTTCTTCTTAATTCTTTTTATTAGTATTTCATCTATCTACCTATCTATCTACCTGTCTATCTATCTATCTATCTATCTATCTATCTATCTATCTATCTATCCATCCATATGTATGCATGTATTTTTTGTAACTACAGGCGAGCACCACCATGCCTGGCTAATTTTTGTATTTTTGGTAGAGATGGAGTTTTGCCATGTTGCCCAGGCTGATCTGGAACTCCTGCAGTGAAGCGATCCACCCACCTCGGCCTCCCAAAGTGCTGAGCCACAGTGCCCGACCTGGTATGTCTTATATTTTTATTTTTTCTCCAGCCTTATTGATGAGCATTGAGTTCGCCTTCAATTGTTCATTATTAAAAAATAACATTTCAATAACCATCTTTGTACACGGATCTTGGTGCACTTGTGAAATATGATAGATTCTTAAAAAGTAAAATTTCTCCATAAAAATTTTCATTTATGAAAATTGTCATAAATATGGAAAACTCTTCCAAAAATTATTCCTAAACTAATTCCTACCTCAGTGTGTGATTTGAATCCTCCTCAGGTTACAAAATAGTAATCTTGTAACATTTTGTTAGCTTGATGAATGGGAAAGAAATAGTGTTCATTGTCTCAGTTTGCATTTCCCTGACTACTGGTAATGTTGCAAATATTTTCATAGGAATATTGCCTGTTCGCATTTCTTTTGTGAATTGCCCACCTTTATCTTTTGTCCTTACATCTGCTGGGGTATTTGTTTCTTTTTAACTTGTAAGAATTTTTGCATTATCAATATTAATCCTTTTTCTGTTATACATGTTGCAACTATTTTTTAACGTCTACCAACTATCTTTTGTCATTGTTTACTATTATTTTATGCTATAGGAAACATAATTTATGTCAAATTGATCCATATGCTTCTTTTTTGCTTTTTTTTTTTTTTTGAGACAGAGTCTCGCTCTGTCTCCCAGGCTGGAGTGCAGTGGCGCCATCTCGGCCCGCTGCAAGCTCCGCCTCCCGGGTACACGCCATTCTCCTGGCTCAGACTCCCGAGTAGCTGGGACTACAGGTGCCCGCCACCACGCCCAGCCAATTTTTAGTATTTTTTTGGTGGAGAAGGGGTTTCACCGTGTTAACCAGGATGGTCTCGATCTCCTGACCTCGTGATCCGCCCACCTCGGCCTCCCAAAGTGCTGGGATTACCGGCGTGAGCCACCGCGCCCGGCCCCCATGTGCTTCTTTATAGATTGTTCATATTGTGCATTATATTAGAAAGGCTTCCCCTCCAAATAATCCTAAGAACACTATCCTGTACTTTCTTATAGTACCTCTGTGGTTTGGTTAGAATTTCTCTCCATCTGGAATTTGTTGTGTATATCAATAGTGAGAGGTATGAATCTAACTTTATGTCCTCCAATTTAGCGAATAAGTGATCATTCTGTCATTGATTTAAAATTCTCCCTCAGTTATAACCTAAGTTTGAATTTATACATGGATCTACTTGTGAACTACTGTATTTTACGAATCTAAGGTATAGTATAGGGCCTATGTAACACCATTCTAAATGCCTTATCCTCAAATTGCATTTTTATATATTTCAAAAAAATATATTTGGCTTTCTTTCTTCAAAATTTATTTGGCTATTTCTGACACATTTTGACTTCCTCATAAATTTAAGAATCAGTTTCTCAAATATATTTTAAAATCTTGTTGGCTCTGTGACTCTGATTATATTGACATTGTAGATTAATTTGGAAGAATTGATAATGTTATATCGGGTGCTATAATTCACAAACTTGAGGTATCTCCCTGTTTAACCTTTATTTCATGTCATTTACAAAAATTTTATTTTTTTCAAATATGGTTTGCATATATCATTTGAGATTCATTTCTAAGCATATTTTTTTATTGTGTTTATTTGAATGGAATTTATTTCTGCATTATATTTTGTTATCAAATTTTGTTTATTTTTTAAATATTTCTTATGTGCTGAACTCCCTCATTAATCTTAACAAAATTTTAGATAATTTAAGTTTTCTAAGCAGCTTATTATATTGATTATAAATAGTGATTTTTATCACTAGTTTTCCAATATTACACTGTAATTTAAATGATATTGGTAGAGTTCCTAATGTGGAAACATTCTTGAAAGCCTGAGAAAAACATTTTTTCCCTTATTATCTATTTGATACATGATGATTGCAATTCTCCAATATTATATTTAGAATTTGGAAAAGTCTGTCCATAAATGAGACTGTTTTATGTCTTTTCTTCTATCTAGAAAGTTTGGCAGAAATAATTAATAAAACCTGACCTGTGTGCCACTCATAAAGGTAGACCTTCTAAGTCCTTTGAAAATGTGACTATCATTGTTATTTCATGTTTTTTACATCATTCTGAATCAATTATAAAAATTTATATTATGATATATTTTCTCTTGATTATTTCCTAAAAAATCACACACACAAGGCCGGGTGAGGTGACTCACTCCTGTAATCCCAGTCCTTTGGGAGGCCGAGGTGGGTGGATCACCTGAGGTCAGGAGTTCAAGGCTAGCCTGGGCAACATGATGAAACCCCGTCTCTACTAAAAATATGAAAATCAGCTGGGCATGCTGGTGTGCACCTATAATCCCAGCTATTCAGGAGGCCGAGGCATGAGAATCACTTGAACTCGGGAGGTGGAGATTGCAGTGACCTGAGATTGCATCACTGCACTCCAGCCTGGGTGACAGATCGAAACTCTGTCTCAAAACAAACAAACAACACACACACACATACACATACACACAAACATAAAATATTAAACTTATAGTCCTATAACCATTAAATGAGTTGAATTGACAATTAACAATTTCCTGAAAAAGAAATCTCCAGGCAGGTCGTGGTGGCTCACGCCTGTAATCTCAGAATTTTGGGAGGTCGAGGCGGGTGGATCACCTGGGGTCAGGAGTTCGAGACCAGCCTGGCCAACATGGCAAAACCCTATCTCCACTAATAATACAAAAATTAGTAGGGTGTGGTGGCATGCGGCTCTAATCCCAGCTACTGCGGAGGCTGAGGCAGGAGAAGAGCTTGAATCTGGGAGATGGATGTTGCAGTGAACCGAGACTGCGCTGCTGCACTCCAGCCTGCTTTTGTTTTTGTTTTTGTTTTTGGAGCGATTCTCGTGCCTCAGCCTCCAGAATAGCTGGAATTGCTGCTTGGACCGCAGAGCAAGACTGTGTCCAAAAAAAGAAAAAAGACGACAGGACACGGGAGGGGAAGGGAGGGGAGGGGACTCTAGATCAGATGGTTTCACCAGGAAAAGTATCAGACAGTTAAAGAATTAGCAGTAATTCTACACAATCTATTCCAGAATATGGAAGATAAGGAAAAACTTCTCAACTCATTTTATGAAGTCAATATTATATCAATAACAAAACCAGGCAATGGCAGTCCAAAAAAAGAAACAAAACTACAGACTAATATTCCTCATGAATTTAGAGGCAGAAGTATTCAATAGAATATTAGAAAATCAAACCCAACAATTTGTGGAAAAAAGATACACCATAACAAAGTGAAATTTATTTTATTGATTTCAATATAATCCACTATATCAACAAGCAAAAGAAAAAAAGAAAAACAAACACAATCCTATCAATTGAAGCAAAAATAGCATTATATTAAATCCTAAAGCAATCATACTTAATGGTGAAAGACTGAATGGTTTCCCTCTGATACCGAGAAAAAGATAAGTATGTCTATTTTCACCACTTTTATTCAACATAGTTCTTCATGTTATAACTACTATAATCAAGCAAGAAAAAGAAATAAAACACACAGATTGGGAAGAAATAAATAAAAGTCTTTTTGTATATGACATGATGGTCTCTGTAGAACATTTCCCAGGACTGATTGAGCAAGATTGCAGGATAGAAGACTAACACCCAAAAATCAATCACATATTTATATACTAAAAATAGGCATGTGGAAACTGCAATTATAGACATAAAACCATTTAAAATCTCTCCAAAGAAAATGAAATACTAATATAAACTTAACAAGATATACAGGATCTACGTACTGAACATTAAAAACTGCTGATAAAAAATGTCAAGGAAGATCTAAATATATAGGGAGACCTACAACATTCGTGAATTGGACAAATCAATACAGTAAAGATGCAATTGCCCCAACAGTGATCAATAGGATTAATGCATTTTGTATTAAAATTCTAGCAGTGTTTTTTTGTAGATGAAGACAAGTTTATAGTAAAATTTATATGAAAAGTCACAGCACTAGAATAGCTAAAATAGTCTTGAGACAGTAGAATACAAGAGGGAGAATCAATCTACTTAAGGCTTACTATATAGCTACAATAAGAAAGGTAGTATGAAATTGATGGAAATATATACACATAGATTAATGGAACAGAATAGAGAACCAGAATAGACTTAAAAAGATTTGCTCCATTGGTTTTTGACAAAGCTGCAAAGGCATTTCAATGGAGGAAGAAAAGTCTTTTCAAAAAATGATGTTGAAACAATGGAAAATCCATAGGCCAAATAAAAAAAAAAAAGAAGAAGAAATTTGGACCTGTCTGACAATTTGTGGAAAAATAAACTCAAAATGGATCATGGATTTAAATGTAAAATGTAAAATTATAGAACTTTTAGGGAAAAAAGTAAAGTCTTTTAGGAAAAAAGGCAAAGCCCTATCTATGGGTAGGCATAGTTCTTAATTATTATACCAGAAGGAAACATCAGTAAATGGAACTTAATCAAAATTAAAAATGCTTTCTTTATGAAAGACCCTGTTAAAGGCATAACAGAAAAGCTACAGAGTGACAGAAAAAAAATCTGGAAACTACATATTTGACAGAAGACTGATACTTTGAATATATGAAGGACTCTTAAAACTCAACAATAAAAACCAAAAAACCTATTAACAACAAAATTAGAAAATGAACAAAAGCTATGTATAAACATATATAGATTACAAAGAAGCACACTAGAAAATGTTCAACATGATTATTTCTCAGGGAAATGCAAATTGAAAGCACAATAAGATATAACTACATACTTATCATAATGTCTAAAATAAAAAAAAAACTAAGGACAACGAAAAGTGCTGGTGGGGATGCAGAGAACTGATCGCTTACGCTTTGCTAATGGGAATATAAAACAGAGCAGGCAATTTGGAAAACTGTTTGAAAATTTCTTAAAAATCAAGGCATATCATATGACCCAATAATTGTACTCTTGGGCTTTTATACTAAAGAAATAAACAATGATGTTGGCATAGAAACCTGTATACAAATATTCATAACATCTTTATTTATAGTGGCCAAAAATTAGAGAAAACCCATCAGGTGAATAGTTAAACAAACTGTGGTACATACAAACCACAAAATACTATTCAGTATTTCCTTTACTCAGCTGATATTATTACAAATAAATGAACTACTCATATTTGCAACAACTTGGTTGAATCTCCAGGGAATTATGAGGAGTTAAAAAAGTCAATCCCAAAAGCTTACATGAATCATGATTCCATTTATACAACATGTTTGAAATGACAATATTTTATAAATGGAGAACATATTATTAGTTGCTGAGTGTTAATGATGAAGGTAGAGGGAAGGGAGATGTGTGGGTTATCAAAGAGGAATACTAGGGGTTCTGGTGGTAATGGAGCTCTTCTGTGTCATAACTGAGGTGTGGGAAACAAATCTATACATGTTCTAAAATTTTATAGAACTAAATACACACACCCCCCACACACACTTATAACAAGTACAAGTAAAACTGAAAAAATCTGAACATGATTAGTGGATTATATACCAATATTTTAGCTGAAATATAACACAAAATGTTTGTGAGATGTTACCACTGGGGAAAATTAAGTAAATGATATATGAAATATCATAATCTACAATTTTCTCAGTAATAATTTCAATTTAAAAATTGAGCAAAGCATCCAAAAGCTATGGACCAATATCTAATGACATATATACTTATTTTTTTGTCTTATACAAAAAAATATAGACAGATACAACAAATGCAAAAAGAACAAAATAATTATTCTAGAAATAGCATAAGCAGAATGCTGAAAATAGAAGATAATTAGAACATTTTTAAAGCAGCAAGATAAATAGCCCCACCTCATTATAGAAGTACAAAGATAAAAATCACAGCAGAATTCTCTTCAAAAGCTGTTCAAGGAAGGAGAAAATGAAGAGATGTCTTTAAAGTGTTGAAAAAAAGGGAAACTATCAGTGCAATTCTATACATAGTAAAAACATCTTTCAAAAAGGAAGGCAAAATAGAGACATTTTTAAACAAGCAAAAGCTGAGGGGATTCATTAGCAGCAGACCTATATTACCAGAAATGAAAAGCAATGTTCTTCAGGCATTAGTATGATCCCAGACAGAAATTAGGATCTACCCAAAGAAGTGAAAAACTCCTTGATGCACCAAACAGTTGTTAAGCCTCAACTATGTTTTCTATGATTACTCATCATAACCTATTATTATATTGTGAATTTAATTCCATGGTCTGAGCCAGCATTGTTTGTGTATTTAATATATAGAAATACACAAGTAGAACAACATGCCCAAGGAATTGCATGGCCAACTGCAAATTTGG
This sequence comes from Homo sapiens, assembly GCF_000001405.40. Taxonomy (NCBI): domain Eukaryota; kingdom Metazoa; phylum Chordata; class Mammalia; order Primates; family Hominidae; genus Homo; species Homo sapiens. The sequence goes on along the minus strand of NC_000014.9, from coordinate 86,757,726 downwards.
AAGTACTCTCTCGTTCAAGTGGAAGCCTCAATGGTAAAGTAAGAAGAACATTGGCAGTGTTGTATGGGGTTATTTTTGCCTCGGCTCCTAAATAGTTCTGGGGCTCCTCAGGTTGTTCCTCCAGCTGGGGCTCACTTGCTTCATGTGTAGCATCAAGCATCATCTAGATCTTTGCTACTGAACCTAGCACTAAGGGCCAACAGCACTCATATTTTTGGGTATTAGAGAAACAGAACCTCAGGTCCCACTCTGACACATGCCACTGGAATCTCCATTGTCAAAAAATTTCAGGTGTCTTGTATGTACATAAAACTTTCAGAAGCACTGCATTTGATAATTCCCCAAGGGTTATGATTATCAATAGATGCAAAGTGGCTGAAAATGAAGTTTATGCTCCATGCTTCTCTCTTACTCCACATATATTTGAGAACACTACCTGTTTCTAGCATTTAAATAGAAAAAATAAACGTAATTAATAAAGATTTTTGCCTTTTATGATCATTGATGTAGTATTAACTATAGTAATAATTCTTAACGTGTATCAAAAACCAGCTGAGCACATTCCCTATTTTATTATTCCTTACATCTAATTTAAAAGATACTGGTTTATTATCTCCTTTTTATAAAATTAGAAGCTGAGGATTTGAGAAAATGAATGTCTTGGCTTGTAACACAAAGACTGACTCTGGCAATATACAAACTCAGGGCCTCTTACCACCAAATGCCTGGTAAGGAAGAAGCCATAAATCTTCTATGGCAAGGCGAGTCTTAGAGGCAGAAAGTTTGGGTTTCTTTGTTTATAAATTAAGGTTAATATAAAGGTCTACTTTGCACAATTTTGAGAATCAACTCTAATGCAGAAGTATTTCACATATTGATATAAAAATTATTTTACTTATATATAAAGAAGCTATATCTTATCTCCTCAGGAAATATTAGATTTTTTTTTTGAGACGTAGTCTCACTCTGTCACACAGTGAGCAGTGTGCACCCAGCATGCAGTGGCGCAATCTTGGCTCACTGCACCGTCTGCCTCCACAGTTCAAGTGGTTCTCATGCCTCAGCCTCCAGAGTAGCTGGGATCGCTGGTGTGCACCACAACCCCTGGCAATTTTTTTTTTTTTTTTGTATAGATGGCGTTTTGCCATGTTGGCCAGGCCAGTCTTGGACTGCTGGCCTCAAGTGATCCACCCGCCTCAGACTCTCAAAGTGCTGGAATTACAGGTGTGAGCCCCTGTGACCCACATAAATCTTTAATTTATAAAGTTACTTACAATCTTTTTTTTTTCTGTTTTAATTCATTCTCCAATATGGCAAAGGAAGAAAAACTGGTCATTCTGAAATACAGATCTGATCCTTTTATATCACTGGTTTTAAAACTTCAATGAGCCTCACTGATGTCAAGAGTCATAGTTCCCAATTCAGCTATATTTTAGACATATCTGGGTATTTTGAAAACATAGATTCCCTGACTCCACTGCAATGTATTAAATTAGAATCTCTAGGCATCACCTTGGGGTCCTACACTTATTATTATTATTACTTTTTAATCTGACTGTGTCCCTGCATTCAGGACACATTAATTTATTATTCTCTATTAAGTAATAATTTTTTTATTGTTTTAACCTTGTTTCTGCAGATTGAATTTGGGGAATTAAAACAGGTTCACATATATCTACTAAAGTTTAATGGGTGCTTTTATACATCAAAAAGAGAGACTTCCTACTCCCCTTTTATTCTTGTTTTTCCAAATTTTGCAACCAAAACACTCAGCTTTCTTCATTGACAACAGTTTCAACAATTTGGGATTAAATGCACAATATTTTTTAAAAACACATATACGCAATAGACACACTATATAAGAATAAGGAAAACAAAGTTTTTAAAAGTCTAGTTGTTCAAAATTATGTCAGAAATTTCAAATTCAGAATGATGATAAACCTTTCCTGCCTTCTACCCCTTATGCTGGTTCAGATTGGCTAACAGCAGATGTCTACTTATGATCATGTTTTGACTACAGAAGGTATCAAAGAATAAATGAAAACAAAACAAAAACATAGTAATAAATAAAGGCATTACTTCTTTTATGTTTTAATTCAAAATTACCCAGGAAAAAAACACATTATCTAAGAATCCTCTAGTAGTTACTTAATATCACTGTTTCTCACTTTTTCTCATCAATGAAAAGGAGAATAGCATTAATCTCACAGAGCTTAATACTATTTAGTGTAAATATTAATTAATTCCTCATTTAATTGTGAGGAATTAAATGTTTTATTATGTATTATTTACTTACAACAGTGCCTGGATATAGTAAATGCTTTGAAAGAATTAACCTTCATTATTATTATATTTTATGCATTTTATGTTTTCTTTGGTCTTTTTCTGTACCTTCATCAGGTTTCAGTCAGGGATACATATAATTTATCTCATAACTTCCTCTTGCTCTTACTCACTGCGTCATATACATTTTCCCTTCCTGATTGCTTGTCCTTCAGACTCCAAGCTCCAGCATCAGACATGAGGACAATAGCCCTACCAAGACTGCTTAACCAGCTCACACAATTACATCGGGACAGATCCCTGTGGCAAATTGCCTCATATGAATTCAGTAATTCAATCTTGAGAAATTTCACCTAAGGAAATAATCTGAAACTAATACAAATGCTTTCAGGCAAGAATGCTTATTATAAAATCATTTAAACATAAAAAACAAATGGAGTCATACAAATGCCTAATAATCAGGTAATTGTTAAATATGTAAACAAAGTTACATTCCTTTAGCTCTTTATGAGCAATAAGAAATCATCTGAAGATGCAAAAATTACTGGTGAGAGTAAGTACACAGAATACTATAACATTATAATTGTGGTATGTAAGCTACTGTTACTTTAAGTAGAAAGACTAAAACATGAACCAATGAAAAATAATTACTGCAATGTTTCAAGGCATAGACAATAACATATAAATAGAAACACAAACGTTAGAAGCCAAGGGGATGAAGTTAAAATGCAGAGTTTTTATTTTCCTTTTATTTGTTTGTTTTTTTATGCAATCAGTGTTATTATCAGTTTAAAATAATAATGGGTTATAAGATATTTTGCAAGCTTCATGCTAACCTCAAATCAAAAAACATACCACAGATACACAAAAAATAAAAAGCAAGAAGCTAAAACATATTAGCAGAGAAAACCACCTTCAGTAAAAGGAAGGCAGGAAGGAAGAAAAGAAGGAAGAGAAGACCACAAAGCAACCAGAAAACAAATGGCAAAATGGCAGGAGAAAGTTCCTGCTTATAAATAACATTGAATATAAGTGGACTAAAGTCTCCAATCAAAAGACATAGAGTGTCTAAATGGATTTTTTAAAAGAGACCCATCAATCTGTTGCCTACAAGAAACACATTTCACCTATGAAACACACATAGACTGAAAATAAAGGGACAGAAAAAGATATTTCACACCAATGGACACCAAAAAATATCAGAAGTAGCTATGCTTATAATGTGGCTTGGCTCTGTGTCCCCACCCAATTCTCATCTCAAATTGTAATCTCCATAATCCCCATGTGTCCAGGGAGGAACCCAGTAGGAGGTGATTGGATCATGAAGGCAGTTTCTCCCATGCTGTTCTTGTGATAGTGAGTGAGTTCTCACAATACTTGATAGTTTTATAAGGAGCTCTTCCCACTTTGCTCCTCACTCTTCTCTCTCCTGCTGCCATGTGAAGAAGGTCCGTATTTCCCTTCACCATCCACCATGATTATAAGTTTCCTGAGGCCTCCCCAGCCATGTAAAACTGTGAGTCAATTAAACCTTTTTTCTTTATAAATTATCCAGTCTTTGGTATTTCTTTATAGCAGTGTGAAAACAGAATAACACAGTAAATTGGTACCACAGAGAGTAGGGCACTGCTATAAAGACACTTGAAAATGTGGAAGCAACATTGGAACTGGGTAACAGGCAGAGATTGGAACAGCTTGGAGAGTTCAGAAGAAGACAGGAAGATGTGGGAATGTTTGGAGCTTCCTAGATACTTGTTGAATGATTTTGACCAAAATGCTGATAGTGATGTGAACAATGAAGTCCAGGCTGAGGTGTTCTCAGATGGAGATGAGGAACTTCTTGGGAACTGGAGCAAAGATCACTCTTGCTATGCTTTAGCAAAAAGACTGGTGGCATTTTGACCCTGTCCTAGAGATCTGTGGAACTTTGAACTTGAGATAGATGATTTAGAATATCTGGCAGAAGAAATTTTGAAGCAGCAAAGCCTACAAGATGTGACCTGAGCGCTCTTAAAAGCATTCAGTTATATTCATTCACAAAGAGATGCTTTGAAATTGGAACTTATGTTTAAAAGGGAAGCAGAGCACAAAAATTTAGAAAATTTGTAGCCTGATGATGTGATAGAAGAGAAAAACTCATTTTGTGAAAAGAAATTCGAATGGGCTGCAGAAATTTGGATAAGTAATGATGAACCAAATGTCAACTGCCAAGACAATGGGCAAAATGTCTTCATGTCATGTCAGAAGTCTCAAGGAATCCACTCCCATCACAGGCATGGAGGCATAGGAGGAAAAAATGGCTTTGTGGGCCAGGCTCAGGGTCTTGCTGCTTTGTGCAGTCTCAGGACTTGGTGTGCTGAGTGTCAGCCATGACTAAAGGGGCCAACATCCAGCTGAAGCCATTGCTTCAGATGCTGCAAGTGCCAAGCCTTGGTGGCTTCCACATGGTGTTGGGACTATGGGTGCACAGAAGTCAAGATTTGAGGTTTGGGAACCTCTGTCTAGATTTCAGAGGATGTATGGAAATGCTTGCATGTTCAGGCAGAAGTTTGCTGCAGCAGTGGAGCCCTCAGGGAAGACCTCTGCTAGGGCATTGCAGAAGAGAAACATGAGGTTGGAGCTCCCACACAGAGTCCCCACTGGGGCACTGCCTAGTGGAGCTGTGAGAAGAGGACCACAATCCTGCAGACCTCAGAATGGTAGATCCATTGAGAGTTTTCACTGTGCATTTGGAAAAACTGCAGACACTCAATGCAAGCCTGTGAAAGCATCCAGGAGGCTGCAAAGCCACAGTGGTAAAGATGACCAAGACTGTGAGAGTCCACCTCTTGTATCAGCATGACCTGGATGTGAGACATGGAATCAAAGGAGATTTTGGAGCTTTAATATTTATTGACTGCCCTATTGGATTTAGGAGTGGCAACGGGCCTGTGGCCCCTTTGTTTTGGCCAATTTCTCCTATTTAGAACAGGTGTATTTACCTAGTGCCTGTATAACTCCATTGTATCTTGGAAGGAACTAACTTGTGCTTAATTTTATGGTATCATAGATGGAAGGGACTTGCCTTGTCTCAGATTAGACTGGACTTGGACTTTTGGGTTAATGTAATGCTGGAATAAGTTAAAACTTTGGGGCACTGTTGGAAAGGCTTGATGGTGTTTTGAAATGTGAGAACATGAGGTTTTGGAGGGGCCAAGGGCAGAACTGTATGGTTTGGCTCTGTGACTCCACTCAAATCTCATCGCAAATTGTAATTCCCATAATTCTCATGTGTCCAGGGAGGAACCCAGTGGGAAGTGTTTGGATCATAGACATGGTTTCTCCCATGCAGTTCTCATGATCATTAGTGAGTTCTCATGAGATATAATGGTTAATGAGGGGCTCTTCCCCCTTTGCTCTTCACTATTCTCTCTCCTGATGCCATCTGAAGAAGATCTTTGTTTCCCTTTCACCTTCCACCATGATTGTAAGTTTCCTGAGGCCTTCCACGCCATGCAGAACTGTGAGTCAATTAAACTTCTTTTCTTTGTAAATTACCCATTCTGGGTATACTATAATACACACTAATTTACCCAGTAGTGTGCAAATGGACTAATACAGCTTATCAGACAAATTAGATTTTATGACAAAAATTATACAAAGAAACAAAGAAGGTCATTATGTAATAATAAAGGGTCAACTCAACAAGAGGATATAATAATTATAAATATATATGCAACCAATACTGTAGCTGTATAAATACAGCTTTATAAAGCAAATATTATTAGAGCTAAAGATAGAGATTAGTCCAATACAATAATAACTGGAGGTTTCAACACCCCACTTTCAGCATCAGACAGATCTTCTACATAAAAAATCAACAATAAAATATCAGACTTAGTCTTCACTATAGACCAAATTGATCTAATTGATATTTTAAAAATGTTTCTGCTTATGGCTGCAGAATACACATTCTTCTCAACATATGGATCATTCTCAAGGATAAAATATAGGTTAGAAAACAAGTCTTAAAACATTAAGAAAATTGAAATAATATCAAGTATCTTTTCTGACTATAATAGAATAAATCTAGAAATTAATAACGAACACAATACTGGTCTTGAAATTCTGGCCCAAAGTAATCCTCCTGCTTTGGCCTCCCAAAGTGCTAGGATCACAGGCATGAGCCACTGGGCCCAGCTGCCGGAATATTGGGAACTGTACAAATACGTGGAAATTAAACAATGTGCTTCTGAATGACCAGTGGGTCAATGAAGAAATTGAAAAGGAAATTGAAAATTTTCTTAAAACAAACAATAATGGCTCTGTTCCAAGATGGCTGAATAGGAACAGATCTGGCCTGTAGCTCCCAGCATGATCGACGCAGAAGACGGGTGATTTCTGCATTTCCAATTGAGGTGCCTGGTTCATCTCACTGGGACTGGTTGGACAGTGAATGCAGCCCAGGGAGGGTGAGCCGAAACAGGACAGGGCATTGCCTCACCTGGGAAGCACAAAGGGTTGGAGGATTTAACTTTCCTAGCCAAGGGAAGCCATGACAGACTGTACCTGGAAAATCAGGGCACTCCCATCCAAATACTGCACTTTTCCAACGATCTTGGCAAACAGCACACTGGAAGATTATATCCCATGCCTGGCTCAGCAGGTCCCATGCCCATGCAGCCTTGCTCACTGCTAGTACAGCAGTCTGAGATCGAACTGTGAGGTGGCAGCCTGGCTGGGGAAGGGGTGGGTGTCTGCCATTGCTGAGGCTTGAGTAGGTAAACAAAGCCGCTTGGGAAGCTTGAACTGGGTGGAGCCTGCCACAGCTCAGCAAGGCCTGTTGCCTGTGTATATTCCACCTCTGGGGGCAGGGAATAGCTGAACAAAAGGCAGCAGAAATTTCTGCAGACTTAAACGTCCCTGTCTGACAGCTCTGAAGAGAGCAGTGGTTATCCCAGCATGGTGTTTGAGCTCTGAGAATGGACAGACTGCCTCCTCAAGTGGGTCCCTCACTCCAGTGTAGCCTAACTTGGCGACACCTCCCAGTAGGGGCCAACTGACACCTCATACAGGCGGGTGCCCCTCTGGGATGAAGCTTCCAGAGGAAGGATCAGGCAGCATTATTTGCTGTTCTGCAATATTTGCTGTTCTGCAGCTTCCACTGGTGATACACAGGCAAACAGGGTATGGAGAGGACCTCCAGCAAACTCCAACAGACCTTCAGCTGAGGGACCTGACTGTAAGAAGGAAAACTAACAAACAGAAAGGAATAGCATCAACATCAACAAAAAGGACATCCACACCAAAACCCCATCTGGAGGTCACCAACATCATAGACCAAAGGTGATAAAACAACAAAGATCGGGAGAAACCAGAGCAGAAAAGCTGAAAATTCTAAAAACCAGAGCAACTCTTCTCCTCCAAAGGATCACAGCTCCTCGCCAGCAATGGAACAAAGCTGGATGGAGAATGACTTTGATGAGCTGAACAGAAGTAGGCTTCAGAAGGTCAGTAATAGCAAACTTCTCCAAGCTAAAGGAGGATATTCGAACCCATTGCAAGGAAGCTAAAAAACCTTGAAAAAAGATTAGATGAATGGCTAGAATAAACAGTGTAGAGAAGACCTTAAATTACCTGATGGAGCTGAAAACTACAAGAACTATATGATGCATGCACAAGCTTCAATAGCCAATTTGATCAAGTGGAAGAAAGGGTGACTGAAGATCAAATTAATGAAATAAAGTGAGAAGAGAAGTTTAGAGAAAAAAAGAGTAAGAAGAAGTGAACATAGCCTTCAAGAAATATGGGACTATGTGAAAAGACCACATCTACGTCTGATTGGTGTACCTGAAAGTGATGGGGAGAATGGAACCAAGTTGGAAAACACTCCGCAGGATATTATCCAGGAGACCTTCCCCAATCTAGAAAGACAGGCCAAAATTCAAATTCAGGAAATACAGAGAACACCATAAAGATACTCCTTGAGAAGAGCAACCCAAAGACACATAATTGTCAGATTCACCAAGGTTGAAATGTAGGAAAAAATGTTAAGGGCAGCCAGAGAGAAGGTCAGGTTACCCACAAAGGGAAGCCCATCAGAATAACAGCAGATCTCTTGGCAGAAACACTATAAGCCAGAAGAGAGTGGGGGACAATATTCAACATTCTTAAAAAAAAGAATTTTCAACCCACCAACTAAGCTTCATAAGTGAAGGAGAAATAAAATCCTTCTTGGCAAGCAAATGCTGAGAGATTTTGTTACCATCAGGCATGACTTACAAGAGCTCTTGAAGGAAGCACTAAACATGGAAAGGAACAACTGGTACCAGCCACTGCAAAAACATGCCAAATTGTAAAGACCATCGATGCTAGGAAGAAACGGCATCAACCAACTGGCAAAATAACCAGCTAACATCATAATGACAGGATCAAATTCACGCATAACAATATTAACCTTACATGTAAGTGGGCTAAATGCCCCAATTAGAAGACACAGACTGGCAAATTGGATAAAGAGTCAAGACCCATCACTGTGCTGTATTCAGGAGACCCATCTCACGTGCAGAGACACACATAGGCTCAAAATAAAGAGATGGAGGAAGATCTACCAAGCAAATAGAAAGCAAAAAAAAAAAAAGCAGGGTTTGCAATCCTAGTCTCTGATAAAACAGAATTTAAACCAACAAAGATCAAAAGAGACAAAGAAAGCCATTACATAATGGTAAAGGGATCAAGAAGAGCTAGCTATCCTAAACATATATGCACCCAAAACAGGAGCACACAGATTCATAAAGCAAGTCCTTAGAGACCTACTTAGAGACTTAGTCTCCCACACAATAACAATGGGAGACTTTAACATCCCATTGTCAATATTAGTCACATCAGCAAGACTGAAGGTTAACAAGGATATCCAGGACTTCAACTCAGCTCTACAGAACTCTCCACCCCAAATCAACAGAGTATACATTCTCCTCAGCACCACATCACACTTATTCCAAAATTGACCACATAGTTGGAAGTAAAGCACTGCTCAGCAAATGTAAAAGAACAGAAATCACAACAAACTGTCTCTCAGACCACAGTGCAACCAAATTAGGACTCAGTATTAAGAAACTCACGCAAAACCTCACAAATACATGGAAACTGAACAATCTGTTCCTGAACCACTACTGGGTAAATAACAAAATGAAAGCACAAATAAAGATGTTCTTTGAAATGAATGAAAACAAAGACACCATGCACCAGAATCTCTGGGACAAATTTAAAGAAGTGTGTAGAGGGAAATTTATAGCACTAAATGCCCACAAGAGAAAGCAGAAAAGATCTAAAATTGACACCTTAACATCACAATTAAAAGAATTAGAGAAACAAGAGCAAACACATTCAAAAGCTAGCAGAAGGCAAGAAATAACTAAGATTAGAGCAGAAGTGAAAGAGATAGAGACACAAAAAACTATTCAAAAAATCAATGAATCCAGGAGCTGGTTTTTTGAAAAGATCAACAAAATTGATAGACCACTAGGAAGACTAATAAAGAAGAAAAGAGAGAAGAATCAAATAGATGTAATAAAAAATGATAAAGGGGATATCACCACCAATCCAACAGAAATAAATAATACCATCAGAGAACACTATAAACACCTCTAGGCAAATAAACTAGAAAATCTAGAAGAAACGGATAAATTCCTCGACACATACACCCTCCCAAGACTAAACCAGGAAGAAACTGAATCTCTGAATAGACCAATAACAGGCTCTGAAATTGAGGCAATAATTAATAACGTACCAACCAAAAAAAGTCCAGGACCAGATGGAGTCACAGCCAAATTCTACCAGAGGTACAAGGAGGAGCTGGTACCATTCCTTCTGAAATGATTCCAATCAATAGAAAAAGAGGAAATCCTTCCTAACTCATTTTATGAGGTCAGCATCATCCTGATACCAAAGCCTAGCAGAGACACAACAAAAAAAGATAATTTTAGACCAATATCCCTGATGAACATCGATGTGAATATTCTCAATAAAATACTGGCAAACTGAATCCAGCAGCACATCAAAAAGTTTATCCACCACGTTCAAGTCAGCTTCATCCCTGGAATGCAAGGCTGGTTCAACATATGCAAATCAATAAACATAATCCGTCACATAAAGAGAACCGTCAACAAAAACCACATGATTATCTCAATAGATGCAGAAAAGGCCTTCGACAACATTCAACAGCCCTTCATGCTAAAAACTCTCAATAAACTAGGTATTGATGCAACATATCTCAAAATAATAAGAGCTATCGATGACAAACCCACAGCCAATATCATACTGAATGGGCAAAAACTGGAAGCATTCCCTTTGAAAACTGGCACAAGACAGGGATGCCCTCTCTCACCACTCCTATTCAACATAGTGTTGGAAGTTCTGGCCAGGGCAATCAGGCAAGAGAAAGAAATAAAGGGTATTCAATTAGGAAAAGAGGAAGTCAAATTGTCCCTGTTTGCAGATGACATGATTGTATATCTAGAAAACCCCATTGTCTCAGCCCAAAATCTCCTTAAGCTGATAAACAACTTCAGCAAAGTCTCAGGATACAAAATCAATGTGCAAAAATCACAAGAATTCCTATACAACAATAACAGACAAACAGAGAACCAAATCATGAGTGAACTCCCATTCACAATTGCTTCAAAGAGAATAAAATACCTAGGAATCCAACTTACAAGGGATGTGAAGGACCTCTTCAAGGAGAACTACAACCCACTGCTCAATGAAATAAAAAAGGACACAAACAAATGGAAGAACATTCCATGCTCATGGATAGGAAGAATCAATATCATGAAAATGGCCATACTGCTCAAGGTAATTTATAGATTCAATGCCATCCCCATCAAACTACTAATGATTTTCTTCACAGAATTGGAAAAAAACTACTTTAAAGTGTATATAGAACCAAAAAAGAGCCCATATTGCAAAGCCAATCCTAAGCCAAAAGAACAAAGCTGGAAGCATCACTCTACGTGACTTCAAACTATACTACAAGGCTACAGTAACAAAAACAGCATGGTACTGGTACCAAAATAGAGATAAAGACCAATGGAACAGAACAGAGCCCTCAGAAATAACACCACACTTCTACAACCATCTGGTCTTTGACAAACCTGACAAAAACAATAAATTGGAAAAGGATTCCCTATTTAATAAATGGTGCTGGGAAAACCGGCTAGTCATATGTAGAAAGCTGAAACTGGATCCCTTCCTTACACCTTACACAAAACTTAATTCAAGATAGATTAAAGACTTAAATGTTAGACCTAAAACCATAAAAACCCTAGAAGAAAACCCAGGCAATACCATTCAGCACATAGGCATGGGCAAGGAATTCATGACTAAAACACCAAAAGCAATGGCAACAAAAGCCAAAATAGACCAATGGGATCTAATTAAATGAAAGAGCTTCTGCACAGAGAAAGAAACTACCATCAGAGTGAACAGGCAACCTACAGAATGGGAGAAAATTTTTGCAATCTATCCATCTGACAAAGGGCTAATATCCAGAATCTACAAAGAACTTAAACAAACTTACAAGAAAAAACAAATAACCCCATCAAAAGGTGGGCAAAGTATATGAACTGACAATTCTCAAAAGAAGACATTTATGCAGCCAACAGACACATGAAAAAATGCTCATCGTCACTGGTCATCAGAGAAATGCAAATCAAAACCACAATGAGATGCTGTCTCATGCCAGTTAGAATGGTGATCATTAAAAAGTCAGGAAACAACAGATGCTGAGAGGATGTGGAGAAATAGGAATGCTTTTACACTGTTGGTGGGAGTGTAAACTAGTTCAACCTTTGTGGAAGACAGTATGGCGATTCCTCAAGAATCTACAGCTAGAAATACCATTTGACCCAGTGATCCCATTACTGGGTATATACCCAAAGGATTATAAATCATGCTACTGTAAAGACACATGCACACGTATGTTTACTGCGGCACTATTTACAATAGCAAAGACTTGGAACCAACCCAAATGCCCATCAATGATAGACTGGATAAAGGAAATGTGGCACATATACAACCTGGAATACTATGCAGCAGTAAAAAAGGATGAGTTCATGTCGTTTGCAGGGGCAAGGATGAAGCTGGAAACCATCATTCTGAGCAAACTATCACAAGGACAGAAAACAAAACACTGCATGTTCTCACCCATAGGTGGGAATTGAACAATGAGAACACCTGGTCACAGGGTGAGGAACATCACACACTGGGGCCTGTCGTGGGGTGGAGGGTTGGGGGAGGGATAGCATTAGGAGAAATACCTAATGTAAATGATGGGTTGATGGGTGTGGCAGGTCAGCATGGCACATGTATACGTATGTAACAAGCCTGCACGTTGTGCACATGTACCCTAGAACTTAAAGTATATATATATATGTAACAATAATGGAAACATATCATACTAAAACCTATGTGATACAGCTAAAGCAATACTAAGAGGAAAGTTTATAGTTATAACTGCCTATATCAAAAACGAAGAAAAACTTCAAATAAACATCCTAACAATGCCTCATAAAGAATTAGACCAACAATAACAAAGAAATCCAAAATTAGTGAAATAAATTTAATAATAAATATTAGAACAGAAATAAATGAAATTGAAATGAAGAAAACAATACAAAAGATCAAGAAAATAAGAAGTTTGTTTGTTGAAAAGATAAGCAAAATTGACAAATCTTTAGCCAGACCAACTAAGAAAAAAGAGAAGACCCAAATAAATAGAATCAGAGATAGAAAAGGAGGCATTACAACCAATACCACAGAAATTCAAAAGATCATTAATGGCTACTATGAGCAACTGTTGGCCAATAAATTGGAAATCTGGAAGAAATGGACAAATTCCTAGATACATACAACCTATCAAGATTGAACCATTAAGAAATCCAAAACCTGAACATACCAATAACAAGTAATGTGACAAAAGCCACAATAAAAAACTCTCTCAAGAAATGAAACTTGAAAAAAATGTCTGGGACACAGTAGCTTCACTAGTGAATTCTACCAAACATTTAAAATCTAGTACTCATCTTACTCAAACTATTCTGAAAAATAGAGTAGGAGCAAGTGCTTCCTAACTCATTCTACAAGACCAGTATTACTCTGATACCAAAAGCAGACAAAGACACATTAAAAAAAAAAGAAAAAAAAACAACAACTACAGGTCAATATCCCTAATGAATATTGGTGCAAAAATACATAACAAAATACTAGCAAATTGAATTCAACAACACATTAAAAATATCACTCAGCATGTCCAAGTGAGATTTATCCCAGGGATGCAGAGACAATTCAACATATGCAAGTCAAGCAATGTGATAAATCATATCAACAGAATGAAAGACAAAAACCATATAATTATTTCAATTAATAATAAAAAAGCATTTTATACAACTGATCATTCGTTCATGATAAAAATGTCCAAAAACCTGGGTGTAGAAGGAATGTATCTCAATGTAATTGAAGCCATATACAAACCCACAGCTAGTATTATACTGAATAGGGAAAAAACAAGTCTTTTCCCTTACGTCTGGAAAACACCAAGGATACCCACTTTCATTAATATTTTTCAACATAGTAGTGGAAGTCTTAGCTAGAGCAATCAGACAAGAGCAAGAAGTGAAGGCATTCAAATTAGAAAGTAAGAAATTAAATTATACTTTTCTGCAGATGATATGATCTTATATTTGGAAAAACCTTAAGAGTGCACCAGAAAACAATCAGAACAAATTCAACAAAGTTGCAGGCTACAAAATCAACATGCAAAAATTAGTAGTATTTCTATTCCAACTACAAACAATCTAAAACAGAGATCAAGAAATTAATCCTGTTTATAATAGCTACAAATAAAATTAAATACCTAGAAATTAACTTAATCAAAGAAATGAAAATTCTCTACAATGAAAACTATAAAACACCAAAGAAAGAAACTGAAGAAGACACCAAAAACTGGAAGGACATTCCATGTTCATGGATTGAAAGAATCAATACTTTTTAAAATATCCATAGCCAAAGCAATCTACAGATTCAATGTAATCCCTATCAAAATACCAATGACATTCTTCACATGACTAGGAAAAAAATCTTAAAATTTATATGAAAGCACAAAAGACCCAGAATAGCCAAAGCTATCCTGAGCAAAAACAACAAAGTTGGAGGAATCACATTACTTTACTTCAAATTACACTACAGCCAGCTATCATAACCAAAACATCATAGTACTGGAAAAAAAACAGACACGTGGACCAATGCAGAATAGAGAACCTATAAACAAAATCATATATCTACATATCTACAGTGAATTCATCTTTGACAAAGATGCCAAAAACATACAGAAAGAATGTTTGGGAAAAGAATAGTCTCTTCGATAAATGGTGCTGGGAAAACTGGACATCCATATGTAGAAGAGGAAAATATACCCTTATCTCTCACCATATATAAAAATCAAAACAAAATGGGTAAAATTATCTAAGACCTCAAACTATGAAGCTACTAAAATAGAGCACTGGGGATATGATCCAGGACATAGGACTGGGCAAAGATTTTTTAACACCCCATGAATGCAAGCAATCAAAGCAAAAATGGACAAGTGGGGTCATCTCAAGATAAACAGCTTCTGTAAAGCAAAGAAAACAACCAAACAAGTAAAGAGACAATCCACAGAATTGTAGAAAATAGTTGCAAACTACCTGCCTAAGGATGAGGAACTCAAACAACTCTATAGAAAAAAAAGCTAATAATTCAATTTAAAAATGGGCAAAAGATCTAAATAGACTTTTCTCAGAGGAAGACATACAAATGGTGAACAGGTATATGAAAAGGTGCTCAGCATCACTGATCATCAGGTAAATGAAAATAAAAACTACAATGAGATATTATCTCATCCCAGTTAAAATGGCTTATACCCAAAAGAGAAGCAATAACAAATGATACTGATGGTGTGGAGAATAGGAAATCCTCATATACTCTTGGTGGGAATGCAAATTAGGACAGTCACTATGATGAACAGTTTGGGGATTCCTCAAAAAAACTGAAAATAGAACAATGACATGATCCAGCAATCCCACTGATGGGTGTATACCCCAAAGAGAGAATTCAGTATATCAAAGACATATCTGTACTCTTAGGTTTGTTGCAGTACTATTCACAATTGGCAAGATTTGGAAGTAACCTAGGTGTCCATCAACAGATAAATGGATAAGGAAAATGTTCATATACACAGTGGAGTTCCATTCAGCCATAAAGAAGAATGAGATTCTGTTATTTGTGACAAAATGGATGAAACTGGAGGTCATTAAGTTTATGTGAAATAAGCCAGGTGCAGAAAAACAAACTTTGCATGTTTTCTTTTATTTGTGGAAGCTAACAATTAAAACAATTGAACTCATAAAGATAGAGAGTAGAATGATAGTTATCAGATGCTGGGAATGGTAGTGGGGCCATGGATGGGAAGTGGGTATTGTTGATGGGTACAAAAACTCATTAGAAAGAATGAATAAGACCTACTATTTGATAGTGCAAGAATGTGACCATAGTCAATAATAATTTAATTGTACATTTTAAAATAACCACAAAAGTACAACTGGATTGTTTATGCTTGAGGTGATGAATATCCAATTTACCCTGATGTGATTATTACACATTCTATGCCTGTATCAAAATACTTCATGTACCCTATTAATATATGCATCTACTAGGCTGGGCGCAGTGGGTCACACTTGTAATCCCAGTACTTTGGGAGGCCAAGGCAGGCGGATCACGAGGTCAGGAGATCAAGACCTTCCTGGCTAACACGGTGAAACCCCATCTCTACAAAAAATAAAAAATAAATAAAAAAAATTAGCCGGGCCTGGTGGCTCGCGCCTGTAATCCCAGCTACTCTGGAGGCTGAGGCAGGAGAATGGCGTGAACCCGGGAGGCAGAGCTTGTGGTGAGCCAAGATCGTGCCACTGCACTCCAGCCTGGGTGACAGAGCGAGACTCTGTCTCCAAAAAAAAATAAAAATAAAAAACAAAAATATATATGCATCTACTAGTGTACCTCCAAATAATAAACATTAAAAAAATTAAAGAAAGCCAAACAAAAAATAATTACTATTATTTTCATTGTAAATGGAATGATAATAAACCACCAAAATATTTAAAACCTAAGCCTATGCAATCCTGACATGTATGTAAGTACAAACAGAACTCTCATGTACTTTTGGAAGTGTAAACTTTAAAAATATTTATATACTTGATCTAGTGATATGGATACTGGCAAATTATTCTATTAATATAAATATAATGCAACTGTGGGTAATTATCAAAAAGCTGATAAATGCACATATGTGTAAATACTCATCACAATCTTATTTATAATAGCCAGAAAATAGATGATAGGAAAAACAAAACACTGTTAAAGTAGTCATATAAATGAGATATTATGCATAAAATCAACTATTAGGTAATCATTGATAAGCATGTTTATAAAATACTTTAATTACATAGAAGTATTTATTCAATAGCATTATAATAAAATGGGATTAAATGATACCAAAGACATAAATACTGAAAAAAGATGTTAAGAATGATGATGTGTAACAAGGGTTATTTTAGACTTTTTTTTGATACTTCATTAGAGTTTCAAAATATTACTAATATGCAAGAATTATTGTATATATTAATTGGAGGATGAGAAGGTGAGACATTTGAGGAGTTGAAATACCTCATGTAAGAGTAGAAAGGCTTTATATTAGCTGGACTTGGAAGTTCAATAAAGCAAAATGAAGCATTCTTTCCAGTCATCAAATGGCTACTTAAGAAGCTATTAGTCATAGTTAATAGATTTGATCCCGATGATAACAGGCTGTGTAAGTTATGTTGAGTTTAAATTTACCTTAGGTGTTAGGAGCAAAAGAAAGATTTTGTCATAGAAATGGTGAGCTAAGATTTACATTATATAACATTTAGAATAGTAAGAAGAAAATTCTACCTGCCACCTCTTACTTTCGGTTTACACTGCACCACATGCAGTCCTGCGTGCTTTCTGGGTATCATCTCAATTACATTTTGCAACTTCTGCTTTGACATAGACACGCTATTTGAAAATGTTGATATTTTAAATAGATGCTAAAGAAAATTTTTTTCTTAAATTAAGTTCCTATTCCGGAGGCATAATATGTAGTACACAGAAAAGCTGGAGGGCGAGTGGAAAGAACGAGACATTTGAAATCTGAACAAGTAAGTGTTACTAAGTTGTCAAATAAAAACAAGTCCAAAGTTAGGTAAAAGATTGGAAGAGATTATTGCAGGAGGGGTAGGAAGACTATGACATCAAGGAGAATGCTCTGACCTAAGATCTGAAAATGCCAGGCAGGAAGAAATTTAACTTTACAGGGAGAGGTAACCAAGACTAGAAAGAACCTGCTGTGAGGGAATGAGACATCCATGAATGCTTTACCCTGAGGTGAGTCAACTCTGGGAGGGGTCTTTCATAAGAGGCTTCCTGCTGGCTCAGGCTAAGGGTAGGTCTAGCTTCAGGTGCTTGTTTGAACAGGAAAATTTTAAGTGAAGTTTGGTTAAGTCAGCTATTTCATCTAGATTGGTCAGTGGGTCCAAGCAGCTCTTCTAATCATTTCTGAGGCAAATAATGAAACATGGAGGATGGTAAATCAATAATAAATTTCTAAGCCCCCTCCACGGACTGAATGGACCTTCCTCTTTGCCAAGGAAACCCAAAGAAACCTGAACAAGTAGTTCAGGCCATGAGGAGAAGTGAGGGGTCAGACATGCCTCACTACCCTCTCCTCATCTTAGAGTTCAGGCTCAACTGAGAAGCATTAACACTAAAACAGAGACCCTAAGACTGATAAAATAGACTCTTGTGGTATGAAAGGAAAACACCTTGGGCCCCCAAAATCACTAAGCTAAAGGAAAAAGTCAAGCTGGGAACTGCTTAGAGCAAACCTGCCTCCCATTCTATTCAAAGTCACTCCTCTGCTCACTAAGATAAATGCATATCTGACTGCCTCCTTTGGAGAGGCTAATCAGAAACTCAAAAGAATGCAACCATTTGTCTCTTCTCTACCTATGACCTGGAAGACCCCTCCCTGCTTCTCAGTTGTCCTGCCTTTCCAGACAGAACCAATGTTCATCTTACATATGTTGATTGATGTCTCATGTCTCCCTAAAATGTATAAAACCAAACTGTGCTCTGACCACCTTGGGCACATGTCGTCAGGACCTCCTGGGGTGGTGTCATGGGCATGTGTCCTCAACCTTGGCAAAATAAACTTCCTAAATTAACTGAGACCTGTCTCAAAATTTCTGAGGTTCACAGTGGCAATAAGATACGAAATTCCAAACTGACTCTAGTATAACATCACATTACAGATAAAGAAGGAAATCAAAATATTTTACAACAAAATAAGTTTCTTTGCTGTGTTTTGAAATGGCCCTGCAAAGCCATCTTTTGTAGGGAAAATTTGCATCTGCGAGGAGCTTCTATTGATATAACTAGGTCTTTGTCCTTCCCAGCCCTCCCAATACTGAAGGGGTTACTGAGAGTCTAGCATCTTTTAAAGATCTACATAGGAAACATTTGCCATCTATTGTCTCTAAGGGGGCCACCTATGAGGCTTCATCTGCTTGATAAGAACCTTGGTCTGCACAACCCCTAATCATAATCCAGGCACTCTTTTCTATTGATTCCAGGTCTTTAGGTAGTAACTTAACTATTTCAACAAATTGCCAATTAGAAAATATTTGAATCCACCTATGACCCATAAACCTCCCTCTTCAAGTTTTCCTGCCTTGCCAACTGAACCAATGTATACTTCACATTATCGACTGATGTCTTATATTTCCATAAAACATTTAAAAACAAGCTGTAACCCAACCACCTTGTGCACATGTTCTTGGGACCTCTTGATACTGTGCTTTAGGCCATGGTCACTCATACATGGCTCAGAGTAAACTTCTTCAAATATTTTACAGAATTTGCTTTTTTTTTGTCAACAGGATCTATGTCTGGCCTTGTCATAGGTCTTCCCTGAGTCTTATCTAAGTCATAAGGGAAGGGTGGTTCTTTGCCATAAGCCATTTCCTGGATGCAAAAAAGTGCATGAATTTCTTTATCTCTTGCTGTTTTTAGGGTCACAGGACTCTGGTAGAGGTCAACATTGCCAAAGTAATACTTTTCTTGAATTTATTAAAAACTAGTCTCTCAAATTCAGTGTAATTTGTGCCAAAAGAGTAAATGAGGATTGGCATTCCTGAAGTTAGAAATTTTTCTGTTGATTTATTAAAATCTCCCTTTTTTAATTTTAAGAAGCAAAGTTTATCATTATTAGAGAAGAATACATTGAAGATGTTTATACAAACTGTACTCATCCATAGAAACCCAAAGTAAGGATATGACTAGCTAGTGACAGAGGTTCAATGAATAAATGTTGACCTACTACTTTGGCATAAACAATACACAAACAACCTGAAAGAGGAGGAGGAAGGAAAGATGGAGTAAGGGGGTGAAAGAGGAGCCCTTTATATGGGGAAGTTCTCTGAATTTGCATTCATGGAGATGGTAGCACACTTTGCTACACAGTTGGCTCTTCATGTCAATGGGTTCTGTATCCCTGGATTCAACCAACTGTGATTGAAACTATTTTTTTAAATTGCATCTGTAATAAATATGTACAGACTTTTTCCTTGTCATTTTTCCTGAAGCAATACAATATAACAACTATTTAGATAGTACTTACATTATCTTAGGCATTATAAATAATCTAGAGATGATTTAAAGCAGTGGTCCCCAATCTTTTTGGCACCAGGGACTGGTTTCATGGAAGACAATTTATCCATGGATGGGGTCGGGGGTGCTGTAGGGCGGGTTCCGGATCAAACTCTTCCACCTCAGATCACCAGGCATTCATTAGATTCTCTTAAAGAGTGCACAACCTAGATTCCTTGTATATAGAGTTTACAATAGGTTTGCTCTCCTATGAAAATCTAATGCCACGGCTGATCTGACAGGAGGCAGAGCTCAAGCAGTAACGCTCGCTTGCCCACTATTCACTCCCTGCTGTGTGGACAGATTCCTAATAGGCCACAGACTGGGGTCTGGGGACTCCTGACTGAAAGTATATGAAAGGGTATGCATCGATTATAAGCAAACATCATGCTATTTTATACCAGGGACCTGAGAATTTTGGGAGTTTGGTATCTTGAAGGGGTCCCAGAACCAGTTTTCCACAGATACGGAGAGATAGTTGTATTCTCTTCTAGATTTTTCACTTTTCTCTTGCATCTCAACTGATCTATTAGCCAGTTTGTTTGTGTTTTCTGTCTGATGCTGTGAGTTCTAAGTAGAGACTTTCATGTGTGTCTGTGTAAAGATACCACCAAACAGGCTTTGCGTGAGCAATAAAGCTTTTAATCACCTGGGGGCAGGCAGGCTGAGTCCGAAAAGAGAGTCAGCACAGGGAGATAGGGGTGGGGCCATTTTATAAGATTTGGGTAGGTAAAGGAAAATTACAGTCAAAGAGGGGTTGTTCTCTGGTGGGTAGGAGTGGGGGTCACGAGGTGCTCAGGAGGGGAGCTTTTGAGCCAGGATGAGCCAGGAGAAGGAATTTCATAAGACAATGTCATCAATTAAGGCAGGAACAGGCCATTTTCACTTCTTTTGTGGTGGAATGTCATCAGTTAAGGCAGGAACCGGCCATCTGGATGTGTACATGCAGGTCACAGGGGATATGATGGCTTAGCTTGGGCTTAGAGGCCTGACATTCCTGTCTTCTTATATTAATAAGAAAAATAAAATGAAATAGTGGTAAAGTGTTGGGACAGTGAAAATTTTTGGGGGTGGTATGGAGAGATACTGGGCGATGTTTCTCAGGTCTGCTTCGAGCAGGATTGGGGCGGTGTGGGAACCTAGAATGGGAGAGATTAAGCTGAAGGAAGATTTTGTGGTAAGGGGTGATATTGTGGGATTGTTAGAAGAAACATTTGTCATGTAGAATTATTGGTGATGGCCTGGATACACTTTTGTATGAATTGAAAAACTAAATGGAATAAGAGAAGGAGAAAAACAGGTATTAAAGGACTAGGAATTGGGAGGACCTAGGACATCTAATTAGAGAGTGCCTAAGGAGGTTTGGCATAGCCTTGCCAGCAAAGATTATTTACTTAATTTAAGAGTTAAGAGTGGTGGTTTGGGGATAGCATCAGGAGATATCAGCTGTGATGGCTTGGAGAAACAGTGTAAACCAGCAGTGTAAACAAGAGCAGGGCATTTATGAGTAGTTGAGAACGGTGAATAGGAGTATGACTAGATAGAAAATAGTAGGGATGACAAGTGTTTTGGGGTGCAGTCTAAGTTGGTCTGGTGTCTGGGATGAGACTGGGGCCTAATAAAAAGGAGCATCTATACAGGAGCTTATATGGGCTGTATCTTGTAGCATTCCAAGACAGGCCTGAATTCTGAGAAGGGCAAGAGGTAAAAGTACTGTCTAATCTTTTTTAAGTTGGAGGCTGAGCTTGGTGACGTTTGTCTTTAAAGACTATTAGTCCGTTCTACCTTTCCTGAAGATTGAGGACGGTAATGGATATGAAGGTTCTACTGAATACTAAGAGCCTGAGAAACTGCTTGGGTGATTTGACTAGTAAAGGCTGGTGTGTTATCAGACTGTATAGAGGTGGGAAGGCTAAACCAAGGAATTATGTGTGACAGAAGGGAAGAAATGACTGTGGTGGCCTTTTCAGACCCTGTAAGAAAGGCCTCTACATATCCAGTGAAAGTGTCTACCTACACTAAGAGGTATTTTTGTTTTCTGACTTGGGGCATGTGAGTAAAGTCAATTTGCCAGTCCTGGGCAGGTGCAAATCCTTGAGCTTGATGTGTAGGAAAGTTGGAACTGCCATCAGTAAACTCAGTGTGATCAGTGTGAGGACCAGGGAAGAAGCAAATATGGGGAAATCGGGTGAATGTCAGGTGGATCAGAGAGATGTGGTCATGAGGGTCAGGTGTGGTATCCGGAATAATGTGGGAGGCCGGATTGAAGTCTGGGCCAGGAACAATAGTAATTGTGGGAGACTCAACAAAGAGTGAGTACAGCTGAAGGAGCCAGGAAGCAGACCGTATATGCCTCAGGTGTGAGGAAGAAAATAGATTTTGGAAGTTATGAGAGCTGTAGAGAGTGAGTTGAGCATAGTTTGTAATTTTGGGGCCTCTAAAATTATTAAGGCGGCAGCAGCCGCTGCACGGAGACATGATGGCCAGCCTAAAACAGTAAGGTCAAGTTGTTTGGACAAAAAGGCTACAGGATGTGATCCTGGTCCTTGTGTAAGAATTCTGACTGCACAGCCCAGCACTTCAGCTGTGGGTAATGAAGACGGTTGAGATGAGTCAGGGAGAGCTAGGGTTGGGGCAGTCTTTAAAGTTGTCTTCAAGGAACGGAAAGAGGAGTGAGGAAAGGATTTAGGATCTATGGGGTCAGCTAGGTTTCTTTTTGTGAGTTTATATAATGGTTTTGTTAGGATGGCAAAACCAGGTATCTAAAGTCGAAAGTATCTAACCATGCCTAGGAAGGAAAGGAGTTGTTGTTTTGTAGAAGGTGCTGGGGTTTGAGAGATCAGTCAGACACGATCGGCAGGGAGAGCACGTGTGTTTTTAGGAGAATTATGCCGAGATAGGTAACAGATGAGGAAGAAATTTGGGCTTGACTGATGTATTGGGGGCTGTCTGTGAAGCTTTGAGGCAGTACGGCCCAGGTAATTTGCTGAGCCTGATGGGTGTCAGGGTCAGTCCAAGTGAAAGCAAAGAGAGGCTGGGATGAAGGGTGCAAAGAACAGTAAAGAAAGCATGTTTGAAATCCAGAACAGAATAATGGATTGTGGAGGGAGGTATTGAGGATAGGAGAGTATATGGGTTTGGCAACATGGGGTGGATAGGCAAAACAATTTGGTTGATAAGGCGCAGATCCTGAACTAACCTGTAAGCCTTGTCTGGTTTTAGGACAGGTGAAATGGGTGAATTGTAAGGAGAGTTTATAGCTTTTAAAAGGTCATGCTGTAGCAGGTGAGTGATAACAGGCTTTAATCCTTTTAAAGCGTGCTGTGGGATGGGATAAAGTGCAGTAAGGGTGATTAGGTTTTAAAGAGATGGTAACGGGTGCATGATCGGTTGCCAAGGAGGGAGTAGAGGTATCTTATACTTGTGGACTAAGGTGGGGAGATACAGGGGAGGATGTGAAGGAGGCTTTGAGCTGGGGGAAAAGGCAGCGTGTAGCCCAGGAATAGTCAGGGAAGCAGAAAGTTTAAAGTGTCTCGGCCTAATAAGGGAACTGGGCAGGTGGGGATAACTAAAAAGGAGTGCTTAAAAGAGTATTTTCTAAGTTGGCACCAGAGTTGGGGAGTTTTAAGAGGTTTAGAAGCCTGGCTGTCAGTACCTACAACAGTTATGGAGGCAAGGGAAACAGGCCTTTGAAAAGAAGTTAATGTGGAGTGGGTTGCCTCCGTATTGATTAAGAAGGGGATGCACTTACCTTCCACTGTGAGAGTTACCCAGAGCATCTGTGATGGTCCTGTAGGCTTCCGAGGTGATCAGGCAGTCTGTCTTCAGCTGCTAAGCTGAGAAGATCTGGGAAGGAGTCAGTCAGAGAGCCTTGAGCCGGAGCTCCAGGGGATCTGGGAGTGGCTGCCAGGTGAGTTGAACAGTCCGATTTTCGGTGGGATCCTGCACAGATGGGACATGGCTTAGGAGGAATCCTGGGCTGTGGGCATTCCTTGGCCCAGTGGCCAGATTTCTGGCACTTGTTGCAAGCTCTTGGGGGAGGAGGTTCTGGAGGAACACCTTGCAGCTGCGGTTCAGGCGTTTGGAAGTTCTTGTGTGCTGGAGATGTGGCTGGGGTTTGTCTCACAGTGGAGGCAAGGAATTGCAACTCAGAAATATGTTGCTGCTTGGCTGCCTTTACTCTATTATTGCACACCTTGAAGGTGAGGTTAATTAAGTCCTGTTGTGGGGTTTGATGGCTGGAATTTAATTTTTGGAGATTTATTTAATGTTAAGAGCAGATTGGGTAACAAAATAAAATGTATATTGAGACTAAGACGGCCTTTTGACCTTTTAGGGTCTAGGGCTGTAAAGTGTCTCAGGGTTTCTGCTAAAGGGGCCATGAACTGGGCTGGGTTTTTTATATTTGATGAAAGAGTCTAAACGCTAACTGATTTGGGAGAGGTCGGATAAAGAAAAAGGACCATTAACTTTGACTATGCCTTTAGCTCCATCCACCTTTTTAAGAGGAAATTGCTGGGCAGGTGGGGGAGGGCTAGTCATGGAACGAAACTGTAAGCCGGACCTGGTGTGAAGAGGGGAGGTGATGAAAGGATTATAGGGTGGAGGAGCGGAGGCTGAGGAAGAATTGGGACCTAGCTCGGCCTGGTGAGGAGGGGAGACGTCAGATGGGTCTATAGAAAAGGAAGATTAGAAAGACTTAGCGACGCTTGGGGTTGGGACTGAGGGGATGGGCGGGAGGGAAAGAAGGAAGATTTGGGACAAGTTGCATTCGGAACAGAGACTAGGGAGGGACTGATATGTAAAAGAATGCCTGGATGTCAGGCATCTCAGACCATTTGCCTATTTTACGACAAGAATTATCTAGATCTTGTAGGATGGAAAAATCGAAAGTGCCATTTTCTGGCTATTTAGAGCCATTGTCAAGTTTGTATTGGGGCTAAGCAGTGTTGCAGAAGAAAATAAGACACTTAGATTTTAGGTCAGGTGAGAGTTGAAGAGGTTTTAAGTTTTTAAGAACACAGGCTAAGGGAGAAGGAGGAGGAATGGAGGGTGGAAGTTTGCCTATAGTGAAGGAGGCAAGTTTAAAGAAAAGGGTAGAGACATGGAGAAGGGGGTGGGGAGCAGCCCTGGGCTGCAATGTGGGTGAGCAGCCAAAGCAGGTGTCCCTGCAATTGACTTGCCGCCAAGGGAACGTGGGTGAATGATCAAGGCAGGCGTCCCCACAGAGATCAGACACCAATGGAACATGGGTGAATAATCAGAGAGGTGTCCCCACAGTGATTAAACCCCAAGGGAAGGCTGCCTTCCCGAGTCTGTGACCGGCGCCGGAGTTTTGTGTCCACGGATAAAACATGCCTCCTTTGTCTCTACCAGAAAAATGAAAGGCATTGAAATTAAGAGAAGGGAGAGATTGAAGGGTGGCGCCAAGATTGAAAGGAGAAAGTGGTTGAGGGATAGTGAGAGAGGTTGGAGAAGAGAGTAAGAAGAGGCCGCCTACTGGATTTAAAATTGGTGAGATGTTCCTTGGGCTGGTGGGTCTGAGGTCCTGAGGTCCTAGGTGGATCTTTTTCATGGAGCAAAGAGCAGGAGGACAGGGAATTGATCTCCCAAGGGAGGTCCCCCGATCCGAGTCACTGCACCAAATTTCATGCGCGTCCCTGTGAAGAGACCACCAAACAGGCTTTGTGTGAGCAATAAAGCTTTTAATCACCTGGGTGCAGGTGGGCTGAATCCGAAAAGAGAGTCAGCAAAGGGAGATAAGGGTGGGGCCATTTTATAAGATTTGGGTAGATAAAGGAAAATTACAGTCAAAGGAGGGTTGTTCTCTGGTGGGCAGGAGTGGGGGTCACAAGGTGCTCAGTAGGGGAGCTTTTGAGCCAGGATGAGCCAGGAGAAGGAATTTCACAAGATAATGTCATCAGTTAAGGCAGGAACAGGCCATTTTCACTTCTTTTGTGGTGGAATGTCATCAGTTAAGGGCAGGAACCGGCCATCTGGATGTGTACGTGCAGGTCACAGGGGATATGATGGCTTAGCTTGGGCTCAGAGGCCTGACAGAGACTGTATTTTAGAACTTGGTGTTGTGTCTAGAATTACCACTGTATTTGAATGTTTGCCAAAACCACCTTCACTCAAGATAGATTTCACTTGATATTCATTCTTTGGAGCAAATGAGTTTTATTTTAAAACAATGCAGAGAGAGGGGTATACAGCATGGTGCTACCAGATCATTTAAAATATGCTGCCTTAAAGCAATAAGATATTATTCCTCCAAAAACTCACTAAATCTTCCAGTGGCCAGAGGAAATGATAGCTTTGTTAGTGTAACGAGAAGATGGTTCAGGTAATTTTGGAGCTTGGGGAATAGCTCTTTGGATGCGAGGTCCTGGAGTTTGATAGACACGCAGAGAGTTTCATGGTTTTAGTAGCCTGAAGGATAGAAAGCTGGCACTTGTTACAATAGCACTTAACATTTAATTTATGACTTTTCTAAAATGAAAAAAAATGAATACTTAAACTTCCATAAAAGTAGCAACTACAGAACAAATAACTATCTGTATTTCTCATCACTTGTGCATAAGTTGCTTATCTGATGATCATACCTAATAGTTGAGTGTATATTTCCTACAAAGGGCATTTTCTAACATAGCTATGGTATATTAGTCTAAATCAGAAGATTAACACTGGTACATTACCATCGTTAATCCTCACAATTCGTTAAAGTTGTACTATGTGAAATTATAATTTCTTTTAGATCCAATTCAGGATCACACATTGTATTTTGTGATCAGGATTTCTAGTTTCTTTCACTCTGGAATCCTTCCTGAGGTTTTGATTTTTATAATTTTGATATTTTTGAAGCTATAGACCAGGAATTTTGTAGAGTGTTAAGTTGTCTTTTTTTATAATTAGCTTCAGATTATTCAAATTGGGTAATAATATTTAGAAGTGGGGTTGCATTCCTCTTCTATCAGGAGGTGATTTGTTTGTAATTCTACTAATGATGTATGCAGGCGATGTGTCTCAACTAAGATTGTATTTGCTA
This sequence comes from Homo sapiens, assembly GCF_000001405.40. NCBI lineage: Eukaryota > Metazoa > Chordata > Mammalia > Primates > Hominidae > Homo > Homo sapiens. The sequence goes on along the minus strand of NC_000014.9, from coordinate 86,730,596 downwards.
CCTTCTCCACTGTAAAATTACACTTTTAGTCTTTGTAATTAACAAGAGTCTTGCGGGAAGGTGTTTGAAACTATACAAATATCCATTTCTTATCACATTTTTATTTATACATTAACTATGTATATCAATATGGACTTATGGTTTCATGTTTGATGCAATGGTTATAACACATTACTGAACTATTTCTGTCAATGCCCCCAGTTTTCTTCCATGTGGCCAATGGGCTTCTTTATTCTGCTTTATGTGCCCTTTTGAGTTTTACTCATCGTTCTTTGATCATTCTTTTCTCTCTGCCATTTGAAGATGCTTTGGGAACGTTTAATACTTTCTCTGCTTCATTTCTGTAATCAGTCACTTTTCCAAGAAGCCCTGGTTCTTTTTAATGAAAAATGGTATTTAGATACCAAGATCTAGGTGCCAGATTTGCTCATGGCTATTGAAGTGTTGCTGCTCACAGACCTTCTTTGTGGACACAGCTGTGTATATATATGGTCCTAATTTGTTCAGGTTGTCCTAATAAAATGTGGTAGATTGTGTGGCTTACAAAATAGAAATTTGTTTTCTCACAGTACTGAAGCCTGGAAGTCTAAGATCAAGGTACAGGCCCATTTCATTCCTGGTTAGGTCTCTCTTTCTGTTTGGCAGATGGCTGATTTTCTACTGTATCCTCATATGGCAGAGAGAGAGGGAACAAGATTTCTGGCATCACTTTTTATCAGAACATTAATTTTATTGGGTTTGGGCCCCACTTTATGACCCTATTTAACCTTAATAACTTTCTTACTACAAATACAGCCATACTGGGTATTAGGGCTTCATAAAATTTTGGAGAGACACATATGTTCAGTCTGTAACACATATATGGTATGTAAACAGATGCACTTACAATTACTTTTGTTCTATATTCATCTAGATATTTATAAACTACTAATTCTACAATTTTTTTTTTTGAGACAGAGTCTTGCTCTATTGCCCAGGCTGGAGTGCAGTGGTGCAGTCTTGGCTCACTACAACCTCTGCCTCCCGGGTTCAAGTGATTCTCCTGCTTCAGCCTCCCGAGTAGCTGGGACTACAGGCACCCGCCACCATACCTGGCTTTTTTTTTTTGTATTTTTAGTAGAGACAGGGTTTCACCATGTTGGCCAGGATGGTCTCAATCTCTTGACCTCGTGATCCACTCACCTTAGCCTCCAAAAGTGCTGGGATTACAGGCGTGAGCCACCGCGCCCAGCCTCTACAATTATTTTTAATTTCAACCTATCATCACAGAGTTCTTTCTCCTTTTGCATATTTGCAAATCTTATCTCCAAAAGAAATCTGGCTTTAATTATTCTTAATACATATTATTTCTTTAATCCATCACTCTCCATGTGATCAGTCTCGCCTAGGGACTGTGCTCTCACCAGAATTGATGTCCTCATTACTATTCCCAAGTCCCTGCAAGTCTCTGACATCCAGAATGTTCCTCAAAAAGTATCAGTTCCAGTGGAGCTCTGTGGCAAGGGCCTATATGAGTTTGAGACTGTAGTAAATCATGATTGCACTGTGAGTAGCCACTACTATTCACAGCAGTGAGATCCCAGAGACAGACCTCATCTCTTAAAAAAAAGTATCAGCTCCTTGATTCAGCATATTTGGATAATTTATTTCAGAAAAATAAAGAGTATTTTGAGCTGAAAGGCATCCTTTCATTTATAGTTTGAGAAAGCCGAGGACCAGAGTCGTTAACATGACCCTCAGGCTGGGTTCTAATCAGTGACAGTGTCAGGGCTTCAGTCTCCATCCCTGATACAAATGCTCTGTTCCTTTTAACATGTCATAGCCTCTTTATTCTGACTAGAAAACTGAAATGAGAATATTAACTGTTGGTGTGTGTGTGTGTTTAATACCTCCTGATACCACATGCAAATCATTGTAAAATAACTCATCTATAAAACAGTGAGTAATCTTTTAGATTTTTGCCATGTGTGTATGTGTCTTTCTGCTTTTCCTTGTTTCTGTAAATACAACCTGTATTGGAGAGAAAAGTTTATGAGGCCATTAGCTTCTGAAGTAGATGTGTGATGTAATAACTAGGATTCAGTGACAGGAAGAAAATAAATAAATAACATTAACCACTAAATGAATCTTCATGAATATCTTGTTCCTTCCTGAGGGCTTCTGAAGAAAGAAGCCATTGAGACATCTAGGCAGATGATGTTCCAGGGAGAGGAGTGGGCACCTGCTATAACCCTGTGTATTCTTTTTTGAACATTTCATATGGGTACCATGCACACAAACATCTCATTAGTCATTTTCTTCTTTTTTTCTTTGGGATTATATCAGCAAATACATTTTGGTATTAGAGTCATTTGAAGATCTGATACCTAGTCTCTCTTGCTTAGCCTAGCAGTTTATAGGCTTGTTGCTTCAGTTTATTGAACATATGCTGAACTAATACAATCTAGTTGAAATTTCAGAGAGATATGATCATCCAAGGGTGAACACATGTTTTTAGAATCTTCTTTGGAACATGGTACATATTACCTTAGTATATATGTAACAGATTTTGTTATTAGGTAAAATGACCACATTTAAAGAAATATCTTTTATGAGTCTTAAATAAATGAAGATACCAAATAGTATCTGTTATTGTAAGGTAGCTGATACTGTCCAGTGCTGTCTACACAAAAGCAAAATTATTCCACTCAAAGCAGTCAACATGAGCAGAATTTGTGATTTCATATATTCAATAACTCAATAAAGTTACTGAGTTTGTTTAGGTCCTTTATGCTTGGAATATAGTAGTGAACAATGCAGATGATGTCCTACCCTCATTAACTTTACATTCTAATTGAGGAAACATACAGCAAACAAAAATTTTTAAAAAGTCTATTAGCTTGTATTAGTCAGTATTTTCCAGAGAAACAGAACCAACAGGATGTGGATGGATAGATGGAGAGATAGATAGATAGAGACAAAAGAAAGATTTATTTTAAGGAATTGGCTTACACAGTCATGTCAATTCAGGTGCAAGTTCAGAATATGCACCAGATATGGCAGATTTTAGACACAGAGAAAGGAGTCGCAGTCCAAGTCCAAATACCATCTGCTGGAAGAATTCCCCCTTACATGGGAGAAATTCAGTCTTTATCCAATTAAGGCCTTCAACTGACTGGATGAGGCCCACCCCCACCATGGTGGGCAATCTGCTTTACTTAAAGTCTACTACTTTAAATATTAATCTCATCGCAAATAAACCTTCATGGAAACATCTAGAATTATATCTGGCCAAATATCAGGGCACTGTGGCCCAGCCAAGCTGATAGATAAAATTAAGCATCACAGTGGGGTGAAGTGCTGTAGAGAAAAACACAACAGGGTAAAAATAAAGCTTGTTGGCTGGTGCTATTTTTAAGTAGGGTGGGCAGGGTAGCCTCTCTAATTAAGATAGCCTTTGAGCAGAGACTTGAAGGAAGAAGCCATTGGGTCCTCTAGGTGGATGATATTGAAGGCAGGAGGATGGGCACATGCTAAAACTGTGGCAAAAACATGTTTGCCATAATCAAGTCCAAGTGAGGAACCAGTGTGACAAATCAGAGTAAGTTCAAGAGTGGGTGGGAGGAGATGGAGTCACAGAGTTGCAGTAGACAAGGCCACTTTAAGAACTTTGGATTTTAGGTTCTGAGAAAGAAGTAAGTAATGTGATCTGGCTTATCATGCCTTGTGTTCTATTTCCCTTACTAGACTGTAAAATACCTTAGGACATCCAAGCTCAAGTCCTGGCAATTGGATTATTGACTGACTATAGGACTTAATGAATTCATCTACATGACTAAACCTAGGAGGAAACTAATATATTATAACTCTTATTAATGAAGTTACAAGTGTATATTTGTAAACCTTTTTTAAAAACTCAAAAATAAATATTATTTCCTGAGTTTAGCATTTGGATAATCCATACTAAACAAGGTATCTAGAGCCACGGTCTTCAATATGGTGGACCCCAGTCACGTGTAGTCATTGGAAACTTGAAATGCAACTTGTCTGAATTGAGATGAGCTATAAGTATAAACTACCCACTGGATTCCAACTACTTGGTATGAAATAAAATATAATTGTAAATATATCCTTAATTGTATTGACTACCCATTACAATGATAGTATTTTGAATATGTTGGATTAAATAAATGTATCGTTATAATTAATTTCACATGCTATTTTTACTTTTTAAAATGTAGCTACTAGAAAATGTAAAATGACAAACGTGGTTTGCATTTCTGACTTACATAATATTTCTATTGAACAGTGCTGATATCAATGCTTTAAACAGTGTTTCACATGCCACAGATATGCATGCCTTTAAGTTGTGATATTTTGCTTTTGTGATTTATTCTTTTGATTCCCAAACTCCGTTCCTAATTTTCATCTGCAAAGCTGTTACGTGTTCTATCAAATTAGCGATCAAGATAACTTATCCTCTGCTGCCCCTAAGACAGAGAAAGGCTTTAGACCTGATTTGAAACATTATATATTTGCTCCCAGGTCATGTATGACATAAAAACAGGAAAGAAAAGGCAGCTAATAAACAACGTGAGACAAGAGGGAAAAAATGTGTCATAATGACTTTAAAATTGACAAGTAAATTATTTGGGAAAAAAGCATTCTCAGTCTCTCCAGTTGCACGGTAAACTCCCTGAAGGCAAGAACTATGTTGTGCTTAGTCATTCTTCCATGTGCCTATCAGTCTTGCTCAGCATTGCAAGAATTAACCAACCTGATATGAGGATGCCAAGGCTTCACACAGCTGCCACTTTGGGGTCCTTAGTTCCTTTCATTCAAGAAGGAATTATAGAGGATATTTTCTTCAAATCTTGATTTTTTTAATAAATCCATTCATTGGGAATTTCACCCATAATTTTCAAGGTCATAGCCAAAACCCTACATTTATTTAGTTGTCAATACCCTTTCATATTCCTATCCACCCCCAAACACCATGCAGTTTGTTTGTTTAAATCTGACCCATCCTCTACCAAGCCTCTCCCTTTTCCTTCTTTTGCTCCCCCTACCCTTGCACTTTACCCAACCAAACTCACATTCTTTCATTAAAAAAGCACCCGACTTCCTCACCTCTTTGCATGAAAACTCCCCTAAAAGCATCACTTTCACTGTGGTGGACAGAGGTATGATTGCTTCATCCTTTGCACCCTAGCTGCCTGAGGTCTGGGAGTCACAGAAGATATTCATCGCCCCTCGCATTTCCAGACACTAATGTTCACACTTAAGTTCCGGACTTTGCGACCATTTTTTACATAGAATGTTGCAAATTCCTTGCTTTCAAGCAAATGCCTCTAATTTATCTGCCACTGCACAAGCCAAAGTGACCTTTCTAAAATGCAAATCTGATCTTGTTGTTCTGACACTTAAAGCTTATTTCAATAACTTCTATTTCTTTTAGTTTGAAAGGCACATAAATAAACAATTCTTTATTAAGTTTCTCATGTCTTACTATAATTTGTCTCCTACGTCTTACCTACATCTACCCTTTCAGTTAAATGTCACAAGCTATTCTCTTTACTAAGAATAATCTTTCCTTTTTCCCTTAGGTTTCCTTGTTCTTATCTATCCTTCAAATCTCAGTTAGATGATTCTCCAAAGAATCTCTAATGCCACAAAATGGACTTAAGTGATCTTCAATTTCTCTTATAAGAACTATGTTGATAATCATTGTTTATTTTAGAATCATTTACCACTTTCCTTTTCTAGTAAGTTGTATTTGCTTAGGGCAGAAACCATGTCTATTTTGTCCAATATTATATTCTCCGGTATACCATACACACAGAGTAGTACACATTTACACAGAGTATTCATTAAATAAATATTGGTTAAATGAATGAAAAACACCTTTGAAATATATAGTTTTCTAGTTAACAATACAAGACAAAAAAGCTTCCAAATTACAAAGTGATTTTGTATATTTTCAGTTATCTGTATTAGGCTAGGCTGTAATAGAATATATAAAATATTTAAAATCACAAATTTAGAATTGAACAAACTCAAGTTTGATTCCCACCTCTGCAACTATCTAGCTGTTTGACCTTGAGCAAGTTGCTTACCACTTTGAAGCATTTTTCCTTGGAATCCAAGTTTGTAATCTTGACTATATAGTTTAGTTGAAAGGATTAAATGTGGTGGTATTCAAAAGTGCTTGGCTCAGTGCTTTCTTAGCACAAATTTAATGCTCAGTAATGTAAGCAATTGATCTTCGTAGGCTAAATCCTTACAAAATAATGTTCACCATTTGATCATTCATTTTCCCACATAAAACTATTTGGAGACTTTACTTTTTTGGTATTCAAACAATTTTGTGAAATTCAGGCAATTTTTATTTACAATGGATATATATTCAATACAGGAGATCATGTGGCTAATGTGTTTATGAAGCAGCAATTGATTAACTATTCTTCTTTGCTCTGAACATAGCTCATTAGTTATGGGTACAGGCAGTAAAAGTTCCTAAAAAACTAATAGCCGCATTTTTATCAGATAGATATTCTTTTGACTGCCAGTGAAAGAAAAATACCACTAACAATAGTGTATTGATGCCATTCTCTGTGATTCTCTTGGCCTGCCTAAATAAGATCACAGGGTGGCTTTCTCAGTTCTGTCTCCTCTGTGTTCAAGGCAGGAAGAAAGAAGATAGCAAAAGATTAACCATGTTTATCCCTTTTATCAAGAAAGCTAAGTTTTGCAGACAGCCTCAGAATACTTTTCCACAATTGTATGGGCTGGAAAAGTGAATGTTTTATGTTTTTGGCTATATTAGATGTCTACAAGAAAGGAACCATGACAACCTTATATTTTTGATGCATTATATATTGAATTCTTACAAAGTTCTAGGCCCTATGCTAAACAAATGATTTATCTATTTCTACCTTCAAAAGAGCCCCATGGATTGGAAGCTAATACATCCTGCCCATCCTCCCACTGCCTTTCCTTGTCCCTCTCCCCCACCACATTAGGCTCTGAAATTAAACAATGCTTCAGATGACTACTTTATCTTACATTATCTGATAGAACAATTGACCTTAAAACACTAGTATCATGATCTTGAATATTCATTGAGAGCCTCCTTCAGCCCAGAGCTGAGGTTCCAAGGGGTGTAAGTCTTGGCTTACAGTGTCAATGATGAGTCAGGCCATACACACAGAGAGAAAGCAGGCATAACAGGAATGAAAGAAAGGTTTAGTGCCTGTTTGGAAAAAAGGTGATAGGTGGAAATCTATGCATATTATTTTGGAAAACTAATTTGGAAACAAGCTCAGGTGTAGAACAGGTGTTGAATATAAGATTCTACCAGGTATGAACAGGGCCTAAAATGCCAAGCTAGGTAATATGGACCTTACTTTTTAAAGAAGAGGAAATTATTCATGGTTTTTGAGCAAGAATGAGAAAATGAAGGAGTGACACTAAAAATAATGCAATAGAATTAATAATTTACTAGCTGTTTGCTTTTGTGCACAAGCATTGAAAGGCAAGAGGAATTAGGGAGAAGGCTGGGAAGGCTAGAAACAGATTTTACTGGACACGTATTCTAATGGAGACCTTTTCTGAATTGAGGGCAACCAACACTTGGACATATTTTCAGGGCTTTTCTTTACATAAGAAACACTTTTCAGATATAGCAATATGGTGATATTCCAAATACAAGGCATGTAACTAACTTTAATACAAAAGAACCACTCCTCTAAAGGAAGTTATTACATAGGTCAGTGCGGCATGTTCCACAGATAGATCAAGGTGAATTCCTCAACAAGAGCTTTTGACTTCAAAGAACTTTGCAGACCTTGAATTTTTTAAGTTCCTCTGCATTTGTGATTTGTCAGGTTGGACTAACAGAAAGATTATATGTTTAGAACCAAAGACCAGTAGCCTGTGAATCACATAGAAATGGCAAAAAATCTTTATTCAAGTGATGCTTACAAAGCTATTCATGTCCTTTTGCTACAAGAAGTCATCAGCTCAGAAGAAAGCTATGCACTAGTAAACATTATCATCTGATTGATGAACTCATTTTCTCTCCAAAGTGTGTGTAGCACAATGAATCAGGTAATAAAGAGGTCAGCAACTGCAGGTCTGCACTTAACTACAGTTTATTATATTTTAGAAACGATTCAATATGGTTGTACAATCGGCAGTATAAATCATCTACTTCATATTTCCAGATTCTATTTCAGCCATAGGAAACTGACTTCTTTTTTTTTTAATGACTGGGAACTTAAGCATCCTTGCAAAACATGTTTTTTTCCTATGTGAATGAAACTTTCATTATTTGCACATTAAAAACCATTTTGAACAACAGAGATTGATGCTCTGATTTATATAAGCAGACATCCATTCTGGAGATGAAAAAGTCTTCCCATTGTTCTCATACATAGATATAATTGGGTCTAGGTCAATCCTGAATATCACTGCCTTGGAATTAAATATTATCTTTTTTTTCTTTTTTTTTTGAGATGGAGTCATGCTCTGTCATCCAGGCTGGAGTGCAGTGGCGTGATCTTGGCTCACTGCAACCTCCGCCTCCCAGGTTCAAGTGATTCTCCTGCCTCAGCCTCCCAGGTAGCTTGGATTACAGGTGCACGCCACCAAGTCTGGCTGATCTTTGTATTTTTAGTAGAGACGGGGTTTCACCACGTTGGCCAGGCTGGTCACAAACTCCTGACCTCAAGTGATCCGCCCACCTCGGCCTCCCAAAGTGCTAGGATTACAGGCACGAGCTACCACATCTGGCCTAAATATTACTATTCTTGAAATGTGATGTTGCTCCATTGGTTTACAATGTAAATTTAATCTAAGTTTAAAGATTCCTCAGAAAACTAAGAGTTTGGGGTTTGAGAGTGATGAAAATAAAAATAATCCTTAATGCGTTAAGGATTTAATCATAACTTGATTAACGCATTAAGGATTTAAATTGTAACTTGATTTATTTGATTTAATACCGATATAAACTTTAATATAAAATATAAAGAAAATGTACACAAAAATAAATAAGTCAGAGCTAACATAAGTAAAATGAACGATTATAAGAAGTTTAGCTTATTGACAATAAAATAGCAACATTTATTTTATTAATTGTATTGTTTATTAGTACTCGATCAAAGAATTGGTTAGATTTCTTGAAGGCATCCTATGCCCAAGATACTGTGCCCGGCACTTTGCTTAGTGCAAGAAAGAAAAATGAGTCTGCCATGGCCCTTTCTTCAAGGAGTTTATAATTTTTAAAGAGAAATAAAATATTGCTAACAGCAAAACAAAATGCTAGTGTTATCAAGGAAATGAGAGCTAAAATTCTACAGAGGTTGAAAGAAGGGGAAGGTGAATTCTGGCTGGGCCTGATCTGGTATGTTGGTAGCATCAGGAAGGGGTCAAGGCTATTGCTTTGATTGATAACTTAAAGCTATGATTTAGACCTGCACAAAAAGATGGTGCTCTGGAGGATGCCAGGGGAGGAAATCACAGTGAACAGCTCTTTAGTTAGTGGTTTAATTGGAGGCAAATGCAGAAAAAAAACTATCAGGATAATAGGCCAAAACCAGATTATGGAGATTTTGAATGTCAAACAGAACTTTCTCTATTGGATTAGGAGAAGCTCCTGAATGTTTTACAGAAGGAGAATGAAAGAAAATGTATTCTAGAAAGATGATGACATGGTTCATTGGAAATTGGGTGGAATAGAAGGTGAAAACATTTATGAGAAGATTGTGGTAGTACTCTAGACTTCATGAAATAAGGGGAGGAGCTGAGGGAGTAGAGGACATGGTAGCTAGAAGTGTCGGTGTTATAGAAGTGAATTACTTAATGGCTGGTGTGCTGTGGGAGATCTGGGAATACTTGCCATGGTCCTTGGAATGGGAGGCACTGTAGCTCTTCTGGGGCAAAGGAGGACAGCTGTTATTCTTGGACTCATAAAAGGATGTCTTACTCTAGAGATGTGAAAATTCTCTCTCGCCTTCTTTATAGAAGGATATAAATGTTAAGCACTACTCACTAAACTGTGAAAATAATCAGTAACATTTGATGCCTTAATTAAAGACTGAACTGGGATTTTTGCTCCTAGAAAAATTACTATAGGAATACAGAATAAAATTACCTTAATTAAGACTTATTTAGAATGGAACCACTACAGCCCTCAGATTTATAAATTATCTCAAGACATTTTTAATAACTAAATTTACCTTTTGACCTTTAAAAGTTTCCTCAAATTCATTCTCTATTTAATCCACCATGTATTTCTTGCCTAGATGAACCTGAGGTAGAGAGAAATGTATGTAATTCATAGTTGTAAATTCCAAGATCATGGAAAATATAAGGCGAAGTCAAGAGCTAAATACTGAAGTCTGCTTTCTGCTGTCCTTCTCTCATTTCACTATTAATGCATGGTCCTCAGTCATGCTTTAAAAAATCATTTCTCATTCAAAATTCATTACATTTTAATTGCAGATTTATTAACAAACTGGCGGCTTTGTATTGATTTCTGCAGGATGTTGTGGAAACTGGGAACAGGCACAGAGCACCTTGTAAGACTGACAGCACTTCACAATAAGTGGCAAGGATGTTGTTACATGCAAACACTTGAAAAAGAGCAGAGTAGAACAAAGCATTCATGAGTGGTGTGGGTGAGAAATGGACTACCGGAGAAAATGAGGAAAGAGAAAATATGCAGTTGGGACTCATGGTTTCAATGCTGATAATATATGATTAGCTTTGATTTACGGTATACCTTTGATTAATTTTTAGTGCAAATGTCATGCCTATACTCCATGCTAGATTCTTCTAAAGCAAAAGTGACACCCAAAGCATGTTAGAGACTAAGATAAGCAAACATAATCAAATACTGAGAATGTACTTTAACATTCCCTTGTTTGTAAATTCACAGAAAAGATCTGTTGTGCACATATCCTACCAAATTTCCAGAGGAAGATGAAAACCAGAGGAAGATGAAGAGCCTCAATCCCTACTCTATACAAAGCTAAATATATATTTTATTTGAACACCAAGATGGTTAATATTTCAGGTTCGATCTCTATATTTAACCATTTTGGATCTGAACAGACAGAGAAAGTAATTGTAAGTAAAATATTTCTATATGTCACTCATATACAGTGGTGATCGCAGAATCAATGACCCCGTTCTCACAAGTATAAGAACACACAATAGGAGAATGGCTTATATTATTTGGAAATATATTAATCATCTCAAAATTTGAAAAAACAACAACAACAAAATCTTCCATGTGCCTTTAAGAAAACATCATCTTCTACTCTATATTTTGTGACCAAGATATCCTTAACTTTCTCTTCAGCTTGACATAACTTTAGACAGGCTTCTTTCTGATGATAAGCCCCTGATGTCCCTTTTCTTAAAAGCATTTACTTTAGAAACTTTGCAATGGTAAATTCTCTTTCTGTGATTTTGAGATGTAAATCTCCTACAATTCAGAAATGTCTTTCTCAAGAAAAAAGAGATGGTTGCTATCCCTTTGAGATATAATCATCAAGAAAGACAGGCCCCTGTCTCCTATTCTCTCTGGGAGAGTAGGAGCTTAACTTTGATAAGAAACAACCAGGTGGTCTAATTACATTGACCAACTCACCACCCAAGGTCATGTGGTACTTTTCCATTAACACACACCAGCCTTAAAAGAAAACCTACTTTTTTTTCCCCAGTGGAGTTGAACTCAATCAATCTCCCCCCGTTGCAACAGCCATAACCCTATTTTAATAGTCTTGTTGATGTCTTCCTTGGCATTCTAAACAAATATCCTGTGTAATTTTTCTTTTATATTTGTGATAGAAACATTATTTAGGTTAGTAAATATGCCAGATATAAAATTTAGTTACAAGTATATTTATTTCTAAACCAGACTTTTAAAACAAATACACATTCGTATGGAAAAATCACTGAAATGACTTACTCCACAGCATCTTGCTTGGAAAAAAATTTAACATGCAAGATAGAGAAATACCTCTTAGTTGAGTAACATTTCATAGATTACTGGTGTCATTGCCAGGTGTGACCATGACAGTAGAACAATATCAATTTCTAAAGAGGCTGCTTGCTTTTGCATTCAGGAAAATCTACCCAATCTCTCCTTTCTAAAATCTGCTTCAAACCTCCATGTACACATGCCCTCCATGATCCTTGTGCCATGTTTTATTGTACAGGATGAGTATAGTAACCCAGCCCCAGGATATCTACCTAGTGTTACTCATACTTTTGCAGCATACAAATGACCTGGGAACTTCTTAGAAAAGCAGATCTCTGAAGACCAATCCACAGATAATCTAATTCCACAGTTCTTCAGTGAAAATTGGTAATTTTTACAAAGCTCTGTGGGCAATTTTGAAGCAGGCTAACATGGATCTCAATTTAACAAATTCCCTTTAGACTTCCTGTGAGAAGTAGGAATTTTCAGAACTCAGTCTTTAATAATTGCTCCCAGATTCCTTTTAAAAAAAAAAAACAACACAAAAAACAAACAAAAACAAACAAAAAACAATATTGGCCCCAGAGTAACTCTAGCTTCATGGCCCAGCCCAAGTTGCCAGATTACTTACAATCAGGTCCCTGGGTTTCTGTCCCTATACAGGAATGGGAAACAGACAGTAAGAAGCTCCTATTTCCATCCAATTCAAAACTCTTGAAATTCTGCTTTTATTCCATCTAGTTTATTTCTAAACTCTAAGAGTAAAAAATTGATTAGATCAACTTACCGATTCTTTCTTAAAAATACTGAATCCTTTTTTAAACAAAACAAAACAAAAAACACTAATTTTCATCTTTGAATGACGCTCAGCCAGAGAAGTTTCCTAAATTTCTTTCTCTGATGGAAGTTTTCAAGAAGAAAATAGCTGTGTTGGATTCTATTATGCACAGATCAATGCATGAGACTTGATTGAAATGTTGTATTTAGATGAAATTGTTCAAGAAATCACATGGAGACTCATATGATGACAGCCACATTATCTTTCTTTTTTTTTTTAGAAGTCCATTGTATTATTAATAATCACAGATACCTTTTTCCAAGATGGATTAGGTTAGCATCTGTATGAGACTTCATTATTATAGCTTCATTTATAAAATTAAAGGATTAAATATTTAATTTTTAAGGGTTTTTTTTTTTCCTTTTCAGAAAGTCATAGAATGGTATATACTTGGATAGGCATGTGATTGCTTTAATTTTTTTTTTTTTTTATTCTTTAAGTTCTGGGATACATGTGCAAAACCTGCAGGTTTGTTACATAGGTATACACGTGCAATGGTGGTTTGCTGAACCCATCAACTCGTCATCTACATTGGGTATTTTTAGGTATTTTTCCTAATGCTATCCCTCTCCTAGCTCCCCAGCCCCCAATAGGCCCTAATGTATGATGTTCACCTCCCTGTGTCCATGTGTTCTCATTGTTCAGCTCCACATGCCCTGTTTGGTTTTCTGTTCTTGTGTTAGTTTGCTGAGAATGATGGTTTCAGGCTTCATCCATGTCCCTGCAAAGGATACGAACTCATCCTTTTTTATGGACAGCCACGTTATCTTTCATGTCCACACTTTCACAGACAATTAACACAGAACCTCTAATTTCAAAAGCATTGAAATCAGAGTTACTTACTTTGTCTTCTTACTTCCCAATGAAACTGCCAGTCTTCTTGACTTTATTTTATATTTGACAGAGAACAAAATACACCAATGATAGCTTCCATATTTGCATATCTCCTAATTTGGCAGGGAATGTAAATTTGTATATTATACAAATTTATAAGCTCCAGTATAAATTTATATATTAGCTTAAATATTTTATTTTTACATTCCTAAAGAGTCACATAGACTGAGACTCAACAAACACGACTATTTATGGCTACCATTGGCAGAAATAAACACAATACCAAATATAATTCTATAATTCATTGAATTCTTACTATGTGCCACACACTTGACATTATTGTACTTCTGTAAACAACCCTTTAAGACAGTGTCAATTCCATTTTACTGACTAGAGAACTGAAGGTCAAGAAGATGAAAGAACTTGACCAATTGAAAGTTTATTTTAACTCCTGTCTAATTTTAATGCTAGTATTCGTTTCATGAAATTGCACTGCTTATTTACTTGGAAGGTTGAGATATCTCTGAGCCAGAAAATATTCAGAAATAGACAGTTGTTGTTTGCTCATAAAAACCTTCCCTGTTTTCTATCACCCTTACCAATTACTTTCAACGTAGAACAGCACTTTTTAATATTTAAAAAAATTTTAAATTAAATTTTATTGTTTAAAATACCCATCTCCTCCACTTAAGACTGAGTTGTTTTGTGCTTTCTGATAAATTTCTTCTTTTAGCACAGTGCTTAACATGGAATTGATATTTCATCAATATTTGTTGAAAGTAAAAACAAATGGATGACCACATGTCGTGAGTGTCCTCTATATCCATAGTGTGAGTGGGACCATACATCTCAAACACTTGCTCCCCTAAATTTCTGAGTGAAGTTCACTGGGGTGTATAATACCTGGCTCAAAAAGTGATCTAAATATGTTTGTAGAAACAACCCTATTGGTTAAGTAATGCTATTCATTCTTCTGGTATAAAGGAACTTTTCAGAAGCCAATATTTATAGCCTAGTTTGTCCTTTCTTGGCCTTTCTTAGCAAGGTATCACAGAATGACTTTACAAAATGGGACTTGGTATTCGTTTTTTGTTTTTCAAGGTATTAGCAGTTAAGAATTGGAAAGACACCTCAAGAATGCGTTGCGATTTACACCTACAGTTGGATTTTATGCAATCCTATTATTTTCCCTCACTGTCATTGACTACACTCTGGAATTAGAAATACACATATTCCAGTAGACTTATCTTGCTTTTTCTTTTTTTTCTTTGGTTGCTTTCTGCATCCCACTATACAATGGTTTGCCTTGAAATAAGATTTGGTGGGCAACCTAGAATTTTGGTTTGGATGTCAATAGCTGCAAAAGACTCCCCAAAAGAAGAGTTTTGTCATTTGCAACTTGAGAATTTGAATACTCAACTATCAGTATCAGACCATCTTGACTTTGTTATTTTCCCAGGAAAAAAAGTATAAACAGCTCTGTGAACACCTGGAACTGGATGGAAAAGCCCTCAAGGACTTAATGGACATGATTTTTGCTCATATTGGCCACCCATCCTAGCATTTTAGCATCTTTTTTCATCAGTGTAGAGCATCACAAAATCATGGTCTGGAAGAAATTTTAAGAAGTTGTCTAGAAAAAGTGTGTATTAGGTCAGAGCTTCACTACCTTTACTGAATTAACTTCCCATTTTGCTAGTTTTACTACCTGTGGGAATGTTCCAGTTAAGCAGAAGGTACAGCGATTATGAATACAGACTCTATAGCCAGAATTCTTTGGTCCAAATTTGACTCTATCTCATACTGGTTATGCAACTTAGTTAATCATTCTGGGCCTCAGTGTTCTTATTTGTAAAATGTATGTAATAATGTAAGTACCTGCCCTGTAGATACTTATGTTGATTAAACTAGTTTAAACATTTAAGGTGACTGGAAGAATGGCTGGCATAGACTAGTCCTGTATAAATACTTGCTTAAAATTTGTGTCTTTATTATGGACTTTATATCATTTTATATTTTTATTTCATTAGCAAAAATAAGGATCATATCTTTATCATCAAATCCTACTTAACTGTGATATTTTGGGTGCTGTAGAGGACAGTCTAGACAATCTGGTAACCTCTGTATCCTGGTAATCAAGGTCAGAGAGGAAGCCCTCATTACAGCTCCCATGTTTCAGAGGATGTGGCTGAAACCAACATCTCAGATCATTCCTAAAGTCATAAGAACTGTGTAGTGTAGTAAGTTGTGGATTGGAACCCACACTCTTCTATTCTTATCAGTTTTTACCATCAGTACAAATCTGTCAAAATGCTATATTTCCTTTAGAAACAAAAATGAACAATTTTGTTATGGAATGAAAAGTTACCAATGGAAAGAGAAGATGGAATGATTCTAGATTAAAACAAGCCAAAAACTGTCATCTGCCCTAAAACTGTTGTTGCTTAGGGTGACTATGAGAATTGAAATCTGTGGCCCTGTGTATTTTTGTTCAAAATGTCACCAAATGTTATTTTGGTTCAAACTGCTAGTTAAGTGGACTTTCAGTTGAAAAGCTCTTCTGCCCACTTTCTGGCCCAAACCACGACGAGGCTAACAAGCACCTGAAACCCTCTCAAGTTTCTCTTGTCAAGCCTGAACTTGGCACTGGTGAGAAAAGATGCCTTGAAGCTTCTGGTAGAGGCACTTGAATAATAATGATTTGATGTGGACAAAGGAAGACCTTAATCTATTCTTCCACTCCTATGAATGAATAAGATAGCTATGAGCCTCAGGTTACTCTGGGCCAAGCTGTGTCACATCTTCTTCACCACAAGAAATTCTGGAAGCACTAAAATGACACTAAATCCATTTTCAAACTAGCTTTGATTCTATGCTTCTGTTTCCCATAAAACTCAAGTTGATAACATATTCCTACTGTCTAACCTATATTTCACAAGTAAAATTACTTAATATAGATCTGGAAGAGAAATGAAACACCTTTCGTAAAAGATTCTTGAATATGCATTTAAAACCAGGATTTAACAGGACCTTACTTCGCTGCTCTGAAAATTTTTAATTCTTCTAGTCTTTTCTTATGTAACTATTCCCTCATTCTTTTAATAATTTGCTCTTTTCCTCTGGGTTCTCATTAAAGTCTTTGTTTCCTGCTTTACCCGTTGGACCCAAAAGATGAAAGAATGCTTTAATTATGACCTTAATTGCATTACTATTCCCAGGAGAGTTCCTAGTAATATTATATATCTCAGGACCTAGATTTACTTGTTGAAGAAGAAACACGCTACATTGCTGGCCACAGTTGATAATTAATTGAGTCATTTTGCAGAGAACTTAAAGCCAAAGAAACATTTTCAAACTTTTACTATTTGGAGGTCATTTTTGTCTCATTGTTAGTGGTTAAAGTTTACTCTCTTTATCTGTGAATTTCTACAGTTTGATTTTTTTTTATTAAGAACTTTATCTTGTATTCTAGAGTTGTCCAAAAAGTACACCATATCAATAGGTGCATATATCAGAAAAAGTTCCTCGGTTATAGGCATCAGAAAATGACTCTGAAAAAGTCAGACAACATATAATTTATTACAATATCAAAGGAGGTTCACAGAATCAACTGAAAACAGAAAGTCAACTTGGAAATGAGGAGATACCAAAGCAGAGCTGAAGACTGGAAGCTGCAGCTGTAAAAAAATTGTGCCGTTGGAAAGCAAAACGGTAGGTTACAACTGCTGGAATGTGCAAAATTAATAGCCAACACCGAGCAACTACTAATTGTTTTGCATCTGTTAGTTTTTTAAAATCATCACTATGAGTTATCTGTTATTGTTTTTTCCATTTATAAATGAGGAAACTAAGGCAGAATGATGAAGCAGCCTGTCCCATGTGGCAAACAGAGTCAAGCCCAGCAAGCTCATTCTTGCATTATGTAGAACACCGATGCCACTTGTTGTAACAGAAACTCCAAGAATTTTCAGTCCTTTTGATCTTTTGCTCAACATTCCAAGTGAATGACAGGATCATCAGATTAGCCCAATTTGCGTTTGTGGAGAAAGAACTTCCGATTACAATCCACCAGCCCAATACCAACGAAGAAGAGCTAATTTCTTATTTTGAAATTAGGGCACTGCTAGAAAGGGGAAATGGATGTCAGAAAGCCAAAAATAAAAAGCCATGCTATAAAAAGTCTGCCCTTCATCACACTTCACTGAAATGAATATTTGAGATTGTCTTCCTTATTTAATGAGAGAAGGTAAACACACTAATTTATTTTACATAACTACTTTTAGTTTGATTTCAAAAATACATAATTATGTACATTTTGAGTTAGCACACAGAATAAAGATATCTTGACTGAAATACTTTTCACTTTGTAACCATGAAATTACTTTTGTCTGAAATAAAATTATCACTGTTATAATATAACAGAAGGAAGTGCTGTACTAGATGAAGCAGCAAAGATATTGACAAGTGTTGTGTTAGGAACAGGATGCTTTCTTTCATCAAGTGGAGTCAAAAGGAATCTTATTTCTCAAAGGGAAGCAGAAGTATTACAAAACAATCTTCTTTCTCTTAGGCAATACAACTGCAAAGCATTGTTCAAGGTCACCATGGGTGCATGCATTTGCAATGTAATGGAATATGCAATTATTCATAAAATGAGTTCATCAGTTATGAAAAATGAAAAAGTCCAAATAAATATATGCTCGGTGTTTTAAGGTAAGAATATTATTCAAGTATGTGGCTTATGCTGGCATTGTTTAACTAGGCTGAGGTTTCTTGCTTTTTTGTTTGCTTCTTTAATGTGATTTGCTAATTTCATGCTTCCAGAATGTCAACAAGGGTAATAAAACAGCAATTTAAGGCCACATTAAAAGCTGAACTAAATGACACCATTCTACAGAAGACCTTAAAACAAAATAACAGCATGTCCTCCTATCAGAAAGCATCTTTGTAGCTTTAATGTAGAGTGGAGAAGAAAGATCTTTATTTTTCCTGCCCCCTACTTTCTGTGCCAGGGATGATGTTGTTCTTGGGACTAGAATGCCCAGCTTATTCCTGCTAAAATAATTCTTGTGACAATTAAATTCTTTCTCTTAAAAAAAAAGTTTAAAAAATCACATTATTAAGGTATGATTGGCATTAAGAACCTGTAGATATTTTATGTGTACCACTTGCTGTGTTTGGATATATTTATACACCTGTGAAACTATCAGATCATCATCCCTATCAATGCCATAAATTTATTCATCACCTCCAAAAGCTTCCTCCTAGAAACTTATTTTTGGAGTTTATTGTTGTTTTTGTGTGTGTGTGTGTGTGTGTGTGTGTGTGTGTGTGTGTGTGTGTGTTTGTGATAAGAACACGACATAATGGAAACAACTAATGTCCCTGTATGGTTACATGGATAAAGAACAGGTGGTAAATATATACAACAAAATCTTATTTCAATCTTTAAAAGGAAGGAAATCCTGCCATTTGCAACAACATGGATGAACTTGAAGTGTATTATGTTAAGAGAAATAAACCAGACACAGAACGACAAATACTGTGTGATATCAGTTATATGTAGAATCAATTCTCTTTTAACTTGAATTATTCACATTCTTAGAATAGGATTCTAAGATTTGACAGGTTAATTGAATACACAAACAGGGCAGCCAGATTGTCTTTATTCTTAAGAGGGTCTCCCTAGAAGGAAACTCACCTGGATATTAAAGGCTGGTAAACTTAGCCTCTCTCTACCAGTATCAGTAGAGTTGGCAATATTTACATTGTCAATATTAAGGGAATCGAATCAGAAACTCTTCTCCCCACTCCATCAACCTCTCAACTTAAGCATGCCCAGTGAATAAGGTAACACTATTTTTTAATATGCTCCTTTCTTCCTAATTGGTTCCATGTGGATTCTCCATCAATATTCACATTATGTAGTTTTCCTATGATATTCTGTGTGAATTTGTAAGGCTGTCTTTACATCACCCACCTAAGTAGTGATAACGTAGAAAAGTCAGTGTAGAACACAGGAAACTTGAGACTGAAGTTCAGAGAAAGATTAAAAACCTACCTAAAAGTGACTTAGAATTTGTTAGTATTGACATTATTTGAAAGCACTTCTTTACTTATGTCTTATTGTAATCTGATAACATGTTGTGTTAGGAAGGCAAAATGTTACTTAACTTCACAGAATATGAAACTAAGAGAGTGAGAGAGTTGGGGTCAAATGTGAGATATATTCTACAATCATGACAATAGCTATCAATACAAGCCTTTAGGTGGAATTTTATGTATAGGAAATATGCAGAAAATTCAGTATGCTTCTTGGACAAATTGATTTTACTTTTTTGCTCTGACTGATGCTAATCCCAAATGCTCTGTTTTTGCGAATGTAAGAATTTATTTTTTGGCTGGGCACAGTGGCTCATGCCTGTAATCCCAGCACTTTGGGAGGTCGAGGTGGGTGGATCATGAGGTCAGGAGTTCAAGACCAGCCTGACCAACATGATGAAACCCTTTCTTTACTAAAAATACAAAAATTAGCTGGGTGTGGTGGCATGCACCTGTAATCCAAACTACTCAGGAGGCTGAGGCAGGAGAATTGCTTGAACCCTAGAGGAGGAGGTTGCAGTGAGCCAAGATCCCACACCACTGCACTCCAGCCTGGGCAACAGAGTGAGACTCCTTCTCAAAAAAAAAAATTATTTTTGTGAATTTTTACATGTCTCAGAAAATGTAAAATCTGTGGAAGGCTTGGTAACATATACATATTCTTGTATATGTTACCAAAATAAAATTTTGGTAAAATTTTATTTAATCTGTATAGATCCATCAATCTTAGCCACATTTCACTATTATTCCCAAATCTTGGCCTTTCATTCTATATTTATTACAGATGTTTGAGATACATTAATATACAATCCCTATCACGATATGTTCATCATTAATGCTTTTCTAATTAGAATTTAAAAATATAAGAATAACATTAGGTAACCTTTAGTACCTTGGGTAGAATTTTACCAAGTGTTCTGGATAAAAGTATGTTCAGGAAAACAATTCAGCATGATAGGCATTAATTGTGGAAATCTCAACTGATCTCTCTGAATGTAAGTGAAAGTTACTGCAGAGCAAAGAGATCCAAACAAATTCTAGTGATCTAAAAGAGCAAATGTAATATTTTGAAAAATAATCACAATAACTACTGGATATTAAGGGCTTATTATTAGCTGGCCTTACTTCTTCTCCATTCTAAAGTTTTCTTTCTGGAAAGAGAGCTCAATCATTATCATCATTGGCCTCTACCGTTGCCCTCATTCTGCCCAAAGAAAGGTAAAGTGACCTCTAATTGGTGATTTGCAAAGTCCAATTGTTTGGCCCAGTTCTGCCCTTGATTTCTCTTGGGAGCAAGTTTATTCCTCAAAATTGTGAGTTTCCATCTGTTATGCCTTGTGCCAAATGTTACCTGGGCTCTCATTTGCTAACTACCATTTTGCTCCTGCTCTGCCTGATTGGTGGATAAAATTTGCCTTTCCTTAGGAGACCCATTGGCTCGTGCTTAAAGGTACCTTTTCTCCACTGATGTTAAGGATATTTTGGCTTCCTTATCTACTTTTTGCCTTATTGCTTAAAACATTCAGAACCTGGTAGAGAAGAGAGTTGCTATTTATTGAGGTTCTTCTTGAAGACCCAAGGTTTACAACAGAGAAGAGTATTTTAATCCATGTAATCCATTCCAGAGCCCTTTAAAATGTGTTGATTTGATTTTACAAATGAGAAAGTGGAAGCTCATGGATTAAAGAGTTCAAGGCCACATGGTAAGTGGCTGAGCTTGGATAGAGCCTGCCTGTCTCTAAGTCCTATACTCTTAAATCTGCATTCTGCTTTCTAAAGTCACAGAGATGAAAGATTGTTTTTGCACTCTCATCTCACTGATGAGTAAACAGAGTCAAACAGAAAGAAGTTAATTGTGCAAGGTCATGCAGCTAGGCCTTGACTTCATCAAGGCTTGAAGTCAGGTTCTGTACTTTGTCCTCTTCTGTAAATGTATAATCAGGAAGTAACTTAGGCTAAACAGAGTTTTGCCAGGTGTGGCTAAAATTTTTTATGAGAAATCTGATGCCATATTTGCATTCGGCCACAGGACATAGAATCTGTAGAAGAATAATTAAGTATTCATTTTCAACTTGGGTTAAAACCAGAGGGAGAAAATGCCAATAACTGTTTTCAGTAGAAGGCAGGAGCTAAAGAGATTTTAAAAGAGAACAGTCAAGGTTTTATAATTTCTATTATGAAGGTTGAAATAATTATGCAAAATCATGTATCTGCAGAGAATGAACATAAATTATTTTTATGTTGCTAATTGAATATAAAAATCTATTCTGATGCTGTTATTGTTTCACAAGAAGCGATATAATAATGAAATTATTATTTGCTGACTTGACTTGTAAATCCAATCCATATGTACTTTTTTGATTGCTACAATTTAGAGTAATCAGTCTGTTTTTTAATACTTTACAACTCCTCACAAACCTTTAGGTACACTGGCATTTTTAAGTTTTATACCAAAATATATGCAGTTTGATAGCCTCCTCCATATCTGCATACACACAAAAAAACAGAAATACTGTGTAATTGATATACTTTTTTTTTTTTTTTTTTTTTGAGACAGAGTCTTGCTCTGTCACCCGGGCTGGAGTGCAGTGGCATTATTTGGCTCACTGCAACCTCCACCTCCCAGGTTCAAGGGATTCTCATTCCTCAGCTTCCCAAGTAGCTGGGCTTATAGGCACCCACCACCACGTCAGGCTAATATTTGTATTTTTAGTAGAGATGGGGTTTTGCCATGCTGGCCAGGCTGGTTTTGAACTCCTGACCTCAGGTGATCCAACCCCCTAGGCCTCCCAAAGTTCTGGGATTATAGGCATGATTCACCATGCCAGGCCTGGTATACTTTAAGTACTCTTAATAAAATAATCTTCCATGTATATCATTTAGCTGTTACTACTAACTCTCCAAAAAATCTAGTGGCTTAAATGAACAGGTCTTTATTATTTCTCATCATCTTAAGGACCAGCTCAGCTGACCTATTTTCTACAATCAGCTAGGTGATTCACTAAACAGTGTTGCTGATTTTGGCTGTGTTTTCATACACATCTGAGTCTTTGGCTGAGAAAATTTGCCTGTGTTCCCTATGTTTTTTCATCATCCAGCAGGCTAGCTCAGTCTTGTTCTCAGTTTAGCTTAAACTTTTTCTAATAGTGATTGCAGAGAAGCAAGAAATAGAAGTATAAATGTGCAAGAGATTTTTCAAGCCTCTGTTGGTTGTCAAGTCAGCTAACATCCTATTGGCCAAAGCAAGTCATATGGTTGAGTCAAAGTGAGAGGGGACTACAAAATTACAGGGCAACAGCTGTGGTTACAGAAAGGCCATACTAGGGTTATCCATGTGTGCATCATACCATACAATGTCAGGTAGCTGACTTTTATAATTTATTGAAAGATCATAGATATATGACATTAATAAAATTGTGTATTCTATTAACTGAATCCTGATGGTATTTATAAGCAATTTAATGACTGTTGGCAACATCATTTTCTTCTTATTGCTGCACATATAGCCAGCTTGAGCAGGAGCAGGTTGAATATATTGAGTCATATCACAAGTTGGTGTAGTTTAGATACTATCTGGAAGGGGAAAGAAGGGAGGAAGTCCATAAAAAGAAATCTTGAGCCCAGAGGCATTTTTAGATAAGCATGACTATTTTCTAGTGGCTTTTTTTTGTTAAACAAATAAAGTGACCAACTTTAACACTGGGACTATAAATGTCTTGGATGGTGACTTGGATGTCTTTTGAGTTCTAGACTTCCTTTCCAACTTTGAATCAATGAAGCAAAGTTCTGCTTTTAGCCCATTTTTTTGTTTGTTTGTTTTTTGAGATGGAGTCTCGCTGTGTCACCAGGCTGGAGTGCAGTGGCATGATCTTGGCTCATTGCAACCTCCGCCTCCTGGGTTCAAGCAATCCTCCTGCCTCAGCCTCCCAAGTAGCTGGGACTATAGGCATGTGCCACCATGCCCAGCTAATTTTTTGTATTTTTAGTGGAGAGGGGGTTTCATCATGTTTGCCAGAATGGTCTTGATCTCTTGACCTTGTGATCGTCCCATCTCAGCCTTCCAAAGTGCTAGGATTACATGTGTGAGCCACTGCACACAGCCCCAAAGTTTTTCAAATGTGCAAAAGTTACAGTTGAGGTGGATTTAACTCACTCATGTTTGCTTCTTATTCCCTAGTTCTATGTTTCTAATCACTTAATGACTTCAATAAATTATGATTTGAAATAATGGCAGTTCTAGATGTAACATGATTAACATAGAAATTAAATGAGAGAAAGCATATGGGATTTTGAGTATTAACTACACAAATAATTATATAATATTGAATCCACTGACTTAGGTTTCACTTTATTATGAGCGTTTATCTTGACATTTTATCTAACCAGGACTCTTAGCTTGTGAATTGAGTATATCTGCCTTCATCTACTGTCACTATCATTGTGGGATATTTATATAGAAAAAAATAGGTAAGATTGGCAATCAGCAGAGACATAGAGTAAATTTATAGACCCAAATCTTTAATGCATGAAACTGTCAACTGATCACATCTGTGTGGTAGAATTTGGGGGAATCAAATTGGTAAATATTTGTCCTCTTGACTTCATTGTTGCATAGCATTTGTGATACTGATGTTGATAAATTTGAAGGGTATACAAAGTTATGGAAGACATAGCCCCTGCTCTTAGAAACTTACTATGTGGAGAGGAAATGATAATTAATGCATAAAAGCATGAAAAATGGCATGTGGTGTCTTAGTTTGTTTCATGGTGCTATAACAGAATATCACAGACTGGGTAATTTATAATAAACAGGAATTTATTTTGTGGACCCTGAATATCTGAGACATGTCTCAGTTAACTTAGAAAGTTTATTTTGCCAACATTGAGGACATGTGCTTGTGACACAGCCTCAGGAAGTCCTGACGACAGGTGTGCCAGGTGGTCAGAGCACAGTTTGGTTTTATGCATTTTAGGGAGACATGAAACATCAATCAACGTATGTAAGATGAACACTGGTTCAGTTTGGAAAGACAGGACAATTCAAAGCAAAGGCGGGACAACTTGAAGATGGGAAGGGGCTTCCAGATCATAGGTAGATAAGAGAAAAATGGTTGCATTCTTTTGAGTTCCTGATTAGCCTCTCCAAAGAAGGCAATCAGATATGCACTGTTCTCAGTGAGAAGAGGGGTGACTTTGAATAGAATGGGAGGAAGGTTTGCTCTAAGCAGTTCTCAGCTTGACTTGGCTCACAGATCAGGAGGCTAGAGAGTGTATTAGACCAAAGGGAAACGTGACTGATGCATCCAAAATGCCAGTGTCACATGACACAACACATCACATGGCAGAAGGTCTGAGAGAAACAAAGGGAAATCTAATCCCACAGTAACTGTAACTGTATTAGACCATTCAAGAGGGTGAATCTCTCATGATCTAAACATCTCTTAAAGGTCCCACTTCTTAATACTGTCCCAAGGGCCATTACATTTCAATGAGTTTCAGAGAGGGCAAGCATTTGAACCATAGCACATGAAATCATACAGATTTTGGTTAAATTCTTAACTCTGCCATTCACTGTCTGTATTAGTCCATGTTCACACTGCTGATAAAGACATACCTGAGATTAGGCAATTTACAAAAGCAAGAGGTTTGTTGGACTTACAGTTCCATGTGGCTAGGGAGGCCTTGTAATCATGGCAGAAGGTGAAGGGCACATCTTACATGGTGGCAGACAAGAGAAGAGAGAACTTGTGCAGGGGAACTCCCCTTTTAAAACCATCAGATATTGTGAGACTTATTCACTATCATGAGAACAGCATAGGAAAGACCTGCCCCCATCATTCAATTACCTCCCACCAGGTCCCTCTCACAACACATGGGAATTCAAGATGAGATTTGTGGGGACATGGCCAAACTATATCACTATCTGTGATGTACTGGATCTTACCAAGCCTGAGCTTTTTTCCATCTGTTAAGCTGAGATAGGTTTATTGGGAGAATCAAGTGTGATAATTGATGTAAAATGCCAAGAACAGTGTCTGCATGTGGCAAGTGCTCAATAAATACTAATCTTTAATAACATTAATGAAAAATACAGAAAATATATGTAAGCGATTATAATGAAATGTTGAACACTCACTAAAATAGTAGATTAAATAAGATTTGTTTAATGCATCCAAAAGTGTAAAAATATTTTTAACAAGCAAATATACTTAATTAAAATGTAATTTTTTAGTTCAGAAATTAAGCTTTGTCTATTTGCAGTTTTCCCAGAAGAAGTGCAGAATTGTATATGTTTGTGATTGATGTTTACATGATTCTGGTTTCTGCTATTTTGATCATGGAACCAGTAAGGAGAGTAGGGAGTTTCCCTTTTGTGGTAGTTGATATAAAACGTTTCTACCAAGTATATCCCCTCTTCTCAGTGCTTCCCAAATGTTAGCGTGAAGAACGAAAACAAATAACGTCATCAAATATGCAAATTCAAAATAATGCAGAGATTCTGATTCAGGTTACAGCAATGAAGTGAAGAAATTTGAATTTCTTATAAGCATTATGGGTTACTCTGATGCAAGTAGTTAGGAGCAACACCTTGAAAGCCAATGAAAAGTCATCTCTGCTCTAAATGTCACAGCCAAGGCATCCAGGTTGGAGGGATAAGAGTATTCGCATTTGAAGAAGACAGAGGCTGATTTAAAGTGGTTCCATGTTAAGTGTTTTTCATCTTGGGAAATGTGTGACTGTCTACAGTCCCTTCATTATGGTTTGAAATGCACTTGATGGTGTAGTTGGTAGTCGCTGTGTGAAGAAAGGAGATATGTTTGAATGTTTCTGTGTACAATGGACGGGATTAAAATCAGAGGCTTTGGTGAATACACTGTAACTCAAACAACAAACAAACCACTTAAACAGAAGAGCATAAAATTAAATTTCCTGTTTTTCCCATCAACACAAAAGTCTTCACAGATTTAAAAATGAAAACTATTTGGAAAATATTGACATAAAAATCTACAGAAGTTTTGTACCTACATAATAATTATCATCAATAACAACACATAGATTAATTTTAAAATTGTTTTCTTAAAATGATTTAATTTCTATGGTATAGGAGACCCTGAATACTGAACTATGTACTAGACCTTAAATTTAAAATTAGAGAATGGTTGCCCTAGGGAATAGATATATTTCAAGGGCTAAGTAAAAGCTTTGCTATCTTAAAAAAAATGTATATTTTCATCCAATGAAAGTTCTGTTTTTCCAATAAAATTACAAATTACATGTATAACAACTTTGCCTTAAGTTTGGTAAAATTAAAAAGCCCTCAGACTCTTTTATGTTCTTTGATATAAAAGTTGCCTTATCATAATAAGATATAAGTGATCTTGCATAACGTTCTATACAAAAACATTTGTAAAAATGCTTAGTAAACTGAATAATAGCAAAAAATGTAAATTGAATGCTCTCCCCTGATGACACAATTTAGTTCAAAAATATGCATGCACATCAAGATAATTTAGAGGCAATTGGGAAAGAAAAATAGGAATTATAGTAAAAACAAACAAGACATATATCTGCTACCTGTCAAGCACTGTTCTAGATTGTTTAAAATTATTAACTCTAATTCTCAAATAAGTACTGTAAAATAGCTGTCTTGGGCTTCATTTTACAGATGATAACTGAGGCTCAGAGATGTCAAATAATTTGCCAAGGGTTACACAACTTGAAAATGGCAAAACCAAGATTTAAACTTAAGAATTTCTGCATTCTTTAGCAAAAATTCTCAAGAAAATCTACAGCATAAAGATCTATAGCTTAAAGTATTTATTCAGTATTGTTGCTTCCAATTGCATCCCAAAATGAACAAGAAACAACCAATTGTGTGATCTCATTAAAAGGTAGGGCTGATAACCAGGATTTGGAACTGCTCATTACGTGTTAGTTACACTCTTTGACAGTAATCCCTTAACTTAGTTCTAATGAGTCCCTTGCAACATCATCATACCATTAATTAGTTTAGCAACCCCAGTAGCATGAAGGGATGAATTTCTTGCAGGCCCAACATAAACTGTCTGATGGTTTTTAGTAGTAATGTCCAAAGAGTGAAATTTCTTGATCGTCATAGACCTTGTGAAAATCGAACATTATTGTCTTTCTCAGCAAATTCTGTTACAGCAATATTAATTTAACAGCCAAGCTTTCTTTCGTCCAGAGAAAAGTTTAAAGTAACTTGTGCTTTGCAATTAAATAGGATTTTTTATTAATAAAATAATTCAGAATCAGCTAAAAGTGAATTCTATCAGTTCTAATAAAAATATGCAATGGAGTTAATTTAAAAATAACACTTAAACCAAACCAAGATTGCAGCACCTAATTCCAAGAGTTATAATGTCTTCTTTAACAATGTAACATAAAGTAATATAGGTTAACTTATTTAACAAATGAAAGGTGAAAAGTTCTCTACATGACTCTCCCGCTGCAATAACATTTGCTAAGAAGCATTTTAAGGTAGAGTGTTAAAATATTTAAGTCTTTAATTACAAATCATTTCTCCTAGCATTATGGGTGGTATAACTATTAACTAAATGGAGTGTTACAGAGCTGCAAGCAGATGGAATCAAATACAGAAGCTACAGAAATAAAGCAACTTACTTTTCCTTGCACTTGTGAAAAACATAATTAAAAGTTATTGACTCAAGCAAGTTGCAGGTGAGGGAGAACATACAGAATGAGGCCAATTCAAAAGTAAGAACAATCTAGTAAGACCAAATTAGGTATTTTATCCCATTTATATCCTTTCTTCTGGCTTGTTATATTCTTAACCTTTTTGATCTTCATTTTATTTTTTTGCTGCATCTTTGACTCCAATTTGGGACAATTATCTACAAATTACTTGTGATTCTAAGGCAAATATGACCATATCACCAACTCTGTTTCTTCCAAGTAGGTGCTTAGAAAATGATAACAATTTAATAAACAGTGGTTACTGTTATTTATTTATATTTATTTTAATTTTTATTAAAAAGGGATCAAGATAAAAACAGGTCTCTTAGTGGTAAAAGTCTTATCATACAAAAGCTTGTGCATCTCACTCATTGTTGATTTATTTTTGTGCTTTTACAGCATTCAATACTCTAAAGCCAGAAGCCAGAGGGAGTGCTTGAGTAAAGGGAAGCGCAAACTACTGATGGTGAAAAGCTTGCAAGAAAGTAGACGAAAAAAGCATTTAAGAGAAAATATAGCACAAAATGGAGCAATTTTGTGAAGAGCCAAATGAGACTGTCTTATCTATGCCAATAGTTTTCCATGATTATATTTAAATCTTAATATGATAATTGCATAACTATGGTCATGGAAAATAAAAAGATCAACCTTTTGTCATGTTCAAACCAAACCATCAATTGCTTTCTTTAAAAATAAATACATAAAAAGGTTTTCATAAAATGGTGTCTCTAAAAGGGCTGAGAAATTTAATTCTGCAAAATATTTATTTCTTGTTGATGCTGGATGAGGAAGACTATAATTTTTTTGTTTCGTTTGGTTTTGCTTTTGTTTTGAGACAGAGTCTCTCTCTGTCACCCAGGACAGAGAGCAGTGGCGTGATTTTGGCTCACTGCAACCCCTGCCTCCTGGGTGCAAGCAATTCTCATGCCTCAGCCTCCCAAGTACCTGGGATTACAGGCACGCCCCACCATACCCGGCTAATTTTTGCATTTTTAGTAGAGATGGAATTTCATCATGTTGGCCAGGCTGGTCTCGAACTCCTGACCTCAGGCAATCCACCAGCCTTGGCCTCCCAAAGTGCTGGGATTACAGGCCTGAGCCATCCTGCCTGGCCTGTGCTGTATAATTTGACTATTTTCTTTAGGTGTGAGAGGATATCAAAGCAATTTCAATGAAACTGATTTTAAATTTGTCACCTAAATTAGCAGAGTCCTCATTTTGTTCTCTTTCAAGGAAGGACTGGAAAGGTACAGGTGTGTGGCAGGGTATGGGGTAGAGAAATAGCTACAAAACATCCTTTAGGCAAAAGGAGCAGCAGAGGGCAGAAGAAAAGGATCCATTGGGAAATAGACCCGACCTGCTCACTAGCTTTTGACAATCACTTACTTACCTTCTTGGCCTCAGATGAATGGAATGGGGGAGGGCACTAGATGATTCAAGGTCTCAATCAGCTACACAATCATAGGAATTTGTGGCGAGGAGAAAATCCATGACTCCTAGAAAAACCTGTGACTTCTGGTGGGCTAGAAAGGGGATATAGTTCAACACCAATCCTTCCTTTGATTATACCCAGCCCATTCGTCTAGAAGCTGACTACATTTCCTTCATAAACATTTTGTTTAGATTCTCAAATAACTGGAGTTTCTTGTTCTTCCCCAAACATCCCTTAGGGTAACTGGGTATCCCCTGATTCTCCATTTTTTCTTGCAGGAGAGAATAAACCATCTCTGTGTATGTGCCTAGATTCATTGTTTACTGCTGCACAGTGTTTACTGGTTCATAGAATGATAAATTGGCAGGAAATAAGAATTATATGAATAAACTTCCTAATTCCATAGGCAGGGGAAAAAATTAAATTTCAGAGACATTGAGAAATCAACTTAAAGCCACATAGCAGTTACGCATAGTTAGTTATCTAGGAAGAAAATCCACATTGCTTAACTTCCAAAACACTCTCTCCTCTGCGTTGCTCTATAGTTGATATCTTATCACAGGTTATATCATAGTATTCTTTGTTTGTTAAATATTGTATTGAATGTGGGACCTTCTTTTATGCTTTCTCATTTTAAAATAATTTTTTTCTCTATGTATTGATATCAGATTTGAGAAAAACCATTTATAATGAGTAGTTCATGAATTTAATTTATAGTCAACTCAAAGTACTTTCTGTTTATCAGTTTCTATTTTTCCTCTTTGCTCTAAAGCTCATTATTTCACTTTTTATCTTCCCTGAATTACAATTGGCATCTTATTAACCTACATCCCCATGCAATTAGACTCGTCCAGATGTTGAGCATAACTGACATTGGGGTTGGCAGTGGAGAGTGAGGTGCAATTTTAAGGTGCAAATTTAGGATTTAGCATTATTTTTATTCTGCAAAGACTTATTTAATCTATACTTCTGTTTTTTGGATCAAAACAAAGATGAAACTCCATACCAGTGACTTTCTAGTAGGCAAAATGATTTTGAATAACTATGTATTCATGAATGAATGGAATAATAGAGTCCAATGCTCTTATCTAGTCATCGTGTATTTATGTCTTCCACAACAGCCATTTATCAAGTATATTTCAGAAAAAGTAGAGATGAAAGCACAGCCCTTCCCCTGAAAAAGTTCAGATTTAATTCGAGGTAGCTGGAGGGAAAAAGGGAAATAGTCACCAACAATGCCTGCTGCAAAGCTTTATGCTGAATGGGCTCTCAAGGTGCAACATCTGCAAAGTCATGGGCCCAGATCCAGATGGGAGATATTGGGGGAGGCTTCCAGAAGGAGGTAATGTCTGAGCCTCTTAGAGAATGTCAAGAAGGGGTGAGCCAAGTGATTCTGTAGGAGGAGGACAAGAGGGTAATATACAGTATTTAAAAATCTACAGCGGAATAGATTGGATATATTCAGGAAAATGTAATAATTTTGGAATGACTGGACTGTAAAAAACTTCCCTAGAAAGGGCAATGAACAGTCATGCCTAGTTTCTGCAGCTTTCTTTATATAAGCTAAATAGTTAGACCTTCATGTTGAAATATAAGAAATCCTTGAAAGACTTTGAGAGAATGATGTGATAAGATGTGCATTTTAATAAGAAGCTGCTGGCAGCAATATGAAAAGTATATTTGTTAGAGGTTGGAGTGACTAAAGAGGTGAGATGGGAAAAATGTCAGCAAGATAGGAGCTTCTTAGAATCCTCCAAGAAGGTCCTGAGTAAAGGCAACCTCGCTAAGAATGGAAAAGGAAGAAACCCTGGAAACGAATAAGTAGAGAAAATGGACACTCTAGAGAACGGAGAGTCCTGAAAATGTGAAATTAATCCACCTGGGCCACATACTTAATGAGTACCAGAGCAGCGATTAGAACCAGGTGCCTACCACTCAGTTAAGGAGCATTTTGGTGACATCAGTCTGCCTCTCTGAGGTTATGCTTTGGCAATGATAACAATTAAATTTAAAATAGATTGTCTATTTATAGCAAAGGACTATATTTAAGAGACCCCGGTTTTCTCATTATCCAACACAAGTAAACGCAGATGTTTGATTCAAGTAGAATAGGATGTTAACAACTCCCTCAATGCCTGAACTTCTCGAAAACAAATCGACATTTGCTGCCCTTGATTTAACCTTGGAGCAGATACAATTTCCCTTCATCAATGAGCAAGGTATGGGCAGATTCCCTGTCTTGTCTCCTCTGGAATTTTTTTTTAAACAAAAAGCAACACAATGCCAATAGATACTGTTGCTATGAGTGAGGCATCTCACAATTCAAACCCTTATTCCCAAGAAGGGTTTTGGGAAATGGAGAGGAGTAGAAGTCAAGGAGAGGGGTTGGGTAAGTAGCAAACGACTGTCTCTCTGCCTGCCTATTCCTCTTGCCTAGCCAGAAATTATGTCAATGCCACATCTTCACTGCAAGGATCTAATGGAAGAATGTGTATTAAAGGGCTTTAGGAAGCTGTAAATGGGGAAAATCAAAAGTTAGCAACTATCATTCATTGCTCCAAAGTGAAGATGATTTTTAAAGTATTTTACAATGCTTTGTTTACAGAGGCAGGACATTTCTTTGCCCATACTTCACTTCAGCTTCCCAAAATAAAATATATGTGCCCTTTGGTCTACAGAATACTTTAATTATAGATTTCAAACTGTTGTCAGCTGGCTTAACTCAATTTGCTTGTACACATCTCTTAGGTTACTTTTGGTAAATTGTAGTTACCAAAAGTTTTGTGGGAGAGAGGGTTAATGATATCCCCCAAACTCCACTACCAGATTATGGTGAATGTCTTCTTTTACACATAAGTCTTCTATTACCCAGGTAGGCATTTATTACGTGAACATTAGTAGCAAAGGCCTACCATTAAAACCGTTTACAAGAGCAGTTCTAGAGGCTCAAGAAAGTCCCTGCACCTGGAGAGAAATAACACAGTGTTCAATGTGTCAGCTGTCATTAGATCTTCACAAAGAGGAAACAAGGACTCCTAGCAAGTATGTTCTACAGAAGGGCAGGTCTTGAATGTACCTTAATCCTCAGATGCACTTACAAAGCAGGGAGGTGCAAAAGTGTACATTGGTGGCATCATGAAAATAGTGTTGGTAGAATGTCAGAGAAGAAAGATCTAATTATACTGTAACGAAAGGAAGAAGAGATTGAGGCAGAGGAGATGGAGGGCTTGACAAGAAGCCCAGGTTTTGAAGGGTAACTTGAAGGTGAATTCACTTGAAGATTTATCTATGAATTTCCTTGTTGTTAGCGGTTTTCAGACTAAACAAACTAAGCTATGAGTTCTTGCTTTAGAACAACACTTCTCAGAGCTGTGGAGGATTAACACAATCTTTTGGACATGACCCCGTTACACAAAGATTTTTTTGGGAGGGAAAATTTATTTATATAAGTTAATTTAAAGATATATATACTGTAAAATAATCATATACTATTAGTATATAATAGTGTGTGTGTGTGTGTGTGTATATATATATGTATATATAAAATCTTTAAATGTGCATATGGGAAACATAATTGATTGTGACCATGCTATCCATTACCAAATACATCTATATCCTCTCCTGCCTCTGAGCCTGCAGACATGTGGCTCCCAAAACTTATGACATTCTCTATAGCCCTTGCTGCCCTTTCTCTTTCTCTCTGTTTTTCTAAATTCTATTTATCTTGTTGGTCTCCACCTAAATGCCCCCTACTCAAGGTGCTTTCTCTAATCTCCTACACTTGTTAAGTTTTGTCATTATATGCTCTTAATGCATCTTCTATTTTTCTATTGGTAATATTTATTATGCTTGCAAAGACAGACTATTAACTCCCTGGGGAAAGAGTCAATGCCAATCTTCTTCAATACTTTTTTAGATTTATGAAATTCCTAATATTCTATTGTCTTTTGACTTAAAAACAGCAATTTCATGTGGTTCAAACTCTTATATGACTTAGCACTTAACAGTGTACTGTCTGAATGCTAAACACAACTCTACAACTTAAGATATCTTCATCAAGTATGCATCTGTTAATGAACATGGACAAATGGGACATCCAAGATGTTTTACCAACTCTGGTTTTATACCAACAGCATTTTCCCACTGGATCTCATTTTTTTAAAAATTTTATTATTATTATACTTTAAGTTTTAGGGTACATGTGCACAACGTGCAGGTTTGTTACATATGTATACCTGTGCCATGTTGGTGTGCTGCACCCATTAACTCGTCATTTAGCATTAAGTGTATCTCCTAATGCTATCCCTCCCCCCTCCCCCCACCCCACAACAGTCCCCAGTGTGGGATGTTCCCCTTCCTGTGTCCGTGTGATCTCATTGTTCAGTTCCCACCTATGAGTGAGAACATGCGGTGTTTGGTTTTTTGTCCTTGTGATAGTTTACTGAGAATGATAGTTTCCAGTTTCATCCATGTCCCTACAAAGGACATGAACTCATCATTTTTTATGGCTGCATAATATTCCATGGTGTATATGTGCCACATTTTCTTAATCTAGTCTGTCGTTTTTGGACATTTGGGTTGGTTCCAAGTCTTTGCTATTCTGAATAGTGCCGCTATAAACATACGTGTGCATGTGTCTTTATAGCAGCATGATTTATAATCCTTTGGGTATATACCCAGTAATGGGATGGCTGGGTCAAATGGTATCTCTAGTTCTAGATCCCTGAGGAATCGCCACACTGACTTCCACAATGGTTGAACTAGTTTACAGTCCCACCAACAGTGTAAAAGTGTTCCTATTTCTCCACATCTTCTCCAGCACCTGTTGTTTCCTGACTCTTTAATGATTGCCATTCTAACTGGTGTGAGATGGTATCTCATTGTGGTTTTGATTTGCATTTCTCTGATGGCCAGTGATGATGAACATTTTTTCATGTGTTTTTTTGGCTGCATAAATGTCTTCTTTTGAGAAGTGTCTGTTCATATCCTTCGCCCACTTTTTGATAGGGTTGTTTGTTTTTTTCTTGTAAATGTGTTTGATTTCATTGTAGATTCTGGATATTAGCCCTTTGTCAGATGAGTAGGTTGCAAAAATTTTCTCCCATTCTGTAGGTTGCCTGTTCATTCTGATGGTAGTTTCTTTTGCTGTGCAGAAGCTCTTTAGTTTAATTAGATCCCATTTGTCAATTTTGTCTTTTGTTGCCATTGCTTTTGGTGTTTTAGACATGAAGTCCTTGCCCATGCCTATGTCCTGGATGGTATTGCCTAGGTTTTCTTCTAGGGTTTTTATGGTTTTAGGTCTAACATTTAAGTCTTTACTCCATCTTGAATTAATTTTTGTATAAGGTGTAAGGAAGGGATCCAGTTTCAGCTTTCTACATATGGCTAGTCAGTTTTCCCAGCACCATTTAATAAATAGGGAATCCTTTCCCCATTACTTGTTTTTCTCAGGATTGTCAAAGATCAGATAGTTGTAGATAGGTGGCGTTATTTCTGAGGGCTCTGTTCTGTTCCACTGATCTATATCTCTGTTTTGGTACAAGTACCATGCTGTTTTGGTTACTGTAGCCTTGTAGTATAGTTTGA
This sequence comes from Homo sapiens, assembly GCF_000001405.40. Taxonomy (NCBI): domain Eukaryota; kingdom Metazoa; phylum Chordata; class Mammalia; order Primates; family Hominidae; genus Homo; species Homo sapiens. The sequence goes on along the minus strand of NC_000014.9, from coordinate 86,695,118 downwards.
AGTCAGGTAGCGTGATGCCTCCAGCTTTGTTCTTTTGGCTTAGGATTGACTTAGCAATGCAGGCTGTTTTTTGGTTCCATATGAACTTTAAAGTAGTTTTTTCCAATTCTGTGAAGAAAGTCATTGGTAGCTTGATGGGGATGGCACTGAATCTATAAATTACCTTAGGCAGTATGGCCATTTTCATGATATTGATTCTTCCTACCCATGAGCATGGAATGTTCTTCCATTTCTTTGTATCCTCTTTTATTTCATTGAGCAGTGGTTTGTAGTTCTCCTTGAAGAGGTCCTTCACATCCCTTGTAAGTTGGATTCCTAGGTATTTTATTGTCTTTGAAGCAACTGTGAATGGGAGTTCACTCATGATTTGGCTCTCTGTTTGTTATTGGTATATAAGAATGCTTGTGATTTTTGTACATTGATTTTGTATCCTGAGACTTTGCTGAAGTTGCTTATCAGCTTGAGGAGATTTTGGGCTGAGACGATGGGGTTTTCTAGATATATAATCATGTCATCTGCAAAAAGGGACAATTTGACTTCCTCTTTTCCTAATTGAATACCCTTTATTTCATTCTCCTGACTGATTGCCCTGGCCAGAACTTCTCATTTTTTAACGATATATTAATCTATTTACGATAAAATGATATATTATACATGCATTGTTTATGTGATACATCTATGTTACAGCATACATTAAAAAAATGAAAGAGAGTTGGAAAATTTAATAGCAAAGGATGCTAGTATTTATGAATAGTGAATACAACATTCTCCACTTAATTTAGGTGGCTTCATTAAAGTAGAAACATATGCTATTATCCTAATGCCCCTTTCCTCCCTGTTTCCTATTTCTAATTGGAAAATTGTGGAGACATACATGGCCTGGAGTTGACAGCCTAATTCATCACCCTTAAGCTGACCCTGGTACTAGGAGAATGAGTATTGACCTACAAGTAGTCATGGCCTTAGAAAAAATGCTGTTGTGGAAGGTAACCTAGAAATACAAAAGATTTCATGACTGTGAGTGGAAATAGTTTAGTTTGGTTACTATTTAGGACAAGAGTTAGCGAACTGTGGCCCATATGCCAAATCCAGCCTACTCCCTGCTTTTGTAAAGTTTTATCAGAACACAGCCCCTCTGATTTATTTGCATGTTACTCATAGCTACTGAAACACTAAAAGAACAAAGTTGACTAGTTGTCACGGAGATAATATTGCCTCAAAGCCAAACATGTTTACTGCTTATCTCTTTATAGAAAAAGTTTGCCAACTCCTGATTTAAGATACGTGTTTCCTTACATATATCAAATGATTTAGAAATTAATGCTCAAAAATTAGCAGATATAGTAACATAGGTAGATAATAACTAAATCATGCAAATAATTGGCATTATTGCATTGCTTACTCCAGCAAAGGTATTGCCTATTCCAGCCTAGAATAATGAAATGAACCCTATGAGAATTAATTTTATTTTAAGCCTACGCTTAAAGAGGAAAGCATAGTTTGTTCAACATGAAATGACTCATGTCCAAATGCTCATGAACTGATCCACAATATGGAAACCAATTTCAATCACTGAAACCTTTTTCTTCACATTCATATTTTCTGAGTGGGTTGATATGAAGCTGACAAAACCAAAATTCAGTGTCTGGATTTAAATGCTCAACTGAAATCTCTATGTATCTTCATTTCTTTTGATGAACTGTAAGGGTTGCCCCAGTCAGATTGAAAGAATAATGAATCAACAAAACCCCTTTATTCTCATGCTTATGGGTCTCTAACTGACATCAAGCTGTTTCCCCATGTACAGCTAAGAAAATGAACTGCAGAGACCAAACAAAACCCCGAGCCCACTCAGGTCCAGTCCTGAAGATTGGTTGTCTGTTGCAGATGGTTCACAGCCTTAAATAGGGCCCTGGATACTCTTAGGTCACATCTGGGCTTCTAATCACATCTTTGAATATGGTAATCCATTTTTTTCCCCACATAACTTAGAAATTTGTCATTTGCTGTCAACACCTGTATTTTTTTCTCTCCTACACTCTGATCAGAGTTGCATTTTTCACACATGTGCCTTATCTCTGTTTCTTCCTTGGTTCCAACTTCTCAGTCCATTTGTTTTTTCTATGGCTAAATAAATTATTTACTTCACCAACTGTCCATAGGCAAGCATTTATCAATTCATTGCTCACAGCTTCTGCTATGTTACTTGTTTGGTGTATCCTTTAATCATTCATATCTGGTTCTTATTTGTAGATATACACATATACATACACCTATGTGTATATAAAATATACACACACATATGTATATATTACCAGTTATATCCACTGATGCAATCTCTGATCCCATTTATCTGGGTTTAATTTTCCTTGAGGACTTTGTTATTCATTAGAATGTATTGCATTCTTCTGGTAATACTGGCTTTCTATTTGGCTTAGGTAGAGATAAGTATCTCTATGCCATCTTTTTTTTAATAGTATATAAAGAAGTTACTAATTAGTACTAATTCTCTACTCATGTAATTTTCTTTATTTTTCTAGATCAGTTTGACCCCATTTCTAAAGCTCCTTATAGATAAACAATACTTATTAAATCAGCAAACCAAATTGAAGCAATTCTTTATTACACGCAGAAACAAGAGAATTGTTTGTTTTTGTGTTAGGAGTTGTTTCATGTTGGTTTTTTGTTTGCTTTTTTAAAAAATGCAATATACTGACTAGTTATCCTCAAAAGTATGTACATTAACATAAAATAACAATTCATTGGCAAGCTACAAACAAGTGGAAAATAAAAAATATTTTAAATAACTTCACTTTAATTAAATTTTTAAGCAAATACTTTATTAAGGCTGTAGGTAATACAAAGACTATGAAAACCCTTTACTATTCTCTAGAAACCTGTAATAAAATAATAAGGGTAGTTAAATGGATGTTTTCAGATATAAGCACAGTTTCTTTCATTTAAAAATAGTATCTGTCTCAGTGGATGTACTTAATACTGAAAATAGAAGGATGAGTAAGATACTATCTTTATTCTTAATGAGTTGTCAGTCTTCTGTTAGAGGAAAGAAAAGTGAACCCCCAATAGCAATGCAACAATATAAATATTAAAACTGGTATTAATGGAAGTAAATTAATAATCCAGACAGAGAATTTAAGCTATTACATTTGTTGATTTTCTTCTGAAATTCCAATGAACAAACCTATAAATTAGCTATTAATAAAAGAAGGCTTAGAAATAGAGGTAAGAAATGCATCAACGATCTATCCAAGTAAAAGGAAAGTATGACCTCTGAGTCAAATTAAAGTACTGTATCAAATAATCCATCTGAGTTTGTGTTGGTTGCAAAAAATAGAATAATTACCACCAAAATAATGAAAAGGTCAAAACATGTTATAATAAATGAAGTGAGCCCGTTCCTGTTGCCAACATCTCTCACTTTAATTGGCATTTGTTTTTAAAGGAATACGGTGACATTTACACTTCAATTATGTATGATAAGAATACTAACCAAGTTTCAAAACAAACAGAACAGCTAAAAAATTAGAATTCTACACTTGGAACAGAAACAAAAATAGCAAAAAGTTTACATCTAAAATCAAATCTGGATTATTGTACCTACATACTCAAAAGAACTAGACTTACCATGAACTCAAGTATCTGAGTCCTTTAGGCTACATTAATAGGATGGCTTTTATAAACTGAACTAATAATTTTTTATTGATAGATTTAGTTTTATGTCAATATACACAATTTGGAACTGACATCTCCTGTCACACATACTGTATTTGGCATTAAACTGATTTTTCCGGAGCAGAACTCAGGTTGCTCATTTGTACAACACATCTTCAATGGTTTTTCACTGTCTGTTGAATGAAGTTTTGACTCCTTAGCACTAATGTTTAACCTGCCACAAATGTTGAACCTAACTTACCAGCTTCATTGCTTATTTCTATTTTGTATACATTTAGTAATCTTTAAATTATAAACTTAATGTCTGCCAAACTGAGAGTTGCCTCCTCTTTCCAGACCAGAATACAAGTTGGGTCATTTATGTCCAACGTGATGAAAATGACCTGAAAAAAAATACAGAAGCCAATCAAAAAATTTCAGTCTCTTTGTATTTCATTAAATGCAATGCCAAATACTGCACTGGTATTTCTAGCTATTCGCTACAAATGTGAATCCTTAAAGAACCAAAGAGAGCTAAACATTGTTTGATAAAGGGCTCCAATGCATAGAGTTTTAACCTCCCTAGTACAACACTGTTCCAGAAGGTCAGGGATAGTGGGTATTTTGTTCCTTGTATTGCTATGATTGGCTGTCAGTAGACATGCAGTCAAAACTCTCTAATATTATTTAAGATGATGCAGGATTATGTTTTTGCTTGTTTTTGTGGAACCACAGAAAACCAAGAAATCATGGAAAATATTTAATGGGGTAATAATGTGGGTTACATAGTCTTCTCCCTGATTGTGTTCCCAGTCAAATTCTTGGAAGCAGCATTCAAGTAACTTATTTAACAACTGAGGAAACTCACCAGGTATTAATTTCATCTACTTTCACTGAAATGTAAAAGCACTTACAAGGCTCTATTGGGGAAAGAGAGGATTGGGAGGAGAAAGATCCATGCAGCAGATTTTCCAATGTCTGATTTCAGGTTGCCCTAATAGAGTATTATAGACACAGACAGGGTGGATTTTAGTTAACAGAGATTTATTTCTTATGGTTCTTGAGGCTGTGAAGATCAAAGTCAAGGTGCTGGGAGATGATTCAGTGTCTGATGAGAGCCTTCTTCCTGATTCATAGACAGCCATCATCTCACTGTGTCCTCACATAGAGGAAGAACAGCTAGGGAGCTCTCCGGGGTCTCTTATACGGGGCACCAATCCTATTCACAGGGCACTGTCATCATAACCTAATCATCTCCAAAAAGCCCCCTTTCCATTACCATCACCTGGAGGGCAAGGATTTTAACATATGCATTTTGGGGGGACACAAACTTTCAGTCTGCAGCACCAATACATCAATCAATTTACATCTCCTGCAAATGTTTTTCTCTGCTTCTAGCCTTTCTTTAGATAACTTCTTCCATCAGAACTACCTGTTAAAAGTAGGTAAATATGTCTATTTAAAAACCCTCATATGATATTCCAAGGGTAAGAGACATTGAAGTCTACTCCTAATTGCTAAATATAGTTTGCAATTTTACTTTTATTCTGGCATATATTTCTCATTCCAGTAATTATTTATTTTATCTGATAATTATAAGTTTATAGATTTTTGCAAAGAGAATCCAAACTACATTTAGTTCCAAAATTTTCATTGTAAAAATAAGAAAAATAAGGCCTAACGGAATTAAGTGACTTTCCCAAGATGAAATTCTGGTTGAAGTTTTCATTTCTACATCATGTGAGGTAAACAAACACAGATGTATGCAGGTATGCATGACAAAATAAAATAGTAACAAATAAAGAATATGGCCAACTAGAAGAGAAAGAGAATGCAAAGAAAACATAATAGACAAAGGGACATAATACAGAGCTATAAGTTCAAAAGATGATTATTTGATGAACGAGGGGTCTTTTGTACTTGAATATAAAAACTCAATCAGAAACATGAATTATGTGTTTCGACCCTCAAAATTACACAAGATTCCACCTTGACTAGGATTTTGGAATTATTGTTCCCAACATTAAACAGTATGAGTAAATCTATGTTATTTACCCATTGAACCTACAAGAATTTCTGTCTTTGCTTTGGAGTTCCAAATGGAAAATTAAAAAAAAAAACTCATGAAAAAATAAATGTAAGTTTGCACATAAGTGTCAATTCTAGATATATATTCTGTCTAATGAATGGAAATTACAACTGAAGAAACTAATGTAAAAATAACACAATCAGTAAAAATGCACAAAAACTACCATGTAGGAATACTTCTACAACCCATGGTTGATGGGAACCTTATGGAAAAACAAACAAACAAACAAAAAATAATTCAAGAAAAAAGTGAGCTGGAACCACCTGTTACTTCTTTCCAGCAGGAGCAGGCCTTGTACCTGCCCCGTGGCAGAGCTCACGTGTGCTACAATCCTTTTTTAGCCTTGCTGTCCATGGAAGGATGTGTTAACCAGCTCAGCAGCGAGTCAGGGTGACAGTCTTTTACATCCTGCCCTCTTGGTACCTGGGTTCTTGTCCGGCGTCCGGAAAGAATCAGGTCACGCAGACGTGAAGGATGGGAATGCAGATGTTTTATTAAGCAGTGAAAGTGGCTCTCAGTGGAAGGGGAGCTGGAAAGGAGATGGAATGGGAAGATTATCTTCCCCTGGATTGGGAAGATAATCTTCCCCTGGATTGGGAAGATAATCTTCCCCTGGATTGGGAAGATAATCTTCCCCTGGATTGGGAAGATAATTTCCCTCAGGGATGGCCGAACTCCTCTCCTACCATCCCCAGCTGAACTCTTCACGAGGTTCAGACGCTTCTTCTCTTCTCTCCTTCTCTGTCATGCCGCTGCCGCTCTTGTGGAGCCTGGGGTTTGAGGTTCTTATGGGCACAGAACTGGGGACGGAGCAGGCCAGAGTGGTCTTGGAAAAGGCAACATTTGGGCCTGAAAACAGGAATGCCTGTTTTCATTGAAGGCCGAAGGCCATCTAGGTTTCTTAAGGATGGAGCCCTTGCCAGGGACCCTGTCCTCCTGCCTTGTGTCCATATCAGTGTGAGATGTTGACAGTGAGGGAAGCTAGGTGTGTGTGTGTGTGTGTACGCGTGTGCTTGCATGAATGTGTGTGTGTAGGTGTGTATATGGGAACTCTCCACTCAACCTAAAAAAATAGTGTATTAAAGAAATACCTAGAACTTTGAGAGGCTGAAACAGGCAGATTGCTTGAGCCCAGGAGTTCAAGACCAGCCTGGGCAACATGGCAAAATCTCATCTCCACAAAGAAAAAAAAATAATAATGCAAAAATTAGCCAGGCACGTTAGCACATACATGTAGACCTAGCTACTTGGGAAGCTGAAGCAGGAGAATGGATTGAGCCAGAGAGGCCGAGGCTACAGTGAGCCATAGTTGGGCTGCTGCACTTCAGCCTGGGTGACAGAAAGAGACTCTGTCCCAAAAACAAACAAAAAATAAATAAAAGAAAAAAAGAAATAAATGGATTACACATATAAATCAAATAGTTAAAAAAGAACAACATAAAGTAAAAGCAGGAGGAAATAATAAAGCTATAAAAAGTCAATAAAACAAAAACTGTGGGGCAGATGAGCACAATTAAACTGTTTCTAAAAACATTAACAGTTATTTGGCTAAATTTTCAAAAGAAAAAGGAGAAAATTCAGAAAAATGAAAAACAAAAACACTTGAAAACTTATCAAAATTGAAAAAGAAATAGAGTGCATGAATAGAACAATTACTATTTAGAAAATAAAATGGTAGAGGAAGATCTTCTTTCCCACCAAAACTGAGGTCTATATGCTTTTATTGGTGAGTTATAATAATTTCCAAGAAGAATGAATTTCAATTTATATAGCTTATTCTAGAGAGTAGGAAAAAATAAACAACTGTGGTGCTTACTTTATAAGGCTAATAAATTATTGGTTTTAAAACTATATAAGAAAAATACATGAAAGGAATTTGAAATCTAACTTTATATATGTACATAGTTACAGAAACCCTAAATATCATATTAGCTCTCTAAAAGCAATTCGTGTATTTAAATATACTGTCATTTTTAAGTAGAATTTATCTGAGGAGTTAGGGAGTTTTTAACATCAGAAAATTTAACAATGGTTTTTACATTTAATAGAATTATAAAATCATCATTATAATATATGAAGAAACAGTATTTCATTCACTTTAGCACTTACTTATAATAAATATAACAATATGAGATTAGAATAAAACATTTAAAAATTGATAATGTTTGCATTCCCAAATCTTAAAGGTGATTTTGAAAATAAACTTTAGATATAACCCCTTAAGTTCAATAATAAAAGAATGTCTACCAACATCGAAACTTTTAAATATAGGATTGGGAGGTTTTGAACAATGCTTTAAGAAAAAGAAAAGGGGATTAGAATTTAAGAATTGCAAAGAAGAAAAAAATCTTTTTATTATTTGCACATAGTACAATCATCCAGGTTGAACAAATTACTGAATCAAAAATTGAACTAAATAGTTCAACAATCCTGATAGATGTCACATCACCTTAAACAAATAGAAATTCTTGAAAACAGCAATAGGCTAATTAAAAATTAATAAAAATAGGATACTATTAGCTATGGCAACAAGCCTATAAGATCTGTTTAGATTTAAATAGTTAACTTTATGGTAAAAATTGTAACAAAAGAAGGTATCTCAATCTACAGCCATTTATGCTCCAGGACAAATATTAGTAAACTTTTTCTTTATGGCCAGATAGGCCATATAGGACCAGATAGGAAATTTTTTAGGCTTTATGGGTCTTTTTTGCAACTCTCTTTGTGTGTCTGATCTCTATTGCAACTATTTAACTTTGAAGGAAAGTAATAGGAAAGCGACCACAGACAACATGTAAACAAACTTAGGTGTGGCTGTACTCAGATAAAATTTGACTTGTGGACACTGAAATTAAAAATCTATGTATTTTCACATGTCTTAAAATATTTTTCAACCATTTAAAAATATTTTTCAAAGTATTAGACTGTGAGCCATATAAAAATAAGCAGCAGGCCAGATTTGGTCCATCATGGACTAAAATCTGTCAACCCTTACTATAAAGTGAAACAACAGTCCTCTTAACCTAAAGATAATAATTATCCCCAAGTCAATGTATAAATTAATTGAAAATTCAATGAATATTCCCTTTGGATATGTTTTCAGAACTCCTCGATAAGTTTACTTACATATTTATGAGGAGAAATCAAGGACCATGAATAATTAATAAGTTCAATTTAAAAAAAAAGAATAAAAAGAGGAAGTTGCCTTTCCCTGTATAGTACACATTACAAAGGCTTGGGGATGAAAACAAGGTGGAGTTGGTAGAAGAACAGATAGTTGAACCAGTGGAACTTAGATTAATATATAAAAGTAGGGGCACCAAAAATAAATCAGGAAATGATGAAAACATTGGTTTACTATATGGACAAACACTGGATTATGGACAATGATGAACTCAAGTGGTTTAAATATATGTGTAATTTTAATGCTATTATGAGAATATCTTTCTGTTTCAGGGATGAGAAATGATTTTAATCAACTTCTAAAAGCACAGGCCATAAAGAAATAAACCGATAATTTTGACTCATCAAAATAAGAACTCCTATCAATCAAAAAATACTATGGAAAAATTAATAGTAGACAAAATTTATTAAAAAAACTATTTGCAATGTCTAAACTTTAAAAAGATTCAAAGATATAAGGAACTTATGAAATCAACAAGAAAAAGACATTAATAATGGAAAAATGTGCCAAGGGTATGAAAAGGATATTTACATACAGGAAACCCTCTCCCAATAAGTTAACAAGAGAATGACCAAAAGTTTAAAATTAGCAGGGTGCAGTGGCTGGAGCTTATAATGCCAGCTACTCAGGAGGAAGAGGTGGGAGGGTCACTTGTGCCTAGGAGTTCCAGGCAGCAGTGAGCTATGATTGTGCCCCTGGACTCCAGCCTGGGTAACAGAGTGATACTCTGTTTCTAAAAATTAAAATTAAACAAAAAATCATTGGTAATCAGAAAAATGCATATTAAAACATCAATAAGTCTGATTTTATACTTAGCAAAGAGGTAAGAACTTCACCCAAGTATGGATAAGATGTGAACTAGAGGAGTTATTCCCGTGAACAATCTGTCAGTACTTAGTTACATTAGTGTGCACATATCCTACTAACTGGCCATTCTGTTCCTAGGTATACATCCCAAGGAAATTATTACCTAGTCCATAAGAAGACATTTATGAGAGTGCCCATTGTTGCATTTTATGTAGTGCTGGGGAGTTGGAGGCAATCTGGGTTCCCGTGACTATTAGTTGATTATTAAAATGTGGATGCACACCACTGATTATGTCACAGCAATTAAAAGTAGTTGAGCAATTAAATACATAGAAACATGAATAGATCTTTCAAAACAAGTACTTGGGGAAAAGAGAAGATAGAATAATACAATCAATGAGTTAATAACATTTCTGTAAATTAAAAATACACACACACACACACACACACACACACATATTGAAGGAAATTTATCTTGTAATAAAATAACTATCAAAGTCTACTTTAAACTTATTAAAGTGGTTTCCTATATATAGAGGCAGAGAAATGAGAGATTTTCATGAAAGAGAATAAATAAATATGCATGTAAATAAAAAAAGATGATGCCTTGTATGGAACAAAATTATTAAAGTGTCCTGAACTAAGGATAGCATTAACTCACAGCTTTGTTTATGCAGTTAATAAGGAATGAAAGGAAGAATAAAAAGAAGAAGAGAGAAAGAGATAGGAAAAGAGACAGGAAGGGAGGGAAGGAATGATCCAATTGTAATGTTATACAGTAACATTAACCAATTAATAAATTTAATGGGAAAAGTCCCATTGAAATTAGCAACACAATCAGAAATAAATCTAAGGAAATACAAAACATAAACATGATTGTTGCTTTGTTGCTAATACTCTTAACTACCACACTGATTATATACATCTGAATTCTTAAAAAAGAAAAAAAGTACATGGAGAGAAAATACAGGATTAAACACAAATATATAACAATAAATATTTTAACTATGCATTAAAAAATAAATTTATAGATTCACATGTACTTATTAGAAATAATACAGAGGTCCTGTGTACCACTTGCCCAGTTCCCCAATAGAAACATCTGGTATAACTGTAGTATAATATCACAATCAAGATACAAATGATACAGTAAAAATTCCAAACACTGATATCATAAAAATACAGAACAATTTCATCATCATAAGGATCCCTCCTGTTGCCCTTTAAAAGCCACACCCATCTTTAATTTTTCATCCCTAAGGGCACCATTCTCCATTTCTATAATTTATTTATCTCAAGATACTATTTATTGTGGAATCTTTTGGGATTGGCTTTCTTTTTCACTTGTATTTTCCTGGAGATACATCCAAGATGTTGCATATATCAATAGTTCATTCTTCTTTATTGTTAACTCATATTCCATGGTATGCTTGACCTCTCACATACATTATTATGAATGCCCGCAAGGGCAATTGCTGGGTTGTAAGATAGTTGCATGTTTGGAGTTCCAGAGTGGCTATACCATTTTCCATATCCTTCAGCAGTGTGTGAGATCCAGTTCCTCAACAGCATTTATTGTTGTCCCTATTTTTAAAAAGCCATTCTGACAGATGGGTAGTAATATATCATGTGGTTTTAATTTGCATTTCTCTGACTGTTAGTCATGTTGAAGCACCTTTTTATGTGCTTACTTGCCATCTGTGTATTGTTTTTGGTGACACATGTTTACATATTTTGCCAATTTTCTAATTGGTTTGTTTTTTTTAACTGTGAAGTTTTAAAAGGTTTTTATATGTACTAGATATTAGTCTTTTGGCAGTTTTGTATTTTGCAAATACTTTCTCTCAGTTTGAAGTTTTGTTTTCCATCCTTTTTACAACAGGATTGTTCACCAATCAGAAATTTTTAACTTTGATTAGGTAAACTTTATTAATTTTTAAGTTATTTTTGCTTTGGTGTCAAGTTTTAGAACTCTGCCTAACTCACAAAAATTTTCTCATATGTTTTCTAAATAAAAGTTCTGTATTAGTTTTCACGCTGCTGAAAAAGACATACCAGAGACTGGGCAATTTACAAATAAAAATCAGTTTAATGGATCTACAGTTCCATGTGGCTGGAAAAGCCTCACAATCATGATGGAAAGTGAAAAGCATGTCTCATATGGAAGGAGAAAAGAGATGAGAGCTTGTGCAGGGAAACGCCCATTTTTAAAACCATCAGATCTCATGATTCAATTACCTCCCACCAGGTTCCTCCCATGACATGTAGGAATTGTGGCAGTTACAATTCAAGATGAGATTTGGGTGGGGACACAGCCAAGGGACAAAGCCAAACCATATCAAGTTTTATAGTTTTATATTTTATATTAAAGATTGTGAGATCTTTTGAGATAATTTTTATATAGATTTTGTACAGATTTAGGTCAGAGTTCTTTGTCTCTCTCTCTCTCACTCTCTCTCTCTCTTTTTTTTTCCTATGGATATCTAATTTCTCCAGTACTATTTGTTGAAAGGCTATTCTTCTCCCCATCGGATTACTTTTGTATCACTGTCCAAAAAAAATGTTCTGAATATTTACTTGGGTCTTTTTCTGTGTTCTATATTCTGTTCCACTGGGTTATGTTTCTTCTCTTCTACCAATACCACAGTATCTTAGGTACCATAATCTCTCAAATCAGATAGTGATTCTCGTTCTTTTATTTTTTCAAGATCATTTTAGCTGTTTGAGAGTATGTGCCTTTCCATACAAATTTAAAATGAATTTGTCTATATCTTTAAAATCTTTGCCAGAATTATATAGAAATTGCATTAAGACTATAGATGAATATGGGAATAATCAATATCTTTACTATAAGTCTTTCAATTCATGAACATACAATGTCTTTCTATTTGTGTGGATCTCCTTTGCTTCAATTCATCCGTATTTTGTAATTTTCAGCATCTGGATTCTGCACATGTGTTAACTTGACACTTAAGGAATTCATTTGCTTTGCAGTGATTGTAAATGATATTGTATTTTTAATTTCAGCCCCCACCTGTTCATATATAAAAATGCAATTAATTTTTGTTTGTTGATCTTGCATCTGTGATCTTGCTGAACTCATTATTAATTTTAGAAAACTTTTTTTGATTTCCTGAATCGTTCTACATGAACAATCATGTCAGCTCCACAAAGAAACAGTTTTATTTGCTCCTTTCCACTATGTATAGTTTAATTCATTTTCTTACCATATTTGTCTGAACACTTCTGTATTGTATTAAATAAGAGTCATAAGAGCCTACCATATCTTTGCTGTAGTAGGCTGAATAATGCTCCCTCCCACCCTCCTGAAGATAACAATATCTAACCCCTGGAACCTGTGAATATGTCACCTTACATGGTACAAAGATGTTTTCACATGTGATTAATTTGAGGATGTTGAGATGGGGAGATTATTCTAGATTATTCTGCATGCCTAAGGTAATCATAAATGTCTTTATAACAGAGAGACAGAAAGAGATTTTACTATAGAAAAGGAATGTCAGGGTGATCCAGTGTGAGAAAGACTCAGCTAAGCATTGCTGGCTATGAAGATGTAGGAAAAGAGATTACTGTGACCTCTAGAAGTTGGAAGAAGCATGGAACAGATTGTTTTCTGGAGTTTGCAGAATGAGTTACTGCTGCTAACCCCTTGATTTTAGCCCAGCGAAACTGATGTCATACTTTGGAACACCAAAACAGTAAGATAATAAATATAAATTGTTCTAAGCCACAAAATCTGTGGCACTTCACTTTAGCAGTGGTAGAAAACTAATACCCTTCCCTTATTTCCAATGTTATATCATAAACATTCAGTTATTCACTGTTAAGTATAACATAATCTATAGGTTTTCTTTTGTAGATGCTGTTTATATAGTTGAGAAAGTTGTCATCAATTTTTAGTTTTCTGAGAGTTTTATAATTGATACTGTATTAGTCTGTTCTCATGCTTCTTATAAAGACATACCCAAGATGGGATAACTTATACAAGACAGAGGTTTAATGGGCTCACAGTTCCACATGGCTGGGGAGGCCTCACAATCATGGTGGAAGGCAAAGGGGAAGCAAGACACATCTTACATGGCAGCAGGAAGGGAGCATCTGCAGGGGAACTGCCCTTTATAAAACCATCAGATCTCATGAGACTTATTCACTACCACAAGAACAGCATGGGAAACATCCACTCTGAGGATTCAATTACCTCCCACTGGTAGGACACTTAGAAATTACGGGAACTACAGTTGAAGATGAGATTTGTGTGGGGACACAGCGAAACCATATCAGATACATATTGTATTTTTTAACATGCTTTTTTCTGTAGTATTTGATAAAATCATACAATTTTTCATCTTTAACCTGCTAATATGGTAGACTGTACTAGTTGATTTTAGAATATTGAAACATTGTATACCTGGAACAAATTCCACTTGGTTTTTGTGAATGGTTATTTTTATTCATTTCTGGATTTAATCACCAATATTTTGATGAGGATTATTATGTCCAAGTTAATGAAATATATTTGTCTGTACTTTTTCACTTTTTCTATCTTCTTTTTCCCTTTTTTACTTTTTTATTTTGCTTCTTTTATTTGAAATGAGTTGGTAAGTGTTTCTTCCTGTTCTGTTTTATGGAAAAGATTGTGTAAAGTTGGTCATAGTTCTTCTTTAATTATTTGATAGTTTCCCTCAATAAAACACTCTGGGCCTGGAATTTATTTTCAGGAGATTTTAATTTATAAATTTAATTTATTTAGTAATTATAGGAGTATTCAGCTTGTTTCTTTCATTTTGTTTGAATATTGTTAGTTTGTGGTTTTTCAGGAATTGATCCATTTCTTCCAAATTATCAAATTTATGAGCCTAGAGTTTCTTATTGTATTCCCTTATTATCTTGTAATGGCTTCAGGGTTATTAGTAATATCCCTTGTTTCATTTCTGATATTGGTGACTTTTTCATCTTTTTATCTTTGTCAGCCTTGCTGGGGTTTTGATCAATTTTGTTGATTATGCAGAATGAGTTTTTTGCTACATTGATTTTTCTCAATTGCTTTTTCTCTATTGTTTTTCTATCTTCAGTTTCATTGAATTCTGTGTTTCTCTACAATGTCCTTTCTTCTGCTTGTGTTGGATATATTTTGCTATTTGAGATACAAACTCAATAATTGATTCAAAACATTTCCTTTTTCCTAATGTCAGCATTTAGTATCATAAATTTCTATCTCAACAGTGCTTTAGCTGTTTCTACTTATTTATCTATATTACATTTTCACTTAGTAAAACATATTTTTTAAACTTTCTTTAGATTTACTATTGACTTATAAATAATTTAGAAGTATACTGTGTAATTTTCAAATTTCCAGAGATAGTTCTGTTGTCTTTCTAATATTGGTCTCTAGTTCTATTGTATTAGAGTCAGACAAAATACTATCTATGATTTCAATTTTACAAAATTGATTGAGGTTTCTTTTATGGCCCATTATATGAGCTACTGATATGGTTTTGCTGTGTCCCCACCCGAATTTTATCTTGTATTGTAGTTCCCATAATCACCACGTGTTGTGAGAGGACCAGGTGGGAGGTAATTAAATCATGGGCGTGGTTACTCTCATGCTCATGCTGTTCTCCTGATAGTGAGTGAGTTCTCACGAGATCCGTTGGTTTTATAAGTGGCTTTTCCTCCCTTCGTTTGGCACTTCTTCTTGCAGCCATTATGTGAAGAAGGATGTGTTTGTCCTTCTTCCGCCATGATTGTTGTTTCCTGAGGCCTCCCCAGCCATGCTGAATTGTGAGTGAATTAAACGTTTTTCCTTTATAAATTACCCAGTCTTAGGTATGTCTTCATTAGCAGCGTGAGAACAGACTAATACAGCTACCTTGGTGAATTTTCTCATAGGCACTATATATGTATATTATTAGATAGAAATTATTAAAATGTATACATTGTTATATAAAATTATATATTATGTATTATATTATAAATATATATTATAATTTATATAAACTATATACATTAATATATATTTACTATTATATATTATTTTTAGTTTATTATATATTATATCAACTATAAAATAATAATTTATAAACCTTTGAAAAATTTTAATTTGTAAATTATTTTACTATATATTTTATAAAATATAAAATAATACTTTATATATTCTATAAAACATAACATAATTTATGATAATTTATATATAAAATATTTATGGCGTCATTCATGCCAAGATTCCAAACAGAATTTGAGTTATTATCTGACCTTTGGATAAATCAGAAGAGAGAGATAAGAGTCTTATTTCCCAAACAGGCCAGTTTCAGTTGGGATCTCAATTAAGTCCTCTCTGGTTTAATCCTAACAAAGAAAAAGGTAATCTGAAATAACCTGGTGTTAACCAATCAGCTATCTCTGTATTGTTCCGTTTCCCTATTTCCACTTAATAAAGAACGCAACTTTGAGGTTACCAATCCCCTTTTTGTTCCTTATTTCTACTTTCTTCAGCCCTTCTCTGTCTATAAAAACAAACTCTTGCTCAGCTCATTGGAATATTTATTCTCTTTTACGGAATAAAATGTTGCCTGATTCTAGAATCACAAATAAACCCAATTTATATCTTTAAATTTTTGCTATAATTTTGTCCTTTGGTGTGCGTGTGTGTGTGTTCACACACACACATATATATACACACACACACATATTATATATATGTATACATATATGTGGATAGGGGAAAGAGTTGGGGAGAGTGATACATATGTATGTGTATACACACACACAGACACACACACACACACACAAGACAGTCCTGACCTGTTTTGAGTTATAATTTTTTTGACTTTAAGATGATTGAAAAACAATATGCATCCAGTACACTCCTCAACTTATGATGGGGTTGTGTCTTGATAAACTCATCATAAATTTAAGATATTGGAACGTGACCCCATCATGGTAAGTTGAGTATCTGTATTGTTGGGTGGAATATTCTGTATATGTAAATGAGAATCTGTTGCTTGATTGTGTTTTTCAGTTCTACTTTCTGCTGATTTTATGTCTAGTAGTTCTATTGATTGCTGAGAGTAGAGCAATAAACTTTTTACAAAATAACATTATTTTAAAAAGTGAACACTGTAATCACTTCATTCTCTAGCCATACACAGAGACTGCTGGCAGATAATAAGAAGAAAATCCTCGACCTGCTGTCTCAGGTTTATTTCGTGCCCTGGAAAGTAGTGCTAAACTGCACTTCATAATCCTTGGAATACTTAAAATTCAGCAGCAACCAACCAGATCCTTAGGCTCCACTTCACACCTACTGAATTTGATTCACCCGAGCTGAGGTGCGCAAATTTTCATTTGAGCAGTCTTTACATGTTTCCCATGATCAATTTAGTAAAAAAAAAAAAAATACAATAAATTTAAGTTTTGTAAGAAGATTGAAAACAGAATAACCTCTAAAACCTTGCTTCTCAAGGTGTATTCTGTGGACTCATCATCATCACCTGGGAACCTGTTTGAAATGAAGAATCTCAGGTTAATTCTAGAATTACTGGAAGATAATTCTTACATTAACAGGTTTTCAATGGGATTCTTATTGTTGTCAACATTTTAGAGACACTGAAGCTTACCATCAGAAGATATTGAAAATGTGTCTGGCGGACTTAAATTTAGGACCTGGGAGTCTATGCGTCTACCAGGATGCTAGACTCTTGTCAGTCCAGCTGTATTTGTCTAGTGCTTCCTACTAAGTTTCTGCCTGTGTCTCCTGAATACCCTCTTAGTTCCATGCTGGAAGAGGAACCTGCCTTTTTGCTAGAACCTGAACTACTTTCTAGAACTTTAGAGATCTCTCCTCTCTAGAGTTTTCAACCTACCTGTTATCTGAGGGATTTTATGGAAGATGATTGTTACTAAATTCAAAGGAAGTCCCTGCTCTACATATTCTACTACCCAGTTATAATGGACCCTTTATATACTGAAGCTAATCTGATCCATGTGTCTTTGGCCACTACCTTCTAGGTGTTTTTTGTTTGTTTGTTTTGTTTTTTCATCTTCTGTTTGTTATACTAGTTAATCTCCAGTTGAATTCATAGGTTTTGCTTCATCAGTTCCTGCCCTTTAAGATTCCAAAATGTCCTGTGTCCAAATCTTAGTCTCATGACAAGTGATGCTCTGAAATAATACAAGGAATATAATCAAAGAAAACACCTCTTTCTAGATTCAATAATATAGGTTCCATGTGGTTTATTACGGGTTACAAAGAAACACAGGAAGCCCTTTATTTCCTTCCTTTATTCTGCCTTATTGTACTGAATAATATTAAGTTTCATGTGACAAATGCTATTATTGTCAATAGGAAAGTATTAATGACAACAAGAAATAGTAAATGCTTGGAAACCAACTTCAGTTTGTTGCCTAATGGTTCAAAATGTTATCCAGTCAGATGAAAAACTTCATTGACTTTTCATTTCCCAGGAAATTTGGTAGAGCTGAAATAATTTCATGGTTTTAAAAAGAAAAAAGGAAATGGAGGGCAGGTCAAAGGAGTGTGTGCATTATTTAAAGACTCTTTCTCTCTGGGATATAAATAATGTCACTAATGTTGTTTCTAGGGTTATGCTGCAGAATTTCCAACAGTGACTAGTTAGGAAGCCCAGGTGTTGGAGCAAATTGGGAAACAAATCCCAATTCAAACAAAGTGAGTGGAAGGGCTTATTTGTAACCTGGTGCTACTGACCACAGCATCGAGATAAGACCGTGATCTCATTCATAAAAACTGTTATCCAATCAGCTCAATAAATGTTTATTTGTTTTGTTTTGTATGCTTTTATTTAAATAGACTGTTTGCTACCATTCAGAAGTACTCATATTTTCCAATTCCCACGCCAACCTCTGGTGCGGCTCACAAAACTATTACATTTTTAACACAGCAGCCACGTATATTATATCCCCATAATCTATGCACAGCTTATGTCTCAGGCATGACACATGAGACACATGGTTGTATCCTTAATTATCTTGCTCCCATTTCCTGGACTATCTTTCCTTACACATTTTCATTCATTATTTCTCAAAGTGAGAGAACACATTGTTGAATTAAAGATGTTTCCCATGAGTTCTTCTGGTGGTATTGAGAGAAATGGATATTGAAGAGATGGGAATCCCATAAATCCATATGAGAGAAGAAACATTTTGTTTTTACCTGTGTTAGTCAAATTGGGCTTCCATAACAAAATAATGTGGCTTAAACAACAAAAATTTATTTTCTCACAGTTCTGGAGGCTAGAAATCCAAGATCAAGGTGTCAGAAACATCCAGTGAGGCCTTTTTCCTGGGCGGCTCCTCACCCTGTCCTCACATAGTCTTTCTTCTGTATGCATATATCCCTGGTGTCTCTTCCTCTTCTTATAAGGACATCAGTCCTATTGAATTAGGGCTTCACCCAGATGGCCTCATTTAACTTCAGTTGTTTCCTTAAAGGCTCTATCTCCAAATACAGTCCCATTGAGGGTTAGGGCTTCAACCAGTAAATTTTGAGGGGGCACAAGTCAGTCCATAACATGATTTAATATGTCAGAGTATAATTACATTATATTTTCTAAATGATTTAGAATTATATTTTCTAAAGGAAATGCAGCTGTAATCTCAAGCAGTTTTCTTCTTATTGCCCTCATTGCACTGGCACCTGTGAAAATTTTGTTCAGAATTAATCCTGATTTGCTCCGATTTTCAGTGTTATCACCATTCTTCCCAAACATACCTAAACACAACAAGCAGATTCAAGCTTATTAATTGGATAAACATCAGCAGTGTATATTTTCCTGTCCTGGTTTTTTCCTTCAAATATTTTGGGGCTAATGTCTTTGTGCTCAGTGACTGGATGGACATTTTCCTTGGTTCTTGAAATAGGCCAGTGTTGAGCTTCTGAACTGACCACTTTCCTGGGTGCTAAATGAACCATAAAGGGCTAGTCTCGTCTTTCATTTGGGATAACAATTGAGAAACCTGTTTGACTCATGAGTATTCTCTAGGCTCTGTCTACTGTTTTCAGGCCCCAGAATCCTGATTCCTGAGCACACACCTCTTATTTCACCACATGGAGGCACCAGTCCCCTCTGCCCCTACACAGAGCCACTGAAACTCACCTCTCAAGCTTTCTTATCTTAATTAGCTCTACATCATTCGTGCCCATTTTCATTGGTAATCTATTCTACTTCTATGGTACGTACTTATTTTATTCTGTTTTGTTTTTGAGACAGGGTCTCATTTTGTCACACAGTCTTGAGTGCAGTGGTGCAATCTTGGCTCACTGCAGCCCCGAACTCCCAGGCTCAAGTGATCCTTGCATCTTAGCCTTCAGGGTAGCTGGGACTACAGGCACATACCACCATGCCCGTTTGATTTTTCGTATTTTTAGTAGAGATGATGTTTCATCGCGTTTCCCAGGCCGAGCTCAAAACCTCGGCTCAAGTGCTGGGCCTCCCAAAGTGCTGGGATTACAGGCATGAGCCACCACACCCAGTTGCATACTTATATTTTTCAGACTTCTCATTCTCCTTAATCTAAAAACAAAAAGTAATTGTAATGACATAAGTATCACACCATAATCAAAAGGGGACATTAGTGTTGTCTGTAATGTTACTCTTGGCTGAAATTTTAGAGGATGAGGAAAACTAACACTCTATTACCCCAGCAATTCCAAAATTCTGAATTTTATAGATGAAGAAATGAAAGCCCTTCAGTTTCAATACAAAGACACACCAATCCATGTATCCTCCTGCCAAATACAAGTCTGAATGCATGAGATCCGTTCCACTACCTGCTGGATGTTCATTCCTTCTTTCTCAACAAATATAGGCACTATAGTAGGCATTGAGGTAGTTAATGGTGAACAGAGAAAACTTTTTTGTTCCTTCCCTCATCACTCTCATAGTCTGACTGGAGAGACTAATAATATGCAAAGAGTCTTATAAATACATGCAAAATTTCAACTATGGATACTGCTCTGAAGTATAAATACAACATGTGAGAAGCATATTCAGAGAATTCGACACAGTGGGTAAATTGGAGAGAGCTTCCATGGAAAACTAAAATGTAAAAGATGACACTGATTTAATTAGGTGAATAAGGACAGGAAGAATATTTATACCAGAGAAAATAACCCCTACAAAGATCCTATGCTGAAAGACTGCACAGAAAAAATTAGCATGGAGAGTAACGGGAACAAGAGAGGAGGAGCCAAATGTGGTTGGAGACACAGGCGGAATCACACAGCAAAAGCCTTTGGGCCAAGTGAAGTTTTGCTTTATGGCAAATGCAGCAGGGCATCAGTAAAGGGCCAGTCTCACTATCACTGCTGCTTCGGCCCTAAGCCAGCCCTGACTTCTCTCACCTGATTGTTATTATTACTCTTTCCTCCTCACTGTTCTTTCCTCCTTGAGCCTCCCAAAGTCTATTCTCAGCAACAGTCAGTGTGATTAATTTAAACCCAGGTCAGATCATGTTACCTGTCTGCTCACAGCCAATTCCAACATCCTGTCTTTCCCAGAATAGCATCCAAAGTCCATCTGCTGGTCTAAAGGCCCTCCATGATCATATTCACTGCTACCTCTCTAAACACACCTCCTACCTCTCTTTTCCCTCACATGCTCTCTCTGTATAGCTGCAAGGCCCTGTTACTGTTCCAGAACATTTCAAGCATGCTCTTGTTCCTGGGTGTTGGCATTTCCTATCCTCTAGACTGGCCTTCTCCCAGGTAGGCACATGACTCACTCTCCCCAAGTGCACAGGTCTCTCTCAGACATGCACTCACCAGGGAGGCCTTCCCTGACTTCCCTGTATAAAACAGCTACCATCCTGCTTCCATCACTTCCCAGCACCATCCTCAGCTTTATTATTCTTCCTAGCATTGTCTGCTATCTATTAAGTCTTTTTGTTTCTCTGTTTTGATCAGCCTGCTGCCACAAAAACAGAAGCTCTTTGAGAGCAAGGGCTTGTTTTCTTTTCTGCTTTATGCCTAGTGGGTTGAAAAGTACCTGGTACATGGTGATCAGTAAATATTTGTTAAATTCATAAATAAATCAAAAACTGTGGGACATTCATTACCACAATCATTTTGCCCATTAGATATTTTTCATTTTTTTGTTCTGAATCAGAATGTTCACTTGTATGCAGACAATACACAGATATGCCCTGTTATAAATCAAGATCTAACTCAAGCTCTGTTTACTCTCGAGGATTGCCTGTCAATACTCAGGATTCTTTATTTTTAAAATTCCCAATAAACTAATAATCTAAACCAGTAATTTATCTATAATAGCCCAGTGTCTTTTCTTGGGTAATTCTCATTTACTGAATGCTATTGTTAGTAATTTGAAAATATGTACTCAAACTTTTTTCATTTTCTTTTATGTAGAGCTGCCAATGCAATACTATTTTGTAAGAGGTAAATGCGCACTTGCTGCTTTGTCATAATAGCTACTACTTATCATTCTTAAGCAGAAAAAAGCAGTATATGTTCATTTAAAAAGTAGTAACCAATTTTAGCTGAGACATAACTTGTATGATGGAGTAGTAGAAATAGACATGGAAAGGTAAGTTGGATGTTTTAATATTATGTTGAAAAATTTAGAATTTTTCTAGAGCAATGAGGAGACATGGAGTATTGCAGATCAATGAATGGGCTTTAGAAAGATAATACACAATACTACTGAGGTGGATGGGTTAGAATACAAAGAGAAGTTGTTTGGCTCAAAGGCCATCAAAGTAGGCCATGCTGAATGAGGCCACTGGCAGTAGGAACAGAAATTTTTAAAAATAATATTTTTGATGTTTTTGCTTTTATTCAAGCATTTACTGACTGGGACTGATGCTGTACTGTGTTAGCCATTAGAATTTAAAAAAATGAGCTGTAAGTTTCATGGACATACCATTAAAATCACTTCATTATCTACATTTTTCCTTTCAGTCTAAAAATTCCAGTTCCTATTAACAATGTCATGATGCATATTCATTAAGCCTAACAGAAGTCTTACATTTACATTTGCATAACATTTTGCGATTTAAAAATAGCCCTCATGTGAGTCAGTTATGTTATTTGATCTCACAAGAATCCTGGCAGGTAAGCTGAGTAGGACATTCTCTTCAGTTTTCAATAAGAAACTGTAAGTCAGATCTGGAAAGTCACTGGCCCCAGGTTATACCACCTGTGAATTCAGAATTGAACTCATATATCTAAATTCCAAATAATACGGTTTTCCTTAGAATTTCACTCCACATATATTTTTAAAGTTCATGTGAAAGTAATTTTTTTCTCTGTACTAATTCCACTTTAATTCCCCTCTCTAGAGCCTATGGTTTATTGCCTAATTACATTATCTTTTGTTACAGGTTTTATAAGAAATGCCAATAATGCTGTATGTTATTTTTTAATTTTTGTGATAGAATTGTGAGACTGTAAATGCCAAAAAGCCCAAAAACAAAACACAACAAGAAAACAAAAAACACAAAAAGATAAGCAAACAAAAAAGCTTTTCTCCTAACAGTGCAAAGCTTCTGTTTCTGACCTCAAAAACAAAGAAAGAAAGTGTTTTTAGATATATACATTTTATAAATAAAAATACATCATCATTCATTTATGTTTTTAAAGTAAAAATGTAGACTTTAATTTCAGTTTATGTAAATATTTTAAATTTGTGATTTTGTTTACATAACTTCTCACAATTGGAGAAGCTAAAAATTGAATTAGACAGGATATTAAAATATTAAATTCTGCTGGAAAACATTAAACCAAAAGCCATAACTCTCACATTGTTTTTGCTCTGTGAATTCACAGTATTAATTAGTTTAGCAGGAAAGCAAAACAAATTATTAGCATGAATCAACTTGAATTTCAGATATTCTGAAAGTAAGCATCAGTTCAGTTCATTAGAATGATTTTTTTAATGAAAGATATTCCCAGCATTCATATTTTACATCTTAAATATTTTTCTCTAATAAAAGGAACCACAGCTTCTTGGAAAAATGGCTGATTCTAGGGTTACGGAAGAAAATACACAAGGTAAACCTCAGGAAACTGGTAGTGCCAGAAAGTAGGAAAGTCCTCAGAAAGAAAACACACACACACAAACACACACACACACACACACGACTGTATGTATATCAGAGGGATGCAGGAGGCAACAACATAGATGGAACTGGGCGTCATTACTTCAGTGAAATAAGCAGGCACAGAAAGACAAACATAGTGTGCATTCACTTATTTGTTGAATCTAAAAATCAAAACAATTGACCTCATAGAGATAGAGAGCAGAAGGATGGTTACCAGAGGCTGGGAAGTGTAGTTGCCGGGGGCAGTGAAGAGGGAGGTGGGGATTGTTAATCGGAAAAAAGAAAAACAAACAAACAACAGAAAGAATGAAGGAGACCTAGTATTTCATAGCACAATGAGAGGATTATAGTCAATAATAATTTAATGGTGCTTTAAAAGATAACTAAAGAGTATAATTGGATTGTTTGTAACACAAAAGGTAAATGCTTGAGATGAATACTCAAATATTTCATATACTCCATAAATATATATATGTACTGTGTACCCACAAAAATTAAAAATCAAATAATTAAAAGAACTCCCAATGGACAAAGTTAGGACAATGTGAGCAACAAGATAACTAGCACGGCATTGTCATATAAGCCAAATATAAAATAGATATACAGACATCATACTAATGTAAATGACTGATTTTTTGATTTTTTAATTCCAGCTGTCAACAGGCAGCATGGGTTAAAAAGTAGATAGGGATAAACGTAGGCACCCTATCCTATGATGCTTAGGGGCTAAGGAAAGCATTATAATTAAAGCTGGTGATAAGAACGCCAGGAACAATTTACACTGGATGGCGAACACCTATATCTATCTGTCAAAGATAAGTCAGAGAACTGAAAAATCCAACCCAGAGAAGATGCACCAGGCAGCTAACATGAATGGAAGACTATTAGGCATAAATAGTCTTACCTTGGGAGATGGAGCTGAGGAGGCGAAGCTTCCCATGTTCACACACACAATAAGAAGAGCTAAAGGTACTCCACCAGCTGGCACATTGCCGAAAGCTGAACAGGCCTCATGCCATATGTACATGGAAAATAGACCTATGCTAGGCCTTTGAAATGATAGTAAAAAAAATAGATAACAAATATTGTCCAGATATTTCCACCAAAGAATGTCTCTCTGAAGAGCATGCAGCTGAGATTCATTGGCTAAAAGAAACTGATGAAAATTAGAGAAGATATATGCTTGACTTACTGAATATTGATGCAATTGAATGTTATCACAATAAATTCAAGAAATTATAAGGAGATAACAAGAAGCTGAAATTAGACAATCTATCTGGGAAGAATTTTTTAAAAAGATTGAAATGGAGATTAGTATAGAGTAACAGATTTATAAAGTTTATCCATCCACAAACATAAAAGACATAAGAGGAAAGGAAAAGGTATCAAAGAAGTAAAGAAAAACTTAGAAGAAAACTCCTCTAGAATGTAAATAAAAACAGTGAATAAATAAGAGGAAATGTAACGATACATCACTAGGACAATTGGATGAGAAGTATCATTCAAAAATGCACTCAAAAACACTTATTTTTTTCAGGGCTGATGAAAAGCTTTCATGAGAATATTTAAAAACTCACTACAAAAAATTAACACAATGGTGACAATGCCAATCTATGACCTAGATACATTTTTGAATTTTAAGGAAAAAGAAAAAAATTAATCTTTCAAGCATTCAGTTAGTAAATACAAAATGCCTACAGAGGAATCACATTCAGAATGATTAAAAGTCATAAATTTATGAAGTGGTATCTACAGAATTTTGAAAGACAGAAGCTGAAAGAAATATGTACAGAGCTATTCAAGTAAAAGGTACAAGAAAATTATGTAAATGTTCAGAAAATATACCCCCTAAATATGATTCTCAAGACTAGTATTAGAAACTATTCTGCTCAATGAAGTATGCATTTAAAAATCAAGAATGAAAAATTCAAAGGATAAAGGAACTCACAATGATTCTGAAAATAATAAAATGCAAATTTCACAAAAGATAATTTTTAAGTTAATGAGTGAAAAGATTGTACTTCTAGTTCTGGTGATAAAATAGTATTGAGACTTGAAGCAAATTACTTAATATTTCTTGTGTCTACCCCTTTCATTTGCAAAACATTACCATGTCTCAGTAATATCAAAATTCTAATTAATATTTAAGAGCCACATGAACATTTTGGCTGTTTTCTCTTTCCCACAGTACTCTTCTTGGGAAAGCTCTGTGATCAGAAGTGTTACCTATTCTGTAACCCTTACTCAAAATGTCAATGCAAGACTAGACTGTTACTATCTTTGATTGTAAGTTTTCCAGTACAGGCAAGAATATTTTCCTTGCTCTCATTTCTAGTCAAATGGCAGAACACAGAAAAAAAGCCATGAAATTTTCTTGATTTTTGGCAAATGAGTTTTCCTTTCATAAAGTTGTTTAATATAGCTTTTCTAAGCTGAAAACTATGTGATGCATTCAATGTCTTCTATGACTGTCTTTTGCCTCACCACTGGTACTTCCCCAGGCTGCTACTTTCTGAATACAATAAACAGGAAGTAAAGAAAAAGAAAGAGCGAGAGAGAGAGACAGAGAGAGAGAGAGAGAAAGAGAGAAAGGAAGGAAGGAAGGAAGGAAGGAAGGAAATAAAAGGAAAAGAAAAAGGAAGAGGGAGAGAGGGAGAAAAGAACACTTGCTACTTCAATGACTGTGTTAATCTGATTTTAAAAGACACCTGATATGGTTTGGCTGTGTCCCCACCCAAATCTCATCTTGAATTCCCATATGTTGTGGGAGGGACCTGGTGGGAGATGATTAAATTATGGGGGCAGGTCTTTCTCGTGCTGTTCCCATGATATTGAATAAGTCTCACGAGATCTGATGACTTTATATGGCGGAATTTCCCTGCACAAGCTCTCTCTTTGCCTGCTGTCATCCACGTAAGATGTGAGCTGCTCCTCGTTGCCTTCTGCCATGATTGTGAGACTTCAGCTTCCCCAGCCACGTGGAACTTTGAGTCCTATAAACCCTTTTTCCTGATAAATTACCCAGTCTGTGGTATGTCTTTATCAGCAGCATGAAAACAGGACTAATACAGAACCTTTCAAAATATACTCCTTAATCAATCAATTTAGTTAACATACATATTCTTGAATAATTAATGTAGATTAAAGGCAAGGAAAATCATGTAAATTCTACTCACAGCATTATGTTACAAGCTTCTTTGCTGTCTGTAACAATAACATGAAGTTAGGTTGTTGAAGAGACTCCATAACTACAATAATACTAACTCATAATGAAAAATCCAGACATTTCAAGATCTTCAGAGAACAAAATAGGGGGTTTAAGAAAAAAAGGAATATGCTATCTTCAAGAAGGATTTCAGGTAGGTATAAATGACGTATAAATAAATAATCCCAAAGCATTCAGAGGTGACCATGGAATTGCTAAACTATGTTATTTTCATACTTTTTTATTAATCTCTGGAAGCAATGCTAATTAGGATCAGTCTGATATTATATATATATACACACACACATACATGCACACATATGTATATATACATATATAGATATACAGATATATATGTATCTATATACACACACACATATATATGAATGTCAAAGTTCTTTTAGCTTATGCATATGCTAAAAAAAGACTGGAAACTCCTGTCTAACAATATGAGACCAACTTTTTCTAAAGCAGCTCTTGACCTTCTTTTGCTAAGTCATTAATCTTTATTTTAGGATGGTTTCTGTTATTGGAGACATTTTTCTACCACTTAAAAATTCATTTATGTACCCTATAGTCCTATAGTACTTCTACATGAATGCCATTACAGGGGAGAAGATGCTACTACTGCAAATAACACTGCCATTTTCTCATTGTGAGATACATAAAGAGATGATAAAATCTGATCGCTAGTAAAGTGAGTTCTTGGTGCAGGCTGTGATCCAGAATCATGTTATTTTGTGTCCTTAAACTGTTAGATTTTATTCCTCACTCAGATGTGATTTCAAGACCAAGATTTGGGGGCTTTCTGACTTAAGTCAAAACGGTAAGCTGGAAATTTACCTATAATCAGTTCTGGGGTCTATTCTTAAATGCAGGACACATTAGTTACTCAGATGCAAATAAGGCATTTCAGCTATTTACCTGTATATTCACTCTGTGTTGAATAAGCAAGCTCTTTGTGGCTCAAAATCTGCCCTGTTTGCCTTGCATGGTTGAAGTTGTATTTTGTAACACATCCTATTGGACCATTACCAACGCTAGCTCACCAGTACGGGTTTATGTGCAGGTGTGTGCAGGTGTGCAGGGATGGTGGGGGTGGTGGTGTCATGAATTTTCCTCTGACCAGTATAGTTATAATGATTATAATTAGTCTATTGTCATATTTCTAAGATATAGTATTTGGGGAATGTAGAATCACGGTTGGCCAATTTTCTTAAACATTTTTTGGGTAGCTTAGCAAATAACAAACGCAGAATAATAACAGACTCAATTATCTCCTTTCATTCTTCCAACTCTTTCACTTCATCCCTCCACGCATTTCATCTTCATATCCCCACTCCATTTTCAGCTTCAGATTTTATATTTGGTCACTTCCTCTGTTCCCACCGTGCTTAAAAATGCTTGCATCAAGAGGACTTAAATCATTCTAAACTTGGAGTATTGCCTCCTCCTGTTCTCAGTCATGTTCCTCAAAATTGTGACTTATATGTTGCTATTGTCTCCATTTTCTACCTACTAATTTCTTTACTACTACACTCAACAAATACTTGCTGAATAATTAATGTTTATCAGCCACGAGGCATCATGGCAAGAAGCTGAAGACATAGAGCTGAATGTCACACAAGTTTTTATTCTTTTCAGTAACCAACCTGTTACATTACTTCTCTCCCCAAACTGTTATTTCAAAAGTTTCCAGGCTTCATCTACCATCTAAGATGACATTTCCTTAGTCCACATCTTGCCTGAAATACGCAGTATTTTACAAGGCTAACCATCCATCTCTCCTTAAAACTTCCTCTTCTCTTATTCTCCAATGCTATGTTACTCAAAATGGGGTTAGTGCATTGATGGCTGGTCTGCAAACTTCTTACTATCAGTTCATGATAAGACAGTGAGCTAGTGCCAAAATGTTAGTGAACTTTGTTTAGTTCAGCTCTTTTGTTTTTTTTTTCCTTCCTTCCTTCCTTCCTTCCTTCCTTCCTTCCTTCCTTCCTTCCTTCCTACCTTCCCTCCCTCCCTCCCTCCCTCCCTCCCTTCTTCCCTTCCTTTCTTCTTTCCTGGCATTCGTAGTAACAACACTTTCTTGATATAGAAATAAAGAAATTAGTGTTTTGATTTACTTTTAGCATTTGTGGCACTTGCTTTATATCTCATCGTGGACTGGCACTCTCAGTAGTATTTTTTTCTGTTTTAGAATTTTTAATTCCTTCACTGTTAATTCCTTCACTGTTCCTTTTCTCACCCTACAATGGTAGCAATAACTATATATTTGTGTATATTATATATGTCATATTTAATATACATATATGCACACATTATATATGTGTGTGTGTCTATATATAGACACACACACACACACGCACGCATAGTCTACCCTTGAACAACATGTGAGTTAGGGACACCAACGGTCTACACAGTTGAAAATCTACACATAACTTTTGACTTGAAAAGGTAAAACTGTAACTACCAATAACCTACTGTTGACCAGAAGCCTTACTAATAAATAACAATTGGTGATAACATTTTGTATGTTATATGTATTCTATACTGTATTCGTTCAATAAACTAAAGAAAAGAAAATGTTATTAAGAAAATCATAAGAAAAAGAAAATATATTTACTACCCATTAAGTGGAATTGGATTATCATGAAGATCTTGTTTCTCAGCACCTTCATGTTGAGTAGGCTGAGGAGGAGGAGGAAGAGAAGGGATTGGTCTTCCTCTCTCAGGGGAGGCAGAAAAAAATGCATATAAGTGGACCCGTGAAGTTTAAACCCACGTTGTTCAAGGGCTACTAGTACTCTTAACTGTTGGTACCTCCTGAGGTTCTGTTCTTAGACCTGAGTACAGGATGAAGCAATGAAAACTCTATACTTAATACCTATTTTTTTTCAGACAGGGTCTCACTCTGTCACCCAGTCTGGAGTGTAGTGGTGTGATCATGGCTCACTGAAGCCTCCTGGGCTCAAGGGGTCCTCCCACCTCAGCCTCCTAAGTAGCTGGGTGTACAGGCACACACCACCATGCTCAGTTAATTTTGTTTATTTTTTGTAGGAATTGGGTCTCACTATGTTGCCTAGGCTGGTTTTGAACTCCTGTGTTCAAGCTATTCTTCCACTTCAGCTTCCCAAAGTACTGGGATTATAGGCATGAACCACTGGGCACCCAGCCTATACTTGATACCTTGATCTCCTTTCTGGTTGTAAAAAAAAAAAAAAAAAAAGTGTGCTAGGCATGTTGGTCCACACTTGTAATCCCAGTATTTTTGTAGACTCAGGCAGGAGGATCACTTGAGCTCAGGAGTTCAAGACCAGCCTGGGTATCACAGTGGGACCCCCATCTCTACAAAAAATAAAATAAAAAATTAGCCAGGCATGGTGGTGTGTACCTGTGGTCTCAGCTACTTGGGAGGCTGAGGCAAGAGGATGACTTGAGCTCAGGAATTTGAGTCTGTAGTTAGGTATTATCATGCCACTGCACTCCAGCCTCAGTGACAGGTCGAAAGCTGGTGTCAAAAAAAAAAAAGTGTGTTCATACGTGGGATGGGATGGGTATATTAGTGTGTATATAAGTCATATGCATAAATAATGCTGACCTGAAAGATTCCAACCTTTTAAGGGCAGATGCTTGGCCATTAGACAGAATTTGTTCTAATAAAATCAGGGTTCTTAATGGTCTCTGCTCCCCTGGAACCCCAGCATCTAGCTCCTAAATAATTAATGTGTTCTACATTCAATAATGGATTCCTAGCACATGCTTGGCCATGAGAGATGCCCAATAAGTATTGAATGAATAAATTAAGGTGTTCTCAGTCTTGATATCTGCTTATAGAATGCCTCCCTCAACTCCACCCAACCTCCAGGGCACTTAAAAAAATGTTTGTGTCACTATCTTTCCCTTCTCCATTTTAGAGCTCTCATTGAAACAAACATGTTACCATTTCTAAGGTATGAAAGATCTCAACTAAATATTGTCCTCCTGATGAACATGTTTGTATTTCAAAAAACAAATCAAGAAGCTGTCCCTGAAGAGAATTGGCCATTCTACCTTTTGTGCACCTCTTTAATCTCCACATCACAGTTGTCTACTAGAAATTGTCATACTGTAATTGAATGTTTTCTTTACATGTCCTATACCCTCCTCCAAGTTTCCATTTCCAGAGGGCAGGTTGAATGAAAAACAATTAACTTTTAATTTGGCACCTATGATATGCCAGTTACCTTACTAACATACATGACCCAATTTCATCTTCTGCCCACTCTCTACGTGAGGCATTATTATCTGTGATGTTTCAGACACAGAATTTCAGACACAGAGATTAGGCCATGATTAATTAATGACGGTGGAGTCATGATTCATACCTAGAGTCTTCTGAGTCTAAAAGTCCTTAGTTTTTTCTTCTGGCCATTCCTAAAATTCTTCAAAGTTCCTAACAGTTACTTGAACTTCATTATAAATAAATATGGGAAAAATGAACAAACAAAAGCAAACCGATAAAAATAATTTACTACTTAAGCCATGATAGCCAACCATGGTTGCCTAAGTCTTTTAAATCTCTTGGAGGGCGTTTGTTTAATATATATAAATGGCTAAATTTCATGGAGTGAAGCGTGTGTGCGTGTTTGTGTATGTAAGCTGGAACTGGGAACATTTTCATATAGTAAAGGTCTTCATATCACTTGGATGAAAGATAGAGATGTGGCAAACAGACTTTCAAAGTTTTGTAGATTTTGGAATTTTTAGAGTTCTGAATGGATGTTGGCCCTCCTAGCCTTTTCCTAATTTCTATTCCTCTCCAGCTGACATATTTTGATATTTATTTGTCCAGCCTAGTCCAGTTTTCACCTTGGTTGCTTATTCTGGTAAGATTTGGCTTACACCTCCTGTAGTTAATTTTTGGAGTAACAATCTGCTTTGGGGTATAACTATAGCTAATATATAATCTCTAGTCTCTGGGAGTCATCGGGGAGGATAGACGTCGGTTTGTCTTTGAGCACAGAGCTTCCCTCAGTAGAGAATGGCTATCCAAATAGCTAAACCCTGCTTAAGTCACTCACTGAAGTGTATACATGGAATGAAGTCTGGGTGTTTACAGAACTTCACTTCTTTGATCCTACAATGTCTGATTGCTTCTGGATAGATGTATGTGAGTTAACTGAAGCTGTAGAGTGAATTTATCTACAGAAGAAAATTCATTAACTTTTAAGTTAGAACCCAGAATGATATATTGACTCTTCAATATTTTATTTGAGAATGTGATAAATCCACTGCTCAAGTAATGCTAAATATTCTATCAAAAAGCGTACTTTGATTCTAATTAGAGTTTTATTTTAGGTAGAAGGAAAAAGCAAGAGATGACTTCTTAAAAGTTTTGAATACATAAAACATAAGGTTTTATTATTCCAAAGAAAGACATTCTATTATGCAAATATATTAATTCAGTTGCTGGTATGGAGACTTTAAATAGAAATAGATAAAGTTTAAATAAGGATTTCACGTTGCGCAATTGCTGAG
Organism: Homo sapiens; assembly: GCF_000001405.40. Classification (NCBI taxonomy): domain Eukaryota; kingdom Metazoa; phylum Chordata; class Mammalia; order Primates; family Hominidae; genus Homo; species Homo sapiens. The sequence goes on along the minus strand of NC_000014.9, from coordinate 86,662,526 downwards.
TGAAATAATCAGCTATTTGGTGTTGCTCAGATTACATGTTGGTTTAAAAAGAATCTTCTTTTAATATATATTAGTTTGTGCAAATCATCTACTATGACTACAGATTTTTCCAATTGCTCTAGAAATAGAAATTATCATTCAAAGATAAAGTCAGCAAACAAGCAGAAACATTGCATCCGAAAATGGGTTTAACCTGTTGTGTTTACTTTAAATCAAATGAAATTGCTTACGTCAGTTGATGTAGAAGAACAGTATAAAATTTACTAAGGTCTTTGCTATTCATCCATGTTTAAGCGCAGATTCCATTTTATGCCAGTGAATTTCAGAAAAAATGTGTGTGTATGTATTTGTACTTGTGCATATATACATATATGTATATAGAGTGATAGAGATTGATATTGACATATGGATATATGCAAAGTGAGGGAAAGGAGAGACAAATCATTGACTTCACAAAATGAAAATCTCTAGCAATGACCAATCTATTTTTATGAATCTGTATGTTTGCAAGAACACATTTTGACATCTTTATGCTTTGCTAAAAATTCAGGACATTTTTAAGCCTTGAAATATCAGTGCCACACTGTAGCAGACATTTTTCATGCATTTTTGACCACTCAATATATTTGAGCATCCTTCCTATGTTTGGATAATTTCTTCCATGTAAGTCCACACCTCTCTAAAGTAAATGTCATATACATGTCATTCTCATGTTCCTTCCAGCTATTTGTACCTGCATGACATAAGCTCACCCTATCAGACCATTCTTGGGCAAGGAGAGGCACAGTGAAGTAGACATTGCACAGCTTCCCCTCTGACAAGCAGAAGTAGACAGCTTAGTGTGCATCAGAGAGGCCAATGGTCCATCCATCAGATCCCGGGCCTGATACAGCAGTCAGTGCAGCAACAGTGCAACAGTGAGGTTTCTAATGGGGCTGTCCTGCAATATAATTTGGATGTTATTTCTGTTGTCCAGCCTAGAAATTCTGTGAGTGTCCTTATGTCTTTGAAAATCCCTTCCATCCTACTAGAGTAGGTTTTTTATTTTATAGTAAAAGCCATGACTGGTATACTGCCCAAACACTTGTACCCTCTCACCTACTTAAGAACCTCACTTAAAGTTTTTTCCCTTCCCTCTGTCTCTTCATCAACTTTTCTCCTCTTTTATCTGAATCATTCCCAGCAGCACACACACGTGCTATTGTTCTCTCTCTCTCTGTCTTATCATGCTTTCAATTCAAGCTACTGTCTTGGTTATTTCTTTTCTTTTTCAGCAAAACCCACAGTAGTTTTATATATACACACTCTCTCCAATTTATTACTCCAATTCTCTCTTGAACTCACTTCAATCAAGCTTTTCCACTGAAACTGCTTTTTTTCAAAGTCCCCAGTGACCTCCACATCACTAAGCCGACCTTCGCGTTGTTAAACCATCTTTAGTTCTTACCTTGCGTCACCTATCAGCAGCACAACCTGAGATAAAATTGATCACTCTCTCCTCGAGATACTTGCTTAGCTGCCAGGATAGCATACTCTCCTAGTTTTCCTCCTACTTCTCTGCTGCTCTTTGACCTTTTTTTTTTTTTTCTTAATTTTGAAGTACCCAGTGCTTAAATCTTGTATCTCTTTTCTTTTATATCTATACTTACCTAACCTCATGGCTTTCAATGCTAACAGGCTCATTCCTTTCTCTTAAACTCCAGGCTTGCATAGCCACCTACCTACTCAATGTCTTGACTTGCAAATCTAATAGACATTTCAAAAATATTATGCCTAAAATAGAGCTTTTGACCATTCCTCTCAGTTTTCCTCATCTTCATAAAAAGCAACTTAATTATTTCCATTGAGTAGGTCAAATATTAGTGTCATCTTTCATTCCTGTATTTCCTCTGTGTATCATGTCTAATCCACTAGGAAATCTGTTCCAGGCTACCTTCAGAGAGTGCTCAGGCTCTGATGCATCTTCATCACGTCCACGTTTATCTCTCTGGCCCAAGCTATCACCTTTCATTTGGTTTACTGTAGTAGCCTTCTAGCAGGTTTCTATTCTTAATTCTTGCCCCTTTCCCATCATCTATTCCTAAGACAGTAGCATCATGATTTTTTGTTTGTTTGTTTTTGTTCTGAGTTGGAGTCTCACTCCATCGCCCAGGCTGGAATGCAGTGGTGCAATCTTGGCTCACTGCAACTTCTCCTTCCTGGGTGCAAACAATTCTGCTGCCTCAGTCTCCCCAGTAGCTGGGATTACAGGCGTGCAACACCATGCCTGGCTAATTTTTGTATTTTTAGTAGAGACGGGGTTTCACCATGTTGACCAGGCTGGTCTCAAACTCCTGACTTCAAATGAACCACCCACCTTGGCCTCCCAAAGTGCTGGGATTACAGGCGTGGGCCACTACGGTGGCTGCATCATGATTCTTAAATGTAGGTGAAAGCACATTATATCTCTGGTCAAATGGTTCCAAAGCCAAAGTCCTTACAATGATCCATTTGCTCAAATATTTTCTGGCCTTCTTACTTTTCTGATCTCATCTCTGAGTGATTTCTCCTTAGTCATTTGGGTTGTGCCAGTTGCCCTCTTTGATGATCTTAGAACACACCAGAAACAGTCTCACCACAGGTTCTGCGACTCTGTTTCTTTGACTTCTTGCCTTTTTCCCCAGATATCAGCACATGTGTTATCTCCTTAATGCTTTTATTCGCATTCACCCTTCTTAATGAATCTTTTCTAGTCATCCTAATCAAAATTACAACCCATTTATATATATATATATTATTACTTAGCATTTATCACAATCCAAAAATCCACTAGCACATGGCTGTGTAAGAATAAGGCTCTTTGTATGACTGACACACAGTAGGTGCTTAGGATGACCAACTCTTCTAGGTTTGCTTGAGACTTGTCTAGTTTTAGCACTGAAAGTTTTGTGTCCCAGGAAACCTCTCAGGTCCAGGAAAACTGGCACAGTTGGTCACACTAGCTCCATAAATATTCATTAAATGACAGAATGAGAACAGAGGTGAAAGTATACACTCTAAGTAATTATTAAACCTATAGGGTATTTAATCTCTAGCTTTCTAGATGACAGAATCATTTGGAAGAAAGGATATAACCACATCCAATCATACAATGGAAAAGTGCAGGCATTTCCACAATCATCATAAAGTGTCATTTAGAAATATCTCTAAATGTATAACAACTATTATTAGATCCATACACTCAAGTCTTATCTACAATTCTATTATAAAGGATACTTTATAAAACTGCTTATCCTTATGACTGGCAGTAAATTTATAAAAATATTGAATATAACTGTAAAATATACACAGTGGAGAGATTCAACCACATTATTACTTACTGACAGAAAATTGTGGTCATGAGTAAATGAAAACAAAATATTGACTTTACTGACCTAAATCGTGTTTCCAGTTAATAGCTGTGTGTGACTTCAATGATGAGCTGAAGTCCATCCTTTGGGCATAAATCTTTCTGGGATACCTAAGTAAGCTCACGTGATTATTACGGGCTCATATAATTATTATAGTAATTATCATAATGCTATATAAACAATAATTATACTTTATAAAATGTTAAATGCTATGTAATACTTATCACAATACTTACATATTATATAGCATTTAACATTTTTAATATATTAAGTATTATATGGCATTTAACATTTTTAAATGTAACAAATATAATCTTTGTATATTGATAATGTGCAACCATTGATAAAATATGAATACCAATTTCAATATGAATATTATAAGCTTTTTTTAAGTCAGCTTAAATGTTTTAAACATAATCATCCAAATAAACATTAAAAAACAGAACATAAAGAAATGAGAGTTAAGGGTTAAGTTCCCCAAAACCAACTCCTTTTAGGGTGCCTCCCTGGAAAATTCCTTGGGAAATGGACTACGTCTGAGTTCAGGTCATCTTAAGTGTGAAGTGATAGCTCATGTCAACTGGATCTGCCATGTAATATAGTTGCAACTGACCTGTGATCATGCTGAGAGGGACTGGTGTTCTATCAGCCAGGATTGTAATAAGATAGAGTTGCAGACCAAGCCTCTGACACATGCCAATCACTGTGGGGGAGAAACTCTCACTAGAATCAGATGTCTGGCCCTGCTAGATCCCTGTGACCTGCCTCCCAGAACTTCAGTGGAGATCTAGAATGCCTGTGAGTGCTTGTCTCTGAGCTTTACTCCCAGTAAAGGCCACGCCAGTGAACTTGCGTGTGCATTGTGGGGCTATACACTTTTGTTGGCTTGGCCACTGGTACAGGGAGTTAGTCTTCTGGTCCAGCACCCATCATGGCCTTCCAGATATGAGCCAAGAGATCAGAGACCAGTGGCTCATCCTCAGGGTGGGAGAAATTTGCTTGGGGTGGCATAGCCAGTCATGCTCAGGGAACAACCTAACTGATCATTGACTAATCATGGAAGCTAGATCTTTAAAGCACAAGAAATGTAAAACCTGGAGAGATTAGGATACCCAAGATAATAACTCATAGCTATTATTAATGACCATGAAGAGGTCAAGAGGTCATCCAAGGGAAGGTGAACTCCACCATGGGAATGGCTGAAATGGGCTCCTTTACAAATAATTTTTGAAAACGGTAATGAATGGAGCATTCCTTGACAAAGTATCATTTATTCAAAGCATGTCGAATATTCTTACTTGAACACAGCTAACAAATAGGCTACTTTTATAACCCTCATCCTGTGATGGGGTCAGTCTGAGAAGGCATAGTGTCTTTTAGGTTCTGTGAGTACTCAAAAATTGCAAACCAGGAGGGAGATGGCCTAAAAGTTACTGCCCTATATGAGGTCCTCCAGGTGAGGCAGATAACCAATGGGGTTCCTGGAACTGCCAGGTAAGCCTCTCAGCTGGTTATTCTCTTCTTTCCCTACTAGAACATTCTCCACACTTTTCTTCCCTGTTCAGCATCCAGGAATAGGATCCTTTCAGATTGCCTCTCCCTGATGTCCTTGCCTGCTGTTTCCAGGTATGCTCATCCAGTGAAAAGCACCAGAAGCACACAGGAGGGTAAGGAGAGACAGAAGAGAATTATTTCTTCTCTATTCCTTTCCTGCATCAAGATTACACCTCTGGCAAGAGCTAAATCATTATATGATGAAAACTCCAGCTTCCAAAATCTATTCTCACCAGACTCTGGTAATTCTATCTCCTTACATTGTCTCTTCTGCCTTGAGGTGGCAATGCCTTCCCTCTGTTGTTAATTCTTTGGTACCCTACTGTCTTTTTTTGTTCCTTTAATGCTGCCCATATTTCAATAAAGTAGTCTTTTATTAATATTTCTGATTTTTTTCTGTAGAAAGACAAAAGATAAATAACCCCGTTGTTTCCTCTTGCTAATACATTTTAATCTTTACCCCTTGTAATTAGGCTAAAAGGAGTGTACTATTGGGATTTATCGTGGCCACAGGAATTAGATTGATTAGCGTAAAATTAATCATAGTGGAAAAACAAAACATTCCAACAAAATGAATTACCAGAAATGTATGAGTATTAATGAACAAAATACCTATTTCTGCTTACATTACAAAAAGCACACCAAAACCTCATAAAATTTGAATGGAATATGGATGAATAATAAAGGTCAGTTTTGTTATGTATAATGGTTTTAGTCATTGTAGATATTTATCACATGCTAAACAATGCAGTCTAATGAGCAACATGAAACTTTGCTAAGGCTCAGATAGATGCACTCCCATGGGAACAGGTGAATTAGACAGCAGAAAGTCAGCCAATGTGTAAACTGATCTGGAAATGAAATTTCCTGCAAGTGTCAAGCATTCAAAGCAGAATAGTAAAAGTAGCATCATGTTGAAAGAAGGCACTACTAAAATTGCCATCATCAGAGATCAGAAAAAAAATGCAATGCTACAAGACTACAGGAATGTAAGTTTAATATTGACCATTGCTTTTATGAAAATGAATGAGCCAATAATGCATTACTTTCTGAGAGCCCAGTAAGCACTGAATAAAAGAGCATTAAATATTCGCATTAGAGTCTATGAAATATGCTTTCACATGATGCTTGCCATTTGCTTCTGTCATAGGTTCATCCAAAGTTATTAAATTTTAAAATTGCACTAGGACTTTTTATATGTAGTACATTTATAGCGTCTGATTTATATAGCACTTTTCTTCCATAGTGCCATTATATCCTCATTCTCCAATTCAATTGTGCTTATGGTTAAATATAGCAAGCAATATATGTGTGTGCATTAAATATATATATAATGTTATATAAGTTTTTCTTGATCTTTATATACCATATTTCCTGAAATTTTGCAGTAGGTCAGAATGCAATTTCAAGATGACTTGCAATACGGAATGGTATTTACATCCACAGGAATTTGGTATGTTTCAAGATTGTCTCTAAATAGCAATCATTCTGAAGTAGGCGGTCTAATTTGTATGAAATCCCATTCTCTGTGCATGTAACTTACATAAAATCAACTATATATGCCTTAGAAAGAGAGGCAGAAATAAATGAATTAAAATTAAATTTGGTCAAGCCATTCTACCTGCTGTTTCTCTATCTCCCTGAGTAAAGCTGAGTTAAGCAAATCAAATTGCCTTTCTTTAATTCATCCCAATTTCATCATCACTCTTATAGGGTGAGAATCTTAACTGGGTAATGAGGTGTCAAGTATTTAAAGATGCATTATTTATTTATTTATTTATTTATTTATTTATTTGAGAGACAGAGTCTCACTCCATAGCTGAGGCTGGTGTGCAAAAGAACAATCATGGCACACTGCAGCCTTGAACTGCTGGGTTCAAGTGATCCTCCCGCCTCAGCTTCCTGAGTAGCTAGGACTACAGGCATGTGCCACTATGCCATCCTCCTAACAATACATTTTTTTAATATAGCACATACCTTAATCTTAATACAGCTACTCCACCTGACATTAAACCAAGGAAAAAATGGTCTAATCCCAGCCTAAGGAAAAACTGCTGTTGGATTCACTGCATTGAGAGATAGTATGTCAGTCTCCAGTAGGATTTTCTAAGGGATTTTCCAGGTTTAATTTCACCAATATATAATGATTGCCTTGTCATTGACTTTAGACATTTGCTCTCTGGTAGAGTGGGACTGCATCTATGAGTAATAATAAAGAAAATGCCCATTTCTGCATATGTTTAAAAAAACATGAAATTTTAGAATGGAATATGGATTAACGAATAAAGGTCAGTTTTGTCACCTAGAATTGTCTCCAGTCATAGCAGGTAGTCATCCCATGCTAAACAATGTGGCCTGATGACCATAAAGTCAGTATAAAATCTCTGTGACATTCTTAGTGGTGACAACAACTCTTAGATTCAAGTTTTCCACCGCCTTGGACCACACTGAGGAGAGATTTAAACAGAAATAGGCCACTGAGAATAAAACTTCAAAAGAGGGAGAAAGGAAGTTACAACCTGTGTTGGAGAGTGCTGGGTAGAGAATTGGCCTTGAGGTGAATGTGCTCTTAATGGGATGATCCTGTGAACCTTCATTAGGATGGCAGATTCTGCTGGTAATTTCTCAAATCTTTTGGAAACAGCACTTAGACTAATCACCCCCACATTATTAAAACAAGGGGTTGTAAAAATGGAAGACATTCTACCACTTAGAAGCTATTTAAATTTGCACTAACTTTGAAGCCTGGTCATTTAATATATGCGCATATAACCAATTAGGGAAAAATGTTTTTGCTCAACAAAACGAGGCCTGTAACAGCAAGAAATGTTTGTCACCAGGGGGCGCCAGTGAACAAGTTTCAAATGTGTCACCCCCGCAACAATGGCGAATGGAAGAATGGAAGGGAAGTAAGTTTTCCTATTCCTGCTCTATATAATTTCTCGTAACCACCATCATAGAAAACGTCTCTTTAAAAAAATTGTTGCTAACTGATATTTTAATATGGCTTGGTGTGTTAGAAAGCAGCTTTGGATTTCAATTCCAGTTTCACAATGGAATAGCTTAGTGTGAGCGAACTAGTAATTTCTTTTTATGGGCAAAATGGACATAATGATAATGCTGTCTCAAATTATTTTTGCCAGAACTAAACTGGTTGGCAGTAATAATAACTAATGTTTGCATATTCTCAGAGTTTAATTAGCTTATCTTTGCATACATCATCTAAATTATGAAACACTGAAAGATAAGTATTTCCTAAAAATGAACTGATTAAAGAAGAGTAATAATATTGGAAGTTCTTAATTTCAGCTCTTTCTGTAAAATCAGTTGAGTATTGTCTAATACCAGAAGCACTTTTGAAAACTGAAGTATTCAGCCTCTCCTTGAGACTTGATATTTGTAGGCTGTGAAAATGGTGTGGACTCTTTGGACTTTTCCAAAATGACTCCAGATTCCTTGAAGGAGGAAAAGGGCTGTTGTATGAGAAATTAGGAGGATGAGGGAGAAAGATGGAGGGACAGGACAAAAATAGTACTTCTGGGAGCTGTTCATTTAGATATGCAAGAAAAAGAAATAGACTCTATTCTATTTCGAGAATCCACTGTGATTTGTTTATTAGATAACGCCAATGGAATTTTCATTCTGAGATATTCTTTCCTGGGCTCCCAACACTTCCCCTCTTTTAGTTACATCAACAACCTGACAGTATAATGTGCTCATGTTGTATATTAACACATGTTGGAGTTCTATTACACTGGAGCAAAACCTTATAGGCCATTTATTCAGGTCTCCAATTAGTAAAACATTTAATAAGAAAAATTTGTTATAAGAGACATACATAGCTGGTTTTAACCATGTGATTGCACAAAAGAAAATCTAAAACGAGAAAACTTTTATTCTGTTTATTCTTCTTGTCACTTTGATCCTTTGTTAAATTATTGGGAAGAGAAAGTCCACCCGGGGCCAAGGATATAGATGTGAGCATAGAGTTTCTCATTTTTATTATTACTTTTTTTCTTTTCCTTCTTTAACTTTAGGTCCCATCCTGTGCCTATTAGTGATTTCGTGGAACATAAATCTTCCTGAGGAGGAAAATTTTCTAAAAACAGAATTCAGTTTCTTTTTATTCTGTCTTATACAATAGCTATTCAATCCACCTACTGCTATCGGAACCTTTCTGCACCCCGGAATCAGCTGTCTCATCATGACTTGCTGTCCCTTGTCTTATTCGCTTGTTTCTAAGACCAGCCTGAGCAGTAGTTTTGAGCTCATTTTTCCTTTTCTTTACTCAGGTAGACAGCTGCCTTTTAGCCCTTACGTAATTTTATTATTTCTTATATGTGAAAGAAACTGTCACTAATAAAAAGGAAGGAGAGATGAATATACTGTCCTTTTGCTATAGAGAAAAAATGCAAGGGAAATAGTACATCACTTTAATTTATCTCCTTTTTTTTGAAATTTGGCTTTTAGATCTAGTTTGATCAGGAGCAAGTCACTTTTTAGGGATGTCCCATGAGATTTTTAACTTTATTACAGTAAAAGTAATAATAATAAAAAATCTCTGCATATATTCTAGACAAAAATTTGTTACATGAGAGAAAAAATCCACAAATAAAATAATGAGGACTCAGAGATAACTTCATGATTTATAGGTTTATTAGTCCATTAATTGATTGACTAATCTATCAAATATTTATGAAACATGTAGTATGTCCAACGTATATTTTGTTGCAAAAATTCCTAACCGGTAACCAGTCTAATAGGGGAAGAGAGAAAAGCCAATATTTAGAGAATAACGCAGTTTAATTAAATCATGTATTCTTTCATTCCAAAGCTGTTTCCTGAATTCCTACGATATGCATCACATATGTTTAGTTAAAGAGGATTAGATTTTACAAAGAGGGAACTCATGGAGAATGTATTGAAAGAAGTGAGAATATAGAAAGAGAAACCAATTATAAGCTGAAGGGTGCCTACAGCTTTTGTGGGGACTTAGGTTTATATAATTGAGAGGGAGGACTGTTTATGAAAAAATGCCAAATTATGTCCACAAGTAAATAGGTATTTTCACATAGAGAAAAAAATCACAATAAATTATTAATACAAATTTTTAAAAGTTGACATATACTAGAAATATCATATAATTTTTAACAATGACACACCTTTTATGAATTAACTTACTGGTTACTTCTCTGTAATTTTTTTCCTTCAATCTAGCTATATTTTCTTTCAATGACATTTCTCTATAGGGAAAAGTGAAAGATATTTTAGTCTTAATTATCATGATGAACATTTGTTTGGCTTTTTTTCCTTTTCATTTTTATTTTATATTTTACTTTTATTTTGGATTCGGAAGGTACACGTGCAGGTTTGTTATGTGGGTATATTGTGTGATGCTGAGGTTTGGGGTATGGATGATCCTGTCACTCAGGGAGTGAATATAGCACCCAATAGGTAGTTTTTCAGCCCTCACCAATCTCTCTCCTTCCCCTCACTAGTTGTCCTCACTATCTATTGCTTTAATCTTTGTGGCCATGTATACTCAATGTTTAGTTCCCACCTATAAATAAGAACATGTGGTATTTGATTTTCTGTTCTTACATTAATTCATTTGGGTTATTGGCCTCCAGCTGCATCCATGTTGCTGCAAATGACATGATTTCATTATTTTTTATGGCTGTAAAGTATTTTATGGTGTATATGTACCTTTTTTTTATATACAATCCACTGATGATGGGCTTCTTGATTGCATGTCTTTGCTTTTGTGAATACTGCTCCAATGGACATACAAGTGCAAGTGTCTTTTGGGAAGAACAATTTATTTTCCTTTGGATATATACCCAATACTGGGATTGCTGGGTTGAATGGTAGTTCTCTTTTAAGTTATTTGAGAAATCTCCAAACTGCTTTTCACAAGGACTGAACTAGTTTACATTTCCATCAACAGTGTAGAAATATTCTGTTTTCCATGGCATCACCAGCATCTGTTATTTTATAAATTTTTCATAATCACCATTCTGATTGGTGTGAGATTGTATCTCATTGTGGTTTTGATTTGCATTTCTCTGATATTAGTGATGACAAGCATTTTTTCATATGTTTGTTGGCCACTTGTATGTCCTCTTTTGAGAGGTGTCTGTTCATGTCCTTTGCCCATTTTTAAGTTTGATTATTTGCTGTTTACTTGTAGATTTTAAGTTCTTTGTAGATTCTGGATATTAGACCTTTGTTGGATGCAGGGTGCAAATATTTTCTCCCATTCTACAGGTTTTCTGTTATTCTATTGATTATTATTAGTTTTTGGTATACAGAAGCTCTTTAATTAGGTTCCACTTTTCAATTGTTGTTTTTATTGCAATTTCTTTTGCAGACTTACCCATAAATTCTTTCCCAAAGCTGATGTTGAGAAGAGAATTTCCTATTTTTTCTTCTAGGATTTTTATAGTTTGATGTTTTACATTTAAATTTTAAATCCATCTTGAGTTAATTATTTGTACATGGTGAAAGACAGGGGTCCAGTTTTATACTTATTCATATGTCTAGCCAGTTATCCCAGCACAATTTATTGAATAGGGAGTCCTTTTCCTATTGCTTGTTTTTGTCAACTTTATGGAAGATCAGATTACTGTAGGTATGCAGCTTTTGTTCTAGATTCTCTATTCTATTTCCTTGGTCTGTGTATCTGTTTTGTACTAGTACCAAGCTGTTTTGTTTACTGTATCCTTATAGTATAGTTTAAAGCCAAGTAATGTGACACCTCTGGCATTGTTCATTTTGCTTAGGATCACTTTGGCTATTCAGGTTCTTTTTTGTTTCCGTATGGGTTTTAGAACAGTTTTTACAAATTATGTGAAAATCGATGTTGGTACTTTGACAGGAACATTGTTGAATATGTTAAATGCTCTGGGCGGTATGGACATTTTGACAGCATTGATTCCCTCATTCCAAGAGCATAAAATATTTTTTCGTGTATTTGTGTCATCTCTGATTTCTTTCCGAAGTGTTTTGTCATTCTCCTTGTAGATATCTTTCATCTCCTTAGATAGATGTATTCCTAGGTATTGTATTTTTGTGTGCCTATTGTAAATGGGATTGTATTTCTGATTTGGCTCTCAGCTAGAATGTTTCTGGTGTATAAAAATGCTACTGATTTTTGTACATTGATTTTACATCCTGAGACTTTCCTGAAGTTGTTTATTTGTCCTAAGGACCATTTGGGAGAGTCTTTAGGGTTTTCTGAATAGGAAATTTCTTTTCCTATTTCAGTGCCTTTTATTTCTTTCTCCTCCCTGATTGCTCTGGTTAAGACTTCTAGTACTATGTTAAATAGGAGTGATGAGAGCAGGAAACCTTGTCTTGTTCCAGTTCTCAAGAGGAATGCTTCCAGTTTTTGCCCATTTTGTATGATGTTGGCCGTGAGTTTGTCGTAGATGGATCTCATTATTTCCTGACATGTTCTTTTGATGTCTAGTCTGTTGAGGGTTTTTATCAGGAAGGGATGTTGAATTTTATTGAAGACTTTTTCTGCATCCATTGAAGGGATCATATTATTTTTGTTTTTGATTCTGTTTAGATGATAAATCATATTTATTGATTTGCATATATTTAATCAACCTTACATCCCAGGAATGAAGCCTATTTCATCACAGTGAATCAGCTTTCTGATATTGCTACTGGATTTGGTTTGCTAGTATTTTTTTTGACTAGTTTTGCATCTGTGTTCATCATTGACACTGGTCTCAAGTTTTCTTTTTTTATTGTGTCTCTGTCAGATTTTGGTATCGGGATGATGCTGGCTTCATAAAATGAATTAGAAAGGAGGCTGTCCTTCTCTATCTTTTGAGACATTTTCAGTAGGATTAGTGCTAGCTCTTTTTGTAGGTCTGGTAAAATTTGGCTGTGAATCTGTCTTGTCCAGGGCTTTTTTAGGTTGGTAGGTTCTTTATTACTGATTCAATTTCAGAGGTTGTTATTGGTCTTTTCAGGTTTTCACTTTCTTCCTGGTTCAGTCTTGGGAATTTGTGTGTTTCCAGTAATTTATTCATTTCCTCTAGAATTTCTAATTTGTGTGTGTAGAGGTGTTTATAATAGTCACTGAAGATCTTTAGTATTTCTGTGGGATTGGTGGTAACGTCATTGTCATTTCTGACTGCACTTATTTGGATCTTCTCTGTTTTTTTTTCTTTGTTAATCTAGAAGAGTGGTGTAGCTAATGGTCTAATAATCTTTTTTATTCTTTTGATGAAACAACTGTTTGTTTCATTGATCTTTTAATGAATTTTTGCATCTCAATTTCTTTCAGTTCTTCTCTGATTTTAGTTATTTCTTTCCTTCTGCTACCTTTGGGATGATCTGATTTTTGTTATTTCCAGTTCCTCTAGGTGCAATATTAGATTGTTAATTTGAGATCTTTCTAACTTTGCAGTAGAGTTATTCGGGAGTAAGTTGTTTAATTTCCATGTTTTTGTCTAGTTGTGAGAAATCTTCTTAGTATTGATTTCTATTTTTATTGCACTGGTTCAAGAGTGTACTTGGTATGATTTTGATTTTATTGAATTTACTGAGACTTGCTTTAGGATGGAGCATGTGGTTGATTTTAGAATATGTTACATGTAAGCATGAGAAGAATGTATATTCTGTGGTTGTTAGGCAAAGTATTCTGTAGATATCTATTACATCCAATTGTTTGAGTGTTAAGTTTAAATTCACAATTTCTTTGCTAGTTTTTTGCCTGAATGATCTGTCTAATTCTGTCAATGGGGTGTTGAAATCCCCCACTGTTACTGTGTGGCTGTCTGAATCTCTTCATTGATCAGGAATAACTTGTTTTATGAATCTGGTTGCTACAACATTGGGTGGAAATATATTTAGGATAGCTAAGTCTTCTTGTTGAATTGAACACTCTATCATTATGTAATGCTCTTCCTTATCTTTCCTGATGGTCATTGGTTTAAAGACTGTTTTATCTAATATATGAAAGGGATTCCAGCTTTTTTTTTTTCATTTGCATAGTAGATCTTTCTCCATACCTTTACTAGGAGCCCGTGTGTCGCATTAAATGTGAGATGGGTCTTTTGAAGACAGCAGATAATCAGGTCTTGTCTTTATTTTCCTTTTTTTTTTTTTTTGAGACAGAGTTTCGCTCTTGTGGCCCAAGCTGGAGTGCAATGGTGCAATCTAGGGTCACTGCAACCTCCGTCTCCTGGGTTCAAGCAAATCTCCTGCCTCAGCCTCCCGAGTGGCTGGGATCACAGGCACACACCACCACACCTGGCTAATTTTTTGTATTTTTAGTAGAGACAGGGTTTCACCATGTTAGTCAGGCTGGTCTCGAACTCCTAACCTCAGGTGATCTGCCTGTCTTGACCTCCAAAAGTGCTGGCCCAGGTCTTGTCTTTTTATACAGATTGCCACTCTTTGCCTTTTAAGTGGGGGTGATTAGACCATTTATATTCAGTGTTAGTAGTGGTAATATGAGGTTTTTGATCCTATCATCATGTAACAACATGGTTGTTTTGTATGATTTGATTATGAAAAGGCTTTATATTGTCTGTGGGCTCTGTGTTAAGTGTGTTTTTGTGGTAGCAGGCTCATTTTTTTTGTTTGTTTACATGTTTAGCACTCACTTAACTGCTTGTATAAGGCTGGTTTTGTGATAATGAATTCCCTTAGTGTTTGCTTATCTGAGGAGGATTTTGTATCTCCTTCACCTATGAAGCTTAGTTTGGCAGAATATGAAATTCTTGGTTGGAATTTCTTTTCTTTGAGGATCCTGAAAATGGGCTCCCCAACCCTTCTGTTTTTTTATGGTTTCTGCTGAGAGGTTCACTGCTAGCCTGATGGGGTTCCTGTTGTAAATGACCTTTCTCTCTAGTTGCTTTTCAGGTTTTATCTTTCATGTTCATCTTGATGAATCTGATAATTACAAGCCTTGGGGGTGGTCGTCTTGTATAGTATCTCACAGGGTTCTCTGTATTTCTTGAATTTGCATGCCAACCTTTCTAGCAACACTGGGGAGCTTTTCACGGATTATATCCTCAAATATGCTTTCCAAGTTGCTTACTCTCTCCTCCTCTCTCAGGAATGCCAATGAGTCATATATTTGGTCTGTTTACATAATCTCATGTTTCTCAGCCATTTTGTTAGTTTATATCAATTATATTTTCTTTATTTTTATCTGACTGAGTTGATTCAAAGAAGCAGCTTTCAATCTTTGAGATTCTTCTCTTGGGTTAGCCTATTCTGCTTATAATGATTCTGACTGTACTAGGAAATTATTCTAGTACATTCTCAATTACAGGAGTTTAATTTGATTCTTTTTTAAAATGGCTATTCTGTCTTCAGCTCTTGCATCATTTTACTGGACTCTTTGCATTCCTTGGATTGGGTTTCAACTTTCTCTTCAGTCTCAATGAGCTCCCTTCCTTGCCATCCAGATTCTGAATTTTAGATGTCTGTTATTTTGGTCATTACAGTCTGGTGAAGAACCATTGCTGGGGCACTAGTGTCTCAGGTGTTCCTTTAACTGTAGGATAAGTTAAATATAGTCAGTTGGCTTCATTTCTGGGTGCTTTCATTAGGCCAAGGCTTTGTATACAACCTTTATTTGTTGCTGGATTCTTGCCTCCAGTTTCACAGGTGCTAAATACTGGCAAAATATTTTCGGTGTTGTAATTTGGGCTGTGATCCAGTAGATGGCACTTAAGAGTGATGGCCAAGAGATAGGCTCTTAATCAGATGTGTGTCTGATTGTATTTCAACATGTTCACAGTGGGCTCTGTGGTGGGGTTGGGGAGGGAGAGGACTCCTCTCACCAGATTTACTCCTGGGCCTTCGAAGAGCCCCCTCCAATCAGTGGGGCTGTGCCTGCATTTCCCTTGTTTGGTGTTCCTTGCCATGGGGCTCCCTGAGGCAGATACCACAGCTGGTGGATAGGCTATCCACTTCCTTCACTGCCCATATGGAGGGAGGCTTGTCCCACTTCCACACTGGCTCATGAACCATGGTGTCTCAGTCCTCTCAATGTTCTGAGATTTGGGGCACCTTTCTCACTCAGGAACCACTAGGCCAGCAAGTCTTGCTTGGCTGGGAGCAGTAGCGGCAAAGGCAGTCTCATGATCTGCCAGTTAGGCATCTCCTGAAGGAACACAGAGGTGTGCCCAGCTACAGGGTTCAGGCAGGGGCAGGGCCACTGCACTGGAAGTTCAACCTGGCAAGACCTGCCTGGCTAGGGGCAGTAGGGGAAAGGGGTCACGTGATCTGCAGTCTAGGTGGTTTCTGAGTGAACACAGCACTGTCCCTGCCATCGGAGTTAAAGCAGAGATGGAACCTCTGCACTGGAAGACCAAGCTAGGTAGCTTAGCCTGGCTGGGGCGAGTGGGGGCCGGTGGGGGTCACATGGTCTGCAGTCTGGGAGGGTCCCAGGGGAACATAATGCTGTGCCTATCTGCAGCATTCAGGTATGGTGGAGGTTGCCATGTTGGAAGCCAAGCAGATAATTGTCTGGAAAGAAGGAGTGGGACAGTCTGACTGCTCCCCCAGTAGCATGACTGTGGCCTCGTTTGGCATCATGGCAGCTGGTGCTAGGCTGCTCAGGCATCCAGGACCTGTGGGGCTCCCTGTGGTCTTAAGTAGTACCTCTCTGAAAGAAAACCCAGGAGGTTTTCTGTATCAGTGTAGAGGCCTGGGGGTTCTCAGGGAGGTTCTTCCATTCCCATAACTGCAAAGGTTCCTGTTGGAGGAGCTCTTACTCTCTTACCCTTTCCCTGTGCTAGGAGCTTCTCCTGGCTCCTCACTGGTCCCAGGTGTGTTGCTGCTCAGATTTACTCCTCCCTGTTCTCCATGGCTCTCCTCTCTTGCTTGATGGATCCTGACAATCCTCTTGAAGAGTCAGTATTTACTCCTCACTTTTTTTCCTTTCTGTGAATGCTGCCCACACTAGCTGTCAGCCATTTTAAAGAGAAACCTTGCTTTGTTTTTAGGTTGACAATTTATAAAAGTTAGTTTAAGCTTTGTAGTTCTTTATTGGTAATGGCGTAAAAATATTTTATGCTTGATGTAAAATTTGGTGAAACCCTTATCAAATTTTTTCATGTGTAAGTACTAAAAATTTCTAGCTTTTTACATTTTCTTGTGCAGAGGCTATTTAAGTTATTGTTATTCATTAATCTATTTGTCTTTGTTTTCTCTGCTATAATGGTCTGTTTTGTGTTTCATGTACTCTTCATCAGCATCTATATTTAGTGCTCACCTCCTCCTTGCTAGATTCAAAAATGTCCGTGCATACATCAAACCAAGCAACTTAGAAGTGCAATGGGAAAATTGATGGAGAAAGGGACGGTGTTTCTAATAGACTGTGATTCGTGTAGCTAACAGATTTTGCAGATTTTACATAAATATGTGAACACCTTTGTCATGTTCCTTTCCAGTGCCTTGAAAGGAGCCCATGAAAGTGAGAGGTTCTGTTTTACAAAAATCTGCCCATGGTTTGGAGCTGCCATAGTCAAGAGAAACCCATACGGGTTTAAACAAAGACAATGGCAGAAAGAGTACACATTTGAGGAATATTAAGGAAGCAAAATCTATAATTAGTTGCATGATGGAGATGAATATTGCCATTTCTATACATGGTAATATCTATTCTTTTTTATTACCAATTTACATAAATACACATCTGTGAATACCTGTAATAGTTACGTATGAAGACTAGTCTCTTGGATCCACAAAAGGCTGGAGGGGAGGAATTATAATCTAAGCAAATCTGGAGCCAAAAGCTAAACAGGAAAGTCAAGATGTTATCATTGTCTTGGCTACCAGATAGTAAGAATGCCTTGAGGAGAAATATGACTTCTCATCTTAAATTTATAATCAATTAATGTACAGCTAGGTCATTCTAAATGGTACCATCACGAATGAAGGCTGCAATCTATTGGGATCAATAAATTATGAATACATAAATACAATCTATAGAGGTTCCCTGAAACCAGAAGAAATAGTGCCTGATCCTTCCAGAGACCATCTGGACAGGAAGCACAGAAGGGGTAAAGTGTGCACTGAATTGTAAAACACTCCAAGCATTTGGCCATTTGGTAAAATAAGCAAAAATTTGAGGAGGGAAGATGAATTAAGCAAGGTTTCATCAAATGCTCCAATAGCTATGTTATCCAATAGAGATCACTGATGTAGTTTTCTGTTCCTGCAATACAGTAGATTGAATGCTTCCCAATGAAGGCTGGAAACACTGGTCAAGTTTAAAATTAAAATTAAAATGTATTGCTGTCCTGGGACAAGAGGCCATGGGAAAAAATAAAATGGAGCTGGAAGATGCAAAGAAACAGTGACCCTAAACCCCACCGTGGATATGGAAATCTCTGTGACTATATCTGCAAGCTTGTGGAATTTCGTTTATATGCAATTTGGAATTGGAATGATTCCTAGTAAATTTGAAGGTGTGTATTCTCTATGGTCCAGCAATTGCACACCTAGATACTGTTTCATCAATTTTGAGTCACATTTTTTCATAGTTTAATATGTCTGAAGTTAAAATGCAATTCTGATATATTTTAATTGAAAACTTTTTTCTTTCAATTAAAATAATTTGTGCACGATTTTGTGCAAAATAATGGCCTGTATCGTATTACTGATAACATCTTAGCCTAGCCTTGATGAAATATCACATACATACCTTAGAGAAACTCTTGTATGTTTTTGTCATTATATTATAAAATGTTCACTGTAGTGTTCGCATAACAGAAACCTGTAAACAATCCAATTGCCCATCAGTGACAAAAAGAATAAACACATTGTGTTATATTTAAAGTAGCAGATGTGAATGAATATACTCTAGTTACACATACCAGCATAGATGCATCTGAAATATCTATTGTTCAAAAGTCACAGAAGAATACACACAGAGTAATTTATAAAATACAACAAATCATTAAAGTTAAATGATACATACATGGATTGTAGCACTATAAAAACATGAAAATTGTTAGTACAGTGTCCAGGAGCATAAAGTAATGAAACAATTAGGAAGCTCACCCAGAGTGCTTCTTAGTTCCTGGTAATTAATCTTTTTCTTAAGGTGAGTGGTGGGCAGATAGGTTTATGCATTTTATTATTCTCTAAAATATATACATATGATTAATATATTCTTTCCTACATATGACAAATTTCAAATTAATATATTAAATATACGGAAAAGTTCCACCTGATGTAAACTTGAAGAGATTTGACCTTTAAAGTCTCGGCAATTTTTTCAAGCAAAGAAGACCCAGAAGTTTGGTAGGGAATACCATTGTAAAAACTGCAGTAATTTTATATTCTGGGCTATCTAGAACATGTACACCTGGGCCAGATATCACATTGAAGCCCCATAATCTTTCAATATTGTCAACGGTTATTAGTACTATGCCCATTTGAAAACACAAAAACCAAGGCATAACATTATTATGGTAGACACCTAAGTTGTTTAATTGATTAATGGAAGAGCTGGAATAAAATGCATCTCCCCAACCATAAACCCAGGTTCCACCACTCTGCATGGTTATAAGGCTAAAAAAGTTTGGATATAGAAGACATTGTTAGGTAGTTTGCAGTTGTTTGAAACAGGAGTAAATGCGTATGTGTGTGTGTGTGTTTATATATATACACATATATATGATAGTTGCAGTTTTCAAACAGCATTATTTTATTTTATCTGTATTTCCTTCTAAATTATGTTGTAGTGATAAAAGAAAAGCAATCAAAATTCAGTCTTTTGCTTAACAATTTTGAGTTCCTACTATAATCCCCAGGGCATACTGGATGGAAGGGGTTACTCTCTTAATAAAACACCAGCTCTGGCTATCCAATAGGGAAAATGTGTACTTCAGTTTCTGTTAAGACCAGACAAAAGTTTATAACTGCCAGGAGAATAAAACTGGTACATTTTTAATGGTTGCTTTTAAAGAACAACTTTTATTTTTATCAGGTGTTTTAAGGATGGGCAGGATGAGATTGACACCTTAAGGAATGTGACATACAGAAAAGCGCACAAGGGTAGAAAGAGCTTGTGAAGAGTTGCACATGAACACATAAAAAAAGTAGCTTATCTTTGACCCAGCTGGACTAGTTATGGTTGTTTCACATCTGGAGAACAACACAGAAGGCAATTGTGAGCAAATTTTTTGAGCTTTATTAAGGTATAATTGAAAAATAGAAAGTATATATATTTATGGTATACACTTGATGTTTTGATATATATATGTCTACATTGTGGAATGATTAAACCAAGCTAGTTAAAATATTCATCACCTCGTCTACTTACTGGGTGTGTGGTAAAAACATGTAAAATTTACTCAGCAATTTTCAAGTATCTTTTTTGATTAACTGTAGTCACCATACTGTACAGTAGATTTCTAGAATTTATTCATTCTGTCCAGATGAAAGTTTGTACCATTTGAAGAACATCTTTCCATCCCCACCCCTGTGTGTCAACTGCTGGCAACCACCATTCTACTCTCCGCTTTTATGAGCTCAACTTTTTTGGTCTCCACATATAAGTGAGATCATGTGATTTTTGTCTTTCTGTGCTTGGCTTACTTTATTTAACATAATGTCATTCAGGTTCATCCATGTTTTCAACAAATGGAAGAATTTTCTCCTTTTATAAGGCTGAATAGTATTCGTGTGTGTGTGTGTGTGTGTGTGTGTGTGTGTGTATTAAATCTTCCTTATTCATTTATCCATTGAGGGACACAGGTTATTTTCATATCTTGACTATTGTGAATAATGTTACAATGACCATGGGAGTGCAGATATCTTTTCAAGATACTGCTTTTATTCTTGTGGGTATATACTCAGAAGTGAAATTGCTGGATTTTATGATAGTTCTATATTTTTATTTAGCATTCCCCATACTGTTTTCCCCTTGTATTAAGAGTTAGCCCACCATATGTAAGTGGAGGAGAAAACTCAATAGGATGGGATTATAAATAATGGGGAGAAAGATTAAAAACACATCACACATAAATGAGAACATATAATACACCAAAAAAGAGGTTAATAAAAGTGCTGACCATAGATTACTGGAACCAGTTCTAAAATGCTCATGTGGCAAAATCAGTGTATGCTTTTCTTACAAGGTGAGACTAAAGAGTCAAATGTTCATAGTTTTTAAAAAAGGTATGCAGAATGCACACTACTCTGTCTCAAAAAGAAAAAAAAGTACAGTTAAATTTTGCTTTTGCAAATTCCCTACTCTTTCTATCTCTTTACAGCTACCAAAGAGCCTCTGAGCAAATTTTATATATTGTAACTAAATAGAATTCATTCTAACGTTATTTTGCTTTTTTTTTTTTTTTTTTTTGAGAAAGAGTCTCATGTTGTCTCCCAGGCTGGAGTGCAGTGGCGCGATCTCGGCTCACCGTAACCTCTGCCTCCCAGATTCAAGAGATTCTTGTGCCTTAGCCTCCTGAGTAGCTGGGATTACAGGCAGATGCCACCATGCCCAGCTAATTTTTGTATTTTTAGTAGAGACAGAGTTTCACCATGTTGGCCAGGCTGGTCTCGAACTCAGGACTTCAGGTGATCCCCTCACTTGGCCTCCCAAAGTGCTTGGAATACAGGTGTGAGCCACCACGCCCAGCCATTTTTTTTACTTTTAAGGAGAATTTTGATATTTAAAAAACATTTTTTTCTAGTGCTTGTTTTATTTATTTAATCCCAGTTAATTTCCCCTTGAGATGTTCCATCTAAAGCTTCAGTCGGATAAAGCAATATCCAGGTTTAGTTCCACGTTGAAAAGTCAACGCAGAATTAGTTTTTATTTTATGCTAGGTAGACTCCATAGCAGGAGATTCCCTTCTGTATTAGCTCGTTTTCACACTGCTATAAAGAACTACCTGAGACTCTGTAATTTATAAAGAAAAGAGGTTTAATTGACTCACAGTTCTGCATGGTTGGGGAGGCCTCAGGAAACTTACAATCACGATGGAAGGTGAAGGGGAAATAAGATATGTCTTACATGGTGGCAGGAGAGAGAGAGAAGGAGAAGGGAACTGCCAAACACTTTTAAGCCATCAGATGGCAGGAGAACAAACTCACTATCACAAGAACAGCAGGGAGGGAATCTGCTGATCTAATCCCCATGATCTAATCACCTCACACCAGGTCCCTTGCTTTACACGTGGGGATTACAATTCGAGATGTGATTTGGGTGGGGACACAGAGCCAAACCATATCACCTTTCTATCATTATACTGTCAAATTCTTTTATAAAAGAGTTTCTCCCATTAAATGTGATAAATAAAGGACTTTCAACAACTCTGAGCCACTCTCTGTCCTAAGCACAGTTGAAGCTGCTCTGGGAATCTCCTTTCTTCTTTACCAGGGACAAACTCATAGCACCTACGTTTTTGTGCTATAATTAGACGTGTTAAGAGAGACTGACTCCCAGGGGTTTTGTAAGCATTAATGACAACCAGGAACTCTTTGGACATTAGCTTATGATTATACAGCCCATTGTTATGATTATTGTTATATTATGTGTTATGATTTACTGACACTTTTAAGAGAGACTTATGGGACTTCCAGGCTAATTTAGTTTGACCTTCTCTTTATTGTACCACCAACAACTTTTTGACCCTCATCTGTAGGTAATCCATTGCTATTCCAACACAGCTGCTGCAAGTTAGTTTTATGAAAATGAAGGTTTTAAAATGTAAATGCAAAATGCAAACAGCTGGAATGTAAAATGGTACAGCTACTTTGGAAGACAGTTTGGCAGTACCTCTAAGAATTACATATAGAGTTTCTACATGACCCAGCAGTTTTGCTCCTAGCTATACACATAAGAGAAATAAAAACACATCTACAAGAAAATATATATAGAAATTAACAGCAGCAACATTCACAATAACCAAAATGTAGAAACAATTCAAATGCCCATGAACTGTGGAAAGGACAAAAAAATGTGGCATATCCATTCAATGGGCTATTATTTGGTAATAAAAATACTGATACACTGATACTGAACACTGATATCAGTGTTCAGTACATCAGCACTGAACCATAAAAAGTACAAACTGTTTAATTCCATTTATAGGAAGTGTTTAGAATAGGTCCACAGGTAGAGATAGAAAGCGTAGTGGTTGACTAGGGCTGAGGGTGAAGGGAATGACTGGCCACCTCCCGAGAGGGTACAGTGTGTTTTTGGAGGCAATGAAAACATTCTAAAATTAGACTGTGGTGATGATTGCACAATTTCATGAATATACTAGAAACCGCAAAAATGGAAGAATTTTGTGGTATGTGAATTATATTTCACTTTAATAAATTTTTTAAACGTGGACAGCACAAGGCAAGCATCAATTGGGATGTTTGCACCATCAAATATGTCTTTGGTTTTATCTGTTCTCTGAGTAGCTTCACACTAAGTGAATCTAAGAACGCAGGTATTTATTCTATTTTGCTAATGAACTGTTAGATTTACGTTCATAAGTAAGGCATTCTGTCACTCTTCCATGCTTCTTTCAAAAGTCCCCATCATGAAATTTTAAGAATGGTTCATTTCTCTAAAATGGAATTAATATCAGAAAGTATTTGTGTATTTGGTAGTATTTCTACTGCATACAGACATCTCTTTAAGGTTTAGAAAACTAGGGTAAAAAGCCTATTTATTTCTATTCAGAACATGACAGACTTTATCCAATGTCTTATACCAATGCTATATTTTGAGAAATTATGTTTTATTACTATTAGATAATAGAGCTTCTCTTCTGTTTCTTTTCTTCTGACCCCAACTTCCTCTGAGTTTTATTGCTGACCAACAGCAGTCTCTATAGTTTTAAAACTAGTATACTGTGAGTCAGCACAGCTCTGTGTCCTTGCAAGAGAGCCTTCTAGGAAATTCAGTTTTCTCAAGTTTTTTATCGACCCAGCTCTATCCTTCAGAATAACAATAAAATAAAATTGAGTGCAGGGCAATAGGTTTTGAAGACACAGACACAGAAACCTCCCTTTTTTCCTTCTTAGATTTTGGAAATAAAAGTTGGATATGGGGAGAAATAACTGTAATCTTCTGGGGGCACAATTAATAAAATAACTTCTTATTAGGAGCTGACCCTTGTGCAAGACAGGAAGACCTGCAGTGTTTGAAAACACCTCATCAATTTTTTCTTAAAATATTTTTTGTTAGCTACTATTTAAACCATATAAAATCTAGTTGCATCGATTTTCACTTAACACGGTCCAACTTACAATAGCAAAATGACATCAGCCGTAAAAACGAAATAGATCAAGCTTACTTCTTAGTGGACATTCTTTCTAATAGAAACTTTTAACTAACACTTTTGGTCCATGTGAAGGAAAAAAAGCCAAAGTATAGTATTAACTGCTTAGAAATAAAAAAGATTTGTCTATTTTTATTTTTCTTTCTTTTATTTTTATTTTTTGAGACAGAGTCTTGCTCTGTCGGCCAGGCTTGAGTGCAGTGGCGTGATCTTGGCTTACTTTTTGTATTTTCTTGGGCTAATTTTTGTATTTTTAGTAGAGACAGGGTCTCACCATTTTGGGCAGGCTGGTCCCGAACTCCTGACCTCAGGTAATCCGCCTGCCTCGGCCTCCCAAAGTGCTGGGATAACAGGCGTGAGCCACCGCGCCCGGCCAGATTTGTCTATTTTTCTATCTCATAGGTTATTATTCTATTTTGTGGTTTAGAAATCATCAATTTAAGATTTTTGTTTCATTGAGCAAAAGGCCATATTGTTCCCAGCTCTGTATTAAAAAAATTCACTGGTGTAAATTTTATTATTGTTTGCAATGATTTTATTTACCACCCTTCCAAGGATCTTACACTCAAAGTACTGCTGTATAACTTTCAGAACTTTTCTGTGGGAAAAGCACTCTTCCTTGTCCCAGTAATGTCAGCACTGTCCATGTAACATGCGTAAGCCAATTCAATGAGCACAAAGTTATATATGCAGCAACTTTAAGAGCCATCTCGCTGTCTTGGCATTTCTCCTTTGCCTCTGACATAAGAACCATGGAGTGGAATAGGCTAAGGAGCTGTTTTAGGACAAAGAATCAGAACCTAACCAAGGAATACTTCCTATTCCCAGTACTGAAAGGCCTTCAAACATGTGCACAGCAGGATTTCAGAATTGCTTTGGACCAGGACCCAACTGTATGCCTCCCATGATCTACCTTAGTACATAAAAATGCTAATTTATTCTCACTTTCATCCACCGTTCTAAGTTGTGGGTTTTTGTGGTAAAAGGAAGATGTATTAGTCTGTTCTCACACTACTATAAATAAATACCTGAGATTGGGTAATTTATAAAGGAAAGAGGTTTGACTCAGTTCCACATGGCTGGGAGGCCTCAGGAAACTTACAATCATGGTGGAAGGCAAAGTGGGAACAAGGACCTTCTTCATGTGGTGGCAGGAGAGAGAAGTGGAAGCAGGGGAAATGCCAGATGCTTATAAAACCATCAGATTTCCCAAGAACTCACTCACTATCATGAGAACAGCATGGGGGAAACCGCCCCCATGATCCAACAACCTCCCATCAGGTTTCTCTCTTAACACCTGGGGATTATAAATCATGATGAGATTTGGGTGGGAACACACAGATAAACTGTATCAGAAGAGACAGTTTAGCTTTATGGCTCTTCAATCCCAGCATGAACAGAAGCCTTATCTACATTTGATGTAGGAACTTCCACTAGAGTCTGAACTTTGAGCCTAATGTCACAATTGGATGAGGTCTTTGAGATATCTTCCTTCAAGAACAAATGAATGTCTTTTGCATCCAAGAGGGAAGGAATCTTTGTGACAAAAAAGGTGGAACTATGGGAGATTGTATTATTATTATTATTTTCATTTACTTTCTGCCATCCCTGTGAGAGGATAATTAATATACCCTCACCTGGCACCATTTGAATTATAGCATCTTCCTGTTAGATGATCATATTTCCCAACTACAGACATCAGACTTGGCCATCAGCTTGCTTTGGTCTGTACAATATAAGTGGAATTGATGGGAAATATGCCTGAGAAGACCTTTACGAGCATCACAATTGTCTGCTCTCTCTCTCTCTCTCTCTCTCTCTCTCTCTCTCCCCCCCCCCCGCCTCTCCCTCTCCTTCCCTCCACCTTCTTTCACGTTTTTTTCCCCTTTATCTCTTCCTTCTTCCACAAGAATGACATGTCCAGATGTGGACTGCTCCTTCAGCCTGGCTCTTTTTGATTTGATTTGATTTTAATATATTAGAGATAGACTCTTGCTCTGTCACCCAGAGTAGAGTGCAGTGGTGTAATCAAAGCTCACTGTAATCTCAAACGCCTGAGTTTACACCATCCTCCCACTACAGTCTTCCCAGTAGCTAGATCTACAAGTGCACACCATCACACTTAGCTAATTTTTTTTTTGACTTTTATTTGAAGTTCAGGGGTACATGTGCAGGATTGTTACATATGTAAACTTGTGACATGGGGGTTCGTTGTACAGATTATTTCATCACCCAGGTATTAAGCCTAGTACTCATTAATTATTTTTCCTAATCCTCTCCCTCCTCCCACCCTCCACCCTCCAATAGGCTCAGCGTGTGTTGTTTCCCTCTATGTGTCCATGTGTTCTCATCATTTAGCTCCCACTTACAAGTGAGAACATGCAGTATTTTGTTTTCTGTTCCTGTATCAGTTTGCTAAGGATAATGGCCTCTAGCTCCATTAGTGTTCCCACAAAGGACAGGATCTCATTCTTTTTTATGGCTGCACAGTATTCAGCTATTTTTTTATTTTTAAATTATTTTGTAGAGACAGAGTCTCACTATGTTGCCCAGGCTGATCTTAAACTCTTGGGCTCAAGCAGTTCTCTCACCTTGGCCTCCCAAAGCTCGGGGATTACAGATGTGAGCCATCATGCCTGGCCTGGCCTGGCTCTTTAAATGAAAACAGTATGAATCCGAGTCACAGGAACATGAAACTATGTAACAATGGTAAGACATAAATCTTTATATTGTAAGTCACTGAAATTTGGGGGTTGTTCTTCATTGTAGCATACCCTAAAGAAAGCTGAAATATCCCCATTAAAATATAAAATAAACCAAAAGTGATAAAAAGGTTTGTAAATTAAACTTTAGTAAAAACCCACGTCTAACACCAGGTATAAATTTCTGTAATTAATTTTATGAGTATATTGAAGGTGGACTAAGGACAAACTCTTGCATAGGTCATCCTTCAGCTTCCAAAGCAAAATAACAGGCAATCCCAGAGAAGGGAGGAGAAAGACCCTTGCTTTATTCTCTATCCCCGCTCCATCCCATGTTGTTATCTGATTGGAGGTGGGGAATAAACTCATGAGAAAAATACAATTGCTTCTTCCAAATTTGTGGGAATTGCCCTCTAAGCCATCCAGTGCCAGAATCACACACATGTTCGTACATAGGCTCTTTACCCAATCCTGTTTTACCCTAGTTCTATAAACACATGCACACATACACAAAGGCACTTAAAAAGAGGAGTTGCATATATACACACAAGCATATGTACACAAAAATATATTTATAAGCTTTTTTGATTGGCATCATATTATTCTAAAACTTGTTTCACTTAATTCATCATAAATTTTTTATTAAAAACATATTTTGATCTCTTCATTTGGAGATCTGTTAAAATACAAAAAAAAATAAAGTTCTCATGAGAGTGTTCCATAAAAGCACAGGGTGATGAAATGTAGTTTGACCTCAGTTAAATTGTCCTGGGCTGAACTCTGTCTCCTCCAAATTTGTAAGTAGAAGTCCTAATTACCTCAGGATGTAACCTGATTTGGATATATGATCTTTACAAGGCAATCATGTTAGAGTGAGGTCATTAGGGTGGGTCTTAATCCAATAGGACTGGTGTCCTTATAAAAAGGGATGACTTGGACACAGAGATATGAGCAGAAGGAAAATGATTTTAAACACAGGGTAAAGGCAGCTATCTACAAGCCTGAGAGGCCAGGAACAGGTCTTTTCCTCAAGCTCTGAAGAAACCAACTTTGCCCACATCTTGATCTTAGACTTCTGGGTTCCAGAATTATAAGGCAATACATTTATGTTATTTAAGCAACCAAGTAAATGTAATTTTTTTACAACAGTTCTAGCAAACTAATACATATGTAAAATATTAGAACAAATAGACCAAAAATATCAGAGTAGTTAATTACCACTGTTCTCACTTTATCTTCCCTCTCCTGCCCCTTCTCCATTTTTCTTCTTCTTGCCATCACTATATTACAGTAACTTTATGTATAACTATGTAAAATAATTTGATATTCAAATTGTGTTATACCACTTACAACACACATATTTGTGCAGGCTCTTTTACTCTGTGGAATACCTCCTACCCATAATAAATAATTTCTGCTTATCATTTAAACAGATATCAGGAGACTTTTCCTCCTAGAAACCTTCCTTATATTCCACAAATGAGTTAAATGACCCTCAAGAAGAAAAGCCTCCATGGGTTTGGCTGTGTCCCCACCCAAATCTCATCACGAATTGTAGCTCCCATAATTCCCACATGTATGCGAGGGACCTGGTGGGAGATAATTGAATCACGGGGGCAGTTCCCCCATACTGTTGTCATTGTAGTGAATAAGTCTCATGAGATCTGATGGTTTCATAAGGGAAAACCCCTTTTGCTTGGCTCTCTTATTTCTCTCTCGTCTGCTGCCATGTAAGATGTGCCTTTCATCTTTCACCATGATTGTGAGGCCTTCCTAGCCATGTGGAACTGTGAGTCCATTAAACCTCTTTTTCTTTATAAATTACTCAGTCTTGAGTCTGTCTTTATCAGCAGCATGAAAACAGACTGGTACACTCCACATACTGTACAAAACTCCATCACACTGTTCAATACATTACTTTTATATTAAATTTTTTTTGTGCAAACTTCCTAGGGGGTAGAAACTGTATTTTTATTTATGTAATACTGAAACTTTCATATTATCTGATGCTTAAAAATTTTAGTACACATGTTTTGAAAAAAGTGCTTTTGCATTCGGAAGTATCTTGACTTAGAATACATTATAATTAAGTAAACCAAGAGAAAGACAAAAAAGGTTTAAAAAGTGGACATAAGTAAGGTACAAGACAGATATAAACACTTACTGAATGTAAAAAAAAAGTATTTTTCACAAGCTATTTTAGTAATGCAGGATTTAAGAATCAAAAAGTTATTAACTGGCTTTTTTGATGCTGAGGAAGCATTTATTACTTAATGAAGGACATTGCAGCTCCTCCATCCAAAACTCCCAGGCCAGCCAAGAAGAAGAAAATGATCTGAAAACACAATGATCAGGAAACAAGGAAAGGTCTTTTCCAGAGTGAACACACAGTTTAAGCTGTAAGAGGATTTAAGACACGAGTAAACTCCATTGTCTCAAAAAAGACCTTCAAATACTTAATTAATTTTTCATTTGTTTTACAGCTCTAGCAGATGTTGCCTTTTTAAATAGATTAGCTTATCACTGAGGTGCTAGAGGAAAAAATTCTTTTGTTAGATTTTGAATTAATATACTTGGCATGACATAGAAAATATGATTTGTGCAACTCAGAATGTTCTGGTTACTCTACCTCATAATATTCATTTTAATATGTGCTGATTTAAATATAAACAGAAATATTTACATTTATTTTTAGGAAGAGAAAGGGCTTAGTATTCCAAGAGTGGGTTTCCATTTATTAATACCTAGTCATTTTCCAAATAGATCTCTGGCCTCAGGTGAATATTTTCACTGACCATGTCATATATATTTTGCATCTACTAATTATCAAACTAAAAAATAGATACAATTGACTTTGAACTTAAATGTGCTGGATGAAAATAAATGGTGAGAAATAGAGGAAATGTGACTAAGACATGGCTTTGGCAATAACTATTAAAGATCTCTGAGCATCTTATAAGCTCCATACCCTAAAGCCACAATCTTAATGATTTGTCATATAAAATGATAACCATGCGAGTTATTCTGGAAAGGTCAGCCAGTGGTTGGCAGTCCTACATACATCCCACCCTAACCAATTATCTCTTAATACCAGATAAGGTCAGATTTAAATTTAAAGTGCTAAATAGGATAAATGACAGCATTGTATAATTATATAAGGCACATTTTAGGATAAAAATAAAACAATAAATTTGTCCTCATTGAACAAAATACTAGCTTCTTTTTTTTTTTTTAACTTTGAGTTTAGGTTCAGGCATACATGTTTTGGCTTCTTACATAGATAAACTCATGCCATGAGCATTTGTTATGCAGATTATTTTTTCACCCAGGTACTAAGCCTAGTACCAAATAGTTAAAATACCAGCTTACTATCTGAAGCAAAACTATGAGAAATAAGTAATGAAATTGATAAAAATATAAAACTAGTAATTTCATATTATTTACTGAGAAAAAAATGGCAAGAAGTAGAAGAAACTGCATAACATTATCCAGAAACTTATTTTAAAAAGTTAGAATTTACTCAGAAAGAAAATCTTAACAGACTAAACAGAAAATAAAATAATTTAACGCAGAAATTTTACAATAACTTCTTCCAAATAAATAACAATAAAATGAGAAAAGTTTGCTGAAACTCCTAACTACTTCAAAACTAAGTAAGATGTAGCTATAAAATCACTGGATTAAAAGAGAATTTAAATTTACATTAACAACTATTAAAAATTAATGGAAAGAATACTCTTCTCAAATAACCGATGGAACGTAGTAAAGGCTGTAATTAAAGAAAATTGTATAGCCTTAATTGCCATCACTATTGAAAAAGGGAGTTTTAAGATAAAGAATATTAATTTTTATCTTAAGAAAATAAATATAATAAAAGGAAATTAAGGTGACCGATATTGGTAATAGAACAAAAAGAATAAAAGGAAATAACATAAAAATCTTAAAACATGAAAAATGGTAGCAATATTAAATAAGTCTAAAATGCAGTTATTTCAAAATATTGATAAAATAATTCACTTTTTGTAATTAACAATAAAATGATGTAAAAAATAATTTTTAAAAATTATGGAAGGGAAATGATACATAATCACAGATATAGAAGACTTTTATGACATGAGAATTTATATGTGACTCTATGAAAATATATTTGAAAACTTATGTTATTGAAGCAGTTAATATTTGAGGTAAATAGAAATTAATAGAACAAGCTCAAGAATATGAGTATATTGAATACATTAACTATAATGAAAACTATAAAAAAAGCAATCGAATTGCTAACATCGAAAAAGACACAAATGGTGATTTCACATTCTGAAGACCCATCAGATAATTTTGGTGCTATTTAAACTTTGTAAAAAATGGAATCCCAGAAAGTTTGCCACACTTTATTTATGCATCAAACATGATCTTTATATGAATATCTAATGCAGAACAAAAGAGACAACACACTGATAATTTGAAGAAATTTTAAGTAACAACCTGGCATAGTGACTACAGCCATATGTTAAATAATAAATAAAATAATCAAGTTGTAAATTTATTCCAAAAATGCAAGGATGGTTTAATACTGAGATTATATTAACATAGCAAGTCACATCATTATAAGAAAAAAGTGCCCATTGTTAGAAGAAGAGATGCTTACAATAAGCATGTGACAAATTTCAGCAACCTTATTTTCTAATAAAATATTGAATTAACATGAAAAGATAATACAACAATTTTAATGTGCTAAACAACAACAAGATAATGTAGTCATGAAGATTAAATAGACAACACAAACAATATAAAAGCACAGAAGAGGAAATGAATGAAGGCAAATGTTAGTTATTTGAAAAACTGATGAAAATAGATCATATCTGATTATACTGACCAAGGAAAAAAGTGTAATAGGCACAAATAAATATTACAATTGAAAAAAAGGACATGGCAAGAACAAAAGCAGTCATTAAAATGTGGAAAGAATACCATCACAGGTCTAGTTTAACAATTTAAAAAATTTAGATGAAATCAGCAGAGCCCTAAAACTAGTAAAGATATGAAAGTAGTTAAAATTATTTCAACAATGAAGACATCAGAACAAGAAAGATTTCCAAGGAACAGATCCTTCCAAACCTATAAAAACTATTTCAGAGAACAGAAACAGAGGAAATACACTCAGTGCCAGTTACTTGATTGCTTGCTAGTCAGCTTTATTTTAGTTCTCAGTCACTGGGGCTGGATAACTGCAAGCTACATTTCTCAAGCTTCCTTGTTGCCAACGATGTGCTTAGGTTCTGCCAATGGGAGACACTCCTGGATATCAGAATGCTTTTGAAAACACCTTCCATGGCAACAGACGTATGTAACTGTGGGCTCCCAAATAAACTGTGGGCAACTGTTTGTTGCCAGAAGTATCTGTAATTATTTTAGCAGCTGTAGCAGGTATGTGGGTTCCTGAATTACTCTTGGGAAATGAAGATAACGGCTGTCAATAGCAATCTTAACTACTCCAGTATTATGAACATTAAATGTGTTTGTGTTTGAAGGCCTAAGCTCACAGATGACAGAAGCTTTGTGATGATGGCTAATTAATTTCAAATTCTTACTTTTAAATATTTCCCAGTGTCACCCTTCAGTTTTTGTTACTCCAGTTTTACCAATCTTTTGAGACCAAGTTTCTAAGTTAAATATCTCTCTGCTTAAAATAGTTAAATATCTGTTTTTCTCATTGAACTTTGAAAAATACAATTTTCCAACTCATTTGATAAGATCAACATAATCTGTATAACAAAAATAGTCAAAGATACTGCATGAAAGGAAAATCATAGTTCCATTTCATTAATTAAATGATGAAAATTCATAACAAATATTTTAAAAATATAAATACAATGCTTATGCAACCAAATTATGTTTTAACCAAAGGAGATTTAACAAAGGGGACTACAAATGGTTTAATGATAAAATAATCCATAAATATATAATATGTAAATTCTTAGATTAAAAATACATTATTTAATACTTGAAGAACTGATAAAATTCTAAATAAATTAATATTAACATTTACATATTGATTTACAACTAGAATTAAACTTTCTTTTCTATTAAGGGTATGCATGGAAAACCTAAACCAAAGGTTATCTTAAAAGAGTAAATATTAGAGGCATCTTTTTTAAAGTCTGATATATGACTACAGTGAAATGTTTTACAACAATAAAAAACAAATGAATTTACATTCATAGGCTATACTTTATTAAATTTTTATTAAAATATTAAAGAAAAAAGTTATAGAAAATTATATATAGCATACTGCATGTTAAATGCTTTTTTGTAATTTAAGAAATACAAAGAACAAAAAAGTATCTATATGGATAAGATAAATCTACATTGAGGAGAAACAAGAGGATGTTGTGTACAAGATTTTAAATGCTAATAAGCAAAGATATAAAACTTTTGCTGAACATGCCTTCCCTTCCCCAAATCAGAGAAATGCAACTTAGAGTAATCACACTATATTCATTTACACCTATCAGTTTGACTGAAATTAAAAAAAATAACAAAATATATTGCTGGCTAGTGAAAATATAAATTGTTACAAACTTCTTGAAATGTAATCTGTCAGTATTTATTTTAGTATGTACATAACAAATAAAATAATATACCCATCAATGAATCAATTTAGACCCAAGAAAAATAAAAATCAACAAAATGTAAGGATTTGCATATAAGGATGTTTATCAACATCATGTTTGTACCATCAATCCTTGAAACAATAGTAATGTTCATTAGTAGGCTAATGGTTATAAATATTAGGCCCAGTCACACCATCGAATGCACCCATCAAGAGAACAAATTCGATCTATTGAAATTGACTTAGAGAGATTTCTAATATGTACATGTTATGTGAACAAAGCAAAGACTGAGGGGATGGAGTTTCTTTAGAAATTTAGATAAATAGGTTTTGTATACTGAGAATTTGCTGAAGTTGCTTATCAGCTTAAGGAGATTTTGGGCTGAGATGATAGGGCTTTCTAAATATAGAATAATGTCATCTGCAAACAGAGACAATTTGACTTCCTCTCTTCCCATTTGAATACCCTTCATTCCTTTCTCTTGCCTGATTGTCCTGGCCAGAACTTCCAATACTATGTTGAATAGGAGTGGTAAGAGAGGGCATCTTTATCTTGTACTGATTTTCAAAGGGAATGCTTCCAGTTTTTGCCCATTCAGTATGATATTGGCTGTGGGTTTGTCATAAATAGCTCTTATTATTTTTAGATACGTTCCATCAATACCTAGTTTATTGAGAGTTTTTAGCATGAAGGGGTGTTGAATTTTACTGAAGGCCTTTTTCTCAGCAAACTAACACAGGAACAGAAAACCAAACACTGCGTGTTCTCACTCATAAGTGGAACTTGAACAATGAGACACATGAAGACAGTGAGGGGAACATCACACACCGGGGCCTTTTGCGGGGGTTGGGGGCTACGGGAGGGATAGCATTAGGACAAATACCTAACGTAGATGACGGGTTGATGGGTGCAGCAAACTACCATGGCATGTGTATACCTATGTAACAAAACTGCACATTCTGCACATGTATCCCAGAACTTAAAGTATAATAAAAAATAAATTTAGATAAATAAATTGATAGGTAGATAGGTAGATAGATAGATAGATAGATAAGAGATAGACTGTAAAGACAAATCCCAAGAATTGGTTTTTCCAACATTTGCATTTGTGAATAAATACCATCAACAGAAAAGATGACAACTTTCAGAAATTTATAAGTCACACTTTTCTCTGTCAAATGCAGTCTTCTACAGTGATGCATTTGATCAAAACAAACCATCGGCAGAGTTTGCTAATCTGGAAATTGATATAGAGGGAGTGTTATAGAAATGTTTGGGCAGTAGTTCTTCAGGCTGGTTGAAAGAATAGATGAGTAAATTTTTGCACTTCCCAAAATGAATTGACAGACTAGAGCACAGATGAGGGTGGAGCATCTGAGAAGCTTGCAGGGTCCACTGTGTCCCACTTGGACCCAAGTCAGTTCCATGGCTATTGTAGAACAGGTCACACATACAGGAAAAGTAGGAGTCCTTTTATTTTTATCATAATTTCTTCAAAGGCTTGAAGTGTCCACATTTTATTCTGTAATAAACAATGTTTTCCAGGCCTAAAATTATACATTTTATTTTCTAAGACTATTTCTATTTCTCAGCTCCCAAAAAAAAAGACCAACATTCAAAACTATTCCTCAGGAGTCTGAGATGTGAGACAGAGATGTAAGTGTTATGGTTATGGAATGTAACCATGGTTATGGTTATGTAATGGTTATGGAAATGTGAGGTGTGGATTAGAATGATTGGACCATCAACATGATGCTTATTAGAGGCCCTCAGGCCAGCATAAAGCTATACCTTTGTTTGGTACAAATAAGACACAACTAGACAGAAGTCATAGAATTAGCTTTACCCACAGCACATAAATGGAGTTTGTCCCCTAAGGGGCATATATAAACTTTCCATTCTTCACATTAACCAAGGAGAGATGTTTAACCTACATAAAATAAAGAGCCTAGAGAAACTGAAAGCAGAAAAAAACAAAACAAATAACACAACACAATATTTCTACTTCCTTGTTGGTGTCTTCATCTAAGGAGGAATTAAATTGGATAGAATGTTTTTAGCAGTAAACTGTAAACACTCTACACAAATGATTTCCTTAAAAGAGAGAAATAATTGACACAGTATAAGAAAATAGTAATATTTTGAGATTTTTTTTAAAAAAGTTTATCTGGTTACTTAATGATGCTATAAAGTAGCATTATTAAGCTTCCTTTCATCTCTCTGCTCTGCGATTCTGCTTCCTCGACCAAAGGCAGATTCTCTCTGTGGTTGTGAGTCAACAGCCAGCAACCACCAAGGCTACTGAAATTCTTATTCATGTCGAAGAGGGACATTTTTTTCTTTTCCAAATCACAGAACAAAAATCTTGACTTACATTTGTATTAGATAAGCCTAGACTAGATTTCCTCTTCTGAACCAATTACTGTGGCAAATTTTGTTTTACTTGCCAAGTTCTGTTTCCTCTGTATCTTGTGTTTTCCTCAATAATAACACTCATCACATGTATCTATTAATCTATAATAATTTTACTCCTACAATGTATGGCCTAACATCTTATATTCAACAGATACTCATCAAAATTTAATGAATAAAGACTGAGTGAAATAATCAATGAATGAACCCATGAACGAAAGCAAGCAAACATAAACGTATAGCATGAATAGTGACAGGTGCTGTGGTTTGAATGTTTGTGTATCCTTCAAAATTCACGTTGAAAATTCCCATTGCAACAATATTAAGAGGTGACTCAATCATAAAAATGAAGCCCTCATAAATGGGATTAGAAACCTTATAAAAGAAACTGGAAGGTGCATCCTAGGCCATTTCCCCCTTTCTACTATGCGAGGACACAATATTCAAGGTAACTTTTTGTAAGCGAAGACTGTGTCCTCACCTGACACCAGATCTGCTGATATCAAAATCTTGGACATCTCAGCCTCCAGAACTCTGAGAAATAAATTTGTGTTATTTATAAATTACCCAGTCTATATTTTAATAGCAGCAGGAAAGACTAAAATAGAAATTGGTACAGAGAAGTGAGGTATTGCTACAACAAATACCTAAAAATATAGAAGCAGCTTTAGAACTATGGGTGAAGGTTGAAAGAGTTCAGAAGTGAATGCTAAAGAAGTCTATATTGAGGTTGCAGGGAGTCAAGATTGTGCCACTGCACTCCAGCCTGGGCAACAGACCAAGACTCCAACTCAAAAAAATAAAAAAACCTATATTGCCATGAATGGAATGTTAAGAGCATTTCTGGTGTGGATGCAGAAGAAAAGGAGAACTGTAGGTACAGTCTGAACTTTCTTTTTTTTTTTTTTCTTTTTGAGACAAATTCTCACTCTGTCACCCAGGCTAGAGTACAGTGGCAGGACCTCGGCTCACTGCAACCTCCTCCTCCCGGGTTCAACCGATTCCCCTGCCTCAGACTCCTGAGTAGCTGGGACTACAGGTGCATGCCACCATGCCCGGCTAACTTCTTTTGTGTTTTTAGTAGAGATGGGGTTTCACTGTGTTAGCCAGGATGGTCTCCATCTTCTGACCTTATGATCCGCCCACCTCGGCCTCTCAAAGTGTTGGGATTACAGGCGTGAGCCACGGCGCCCTGCCCTGAACTTTCTTTAAAGACAGTCTAAGTGATTGAGATCAAAATGTTGGTGAAAGTATAGACAGTGAAGACAATTTTGATAAAGTCTCAGAGGAAAATTAGGAATAAAAAATGGAAAATGGAGAAAAGGCCAATTTGAATGAATTGTGTCTTTGTCCCATGTTTTGTGGAAGACAGAACTTAAGAGCGATGAAGTAGGATATTTGTTGCAAAAAACATCTAAGCAAGGTGTTGAGGGTGTAGTGTGGCATCTCTTGATTGCTTATACTAAAATGCAAGAAGAGACTAACAAATTAACAATGAAGTTTATAATTAGAAGAGAAGCAGAACTCGGAGATTTCAAAAATTCTTAGGCTGGCTATGCTTGTAAAGAATAAAAAGGCGGCCAGCTGGGCGCGGTGGCTCACACCTGTAATCCCAGCACTTTGGGAGGCCAAGGCAGGCGGATCACGATGTCAGGAGATCAAGACCATCCTGGCTAATATGGTGAAACCCTGTCTCTACTGAAAAATACAAAAAATTAGCTGTGTGGTGGCGGGCACCTGTAGTCCCAGCTACTTGGGAGGCTGAGGCAGGAGAATTGCTTGAACCCGGGAGACGAGCTTGCAGTGAGCCGAGATCGCACCACTGCACTCCATCCTGGGCAACAGAGTGAGACTCCGTCTCAAATAATGATAATAATAATAATAATAAATAAAAAGGCATGGTCAAGAGAGAATGCCAAGAAACTGGCAAAATAAGCATTTGATAAGGAGATTAGCATGGGTATAAGAAGCCAGATACTGTTCACAAGACAATGAAAGAATGACCTCAGTCATTTCAGAGATCTTCAAGACTGCCACTTTCATCACGGGACCAGAGTGTCAGGAGCCTGAGGACAAAACAGTTTCAAGGAGGGACCCAGGGCACCCCTGGGACCTTGGGGTTCACTGGTTCACTGCCCAGTGCTGCCACACATCTCTGCTTCCTGAATTCTGGTACAGTGCTCTTTGTCCTTTCTAGCTGTGTTTTGACCAGGCCCAAGTGTGGCTCAGGCCACTGTGCCAAAGGGTACTGGGGTAAACTTTGGCAGTGGCCACATGGTGTTAACTGTGCAGGCACATAGAATGCCTGAGCTGTAGAAGTACAGCTGACTCCATCTGGATTTCGAAGGATGCCTCAGAGAGCCTTGGGCCCCAGAGAGAGAAGTACCACAAAGGCAGGATTGCTGCACAGAGTCCCCATTAGGGCAATGCTGAGTGGAGCCATGGAGGCAGGGCCACCCCAGAGACCCCAGACTGGGGCAGCCATTAGAGTGCAACAGCAGCCAGAGAGAGATGCAGGTACCTAACTCCAATGCATGAAGGCTGCACCCAGCATCGTCATGGGACAGAGCTTCTTGGGGCCTTTGGGGCCCAACATTGTCTTAGTATGTCTAGAAGGCAGGGAATAAAGTCAAAGAAGATTATTCTCAAGCCTTAGATTTAATGTTGGCCTCTTTGGGTTTTGGATTACTCCAGGACCTATTATCCCTTTCTTCTTTTCTATTTTCTCTTTTTTGGAAGGGGAATATCTATCCTGTGCTTGTACAACTATTGTATTTTGGAAGCACATAACTTGCTTATTTTCATAGGTCCACAAATGAAGACTAATTTACTTCAATGACTGTACCCTGAGTGTCACCCATATCTTATTTAGATGATATTTAGATGAGACTTTGGGGCTTAGGTTTTAAAGTTAATGCGAGAACAGTTAAGACTTTTGGGGCTATGGGATGAAATGAAGCTATTCTTTGTGTGAGAAGAACATGAATTTTAGGGGGCTGGTGTGGAATGCTATGGTTTGAATTTTTGTGTTCCCTTCAAAATTCATGTTCAAACTTAATTCCCAATATGTCAAGATATTGGGCCTTTGAAAGGTGATTAAGTCATAAGGAGTGTTTATTAATCAATTTTCTTGCTGCTGAGAAAGACATACCTGGGTAATTTATGAAGAAAAAGAGGTTTAGTGAACTCATAGTTCCATGTGGCTGGGGAGGCCTCACAATCATGGCAGAAGGCAAAAGGCACATCTTACATGGCAGCAGACAAGAGAGAATGAGAGCCAAGTGAAAGGAGAAACCCCCTATAAAATCATCAGATCTCATGCGGCTTATTCACTACCCTGAGAACAGTAACGAAACTGCCCCCATGATTCAATTATCTCCCACTGGGTCCCTCCCACAACACGTAGGAATTATGGGAGCTACAATTCCAGATGAGTTTTGGATGGGGACACAGCCAAACCATATTAGGTGGAACCCTCATGAATGATATTAACAAGCTTAGAAAGAGGTTGAGGAGAGACCCCCAAGCCCCTTACTCCCTTCCATTTCTTCTGCCATGTAAGGATACAGTGAGA
This sequence comes from Homo sapiens, assembly GCF_000001405.40. Classification (NCBI taxonomy): domain Eukaryota; kingdom Metazoa; phylum Chordata; class Mammalia; order Primates; family Hominidae; genus Homo; species Homo sapiens. The sequence goes on along the minus strand of NC_000014.9, from coordinate 86,623,013 downwards.
AAGCACCATCCTGGAAGCAGAGAGCAGGCTTTGCCAGATACCAAATTTGCTGGTGCCTAGATCTTGAACTTCCCAGTATCCAGAATTGTGACAAATAAATTTGTGTTGTTTATAAATTACACAGAATAAAGTATTTTGTTACAGAAGCAGGAATGATGTAAAACAACAGGCTAGGGATAGAAGTAAGAGACTTTATTTTGACTTCTAAAATGGAACTCTCTCCTTGACATTTCACACAAAATATTCAGAAAATAATTGTTATTTACTAATTATGGTAAAATAAACACATCACAATAAATTGGCTTTATCAGTGTTATAAGCATGCATAGTTTCTAAAAGATCATAGGCATGAAAAGGGGCAAATCATTCAGCTCCCAGTCTAAGGAGTGGGGGAAAGACACAATTCTGTTTTATTAACCATTAAGTTCAGTCAGCATTATTGTTCAAGTACCATAAAGTTTTTATTAGTAGGTGTTGGTGCTCAACCTCTTTTAGCTCCTACTTTGTCTTAAAGGAAAAAGATTATAGACTTGTTCTAAAAGATATTAAACTTCTTTGGGGATTATCCTAATATAAAGCTTCTATAAAGTAACTGTTACTACCTTGTTGGCCTAAGATTTTCAATTACATTTGTTCATAGAAGTCATCTTCAACTGGAGGTGATTTTGCCCCAACGTTCCCATGCAGCCCAAGGGCATTTGATAATGTCTAGAGACACTTTGGGTTATCCTATCTTGTGAGAAGGGGACCCTATTAGCATCTCATCAGCAGAAGCTAAGGATGAGGCTGAATGTCCTACCATGATGGCCTATCCCCTGACAACAAAAATTTATCTGGCCTCAAATGCTAGTAGAGCCAAAGTTGTGAAATCCTGGTTTAGATGCATTATAGTCCTTCATCTCATAATATTAATATGCTTGTATTCATTTACAAAGGGCAGAACAGAAAGGTGGTTAGAGGTGAATAGGGTGGAATAGAAAGTCAGCAAAGGGTATTTGGTGGCATACTAGAAAAGGAAGGTATTGGTTCTGAATGCAGGCATTGCCCATGATGAAATTGATGGGACTTTTTTCTTTGTTATTAATAGATGTTATCAGGGAAGTTGAACAAATATATTCTACTCAAAAAGTTCTCCACAATTGGTATTTTATTATATTTCAATCTATAATATTACTATTATGGATTAAGATGTATCACCCCAAATTCATATGTTGACATCCTAACCCCCATTACCTCATAAATTACCATTAGGTGGAAGTAGGGTCTTCACAGATGTAATCAAGTTAATAAGAGGTCATTAAGGTGGGCTCCAATCCAATATGACTTCCCCTTATAAATAAGGGAAATTTGTACTAACACACATAGAAGGAAAACAATGTGCAGAGACCCAGAGAAAATAGAAAAGACAGATTTATAAGCCAAGAAAAGAAGACTATAACAGATCCTTCCTTCAACAGCCCTCAGCATATTCTGCCAATGTTTTGAATTTGAGCATCTAGCCTCCAGATCTGTGAGATAATCCATTTTTGTTTTTTAAGCCACCCAATTTGTGGTGCTTTGTTACTGCAGCTGTAGCAAATAAAATCAATTATCAAGGCAATCTTTCACATGAAAGACTTTCAACTTCAGGATTCTTTGACTAAAATAGGAATATTCTTGAAGGGGGCGCCTATGCCATTATTGGTCATTAATACCTTCCTGAAATGTAGCCTGTTTGATTGCTTTTAATGTGGTTACTAACTAGAAGGGAATAAATAATATTTGAATACTGGAAGAAAGAGGGACTTTCTGGATATGTTAAGGGAAGAGATCAGACCTAGCAAGAGAAATACCAGCAAGAGAAAGCTGAGCTGGAGAAGATGGCCCGGGGAGTGTGATGAGGGGTAGTGGCAAAGGAAAACCTGGTGCATTTCAGATGGATTTCCCCTGCAGAAGCACCGAGATGAAAAGGGAAGAGCATGCCCTCCAGAGTTAAACTTGAATTTATGTCCTTGTTTGGCCACATGTTAAATTTGTAAATATGCATTAAGTTTCTTAACCCTTCTGATTTTCAAGTTAAATGGAAATAATGGTCTTTGATGCAGGGCAGCTTCTCCATTAGCCACAGTGGCTCGGGCTCGTCAGAATTTCAGGAACCAGTGAAAATATTGTAATTTCTTTTAAAATCAGGAGAAAGCAAACCTAAATATTTAGGTGAAATCATGTTTTATATATATTAACATATTTGTCTTCATACAATATAATCATAAAATTAAAATTAAAATATTTTTTATGGAGGAAGTAAAGTTATAATGGGGTCATAATTTGGGACTGGGAAATAAGGTTAGATAAGATACTATGCCAACTACTTGATACATACTGGGGATAGATCTTGAGTATCCTTTCTTCCTAATCTCTATATACTTCATATGTTTTTTATATCTGCTCAGGTTTTCAATTTTGAGTTTATCATGTGTCGGGCACTATTGTATGTGGCTTTCATGCATGGACTCCTTCAAATCTCACAATACCTCTTTGAGAGGGTATTAACATCTTTCCTTTTTTACAGATTAGAAAACTGAAACATGGAGAATTTAAGTAACTTTCCCAGGTTCACACAGTTAGTGGCAAGGCTAGACTTTGAAGTAGGAAATTGAAAAGGCAAATCTTCCTCTCCAGTGATGCTTGTTTTACCTACCCTTAAAATCCTGCTGGCATTTTTCTGTTGAAAATGTTTCATTGGTCAGATTCAGATTTTAGTCTCACAGGCAGGTGCTGCTGGTGGATATAGATTACTTCTTCTTAAGTTATTTACACTTATTCGTAACTCAGACCTTGTTAAACAATAATGGAAAGGCCATAGAACAAAACTGCCATGCATACATGATCTGGAGTCATTTTTATACTATAAACACATAATATGATACGCCATCTGCATTGCATCACTCTTCTGATCTGGTTATTGATAACATCACCAAGAGCTGATCCATTACTACATACATTAGCAAGACCATGTTGGCCATATGGCTTACTGCAACATCTGGATTGTTCTATCACGGGATCAACTGTGAGGCCAAACAACAGTATCACAAATCAGACATTACCATATGTAAAATTTTTTCTGTGCCAAAGAATTCCATTTTTTCCAGATGTGTCATCAAGGAACCTCAAGAACTGAATTTTACAGTAAGTTATGAGTTTAAAATTGGACTCCCTAAATTAAAATTGCCTAGTTTTTAGTCCAAATTCCAGGATAACAAAGTGCATTAATAGCATTGGCTTGCATTTTTTTTTTTTTTTGAGACAGAGTCTCGCTCTGTTGCCCAGGCTAGGGTGCAATGGTGCGATCTTGGCTCACTGCAACCTCCGCCTCCCAGGTTCAAGTGATTCTCCCGCCTCAGCCTCCCAAGTAGCTGGAACTACAGGCACCCACCACCATGCCTGGCTAATTTTTGTATTTTTAGTAGGAACGGGGTTTCACCATGTTGGCCAGGCGGCTTGTGTTCTTATGGAATAAGCAGCATCTCAAATTGAGTTCTGTTTAGATTTAAACCTGACCAAAGTTAGTTTTAAGACCACGGAGTTATTATTTAATTGTTAAGAATATCTAAGAGTTTATCATATGCAAGACCCTATGCTAAGAAATTCGAACGGTATTAAGTCGTATAAGAGAAAAATCAAAATGTGGGTAATTAACTCATGTAGGAAATTGAGCCACAAACTAAGATAGGTAATTTTCCCAAACTCAGGACTCCTAAATTGGCAGCACTTGGATTTGAACCCAGGTAGTTGATAATTCAGATTTCTTGATAATTCAAATCCCATATGCTTAAACACTAAAGATCATATCGCTTACAAAGTACCTACAGGCTTCCCTTTCCTCTTTCTCTCTCTCTTTCTTCCTCTTTGTTCTTCTTCTCCTTCTACTTCATAGAAAATAAATTAAAATTATGAAGTCTTAATATGATGTCATTAAAAGAAATCAGCATGCTTTCTTTTGGGAGTGAGAATAATAACTGAGACAAGCAACTGAAGGAGGAAAGACTATAATTTCAGATAGACCTGGCTTGAAAAGTTATTGACTAAAATAAATTAATTACTAATTATTTTTGGTTTAGGAATTGTTTGGAAGCTTCAAGTGAGGTTGCTAACCATAGACCTGTGAAATCTAGCAATATCTAATCATTTGTGCATTTCTTTTTAAGCTGTAACTTTTAATACCTATATATGTAGATTCTTATATAGATAACAATGTTATAACCTCCTTTGTGGAGGGATAATCACATTACATGTAAATATTCACTTATTCCTAAGCATTCCTCATTAAAGAGAAAGTGAAGAAAAATATGATGTTACCAGGAGATGATATAAAAGTGTCACCTTCAAATTAAAAAAAAAAATGAGGGTAGGGTGGATGAGTAACTTCACAGGAAAGAGATCATGAAGGAGAGGAACTCATCTACATATAAACTGGACTTATTTATATTTTTAATTCATTTGAAAAACTGGCTCATGTCATTCACATGATGATCTTGGTTGAGGTTGCAGCAGAAACACACCCTAACTGTGGATTACCTCCTCTCAGTCTCCCAGCTGCTGTCCTGGAAGGAGACTAGCTAAATACATCCCACAATGACATACTTACAACAAGCAGAGCATGATTTCTAATAAAATATAGCAACCAAATCGTAAGAAGAATTGGAGAGATCTGTGCCTCCTCTCCCCAAACCAGTACTCATAATGACAAAGGCAAATGTAATGCTGTGAATTCAAAAGTGAGAAAATTAAGCTTTCAGAAGTGTAAATGCTTATTTGCAGCACACTTTCTACTTTTACAAAAGAGATGAAAAGCAGAATGAAGTTTTTGAGCATGATTCACATAGCATTTGCAAGATTGAACTTGTCAATATGGATTTACGAAATTTACAAAATTTTCTAACGCTCATTGTTGGGTTGTTCTGCCAGCATGATCATGAATTTTTTAAGAAGAAAACAATCCTTTGCATTTTCGCTGCTCTTCAACTGCCATGCTGGCCTTTCTTTATTGCCTTACACATATAATGAAGATTAAAAATGGGAAATGCCCCAGTAGTATGCTTTGATTAGAAAGTTCACACAGTATTGCAATATATAATCTGAGAGGAGAGAAAAAGAGCCAAGGATCAGAGCTACTTATTTCTACACAATTTTAAATCAGGAGAAATCTAGATATAATTGACCTAAAACATAGCCATGTATAATTTTTGTATTAAAGAAGCAAGATTTAAAACCCATGCAGGACACAAGCAGATCTCTCAGTATATAACAATATTTTCTTTAAAAAATATAAAAATATATTTGATTAGAATAAAAATATTTCCTCTCTTGAATGAGTAATGACTGAATCATTCAGTATAATAATCCAGAATACTAGGTTCCTCTTTTTTCTCAAGTACATTTTTCCATTTTACAAAATCATTACTAATTTTACGAGACAAAACGTGTTTTCACATTGATCATCAGTAGTCATATTTTCCAATTATATGGGTAATGAGTTTGGGAGCAATGACCCAGAAAATGGACAGAAGACCCTGTTCCAAACTAATGTTAATAGTATTTTGGTGTTTTGAGAAAGAAAATAAAAGATTCTGGGTCTAATGATGATAGATTTTTGCTGTTAATTAATCAAGTCGCCTCAAAATGAAGTTCAGCAGGTGGAAATAATTACCCTTTAATTGTCTCCTGTTTACTACTCTTTGGAGATATAAATCCAGCTACTGCACTCATTTTACAGTATTTACTAAAAAGCTAAAAACAAATAGAAACACAGATGTTGTAACAATATTTGTGTTTGCTTTCTGAGACAATACAAACAGAATAAAATAACAATTTTCCCTTTGAAATAAAATATTGGTTAGCAGGTGCATGAATTTGCCTTTAATAAAAAATATGTTTCTTTTATTTTAATATCTTTAAGTAGCTGACATGAAACAGAGAGAGAACTCCTCATCAGGAAAAGAACGTTTTTATGATCCCTGATAAAAGGACAATGTCTCTCTTTAAAGTTTCAATTTGATGAGAAACCTATACCTTAGAAATATAACTTTATTTGCAATGTCTATTATTTAGAACAAAAACACTCTTACTATATGAATATGTCATTTAGATACTTCAGTATTTTGTGTATCAGATAAAAATCCCAACTCTGGAATTTACTATCTGTGTGCTGTTTTCTCATATATAATAGTAGCAATTCCTTAGGCTATAAAGCATTAATGCATTTAAAGACCTAAGATAATCCTTGATACTTAATAAATCTTAAATGAAAACCTTTGTGTTATTATTATTATTATTATTACTTACTAATACTATAATAGTTTAAGGTAATGATCTTACTGTTTTAAAATTGGCTGATTAGCTGAATCCTTAATATTTTCTGAGGAATTAACATTTTCTTAGCACCTGACACTCAATTAAGATGCACAGATATATGTCTATACATAAAAGAACAGTGAGGAAGGTTTCTTTTTTATCTTATGTATAACCATGACCTATTTCTCCCTCAAATAAATATAGTATATATTATCTCCAATATTTAGTAGAAGTTTTTACTTCATCAGTAACAAGTTAATGTCACAAATGCCTTAACTAAAACTCAACACACAAGCACACAGAAAAGTATCAAGCATATCATCAGATTTTTGTAGTACAAATAATGGAAAGAAGTGACATTTTTGTCTTCGTCTTATGCTTTCACCTGTAACTGACATTGTGTGTGTGTGTGTGTGTGTGTGTGTGTGTGTGTGTGTGTGTGTGTGTGTCTGCAAAATGATCAATGGTTGATGACTGTGGTGGCTAAAAGTTTCAGGGAAAATATATAAAAGGAGTAAAAAGCTTCTCTTCAGTTTTTTAAAGTACTTCTTACTTTTTTCAGCAAAACAAACATTAAATCAATTTATCACATATACCACCAAAACCATTATCTCTACACATCTTCAACAGTTATTAAATGTCACTATATGATGATACCAAATACAAAATAATGCATTTTAGTAATAATAGTATAAAATTGGTAATATAAAAGATCTATATTTGTATCTAAATTTTTAGCATCAACATCATAAAAGCCTGAAATTCACTCTTGATATCGAGCAGATATTTCTTACGAGATTAGAGGAACAAATAATAATAAATTGCAGGGAAATTTATGCCACATCCTCTATAATTAACCATTTTCTTTTAAAAAATTTGAAACAATTAATTTTTCTATTTGGGATTAAGGTGTAATATCTGAGATTTGATATCAGTAGGAGAACATGTATATAACTTGATTTATATATTGATCATTTCTGAGCCTACTGCTCCAATGTATCCTGGTTGCTTGCTGGTTGAAGTACACATTTGTTCTCCTGGTTGTTCTCAATCAGCAATCTCCTGTGTTGGATGTTGTTCCCTGGATAATTTCTCTTCTCGTTTCTTAGTGTGATTTCACTTTGCAGAATCAGAACCTCCAGAAACTTTCTAAGAAAGGACACATTGGAGTAAAACTTTAAAAAATGCTTTATGTCTGAAAATGTTTTGATGTTAACATAATTTATTCACAGGTTAGCCAGGTATATTATCTCCCCACTGAATTTTAAAGGAATTCAATTACTACCTTCTGGCTTCCAGTCTTTTTCTTGAGTAATTGGATGCCGTTCTTAAACGTGTTACTTTTTATGAGACTTATTCCTAATCCTTTCCCACACTTGAAGCTGCTAGTATCAATTTAAAAAGGAGTATTCATATCCTCACATTTCACAATATAATACCTCTACGAGGAAGCTTCTTTCTTCATTGTGTTAGAAACTTGGTAACTTCGTGGATCTTTACAAATTAGAGACTTGTGTAATTCAGTTCTTGGAAATTACTTGTATGACGCATTAAAATATGTTCCGATTAGTGAAACACTGGACTTTCTTCATGGAGCCTTCAATTATCAAACTTGTCTTCTATTGTGCCTGCCTTTTGTATTAGTTTATTTATGGAGAACTTTTTTCACTAGTAAGGATACAATTCATTCATAAAGACCACAAAAAGAATTTTTTTTGTTTATTCATTTATTTTTGAGACAGGGTCTGGCTCTGGGCTCAAGTGATCCTTCTGCAGCCCTACCTCAGCCTCCCAAAGTTCTGGGATTACAGGCCTGAGCCACCACACAGGGCTGAGTTATTTGAATAGTACTGTTTTTAAGGGCATTGATCATATATTTTTATAAAGCTTTCTTCTACTTTCTCTGTTGTTTCTGATTTTTTTTTCTATTTGCATCTCTGTCATTTTGCAGGCTTTCTTCAATTGACTAATGATTTTTAGCTATCCATTATATTTAAGAGAGATTCACTAAAAGGTGGTTTGATATTTGTGTGAAAGCATTTTCACTTCCTTGCAAGGTAATACACTTATCAATTGCATTCTTTGCAAATCTCCCACAAGTTTGGCAAATGCCAAACTTTTTTTAAATTTTCATTCTTTTTTTGGGGGGGTGGGGGTGGCGCTTTCCATTTTTCCAGAAAAAAGTTCTTCAGTCATCTGCCTGTAAGTATCTGACTGAGAGCAAACATTGTTTGGAGTAGCTCATCATTCAGCCTACTGAAAAATTCAATTCCCCTTTCTTTCTGGTCTAACCTCTGCTTTGTTGTGCCAGCTATTTCCAAGTTCCCATTCCTCCAGGTTTTATTTCTCTATAAAAAAAAAAAAAAAAAAAAAAAAAACTTCTGGAATCCTGCAAAGTTGGGGCAAGATGTGGCCACCTAGCTTCAAGAGTCTTTGTGTGGTGGGGAGAGTTGAGGGATAAGTCTTTACACAGCTTTGAACTCATTCCCATGTTTTCAGGGCTGTGAATCACTTTTACATTTACTGTTCTGAGTCCTCCAAATTTACAGCCTTTCCATGATTTTTCAGGAAGAAGCAATATGCTTCTGCACGAACTTTGATTTCAATTTCTTCTTCTCTATTAAGTCATAGAGCATTCTTACATCTGATTTCCATCCTCACAAAATTGTTGATGTCTCTCATTTGCTGTTGTCACATTTTTTATTCTCTTTTGGTTTATATGTTTATGTATTTAAAAATTAATTTACTTTTTGCCATTTAGGGGAGTTTCTTAGAGGAGCCAAGATAAGCAGCTGTGTTGAATCTGTCATATTTTATTCCTGTCTTAAAATATTGGTCTTCACAAAGTTTAAGAAACACACACACATACAGAAATTCTAATAGCATCTTTTATAATGTTTCTGCACCAGAAAAGGACAGATTACTGTCTTGATTTGGGGGTCAAGACAAATAATCCTAATAAAAATGACTGCCCTTAAGGAACTCTAGTAGCACTATTTAAATGTGGCATACAAAGGGCAGGACTACTGCTAATTAAACCTTTGACAAAAATCAAATTATAATTCTGAGCTTCAGAGTGTCTGGATTAAAATCCAAAAGAAGCAGCTAAACCAATTTGCTATGAGTGTTTCTATGAGCATTGAAGTGTTTGCCTGTTGAAGTCTCAACTTTCACACATACCTAGTTTGTGAATTTGGGGGCTGCATAAACAGGTGTCATGTCAGTTGCTTCATTTGTATAATAAATACTGTTCATGTGATAACTACTTATAGGGGTGTTATGGGGATTAAATGAGATAAGGCATAGAAAGCATTTAGCAGGGGGATAGAACATCATAATGAGCTCAGTAAACTCTGGCTGACCTGCTCATATTCATAAATTCTAGTTTTTCTGCTCTTGCTTGAATGTCCGCACACAGCACCCTTCCAATCTGTATAACTCTGAATGTCGCATAACTAAGTCCTGCTCTTCCCAGACAGTGAGCATCACATAACCTGTGGTTTTCTCATGTTGTGCTGAGGGTTCCGATACACAAGACAAAACTTTGTAACTGACACTTACTTTTCAACTTTGTATTTGTTTTACTTCTTATAATTAGATATTTATTTTTCTTATTATATTGATGTTTAATTCAAATTTGAGTATGACTTTTACTTATGCCACATTTAGTTCATTTGTAAAAACACAAATATGATCAACACATAAAATCATACCTATGCTTTGAAATATCTCTGTGATACTTTCTCTTCCATGGGTACTTGCTGTAACTACAACCAATCTTTCTTTCTTTTGAACTCTTACCAAATTTATTTCCATTTTATTGATTTTAACCTATGTATCATAATATTGACTAGTTAAAGGTTCAATTTAATTTTTAGTGACTTCAAAGAGCTGCACAAGCAATATCGCAGTTCAATTTAAGAACATTTCTGCCACTCCCCTCCCAAAAAATATATATATCTATATACATACATAGCCCCTACTCCAGTCCTCCCTGCCACTAGGCGTTAGGTAACCACCAATTTTATTTCTCTAAAGATTCGCTTTTTCTGGATGTTTTACATAAATTGATTTACATAATATATGGAATTTTATGACTGAATTTCTTCAGTTATATAAAGTTTTTGATGTTTATCCACATAGAAGCAGGTATCGGTCAATATTCTATTCTTTTTATTACTGAACTCCATTGTATGGATATATCACATTGTTCTTGTCCATTCACTGACTGATGGATATTTTGGTTGTTTCCACTTTTTTGGGGAATATAAACAATGTCTGTTTGTGTGAATTCATGTTTTAGTTTTTATTAGGAGAATGCCTATGAATCCACCGAAAACTTTGTATGTTTCTTCTCTATACCATGTATTATGCTCTATTTCAGAATGATTATTTTTGGGTCTGTCTCCACCTATCCAGTCCCCTGAAAATGGCTGTTGCTTAGTGTCCTGTTCGCCTCCATTTTTTAAAATGATGTGTCCTTTGTTCTTACGTGTCCCCAACATGTAATTATAATTTCTTCTTGAGTGATTGAAGTATCTTTACCTTCAACCTCCCTTTTGTAGTCTGGTTTTGGAGAACACTTGTTTGGATATTATATAAAACCTAAAATCTTGGCTGATAGTATATTCATATTGTGTTTTAAAAGGCTTTCTGCAATCATGATTTTAAAAGAATCATGACCTTAAGAAGTAGATAATATATTAGGCCTAAAATAAAATGTTTAAAGAAGTTTCTTTAAGAAATGAACTTTTTATTTATTTATTTATTTTTTACACCACATAGTTGGAAGTAAAGCACTCCTCAACAAATGTAAAAGAAAAGAAATTATAACAAACTGTCTCTCAGACCACAGTGCAATCAAACTAGAACTCAGGATTAAGAAACTCACTCAAAACCACTCAACTACATGGAAACTGAACAGCCTGCTCCTGAATGACTACTGGGTACATAACGAAATGAAGGTAGAAATAAAGATGTTCTTTGAAACCAACAAGAACAAAGACACAACATACCAGAATCTCTGGGACACATTTAAAGCAGTGTATAGAGGGAAATTTATAGCACTAAATGCTCACAAGAGAAAGCAGGAAAGATCTAAAATTGACACCCTAACATCACAATTTAAAGAACTAGAGAAGCAAGAACAAACACATTCAAAACCTAGCAGAAGGCAAGAAATAACTAAGATCAGAGCAGAACTGAAGGAGATAGAGACACAAAAAACCCTTCAAAAAATCAATGAATCCAGGAGCTGGTTTTTTGAAAAGATCAACAAAATTGATAGACCGCTAGCAAGACCAATAAAGAAGAAAAGAGAAAAGAATCAAATAGATGCAATAAAAAATGATAAAGGGGATATCACCACCAATCCCACAGAAATACAATCTACCATCAGAGAATACTATAAACACCACTATGCAAATAAACTAGAAAATCTAGAAGAAATGGATAAATTCCTTGACACATACACCCTCCCAAGACTAAACCAGGAAGAAGTTGAATCTCTGAATAGACCAATAACAGGCTCTGAAATTGAGGCAATAATTAACAGCTTACCAACCAAATAAAGTCCAGGACCATATGGATTCACAGCTGAATTCTACCAGAGGTACAAGGAGGAGCTGGTACCATTCCTTCTGAAACTATGCCAATCAATAGAAAAAGAGGGAATCCTCCCTAACTCATTTTATGAGGCCAGCATCATCCTGATACCAAAGCCTGGCAGAGACAAAACAAAAAAGAGAATTTTAGACCAATATCCCGGATGAACATTGATGCAAAAATCCTCAAAAAAATACTGGCAAACCGAATCCAGCAGCACATCAAAAAGCTTATCCACCATGATCAAGTGGGCTTCATCCCTGGGATGCAAGGCTGGTTCAACATATGCAAATCAATAAATGTAATCCAGCATATAAACAGAATGAATGACAAAAACCACATGATTATCTCAATACATGCAGAAAAGGCCTTTGACAAAATTCAACAACGCTTCATGCTAAAAACTCTCAATAAATTAGGTATTAATGGGACGTATCTGAAAATAATAAGAGCTATCTATGACAAACCCACAGCCAATATCACACTGAATGGGCAAAAACTGGAAGCATTCCCTTTGAAAACTGGCACAAGACAGGGATGCCCTCTCTCACCACTCCTATTCAACATAGTGTTGGAAGTTCTGGCCAGGGCTATCAGGCAAGAGAAAGGAATAAAAGGTATTCAATTAGGAAAAGAGGAAGTCAAATTGTCCCTGTTTGCAGACGACATGATTGTATATCTAGAAAACCCCATTGTCTCAGCCCAAAATCTCCTTAAGCTGATAAGCAACTTCAGCAAAGTCTCAGGATACAAAATCAATGTACAAAAATCACAAGCATTCTTATACACCAATAACAGACAAACAGAGAGCCAAATCATGAGTGAACTCCCATTCACAATTGCTTCAAAGAGAATAAAATACCTAGGAATCCAACTTACAAGGGATGTGAAAGACCTCTTCAAGGAGAACTACAAACCACTGCTCAATGAAATAAAAGAGGACACAAACAAATGGAAGAACATTCCATGCTTATGGGTAGGAAGAATCAATATCGTGAAAATGGCCATACTGCCCAAGGTAATTTACAGATTCAATGCCATCCCCATCAAGCTACCAATGACTTTCTTCACAGAATTGGAAAAAACTACTTTAAAGTTCATATGGCACCAAAAAGGAGCCCGCATTGCCAAGTCAATTCTAAGCCAAAAGAACAAAGCTGGAGGCATCACCCTACCTGACTTCAAACTATACTACAAGGCTATAGTAACCAAAACAGCATGGTACTTGTACCAAAACAGAGATATAGACCAATGGAACAGAACAGAGCCCTCAGAAATAATGCCACACATCTACAACTATCTGGTCTTTGACAAACTTGACAAAAACAAGAAATGGGGAAAAGATTCCCTTTTTAATAAATGGTGCTGGGAAAACTGGCTAGCCATATGTAGAAAGCTGAAACTGGATCCCTTCCTTACACCTTATACAAAAATTAATTCAAGATGGATTAAAGACTTAAATGTTAGACCTAAAACCATAAAAACCCTAGAAGAAAACCTAGGCATTACCTTTCAGGTCGTAGGCATGGGCAAGGAGTTCATGTCTAAAACACCTAAAGCAATGGCAACAAAAGCCAAAATTGACAAACGGGATCTAATTAAACTAAAGAGCTTCTGCACAGTGAAGGAAACTACCATCCAAGTGAACAGGCAACCTACAGAATGGGAGAAAATTTTTGCAATCTACTCATCTGACAAAAGGCTAATATCCAGAATCTACAAAGAACTCAAACAAATTTACAATAAAAAAACAAACAATCCCATCTAAAAGTGGGCAAAGGATATAAACAGACACTTCTCAAAAGAAACATTTATGCAGCCAACAGACAAATGAAAAAATGCTCATCATCACTGGCCATCAGAGAAATGCAAATCAAAACCACAATGAGATACCATCTCACACCAGGTAGAATGGCGATCATTAAAAGGTCAGGAAACAACAGGTGCTGAAGAGGATGTGGAGAAATAGGAACACTTTTACACTGTTGGTGGGACTGTAAACTAGTTCAACCATTGTGAAAGTCAGTGTGGCGATTCCTCAGGGATCTAGAACTAGAAATACCATTTGACCCAGCCATCCCATTACTGGGTATATACCCAAAGGACTATAAATCATACTGCTATAAAGACACATGCACACGTATGTTTATTGTGGCACTATTCACAATAGCAAAGACTTGGAACCAAGCCAAATGTCCAACAATGATAGATTGGATTAAGAAAATGTGGCACATATACACCATGGAATACTATGCAGCCGTAAAAAATGATGAGTTCATGTCCTTTGTAGGCACATCGATGAAGCTGGAAACCATCATTCTCAGCAAACTATTGCAAGGACAAAAAAACCAAACACCGCATGTTCTCACTCACAGGTGGGAATTGAACAATGAGAACACATGGACACAGGATGGGGAACATCACACACTGGGGTCTGTTGTAGGGTGGGGGGAAGGGGGAGGGACAGCATTAGGAGATATACCTAATGTAAACGATGAGTTAATGGGTGCAGCACACCAGCATGGCACATGTATACATATGTAACAAACCTGCATGTTGTGCACATGTACCCTCAAAGTATAATAAATATATATATATATAAATAAATAAATAAAAGAAATAAACTTTGAAACCATTCATATTTTCTTTTTTTTCCATTTCATCTTACACTGGAATTAACAAAAGATTCTCAAGAAGCAAAATGAATTAAGAGGCTTCTACTTAGACCATCTCATGTGTGGTAAAGTGAAAAACTGTTTCTTTAATCTGTTACTTTTTATTTTAATATTTAAAAACAGTGCCTAAAGCAATGTTCTTCAAAATGGTAATAGTTTTAAACTCAGCAGTTGTTCTTGCCTTTTTCCTTATACAAAGCTAGAAGAGTTATTTTTAACGGCAATTGTGTGTAAATTTGATGTTGGTGGACTTGGTGGAAATCTTCATTGTATAAAAATAAAACATACCTGGTTGGGATATTAGAAAGGTTGTAATTTCATCTTTAGTTTCCCACTTGCAATTTATGACTTCAAGAACCTCAATGGAAATTACAGCTTGAAGCCCTTATCGTGCACTTTAATGTCTATTCTTAAAGCTTGAGGAGGTAAGAGAGAGCTAAATTCATGGCAAGAAACCCACATTTGTTAAATTGATGCTGGAAAAATAAAATTTCTAAGTACACAATTTAATAAAAGAACGTAATAAGATTCCTCCATTTTGTTTTATATGGGTTTTTGTTTTGGTCTATTTTCCTTTTTCAGTTTCTTCAATCTCAAGTTGAAATTAGAAAGCGTTCATTTTGATTTGCAGGGTGTATTGCTTACAGAGAGAAGTGCAATGCATATTCTAATTTTTTAACCACCAAATTAGATACCCTAAAACTGGAACGGGTTTTACACATTCCTGTAAAATGTTTTAATGAGTACATTTAGAGGAACAGCAACTCATTAGAAAGAGATGGGAAAACAATGTTAGTCCAGAGTCATCCTGATACTTACAGGTGCTTCATGTTTAACTTAAAGCTTTGGCACAATTCTTCAAATGGTAAAGCTGTATGAGAGCAGTATTACTTCATTTCATTCCTATTCAATGAAAAATAACTTTGTTTTGCTAAAGATAACCAAAGATACTCTGAGAAGTCTGAGACCTTACGGTACATATCAGTTATCTATTATATGAATCCCAGTATAAAGTAGATATTATTTAGGCCAAGATCAGAAAATGAGTTCTTTGAAAAGTGAAAATTGCAATGGATACCACCATATAGATGGTTCATGGATCTTTAAATGGCAGAAAACCTACATTTTTTCTATATCTTAGTGCCTAAGGCTCTTTGGCTGCTGAAACAAATTATGATAGGTGGAATATCATAAAATCAACATAACATTTATTTCCCATAATTCTGGAGGCTGGAAAGTTCAACATCAAGGTGCTGGCAGATTCCCTGTCTGGTTAGGACCGGCTTTCTGGTTCATAATCTCACCAGGTGAAAGGAATGAGTGGCCTCTCTTCTTAGGGCACTAATCCTGTTCATGAAGCTTCGCTCTCATAACCTAATCACCTCTCAGAGACTCCAACTCCTAATACCATCAAATTGGAGATTGGGTTTCAACATATGAATTTTGGAAAGACAGGCACATTTAGTCTATAGCAATAAGCTTATCCAAGATTTGATTACAAATTAAGAGACATCTTTCTCATTTTTTCTCAGAGTGAAACCTAACTAGACCTTCAGAATTTCTCAAGAGTGTAATGTCATCAAGGATATGGCAATATGGACACATACACACAGAAATTATGATAGTGTGAGTTGATACAATCTGTATGGAAAGTCCTAGAGAAATTTTCATGTTTGTGTTAAGAATTTAAGAAATATTCTGGCAATATAGTCAAATAAATAATTTAAAATATGTTTATTAAAAGTTCTAACTAAAAATGTTTGTGGGCCATGCATGGTGGCTCTTGGAGTCTCAGAACTCTGAGAGGCTGGGGCAGGAAGAACAAATTGCTTGTACCCAAGAGTTTGAGATCAGCCTGGGCAACATAAAAAGACCTCTGTCTCTATTAAATAATAATACAAATAAAAATAAAATTATGTTTCTATGGTAATATTTTGGAAAAATAAAAAGTAATTTAAATATTCCAAAGTAGAAATATGATTCCTAAGATACAGCACATTTACTGAGGGTGCTATAATGACCTATCCACTATTAAAAACAATTGTAAATGTGATATAATTGCATAGGAATTTCTTATAAAATTTTAGGTTAAAAAATAGGATACAACACTGGGCGTACAGTAAAATTACAAGCTTATAGAATATGAATGAAGGAGAAATTGACATAAATGTGAGCTGTGGTTTCATCATAGTGGTTTGAATATTCCTCATTTATTTTATTTATCTACTATTTTTAATGAATTTCTCATACCCATACACATTCATCTTATTAGCTGAACATCAAAAAACCATATGTATTTATTCAACTTAAAGTTGACTTTTAAAACCTGCTCTATTGAATCATTCTTCTCTGCCCTTTGTTTAATTCTCAGAAAGATTACATTGCTTTTCTGGTCACTGTCAGGTATTAAAAAGGCCAGTTCAATCTAATAACACAAGCATCAGTCTTTCATGCAATTAAAAATTCTTCCCCAACAGATGGTTCAGAAAAAGGCTCAGAAACCTGCTGTGGGGGTAGAAAAGAGATATTTCCTAAGATATTTCTTCAGCTTATTCCTATCTCCTTCCTTCCTGCTTACTGCATTGGCTGCCTAATTTTTCTCCAGTGTTGGAGTGGGGGTAGGGAGGTTTAGTAAGCAGCTGAAAAGGATTTTACTTTTTCCATCATAAAGCAGTTATATTCTTCAGAAGATATCCTCTGGATATAAGAAGCCCAAGTGCTTCATTTTTTTCTTATTGGAATACTTAAAGGTTCCTCATGTGATATTATGTTTGGGATCTTCTAAGTATTTTTCCCTGTAATGAGTCAAGCAATCTCTGATAGACCATTTATGATTATCTTCCTACTGAGCTTCTGCATCTAAAGGTACACACTTCCAGCATCTTTATTCTGAAGCTCCCTGGCTTCTGGCAGCAAGCTCTCTGGACCAAGTTATTCTGTAAGACAGGACAAGCCTGGGAGACCTCGATGGACACCCTTGAATCTCAAGAGGAGATTCACAGGGTTTCCTTTTGGGCAGTGGAATTATACCACGTTCCTCATAAAACCGTTTCTACTTACTAAGTGCTATTATCTGAATATTTAAATCCCCTCAAAATCTATACATTGAAATTCTTACCCTAAGATAATTGTACTAGGAAATAGGACTTTTGGTAGGAGATTAGGCCATGGAGGCAGAGCCTCATGAATGGGAGTAGTGCCTTTCTAAAAGAGAGACCATTTGGCTCTTCTGACTCCAAGTGAGGTTAGAGTGAGAAGATGGCTATCTATGAGGGCCCTCATCAGACACAGAATATACTGATGCCTTCATCTTGGACTTCCCAGTCTCCAGAACTGGCAGAAATACATTTCTGTTGTTTATAAGCCAAATAGTCTATGGTATTTTTTATAGCAACCCAAATGGACTTAGACACCTTGCATGCAGAATGGCCTTCTCACTTTCAATACCCTCTTCAAAAATCTAGAGGAAATATGCCTTCTGTGGTGTGACAGTTCAGCCCCTGAGACAGAGACATTGTGGCAAAGATAAGAGTGGAGGAACTTCAATGAACGGTAACATGAAACTTTGGCCAACCCAGTGGGGAGAAAGGAAGCAAGGCTGCACATTATAGCAGTCAGCAGTTGGGCAGAAATGATCAGGCCCTAGTACCATGGGCATGCTCAGTCATTTCTAGGAGCTGCCCTGCGAGAGCATATTCTTGGTTCTAATGTGGTATATTCCAAAGGTGGTTCCATTTGTGACTCACAGCTAACCACACTCATAGCAGCTGAAGGAAAAAATATTTCTTAAAGGGACATCTGTGTTTCAACTCCATGTCTGGTCCCATATGGGGAAGACCTGCTAGTACACAGAAAACTTTCAAAAGAAACTGTCTCCCCAGTTGCTCTTCCTGCCAAACTCCTTTTCTCTTATATACCCAGAAGAACAGTGATAGACTTAGATGGGTTGGAAGGTTTTTTTAGGGGGTCAGCCTTAGTAAGTTCATCATAATTTATCTAACACCTTTCTTTTGAATATGTATGTTCTTCATACCATTTTAGCTTTGAGGGCTCAGCTGAAATTCTGAAACAACTAAAAAATCCTATTAAAGACTCAGCTCAAAATTAAGCCCTACTGTGGAGTTCTTCTTGACTTTTCCAGGCAGACTTTGATTTCTCAAAGCTTGTGCTTGGCAGCTCAGTTCACAGTAGTGTTCTCAGAGATGGGCCTTTATTTGGCCAATCCACCATGAACTTTCATACTGTCCTTTACTTGAGTGGTTTAAAATTTTTACTTTAAGATGAGATCAGATTTTGATATGGTTTAGCTGTGTCCCCAGCCAAATCTCATCCTAAAATGTAATCCTCATAAACCTCACATGTCAAGGGAGGAAAACAATGGGAGGTGATTGGATAATGGGATCATTTTTCTCCTTGCTGTTCTTGTGATAGTGAGTGAGTTCTTACAAGATCTGATGGTTTTATAAGGGGCTCTTCCTCCTTCACTCCACACACTCGTCTGTCTCTTGCCTGCCACCATGTAAGACATGCCTCTCCCCCTTCTGCCATGATTGTAAGTTTCCTGAGGCCTCCCCAGGTCTGTGGAATTGTGAGTCAATTAAATCTCTTTTATTCATAAATTACCCTGTCTCAGGTATGTCTTTGTAGCAGTGTGAAAACTGAGTGATACAGATTTCCAAGACTGATTCACACTAACCAAGATCACAGAAATGTAATAGTACTACCTACATGGTGTCACATTGGGTAAGGGGACATGTGAGAAATGCTAGCTAGCTTCCCCTTACTAACTGTGTCTATTTGTTCAAAGAAACAACACCAGAGAAATGCAAAAGTTTTTCCTAAAGGTGGGATTAAAAAAGGAAATTACAATACATAGAAACATATTAAAAATGTATAGAAGACAGGAGGACTGCATGAGCTCAGGACTTCAAGACTGCAGTGAGCTATGATTGCACCACTGCACTCCAGCCTGGGCAACAAAACGAGAGCTTGTCTCAAATAAAATATATATAGTAAATATCATTCTCCTTATGGGCTTCACAAAGACATCAGTCCTTCTCTGGACAAATATCTGATCCTTTGCCTTGTCCCTTTCTTGAGATTTGCAATTTACTCTCAAAGTTTCAGTGGCAGATATTGTCAACTGGTACTTAGAACAAATTCCTGTATCTTCCTAATAGGCCTTTGTGAAATATGCTTTTCGTAATCTCCCTTGCAACTACAGTTCTGTATATGAACTAGGACCTGTAACTTAGGTACACTGATGAAAGTTGTAGAAAGTTTAGTAAGAGACAGGGTCATCTTCCTGCTGCTTTCAGCATTTTCATCTGGCAAGCAAAGTTATGGAGACATGGTGTTTCTGCCATTATCACTTATGAGCACTGAATGACAGTTGTAAAAGGTGGTGGAGTTGACCTAGAAGGTCTAGAGATAGTGTGGCAACAGCACCTAACAGCATCTTCCCAATCTTGTTTCTAGTCCCTACATCAAATCTGGGCTAGTGGCAGCCTCCTATTTCCACAACTTCTAGACACTGCAGCAGCAGTGTCTCCCCAGGGTGTCAGCTATATTGTGTCCTCATAGTCTTTTCTGGAGGTCCAGACTAGAAGCTACTCATCCTTACAGTTATTTCATACTCTCTCAAATATGATATTCTGTAATTACCTTTACCTAAAAATAACTCAGTATTGTTGTGTTGTTTGGCTTTGTTTTTCACTGTTTCTGGATGCCTCATCATTCTCAGACGCCTACTGCATCAATACACAACTTCTTTAGGAAAACCACGGATACTTCATTGTTCCTAGGATATCACTAATCTAGGTAAGAAAAATGAGTTGATATGAAGACTTGTTACCCACTATTGCAAATTCAACTCCCATGACTCAGGAACTGGGAAGCAGAAAGTAGTTTTTCCCTTGATTATTTGTACTCTGGCCAGTACGTGGGAAGCCATTTCTATCACTAGAAAGTTGCTCCAAGTCATAGTGTCACAATAAGAACAAGTTTGCTAAATTACTGACAAGTGTAATAGCAAAAGACTAAAATAACCTTATGCATTAACAGCATTTATTTTCACTGTTAACCTTTCTAAAAAAAGAAAACAAGAAAGTTTCCAGAATACACTTCCCCTTACTGTGTTTATCCTTCTGCCTTAATATGAAGGTTTAATTATTTTGCGTACGATGTACCATTATTTGGGAGAAGAAGCTGTTATTGTTTAGATCCCCCACTTAAAGCACATTCAGCTCTGCCTGCTGCATCCCCGCGTGTCCTCTTGCCCCAGCTCCATAGCTTGTTAGGTAAAAGGTGAGGCAATGGCAAAGCCACTGTTTACAATGGAGCATTACAGCTTAAAAATATTTAATCTGTTATTGCTCCCTTTCCTTCTTTTCTCACTCTTATTCCCCAGGGTCATTGATTATGAAATGAGCTAGACTCATTGCCAGACCCCAGAGAAATAGCAGAGGATTGTACTCTGAAATAGGAAAATTTACTGAAGAAATAAAATGTTTTTTTGTTTACTTAGTAAGATATATAAATACTCATAAACAAACATTATATTATTTCACTTGACATTTAACTTTACCACATTGGAGCCTGTTGTGTTTTTATAGTGATATTAATTAAAAATGAGGTGCAGGAATGCCTATCTGGCTCTTCTATTAATAATTGGAAGAAAGAGGGTCTGAACAACTTTCCAAGCTTTTTCCTCAAAAAAAGAAAAAATCCAAAACCAAAATATAAACAAAAGTGAAACTGCCATCTTACCTTTAATATTATTCAGGTTGCACTGTGGACCAGAGAGCACTCTTTCCTAAGTATTGCTGCCATTGTTTTTCCTTCTGTGGCTCTTTTTGTCTTTTTCCTCCAATTGTTGCTCATCTGACTTTTTTAATTAAGATTTTTTTCATCTGTTCAGATTCCAATATATTGTATATTGATCTTTTACTCTGTGTCCTTGCTGAACTTGCTTATTGGTTCTTATAGTTTGTTGTGGATGTCTTAGGATTTTGTGCATTACAAGATCATGTCACCTGTGAATATAAACAGTTTCATTTCTGTCTTTTCAGTGGATGCTTTTACTTCTTGTACTTGCCTGACATCACTGGTCAGAATCCTCAGTCCAATATTTAATAGAATTAGTAAGCATGGACATCCTTACCTTGCTCCTAGTCAGAGAAGGAAAGTATTTATTTTTCACCAGAAAATACACTATGATATTATCCGTAGGTTTATGTAGATACCTGTTATTAGGTTGAAGAAGTTCCCATCTATTTGTGCATCGAAGGCTGTTGTTGTTTTAATAAATGAGACTTGGATTTTTTTCATATGCTTTTTCCTGGGACTGTTGAGATACCCATGTGGTTTTTGCCTTTTATTCTACTATCAGGGTATACTACATTATCAACTGATTTTGCATGTCAAACAAATCTTGCATAACTTGGATAAATCCCATTTACACATGATGTATATTATCTTGCATATTGCTGGATTCAGTTTGCTAACAGTTTTCTAGGATTTTTGTGTGTACATTCACTTACTAGGTTTTCAACAAATACTTGTTAAACAGAGAAATGTAAAGGAAAAGTGAATGCTGGCTTGAGGTATAACATTACAGAACTGGGAAATAAAAACACACAATGCAGCAGAGAGTGCATAGACTAGTGATTATGAGTTACTAGCATGCTCACATGAAAGGCAGCATATGTACCACTTCAAAACCCCGAAATATTAGAAAGATACTTTTTATCTTCTCCAGCACACTCACTAACAACAGACAGAGCCATCCTTAAGCAAAGAATAATCTTCCTCTGAAGTTGAACTATAGAACTACTTTGCAGGTTTAATCAATTCGCGTTGTTCTATTTACATACTGTTACTGACAACAATCATAGGTTTCTCTTTACTAACGTCTCTCTACCCATGGTGGATACAACCCAAAGCAGAAAAACAAACACATGAGAAAGGACTGTTTCATTTTCAGTTCAATCTGACATTCTCTCTGAAATTTCATTCAACAATTTGTTCCAGGTGGGAGTCAAGAATGGATATTAAGATTAGGAGGTGAAGGTTTGATAAGGAACGAGGAATAATGGTAGAGCTTTGTCCCACAAAATACTCACCCATTATTCAGGAAAAAGATGGTGACTAAATATGGAGAAACCTTATGACACCCACTTGATCAGAGTAAACATCAGAAGAAATGGGCAGTTAACATTCTGTGCTTCCTGACGTGATGTACAGAAAAGAGCAGTGCATATTTGGTGGTCTTTCTGCCAAACATAAATAGCCTGGGAAGCATGAGGAAGTCCTGAATGGGTGCGTGTTGAGGGACAGCAGATAGAAGGAAAGGCCTACACTCTCTTAAACTGCCAAAGTAATAAAAGGTAGAGAAAAGACTACAGAACCATTCAATTTAAGGAGATATCACGATTAAATTCAGTGTGATACTGTGGTTCAGATCCTGGATGAGAAAGAAAAATAGTGTCATTGTTTTTACTGTTGGCAAAATTTAATGGGGTTCTCCATATTAATGATAATGTTGAGTGTTGTAACAATGTTGATTTGCTGAACTGGGTGGCTATATTGTGATCATATAAAAGGGTGTCCTTCTTTTGAGTAAAAGACACAAAAGCAGTTAGAGGTGATGGGTATTATATTTGTAATATATATCTACAGATAAATAGATAAACAGAAAAAGAGAGAGAGAGAGATAGAAAGAGGTGAGAGATATGGAAAGAGGTAAGAGGTTGATCAATGGGTCAAATGTAAATTGTTAACAATCGAGGAATCTGGGTGAACAGAATTATTTTGTGCCGTTCTTTCAACTTTCCTGTAAGTTTGACATTGCTTAAAAAATAAAAAATTATTTGATCAACATTTCTCGAGCATTCAGTAGGTGCCAGAAAAGAAATGTGAAGATGAAGCATAGTTTTTATACTCAACAAGTAAAGCATGCCTGGAAGACAGTCCTGTTGCAAATGCGCTTCCTTACCTGGAGCCTCCCAGTTCATCACTGGCAGGCACCTTCCTCCCTTTGCAACATCCACAGCCCAGGTTGAAGGGCTGTTCTTGCTGTCCTGTAGTGGGTCAAGCCTGAGGCTTGTTCCTTCCTGTTGTGTTTATTAAACAGTGTCAATTAACTATGTCATCATTGATCTGTCCTGAAGAAGGAAAACTTGGAGCCTCAAGAAGCAAGTAGAATACCTGTCTCATTAAAAGGTCCTCTATACACAGCTTAATGATACTTAAGTTTTGTAGAGATTCCTGTCTATGGTTTTAAAAGCAGTGTCATTAAATCCAGGTGTATGTATGTTCTGTGTATGTGAAAATATATGGCTGGATTGAGATATATATGGATTTCAAATATATATCAAATATACATATATGTAGTATACACATTTCACATATATATTTCATATTTTTTTCTTTGAATTTTAACAACAAAAATTCCAGAAACTACCAAGTTCTGGAAAAGTGATTGTAAGTGTAGAAACCTTGTAGAAGGCCATCTTCCTAAATAAGTGAGATGGGGTAGGGTGAAAAAGGTTCTCTCAGTTTGCATTTTCTGGAATGGTTTCAAAAAAAAAAAAAAAGCAGAGAGGCAAAAGATAAGAAAGAAGGCAAAATAAGGGGGAAGGGCTGAAACCTGGTTTGTAACTGACTATATTTAGAAACAGGTTCAAGTTTAAAGTCAAAAACACTTGAGAACCCTTTGCTCTTGTATGTGTGCTTCCATTGTGGTCTTCTTTTAAAAAAAAAAAGAGCCATTTTTATATCTTTTCATATATTTTGAATTTCCTCACTTATAAGAATTATTCCTGGGGTTATAAAAGGTTGCTGACCTTTTATAATTTACTGCTACTGAGAACAAACCTAGCCAAAATATTTGAACCATCCAAAGCATGTTTTTTAATGCCCCTTCATCTTCCATATTCAGTGTTTTTCTTCTTTTCTTTTCTTCCTCTGACTCCAAATTTTTATTTCACTCTGGCATCTTATCCACCATTATTTTTAGATAACACTGAACAACAAGAGTTTTTTCTAGGTCTTGGCTTTTCTTTTCTCAATCAAAATATGCCTATATAACTATATATATATATATAACTCTCTCTCTATATATATATAGAGTTAAAATACAATCGTGAACCGTAGGTATGCTTGAATAGTTTCAACCAAAATCTCCACACATCCAGTTGGAAGAAAAATACGAAAGGGATTTTCAGCATGTTTATATACCTGTGGAATAATGAATTAGCTGGCATTCTCATGCTTACCTAAATCTTAGACATGGGTAAAAAAATAAGAAATCAATTCTAGCAGTGCATATAGAACCCTTTTCACATGTATTATATTATTTAATATTAGTTAAAATAAGTGTTTCCAAACCAGTTGGAAGTACTTATTTAACATTGAGATTATAATTTTTTACCTATTGTTTTATATATATATATATATATTTTATATGGGGTGTGTGTGTGTGTGCATGTGAATATGATAGAATATCACTCCTACAACCATGCCAGGTTATATGGCAAAATGAATTTCACACATATAACTAAAGGTCCCAATCAGTTGCCTTTGAATTCATCAAAATGCAGATTATCCTGAGTGGGTCTGACCTAATTCCTTAAGGTCTTTATCATTTTTTCACTTGCTTAAAAGAAAGTAAAGAGTCATGTTGTGAGAGGAAGAGTCCACGTGGCAAAGACCTGAGAGAGGCCTCTAGGAGCCTAGAGTGTCCCCTGGTTAAGAGCCAACGAGAACACAGTAACTTCAGTCACACGACTGCCAAAAAAGGAGTTCTGCAAGAACCAGTGAACTTGGAAGAGAATCCCAAGCCCCCAGCACCATCACAGCCCCAGCTGACACCTTGATGTCAGCCTGGTGATTCCCCTAAACAGAAGACAGCTCATCCTGGCATTGATACCTAGACTGCTTCTCTGTGTTTCTAATGTGATAATCATGCCCTACATTCATTGTGAACATGAAAAGCACAATATAAGGCTTTTGGTGCCATCTTAAGTTTCGAGTAAAGACTGTGTATGTTTTCCGTAAACAAGAAATGCCCTGGTTTTCAAAGTTATCACACTACATTGCTATCCTGCAATACAATAATATGTATTAACTATCAAAAAGCAATACAGACCTTATTAGGAATCAAAGAGACAACACTTTGAAACTTGAACTAAGCTTTGAAGGAGGTTAATACTTTGCTGAAAAAAATCCATTTGCCTATTTCCAGTATGCAGATATCATGTTTAGTATATGACCAATAACATCACAGGATTGGAATGTGACTCATCCTTTTGCTCAGCTATTTTCCTCTTCATAAATTTCCAGAAAATATGACCTAATTTATTGTTATGATTATTATGATACCACGCAAATGAAAGAGACATTTCAAGCGGAAATGGTCCTTAGTAGACATAATGAGACAATGCAAACACTGAATTGTATGTACTTGGATACATACCATTTAGGAAGCAATGTTATATGGCTCCCATAGGTAGACTCAATTGAATTCACATGACTTCAACCCTGGCTGTATCTGTGAACTTTGACACATGGCTTTAAAAATCTTACTATTCGTGGTAGAGTATATATATTTTCCCACCATGTGAATATGGAGTTTGCCATGAGACTTATTTTGACCAATGTGATCCGGGCCCAAGTGACAATGTGTCAGCTTGAGCCTAGGTTTAAGCAATATCATGTTCTCAGTATCTTGTGTTTTTTTCTTTTCCTTTCTTTTTTTTTTTAAACAAAGTTTTGCCCTCGTCGCCCAGGCTGGAGTGCAATGGCGTGATCTCAGCTCACTGCAACCTCCGCCTCCCGGGCTTAAGTGATTATCTTGCCTCAGCCTCCCGAGTAGCTGGGATTACAGGCGCCCACCACCACGCCAAGCTAATTTTTGTACTTTTAGTAGAGATGGGGTTTCACCATGTTGGCGGGACTCATCTTGAACTCAAGACCTCAGGTGATCTGCCTACCTCAGTCTCCCAAAGTGCTGAGATTACAGGCATGAGCCACTGCGTCTGGCCGTATCTTGTGTTTCTGTTACCTTCAAAAGTAAAACATGACCTGGTGAATTTGTCCTCAGAAGAATGAGAGAGATAGGAAGCAGAATTGACCTGAAACCACTCCGTAGAGCTGAGTCAAATCGAAACTGACCTAGATCAGCCAAATCCAGCGGACTCAAAGAGCCACAGACAGAGAAGCAGGGCCATCTCAGCTAACCAGTGAACACCAGGCTTGTGAAATGATGGTACTCTCTTATTTCTTCTGTTGTGAAGTAATTTAATGCTTTGAAAAAAAAAAAACAAACACTGAGTTTAATGCTTGTAAGTAAGACATTTCAAAAAGTCCTCTGCATTAGATCAAAAGACACGACTCTAGTTTTTTATTTTTCTGTTGGTTTGTTTTTATTGTTATATTGTTCTATTTTATTATTATTGTTGCTAAGCTCTTACTGCGTCCAATTTTATAAATTGAACTTTTTTTCTTTTTTATTATACTTTAAGTTTCAAGGTACATGTGCACAACGTGCAGGTTAGTTACATATGTATACATGTGCCATGTTGGTGTGCTGCACTCATTAACTCGTCATTTAACATTAGGTATATCTCCTAATGCTATCCCCCCCCATCCCCCACCCCACAACAGGCCCTGGTGTGTGATGTTCCTCTTCCTGTGTCCATGTGTTCTCATTGTTCAGTTCCCACCTATGAGTGAGAACATGCGGTGTTTGGTTTTTTGTCCTTGTGATAGTTTGCTGAGAATGATGGTTTCCAGCTTCATCCATGTCCCTACAAAGGACATGAACTCATCATTTTTTATGGCTGCATAGTATTCCCTGGTGTATATGTGCCACATTTCCTTAATCCAGTCTATCATTGTTGGACATTTGGCTTGGTTCCAAGTCTTTGCTATTGTGAATATTGCTGCAATAAACATACGTGTGCATGTGTCTTTATAGCAGCATGGTTTATAATCCTTTGGGTATATACCCAGTAATGGGGTGGCTGGGTCAAATCGTAGTTCTAGTTCTAAATCCCTGAGGAATCGCCACATTGTCTTCCACAATGGTTGAACTAGTTTACAGTCCCACCAACAGAGTAAAAGTGTTCCTATTTCTCCACATCCTCTCCAGCACCTGTTGTTTCCTGACTTTTTAATAATCGCCATTCTAACTGGTGTGAGATGGTATCTCATTGTGGTTTTGATTTGCATTTCTCTGATGGCCAGTGATGATGAGCATTTTTTCATGTGTCTTTTGGCTGCATAAAGGTCTTCTTTTGAGAAGTGTCTGTTCATATCCTTCGCCCACTTGTTGATGAGGTTGTTTTTTTCTTGTAAATTTGTTTGAGTTCTTTGTAGATTCTGGATATTAGCCCTTTGTCAGATGAGTAGATTGCAAAAATTTTCTCCCATTCTGTAGGTTGCCTGTTCACTCTGATGGTAGTTTCTTTTACTGTGCAGAAGCTCTTTAGTTTAATTAGATCCCATTTGTCAATTTTGGCTTTTGTTGCCATTGCTTTTGGTGTTTTAGACATGAAGCCCTTGCCCATACCTATGACCTGAATGGTATTGCCTAGGTTTTCTTCTAGGGTTTTTACAGTTTTAGGTCTAACATTTAAGTCTTTAATCCATCTTGAATTAATTTTTGTATAAGGTGTAGGGAAGGGATTCAGTTTCAGCTTTCTACATATGGCTAGCCAGTTTTTCCAGCACCATTTATTAAATAGGGAATCCTTTCCCCAGTTCTTGTTTTTGTCAGGTTTGTCAAAGACCAGATGGTTGTAGATATGTGGCATTATTTCTGAGGGCTCTGTTCTGTTCCATTGGTCTATATCTCTGTTTTGGTACAAGTACCATGCTGTTTTGGTTACTGTAGCCTTGTAGTATAGTTTGAAGTCAGGTAGCGTGATGCCTCCAGTTTTGTTCTTTTGGCTTAGGATTGACTTGGCAATGCAAGCTCTTTTTTGGTTCCATATGAACTTTAAAGTAGTTTTTTCCAGTTCTGTGAAGAAAGTCATTGGTAGCTTGATGGGGATGGCATTGAATCTATAAATTACCTTGGGCAGTATGGCCATTTTCACGATATTGATTCTTCATACCCATGAGCATGGAATGTTCTTCCATTTGTTTGTATCCTCTTTTATTTCATTGAACAGTGGTTTGTAGTTCTCCTTGAAGAGGTCCTTCACATCCCTTGTAAGTTGGATTCCTAGGTATTTTATTCTCTTTGAAGCAATTGTGAATGGGAGTTTGCTCATGATTTGGCTCTCTGTTTGTCTGTTGTTGGTGTATAACAATGCTTGTGATTTTTGCACATTGATTTTGTATCCTGAGACTTTGTGGAAGTTGCTTATCAGCTTAAGGAGATTTTGGGCTGAGACAATGGGGTTTTCTAGATATACAATCATGTCATCTGCAAACAGGGACAATTTGACTTCCTCTTTTCCTAACTGAATACCCTTTATTTCCTTCTCCTGCCTGATTGCCCTGGCCAGAACTTCCAACACTATGTTGAATAGGAGTGGTGAGAGAGGGCATCCCTGTCTTGTGCCAGTTTTCAAAGGGAATGCTTCCAGTTTTTGCCCATTCAGTGTGATATTGGCTGTGGGTTTGTCATAGATAGCTCTTATTATTTTGAGATACGTCCCATCAATACCTAATTTATTGAGAGTTTTTAGCATGAAGCGTTGTTGAATTTTGTCAAAGGCCTTTTCTGCATCTATTGAGATAATCATATGGTTTTTGTCGTTGGTTCTGTTTATATGCTGGATTACGTTTATTGATTTGTGTATGTCGAACCAGCCTTGCATCCCAGGGATGAAGCCCACTTGATCATGTTGGATAAGCTTTTTGATGTGCTGCTGGATTCAGTTTGCCAGTATTTTATTGAGGATTTTTGCATCAATGTTCATCCGGGATATTGGTCTAAAATCCTCTTTTTTTGTTGTGTCTCTGCCAGGCTTTGGTATCAGGATGATGCTGGCCTCATAAAATGAGTTAGGGAGGATTCCCTCTTTTTCTATTGATTGGCATAGTTTCACAAGGAATGGTACCAGCTCCTCCTTGTACCTCTAGTAGAATTTGGCTATGAATCCATCTGGTCCTCGACTTTTTTTGGTTGGTAAGCTATTAATTATTGCCTCAATTTCAGAGCCTGTTATTGGTCTATTCAGAGATTCAACTTCTTCCTGGTTTAGTCTTGGGTAGGTGTATGTGTCAAGGAATTTATCCATTTCTTCTAGATTTTCTAGTTTATTTGCATAGAGGTGTTTATAGTATTCTCTGATGGTAGTTTGTATTTCTGTGGGATTGGTGGTGATATCCCCTTTATCATTTTTTATTGCATCCATTTGATTCTTTTCTCTTTTCTTCTTTATTGGTCTTGCTAGCGGTCTATCAATTTTGTTGATCTTTTCAGAAAACCAGCTCCTAGATTCATTGATTTTTTTGAAGGGTTTTTTGTGTCTCTATTTCCTTCAGTTCTGCTCTGATTTTAGTTATTTCTTGCCTTCTGCTAGCTTTTGAATGTGTTTGTTCTTGCTTCTCTAGTTCTTTAAATTGTGATGTTAGGGTGTCAATTTTAGATCTTTCCTGCTTTCTCATGTGGGCATTTAGTGCTATAAATTTCCCTCTATACACTGCTTTAAATGTGTCCCAGAGATTCTGGTATGTTGTGTCTTTGTTCTTGTTGGTTTCAAAGAACATCTTTATTTCTGCCTTCATTTCATTATGTACCCAGTAGTCATTCAGGAGCAGGTTGTTCAGTTTCCATGTAGTTGAGCGGTTTTGAGTGAGTTTCTTAATCCTGAGTTCTAGTTTGATTGCACTGTGGTCTGAGAGACAGTTTGTTATAATTTCTGCTCTTTTACATTTGTTGAGGAGTGCTTTACTTCCAACTATGTGGTCAATTTTGGAATAAGTGCGGTGTGGTGCTGAGAAGAATGTATATTCTGTTTATTTGGGGTGGAGAGTTCTATAGATGTCTATTACGTCCGCTTGGTGCAGAGCTGAGTTCAATTCCTGGATATCCTTGTTAACTTTCTGTCTTGTTGATCTGTCTAATGTTGACAGTGGGGTGTTAAAGTCTCCCATTATTATTGTGTGGGAGTCTAAGTCTTTTTGTAGGTCTCTAAGGACTTGCTTTATGAATCTGGGTGCTCCTGTATTGGGTGCATATATATTTAGGATAGTTAGCTCTTCTTGTTGAATTGATCCCTTTACCATTATGTAATGGCCTTCTTTGTCTGTTTGGATCTTTGTTGGTTTAAAGTCTGTTTTATCAGAGACTAGGATTGCAACC
The DNA here is from genome assembly GCF_000001405.40 of Homo sapiens. NCBI lineage: Eukaryota > Metazoa > Chordata > Mammalia > Primates > Hominidae > Homo > Homo sapiens. Next base: position 86,592,083 of record NC_000014.9, on the reverse strand, counting down.
CCTGCCTTTTTTTGTTTTCCATTTGCTTGGTAGATCTTCCTCCATCCCTTTATTTTGAGCCTATGTGTGTCTCTGCATGTGAGATGGGTTTCCTGAATACAGCACACTGGTGGGTCTTGACTCTTTATCCAATTTGCCAATCTTTGTCTTTTAATTGGAGCTTTTAGCCCATTTACATTTAAGGTTAATATTGTTATGTGTGAATTTGATCCTGTGATTATGATGTTAGCTAGTTATTTTGTTTGTTAGTTGATGCAGTTTCTTCTTAGCCTCGATGGTCTTTACAATTTGGCATGTTTTTGCAGTGGCTGGTACCAGTTGTTCCTTTCCATGTTAAGTGCTTCCTTGAGGAGCTCTTTTAGGGCAGGCCTGGTGGTGACAAAATCTCTCAGCATTGCTTGTCTGTAAAGTATGTTATTTCTCCTTCACTTATGAAGCTTGGTTTGGCTGGATATGAAATTCTGGGTTGAAAATTCTTTTCTTTGAGAATGTTGAATATTGACCCCCACTCTCTTCTGGCTTGTAGAGTTTCTGCTGAGAGATCAGCTGTTAGTCTGATGGGCTTCCCTTTTTGGGTAACCTGACCTTTCTCTCTGGCTGCCCTTAACATTCTTTCCTTCATTTCAACTTTGGTGAATCTGACAATTACGTGTCTTGGAGTTGCTCCTCTCAAGGATTATCTTTGTGGCGTTCTCTGTATTTTCTGGATTTGAATGTTGGCCTGCCTTGCTAGATTGGGGAAGTTCTCCTGGATAATATCCTGCAGAGTGTTTTCCAACTTGGTTCCAGCACACAGCTAGAGGTCTGAGTATGGACAGACTGCTTCCTCAAGTGGGTCCCTGACCCCCGAGTAGCCTAACTGGGAGGCACCCCCACGTAGGGGCAAACTGACATCTCACATGGCCGGGTACTCCTGTGAGAGAAAACTTCCAGAGGAAAGATCAGGTAGCAACATTTGCTGCTCACCAGTATCCGATGTTCTGTAGCCTCCGCTGCTGTTACCCAAAGAGGGTCTGGAGTGGACCTCCAGCAAACTCCAACAGACCTGCAACTGAGGGTGCTGTTAGAAGGAAAAGAAACACAGAGAAGGGACATCTACACCAAAACCCCATGTGTACATCACCATCATCAAAGACCAAAGGTAGATAAAACCACAAAGATGGGGAAAAAACAGAGCAGAAAAACTGGAAACTCTAAAAATCAGAGTGCCTCTCCTCCTCGAAAGGAACGCAGCTCCTCACCAGCAACGGAACAAAGTTGGACGGAGAATAACTTTGATGAGTTGAGAGAAGAAAGCTTCAGATGATCAAACTGCTCCGAGCTAAAGGAGGAAGTTCAAACCCATGGCAAAGAAGTTAAAAAACTTGAAAAAAAATTAGACAAATGGCTAACTAGAATAACTAATGCAGAGAAGTCCTTAAAGGACCTGATGGAACTGAAAACCAAGTCACGAGAACTACGTGACGAATGCACAAGCCTCAGTAGCCGATTTGATCAACTGGAAGAAAGGGTATCAGTGATGGAAGATGAAATGAATGAAATGAAGCGAGAAGAGAAGTTTAGAGAAAAAAGAATACAAAGAAACAAAGCCTCCAAGAAATATGGGACTCTGTGAAAAGACCAAATCTACGTCTGATTGGTGTTTTTTTTTTTTTAAAAAGAAGTCAACCAAGAATCTGAGCCTACTCACTTTAGAAATCAATCCATGAACTAAAGTCTGACATACATTTCACTCTGCCACTAGACTACCAGCGTCCTTAATGCTCCTCTCCTCATGTCGCTCTTCCTTGGCCATACCACCCCCAGTCTTTAAGTTGGAGGAAGAAACTCAATGAGGAAAGTAAGAAGCAGCTTACTATTCTGTTTTCATAAACACTTTTACCTTCTAGGTGGAATTGTATATCAGTGTTTATTTCCTTGTGATCTTAGATATTTTAAAAAGGTGATTTCATCTATGTCACTGTAGCCATTTAATAAGAGTAGCTGAGTATAGACGGAAAAAAAAGAGGTATGTATTTAACCTGAGAAAAGTAACTGAAAAAAACAAAAAGATTGTGTAAGGAAACAAATAAAATGACATTATGTAGAGAAGAAATTGTAATCTTATTATCTGTCTATCTATGTATTTTTCTTGCTCTGTAACTAGATTAATTTCTCGTCTATGAGAAACTATAGACTCTATAGACTGTGAGTTATCCCATGACTGAAACAAAACATGAATTTTATACCATCGTATATTTTACATAAGACATTTACCAATTGATATTTGATTACGTATCTTCTTGCCTTTTAAATGTAAATTTCTCATTTTCTCTTTTAAATTCTAGCTTTATTTATGCCAACAACCTCTTCTTCTAATATGTGACTTCTATTCAACCTGTCTTTCATGGCTTCTTCTTTTGTTATATATTTTGTTATTTTTTTTACTGTATGATAAGCTAGTATAAATTCACATTTAAAATAAAATAATAAGCACCTATGAACCTACCACTAAGTTGCAACAGCATTTAAGCCACAGCCAGTCTCATACTATTTACACACCTAGTCGTTTTTTTCACTTCCCACATGATTCTGAATAAAATTCCAGGCATTAGTATTTAAACTGAATCCCTTTTAGCAACAGGTGTTTTATAGAGAGTCTTTATAAAAATGACTACTCATCTTTTCTTTTAAGAAGTACACTAAAAATTATAACTCCACTGTCCACCTGAGATATATTCTGTAATTTTAAGACTAGAATGGCAGCATTTAAGGCACAAAATAAAATGACTTCAAAAAGAACTGGACATATACATTTCTTTCTAGAACATGCAGAACATCTTACCTTTAGATTATACTAGATTACACTGTCTCCATATTGAACAGTACTAGCAACTCAGGTTCAAATGATCATTTGAAAAAAAAACTGAGTTAAGTTAGAAGTGGACTAAAGCTGGAACCATGAGAAGAGAAAATATGAAAATACACACTGTGTTTTCTTTTCAAAGTCCTGGTTGATAGAAAAAAAATTCGTGGTTTTCTTAGACCTAAGTAACAATGAATTGATTATTTTCTGTTAAGTAGAAATGATATTTAAATACATGCAGGCATAAGAACTATATAAATGTATAAGTGTTGTTTCATAAATGGTGTCGTCAACCTACCCTAAATAAGATGGTTCCTTTTCACTCACTTTCATTCAGATGTTCTCTTTTCTTTTAACTGTTTTATTGAGTTACAATTCTGACATTTCATATAAATGGAATTATATGTTATGTAGCCTTATGTGTCTGGCTTCTTTCACTGAGCATAATGTTTCTAAGGTTTATTCATGTTGTAATCCATATCAGTTAGGCATTCATTTTTAATTGATAAGTACTATTCCATTGTATTAATATATCAATTTTTAAAATCCGTTTGATTAGTTGATGAACATTTTGCTTCCACTTTGGTCATTATGAATAATGCTACTGTGAACACTGGTGTACAAGGTTTTGTGTGGACGTATGTTTTCATTTCTCATAGAGTGAATTGCTGTGTTTAAAATTTTGAGACATTATTTTCCAAAGCAACTGAACCATTTTACATCCCTCTCAGCAATTTATAATAGTTCCAATTTCTCCAGATCTTCAGCAACATTGGTTGCTGTTTAGCTTTTTAATTATAGACATCCTAGTGAGTATGAAGTGGTATCGCATCACGGTTTTGATAGGAATTTCCCTTATCACTAAATAATGTTGCTACGGTTTGAATTTTTGTTCCCTTTAAAACCCATGTTGAAATTTAATCCACAATGTGGGAGTATTGAGAGGTAGGGCCTTTAAGAGGGCTCTGCCCTCATGAATGGATTAATACATTCATGGATTAATGAATGTAATGGGTTAATGGATTAACAGGCTATCATAGGAGTGGGACTGTTGGCTTTATAAAAAAAGATGCCCCAGCCAGCACAACCAGCCCTCTCACATTAGGCTTGAGACGGTCTTGTGTTGCCTGGGACTCTGCAGAGTCCCCACCAGCAAGAAGACTCAGGTGATTGCAGCTCCTCATCCATGGGCTTCTCAGCCTCTATAACTGTAAGAAATAAATCCCTTCTCCATATAAATTTCCCATTTCAGGTATTCTATTATAAGCAACAGAAAACTAAGAGAGATATTGATCATCTATTCATGTATCTATTAGTGATTTTTATATCTTCTTTAATTAATGTCTATGAAAATCTTTTGCTCATTTAAAAAATTGACTTGTCTTTTGTCTTTTTATTACTGAATTTACTACTAAATTTAAGGAGTTCTTTATGTATTCTAGATTCAGGTTCTTATCAGATTTGTAAATATTTACTGCCATTTTTTTGTATGTTAACTTCCCATATGCTATTGTTTGCAGTACAAAAGTTTTCCATTTTGGTTGATCTCAATTTACCTGTTGTTTTTTTTTTTGTCACATGTACTTCTTTTTACCTTACTTAAGAAACTGTTGTTTAACCCAAGCTTGAAAAGATATTTTCTTCAGTTTTTTTTCCAGAAAGTGTTATAGTTTTAACTCTTACATTTAGTTTTTTGATTCATTTTGAGTTGATTTTGGTTATGTTGTGAGATAACACTCCACCTTCATTCTTTTGTTACATTTACTCCTATATATTGTATTATTTTTATGCTATTTTAAATGCAATGATTTATGTAAATTCATTTTCTGAATGTTTACTAGTAGTTCATTTCTACTGATTTTTGTATATTAATCTTGTGTCTTGCAACCTTGCTAAATGTTTTTCTTTAGATCTCATACTTTTGTTTGTGTGTGGTGGGCGGGCAGGGGTTATTTGAATTTTTATTTACAAGATTATGTCATCTCCAAATAAATAGTTTTACTTCTTCCTTCTCAGTTTAGAGCCCTTTTATTTCATTTTCTTGCCCAATTCCCCAGCTAAATCTCATAATGCAATGTTCATTAGAGATGGCAAGAGTGAATGTTCTTGTTTTACTCCTGATCTTATGGAGAAATCTTTCAGTCATTTGCCATTAAGTATGATGTATACTAAAGGTTTTACCAGGGTAAGAAAGTTCTTTTCTACTCCTAATAAGCTGAATATTTTTATCATGAAAGAGTGTTGGATTTTGTCACATATTTCTGTGTTTGTGAGATAATAATGTGTGCTCTTTTTCCCTTTGTTTTATTAATATTGATTTATATTTGTTGTCTCACGATCCTGGAATAGATCCCCTGTGGTCATGGTATATAATTTTTTTTAACATATTGCTTAATCTGGTCTTCCAGAATTTTTTTGAGGATTTTCATATGTATATACATAAGAGATGGCATTCTGTAGTGTTCTTTGTTTGTGATTTCTTTATCTGATTTTGGTATCAAAGTAATACTGCCCTCATAAAATGCATTGGGAAGTGTGTCTTCCTCTCCTACTTTTTGCAAGGGTTTGTGCAGGATTGGTGATAATTTTTTAAACATTGAATAAAAATTCACCCATGAGGTCATCTGGTCCTGGGCTTTTCTTTATAAGAAGTTTGTTGTTGTTATTGTTTATGAAATCAATCTCTTACTCTTGTTACAAATTTATTGAGATTTTAATTTCTTCTTCAGCCAATTTCAGTAGTTTTTATTTTTATGGGTGTGTCGATTTCATTTAGATTATCTAATTTATTGGTATTGCCTGATAATCATTTTATTTTTGTAAGGTCAGTAGTAACCTTCTCTTTTCATTTCTGATTTTATTAATTTAAGTCTTCTCTCCTTTTTATTTTTATTTTTATATTTATTTATTTATTTATTTATTTATTTAATTTTTTGAGACAGAGTCTCACTCTGTCTCCCAGGCTGGAGTGCAGTGGCGCGATCTCTGCTCACTGCATCCTCCTTCTCCTGGGTTCAAGCAATTCTTGCTGCCTCAGCCTCCCAAGTAGCTGGGATTACAGGCACCTGCCACCATGCCTGGCTACTTTTTGTGTTTTTTAGTATAGACGGGTTTTCGCCATGTTGGCCAGGCTGATCTTGAATTCCTGACTTCAGGTGAACTGCCCGCCTCGGCCTCCCAAAGTGCTGGGATTACAGGTGTGAGCCACCACGCCCTGCCTCTGTCTTTTTTCTTAATCAGTCTAGCTAATGGTCTAGAAAAATGGATTCTTGATTAACTTTGTTGAACTTTAAAAGAAAAAAAAACAACTTCTAGTTTTATTTTCTCTATTTATTTTCATTACTTGTTTTACTCGTCTCTACCTTAATCTTTATTGTTTTATCCTCTGCTTGCTTTGAAATTTATTTTCTTTTTCTAGTTTATTAAGGCAGAAGCTTGGGTTACTCTTTCATGAAATTTCTTATTTTTTAATGTGTTTATAGATAAAAATTCCCTTTGATTTTTGATTTATATGCATTCTTTAAGTTTTAGTACATTATGTTTTAATTTTCTTTAGTGTCAAATTATTTTCAAAATTTCCTTCTGAGTTCTTTCACCCATTGGTCATCAATGAGTCTGTTGTTTAATTTCTGTATAATTGTGAATTTCTGAAATGTCTTTGTGTTATTGATTTCTAATTTGAATCCACTGTGGAAGAAGAACATACTTTATTAAGTTTATTGAGACTTATTTTATGGCATGACGTAAGTTTATCTTGAAGATTGTTCCATGTATGCTTGGAAAGAATGTCTATTTTGCTGCTGTTGTGTAGGGTATTCTATAGATGTCTTATAGTATTGTTTTCATTATTTTATAGCATTGTTCAGATCTTCCATTTCTTTGTTCATCTTCCACCTAGTCGTTCCATCCATCACTGAAAGTGGGATATTGATGCTCCAACTATTGTTACTGAATTGTCTGTTTCTCCTTTTAATTCTGCCAGTTTTTGCTTCATGTCATTTCAGGCTGTTTTTAGGTGTATCGATGTTTATATTCATTATGTCTTCTTGATCGATTCACTTTTTTATCAATATCATGATTTGTATGCCTTCTTTTAATCCGACAAATATAGTACCCTTTAGTTCTCACTGCTTTGCAGCCTTTGCTAAGGCTATCATCTTATTTCCTTCAAAGGCAGTTTCTATTTCCTAGTTTTTGTTTGCTTGTTTTTGTCTTTGTTTTTGTTTTCCCTCTCCTCCTTCCCCATGTATGAATTATACTTTCTTGTTTCGTTAAATTTCTCATAACTTTTTGTTGAAATTCTGTAGACGAATCCCCAGCCCCCACCAGAGAGTATTGTTGCTGACCAATTGGTAATTTGTTTATATATTTAGTGACTTGGCTGAAATAATTCTGCAATTTTTTCCCCTCAAAGTGTGCATCCTCTAATGCCCCTGCATACATTGTCCACCCTTGTTTTCATCTTTTAATCTAGCTGCATAGAGGTCACCCTATATAACAGCATAGGTCACTTACTGATCAAAGGTTGTGCTTAATCTCCCTTAGTCAGTTAGATATGTATCTTTTAGCATTGGATATATATGTGGCTTGCAGGCTGCTCTCATGTTTCAGGGAGTTTACATGTTTGTTTTTGCCCACATTTTGCCAGGGAATTTTAGGATGGTTCTTCCCTCCTTGATCTTTCCCAAAGGGCTGCAGCCTATGGCATGTATACATTCTACAATATCAAGGATGTGTGTAATTTTATTTTTAAGCCTAGTTTCCTAGGAGGTGTCTTTGAGTCAGAGAGACCTATTGTTTAGCCAGTGTTTGGTCAGAGGTTGCTTTTAAGCCCATTTTGCCAGTGAAGCTTCTATCCTGTGTTGATGAGTGCAGTTTGGTTAATGCTGTCAAGTCTGCCCCATGTCCTACCGTGATTGCTCCTGAGTGGGTGACAGCTTAGGCAGGTGCACAGTCATCAAGATCCTCAAAGTTGACTGTGACCCAGGAGGGCTCTTCTTGGCTGCCTCTTCTTATGGTTCTCTCTATTAAACTTCTGGCTATTCTGCGATGTTGCTTGTGTCCTGGAATTACCAATCTCTTTAATTGCCTTCCACCAATATCTCCACTGTTTTCAACAATGCCTTTAGGAATGAGTTTCTCCACTCCCTGTTTAAATAAAGTCATTTATTTTAGCCAGTGTCCTGGAGCTCTTTATTCCTAAAGGCAGTGTTTCAACGTGGGCAAAATCCTTGGGCTACTGCTTAAAGGTGGGGCTAGAAACTTTTTTTGAAGTGAAATCCTTGCTCCATGATGGGCACTTGGGGAAGGAATGTCTGCCTCTCCCATATGGAACCTCCACCCTAAAGGTCAGCCTGCGTGTGGGTGATCAGAGGCTCAGTATTATTGGCCTGCTGGCCATGGAATAAAGTTCTCATCCCATGACTGGAGACTGGAGAAAGAGAGGGGTGATAAGAAACAACAGCCTGCCCCTCCTGATGTGAAACTATCATCTCAGACTTGAAGCTGGGAGAATGAGAACCTCCATGCCTTTCTGGCTGTACATGCTTTGAGTAGAGCTTCTGTAACACAGAGCTGGGCTGGGGCACAAGTTAGGAAGCAGGTTACCAAGATTTAGTAGATTTTTTTAAATGAATGTTTCTCTATTTAGACAATTTGTACTTTAAAAGATGGTGTATTAGTTAGTTTTCATGCTGTTGATAAAGACATACCAGAGACTGGGCAATTTACAAAAGAAAGAGGTTTATTGAACTTACAGTTCCACATGACTGAGGAGGCCTCACAATCATGGAGGGAAGACAAACAGGAGTTAAGTCACATCTTACACGAATGGCAGCAGGCAAAAAGAGGGCTTGTGCAGAGAAGCTCCCGTTTTTATTTTTTTATTTTTTATTTTTTTATTTTTATTTATTTTTCATTTTTATTTTTTAGAAATAAGTTATTTCTACTGTGGATATGAATCTGCAAGTAATCTATTGGTAAAGGTAATCTTTTTTTAAATTTTTTTTTTTTATTATACTTTAAGTTTTAGGGTACATGTGCACATTGTGCAGCTTAGTTACATATGTATACATGTGCTATGCTGGTGCGCTGCACCCACTAACTCGTCATCTAGCATTAGGTATATCTCCCAATGCTATGGCTCCCCCCTCCCCCCACCCCACAACAGTCCCCAGAGTGTGATGTTCCCCTTCCTGTGTCCATGTGATCTCATTGTTCAATTCCCACCTATGAGTGAGAATATGCGGTGTTTGGTTTTTTGTTCTTGGGATAGTTTACTGAGAATGATGATTTCCAATTTCATCCATGTCCCTACAAAGGACATAAACTCATCATTTTTTATGGCTGCATAGTATTCCATGGTGTATATGTGCCACATTTTCTTAATCCAGTCTATCATTGTTGGACATTTGGGTTGGTTCCAAGTCTTTGCTATTGTGAATAATGCCGCAATAAACATACGTGTGCATGTGTCTTTATAGCTGCATGATTTATAGTCCTTTGGGTATATACCCAGTAATGGGATGGCTGGGTCAAATGGTATTTCTAGTTCTAGATCCCTGAGGAATCGCCACACTGACTTCCACAGTGGTTGAACTAGTTTACAGTCCCACCAACAGTGTAAAAGTGTTCCCCCTTTGAAAACTGGCACAAGACAGGGATGCCCTCTCTCACCACTCCTATTCAACATAGTGTTGGAAGTTCTGGCCAGGGCAATTAGGCAGGAGAAGGAAATAAAGGGTATTCAATTAGGAAAAGAGGAAGTCAAATTGTCCCTGTTTGCAGATGACATGATTGTATATCTAGAAAACCCCATTGTCTCAGCCCAAAATCTCCTTAAGCTGATAAGCAACTTCAGCAAAGTCTCAGGATACAAAATCAATGTACAAAAATCACAAGCATTCGTTTTTAAAACCATCAGATCTCATGAGACCCATTCACTATCACAAGAACAGCATGGGAAAGATCTGCCCCCACGATTCAATCATCTCCTCATCTCCCATCAGGTCGCTCCCACAACACTGGAAATTTTGGGAGCTACAAGTTGAGATTTGGGTGGGGACACAGAGCCAAACCATATCAGATTTTTTTTTAAATCTTCATTATTTGTATTGGCATTTTGGTGGGTAGAGGATATTCCAAGCTCCATACTTGCATTTCCTACTTTCTGAATATCTTTTAAAAAAACTGCATTGAAAAAGAGACTTAACTGGTCATTTCACTTTTCTCTATTGTTATCCCAACTGCACCCCCTCAAACCAACACAACCATTTCACTATTGTAAGCCATGTACCACTCTCTCCATAAGCTACATTGACAAGCTGAATCTTTACTATACACCCAATATCCAATATAAGGCCTAAGCCCAATACTTATGATCCAGAGCAATATCTGTCCTTTTCCTGGGCTTAACTGCTGCATGCTTCAATCAACCCAACACCACTGTGTGGCCTGCACAGCTTCTACCATTTTCTTGATTAGCTTTCACTTTAGGAATAGCAATGAAAATCATTACATTAAAGATTCCAATGGCATAACTCTTTAAACAAGTCTACCACTTTCCCCAAATAGTCTAACATAAAAAATAAGCATCACTATTCAAAGCCTTTGAGTTTCTCTATCCATCTGCTTCCCTCTCATGCTTAAACTGCCACAATACTATGAATTGCTCACTTAAAATAAACCCTTCACATATTTTTTTCTGTCTTCTGTCAGCATTTAGAAGGTTAATGGCATATTTTTCTTCCTTCAGAAGATTATTATATATTGATTCTCTCCATGAATCCCCAAGATACATCTTCATTTGACTGTTCTCATTTCAGCAGCCTCTCTTGTGTATGTTCGTATCTCTGTAAGTAGCTGAGTACATTTAATATATTTACTATCTATAATTTTTGTGCTGTAATGAACAAATCTACTTTTTTCTTTAGGACTTTGACACTCTAGGAATATGGTTATGCCTATGCTTTTTGTGTCTAATGCACAATTAGCAGCATTATGATATATCTTAAGTTGATTGTTTAATATTCAAATATCTAGGTAGAACACACTGGGGAAAAGAATAGAAAATTTTGTTGTGCTATTTCTCAGAAGTAGTTTGGCTTCTAATCTTTGGAAACACCATCATATAAAGGAAAGGTGGTATGCTGTTAAACTCTAGTCTCAGCAGAATTTATATTAAATTCACATTAATGACTTTTTATGGATAATTTATACATATATTACATCTAGTTGTATGACTTGGGAAAGTTATTTAATATTATTACCCTCTATTTTCACATCTGCAAAATAAAAAATCCGAATACAGTGTTTCTAAAGGCCCCCTCTGTGCTAAAATTGTCTCCTTTCTGTACTTTAGAAAGTCACCAATTTTGGTTGGCCATAATTAACTTGCTGATGTCAGAACCTGGCATGGTTGATAGTGGGATTTTGTCATCGCCAAGTTCCATCCCTGTGGTTATGTGTCCTCAAGACCAGACCATATCTGGAGATTTTCAGTATAGCTTGTTCATAAGTGACTACCCTATCTCTTAGGGCAGGCAAGACCTCTTTGTCAACAACACCATCTTCTTTTAATATGTAAACTGGTTCCAGCGTCCAAAAATTCTGGAAAAATAAATAAAAAATAAAAATAGAAAAATCTAAAGGTCAGGCATATTCTACACTATTCAAAGAGAGTTTGTTTCATACATTAAAACTTTTAACACATAACAATTTTCTTATTTAACCTCACCCACCCCACATACAACTTTTCCACCACGTAAAACTTTTTCAGGATATTCAAGACTGCTATTATCCAGCTTGAAATTAGGAGTGGAGGGGGAGATCAAGAAGACTGCAGCCAAGAGCAACACTGAAACTAATAAGGAATCTCAATTTGTCAAGTCAGTGTAACGGTTTGCCAAACAAAATTTTAAATGATTTAAATACCCCAGTGTGTATTATAGACCAGTTCCTGAGTTATGTTAACCTACACGTTGACAACTTTTGTGGATTCTCACATACTAATTTTCAAACTCACTAAAGGGAACTAAAAATATCTATATGTATCTTTTCATTCTTTACAGGCAAGTTATAGAATTATTTTCCTGATAACACATATGACTTGGTAACCACATCAAGCTAAAACATATCTACCATATTAGTGTCCCTATCGGGTTACGCTGAAAATGTTCTGCTTATAACACTCAATAAACAATCTCATATGTGTACCATAAACCTTTGTTATATGTGCCAGGCTGAGAAAGAGCAGAGGAGCTCTGTGGAAGGTCTTTCAGTCCCAAGTCATTTGCTCACAGTTCAGTGGGAGGATGAACAAGACTGTTTAGGGGAGGGGATTAATGAATTCAACAATGTTACTTGCCCCAGAGACTCGTAGTGCTATGTGCCGGTTTGAGCTACAAGGTGAGAGACCAGAAATTACAGCAGACAGCCACATTCAGGCAGGTAATGAGTGTGTTGCATATGGTCCATTACTCACTATGATAGAGCATTGTTATGATTTGTAAGCTGCTTTATTAGGTGTCAATCTTATAGTATTTAAAGATACATTTTTTAAAGGGGTCTTTATTTTGATTCATCCTGCACTTATTGAGAAATACTGAGAATAACAATTATTTAGCTGTGGAATGAGACCCCTGTTCAATGCAGAAAGGGTTTTGCATACTGAGATTGAATTACTTGGGAGGTAAGAACGTCTAGATCAATTTGGCACATCATGTAGAAGTATGGTGTTACAAAACCCTTAATCCTTAATCCTTAAGGGTTCTGTGAGTATGACCATATTTCTCGTTTTTCCACTTAATAAAGTGGAGAAATGAGAAACTTCCAAGGGTTTGTATTGCGATAATAAAATCTTAGACATAGTTTGTTTTCAGTAAATTTGTAAATAGTCAAGGGCATAGTGTACCTCCATTCTACAAATGTTTGTAAGCATCAGTTAGCTAGAAGTCATTCCAATTGCTGTAAACTACTTATGATTTTCATATTAAAAAGGAGCTGCAATTTATTTTAGACGTACTATGAGCAAGGAACCTTTCTCACGAAGTTACAAGTATAATCTCTTACCAACCCATGAGATAAATGCTATAATGTTTTCTCTTTAAAATGTAAGTGAATTGAGACACAGATGATTTAATTAATATATTTTTCATCATGCAACTAATACATACTTGAAAACAGCTTTCATATCTCAGAAATATACGGAGTGCATATATGCAATAATACATGATGTATTTTATATGGGGGATATAGACGATGATATATTAAATATACATTAGATATGATATTATATATGATATAACATGTTTATCATATTTAATGATGTAATTATGTTACATATACGATATATAAAATAATGTATTTATGCTTTTACATATGTAATATACACAAATATATATTCAAATATATACATATATGCATGTATGTGTGTATGTATATATGTATGTGTATGCATGAATATATGTGTGTATGTTTGTGTGTGTATATCCACACCCACACACACACACACATATATATATAGAGAGAGAGATATGGAGAGTAAGCAAGAGAGAATCACTTCATTTATGAAGACAAAATACTGACATTTGGATATATAAAATTGGGATGGGCATTGAAAGCAATAACATGGAGGAGGTGTTAGATAAGCAGAGAAAAATTCAAATGTGGTCAGGTGGTAAGAAAAATAAAATAAACATGGTATGGCAGTGGAAGAGAAAAAATGCCTCAAGCTAGGCAAAAAAAAAGTGATCACCTAAACAGGTTATTGAGTTTTCCAGCCTTCTAGAAGCATACAGTGCCTCTCAAAATCTTCTCCAGTTTATCAACCACCCAGTAAAAGAGACTTGATTAAATTTTTATTTGCCAACTTAGAATGAAGAAATTTTAGAATTTTTACGTGTCTCAGAGGCATCCAGTCTGCAATATCTCCAAAGACATAAATTAATTGATTTATTCGACTGTTTTGTGAGCATCAAAACACAAAATACATATAGGGAATTCTAAAATAAAGATATGTTCTAGTTGTTTATATCTTATGGTAATTATATTTACACAAAGAAAATAACAGTCATAAAAGCTGAGGTAATGTTGAGTAAGAGTCCCGAATGCGGCATGGAGGACCTGGCATCTGAGTGAGATGTCAGTGACCCATCAGACATTAGAGCACAGTGAAGAACATGGGGAAAGAAGAGGGCTTGAACCCAGTGGTACATGTCGTACAATAATGGTCATAGCACCGGGCGCAGTGACTCAAGCCTGTAATCCCAGCACTTTGGGAGGCCGAGGTGGGAGGATCACGAGGTCAGGAGTTTGAGACCAGCCTGACCAATTTGATGAAACCCCGTCTCTGCTAAAAATACAAAAATTAGCCAGGCATGGTGGTGCTCGACTGTAGTCCCAGCTACCCGGGAGGCTGAGGCAGAGAATCACTTGAACCCGGGAGGCGGAGGTTGCATTGAGCCGAGATTGCGCCACTGCACTCCACTCCAGCCTGGCGACAGAGTGAGACTCCATCTGAAAAAAAAAAAAAAAAAATTGGTCATGGCAGGGGAAGTGAAAGTACAGTAACAAGGACAATACATGATCCAGGGAAGTTTACGTGACATGTAGGCATACAGAATTTCTAGAAGAGAATTCATTGAAATTGCTATAATTAGCAATAATTTCTTCTGGTATTACATGGGAATCTCCCTCTATGAAATATATCTATGACTCTTTACTATGCTCTCTGGAGTTATACTGGATAAATAAATATCCTTTTCAAGTATTTATGAAGAGCTATCACAGTGTGTTGCAACTCTGAAATCAAGGAAGCTCCCCTTCAATTTCTCATCTCTTTTTTGCTTCTCTCATTTTCTAGTCTAAATGATCTCTTACACTCTGCCAAGCATTCATGTACCCCATTTCTCCTGATTTCTGAATTCATTTTCTCCTCACAATAGAAAAATATTTAATGTTATTAATTATATTCACAACAAAACTCAGTTGCAATTGCACAGGAATTTTAAGGCAATAATAACGCAGGCACCTGTCGTCTTCACATACTTTAGCTTTATGTCACTTCAAGGAGTTAACACAATGGGAAACTCTAAATTTCTTGTAAATATTTCCATTTTGTGAGTTTAACTCTATCTCCAACAGTGGAACATCAGAATTGGGTGGGAGTGTATGCTAAAAAAACAGGTACCTTCACCACAAAAGTTGTGTTAGTCAGAGTAGGTTAACTATTCAACAAACATTTTCCAAATATCAATAGTTCGAGAAAATAAAAGTTTGTTTCTCATTCAAGTCAGAATCCAATATAGTTGACTGGGGAGACAAGATTCTAGTGGGTACACAAGAACCCAAGATATTTCAATATTTTGCTCTCTATTATCGTCTAGTGCTTTAGAATTATTTGCATGTTTCTCTGTATCCAAGCTGGAAACAGTTTTTCTTGAGTAGCATCCATAATTTCCATTCATATTCCATTACCAAGAACTCAATCAGACATCCTCACTTATCCAGAAAAAAGAGATCAGGAAACCATTTGGCTGTATGCCCAGGAAAGAGAGAAATAAGTTTGTAATCTTTGCCCCAGAAGCTTAGGTAATACTAGGCAGACATATATAGGTAGAATCAAATAAAGGCTACATATGTAGGGCTCCTGATCCAGAATCAGTGACACATGTATAAGAATGTTTGTACCATATATGTTACTGACTCTGATAGTGTTGAAATATAAAGAAGACTTACCATTCATAACATTGCAACAGAAAAGCCGCCTTGTTTAGAACTGCCTTCTTAGCATCTGTGTCTACTTTGGTACCTTGTGGAATCTCAATGAGTTTGCCAAATTAACTTGTGTACAATATAGAGCTAACAAAATTAAAACATGGATCTATATGGGCTGGCTATGACATGATAATATCTTTTGATATTCATGCTTATTATTTACCTTTATGTCTAATTATGATATAGGCTATAAAGTTGAATAAGAGTCTTAAATACTGCATAAATTAATGTTCTGTAAGGTTTATTTGATTGCAACAATAAACTGTAAAAATGTGCTAAGTCTCTCTAGTTTGATTGTCTGTAGACTACTCTTGGTTGGACAGTGCAGTAGATAAAACCTAGCAAAGTCAACAGAGATTTAATTAAGCCCAGTGTACTATACAGAAAGTGCTTTTGAACTAACTGCTTTGCACCTACCAGTCACAGATATATGTGAGAAGAAAAAGGAAGAAAATTACTAAACAAATTCAGCTACCCACATTTTGCTTAAGAATGGTCTAGCTGGCTCTTTCTCAGACTCTCTAGATATACTGGTCAAAACTTGATGTCAATATAGTCCCACAAAAATTGGCAAAATTTAGTTTCCATAGAATAAAAAAATTCTGAAAGGAGAGAGTCCTTCTTGTAGGAAAAATATTCTGGAATGTTACCAACTTCATATATTTCTCTCAAAAATACAATATATTTTTAATCTGGTTAAATCAAATAGTTTGAATAATGGTTTTAATTCTCCATTTCAAGACAGTTACTGTCACAGGAAAGACAATGAGGAAATTTGCTATGCATGAGGAAGGTAAATTATGAAATAGTGTATATGTGTCCAATGTTACATTTTGTGAAAATGCAAAATATTCTTTATCACAATACAATAATATATGTCACACAATAGCACACAGAATATTATATAAATATTCAAATATAAATATGTATTTATGAAGTTGAGCCATGTGAAATTGATGACTTTTTTAACCTATGAAATTCATAATTTCATATGGTTCAACCACACACACATGCGCACACACACACACACACACACACAGAAGCACACATGCAGATCCAATTTATTATCTCACAACATATCTTTTCATCAGAAATAGCCCAGCCAGATGGATTCATTAAACTCAAATTAGTAGTAAGGAAAGACAGACTCTTAAAATTAGATTAATGTTATGCTGACAGGGCTCTTTTGAAGAAGCTCTTTTTCCACTGAACTTGTGTGAGGGCCAAATTCACTGTCAATAAGCTATTTCTAACCAATTATGTGTTTTAAAAAAATTTTTTAACTGTCTATGTCATTACTAGGTGACTCAGAAATACCACTAATGGTACAGTAAATTTATCTAAAAATTTCCATAATAACTGCTGTTTGTTTAGAGATTTGTGACAGATTTTCAGGGGAAAAATCATTTAGAGTTATTAAGTAATGCCACAATCATTCTGAGTAATTTCAGAGACCTTTTAGTCACACCTACCAGTTAGACTGTGAGGTAGGGAAAAAAGAAATTTGCTAAACTAATATTCAGCTACCAGAGACAATGTTGTTTCCCAGACTGGAGACGCTGATGAACTGCTTCTGAAGGAAAAGTTTTAGAGAAGATCTTCCTTAACAAAATGTCACACAGGATTTCTAGGGCTGATAGAATACACATTTTAAAACAAGGGATATGTTTAATACCTTCTTTGTTCCCCTGATTTATCATTTGTGTTAAAATATTCCTTCAAATTTATTTACTCTCAGCTGCCTAATCTCATGGGCAGTCGCCAGTGAGGGATAATTTGAGCAAACCTAGGACATGAATCATGGAATGGAATCTGCGGGATAACTGACTGATCGCTTTCCCTAAGGACTGATTTTGCCGTCTTCATTATGCTCATATGTTGTACAGCAAGATACACGGTGAATAACAGATTCCATCAAAGGCATAGACAGAAAAACAAATCCACACATTCTCAGAATTGCAGTCTAAATGCTTCCTTTTTTAGCTTATTTTCTTTGCTAAATATCTTTACCAAGAATTTCTTCCCACTATATTTACTTGTAAAATGCGGAGTTAACTGTCCATGCACGCTGTGATCTGCGGTTTGATTGCAGTCACTGTCCCTATTTTGTTTCTATCCTGTATTTCCTGCTTCAACTCATAGTATATTTTAAACTTGGATTTTGTAGTAGATCTGGCATCTCAGTGGAATCTTGAAAAACTGAGCATTCCATAGGCTAGATCAACCAGTAGATTCCATGCTCCAGCCCTTTAAATATTTCTTGCATGAACACTTAACTTTCCTATCCCTTTCCCACTTTATCATGTTTTCCAGCCAACGTGACTATCCTGATTACATTGAGTCTCTGTTTATTTTGTGCCTGCACCTATGTAACTGATACGGATTGGAGCAAAACTTTGTTTTAAAATTATGACTACAACTCTCAACTGGGCCTTCTACAATATCAAGCAATCCTACTAAAGTTCCCTGATCAAATGGCGCTTCTCATCACTGGGATAATTATTTTACATTTTCTCTTATTTCCTCTTCTCAAATCTTTTTCAATCTATTTCATTATCGAGAGAATAGAGGCCCCAGAGAGAAATATCTCATACTCCCATTATTAATCTACTAGCTGATACTTATCTATCTTGGGGCAGTCTGTTTATTTTACATTACAATAGACAAACTTTTTATTTCTATTAAAACCATTCAGCATTGAAATTCATTACCTATTTTCTCTTGCTCTTTCAAGGAATTGGTTACTAATAGTATATTCTTTCTCCATTGTGTCTTAAGTCTTTACTCTTGCTTGGATCATTCTCTCCAGCCTAAAATCTCTTTAAGCAAACAAACAAACAAAAATGATTGTCTCCTTGTTTTTATATTTTCTGGGGTCTTGACCCTTTCCCTTTTCTTCTTTAGAGTAAAAATGACTGAAAAATTTGCCTAGCAACACTATTTCTACTTTCCTCTTTGCTTTTGGTCTTTAGCATGCCAACATGATCTCCGACTAAAACTGCTCATGTCAGGGAGAACTTCGAATACCACCCTGCCAAAACCAATAGGCAAGTTGAAGTCTTTATCCCACTCTCATCTTCAGTTGCACCAACTCTTATTTACCCAGTTTCTAATTGATACAGCCAGGTAATATAAAATTGATGATGCAGTTTTAATTTAAAAATAATTTTTAAAATTGTATTTTTGTTAAATTTACTTGAAAATACTTTTTATTCCATTGGTGGACCAATAATGAATTTCTTGGCATAAAACTAATTAGACAAGTTAGTCCACAGTGGGTGCTGGATTCAAATTTTTACCTTGAGTGAGTCTTTTACTTCTGGAAGAAATGCATTTTTAGCCAGGAATTAATTACTGTCTACTTATGGATTCTTGATAAGAAGACCTCAAGAATATCTGAACATTTGGGAAGAAAAGTGTCTTTACTAGTAATGTGAAAGACGAATAATTTCCCTGAAAATGTCACTTATTTTAGGTATAGGAAAGTGGCATTTTACTTGTGTATTATTTCTTAGTCAAAATATTTCGAATAGATTGAAGAATTTCTTTTGGTATTTACAACTACAATTAGCAAAAACTGAACAAACTAATAAAGCTTGGTGTCACAGAATTTTGATCTTAATTCTAGAGTCTCTTGAGTCTCAAACAATGTGAATAAGGTTATTAATGTTAAAGAAATAAAAATTGGAATTCAACATTACCAATTTAGATTCGAATTCTCAGTTATTTAAATTATGTTGTATATTTGCATATTTTATTTTGTTTAGAATTTCTAAATGGACTCATTCTACAACTTACATTGTTTTTTTTAAAATCAACTTAGAGTTTGAGGGGTTTTATTTATTTATTTTTAAATTTTTGAAAATAGATGCACAGCAATTGATACACTAAACACCCATCTTACCACTACACAAAGTTAAAATGATACTAACATTTTATCATATTTAAGGCATTGTTTAAATAAAATGATTATGTGCCCATAAAATGTAAGGCTTTTAGCCTCTCAACCAGTGAGAAGCTCACATATTCACCATATTTAGTACTTAAAAGAAGTTTAGGAATTTATATAAAATGTATATGGTATATCTTACTATATATACATTACAGTGCAACTCTTTCACTAAAAATATTTTTTAGTTCTTATCATGCTACTTCATTTAGTCCTTTTGTAGTACTGCATTATATAAAAATTTATATTTATTGCTCTTGTAATTTACAACTACCTCATTTCCAGTGTTCCACTATCTCAATGTTCTATTCATCTTAGAGACCACAGATTGTACTACAAAGAGGTTATAATAAATAAGAGAAAAAAACTTTAAACAATAAAAACAGATTGAAATAATATGAAAGAAGATCTACTAGGCAACTATGGACCAAAAGAACAGTAGGATTGCATTCTGAAAATCTGCCAAAACAAAATTTGAAGGAAAAATATGACACAGAAGAAAAAGAAAAGTAATATATAATGTTACAAGAAATACTATAATGAGAACATATTATTGATAACTTTTTACTATACATCATACAACAAGAAATATATAGTCAGATTTAGTTGATGAATCAAGTACACAAATATAAACAGAAACATTGAAGATCTAAAAATAGAATTGCTGAATTCAAGGTATCACACATAAAAAACAGAATTGTTCTTTTCAAGTGCGCATGGACTATTAAGGAAACTATGTTTAAGGTGACAAAAACAGCCTCAATGGACATTACAAAATCAATTTTATAGAAATGATGTATATAAAGTATATCACAATGGAAGAGTCAATGTAATTTTAATATATAATGAAACTATATTATAAATGTTTGAAAAGACATGGAAAGCAAAAAAATACAAAATTCAGTATAATAGAGGTCAAAACAAACAATTAATAGAATTGAAATTTAATAAAATTTAATACATGTTTCCTATAAAATATATATGTATGCTTGATCATACCTCTAATAAAACTGATCAAGAAAAAAAGAAGATAATGTATAGATTTTAAATGGATAACTGTAAACACAATAAACATTAAGCATTATAAAATACAATAATATGCTTCAGAATCTAGTGAAATAGCTAAATTTATAGAAAATATTAAATATTTGTCAGAAGAAATAAAAAATTTAATAACAAAATATTATCAAAACTTTTAAATGTGTCAGAAATACCCAGTTCCAAACGATATTGAAGTTGAGTTCTATTATACTTTCGAAGAACACTTTATTCCTGCAACAAACAAGTTGTTACAATAAAAAACTTAGAAAGAGCAAAAGCGACTCAGTTTATTTTATGAACGCAATGGAATGATACCTTCTAAGTCAGAAAACTCTCATTTTACTTTTGAACAAATTAGCAGCAGCAAGAAAGGCCCTGTAGGCACTCCTGGTCTCCAGGGAAGCCCAGGGAAGCCATTTCTGACTTTATCTCACAGGGGTCTTTAGGGAGGGCTGCCAGTCTAATTGGGGAAGAACCACAGGGAGAAGGAAACTTCCAGCAGAGCTTTGTAATAATTTAGACTAAGCATGAATTTTCCTGGGCAGAATCCAAGGGAGCAGGGGCAAATGGGAAGTCCAGGTATGAAACAGAAGCTGTGACACGTGGGGAGCGGTGGGGACTGAAAGCACTGCTTGCTTTCTCAGAGGGATACTTGCAGCCTGGGGCACGATATCAGCCCTGTTCACTGGCTTCCTGGATATAAACTCAGTGCTGTTGGTGGGGCACCATAGGAGTGAGATGGGCTTTGCTGGCTGCATGGAACCTGGGTGAGGCCTGTCACTACTGGCTTTTCCCTACTTCCCTGGAAACCTGTATGACACAGCAACAGCAGCCATAATCCCCTCCTGGAAACATAACTTCACTGGCCTGAGAACCACACACCTGTCCCCACAGCTGCCAAAGCAAGCCCTGCCCAAGGAGAGTCTGAGCTCAGACATGTCTAACCCTGCCTGCACTTGATGGTCTTTCTCTACTTGCCCTGGTAGCTGAAGTCAAAAGACATAATCTCTTGGGTGCTCTATACCTACCACACCATGCCCTGAGAAACCTGAATACTTACCCAGGCAGCCTTAAGGCAAGCTTGTATCCCCCATACTACTGCAACTGATGCTCTCTTGAAGACACCACCTCCTAGCTGGAAGCCAACCAACTCAAGTCATTACAGCAACTCATAAAAGAACAACTCTGCTCCAAGAAAGGAGAAAACAGCAGTGAATTCTACTGCCTGTAACATCCTGGCTAGCCAGGAGTCTTGTGTCTGTTTATGTGGCAGCTTAAAGTCTAGCACAACCAGCATTTGAGAAAACCAGCACACTAAATAAACGACAACCAAGGACTCCCACAGAGTCCACTTCACTCCCCTGCCACCTCCACTAGAGGAAGTGCACGTATCCACAGCTGAGAGACCTGAAGAAGGATCACATCACAGGACTGAGCTTGGTAGCTCTGCTGAGTGGCTAGACCCAGAAGAACAAAAACAATCACTGCAGTTTGGCTCTCAGGAAGCCCCATTTATAGGGGAAAGGGGAGAGCACCATATCAAGCGATCACCTCATGGAACGAAGTAATCTGAACAGCAGCTCTTGATCCCAAGAATTTTCCTTTGGCATAGTCTACCCAAATGAGAAGAAACCAGAAAAACAATTCTGGTAATATGACAAAGCAAGGTATTTTTTTTCACCCCCCCAAAACAGTAGCAATGGATTCAACCAAGAAGAAATCACCGAATTTCCACAAAAAAGAATTCAGAAGGTTGATTATTAAGCTACTTAGGGAGGCACAGGAGAAAGATGAAAACCAACTTAAAAAATTAAAGAATTAATGCACGATATTGGTGAATAAACCTCCAAAGAAACAGATGGCATAAATAAAAAACAATCACAACTTCTAGAAATGAAAGACAAACTGAGAGAAATGCAAAATAAATTGAAAAGTTTCAACAATAGAATCAAACAAGTAGAAGAATTTCAGAGCTTGAAGACAAGGCTTTTAACCTAATCCAACGAAGACAATGAAAAAAAGAATTAAAAAAAATAAGCAAAGCCTCAAGAAGTTTTGGTTATGTTAAATGACCAAACCTAAGAATAATTGGTGCTCCCAAGGAAGAAGAAAAGTCTAAAAGTTTGGAAAACTTGTTTGAGGGAATAATTTCTTTAGTAAATCAAATGTGCTCTGAAAGGAGTAACTAGGGATACCTAATTCCTTCAGGACCTAAGTAATTGTGATAGAGATTCCTGTTGACCACTTAATATACTAGCCAGGTGTGCCGGGTCCTGAGTGTTGGCTTGTGAGATCCACAAAGCCATCAGGTATTGCTGTTTGGGTCAGTAGAACTATGAAAAATTGTAAGCAGGTTGTATATAAAATATATATGTGGAATGAAACTTGACTAATCTCCAACATAGACCATATAAAGAGTAGTCTCATGCCTTTCCTGCAGTGGTGGCTTCACTTATTGTATTGCAAACATCAAAAACCACTTTGTAAACTTGTTTGGTAATGCTTCTTAGGCTTTGGAATAAATATTTTATTATGAATTAGCTCTGAAAATAATGCTTGTATTTAATAAAAAATTAAGTACTTAATGCTAGCCTCTCAAGACTGTGAGTGTACAGCTTGCACAAATATCTATTGACATTTATCATTCACCATAGAAACCACTTTGTATGTCACTGGTTACATGAAAACTAGTAGGTAGAAATCTGCAGAAGAAACATTAGACTCTATTGCAAAAGTTAGTAGTTGATATAAGAAAACTGAATTCAGAGACACATATGAGTACAGAAAGTGCAGGCACATATCACTCTATAAAACATGACCTTTCATTTAGATCTAATTGTGTTTTCATTCACAAATTTCATTCACTTTATAATTTAAGTTTACGTATGAAAAATGAAGAAATAGCTACTATGGTGTTGTGTCCATTGACAGAAAAATATTTCAGCAGATCTAATTTATTCCATATCTACATCTGTGTCACAGATGCTTTAAAGAGAAGGTCAGTTAATTCCAAAAAGTTTTATTTTAATTTTATGCAGTTAAAGATATCAAAGCAAACCTTTTAAAGTTTATTCTGTCAAAACTAAATTAACTGACATTACTTTGAATGTTGTTATAAATGTAGTTCGGAAGTTAAAATATTGAGAAATGTATTTATGAACTTGGAGAAATAAAAAAATATTAAATACATTAAAATAAAACGAAAACATATGCATAGCAAAATATTTTATTAAAAATATTTAAAAATTAAGGCCAGGCATGGTGGCTCATGCCTGTAATCCCAGCATTTTAGGAGACTGAGATGGGAGGATCACCTGAGGTCAGGAGTTCAAGACCAGGCTGACCAACATGGTGAAACCCCGTCTCAATCAAAAATACAAAAATTAGCTGGGCAGGGTGATGGATGCCTGTAATCCAAGCTACTCGGGAGGCTGAGGCAGGAGAATCGCTTGAACCTGGGAAGCGGAGGTTGTAGTGAGCAAGATAGTGCCATTGCACTCCAGCCTGGGCAACAAAAGCAAAATTTCATCTAATTAATAAATAAATAATAAAAATTGAAAAATTATTTAAAATGTTTACAGAATACATTTCAAACTGTATCAATGTATTTGGGATGAAAATAACAGACAAAGCCATAGTATTTGAAGTCCATATGAAAGATTTATAGATCTTTAAGATAAAAACACAAAACAGTTAAAGTATAAGCAGAAGACACAAATGGGTATTTTATAATAAAGGAAAAAGGCGTGGCTTATACAATAGGAAAACTCAACCTTGTACACAGTCAATGATTTACAAATTGAATCATAACGAAACATTATTTTATTCCTACCGTATTAAAATAAATGAAAAAGCCTGCAGTATCAAGTGTTAGTTAGGCCACGGAGAAATGTTTGACAATATGTACCTGGTGGAATATATAAGAATATTTAGAATTGAATTGTTTTTATGAAAAGGCTCTATGGTCTATCAATCTAAGAACAAATAAACAAATTGTAGTGAATTAATAAAATACTATAAAGTTTTGAAAATAAATAAATTAAAACTTTATGTAGCAACATAAATTTCACCAGCATAATGTTTAGTGAAATAAACAAGTCACAAAAGGACACATAAGCAAGTTATAGAAGGATATATTTTAAATATGTATGAGACATTGTACTAAATATTTGTACAAAGAAAAAAAGCAACAGAATGCAAGCACAAAATTCACAATGGTGGATTCCTCTGCTGTGACTACAAGAGATGACATTAAGGAGATATGTAGATGGAACCTTAATAGATATAGCACCATTCTATATTCAAAATTAGACATATGAGTATTTACTGTAATACTCTTTATGTACTTTATGAGATATTATACATCATCTCTTTAATATTTTAAATATTTCTTAAAAGTTTTACTGTACAAATAAGAATTTGGGTACATGTACAAATTCAACATAAGTAATAATCCTTGCATTGAAATAAAACTATCTCCCAACTGCCAATGTAAGAAGCATGTCAAAATTTTGAGCATTAAAAAGACAATAAGTAAAGAATATAAAAGACCAGAATATATACAGATGAAATGTCAGTTAGTGTCAATTAGTGAGCAGGAACATTTTGCCGAGGAATTATCTGTGGTCAACCAATGATGGAATATAATGAAAAAAAAATAAGATACAGGAAGGGCATATATAAATAAGTAAAAACATCCACATAATAAGAGTCTTAAAAAGAAAAAAACATATATAATATACATGTGCATATAAAGACATAAAATATTTGAATAAATTATAACTAAATTTCTCTTAAAA
The DNA here is from genome assembly GCF_000001405.40 of Homo sapiens. Classification (NCBI taxonomy): domain Eukaryota; kingdom Metazoa; phylum Chordata; class Mammalia; order Primates; family Hominidae; genus Homo; species Homo sapiens. The sequence goes on along the minus strand of NC_000014.9, from coordinate 86,566,675 downwards.
TCAAATAAATAATACGTAGCAATTAGCATTTCCCATGTACCAGGCACTGAGACCTTTTCACATGTTAATTGATTTAACACTCAGAAATCCATATGAGAAAAATATTATTATTGACTACATTTTACATAAGAGGCAAGGGAGGAAGACAGAAAGTCATACTTTGGGTAGTGATTGCACCACAGTTTGAACTAAAACAGTCTACTTTGAGCCAGTGCTGTTAACCATGGTAAATTCTCTAAAAATATATCATCAATCTCCTAAGAAATAGGAATCAATGCATATTTGCATATTTTTTAACTTGATGAAGGTTGTTGACCCAAATATACAACAAATATAAAATTTCTGTAGAAACTTCAGATATATTTTCTTTAAGATTAGTGGCAAGACAACTTGACTTGTATCACCAATTTTTTAATATATTACTGGAACTCCCCCAATACAATAACACAAGAAAGAGAAAAAGAAAAGAGGTGTAAAGATTGGAAAGGGAGATATAAAACTCTCAATATGGGCAGACAGTGTGATTCTTTACACAGAAAAAAACACCAGAAGTCAGAAATCATTCCAAGTACATGATATTTCAACAAGACCCTCAGATTCATGTACACCTTTGAAAAACAATTATAATTCTCTATAATCACAGTAATCATCTTAGAAATACATAATATATAATTTAGAGTTAGAACAAAAAACATCAAATGTATCACAATTGACTTATATAATGCACAGTGTATATGTGGGGAATAAAATTTAAATAACACAAAAATTATGTACAAATGAAGATACACATGTTTATGAATGCAGAAAATTAATTGTGTGAAGATGTCAATTCCCCCACAATAAATGTATCAATTCAGGTTGTCAGCAATATTCTGGCTAGTTTTTATAAATTGAATAAAATCATTTAAAATTTATACAAAAGAATCAAGATTTTGAATAGTACAGATACATATCATAATATGCCAAAAACACATTATAAAAAATGTAAAGTACTCCTGAAGGAACTGAAAAATAGGACCAAAAAATGATTAAAGATCTCTTAGGAATTATATATAATGGGAAATTGATATCTGATAAGGCAGCACCACAGTAAAGGGAGATAAAGTATAAACTCTTAGGAAACAAATATTATTGGGAAAACTGGCTCAAAATATAAAAAATAAAATCAAACTACATACTTATCTTGTTATCTATCATCATGCACTCTATTTGGATTAAACTTAAACATGGATGTTACAGCGACAAAATTAATAGAAGTAATATATGTGTATATACATATGTATTTTTTAATAGAAGAAAATGTATGTGTATATTGTTGTGACCCTTGAGTATAGATAATTTCTTCAAAAAAATCTAAAAGGCATAAATCATAAGGAAAAAATTTGATGTGTATATGATTCTATCCAAAATAAGAATTGCTATTCACATATGGTTAATATAGACCTTGATGTAGCAGGAGACCCCAAATCTCCTTTTAACAATAAATATTGTGTAAAGCTCTCCTTTCTATGCTCACAAAAATGTATACTATAACTCAATATCAAATATAATTTTTAAAAGTATAATATATTACTCTAATATAAGGTGAAGTAGAATAATTTAAATTTATAATGATCTATTCAGTATTTGAAATGGTAAATTGTTTGTCAAGGCTATATTAGCATCTATGTATAGAATTACTATGACTTCAAAGCTACAAATGTTAATTTATGAATGGATGTTTCAATGTATATTCAAACACCAAGAGGTTCATTAGTGTCCATGATTTGATTTTCAAAAATGATCAACATTTTTTGGTAAGGTTCCCCACAATGCTTTCATAAATTTGTATTATAGGTGCATTTCTGGGGAAAACAGTGTATACGAAAAACTATTCAAAATTACTTTGTGGTATATTTAAAATGGAGTTCAGTTTTAGGATCAAATAATTCTAAGTATTTTCTAGTCAAATAATTACCTAGTGAAACATATCAAAGTTTTGTAGAAAATCTAGTTTCCCTGGTTCTAACCCACAACATGCCAATATAACTCCCCCCAATCACCAAGATAACACAAAATGTCTCCCCATATTTCCAAAATTCCAAGGGGAAAAATCCGTGTCCTTTGATAACCACTACCTTAGACTGAGTTAACAAACGATAGATTGGAAAATGCCATCTCCCACCTTGAAACTCAGATATATTTTATATTTAAGGCTATAAGAAACCTTCCTGAAAATGAATAATAAATTTAAAGAAAACAAAAACAATGTGCAAAAATTAAAAACATTCCTTTATACCAACAATAGGCAAGCAGACAGCCAAATCATTAATGAACTCTCATTCACAATCACTAAAATGTGACTGAAATACCTAGGAATACAGCTAACAAGGGATGTGAAGGAACTCTTCGAGAACTACAAACCACTGCTCAAGGAAATAAGAGACAACACAAACAAATGCAAAGCATTACATCCTCATGAAGAATCAATATCATTAAAATGGCCATACTGCCCAAAGTAATTTATAGATTCAATGCTATTCCTATCAAACTACCATTGACATTCTTCACAGAATTAGAAAAAAAACTATTTTAAATTTCATATGGAATCAGAGAAGACCCTGTACAACTAACACAATCCTAAGCAAAAAGAACAAAGCTGGAGGTGTCACGCTACCTGGCTTCAAACTATACTACAAGGCTATAGGAACCAAAACAGCATGGTAATGGTACCAAAACAGACATGACCAATGGAGCAGAACAGAGACCTCAGAAATAACACCACACATCTAAAACCATCTGATCTTCGACAAACCTGACAAAAGCAAGCAATGGGTAAAGGATCTCCTATTCAGTAAATGGTGCTGGGAAAACTGGCTAGCCATATGCAGAAGACTGAAACTGGACCCCTTCCTTATACTTTATACAAAAATTAACTCAAAATGGATTAAAGACTTAAATGTAAAACCCAAAAATGTGAAAACCCTAGAAGAAAACCTAGTCAATACCATTCAGGACATAGGCATGGGCAAAGACTTCATAACTAAAATGCCAAAAGCAATTTCAACAAAAGCTAAAACTAACAAATGGGATCTAATTAAACTAAAGAGCTTCTGCACAGCAAAAGAAACTATCATCAGAGTGAACAGGCAACCTACAGAATGGGAGAAAATTTTTGCAATCTACCGATCTGACAAAGGTCTAATATCCAGAATTTACAAGGAAGTTAAACATACTTACAAGAAAAAAACAACCCCATCGAAAAGTGGGCAAAGAATATGAATAGACACTTCTCAAAAGAAGACATTAATGAGGCCAACAAACATAGGAAAAAAGCTCAGCATCACTGATCATCAGAGAAATGCAAATCAAAACCACAATGAGATACCACTTCATGCCAATCAGAATGAGGATGATCAAAAAGTCAGGAAACAATAGATGCTGGCGAGGCTGTGGAGAAATAGGAACGCTTTTACACTGTTGATGAGAGTGTAAATTAGTTCAGCCATTATGGAAGACAGTATGGCGATTCCCCAAGGATCTAGAAGCAGAAATATCATATGATCCAGCAATCCCATTACTGGGTATATACCCAAAATAATATAAATCATTCTACTATAAAGACACATGCACACATGTTTATTCCAGCACTATTTACAATAGCAAAAATGTGGAACCACCCCAAATGTCCGTCAAAGATAGACTGGATAAATAAAATGTGGTACGTATACACATGTAATACTATGCAGCCATAAAAAGGAATGAGATCATGTCCTTTGCAGGGACATGGATGAAGCTGGAAGCCATCATCCTTAGCAAACTAACACAAGAACAGAAAACCAAACATTGCATATTCTCACTCATAAGTGGTAGTTGAACTTTGTGAATAGATGGACACAGAGGGGAACAACACACACCAGAGCCTGTTGGGGGGTGGGGGGCGCGGGGAGGGAAGTTAGAGGACGGGTTAATAGGTGCAGCAAACCACCAAGGTACACGTATACCTATGTAACAAACCTGCACCTTCTGCACATGTATCCAGTATTTTTTTTAAAAAAAAGAAATAAAGAAAAAAAACAGTACATATTCTGATTTCTCAGAATGTGAAAACTGAATGGATAAGAGAATAAGAAATGTCAAACTCCTTAGTGATCAGGAAAATCCAAATGAAAGCCAACAACGAAATCTAGCTTTGCACATCTGATTGGCATAAAGTAAAAATTAGATTAGCTAACTGTTGAGAAAAGTATACATAAGCAGGGGATATTGAGCTCTGCTAGTTGACTGTAACTTAGTACAGATCTTCTAAAGAGCTATCTGTCAGTAATTAGCCAAATTAACTATGAACTTGCTCTGTGATTCAAAAATTATAGTCCCTAGAAGGACAGAAAGAACAAGCATGTCACAAGATCCATGTTTCCTGTTTGATGGCATTGGATTTGCCTAGGACATAGGAGGCAAAGACCTTTGCTAAATGGGAAGGTTCAATATATTTGAGGCATGTTGAGAAAGTATAAATAATCATAGTCATTGTGACCAGTGAGAAATATTTTATTCAGGAAAACAGACAGATTTCAGAGGAATAATTTTTCCCGATGCCATTCTTTATTTTCTCTAGCAGATTGCCAAATTCGGTGTACTTCAGATTGTCTGGGACTTCAGAATATTTAAGACTATCAGCTAAGGTCTGATATGTGAAAATAATTTGAAATCTGGAAATAGTACAGGGAAGAAATAAATTCCAGGAAGGCAGACCAGGGAGAGCTTCAGAGAGGAGATAATAATGTCTGCCCTCACAGCTGATTAGGCATATAAGAAGGAAAGACAATGCAGTACAAGGAAGGAGGAGAAGCAAAGACTGGAAAATGAAAAACAGCATAAAATATTCCTGAAATCTGCCGTTTAATGTAACTAGAGCACGAAATGCTAGATTTGGGAACACGAGGGTAACGAAAGAGGAAAAAAAACTGTACTTTCTCAGACAGATTGTATGCTGTAACTCTAACTACGTGTCTGTATAATTATGAGTCCATAGAGTTAAGTATATCTATCTGTCTGCCCATCTATCTTCCTATCTAGCTGTCTATTCCTTAATGACAATTTATCTCCATGACATTGTTTTAAATAAATAACATTACCTTGAATTTTTTGTTTTAGTTTCCCAAAAACAAAAGAATCCAAATTATTAGGATGTAAGTTACAAATCAAATTTGTAAAAAGATTTAGTATGGAATCAGAGAACAGAGAAGGACAACGTTGCTTTAGAAATAGAGTTTCTTAAACATTGTTTTTCAATATTTACAAAAAGCCTCTGCTTCGCAATCATTTTGTGTTCTTGAAATATGCTGAATCCTATTAAAAATGCATATATAGATGCATTTTATTTTCCACTGCCACTCACATGACCTCATTCATTGTAATTTATAAATTTTGCAGAGGAATGATATGCCAAAATGCATAAAGTGAGCTCAATTGTATCTTTACCCAAACTGCAATTTCTTTTACCAATTAAATAATTTTATTGGACAAAATACATGGAATAATTAATAAGCCAATAAAATTATGGGAATACAAAATGAGATCAGCATAATTATATAACTTCTTTGGAATATAGTTTCTAATATTTTCTAATCCATTGAGAATTACTGGGTTTTATTTTCAGTTATAAACATTAATGTTTTAAATTTGCCAGTATGTTATATGAATGCTATTTAATACTTGGCTAACGTAAAAGGCATCCCACCAAAATTTCTTTCATTGGAGATTGTTAATGAAGACCACCAAACTACAGAGAAACAAATACTCTGACATTCTTCTAGGAATAAACTTTCCTCAAGAGTTCTGTTTCATATTAGCATATTACCATCATGAGAATGGACTTACCTCTAATTACAAGGAAAAGGTTGGGAAGGGAACATTTTTCACCCACCAAGTTAAATACCAGAAGAAAAGCAAAGTCTTTCTCTCAAATATTATCAGTAAACATTTTAACTGCTTTTAATTTAATCTCATATGTCAAATAAACTTTGGGATTTCCGTCTAAGAATGTGCATTGCCTATGGAGTCGGCCATGAGGTGGTGGTGAGAAGGAGCTCGGGAAAGAAAGTCTGTAAACCCAGGTTTCACCCCCCAGGTCTGTCTCTGATGTGTTTTAAAGTCATTTTTACTGCTCTGGAGCCTCAATATTGTCATATAGGAGTCAAAACAATTCTGTGGATTTCACCCTGATTTAATCAGAGATGCTCTTTATACATTTTATGTACAGGCTTCTCTCTAAAATGTTGTTTTGAAATAGATCTCCCCTAAAAAAGAAAAATGTGAGTGGAAAGTAGGTTCTATGAGGGGTTTCCTGTTCTAATGTCATTAGAACTTCTAAATACTACAGCTTTCCCTATCCTGGATTTTTATTGGTTCCATTGTCGGTTAAATTCCTTATCATGAAGCAGACATACAGTGATTTGGTCTGTGACCTAGCTGTGGAAGTACAGGCAACAGTGGGGATGTGGTGATAGGTTCATGTGGTTGTTTGGACGGATAAAATTTTCATTACCAATCTGTGGGGAAGCTAGGCATGCACAGTAAGACAAAAAACCAAAACAAACTATTTTTGAAGATCCAGATGGCTAGATAAATTTTCAGACCTTAAAAGTCAATAGGTCCCAGTTACCAGGTCAAAACTCTCTGACAAAAGATATTGACATGAATATGAGGGTCCAAGTGCTGGAGAAACTAGGCAAGTTAATAATGTAACTTATAACTTTATGTACTTGAGTATAACTCGAGGACATAAAGATGTAGCAAGTATAGAGTTTTAAACTTGTGCCACATGCCAGGTTTATTATTACACAAAGAAAAACAAGATCCAAAGTTCCTATTGTTGGGTTGCAACACAAAACTAACTATATAATTCTATTGCTATAGAATAAGGAGGCAAAAAATATTGGGAGACAGTTATCGGTCTCTGCCAGAGGTCCTGTGATGGTTAATGTTGTGTTAACTTGACTGGGCTAAGAGTTACCCAGGCTGGCATAACATTGTTGCTAGTTGTGTCTGCAAGATTGATATTTGTTATCAGTAGACTGACTAGGGAAGATCCACCCTCATTAATGTGAGTGGACATCATGCAATACCTTGAGGGTCTACATAGAGCAAAAAAGGTGCAGAAAGAATACGTTTGCTTGCTGTTTGACTTGGGATTTTTTTTTTTTTTTTTTTTTTTGGCCATCAGGTATCACACTCCTGGTTTTCAAACCTTTAGACGCAAACTGTATTACCTCACTGGCTTTCCTGGTTCTTCAGTTTGCAGACACCGAGCAGATGATGGGACTTTTTTGCTTTTATTTTTTTGAGACGGAGTCTTGCTCAGTTGCCCAGGCTGGAGTGCAGTGGCGCTATCCCCGCTCACTGCAAGCTCCGCCTCCAGGGTTCATGCCATTCTCCTGCCTCAGCCTCTCGAGTAGCTGGGACTACAGGCGCCCGCCACCATGCCCAGCTCATTTTTTTTTTATTTTTTTTTTATTTTTAGTAGAGACGGGGTTTCACCATGTTAGCCATGATGGTCTCAATCTCCTGACTTTGTGATCCACCCACCTCAGCCTCCCAAGGTGCTGGGATTACAGGCGTGAGCCACCGCACCCAGCCGATGGGACTTCTTAATCACCATAATTGTGTGAGCCAATTTCAATTAACTCCTGTAATAAATCTCCTTGTGTTTATGTTTATATGTGAGGAGATTTATATTGGGTATATATTCTGTTTCTCTGAGAACCCCCGACTAATAGACACTGTATGTAGTTGGGGGTCAGTGGTTTCAGACCTAGAAAAGAATTGTGCAAAGTGTGGGAACAGGAACAGTGCAAACACACTTGACCAACAGCAAGGATGTATCTCGTCTTCCTCACCTTATGAAAAATCCAATGCAACATGCATCTTGACTTTTTGTGTGTTCTTCCAGTAAACCTAATTGTTTATACAAAACAGTGGATGTTAGCATGCATGTTCATGTGTGTGCGTATCGAAGTTTCTCTGAGAACATACTACGAGAGTAATAATTCTCATATGTAAAAACAAAACCAAAAAAACTGTGATCTAAAGCAAAATAGCAGCTACATAATCTTTCACTAATAGCAACATTAGTAATGGCTTTTTAAAGCCTCACTTTTCACTGTAGAACAAATAGAATTATAAACACCCATTCCGAACCTGATGTGTATATGATAAAGGATTTTTATATCTCCAAAGGAATCACACCCATACACAAAATGTGAACACAGGTGCATACATATATTTAGAAAAAAACTTCAGTTTTCTATAAAACCATTCCTTTGTATTCTTGACATAGAGAAGAATTTTGAAAAGAATACTTTATTTATCAGTAGAATCACATGTTATTTCTATCAGAAATGAAACATTATTTCTATCATGTGCTATTTGACATCAGGATCACTTATTTTCTATACATCTAAGAAATTACCTATACATTTTCCTCCAGCGATAGTTAAACTAGGGTTCCCTAAGTGTAGTGCTCAGGGCTCTGGCAACCACTTTTGGGTGTCCCAATCTTGACTCTATCTCAATCTCCAATTCAAAATTCCTGGGAAATTTTGAAATTTAAATACTTGAAATTTGAAAACTTGAAATTTGAAAATTTGAAATTTGCAATGGTGTGCTTTGCCACACACCCATAAACACTACTTATCAAAACGTCTCCATAATAGTCTTCCTGCCAACTCCTGTTGCCTGGATTTATTTACCAATACAGAATTCTTTCCAAATAAACAAATTGTACACATAAGCATGAATAATTATTTCTTGTAACTATTCTTAATGAATAATATTAAGGGATGGGGGATGAGAAGCAGAGTGATAACTTCCAATTAACAGAAAAAGGTAAGCGAATCTAAAAACTAATTAGCAGCACAGATGACTCTCGCAGAAATACTTGCAGAAAAACTGTATTATGAAGGTCACTTAAAGGGAATACACTTAAAGTTGACTTCCAGCTTTCCAGCATTTCCATAATCAAATGAACATCTTATTTCTCAGTGTGTTTTTGCTGTCAAGGAGCCAAAAACTTAGAATAATTTTTATGTGCTTTTTTTAATCTTAGATTTTATTTTTAATTGGTACATAATACTTGTACAGATTTATGGGTATAGTGTGATGTCTTGATACATGTATACCTTGTGTAAAAATCAAATTAGGGTATTTAGCTTATCTATGACCTCAAATATTTATCATTATTTTGTGGTGAGGACTTTCACATTCTCTCTTCTGATATTGTTAACTATATCCATCCTACTGTGCAATAGAACATCAGAACTTATTTCTGTTATATATCTGTAATGTTGTATCTGTTGAACAATCTTTCCCCATTCCTTCCTACTCCCTACTCTTCTCAGCCACTGTCAAGCGTTACTCTACTCTGTAATTCTATGAGATCAGCTTTTTAAAATTCCACGAATGTGTGACATCATGCTGTACTCGGTTTTCTGTTCTTGTATTTTCAGTTAACACAATGTCATCAAAGTTTATCCATGTTACCATCAATGACAGGATTTCATTCATTTTTGTTGATGATTAGTATTTCTGTGTGTGTGTGTATATATATATATTTTTTCTTTATCTGTTCATCTGTTGATAGACACTTGTGTTGATTTCATATCTTCTCTATGAAGAATAATGTTGCAATGAACATGAGGGTGCAGCTATCTCTTGGACATACTGATTTCATTTCTTTTGGATACATATACAGTAGTGGGATTGCTGGCTCATATGATAGTTCTATTTTTAATTTTTTGAGGGACCTCCATATTATTTTTCATAATGCCAACATTAATTTACATTCCCAACAGTGTATAAGGGTTCCTATTTCTCCACATCCAGACTAGCATTTGTTATTTTTTAATCTTTTTTATTATAGCCATTCTAACTAAGGTGAGATGATATTTCATTGTGGCTTTGATTTGCACTTACCTGATGATTGATGATGCTTAGCATTTTTTATATTCGTACTGGATTTTTGTATGTTTTCCTTGAAGAAATATTTATTCAGGTATTTTGCCCATTTCAAAATAAGATTTTTTTTTTTGCTATAGAATTGTCTGAGTTCCTTATATATTCTAGATATTATCCTTGCCAGGTGCATAATTTGCAAGTATTTTCTCTGATTCTCCAAGTTGTCTGTTTAGACAAAGATTATTTTCTTTGTTTAGCAAAATCTTTTTAGTTTGATTTAAACCCATTTTTCTTTTTTTGCTTTTGTTGCCTGAGCTTTTGAGTTTTTATCCAAAGAATTATTGCCCAAGCTAAGTTCATGAAACATTTTCTTTATGTTTTCTTATAGTAGTTTTATAGGTTCAGGTCTTACATTTAAATCTGTAATCCATTTTGAGTTGACGTTTGTATATGGTAAGAGATAATGATCTTTTATTCTTCTGCATGTGGATATCCAATTTTTACAGCACCATTTTTGAGGAGACTGTTCTTTCCCCACTGTGTGTTCTTGGTATCTTTGTTAAAAATCAATTGGCTATAGTGAGTTTATTTCTGTGTCCTTTATTCTGATACATTGTTCTGTGTCCATTTCTTATGCCAGTATCATGGTGTCTTGGTTACTAAAATAGAAATTCTTTCAAACTCATTCTATGATGCTGGTATTACCCTGATACCAAAACCAGACAAGGACATAACAAAAAAGAAAATATAGGCCAACATCGCTGACAAACATTGATGCAAAAATCTGACAAAATGCTAGAAAAACTAATTCAATAGCACATTAGGATGACCATTTACCACGATCGAGTGAGATTCATCAAGGATGGGTCAACATATTCAAATCAATAAATATGAAATATTATTTCAACAGAATCAATTACAAAAGTATATAATCTTTTCAATAAATGCAGGAAAAGCATTTGATAAAATTCAACTTCACTTCATAATAAAAACTCTCAATAAATTAGCTGTAGAATTAACATACCTCAACACAATAAAAGCCATATATGACAAATTCATAGCTAACATCATACTGAATGGGGAATAGTTAAACTCTTTCCTCTAAGATCTGGAACAATATAAGGATGGTTACTTTCATCTTTTATTTAACATAGTACCAGAAGTCCTAGCCAGAGCAATTAGTCTAGAGAAAGAAATAAAGGGAATCCAAATTAGAAAGGAGGAAGTCAAATTATCCTTCTTTACAGATGACCTGATCTTATATATAGAAAACTTTAAAGAATATAGCAAAAAACTTTTAGAACTAATAAATGAATTCAGTAAAGTTGTAGGATACAAAACCTACATGCAAAAATCAGTAGTGTTTCTATACACCAATAGCAAACTATATAAAAAAGAAATCAAGAAAGTAAAACAACCCTATTTATTATAGCCCCAAAATAATACCTAGGAATAAATTTAGCCAAGGAGGTGAACGATCTCGATAATAAAACGTATAAAACATTGATGAAAAAATTGAAGAGGACACGAATAAATTGAAAGATATCCAATGTTCATGGATTAGATGAATTGATATTGTTAAAAAGTCCATGCTACCCAAAGCGATCTACAGATTTTATGCAATCCCTATCAAAATACTAATGACATTCTTCACAGAAATAGAAAAAATAATCCTAAAATTTATATGGAACTGCAAAAGATCTCCAGTGGCCAAATAAGTCCTGATCAAAATGAACAAAGCAACTTAGAGCAATTTTTAAAAGAAGTTTAGGATGGAGAAATGCTAAGTCATTCATATTGTCTTGTTAGGGAAAAATAGATGTGCATACATCACACACATCACACACACACACACACACACACACACACACACACGGAGGTACTTGGCATTGTTTTTTAGTTGCTTTAACTATATGTGTCTGGGTAAGAAGGGTCTCTGTCCTTGGGACATTTGAAATGTCCCTGTTTTCCAAATGTCCGTAGATTTGCCTTGGAGATATGATTTGAAATTGTTAGCCTCCATGACAGACCTCTCATTTTTGTCTTTTTAAAAATCTTAATATACTCAAATTAACAACAGAGTGTTCTAGTTAGTAACACAAATTGCATTCTGAGACTCAACAAAAAAGGTTTTGTGTTTGCTTTAAATTCTTAAGAATATTTAACATGGATTACATAAATTAATAGCATACTCATTTGTATAGAAATTGTTGCTGCTGTTACTTAATGCTGTGTTCTCAAATATCATGGCAGTCTGTGTTACTGTCACTGCTTATTTAGAAATTTTTTTCCAAGGGAGACTGCAACCCAATGAAGGCAGAATTGTGTCACTCATTCACTTTTTCGTGACAATGTCTAGCACAATGCCAGTGTAGAGTCACAAACATATTTGCTGAGTGAGGTATTAATTATGTGACATTGAAAAAGCATGAGAATACTGCACAAGCAAATTACATACAGAACACAAGTAACACACAAAATCTATAATTCTCTGTATAGGAATGAAACAATTCCTAATAAGAAAAAGGAAATCATTGAAATTGCCAAATTTGGGGACCATCCTCATGACCTTTGACATTTATTGAAATGTTTTGACTCTGAAAATTACTGTGCTTTAGCTAAGATAGACAAGATGCCCCTGCCTTTACTCCCACCTGCCAGTGCAGGATCCACAAATATCTGCTCCACAGTAAGAATTCAAATTGTATTTGTTGATAGAATGAATATGCGCTCAGTTAATTTTTATTTTAGTGAGTCTGAAATCATAAATTTAGAACGACTCCTCTGCAATAGTAATTCTTAAAATGTATTGTACAGAATGGTATTTCCTTGAGCTGCTTCTGAAACAAATTAATAACAACAACAACAAAAGAGCCCAGTGGAGAACAAGTTTGGAGGATGTCATATACTATGAATCCTCTCTAAGAGAGTCAATGTGAACATACATAATAAAGTTGAAATTTTCTGAATGTGTAATGTATACTAGGCAATCCTTTAAAGACTTTGTATGTTTCATCTCATTTAATCTTTACATTAATATTATATGTTCACATTTTATCAATAAGCAATCTGAGATACTGTGAGATAGACTATCCTGTCCCAAATTTCCACACTACAGTGAATGCCACAGCTGGATTTAAGCTAGACTCATGTCAGGGAGGAGGTCTTTAACTTTTGTTCTACTTCCTCCTACATAAGGCTATACAAGACTATGGAAATTGATTTCCTTGACCCAGGATTTTCTTAGCTTTTTTGACAGTAGGGTCCAATTAACTTTTCTTCTTCAAAAGTGGCTTCTATAACATTTTCAATGACAGGAAATACATATCTCTTAGATAACCGTACTTACCTGTTTAAGTTCCTTTGTGAGACACATGAAAGGAAGCAGTTTGCATCAATACAATTGAAAACCTATTATGTGAAATACCTGTTATTTGAAATAAGTTATGCCTTGCTTTATAGCCTAGTATAGAATCAATTTTGTAAGTATCTAATGAATATAGAGAAAAATGTTTACTTCTAATTTTTGGATATAAAATCAAGGATACAGAATTATGTGTATGTTAATTGGATTAAATATTAATGTTTTTGTCTTTTTATTTTTTAATTTATTTTTACTTTTAGTTCCGGGGCACATGTGCAGTGTGTGCAGGTTTGTTACATAGGTAGTCATGTGCTATAGTGGTTTGCTACACCTATCAACCCAGCACCTAGGTATTAAGCACAGTATGCATTAGCTATTTTTCTAATAGTCTCCCCCCTCCCACCACACCCTCCAACAGTACCCAGTGTGTTTTGTTCCCCTCCCCGTGTCCACGTGATCTCATTGTTCAACTCCCATACATAAGTAAGAGCATCAGGTGTTTGGTTTTCTATTCCTGTGTTAGTTTGCTGAGGATAATGGCTTCTAGCTTTATTCATGTTACTGTAAAGGACATGATCTCATTCCTTTTTATGGCTGCATTGTATTCCATGGTGTATGTGAACCACATTTTCTTTATCCAGTCTATCACTGATGGACATTTGGGTTGATTCCATGTTCTTGCTATTGTGAATAGTGCTGCAATAAACATATGCGTGCATATGCCTTTATAATGTAATGATTTATATTACTTTGGGTATATACCCAGTAACGGAATTACTGAGTCAAATGGTATTTCTGGTTTTAGATCTTTGAGGAATCACCACACCATCTTCCACAATGGTTGAAATAATTTACATTCCCATCAACAGTGTAAAAGCGTTTCTATTTCTCCACAACCTCGCCAGCATCTGTTGTTTCTTGACTTTTTAATAATGGCCTTTCTGACTGGTGTGAGATGGTATCTCATTGTGGTTTTGGTTTGAATTTCTCTAATGATCAGTGATGTTGAGTTTTTTGTTTTTTTCATACGTTTGTTGGCCGCCTGAGTGTCTTCTTTTGAGAAGTGTCTGTTCAAGTCCTTTGCCCACTTTTTAATGGGGTTGTTGGTTTTTTTCTTGTAAATTGAATTCCTTGTAGATTCTGGCTATCAGACCTTTGCTAAATGGATAGATTGCAAAGATTTTCTCCCACTCTGTAGGTTATCTGTTCACCCTGATGATGCTTTCTTTTGCTGTGCAGAAGCTCTTTAGTTTAATTAGATCCCATTTGTCAATTTTGACTTTGGTTGCAAAAGCTTTTGGCTATTTCATCATGAAATCTTTGCCTGTGCCTATGTCCTGAATGGTATTGCCTAGATTTTCTTCTAGGGCTTTTATAGTTTTGGCTATTACATTTAAGTCTTTAATCCATCTTGAGTTAGTTTTTGTATTTGGTGTAAGGAAGGTGTGCAGTTTCAATTTTGTATTTACATTCTTTATAAATTTACTTTTATTTTCTCAGTGTATTGAATTAAATTATGTTGAATTTTTCACATTAAGGATGATTTGTCTAACATGTCTTATGGCTCAATTAATTTTTGATTTATATATTTGAGACAATCTTCGATACATAGATGTTCAAAATTGCTATAATTTCCTGGCATTAAACCAGAATTAGGTACTTTGCCATTATTCTATTGCTTTTCCTACTACTGGTTGTTATTTTAATCAAAAAATACACTTTTCTATATATTAATATAGTTTTCCAAGCTTTATTTTGATAGCTATTGTCTCGTAAGCTTTTTCTCATTTTGGAATTTAAGTTTTTATTGTATATCCCGTTATATTTAGTTATATGTTTGTTTTATTCCAGTTGACAATCTCTTGCCTTTTATAAATTTTGTCAATTTCAACTTATATTGATAATGAATCCATTTGAAATTTTTGCTGCCAAGTGACTTCGTTTTTCTATTTGTTTCACTTTTTCGTTTCCTTTTTTCTTTCATTTTTCCTCTTTTGAATGAACTTAGGTTTGCTCTTGTTCTTATTTATTGTTCTATGCTCACCCTTTACTTTTCATTTTAGTGGCTTTGATATTTTACATGACTTTTTCTGTGTAAATTCTTAGAAGTATAAGTTTATTACATATATTGAACTCAACTAAAACTTAAAATTAATGAGTTATTATCAACTTTCATAATGAAAAAAAGTATTTTAGCTCATTTTTTTCTCCCAGCTTACATGATGTTGTTGCCTAAATTTTTATTTCTTCCTTTTCTTAATATTAACATTTTATAAGATAACATTTGTCTGAATTTATCTCCTTATTTGGTCAACAATATATTTTTTCAATCTCAAACTGTTTCGGTTTGGAATTTCATTTAGAGAATGACTTCTGTGGTAAATTCTCTGAAGTAAATATAAATCTTTTTATTTTGTTTTTATATATTTACAGCACATGTAATTTTAGACGAACTGTTAATTTTGCTTAAGGCTTTGTAAATATTTATTCACTGTGCCATGGATTACAATTGCGGTCCTAATATGTTTTCTGGGCAATCTTTTCATTCTCTCTAGCAGTTTTCATGATCTTCTAATTTGTCTTTGGTGTTCTGTAGCTTCACAAGGCGGATTTTTTAAAAATCCTGCTTGGGATTTTTATTTATTCCTTCATATATAAATCTGTGTTTTATATCAACTCATGGAAATTAACAATCATTATCTCCTCAAATATTTCTTATTTTATAGTTGTTCTCTTTTTTCCTTCTAGGCCTCCATCAGATGTGTTAGACTTCCTCATTTTGCCTTTCATATTTCTTACTTTTCTTTCATTCTTTCCTGCATATCAACATTATTTACAATATAGTATACATCTGCAGATTGATCAAGGTTGATAATTTATCCTCCAATTGTATACTTTCTGCTGATTAATCCATCAAATTTTTAAATTATATTTTTCATTCCTGTAAGTTTCCCTTTTCATAATTGTTTCTTTATTAGGAGTTTCCTCACCTTTATATTTCCATTATTTTTTATCATTTTTTACATAGCTACCATCTATTTTGTATCTCAAATCACAATGTCTTGATATATCAATTTTTCAGTAATTATTGATTATTGACAAATTCTTTTCTAAGTTTCATACATAATGTATCACCTTCTATATTTGAAAATCATTTTATGTGAAATTATGTTTATTGTTAATCTGTGAGAAAATTGTCAAACTTTCTTGAACAACTTTTATGCCAAAGTGGATTTGCTTCTGAATTTGAGTATTCACAGGGCGGGTCCATCCAGGATCTACCTTGACCCTTCATCAGTGTTTTAATTCAAAGCCAGAGTACCAGACTCAGCCCACCATCTAGTTTCTACTTCCACTATCAATATCACTGCTAGGGTATCATAGGAATTGACTTTAACCTATACCGCTACCTGTTCAAGTTATCTCTATGCTGTCCATTTCTCAGTGGCCCATTCCTGTCTACTAGCTTCAAATTCCTTACTTCCCTGAGAAGCAGCCATAGTTTGGGGCATTGAAATATCAGATTCTAATCACTGCAATGCCAACCCAGATATGTTCCTAAGGGTGGATCATATTCAGAAACTTGTTTTATGGAGCAAGGAAGCAAGAGCGTTACTCAAAGAATTTCTACTCATCTATTAGTGTAAGAGAAAACACTGACTTTTCTCATAAATACAATTCAAATGAAAGTAAAATAGCAAAAGCAAACAAACAAATAAAAACGCCAAAAAACCACACACACACATACACATACAACCCATGATAAAATGTTATATTGGAAGAAAAAGAAAATCTATCCCCTGAGGTCAGGAGTTTGAGATCAGCCTGGCTAACATGGCAAAATGCCTTCCCTACCAAAAATGTAAAATATCAGCTGGGAGTGTTGGCACATGCCAGTAATCCCAGCTATGCTGAAGACTGATTCAGGAGAATCGCTTGAACCTGGGAGGCAGAGGTTGCAGTGAGCTGAGATCATGTCACTGCACGCCAGCCTGGGCAATAGAGTGAGACTCCATCAAAAAAAAAAAAAAAAAAAGAAAAAAAGAAGAAGCAAGAAAGGAAGGAAATGGAAGGAAAGGAAAGGAAGAAAGGAAGAAAGAGAAAGGAAGGAAGGAAGGAAGGAAAAGAAAAAAAGAAAGGAAGGAAGGAAAGAAAGAAAAGAAAGAAAGAAACAAAAAGAAAGAACGAAAGAAGAGGGAGGGAGGGAGGGAAGGAAGGAAGGAAGGAAAGGGGATATGTTTATCCCCATAGAATTTGCCTCCAGAAGAAATAAATCTAATTCAAAAATAGTACTGCACAACTCAGGATAGCCTCATTTAGGCAGGACCAGCTGATTACTTACCAATCTCAAAGACTTTACGCAATGAAAGTGTAACTCCTTTCACAACATGAAAGTACGAGTCCCTTTTTCAACTTGCCGGGAAAGAAAGTCCATAGAGATTTCTTTTTCATTCATTTATACTTTCTACACGTAATACAAGTCATTTTATGTAGATTGCATTAATTAGGACTATTCACATTGACCAAAGTGGCTTGGGATTGGAGTCTTCAATATGCCTCAAAAGTAAAAATAGCTACTGTGAATATGATTTCAATCAAACTCTTATCAGTAACTTTTCAATTAATAAAATAATTATTAAATTTATCTGGATTAGAAAAGGTGTGAGAAAAGCATAGAAAATTTGGATATAGAAAAGTCATGATAGACTAATGAATTTTAGAACTTTTTACACTAAATTAATGAATCATCATTAAAAATTATTATACTCAATTGAAAATATATGCAAAAATAAAAAGTTTCATTAAAATTGAATTAATTTTATAAAATAACTAAATAGATGCAAGTGTTAGCCCAAATCAATAAGGAAGGCAAAGGCAAATTAATAAATGGAACTTAACCAATTACTTAATCATTTAGAAAAAAAAATCAATGTAGATCTTCATCTTTCACTTCATAAAAGTAATATAGGCCAGGTGCGGTGGCTCATGCCTGTAATCCCAGCACTTTGGGAGGCCAAGATGGGAGGATCACTTAAGGTCAGGAGTTCAAGACCAGCCTGACCAACATGGTGAAACCTTGTCTCTACTAAAAATACAAAAATTAGCCGGGTGTGGTGGCACACGCCTGTAATCCCAGTTACCTGGGAGGCTGAGGCCAAAGAATCACTTGAATCCAGGAGTCAGAGGTTGCAGTGAGCCGAGATCGCACCATTGCACTCCAGCCTGGGCAACAAGAGCAAGACTCCATCTCCACCATTGCACTCCAGCCTGGGCAACAAGAGCAAGACTCCATCTCAAAAAAAAAAAAAAAGTAATCTAAACTATTACACATAGATCAACCATATGATATTAGATGAATTAAAAATTATCTCTAAAATTAAAAATATCAGAGGGATCACTGGTAGAGATTTTCTAATATTGTACTTACTGCCAGATGCATCAAATGATACTTATAAAGATTTTAACGAACAGAAAGTTTTCCAAACTGTGCCCTTATAACAATATCAAACTTAAAATGAAAATACTAAGAAGACAATAATAAATTGAAATATATATAAAGTATTCTAAACAAAGCATTCTTATAAACCGATTTGAAGCATTATAATCTCAATAATAGATGGGTAAAGTTTGAACAAACAACTAAAAAACAAGTTTGGATAAAGGTAATATAAATAGCTAATGTTAATAATTATGATTATATATGACTATAGGGTTATTAGCTAATGAAAAGTTTCAGTACATGTTGGGGAGCACATTAAAACTCACTGGTAAATTTTAAAAATACAAATGTTTATTTTGAGTCTCTTAAATTATAAATGCTCAGAAATAATAATACTCGAAGAAAGTTCATGATATATTAATATGGGTGATTAAATAAGTGTAAGACCCTATCTATATGCACCGCAAGTTGTTCATCTCATTTATGTAGACATTCTACTGCTATGAATCTAATCAAATAACATGATTTAAAATATAAAAAACCTGATTTATAAAAGCATTTATTTTCATGATAATTGTA
Organism: Homo sapiens; assembly: GCF_000001405.40. Classification (NCBI taxonomy): domain Eukaryota; kingdom Metazoa; phylum Chordata; class Mammalia; order Primates; family Hominidae; genus Homo; species Homo sapiens. The sequence goes on along the minus strand of NC_000014.9, from coordinate 86,547,356 downwards.
AACAATTTTAACTAAAAATAATTTGGAATTATTATAGTATTGCATCCACACAATGGAACATTAGGTAATCATTAAAGTTGCCCATTTGCAGAATTTTAAAAAAATGCAACTGGGAAAAATAACACTATAAGGCATGGTACACACTGTGATTATAATTTGAAAAATATTAACTATACACAGGAAATATGTAAAATGAAAACTGTTTAACTGAGGTTAATAGTTTTTTCATTATAAATTTTAATATTGTTATGGTTAGCAATTTACCATTGTGTCTTTTCGTTAGATGATGTAACACTTTTCTAATCTTTAAGTGGAGCTGAGAATTAAGAGTAATATTTCAGACTTAGCTTTTGTAACATAAGTAAGAGTGGTCATAAACTTGCTATCATTTTCATTTTCTCCATTACCCTCATAGTATAGCCTAAGAATATATTAGCTTATTTAAAATCATTTAATTCTATAGATATATCTTAGCTTGCAATAAATTGAATAGTGTCTTCTTGCCTTTTTGTTTTGTTTTGTTTTGTGTCTACATTTTCTTTCTTTGTTGTCAGTTATTGAGTTGCAAATAGTCTTTTTTTTTTTTTTTGGTACATACCTAATCACTAATTGGGCCAGTGATTTTCCACTACATTGTTTCTAATATTGTGTCATAAGTGATATCAAGACAGAATAAAATTCTTAGTTTCTCAGGAAGCTCAAAATCCATATAAGAATGCTCTAGGAATTTGAACATAGTGTAGTGAACCATGAAAGAGTACCTACATAGAAAGGTGTGAGAGATTTAATTTAAACAGTGTGGACCATAAGTGATAAGAGAACTCCTTCATCTATTTTCCCATCCAATCCAAAGATCCCTTTTATATTGGCCTTATCAGAGAGCATAAATAATGTCACGTCTTCCACTGTAACATAAAGCAACCTATCTCATCGAAGGAAAGGTCTACAAAAAAGCGTATTCTCACGTCACTGGTTTATCCCCAAGCACTCTTCCTTATTAGATAAAACTTAAAAATTTTTAAAAAAATGTTTGAGACACCATCTTCCACTGTGTCTATCCTTGTATCTTAACTTTCTGAGGTTCTACATAACACCTTGAATTTCCCTGACTTCATCCTGCTTTACTTTCCTTCTCTGGTAGCTTCTTTGCCCTCTCTCATTTTCTCAAGTCCGTATGACTCCCTTTTCTTTCTTCAGATTTCACTCTGCTTATAACCAGAGCTTCTGTTTCTGGAAAACCCAGTTTTATTAATACAACACTTGTGCATGCACCTCATTTAGAGATGGTTTTGAGATAATAGAGGGAATCCACATCCCAGTTAGGATCAGGAAACAATTCAAAGTTGAGTATTAGTCTATCTCTCTCTTAAAATTATCTTGCTACCTTGCTGTGACAAATTTGTCACTGTGGATTTTCCACTACAACCTCATGAGCGTGTCTTTCTCTGGAAACCATTCTCACTCACTATGACTCCATAACTTTTCGCCATCTGTCTTCTTTCCTCAGGTCCATGGACCTCCCAAAATTATATTTCATGACCCACCTGCAAAAAACAACAATGCAAGAGTATCTTTCATGATGTTCTTAACAAATATCTTCCTTTCTCAAACACCAGCCGTCTCTATAGGCAGAAATGTATTCTATTTCATTCCATAGGAAATGCTGATTATAACACTAATTTTCTTTCTAGTTAGACTTATATGAAATCTAACGTGCTACCCTATAACTTTCCCTATCATTCAAGCTGTATATTCTGGATAAGTATGGATTATATTTGTTGTCTCTTCTGTTTAAGACATATTTGATTATGGAATGAAACTTCTCCCCTATCTCTAGCCCTTAGACTTTTTCAAACTAAATACTCCTTGAATGTCAAAGAACCTCCAATTTTTTTTTCACCTTTTTCATATTTCCTGGAATGATCCACAGTTAGGCTTCATTAAACCACAACAAATATAAATAAAAGCAATAGTCAGATAAATACTGCTGGCATAGATAATAGTGGAACTAAGTCTATAATTAAGGAATGTGTAGCATTTAATTCAAATGAAACCAGAGAAAGTGCTAGAACTTTCATGTGTTTGTATGAGCACAATGAGGAGAATTGCTAGATTTAACAAATAAAAATAACAGACATCCAATTAACCTAAAATTTCGGATAAACACTCAATTCCAGATAAATACTTAAACATAGGTAGTTTAAGTATGTCTCATGCCTATGTTTGATCTAGCAATCATAAACATGAAAAACCTGTCTTTTTAGTAACTAGGTAAGCCCAGATGACTTAGTATAGGCAGAAAAGATTATGGGTTTATATTATGGAGAGAAGAATTTTAACCAGTCATTTCTCACAAGAGATTAATCATGAGATATTAGAAGTTTTAGAAAGCACAATTAATTCCTGCCCCTTCATTTGACGTGAAAATAGTCAAGAAACCAAACTGAGATCAAAATAGGAGTTTGATAATGCAATTTACACCACTGTCAAAACGAAGGTTACATCTGAACTAAAATTATTTGGGCGTTTGAAGTAGAGTTATGTTGATCAAGAATCATCTGCTTATATATATAAAAAATAAAAATAAAAACAAAAATCCCTCAAATTAAATTAAGTTGGTTTAAACAAAAAAAGGAATGTATTGACTCATTCTATTGAAAAGCATAAAGATAGGGTTTGTTAGTGCTTAGATATTATACTCCAATTTGAATCATCTCCTGCATCTGTTTTATGTGTTTCTTTGTTCGTTAATCTCATTAAGCCAATATTTTTTGTCAGTGGTGAAAAAATAGCCGGCAGAAACTTCAAGCTTGTATTCTCTTCTTTAAGCAAGTTCAGCAGAAAAAGAGATTGATTCTTCTGCTTAATTTTTCCAGGAAAATTCCAGAATTGAAATGTCATGGGTCTATACTTGCTCTGACCTAAACTAGTGACTATCTCTAGGGAATGGAACAAGCTAATTAGCTAGGCCTAGCCCTGAAACAAAGTTGGAGATGGTCACACCTGAGCTCATGGACTGAAACTGAGGAGGGGAGGACTCTAAGTATAAATTAGAGGAGGGATCACAGATTCTGCAGAGACGAAAACAACAGTTGTTTACTATTAGTGGCAAGATGTTGCTACCAATCGTATAGATGTGGTGGCTTTAGGATGAAGAAGAAATCTTGTCTGTCCACTTTGCCTCATATATGGGGTACCCTAAAAACCCAAATCTTCCTCATTTGCATTAGGCATACACGAAAAAACACTTTGTTTTTCAGTGGTTGGTGCAGCCCTTGAAAAAATATATCCTATTAAAGAGTTTTAAAAAGAAAATGAATAAGAGGTCCAAATATGCCATCTCAAAAATCAGATGAGACAGTGTTCTTTCCATGAGAAAGACTTAGTACCAGCTTTCAGGGGACAGGTAGCAGAGGGAGTTTCTCTGTTCACTCACACACAAAAAATTAAAAGTCCCAGTTGAAGTTAAACATATATCAGTATCACTTCCTTCAGCTATATTTTATCCTAAGTAGAGCAAGAAAGAAACTAGACTCTAAACTCAGGCCTGAGCCACAGACCCAGCAATCCTAGAAGAAGTCCTTGGGGACAAGAATGGCCAGGCCTACCATGGGAAGCATGGAGTTATGTCTGGCTTGGCAAAGAGGTTAAATATAGCCAGAAGCAGCTTAAACACAGAGCACTGGGAGGGATCAAGTGACAGAGACCACAGGCATGAAGTGATTTGTTTCATATTAAAAACCAGATGTTTAATTACTTGACATTTCCAGTCATTTACTTAATTTGAGTCTCTCAAGTCTCTTAAGGTAAATGATGGAGACTAAAAGTTCCATCTCTTTAAAATGTATGAGTAAAATCCTCATGTAGGGCTAGAATTAAGATCAGAGTTATTCATGGGGGTGATTCACCACTTTATAGAATATAGTAACTTCTGCAGGTTTTTGGGGGCATTATTTAAGGACAAATTTTAAGCATATTTAAAACAGCCAAGGTACATATTAGCTGGTATTTTCATCCCCTTCAAAACAATGTATCATCTATTGCAGCTTGGGAGTCTAATTGATTAACAATATTAGTGGAATTTTCATTGTTTTCTTTAAACATAAAACATGCTTTGGAGTACTTAAGATTTTTACCACACCTTATTTAAAAATAATTAATCAGTAAGAGTTGCTTAAAAACATAACCAAAAAAAAAAGGGAGCAATTCTGTACTAAAATCATTAACACAATATGACATGGGGAAGGGAATTGACTTGAGAAGGCTACTATGTGGCAAAGAAGAGTACTAAAAAAAGTAGAGTGTAACATCTGGCTTTCCAATTTCTACTCTGCAATCCTGGACAAGTTACTATTTTCCTGAGCTTCTATTTTTCTATTTCCATGTTGAGGAGGATGATAACATTATTTTTATAAGGATAAAGGTAATGTACACAAAATTTAATTATTAACTGTAATGCACTAATGATCCTTAGAAATCAGTAGAATTTGAATCTTCAACCTATTTGCCTAGGAAAAGTATTTTTCACTTTTTTTATTTGCTTCACTGTAATAATGGACTTAAACCACCCTAGAATGGAGAAACAGTTTTGTCAGTTTGAATAGAAAATGCATTCTTCCTTTCAGGGATGGATGTCATTTGGTCATGTTTTTGAAGACTGAGTCTTCTCTGAATTCAAGGATAGGAGAGGTAAATGTTCTCATGCTAATATATGCTCAAGATTTAATAAGAATTTAGGTTCTTCTTGTTGAATAGCCATGGAAGACTTCCAAATAACAACTGGAACTCTCAGCCTGGAGGCATGAATAGATACATGCATTAAGTCAGAGAGGCTTGATAGAAAAGAAGGAAGAAAGATTAGGAAGCTGCAGAAAGATGGGGAGCCTCATTCAGAAAATTGTTCTGAGAAGACAGCTGTCCAGGAGGAGCCAGTAGAATGCTGGCCCAGAGAAAGTTTATTGCAAGGGTAATTGGTGGTATTCTCAGTTCCGTTGCCTGGAGCCCTCACTAGCTGACTGTACCGTTTGTACATAAATAGAAAATTAACATCACCTGAACTAAGAACTTGGGTCAGTCAACCATCAAACCTTTACATGAATAAGGACTTCTGTTTGCTTGCACTGAGCCTCCTCACTGTCAGCTGCTAAGTAGGAACCATATGGTGAAAGCCATGACTTGCTACATTTGACAATTGCCAGATGCCCCATGAGGGAGCCTCCCTACGACGCTCCAGCATGACTATTAATGCACCACACTCCTTGCCCTGAGATGTAGCTGAGTTGGGTAGAGGGAAGTAAACCTCTCTATTACCACAATAATTACAATTGTAAACCTCTCTATTACCACAATAATTACAATTAACATTAGTTACTAAAGATGATGTGGGAAGTTTTACCAGAAAGCCTGAGCTAAGAATACTAACAGCAAGTAAACTTAAAATTTAACAGTGGGCCTCCTAGCAAGCAAGGAAGAAATTATTTTATACATTCCCTTTACATAATAATAATTAAATAAAGTGAGATGATTTTCCTAGTGCATTGTATATATCTGCATATTAGAAGAATTGAATATCAAAATGAATAATTTCTATGGGAACAGTTGCATAAAAGATGCAGAATATTCTTCATAGAACAAATTTGAAAAATCTCCATTCTTAACGAAAAGCTAAGAGAAAAGTATCAGAAAATTATAGGTCCAGGGAAGTATTTCTAAAAGGAACTGAAAAAAATATTAAGGTATTGAAATATTTGATTTTTCAGAATTTTTTTAAGACACAATCTTTGTGTTTCTGGGTAAAATGGGCAAAAAAATAACATTACAGTATTAAAATATTTGATTTTTCAGAAATTTTGTTTAAATCACAATTTTTATGTCCATGGATAAAATGGGTGTGTGTGTAAAAATCATTCTTTCTCACCTGTGGAGAAGAAGAAAGTTCCTCCTACTCTTCTTTTGTTATTTTATATACAACTTGCCAATGTACCAGGTGTCCTTCAAGTCCCAAATATATTGAGTGCTAACAAAAATGAAGATGCCTTTTCACAGCTGAGGCTTTAAGTAAGCAAGAGCCAGTTATAGGTACTTTGGGGACTTTCTAAGGCAGATTTGTTCTTCATGAAATGCTGGATACTGACATTTGAAATAAAGTGACATTTCTTCAGATTTGTGGCATCAAATAAGTGTGCATTGAGTTGAGCCTGCGTTCCCATAGCTTTCTTCACATTGCATGCAGTAGGGAAACTGGAACTACAGAGAATTCATTTAAAGAAAAAGAAACCAGACAAATATTGCATATTTTTATACCTAAGAGGAGTTTCATTTCTCTCTTCTACTCTCCACTACATAGTTGGAATCCAGCTGCTATTACAGATAGAAAAACACCACCCGAGGAAACAGAATAAAAAATGTGAGGCCCAACATCGCAAGTGCCCAGCCCTTCTACACTTGCAGGAAATTGATCATGATTACACGCATCTGATCTTAATGGATAGTCCCGGCTCTGAGCCCCAGGGAGAAGAGCCAAAAGAGGAGAGGAAAAGGCAGCTCAAGATTTCTGCCAAAATGCCAAAATGCCCTGAGGAAGAAATTGTTTCCTCAAGTTAAATCTGCAGATGATTTTAGCCTTGTGTCATGTGCAAAAAATAAGTCCATATTGTTAATATCTAATTGCACGTATGCCTCTGGATAGTGGTGTTCTAACCAAAGCTAGTTCCCAAGTTTTCATTTTATATCCTCAGAAAGTTAACATTGTTTTAAATTCCATTTAGATGATCATACAAAGGACAATGAAAAATCCATCAAACATTCAAAAGGAAAAATAGAATCCATAAAAGTAGTATTATGAATCCAGGTTACATAAACTCATCAGCTAATTCCAAGAAATGTTAGATGCCATGAAAAAAGTGTGTATTTTTCAAGCCAAAGTTAATTTTACCAAATTAAGTGATTGTCACTCTCTTAAGAAAGATGGATGTTTCCAGAATAAGGAGGACATGCATCGTGAATTCTTTCCACATTATGAACTAAAATGGATTTGTTGTTGTTCTTTTATAGTATCTCTGTTCTTCATTTTGGCTTCTTGGAGATAGAGGGTAACAATGTTCACATTATATATTCCTTTAGTATTCCTTGCTCTGTATGGTATGAGAAGAGGCATATAAGTTATATTAACACAGGCTCCAGTTTGAGAAATTTTGCCTGGGAACACTTAAAAGTAAAATAAAATAACATCCTTTTACAAAAAGAATTACTCTTTTGCTAAAGAAAATAATTAGAAGTAATGGCTGTACAAGAAAATGTCTTTGGTTATAACCCAGATGGAAAAAGTGACTCAAAGTTCTTTTTTTTTTTTTTTCCCCCCTGCATGTGACAGTAATAGGAATTTGGACTTCTTTCCTGATTCTGAGAAAAGTGTGTTGGGAACCTGAAAGAGAAAATGAGGAAAAGGATCTTGAGTTATAATGGGGTATGAATTTTCTAGTGGCAGCTGGGACTAGAGAAGGACAAGACTGTGAGAACTTTCTTGTGGTGGGAACTAAATCAAAGTTTCTCTAAGAGCAAATGTTTTTGTGACATTTACCTTTAAGTTTTAGGCTGTTTATGCTCTATTCTCCAAATGTTCATTAAACATCAATCATAAATTACGGGCTGTGTCCTGGAGCTTTGTGAGCTAAGGGAAAAGGACAAGACATTTTGGCTCTAGAGGGGACCAGCAGCAAAGTTGGGGGAGGCTGCAAAGGGATAAAGTAGCAGCTATTATTTCTACAGTGAATTTGTTTGATGTGGATATATATTATGTACTGTTCTTCAAATGAGGCAGCATAGAGTCACAAGGCAAGGTCAGACTGCAGGGTAAATACACAGGCACTAACTTAGAGAGATAATTCCCAGCTTGATACTCTCCCCTAAATCATGAACAGCCCTTCAGATAATATTCTCTGGGAAAATCTGATTCCCTCCCATGTACTTTCCGAAACTTAAAGCACAAAGAATTGTATCTCTCAAATCACTGGTTCAAATGTAGGCCAGGCTGCTAAAAGCATGCTTTGAAAGAGATCCCATTTTCTGATTTGGTCTTAGTGGAAGAGTGTGCATATCCCATCCGAATTAATCATCTGACTCCCTTGATTAAGAATTATTTTGATCTTAGGAACAGTTACTACGGTCAGTAACTCTAGAGTTTTCTACCAGGGAAGAGAGTCCCACTTCATGGGATTAAGATCATTGTAGAAGATTATATGAACAGAGTGATATATTTTTATTGATATGGGTTATATACAGGCAAACTACATTTCGCTGTTCATTAGTATTCATTTTGTAAGTATTCTTACTTATTCTATTTCCACAAATTTTCTGATATCAACAAAAATGTGCAGATATTGTATCAATATAAATAAATATATAATTCTTTTCAGCAGACTGAAACATTTCCAAATAGAATTTAGGGAATTTATAGAAGGAAGACTGATAGATTTATAATATTTTAATATTTCAAGTAGTACACTATGTTTTAAATAGACATTTGGATATATAGGAAAAGCAGCAGATCAGATCGATGTATTGTGGTACTTGATAAGGTAATTCTTTGAATTTTGCTTTTAGAAACAAATAGGGTCTAATAGTAGATATTAATATTAATAACCAGCAACTTAGATCATATTTATGTAGATTCATCCTGTCTGGCAATTCCACCGGAGGCTTTCTGAAGCTACGGTGATTCATTGTTATATGAATATATACTAAAAAGAAATCTAACATTTTGTGACAGACTATGTTGCAAAATTTAGTATTTACATTTGTAGTAGCATCTTTATTGAGCTTGCAGTAATTCTCTTAATTGTACTAACCCACAATAGCAATGACTTCTTGAAGTCTTGTTTATGCAATTATTTCAACCTTTCCAGCCACAGTTACAGACACCTTGAAATATGCTCCTCACTTTTGCTCAAACTGGTTCAAGTTTGCTAACATTGAACATCTTCACTAATAGGCAGCAGGTGCGGAATCATTTATAGCAACTCAATTTCTAAGGCTTACCAAAGAATAATGCATTTAGATTAAGAAAACAGACATTCAACTAGAAAAAAAAATATTTGCAACAAAACCGGCCTCTAAAAGAAGATATGAAGGGAAATTAAGGGGAACTCATATGAGATCATTTCTATATTTGAGTGAATGTTAAAGCAACACATCTTCCATTTCATCTTATTCAAAGACATAATCCAGCTTGGATCTGTACTAAACATGCGGATATGAACTGAAGCAGGTCCAAGAGAGGATGGAGGGATGGAGACTTTTTTTGTCTCTTCTGAAGATCCTGGAAAATATGAACTGTATATAAGACTAAGCTTTTATCCAATTATTTTCAATGTTCTTTCTGATCATTTCAGGAGTCCTTAACCTGAAGCCACATGGCAGTCTATATTCCAGGAAAATATAATATCTGTCAGTTCTGGAATGTCCTCTTTTCTCTCCAGGATTTGCATGGGTGTTTTCTATGCCTGGAGTACTTTCCTCCCAATTGCCTCACCCCTTTACCTAGCTAACCCTATTTTTTGCTGGGCACAGAGTAGGCCTACCATTAACACAAAGAAAAAATTAAGGAGTTCCATTTAGACATACATCAATAGTTGTCTTCAGCCTAGCCTATCACAATGGCTCATTCACTGTCCTCAGCTAGTCATTTCTGCAGAATTCTGTTTCTCAATAGAAGTCAGTTTAGTTGCTATCATTTTTTGAAATTACAGCTATCACTTGGCTATAGTTCTTTTTTGTTTTTTTGAGATGGAGTCTCGCACCGTCTCCTGGGCTGGAGTGCAGTGGCGCGATCTCGGCTCACCGCAAGCTCCGCCTCCCGGGTTCACGCCATTCTCCTGCCTCAGCCTCCCCAGCAGCTGGGACTACAGGCCCGCGCCACCGCGCCAGGCTAATTTTTTGTGTTTTTAGTAGAGACAGGGTTTCACCGTGGTCTCGATCACATGACCTCGTGATCCGCCAGCCTCAGCCTCACAAAGTGCTGGGATTACAGGCGTGAGCCATCACGCCTGGCCTTGGCTATAGTTTTTAAATCTCAATTGTGATGCTTATTATAATTGTTCATCAACATGACTTTCTTCCTTATTAGCTCCTCTCAGTTTTTGTATCCCTTCACCCAGTAAGATGTTATATACATATATATACATCTATATATATAACCTAAAACACATGCATATAACACATACATATATGATGGTGACACTCATATATATAACATATTTATACAAAACATATACATAAAACACACACACGTGTGTGTGTGTGTGTCAAGTAGTTGTACTCAACATTTGTTAATTGAATTAAATTGACGCGAAGAAATTAAATTAGCTTATTATTTATTGCCAAAATATTACTATTAGTTATCTATTCCTGAGTAACAAATTACTTGAAACATACCGGCTTAAAACAATAAATGCTTATTATATCAAACAGTTTCCTTGTATCAGGAATTCTGTATCTGCTTAGCAGGATGGTTCTGGTTCAGTTTCTCATGAAATTGTATTAAAGATTCCTGTTAAGAAAGCAGGCATTTGAAGGTTTTACTAGGGTGGAAGATCTTCCAGGACGGCTTCCTTACAAGGTTGGCAAGTGGGCACTGGCTACTGGTGGGAGGCCTCAGTTCCTTCTCATGGCGACTTCTCCATACAATTACTTGTGAGTGTTCAGGGCCCAGTCGCCAGCTTTGATGCTAGCCTCCTTTAAAATGAATGATATTAGGGAAAGCAAGGGAGATGTCACAATATCTATGACCTAGCCTAGGAAGTCACACACCATAATTTCTGCAATATTTTATTAGTTACGTAGGTCAGTCCTATTCACTGTGAAAGGGACCAACCACATCATGGTATGAATGCCAGGTGAGAACTGTTGTGGATCATCTTGGAGCTTGACCATCACAATATGTTCCCATGGTAAGTTGTTGGGGGAATGTTTTTAAAAAATAACCCTCTCCCAACTCAATTAATAGTCACTGTTGTTAAATATTCAGAACCTATTGCCCAATTTTCTGATTGTAATGAGACAATACTGGAAACAATACATGTAAAGAGTATTACCTTAAGACAAAATATTTGGTCAGCAGGTTATTGTTGACTTCATGCTACGTGTAGGTGCCAGTTACCTGTGTGTGTATGTGTGTATGTGTCCTCATGCTCAGATACCTCTGCTGCACAATGGGAACTATCCCACTCTGTAACTCATCAATCATTTTCTCTTGGCTTTTCAAAAAATACATAACTAAATGGATTTATAGCCCCTTCCTCCCAAACAAACTCTTCACATACATAAAAAGAGGGTATTAGGTATAGCTGATACTTTTTAACAGATTTGTTTTATGTATAAAATACAACATACACACACATATACACACACATAAATATATACATATATGTGTGTGTGTTGTATTTTATATATAAAACTAGTTTTAATATATTTTTTATATTGTTTTAATATATTTAATGTATTTATTAAATATAAATATTTAATATATATATTGTTTTAATTATTTATTATAATAAATAAATAAATATATATATGAGATCATTTCTTTTTATCCTATGTAGGCCATACAAGAAAGAGACTACTCTAGTACTGAGAATAAAAGAAAAAGGCTAGGAAACAATTTTAGCAGTTTAATGTTTAGCTTTATATTTAATAGGAAGAAATAGATATCTCTTTATTTTTAGCAGGAAGTAGGTTACTGAAAGAAACATTTGACTTGAAACCAGAAAACATATGCCTGTTTATTGTTCCTAATTTACCACTTGTTGCACTTTGTGGGTACCTTTTAAAAAATATTTCTGTGTGCAGTTTTTCACTCTTTGTCTTTGTCATCCTTGGAAAATATCCCTTGTCTGGGTTAGCAAATTTGACTCTTCCATGAATATACTGGAGTTTTGAGGAATAAACTATAGCCACTGCTATGTGGTTCAAAGCATCAATGCATCTTTTATTTATTTATTTATTTTTTAGTATTATACTTCAAGTTTTAGGGTACGTGTGCACAACGTGCAGGTTTGTTACATATGTATACATGTGCCATGTTGGTGTGCTGCACCCATTAACTGGTCATTTAGCATTAGGTATATCTCCCATTCAATGCATCTTAATTCTAACAACAAAATGACAAAATAAAAATACCATCAACTACAAATTAGAGGTACATTTAGAAAATTAAGTAAATAAAGTAATAATTTAAAATACCTTTGTAATGTCATGAAATTTCCATGAAAATGTTTTAAAGCTAAGGCTCTTTGTCACACAAACTTATGCTAGTTTTTTAAAATAAGTTACAAAACCATGATATAAACAGCACATGCAAATAACTCTGCTTTAAAAATGCATGTTTTTGCAATTTGCTAAGGAAAGTTTTTTAAAGTGTCTGAAAGTAATATACTGCATGAGCAGTAACTTTTAAACTCTTAAGAGTGAATCACACTGAATTACAATGGATGGTGCTTTTTTTGGATACAATTTAGAATAAATATAGATGATAGATTTTCATAAAAGTTATGTTTATAGCCTTTGGATCAGTAATCAGATGGAACAATTCTCATTCTTATAAAATAGCAATCACTTTGGTGATAGAGAGCAAAAAAATTAACATCATGTACTCTGTTTTTTGATTAAAGATAAAGTCTCTTTCTTCTCTCACATTTAAAAAGAGAAAAATTAAACCTCACAATTACTTCCTAGGGTGTTATCAGTATATGGTAAAGTGAAACAATTACAAGCAATAGTAATATATAATGTTAAATGCAAGTACAAACAAAATCTTGGTGCATACTGGACAACTAATAAACATTTGTGGAAAAAATAAATAACTTTTTCTCGAAAGCCATTTGGCAAGAAGTTAACACCCAATGTTTTATTTGCAACTTTAAAATAACTTATACATTCAATGTTTAATTAGATCCAATATTCACTGATTTGACAATAGTATGTAATTATTTAGCAAATTAAGCCTTAGAAAGCAATTTAAGTTGTTGTTTGATTGCTTACTGATGAATGACCTACTTATTTTCTTTCATTTTATCACTCTGAGAAGAGGATGGTGGAGAATTGGAGAGAATGTAGTAATGAATGATAGCTGATCATCAAGCCTGTTCTTTTCTTACTGGCCCCGAAGTTGGACTTTTCCAAATTCCCTTGCAATTAGGCGTGATCATGTATCTGAGTCCAGCCAAGGAAATGTTAGAGGTTAGTTCATTGTCTGCTGTGCCTAGGACTGGCTCAAAAAATCTTTCACAGTCCCTCCTACGTGCCCTGTCTATCTTCACAAGTTTAGTCATCTTAGAAACCACACGTTGAGGAAGACAAAACCAAAGGTGAGATCTGGCCTTGGAATCTCCACTTAAAGGAGTGGGTACCCACCAACCAAAAATGCAATTTTAGATTTCATTTGGGTGAGGTGAGAAATCAACATATTGTGGTAAGCCTGTAAAATTTAGGGTTTTATTTGTTAGAGCAATGAGCAATTCCCTGACCAAATGGTGTGAGTTATTTTATTTTATTTTATTTTAGATCTAAAAGTAAGTTAGTAAAAATCCACAATCATGCTTCAAGTTATTCTGAACAAGATTTGTTTTTGCCTAATTCAAATTAAATTTAAATTAAGCTTATGAAGATCTGTAAAGTTTAGAGGGGCGTGGATATTGGTTGGAATGAAACAGAATGGGGAAACATGACCTTGCTGTTATGGTCACTTACAGGTTAATATGAATATTTTGAAAGATGACAGAAACTCATGTTTACAGCATTTTCTCCTCTTTAAATAAGACCAAAAATAATATTGAAGTGGGAGACTCACTGTCCTTTTTAGCATCCTCAAAATAACATACGCCCTTTAATTTTATACATACTTTTGTTATGTATGTTGAGAGGCTTAAACATGTAGATGGGAAAAAATGATTAAGGCCTGTGTGTACATGCTGCAAGAAAGAAAAGTGACAAGAAGGAAAGTGACCTTAAATATCTATATTCTCCTATATTTTGAGAACATTGTGAAAATGGTAGCTTATTACACTGCAACTAACTCAGCGATGCATACACCTACTCAGGTTATATATATATAAGAATGAAAGCATAGAACCGAGGTAAGAGTTTTTGCATCTGCAATGTCTTCCAGTTTATTTTTTCTTTTATGTTTTGTAACAGACTAGGCTACTGCTTCCACAAACCTTCTTTATTCCCCATGTCTTTTTTGTTATCAAACTTCAGTTTTGTTCATATATTGAGTGAAAATTTCTTGATCTGATGGAGAATAGGCCCATTCCTTTTTTCTTTCTGACCAATGATGTACTAAGAAGTCATCTGGGAGGATTCTGGGGAAGATTTTCCCCTTCCAATAAAAGGAAAACTCTTGCGGAGAAAATCTCTGCTGAACATCCTTTCTCTTTCTTCTTTGATTGAAGTGAAAAGAACACAAGGCTTGGAGCTGCTACAGCCAACTAGGAAGCATGACAGAAAGGCCAAGAGAACATGTCAGTGCTGTGTCTATTTGGAAATAATGCTAGCCTTGGCTAATCTTGGGATTTCAGGTATTTTGAGAGAAACCCTGTATTTTAACGCCACTGCAGCAGATGTGATGGGTGCCCTGCCACGCTGCCTACCACTATGCATCACCCTGGTTTAATTTCCCATTGACAACACATACTTCTTTCCCTAAGTCATTTCTCAGTCCTGCAGAGCCTGCTTTGCCACCCAGTTAGCACAAGTGCCCAGGGAACATTGCCATCCCTACCTCTAAGAGCAGGTCTAATGACAGAAAGCAGTTGGTGTATAAATACTTCAGCTCCATCCCTGGAGTGGAATATCATGGTTTGCACTAGTGCCCAGAGTTCCTCAGCACAGCTAAGCTCCAGATAGCTGCAGTGGTATTATTGCCTGATAACAACCCTTACTGGCTGACTTCCCATCCTGGTCTCACTTCCTCACTCTTTTATTGGTGTTTTCTGGGATCACTCCAAAATAAACAAAGTGTATTGTAACCCTTGCTTCAGGGTTTGCTCCTGAGAAAATCCAAAGGAAAACAGCCTTTATGAATTTTCTATTACTGGGAAAAGATACACATTTCCAATATGATTTTCTTCTTGAAGATATAAATATAAAGGATCATTCTAACAATTAATATTATTAAATATAATGCAGCATGTTAGATTTTCTTTTCCTCATGCCCTTTCAATGTGGTTTGATCTTAACTGTATCTTTGATTTATAATTATGTACATACTTGTTTATCAATATAAGTAAAATTTTGTTTAAAATGGTATTTGGCTAGCATCCCCAGTGAAAACTTCCTTATTGCCCTCTAAAATACCTTTGAAAGAAAAAACTCAATTAAAAAAGAAGTGAAATTAGAAAAAATAAAAGAAAATAACATTAAGGTTTAGTACTGACAGCTTAACACCTAACTCTTGAAATAATTGACACTTAATACATAGCAGATGAAAATAAATTTAAAAAAATGAAATGAATGGAAATTGTTGCCTAGGGCTGCCATAACGACCACAAATTTACCAGTTGAAAGCAAGGTAAGTTTATTCCCTCACAGTTTGGGAGATCAGAAACCCTAAATCAAGGTGTTGGGAGCGTTGGGTCTTTTTTGGAGGCTCTGCAGGAGAATCTGTTCTCTGTTCTTCTCCTATCTTCTAGTGGTTGCCGGAGATCCTTGGGGTTCCTTGCTTTACATTTCTACCTCTTTCTTTGCACAGTCTTCCACTATGTGTCACTGTGTCTCAAATCTCACTCTCCTTACTTTTCAGAAGACATCAGTAATTGGATTTGGGGCCAGTCCTAAATTCAGAATAATGTCATCTTGAAATTTTCAACTTTATTACAGCTGCTAAGATTCTTTCCAAATAAGGTCATATTCAGCAGTACTGGGAGTTAGGACTTGGACTTAACCTTTTTGGGTAGACAACTCAACCCACTACAATAGTTAAGAGCAAAGAGAGATACATGGAAAAACTAAACATCCAGTAGCAGAACCTAAAGGTGAATCCAAGGCAGAAAACAGCTAAATAAGATAAGCTGGGAGATGACATCAGTGAGTATGATGAATAGGAGAAGCTCCCCCAAAGGAAGGGAAAAGGATAAAGTTCAGATGTCATAAAGAAATAATGGAAAGCCAATCTTCAAATGATAAGAGGATCTGAAGAAGCTCAAGGAGAATACAACTTTTAAAACAGAAACAATACTCAAGGACATAACTGAAGAAGAATTTTCAGAATAGATGAAAAAGTCATCTAACTGAAACTACACTAATTGAAATGCTTCATTAAGATTCAGAAAAAAATAATCTTGAGATACCCCTATGTCCTTTCATTAAAAGTGAGAAGAAAGCCTTCTCTAAATGTCTGTCCACATTAACAAAAACAAAACACTGAAAGCAGAATACAATTCAAGCTGGCCTTGGATTTTTTTCTCTAGTGTATGAATTGCCACTAAAAGACAATTTCAATGTGTGAGGGACAAATCATATAAGTCAATGGTCCCAGCCTTTTTGGTACCAGGGACCTCTTTTTGGGGAAGATAATTTTTCCATGGACCAGGGGTGTTGGAAATGATGGTTTCCGAATGACACTGTCCCACCTCAGATCATCAGACATTAGTTATATTGTCATAAGGAGCGTGCAACCTAGATCCCTCACATGTGCATTGCACAATAGGGTTCATGCTTCTATGAGAATCTAATGCTGTTGCTGATCTGACAGGAGGTAGTGCTCACACAGTAATGTGAGTGATAGGGAGAGGCTGTAAATACAGATGAAGCTTCCCTTGTCCACCGCTCACCTCCTGCTGTGAGGCCCAGTTCCTAATAGGTCAGGGACCTGTACCAGGCCGCATCCTGGGGATTGGAGACTCCTTCTATAACCAAATACTTTTCCTGCCATCCAAGTTGCATACTTATTGTAAAGAAGTTAAAAGAATCTTATGATAATGATAATAATTAAATAGTGTCAAACATGGTGATCACCTGTTAATCACCATGTGTTAAACACATATACTCATACACTCTCTAACAGTCACAAAATTAAAGAGATTAAAGAGTTAAATATAAAAAGTTTTTAAAAAGTAAAAATAAAACTGAGGAAAATATAACTTAAAATGTATTTAATCTCATGCAGAAAAACTTCTACAGATTAAGTATAATTGAAGAAATCAAAAGAAACATTAAAGCTGACCACCATAAAAAATTAGAGTATTTATCAAAAATCATATAAACAAAAGGGAAAGATAAATTGGAGAATAAATTTTCTACTCACTAAAACAAGTGATTAAAAACCAAAATTAAAACTAAGTATATGTAGATTATAAAAAATTAAACTCCAACAGAAAACACTTATTTCAGCCTAAAGTAATTCAAATAAATGGAAATAAAATTAAGGTGGCCTGAATTATTATTCAGAATGTAATTTTGTTTAAAAAAAAGCACAAGGGTACAATTTTATCAAATAGAAAACAGTTAAGAGACAATAGTCAGGGTGAGATCATCTAGGGACTATCATATTGCTGCCGTGTAAATTGATAAAGATTTTCCGTAAAGGGATATAATAATATACAGAAAAAGACTTTAAATATTGACATTAAAATTTGACTCAATTTCATGTCTAGGAATTTATTCCATGGACATAATCAGAAACAGGTGAAGATTAGTTGCTGAGATATTCATTGCCATACATTTTTGTAATAGCAAACTACTTGAAAAAAAAATAGAATTTTGTGATGTATCAAATGAAGAGTTTTCTTTTTGCCTTTATATTTTTATGTGTTTTTCTTGTTTCCAACCAGTGGGTATTATCGTTTTAGTTGGATGAAAATAAAGTGTGTTTTCTTTATCCTGTTGTTAAAAGTTGATATAGGAAAACTGATATATTTTATCTATTTTAACAATATATTAGTTATTTTCCTCACCATGTGACATATATTATCTGAATTAATCATCACAATAACATAATGTTAAGATACTCATTAGAAGAACAAAATATAGGTCAGAATATTGAAGTCTTATAACCTGATTTTGCATCCAAATCTGTATGATTCCACATTTCCAGGCAGTTTCCCACTGAATCCTGGAATGAATGTTGGCAAAAGGAAGGCACTTGCACCTATTTAATCTCACCCACCTCCCCCAACCATTCCAGGGAAATTCTCAGGGGAAGCTGGTAGGGACCTTGAGCTACATGCCTGACAGGATGCTTATTGCTGCTCATTTCCCAGCGAAAAAGATTTCAGGTGTTAAAAATGACCCCCTTTGCTACTCCAGATGGCATTGGTCAATTGCAGCCAATCTATATTTAATCAAAAGTTAGGGGCACCTGTAGGCTAACCAAAGTGTTTTATAACATTCATAGAAAGCCAACAACCCTATGAATACCTAGAAAAAAAATAGCAGCTAATGACTGAGAGAATACTTAAACATGAGAAATGATCATCTCTTCTCATGTAATCCCTAAAATATTTTCTTCAGTTATAGTTCCATATTTGATTATAATATATCCTATATGATTCACAATATTCCACCCAGATGCACTCTACTCTCCTCCTTCCCTACAGAGAACAATATATGGCAATGAAAACATGTGTTGACAAGTCATTTGAATTTATATCATCAAAAGTGGCTTCTAGAATATGTTCATGAGGCAGGGATCATTTGCTATACTGTTTACTGAAATGTCTTAACTGTTTAGAAAGGATCTTAGGACACACTAAGTGCTTGCTAAATATTGGTTGAATAAAGGAGTGACAGTAAGAAAGAGAAACAAAATGATGGATAAAAGGACGTTAGAAAAATGTGTGTGCATTCATGTATTCACCAAATATTCATTAATTGTGTAACATACGTGGGACAATTAAGAATGCGTGAACTAAGGGAACCTATAAGAAATAATACTCCCACCTGAAGGAATGAATATTCTAGTATTTCTTTTCATTGCTACTGATGAAACATGGAAAGAGGCATTGTTAAATAAATTATCAAACTTCCCTGATGCGTGAGAATATTTAAAAAATACACCTCAAAGTTAAGCCTCAGTATTTTAAAGACATATTTTTTAGGAAATTCATGGGACAAATAATTCATGTGCTTTGTGCAAACTAGCTAAAATTTTCACTCTTTTATTAATAGTTTCATGATTATTTCCTCCAGTAACTTCTTAATTGAGACTGTTTTTCATATAGTAACATTTATTAATTACAGGAGAAATTTAGAGAATTGGGGCTTTTAATAGCTCTTTCTATAGTAAAAGTCAATTCTTTTCCCAGCTATAAAATATTTCACTCTAATTCTGACTGTTATAACCCTACAATGAAGGTAGTTATAACTCCATGTTTAGGACTTGTCAATCTACTAAAAAAAATAGGCTATATTTAATATGGTCATTTCACTGCAAGAACAAGAAGATTGGATTGGCAAGGAAAAGACACCATTTTCAAACAATGTGAAACGAATTCCATCCTCCTTGTCTTGTGAATGGGTGGACAGAGTCGTCTTAGTCAAAGAGGGCAGGCTTTGTCCCCATTTCATCTTTGACAATGAAGAAAAGTGACAAGAAAAGTGATGAAAAACACATGAAAAGTAAATGGCCGTAAATTGGAGTCTCCTTGAATGGAAAGTTTCCTGTAATAAGAAAGTCTACTTGGAATAATAAGCTATTGAACCTGGAAGGGGAAGAAGACAGCATGGCACTTTTGGGAACAAGTCAACTAAATGTAATCCACTGAACCAAAAGACAGACATTTCCAGCAGGGACTTATCCAGACCTGCTATTTGTCTCTCTAGGTGATGACTATCATTGAAGTCATAGGATGAGTATTTCTGTTGCCTTAGCCTGAAGGCTATCTTCATAATACCACTGGAAAGATACAGCCAGGGAATGTATATACATATATGGAACCAGTTGCCACAGCCTGTAACCATCAAAATGGCACAAATGATGAACAAGTCTGTTGCTTCAACCTCCTTTAACCATGAGCCCTATTTTATTACCTGTGACATATCATTTTGGGGGGGCCCTGACAAAGTTATACATAAAGGCAAATTCACTAGTTTCACATTTCCTGAAGAAAATCCTTAAAGCATAACTTTTAAAAAATGGCAGAAGTTGATAGTTTTGGTAAGTGACTACATTAAGCACAGCATCAGTAATGGTGATGTAATGAAATTGGTATGGTGCTGTGCTGTACCATTTGTCTAACTTGAAAGGCACCTTTCAGATATAAATACTCTGGCCAAAACAGGCCTACAGGGTCAGGATGATGATGCATATCATTGCAATATTTTTCTACATAAACCAACTAACAATCATAAGTACAGGGGATATAATTCTTTGACTTTTTCATAGTGATCTTTTAAAGTCTTGATAGCATGCACTTTTCTGGGATATATCCTGTTACACACACAAACTTTCTATTTAGAACAGGTTACAAAGAAATGCTTATGACTTTCAATTTACTGCCATTTTTAGGGTTGGAAGAATTAGTATCAAATAGAAGTACCTTCAACATATCCAATGAGATACACCAAGTTGGAAAAATCATGAACGAGGCAAGCTATTTAAACTATAATGTGACCCTGGAGGGCATAAGCTACTCTCTGGTAATATTCAACACAATTATATTAGGTAGAAATGCATATATTTATGGTCTTTGAAATAGTAGTAAATCTTAGCTGTGAAAAAGGAAAGCTCAAGGATTATTATTTATAGGTGATGAATCTTGCTAAAAAAATGGACCTCCAAAGAATCACCTTATTGAATTGTAGAAATTAATTTGCTGCTTTGTATGCTATGGCCAAAGGAGTCTGGCAAAGATATAGCCATTTTATTAGTGATTAATGTATGGAAGGAGATGGAGAGGAGGATAAGTTATTTGATATATAGTGGAGAATGTTCTTTGTAGTATAATATCCAAAAAATCATTTGGAAGAAATTAATTACAATTGTTTATATCTGCTTTTTCCTCTGTGGCTAAAGGCTAGCAAACAATCCACACAGATTTGTTAAACAAACATATTTATCCAAGTATTTAATTAAAACTCATGAAATATCTGTATGTGTCATTCACTGTTCCAGGCACTAGAGATATAGCATGAACAAAAGGAAGAACTCTCTATCCTCATGTAGGTGTCATTCCAGAACAAGGAGACAGACATTTTTAAAACAAGCAAAATAGAGTCCATCAGCATAGCAATGAGTGCTGTAGAGAATATTAAGCAAGAAGGGGGGATAGAGAGTAGCTTTGGGGAAGAGTGATATTTTTAATCTTTAAGGTAGTCCTCAGAGATAAGGTAACATTCCAGCAGTGACACAAAGAAATCAATGAGATGCCAAAAGCCACGTGGCTCCCTGGGCCATTCCATTGACATATGAAGGAAACCAGTCTGTTCAGTCTCTGAAGAGACTTTTATTTTGACTTGATACATGTGGATCAATTTATAGTGATAATGACCCTGTCATGCTGCAGGGGAGACAATTGAGGATTTGTGTCCTCTGTCAAGAAAGAATAACCTGGTATCATGATCACACATGATATGTACAACGGCATCACTTGTCTCAAAGATTTTGCCTACAAAAATGAAGGATGTTTTGTCTTCTGAGGTGATTGCAGTAAACGTCATCAAAGCTTATAATCTAAATCATCACCTTTCCTGAGTTTTTTTTTTTAATAAAAAGTACCAAGTAGAGTTCTTTTTTTTTTAGAATAGAAGGTAGCTTGTTTTTGAGACTAGATACTACTGCCTTTCTAAAATATGTTTTAAAAAGCATCACTTTCTTCACAATCAGAACAGATAATTTAGTTATGAGAAGAAAATAGAGAGTTTATCCTATAACTCAAAATTTGACAGATACAGTCACATAGCACAATGTGGGTATGTGATAAGCCAGGGAGAATTTGAGAATTTTTCTTAGAAAACATTCACTTTGTATAAAGAAAGTTGAGGGAAAAAAATTACTAGCTTTATTCTCCTTGAATAAATATTTCTTTACTGAATATAAAGGAACAGTCATTGAAATTGAAGTGACAGCAATTTTATACAGTTAGGTGAGCTTTATCAGAGATTTTTTCCAATGGAAATCTTGATGTGGCAAAGACATGAATGTCGGATCCATTAATGTTCACTGTAAATTCTACTAATGATAGTGATTTTCGTAAAGTGTGATTTCACTGATTGGTTCAAAAGGATTCAGAGTGGAATGTGTGAATTTCTAATGTGGCTAATTAGTAGTTTGGACAATTGGTGAACATAAAAATGTAGATCCTTGGGCAGGTTCTATATATGATAGACGTTGCATGCATTTTGTGCATTAGGCCACCACCAGGATCAACATAAAGGTAAATGATAATGTGAATGTGGCTATTTAATATATGTGGTTATTTCTATAAGCTCCTTGAATTAAAGCTGTTCCGTGAAGGTAACTTAGCTGGTGAATTTTGTAAAAGTGTATATTCCTTGTGTAACATTAGCATGACTACAAAATTCATATTAATTGTAATTACATTTTTCCTATTCTATATTTGTTAGCAAAATTGAATTTCAGTGGCTAACTTATTCAGCAATTTTGTGTTTTGAGGATATTGGTTGAAGAAAGATGAGTAAATGTTGGAATATACTTAATTTGGGTCCTGTAGAAACATTCTCTGAGACTGAGAATTGTATGTCAGAATTTTATTGGGAGGTGCTTTCAGGAGAGAGCTAGAAGGTGGAGAAACAGTAATTCTACAGTGGAAAAACCTGGCAGATGCTACTTTCAGCTTTTCAGCAAATGACCAAAGTCAATGTCACCACTGCTAAGTCATGCAGATATCATGTACCCCTCAGAAGATGCAGTGAGAAAAGCACTTCCCCTCGGAGATAATTTTGCTTCATTGGTTAACCTCAGACTGATTATGAGAAAATATTAGACACAAATTGAGAAAAATACTACAAAATACCTGGTCAAGGCTCTTTAAAATTGTTGAGTTCACTAAAAACAAAGAAAGCCTGAGAAATCATCACAGATTAGAGGAGACTAAAGAGACCGGATGACTAAATGCAATGTGATCTCCTAGATTGGATCTTGGAAGAACAAAGTAACACCAGTGAGAAGCACTGAAATCTAAATAAAGTCTTTAGGTCCATTTTTATAATGCTATACATTGGTTAAGATAAAGACACATAAATGATGTTCGATGGGTATGAAGTTTCAGTTATGCTAGTGGAATAAATTCCAGAGATCTGCCGTACGACATAGTGCCTGTTGTGAACAACATGATATGGTGCATTTGAAAATTTATGAAGTGGATAGATCGCCTGCTACATATTCTTATCAACTTCCCTCCTCCCCCCACACCCCAAAAAACAATGAAGACAACACAAGAGAACTTTGGAAGGTGTTGGATATATTTGTTTCCTTGATTGAGATGATATCATGGGTGTGTGCATATGTTCAAAGTCATCAAACTGCACACATTAAACAGGTGCAGTTCTTTGTACATCAATTATACCTTTAAAAAGCTGTTAAAAAAGAAAGTTTAAAGTTTTATAAATGTAAATTGTATATAAATCCCACAAAAGGTTAGAGAAATTGGGTTGGACCATGAAAAGCAAGCAAATTCCAATTGCAGTTGAAGATTCAGCTGATTCTATGGGCAGCTCTTGGGCTGAGTGACCCTTTGGAGTTTTTACAAAGTGAGGAAAGAGGGAGGAGGGTTGGTCCTTTGTGTCCTTGCCTATGTCAGTCATTGGCCAAAGCTGACCCCTGGGATGTGCCATCATCTTGGACAACTCAACACATGGCTCAGCTATCAACATTCAGCAGCTGACATGCTCATCAGCTTGAGGAAGGGACTAGCCTTGAAAAGGGAAGCTGGATGGGGAAAACACCCTCATCTGAGAATACTCATTTCTTAGTCTTGAGTTGCTACCAAATAACCTTCATCAACATTTGACTTCTCTTTGCCTTGGTGTCTGTCTGTAAAAAATAGATCCTATCTGGAAAAAAGCAGATTCTATCTTTCTCTTAAAACACCAAGCTGAGATACGTATTCAAGAATTTTTTCTCTTCTCCAAGTCTCTATGGAGCAAACTGAAATGCCCGGAGAATTAAATGATAAATATTATGATGAAACTGAATGGTAATATCAATAAAAATGTGCGTGCATGTGTATATGTATGTGTGTGTACACATATGTATAAAATAAGTCAGATTCCAAGGTTAAATAGATATTCTGTAAACTCTACAATTCCTTTGGGGATAGTGGAGAATGCTCATAGAGAAGTTTTAGGAAAGTTGCTAAGGGCATTTATCTCTAACTAACATAAAGGAAGACAGTTGAATGCAGTGAAGAAAGCAGAATAAGGATATTATTTTTAAAATTTGCACTGGGGCTATGGAAATATTTATATTCAAATATGAACTTGTGATGCATATTATTTTTGAAAGTCCTATCAATGGAGTTTTGAAAATTCTTTTAGATATTGTGTTTTTTTAATAGTTGACAATACTTTATCTTTTTCATACAAATACAAAACTTAAATGTGAATACATCAACTCTTTTAAAATAATTGCTCCTTTTGTAATTCTGAGAATATTTTCAGTTATTTTAATTAAAGGGTTTTAGAATTGTGCAGCTTTGTGTTTACACTATGTGATGATATATCAAAACATTAGGAAAGAGCATCCCTAGGTTTCTTTGGTGAATTGAATATTCTTGCCTCCACAGACATATTCCACCAATTCTAAAAGTTCCTTGATCATTTTACAAACCAACTAGTAGATTGGAAGGGAACAATAGCTGTTTGAACATAGGATAGTAAATTGATGGCTGCATTTCTCAGACTTGGATCACTGCCAAATAACCTTTTGTATACATTTGGTGTGCCTATTGGCAAAAAATAGATTCTATCTTTCTCTTAAAGAATCAAGCTAAGGTAGTTGAGAGCTTTGAGAATTTCCTTTAGCTCCTAGGAGAAAACATTATTAGAAATTACTTGTCATCAACTTCTACATCAGTGATTATTAAACTAGGGCTCAGGGGTCCAAGTGCCTTAGTAGAGTGTCAGGGGAACGTCTAAACCCCCTGAATAATGCATTTTGTGTGAATGGGAAAATTTGCATGGGAGGTAGTAATCAATAGTTTTACTAAATTCTTAATGTGATTTCTGCCCCTCAAATTTTAAGGCCACTGTCCTCTACACAATATTTTTGTCAGATACTCCAAACCAGATGCTCCTTGTCTGAAATGCTGTCTTTGGCAAGGAATCTACAGAAGAATCAAAGGTCACACATAAGACAAATTTTACTCCTTGAGTTTGTTGGAATATGCTTGTTCTTAGCCAAGTCTCCTTCTCCCTGGAGTCCTGTTACCTTCCAAGGAAGAGCCTTCAAATGGAAACAAAAGTCTTTTTTCTGAGGTCATCTTTTATTCTTCACTTATGGTTCTGCCCTTGTACGAATGTAAAGGCATTTTGATTATATGTCTCCCCTGTTTGCACCCTTCTCTTACTTATTTCACTACTTAAATAAAGGTCCGTGTTCACACCACGGCAGTACTTTCTTTCTCATTTCACATCTGGGCAGCATTTGAGTTTAGAGCAGCATTCATTGTCAAGAGGGCCCCAAACATATCTACTTAAGACAATTATCAAAGCACCATTTGGGACTCACCTCTCCCACCCCTCTGAACACTGCCCTGAATTTTTACTAGACTATGACGGGTCCCCAATCTTATCAATGACCCCTGTCTACACCCAGCTGGCCTCTTTTTAAATAGAACTTCCAGCCATAATTAGACACAGCTGTGTGGTGCCTGTGTCTGCCCTGTAAGAAAAGCCTCATGGGAAGGGCAGTGTCTCCACACCACCTTGGTCCCTAAAGAGTGAAGTACATGTCTACCCCAGCAGCCTTTAGGAACACAAGGGGTAAAGAAACTCCTGATATGAAGGAAAGGTTTGCTATAATATTTGTTTTTCTCTCCTAATTTATCGCTCAGCCTTGGGCCAGACAGCAGTTTAAAGAATGCAGGTTGGTGGAGAACTTTATGAAGGCTAAGAGCACACATTACAATCACAAAATTTTCAAGGCTCACAAAGCTTGCATAATTACACTGGCTGCCGAGGCCTTCCGGCACTTTTCAGCTATAATGGCAATCTGGCTAATTTCCCACTGGCTTAATCTATAACTTCAAAGACTCCTAAAGCAGTTACAATTATTCTGTTTGCTTTTCAGGTGACCTACACCATTGGTATTGAGCGGCCAAGTTCTCAGGTTGATTAATTAGAACAGTTCGGTTTTAATTTAGGATTTTTTTCTAAATATTTTTTCTTTCTAAAAATAATCTCTAGTTGATACAGTAGCAAAACACTTCTCAAGAGTCACTTTTGCAAGTTGGAGGACAGTTGAAGACCAACTGTTGTTTAATTTTATTTTAACTGCAACTTCTTCTTGAGATGCCAAATAATATATGTTCAGAATATAAAGCTTGGAAAATACACAAAGAACATAAAGAAGAAATATGAAGTCATCAACTATTCCACTGCCCAGCCATAACCACTATTAATATTTTCTTGTATTCAATAATTAATTCAGTAGATGCCAAGTAGGCGACTAGGCACTGTGATAGACTAGGTGTTGAGGATCATTTAGTGATTTTTTTTTTTAAGTACATATTTGGCTAGGCACTGTGGCTCACGCCTGTAATCCCAGGCTTTGGGAAGCCAGGGAGGGTGGATCACCTGAGGTCAGGAGTTCAAGACCAGCCTTGCCAACATGGTGAAACCCTGTCTCTACTAAAAATACAAAAATTATCCAGGCATGGTGGCGCATGCCTGTAATCCCAGCTACTCGGGAGGCTGAGGCAGGAGAATTGCTTGAACCCAGGAGGTGGAGGTTGCAGTGAGCCGAGATCGTGCCATTGCACCCCAGGCTGGGCAGCAGAGTGAGACTCAGTCTCAAAAAAAAAAAACAAACAAAACAAAAAAAACAACTATATTTTTGCATCTACATACATATAATATGTATCCATTTTCTTCATATTCTATTTCTTTTGTAAAAAGTCAAGTTAGACTCGTGTGTGTCTTTTTTATCCTGCCATTATTTGTTTGTTTGTTTTTCTCTACTTTATTCTGTGACCTTTTCCATTCAGTTGCACATTCTTTAAAAGCATTATTTGAATGACTGTGTAATATCTCATCCTATGGGTTATCATAATTTATTTAGACAATTCCTCATTCTTGGGCCTTTATGTTATACATGAAATGAAAGGAAATGAACCCTGGTTATCTTTCTCCTCTTGTATTTTAACCCTTTCCTCACTTTGAAACTTCTCATGTTTACCTACTCTGAAATTTTGATTCTCAATTTATTTTCCATGTTTTCTGCCTAGGCTTTACTTTTTCATAAAAAATAGAAACAAATTTTTGACTCCCCTTAAGGCATTAGGGGGAAAAGTAGAAAAACACTGAAGAACTTTCCTTTGAATGCCAACTGGAAGGTGATAATTTGATTTTGTGTTTTTATTTCCTCTTGCTTAATATAATTCCTATAAACTATAATAGATTTTTCAAAATAAAGTATGTAGTGTTAAGTACATCATAGCTATTTATTAAATGGTTAATAGTGGTAATAAAGATAAATTGTACCAAGTCCCTAACATAAAACACAAATATTAATTAATGTGTGAGTTTAATAGTACATATCTATACTGACATAAATAAATGATTGAGTAAATAAAGGATTAATAAATAAGGGAAAAGGACCGAATCTTTTTTACAGAAGAACTGCAAATAATACATGTGAAATGGAAGAGAAAAATAGAGAATCATCATTAAACCAGCATGTAATAATTCTTCCAGGCAATTGATGTATGATAAAAATCAGTGGGCAAAGGTTAAAGAGTAACAGGATATTTGCCTAGCCTCAATGCATTTTTTCCAAAATATTTATTACTTAATCTGGTGGTTTTAACATTTGACTGTGGATTCTTTCACACTCCTACTGGATTTAAAAACTGAAATCTAAGGAATAGATTATGGAAAGAGAAATTTAGTGACTACTTAGGATACCATCAGACAGCACATTATCCAAGTGATCAAGGTTAACAACATCAATAATAAGTTGTATTGTTGTCATCCTCCGGCTGATAGGCGATGAGAGAGGCAACTTACTCTCAGCGAAATAGTGTCCCTCAAAATGTATAATCCTTGTGCAATCATGAAAACACATCAGACAAACCAAAACTAAGAGACATTGTATAAAATTACTGACCAAGCCTCTTCAAAAGTGTCAAGGTCATGAAAGACCAAACAAACAAACAAACAAACAAAAAAGAGCATGAAATTTTCAGTTTGGTGGAGGTTGAGGCAATACGTTGTGACAAAGTGTTATGCTAAGTTGCATCGTGGACAAGAAAAAAGACATTAGTGCAAAATCTGGTGAATTCTGAAATAAACCTGTAGTTTAGTTAATAAACATCCTATCATTGTTGATTCCTTAGGTTTCGTGAATATATCATGATTATGTAAAGAGATAATACTAGCCATAGCTGGGTGAAGACGTAAACGAACTCTGTATAACTGTTGTGATTCTTCTTGTCAATCTAAAATTATTTCAAAATATAAATGTTTTCAATAGTATTCTCATTGTTTGTTAAAATTTGTTCATAAAGCTGTCAAGTGTGTTTAAATACTGTAGAGAGCTTGTTAACAATTCAGTGAGGTTGAGCATATGTAAGAGATTATAATCATCAACATATTGTCCTGCCATCTGATTGAACTAAGCTGGAGCACGGTGGCTCCTAATCTGTTCCCTTATGATTTAGGGATTGTTTTCTGCCTTTCTTTTGGTTTGTTTTTCTAGGCTAGGGAAATACAACCATTGAGTCCTCTCAAGTAATTCATTCTAATAAGCTCTTTGATCCTGTCATATTAAAGCCTACAAGCAAAGTTGATGCTTAGTGCTATGTCCCAGAGGACTTACTTCAAACGACTCAGAGCAACAAAGGAACAAATTATTTTACTGTTTTCCCTTTTTGGTATAGTCAGGCTGTTAGTACTATTTCTTGCAAATTTCAGCAAGTAGTTTTTTGAGAGTGGAACTCCAAAAGTCAGAGGATAAGAAATGAGAATTACTCATTGCTACAGTTCAATAACTTGATACAGTTTCTTATAAAAATGAGTGATTTCTATATTTCCTAATTTTGCAAATGATGAAGATTTTATCAACATGTTAACAGTAAAGAGAAGTAAATAGAAGGTGTTACATAAAACTAATTAGCATTTTTGAGATTATGTCAAGCATCAAAATTGACTTTCTCATTCTCAGATACTTCTCTGTGAAATGGATATGTAATTTTGAGTGTGGCTTACTTAAGCTTTAATTACAATGAGAAATAATTAAGAAGAGGACATTTTCAATCTTAAATTGGGAAGAATACACATAAATCTCTAGCATCTTTCTATTAATTTTGATATTTGACCAAAAGGAAAAATTTATTTGCTTTTAACTATAAGGAAGTATTGCTGAAAAGTGTTCAGAACCTTGTCAAGACTTCTTTTATCCATTTGTTTATTTTATTTATAAGTATTTATGAAAGGTTAATTTTATTATGATGATGATTATTATTTTTGAGACAGAGTTTCGCTCTTGTTGCCCAGGCTGAAGTGCAGTGGCGCCACCTCGGCTCACTGCAACCTCCGCCTTACTTGTTCAAGCTATTCTCCTGCCTCAGCTTCCCGAGTAGCTGGGATTACAGGCCCCTGCCACCACGCCTGGCTAATTTTTTGTATTTTTAGTAGAGACGGGGTTTCACCATGTTGGCCAGGATGATCTTGATCTCTTGAATTCATGACCCTCCAGCCTCGGCCTCCCAACGTGCTGGGATTACAGGCATGAACCACCGTGCCAGGCCAAAATGTTAATTTTAAAACAGAACAAATGTTATCATTTTGGTTTTGCCACATACTATATATAAGTTCCTGGAGGAATTTACATAACCACCTCATGCCTCAGTTTTCTTAGCCCTGAAATATAAATTATGCAATTTTCAGTCACAGAGGATTATTGGAATAAAACATGTAAATGGTAAGTAGTTGCTTAATAAATATCAGTATACATACTCCCTAAGGACTAATTATTTTCTATATATTCCTTTCAAGTTAAAATGTGGAAAACAATAATTTATAATTCTATAAAAATAACATTTAATACAAATAAAGTATTAGAGAAAAACTATATTGTTTTAAATATCTAGTGTTATCAGCAAATGTATGTACATACTCTAGTGTGAGATTTGCTTCAGATTCCCAGTCTGAAAGTTTACATGGCTACATTTCAGCTTTATATTTAACAACAGAGAAGTTCCTCACCATGTCTGGGCAGAGTTACTCTCATTTCAAGCCTTCCTAAGGTATGCTTGGATGTTGAAGATTGCAGGCCCTAAATGGGCAAGACCACCCACTCTGAAGCCAGCCAAAAATGAAACCACATTGTTGCTTCACCTCTTCTTTGAGAAAGTTACTAAGCCTTTGGTATAGTAGTTCTTGTTTGCAAAACAAGTCCTTAGGGTACTGCTGTGATGTTTAATGAAATTAAATTATGTGAAATAACTAGTGTAATCTATGTATCATTGTAAACACTTAACAACTGTTAGTTCTCCTGCACTCATTCATTTATGAAACACATGTTCAGTTAAAGTATTTTAGTATCCATATGATCCATTAGATGAATTTCTGGGTCAACTCCCACATATAATAGAACAAGTCTCTGTGTCCTTGGGCCATACTGAGATAGGCTTCTTAAAGTAGGTGCTTATTAAATATTTTAGAAAATAAAGGCAGGGAAAATGTACAATAATAAAGGCATTAAGTAGTGTCAATATATGAAATCAAAGCAGAAATAATTTATACTAGTTCATTGTCACATTGCTATAAAGAACTACCTGAGGCTTGGTAATTTATGGATAAAAGAGGTTTAATTGACTCACAGTTCTGCAAGTTGTAAAGGAGACATGGCTGCAAAAGACTCGGGAAACTTACAATCATGAAGGAAGGCAAAGAAAAGCACAGTCTTCACATGGCTAGCTAGAGCAGGAGGAAGAGAGAGGGCAAAGGGGGAAGCACATACACTTTGAAACAACCAGATCTCCTGCTAACTCTATCACAAGAACAGCCAGGAAGAAGTCTGCCCCCATGATTCAATCACCTCCCACCAGGCCCCTCCTTCAAAACTGGAAATTATAATTTGACATGAGATTTGGGTGGAGACTCAGAGGCAACCATTATCAGTATTGCTTAGCAAGCGAGAAAGAGCTACAGTTGTAAGGCATACTATCTCTGAACAAAGAAACTGACGATTTTATACAGGGTTTGGGGAAGTACAGAGTTCAAGGATGTGCAGGCTTTTAGAAGCAGTAGTGTTGAGAGACTGGTTGACCTTTCAGACACTCACAAGCATGGCCACTGGAGCCAGGGGGTTGCTGGTGGGCTGTCTGATTAAGGAAGACAAGTTGTTACTGAAAGACTGAGAAGGTTTAAAAGCAGTTGTGATGAAGACTTGGATTCATGACCAAAGAAATGGTAATCTACCTTACTTCTTTCTTGAACTTGGAGGATAGAAATTGTTTATTCTTAATAATAGAGTTCTTCAAGATTTGCAAATACTTTAAATCCATCTGTTAACTGAACATCTCCTGCTACTTGTTCATATGTACATCATGCCATTTAGCCACATCGACTGAGACTTTTCCTAAAATCATGCCCTTACGTGTATGCACATTCCAGGTACCCATTCCTTATCATCCTTTCTCCATTTGGTAAATTGCCAATCATTCTTTACAGCTAAGTTCAAATGTCATGACATTTGTGAAGCTTCCTCCAGCCACACATACTTGCTAATTGAAGTGTTGTCTGATCATTCCTCCACCCACCCCCCCAGCCTAGACAATGATTAAACCTTCCTTCCTTGAGTTCACATAGAACCTTGAAACAACTCTAGTCAACCATTTCTCATTGCATATTGTAGTTATGTTATCATGTGTGTATTTGTCTTCCTCTCTGCATACTAAGTACCTCGAAGGCAGGCTCTGTTTTGCACATTAAAAAAAATCCATTGCCTGGTTTCCTGTCTATAGGTAGGTACTCAATAAATGTCTGCATGGATAATAAATGTATCATTTCACTTCTGGCCAGTAATTCAGTGATTTATTTTCATCTTTATTTCATTACTATTTAGTGAGGGAAGGATGACATTAAATAATTTTCTCAAGTTTACACTTTTAGAAGTGGCAAAACTCACAAATCCAAATTGCAAGTGCCATTATCTTTCTTCTGTTTCCCCAATATAAAGTGAAATCATGGAATAATATAGAGCAGCTTCTCTCAATAGAAGACTCAAGACAACCACTAAGAATCTTTCCTACAAGCAGTGAGGAAAATGCAGCAATACAAGCAATATATTCTGTCAGTGTCAATGGCCATGAGAAAGCCTCAACACCATGGTCAGAAGGAGATATTTCCAGACAGAAGGAGGTTTCCAACATGCATAAACTATAGCAAGTTGCATAGTTGACAGCATTTCTCCTCCATGAGACTACTACTCTCCTAAGGCTAGGTATTACAAACTGGGAGACTTCAACAACAGAAATTTGTTATTATTATGAATGTATTATTAATATAGTTCCACAACCCTGGTGACTGCCAGAAGTCTGAAATTAAGGTATTGAGGAGTTTAAGTCCCTTTGAGGGCTGTGAGGGTGAATCTGTTCCATGTCTTTTACTTAGCTTTTGGTGGTTTCTGACTTCTTTAGGGTTCTTTGTCTATGGCAGCCTAACTCCAGTCTTCACTTGGTGTTCTTCCTGTGTCTCTATCTGTGTGTCCTAATGTCCCCTTTGTATGAAGTCACCAGTCACATTGGGTTAGGAGCCCAAATGACTCCAGTAGGGACTCATCCTAACTTAACCAATTCCATCTATTATAATACAACAATTCTATTTCCAAATAAGGTGACATTCTGCAGTACTGGAGATTAGAACTTCCATGTATGAATTTGGGGAAGACATAACTAAACAGAAGCCAGAGTTTTTCAAGGAAGACCAGAGGGTCTCCAAAAGAGAGATTTTGCAAAGAAGCAGAAGAATACAGAATATGTGAGAAGGCAGGCAATGATAGTGGAGGGATTTGTGTCAATCACCTTTGCTATGAAGGTAGTCTCTTGACCTGAGAGGAAACTAGAGTGGGGTGGATACCAGGAGATCTCAAGTCATTTCTGTAACTGCTTTGAGTCTCTATGCAAGCACCTGAGGCAGTCATCAGGATTGTGGAAACTACATTAATAGCACATTAATTATAATAACAAACATTACATACAGCTTGCCAAGCATTGTTTTAAACACACTGCTTATTTCAATGTTTAGAACTCGTAATACAACTTTATGACGTAGCTACTGTGTTTGATCTGTATTGCAGGTGATTAAACTGGCTCACCAGCAGATTAAATAGTTTGCCCTGGATCACACAGTTTGTAAAACCCAGATCATAATTTGAATTCAGGCAACTGGGATTCAGTATATGTGCCATATTGCCTAATACTTAGGCATTAATCATTTACTTCCTTTTCCCTTCTTCCCTTTTCTTCCTGTCTCTTCGATTTTAATTCTTTTCCCTCCCTCCCTCCTTTCCTTCCTTCCTTCCTTTCTTCCTTTCCTTCCTTCCTTCCTTCCTTCCTTTCCTGTCTTCCTGCCTTTCTTCTGCCTGCCTTTTGGCCTCTCTATAAATTTGCAAGGAGTGAAACCAAAAATTAAAAACAAATATTGAGCATTTTTCCTTTATATTCCCTTTATCACCGAAAAACTTCTTTTTTTTTTGGTTAATGCAAATCCAAGTTAACTATTCAATAAATGTAAAGTGGGTTATCGGTGTATTTCCAAGAATGGAGGTAGGGCATGTTTGATTTCATATACTGGCCTGTTCTGACTCCATCAAGTGCCTTGACCTGTCAAACTCTACACTTAACCCCTAGGGGTAAGTGGGAAACTAAATTTATACTTTCTACTTCAATATCCAAATCCAGGGTCCTTCCTGCCACATGATTGTCAGAGCAAAAGCATCAGGAAATTCTAAATCTAGTTTGTCTCCATAGCTTATATGCAGCTGTCATTATAAATAAAGGCTAGTGTCACTCTCATCAAACTTGAAATTTAACACGTGCTTTTGCCACTCAATGAGGGATTTCCTCTAACACACTTACTACGTAAATCTACTGTTCTCCAGCGGTTTTACTTTGGTATTATGCTACTATAAAAGCACATTTGGGGACAAAGTATTAACAGTATAAAAGAGTAATAATGAGCCTTAAAAATAAGGCTGAAAATTCCACAAAAACAGGATCACTTCTTATGACATTTGCCATTTTTATCTCCCAAACCAGAATTATTACTCAAAAATCAGACACCTAGATGAAAAATATCTGGAATGGAAAAATAAGATAAAGTTAACAGTTTCAGGCCTAAAATTTATTTCAAAGCCTTTGTTAATAAAGATGAAGTTTTTTTTAAAGATAACATTTATGTAACATATTCCTTTTTACATTTTGTGATATACTCTTATTATAAGACTTTCCAATTAATTTGCAATTTAAAATGACACACAGACATATTTTAGTAGCAGAAAATTCCTCCTATCTGGGATAAATAAGAAAGACATAAATAGATTTGTTTATTTCATACTTTATGCATCACAGTCATCAAATATGTGCATTAAAAAACTTTTAATGTCTTCTCACCCTTGAATTTTTACCTTATTCAGCCAATATTAAGTGCTAATTTGAACTACTATATATATAGATCTATCTATCTATTTATCTATCTAGTGCATATGTAAACATATATATAAATATATGTTTACATATATGTATGTTTTCTCCTTTGTCTAAGGGCAGATGAGGAAACATGTAATAAAAGGGTTATAATGGCATTGATACTGCAGTATTTAGCAAATGAACGTTGCATCATAGTTCCAGGAGATGTTTTAGAAGATTATCTATCTTCAATGTTTTGAGTCAAAATTTAATTTCATATCTAAAAAAATTGAGTTCTTTTATTGGAATCTAAAATCACAGGCACTAGCATCGAGCTAGAGTCTTCATAATCCATGAATATTCAAGGCTGCAAAAAAGCATAGATTAGTCACATTCTTGATGGTAAGCCACAGGAACTGAATACTGATTTCTCAGACAACCAGGGAATGTATTAGAATATCAGGTAATCATTGAATTGATAGGACAGTGGAAGGGTAAACTTGGTAAAATGACCAAAGGCAAGATTTTGTACTAGAAGTTAGGTAATAAGAACAACGGCCAAGGTCACGTTTTAAGAAGACTCTGGTCCTTCTTGTGCTCATTCAGGATTCACTATCCTTAGAGAAAATGCTTGATTGCCTAAGCCCAAGTAAAAAAAAGAATAAATTGATCTACAGAGTTTTTGTAGAGGGAATAGGTACTTCCCCACCTAAAATAGTCACATTAATAAATTACTCTTCAAGAAACAACAAAATAAATCAAGAAAGTGTGAATAAGAAAAGAAGGACAATTCAAAAGTGACTAATATCCAATATGATATAATGTGTGTGTGTGTGTGTGTGTGCATATGTGTGTGTGTGTGTGATGGTCTTCTCTGCTAATAAAAATAATATCAGCCTGCTCATATAAAAAGTATAACTATATAAATGCTTTAATATCCAATCTCTAAAGACTCAAAGGCA
This sequence comes from Homo sapiens, assembly GCF_000001405.40. Lineage (NCBI taxonomy): Eukaryota > Metazoa > Chordata > Mammalia > Primates > Hominidae > Homo > Homo sapiens. The sequence goes on along the minus strand of NC_000014.9, from coordinate 86,511,589 downwards.
TCAAAATGCCACATAAAGTGTGTATTTAGAATCAGGAGATGAAAATTGGACTATACCACCTCTAACCTATTATATAGAGCATGTGATTTTTATTCTTGATCTTTAGTTCCTTTTGTTGGAAAATGAGATTTCTATAAAACTGACAACATAAAATGTTGTGAGATGAGAATATTTTATATAAAAGTCATTTCCAAAATACAGAACACCACACAGAAAGTTAGTTTCTCATTATTCAGATTCCTTTGGGTCTAACGAGGGAGCCTGATTTTTCTTTTTTTTTTTTTTCTTTTAAGAATAGATCTTCTGTGCTTGCCCGTTTCACACCAGAAAAACTCCTGAACAGGCCTCTAAAGACTATGAAACATTTTCCTTTGGCTAAGAGAGAAGTGTCAGTAGAACTGAAGAAGCAGTCATAAAATTATTTTTTTAAGTGGAAACAATTATCTTAACTAGTGAAGAAAGTCAGCTTCATGATTTTAGCCCTAAGCAAAGGTATGGCTCAGTCATTTTTATTTACGCCTTTAAAAAGCCTCCTCGTTTTGTCCTTTATGTGACTTTTTTTCAATTAGCTTGGACATATTTTATACCGCCCTGCGAGGAATTTTATAAATTGTGTATTATTTTTCTTTCTCAAAGAAACGGGTTTATAAGTCCCAGATTTTCCCCCTCCATGTGGCCATTATTAGTCTTCCCTGGGGGCTTTTTTACCCCCTGCCCTCCAATGTGAGGCTTAACGGGGATGGTTCTTGCAGTCATAATTGAAAATTAATGATGAGAAGCAGCCCCAAACCACACCATTCCCTGTCTCCCTCCTCAGTCCAAAAAGTGTACAATGCAGATTTTATTTCAGGGACTGGAGAGGTGATTAATCGTCACGGGGTCTCGACACTGGCTTCAGATAAGTGGCGCAGTCTGGCAGTAACACAAATATGTGGACACCATTCCCATTAATCTCTGAACACCACATGGAAAGGCAAAAGTCTCTGTGAGGCCTCCATAAAGGGAGTTATTATTAGGAGGCCAAATTTTCTAAAAAGAAAGACTAATTTGTAGCCTCTGTGAACCTATCCAAGAGTGAAGGAATTCCTACACTCTACTTATTATAAGGGGACTTTTCTCCAAATAAGAAGATGTAAATGGAGTGTGAGGGTGAAAATAAGAAAACAGAAGTATGAAGGAACTGACAATGAAATGCACAGAATCATTACTATCGGTCTGTGAGATCTATGAGACTGGCCGGGAACTGTGTTTTTGTCATTGCTAAAGCTGAAGCACATAAACGGCCCTTAATATATGCTGAGTGCATGGAGAAATGGAGCATTTGCATTTTATTAGGATACAGTCCTCATATTTAATCGTTTATAACTGCAAATAAGATAAATGAAATAATATTAATTTTATCATTGATATTATGATCTTTATACTCTTATTACACAATTTCTGCTATCTATAATGTTATGATCATGATAATAATATTAAACAATGCCATGTTCATCCACCTGGAAACTCCAAATGCATTGTCTTTCAGGTTGGCTCATAATTCGCTTTCTAATAAAGTCTGTTACCTCTTATTCAGTGTTGTTACTGCGTAGAGTTATTCTTCATTTATTTACAGATGTTGCAATTATATTTTTAGATACTTTGATTACTCTGAGAGCTTCTTGAGACACAAATCATGACTTTTTTTTTTTTTTTAACCATCAGTGGCATCGTGTCTATCAGGTGCTCAATAAATGCTTGTGGAATGTTTGCTTCTTCCTCTGACTTAGTTCTGTCTGTCTGTAGGAGAAAGTTTCTCCAAATTGTTAAGTATATAGTCTTTGTGTGATCTTTTCTGGATGAGACATTTCTATTCTCTTCATGGGAGATAGAAGCTTGTCTTGGGGACTATATAAATGTTGGCGTTCCCTTTTATCCTCGTGTAAACATGACGCCCTCTCTCACAGTAGCGCATATCGGCTTTGTTGAGTTTACGATGGCATAAAATTATTCTTGTTTAATTCTGATTGTTCAAAGAGGATAACTAGACACACAGTCTCATAGTTTCATAGGCAAACAGCAGTATTTAATCTGTTTTTTAAACTATCTTTTTTATTTCTAAATACAATTCATATTTATTTACGCTATGAAAAGAGGTCATTTTACTAACTACTTTATTCAGTAATCTAAACCTTCTGTCTTACTTAAATAAACTTTGAAAATTAAAAGCAAGTGGTATTATTCTATTTTATAAAATTTGTTCTTGGAAATATTTCTAATGAAATATATTCTAATGAATATAGAAGAGTCATAAAATATATATTTAAAAAATAATAAAATAAAAGCCACCTAAGCATCAACCAAGTTAAGCTTGTGAGCTATGTTCTTGGTTCTGAACCCTTCTTTCCCAGTAAGGGTAATCATTGCCTTGACTTTTGTGATAATCATTACTTTGATTTATTTATAATGTTATCACCTCTGTATATATGCACATACTATGTATTATTTTAAATAGCTAGGTTTGGGGCCTCATATAAATACAGTCAGTTGTGTGCATTCTCATGTTACTCATTTCTTTTCCTCATCAATATAAATCCAATCTATGTTGGCAGCTGTAGTTTAATTGAGTCATTTTAATTGTTATAATTGTATTATTAGACTATATTTTATTTATCTATTTTATTTTATTTCACATTTAAGATGTTCATTATGGGCTATTTTAAGCAATGCTCTTCTAAAAATCCTTTTAAATGTCTGCTGACATATATACAGGTTTTTTTTTTTTTTAAGGGCATTTATGGAGGGATGAAAAGCGTATATTTAGCTTTGTTAGGTCATGTTAAAATGTTTTTCCAAAGTAGTTTCTCTAATTAACTTTCCTCCATTACTCTATGAGTGTTCCCATTATTTAAGTTCTTCACCAACATTTTATACTACCACAACTTATGTTTTTGCATATTAATAGGTGTGTAATAATATAATAAAGGTCTTAAATGGTAGTTCCATGATTATTGAGATTTATTATATTTTATGTTTATTTTTGCTATTTGTTTTTTTCATTTTAGTGAAGCATCTTTTAAAATATTTTGCTTATATTTCTCTGATAAATTAAGTGGTATTTTAAATTCAACTTTTAGTTCTTGATCATATGCATAAATATTATTAATTTTTCTGTATTGACTTTGTATAATACCTCCTTGTTGTAGTAACTTACAAATTCTAGAAGTTTTCAATTTTTGTTAGATTCCCTACAATAGAGCTAAGATAATCTGCATTTGCAGACAGCAGGGTGAAAGTGTCTTTATAGTTTTACTTCTTCCTTTCCAATCATATGTCTTATATTTTTTATAGCCTTATTAAAATGGCTAAGTCCTCCAGGACAATGTTGAATACCACCAATAAGTATTACCTTAGTCATAAAATTTATTAGATGTCCTTTATCAGTTTTAGGAAGTTCCATTTTATTTCTAATTTGATGAGAGTTTTTTATGAAGAATAGGTTTTGAATTTTTCCAAGTGAGTTGTGTATTAACATAACGATGTATTTCTTTTTTTTCTTAAAATTACAATTACATCATTGATTTTAGAGAAAAACAACATTGCACACCTTAGATATCATCATAGTGCCATTTATTCTTTCTGCATTAATGGATTCAATTTGCTCATATTTCATGAAAGATTTTCTTCTCTATTCAGGAGGAATATGGTTTATAGTTTGCTTTTGTTTTCAAGACAATGTTGTGTTTGGATTTGGTGTCAGGACAATGCTATTTGGGAAGTGTTTCTTCCTATTCTATTTCCTAGAAGAGATTGTGTAGAATTGGTGTTATTTCTTCTTAAATAACCAGTATATTCACCAATAAAACTTTCTGTCTTGAAGACTTCTCTATTAGTAGCCTTTAAACTACAAATTAAATTTATTTAATAGTCATAGAACTATTCAAGATATGTCATCTTGCACACATTTTAGTAGTTTATGTGTTTTGATGATTTTTTTTCTAATTTATGTTGATGAATCTATGTACCTAGAGTTATTTTCATATTTGCTTATTATCTTTTTAAAACCTATGGAGTCTGTAGTAAAATTTCTATTTTCATTGTTAATACTGGAGCTGGAAAGTGATTTTTTTCTCTTTTTTTTTTTTGAAAGTGTATTTTACAGTTGGTATTATTCTTCTCAAAGGTCTGCAGGAATTTATTCACCACTGATGTCATCTGGGTCTTTATTTTGTTACTGTTTTTGTTTGTGGTGATGTTTTGCTTTTTGAGTCAATATTGCTAATTGTTTCTTAAATTAAACATTTCATGTTATACATGTTGTCTGATTTTAATATAATGTTTATAATATTATATTATCTTTTTAATGATTATATGATCAGGAGTGATGGTAATTTTTAATTTCAGATCTTGATATTTTTTGCACATTCCTTTTTCCTGATGAGACTAACTTTACTGATCTGTTCAAAGAACCAGATTTTGTTTTCACTGATTTTGTTGTTTTGCTGTTTTTCAAGTCATTGACATTTAACTCATATTTTTATTACTTCCTTCTGTGTACATAATTTGTTTTAATTTTTCTCCTTTTTTGTGCTAGCTTCATAATGCGGGAACATAGATCATTAATTGTACACATTTTTCACATTAAATATGAGCACTTAAAAGTACCTATAGTTTCTTTTTCTCTTTCTTTCTTTGTTTTTTTTTTTTTTTTTTTTTTTTTTTTGAGAAAGTATCTCGCTCTGTTGGCCAGGCTGGAGTGCACTGGCACAATCTCAGCTCATTGCAATCTCGACCTCCTGGGTTTAAGTAATTTTCCTGCTTCAGCCTCCTGAGTAGCTGGGATTACAGGCACACACCACCATGCCTGGCTAATTTTTGTATTTTTGGTAGAGACGGGGTTTCACCATGATGGCCAGGCTGGTCTCCAACTCCTGACCTCAGGTGATCCACCCACCTCGGCCTCCTAAAGCACTGGGATTACAGGCGTCAGCCTCCACACCCGGCCTGTATACATTTTCATCTGTGCTTTGCTTTAGCTGTTTGCCATAAAGTTTGATAAGTTTTATTTTCATTATCATTTAGTTTAAAGCAGTTTCTAATATTGCTAATGTTTCTGTTTCACTCGCGGGTCTTTAAGCATGTGTTGCTCTATTTTGACATAATTTTAACTTTTCTCATTATAAATTTAATTATTTTATATTTTTCTGTCCTTTTTTTATTTGTGTTAATAAATTAGCCATCATTTTTTTGTGGTTTTCCTCAATGTAAATCTACCTTTTTCTCTGACCATTTTTAATATATATATTTTTTACTTTCTGTTTTAAACAGCTTGACTAGTGCCATGGTTTAATGTCCCCTCCAAAACTCATATTGAAATTTAATTGCTAATATAATGGTATTGGGAGGTAGAACCTCTAAGAGGTGATTAACTAATGAAGGGTCCATCTTCACATATGGTTTAATACCATTATCTCAAAAATGGCTTAGTTATCCTGGGAGTGGGCTTCTGATAAAAAGACAAGTTTGGCCCCATTCTCTCTGTCTCAGGTGCTAGCTTGCCTTTCCACTATATTATGACTCAGTAAGAAGCCTCTTGCCAGATGTTGGTGTCATCATCTTGGACTTCCCAGTCTACAGAACTGTGAACCAGATAAGTTTCTTTTTATTACAAATTACCCAGTCTATGGTATTTTGTGATAGCAGCAGAAATTGATTCAAGACAACAATGATGTTCCTATATGTGGTTTTCTTAGACTTATTTGGCTCATGTTTTTCCTGCTTTACCTTGGCATTTTATTGAATAATATATCTAAAAGATCTATGGAAGTATATGGAGACACTCCTCTTTCTTTGTTATAGCTGCATCATAATCAACTGTATGTAACATTAGACCTTAGTTAAAAATTTCCTTATTGATAGACACATGAGTAGTTTTGAGTCCTAGCCTATTAAATCTACTAATTTATTGAATAAACATTATGTAGATTTTTGCATTTTTTTCTAATTTATCCCTGGAAAAATTCCTAGAACTGATCAGAAGGTAAATGCACTTTTGTTTGATATGGCTACATTTCTTCCTAGATAGATTTTGCTATTTTCTGTTCCTATCATCAGTGTATGAGAGTGTCTATTTTTCCACAGCCTCACCAACAAATATGTCACCAAATTTTGATTTGTTTTACCTTGGAGATAGGAAATTCTATCTCAGTGTCACTACTCTTATAAATCAAGTGATTGAATATGTATGCATTTGTATCCATATATTTTTCCTATCTTAATAATGAAATGAAAACTGATACTGTTTTATGTTTTGTTTTATTTATTAAGATTTTCTTGCTATTTCTGGTCCTTTCACTCTCATATACATTTTGAATCTTTTACAATATTTACACATACACACACACACACAACTTGGATTCTAATTGAGATTTACAAAATCAATTTGAGGAGATTTTACATATTTACAAAATTGACTTCAATTTTTTATCATGATGTGTATCTTTTCTTTTTGAGATTTTAATTTTCCTTTTCCTTGGAGTTTTTAGCTTAGAGAACTTGCACATATTTTTAATGTATATTTATATTACCTTGAACCTAGGGACTTTGTAAACTTATTAATTCTAATATGTTGGGTATATTATTTTACATTTTCTGAATATGCAAATGTGTCATATGCAAATAGTTGCTGTCTAGTTTGTTCCTTTCCATTGATAACATTTTTTACTCTTCTTTACTGCACTGAATATAAATTGCTGTAAACTTTACTCTTGATTCATTTATAGATTACAAAAAATATTACATAATTAATATTGTATTATTGATTAAATTTATTATATCAATTAAAATATTGGTATTAATACTAGTATCACATAAGAATAATAACTTTCATGTTTTCTCTAATAGGAAAGAGCTTTTTATTTCTAGTTTGTTACTAAGATTCATTTCAGCATGTGTTGAATTTTATTTTCAACATCTTTTTAGATTATCAACTTTGAATTTATTTAATTTTTCTATTAATCCTTAACTTACACTATTATTTTAAATGTTAAACCAATCCCTAATTACAGAAATAAGCCCAATTCAGCTGTGATTATAATTTTTTGTAATGTAATACTGCATTAAATTTGTTATTTCTTGAGCATATATTTTTCTGAGAAAGCTTGACCGGTAACTTTGTTTTCTTTTCTTTGTCACATTTTTGTACCAAATGTATGTTCACCTCAAAAAATGAGTTCAAATGTATCCCATCTTTTCAAAATATCTTAAACATTTTTCTAAGATAATTTTTATTCCTAATAATTTTAGAAAAATTCACGGTAAAATATTGTAGTTCTAGATATTTCTTTGTTGAAATATTTATATTTACAAATTTATTTTTGAAATAGATATAGGTTTTTTTTTTTAGTTTTTTGTGTCAACTGCCATACTTTTTTTCTTATGAATAGGTCTATTTCATCTAAATTAAATTTTATTATCAGAGAAAATCTCATAATATGCTCCCATAATTAATGCCTTTAAAGTCTACAGTGATGTTTCTTATTTTCACAACTATGTGTCTACCTTTTGAAATTTGAAATTTTTGTTTTCTCTCTTTGATTCTTAATTATCTTTACTTAGAGTCCAAATTTTTGTTAGTCATTTTCAAAGATCTTTATTTTGTTTTTTTTTTTTGTTTTACAGAATCTATTGTAATTTGTTTTTAATTACTTTATCTTCCTATGTTTTTTCCTTCTATTGGATTTGAGATTTTTTTTTAATAGTCTAGCTTCTTGAGTTAGAAGCTCAAATCAGTGGTTTCTTTTCGGCTTTTCTTTTTTTTTTTTTCTTATATATTTACTTAAGGCTTATGATTTTCCATTAAGCATGACATTAGCATCATCCCACAAATTTGATATATCATTTTAAAATCACAGTTTAGGTCAAAACACTTCTTAATTTCCATTGTGGTTATTTTCCTGTGGTTATTTTAAATTGCAGACTTATCTTAAAAATAGCAAATATTACATTATTTTTTATTTATTCTTTTTAGATATTGCTTTCTAACTGAATTCCACGCTGATCATTGAATACATTTTAAATTATTTTAGTCCTTTACAACTTGTTTGGACTTGCTTTGTGTCCTAGCATACTGTCTATATTGATAAACAGTTCTGTAAATTTCAAAAGAATGTGTATTCTGTCATTTCTTGGTCTAGTATATTATGTTGATCAGTTAATTGTTATTCAAATGATCAATATTCATAAGGATTTACTTTGCTTAGTCTATCAAGTATTTAAAGGGCTTACTAGTCTTCCATTCCACTGTGACTGTGAATTCTGTAGCTTTGTCTTTTAGCTTTATCAATTGTTCCTTTACATATGTGATGCTATGTAATTAGAGACACACACATTTAGAATTTTTATATCTTTCTGGAAAAATGACCTTTATTTTATTATGAGATAGATATCTTTCTTACTTTGTAGTATTGGCTCTTGCCTTAAGTCTATTTTGTTTGACAGTGATATATGTGTACCAGTTCTTAAAGGTTACTGTTTGTGTGTTAATGCTTTTTCATTATCCTCTCATTTCTTATGAGAGGCACTGAAAGGGGTATCCTTTGTAGGTAATATTTTTTTCTTCGATGATTTTTATTTTACTCTGACAGTTTTAATTTTAATTGTATTATTGAGTTTACTAATATATAATGTTTACTATATTTGTCTTTATATATCTACCTTATAAACTGTATTTTAAATTTTCTACCTGTTTTACTTTACTTTTATTATCACCTTTGTGCTCTTTTGCTGTTGAATGTTTATGCTGTCACAGCCTTCAACCTTAATTTCACACATTCTATTTTTTATGTGTAGAACTTGCTGGGATTTTATTTGAGTGTTATGCGATCTTATTTCCTGTGATACTGTTACTCTACACTTTAATAGTATTATATTCCCTGTTTTCATTATCTTTTTTTGTCATTTCTTCCCGATTTTCCATGTTTCTTCCCAAGATCATTTTCCTTTACCGGAAGAACTCACTTCAGTATTACTTTTGTATGGACACATCTTTTCTCTCTAGGTGCTTTTTTCCTCTTAATAATTGCTTTACAGAAATTTTATTTTGATGTTCCTATGCACACATACATAGGTTTTATTTTTACTTGTTCCACCTCTTCATACTGGCCCAATGTCACACATTAGTTTTGGAAGAGTCTCAGCCATCATCTCTTCTAATATTACTTGTGCCTCATTCTCTTTCTGTTCTTCTGGGACACCAGGTAAACAGGACTTTTCAGATGTGTTTCTCATGCTCTTTTCTGTTGTCTGAATTCTTTTATAATGTCCATGAATCCACTTGCATGTTTTCTATACCCCTGTCATTCCCTTAACCAATTTTCTTTCCTATTGTATCCTGTCTTCTGTTAAACCCATCTATTTAGTTGTAAATTACTATTATATTTTTAATCCTAGATCTCCTATGTCATTTTTTAAGGATTTCCTTTCTCCAGTGAATTATTTTTTTCTCTCTTTCCTCGCACATATTAACCAAAGTTAATTCAAAGTCAATGACTGATATCCATAATTACTCAAATACCTGTGGATCTGTTTCTGTTGTTTGTTTTTCAACCTGATCATTTGTGTGTATGCACGTGTATGTGTGTACAACTAATGCAGAACAATAGATAGAATAAATATAGAGTATCTAGATACTATTAATTCTCTATAAACTTCACCATATCCTCTACCAGGAGTATAAAGTGGCAGCAGGTGACCTAAATTCAGTGACAGCCTTAGCTGACTCTAGCCCAGTCTGTGGTTTTCACCAGACTTCCTCTACTTCCGGTTCTCATTCTCTTAGAGTGTAGCTCTCCTGAGTTCCCAGCTTAAAGCTTGGGTCTTGTATTCTGATTTTGTTATTTGCTTTTTTGTTTCTCTTTGACACCATGACACAACCATGTCTTTTCTTGATCATAATGGGAAGGCCTGTAGTGTTTTCCTTTTAAGTAAAGTGCCTGTTTATTGATTAAGATACATACTTTATCGTGTTAATAATGTGTCCATTAGGTACTATTTTTTTGAGTGTAGTTTTATCATGATGTGTAGTGAATTTTGGCAAATGCCTTCTCTATATCTTTGGAGTAATCATAAAATTTTTCTTTTATGATCTCTTTATATGGCCTAATTTATGGCCATATTTATGGCCTTTCTACCATTGAACCATACTTGCGTTACTGAAATTAACTATGGTTGTTTATCTTGTATTGTTATTTATGTGCTATTAGATTCTATTTGCTGGTGTTATATTTACAAATTTTGCATTAATATTTATAACTAAAATATATTTGTAATTTAGCAATTTTGTGCAATGTATAAAATGAATGTTATATTCATAGTATAAATCAAATTTAGAGGTTGTTCTTTTTCAGTGCTCTGAAACAATTTATGAAGCATTAAAATTACCTGATCTTTAAAAACTTGGTAAAATTCCTAGATGATGTAAATTGGGATTGCTGCTTTTTGGAAAGGGGCTCTTTAACTACTTTCTCTATTTCCTCTAGGATAATTATTCTGCTTATATTTTCTATATATTAAGCTTAGTTTTGGCAAGTGTTTCAAAAAAATTATTTATTTAATGTAGATTTTATTTTTTCTTTGGAGAGTGTGACAGAATTTATGAATAAACTAGATTTAGCATTTATGCATTACTTCTCTTTTAGTGCATATCAGTTTTCTAACTCATTTATTTCTATCTTTATTAATATTTCCATCATCTTTATTTTTATTTACTTTATCATTCTTTTTCTAGGTTTTAGAAATCGTTAATTTATTTAATTTTGTCTCATTTTTATTGATATAGTTATTTAATACTGTGATTTTTTACTCACAACTGTTTTAGACATATGCCACAAAATCTTTTGTAGCCTATTTTTATCAGCCTTATTTTCAACTCCACAATCACTTTATATTTTCCCTTTGAGTCAGCATTATTTAATATTATGCTTTTTATTACATTGTTTCAATATGAAAAGGCATTGTCTTCTGATTTTTTGAAATTAATTTCTAGATTTTTTATTATAATCAGAGAATGCTATTTTTATTATTTCTATACTTTGGAATTTATTGGGGTTTTTCTTTTGAGAAATCACTTAAATTATATTTTCTCGAAAAAATATTCAGATATTTATTTAGATGAATGTTCCACATGCACATTAAGTAAAGGTACAATGGCGAAAACTGCAATTACTTTTGCACCAACCTAATATATTGTCTGGTTTTGACAATCATAGTATCTTTAACTGCATGACAGACATTTCTCTAAAAGAAGACAGAAACTGAAGTAAGTAATATTTACCTCCAGAATGGGGCACACACTTTTTAGTGCCATGCCACAAAATAGAAGCCAAACGGATTTCATTTCTAATGGAGCTAGGTCTGACCAACTTGTGCTGAAGATTTGGTTGATTTCATTAAAATAATTTGAGGGGTGTATCAGGACCTTCCTCTTAACTGGGACTAGAATCTAAAAGCTGGCTGGCAAAGGCGCCTGTGCTTCATTAATGACACTGTGCTACCTAGGATTGCTCTAGATCTTGCTATTTTCTCCATGAAGAGTTCCAGTAGCTCTCCATGCCCATCCTGTTTACTGTGTCTCTTTCAATCTTGAAGTGTTGCCTCACCCCTGGACCTTCTCAGGGTAGCAGCCCTAGCTTCTGTGACAATCTGGATGTCTCCCAGATCTTATTTGCTGAACTTTCAAAGTGGAAGGAAAAGAGATCTCAGTCCTCGTGCCCTACTTTAAGCATCAACTCCTAAGGGCAACTCCAATCTGCTGTGTTTGCAGATTGTGGATACCTTGAACTTACTGCATGCCCTATGTATCCCTAGGTGCTCTTTCTCGACTGTCTTGTGGTCATTGATATTTCAGTAGAAGAGAGGCTCATTTCCTCATCCCCTGTCTATGGAAGATTCCTCCTTTTGCAATTGCAGCAGGGATGAAAACAAAATTAATTTACTTTCTCTGGTGAAGGACTTCTCGCTTTTTTGAAATTTAGTTCACTGGGCATCTTCATGTGCTCAGCTCTAAAATTATCCAGTTTGTTTTGGTTGTTATGGTGAGAATGACTGTCTCTTTTTACTTTCTAGATCTAAACTGGATTCCTCTTTTGTTTTTGTTTTTGTTTTAATTTTTAAACATTCCATTTTATTTTTCTCTCTCATATCTTTCCTTAAGCTTTTATATGTGATCATGTTTTATTATTGTGCTCTCTTTTCCAGTTTTAGTCTTATTTCTTAAATAATTAAAAAATTTCTAATCCATTCCTAAATGTTATCAGCTACCTTTGTAAATCTTTTTTATTCTAATCACATAATTTCTGAGCTTTTCTAATTTTGATTTATCCTATAAATTAATTTTTTTCTTTTTCACTTGAAATATTAGAGTATCATCTTTATTGTGGGTGTTTACATTGGGCATAACTTTATTGTCTGGAGAAGTGTTATTATTCTGAATTTTTTTGCCTTTTAATGTTGCATAAGATTCAAATGCAAAAATTATTGCACAGAGCATAAGCGTAATCATTTTGTGCTGTCACGTATAAGTGGGATTAATTTTCTTTCTTCTTAGACAGATAGAGGGGTCAGGGTAGATTAACTTACTTCACAGATGTAGAGTTCTCTCATCTACTGATTTTGAGAAGTGTTAAAAAATAACACATGTCTTAGATGCTTCAAAACCTTGTGTCTGTTTTCCTCTACTTTTCGATCTGGATTTTATCGTTTCTTTATTGTCTCTGTCCTACTAAAATGGAATTATACTCCCAGGAGTCTTTTTTTTTACTCAATCTGTGGCTTTACCTTGAAATGAAATAACCATTATCTGGTTTCAAAATCTATAGGGCTCATATTATCCCACATTATAAACCTATACCATGGCCCTTCACAATTTCTTCTTTGTTGTTGCTATTTTTGTTATTTATATTTAAATTGTACAACATGATATTTTGATAGACATAATAAAATGATTACTATAGTAAAGCAATTAACATTTCCATCTTTCTACATATTTACCTCCCAATGTTTTGTACTAAGAGCACCTAAAATCTATTCCCTTTCCTGTATACAATATTTTATTTCTTGTATGCAATGTATTATTAACTATTCTCCTTATGCTAGATGTTATTTCTCTAGATTTATTCATCCTACATAACTGGAACTATGTTCACTTTAACCTATTTATTCCCTGACTTCTCGCTATTGGTAACCACCACTCTATACCCTGTTTCTATGTATTTAACTTTTTTTTTAGATTTCATATTTGAGAGAGATTGTACAGTATTTTTTTTCTTTCTGTATCTGGCTCATTTCACTTAACATAATGTCCTCTGGTTTCATCCATATTGTCACAAATAGTAGAATTTCTCTTTTTAAGGCTGAATAATATTTCATTATATGTCTATGTATATGCGTGTACATATGTAATCACCATAATTCATTTGTCCATTCATCACACAGTAGACACATAGATTGTTTCTATGTCTTGACTATTAGAAATGATGCTGCAAGGGACTTGGGAGTACATATATCCCTTTAAGGTGTAGATTTTATTTTCTTTGGGTTATACCGAAAAGAGAGACTGCTTGATCTTATAATAGTTTTATTATTAATTTTTTGAGAAACCTCCATACTGTTTTTAACAATGGTTGCACCTATTTATGTTTCCATCGGCTGTTTACAAGGACTTTCTTTTCTCCATGTCCTCACCAATACTCACTATCACTTGTCTTTTTGATAAGTCATCCTAATTTGTGTGAGGTGGTATCTCATTGTGGATTTTATTTTCAAGTTATGCAAATTAATCAATGTGATATACCACATTAACAGAATGAAAGATAGAAACCACATGTTCATTTTAATACATACAGAAAAACCACTGGACAAATTAACATGCTTTTTTGATTAAAGACTCTCAACAATTTACATATAGAAGGAAATTCCCTTGACATAATAAAGGCCACTTATGAAAGATCACAACTAACAGTATAATCAGTGGGGAAAAAAACTGAAAGTTTTTCCACTAAGACCCAGTACTAGACAAGGATGTCTACTCTTGCCCCCTCTAGTCGACATAGTTCCGAAGTACTAACAAGTGCAATCAGACAATAACATAAAAGCACTTAAATCAGGAAAATGTAAAATTATTTCTATTTGCAGATTATATGATGCTATATGTAGAAAATCCTGAAGACTTTACACATACAATAAAACTCTCTTAGAACTAGTAAATAAATTCATTACAGCTGTAGAATATTAAATCAATATACAAAAATCAGTTGACTTTACGACAATAATGATCTATTTGGAAAAGAAACCAAGAAAACAATCTCATTTACAAGAACATTAAGAAGAATAAATTATTTAGGAATAAAATTAACCAGGAAAGCTCTATACACTGGAAATTATAAAATATTGATGAAATTGAAGAAGACACAAATAAATGGAAGCATTTTGTATTCATGGATTAGAAGAATTAGTATCATTCAAATGTCCATATTACCCAAAGCAGATTCAATTCAATTTCTATCAAAATTCAAATGACACTCTTCACAGAAATAGAAAAAAAAATCTAAAATATATATAGAAGCACAAAAGATCCCCAGTAGCCAAAGCAATCTTGAGAAAGAAAACAAAGTTGGAGGCATCACACTTCCTTATTTCAAATTACATTACAAAGCTATAATAATCAAAACAGGATGGTACTAGAATAAAAACAGACACATAGACTAATGGAACAGAATATAGAGCCCAGAAATAATTCCAAATGCATGCAGTTAACTAGTTTTTGACAAGGGCACCAAAAATAAACAATGGAGAAACAATAGTCTCTTCAATAAATTGTTTGGAAAAAGTAAATATCCACATGTAAAAAAATGAAACTGGACCACTGTCATACATAAAACACTAAAAAATCAACTCAAAACGGATTAAAGACCTAAATGTAAGACCTTATCTCATGAAGCTGTTAGAAGTAGACATAGGCAAATAGCTTCTGGACATTGACTTTGGCAAGGATTTTTTGAATATCACACCAAAAGATCAAGCAACATATGCAAAAATTAAGAAGTGGGACTTCATCAAACTAAAACATTTCCACAGAACAGAAGAAATTAATAAAATTAAAAGGCAGCCTACAGATTGAGAGAAATTATTTACGAACAATATATCTGATAAGTGGTTAATATTAAAATAACCTGCCTGCTGCTGTCACCACTGCCAGTACACACAGACATCTTTTGGAGGCCTGGAGATTGACCCTTTCTGCCCAACCCTGCTGGCATACACTTGCATGCCTTCTGGGGGCGTAAGGGTGGGCCAGTCCCAATCACTGCCACAGCTGGTGCAAACTGCCCAGGAGTCTGAGAATAAGTTCATCCTGTCTGCTGCCACCAGTATAAAATTCACCTGGTGAATTCACTTTCAGACTAAAAGTGAAGAGACTGAAAATATATTCCACACAAATGAATACCAATAGTATACTTATGTCAGAAAAAAAATAGACTTTAAGTCAAAACAAAAATCACAAAGATAAAAAGAAGGTCATTATATTAATGATAAATGGGTCAATTCAACAAAAGGATATAACAATGTGAATATATATGAAGCCAACATAAGGCACCCACTTATATAAAGGAAATATTATTAGTGATAAAGACTGAGATAGACCCCTAAACTGTAAAGTTGAGGATTTCAACACTCCACTTTCAGCATCATCTAGATAGAAAATCAGCAAAGAAACATCAAACGTTCTGCAATGTAAACCAAATAGACCTAAAAGATATTTACAAAATATTTTATCTAACAGCTGCGGGATACACATTCTTCTCTTGAGCACATGGAACATTTCTCCAGGATAGCCCACAAGTTAGGCCACAGAAACAAGTCTCAACAAATTTTTTAAAAATCAGAATCATATGAAATATTTTTAAAACACAGTGGAATAAAACTGGAAACCTTAACAAGAGGGATATTGGAAGTCCACAAATACATGGAAATTAAACAACATACTTCTAAACAACCATGGTTCAACGAAGAAATTAAGAACAAGATAAAAAGTTATTTAAAGAAATGAAAATGGAACCACAACATACCAAAACCTATGGGATATAGCAAAAGCAGTGCTAAGAGGTGAGTTTGTAACAATAAAGGCCTATAGCAAAAAAGTAGAAAGATTTTCTATGTAGAAAAATCTAAAGAATCCATCAAAAATACCTTAGAACTGATAATGGATTAAGAAAAGTTGCAGGATAAAAATCAACATACAAAAATTGATAGCATTTCTATACACCAATAACAAATGTATGTAATTATTTTATGCCAGTTAAAGAATAAAATAGAAAAAAAATCCCTTCATTTTTATAGAACCACAAAAGACCTTGGAGGGCAATAAACTTGTAGGAGGCATCACACTGCCTGACTTCAAAATATACTGTAAAGCTATAGTAACTCAAATGTTATAGTATTGGTATAAAGAAAGACATATAGATCTATGAGCAGTATAGAAAACCTGGAAATAAATGCAGATATTTACAGCCGACTGGTTTTTGACAAAGACACCAAGAACATCTGTGGGGGGAAGGACACCCTTTTCAATAAATGGTTCTAGAAAAGCTGAATATCCACTTACAGTGGAATTACATTAGATTCTGATCTCTCATCATATAAAAAATCAATCAAAATAAATTAGACTTAAACCTAAGACCAAAAACTATAAAATAACTAGAAGAAAACATAGTGGAAACACCTCAGGACATTAATCTTGGCAAAGATTTCATGGCTAAGACTTCAAAAGCACAGACAACCAAAAAATATATAGATGTGTGACTATATTAAACTTGAAAGTTTCTGCCCAGCAAAGGAAACAATGAATAGAGTCAACAGACAACCTGTAGATTGTGAGGAAATATTTGCTAATTACTTATTGGACAAGAGACTAATATTAATATATACAAGGAACTCCAACAACACAACAGAAAAGATACCCAAATAATCTTATTAAACACTGAACAAAGAATCTGAGTAGACATTTCTCAAAGATGACATACAAAAAAACAGGTATTTGAAAAACATTTTAAACATCAAGGAAATGTATATCAAGATCAAAATGAGATCATCTCTCTCCAGGTAGAATGGCTTTTATCAAAAAGACAAAAAATAACAAATGCTGCTGCAGATGTGGAGAAAAGGTAGCTCTTACACATTGTTGGTGGGAATGTAAATTAGTACAAATTTTGGAAAATAGTGTAGCGATTTCTCAAAACAACAAAAAATAGGACTATAATACAATCTGACAATTCCACTGCTGGATATATATTCAAAGAAAAGAAAAATCAGTATGCCAAAGAGGTATCTTCACCCCTATATTTATTGCAGCACTATTCACAATAGCCAAGATAAGGAGTCAACCTAAGTGTCCAAAGGCTGGAAAGGTTGTGTGGGTGGGTTTTGGGGAGAATAAAGAAAGGTTGGTTTTAGGTACAAACATAAAGTTGGATAGAAAGAATAGGTCCTAGTGTTCAACAGCACAATACGGTGACTATAGTTAACAATACTTTATTGCATATTTCAAAATAGCTAGAAGAGAGGATTTATAATGTTCCCTACAGAAAGAAATGATAAGTGTTTGAGGTAATGGAAATTCTAAATATTCTGGTTCAATCATCACATATTGTATTCATGTATCAAAATATCACGTGTAGCCCATAAATATGTACATTATTTATCAGTTAAAAATAAAAAAAATCCAAAATATATAAGGTTCTCACACAACTCAATATTTAAAAAAAAGATAAATAACCCAATTTTAAAAGCGGGCAAAGTAATTGAGTAGAGATTTCTCCAAAAAAGACATAAAAACATCATTATACTAGCTTAATTTGGAGTTGGTAACACCTGTTTCTAGTTTTAGAAACTACTGCAAGATTTGACCCATGGCAACTCCACTGAGCACTATGGGCAATTTGTGGATATTCAACTTTGTAATAAAGCTGAGTTATTTATCAGGATGGTTTAGCACAAATTTTACCTGAAAATAAGCATGGAAACTAACATGCTTTGATAAAGAACCATTTTATATTCTGTGCCATACTTCCCTTCCTTCAAATACAGTTTCACAGCTAGAACGCTGATTCAATTCTCAGACCTCAGGCCCTGTCTATAAACATCGCCTTGTTTATTCATTCAACACATATCTATTGATTACCTCCTCTGTGCAGGTATGTGCTTGTTTTTGTGAATACAAAATCAAATATATAGTAATCAACTCCTTGTGGGTACTTAAAGTCTACTTAGTCAATTTGTCTTAAGACTCCTATGTTCTTATGTGCATATTTGGGTCAAAGTGAATATCCTAAATTACGGTTTTGACCACATTATATTCTGAAAATAAGCCTGTAATGTTTGCCCGTCTCCAAAAAGAAACAATTTTTTAAATCAATATTCTAAACCCTCTTCTATCTCTTCCTTGTCTTGCCATTTGATTCTGTTTTTGAAAACAGGATGCTCCATTTTACCCATTACTTAGTATCAGTAACTACAGTAACTATTGTTTTGGAGTTTTCTTCTTAAACTCAAAGTAGTTCCACATTTAATTCTGACAAGAAAAAGTCTGACTCATTCATTTACGTAACAAACATTTATTGCATATCTTCTAAGTTCTACCCACTTGTCAGATTGTCAGATAATGGGTATCCATTGGTGCCCAAGAAAATCGGCACAATCCACAGTCATAGAAGATATTGTGAAAGACAGTTATTGTTAGCTAATTATAACTATCATACGTTACAAAGGTAAAATGCATGAGAATAGTTTTTATAAACTAAAAAAATCAAGTGACAGAAATTTTTTTTCATGAGGAAATGACATTTGAACTGAAATCCAATGAGTAAAATTTGCCTGGGGACACGGAATATAGCTGTGCAAGCAGAGAAAGAAATCCCTGTGAATTTTCTCAAATGGGAAGTTAACTAAAGGAACTGACAGTTTTCAATACGATATTTTCTTTTTTGAATAGACTACTTTTTAGAACAGTTTCAAGTGCACAACAAAATTGAGCAGAAATTCAGTTCAGTTTTCAATTCAATTTTAAATGTGAAGTTAATGATAGTATGTGGAATTAAAATAAGGGTGAACTGGACTTCATGTTATTTGATTATTACATATCCAATGTGGATTTTTTTAACTTTTTGTTTTGAAATAATTATAGGTTCAGAGAAATTTAGGCAGAGTATTATAGGACATATCAAGAAACATGAATTTTCTTTTCTATGCAATGATGAACTAATTGTATAAATAAGAAAAGGATAAAAGTCAAACATCTCATTCATTAATTTGGTAACTATATACCCCACGACTGGCAGGATTTTGCTATCCTCAAATCTCAATGGCTTAACACAAGAAACACCTCTTTCTCCCTCAGGTAATATATACCACTTCAGGACATTAATCTAGGCAAAGATTTTATGTAAAACACAAAATATACTTATTTTATGGGAGAACTGTGAGTGTAGTGGTTAAGGAGAAACCAGAAGGAGCCACTGAAACAAACGTTTATGTTGATGTGTGTTCCTGTGATTACCACAGCAGAGGGACAGCAGAGCACACCTGGCATTTGATTACTTCAGGTTCGCTGCTGGAATGATATATCTGCTCATATTTGCTAAAGCATGTTATAAATCATGCCTAACGTCAAAGGGGCAGGGACTTACAAGCTTACTCTATGTCCAGAAGAAGGAGGAGGTTTGTGAATGTCCCTAATGACTATGAAAGTAAACATTAGTATACTCTCTTCACAGAAAATAGAAGAATCTATTTATTAAGTAGCCACATTTAATTACACTGACACTAAATTAATAATGTGTGCTGGAGCCTGTTTGTGGGCATAGAACTGTATAATCCTACATGAAAAATGAATGTGTACATCAAATATAAATGTGTGTATGTGTGTGTATGTGTGTGTGTGTGTGTCTGTAATGATGGACTATGGCTTCTTTTTTTTCCCCTTAGTTGGATGAGGAAGAAAAGTTGAATGTGTGTTATTCAGGAATATATTAGAATTCTATTGGGCACTCTATTATTGGCAGTAGTTTTTGGCCGGGAGAAATGATCTAACACATTCGGCATTTACTACCTTTGTCTCCAAGATGAACATCACTGTCTTGTAATATGGCTCAACTGAGGTTTATTTTACTACTTTTAGACAAGGCAGTGGGGGTGATCCTCATAATTATCAAAATAAAATTTGGCTTAATGATGGCATTACTACCCCATTAGTCTGTGGAACTTCTTACTGAATCTATCCCTTAAACAACAGGATGTGGAGTTTGATGACCTATCCAAGCCAATCCTCTTACTCAAAGACCTAGTGGTAGCAATACAAAAAAAAAAATTGCCATCAGATTGTTTATCTCACTTCTTATAACAGAGCTGTGAAGACATTATTATCAGCAATGAGTAGAAACCAAATTTGAACACACCCTGTCTGACTACAAAGGCAACATTTTAACCATAAAATCAATTTGATTTTTTTTGGTTTGAATAAAGGTTGATGATTAACTAAATAAATCAAATAATTATCAGATTTTAACCTAAGATAAGAAGTATTACCCATTCCCCCAAACCCTTTCCAGTTGCTTAAAACCCTTTCAATTTATGAAAAAATGAAAGAAACTCATTGGTGGATAATAGATTTTGGCTCAGTGGACATGTAGTTTATCATTTTAATGTGTGTGTGTTTGTGTGTGTGTGTGTGCAAGTATATGTCTGTTTCAATTTTCAGGTCTCATGGTTTAATATGCAGTCACATTAGTAACTTTGCTAGAGACACTAATCTGTGAAGAGCCGAAACTTAAAAAAAAAAAAAAAAAGATTTTTCTGAAAAAGACATCACAAATGTATCACCATAGAAGATGAAATACAAATGAAAGCATTCCTCCTTTTTTTATTTGAAAATAGTGAATACAGAATACAATTACATTAGAATTGAAAATGAGTTAGCATCATTTCTAGTTCAACCCCTCCTATGTCAGAGAAGGAAAAAATAAGTTTCATTGGAAGAACCAAATTTTACAGAGAAGACTGACTTCCCCAATGATGTACAGTAGCCTTGTGTAAGAATAGCTTGATAACATTTCCACCCAGAACTGAAGGAGCCCCAGTGAGTAACAGTGGGTCACATATATCTGTATATACCAAATCATGGGACTTTAAGTAAGTGTTTCTTGGTCTAGCTAAAGCTGTGGGCTGATGAATGAATACAAGCCTTCAGGATTCTGACACCATATACCCCAGCTTTGTTATTACTTCAAAAGAAAAAGTAATTTTATCTTTCCTGAATCACAAATACATACTTCTGCGCAAGTACGTTTAGAATTACTGAGCACAAAGATAAAGTGTTTCATCAACTCAGATGTACTTGCAATGAATTAGAAAAGGCTCAAACCACCTATGGCTAAATAAAATTACGGACTTGCAATAGTTTTCTGACCCGTATCCATCAAAATGTCAAAAGGATATTAGTAGACAGCAGGCATGCAACCTGGAAATAATAGGGCAACTATTAATCTCTTACTCTGCTTGATTCTGCTTCGGGCAGATGGGACACAAACCATATATAAGCCCAGAATGAGAAACATTGATTTACAAAGGTCAATGTATTTGACTTCTGTTTGATTCTTTGCGGGGGAACTCTTTCTGTTTATTCTAGAAACACACTGTGGTCAGCTTCTCAATCATCTGGTACTCAGTGACTCTGTTTACCTCAGGATCCTATAGTGGAAAAAATATGGACATTGAAATCAATATTCCTAAAATCACATTCCAGATTTCAAGCTAGCTCTTGAGAAAAAAAAAGCCTAAGACCCACTTTTTTCATAAATAAAATGAAGGGAGTAGTCAGTATCTATCTCCCAAAGTGTCCATGAGAACTAAATATGATATATGTAAAGAATATAAGAAGTAGTCAATACCTGAAAGTATGTCATTATTTATTATTAATAAATCCTTAATTAAGGCTCATGTTACATGAAACTGTGGCATACCCAGAACTGAAGAAAAACAAAACAAGACTTTGCTGACTGAGACATTTCTAGAAGAAAAGGGAGAACAGGAATGTAATTTAAAAAGTAAAGAAGTGTCTCACTCAGTGGACAGGTATGCCTTAGGTTCTACTGTGAGAACCACAATTTTGCTAAAGGCAACACCTCCTAGCTACAAATGCCAGAGCCCCAGCCAGTCAGCAAATCAAAGTAGAAAACTCTTCCTTTCGTGGGTGCTGAATCTGCTAGTAATTCCTTAGGTAGTAGCTCTACGTTATTAAATGTAGAAGTAAAGTTAAATGATGCAGAATCATAGATTTCTTCCTTTGGATATGGATCAGCTTTGAGGATTTAAATTCCATGTATATTCCAGATTAACATGTTGAAGGCTTTATATTCCCCTCAACTGGCTTTTCGAATTGTTTTGAGAACTCATTTGGATGTGTCAGAAGGCAAAGAAAGCACGCATTTAGGAATTCATAGGAAGCAAAGTCACAGTTTCTGTACCCCAGGTTTCTTATAAAAATGTTCCTTTTTAAATAATTGATGAGCTCCCTCTTTGACTACACATACTCAGACAGAAACTATATTATGATGTAGTCTTTGGCATTTGCATTTTATTATTCAATAAATTCTTATTTATTCATAAGTATATGTATGTATATATGTGTGAGTATAATATATATAGGCAATTCAGCATTTAAACATTAGACATTCCCCCATGAAACTAATGCAATTATTATTCTATAAGTAAATACCATTGAGTCAATAAAAATCTGAGAGTGTAAATATAAAAAAGAGAAACATTTCAAACTGAGTGGAAAAAAATGCATAGGTTTGAAAGGGTAGCTATATAGCAGGAAAACTAATCCAAGGAATTGGAGTCATACACAAGAAACATTCAAGACAAGCAAAACCAATAGCGTTTCCAAAATAAAATAGCAGAAGCAAATACCTGCTATGTATTGTATTTTACATATTTTATTTTCATCTCATGGTGGCTCAGATAGCTAGACATTATATCCCTTTTACAGAGGGAGAAAAGAAGGCTCAGGTACTTTGAATATTACATAATTAGGCCGCTAGAATAAATATTCATTATTAGAGTACAGATATTTCTATAGTGAAGTTAATGATTTTCATTTGAATGTTTGTTTTCTACCTACACCTAGAGGTCTCGATCCTCTTGGATTCAACATGTTAAAAATTTAACTTCATTGATGTATAACTTAAATAACATAAATTGTGTCCATTTAACTTGTACAATTATATAACTTTTGAAAGTTGTGTATGCTTGTAAAACAACTACTGCCATTAACATAGAGATTTTCCTCACATCTAAAAGATTTTCCATACTCGTTTGCAATCCATCACCCTCTTCATTATCAGAGAAAACCCACTGATAAGCTGTCCAATATTATAAATTAGTGTGAATTTTATAAAATTTTATAAAAATGGAATGAGACTGTATTCTATTTGGTATAGCTGCTTTCACTCAACATAGTGATATTGACACACATCCATGTTGTTGCATGTATTACCAGTTTGACCATTTTTGCCATACAATAAGATTACATTGTATAAATTTACCCTATGCTGTTTATCCAGTCAACTTGTAGAAATTTGGATTGTTTCTCATGTTTGGTTATTGTGAATAATGCTGCTATGCACATTCATGAAAATCTTTGTGTGATCATATATTTTTGTTTTTCTTTAGTGAAAAGAAAAATACCTGGGCGTTGAAGGGATTGTTCTTAAATTAATATATGTTTAACTTTTGGAGAAACTTCCAAAGAGTTTTCAATATTAATAGCATCATTTTATACTCCCTCCAGCAGCATATGAGAGTTTCTATTCCTACGCATTCAGGCTAGTCCTTGGTATTATCAATTTTTAAATTATTAGCCACTCAATACTCACAGAGGACTATCTCATTGTGGTTTTAATTTGCATACCCTAATAACTAATAATGTTGAGAATATTTTTATTTGCTTATTCATAATTCATATATCTTCTTTGTGAAATGCCAAATCAGTATTTTACACATTTTTTTTCAAAATTGAATTGACTGTCTTTTCATTTGTCAGCATTCTTTATATATTTTGGATACACCCTTTTGTTAGATAATGTATTGTATTTTCCCCAAGTCTGTCTTTTAACAGTGTATGTTTTCTTTTGTTTCTTTACAACAGCAAAATATTTTAATTTTGAAAATAACAGTAACTACTTTTTATAAAAGTATGTTGATACATAGTTTTTTATAAAACTATGTTGATAATTTGATGTATCATATCTAGGAAACTTGTCTAATATAATGTTTTTCTCTCGAAGTTCAATTAAGTTTGCTTTTACATTTAGATTTTTTATCTATTTTATGTCCAGTTTTTGTGTATTATGAGAGGCAATGGACTTCCTCCTCCTTCTCCTCTCTTCTCCTCCTTCTCCTCCTCCTTCCCCTTCTGTTTCTTCTTTTTCTAAAATACAGATTAGTTACTTCAGAACTATTTGTTAAAAAGGCTTTCCATTCTCCATTGGATTGTCTTGGTACCTTTGTCAAAGCTTGATTGACCATATAGGCTTGAATCTATTTCTGGATTCTTTATCTTTATGCTTATGACACATTATTTTGATTATTGAAGTTTTATAATTAATCTTTGAAATAAGATATATAAATTTTCCATTTTAAAAACTACTTTAGCCTAATCTATATTCTTTTCATTTACTCATATTTTGGTATCAATTTATAAATTTAATCACAACACACTATTAGGATATGATTAAGGTTGTGACTTACAGATGAATTTAAATAAAATTGATATCTTAATATTGAGTTTTTGGACATACACGCATGTACACATTTCTAGTGGTGTTACATTTTCTAAGCAACATTTTGAAGTTTTCAGAGTAGGAGAGCCTTTCAGGATTATACATCACTTGGTAAAATTATTACTAAGAATCTTGTGTTTTCTTAAGTCTTTGTAATTGAAATTTTCTTTTAAATACATTGTTTAATTGTTTGCTGCTTTTATATTGAAGTTTTAACTATAGTGCAATGCAACCAACTGTGACCTGCCTTCAGGATAAAGCTGAACAAATGAGAAATTCGTTCTTTCCAAATTTTAACAACCTTCCAAAGGTAGCCTACTTTTGTTCACTCACTTTTTTTGTAAGTGTATCTATGCAGAAAAAAAAAAAAATGCTCTTTTAGTAGTTTACTCCACTATGCCAGTACAGAACTCTTGCAATGATAGTTTTTTATAATTAGCAAATAGAAAATATTTTTAAAGTATTTGGGAAGAAAGAACATTTAATTTAGTTATAGAAAATGAATTTCACAAATAATACTGTTACCTATTCACATAAAAACTAAGCACATTTTGTCATACCTTAGTGATTAAGTAAAAGACATATAAAAAAAGTAAGTATACAAATTAGTTGGAAGATTCTACTTCTGCCTAGGATGTATATCCTTGAAAGGCCACTGTTTCCCCCTTAACAGCAAGGAAAGACCAGATAATATAACATTTCTTAATTGTGTAAAAGAGATGAGCTAATGGAGCTATTGCTTATCCTGAAATGTAAAGCAAGGTAGGTGTCTCCAAGGAGAGCAAGGCCAGAAGTTCTGACTCACTGTGGCAGAGCACAGAAAGAGGACCCCCTGTACGATCTGGAAAAAGAATTTAGATGAGATAGGTAATTGTTGCTAATGTCCAAGGGTGGGCTATCATGAAAGTATAGAACTGCCTACCTAAAAGCCACTCATAGGCTCTTTTCCATAAATCCCCAGTGAGTACCCACAAAAAAATGTAGGGAATGGGGCCGGAGACTGGAGAAAGCCTCCTTCAGTGGTAAATGCTTAGAGAAGGAGAGGAGCTGCTGCTGCAGGAAAGACATGTGTCCCAGCCGGCCCTCCTCCTGAAGTCTTCTAGGAAACAAAAACTTTAAAGTGCTTGGGAAAGTTGCATTGTGGCTAAGAGAGGGGTAAAAGGAGAAATTCTCCATCCCTGGATGGGATAGAGGGCGGCAGAGAATCATCCTAGATTCAGAAATTTAAGTGATCTCCTGTCCCGGGGAGAAAGGCAGAAATCAGTCGGCTACACAAGTCTC
Organism: Homo sapiens; assembly: GCF_000001405.40. Lineage (NCBI taxonomy): Eukaryota > Metazoa > Chordata > Mammalia > Primates > Hominidae > Homo > Homo sapiens. The sequence continues at coordinate 86,485,436 of NC_000014.9, read as the reverse complement.
ATCAAAGATATGACGCAGCTTGACAACTATAGGGAAGAATAAAGCCTCACCCTAGAAACCCAGGAGCTCAGGGCATGCCTAAGACGGAAGCTGGACTAGAATTCCAGACTTTCTTCTTCTAGCACCAGGCTAATGAGCTTGTCGTCACACATAACCTATTGCCGGAAAGGGTCAAGAGCAAAAGGAGCAGATATTCAGGGAAGACCTAAAGCCACAGGTGGTGGATTACTCCCTCCTCACCCCTCACCACCTCTAAGTACAAAATTACAATGGGGAAATTGGAATCCAGGAGCGGGCTGAAGATAACTGCATTAGTTACCTACAGCTGCAAAACAAATTATCCCAAAACTTAGCGGCTTTAAACAATACATTTATTATCACGCAGATTCTGTGAATCAGTTCAAGAGTTGCTTGACTTAGAGCTTTCAGCTTAGAGTCTCATAAAGTTTTAATCAAATGCATTTTGTGTCTGCAGTCTCCTAAACCTTTGACTGGTGCTGTAATGTAGTCCTTTTGCAGGATATATCAAATATTATTAAAAATCAAATATATTTCCATATTCTGTCAACAAAAAAAAATGGAAATTTAAATGAAGCAGTGCTATTTACAATGAAACCCTTAGACATGAATTGAATAATATGAGTTCAAGATCTGAATACTGAAAAGTTTAACACGGTTAAACAAAACAAACTGAGAAAACCTAAATCCAAGGAGAGATATATCATGTGAATGAATTGAAAGACCCAATATTGTTGAGATATCCATTTTCTACAAACTAGCCTATACATTCAACACAATCTCAATCAAAAAAAGCAAGCTGAACTTTTAAAGATCAGCTGGCTGAGTCTGAGTATTCTACGGTAAAGTAAAGGAAACAGAAGAGTCAAAACAATTTCGACAAAGAAGAACAAAGTTGGAGGACTCATACTAGCTGATTCCAAGACTTACTATAAAGGCATAGTAATCCAGAGAGTGTAGTCTTGGCAAAAAGATACATACCTAGATTAATAGAGGCACAATAACGACTACTAAACAGACACACAGATATATGGCCAATTTATTCTGGACAAAGGTGCAAGGCAATTCTAAGGTGAAATAACAAAGTTTTCTAAAACTGATTCTAGAACAATTGAATGTCCAAATGAAAATAAATGACCCTCAACCCATATCTCATACCTCAAAGACCTAATATTAAGCCCTGAAATATCAAATTACTAGAGGCAACCACTGAATAAAAATCTTTTTGATCTTGGAGGAGACTTAGACACAATACCAAAAGCATGGACTATAAATAAAAAAATTTATAAATTTGACTTTATCAAAACTTAAAACCTTTATTCAATTGGCTTTGCTAAGAAAATGAAAAGAAAAGCCATAAATTGGAACAAAGTTTTGTAAAACAAATATTTAATAAGCCATTTGTATCCAGAATATATTAAGAAATCTCAACAAGCAATATTATGAAACCACCCAGTAAAAGATTGGACACAGTTTTGAACAGACAGTTCACAAATGAAGATATATAGCACAAATCAACACATGAAAAAGTGCTCCACATTATTAGTCATTAGGCAAATTCAAATTAAAACCACAATGTGATATACTACATGTCAATTAGAAGCAATTAGAAAAATCCTGATTAAATCAAGAGCTGGTGGGGATGCAAATTAAATGGTACTCTCATAAACTGCTAGTTGGAATGTCAAATGATATGGCTTCTTTGCCAAAGAATTTACCAGTTTCTTGTAAAGTTAAATACACGCTTATCATACAATCCAGCAATTTTACTCCTAGGTCATCATTATTCAACATAAATAAAAATTGATGTTCATATAAACATAGACACACACACACACACACACACACACACACAATTGAATAAGAATGTTGATAGAGGCTTTATTTATAGTTATCCCAAACTAACACCAACTCAAATGTTCTTCAGTGGATGAAGGGATAAACAGCTGAGGGACATCCATTTAAGGAAATATTCTTCAGTATTAAAAATGAATAAACTACTGGCACACACTTTTTGTGTATTAGCATGCATCGTATGTGTATTGTGAGGAAGATCAGATCTCCAAAGAGGTAGAGGAAAAATTTGGAGGGTTGATGGAATGGTCCCAAATCTCAATTGCTGCCTACACAGCTGTGTGTGTTTGTCAGAATTCATAGAAAAAGTTTGAATTTTAGTGTATTAAATTATACCCTAATAAAGTTGACTTCCCATGAAAAACCTGAATGGAGTGAACTAGAAAATAATACACATTTCAATATTTCAATACTCAGCATGACACTGGGGGCTATAATTACATAGTCAGATGCTTTTGTTTATGTAGTGTGGAACAAATGCAGTGATACAGGTATGATGTATTGACAGCTCAAATACTGCAGGTAATGTCGCTGTTAGAAATGTGAATTTCTGAAATATGAACCATTCTCGGCAAACTTGAAAACGAAAGTACAACATTCTCACATTTAATCCCCTTTTATATGGTAGTTACATTTCTAGAAAGCTCACTGTATATTACAGCCATACAACAATGTTGCTATGGAAAATGTTGATATGAAAATCTAATGTTGATATGAAAAATGTAATTTGATTTTAGGCTCAGAAAAATTAAATGAGTATCCTGTTGTGATTTAGAGCAGTTTCAGGCCAGATTTCTCGAGATAAAATTTTGGCTCTGCTACTTCCCCACTCTGAGATATTGGGCAAATTATTTAAATCTCTGTGTGCCTCAATTTTCTCATCTGTAAAATGGAAATGGTAATATGAATCTAGTGTACTAAATTATACCTTAAAAATGACTTCCAATGAAAAACCTGAATGGAGTGAACTAGAAAATAATACACATTTCAATATTTCAATACTCAGCGTGACACTGGGGGCTATAATTACATAGTCAGATGGTTAGTTTGGTGCAGTGTGGAACAATGCAGAGATACAGGTATGATGTATTGACAACTCAAATACTACACCCATGCAATACACATAACACACATGCAGATACACAATCAGCATATATCATATGTGTATTGTGTGCATATCAGCATGTATCTTATGTGTATTTTGTACCTCCCCATGAATCTAGTTGTATTTTATAAGGATTAAATGACTTATCTTTGTAAAATACTTAGAATTCCTTGCCCATAATAAGTGCTAGAAAAGCATTCTCAGAGCAATTTGGCTCTTGGTGACAAACCTATGTGTGTTTTCTCAGGTCTGATTACAGGCAGTTACCAAGGCTTTACCTGAAAAGTCTTAAAGGGGAAAATTGCCCTCCTCACACCAGAATAAGGGCACAGCCAGTGCATAGCAGCCCCTGGAGGGAGCTAAGGTCAAGGTCTCAGGCCCGCTGGCTGGTCATGCTCTTACACATGTTGTTCTGGTGCCTTCTTTCCTGGTGCCATTGTCTATTACTCTGATATATGGTAAATTTTTGAGTTCGGTATTTACAAATATCTCTGTTCTTGAAAATAACATAATGCCACCGTTATCAGCATTTAACAACATTTAAATATCTTTTAAATATTACTAAGAATATAAATTGCACATCTACTCACATATTTACTTTCTGCAACCATGGGTAAACTGTAGCTTCCTTAGCAGTTATAATCGGCATAGATTTTTATTTTCTTTCAGATATACTTTGGCTGGAGTTCCTCATTTAATAGTTAAAAGTGTATATTTTACACAGCAATGAAGACATAAACAATGGCAATGGTTGAAATGGGTCAAACAAACAAGAAGATGACTTGAGCATTGAAACAGAAATGAAATTACCATATTATTACTCATGTATTTTGGAAGAAAAACACACATTCATTTTCCTTCCCAGGAGGTTTCCAATAGGCTTTAGGTGAATACTAGTTTGGGAAATAAATATACTTTTGGTTTTTAGCAGAATTTGGAAAACAATTTTTCCATACACTAGGAAGTGTTAATTTATGTCTGAAATAGGCCATATTAAAATTATTACTATGGTCAATTGGTCCTCAGCAAATCTCACTGAAATACTTTTTCTAAAATTGGAATGGCTTTTATTTATCCCAGGGAGCACAAGCCTGAGAATCAGAGCACCTAGATCTCAGTCCAGGCCTTGCTCTAAATGAGCTCACTGTCTTATCTAGAGCAAGATATGAGTCATTCAGTCACCAACAAACCAGGAAGGAGTGCTCCTAAGCACAGCCTAAAGATAACAAAACAGGTCAAAGAAATTCTATTATTAAGAAATTGATAATTGCAAAGATACTATATAACTATATAATACATGGCATATGTTACTAAATAATGGAGAGCATAAATGCTCTAACAGTAATATCAAATAAACGATATAGGAGTTGAGTAGGATAAGTAATTAGTTTTTCCAAAAGCCAAAATAGAGAATGGTAGACAGTGACATATTTCCCAGAGCAGCAACTTAGACAAGCAAAACCACATAGAAGGCAAAACAAACAAACAAACCAGACAAAACACAAAACAAACAAACAAAAAGGTTATACTTAATCAATCTGATCAAGGTACAGCATTTACAAAGTGAGTTCTTTGGATCACTTTTTCAAAGGTTATTTCATGTAAACAAAAAGGGAAGATGGAACATTAAGTGTGAAATCACTAGAAATATGCCCACTTTTTGGAGCATTTCAACACACATTTACTCTTTATTTTATTTTTTGAGACAGGTCTCACTCTGTTACTCAGGCTGAAGTGCAGTGGCGTCATCACGCCTCACTGCAACCTCCACCTCCTGAGCTCAAGTGATCCTGCCACCTCACCTCCTGAGTAGCTGGGAATACAGGCACGTGCCACAATGCCTGGCTAATTTTTGTATTTTTTGTAGAGACAGGGTTTTACTATCTTGCCCAGGCTGGTCTCGAACTCCTGGGCTCAAGCAGTCCACCTGCCTCAGTCTCCCCAAGTGCTAGGATTATAGGTGTGAGCCACTGTGCCTGCCTACATTTATTTTTTAAAGGCTCTGAGACCTGGATGGAGCTGGAGGCCATTATCCTCAGCAAACCAACACAGAAACAGAAAAACAAATACTGTACGTTCTCACTTATAAATGAGAGCTAAATGATGAGACCACATGAACACATAGAAGGGGAAAACACACATTGGGGTCTTTCAGAGGGTGGAGGTTGAGAAGAGGGAAAGAATTAGGAAAACTAACTAATGGGTACCAGGCTTAATATTTGGGAGATGAAATAATATGTACAACAAACCCTCATGACACAAGATTACCTATGTGAGAAACCTGCACATGTGCCCCCAAACTTTAAAGTTAAAAACAGCTCTGAGAAATTAAACAGTTATAAAATTTTAATTTATGTGAAGCATTAAAATTACACATATGCATTTTCATACTTAAGGTACCTGCTTACTTAGTGCTACAAAGAATGTTCGGTGGAGTATGATAATTTTAGGGGAGTGAGAGTTAATAAAAGATGATGGAGACAAGAACTACTTTAGAAGTGAAAATAACCTGACTGGTTTACTGATTAGATGTTAGAGGGGAAAATGAGAGAGCAATACATCACAAATATGTGATTCCTAAAGGAAATGACTGAGTAAATCTTGCCATTGATCAAGTAGTGGGTCTCAGAAGTAAAAGGACTCATTTAGAGAAAGATCTTTTCTGCATATTTAAAACCAAGTTGCAGTTGTCTGCATATTCTTTGACACTCTGCCCTTCAGAAGGTAGAGCAAGTTTCTTCCCCGTGAGTGTTGAATGAACTTTCTCAATTTGAATCAGTGGAGAATGGAGAATTTTTTAAAAGTAACTTGATGTAGAGCGACCTGGTAGAAACCAGCTAATCCTTGTGACCAAGGCTAACACCACTCATAAGCCATGTTGATATCATGTACCTGCTGATTTTACTCACTGAGAACATTTCTCCGCTGTGATATTCTTCAGCAAAAGCCAGATTCTCAGATAAATCATAAGAAAACATTAGGCAATCCAAAATTGAGGCATTTTCTACAAAATACCTGACTAGACTCTTCAGAAGGGTCAAGATCACCAAACAAAAGGAAAGACTGAAAAATTGCCACAAATCAGAAAAGGCTAAGGAGACAGGAGCACTGAATTGAATAAATGCAAAAGTATTATTCTAGTTCGGATTCTGGAACAGAAAAGAGACGTTAGTTTTTTTAAAAAAAGAACAACCACTGGTGAAATCAGAATACAATGTGTAGTTTAGTTAATAATATTGTATCAATGTTAATTTCTTAGTCTTGAAAAATGTGTCATAGTAATGTAGGATATTAATACTGGGAGAGGCTTGGTGAATGGATACATGGGAACTCTGTACTACATAGCACCTTTCTGTAAATCTAAAGTTCTTTCCAAATAAAAAGTTTCAGAATGATAAATACTTGTAGAAATGGGTTGTAAGTCTTGAATTATACTTAACTTAATCTTTAACTCCATGCTAATATAAAGAAAGAAATTAATTAAAATTTTAGGTGTCAAAGGATATTTGCACATCCTCAAATTCCTCTTCAAAGAATACACTTATTAATTACAAAAGGTAAAATAGTAATGTTATATTAGAGAAGACTGGAAGATACCTTCTTAATTAGGTGATCAAAGTTAACATACTTGGAAATGGGACAAATCAATATCTTCTTCCAGGTGATAGGATGCAATGAAAACACCAGATCACTTTCTTCCTTCCGTGGTATTCTATCCAAACATGCATAATCTAAATCTAATTGTAAAACAACACTAACAAAAACAAATGGAGGGATGTTTTCAGGGTCCAGGAAGTCGTGTAAACAAGTGTAAGGCAATTGAGAGCAAGAGGGAAGCAACAAACTGGGCAGTGAATAACTTGCCTAAAGGAATTCAAATTCAATTAAAGAAATTTGACGGGTGAAATTAATCCTCTGATGAAAACAAGACTAGCAATAGCCAATGTTTATCATGAACTTACTCTGTGTCAGGCAACACAGTGGAGAGGTTCTAGTGTGGACTCTGGAAATAGATTTCTGGGCCTGAGTCCTGGCTTTACTCCCTGTTAGGGGTGAGACTGATCACAACATTACACCTCTCTGAGCCTCAGTTGCCTCACTTGAAAAATGGAAATAATAATAACATCTGCCTTATAGGATTTTTCTGAGGATTCAAAGGCTGAGTACATGGAAAATACATAAAATAGTGCCTGGCACATGGAATATAACTCCTCCCCCCGAAAAAACAAGTTAATTGGACCAAAACAAGTTAAGACTAAATCTTAATTTCTACTGCTTTTTAAATGCTGCTGTCTTCCATAGATACCAAAACTTTATGAAAAACACTATATTATAACACAAAAATTATTCAAAAATATGCTCTGTTCTCAGTGAGTTTGTAGTCCCCTGGAAGGGATAAGATACACCTATGAACAAGGACACTAATAGTCACATAATAAAGGAAGAGATGCTTCATGTATAGAAATGATAGGAGGTCAATTTGAGTTGAAGGTAAAGAATCTATTCATGAAGAAGTGGGATTGGAGCTGGCCCTTGACATGTTCGCGCGTGTGTGTGTGTGTGTAACCTACTCATATGTGTAACCTACTCATATATATATATATGAGTATATGTATGTATATATGTATATACATATATATGCATATATATACACACATATATGAGTAGGTTATGTATTTCTAATTCATTGGCTATTTCTAATATATTTCTAATTCATTGGCTATTAACAAGAGATGGTTATTAACAATTCACTGGTTATTAACAAGAGATGCTTCTGGTATGGAAATGATAGGAGGCCAATTTGAGTTGAAGATAAAGAATCTATTCATGAAGGAATGGCATTGGATCTGGCCCTTGACATATGTTTGTGTGTGTGTGGGTGTGTGTGTGTGTGTGTGTGCATATATATGTAGGTTGTAATGAATGAGTGTTGTAGAATTCATCTGTTCCAATGCGCATATTTCTCAGGGCAAGATTGGTTAATAATTAAAGAATCTATTATTTATCAATTTGCCCTGAATGCCAAATTCAAGATCTATATTGGTGCTTAGATTTCAAAACTTCACCTCATTGTCTAAATTCTGCGAGTTTGGCCAGTCTAGTATACAGTCACAAGTTGATACTCCTGGGAAGGAATTCAATTTTTTTAAATTATGAAAGTGAAATACGTTTATTGTATAAAAATGAACAGTAGTTAATTGCACTGACTGCAATTAAAAATGAAATCACCCATAATGTCATTGTCCCAGAGATGATAGCTTATTATTCCTGAAGATATTTTTCTAGATTTTTCTCTCTCAGCATCACTGTTATCTTCTGTCTAAAAATGTCTACTTAGACAAAAGATATATATAATAAGGATATATGTATATTTACATATAAATATATATTTAGACTATATAATTACAAAAGTTAACACCTCTTTCATAAAATTGGCTTCACATTCTACATAATACTTTCCAAAGTATTTTTTAACTTAATATGTACTTTATCTGACTGAATATTCATACAGTATGCCTTTCAAAGGCTGCTAGGATAGGAAGAAAATTATATACCAGGGATATCCACTTCCTAAAAACACTAGGGATGCCAGAATCTTTAGAGCTGTTTGCTTCTTAGTCTTATTGACTTGGAAAGAGCAGATGATACGACTCCAGAGCTCATTGAATAGCACACATTGAATGAGGTATATTCTGTTTAGTCTTCTTCAAAGCTTCTCATCTTTTGGGGAAAAAAAAGCTGACATTAAATTTTATAAAAACTTGTAAGTATATATCCTTGTTTGTCCTTATTCTTTCACCCATGTCAGCTGTGCGATTGAAGGCTACTTAATTTATCTTTATTCACCTCAGATAAACCCATTAGCTGCCATCACTCACCAGTGGGATTAGGTCACTGCTGAGTTCAAACTAGTAAGGAAATAAAATTATTTAGCAAAGTGAGAGGACTTGGGTGTAATCCTAGAAGGCACATAAACAAGTCATTAAAGCAACAAGAGGAACATTGTGAAAAATGTTCTTTTCTTTAGCGGGAGTGAAGGCAATGTGTTTGATATTTACTTCTTTCTAACTTCTATGATTTATGTGTCATCACCTCGTATTGCCAGAGTTTCCAGGTGGTTCCATTGTTGTCTGTCTTATTCAAAAGGGACACCAGACTTGTTGACTTGTTCAATATTTTTATTAAAATTGTAGTCATATAGTTTAATATTTGCTAAAGACCTAAAATGTAACAATGATCCTGTATTTAATTTAATTTATTTATTTGTCTATTGAGACAGAGTCTTGCTCTGTCACCCAGGCTGGAGTGCAGTGGTGTGATCTCAGCTCACTGCAACCTCTGCCTCCTAGGTTCAAGCGCTTCTCCTGCCTCAGCCTCCCGAGTAGCTGGGATTACAGGCATGTGCCACCATACTTGGTTAACTTTTGTATTTTTAGTAGAGATGGGGTTTCACCATGTTGGCCAGGTTAGTCTCAAACTCCTGACCTCAAGTGATCCACCCCACCCGCCTCTGCCTCCCAGATTCTAAAAGATTAGATTAAAAGGTCAAAGGAAGAAGGGTGTATATGTGTGCACACACGCGTGTGTGTGTATATGTGTGCACACACACGTGTGTGTATATAATTACACATACGACTGTATAGATTTTGACTTAGAATTTATATAACAATTAAAGTAACTAGTTACACACTTTTTATTTTCCACTTGTAGTAATGACTTGAAAAGATATTTTGCTTCTCAGAAAATACTCGAGTTCTGTTAGAGCCAGGTCAGCATGAAATAAATCTCTTTTTTATTTCATTTTTTAAAGAGAAATATTGCATTTTAATGATGTATGAGTCTATACATAATGTAATATTGAAATAGATGTAGTTTTAACAGTCTTTGGAGTAACATTAAAATCCAGTGAATCTGAATTTTAGCTTGGTCTTTCCAAACAAGCACTTTATCACTAAAGTGCCTAGAAACACACAATGTCTCAGGTTTTTAATAGTTCCTCACTTCCTCTTTTAAATGCCCCAATTTAATATAAAAAAAAAAACAGCCTCAGTACTTGCTCAATAAATAGGTGTTAAATGGATGAAATAATCAATGAATTCCTAGAGTCTAAGAAGATCTTTCCTTTAAACTCCTTCCTGGAATATATAATCCCGCTTGTACTTTTTTATTTATTATTATTATTATTATACTTTCAGTTTTAGGATACATGTGCACAATGTGCAGGTTAGTTACATATGTATACATGTGCCATGCTGGTGTGCTGTAGCCATTAACTCGTCATTTAGCATTAGGTATATCTCCCAATGCTATCCCTCCCCGCTCCCCCCACCCCACAACAGTCCCCAGAGTATGATGTTCCCCTTCCTGTGTCCATGTGTTCTCATTGTTCAATTCCCACCTATGAGTGAGAATATGCAGTGTTTGGTTTTTTGTTCTTGCAACAGTTTACTGAGAATGATGATTTCCAATTTCATCCATGTCCCTACAAAGGACATGAACTCATCATTTTTTATGGCTGAATAGTATTCCATGGTGCATATGTGCCACATTTTCTTAATCCAGTCTATCATTGTTGGACATTTGGATTGGTTCCAAGTCTTTGCTATTGTGAATAGTGCCACAATAAACACGTGTGTGCATGTGTCTTTATAGCAGCTTGATTTATAGTCCTTTGGGTATATACCCAGTAATGGGATGGCTGGGTCAAATGGTATTTCTAGTTCTAGATCCCTGAGGAATCGCCACACTGACTTCCACAATGGTTGAACTAGTTTACAGTCCAACCAACAGTGTAAAAGTGTTCCTATTTCTCCACATCCTCTCCAGCACCTGTTGTTTCCTGACTCTTTAATGATCGCCATTCTAACTGGTGTGAGATGGTATCTCATTGTGGTTTTGATTTGCATTTCTCTGATGGCCAGTGATGATGAGCATTTTTTCATGTGTTTTTGGCTACATAAATGTCTTCCTTTGGGAAGCGTCTGTTCATGTCCTTCACCCACTTTTTGATGGGGTTGTTCGTTTTTTTCTTGTAAATTTGTTTGAGTTCATTGTAGGTTCTGGATATTAGCCCTTTGCCAGACGAGTAGGTTGCGAAAATTTTCTCCCATTTTGTAGGTTGCCTGTTCACTCTGATGGTAGTTTCTTTTGCTGTGCAGAAGCTCTTGAGTTTAATTAGATCCCATTTGTCAATTTTGGCTTTTGTTGCCATTGCTTTTGGTGTTTTACACATGAAGTCCTTGCCCATGCCTATGTCCTGAATGGTAATGCCTAGGTTTTCTTCTAGGGTTTTTGTAGTTTTAGGTCTAACATTTAAGTCTTTAATCCATCTTGAATTAATTTTTGTATAAGGTGTAAGGAAGGGATCCAGTTTCAGCTTTCTACATATGGCTAGCCAGTTTTCCCAGCACCATTTATTAAATAGGGAATCCTTTCCCCATTGCTTGTTTTTCTCAGGTTTGTCAAAGATCAGATAGTTGTAGATATGTGGCATTATTACTGAGGGCTCTGTTCTGTTCCATTGGTCTATATCTCTGTTTTGGTACCAGTACCATGCTGTTTTGGTTACTGTAGCCTTGTAGTATAGTTTGAAGTCAGGTAGCGTGATGCCTCCAGCTTTGTTCTTTTGGCTTAGGATTGACTTGGCAATGCGGGCTCTTTTTTGGTGCCATATGAACTTTAAAGTAGTTTTTCCCAATTCTGTGAAGAAAGTCATTGGTAGCTTGATGGAGATGGCACTGAATCTATAAATTACCTTGGGCAGTATGGTCATTTTCACGATATTGATTCTTCCTACCCATGAGCATGGAATGTTCTTCCATTTCTTTGTATCCTCTTTTATTTCATTGAGCAGTGGTTTGTAGTTCTCCTTGAAGAGGTCCTTCACATCCCTTGTAAGTTGGATTCCTAGGTATTTTATTCTCTTTGAAGCAATTGTGAATGGGAGTTCACTCATGATTTGGCTCTCTGTTTGTCTGTTGTTGGTGTATAAGAATGCTTGTGATTTTTGTACATTGATTTTGTATCCTGAGACTTTGCTGAAGTTGCTTATCAGCTTAAGGAGATTTTGGGCTGAGACAATGGGGTTTTCTAGATATACAATCATGTCGTCTGCAAACAGGGACAATTTGACTTCCTCTTTTCCTAATTGAATACCCTTTATTTCCTTCTCCTGCCTGATTGCCCTGGCCAGAACTTCCAACACTATGTTGAATAGGAGTGGTGAGAGAGGGCATCCCTGTCTTGTGCCAGTTTTCAAAGGGAATGCTTCCAGTTTTTGCCCATTCAGTATGATATTGGCTGTGGGTTTGTCATAGATAGCTCTTATTATTTTGAGATATGTCCCATTAATACCTAATTTATTGAGAGTTTTTAGTATGAAGGGTTGTTGAATTTTGTCAAAGGCCTTTTCTGCATGTATTGAGATAATCATGTGGTTTTTGTCTTTGGTTCTGTTTATATGGTGGATTACATTTATTGATTTGCATATATTGAACCAGCCTTGCATCCCAGGGATGAAGCCCACTTGATCATGGTGGATAAGCTTTTTGATGTGCTGCTGGATTCATTTTGCCAGTATTTTACTGAGGATTTTTGCATCAATGTTCATCACGGATATTGGTCTCAAATTCTCTCTTTTGGTTGTGTCTCTGCCCGGCTTTGTTATCAGGATGATGCTGGCCTCATAAAATGAGTTAGGGAGGATTCCCTGTTTTTCTGTTGATTGGAATAGTTTCAGAAGGAATGGTACCAGCTCCTCCTTGTACCTCTGGTAGAATTCGGCTGTGAATCCATCTGGTCCTGGACTCTTTTTGGTTGGTAAGCTATTGAATATTGCCACAATTTCAGAGCCTGTTATTGGTCTGTTCAGAGATTCAACTTCTTCCTGGTTTAGTCTTGGGAGGGTGTATGTGTCCAGGAATTTATCCATTTCTTCAAGATTTTCTAGTTTATTTGCATAGAGGTGTTTGTAGTATTCTCTGATGGTAGTTTGTATTTCTGTGGGATCGGTGGTGATATCCCCTTTACCATTTTTTATTGTGTCTATTTGATTCTTCTCTCTTTTCTTCTTTATTAGTCTTGCTAGCGGTCTATCAATTTTGTTGATCCTTTCAAAAAACCAGCTCCTAGATTCATTAATTTTTTGAAGTGTTTTTGTGTCTCTATTTCCTTCAGTTCTGCTCTGATTTTAGTTATTTCTTGCCTTCTGCTAGCTTTTGATTGTGTTTGCTCTTGCTTTTGTAGTTCTTTTAGTTGTGTTGTTAGCAGACAAGCAAATGCTGAGAGATTTTGTCACCACCAGGCCTGCACTAAAAGAGCTCCTGAAGGAAGCACTAAACATGGAAAGGAACAACCGGTACCAGCCACTGCAAAATCATGCCAAATTGTAAAGACCATTGAGGCTGGGAAGAAACTGCATCAACTAACGAGCAAAATAACCAGCTAACATCATAATGACAGGATCAAATTCACACATAACAATATTAACTTTAAATGTAAATGGACTAAATGTTCCAATTAAAAGACACAGACTGGTAAATTGGATAAAGAGTCAAGACCCATCAGTGTGCTGTATTCAGGAAACCCATCTCACGTGCAGAGACACACATGGCTCAAAATAAAAGGATGGAGGAAGATCTACCAAGCAAATAGAAAACAAAAAAAGGCAGGGGTTGCAATCCTAGTCTCTGATAAAACAGACTTTAAACCAACAAACATCAAAAGAGACAAAGAAGGCCATTACATAATGGTAAAGGGATCAATTCAACAAGAAGAGCTAACTATCCTAAATATATATGCACCCAATATAGGAACACCCAGATTCATACAGCAAGTCCTGAGTGACCTACAAAGAGACTTAGACTCCCACACAATAATAATGGGAGACTTTAACACCCCACTGTCAACATTAGACACATCAACGAGACAGAAAGTCAACAAGGATACCCAGGAATTGAACTCAGCTCTGCACAAGCGGATCTAATAGACATCTACAGAACTCTCCACCCCAAATCAACAGAATATATATTTTTTTCAGCACCACACCCCATCTATTCCAAAATTGACCACATAGTTGGAAGTAAAGCTCTCCTCAGCAAATGTAAAAGAACAGAAATTATAACAAACTGTCTCTCAGACCACAGTGCAATCAAACTAGAACTCAGGATTAAGAAACTGACTCAAAACCGCTCAACTACATGGAAACTGAACAACCTGCTCCTGAATGACTACTGGGTACATAACGAAATGAAGGCAGAAGTAAAGATGTTCTTTGAAACCAACGAGAATAAAGACACAACATACCAGAATCTCTGGGACACATTCAAAGTAGTGTGTATAGCGAAATTTATAGCACTAAATGCCCACAAGAGAAAGCAGGAAAGATCCAAAATTGACACCCTAACATCACAATTAAAATCCTTCTTGTACTTATTTAGCAAGTACAGTTTTCTACTTCATAAAGAGAGAATCCTGGATTCACAAGGTTTTCAACTTGAAGAAATGTGGATATGGTCTAGGGGAAATAAAATCTTAGGGCCATAGAGAATCTGACTCGATACTCCCATGACACTCAATTTTTCAGTAACAGGACTGGGATCTCAAGACTTTATTACTATTTTCTCTTATGTCTATTTGGTCTTATTTTGTCAACTAAGTTGCAGACTCATTAAGGCATTAATGTGGGGAGGCTGGGGTGCTGGCAGTTTCCTAGTTGATAGATATATTGGTGTGTTTACTGGAATAATTCACAGAGTTATTATGACTCATGCTCCATCCTTAGGTTCGTTTGACCCACGTGAGACATTATTACTACACACGGAGGGAGCTGCTCCATGTTCTCACAGTACTGTATTCTTGAGTACCCAGGAAATCAGCAAGATACAGTTAAAAGGATGGATTCCGAGTTCACAGACTTGAATTTGTGAAACACCCCTGACACATACAATGTGAACTCACCTTAATTATTTAGTTTTTCTCGACTTACACTTGCAGCTACGCAAACGGTATCTGCAAAGTAAGCAAGCAAGCCTAAATATTTACACCCTAAAATGCAAGGGGAAAAACAGTAATGGTACTTTCATTTTACGAAACAGGATATAATACCGAGCAAATATCAATTATGTACAGTATGGCAGTGTTTGCTTAATTAATGTTCCTGAGAAGTGCCCCCACATTACTATTTTAGTTGCATGTGTTACTTTGAGACAAGGCGGTAATTGACATATTATGTTTTGTAGATTTATAAACAAATAGCAAAACTGCCAAACTATTGTCAGTCTATTGAAAACGGTACGTAGTGATTTTCTTTTCATTCTTAAAAATATTTCTGAAAAACCAAGAGGCCACACTCTTTCAGGAAATTTCATATTATTTATGTCATTATATTTACATTACATTTGTAAGTCTGCAAAATGATAATATATTATTTTTATTTAATTTAGGTCTCCCCTCCTCAGTCTTTTCTTGTGGCATATTGTAATGGACTTATTATTAAAATAAGAAGGCTGATTATAATAGAAAATTTTTAGTACAGAACAAATAACTTTTGTAATGTGTTTTGGATCTCCAAAATTAACACATAATTCCTAAAAGAATTTCTCTAAGCCTTCCTACTTTTCCAATGAAATATTGGGGACTTAAGATACTATTACATTTCCATAATATAATACTAGAAATGTGAATTTTTAAATTACTGGCAAGGTATCAAAAAATAAACTAGAGAAACATTGAGATATTAAAGAACAGGCTGGTATACTAATATGTATATTATTTTCTGATATACACATACATATACATATCTAAGAATATTGAGCAGTAGGAGAGATAGCTAGGACTAGAATAAATGTTCTAGAGCAAGGGTCACATGGCACCTACTATGTAAAACATTTTTTGGAACACAACCATGCTCATCTATTTACATTTTGTCTATGGCTGATCTCAGGTAATAGTAGAGTTGAATAGCTGCAACAGAAATTCTGTGATTCACAAAGCTAAAATTATTTGCTATGTGGCTCTTTATAGAAAAAGTTTGCTAATCCACGGTCCAGACGAGTGATTCTCAAAGCCTAGTCTGCAGACCAGTAGCATCATGATAAGCTAGAAATCTCTTAATGCAAATTATTGGGCTTTGCCTAAGACCTCCTGAATCAGTATCTCTGAGAGAGGGACCCAGCAGCTTGTATTTTACCAAGTGCCCCATTGGATTTTGATGCATGATAATGTTTAAAAATTATCGTTCCATAGTAAACAACATGTGTAAGAAATGGGCAAGATAGCAAAGTCAGAGAGACATCTGTGACTCAGAGTCCATGGCTCTGACCAACCCCACAGGGCAGATATGAATTGCATGTGCCAGGTCAGAAATTATTAATGGATGCAAAATTAAGTTGCAACTTAGGACTAATATATGGTGCAAATCTGGCCTTCCTTCACACTTCCAGTGTTCCTAAACCTACAAGTCATCACTGTCTCTGTCCCTGGCCACTGCAAAAAGCATCCAATTGGTCTTTTCTCTTCATTCTATCCTCTACCTAACAATACAGTGACTCTTTTGAAATATAAGCTAGCCATATTCAAAATCCTCCAAAATCAGCTCATATAATTAAAATTAAAAAAATAAAATGTCCTTTATATCTTCTTCCCACTCAAGCCAAAGCTTTGGGCTTTCTGTTCACTCTAGTGAGAATGCCTTCTCAAGGATACACTCACTATTATGTCATAAATATACCTTTCTTATATACTGAACTCTTCTCACATGACTCTTCTGCATGAAAATCTTCCCTGACTTTCCTATCTAAAATAGCTACCAGTTTAAATGGGTGAATCATATGGTAGGTGGTTTATCCTAATATATCTATTAAAAAGAAAAACGAAAGGTGAAGGCTTTCTACAAAATACAATGTTTCATGGGATTATGTTCATATTTACACCATAAAGTTAAATCAGATAACACCTTAAGTGTTCATAACACAGCCCCTGAGTTTTAGTAACAGCTCAAAATTATTTACTATTATATTTTATTATACATATATTATGTTATTACAAAATATTTTCTATTACGGCCATCACATAATCATACTATTATTATGATGTCAGCCTCGTTTAAGCTGAATCCTAGGGACATTTGTTGGTTAAAAGATTACTTAAATAGAAATAAGAGAAAGATATCAAATCAGGTTGGTAGCAAGGAATCTCTATGTATTTTTTAAAAATGGTTCACTAATTTAAAAATGAGATAATGCACTTTCGGTTCACTGAAATATTTTAGGTCAGTCATCTTAGATATAGAAAATATGATACAATTTGTTCAATATCCTTTGGTTATAACCTGTTGTATAAAATATTTGGATCTTCTTAATCTTTTTGTATTGCAACAATACTCTTCCCACTCACAATTACCATGTACAATTATCATGACATGCATATGTCACTTATACTCAATGATTTTAAATAATCATAACTATGTACTCATTTTTATAATAAAGAGATCTAATATAAATTAAAATACTATTATGATATTATCATTCAAGCCTCTCAAGTTGGAACAAACACTTTTTTTTCATGCTTTACTATTCCTATTCTTAGAAATGTGCAGTAAATCTCTTATGAAAAACAAAATATGTTTTGTTAGTTTGGTGTCCTTCTTCTCTGGTACTCTGAATGTAACAGCTTTACTCTACACTTAGGCTTCTATTGTGTAAGGTAACTGCTTCCATATTACTCTGGGGGAAGGAAAATGTCACAGAATACAAGTGAAGCCCCAGTCAATGCAGTTATTTTGAAAAAATATACAAACTATGGAAGTTACAAAACTGCTTTTGTAAGCTTAAAAACAGATCTGATCATGAGGATAGCATTTCTGAAAGATAGCTTCCTATCGAGTTCCCTCGAAGAATGTCTACTTTCAAGTAACAATTCAATGACTGATCTGAAAACAGAAGTCAGAAATTTTATTTTCTGTCTCCTACATGCTGTATTTAATTCTGTTTCTTATTGTCATTAGTTTTGTATGTTGACGGTCTTGTATGTATCATGAGTAAGCAGTAATATTAGGAGAGCACAACATGTAACTATCGCAATGAAATCAGCAATAGATAATGGATGATAACCCTGAGAGACAGAAAAGAAAACTGAAAAGAAAAGCATAATGCTGTGACAGAGGGGTTTATCCCGCCAGCATAATCATCATCAAGATCATGGAGCCAGTAGCTGTATATCAATGCAACAAATACAGATCTTTCTTACCCCATCCCCAAAAGTCACCTAACCAGAGAAAATTGTACTATCATTATAAGAAATGTATATTGATTGCTTAATTTATTTTGCTTAGCACTTTCCCTATATTATCTCATGTAATCCTTACAACAGATATAAAATAAGAGCACCATCCCCATTCAACAAGTGCTGAAGTGTGGTTAGGGAGGTGAAATAACTTGCCTAAGACTTCATCCTTGTTAACTGGAGAAGCAAGAATTAAAAGCTAGATTTGTCTGACTCCAAGTAGTTTTTTTTTTTTTTTGTCCATAGTTATTAAGTGATATCATCTTTTCAGCAGTCTTAGGGACCTTTAATGACTACAAAAATGAAACAAACAAAAACTAGCTTAGTTCTTAATTGCATTTTGCCATATTATTTCTGAAGATCCTGTTGTTAGAAATTCTGAAAATGTCAGTCATAATTATTTCATATACAGCCCAAATTATTCTCAATTGATGGGGGGCAAATGACTTTTTAAATAAAAGCAGATTTAGACTGCACCTACATAAGTAAAATAAAGAGCATTGCCACTTTATTCAACAAATATAAGGTGATGAAAATCAACTTGTTCTTCTAATTTTATTCCAAAAACATTTTATTTAAATCAAACACCAACATGATTGCTTTTCACTTCCCAGAGTGTAGACTAAATAATTGAATGCAATGAGCAAGTTTTTTAAAAAACTGTGTAACATATTGGAGGAAATAATTTGGCGAAATGAGAAATATCTAAGAATATGCTGAGACCAATCATTTGTAAAGAGAAACACCACTTAATGTATTCTTAGAGGTAAGAATTTCTGTAAGTGATAAATGTTTTTGTTCCTCTGGGCAGTTGAGATACTACTAAACATACTTTCAGCATGATGGAAACTTCCAGCTGTTTTTTAACATAGCAACAATTGGCTTTGGTTTGGCCTTGCCTTCTTGTCTAACTTCCTTGCAGAACATGGACAATGGTGTACAAGGTTTGGGGAGCAGTTTATGATTCTGCAGGAGCAAAGCCTACTACGACGTGAACTTCTGGCCTTTCCTAATTAGTTCTATAATCCTACCAGTGAAGGAGGAAAGCCTAAGTATTTTCAACTGTTTATAGAAAAGAATTTAATTAAAACTATTTGGGGCTCAAATTGTACAGAAAGTATAGTTAACATGAACACATATGCAATCCAAACATCAGTGTGCACGTAAAATATCCAAAAGACAGTGAGATAGAGAGGAAAGATGACCTGCATTTGCAAGCCACTTATGAATTTGCAGCCTATGTAAGCTTGGGCAAGTAACTTTCCTTCTCTAGCTTCACTTTTCTCCTGCAAATTGGGCATGATCATCAATATCATGTTGATGTTTTGCGGTGAAGATTATATAAATTATATACACAAAGGGACCACCGCGATGTCTGACACAGAATTCATCTTCTCCTAGATGACTTAGACAAAAGATACACAGGCAAATTATTACTTCCTGGAGACATTTGTTGAAGTACTAAACTTACTTTGAGAATGATTTTCACTTTATGTCCCGATGGTTCATTTCCCTTTTTTTTTCTTCCTTCCTTCCTTCCTTCCTTCCTTCCTTCCTTCCTTCCTTCCTTCCTTCCTTCCTCCCTCTCCCTCCCTCCCTCCCTCCCTCCCTCCCTCCCTTCCTTCCTTCCTTCTTTCCTTCCTTCCTCCCTCCCTCCCTCCCTCCCTCCCTCCTTCCCTCCCTTCCTTTCTTCCTTCCTTCCTCCCTCCCTCCCTCCCTCCCTCCCTTCCTTCCTTCCTTCCTTTCTTCCTTCCTCCCTCCCTCCCTCCCTTCCTTCCTTCTCTCTTGCTTCCTTTATTTCTTTCTCTTTTTTTTGGATACAGTATTTTTTTTTTCCTGAGACAGAGTCTCGCTCTGTGGCCCAGGCTGCAGTACAGTGGCATGATCTCGGCTCACTGAAACCTCCACTTCCCGGATTCCAGTGATTCCCATGCCTCAGCCTCCCAAGTAGCTGGGATTACAGTATCTTGATGCAGCATCTTGGTGCAGTGTTATGCTGGGATTCATTGCCAAAAATACTTCTTAGAGTAGGACTATGAATAGAAATGAAGTCTTTCTGATAACTTTCGGATGATTTTAGGAATCCAGGCTTAATAAACTTTGTCCTGGAATTAGGACCTGATTGGAAATGAATAAAAAAGCCTCATTAAATAGGCTGTGTCCCTTGTGTAGCTAAATTATGTATTGGACAGCCAAAGAGGCAAGGTGTCCTTTAATGTCAAAACAAATGGTATCAGGAAGTTAAAAAACAGAAAGGTGAAATAGGAAGTTAAAAATTTCCTAAGTGCCTACTTAGTCTATGTATATGTATATAGAAAATAAGGAACTGCCTATGAAATCAAGAAAAAAAAAAGAAAGAAAGAAAGAGGAGGAGAAGGAAAGAGAAGAAAGGGGGAGGGAGGAAAAGAGGGAAGGGGGAAAGATAACCAAACGCTCTCACAGATCATCATAAAATTGGCAACTGGCAAAACCATTCAGGAAGATCATGCAGTTGGATTGATGACTGAACACATTTTGTGACTGAGTCAGTGTTGCTCCTACTATTTCCCCACTCCTGCAGAGAGAGACTGGCGGATGGGTAACAGGAACCGCTCTCTCAGCTTCTGTTTCAGCCAACAGCCAGTATTTGCTGCAAGATGAAGCCTGGCAGGAATCTAACAGGCTAAGCGTGATGGCCAGCCAGACTGCGTGTGAAGCCACTGCCTGAGGATAAATGAGGGGAGGCAACAACCTCTACAACAACATAGTAGTGGCAGCTTGTTCATCACAAGCCGCATCACAACAGATGCAGTGGTAATTAAATTTGGGGTGTGGATCTCAGGCAGTCACTTTCAAATAGGCTGTCAAATTTAAATAGAACCGCATCCAAAGAGTTTCTGCCTGGCCATCTGCATTTGGGAGGGGGTTTTATTTATCAAGACCCAGCAGCCAGATTGCTTTTAGTACCAAGCTTATGGATTCTAATAAGTTTTTTCTGCTTAATTACTTGCCTATTTTACTACAATGACTACTGTGGACTGTGTTCTTTGGAACTGACAAAGCCTTTTGCCCACTATAGTTATTTCCTGATTAAAAATAGGCCATCCAATGTTGTGTGCAAGTTATGTTAATTCACAATAAATATATTTTGTCTTGCATGACCACAGACATTTTCACTGATTATTCCAGAAAGCTTATGTTATTGATAGGACCTATATTATAACTATCCTAGGATAAAGGTGGGTAGATATATGCAGAGCAATGAGACATCTCGCGAGTGAGTAGAAAACAAACTTCTATTCCAGTAATTGTTGAACTATACCATACTGTTTTTCAGTTCATTCCTTTTTTAAAAAAACGTATAACCTTGCCACCAGTAGATTTTGATATCCAAAATAATACCTCAGAGTAATCATTTACGGGAGAAACTCTGGGATGGAATTTTCTATTGCTGTCTACTCAGTCAGCTTTGATGATAAGCCTACTGCAATAAATACTAAACATTCACTTCATTATTATTCTTTTTCCAAATTGGCAGAAAGCCAGCCCTAGATGATATTCCACTTAAATTTCTAACGTTTGTGTAGAATAATATTTGTAATAAATCAGATTATCAATCTTGGTCAGACAATTCACTGCCTAAAACATAAAGCTCCCCAAGGGTCTGAAAGCCAGTAAATCCTAGGTGGAAAATTATCTCATTAAATCTAAACCCAAGTCTACATGAGACAAATGTTTCCAAGCTCTACTTTGCAGTCCAAACATTCCTGGATCCTCCCATGGATGTTGAGATTCCCTCCCCTTTCACCCTTTTCATCTTTCATCTATCGGTAATGTGCATACCCATGCACACACACATGCAAACAACTGATATTCAAGCATAGGGAAGGGCTCAATCTAGACTGCAAAGTTAACTACTAAGAAATTAAAATAATGAAAAGCTCTATCCTATATGAAACATAGAAGCACTAATTAAATAATATGTAAGCACCCAGGACTAAGTATACATGTAGACAGATTTAATGAAGTAATATAATGGTGATCTGGAATTAGTTCTGATCCAAAAAATCTTCCCTCATTTGATTATTATTGGTACCTCATTTATTTAAATGAAGAAGAACTAAAATTTAATGCAAATATAGTTGAGAGTTGCACTTACTGAATTGGCAAATGTTTACTAAACTCTTAACTGTGCAATGAGCAAGATGCTATAAAAACTGTGTGTAAAATATAGGCCTTGATCAGAGCTAGTCCACAATCCTTTTGCAAAGAGAAGGCTCACACACAGTAAATAATGCAAAGCAGAGTGTGACCAAGGATTAAAACTGATTCCTTTATAAATCCTATATAAAAAGATACAATGTGTATCTTTTAAGAAAAGTCTCGTGGAATCTACTTTGGAAATAATGGTTGAAAGATTATCATGAAGGCAACAGATTGGAAAAACCAAGTGATTCCAAAATAATCCAGGGCCTATGGCCACTGAATTTATGTAAAAGAAAAGTCTAGGAAAGAGCCTGAGAAATGGTTTAAATTTGATTAAGAGGTAAGAACATAGCTTTAATAGAATTGTGTCTGGGGTTTCTGGTTAATGAGGAGAGCCATGAGTCATTTTGCTGAGCATGGCTAGCATAGGAGTTTTAAGAAATAAGGGTGTAGTCCATAAAGGAGGGGGATTAATATGGTTTGGCTTTGTGTCCCCACCCAAATCTCATCTTGAATTGTAATCCCCATGTGTCCAGGGAGAGACCTGGTGGGAGGTGATTGGATCATATTTCCCCTTCACTCTCTCTCTCTCCTGCCACCTTGTGGAGAAGGTGTTTGCTTCTCCTAAACTTTCTGCCAAAATTGCAAGTATGCTGAGGGCTCCCCAGCCATGCCGAAGTGTGAGTCAATTAAACCTCTTTCCTTTGTGAATTACCCAGTCTCAGGTAGTATCTTTATAGCAGTGTGAGAATGTACTAATACAGGGATCATTTGATGACAGACATGTTGATGAAATGAATGGAGAGGCAGATGATATTATAAGAAGTGAAACACCAAGCAGAACAGAGAGACCTGTGCAGAAAACTGCCAACAGTCTTAAGTTGAAAATATCCCCTAAATGAGAGACATCTTTTGTCAATACTTCATGTCAAATAAGCTTGGTAATTTTAGTCAGTTATTAAACATCTAACCAACACTGGGCAAATTATTTTCATTGTTTCCTAGAAGATTTTGGGTGAGGAGGCAGGCATGTAGAGTCCACAAAATAACTATAACTACCAAGGAAGGGAGGATTCCAAGAAGACAAAAACACGACTTACTAAAGAGACTAGCAAATTGTACACAGGATTTCATCCATTGCCCAGCAATGGCCAGCTCTGAGGAGAATGATGTTTGTGGCTTCTTTCCTGTTAGAAGAGTTAGACTGAGTTTAAGACAAAAATAGGTATGCTCCTACCTACCCTATAAAATGAACACAAATAATTCAAGGGTGTAGTGAATGAAAATATTCCCACAATAGCAATGTAGAAAGCAAACTATGCTTTAAATCACAGCAGAAAGAACATGCCTTTGAAACTTTAGGCAATTAATTTTATGAGTCAACCTTTATTGAATTCCTATAATGCGCTGGGTTCTTTCCAGTTTTCTCAGAACCTGAGTTGGATATAACATGTATACAGTGTTTACGTTAATAATATTTTCAGAGATAAAGTTGCATTATGTACCTGGAGCATACAGTTGTAAACATTGTGAATAATATATTCATATATTTACTGATTGATATGGTTTGGCTCTGTGTCCCCATCCAAATCTTGTCTTGTAGCTCTCATAATTCCCACGTGTTGTGGGAGGGAACTGGTGGGAGATAATTGAATTATGGGGGCGGGTCTTCCCCATGCTGTTCTCAGATAGTGAATAAGTCTCACGAGATCTGATGCTTTTAAAAATGGGAGTTTCCCTGCACAAGTTCTCTCTCTTTGCTTGCCACCATCCAAGATATGACTTTCTCCTCCTTGTTTACAACCATGATTGTGAGGCCTCCTTGGCCATGTGGAACAGTAAGTTCATTAAACCTCTTTTCTTTGTAAATTTCCCAGTCTTGGGTATGTCTTTATCAGTAGATTGAAAATGAACTAATACACTGATTAAAGCCCTCATTTCTTCCATTTCAGGGCTAATTTTATACAAGTGTTGAAGCATAAGTTTTTTTCATTTAAGCTATCCTTTTAACTTATTGATTTCTTAACTCAGTGGTTCTCATAATGTGTCTGGGATGCACAGCATCAATTTCACCTGAGAACTTGTTAGAGTTGTAATTTCTAGGCCTTCACTCAGGCCAAATGAGTCAGAACTTGGGGGGGTAGAGTCCAGTGATTTGGGTTTTAAGGAGCTTTCCAGGTGATTCAGACACATACTCTAAAGTTTGAGAAGTATTGCATCACAGCCCAAGGCATGGTGAACTCCCAACTTGCTCTCCTTTTATCCTTTAATATTTGTAATCTCTAGGTTGACATATGTGGCTTCATATCTATATGGACTAGGATTTGTTAAGAGCAATTGTACATATATTGTACATTAACATAATTGGTGTATTTGTATATGTATGTTGCCTTTTTGTTTTTTGTTTTGTTTTGTTTTGTTTGAGATGGAGTCTCACTCTGTCATCCAGGCTGGAGTGCAGTGGTGTGTGATCTCAGCTCACTGCAACCTCCACCTCCCAGGTTCAAGCGATTCTCCTGCTTCAGCCTCCTGGGTAGCAGGGACTACAGTCATGTGGCACCAAGCCTGGCTAATTTTTCATATTTTTAGTAGAGACGGGGTTTCACTGTGTTAGCCAGGATGGTCTCGATCTCCTGACCTTGTGATCCACCCGCCTCGGCCTCCCAAAGTGCTGGGATTACAGGCGTAAGCCACCGCACCCAGCTGTATATGTATGTTGTCTTTCCACAGTGAGTTTATGGGCTTTTTGTAGACTGAGACTATTTCCTACTTTGACATAAATTCGTCGTTGTCAACTTGTTTTTGTGCCTCAGCAGACATTTGCCAATGTCTGAAGAAGTTTTTTATGTCATCATGGAGGTAGATGCAACTGGCATCTGGTGGGTAGCATTCAGTGGTGCTTCTAAATGTCCTATAATAAGCAGGATACTGCCCCACCTCAATAAAATTATCTGGCCCTAAATGTTAATAGTGCCAAGACTGAGAAACCCTTATGTAATCTACACTGCTTAGTAGAGAACTACACATGTATTTTGGTGCTAACCATATTATCACCTTTAATGTAAGACTTCCATTTTAGAAAAAGATCCAAGAGTCAACTTATATTCTTTTCTGTATTTATTATATTAGTCCAAAGCTGTATCTGCTGGCCATTAATGGAAAGAGGAGCTTGGACTTGTTGGTATGTACCTGGGAATAGAATTGGGGCATACCCTTTCTGCGTTTCCCTTGGTTCACATATTTGCAAAAAAGAAACAAAATATCCTCAATAAAATTTTCTCAAAACAAAGCTATCTACCGCAAATGAAGCAGACACAATTTATCGAATGAATAAGGAATAATACAATAGTGTCACATTATCTTATTGGTCAATATACATTATATAATTACACAAAGTTTTGTGTAGTGTATTGGAGATAGAAATCTTTGCTAACAATAATGAATTTCATTTGCAAATTTTCAGCCTAGGCTCTTTTGTGCATGTGTGTATAAATGTTACTTAAAAAGAGTTATGTATTATATATAGTAGAGATCTAGATGTTTCCTAAATATAAAATTTTCCCAATGATTAGCATGCCTGATTAGCAGGGTAATTTTGCTTATTGTCCTTATAAATACAGAAGTGATTCGATTTGTAATAATCTGTCCATGCATCATCTCAACTGCAGGTAATTTAGATGCTTCTACAGCTAAGATGGCCCAAGTATCAATGGCTGTCATACCTTTTCATCAAAGATGCCCATTTTAGTTCCACTTCTAGGAAGGACACTAAAAGGAGAAAGATTGGAAAGAAGATCTACCTGTACTTGGTAACTGACTGAATGCAAGGGTTAACTGGAAGAGAATATAAATCAAGATGACATCCAGGTATCTGATTTGGAAATCTAAATAGAAGATTTTTAAATTCCCTGGCAGAGAAACATGAAAGAGAAGATAGTAAACAAATGAAGCCATTCCTTAAATTAACAAAAATACACGTATGGATTAGAGTCTTATTTTCCTTATTACCAGCCTTCCTGTTTCTGGCTAAACATTCCCCAAAGAGAGGAAGGAGAAGAGACAGGAGACAATGAAATGAAATGTGAAAATATTATTCAAAATTTAAAATACAATTTTGAAAAAGATGCCAGCATCCTCAACAACAGTGTATACTTGCATCCACATGAATGAAAGACAAATGCCTCAGGCTGGTTGCTGCTGGGCTTCTGATTACGGGTGCGCCTGCAGGAAAACCTGTGTATTTCAGGACTGTTTATTAATCATCATGGCCAAAAAAGGACACCTAGTCCTGCTTAAGACATTTTCAGATCTCAGCTTTAAGAACAGCCCATTTTCTTATAACAATGTATGAAGAAGACAAGAGTCCCGAGAGTGTCGCTGTCACAGTCTCTACTGTGAACTTGCATGAGGCATATCAGACTGTAGTAAGTGTGTCTACGTCTATATTATCTAGATCTATATTTATATCTGCATCTAGATATCTATAGGTAGACAAAATAACAAAGACACTTCCACTTTTATGGGCATTAGAATTCATAACATACTTAAAACTTCACCTTTATTAAACAGGCAAAAACACTTTTTCTTAAGGACTTGAAATTCCCCTATTTTTGTCTTTTGGAGTCAGATGTTTTGAATAAATCAAGGAGTTCTCATCACTTTCTTAACATTTCAGGTGATCTGCGTTCAGGAAGGCAGACATTGGAGTAAGGTACTGTTATCTTCTACTAACCCCTATGTGAGTGTACCCATGTTTTCTTGTAGCACCTTATCCATAAGCATCTCCATCCACTCTATACCAACTCCCCTGGGAAAGAAGTTTTTCTATTGTTATTATGTAAAGTGCTTTATTTATGATGAATCTTTTACGCAGATGTATTTTATGATGTGGCAGCATCTCATTGTGAAGCAAATATAAGCAGTCGAATAACAGCAGACCACATCAGACTAAAAATCAAAATATGGCACAGAGGGAGGAAGCCTGTCACACTTTTTAAAGAAAAAAAAAAAGAAAATATTCTGGCAGTTTCCAATTTGAACAGTATTGCACAACTGTTACTCAAAGGAATTCTGCCAAAATAATGTATTTAGTTTACTTTGAACCCCATCATTTATCTTCAACCACATAGCTTATTACAAATGGAACACCATGTCTAGAAGGGATAGGATATCCTGATGGCCTATATACTGTAAGTTACTAAAATCCAGACACCACTTCTGCAAATGATATGTTGCACAAATGCAAATGTCACATTAGACTTTCAAGTCCAATGATAATTTGACAAACAAAACCAGCCACAATATTGTGAGGTGCCAAAGTTGATTCCTATCTCTTGTAACTGCCATATGCCTCAGTTTGTTCACTGAGCACTGGCAACATATCCTTTTTGAAAGGACTTTAATAATGAGAAACATAGTTATCCAGTCAAGACTGTGAGACAGGCAGAAATGTTTCAAGTGCTTCCACTGGGTTTAAATGTCTTGATTTCCAGGGAGTTCATTCACTCTAGCTTAGGGTGAACGAACCCTCAGCACTGTTGACATTTAGTGTCAGATAATTTCTTTTTGCCTGAGCTATCCTGTGCATTGTAGGAGATCCAGCTGTACCCCTAGCCTCTACCCACTAGATATCAATAGTGCTCCTCTGGGTATAACAACCAAAATGTCTGCAGACATCGCCAAAGATCCCCTGGGGGACAAAAGTGCCCCAGGCTGAGCATTGCAGTCTATCGTAAAAAGAAAATAAAAACAGTATCCACACAGTTTGAAAAGTCTTTGCAGGCTAGCTACTCTCTGCATCCTACTTTCCAACCCAAAGTTAGGACAAATATTTCTTTGTTAAGAATGGGAAAGAGTGAGGGAGGTTGTTGTAGAAATTGGTTTGTCATTTCTCAAATAACTCTCCTGTTTGTCAGCAAGCACTTTCTCTTTGCCTAGGTTGAGGGTGAGAAAAATGAAATACAGAATGATATCAATGCCGGGCCATAGCAGAATCATATGCTCCTCATGTAATCTCACCTTTCGCAGGAAAACACATGTTCATGGTGAACGACTCAGCCCAGCTTTGCTGGCCTATTTCCATCTAGAATTTTCACCCCCGTATGTCTCTATAGCTTTCCATACTTATTCCCCCTTCTGTTTTTCTACCCCTTTATGGATTGATGGGAAGCTCTTTGTGGTAAAAACTTCCCAAACGAGTGGGGACCATGCTATGAGAACATGTATTTGCTATAAAGGAGACTAGACAAAAAGCTGGACTTTTCTCATTTTTAAATAGAAATAAACAGCTTTCCTTTTTTATCCATTTATTCAGTCAGCAAATATCCATTAAGTGCTACTCTATGACAGGAATTGTGCTAGAAAATTTCAGAGACAAATTTTTTACCAATAAAAATGACCACAATGCACATCGTGTCTTTTTTTCTAGAAAAAAATCTGCTATTTCATATTTATCCTTTATATGATAAATAATTTACTATTATCAGCAAGTAATAATAAGCATAAAAAATCCTGACTATTTTCTAAGGCTAAAACTTTATACTACATTTTTGTATAGATGATTCCAATATGGTTTGTTTGGTCACACATGTTTTAAGACTTTAAGATATAATCACTATTTTTGCCTTAATTCCTTTCCTTTAAAAAAAAGCAATTAAAAGGAGGAAATCACATGTTCAAGTTGCTTTGGGGACAGTTTCATCAATCATACCTTCAGTGTATCTGAGAAAGGTTAGCAACTCTTGTTCAGAAAATTACAGCACTAATATCTTAAGAGACTTGGGTACATTGACCACAACCATATATATATAGTCACATAATCAATTGACCAACTAGAATTCTACTCTGAACATTGTGGGAGGCAAGTCACTCCAAAGCCATTTTCCTCTACATTCCCTCACATGCCACACTTCATACACCTGCATTCCAGCTTTCTCACTCTCTCCCAAATACTTTCCCATGTGTTTAGTTCTGCTTACTTACAACTTCCTCTTCAGTTTTTTCAATTCCAACCATGGCCATGTTTTCCTACCAATGTCTTATCATGGTAGTATATCCATGGTCCTATTGTGGGTAAAAGCAAATGCTGAAAAGCTGACACAAATAGTCATGTTACACTATTACAGATCATACATGTTTTCAGACTCACTATTTATTTCTAGTGCATATGGGTAGCCTCATTTTAAAGGGGTAAGGTAAAAAGGATCTTGAAGATAGTAGATTATAAGAAAATAAAGAGCTTCCTCAGAGAATGATGATTTTCCATGTCTGTCATATAAAGTAGTATTCATTTCTTAACCTTAAGTGAGTGATTATTTCTCTGTCTTTACAATATATTTACAAGCTCAACCCATAATCTTTCACCAAATTGTTTTCCAATTTTATTTCTGGAAATCTAGGAAGATTTCTGAGATCCAAGGTAGATTCTGTGCATTCAGTTAATTTTTCTATAAGAATAGCATCCTCTGGTTAAAATTCTCTGATATCTCTTAGCTCTAGAGCTGTCACTGTTAGATTGCATTGTTCAGTCAATTTTTGATAACCATTTGTCAATCTTGTAATTATTAAGTGTTACAATGCTTATGATTAGCCCAGTACATTTGCTGAAATTAATCACGTCCAAATCAATATCAATGGCATAGTTAGACATACACCTTACTGCATTAACAGTCCCTTAGGCAGCTCACTTAGCTAAGTTGGAAGGACCAATAGAAAGGAAAATTAATCTCAACTTTAACTTGTCCTGTATTACAGCACTTGGATAAAGTTTAATAGATATCAATGATGATACATTTGAGCAGTGAGACTATCAGAAACCCTTTTCTAAAAAATAAGCTCACCAAAATGAAGGAAAGAAAACTTCAAGAGAGATTTAAAATTTCAAAAGAAATCCTTTTTTCTCAAAATTCTTGCTTATTTCCTGTTCTTGACCACACCTATTAAAGTTGTAAATGCTCCATGTTAGAAATGTATGAAGGTGTCCTATGTTTATGTTTTTAAGTAGATTTTTATTATAATCAAGATCAACAGTGATATGTCCAGATTTATTATAGTGAAAATGAAATGTCTTCCAGCTCTTGATCTTTTTTCTTCCTGTTTTCTTTCCTTCCTTTCTTCTGTTTTTCTTTGTTTTCCTTTCTTTCTTCTGTGTTTCTGGCTCTCTCAGAATATTAGATACGTTTATTTTATACGAATTTAAGAACAATTGTAATGATGAGCCTTGCTTTCTTTCTAAAGAATAGGGTTTGGGCTGTGCGTGGTAGCTCACATTTGTTACCCTAGCACATTGGGAGCCCAAGGCGGGAGGATCAAGAGTTCAAGACAAGCCTGGGCAACATAGCAAGACTCTGTCTGTACAAAAATTACAAAATTTAGCCAGGCATGGTGGCATGAACCTGTAAGTCCTAGCTACTTGGGAGGATGAGGCAGGAGGATTTCTTGACACCAAGAATTCAAGATTGCAGTATGCTCTAATTGCATCACTGTACTCCAGCCTAGGTGACAGAGCGAGACCCTGCCTCCAAAAAAACAAAGAAAACAAACTAGAATAGGGTTTCAATTTATTTTTCCAGATTATTACTCCTTTGCATTGGCTCGGAAACTTTTGTTGCTCTCTTATAAAAGGGATAAGAAGTTAATATACTGTTTCAGTAGACATTTATTGAATGATTTTTATGTGCCTCAAACTTTCTTTAGTACTCGACATTCATTCAGCAAAGTGTGCAATAAGCACTATAATGATCTTTGCTTTACAGATAAGGAAATTGAGACATAAAAGAGATAACTTGTCCAAATTATACATAGCTATCAAGTAGCAAAGCTGAAATAATACCTCATTTCTATGTAACTTTGAAGTTTGTTTTCTTAACTGCTATACTTTGAGGCCTGAAGAATTTGTCTTTTGCAAGATCATGCAGATTATGAACAATGAAACAACAATTTGAATACAGATATTTGGACTCCAAAGCCAATGCTTTTCACCACCATAATACCTTGCTCCAGGAAAATTATGTTTGCTGATATAAAATAATACATGTGGAAGCTGTATGTGATGCCTACAATTGCGCTTTTGGGTTATCACACCTGCATTTTTCAATGTAGAAACCACAGAGTCTATTTATTTGTAATTTGTAGCCAAGACTTATATTCTACTTTCATGTAAAATCATCATTTTAATAACATAACTTGTTTATTTTTCCAATATTAGGAGGGTGAGGGGAAGCTTAAGAGACTGAAACATACCTGCAATATTTTTCTATAAAATGTGTAATTCCATAACAATTAGAAAAATTTAACAGAAATTATTATTCTTATATCTTCATGGTTTGTGCCTTCTTTTTTATATCTTGGGAAAAATGGTTGTTCCCTTGAGAACTAGAGACAGACCATCAGTCAATCAAAGCCACTGACTCTCAGATCCTGCAGCATCGTTAGGTGCTGACCTAGTCCGGTTGTGTTCCCATCCACCGCCTTCATTTGCTGTCATTCTTTCTCTGGGTTCCAGCCCAGTGAGATATGGCAGAATAGCACAACAAGCCCAGGAAGCCAGAAGGATTGGAAAGAAAATACAAATCTACCTCTTATTAACTGTGTGATTTTGAATAAGCTTATTAACTTTTCTCAGGCTCCATATCCTAATTTATAAAATTGAAATGTTCACTCCTACCTACAAGGTTGTTTTGAAGAGCAAATGAGCACAGTTCTGGCAATATGGTAAGAACTCAATTCATGCTATGTTATCTTCTCCCCTCCTTCCACTTCATTTATATCCCGTTTGGTATGCTATTTGTATCAGCGCCATATGCAGACACATGTCCTTCCCAGACCCTGAAGGAATATGATTCATTCTCTCTAATTATGTCCTCCTAGCACTGTGTACATAACTCTATAATGGCATTATATTGTCTTAGAGTTATTGGTTATGTGTCTCTTTTGTCCACTAGTCTATGAGCTTCATGAAAAGAAAGCTTAGCTCTTTGTTAGTTGTATCTCGATCATTTACAACAGTTCATGGGACATAGCAGCCAAAACATAAGTGTTTGCTAAATGAAAATGAGGTCATTTACCTTTTTTAGTCTTGGTTTTCTTATGATTAAAATTACATCATGGATCTGGCCTTTTAACTTTACAGGATTTCAGTGAGAGTCAAATGAGACATGATTATGATTAATAAAATAATTCCAAATATTCAGTTATAATAACATCTAATTGGGCATTCAATACAGAATATTTCAAAAGTAGCATGCTATTCATTGTCACAACATGCACTTGCACTGTTCTGTCTTATATGATTTAGTACGTTAGGTACAGGGCTAAACTTTGGCTCATATCTCTTGTAGTGGTCATCCATTCCATAACGTCAACCTTCGGTTATTCCAAACACATTTTTGCTTTTGGAGAAATTCTGTCATTAGTAAGATATTCATTGATTTATGCAAGACTGTTTTCTCATGTAAATAAATAAATTAAGAAGAACTAAAAGTATATTTTTTGAAGTCCTATGGCATTTTCATTTTTCAAGTGCTTGATTAATTTTAGAAGGTAACTCCAAACATTTTTTTTTAATGTACATCAATTTGTGCAACTGTCTGAGACTAAAAACACAAGAGAACATTTTTCCCCCTGTGGAAGATAAGGGTACAGGTGGGTTCATGAACCAGATAGAGTGTCTAAAGACCAAAAGGAAACTGAACAATGGAATATGTTTTCTTCCTTATCCAAACCAATCGTTAGCACTTGCCCCAAACTGTTAAATACTCTCTGTGGACAGTTCTACCTCAGGAAGTATGTAGACTATTCCCACGACTTTGAAAGCAGAACCTTCCCTCACTGAGACTGCTCTTTCCAATCATTCAAGTTTCCCATGAAATATCTTTTCTGAAATCTTTCCTGATTACCCTACCCAGTATACATCTCCCCTCATTGTTAGGATTCACTTGCTCACTCTCTGTCACTCCTTGGAATCTCTTTTCTTTTCTTTTTATCTTTCCTTTCCTTTCCTTTCGTTTCCTTTCCTTTCCTTTCTTTCTTTCTTTCTTTCTTTCTTTCTTTCTTTCTTTCTTTCTTTCTTTCTTTCTTTCTTTCCTTCTTTCTCTCTCTTCCTTCCTTCCTTCCTCTCTTTCTTTTTTCTTAATTTCTTTCTTTCCTTTCTTTCTTTTCTTTCTTTCTTTCTTTCTTTCTTTCTTTCTTTCTTTCTTTCTTTCTTTCTGTCTTCTTTCTTTCTTTTTCTTTCTCTCTCTCTCTTTCTGTCTTCTTTCTTTTTCTTTCTCTCTCTCTTTCTTTCTGTCTTCTTTCTTTCTTTTTCTTTCTCTCTCTCTCTTTCTTTCTTTTCTTCCTTTCATCCTTTCTTTTTCTTCTTTTTCTTTCTTCTCACAATAATATAAGAACTATGTGGACATCAGCACTGCCTTTCATTCATTTCTGAATTAAAAATAGCATGAAGAGTGTCTGGCATATGTAGATACCAAAAAGTAGTTGTTGAAAAAGAAGTGGGTCAGGTGCAGTGGCTCATGCCTGTAATCCTAGCACTTTGGGAGGCCGAGGTGGGCAGATTGCCTGAGCTCAGGAGTTTGAGACCAGACTGGGCAACACAGTAAAACCCCGTCTCTACTAAAATACAAAATATTAGCCAGGCGAGGCAGTGTGCGCCTCTAGTCCCAGCTACTCGGGAGGCTGAGGCAAGATAATTGCTTGAACCTGCCAGGGAGGCAGAGGTTGTAATGAGCTGAGATCGCACCACTGCACTCCAGCCTGGGTGACAGAGCAAGACTCTGTCTCAAAAAAAAAAAAAAAAAAAAAAAAAAAAAAGAGTGAATGAATAAGTGAATGGAAGAGTTTCACTGAATAAAAAATAGAGGCAAAAAGAATTGTTTCTGCAACCTTCATTTAAAACTCATTCATAGCTGGGTAAATATCAAAGTCAAGCTGTTTCTTCTCTTGGTAATGAGGTTTGTGCAAAGCAGCATGTTACTCTTCATCTTGCGAGTCCTCCTCTGTGAAAAACTTTAACATCATCGACAAATGTCCTTAGGCAGATCCACCTGACCAGTGTCTTTTAAAAAAAGGCTTATTTGCACAATTTTGAAATTGTATTTTCAAACTTTATTTCTCCTTAGAAATGTACATTTATGCAAACAGAGACACTGGTATAAATAGTTTGATATATTTTTTTTCCCTAAAAGCATTCTGGAAGGAATCCAGAAAAGCATAGAAATGTGGCATTGTTTGAGTTATAATTTTAGGTTTCCTGATCTAATTGTCAATGATGTTATTGCCAGAATGACATTCATTTGAAGGTGAACCCAGAAGATCATTCAGATAAACTATAGGAAATGCATTATGGGTTATTCTTACACATGTGCACACACACACACACACACACACACACACACACACATATCCAATGACAGCATGTATTCAAAATTAATCAGAAATAAAATGAAAGTAATACATAGTATGACTCCTACTTGAATATTTTTAAAATATGGAGTTTTCTAACCAATCTTCAGTCTCTTCAAATAGTAAGTTTTGTATTTTCATGTATATATAATTTGAGCCTACCCCTGTTTCCTTCAATGAAGAAAAGGGCAAGCCATATAACTCTTAGTTGAGCTCTCTTCTTCATCCTTTGGTATAGCTGGACTTGTCTTCTTAGAACCTCAGTACTAGCCCTTTTGCTGGATCAGAGCCCTAGCCAGATGGTTGCTATTAACTCCAACTGTTTTTAAAAGACAGCAGTTACCATGTGGATGGAGATATTCCAGGGCTGTTCTTAGAGAGCTAAGCAGCCACGTTCATTACCAAGGAATGAAAATACCAAGTTTAACTTTATTTGTCCTATAGTAGATTGTAGAAAGTTGCTTTAGTCACAGACTGCAGCCTGCATCTCCATGTGGAGGGGCCTCTGATTATGAATTGCACAGTCCTGCAGGTCCAATGTCAGGTGAGGCAGTGGATGCAGAAAGTCACAGGTTGCTACCTAAGTGTTAGGACTAAGGAAAAAGAAGTTCTGTCAAGCCTCATGAGAGATGTTGGCTTTTATTGCAAGGAGGTCCCAGATGCTTCATATATTTTATCCCATTTTCACTATTTTTTCTACTACTACTATTACTGCTATTAACACTAATGCCATCACCACAATTACATGTGTCCACTTTGTGCAAGATATTATTCCAGGACATTTATATGCATTCATTTGCACTTTAATTCCCCCTAAAACAAACAAGGTAGATATTTTGCACAATTGATGGATGAGGAAACCGAGAGTTTCATATACAGCCAATGAAGTGTAGACATAGAGCTAGGACCTCAGTCCAGTAAACTAGCACCCAAAGACTGGTGTTCTCCCACAGATGTATTCCATTTGTACACAAGGCCCTACAGATAATGCTCTGCTGTGCCTTCCAACTTTCCAATCTTGTCTAGTTAATAAAAAAGTAATATTCTAAAGTGGACATATTGATATCACATTTCCAGGAAATAATTCCAAGATGATCTTTAGTTTTCCTGTATTTATCACCGTTTGCAGTTTTCTTTTATAACACAGGGATTATATACCTCTGTTATCTTAGAGGAAAAAAAAAAACACAAAAAAAGACAATTGCATTTTCTGTGCATCAACTAAAGGGAATAAAGAGGTTATTTTCACCTTCTTTATGAGCAGAAGATGGTCAGGATCTCAGATTCTCCTATTTGCATATGCAAGAAGGAATTCAAGCTGCGTTTGTCAGCACTGACCCACTCAAGCCCTGTAAACCTAACCAAGTATCACACAGTCAAGTTCAAAGAGAATCATTAGAGAGAAAACTTTGAGGACGGCAAAAAAAATCAAAAGTGACACATTTGTGATGAATTAATTTTGAATGAGGATAGAGATACTGATGAGGTAAAATGTAACAGAAATAAATTAAAGTACTTGCCTTGAAGTTCGTTGATGATGGGACAATTCCAAGGTGTACTATCCATGCTTTTATTAATTACCGAGTAGTTGGGAGAAAAAAAGTTTAAGCATTTTACTAGCAAAAAACTCTTCCAGAGTAGAACATTTTGTAACAATAGCAAACAAGTAAATGTAGGTGGCATAATATTTTGGGAAATAGTTTTATGGCACCATAGGTGCTATTATCTAAGATATCCAGCAGGAAACTCAGCAGCCAGCAAGAGGTCCCCCACATTTTTGTGTATAGACTGAAATGTGGTCACTAACAAAATGACCGAGGGATGTCTAGCCAGTTATTATGCCCTCATTTGCTTAGAAATTTTAAGTTTGAATCTTGACACATTTCTTTCTTAGATGAGTTGATAAGAGAAATTACAGTCATAGCAGCAATGCTTCTCTTTTGAAGTATTGTCCTTGTGTAAATAGGTTTTTATATGGCGAGAATTTTAAGAATTTTAGATGTTTTCTTTTATTTGAAAAACCTTATCCTATTGCCAGTAGGCAGTATTTAATATTGCATATTCTGTTTCTATGATGAGAAATTATTAAAGTTAATGAATCTATCTAGATCCTTAGGCTTCATTACACACAAACACACACACACACACACACACACACACACACTTCATCAGAAATAAATATGATAGAGACTCTCCCCTTGAATTTGAAATCTCATTTCCTTGATTTTCCAAAAAAATTTCTATTGTAATAAACATGGTAATGTGGAAGGGTAGAATAGAAAAATAAAAAATGGCATGCCCTCATCTAAATTTATATTCTAATTTATTTAAAAACTGAAAAGGATGTCCTTGTTTTGTTGAGTTTCTGTTAGGATGCAGTCACTAGGCACACCTTACTGTTTATAAAACGTTAAAGTAGATCTATTGATGAAGAGGTTATATCTCAATCTGTGGACTTAGTTTTTGTATGTGTTATTGGGTCAGGGTGAGGTGGTGGAAGAGGTCCAGATGCCTGGATATTCTGTTGTGTCCTCTTCTGAAATACCTGTAACAGAAACACATCTGAAGAGATGCCTAAGGAATTTAGGACACTCCATTCTCTCTTTTCCCAAAGACAGGAGAGCGGGAAGGCCAATCTTTAGGTCGATAAGTCATGCATTACCTTGTTAACTCTGCTTACTGGATCACATTTAAATTTCTACTTTTCTCTTTTAGGGGGTAAAGCTGGTTGATGAAGATTGAGTCACTTGACTGGCTCTGCTATCTTTTACTAAGTCAGCCGTAAGGAATCTGTCACTTCTCTTCAGAATGTGAGGGATAGTGAACTCTATTATTTTTCCATCTTTGCGGTATCTGCAGAAATCTGAGACACAAGACTCTTAGCCCAAAGGTTGATGGAAGGTAAAAGAGTCCATATATTGTGGGTTTTGTCTTGTTTCCCATTTCTAGCAGACTAAATTTTATTGCCAGCTAAGTTCTGTTAACATATTTTTTATTCCCTGTACAGAAAGCCATGAAATAGTTGGCAAAAAGATTAATTTATATCACCTCTTTGAAAGGCAATGAATGAAGAAGAGAGAAAATTTCTAAAAGTAGGAAATAATACTTTCTGGGCCATTGGTCAGGATTTTCCAATTTTCAGTTATTTCAGTTATTGTATAGAAAAGCGTTGAATGTAGGCACATTGTAAGTAAGTTTTAGTGTATTTAATGGATCTGAAAACCCCTTGAATTCCATTTATGCACTCTTCCGTTAGTATTTTAAGATTCTAATTGTGTTCCCACAATGAGTTATTCTATATCAGTCGCTGACAGTTGACAATCAGTGTGGCTTAGAAATGAACATTTTTTACCTATCGAATTAGGCTTTGTTTATTTAATAATTGCTACATGAAAGACACTGACAAAAGTAGTTTGATCACAATGTGGATTTCCAGAATCTGCTTCTCATTATAAAACATTTCCAGAGGCCATTAGGCGAAATACTGGGGATTTGCAGTGCAATAGATAAGCAACAGGTTCAAAAGTCTATATTTTAAAGTTGCCTGGAAAATTTCATATTCCTTTTAATGTAATATTCTTTAGATCTTTCTGTTCACATGGACTGACTGAGATGCACAGTTGTGTAGGCAGTAGAAAAATTGTATTCTTTTTTTCCATTATGATGTATTGTGGCTGACTGGCACGATTCAGAAAAGCAATGTTATTCTTAGCAGCCTTCTGAAAGCAACGGGTAGTACGTACATTTAGGTAGTGAAATTTTCCGAAGTTCGAACTCACAAAATATGGTGACCTTTACCTTCCAAATACTTATTTTAAATGTCATAATCAGTTTCTTAATTATGTAGATTAAAAATATAGATCTATACCAATCACAAATCCTGACTCCAGTAAGTAGACCATCAAGTGCAATGTAAACAAAGTTTCAAAATAAGGATACTAAAAATTACAAAGTTAATGTTGTCTCACAGGACTTCAGGCAAATACATTCAGACAGAAAAATAGCAGCTTTACCTAACACTTCCCAGGGGAACAAAGATGAGTGTTTTTGAAGTCTAATATAAAAGACAAATATTTTAAAAACATTACTGACTAGACAGTTTCTGAGAAAGGTGGACAATTGCAAGCAATCATTAAAATTATATTTAATGAGACAGGAATGACAAAAAAAAAGGATAATTTCAATATATCAGACAATGGTAAATATTTCCCAGTATCTCTGGTATGCAGTTCATCACGCAAGGAAGAATATCAATAAGAAGTTGTTGACTGAATAACTGCATGACTTTTCTCTTGCTGGGTTGAGTGTCTCAGAGTCAAGGTCCATTTACTCATACTCTTTTGTGGCCCAGCATCTGCTGAGGGAGAGAAGAGTACGTTAACACACTGAAAGAGTGACATAGGCCTGCTTGAGACATCTGCAGAAGCAAATAGAAAAGAAGGGAAAAGCTGATACAACAGTTCTGTTAAGATGGCAAGCATTCATAAAATTGAGAATTAAAACAATATGAGGCACTCAGAAAACCTTGCACATTGACAGGTAAAAGTACAAAGTTTAGCTTTCACATGATCAAAATTGTGATACTAAGGGGAATAAAAGATGTTGGAAGATGTCTC
Source organism: Homo sapiens (assembly GCF_000001405.40). Taxonomy (NCBI): domain Eukaryota; kingdom Metazoa; phylum Chordata; class Mammalia; order Primates; family Hominidae; genus Homo; species Homo sapiens. The sequence goes on along the minus strand of NC_000014.9, from coordinate 86,445,980 downwards.
CACAGTTTGGATGGTCATCAAACTGTTGTTTTCCTGAATTTGTTTATATTGTTCTATAGTAATGCACACAAAATCCATCCAAGTGATCTCTGATTCTAAACACTTAGTATGTTCAGAAAAAAAAAAAAAATTCTTAGTATACACAATAAGGGGACCCGAGAGCAAACATCTTGTTTCCAACTTCATCTTCTGGTTTCATCCATATACTTTAACCTAAATAGAATAATACTAAAATGCAAACAAGCAAACACAAAAAACCTTACTGGTTTATAAAAGTCTAGGTACATGCATGTGGCTTCTATTGTCATCATTATGAACATTCTGCCTATAACGTGTAGAACATCAGACATGTAAAATAATTTAAGGCTCATTTGCTAGGAAAGTCTGTTGACTCTGACTGCTAGTTAATGTCATGACTCATTTATAAGTGAGAATTGCTTATTTATATCATTGAAAGAAGGCAACACTTTGTATGAATCCTTTCCCAGAGTGAAGATAGGGAAAGTGATATGAGAGACAGCAGAAAAATAAGAGCATTGCATTATCTATATTTCTTTATTTAATACAACTTGAAGAGTTAGGTATGTTGTAAAATTGAAGCAATATCATGCTGTCTGCCAAGCTAGTCTTCAAAAAGATTCTTAGGGAATTGGCTGGTTCTAGTAAAATTAAACTTGGGAAACCATATGGTCTCTACACTTCAATGCCTCAACTATCACTATTCCTTTTACCTATAATCTCATTTTCTTCACACTTCTTTCCTAGCTGTTGGCAGCCTAGTCTTCTTTCCATCTTTGGCTTCAGTATGTGCTCCATTGCAAAGCCTATCCTGGTACCTTTATGGACAATAAATATTTGTGTATACACGTATGCTAAAAACAATGAACTTCATTACCCCCGAAGCCCCTTTTAAACACTGTCTTCAATTAACTGGTACTACATTTTATTTATCTGTGTAGGCATGAGGGGGTGAGAGCCATAGTCAATATCTAACAAAATGTCTGGCACATATGAAGCATGTATTCAATAGTTATTTAATGGAAGACTATGCAAAGGAAATAGGGTTTAGATTTAGTTATATCCTAATATATATCCCAGCTCTATCACTTAAAGTTATGTGCCCTTTTATTTAAAGTGAGGATATAATATTTATTTTTTTGGAGAATTTAGGGATAATTAATTGCTGAAAGATATGTATACATACTATATATGTGTGTATATATTTATATAATTTACATATATGGATCCCCAATTATTTGTAATACCACTAGGATATATGTTCAATTATATTCAAATCAGAATTTTTACTATTTTTTTTGCATAGTTGTTCACGTAATAAACATTAATTAATTGCCTTCTATGTGTGCAAGGCATTTTGTAAGGTATCGGACATATTCACCATAATTGAGGCTTTGTATCATTAATTAATTGAGAATTAATATGTACATATGTAATATATGCATATATGTATCATCCTCAATTAAGTACAATCCTGAATTAATTAATATGTAATCAATTACATATTAATATATAATTAATTGTATATATAATTACATATATAATTATATATATAACTATATATAATTTAATATATAATTATTTGTGATATACATTTAATTGTATATAATTTAAATATATAATTATTATATACATTTATTATATATATTATTTATATGTATTTATGTATTATATATAAATATATAATATTTATATATATATATAAAAAATATATATAATTATATTTAAATATATATATTATATAATATATAATATATAATTATATTTAAATATATATATTATATAATATATAATATATAATTATATTTAATTATATATATTTTTATATATATTTTATATATATAATTAAATATAATCATATATTATATATAATAAAATATAATCATATATTATATATAATCTATGATAAATATATCATATATTATATATAATATATGGTAAATATATATAATATATATTATAATATATATTATAATATATAATATATAATATATAATATACAATTATATAATATATTATAATATATAATATATAATATACAATTATATAATATATTATAATATATAATATATAATATACTATTATATAATATAATATATGATATATAATATACGATTATATAATATATTATAATATATGATATATAGTATACGATTATATAATATAATATATGATATATAATATATGATTATATAATATATTATAATATATATACGATTATATAATATATTATAATATATAATATATAATATACGATTATATAATATAATACATAATATACGATTATATAATATAATACGTAATATACGATTATATAATATAATACGTAATATACGATTATATAATATAATACGTAATACATATTATATAATATACGTAATACATATTATATAATATAATACGTAATACATATTATATAATATAATACGTAATACATATTATATAATATAATACGTAATACATATTATATAATATAATACGTAATATATATTATATAATATAATATATAATATATAATATATGATTATATAATATATAATATATGATTATATAATATAATATAATATATAATATATGATTATATAATATATTATAATATATAATATATAATATATGATGGTATAATATATTATATATGATGGTATAATATATAATATATGATTATATAATATAATATATAATATATGATTATATAATATAATATATAATATATATAAGCAGGAAGAGAATATAAAAGTGAACTTCACTTTGAGCACAGCTCTCAGAGTGTGCAGTGAGTATTGAAATGGAAGGTAACAGTGTCGTCATATAATGTTTAGTGACCATGACCTGTGACTAGCATTTGTTTTGAAGTCTTCCCATGTCTTAACTCATTGAATCCTAAAAAATCCCTCATGCAGTAAGTGTTATGAGTATTCCCATTATTAGAGACTTGTATAAATTAGAAAACTGAGGCAAAATTGCTGTGTCAAATAGCTGGTAAACGGCAGAGCTGAAATTTGAAACACAGAGAGTCACTAGGACAAACTGCTTCTCTATTGCAGTCTTATAATTTAAATAAATTGACAATTTCACCAAAATAGACACTTTCCTAGAAAAACAATTATTAAAAGAAAAATAAGTAGCAAATCGTTTTAGAACAATACCGTGGTAACATGGATGAGAGAGGAAGAGAAAGAAAGATAATCTGAGTAGGGAAAAAAAAAAAAAAAAAATAGGGCCCAGACAGCTTTGTAGCATGGTTCTAGAAAATGCCTACATGTCATGGCTAATATTGAATGTCAACTTGATTGGATTGAAGGATGGGAAGTATTGTTCCTGGGTGTGTCTGTGAGGGTGTTACCAAAGGAGATTAACATTTTAGTTAGTGGACTGGGAAAGGCAGAAGCCCCCTCAATCTGAGTGAGCATCATCTAATCAACTGCCAGCGCAGTCAGAATAAAAGCAGGCAGAAGAATGTGGAAAGACTAGACTGACTAAGTCTGCTGGCCTCCATCTTTTTCTCTTGCTGGATGCTTCCCGTCCTCAAATATCAGACTCTACATTCTTCAGCTTTCGGACTCTTAGATTTACACCAGTGATTTAGGGGCTCTAGGGCCGTTGGCCACAGACTGAAGGCTGCACTGTCAGCTTCCCTATTTTTGAGGTTTTGAGACTCGGACTGGCTTCCTGGCTCCTCAGCTTGCCGACGGCCTATTGTCGGACTTTACCTTGTGATCCTGTGAGTCAATTCTCCTAACAAGCTCCCTTTCATATATACATCTACCCTATTAGTTCTGTCTCTCTAGACAACCCTGACTAATACACTATAGAATAAATAATGTTCATAGAATGTAAGCATTCTTCCAGATCTTTTAAAGGCTTGATAAATAACCTAGGTACTTGAATGAAGCTAGCATAATTCTCATAGAAACTCAGACAAGATAACAGAAAGACACATACACACATAGACATGAAGCACACACACAGGCATGTGCTAGGTTTTATACACAAATTTATAGGTCCCATCCCTGTGAGTTGTGATGCGGAAGTTCCATATAAAAGACAAGAGAGTAGAATTCGAAAGCCTGTTAACTGAAAATCTAAGAAGTTTACATGCCCATAGAACAGATGTGAATTTGCCCTGGCAATATTCAGGAGCGTGAATAATCTCATGTCTTTATTTTTCTAAATCAAATTAAAGCTGACTCCACACTCCACTCAGTCATCATCACCCACTCCCTCTGCCCCCCGAATCCCAAGGTATCACATAAAAAGCCTAGTGATGACATGTTCTGAGATCAGGAATGGCTCCAATCCTTTCATCTTAGTGGCCTCCATTTTTCCTCTTGCACTATGTGTTTTTAAGTACACTAGCCTTAGGCTTCCTCTAAAGATGGATGTTCCAGGCAGCTAAGCCATACCTTCCTGCCATTCAGCCACTCATAGCCTATGTTCAGGACACTCCATCAGGACCCTAAAAATTTGGGTGCTTGGTGAATTTATGTTCCACATGCCACTTCCATCCATGCTTCTGTATCTTCCATTGTGTGGAAAGCAGGTTCCACCTCTGAATAAAAACCACTGGACTTCATTACTTCCTCCCTCCATTGTCCACAGTATATCTGGCCATTCCTCTATTCCTATCTCCTAGCAGCCTTTCTTCAGCATTAAGGATCCACTCTGCTTTTATTTCTTGATTTCTACTGTCAAAGTCACACCTCAGTAGGTATTTTCTTTGACTCAGCCCCTAAAACAGGAAGAAGGTATTGGGCTGGTGGGTGGAAGTATGAAGATGGAAATGACTATACCTTAGAGTTCTAGATTTGCTCTGTTTTCTAGAAAGGGGAGAAAGAAAAAGGACAATTGGCTTTTGTAATCTTTCTCCCCTACAACAGCAAGAACACATCAAAAATTAGGCTGATGCCTGTAATCCCAGCACTTTGGGAGGCCGAGGTGGATGGATCACCTGAGGTCAGGAGTTCCAGACCAGCCCGGTCAATATGGCCAAACCCCATCTCTACTAAAAATATAAAAATTAGCCAGGTGTAGAGGCATGCATCTGTAATCCCAGCTACTTGGGAGGCTGAGGCAGGAGAATCGCTTTTACCTGGGAGGCGGAGGTTGCAGTGAGCCAAGATCTTACCACTGCACTCCAGCCTGGATGACAGAGCAAGGCTCTGTTTCAAAAAAGAAAGAAAAAAAGTAATAGTAGATTTTCCTAACACACTAGAAATGAATAGTTTAGTATTAGTAAAGACATTAATATAGTATATCACATCAATATGTGAAATATACAATAATCATATGATTTCTGAATAGATGTTCAACATAAAGGCCTTATAATCTAACACCCATTTTTGGAAAAAGGCTTAAAAAATAGAATTGAACATGTGAAAATCATGTTAAATTAAAATCCAACACCACCATTAGTGGTGAAACACTACAGACAATCTAGCTTAATACTGCTGTTATTATTAACTCTCTTAACTATGTTATTATTAATGTTACTATTATTAACTATAATAGCTATTAGCTTATTAACTATTATAACTAGATTGCATCACAACTCACAGAGATGGGACCTATAAATTTGCATATAAAACCTAGTATATGCATGTGTATGTGCTTCCTGTCTATGTATGTATGCGTCTTTCTGTTACGTTATCTGAGTTTCTATAATGCTGCTATTATTAAGCTAGATTGTCTGTAGTGTTTCACCACTAATCATGGTGTTGGTTTTATATAATGGTTAATTTAGTGTATAATGGTTTTATATATATATATATATATATATAATGTTTAATAGGCTAAGATGTAAAAGAAATCACTGCAGGGATTGGTGATGGCACTAGATCATTGTGGTCCTGGAATACCACAAACATAAACAGACAATGCAGTGGCTTTAAATTCATAGAGATGGAAGTCTTCATACATGAAAAGATATGCAGTGCAGGCTTCATGGATATGTGGCCTTTGCAGTGACACAGGGCCTTGGGCTTAGAAGGGCTTGTGCTTAGGTTAATGCTCTCCTGTTGCCATCTTGAAATTCTTGATAATTTTTGAACAAGAGGCTCCACACTTTCCCTTTGCACGGGGGCCCATATATTATGCACCATATCCTGGGCCCTTGCTTAATAATGGAGATCTGAAAGGCTGTGATAATCTTCCCTGGATAGCAGCTGAAATGGAGCTACTAATCCAGGGTGGAGGACTACCAGATGTTCTTAAAATCTGGGTCTGCCCTTTACTTAACAGTGGTCTAGGAATTGGAATATTAAAACCTCATGGACAAAGAAAGCAGGGTCACTAATATTAGTAGTGGCACTGAGCTAAGTGATCTCAGCAAATAGTAAAAATAAAGCTATTTATAAAGCTCCAGACAATTATCATTGAAAATAAAATTTTGTCAGGAAACTCCATGACTAAGTATAAAATATGTAACAAAGAACCAATGTACACCTTACCTTGCAAAATGTAAACAAAGAAATAACAAAGAAACATATAGAGGAGTTGGCTAGATACAAATGAAAGCATTCTGTGTGACAAAAATTATGCAACTAAACATACTGTAAAATATCACACAGGTGTTGCACACATATACTACAGATGGCTAATATTTCAGCAATAGTAACATGTATCTAGAACTAAAAAATATGTATATATTAAGGCAGCAAATTCCATTGTACAAATATACTGTGATAGTATGGACCATAGGTTTGGTAATCAGTTAAACAGGGTCCAATCCTAGCCCCACCAATTTCTGGCTGTGGAATCTTTATTTGTACCTCAACATCTTTATCTATAAAATGAGGAACATATTATTCCCTCTTATGATGGCTGTTGTGGGGATCAAGAGAGATAATACGAGGAAAATATTTACCATGGTGACAAAATGAACACTTGGTAAGTGTTATCTGCTGTGTAACTAATATTAATGTTGTTACTGATATTATTATTAGTTTCAAAAGAAAATGATCATATATGTGATGAAAGATGTATTTTTAAATATGTGACGCTAACTTTACTTATTGTATTTTATTTTCTGAAACAAAATATTCTATATATCCAAGAAAGTTAGTTACATGCTTTATGACACTTATAAAAATAAAAAAGTTATAGCTTTAAAAATTATCTTCAAATAGCATACTACTTAGATACAAAATATATTTTAGTATATAAAAGTAATATTTTAAAGGTTATATATTTTAATATACAATAATATACAAAGTGGTCTTCATTGCTACCTCTCAATCTATAAATTTTAAATATGAATAAGAGAAAAGACATTAAATAAATTATCAAAGATGATAATTTCCTACTGGTGAGGTATGTCATTCTTATTTTATTGTTTTTACTCTCTTGCTTAAAAAAATCTAAGTGAGCTTAAAAACATTCTACTTGAAAATAAAAGTATTTTTGAAATAACTTCATACATTGTAAAAATGGCACACTTGCACATAGGTATTCAAGATTTTTTAAGAAAAAAAAGCCCTCTTTGAAAGTAATATTCAGAGAAGATTACTGAAAGTAGGATTATTGGGGAAAGTGAGTAGTCCTAATAAAACTCAGGAATATTATCTTCAGGATATCGGGTAATTGTGAGAATCTGAAAGTACTGTCTATTACATTTAAACTCAGTAGAGAAAATTGGAAGTATGTTAAATTAGTCTAATATAGTAAAATAAGTATAGTTTTAAATTATTACTGATTTTAAAAGTAAGTCTCTGCATTCTGTGTTAGTTTGAAATTCTGCTAAGCCTTTCATGATAAATATTCTTGGTTTGGCCTTAAAATGTACATATCACTTAGTGTTAAAATGCGGAATGTGGAGCAGTCACACAGATGGTGAAGCACTGAGCAATCTTTCAAAGGGAAAAAGTTATAAACACAAGTACCAGGCTATTGCAGAGGTCATCAATAGGTGATATTTAAAAGAAAATGTGTGAGTTTATGGGGAATTTTGTTTCTCCCAGAAAGGTTTTCATGCCTCCTGTTCTTATCATCTATATCAAAACTTACAGAACAGCAAGTTAGTTTAGTTTTCTGCTTAAGAGAGTGTGTTAAAGTCAGTTATTAATTTAAATTCTTGTTCTTCCACTTAGTAGCTCTATAACTTCAGGTATGCTATGTGAACTTATCTAGCCTAGCCTTTTGTTTTTTATTCTTTAAAATAAACACACAAAATGTACTTACTTGAGTAGAATAATAATTAAAATAATAGGGTATATATAAAACACTCAACACAATACTTTTTACAAAGATTATTATTATAATATTGGTATTGTTGATCATTACTATAAGGAGAAAAATGACCAAAGGATATCCATTAGGTGTGAACTGTAGTAATGATCTCAGAAGGATCATTCTGTAAGTCAGAAAATCTGTTATTTTTCTTTATAAGCATTCATAATTTTAATAAATGCATATTCATAACATTGTGTGTGTACACTATATATATTTCAGCTATCAACAACAATGTGAACATTACTTGCAAAGTTCTGCGTATGCCAAATCTTAGAAAAGCAAATGTATTGGTAGCATTGTTATCATGATTATCTAATTTTCTCTACCCTAAAATTGCTATTGCAGCTCTATGGCAAATGCTTTCCAGAATCTGTCAATGTTAAGATTTAAGTTGATATAAGCAATGGCAAATTGATAACTCTGGAAAGATCCAGCAGATAATATAATCCTGCTGTCTATAACAATTTCATAAGCACTAGCTGGGCATAGCATATTTCTGTACTATTTTTCCATTCTAGTCATTATTAAGAGCATGATCTCAATTATAATAAAGATACAATCAAAACTGATAAAAGACTTTCTCATAACAATGGTCAATATGCCAAAGTAGGTCACTTTTTCTCAGCCAATGATGTTGACCCATTAAGATATTATTTATTTATTGCAATAAGTATAATCCAAATATAACTTAGTACATCACTTATAGGAAATAAAATTCCTCCCTCTCACAACCTTCAACTTTGATAAAGAAAACCTGGACATTCTAGAAAGATATCAAAAGGTCACACAATAACAACAAAAAATGCAGTTGGCATTGTATTTCCTAATTTATCATTAAAAGAAAAATGAAAATAATGGATGATCACAAATGGAAGCTCCTATGAGGATGCAATGTGTTATTTTCCACTGAGAATTGGTAATCTCACTTTTCCTAGATTTATTTCTCAAGTATAACATTTCCTTTTTATGCCTTCTATATTATGTGATTTGTGAGCTTTAGGAATTCTGAAACAACCAGTAATAAAACAATACAAGATCAAAGGCATTCTGATATATTGTACTCTTTTATGTTAAACAAGAACAAGCATGAATCACATCAGATTTTATCAACCTTTGATGTGCAGGAGATTCACAATTTGGAGAGCCAAAAAACCCACTGAAACATTAGTGGCTTTGAAAGTACAATTGAGACCCATTATAGCTCATTGTTATCCGCAGATTCACATCATAAAGGCCAAGTTGTGTCATTTCACTCCAAACAACCAAATATTTATAAAAGTTTATTTTATTTTATTTTTTGAGAGTGAAAGCTCTATGTTATATGTGATATAATCTTCCTCTGAGAGAATGTTTTTTCTGTTTCCAAAGCTCCTGTTGTCAAAAATTTTGGAAAAACAGATTGTTTTTCTAAACACACAGAGGAAACTAATTTTCTCTTACATTACTTCTGAAGAAGGTAGAATAGGAGGTCAATAATAGCTTTGATCCTAAGTATTTGTCTTATTTTTTTATCCCAATTTATAGATTAGCCAATATATACTGTCTAGTTAACAAAATGAAATAATTTGCTCTGAATAGACTTACATAGAAAGATAACAGAACTAGATTGTTGAGTAGAATAAAGCAAATAGCAACACACTGTTTATCCTGTGACTCTATGTATGTGTTACAGGCCTAAGAATGAATGGCAACACTACTACAAGTTGTCAATTCACAACATTTGCCTTTAGAGACTGAATTTAGAATTGGAGGATGGACACTTTTAGTCTTTTATTTTATACACTTCACTATACATAATGGAATTTTAGAAAAATATGCATTTCTTTTTTAATTAAAACATAAATAGTAGAAGAATTGAATCTCTAATTATTTCTAATACTATTTTTAGACTTTGCCTAATACTGATGTACAGAGAAGGCTACACAGATAAGTCTATTTATTTCATCCAAAGAGGATAGAAGATTGTGACTTTTATCCTGTTTAACACAAAGAGGTTCTGAAAAAATCATTCTAGAAATGAATGATTGATAACCAAGGTGGTGGAATATTAATGAGGAATAAAGATTCATGCAGAGAAAATATTTGAAAGTACTACTATGATAAGGAAAGCTTGAATTGCACAAAAGATGTAACAAAACGCAGCAGGTGGTACAGAAATCAGGGGAAGTGATTAGAGAGGAGACTATTGGAATCTTAAGCACAGGGATCTATGTTAGGTGTTTTAACACACATTGTCACAATTAAAGGAATTGCTGAACATCAATCAAAGAGAATTGAAGACTTACAAGATTTAATTCATAGTGAAGCAGGTTGAAACATCATTGCATAACATTATTCTAACAGTGCTTATCAGACTAAGCGTAAACAAAGAGGAAAGACATGGAAGGGGTGATCTGGATAAAAACAGCCATACAATATAGGACAGCTTGCAATGGTAACTTAAAGGTAAGAGAGGCCTAGACCACTAAGGCGCCACTGACCTCAGAAAAGCCATCAACTGGACTCAATTGTACATATGAAATGATGAGAAATATCATAAGTGGAAAAGTTGCAGCTAGTGAGAAGTTGCCAAAAATTGGATCTAGTCATTGAGATATATTTGTGATGGATTCACCTTGACTGGTTATACTGATCAGAAAGTGATTTCCAAGTAGCAAAGCAGATCATGGCTTCAAAAAAATAAATATATTAATAATAATTTCAAATTGAGGTCAACAAAAAGATTGTTAATTAGAAAGACATCCCAATGGCATTAAAGGATTATAAAAGGATACTATAAATAAAGGACTGGTTTCAGAATATTTAGGAATAAGGAATCCATATGACAATATAAAATGGCAGCAAGGACTGTGCTAAGGGAGTATTATAGAGCCTCCATCTGATATAGAGAGAGGTTGGGAGCTTTGACAGAGAAGCGGCAGGAATGAGAATAACTGGAAGAAGGGTATCAGCAAGATATGCATCTTGAGTTAATGGACACGAGTAGTATAAATGTTAACTTTTTCAATTTTTGCTGTATTTCTTGTTAATTTCTGCTCATATCAATTATTGTCTTTCTTACTTTGAGTTTGCTTAGCTCTTTCTTTTCTAGCTGCTTATAATGCTACCTCAGGCCACTGATTTTAGACTTTCTTTCTTTTCTTACATGACCATTTAAAGATGTACATTTATTTCAAAGCATTGCTATAGGGGCATGTCAAAATTTTTGATGTATTTTATTTTACTATTATTCAAGATAAAATATTTTCAATTTCCTCCTATGTTAACTTCAAATCATAAATTAAGTGTCCTTTCTAAGTTTTCCCAGTATTAATGGATTTTCTAGACAACTTTTGGTAATTTGTTCCTAATTTAATTTTCTCATAGATGGAGAATATACTACGTATGATTTCAACATTTTCATAAACATCTAGACTTTTTTAAAGGCTCAGAATGACATCTAATTAGAATATAATGTATACTTGAACACTGGAAAGAAATGTGTACCTTGCAGAAGTTGCATATAATGTCTTATTAAAATCAATGGGTTCAGGTGGTTAGTAGTGTTGTTCAGATCACCTGTCTTTACCGATTTTTGCCTAATTTTTATAGACTACTAATAGGGTGTTAAAATATGCAACTATAATTATGAAATTGTTTGTTTTTCCCTTTAAGTTATACAATTTTTGCTTCATGTGTTTGAAGCTCTCTGATTAGATGAATACACGGTTATAACTGTTGTGTCTTCTTAGGGCACTGACTCCTTTATCACTGTGAAATGTTGCACTTTATCCCTAGTAATTATCTTTTCTTGCAGTGTGTTTTATCTAAAATTAACATAATTTCTACAGTATTCATACATTTATAGTTTATTATATATGTATATATATACACTTTAGTTTAAACATGTCTGTGCCTTTATATTTAAAGACATCTCTCTTAGTCAGAGTGTAGTTAGGTTTTGCTTTTCCATCTATTCTGAAAAATCTGCGCCTTTTGGTTTAAGTGTTTGGTCCATTAACATTTAATATGATTACCAATATAGTTGAATTTAGGTCTACCATTTATCATTTGCTTTTTGCTCCCCTCCCACCTGCTGCCAATCTCCACCCACCTTTCTTGTTCCTCTGTTTTTCTTGTCCTACTCTTATTCAGATTATTGTTGAGCCCATGAGAAAAATGAAAATCCCCAGGCTTTATTCCATTATAGCTTGAAAAACAAGCTCAGTAAGAGCTAAGTTATTTTATAGCTCTTTTCTTTCTTCTAATTATTAACTTAATTTTGAGGTGAAAAAACATAAAACTTTTCGTGTATTGTTCATGCTTAAAGAAAACTTGGCCAGGTGTGGTGGCTCACACCTGTAATTCCATAACTTTGGGAGGCCAAGGCCAAAGGACCAGGTGAACCCTGGAGTTTGAGACCAGCCTGGGCAACATGACAAAACCCCATCTCTACTAAAAATACAAAAAATTAGCTGGGTGGCATGTACCTGTCATCCCAGCTATCCAAGAGTCTGAGGTGGGAGGATTACCTGAGCCTGGGAAGTCGAGAGTGCTGTGGGTCATGATGGTGCACTCCAGCCTTGGTAACAGAGGAAGACTCTATCTCAAACAAAACAAAACAAAAACAAAAACAAAAATACTTCCAGTTTTCTGAGAGGGAGATAAAGGGACTTAATGAGAAAGTCATGAATGCTTCACAGTCTAGTTCTAATCCCACTCATCAGACCAATCATCCCTGTCCTCACAAAGTACCCACTGCCCTAGCCCCTTCTTCCTCCTCAGCTTCCCACCCTCCCACCCTGCACAGATCATCACAGTTCTGAGTCTTGGCTTTGCACTTTCCTCCATTTAAATTCCCTTCTCCTTGTTTACTGCACAATGAATTTGTAATTTTTTTTATAATCCACGTTGCACATTTTGTTCTCTTCTATGACCACTGCTCTATCATTATCATAGCAGAGAAATGCCTTCATTCAAAAGTCCACAAATGTGGAAAACTTTGTTATAACAGAAAACTTTATCACAATTAGTATATTTTATTATAATATATTATGTAGTACTAGTAGTAGTACCTGTTTGTCCCTTTTATGAGCTTATGGAAACAGAGATCTTTTCTTGTGATTTTCTATTTCTTCAACATCTAGAGTACCTGCAGTCAGTCAATGAAATTGTCAGAATAAAACACTCTATTGTTGATTAAGAATAAGCCAGAATTTGCTTATACTAGAAACAATAGGTATGGTGTGGATGAAAATGTCAATACAGTGGCAGTGAAGTGGGATGTAGTGAGGAGGGTGCATACGAAGGTTTGGGTAGAGAGATGTAGCCTTTGAGTAAACATGGGGCATATTGGGATAGATAGTGCTAGGGAGAATGCTAGTGTTGACTTCAAGGATATGATTCTATTTTCTGATCAGTTACGACTTCTTGGGCTTAGGGCTCATGCAAGAGGAGTGACTGGCCACTACACAATATAATGTGTGGCAGTGTCCAAGGGGGAAATAAAGGTGTGTTACCTCTGCTGACATTCCAATGTATCCTAACTTTCTCAGATAAGCCAACATTTCCAAGCCACTCCACAGAACTGCTATTTTCCGATCCAGTAGGAACAAGGACTTTCTGAGCAAAATGTTAGCTTACTTTATAAAATTTTGCTTTCTTCAAGAAGTAATTATAAACTAAAAGTAGAGTAATATAATCATTTGTTTATGTATGAAAATCAGGCAGTGTCTACAAGAGTCTATTTTCCCCTTCAGGGTGTCTCTGACTTCCTTTCAGACTAGATTTTTAAATACATACCCATTTTTATTGTGTCTTTACTGTTTGTATTGTGTAGGTATCTCTGGGTAGAGGTGTTAAATTTGGATTTTTTTCAGAGCCCCAAATTCTTACACCTGGCCTGAAACATAATTCTTTCTTAACATCCTGAGGGAGGTATCAAAAAGGACCACTGAATGCTACAGCAAAATTTCAAGAAAGCTCTGTGGATGTTGGCTGATTCTAAACTTCTATTTATAGAATAGGACTATACAAATTTCCTCTTTTAATATTTTCTTTTTGGTTCTCATTCATGTGTGTCTCCGCTAAACACACCCATATATTTTCTCCTTCTTCCAATGTCGCTCTCTGTCCCTGTTTTTCTTGCTCACATCAAAACTAATATGTTTGGTGTCTGTATGCTGAATTTTAATCTATGTTCTTCATCCACACTTACACTTCTAATATTGCCATGTGTTGTTCCTTCTTTGGAATTCAGTTTCTAAAGCCCCGTAGCGACAGATGACTGACCTCCCCAAATCCTTCACTAGCCGGAGTGTTACATAAACCACCTCCTCACCCAGGAAACCACAGGTGTGAGAGATGAGGTGTCTTTGTTGTTTGGGGTTTGTATTTTTTTGTTTCTAGACTTCTTACAATTGAGTACTTCATTGCTATAACCCAGCAGGAACTCATAAACACCCACATAGAGCATTTAAATCAATCTGAGAGAACAAGGCTCCCAACTGTAACTTTTCTAAACTTAAAATATATTGTTACAGGCTACAAGAAATCTACCGCATTCCCTGTATAGTTTTATGCGTGTCACAGAAGTTAAGTGTCTCCTGACTCGGCCGGTGGGTAAATCCTCTAAGCGAGTGCCAAAATCTTGTAATGCAGCAGATGGCAGATATAGCTGACAATAGCATTCAATGAGGGATGCAGGCTGGTTCCCTAACCTTTCATCACCAGAAATCACTCCCATTGTTTAACTCTGCATCTGCAGCCTATTTGCATGGGAGAGTTGATTCACTGAATGTTTATGATGTGTTGCGCTGGAGCGAGACACACACCACTCAGATTTTTCTCCAATGACCATTCCAACTACTATGTAAGGTCACTGCTTTTAGGTGGTAGTATTATTGTTATTATTTTTTGATTGTTATTCCCTAATGCACTTTGAAATATAAATCCTCAAATTTGAACCCCTAAACATAAAGTCATTTTGTCTAACTTCCTCTGAACTTGTGATCTTACAGCTGTTGGGTAAATCCACCATAGCCAGTATCACAATAATCACAGTGTATCCTGAAAGCTTATGCTCAATTTTCATTCTTCCTGTATGAAATATAATGAGAACCTTAACTAGCAAGTGAATTCGATTGTGCCACCTCGGGAAAAGTCTTGTTGGAAACACATACCCAGCAGGGGAATCAGTCACTTGGAGAAATGGATTGAGTGTCTCCATTTCTGACTTTGCTACTGACCCCATAGCAATCTCAGGCAAATTACTTAAATATCTTCCCTCCAGCTTTCTTTTTATCAAATAAACGCACAATTATTTATTATTTTTGTCACATGCAAAAATGTTACTAATTTGTCTATAATATTCATTATTTCCTTTTCTACCTCCTATTTGAATTCATTGTAATGTTCTCTTTCTAACTTCTTAAGACGGATTCTTAATTTTCAGTCTTTCTTTGTTGATATTGTATATGTACCTAAGACAATCAACTGCATCTAAGAACAGTTTAATTGAATTGCACAAATTTTGAAATATTGCCTTTTAAAATTGTGAGTCAGAACAAGAAGTTTTGTAATTTTTTCTTTAGCCTATGGGTTGTTTAGAAGCGATCTATTTTTCTTACTTCCAAATACTTAAGAACTTTTTAATTATCTTTTTGTTATTTTATTCCACTCAGCTTAGACAACATTGTCTTTATGATTTCAATCTTTTGAAATTTGTCAAGAATTGCCTTATGGCTGAAGAAAAATTCCAATTTGATAAACACCCTATGTATATTTTTAAAGTTCATATGAACTTGTGTAGAATGTTGTCGTGTGTCTCTTAGTCATTTTGTTAATCATGGTGTTCTAATATTCTATATGCTTACTGATTTTGTGTTCTTGTTTCGTCTATTACTGAGAAAATTAAATTATAGTACTAAAATGGTGGCGTCTTTTTAGATGCCATTTCTAGGAAACTTAGTCAACCTATCATGGATTAAAAATGTCATTTTTCTAAGTTTTCTAAAAAGATTTGTTGAAGTTCTAACCCTAAGTAACCGTATTAAATAGGATCTTCACAGATGTAATCAAGTAAAGATGAGATTATTAGGGTGGGCAGGAATTGAATATGGCTGTTATCTTTCTAAGAGGAAAATGCTTTAGGAAGACACTGACATACAGAAAGAACAGCCACATGAAGATGGAGGCTGAGATTATAGAGTTATGTGGCCACAAGCCAAGAAACTCATGTGGCCATCAGAAGTTGGAGGAGACAAGGAAGGATTCGCCTCTAAAGACTTTAGAGGAAGCATGGCTCTGCCAGTAACTCGATTTCAGACTTGTAGCATACATAACTGTGAAGGAATAAATGTCTGTTGTTTTAAAGCACCTAATTGCGATGCTCTGTTATGGAAACCCTAGGAAATGAGTAAATTTACGTATACATTTGGGAGTATGCACTGAAAATTGTAAATTCACTAAATCATACATATTGCATGGATTTGAGAAAATATAGAGAAAGTAAAGGTTAAATAAATACATTTGTGAAACTCCATGCTTCAAATTCTAAATTTTGAGCAATTGCAATAAAGAATTAGAGAGTAGATAATAGTGACTACTGTGTAAAAGAATAATGATAATAATAATATAATAAATGACTTAAACAGACTCAGGAAAATACATAAATCTCAGATCCACTTCTGGCTAAGAATGTTTTCAACCATGCTGTAAGTATACTAGTCTATTAATTTTGGCTTGTTAAAACTGAAATATGTGTTTAGGTTAACAGCTTAACAACTTGCATCTGGCTTATTTCATTGTATATGTTCTGTAATTTCAGTGGTTTTCTCTGTATTTCCAGTTGTCAGTGCTTCCACAAAACCAGATGGACCAAATTGACAATTGTAGTCAGGATCTTGGTGCTCAGAATAAATAGATCACTGGAGAAGCAGCTTCACAAAATGAGACCAGAGTAAATACTCTAACTATATTGATATATCACATATTACAAGTTGAAACTCCAGGCTGCATGAAATTGACTAGAATTCACAAATAATTGAATGTATGAATAAACATTTAGACTCCTTTACAGAAAGTCATGCAGGTAATTTTGAATTTTGAAAATGTCCAACTCATTTTGCTTTGCTCTTCAGATATATTCAGAAGAATGTATAAAAATAGATATCTCGTCTTTAGCAACTAAAAGGCACACTCAGGTTTTAACATTAATAATAAGTTTTTTTGGAGAGTAAGTTATTTTTTGAAAGATTATTTGACTTCTTTTTCTTCCTTTTCTTGTTTTCCTTTCTTTCCATTTATTTTCTTTAATATACTTCTTCTTATTTTCTTCATTGATTTCTTCCTCCTGTTTTTGCCAAGTACATTTTAGATGGACATGGCCCCTTGGTTTAGTCTTCACAAAATATGTTGAGACAATAGCAGGTGATTATTTTAAGCTGACCATAACCAACAAAATATCAAATAACACTTTTGTGCAGAACCAGATAAATTATTTTTGTACAATGACATTCTCAAACAGAAATGTTGCATACTTGAATCTAAGACAATTTAATCACTGTAGCTTTTAATGACAAGGCCTCAACCTTCTCCTATTTGATTGTTAGTGTACATTTCTTTGCTATGTTTACCTTCTATTTTCTTTGAGAAAAAAAGACAGCGATAGTCTTAAATGGTAATAGTGCTGCAGTTGTTACTAATTAAAAAGTTAGAGATTAGGAAGATGAGTTGTTTTACACTAAGAGTGAAGTTAAGGAAACCAATCAAAAACATGTAAAAAGACTGGCTAGGTGTGGTGGCTCAGGCCTGTAATCCCAGCACTTACAAAGCCTGAGGTGGGAGGATCACTTGAGCCAGGAGTTCAAGACCAGCCTGACCAACACGGTGAAACCCTATCTCTACTAAAAACACAAAAATTAGCCGAACATGGTGGCACCCACCTGTAATTCCAGCTACTCAGGTGGCTGAGGCACAAGAATCATGTGAGCCTGGGAGGCAGAGGTTGCAGTGAGCCGAGATTGCACCACTGCAGTCTAGCCTGGGTGAAAGAACAAGACTCTAATTTCAATTAGAATCAAGGAGAATAGAACACATAAAGAAAAAAAAATAAAAGATATCAAAAGACTGATATTTCCCTATTTTCATCACTGGAAGACAAATGGCTCCTAAGTCACCAGGATTTGAATAACCTTTCTATAAAATATGATTAAATAAAAAGAACACATTTATACATAAGATAATTGGTGTCCCCCTCAAAAAAAAAAAGGCAGGAGAAATAATATAGATTACAAAGGCAAATGATGTTGATTTTCACCCAAATGCTGCCTATTGGTAGTAAAGTCTACCTACAATTTTATCTCAAACATAGAGAGCAATAAGTACATTTTAGCCAAAAAAGCTTGAGCATTTGTGGTGCCATAGGAGAGGCCACAAATGCAAGGAAGATGCATCAGGATATCTTCACCTGATGCCGTTAAGCAATGCATTCATGGAATGCTCCTTCTTCCTCTTCATCTTACTCCATGCTTGGCAAGAAACTATAAAAGTTCCTTATGAAAAACATCCCAATTTGCATCCCACACAAAATGACATCTGAAGAGAGAATGTGATGATCAGGCTGACAAGAGTATCCTAGGTATGACCACAACATGTTCTTTCCATAGAAACTTATACATATATTTATGCATGCAAAATTTCTGATTCCTCAAGGATCTAGAACCAGAAATACCATTTGACCCAGCAATCCAAACAACCCAAAGGATTATAAATCATTCTACTATAAAGACATGTGCACACGTATGTTTACTGCAGCACTGTTCACAGTAGCAAAGACTTGGAACCAACCCAAATTCCATCAATAATAGACTGGATAAAGAAAATGTGGCACATCTACCCCATGGAATACAAGGCAACCATAAAAAGGGATGAGTTCATGTCCTTTGCAGGGACATGGATGAGGCTGGAAACCATCATTCGCAGCAAACTAACACAGGAACAGAAAACCAAACACTGCATGTTCTTACTCATAAGTGTGAGTTGAACAATGAGAACACATGGACACAGGGAGAGGAACATCACACACCAGGGCCTGTCAAGGGGTGGAGGGCTAGGGAAGAGATAGCATTAGGAGAAATACCTAATGTAGATGATGGGTTGATGGGTGCAGCAAACCACCATTGCACGTGTATACCTATGTAACAAACCTTCACATTCTGCAAACGTACCTCAGAACTTAAAAGTATAATAAAACAAAATTTCCATTCTGTATGTCTGTACAAAAACCACAACATAAAATGATTTTAATAATTTAGACCATAAAGTACATGTAGATTGCATTGCTTTGCTAATTGTAGGAATTTAAAAATATTTTTATACAAAAGTGATGACTGATTAATTGGAGTATTTACTATCTTCTTTATTTTACCAAGTGCTAGAGTGACTTCTAGGGAAAATAAATTATTCTTTGTAGGAGGGATGGGAAAATGAGATCAGCCTCTTGAATTACCTACCAGACATTATGCTAGGTATTTCATACATATTATTGCAAAAAGTCTCATATCACACTAGGTATTGATATCTTTTTATAGATTAAAAATAAAATAACTGAGACCTGGGGATGTTAAGGAGTCAACAAGAATACTAAATTATATATCCAGAGTTCAAAAAGAAGTCAAGCTGACTGTAAAAATCATGCGCTTTCCACCATAGCACATTTATAGTTATATTAAAGCTATGATCTGCAGAATGTGGTATGCATATCCTGAGGGATACAATAAAAGTTTCCAAGTAGTGTGTGGGCATAGATAATTTTGAGAATGTTGCTTTCCAATCCTTAATTTCTTTTTTCTTTTTTCTTAACCTAAAAGTGAGAACACACCTGCATTTTGTGATCTTGTTCATTCTCCTACGCTCATTCCTGTTTCAAAATAGCCCCGTTTCCCACTTATAAAAGTATACCTCAGAGCATTCTCAATTCTTAGTGGTGTGCATTGCTTTGGAGTATACAAGTCTCTGTTCTCCAAACAGTTCAAATGTAATTCCCCATTAATCAAGGTGCCATGAACCCACAGTAGACCCCATGTCTTTCCTATTTTAAAAGCATTTCTGTTAATGGTGAAAAATGACATTAGAAATTGAATTTTTTCACAAATTATAATACCATGAATTCAGATATAGCATACGTTTGACAACTGGAGTGAGAACTTCCCCTAAATATTAAAAAAAAAATGGTTTTGTTCCATAGAAAGAACTTGTGAAAACCAACTAAAAATAGCATTGGAAAACATATTAAAGACAGTGGTATTATATTTCATTCAGGAAACCAAATCATGAGAAGGCATTTGAATTTTGCATATTTTACAAATTCCAAATATTTAAAAGTGTTTGCAAGTCTGCTTCGAAATACCAGTCTGTTTCTCATTATTTACTCTCCACATTTTGGTTATTCTCACTAATGAATGGAGAGATTCTCCTCTTCATCACAAATATCTTGGTGCATCTGATGGTCAAAGAGTTCCGTGAAAATATATTTAAATCACGTAATAAGATGAAAGCATATTACCAAAGCTATTGCATTGACAAGTGGATATTGAAGTACTACGAGATACCAAGGATTTCTGAGTGTGCGTAGTTAAATATGATGCCTCTAAATAAAAGAGTAATGAGTGTCATTAATGATCATGACTTTGGCCTTAGTAATTTTTTTTTCATGGTACAACTTATGGAAATGATGAAACTAAGCAACTAACTTCCTGGTCTTGGTGTAAATTGGTGTTTCAATAAGAAGGAGGATAGAATAGAGTTTCAAGCTAATAGGTTACTAAATGTAAAGTTTGATACCTGATAGTGATATTTTACATATAATGTGTAATGAATTTAAACACCATTTATGTGAACAAGCTTTTTGATGCTTTTACGTACAAAGATGTGAAATAGAAATATAATTAATAACCTACATATTCTATTGTGAGCAACAAATAATTGTCCAGGGATACAGGAACTACCTGGTGAAAAAAAAATCCATCTCATTAAGAAATTTATTACTAACAAAATCACTAACCTTTAATGCCTAATAATTATGTAATACAATTTATAAAATGTTATTTTAACCAATTTTTTACTAGTGATACAATCCAGAAGATTTTTTAAAAATTTACATAGTCATAAGAACTCTGTAAACATCTTTCTCTCTTTGTGTATATATGAGATATGAATATATATATATGAATATATAGGTATATAGATATATATATGAATATATAGGTATATAGATATATATATGAATATATAGGTATATATTTATATGTTATATATAACATTATATAAATAAATTTTAATATATCTGTATTGTTTATATATACATATAAGCATGCTGCATATATAATTATTACAGAAATAAATGATAAACATTGAGCACACAATTATATTAAAATAAAATTACAAATGGACTTTAGAATGAAAAAAATAGTTTGAGGAGAAAAAGAGGAGATTTAAATGCACACTACTTCAAGAACTTGTCTTTTTTAAAATAGGGGATATAAAATTACAATCATATTTGTATTAGTGCATTTTAAAGTTTTCTGTAATACATTTATTTTTCAATGTCAATATTTGCAATACACAACAAGCTATATTCTTTGCAACTTTTAAACTGAAATGAAAATTTTAAGAAGATGCCTAAAAAATCAGGGAGAGGACATTTAAATTTTAAAAATTAAAAAAAATCCTTTAGGGGATATATAAGTTAAACGAAAAGCTTGAATTCTACTGGATTAAACAAATGACACAACATAGTCTGGGCACTTGGAGTTTGCTTGGGCCAAAGGATGTGAATCAAATGTTGCTATTTAGCTTCTGAGATGCCTGAGGACAGCAAGAATGCCTGAGAATATCATAGATGCTCAAAGCATTAAGGGGTTACATTTTCTAAAATTTTTTGAAGTTTCCTTTTTTATATTTTGAATTAAATTGGCGTCCAAAAGAAGATGCAAATGAGAACAGTGATTTGGTAAAGAACATTGAAAGATTTTGCTTACAACTGGGTATACTACAGTGTGAACTGAGAATAATAACAGTAGTAATAGATGTCACAAACTAGACTCTTAGTAGTCATGGCCCCTCTAATGGAAAACTTACTTTATTTCATCTTTTTTACATTGAAGTTTTTTCATTGATTAAATTTTGCAACATGTGTATTTAACTGAACATACCATCCATGCTGAAATGCTTCTAACAATCTTAAAATGGGCATTTTTACTAGTGGTTACAATATGCATTATCTGAAGAATACAAAAGCATTTTTATTTTTTCCTTTAATGATACAACATACAAATGCTGACTTGACATATATTCCCATATAATTTTTGTCTTGCGTTTACATCTCAAAGATTAGTAAACCCAGAGGACATGCTGTAATCACAATACGGAATATACTATATTTGTATTTCAAGACTTTATTCCAACCCATTTCTTCTCTTATGTTGTAAAACATCTTCATTATATTGTTTAAGGAGATGGTCCACAGGAAGTTGATGATGCCCAAGGTCCAAGTTGCAGCCAGCTAAGTTTGCTATGTTGTGGCTCCCAAATTAAACCTACGACCAGGCTGAAGGACCACTTAGAAACAGGGCCATCTGCCTCCCTCTCTGTCCCACCCCTCTAGGAATCAACTTATTGTTTCATTTTATACCATCAATAACTCTATTTTCCTTATGAAGATGAAGTTTCCACGGCATAGAGAAGTAAAAAAGATTTGGCCGAAGTCGCTGTTATGGATTGAATTGTGTTCCCCTCAAATCCATTTATTAAAGCTGAAAGTCTCAGTGTGACTGTACTCGGAGATAGGCCTTTAAGGTGGTACATTAAGGTGGTAATTGAGGTTACATGTGGTCAAAATGTGGGGCCCTAATCCAACTGACTGATGTCTTTATAGGAAGACAGAGACACACCAGGACACCAGGGATGCACACACTCAGAGAAGAGGCCAGGTGAGGGCACAATGAGACGGTCATCTGCAAGCCAAGGTAAGATCCCTCAAGAAACACCAAATTTGCTGGCATCTTGATCTTGGACTTCCACCTTCTGAAACCGTAAGAAAATAGATTTCTGTTGTTTAAGGCACCCAGTCTGTGGTATTTTTAATGGCAGGCCGAGCTGATTTACATGCACTCGTGGTAAGGGGCAGAGGAAACTCTAAGTCATTTATTAATAATTCAAAACTTTGTTCCTCAGTACTAGTAAATATTTTGCAATCACTGAAGCACTTGTCAAATGTATATTTTCTCCTCATATTAACTAGCAAAATTAGCCTCACATAAACTCATCCACAAGTTTGTTAGTAGTTTGCCCCAAATGCACACCTATAAAAGTGGCAAGGCCCAGATTTGAACCTGGGAAAACAGGTTTTTAACTATTTCATTGCAACTACCTCCGACATCAGTGTACCTAATTTATATTTTTCCCCTGAAGTTAAAAATTGATGGTATGTTTAGAGTTAACCTTCTGGGCTAAATTCCTGTTGTTTTAAAACATTCTTTTTTCAACAACTCCCCAAATATTCAAAGAGGAGAGTATCAGAGTTAGTTTTGATATAAAAATACAGTCATTTTACCATTGCTATTTCTCATGATCTTACTATCACTCTTCAAACCCTGAAAATTCTCCTGAAAACTGAGTAGACATTATTGCAAGTTTTCATGGTACCCATAATGTTATAAAATTATTGAAAATTTAAATCATAAATGTGTAAAATTCCAACATTCCTGTTAAATGACTAAGACTAGTTAAATCAAGTCTCATTCAGAGAAAAATATAATAATCAAATGTGAATGATTGAGCTGGTAATAAAGACCTCCACTGCGTCCAAGTTTTTAACACCTGAAAGAAAATTATTATCTAATTTAGCATTAATGCTGACAAGAGATGGCATAAAGTTGTTCACATTAGACAGGCCGACTGCTGAGGAAAAAAAAAATAGTTCAAGTATTTTCTAGCACCAAAAGACCAGGGAGACAATTTACAGATTCTCACAGAGGATAATCAAACTTGTTTCTTTCTTGGCTGTTGCCTAACTACAAAATATTCTTCTCTATTCATTTAAAAAACAAAAGAGAGACTATAATTTGCAATACAAAATCAAACATAATTTAATGTCAGTGAACTAAATAATTACAGTATTTACTATTTCAAGTTGCACATTTCCACCGTGGTCTAGATGGGCTTAATTAAATCTCTTTAAATGGGATGGGCTCATGGTCTGAAATCTTACCAATTCAAGAGTCAGGCCAAGGGCCATGCCTAGTTATTTTCTGCTGCACTCAAGTAGCAGTGAAGTCAGCGCGTAAAAGTAAAGTTAAAGAAACACCATGAAATCAGTAAGGATCTGAAGTTTTAATTTAGTGAAAGAGTTAATTTCATATTGATCATGATGGGATTCCCTTGCTAAAATCCTGGTCCTTGGTGGCTTTCTTCCAATGAATATGACTAGCCATGCGTACCCATTTGCTACTCTACCCACAGCTCTGCTAATGGACAACAGCTGTCCTGTGGTCCCTGTGCTCCAAGCCTGAAACAGGCTGGTGGGTGATGGCAAAAGATTGAGACAATACGACCTAGGAGTTGAGGTGAGAGCATGATTCGTGAAAGAAAGCTAGATTTGGGCCTCAACAATAAGAAGGCTTCGAGGGTTTTTTTGTTTACGCAGCTGCTTGTTTATTTGGTTTTTGCTTGTGCATCTATATTTTGTATTGAGGAGCCATTGACAGATTCTCCTGGCTTGCATCAAGTTTACACAGGAGCTCCACACACTTCCTGAAGCCATTTAGGCTTACTTTCTTTTTATTATTATTATTATTTTTTATTTATTTATTTATTTTTTTGAGACAGAGTCTTGCTCTGTCGCCCAGGCTGGAGTGCAGTGGCGCGATCTCGGCTCACTGCAAGCTCCGCCTCCCGGGTTCACACCATTCTCCTGCTTCAGCCTCCCAAGTAGCTGGGACTACAGGCACCCGCCACCACGCCCAGCTAATTTTGTTTTTGTATTTTTAGTAGAGATGGGGTTTCACCGTGTTAGCGAGGATGGTCTTGATCTCCTGATCTTGCGATCCGCCCGCCTCGGCCTCCCAATGTGCTGGGATTACAGGCGTGAACCACCACGCCCGGCCCATTTAGGCTTACTTTCATATCCACTGGAGTGAAATAAAAGTAAGGCTAAACAGACTATTTGAGGTTGGTTTATTTGTTTACAATATATGATAAGCACACTCAATCTGTATGTTGTTGGTTCTTCACTTTTGCCCTTATAGTCTAGTTATGTGCTTGGCATCTATAAGGATTGCTTAGGTCATGTGGCTCCTGGGACAGGCTTGGCCTGGGTTACAGGCAGTCAGGCTGGCAAAGCTCAGAAATTTTCTCCATGTAGTTGCACTTATGCCAGTAGTAACTCTTGGCTTCAGTGTTCCTCCCTAGCTTCCCTTAGGAGAAGGCCAACTGGCTACAAGAGCATATTGTGAAGCTATCTTTAGGAACAGCTTTCCTCAAGAAGATTAATAGCACAAAATAGATTTCTCTGCATGCTGGAATTAGGTAACTAAGATACTGAGGTAAGAAGAAATAGTGCTAAAAGCTTAGACCAGGGATTTGAAAACTACAACCTATTATTTGTAGAGCACGTGAGCTACACACACACACACACACACACACACACACACACACACACAAAACAGACAATGGCAATAACAAAGAATATGCCTGGATGTGGCCAGCAAAACCTAAAATATTTGCTGTCTGGCCTTTTACAGAAAAGGTTTCCCAACCCCTGGCCTAGAGGCACTGTTAATAATCACCATTATGAGTTGCAAATAAAGAGAAACTACCTCTGTATAATTTAACAGAATTCTTACCCAGACCATGTAACTTATAGTTACTTTGGGAGTTTGGTAGACCAGTTTGCAGGCTCCAGATTAGAGACATTTCTATTAATAATGAGGCCATAGAGTAGAGCCATGAAGAGACTGCTGTTGTCATTGTGATGAGCAGACCACAGCCTGTCCCACCAACATTATCGATGGTTGGACGCTGTTACTGGGACTGCTAAGCTGCTATTGCTGGAAATGGGACTTAGGGACTACTGCTTCCAGCACTGTCACCAAAATGGATTGCTCATGGTCCCTAGTCCTTCACAGCTAGCTTCTGATTGAGTAACTCTAAAGGATTGCATGATGGGTGGATCCTCAGTCATCTTTCTGTGTTCAAACTGTGTGGGTAGCCAGGAAAATAATAAGTGCTCTATGTGTTATCTATAATTGTTATTGTAGTTCTTTTCATTCCAGGAGCTCAAGGGGTAATTTGGGGCCTTCGTAATGCCACAATCAAGCCAATGATTTAGCAGAGCAGGGTCCATAAGTGGTAAACGAAAACAAATTAGTCAAAAAAGGAAATGGATTAGATGCACAAAAGGAAACACAGATACCATGAGCAATTACTCTACGCCCCCGAGAAAGGCCTGCCTGATGACAGTTGTCATAAGGTTTAGGTTTCCTGTTCTTGAATTTCCATGAGATTCACATTTATTTTTCAGTTAGAATTTTTTTTATATGTACTGGTGTGAATAAGATATATTTACAGCCTGGTAAATGTTAATTGGAAACACTTTCCTGTTTGGGAATACCCATCCACCTCCCATGTTACTTAGGAATTGTATGGCTACAAGTAAGAGAAACACATCTCAAACTAATTTAAAAAGATTTTAGAAATCTCCTGAAACCCAAAGGTAGAAATGATAGGGTCCTAAAGAATAACTCCATTAGGATTTTGTCTTCCTGTTACTACCTTTGGTTTCTCTTATACCTCAATTCAATTTCTTTGTTAGACAGGCTTAAACAAAAAAACAAACCAACCAAAACACACACACACACACACACACACACACACACACACACACACACAAAACATGCAATAAACTTTGTGGACATCATGACAAATGTTTACCTCTGGCCTTTAACTTTCAAAGTTTTAGACACAGGAAAAAAATAAAAAATATTTTATCTGTCTGAAGTCTAAAATCTTAGTGAAAAGACTCACTGATCTAACATTCATATCCATCCTTACAAATGTCAAGTATGGCCAAGGCTGTGGCTTCTATCATTGGCACGATTTGAGGCAAGTGTTCTTTCTTGTACACACAGAAAAAAGTACATAACATAGCTCCTATTTCTAGGAATACATAACATAGTAGAAACTCAATTATGTAATTATAACACAGCAGTAAGTGCCATAATTAAGTGATGTGCTTATGCACAGCTTAGCACATCCAGTAAGAAACAGGAGAGACAAAATTAAGAATTAGTCTTTGACGGGATGCCATACTATCCTTATAAGTGATATATGGTCCAAATAAGCCAGATGTCTCTTTCCAATTACTATGAGGATTTTAACTTAAAATGTATAAAGGCAAAATCATACATGTAACTTGAGACTGTCCGATTCCACACTTTACGATGACCAGCTACCAGTTTATTAATATGCATTTATGTGAAATGATGTAATTGTATTCAGAAGGACTCAGAAAAAGACTTACTTCTCATACTCTGTCTCCAAGAACCATGTGAAAACACAAGTCGAAATGTCATTAAAAGAATTGTCTCCGCACTGGTATTTTTCCGGATTTCCTTTCTTTTTTTTTTTTTTTTACATCAAGTCTGTTTATTTTTATTTTTATTTTTTTCTTTTATTGTTATACTTTAAGTTTTAGGGTACATGTGCACATTGTGCAGGTTAGTTACATATGTATACATGTGCCATGCTGGTGCACTGCACCCACTAACTCGTCATCTAGCATTAGTTATATCTCCCAATGCTATCCCTCCCCCCTCCCCCCACCCCACAACAGGCCCCAGAGTGTGATGTTCCCCTTCCTGTGTCCATGTGATCTCATTGTTCAATTCCCACCTATGAGTGAGAATATGTGGTGTTTGGTTTTTTGTTCTTGGGATAGTTTACTGAGAATGATGATTTCCAATTTCATCAATGTCCCTACAAAGGACATGAACTCATCCTTTTTTATGGCTGCATAGTATTCCATGGTGTATATGTGCCACATTTTCTTAATCCAGTCTATCATTGTTGGACATTTGGGTTGGTTCCAAGTCTTTGCTATTGTGAGTAGTGCCGCAATAAACATACGTGTGCATGTGTCTTTATAGCAGCATGGGCTCAGCAACATGGACTTCCACTCACACCAAGGCTGACCTGACTGTGGCCACTGCTGAGTGCCCAATTTGCCAGCAGCAGAGACCAACAACCTGGTGCCAGGTTGATTATATTGGACCTCTTTCATCATGGAAAGGACAGAGTTTTGTCCTCACTGGAATAGACACTTACTCCAGATATGGGTTTGCCTATTCTGCAGACAATGCTTCTGCCAAGACTACCATCCATGGATACACAGAATGCCTTATCCACTGTATGGTATTCCACACAGCATTGCCTCTGACCAAAGCACTCACTTTTTATGGCTAAAGAAGTGTGGCTATGGGCTCATGCTCATAAAACTAACTGGTCTTACCAGGTTCCCCATCATCCTGAAGCAGCAGAATTGATAGAATGGTGGAATGGCCTTTTGAAGTCACAATTACAATGCCAAGTAGGTGACAATATTTTGCAGGGCTGGGGCAAAGTTCTCCAGAAGGCCATGTGTGCTCTGAATCAGCATCCAATATATTAGACTCTTTCTCCCATAGCTAGTATTCATGGGTCCAGGAATCAAAGAGTGGAAGTGGCATCACATACCATCACCTTTAGTAAACCACTAGCAAAATTTTCGTGTCCTGTTCCTGCAACATTATGTTCTGCTGGCCTAGGGGTCTTAGTTCCAGAGGGAGGAATGCTGCCACCAGGAGACACATCAATGATTCCATTAAACTGGAAGTTAAGATTGCCATCTGCACACTTTGGATTCCTCCTACCTTTAAACCAACAGTCTAAGAAGGGAGTTACAGGGCTGGCTGGGATGATTGACCCAGACTGTCAAGATGAAATCAGCCTACTATTCCACAACAAAGGTAAGGAAGAGTACGCATGGAATACAGGAGATCCATTAGGCCATCTCTTAGGGTTACCATTCCCTGTGATTAAGGTCAATGAGAAACTACAACAGCCCAATCCAGGCAGGACTACAAATGACCAA
This sequence comes from Homo sapiens, assembly GCF_000001405.40. Taxonomy (NCBI): domain Eukaryota; kingdom Metazoa; phylum Chordata; class Mammalia; order Primates; family Hominidae; genus Homo; species Homo sapiens. Next base: position 86,416,570 of record NC_000014.9, on the reverse strand, counting down.
GACCCTTCAGGAAGGAAGGTTTGGGTCACTCCACCAGGAAAAAAACCATGACCTACTAAGGTGCTTACTGAAAGCAAAGGGAATGCAGAATGGGTACTATAAGAAGTTAGTCATCAATACCAGCTACGACTATGTGATCAGCTGCAGAAACAAGAACAGTAATTGTCATGAGTATTTCCTCCTTCTTTTGTATAAAAACATGTTTGTGTATGTATACATTTTTACTAAGAAAAATATCTTCATTTTATTTCCTTTCTCATTTATCATGTGACATAAGATTTGTTGACTTCATGTCAGCATTTCAGTATTGTTAACTTTATGTAATAGTATTTGGGAATTGGTGTGTTTTCAGTTGTACAAAGGATAGTAGTATTATGTTAGGTATAATTATGACCTTATTATTTTCTTTCTTTGAAGATTAAGTATAATCTCAAGAGATGTGCATGGGTTCAAGTTGGCAAGGGGTGGACTTGTGATGGTTAATACTGAGTGTCAACTTGATTGGATTGAAGGATACAAAGTATTGATCCTGGGTGTGTCTGTGAGTGTGTTGCCAAAGGATATTTACAATTGAGTCAGTGGGCTGGAAAAGGCAGATCCACCCTTAAACTGGGTGGGGACAATCTAATCAGCTGCCAGTGCAGCTAGAATAAAAGCAGGTACAAAAATTCAAAAAGAGAGACTGGCCTAGCCTCCCAGCCCACATCTTTCTCTCATGCCAGATACCTCCTGCCCTTGAACATCGGACTCTGAGTTCTTCAGTTTTGGAACTCAGACTGGTTCTCCTTGTTCTTCAGCCTGCAGATGGCCTATTATTGGACCTTGTGATTGTGTGAGTTAATACTTAATAAACTCCTATGCACACACACACACACACACACACACATATATATATATATATACACATACACACACATATATATATTCCATTAGTTCTGTCTCTCTAGGGTACCCTGAGTAATACACCATCACTCTCCCTTTCAAAGAAAGATGATTTGCCATGTACCTAGTTAATACTAAAATGCTTGGTAACTAATAGTTTGGCTGTGTTCCCACCCAAATCTCATCTTGAATTGTAGCTCCCACAATTTCCACATGTTGTGGAAGGGACCCGGTGGGAGGTAATTGAATCATGGGGGTGGGTCTTTCCCATACTATTCTCATGACAGCGAATACGTCTCATGAGATCTGATGTTTTTATAAAGGGGAGTTTCCCTGCACAAGTTCTCTTCTCTTGTCTGCCACCATGTAAGATGTGCCTTTCACCTTCTGCCGTGATTTTGCGGCCTCCCCAGCCACGTGGAATTTAAGTCCATTAAACCTCTTTTATAAATTGCCCAGTCTCAGGGATGTCTTTATCAGCAGCATGAAAACAGACTAATACAGTAACCAAATAAATACACATAAAATTTCCTTTGAAATTTTTTTCCGAGGCTTACCATACGGTTACTAACAGCATCACAAAATACTTTTGGATATAGAAAGATGTTCACATCAATCAATCAATCAAATTTTATTATTATAAAAAACCTGAACATTAATGGTTTCACCTACAAAAGGCATACATATTTATGTCTTTATCAAATTTCTCCTTGGCAGAGAAAATCCTCTGAAAGATGAAGGTAAAATGCTATATGCTTTAGGTAACCATCATGAACAAATTTCTGATTAGTAGACTTTATGCTCCACCTCCACCCTGGATAAAGTAAAAAATAGAAAATAAAAAGAAATTCTTTCCCTCTCCAAAAGCTACAATACTGAGAAACTGTTAAGGACATGTTAATGTATGCTTTGGTTTCTTTTCTCTGCCTTCAGTATAATGAACATAGTTGTGTTTTCTTGTCCACCTGGGCCCATTGTCAAGGATCTCTTCCCACATAGCCATGGATGCACTGAGCTGTAACTTATTGAGCGGAATTGTATTTGCAATACAAGTGTAATCAGTTGTGATCCATTCTTGTATGAACAATGCTATAAAATGATATTGTAATATGTGCTTCATTAAGCACAATAGCCATTTTCAGGTGTAAATTCAAAACATTTCCCATTATGAGTTACTAGGCTTCCAGGTTAGGCCCTGTTTGGAACAGGCTTGTAAGGTTTGTAGTTGTATCTGTGCTTATTGGAATAATCTAGCCCATTAGGGGTTTCAAATTTATTCTGTAAAATCAAAAAAACAGCTTCGCTAATGTCATTTCTATTATGCTTGGAATGTTGCCTGAGCTAAAGTGTCATGGGACTAGTCAGCATCCACATGTTTTGGCATTTGCCCTTTCTTCCTGGATTTCACCAGCTCTAAACTGACAGACTAGTCTGGGGAAAATGTACTTTTTGGAATTGGTAAATGGTCAGTGATTTGTCTACTGCCTCTACCATACCCTAACCTGAACCAGCCTTCTTACTCACCATCTCCCAATTCACACACTCCTTTCTTCTTTTTAATGCAAACCACATGCAGTTGCTTGAAAGTGTCTTAATATGCAGTAGCCATTGCTCTCCCCACATTCAATTTGAACATTGAAACAAAGTTATGATAACTTTTTGAATGAATGTTGATTTATTCTTTTGAGTTGACAGCCACAGATTAAAATCCACCCTAGCCACAGGGAGAGACTGATTAGGCAAAATATTTATTTTCCTTCTCTATAATCTATACAACTGTGGAAATTCATTCACTGTGAGTAAATGTTTTTAACTACCTGGAATTCATAAAAAGTTCTCAAGCCTAACCTCAGGTGTCAGCTCTTTCCTGACCTCTTGGTCTGAAGATCAAATTCTTAATAAAATGTTCACTTTTATGACCCCTTCCAAATGGAGCTTATCATCGTTCTCCTAATATCCACACAGTTCAGTGTGCAAAGAAAAGAAAGTCTACCTTCCATTGAAACTCAGAGGGCTCATGGTATAAATGGGATATGGGTGCAGGAGAGCGGGGAGGATGGGAGATAGACCCTGGGTGTGGAAGGTCTCTGAGAAAGCTTACAGCAGGATGCCAGGAGGTGGTGGATACTGGGTTTAATGTTTCTGTATTATGTCTATGCTCTGACTATCTGAAACATTAATATGGTTTATTATGCCTGCTAACTGGGCACCTTTGTCTATCCTAAACACTGAGTCTCATCTGTAGGGTCTTCAATGTATCCTTTATCAGCGTCATCGGCCTGCCACATACATGATGCCTGAGCTCAGGCCACAGAATGAGCATCCTAAAGAAGAAGTTCACTCTTCTTGTGCTGGAAAACTAAATGGATCTCTTGGCCTGTATGCAATTCTTACTTTCTTCTTTTTATGGCTGTTTACAGAAACAAATACATAATAAATACAGCCATATTTTAATGAATATCAGCCACATGATTTATGATTTTTTTGGATAATATTTTTTATGAGTACCCAATTTATCCTTATCTGGACACCATGTACCATTCTCAGCGGGAGAACCAAATTGTATGTTAGCTGGGTCCTCAGAGTGCCAGCTGTCCCTTCTCTCCACACTACTTATCTGAATCCTTAAATCCAAGGGAGGAAGGGAGAACATGAATCAGATCGGAAGGAAAGGGTTGATCTCAGAAGAAAGGTAAGGATCATTAAGGGTATTCTGGAAGTACAATGTGGACATCTACCTGAAATAATTCTAATTTGGAGATAGAGTTGTTAAATAAAGTCATCATGAGAGGAGAAGCAATTAAGGGCACTATCTCAGAAGAAACAGATTCTTTCCTTTTAGATTTACTGTTTCCTCTAAAGCTCTCCCACACCATGCCTATCACCACCACTCATGGCCAGGATGTTTTTCCTAAGATAGAAATCTGATCATATCATCCCCATTTAAAATGCTTTTCTGGTTCTCCACCCTCTTTAGGATAAATGCTATGATGTCCCTTGGCATGTAAACATTCTGTGATTTGTCTACTACCTCTACCATACCCTAACCTGAACCAGCGTTCTCACTCACCATCTCCCAATTCACACACTCCTTTCTTCTTTTTAATGCAAACCACATGCAGTAGCTTGAAAGTGTCATAATATACAATCCATACCTGTACCTTTTCATACAAGGCAATCTCTCTCCCACAGGTGATTCCTCTGATTTTCTCATGGCAGCCTCCCCTTCCCAAAGCACCATCTCCTCCAAGAAGCCTTGATTGACTTGTTAAAGGCTAAGGAAGGGGTTCAGTCAATATTTTTCATAGCATTTTTCGATTCCCTCTATTACAGTACTTATTATCTTTTACTGTATACTTTTTGCATACTTGCACCCCATTAGAATATGAGCACCTTGTAAGCAAATAATATGTTTTCTATATTTTTCTGTCTTAATGCATGGCACTATTGGGACTTAATAAACTGATTTGAAAGAGTAAATACCTATTAAAGTCCAGATGTTCACACCAATCCTGTTGTTTCTAATACTGTACATAGGAAAGGGGCCCAAAGCCTCTCCAATAAGAGCCTAGGCTATTGGCCTGATTGAGATGCCATCTTATTCATAATTCAATCCTTCATGCTTTTTTTTCACTTATATCATTTTGGTGGGTAGGGGCTATGTTTACACATCATGGTATAATTTTTTATTACTTTACCACTTAGCACAGAATCTAGAACTTTATAGTAATAAAGCAAATCATTTGAGGCACTATAAAGCATGTTAAGATATTAATTTTACATAATCCTTCTGCCTTTTCTCTTGCAATGGTCTTTTTGGTCTCTCCCTATCAAACATCAATATATTTTTTGCCAGATATTTTTTCTTCATCATCAACCCTCCTAACTAGTAGTCAAAATTGGAACTGTCATGCCCAAAAAGTAGCAAATATTTAGTAGAATGAAAACAAGGTGTTAAAGGAAAGTAGTCTTTCTCATTCCAAATAACAATGTTATTCATTTTCGGCAATACTAGAGAGTTCGTAAATCTAAACTCCCTATATTCTCTCCACTTATGATAATATTTATGTGTTTCAAAAATTCAGTATTGGTGTCATAGAGTCATTTTTTATTTCTGAAACAGATATATTTATTTTGTTTTTTTGTTGTTCAAATATAGAATGAAATAATAACCTTAGCTCCATCAGCATCACTTAGACACACTACCCCAAACAGAAGATAAGATTTTAATAGGTCTGCTGCAATTAATTTATCTTTGTTTTATAAGAAAAAAGTATTTCATTTAAGTTTACATATACAAAATTATCTGATGAAGTGAGCGTATTGTTTCTGGCTGCCTAGTTTTTTTCATCAATCATAAGACCTATCTCTTACTGGATCTGCCATATGCCTTAACAAACATATAATAGTTTATGTGGGTAAATAAAAGGATATGTGAACTCAGAAAATAGGATATATCACTGTGTTTAAAACTATAAAAATTTCAAGAAAGTAAAAACATACCAAGCCTAAATCTCAAATAGAACAATGCAGAAGGAATCCAGATCCTTCTGTGGACTAATGGCAAACACGTCTGTCTCTGTATTTTTGTGGCTCTCCTATTACTAGTCTAACACTTAAATTAGTATTCGCTTATCCTTGGAATAAAAAGAGCATGCAAACCAGAAGATAACTCTACACCTTACTGTATTCAGTATTTCAAGGACAATACCGATTAAGAATAAACTTTACTATAAAGCAAGTAACAAGAAAGAAAGGGGACATTTTATAATAAAGCTTGAAGTAAGTGGAACACAGATTAAGGCTACTCCATGATCCACAAGACACTTCATAGGCATAAGAGAGTCGCCAGTGGAAGATTCCTCAACTCCTAAATGACACACTACCCCTTTTATGGGGCTCTTAATTCTTGAGAATTATTCTTGAGAATTCTTGAGAATAATTCTTGAGAAAAGTATATGTGTATTAACCAAAAAATCATTTATAAAATCAATATTCTTCTGGTCAATAATTAAAAGTTTGTTTTAAATGAAATTTTAAAATATAACAAAATATTAATACACGGTACAGGTTTTAGAAATCAGCCTTCTCTTCATAGATGACCTAGTTTAATCCAGGAATATGAAGTAATTTATGCAAGATTGTACATCTGTTTAACACTAGACATGGGTCAAACCTCAGGTTGCATGACTTTCAAGCCAGCATGTCACTACATTGTTTTCCTTTTAACAAGATCCACAAAGAGGCAAATGGTTTCCCCTTCTTATCCATATCGTGCTGGTTAAGCCAGTTTCTGAAGACTATGCATATTAGCAGCAGGAGGATAGTTGTAGACATATGAAAAGGAATGACTTCACCCAAAGAAATAGTCCTGTTGACCTTAAAAACTTTATAAAGCTTCCAAAGTTATCTTATCACATGTTTTTTGCTTATGTACTATTTTTCATATTTGGATTTCTATCTTCTTCTTTTCTAGTTCTATATACTATTTCACATTATACACACACACATATATATGTACATATATGTATAATGAGAAATTGTAAATACATGAGTGTGTGTGTGTGTGTGTGTGCATAGAGGTATGCATATATGTGTGTAGGTATATATATATATATATATATATATATATATATATATATATATCCCATGAAGTCAATATTGTCTCATTCAACAATAACTGAAGAATATATTATAATTACGGACAAAAAACAGCACCATAATATTTTAACAAAACCTATTTTTCAATCATAGCATACATATTTTAAAAACTAAAGAAATCATGAACATATAGCCTGATTAATTTTCACAAAGCAAATGCATTCATGTAAATAGCACCCTGATCAAGATACTGTTGTATTTTTACACCTGTAAATATATCCTATTTATATTTAACTTTGTAAGTGGAATCGCATCAGAGTGTTCTTGAAGAGGATTGACAAAGCCCTAAATTGTCTGAATAATCAAGCCTGCATTCAGCTTTTGATTACTAATTGGGTTATTTAAAAGCTTTCAGTTGAGCTTGAACAAACAACATGTATTTAAACCAGTTAAGAACTTACTTTTAAAAAATGTCCCGCTTCCTCATTTAATAAATAATCATAGTAGGCAGTTGCAATCCTATGTAATTTCTATCTAGAAATATTTATTTGTGCCTGAGTATATATCATACTGTGCTAGTAACTTTAATTTCATAGTATAGACTGTACTTCTTGATCTCTTTATTACAATTTCTTAACTCTGCAGACGTAAGGAGATCAGAATGTTAGATATTATCCAAGAGTTATTAATTAGATACTAATTGCCTTTACAGAAGAGTCATCACCAAACTTTTGACACTAATGTAGCATTCCATTGAATTTATTTCAGTAAGTTCACTTATGTCTGCCTTCTGAACTACCTTAGGACTTGCTATTAATAATGAATGCATTAATTTTCTACTCATGCTAGAGAAAAGATCTTCCACCATCCCACTTATCTTACTAAAGTGGAGGTTTGGAATGTTAAGAACAATCCATGCTGCAGAAAGTAGTCCTGGATTGTGCCAGTTAATGGCACATGGGAAACATGGAAAAACCACACAGAATCCCTATACAGTCACCTGTAGAGCCTCTTGTTTACATAATAAGCTTTACTTAGAGAGACAGCCGAGCTGGTTGGTCTCACAAAAGGGAGGATGATTCTTTTATTAGAATTATCACTTTTTTTTGCAGTGCATTTATTCATTCATCATATGTCTGTTACAGATGTGTCTAGATGAAAGGAGGAACTTAATTAAGATTTATTGAATAAACACTGTGAGAAAAGCTATTGTACTGCCATGCTGCTTTGCAGAGAAATTTGATTCTTGCTTCCCTCCTTATTCAATGAAAACTCCACATGAAAGTATCAATTTGTTCTTGGCTTCCTTGATATGCGTTTTGAAAGACAGTTGCTGAACCACAATGCAAGTGTATTTCCCTCTGGTTTTTATTCTATATTATGCACTATCACGTTGTCTATTTTATTTCACCATGAGAAATTCTCAAAGATTAAGGTAAAGTGAATGTGAAGACTCAAATGGAACTCCACTCTGACTGAGCAGGCCAGTTCAGGTGTTTCCCGGTCCTAGGACTTTGCAGATATGGAAACACTTCTCTGGAGAACCCATTATCCTCTTTAACTCAAAAGCCTAAAACATTCTGATGTGAACCGTATGCTCCCAAAGCATTGTGAATACCTGTATCAATTGTAATTGTTATTGCAATTAAGAAAAAATATTTAGACAACTATATTATACATTTCTTAAAATAAGGGATGGTATATTCTGCTTATACTCAAGAAGTCTGTACTGAATGAATTGCCATCTGTTTTTAATAGACTTGCTCAACTCCCAAGTTATCCAGGAGGACTTCTTTATTTCACCCTTACCTGAATCAATATCTCTTTCCATATACTGCTAGCGGTACTTTTCTATATTATGTGACTATCTCTATGTGTTTCTGTTGTGAAAGGAAAATACATTCTGGGACCCCAAAATCACTAAGCTAAAGGGAAAAGTTCAGCTGGGAACTGCTTGGGCAAACTTGCCTCCCATTCTCTTCAAGGTCACCCCTCTGCTCACTGAGATAAATGCATATCTGATTGCCTCCTTTGGAGAAGTTAATGAGAAACTCAGAAAATGCAACCATTTTTCTCTTATCTACCTATGACCTGGAAACTCTCTCCCACTTCGAGTTGTCCTGCCTTTCTGGACCAAACCAAAGTTCCTCTTATATGTATTGATTGGTGTCTCATATTTCCCTACAATGTGTAAAATCAAACTGTGCTCAGACCACCTTGGGCACATGTCATCAGGACCTCCTGAGGCTGTGTCACAGGCACATGTCCTTAACTTTGGCAAAATAAACTTCCTAAATTAGGTGAGATCTGTCTCAGATTTTTTGGCTTCACACTATTCTCCCTTACTAGATTTGAAGATCCTTAATGGTAGGGATTTTAGATGATTTATGTAGGCATGCTCTTCTCTAGTATATTCCTATATAATTAACAGGTATTCATTAAATCTATGTCGAACCACATCTACATCCATTGGCCCTTATGTGTTCATTTACATCAAACAGGCAGCATATCCTCCACTGAAAACTACGGATATATAGTAAAAATGATTCCAGAGGAAATGGATGTAAAATATTTTATTTCCAATAAAATGAGTTTTTTGAAATAGTATTTTAAAATTACCAAATGAATCTGTATTAGTCCATTTTCACACTGCTATTAAGAACTGCCCGAGACTGTGTAACTTAATGAAGGACAGAGGTTTAATTGACTCACAGTTCAGCATGGCTGGGGTGGCCGCAGGAAACTTACAATCATGGTAGAAGGCAAAGGGGAAGCAAGGCACCTTCTTCACAAGGTGGCAGGAAGGAGAATGAATGCAGGAGGAACTACCAAACGCTTATAAAACTATCAGTTCTCATGAGAACTCACTCACTATCACAAGAACAACATGGGGGAACTGCCCCCATGATCGAATTACCTCCACCTGGTCTCTCCCTGGACATATAGGAATTATAATTTGAGATGAGATTTTGGTGGGGACACAGAGCCAAACCATATCAGGATCTAAATTTTGTTTGGCATTGAGATGGCAAGATGTTGTTAATATTAGTGTTTTAATCTATGATGGTATATAATTAAATAGAATTTCAAGTGTGCAAGGCTGAGAGCTATGTGTCAGCTTCTGTATTACATTAGAGTATAGTTTACAGGTACAAAACGATTAAAGGATAATCATACCTTATTTTCCAGGTGTAATCTGCAGTGGTTAGCAAGGTTAGTAGTCAACAGTAGGGATGAAATAGAAAGCTTGCTATAGCGTGCAGCACATAGCATTTATATTCTTCAAGAGCAAAGCATAAAGAGTAAAACCTTGCAACAAAGCCACTGTGGAAATAGTCCGTTATTACATCAATATAAAGTCAAGTCACTATGTAAAATCGCATACCAATTTGAAAACTAAAATTGTCTTTGTTTTGTTTGGAATTCCCGATACATATCTATATGTATAGAGTTCATATTGTTTGGAATTCCCAATACATGTCTATATGTATAGAGTTCATAGTAAACAAAAGGCATGAAGCTCTAAGCCAGTGGGCTTGAATTTTCTCCACCATAATTTTTTTTTTTTTTTTTTTTTTTTTTTTTTTTTGAGACGGAGTCTCGCTGTCTCCCAGGCTGGAGTGCAGTGGCGGGATCTCGGCTCACTGCAAGCTCCGCCTCCCAGGTTCACACCATTCTCCTGCCTCAGCCTCCCGAGTAGCTGGGACTACAGGCGCCCACTACCACGACCGGCTAATTTTTTTTTTTTTTTTTGTATTTTTAGTAGAGACGGGGTTTCACCGTGTTAGCCAGGATGGTCTCGATTTCCTGACCTCGTGATCCACCTGCCTCGGCCTCCCAAAGTGCTGGGATTACAGGCGTGAGCCACCGCGCCCAGCCTCCACCATAATTTTTAAGGCACTCTCTCCTTTAATATTTCCAAAGTGACCTTCTAGCTTTATCTTTCATTTCTAAAACTATGTTTCTGCCTTGTTAAGAAAAAATGATATATTAAGGCCATTCGTTAAATGGCTATCATTTAAAAACTTATGATTTTCCACTTTAGGAAAAATTGTAATGACAAATCATCATAAAATTAGAGGTGAGAAAGTTTCAACTCAGGAATTTGTGTTGCTTTTTTCGATACAATAATTCTGTACAGGCTTCAAAAAGAGCAGACCAATGTTACAAAATATTTATATCATGCAATATATTTTGTAAGTATCTTGTGAAAGCAGCACAGTACACTGGAAATATCACAATTCTTTCAACACTTCCTTTCAATTATGAACATTATTATTTCATATTAATTTCCTAGAATGGGCATGTATGTACACTTATAGCCATAGGTTCTGAGTGATTTTTTTTACTACCCATATTTTTGAGACCCAGAACCTGTGTTGGGTGTCTCAATATGGACAAATATACATGATTACTAAATACAGCAATCAATCAGCTCAAGACTCAGTGTTGCCTGCATCTCTGGCTTTGCATTTTTGTCATTCATGCTAAACAGTACATTTAAGGATTTGCTGAAATGGCGATATATAAACTTATGGGATGTTGTTCTAGCAGGATAAGAGAGGAATTTATGTGATTGCTTATATTATGAAACATTAAGGCAGCAAATTGAAAGGGTAGATATCTCTAGAGGTATTTCCTGTATCAGAGAAGCCCAGTACATTTTTGGCTGACACAGCAAAAATCAAATTCTAAGTTTATTGTGTCATCTGCTAATTTGAAATTAGTCTCATCAAGTCTCTTATGTAAAACTTCAGCTATTAATTTTTTTAAAAAAAGGACTGTAAGAAGTGAAAGTAGCCTACATTTGAGAATGTATTTGGATGACTCTGAGAATCTAAGCCCTGAAGGCCTGCTGAGTGATGCTGGCCAGAAGCAGCAGCCTGTCCATCTGTGCCTGATGAGACTCTTCTTGCTTCGCTTGAATGACCTTGCCTAAGGGGTTAGCTAGCAATGGGAAGCAAACGTCCTCAAGTCCCTTCCCCATTGCCTCCACACCTATGACAAAAATTATATCCCAGAGTTGGTGGAGGACAGGGTCACAAAGTCTAACAGAAAGCTTAACTCAACAATGGCAAAATTTTGCTAACTTAAACTGGCAAAAATGTGAAACTTAATTGTTTCACATGAATACATTGTAAGGAGGCCAAACCAGGGAAAGAGGAATAGCTTCCAATCAGGATGGAAGTATTGATAAAGATGCAATTAATGGAGAAGAAGAATCCTCAAACAATGAAAATTGGCTCTAATTGTTTACTTGGTTGATTGCTGGCTTTTTTTTCTTAAAGATGTCCAATACTAAATAAGGTTGAGAAAAAATTTCTTTAGGATTTTATGGAAAAAAGTTGGAATGTGACATTTATGATTCACTGAACTACTACAAACAAACCTTCGGCAGTCTACTGAACCTGCTCTATCCAACCTTACTAACATCTAGTTTGGCATTACTCAGCCTTTCTTTCCATTGACCTATCACCTTTTGACATTAAGAAAACTTTTGTTTTGCAACATTTTTAGCATAGTTGGAATTCCATGTTGGGACTGGACGAATACTTTTGTAGGAGGTAAACAAATATACACAATCTTCAAAAAGTCTGGCTATAAATGAGGTTAAGAACCATGAGCAGTGGGAACATATACATTTAGGGTTAGTACTAAATATGGACAGAAATCTTAAAATTCTGGATTCTTAAAATCTAGATAAGAATTAGCATTAACATTTAGGAAGTACTCAGTAATTTTGGATTAAATATATGAATAAGTTTAACAGAGATAGTGCTTCTTTCACTGGTCATAAGAAACCTTAATTGGCAAGAACAATCCAATTCCAGCAGGTTAGGCTCATGCATCTGATTAAAAATAAATAAATATGGCCGGGTGCGGTGGCTCAGGCCTGTAATCCCAGCATTTCGGGAGGCCGAGGCGGTGGATCACAACGTCAGGAGATCGAGACCATCCTGGCTAACACGGTGAAACCCCATCTCTACTGAAAATACAAAAAATTAGCCGGGCGTGGTGGTGGGCACCTGTAGCCCCAGCTACTCAGGAGGCTGAGGCAGGAGAAGGGCGTGTACCAGGGAGGCGGAGCTTGCAGTGAGCCGAGATCGCGCTATTGCACTCCAGCCTGGGTGACAGAGCGAGACTCTATCTCAATAAATAAAAAATAAATAAATAAATAAATAAATAAATAAATAAATAAATAAAGTAGTGAACTATTCTTCAATCATTTGTTGACTTCTCCAATCATGGGCTTTGGTTGATCTCATTAAGGGAGCTCTTTCATGTTGGTGTGTTAGAAACAGTCTCTCTATAGCACTCATATCTACTAGAGAATAAGAATAATATCTGGAAAACTACTTCACTTTTGAAAACTGGATATTTCTTTCTTGATTTTAAAAAAAAATTAAGTTGTTTCTTTAAATAAACCAACAAACAAAAAAAGAGCTACTACGTTTTAATAGTGTAGAAAGTCATGAGATATTTCTCAATCCAAGGTAAAATATGTAGGTATATAAAATATAATTCTTCATTCTTGAATTATTACTATTTAAATTCATTATGATTTTATTGATATGAATACCTTGAAAAGATGAAGGCTAAATTGCACAAGGTAATAACTTGAAAATAAGTAATACTTTAAGCATAAGAATATTTATTACTGGAGATTTTAAAATTGTACCATCTTGGGCTGGAATAACTTACAGTGGTTATAATTCAATTTATAATAGGCATCAATTTGTTTTCAAAAGCTAAGATGTAAAGTCAAGAGACTGGAAAGTGAGAATGAATTCATAATGGGTAGTTATGTTCCCATCTGGAAATGGCATAAATAAAAATAAATGAAATAAATGACCTTTCCTATTTGCATATTTAAAGATTAACTAGAAACAGACTGTTTTGAATTATTTCCATTTAAATAAATTGTATAACCTGAGAAGTTTGCATTTTAGACCCCTCTATTTTATAAGAATCACAGCATGAGATTTATTTTATTCACATAGTGTGTTATGTACTCCTGAGTAAAGCCACAATTTGGTAACTCAGTTACAGCCCACGTGAGCATTCATAGTACCTTTAAGTATGTCCTTGCATCCTTGCAAACTGCCATGTTCACCCATTCTCCAAATAGCCACACTCATGTTATTTAGTAGGTGCACCAGGAGAATGCCACCAATAATCATTTGCATATTCAATTGCTTTTTGTGCCAAAACTCCTGACAAAGGGAAGCATTTGACATTTACACTGTTGTTAGCTTATCATATTGAGAAAAATAAGCCATATAAAACTTGCCAAATTTTTTATAAGCCTCAAAGCTAAATGCATGTTGAAAAAAAAATTTATGCAAAATGTCAGAAATGATGACTAGGGATATTTTTGCATTCTCAAATTGCATTAAAATTACTATAAGAGTAGAAGCGAAGGAAAGGATTAAATCTGTAAATACCTAGGAAAAATACATGTACCATGAATTTTGAGGAAGTTATTCAAAAATGAATACCTATAGAATTAGTTTGATGGAGAAGCCAGAGAAAAGAACCTGTAACCCCAAATGCACACCAGTCAGTGAATCCAGATGTAAGAGTTTTTCTGTTCATGGGGAAAATTTTCAAGCCCAGAGGCAAGAGGCACAGGAAGTATAATCAAATCACAGGAAAATTTCAAAGTAATTAATTAAATAAAAGTCTCCTGTGAAAGAGATGAGCAGATTTCCTTGAATGAGCTTCAGATCTCTGCAACAGTCAGGAAGTAAAACAAACAAAACAAGCAAAAAACAAAGCAAACTAAAGTAATATGTCAGCTTGGAGTAAAAGAGAGAAGAATACTTAAATTGTTCGCTTGCTCTTCTCCAGGAAACCTAAGAGGCATTCTGACACTCACAATATTAGATTCCATTCCTGCCTTGTAAGGTATGTCTATTGTAGAAAGAGATGAATCCCCAGTTCTAATTCTCCCATCTCTCTTAATTACACTTCAAAAAGTCCAGCCTTTGATGAATCAAGGGTATTCTGGGAAACCACTATATTTTTAAAAACTGGTATTTAAAGTTTTTGCACATATTGCCCTGGAAAAATTTTGAAGATCTAAGTATTTCCTCACAATCTTATAAACCAATATCTACTTTTTCGTATGACTTACAAAGATTATAATTTCATATATAATGTAAATTTTATAATTTTAAATAATATGGTTATATCACCCTTTATGCTCATCTGATGAAATGTAATTGTAAAAAATCATATACCAATATTCATTTATTTAAAAATACATTAAGAAGTTTTACTTTTATTACGGGAAATTTTAAATAATTTCTTTTCTCCTGACATTGTATTTCCATTCCACTCTTCTTGAAGAATTTTATGCCAGTGCAGTATATTCTTATGCTTAAAGTATTATGTATACCTCTATCATATGTCTCTGCAACAATTACAACAAATATACATATGTGTATATATATGTATGTGTGTATGTATGTATGTGCATGTACATATATAGAAATCTATTCATTTTAATTTTCCCTAATAATAAAGCTCTAAATATTTTACAAGAATCTTCTAGATTTAACTTCAGTATTTATAGTATATAATTGATGAAAACCACTTAAATATTTATTCAGATTTTGCTAAAATAATATTATTGTTTGGTATGGAGTCCTGCATAAATTTTAGGATGGTGATAGATATGTCTTCCTTTTTTAAAGTAGGTAAAAACAGTTTTTTTCAAAGGGAGGAGGGAAAAGAGAATGTTAGGTGCCTTCAATGCAGGCCCACTGTCAGTCAGATCAATTTTGGAAAATCATGTACCTCAGTTAACCAAGATGTGGTTTTCTTTCTTCTTCTTCTTCTTCTTCTTTTTTTTTTTAATGGTACCTTAAGCTCTGGAATACATGTGCAGAACGTGGAGGTTTGTTACATAGGTATACACATGCCATGGTGGTTTGCTGCACCCATCACCCCATCATCCACATTAGGTATTTCTCCTAACGCTATCCCTACCCTAGCCCCCCACCCCCTGACAGGCCCCAGTGTGTGATGTTCCCCTCCCTGTGTCCATGTATTCTTATTTTTCAACTCCCACTTTTGAGTGAGAACATGCAGTGTTTGGTTTTCTGTTCCTGTGTTAGTTTGTTGAGAATGATGGTTTCCAGCTTCATCTATGTCCCTGCAAAGGACATGATCTCATCCTTTTTGATGGCTGCATAGTATTCCATGGTGTTTATGTGCCACATTTTATTTATCCAGTCTTTCATTGATGTGGTTTTCACAATTGTATAGCTCCTGAAATATTTCCATGTACTCACATTTGTGCACATATTGCACTTTTAGGTCTCCTATTTTAACATGTCAAAAGTACAGGCATTTTTTTTTTTTTTTTGCAAAAATACAACCTAAGAACTTTCTGAAAATTACAGTTTGGTTACTAGAGAGTTGCTACCTAGGATAGAGGTAATTTCGTCGTACTGAGCATGTATAAAGGGTTATTCTTAGAGATATAACATTATCAATTCCAAAAAAAGGTATTTAAAGGAGTGCTGATAAAATGTATTTGAAAGGTTCATGGTGTTTTATACAGTAATTAATAAGGATGTATCATTTGGTTGAGAATTCTTTTATTTCTCTAAATTGTAATGCTGTCTTAATCTAGAAGGAGTAGTTTCTTCATTAATGATGCCATTGGTTATATAATTTACTTATGCAAAAATATTTATTTCAACCTACTAGGTGAAAAACAAAGGTTTTACAACTAACTGATAAAAGTGATTACTTCTGGGAAATAGATTTAAGGGCACGT
Organism: Homo sapiens; assembly: GCF_000001405.40. NCBI lineage: Eukaryota > Metazoa > Chordata > Mammalia > Primates > Hominidae > Homo > Homo sapiens. Next base: position 86,400,297 of record NC_000014.9, on the reverse strand, counting down.
TGGCATGGTATTATGAGGAATAGAATTTCAGCGTTTACTTCATAGAATTTTTAAATGAAGAGATTAAAATTATTGTACTCAATGTTTTGAAATATCTGTAAATATGTAATGCCTACAGTGAATTAATCAACATATGCATTATATCACAGAGTTATAATTTTGTGGTGAGAACAATTAAAATCTACTCTTTTAGCAATTTTCAAAAATACATCTCATTGTTACTAATTAAAGTCACCATGTTATACGATAGATCTCTTGAACTTAATCCTCCCATCTAACTGAAATTTTTTATTGTTTGCTCAACAACTCCCTCTCTCCATCATCAAGCCCCTGCCATCCACCAAGCTATTGTCTATCTCTGTGAGTCTCACTTTTTTAGATTCCACATGTAAGTGAAATCAAGTAGTATTTATCTTTCTCTGCTTTGTTTATCTCACTTAACATAATATTCTCCAGGTTCATCCACGTTGTTCCAAATGACAGGATTTCCTTTTTTTTTTAAGACTAAATAGTATTACACTGAGTATCTATACCACATTTTCTGTATCCATTCATCCACTGATAGACATTTAGGTTGATTCCATATTTTGGTTATTGTGAATAATGCCTCAATGAACATAGGAGTATAGATATCTCTTTGACATACCGATTTCTTTACCTTTGGCTCTATAGCCAGTACTGGGATTTCTGGATTAGATGGTAGTTCTATTTGTCATTTTTTTGAGATACCTTCATACTGTTTTCCATAATGGCTGTTCTAATTTGCCATCTTACTGGCAACATACAAGGGTTCTCTTTTCTCCACATCCGTGTCAGCACTTATTATCTTTCCTTTTTTTTTGTTTTTTGATAATAGCCATTCTAACAGGTGTGAGGTGATAATGCTGTGGTTTTCATTTGAATTTCTCTCATTAATAGTGGTGTTGAGCATTTTTTTATATATACCCGTTGACCATTTATTTGTATGTCTTTTTTGGAGAAATATCTGTTCAGGTCCTTTGCCCATTTGGAAGTCAGTGAAAGTTTTCAAATTCTTTTTATAAAGAATTGTATATGCAAAAACTCAGAGGTAATTAACCTTTTCAAATATAGTTATTCATCCCAATTCTGTATTGCCTTAATATTTTGTTATTAATATCATGACAGTAAATTCTCAAATTGTTTCTGTTATATATAGTAAGTTGATTAACTTTACATGTTTTATTCTAATGTAGAGATATACATTTGAAAATATTTTTGGCGTAAAATAATGTGGCTTTTTTTTTGTAATTTACAGTTTTTTGAAGCTGTGGTAAAATAGTCAAACCTGGAGAAGAAATAAAATTATATCGTATTACAGTAGAATAGGAAACGACCAGTTCACACCAGTAATTAGTTTGTAAGCAAAGGCTGGATTGCTTTGACATTATAGGAGAAAGTCTGTGTATCACATTAAGTCATAGAGCAGGGTTTGGCCTGGGGTCTGTGGAGCATTTATATATATATATATATAAAAATATTTGGAGAAACAACTGTAATCATGTGTCAGTGTAATGTTACAAGTTACAATAGAAACTATTTCTCTGGTTAAATTAAGAGAAGAGAGTATTACTATATTCTGGTTGTATAGCTTCTTTCTGGAAAGTTTTGTGGTTAGTGGGCTAGTTCTGCAATCAGCTTGCTTAGCAAGTTTGGAATATTTGTATTTTTCATATAAAGACAGGGAAATATAATATTTGAAATGTTTTTACAAATAGAAATGTCAGCTAAAATGACTTTTCCCAACAGTGGTGGTGCTAGGATTGTGTTTTTCTTTTCTAATTCTTGTTTTAAAAAAGAATGTCTTGTATTCCCCCATGAATTAAATGGGAACCACAAAAATAAAAGAAATATATATTGTTGTAGAGTATTTTTTATTTCTAGATAAATGTGTTATTAGAAAAAACTTATAAATTTTATAAAATGCACATTCAACACTTATTGAAATCAAATATGTATATGTACAAACATTTTCTTTATTTTTTTTTTCTTTTTTGAGATGGAGTCTCACACTGTCGCCAGGGCTGGAATGCAACGGCGCAATCTTGGCTCACTGCAACCTCTGCCTTCTGGGTTCAAGCGATTCTCATGCCTCAGCCTCCTGAGTAGCTGAAATTACAGGTGCCCACCACCATGCCCAGCTAATTTTTTGTACTTTTAGTAGAGATGGGGTTTCACTATGTTGGCCAGGCTAGTCTCAAACTCCTGACCTCATTATCCGCCCACCTCGGCCTCCCAAAGTGCTGGGATTGTAGGCGTAAGCCACTGTGCCTGGCTTGTACAAACGTTTTCTTTGTATAAACTCTGTATATTTTTCTTTATTTCATTTTTTGTTGTTGTTGTTTTCATCTAGTTTATGGTATTAATAGACTTACTTACATGGAACACATCCTTGCATTCCCAGATGGTTATTTAATAAACCATTAATATTAATGGATTGATTATTAAGGCCATCTTTAAGCAGCTATTATGTTGGTTTAGAGATTGGTTTCTGACTTCACATTTCCCAGTTGGTATGCTGGGTTCTTCCCTTAACAGCCATATAAATTTAATCAAGCTGCTTATCCTCACTGTGCCTCAATTTCTTTATCTGTTAAAATGAGAGCAATAATAATACCCCACATATTTATTATGATGCTTTAAAGTGATAGATATAGACAGAAAGATAGCTCAGTCCTTAAAAAATAATGCTTGAATTCTAAAGTAAGGGAGGTACAACAATTTATTAAACAATAATAAAAACAACTTTACCAAATGGCTGACAATGATTTATCACGGTTCCCACTGATAAAAGACAGTGCCTTTAAAATTCACAAATACATGCATGCACACATGCACACAAGCATACATGTGTGTGCACACATACATGCAACGACTGCAAACACTCGCTAGTTCAGGCAATGATAGTGCTCTTCAGGTGGCCCCTCAGTAGTGGCATGTTCAGCGGATGGAGTCATTTCTGATTTGGGTTGGAATAAACAGAAATAGGAAATAAGCAAGGGCGTGTGTGAGAGTAATGGCATAGGTAATAGTTGCCTTAGAAAAAGATTTGGTCAAACAATCCTAGAATTATGGAGAAAAACTGTAGTAGAATAATTTTCACAATCAAAATTATATCACGTTTTTGTCACAGTGATGTGTTTGCCTTACTTTTATTTCTGAGATGTTAGTTGAATAAAAAAAAAAGACTTACATTAGCACTCATAGGCTATACCTCTGGGAATAAGTGTACTTTGGCCTGCTAGTTCTGAACTGAACTAGCATCATTTGCATCACGAGCCTGGCAGCCTAGAGGCCAGCCCTGTTTCTAAAGTTCTGTTCATGGTCATTGCACAGGGGACTCTTCCTGACTCCATTCTTCCTCTATTTGATACTTACTTTTTAGTTGGTCTCTTGCTTGCGGTTCAAAAATAACTTTTGTCTTTATCTATTGACTTTCATTCTCTTGGTTTGTCCAAAGCACAGTCTTAAGACTGCAACATCATAGATTCGAGTCTCTATATCCTTTCAGTGGTGAAGGATGGGACAAGAGGTGGAAATCGGCACTCTCCAGGCGCGAGAGACTGGAAAGATTGTGGAGTTCACGCCAACTTTGCTTCAAAATGTGTTCCAGGGTTCACTGTGACATACCATTTTAATTACAGATCATACTAGAAAATTCAGCATTGGTTTTCCTCTGTATTTATGGTTAATAAAGAAAATGTACATGTACCTGAACACACACACACACACACATAAACACACATATTATATTGGAATTACATGTCCCTCTTCAATAGATACTTCCCAATAGTAACTAGAAAAGCTACTGAACTATCATAAATATTTATTAGGAAATTATTAAGTGTTTAACCTGCAACAGTCCAACAAGGTACCCGCTATGATTCAAAAAACCTACCCTATATTCTTAAATAATTATGGCTCCTTAAAAAATCTTAATACCATTTTTCATTTGAAAAAGTAGAGAGAAACATGAAGAAGAAATTTTCCACTTTCAACCAAGTGGCAATGAAATATAAAAATCAATAGATTTTTCCCACAGCTAAAAATATGAGTCACCTGAGCCACTCTCATTTTTTCCACTACACAACGCAGAATTATATTCTTGGGTGAAAGCAGCTGTTACCCTATCACTGCTCAAATCAATATCGACTCTATGTCTGTGAACCTTCTGGCTAAAAATGTATATCAAAGATGCTATAAGCAAGAAAGAATCATTTTTATCGTGTTTCCTTGACTTCTCTATGCTCCCTCTTTTAGTTTATACATAAAAGTCAAGGCATTGGGATTTTCCTCAAAGCTTCAGCATTGAAACACTTGTTGAGTGCAGTTTATGGCCTCATATTGTTCTTGAAAAATACTAGCCTTTACAAAATAAATCAACATTTTTGTCCAACTCAGTCAACTATTCTGAGATAAAAATCCATCAGAGAAATACACACTTGAAGTGAATTTGTCCCAGTTAGCAATATAACATTTCAAGAAAGTTATGAGGAAATTATTCCTAATAAATTTATGTGTAAATAATTTAGTCAATAGTGAATATACCTATAAGGTTACAGTTACATTTCTGATTTTTAAATATTTTAAAGCTACAGAATAGATTACTGTTTTTCTAAAACAAATATATCTCATTTTCTTATTTTACGTTTTTACAGAGTGACACAGATGCATAGTTTAGATATCTGTCCCTTCCAAATTTCGTGTTGAAATTTGATCCCCAAAGTTGGAGGTAGGGTCTAGTGGCAGATGTTTGGGTCTTGGGGGTGGATTTTTCCTGAAGAGATGAATGACCACCCTGGGGAGGGGGTGAGTGAGTAATTACACTGTTAGTTTCCCCTCCATTGCTGCTTCTCTTTCCATGTGATCTCTGAATACATCAGCTCCCCCTCACCTTCTGCCATGAGTAGCAGCAGCCTGAAGCCCTCACCAGAAGCAGAGGCTGGTGCTATGCTTCCTGTACAGCCTGCAGAACCTTTTTTTTTTTTTTTTTTTTGAGACGGAGTCTCGCTCTGTTGCCCAGGCTGGAGTGCAGTGGTGCGATCTCGGCTCACTGCAAGCTCCGCCTCCCGGGTTCACGCCATTCTCCTGCCTCAGTCTCCCGAATAGCTGGGACTGCAGGCGCCCGCCACCACGCCCGACTAATGTTTTGTATTTTTAGTAGAGACAGGGTTTCACCGTGTTAGCCAGGATGGTCTCGATCTCCTGGCCTCGTGATCCGCCCGCCTTGGCCTCCCAAAGTGCTGGGATTACAGGCGTGGGCCACCGTGCCCAGCCTTTTTCTTTTTTTTCTTTTTTTTTCTTTTTTTTGTTTGAGACCGAGTTTCACTCTTGCTGCCCAGGCTGGAGTGCAGTGGCGCGACCTCGGCTCACGGCAACCTCGGCCTCCCGGGTTCAAGCGATTCTCCTGCCTCAGCCTTCCTGAGTAGCTGGGATTACAAGCATGCGCCACCACGCCCGGCTAATTTTGTATTTTTAGTAGAGACAGGGTTTCCCCATGTTGGTCAGTCTGGTCTCTAACTCCCGACCTCAGATGATCCCCCCGCCTCGGCCTCCCAAAGTGCTGGGATTACAGGTGTGAGCCACTGCGCCCAGCCTCTTTTGTTTATAAATTACCCAGCATCAGGTATTCCTTTACAGAAACACAAAAATGAACAAAGATGCAAAGCTTTATTGTGTCATTCCCAGCAAAAACTAGGAATACGAAGATTTGCATCTGTTACTGATGATTAAGAACCACTGAGAACACATATGGATTATAATGATGACTTCAAACAAACAGGAAAAAATAAACCTTAATGGCAAGTTTGATAAATTTTTTTTCCAGAAATTTTAAATTCAGAGAACTAATGTTTAGGAACATGCACATATTAACTTGTTGATTTTTTTTTTATTTCCTCACTATAGTTTAACTAATGCTAAATTTTATTCAGGAACCCACCATGTCTGTAAATAACTTCTTAAATTAATCTTTTAAATTAATATATTATTTTATAACTCTTTCCTGGCTGTGATGTAAGTCAAATGCAAATATTTCTGATAGCTGCAGGTCCTATTAAATAGCCAAGAGCTAATAAAAATGTCATGAGGCTTAACACACCTCTGACTTGTATATCCTCATCACTCCCACTAGATTTTGGTGGCCTTAAATTAAATTAAGAATTAAATAAAACATAGAAGGAAAGAGGGAGAGTGGGAGAGAAAGAAAGATAGATCAAGGATTGAGAGAGAGAGAGTGTATATGTGTTTGAGTTTACATTTGGGAGGTAGAAAATTTCTTCTCACCAAGTTTTAAGCCAACTTAAATGGTGGAACAATTTGTAAATTATGGAATTCAAATCAAATACAAAGTTTTAATGTTAGTTCAGACAAGTATTTTTCATGAACAATGTACTCAAATAATGTTAATTTTATTTTGAAGTTTTCTGGAGGTTTTTCATTTAAGATGATGGAATGAGGTGGTATGTTTCAGCTCCCCAACTTAGCCACAAACCCAAATGACGACAGATTAAAATAAAATAAATAAACACATGAGCTAAAGTAGAAGAAAGAGGAGGAATTGGAAGATAAGAAGAAGAATGAGAAAATGATAGAGAATAAGAGGAAAGAGGAAAGAAAGAAGGAGGAAGAGAAGAAAGAAGAAAAGAAGAAGGGGAGCATGTAAGTCTTAAATTGGAAAGAGAGTTCAAAGCTGGAATAATCAACAAATACTATTGGTTTAGACTTGCTAAAGAACTGGGCTTGAAAAATTAGCACCCATACTGATGTAAAGAAGAAGAGATGTCATTTTTATGGCTGGGAAGTTGGAATTTAATTTCCTTCAGATACCCCAGTTATACATATGGTTTCTGTAGACTGTTAGAAAGTAGTTTTAAAAATGCCACTTAATGGCCCAAAGAATGAGAAAGGAAGTTTGCCAATTGATTGAGGATCTGTGTGAGTGTGTATGTGTGTGTGTGTGTGCGTGTATGTAGAGGGGGTATTAGTTGTTTCATGATATTGGAAAACTAAGTGCACACTTCTGCCAGAGTGGGGTGTGAGTTTATATAGAGACATACCTCATTTCATTGTGTTTTGCTTTATTGTGCTTCACGGATATTGTGTTTCTTTACAAATTGAAGGTTGATGGCACCCCTGAGTGGGCCATGTCTATCAATACCAACAGGTTGTGCTCGCTTTGTGTCTCTGTGTCATATTTTAAAAATTTTCACACTTTTTCAGATGTTTTCATTATCATTGTATCTGTTATGATGATGTGGGATCAGTGATGTTTGATGTTACTCTTATAACTGTTTTGGGGTACCACAAACCATATTCATATAAGACAGGAAACTTAATAAATTTGATGTGTGTGTGCTGACTTCTCCGCTGACCAGCCATTCCCCCATATCCCTTACCTCAGGCCTCCCTATTCCATGAGGCAAAACAATATTAAAATCAGGCCAGTTAATAAGTCTACAATGGAGTCTATGTGTTCAAGTGAAAGACAGAGTTTCACATTTTTCACTTTAAATCAAAAGCTAGAAATCATTAAGCTTAGTGAAGAAGGCATGTCGAAAGACAACACTGGCCAAAAGCTAGACCTCTTGTGCTAAAAGTTAGCCAATTTGTGACTATAAAGGAAAAGGTATTGAAGGAAATTAGAAGTGTTACTCCAGTGACCACACAAATGACAAGCAAGTAGAAGAGCCTTGTTGCTGATAGGGAACAAGTTTTAGTAGTTTGGATAAAAGAATAAAACAGCCCATAGCCTTCCTCCCTTAAGCAAAAGCCTAATCCAGAGGAAGACCCTAAATCTCTGAAATTCCACAAAGGCTCAGAGAGGTAAGAAAGCTGCAGAATAAAAATTTAAAGCTCTCAGAGGTGGGTTCATGAGGTTTAAGTAAATAAGCCATTTTCATAACATGAAAGTGCAAGGTGAAGCAGCAAGTGCTGATGTAGAAACTGCTGCAAGTTATCCAGAAGATCTAGCTAAGAATGGTGATGAAGGTAGCTGCACTCAATGACAGATTTTCAAGTTAGATAAAACAGCTTTATATTGGAAGAAGATGCCGTATAGTAGGTGTATAGCTAGAAAGAAGTAAATACCTGGCTTCAAAGAAGTAAATACCAGGCTTCAAGAAGTAAATATGTGGCTTCAAAGCTTCAAAGGACAGGCTGACTCTCTTGTCAGCGTTAGAAGTGGAGTCACATCTTTAGACCCCACTTCTAATCCTAACTAAGATATGACTGAATTGCTGCAATCAACATAAAACTTGAATGGATGAGGAGTTGCTTCTTATAGATCAGCCAAAAAGCAGTATTTTTTTCGAGATGGAAGCTACCCCTCGTGAACATGCTGGGAGCATTGCTGAAAAGACAACAAAGGATTTAGAATATTATATAAACTTACTTGATAAAGCAGCAACAGGATTTGAGAAGATTAACCCCACATTTGAAAGAAGTTCTACTGTGGGCAAAATGCTATCAAACAGCATTTCATGCTACAGAGAAATTATTCAGGAAAGGAAGAGTCAATCAATGTGCAAATTTTATTGTTCTCTTATTGTGAGACATTGGCAGAACCACCCCAACTTTCAGCAGCCATCACTATAATCACTCAGTGGTTATCAGCATCAAGACAAAACCCTTAAACAGCAACAAATTACAACTTGCTGAAGTCTTGGGTGGTTGTTAGCATTTCTTGGCAATAAAGTATTTCAAATTAAGATATGTACATTTTTTAGAATAGTGCTGACAGAGGATCCTTAGGGTATTCCTTCATCAGCCGGAAACTTCTGTGGCCGGTGGCACCTCTGCTTGGGTTTTGCTGGCACCCACTGGGCTCATTCCACCCACTTGGCCCAGCAGGCTGCATTCGGCTTGTGCTACCAGCCTGGACCTGATGCCTGCCAAGGGTGAGCCAGGAGCAGTGTGGCTAGGGGTGTGTGAGCGAGCAAGTGTGGGTTCTGGCCCCTACATATAGCCAGGTACACCAGCTGCAGCTAGGCAGGCAGCTCCAGGTGCCAGCATAGGCACCAGCTCTGTGCAGGTTTGTGGCTGGACCAGACATACTGCCAGAGGCTTTCACTGCGGGCACCTATGTCTGGACAAGGGGAACACAATGTTGCCCGAAAGCTCTGAGATTCCAGAAACCGCAGAGCTCCAAAGAGGGTTTTACAGCATGTCACAGTCATGGCTCCGGAAGCCCCAAGTTCTGGGCTCCAGAAGGGCTGCAGCTCTTCTCTCCTTCTCATTGCCCCAACATGCCAAGCAGAGGGTGTGTTTCAGCCTTTTTTGTGTTGCCATTCTTTCAGTCCTGCCATTCAGTGGGTCCTGAGTCCTTGTCTCATGTCCAAGAAGAATGAGGTATGCAGACAACTGGGTGAGCAAGATGGAGAGGAGCTTCACTGAGTGACAGATCAGCTCTCAGGAGACCTGAAGTGGGTAGCTGCTTTCCACAGGCAGGTCGTCCTGATGAGTGCAGGGACCTGAAGTGAATAAGTTATCCACAAGCAAATCGTCCCAACGAGTGTAGAGGAGACCTGAAGTCTGTGGCTCCTTTCAGCAGGCAGGTTGTCCTAAGAGTGTCTGAGTCTGGCTGAGTCCAGGATTTTTCTTGGCTCAGAAGGGAGGAAGTGCATGCTGATTGGTCCATGGGCAACCATGGCTTAGCCTGGAAAAAGCACCATAAGTTCTCGCTCCTGGTTGTGGACTCCACCCAGTACTGGCAGCCTGGCCCCAAGGCTTCTGGCCATCCCTGCTTGAAGGTGGGATTTCACAAGGGACCCATCTCTTCCTGCCTAGGAACCTGCCTGCCTCCTGCCATCATCAACATGTCATCTATGGTGCCCAGGCTGTTTGCATTGAGGGGCACCTGCAGGCTCATGCTGAGCCGCCCTCAGCCCACTGGCCTCCCTCCCATGCTTGTCAGTAATCAAAGTCTGGAGGGGACCAAGGCAGCAGGGAGCTGGCATGCCAGCATCACTCTGAGCTTGCGCACACGTGGCCAGGTCATGGCAGTGTCTGGGCTCAGCCACAACTTTGCTCTGCACTGGAGCAGGCTCTGAAAGCCAAGAGAGGCCAGGGAGCAGGAGCAGGCACTTCAAGCCTGCAGAGACAGGGGGCTTCCCAGGCCCCCAATGGCACAGGGATGCCCGAGTCCAGACCCACTGCTGGGCATCTGTAGCTGTGCCCAGGATCATGGGGCTCCCACCCCATCAACTCAGTAAAGGATAAGGATCCTGCCTGTTCCTGGCCCCCACCAGCTCTGTGTAATGCATGGCCTCAGCTGAGCCTCCCCTGCTGCAGCTGGCATCCTCACAGCGGCCACTCCAGATGTGCTGCCACTGCCATCAGTACTACTGCGTACTTAATAGCCTACAGTATAGTATAAACATGAGTGTTATATGCATTTGGAAACCAAAAAAAAGTGTGATTTATTTTATTGTGATATTCACTTTTTTTGCAATGGTCTACAACCAAACCTGTGATTCCCCCAAGATGTGCCTGTAATATGTGAGTACATGGGTATCAACTAAATGAAAATAAATAAATAAATAGATAATAGATGACTGATATAGTTAGATAGATAGATAAATGATAGATAGATAGATAGATAGATAAAGATTTACTCAGAACCTAGGAGAAAAGCAAGAAATAAACATTGTCGAGCTGCTCACGGTGACTCACACATGCAATCCCAGCACTTTGAGAGGCTGAGGCAGGCGGATTACCTGATTTCAGGAGTTCGAAATCAGCCTGGCCAAGATCGTGAAACCCCATCTCTACTAAAAATACAAAAATTTGCCAGGTGTGGTGGTGTACACCTGCAGTCCCAGCTACTTGGGAGGCTGAGGCAGGAGAGTTGCTTAAATCCAGGAGGCAGAGGTTGCAGTGAGCCGAGATCATGCCATTACACTCCAGCTTGGGTGACAGAGCAAGACTTCATCTCAAAAAAAAAAAAAAAAAAGAAAGAAAGAAATATACATTGTCTAAAGGTATGCCCACTAATGGCAGATGTAAGCATATGAAAACAGCAATCAGGGTGAGCTCATAATTTTATAAAATAAACATAATCTGATATAACAATCATTAGCAGATTAAATAAACAGAAAAATTTATTCTGCAAAAGTTTGAAATAACAGAAAAATCTTTAAAAGTTTAAAAATGTGTTAAAATAATATGTTTAAAATTATATGCAAATACTATAAATGAAAATAAACAAACTATAACTTTTTACACGTTAAAAATAGAGTCTTTACTATTGAAATTGAATGGGTGGTAAAAACATCATTTCAAGCACAAAGCAGAAGACAAAATTTGTTACACAGGAGATATGTATCTGTGTAATAATTTCCAGAATGCAAGACAGTTATAAACAGAAGATATGAAAAAAGAAATGAGTAGACCTGGAGAATAAATTATAAGATCCAATATATATCTGTTAGGAATTTAAGAATAAGAGAATAGAGAAAATAGTTAAGAAATAATGCTCAAGGAAATATAAAACGATAAAACAAAAAAGTGGCAGGTCACATAACCTGAGATTAAACATATCACTTTAAGAACTACAGAGGAAGCAAATTCACAAAACCACATCCAGACATGTTGGAATGAAACTAAAAATACCAAAAATAAAATAAAAATCCTAAGTGACACCAAAGAAAAAAAGGATGAGTATCAAACAACACAGATATATCATTAGCAAAATGTTGATGTCAAAGACCCAGTTATTTTCCACCTAACAAAAAATGAGATGGTTAACTATTACAAATAATACTTGAAAAAATACTAAAGGCTTGCTATGGCTTTAATGTGTTCCCTCCAAAATTTAGGTGTTAAGACTTGATGGCCAATGTGATGACATTAAGACATGGGGTTTTTATGAAGTGATTAGGTCATTAGGATTCCTTTCCTCATGGATAGAATTAAGACCCTCGTGAAAGAGGCTTCATGCAGTGTTGGACTGCCTAGACCTTCCGCCTTCTGTCATGTGAAGACACAGCTTTCCTTTCCACGGCAGCAAGGTGCCTCTTGGAAGCTGAGAGCAGCCCTTGCCAGATAACCAAACTTGATCTTGGACTTCTCAACCTATAGAACTATGAGAAATAAATTTCTATTATGTGTAAATTGCCCAGTCTCAGGTATTCTGTTACAGCAGCACAAAACAGACTAAAAGTTTCAACTTCAGAAAGTGGGGAAATAAATCCAGAAAAAAAGATATAAAATACAATTTTGGACAAAAAAAATTATTAAACAATAATGAACCTAAGTAACCATTCATGGTAATATCCAAATCATTTTAAAAATCACAATTAATTTTCTGTGGATAAAGAATCCAAAGTGACTAAAACACTGAACAAAAATGACTTGGGTGATGTGAAGGAATATAATATTTACAATGTTTCAACAAAACTTATTTTGTTCTGGAGAAACTTCGAGATATTAACAACTTTTGAACTTTGTTTCAAGTGTGCTTGTCAAAGATTTAATGGTAACTAATAAAGTAGAATGTGTAAGACACAACTTATTAGTTGTGAAGTGTGTATTAAGAAACTGAATAATTTGACCAATAAAGTGACCAAAGTTAATAGAAATAACTAAAGGAGGCATTTGAAAATGCTCCATCTAAAAATCGAACAATCAAAATACATAGGTGAAACTATATAAATGGTTAGAATAATTGTAAGTAGATAAAAGCACCAATTTTACAAATTATTTTTCTAATCTTCAGAAGTAAGTTTTGATATATATATCATATATATTCCTTGAAGATTAGATAAATAATTCATAATAATTGTTAATTCATAACAACATATATATAGTATCTTAAGCAAGAAAAGTAAGGATCTTAGCAAATTTTAACCTCACTTTTTACATGTCTTTAATTTATTAATATTTTATTTAGATTTTTGCAATTATATTTATAAAAGGACATAATTTTTATTTTAATGTCCTTTCTAGGTTTTGATATACAGATTGTTTAAACTAATGTAAACAGATGAGAATTATTTTCTCTTTTTATATTAGACAAAAGATTTTGCATTTAATTAATTTTCCTTTCTTAAATATCAGAAGAATTTGCCAGTTAAATCACCTGAATATAGAGATTATTGTGGCATTTTTTAAAGAATAATGGATTCAATATTTTTAACACAGGTAATACTGTTAACGATTTGCCTATTTATTCTTTCAGTTTTTGTCTTTTAAAAATGTGTTTACTTCATTCAAATTATTAGATTAATAGACATAATTTTTTAATATTCTCTTTTTATTTCTAATGTCTTTAAGATATGTAATTATGTCTCTTAAATTTCTGATATTAGAAATTTGTTAACTTTTTGGTTTTCTTCTTGATTTAATTTGCAAAGTTTATATTTAATTAATTTTTTTCAGAAATCAAATTTTGTTGTTGATTTCCTCTACCGTACATTTGCTTTTAAATTCAGTAATGTTTACTTTTATATTTATTATTTCCTTTCTTTCTTTTTTTTTAAACAAATCTGTCTTTAAGCTGGTCCAGTATCACTTTACCTTCAACTGCTCCACAAAAATAACTCTTGAGAAGTTCTACAGGACCTCTGCTTTGCGCCTAAAACTCTTGTCATTTCCTGAGTGATAAGGGTGCTAGTAGCATGTTACATAGAGCTCCTAAATCCTTGGAAATTTCCTGAGTGATCGCATCTTTTGTTCTATGAGGTGACTCTTGGCAGGTTCCTGGATAGTTTCAGATGGGGACTGGTTACCAGAGACAGGAGGTCATGATTAGAAGCTTGGAACTTTCAGCACCACCCTGCACCTGTCCCTGCCTTCAGGGGGGAGAGGGGCGCTGAAGATTATATCAATAATTCATCATATATACACGATGAAGCTTACATGAAAATCCATAAACTATGTGGTTTAGACAGATTCTAGATTGGTGAATACAACCATTTGCCAGAAGGGTGGCAGCCCCAAAACTCCATAGGGACAGAAGCTTCTGCACACAGGGCGCCTCTGGACCTCACTCTATGTACCTCTTCATTTGGCTATTTTTATTTTTTATAATATTATTTATAATAAACAGGCAAATGTAAGTAAATGTTTCCCGGAGTTTTATGAACCATTTTAGCAAATTATTGAACCAGAGGGTGGGGTGTGTGGGAAGCCCCAACTTTGTAGCCAAGTCAGACAGAAGTATGGGTATCCTGAGGACCCAATACTTGGCAACTGGCATCTGAAGTGAAAACTGTCTTTCAGGACTATATTATTAATCCTGTGTAGTTTGACATTAAATCCAGATACTAACTGTTAGAATCCAATCAAATTATAGGACATTCAGTTGGAGTCTGGAGAGTGAGAGAACTGGGTGTTATGGGGAGAAAATACTCATACATTTGATGTCAAATGTTTTGTGAGTAGAGAAAAAGTTTTCTTTTACTAATTCATAGAAAATAATATTTGTATATTGGTATTAAATACCGTGATCTTGATCTTGAACTTATTTAACAGTTTTTTTGTGAATTTTCTTGGAATTTTTACGTACAGTATCAGGTCATATGATAATAAAAGCAATCTTAGATTTTCCTTTTCAATCTGAATCCCTTTTATTTCATCATCTTTTATTGCTGCTGCCCATTTGTCTGTTTGCCCAATTGCACTGCCTAGATTTCCAGGCCTATATTAGTATCTATTGATGTCTTTTTTCCCCTTAGTGATAGAATTAATAGTTGCCTCATGGAATAGGAAGTTGTGAGAACAGACATCCTTGCCTTTTTCTGATTTTAAAAGGAAGCATATGGTCTTTCACCAAACTTATGAGGATATTGTACAATTTTTGTAGATATCCTTTATTGGTTTAAAGAAGACTCCTTCTATTCTTGGTGTGCTAAATGTTATAATAAAAAATCATGCTGAAAACTGGGTTTTTCAGATAACATTTTGCAGCAACTTTATATTCTGATTCATTTTATCAGAGTAGATATTTCTTTTTTCTTTTTTATTTTCAATTGACATTTATTAATTGTACATATTTATGGAGTTCAGTGTAATATTTGATACAGGTATACAATTGTAATGATCAAATTAGGGTAATTAGAATATCAATCACTATAAATTGATTGTTTTTTTGTGCTGGCAACATTCAAAATTTACTCAGCCATCTATTTGAAAATATACAATAAATTGTCATTAATATAGTCATCCTGAAGTGCTATAAAACACTACTTTTACTTTTTAAAAATTTGTTTAGCAACTTGTTTGGACTAATTTGTGGCTTGTGTGGTGACTGATGCCTCTGCTCTGTTTTTTTTGTTGTTGTTGTTTTTGTTTGTTCGTTTGTTTTATTTAATTTGTGTTTTTATGTTTAAGGTTGGCTTCTTTTTGGAAGTTCTTGAATCAGTATGGCTTAGTCATATCCAATGCTGGTTTAGAGGCTGTACTTAAACATCAGTAAAGGCTGTACTTATTGGGGTATTAAGCAAGGCTTTCAAATTTTGCCAATGGATCTTGGTAGTTTGGTGAATACATTCAACGTTTGGTAGTTTATAAGTCTATCCCAGGTTATACTTTTAAGGAGAATTCAGTAGCTCATTAGCACCCCTCCAATGTCTCCTGTCTGCACACAGCAATGTGTATGCAGACTTTCTGGCAGTGAAGTGTCATGCCATGCCCTGCACTTTGAGGTTGAACTTCTGGAACACAGAGCTGGGATGGGGTAGAATAGAGCAGCCCCAGACAACAATTCCACTGTACTTCACTATTTTTATTGAGGCTCAGTAGGTTTTCTTAAATTTGTGTATCTTATTTATCATATAATATCATATAATACTTAAATGGTTATCTTTGAAAATTTGTCCATTTTGTCATTGCTTTTGGGGAAAAGAATTTGTCAATTTTTTCAATTTGCCATTCTATAAATCCTATATTATTTTTTAAAGCTGTTTCAGACTGATATTGTGTTTTTCTATATTGTTTCCTGGTATGAAATAGAAGTGTTCTTTGTAATTTATCAGTCATATTTAAATTCCAACCGTTGCGTACATTGTAGTATCTACGTTGGCCACAGCATTTTCTTTTATAACAAGATATATTTAATTTAATAAAAATATATTTAAGTTCATTTTTCCTCACACACTTTGTATATAGAAATATGCCCAAACTCCTTTGACTTAATTTCAAGGTAACCTCACAATTTCTTTGGCTAAAAATGTCCAATTTCTCTTAATCAAAAAACGCACAGAGGACATCTATATAAACAATATATATAAGACAATTCATCAGACTATCCAAATTTGGAGTGTTAAGATAAATATCACAGTTTTTCAATGAAAACTGGAATTTTTTTACTAGCCTCATCATTTTTCTAGTAAAATTTCTATCTTTGAAAAATGTAATATGAAGCTTGAGAGAAGTATGTCTTTAATAATCAAATGTATTAACATAACATTATTTTTTGCTAATATGGGTAGTGAGATATTATCTTATGATTCTATGGCATAAGTTTGTTATATACAAATAGGAGTATAGCACAGTTCTGCCTGGAACTCTAATTTCTTGACTGATAAAAGAAATCTCATCATAATCTCAAGAATTCTGGTTGCTACCTAATAAAGATTGATGTTACCCCATTATATTTGGTGTCACTCAAAATAGATTCACACTGACATTTTTTTTCTTGGCTTTATTTTTCCTTAACTAAAATTCTATGCCATTGTCAGAATTGGTAATGTTCAGATTTGCAGGAATTTGAGGTTAAAATGGTTTCAGTAAGTGACTGAGAATTTTACAACTAAAAATTTTGTTCAAGTTTAGTTTTCAAGTTTAATTGCCAAATTATTCAATCACCCAGTTATTCAGTCATCCAGTTCTTCATGCCATTTTTGATTATGTATAACTTTGGAAAACTAATAAATTGAAGAAAACTTTATATTTAAAATTAAATATGGAACTATCTGGTTCATTTGAGGACACATAAAATAATTGAAATCATTCTGGAAGGCATTTTGTCTTTAGAGCTTCCCTTTAAGCCTGCAGATAACAGTCTCTGCCTATTCTGAGGTTGTCTACACATGTTGACAACAGTCCAATTTTGCTACCATCTCCAGTAGACTTCTTAATTAGGCTGTCAATCCTGTCAATAATAGTTCACAGTTGTTTTAGAAGTGAGACTTTCAGTTTCTCAAAATTACTTCTTCAAAGATGAAAGAGGTTAATGTGCCTATGTTTTGCAAAGTATAATTCCAGATTTTTTCACATATTATATTTACTTATTTCAAATTGTCTTCTTAAAAATAGATTGTCTAACTGCAGAAACTGAGGGACAAGAAGTTAAATAAGCCATCTGAGGCCTAATAAATTTTCCAACTGGCATTTGAATTCATGCTTATCTGATTGCCAAACCCACATTATCCCTGTTTTCATGTTGCATTATAAGGATTAGTTGAGCTTCTACTGGATTTAAGTACGTATGGTGGACTTTCTAGGTTTCCCTGTGTAGATCTCCTAGTCCATCATTGAAATAAACATTCAGATTAAAAACGATTTGAACTTATTTGTCTACTCACCTTCAAAATATACATTTATAAAGCCTGTGGAACTTTATACCTTGCCAGATTAATTTTTAACAAAAGTTGGAACTATTTGTAATTATTTCAGAGTCGGATTACTCTGATTATTGTTTTATTCACTCACTTGTTTTCTTTGAAAACTGCTTGCCAGCAGTGATATGCCACCTTTATAAGTTTTTATTCTATTGCCTAGATTATATTGATAGTTACAACTTTTTCCCTGTTTGTCTGTATAGGCATATTACCCCAGGCATTCATTCTGGATTTAAAATTATAAGGATCTATAATTTTACACTAAATAAAAGATCATTCTAAAATAAATCTGTTTCCATTTGGAGTAGTAAAACCAAAGTCTTGTGTTTCAGCTTTACAATAAAATGCAGATTTCCCATTAAGTGGAACATCCTATCTTTCAAAAGGCTGAATAAGATAATATTTAGAAAGTCATTCCAGTCAGTTAATTAGGGCAGGGGGTGAAGTTCAATACAAAAATCCTGTTGGATGTATTGCATTTTTATTTGATTCTGAGCAGGATTCATTTTCACCTAATTTGCCAACATGTCGCTCATTATTTTACTCTTAGATAAACAAGTGACTAGAGGCATATTGAGCCAATTATTCTGATTCTGTTCCTGAATTGGCATTGATACAGTAGCTGAATGGAAATGGTCTCATGCTTGCTGACGCATTAATAGTGATCAAAATGAAAAAAAAACAAATCCTGTTATAGTCATACTTCTTTGTTTTTATGCTTTAGACTAATGTATTTGATCAGCTCCCTGCTACATGTTGTTTTTCCTTTTTGGAATCTAGGTAAGTAGGATGAAAGTAGATTCCAAAAAGGAAAAGCAATATAAAGTAGTTTCATATGAAACTCAGCATTGTAACTGTGAGTTATATTGGATGCTGAGTTTTGGCACAGATAGGACAAAAACTTTTTGGTGATTGTGCACTGGTTCTGTATTTCCACTAATAAATACACTTAATGCTTGGAACAACATTCTAACTTCAGCATATTGTGACTTCTTTTTTTGGTGACAGGAGGAAGTCTTCAGACTTGATATGTTCCATCAACAAGCCATATGCTCATGAGCTTTAATGGTCAAGTGCCTGATGATGACTCTCTTGTAGACAAAGGTTTAAAACTAAATTTTGACATTGAAGTTAAGAACTCAAGCCCAGGAGTAAGACAGACCTGGGTTTAGTCACAACTGTTCCACTTAGTAGATGTGTTAACTTGGACACATCACTTAAACTTCATATATGGTTTTTCATCGCTAAAAAAAGGATAATATTAGTCATTTGTATAGGGTTGTTGTGAGAATTAAATGAGATGATTCACAGTATATATCATCAAATGAATCTTCTTGTTTCCTCTGTTATATCATACTTTGCTTATAGTCATTTGAATCTTGTTTTGTTCTTGACATCAAACACCATTTTGATTCAATCAATCATGGGATTCAGCCCCCTCGTGATCAAGCAGCACTTTGAGTCTGTCCCAATTTTGTGTTCATTTTCCCTGAAAATGGGGCCCTGTGTTGCCTCCCAAGTATTCCTAGAGATCCCATTTCTACTTCTTTCCAACTTCTTAGGTGCTGTTCCCATAAGCGTTTCCCAATGCATGCAAATCATCATCTCAGAGTCAGCAGCCTGGGGAGATGACCTAAGACAATCCCCACCTTATAGCTTGAATCCCTACTGACTCTTTTATAATCATCATTTACCTGCTCAGAGCTATATTTATTCCTGACTTTTGTGGATCTTTAACAACAGATCTAGTGCTTCAGGACATCTATTAATTAATGCATCCATTACCAATCAATCCTAACATTTGTTCTAAATGATTTGTATGTACTGTTTCACTTAATCCTTATTATAATTCTATGAGGTGGGTGCTATTTTTTTCCCCTTTTCCAGATCAGAATGCTAAGGCAGAGGAGCCAGGATTTAAAATTTAATCTTCAGGCCTCTGACTTCAGAGGTGGTACTCTTCACCCCGCTCTATCTCTGTGACAACCAAGCTGACTGCCTCCTCAGTATTCCCACAGGTCTCCTATTTTCAGACTCTTTGAGTGTTTCCCATGTCTCCAGTTGAAAAACTCTCTGAAGTACCACTCCTAGGCTCCCCTGAAGAAACTGGCTGAGGCTGAGACTTTATCTCCCTTGGCTTCTTTACTCCCTTCATTCCACACCCTTATGGGTCTCTGCAGAGAGTTCTTGCTCAGTAAATCACTTGCACACAGTGCTCATCTCAGGCTCCACTTCTGGCAAACACAAACTAAGCACAAAGGGTTAATTACTAGAGAGAGATTTTGAGAGAAAGTAGAAGACCTCAGTGTGTGAATAGTGATGTTCTTTTTAACACGCGATAAACATCTCTACAGATGGAGGTGTTGAGGAAGCGTATGTGGGGCTTGTGGAAACTGACCAATAAAATGACACAGTGGGAGAAATCCAATAGAAACAACTATTTCTGAACGCTTGAGAATATGCACATGAGGTTGACTATCATATGTATAACAGAAGTTCATTCAATGAATTTCACAATATTCTTTCACTCTGCTCAATAGCTTGATGAACAGTTGCAACAGCAACAAAATCTCTCAGTAGGTAGTAGGCAGAGACTCAGCATGTAATTCACATTTTGAAGGCATAGAAATAGAAAACTTTTAAACCTAAACTATCTTAATGTTGATAAAATCCCATCACATGCTATACACTTTCTTATTTAATTTTCATTGAAGAAGCAAATAAAAGTGGAAGAAACTGAGGTATAGTCAAGAAATAGTGTATAAATTTGTTTGATTGAAAAGGTACTTTCAATACAGAAATACTGAGAAATGAAGGTAGGAAATGACACTTCTTCCCTGATTTCAGAGGAGTATAAATATCCAGTTAAGGAGTTTTGAATTCTCTTTGAGGTTTTACTAAATCTATTTTAGTTTGAAAGTGACAATGAAGAAAGAAGATTAATTGTGGGTCATATAGTTTTAAGGATATTAGGTTAAGTGAATTTTTCAGTAATTTCAATGGAAAATTATAAAGGCCTCTCCTATACTAATGCTACATGGGTAAAAAAAGACAAGCTATATTTTGAAGGAAAAGAACTATCAAATTAAACAAAAATTTCAATTAAATATATGCACACACTTAACAAACACTACTGAGCATCTCCTATAAACAAAATTCCATGATTATAATAAATGAGTAGGTATCTATTCTTGCTGTCTCAAGGATGTTGAAATCTAGTTGGATAAAGGAAGAAAGCTTACAAATGTAATTAAATATGTTTTCTTATTTTTAAGAGTTTTGCACTTTTACTAATCTTGCCTTTCCCTCTCTTTTCTCCTTCCACACCCTTATGGGACTCCCTAAGATCGCTTCTGTAATAGATAAGTTACAAACAAGTCATCTACTTCATCCCAGGCCCTGCTTCTGACAAACACAAGCTAAACTCAAAGTGTTAGTTGTTATAGAAGAATTTTGAGGGAAGGTAGAGGACCTGAATAGTGAAGAAAATATCAGATATCATATAATTTCGACCAGAATTTCAAGAAAATGGGAAAACATTTGTTTTAATCACACCTAAGATAAATTAGCAATAATGTATTTTTTTCTATTTTTATTTTTTATTTTATTTTGTTTCAAGTTTTATTTTAGATTCAAGGGATACGTGTGCAGGTTTCTTACATGGGTATATTGCAAAATGCTGAAATTTGAAGTACAAATGATCCCATCACCCAGGTACTGAGCGTAATACCCCACAGTTTTTCAACCCTTGCCCCTTCCTCTCGCCCCACCTCTAGTAGTCTCCAGTTTCTATTGTTGCCATTTTTATGTCCACGAGTACCTGATGTTTGGATCCCATTTCTAAGTGAGAACATGGTATTTGGTTTTCTGTTCCTGTGTTAATTCACATAGGATAATGGCCTCCAGCTGCATCCATGTTGCTGCAAAGAACATGATTTAGTTCTTGTTTACGGCTGTGTAGTATTCCATGGTATATATATATACCACATTTCCTTTATCCAATCCACCATTGATGGGCTCTTAGGTTGATTTCACATCTTTGTTCCTGTGAATGGTGCTGCAAAGAACATGACAGTGTGAATTTTTTTTGGTAGAACAATCTGTTTCCTTTTGGATGTATACCGCATAAAAGGATTGCAAGGTTGAAAGGTAGTTCTCTTTTATTTAAGAAATTTCCAAACTGCTTTCCACAGCGGCTAAACTAATTTACATTCCCACCAACAGTGTGTAACTTCTTCTTTTTCTCCACAGCCTTGCCAGAATCTGTTATCTTTTGACTTTTTATTAATAGCCATTCTGACTGGTGTGAGATGGTATCTCACTATGGTTTTGATTTGCATTTTTCTTATGATTAGTAATGTTGAATATTTTTTCATATGATTGTTGGCTGCTAGTATACCTTCTGTTGAGAAGTATCTGTTCATGGTTTTGCTCATTTTTTAACGGGGTGATTTGGTTTTTGCTTGTTGAGTTGTTTAAGGAACTTATACATTCTGGATATTAGATCTTTGTTGGATGCATAGTTTGTGAATATTTTCTCCAAATCTGTAGATTGTCTGTTTATTAATAGTTAGTTGGCTGTGTGGAAGCTCTTTAATTTAATTAGGTCTCACTTGTCAATTTTTGTTTTGTTCAATTGCTTCTGAGGACTTAGTCATAAATCCTTTCCTAAAGCTGAAGTCTAATATAGAGTTTCCAAGATTATCTTTCAATAGTGTTATAGTTTGAGGTTTCACATTTAAATCTTTAATCTATCTTGAGTAATGTTTGGATGTGGTAACAGGTAGGGGATCTACTTTCATTCTTCTGCATATGGCTAGCCAATTATCACAGCATCATTTATTGACTAGGGAGTGCCTTCCCCATTGCTTATTTTTATCGACTTTGTTGAAGATGAGATGGCTATAGATGTGCAGCTTTATTTCTGAGTTTTCTCTTCTGTTCCATTGGTCTGTTTGACTGATTTTGTATGTGTACCATGCTGTCTTGGTTACAGTAACCTAGTAGTATAGTTTGAAGTCAGGTGATGTGATTCCTCCAGCTTTGTTCTTTTTGTTTGGGATTGCTTTGGCTATTTAGGCTCTTTATTGGTTCAATGTGAATTTTAGAAAGGGTTTTATAATTCTTTGAAAAATAATATTGGTAGTTTGATAGAAATAGCATTGAATCCGTAGGTTGCTTTGGGCAGTATGGTCATTTTTATGATATTGACTCCTCCAGTCCATGAACATGGAATGTTTTTACATCTGTTCATGTCATCTATGATTTCTTTTAGTGGTGTTTTGTAGTTCTCTTTGTAGAGTTCTTTCACCTCCTGAGTTAGATGTTCCCTTGGGTATTTTATTTTATTATATTTTTGTTGCTATTTTAAATAGGATGTGTTGTTGATTTGGCTCTCAGCTTGAACATTATTAGTGTGTAGAAATACTACTGATTTTTATACATTGATTTTGTATCCTGAAACTTTACTGAAGTCAAAAATAATGTCTTAATATCAAATAACCACTCAAAATTCAAATATCTAATTGTCTCATGAGTATAAGTTTTTTTTCATCAATCTATGTGAAATCCACACATATAATTGTTTGATGTTTCCTTAAGTCTCTCTCATAAGCTCTGCCTAGTTTCTGTCTTTCTTGTGGTTTATTTATTGAAGATACTGGGTTGTTTGCCTTGTACATTTTCTGTGCTCTATATATTGTTGATTATATTCCTCTGCTGCAGAGTAATATGTTCCTCTGTGAATTGGTAGCTGTTTATAGAGGCTTGATGAGAATCTATTTTGTTTCTTCTTTTGTCAAGACTGCTTCAGTTGAAGGTTTTGCTGTTAGGAAGCACACAATGCCCAACTGTCTCTCATTTTTATATTAACAGTAGTTGATGATCAGTGCCAAGATTTAATAGTTCATACAAAAGTTGCAAAATGATTATTTCTAATTTTATGATATCTTCTTTATCAGATAAAAACATCTATAAGGAGAAAACTCCCTTCATCTAATGTTTAGTCTATCAATTGTATAGATAGTATCAAAACAGCAATATAAATGCTTGTTTTTTTATTACCAGTTTGAAAATAATGAGCATGTTTTGTAGTATTTCCCAGTGATGAATGATTTCTTTTTCTCATTTTGTTGTCATTATGAATTCGAGTATATAATCATATTTCATTTCTTTCATTCCATAACATTTATTGTTCTTATTAATGTTCAAATTGTCTCTTCTTTTGCCAAGGATGTCTTCTTCAAATTGACTCTCAAGTACTTTTTGATAACATGCTTAATTTATGATCTGATAAGATGTACCAGGTACATTTCCTGTCTTGGACCTGGAATCATCTATTTCTTCAAGAAGTCCTGTCTTTCTTCCCTGGGTCCATTTAACTTTTAAACCCTTTCTTGTGTTCTTTCCAATCTCCTCAAAATTAAAAATTTTCTCTTACATGTGACCAGTGACTCAGCACTTATAAAAACAGTGACTTTTCTTTGGTAATTCTTTAGAATATTTTAAATTATTTTTGAAATATCCTTTGAAACTTTTTTCCTTTGAAGTATTTTGGTATCTCTACCAGTGATACTTCTCTTTTCTTTTTTTTCATTTTATTCTTTCTGTTACCTTTTTTTTCCTGTTATAATAAGCATAATTAACATATATACATAAACATATGGGAGATATATATATATATATATATATACACAAAAATGCACATATGTTTATGGGAATATATATATTTATATATATAAATATATGTTTATGGGAATATATATATTTATATATAAATATATATTTATGGGAATATATATATTTATATATATAAATATATGTTTATGGGAATATATATATTTATATATATAAATATATGTTTATGGGAATATATATATATTTATACCCTAAAATAAATCTATCATCTATCTCTATATATATGTAATATATTTAAGAAATCAAGATATGTATATGCTATATATAAGAAATATATACAGAATGATTTATTTTAGGGTATATATATATATATATATCTTGATTTATTTTATGGTATATCCTTTAGGGTATATACCTTTTAGGTGTATATAAATATATATATATATTTATAAAATATATATATATATATATATATATATTTATAAAATATATATAAATATGTATATACCCAAAATATATGTATATATTTATATACACCTAAGAAATATAATAGTAATTGTAATTGTTGGCATATCTGTGTATTGAAGGGAGGGCTCATCCCTATGAATCATTCCTTCCACAAATATATATTGAGAGGATATTATATGACAGATGCTATTAGGTGCTATGAAAAAGTGAATAAAACAGGCAAAGTCTGTGTTCAAGCATCAGGAGATAGAGGATAAACAAAATCTATAAATAAATGCCAACACATGTGCCTCAACTTCCATATGAGCTATACAGAAAATTATAATTGGAGAAAGATTTCCAGTGCCCACAAGGACTGCCACTTTACAGAGCAAGCTCTGAAGTCCTCTCTGAAAAGCTTACACTTTACCAAAGTCTTGGAGAGGTGTGGGGATCCAGGTATGACCTTCTGAAAAACAGCCTGCCAGGAGATGGAGCAACAGGTGCAAAGGCCCCAAGAAGGATGTATGCCTAACATGTTTGGAAAATAGGGAGGAGTCACCTGTGGCTGGAGAGAAATGAACACAGGGAAGGTGAAAATAGACAAGGTCAGAACAGTAGGGAGTGGGAGAAGGAGAACAGAGAGAACTTTATAAACTGTAAGAACTTTGGCTTTCACTAATGAGAACAATTTGAGGTTGTTGAGCAGAGGAGTGATGGAATGTAACTTAACAAATTGAAGGGATCTCTTGGGCTCACATGTGGCAGATATATTGTGAAGAGGTAAGAGGAGTAGCCTGCGGAGTTTTTAGGAGGCTATTTCCATAATCTCAGCCACAAACCAGAGCATTAGCAGTGCTGGTGGCAGGAAGGGGATGCATTTGCCTAACTGAGAATCTATTTCCTGCCAACACCAGCATCTTGCACATTGCCCTAATGTGCCAGGGGGAGCCAATTGCACTGTGTCCAGGAGGTGCTGAATTTTAGATAGATTTTATTCTTTCAAATTAACCCATTCTTGCCTCTTTGAGCAAGTTGTATTCTAATGAATGCAAACTCATCCACCTTGGTCAGCTTTTTGTGGGGTACCACCTTGATCCACTCTTTCACATGACTTTTCCCATGAGCGGTTGCAGTCCACAGGCATTCCTCCTTCCTGCTGCAGGCCCTATGTCCTACATGATGGTCAACCAGTCATCTTCTATTTCATATCTATACTCAAGATTCTCAATTCATCCTTCCTCCCGAAATCCCAGCTCATCTTATATGTCACATCTATACTAAAGATTCGTGCTTCCTCTCCAAATCTCTTAACACCTAGCCCTTCTCTTCACATCTTATTCTTCCTATTTCATATGGGTACTTGCCAAATTACTCTGTCATTTATGTAATAATCTCATTCTGGACTTCAGACAAAGTGGTTCAGAATCACAAAAAAGTTCATGAGTAAAGGTCAAATTGTATCATGAATATCAGGGTCCTATGATGACTGTTTATTATTCAGTCCCCTTGACTTTTGTTTAAGAGACCTGGAGTTGAACCAGTTTGGCAGGAATTCTAAGAAGTAATTACCTGAAGGGAAACAGCAAGCGAATGTAAACACAGGATTTCTGCCCTCAGATGATTACTAACAAGACATAAAAACACTTATTTCTACCCAGGAAGGAATCCCTCCAATTCAGAGTAACAAGAAAAAAAAATAAGAAAAAGACTAAATTTAGGAGTTTTTATGAATACTTTTAATCTGAAGTCAGTTACCAGATGTATTAGTCCATTCTCATGCTGGTATGAAGAAATACCCAAGACTGGGTAATTATAAAGGAAAGAGGTTTAATTGACTCACAGTTCAGTATGCCTGGGGAGGCCTCAGGAATCTTACAATCATGGTGGAAGGCACCTCTTTACAGGGTGGCAGGAGAGAGAATGAGTGCAGAGTGAAGGAGGAAGCCCCTTATAAAACCATCAGATCTCGTGAGAACTCACTCACTATCATGAGAAGAGCATGTGTGGAACCTCCCTATAATTCAATCATCTCCACCTGGTTCTGCCTTTGATACATGCAGATTATTACAATTCAAGGTGATATTTTAGTGGGGACACAGCAAAACCATATCATTCCACCCTTGACCCCCCCCATATCTCATGTGCTCACATTTCAAAACATAATCATGCCCTTCCAACAGTCCCCTAATGTCTTAGCTAATTCCAGCATTAACCCAAAAGTCCAAGTCCAAAGTCTCATTTGAGAATAGAAAATTTCCTTCCACCTATGAGTTTGTAAAATTGGAAGCAAATTAGTTACTTCCTTAATACAATGACAGTACAGGCATTGAGTAAATACACCCATTCCAAATGGGAGGAATTGTCCAAAACAAAGGGTCTACAGCCCCCACACAAGTCTGAAATCCAGTAGGGCAGTCATTAAACCTTAAAGCTCCAAAATGACCTCCTTTGACTCCAGCTTTCACATCCAGGTCACACTGATGCAAGAGGTGGGCTCCCAGCAGTTTGGACTGCTACACACCTGTGGCTTTGCAAGGTATAGCCCCTCTCCAAGCTGCTTTCACAGGCTGGCATTGAGTGCCTGCAGCTTTTCCAGGCACACAGTGCAAGCTGTCGGGGGATCTACCATTCTTAGGTCTGGAAGACGGTAGCCCTCTTCTCACAGCTTCACTAGGCAGTGCCCCAGTGTGGACTCTGTGTAGGGACTCCAACCCCACATTTCCCTCCTGCACTGCCCTAGCACAGTTTCTCCATGAGGGGTCTGCCTCTGCAGCAAACTTCTGCTTGGACATAGAAGTGTTTCCATACATCCTCTGAAATCTAGGCAGAGGTCCCAAACCTCAGTTCTTGACTTCTGTGCACCCACAGGCCCAACACCATGTGTAAGCCACCAAGGTGTGGGGCTTGCACCCTCTGAAACAATGGCCTGAGCTTTACTTTGGCCACTTGAGCCACAGCTGGAGCTGAAACAGCTGATACACAGGGCACCATGTCCCAAGGCTGCATAGAGCAGGGGGGACCCTGGGAAGTGAAACCATTTTTTCCTCCTAGGCCTCTGTGCCTGTTATGACAGGGGCTGCCATGAAGGTCTCTGACATGGCTTGCAGGCATTTTCCCCATTCTCTTGGTGATTAACATTCAGCTCCTAGTTACTTATGTAAATTTCTGCAGCCAGCTTGAATTTCTCCCCAAAAAAATGGGTTCTGTTTTTCTACTGCATCGGTAGGCTGAAAATTTTCCAAACTCTTATAATCCGCTTTCTCTTGAACACTTTGCTGCTTAGAAATTGCTTCCATCAGTTGCCCTAAATCATCTCTCTCAAGTTCATAGTTCCACAGATCTCTAGGGCAGGGGCAAATTGCTTCCAGTCTATTTGCTAAAGTATAGCAAGGGTCAAGAGTCACCTTTATTCCAGTTCTCAACAAGTTCCTCATTTCCACTTGAGACTACCTCAGCCTGCACTTCATTGTCCATATCACTGTCAGCTTTTTGGTCAAAGCCGTTCAATAAATCTTTAGAAAGTTCCAAACTTTTTCACATCTTTCTGTCTTCTTCTGAGCCCTCCAAACTGTTTCAACCTCTTCCTGTTACTCAGTTCCAAAGTTGCTTCCAGATTTTTGTGTATCTTTACAGCAGTGGCCCAGTACCCAGTGCCAATTTTTTGTATTTGCCTGTTTTCACACTGCTATGAATAAATATGTAAGGCTGGGTAATTTATAAAGAAAAGAGGTTTAATTGACTCACAGTTCTTCATGGCTGGGGAGGCCTCAGGAAACTTACAATCATGCTGCAAGTGGAAGCAAACACACCCTTCTTCACATGATGGCAGGAGAGAGAACTGTAGAGTGAAGGGAGAAACACATTTTTAAACCATCAGATCTCCTGAGAACTCACTCACTATCACAAGAACAGCATGGAGGTAACCACATCCATGATTCAGTTATCTCCACCTGGTCCTTACCTTGACATGTGGGGATTATTACAATTCAAGGTGAGATTTGGGTGGAGACACAAAGCCAAACCATGTCACCAGACATCTTTTTTAAAAGCCCATAAACTGGTAATAAAACAAGTCACACATATACACACATATAATCATACACATTCAAGTATGTTATATGAAGTATTGTCATTGAAAAGCTCATACTCAAGAGTTTAAGTTAGCTGACAGTGATAAGCTAATTCTATCCCTAATTAGGCACAATAAAAGTAAGGCCTTGCATATACTTTGTCTGTCTTAAGCTCATGTCTGAAGTCCATAGATCTAGAAAGTTGATTCACTTAAATTTAGAAAATCTCATATCCCTACTCATTTTATCTTTCCATTTTTTTTTTCTAACTACCAATATACAGGATGGGAAAGAATGCTAACCTGGTCTGGGTAAGGGAAGGGAGAGGAAAGATGATGCAGGTTACTGAGACAGATTATGTATATAGAATGATAGAGCACCCAGCTCTTTTGGGTACAAAATGTCACCCATCCCAACCTGGTATTATTCAGTCTGCCTCCTGTGTTATTGTCCTTTATATTATTTTTTTAATAAAGTGGACATCTGATGTAATCTGAGCACCATTTCCTCATTCTTCCAAAGAGGGTATTCTGCAGTTTGGAGAACTGGCTATGGTCCAGAGAAATGGCTGAGGATGAAGCTGCAGCAGAACAGCAGTGCCACACAATTTGGGGTGGGTCCCTGATCCATGAGACTTTCAAGATAACCACAGTGTTCTGTTCTCAAGTATTAGATTATTACCTGACCTGCACATCTGCAAAGTCATGATGGCCGGTGTACCTTGCTGCACTTCTGACACAGTTTATTGACTCTTCTGTATAGTACAAAATAGTTAACATGTGTTTGGTCAAGGTGACAGCTACTCAATCAAAACTGGCTTAAGGCCGGGCATAGTGGCTCATGCCTTTAATCCCAGCACTTTGGGAGGCCAAAACAGGTGGATCTCTTCAGCTCAAGAGTTCCAGACCAGCCATGGGCAACATGATGAAACCCCATCTCCACTAAAAATACAAAAATTAGCTGAGCATAGTGGTACACGCCTGTAGTGTCAGTAACTTGGGAGGCTGAGGCAGGAGGATTACTTGAGCCCAGGAGGTGAAGGTTGCAGTGAGCCGAGATCATGCCACTGTACACCAGCCTGGGTGATAAAGTGAAACCCTGTCTCAAAAAAAAAAAAAAAAGACTGGCTTAAGAAGGAGAAACATATTAAGGGGAACTCTTGGATTCAGAAATCAATTAATCCAATAATTCGAACAATTTTAGAGATTTTCTTTCATCTTTCCCCTGCTCCTTTTCACATATCTCCCTATGTGGCCCCTTCCCCTGTAGAACATCTTCAATGCTGGTTATGAAGTAGGAAGTATGGCTATGGATCACTCTTTCAGTACCCAAGGAATTAGTTCCCCAGCTCTGTTGGGTTCAAGGGCAGAAACCTTGGGAAAGAGTCCCGCTGGTTCAACTGGGGATTGGTTCCTACCACTGAATCAGCCATTTCAGGTAGCTCAGTATTGTTGGTGGCTAGAATAATCTTATTATCAGCCAAGTTTGAGCCATGTGTCTTCCTGGAAAACCAATCAACTCTGCTCAGGAAAAAAAGATTAGGTTGTAATATGGCTGCTTCTGTGGCAATAATAAGAATGGATAGGAGAAATGTAAATCTTAGAAAAAGAGAAGCTGGGGGCATACTAAACTACACGCATATGTTGTGTATCTTTCCCTCGTGTCCGTCTCCTTTTCCCTTTTTCACATTACATATTATAAACCCCCAGCATTTCTTTCTAGATGCACAATTGTCAGTGCAGCCTCCCCACACTTACCCATGCTGCTGACCTAAGTAACTGGAAATTACCATCTACAGAAAATATTAAGATAATTTGATGCCATAGGTAATACAACTTGTAATTTCCTCTTAGTACATATAAAAAAGAAATAAATATACTGCCAGAATTTTTATTATTGAAACTTTGTAAAAATTAAAAGAAATAATTTTCAACTCAATAATAATTGTTTTTTGTAGAGAGTCAAGCGATAGACAAATAGGATTCCTTTTCAGAAAAATAAATAAAATAAGGACTATAAAGATTAAATTATGATTTTTATTACTATTAGATGTATGTACTAAAATGCATGTCAGTATTCTTTAGCATTTCAGCATCAAATGAATGTATCTATCTGCAAATATTAGTTTTCTAATCCCTTGGAAGATGACATTATTGAAAGTTCTTTTTTAATGTAGATTCTACCCCAAAACAATTTTATAGTGCTAAGTAGCCAATGTGTCAAACTGGATACTAAAATATATGTAATGTGAATGGAGGCAAGAAATGGGAGTAGGTAAAGATGAGAAAGAAGCACAAAAATTTATACGTGATTGGAAAAGGAATTGATAGCTGGCAAAGTGAGAGTGGTGGAAAGCTAACCCTCCATCAGTAAGAAATTGTTGCAAAACTGCTTTCTCTGTATAGCACTCTCTTCATGCAGTCTTGGGGCAGCTCTTAGTAGCAATATATGTGCGTTTCAATCTGGCTATCAGCACAGTTATTATTGTCTCATTCGTGCCAAAAACTGGCTCTGGTGTGTTAATTGGTTTGAGATTGAAATGGTTTTGTGTTTAAAAACCCATTTCCAGCAAGGAGGAACATCCAGTTTTCCTATTCTCATGGAGATAAAACATGCTTACTGGAGATGGAGCATTAAATTTTGCAAAACTCAGTCTAGGGTTGGTGACTACATGTCACCTTGGGGCAGGCCTTTACTTCCAAGAAACATTAATAAATTGCTTCCCCATGGTCTGCTTAATTAAGAAAATCTAAAGCTTACTAGCATCAGTTGCTGTGGGGAAAAGGTGTAATGAAAGGTTTTATGAACTAGAACAAGCAGTTTGAATTCCCCCTTGATTGGCAGAGCTGGTCCCTGAGAAGGAGACAGACCAATTTGTATGTATAGGGGAATGACAGAACACAAAACCAGAAATGGGAGGGGAGAAATCCAGATTGATTCGGGCCTAGAACAAGGCCTACTTGTTCATGGAAGAGGCTGGATATTGCCCCTATGTGGCTGACGGGGAGTCCTTTTGAAGATAGGCACCCTGGTACCATAGGTGGGTTTGAGGTTTGTTGGAGGTGATGGTTAATTTTATGTGTCTACATGACTAGGTTTGGGGATACCCAAGTAGCTGGTAAAACTTTAGGTGTGTGTCTGTGAGGGTGTTTCCAGAAGAGATAATTAATTGAATTAGTAGAATGAATAAGGAAGATTCATGGTCGCTGTTATGGGTATTAACCAATCTGTTGAGACCCTGGACAGAACAAGAACAAAAAAAGAAGAGCTAATTTTCTTT
This sequence comes from Homo sapiens, assembly GCF_000001405.40. Taxonomy (NCBI): domain Eukaryota; kingdom Metazoa; phylum Chordata; class Mammalia; order Primates; family Hominidae; genus Homo; species Homo sapiens. Next base: position 86,368,282 of record NC_000014.9, on the reverse strand, counting down.
CTCCTTGAGCTGGGAAATTTGTCTTCTCTTCCACTTAGACATTGGAGTTCCTGATTCTCAGGTCTTTGGATGCTGGGGCTTACACCAGAGCTGCCTACCTCACCCCCACTCCTATGTTGCCCCCGCCCCGACCCCAGGGTCTCAGGATTTTAAACTCTGACTGAATTACACTACAGGCTTTCCTGATTCTCAAGCTGACAGATGGCAGATTGTGAGATTTTCAGGCCTCTAGAGTTGTATGAGTCCATTTCCATAATAAATCTCCTCTTTCTTTCTCTCTCTTTAGTGTATAACATATATTTATATATGATATATAATATAAATATATTTCATAATTATATATAATATATATAATTGCTTCTGTTTCTCTAGATAACCCTGACTAGTTAAGTGAACAACATATGTGTATCAATATACAGACCGCAACTGAAGGGGTGGATTAGGGAATTTGAGTTGGTATATGAGACACTTCTAAAAATCCATGCAGTGGCCAGGCACAGTGGCTCATACCTATAACCACCGCACTTTGGAAGGCTGAGGCATAAGGATCACTTGAGCACAGGATTTCCAGACCAGGCTTGGCAACATAGCAAGACATAGCCTCTACAAAAAAATAAAAAATAAGTCAGATGTGATGGCTCATGCTTGGAGTCCCAGCTACTTGGGAGGCTGAGTAGGAGGATTGCTTAAGCCCAGGAGGTCGAGTCTGCAGTAAGCCATGTTCTTGTCTCTGCACTCTGGCAGAGCGAGACCCTGTATCTAAAATAACAATAATAATAATACTTGTACTACCTGTATTATGCATGGATTGATTCTTAATTTTCAAATAATCAGAGGTTATTGAGAAAAATAGAGACTTCATAGTAATAGATTGAGACTTAAACACTGTTCTCCCTCTTATAAACTAATGGCAATTTGACAAATCACTTAAACTTTCTGAATTAACCTAGTGCAAGTTTACTGTGAAGACTGAATCCACTGCCAAAGGATCACATATGCATCTCAATTAAAGTACTTAGTATGGTGGATTGTGTATTCTTGTTTCCTGGTCTGTAGGTCTGTACTCTGTATGTAAATAGTCTTACTTAATTTGTCTTTGAGCTCCAGTGCATCATAGTCTCTAAATATTGCCTGTTGAGTAAATGAAAGTACCTTCCCAATAGCAAAGAGGGCCATTCATCCTTAATATACAAATTTAATTAAATCATGATCAGTTTATTAGCTGGTGGTTAGAGATGTGGTTGTCAATACGGCTGAGCCTCAGGGCATCATTAAGAACATTCAATATGTCTGTACTATTGACACTTGGTTGCACTAGATAATAAGAACTGTACAAGATAGCATGATAGATGAACCAAGTTTTATAATTTATTTTACAAAGGAAGCACACCTTAATTTGTTTGCTTTGAGGGAAAAATGAACACTTTATGAACACATTATGAAAAACCAGAGTTCAAAGATGTAGTGTTACTCTTGTGAAAAAATATTCTCGGGGGTGATAAGGGGCATTTGGCACTGCCAGCCCAGTACAAGTGCTTCTCACTCCTGCTCCGTGAAAAAATATTCTCAAGCACTGCTTTTAAAACTTAATGTATATCAGAATTATTTATTGAACATAGAAGTATCAAAGATAATGTATTGATCAAAAAAATTTCCTCCTCTCCCAAACTTCTCATCTGTGTCCATGATACTATCATTCTTAGCAGCACTCAAGACCTTCTGTTTTCTGAAATACTCATCTTTCTTCCATTTCCTCAAATCTATTTATGTTTATCTTCAGTTGGATAGGCCTACTTTCAGCTTTTTGTTATGTAAGCTAACACAAGTTAAGTGTAAGTTGTTTTAATTTCTTTCCTCCTTTATTTTTTCTTCCCTACTTGTCTTGCTCTTTTCTTCTTCCCCCCTCCCTCCCTCCCTTCTTCCCTTCCTTCCTTCCCTCCTTCCTTCCTCCCTTTCTTTCTCCCTTCCTTCCTTCCTCCTTCCTTCCTCTTTCCTTTATTATTTCTTTTCTTCCTTCCTCTCTTGAAGCTGAAAGCATCCAAAATTACTTTACTTTCAATAATTTTGTATAAGTCAACACACATTATCAAGTTCTTTCCCTAAGCCTCCATGTAATATTAATAATTCTGGGAACACAAAGAAGTAAAAAGATTTCTTGCCTTACCATGTTAATCTTTCTTTTATATCACCAAGACCAACTTTTTTTTTCTTTTGAGACAGGATCTTGCTCTGTCACTCAGGCTAGAGTGCAGTGGCATGAACTTCGCTCACTGCAGCCTCAATGTCCTCGGTTCAAGTGATCCTAATGCCTCAGCCTCCCAAGTAGCGGGGACTACAGGCACATAGCACCATGCCTGGTTATTTTATTCTATCTTTTTGTAGAGACAGGGTCTCCCTAGGTTGCTCAGGCTGGTCACAAACTCCTGGTCTCAAGCATTCCTCTTGCTTCAGCTTCGCAAAGCACTGGGATTACAGACATGAGCCATCGCAACAGACTGCCAAAGACCAACTTTTGCCTTTAATGAGTTTTGTGAGTTTGTGTGTGTATAGGATGACTCTTTTTTGATTCGTTTTCACTTCATAGCAATCCTAGAAAGTCTACTAGGTCTAGTGAATTGTATTCCATTTTAAAGATAAGGAGCCCAAGGCCAAGATGCTTTAAGGCTACAGTAATGGCAGATTTGGAAGTGATGCCAAAACACATCGTCTTCCACCATGTCAACACTTAAGGAGTTGGATGTTAGGTCACTTGACATAAAACACAAAACTCAGAATAGATGTATTTTTTTTTAAGAGACGGGGTCTTGCTTTGTCACCTAGGCTGGAGTTCAAGTTGTATGATCATAGCTCATTGCAACCTCACCCTCCTGGGCTCAAGTAATCCTCTGGCCTCATCCTCTCATCCTGCCAAATAACTGGGACTACAGATGTATGCCACCATGCAGGATGAATTTTCTTTTTTAATTTTTATTGTCTGTAGGGATCAGATCTCACTTTGATACCTAGGCTGGTGTTGAACTCCCAGATTCAAGCTATCCTCCTGCCTCGTTCTCCAAAAGTGCTGGGATTACATGCATGAACCACTGCACCTGACTGTTTTGTTTTGAGGTTTTCATTTTTATTTATTTTTATTTATTATTTTTTTAGCAATATCTAGCAGTTGGTCATCATTATTGTTACTGTTCTAGGATCCTTGGGGTGAGGCTTTTCCAGATGGAAACCCCCGTGGCCAGTGGTGCCTTTACTTAAGTTTTGCTCAGGTCTGCTGTGCTTGTTCCGCCCACTCAACCTGGCGGTCTATGTTTGGCTCATGCTACTGGCCTGGATCCCATACCTGTCAGGGGTGAGCAGAGTGGTGAGGGGTGTGTGAAAAGTGAGTGTGGGGTCTGGCCATTGCACACAGCCAGGCACACTGGCTGTGGGAGGACAGGAAGCTCCAGGCACTGGCCCAGGTGCTGGCTCCCTGTGAGGCTGTGGCTGGACCGGGCATACCACAAGCAGCTTCCACGGCTGGCATCAGGGAACACAGTGATGCCAGGAACCACAGAGCCCCAAAGAGGGTGTTACAACCCTGGCTTGGGGAGCTCCTAGGTCTGGGCTCCCCAAAGGGCTTCAGCTCTTCTCTCCTTTTTCCTTCTCTCCTTCTTGTCACCCACAACATGATGAACAAGGAGCATGTTTCAGCCCTGTTTGTGTTATAGCTCTTTTAGCCCTGCCATTCAGTGGGTCCCAAATTCTTGTCCTGTTTCCAGGAATAATGAGGTATGCAGACAAGTGAAGGGTGAGCAAGGCAAAGAGAAACTTTACTGAGCAACAGAACAGCTCAGAGGAGACCTACATTGGGCAGCTCCTCTCTGCAGGCAGAGTGTCCTGATGAGTGTTCAGCTCTCAGAAGAGAGGAGACCTTGGAGTACATAGCTCCTCTCCACAGCCGGTGGTCCCAACATCTGCTCAGCTCTCAGCAGAGAGGAGATGCTGGATTGGGTAGCTCCTCTCTGCAGCTGGTTGTCTTGGTCGTCTCTTTTTGAGTCTGGCTGAGTTCAGGGTTTTTATGAGCTTCAGAGGAGAGGAAATATGTGCTGATTGGTCCATCGGTGGCCATGGGTGGGCCTGGAAAAATCACCCTAAGTTTCCATTCCAGTTTGTGGTAGTGGCAACCCAGCCCCCAGGTTTCAGTCCTTGAAGGTGGGGCTTCACAAGAGACCTGCCCTTTTCTGCCCAGGAGCCTGTCTGCCTCTTGCCACTGTTCATGGTGCCCAGGCTATTCATGCTGAGGAGCACTTGCAGGCCAGCACCAAACTGTCCTCAGCCCTGCCTTGACCTTCCTCCTGTACTGCTCAGTGCCCAAAGTCTGGAGCAGACTGAGACAGCAGGGCTGGCATGTCAGCATTGCCCCAAGCATGTACACGCTCAGCTAGGTTGCAACAGCACCTGGGCTCAATCTTAACTCTGCTCTGAGATTGAAGCAGGAGCTGGGAGAAGGAGAGGCCAGGAAGAAGGAGCAAGACACTTCTAAGCCTGCAGGGGTCAGGGGTGTGTGTTTCCCAGACCCCTGAGAGTGCAGTGATGCCAGGGTCTGCAGTTGTGGCTTGGACAGCTGCAGCTATGCCTGGGAGGGAGGGGCTCCTGCCCACTCCTCACCCCCAAGAGCACAGGGATGCCCAGGTTCACAGCCATGGCTGTGCAGCTGCTGCTGCACCTGGGGAGTGCAAGGCTCCCCACTTCAGTAGGGGCGGGGCTTCCACCTGGTCCTAGGTCCTGCTGGCTTTTTGGATTGTGCAGCCCCAGCTGCACCTTTGCCAGTGCAGCTGGTGTCATGGCAGCGGCTGCTCCAGATGGGCCACCACTGCTATCATTACCGCAACCCTTACTAAGTGATATGGTTTGGCTGTGTCCCCACCCAAATTTCACCTTGAATTGTAATAATCCCCACATGTCAAGGGCAGGGACAGGTGGAGATAATCGAATCATCAGGGTGGTTTTCCCCATACGGTTCTTGTGGTAGAGAATAAGTCTCACAAAGTCTGATGGTTTTATAAATGGGAGTTCCCCTGCAGAAGCTCTCTCTTGCCTACTGCCATGTAAGACAAGTCTTACTTCCCCTTCAATTTCCACCATGATTGTGAGGCCTTCCTAGTCATGTGGAATTGTGAGTCAATTAAACCTCCTGCCTTTATAAATCACCCAGTCTCAGGTATGTCTTTATTAGCAGCGTAAGAACAGACTAATACACAAAGCTTCCACTTTTCTAGTCCAATATATCACTTGTGACACAATGTAACTATGTGGTAAAAACCTAATCTTTCACAAATCAGCCCACATTCTTTATCCTAATCTTTTCCCACAGGCTGTATGCTCCTAATTGTGGTCTGCTATGGCCTCTACCTCTCCTAGACCATTAAATCTCTGGCAGAATTAGATTTATTTTCAATATTTGTTGATTAACTGTTTGAATAAAAAATATTTGCTTGGCTAAAATCTTATCCCTAAGTCACACAGCTAACATGTAACAAAGCTAGGATACAAATGCATGTCCATCAGACTCCAATGAACATTATGTTTTATTTTGAAGAGAATAAAATGTAGGATACCTAAAAACTATCTCTTCAGATAATGATGGCAGATTATTGCAGATGTTGATTACTTAATTTTGTTGAAACTCCCTCTATTACACCCCCAAACAGAAACCTTTAATGCCCGTATACAGCCTAATGCAGAAATTAAGGTCTCAGAATAGAAGAAAGTGTGTGGATGTGTGGGTATGATTTCCCTACTTTCTTTCTTTCTTTCTTTCTTTCTTTTTTTTTTTTTGGCCATCTACCTCCTTGTCATTATTTAGTTAAATTTCTGTTCCTTAGTAAAGCCTCTCTTGACCCACCTAGGGTCATGCCTACAGACCAAGATTCATAAAATGTGTTGTCACACCATGACATTGATCATATTTTATTGAATTTATTTGTATAATATTTATTTGTGCCTGGAAATTTTAAGCCTTTAAAAGACATAGGATGTATTTATCCTCTTTGCTATTATTGCCCAGTGTGTATCCTTGTTTTCAGTATGTGATAGGTACTCACACACACACACAAATGTGTTGACGAAGGGAGGGTTGCCTAAAGAAGAAGCAAGCACAACTTTCCCTCTTCTTCCAGTTAACAAAGCCTCCAAAACTGAACATGTTAGAATACACGTACTCATGAAAACACACACAAATACAGAAGTGCAACAGATAGTACCTATTAATTAAAGGCAAAAGTTGCCCTTAGGTGACTGTATTTGTCTTCTAGCTAGGGTTGTCATAACAAAATATGGTAGAATGGGCAGCTTAAACAATAGAAATTAAGGTCCAAAATTAAGGTGCCAGCAGCATTGGCTTTTCCTGAAGTCTCTTTCCTTGGCTTGCAGATGGCAGCTTTCTGACTGCCTGTCCTGACACAGCCTTTCCCCTGGGTACATACAGCCCTGGTTTCTCTGTTATATTGGATCGGGCCCCACCCTTACGATTTCATTTAACCTTAATTACCTCCTTAAGAGCCCTATCTCAAACAGCAATCACGCTGGGGGTTAGGAAGCTCCCCCCAACCAACATGAATTTCAGAAGGACACAATTCAGGCCAGGCACATTGGCTCATGTGTGTAATCCTAGCACTTTGGGAGGCCAAGGCAGGCGGATTGCTTGAGCTCAGGAGTTCGAGATCAGTTTGGCCAACATGGCAAAACTGCATGTCTACTAAAATACAAAAAATTAGCTGGGCGTGGGGGTGCACACCTGTAGTCCCAGCTACTCGGGAGGCTAAGGTGCAAGAATTGCTTGAAACCCGGGAGGTGGAGGTTGCAGTGAGCTGAGATTGTACCACTGCACTCCAGCCTGGACAACAGAGCAAGACTGTCTCAAAAAATGAACAAACGAAAAACGACACAATTCAATCTGTGATAGTGACATGAAGAGATTTTTTTTATACCCATGCTATTCTCGATGTCTGTATATTTAAAATATGAAAGTGTAGCCAATTGTGACCTAACCACATTTGAATAATAGGATGCTGTTTATACAAACATGTACTTAAAATATCAATATCACAGAATCTCCCTTGAATCATTTCCTATAGATGTGCAATAGGCAACTGGAAAATGCAATACAGAAGAATTTGTAATCCAAAACTTTATTAAGAAAATCTTCCACACTTCATTGGTGTGGGTACTACATTTGCTGTAATTGCCTAATATCCACTTACGTATACTTAATCGCTTTTTTTCCCACTAACAAAATTGTAACATGATTGTAAAATGCCAGGCAAGCACATGAAAAACAGGAATAAAAAAGTTTGCTTAAGAAAGAATGGGCTATTTTACTTGTAAAATAAAACATTTATTGATTGCACCCATTCTGCATTTTAAGTGTAATATTTGCAGACTGAGAAGCAAACTTATAGAATAAAAGAAAATGCTGGTTCACATAGATGGCTATGCTGTATTTGATTCCCTGGTTGTTTCTTTAATATATTATTGAGGAATTTATTTAACAACTGTACTTACATATAAAACAATAATATTTATCAATTTTAGTGTAGTTTTTTTTTCTGTAAACCAAGCACATTTTTTAAAACTCTATGGAATAGATACTAATGTTGTTCCTATTTTGCAGGAGAGCAATCCAAGTTCAAATACTTTAAAAAGTTTCCCTGAGTTACCTAGCTGGCATGTGATGAAGCTGGGATACACATATAGATCCATCAGACTCCAGTGCACATACTCAGAATCCCTCCTGCTATACACTCCTCACTTTCTTGCTGCTTGTTTTTTCTCCTGTTCTAAATTCCATAAAACTTTTTATTTGTTTACTTTTTAAAAAATTATATTTCTTAAAAGTTTTCCTCCAAATAATTGAAAGAATTAAAAGGAATCAAAAGCATCTTTTCTTATTTTTATATAGTAAGAGAGGTAAGTGGTGGCTCATGCTTGTAGTCCCAGCTGCTTGGAAGGCTGAGTAGGAGGACTGCTTAAGCCCAGGAGGTCGAGTCTGCAGTGAGCCATGTTCTTGTCTCTGTACTCTGGCAGAGCAAGACCCTATATCTAAAATAACCATAATAATAATACTTGTACTACCTGTATTATGCATGGATTGAGTCTTAATTTTCAAATAATCAGAAGTTATTCAGAACAACAGAGACTTCATAGTAATAGATTAAAACTTAAACACTGTTTTGCCCCTTATAAACTAATGGCAATTTGACAAATCACTTAAACTTTCTGAATTAACCTAGTGCAAGTTTACTGTGAAGACCGAATCCACTGCCAAAGGACCACATATGCATCTCAATTAAAGTACTTAGTATGGTGGATTGTGTATTCTCGTTTCCTGGTCTGTAGGTCTGTACTCTGTATGTAAATAGTCTATCATTGTAGTATCTATCATTGCAGCGTCTATCATTTCTAACATTTCTAAATCTAGAGCAGGTTCACTACGGCAGAGATTTTTAAAACTCACTAAATATCCAAGAGCTTCTTACACTCCCCTGATGCTTGCGTTCGGTTTTAATCACATATCTTGGTCTGGCCAGTGGCCTGCCAGTGGCTGTCACCATTGTTTTGAGGAAGTGAAAAGTCTCTGGGAATGCTCCATCTCTCTCTTGTTCAGTGACACCCATGCATGCAGCTAGCAGAGGCATGAGATGGTAGCATAAGAAATCCCTAAATCAATATTTAAAGTTTACCTGGAAATCCACTAAAAATGTAGCAGAATTAATGTGGGTAAAAATAAACTTTTATTTTTCTTATTCAGCCTAATCTGATTAATGCAGGCATAGGAAGAGACTTAATAAACATGAATAGTGATTGATCCAAAATCCTGAAGTTAAAGTGAAGTCAGTGGACTTTCAGTTTGGAGTATCAGAAAACCTGACCGTAAATTACTTAAACGGTAGGCAATTTGTTATCTCATACACAAATATATTCTGGAGGTGGATTATTCTAGGATAGTAGCTCAGTCATATGTCTGTGGCAGCTCCAAGGATGCATGACATTATAAACATTAGAAGAAAAAGGATTTATATTATAAATTTCCCATCCTAGAAAAACAACTCTTTGTATTTAATTGTCCGGTGTTGTATTAAATCCTTCTTCCTAAACCAATTACCACAATTGAATTGGACATAATAGGATTGGTTCCCTAGTCAAATTAATATTCATTACCCAGGGCTGAGAGAGCCCATGAAATGAACGGTTGTCCAACTCTTGAATAAACTCAGAATTCTGCTAGCGAGGAAAAAGTAATACTGTCTATTGAGTAGACAATTAAAAAGATGTTCAGAGAGTGAAAATGTTCTCTCAACATTATGCATCCAAATTCAAATGCAATTTTAAGTTAAAAATATGGCTAAGATTATTTTATATTTAAACTTTATTTTTTGCCAGGTGACCGATGTTCTATGGTAACTTGGAACATGTTATCCCTGAGTTTATTAACCCACCATAAGAGTAGAAATACTTTCAATGGGAGTAAAAATTTCTCACAAATACTCAACTATTAACTCAGTTTCTTTTAATATCATAAGTGGGTCCCACTCTTGGGTTACTGGTTTTAAAATGTTATTTTTATTTATCCTACCTAAATTTAAACTAGTTGTTCTGGCATCAAGTAGATAATACCAATTTTTTTTAAAAAAAAATATTCACCTTGGAGTACTAGAGATTGTGGGTATTGTTAAGCAGGAGCTCACTTAGGATTAAACATGGATTCTCCTTACTGTCCAATAGGCTTTAATGTCAGGCATTAAGCAAACTTGACTAGAGGAGATTTTTTTAATTTAATAAAAATAATATTTGCTTACTGTGAACTCAAGTATAATTACATATTATAAACATGTAACAGAAGCTCCACAAAAGAAACATTACTGTATGTGTGAAGGGTGGTCAGGAGCTAAATTAAGGAATTCTACTTTCTGGCTCCACATTTCATCATTTTCTGAGATTATTTCTAAGGGAATTCACTCTCAAAGTCCCCAGTGCGTATGCTTTTTGAGAATTTGTATGATCATCTCCACCTCCCTACACTATAAATTTAAATGATTAGTGCTAATGTGCACTCACAAGCAGGTGGGTTCTTGGCTCTTCAGAGTCACTGGAGCGAGGAGTTGAATGATGTGTGAAATGAAAAATCCTATCCAAAGCTCAGAGGGAGTTGAGAGAGGACTGTGCTGTGGGTTCCTGGCAGCCCGGGTTAGCATCAGTGAGAATCACATTGATGCATAATAAAAGCTCCTGAGCCTCCCACCACTCTGGGTGTGGGCAGGTGAGTGGGTTTTAATGAGCTATTTTATGCCTGTCCTTGTCTCAGTACATCTCTCTTATCTCTCCAGCTACCCAGAGTTGTAACAATTAATAGTCTCTATCACAAAGTGAAGTGTTAGGTGAGAAAATTACCTGGACAACTTGAGCTAAATGATTCAAATTACCTCTATTTTCCAGAGAAATTAAGGGGAAATAAGGAAGAAATTGGAAGAAGGAGGTGGTCTTTAGAAATAGTAACTTCAGTTCTTTACTTTGGTTTTTTAAGGGATCAAAGGTCTACGCTTAGAAGTATCACATGCTTCTCTTTATTAGCCTGTGCAAAATAAAATAAAAATAATAAATTAACCTCATATACACATGCACACACTATATAACGATAACAAAAATGATAATAAAACACACTCCTGCACAATGAGATAACAAGTAAAAATGTACAATAGTATCCCCTCCGCCACAGTGTCACTTTCCAAGCCTTCCATCACTTGTGGTCCACCAGAGTCTGAAAATAGAATGGAAAATTCCAGAAATAAGTAATTCCTAGGTATTAAATTGGGAGCTGTTCTGAGTATTGCGATGAAATCTCAGGATATTCTAGAATGTGAATCCTCTCTTTGTCCAGCCTCTTCATATTGTCTATGCTGCCTTCCTGTTAGTCACTTAGCAGCCATCTGTGTTATCAGTTTTACAGATCACAAGAAGACGGAAGAGAGCAGAACAATAAGATATTTTCAGAGACAGAGAGAGAGAGGGAGAGAGATCACGTTCATATAGCTTTTATTAGAGTGTCAGATTGTAAATGTTCTATTTTACTATTAGTTATTGTTAACCCCTTACTGTGCCTAATTTATAAATTAAACTTGATTGTAGGTACAGATGTGTAGGAAAAATCACAGTATATATAGGGTTTGGTACTATCTGAGGTTTCTGTCATCCTCTGGGAGTCTAGAAACATATTTTCCATGGATAAGAAAAGACTACTTTACAAAAGTATCTAAGCTCTTTGTAAAATGTGAAGATTTTCAATTAACTTGTGACAAGTATTAAGTGACAAGTTTTCCAGGATTGGCTGGCTGACGATAGAAGGATTGGGGTTTGGGGAGAAGTGACAAATACCTGTAATAGACAAACAAACCAAAACAACTGAATTCAGGGTGGCTGGACCCTCTTAATCTCAGAAGAGATTAATCTCAGGACTTCATTAGATCTGACTTGTAACATTACAAGCAAAAATTAATTTGTTAGTTTCAGTATATCCCCAAACTGAACCACCAACTATCACACAAAGGTTTCCCTGGAGCACAGAGGATCTGATTTTTAATTTTGACAGTTACCCATTCGTTTTGGTGTGTATTTGAGAAAAATACAACTTGGGAACAAACATGTGGTCCTCTGAACACTATTCCTTAGGAGGAGACTAACTTAGAAAGTATACCATATAGGCCAGGCACGGTGGCTCACGCCTGTAATCCCAGCACTTTGGGAGGCTGAGGCGGGTGGATCATGAGGTCAGGAGTTCGACTAACATGGTGAAACCCCGTCTCTACTAAAAATACAAAAATTAGTTTGGCATGGTGGTGTGCTCCTGTAATCTCAGCTACTCAGGAGGTTGCCGGGATGTGGAGGTTGCAGTGAGCTGAGATCACACCATTGGACTCCAGCCTGGGTGACAGAGTGAGACTCTGTCAAAAAGAAAAAAAAAAAGAAAGAAAGAGAGAAAGAAAGGAAGGAAGGAAGGAAGGAAGGAAGGAAGGAAGGAAGGAAGGAAGGAAAAAGAAAGAAAGAAAAGAAAAGGAAAGGAAGAAAAGAAAGAAAGAAAAAGAAAGAAAGAAAGACAGAAAAAGAAAGAGAGAGAGAAAGAAAGACAGAAAGAAAGAAAGAAAGAAAGAAAGAAAGAAAGAAAGAAAGAAAGAAAGAAAGAAAGAAAGAAAGAAAGAGAAAGAAAGAAAGAAAGAAAAGTAAATAAATACCAGCTGGGCGCGGTGGCTGACGCCTGTAATGCCAACACTTTGGGAGAAGGAGGCGGAGGCGGGTGGATCACGGGGTCAGGAGATGGAGACCATCCTGGCTAACACGGTGAAACCCCGTCTCTACTAAAAATATAAAAAATTAGCCGGGCATGGTGGCGGGCGCCTGTAGTCGCAGCTACTTGGGAGGCTGAGGCAGGAGAATGGAGTGAACCCAGGAGGCAGAGCTTGCAGTGAGCCGAGATCCTGCCACTGCACTCCAGCCTGGGTGACAGAGCCAGACTCCATCTAAAAAAAAAAAAAAAAAAAAAAAAAAAGTATACCATATGACAAAACTGGTGAAAGCAGTACCTAAATGACAAATCCAGGAAGCACTGAGATACAGCAATGCCAAGGGCTTAAGGGCTTAAAGGGTTTTAAGTAAAGAAGTATCACAATTCTTAAATATTTTTCTAAAATTAATAACATGTTTCGCTTTCTTTTCAAGTGATTTTCTCCCCTCTAACCTGCACATTATCACCGTCATTCCACCATTATCCCTGATTTTATGCCATTTTATTCAGCACCACCATCATAATAGCTCAATTTCTCAAGTAGTTACCATGTGTGAGGCAGCAGGGTATTAAGTGCTTTAAATGAACTATTCCACTGAATCTTCAAAATAATTCTGTAGGAGACACCATATTTATTCCCATTTTCCAGATGAAGAAACTGAAGTTTCGAGAAGCTACCCCTAAATCTAATTTGTTTTTGAAGCTTATTTTTTCCTTCTGAAATTCCCACCTCATTACCTGTATCTCCTGTATATTAATGGTATAATTAAGAGTATCATAATAATAGCAAAGACTTACTGACCACTCATATCTTTAGGACACTGGTTTAAATGGTTACAAAGATTGCTTTATTTAGTACACACAAGAACCTCTCAAGTAGATACTGATATTATCTTTGTTTCACAGATGTGAGAATGGAAGTAGAGAGAAGTTAAACAACTTCTCCACTGTTACATAGCTATGGAGTGTAAGAACTGGGGTTTGACTGCTGGCAGCCTGACCTCTGAATATATTTCCAAGAAAAGGCGTTTGCACTCACCCTTAGTCGTGCCTGTGCGGTGGGACAGACAGAGAGTGCACCAGAGTCAGGGGAAATCAGTCAGGTTATCCTGGGGATGCTTGCCTGTGAAAGCCTAGACAGAGCTGTTAAACCCTAACATCCTTGTTTCTGCCCCAGGTTTTTGTCACATGTGCTAGATTTACTTGTAGGAAAGAAAGGGGAAGAAAAGAGCAACAAGAGGGCAAGAAATAGGGAGAAGAAAGGAAGAGAAAAAGAGAATTGAAGCAGAGCAAGTCACATTGATCTTATTCTCCTGTGTCTCCAGTCTTGAATACATTTGGAGATTTAGAAATTAAAAAGTTTTTCAAAGAGCTTCTTGGCTAAATTGACCTCAGTGTTCTGAGACATTCCAAAGCAACGGTGGGGCTCTGTCACACCACCTCTAAAGACAAATCTGCTTAATAAGCTGAACTCTTCAATTACAGATAGTTAGAAGCCAAATTATGTTCACAATGCCCTTTAAACAAAATCCTCCATTCTCAGATTCAGCAATCAGGTTAATCTTATGAATATAAACAAGAACCGACATGATTAAACTCTCTTACATCAAATGTATTAATCTAGTACCAAAGGGATGCAGACTTTTTGTAAAGTGCTTTCTGAAGACTTCTTGGTTCAAACTACTTAATATTTTATCCCTAAAAATTTCAATGTTATTTATTTATGGTAAGAGAATCCAAATGCTTTATAATGCAAAACACGTGATGAAACACGTGGTGATATAAAATAATTAATTTCTAGCTTATAAATTTCAGAGACTAAGGGTGGCAACCCAAATCATCTGTAGGTGCATTCTTTACTTACTTACATGGGGGCAGTTCCATACTTTCCTTTTACAAGTTAGCAAAGAAACATTTGTTTTTCTGTTCAACCAACAGTTACCTCTAGCAAATCAACAAGTCATGCAATCTTTAGCTTCACTTCTTGAGTTAGGCTATTTCTATGTTCCTTGACAAATAAGACTTGAGATAAGTAATGGCTTTTAAAACTATTAGATATACCAAAATGCAGTGATAACACTTATAAAATTTATTAAAAATAAATTATACGGCTTTTAGTCTATAGGAAATGGTATTATCAGCTGACAAAACAGAATGCCACTTCTATCTAAGGCTTCACGCAACCTGGCTACAATTTTCCTTAGGCTGATTGGAAATAGCAATTACAGAAAATCTGATCAGTGCAATTGCTTAAAGTGGATCAATTGCATACAGAAGTCCTAAGGAAGAGATGACATATTTAATTACACAGCAAACACACATTAGCTGAGCTTTTAGGAAAATAATGATAGCTAGGTACAGAAAAATAGACATTATAATATTTATAAGAAGAAACATGTTAATAGTGACAGTTGATAGAAAGAAAGGCAGCCACTGTAGTATCCAGGCTTTTCTTGACTTAAATTTTACAACACAGAGAGAAAGATGCAATTAATAACCCCACATTAAAAGGGATTCAAATAAGGCTAAGAGAATTCATGATTTTCACCCAATATTATCCATCTGAGGAGTAACAGAGACAAGATTGCAACCCAGGTCTTTATATCGCTCAGGTCTGTTCTCTGAATTGCTGGGTTTGACTTTCTACCAGCACCATGGGAGGAATGGTGAGAATATAGATAATGGAATATATGATAATTGTGCAGATTTTCCATCAGTGATAGCCAAGTAAAATTTATACACATGAAAAACTCCAAAAATACAATAATTTCTCTTTAATTCAGTATGACTATGAGACTGCACAAATGGAACATAGCAGTTACATTTAATGAGAGAAGCCTTAGTATTTATGACATTTCCCTGCTCCTGGTCTGAAAGGTGGGTGACATTTTGGACAGACAGAGAACATGAGGAAGCCATTGCTGACTAAGAAGAGATCCTAAAACAAGTTGTAAAGTAAAATATACACTTGTATTGTCCTTTAGAGTTAAAAGAAAATATGTACATTATTTTATCTAATGTTTACTCAATTCCTCAAGAGTAGGTGAGCTGGAGATTATCATCTTGATTTTAAAGATAACATTTTGAGGCTCAGTGAGGCCCAATTAGTGGAAAAGCCTGAATGGAGACTTAACTTTTCTGCTAACCAGCAGACTTTCTAGTATATCCAAGGCGGTAGAATAAGCATGCTGTGTGTGGTGAGGGATAACAGATGAGGGTGGTTGGTTAAGAAAAAAAGATCATAGTCTTTGATGAGAGTAGAGGGAGGTGAATATGGATATACAAATGCAGCCAGATAATGAAAAATTGTACAGAGTACATGTAGGAGTTTAAATATAATTGAGATAGAACGAGAGATAGTGTGGTTTGTTGAGTATAGTAGGAAATATCTCCTATTGTGTTTGGAGTCATGCAAACCTAGGGTGAATAGGATAAGCTATCTTACCTGTCTAGCCTGTAGGTTCCTTACCCTTAAAGTGAGACTAGTAATACCTCTGTGACTAGGGATTTATGGTGACAATAAAAGATTTATTTCATAATGTATATAAGATGTATATGGCAAGCTCTCCATGGAAAACAGTGATTGTGATTACAACTATGAATGAAGTGAAAATGAAAACTGTATTTGAAGTTGCTTAACCAGGAAGCTGGGTGGGAAAGTAGAGAACAATGAGACCTGGAGTCAAGGGGCAAAAAACCATGTGACATTATTTTTAGATATAAAACCCTACCATCCTCCATGAAATTCTTTACTGGTTTCCAGTTACACTTGGAATAAAATTCAAATTCTAAAGCCCTTCTTACAAACACATGCATAATGTGACTACTGCATGTCTCTTGAGGCCTTTTTTATGTTCTTTAATCTCCTCACACACTGGGGTTATTTAATTTCTTGCTAAATCAGTCTTCCTAGAATATCATTTTCCCAACTCAACACTTGGCCTCAACTTAAAGGTTACATCAGTAAGCCTTCTCTGACCTATTGTCCTATCGCATTTCATTAATTAATTACTAATGTTTAAAATTTTATATATATATATATTTATGTTTGTATTCAGGCAATTGAATTATTGACAAGGAAATAGAGAAGTAATGTATTAATTAAGCTGAGCTGAAGTTCTCTGAAGTATAGTACTCTAGACAATATAAAGAAGAAAAAGGAGAAGACCCTCTCCAGGGAGATTTTCAGTATGCTCAAAGTAGAGTCATATATATTACATTTAGAGATATCAACACAAGTAATTCCAGATATGATCATAGTGATTACTCGCCAAACTAAAGGGAATTTTAAAAATCTCTAAGTGCTAGAGTCGAAGAGGGCATGAGGCAACTGGCTATTCTAAGAGCTCTAGAGGAAACTATCAAGGATTTTACCACTTAGAAACATGAGAAGTCTAAATACTGTTACAAGTTTTCTCCGAGCTGAAGAAGCTTTGGTTTTAAGCTCTTCGAGCCTGTGGATTAATGCTGTGTACGTGTGTGCCTGCATGTGTGTTGAGTGTGTCTTTCATCTTCTGTGCATTTTTGTGTATCTGTGGTTTGTTTTGAATGTTTTTTGGTGAAAGTCATATGTGTGACAGTGAAGTCAACAAGTTGACAGCAATGGGAATTGTGCCACTTGATGGAGGTCATTTCATTGCATGTGGCTTCAGCCTTATAGCCCCAGGCTCTGTCATGGCAACATCACTACAGTATCAAGGGTTAGATTGTCAGAGGTCTTCTATGTCCAACTAAAAATGTCCCTTGCAAGTAATTCATTTGTTGAAGAAGACTATCATATTAAACCCAAAATAAAATTTTAAAATATTGCACAATAAAATAAAACAAATTTATGATCCCATATAATATTTCAAGAGGCATCTAGTTGGTTATTTATGTATTTTCATTAGATAGATACCCTACTTATGTTATGGAAAAGGTGAGTAAGAAATAGACCTGACAGGTTAATATTATTTAAGAGATGTAATAAACCTGAATGTCGTTATGAAATTTGATGAACATTTTTCCTAAAGTTAAAGAGATACTGGTTTACTTCACTTCATCAATTTCAACCATTTTTGTTTTAATTTTTGACAAGAAGTACAAATGTAGAAGACAAGTATCCCACTGTGCCCTTGGGTCTGGCATCACTGAAAAACAGCAAACATGTCACCAATTGACTAGTGGAAAGAAAAAAATACATTTAACAATGTCATAATAAAGAATCTTGAAATCTGACAGCATTGGGAAGACTTATGAAATAAAGAGTGAGCATAATTTTGAAATTCCATCTCCTAAGGAATTCTTTAAAAATCAACCATGAACGCTGGTTTTTGGAGATCATCAAGGTAGGAGCGGATCTAGAACCAGGAACCAAAAGTCCAGATCAGACTGACGAAGGAATGTTTCTAGACCCTGTTGCTCTCCAGGACAACAATTTATCCCTTCTTTAAATAGACTTTCCCTGATCACCTATTCAAAATAAGAAATATCATTTACCTTCGTCATACACCATCGGTCCTTCTGTTATTTATTGTGCTTGAAATTACATTGTTTATATGTTTGTTCATTTAGTTACACAAGTCATACAATAGTAACTGACACATAGTGAACTCTAAAAATATTTACAGCAAATGACGTGAAAACAAGATAAAAAACACAAGGAAGATGGAAAGGCTATGGCATTATAACATGTTAGTTATCTGCTCAGAATTTATTTCATTTTTTTCTCCCATAGCTCAACACATTTTGTAATATAACTATAGTAAAATACAGTAATTAAAACATTTAAAATCAAAAAGTGCTGCATTCATTCATTAAAGGGTTATGTTAATTATCATCTTTCATTAGAATTACAGCACTATGTCTTCAAATCAGAATTAGATGGAATAACTGTGAATATCAACATGGTTTTATCCTTGGAGGAAAATTAATTTTTTTACTTTTATGTATTATCATTTATGTATACATTTTTTTTTCTTCTGAGGTGGAGTTTCACTCTTGTTGCCCAGGCTGGAGTGCAATGGCACGATCTCGGCTCACTGCAACCTCTACCTCCCAGGTTCAAGCGATTCTCCTGCCTCAGCCTCCCTAGATGCTGGGATTACAGGCATGCGCCACCACACCCAGCTGCTTTGAATTATTTATTCCTGTATTAATATTTATAGAGTAGCTAGGGTCTGTCATTTTCCTAGTATGTTCCGTAAAAGACATAGATAAGTCCTGCCTTCTAGGGATTTAGAATCTAGTAGGTAAAAAGATAAGGAAACCAACATACACCAGTGCAATATGGCAATAAAGTTAAGCACAGTGAACTATGAGAGCACAGACAAGCAGACCCCAACCTGGCAGAGGTGGTCAGAGAAGGCTGACAATAGAAAGGTGGATGGATACCAAAAGGTAGAGGTTAGGTCAGGCTGAAAAAGTAATTTCTATAGCAAACAGAGAAATTCAGCCTGTTGGTATGACTGGGCAGAATTTATTTAGGAATTATGGGAGATAAAGATGGAGGGGCTCATATCACAGGAGCCTTTCATACCATACACACTACAGATAACATACATTAAAAAGCTATTTTCCATCCAATATGACTGAAACTGGAACTTCCTTTCATACCACAGGAAGCAATAGTTTGCAAGAAGATGAGCTGATGTGAGAAGCAAGGCTGGGATCTCCAGAGACACAGACAAATAGAATAAATACATGAGGACACTTATTATATAAATCAGAGGCAGAAAAGTCCCACAGCCTGTTGCCTGCAAGCTAGAAACCAAGGAAAGCTCGTGGTGTAATTCAGTCTGAGTCCAAGGGCCTGAGAACCAAGAACACCAACATTGGCAGACAGGAGAAGATGGATGTCCAAGTTAAAAGAGAGAAAATGAATTTGCTCTCTTCTTCCTTTTGTTCTATTTGGGTCCTCAAAAGATTGTATGATGCTCACCACGTTGGGAATTGCACATCTCCTTTATTCAGTCTACTGATTCAAGTGGCAACCTCTTCTGTAGACACCCTCACAAACACACCCAGGAATAATGTTTTACCAGATATCTGGTCATCCCTTAACCCAGTCAAGTAGACATATAAAATTAACCATCACAACCACCAATGTTCTCACATTTACAGATTCAGAAATTTAATTTGTTTAATTCATCCGGAATTCTGAAGAGTTTAGAATGACAAAATTCATAAGAGGCAGATACTATTATGTCCAAGTATAAAAGAAAACTTAAATCAACTTGTCAGTCCATTTTCTCCTGGGCAACAGCCTAGAAATTGGACAAGAATGGGATAATCTTATTAAAAAATATATTAAAATAAGTTATTATAATAAACCCATTCAACTATGGAGAGAAAAAAATAGAAAATTAATTATGTGCATGGTCAGAGTCACTCAAAAGGACTAAAAATAAATTCATGTTATATATTGTCCTTTGAATCTCCTTTTCTAAATTTCGACATTACATACTTAAAAAATATTTCTCCTACACTTTTCAGTGATATATAATAAACTACTTTTTAAGCTAGATGCCTCAATGATATTTCAATATATAGATTATGGTCTGATTTCTATTATTTTTCCTTTTCAGAGGGTGATTTTCCCTCCTAATTCTAGGTCTTTTTATTGGAGCAACATCAGCATTTATAAAGTATTATTGGAGTCCAGAAAATACATTACCAAACCCCTTTTAAAGATTCCCAAACTTCCACAGGGTGTATTTGAGGAAAATGTGGACATTGAGGCTAGTTTTATCTTTAACTCAATGCTGGGTATGCCTTCATCACTATTAAAGCCAGGGCCAAGATTGTGCTATAAGCAGAGGGTCAGCATCAGCCATATCAGGAGCACTGCAGTCATGAAGATGAGGGCTTTTGCTTATCTTTCTTGTTCATATTCTATTCTGTTCTAATCTAACTTGTAAAAATGGGAACTTATTTACCAACAAAAAATAAAAAAAGAAAGATAAAAGTGCCCTACCTCTGGCACCTCAGCTAGCTACAGACTTGAGAAATAGTACAGCCTGTGTAGACAACAACCTTAGCTTACCTTATCCTGTGTACACTTTCCAGTAGACATAATAAAAGGCTTTACCATAGTCATAACTACCTGGAGTTTTCATCAAGGTACTCTTTAGACCTTCAACACAAATTTAATTTGAATCTTTTATGTTCATAAAGCTTCAATATCTACTCTTCCTACCCCATATTTTTATTTTATTTTTGATTGCCTCTGCCCTTGCTCTTTCAAACAAGATCTAAATGAAAAGTGTCAGAATATTATATCAAAAGCCATTTAGATTGTTTTTGAATAAAGTGCTGGAGTGCAGATAAGTATTCAAACTTCTGAGTGCTTGGTCTAACCTATTTTGCCTTTCAGTGTGCCTTCAGGAAGCAATTTCTGAACTGTGACAAATGTTTCTCATCACTGTAACTCGCAAATGAGTCCGAACTCCTAGAGGTGTAGGACAATTGTTGACCTTAAGGATAAACAGGAAGAATTTCAAGTAAATGGCTTGGACTATCATTATCAAGACTGATATTTGGTGACTGCTCTGTCCCAGCCCCTGCTGAGTGATGTGCTACATCATTCCAAGACCTGCATCATTTTATCAGAAAGAACGTCTTTGAAAATTCATCTCATAGCAGAGTCAATATTGCTTCTGCATGTGGATTTTTATTATCATCTATCAAAAACATAAAAAAGTCTTTTTTGTTATTATTTGAAAA
This sequence comes from Homo sapiens, assembly GCF_000001405.40. Lineage (NCBI taxonomy): Eukaryota > Metazoa > Chordata > Mammalia > Primates > Hominidae > Homo > Homo sapiens. The sequence goes on along the minus strand of NC_000014.9, from coordinate 86,347,272 downwards.
CAACTAAAACTGAAAACTGAAAACTGAAACTGAAACTGAAAACTGAAAACTCCTCTCTAGGTTTATTCATGTTTGGTATTTCTAAACAAATAGAGTAAATTGCTGGGTGTAGTGGCTCATACCTGTAATCCTAGCACATTGGGAGGCCGAGGCAGTAGAATATCTTGAGCCCCGGAATTTGACACCACCCTGGGCAACATGGCAATACCCCATTTCTACCAAAGGGAAAAAAAATTAGCAGTTCCTGGTGGTGCATGCCTGTAGACCCAGCTACTGTGGAGGCTTAGGTAGGAGGATAATTTGAGCCCAGGAAGCAGAAGTTGCAGTGAGCCAAGATCATGCCATTGCACTCCAACCTGGGAAACAGAGCCAGGCCCTGGTTTAAAAAAAAAGACTAGGATAAATTAACTTAGTCTTTCTTATATCTAATTCAAGCCATTTGTTTGTTTGTTTGTTTCTGTTGTTTTGTTTGTTTGTTTTTTGTTTTTGAGATGGAGTCTTGCTCTGTCACCCAGGCTGGAGTGCAATGGCAGGATCTCAGCTCACTGCAACCTCTGCCTCCTGGGGTTCAAGCAATTCTTTTGCCTCAGTCTCCCAAGTACCTGGGATTATAGGCACCCACCATCATGTGTGGCTATTTTTTTGTATTTTTGTAGAGACGGGGTTTCACCATTGTTGGCCAGGCTGATCTTGAACTCCTGACCTCAGATGATCCGCCTGCCTCAGCTTCCCAAAGTGCTGGGATTACAGGCGTGAGCCACTGTGCCTGGCCCCAAGCCGTCTTTTTTAATTGTGTCATTTACATATATTGACTACTTTGTGAGTGATTTTATATTTACATAATATTTCAAGATGATTCAGGTGCTGTGCAAATATTACATTCTTTAAAGACTGCTAATTTTTTTTGGTCTTTTTAAGGAGAAAGAAATGTATTACATAGACATTAAAGGTCATTAATCTTGAGTGAGGAGGTGATGTCAGCAAGATGGCTAACTAGAGGCACCTATGGCTCATCCTCTCACAAAAAAGGGACAAAAACAACAAACAAACAACTACATTTTGACTACAGGGTCTGAAGGAACGTGCTGAAGTACAGAGAAGGAGTGGCAGAGACCCTGTGGAACATACAGACTCAGGATGGCCAAGAGAGAAGAAAACAAAACACTCTGCTCCTGCCACCCCATCTCACCAATCAGGATCAGCTTGAAACTATGAGGGACATCTCCTTATAGGGAAAAGGCAATCAAAAGCCTCCAGAATCCCCTATTGACACCACAGGCATCTGCAATCTTTGCTGCTGGAGAATCCTACAGTTTTTTACAGGTCATGAGACCAGTCTGGGGAGCTACCAACAGTTCACATAGTTGTGTTGCTCTTGAGAAGGGCCACATTGTGCTCCTCCCCCTGTGATCCAAGCTGCTGCTGCTGCATGGTGTCGTGTTGTAACCAGAGGCACTGCTAAAGTGTGTTCTGCTCCAGGGGCCAGTAGCCACTGCCTCTCCCAATCACCGAGGCTCTGTCACCATTGTACCATACTCATATATGATAGTGCACAATTCCCCAGCTGAACTGCTACAGAGCCCTACCCCTGGGAGAAAACTGCTTAGGAAGCACTTCATCTACCCCATTCCAATGACTGCAGCACTCTGCCTTTCTGCACTTGGAGCCTAAATCCAGTGAAACAGCCATCATCTTGGTGTCTGAGTCCATGTGGTGCCTTGCCTCCCAAGGAACAGTTGGACAATTGGTCCTTCCCATGGGAAAGCTGAGTCCAAACTGGCACTTCTTTGGCACATAAAACAGCTCACCATCCTCTCACCTCAGGAGCCCCACCCAAGATGCTGGAACAGCTACACAAATTCCAGCAGCCTAGGCCACTGAGGCAATCTCAGGCATTGCTGACATTGACTACAACTGAAGAAACTTCATGGAGACTACACTACTGTGTCTACTTTAAATGAAAGCCAAAGCACACTACCTAACCAACACCATAGGACACATCTATAGGTAAAAGTCTTTCTCTACAAAAGCCACTTCATAAAATTAGAAAGAAAACCATTCTACCAGATGCACAGATATGAATGCAGGGATACAAGAAACATAAAAAAGCAAGGAAACAAGACATCACCAAAGAAACACAGTAATTATTCAGTAACTGACTCTGAATAAAGAAAATTTACAAGCTCCCTGAAAAGAAAGTGAAAATAATAATTTAAAGAAAACTCACTAAGATGTAAGAAAACACAGACAATTCAATGAAATCAGGAACAAAATATCACACAGAAAGAGATAAAAAGAGCCAAACATAAATCTTGTACCTAAAGAATTAAATGAATAACATTTAAAAAAACACAATCAAGAGCTTCAACAGCAAATTAGATCAAGCAGAAGTAAAATTTCTGAACTTGAAGACTGGTCTTTTGTGTCAGAAGAACACACTCAGAAGAAAAAAAAATTACCCACTCAGGAGAAAAAAAAAAGAAAAAGAATAAAAAACATTGAAGAAAACCTACAGGACTCGTGGAATGCCATTAAGTAAAGAAATTTCCACATCATTGAAATTCCAGGGGAGAAGAGATAGATGAGGGCACAAAAAGTAATTTAATAAAATAATAGTTGAAAACTTCTGAAGTCTTGGAAGATGTATGGTAATTCAAATCCACGAAGCTCAAAGAACACCAAAGAGATTTAATCCAAAGAAGTCTTCTCAAGAAACATTATAATAAAAGTATCAGAAGTCAAAGCCAAAGAGAGAACTCTAAGCAGCAAGAAAAAAGTGTCAGGTCACATATAGGGAATCCCCATTAGACTATACGCAGGTCTCCCAGCAGAAATCTTTCAGGCTAGTAAAGAATGGGATGATATATTCAAAGTGCTGAAGGGAGGAAAAAAAAACCCTGCCATTCTGCAATATTATATCCAGCAAAACTGTCCTTGAGAAAAGATGGAGAAAGAAAGTCTCTTCTAGAAAAGGAAAAGCTGAGGGAAATTATCACCAGCAGACCTGCCTTGCAAGAGATGCTTAGGGAGTGCTTCAGCTGGAAGCAAAAGGGCAATCATTACTATCATGAAAACACGTGAAAAGATAGTCTCACTGGTAGAGGAAAATTCATTAACAAATTCAAAATACTTTGTTACTATAATGGTTATTATATAAACTTTCAAGTATGTAGTATGAAGGTTAAAAGTCAAATGGTCAGTGATAACTATTTATAGTAAGTTGTTAAGAAAAAACAATATAAAAAGATATAAACAAAGAAACAATTTATAAATTGGGAGGGGAAGTTAAAAGTGTAGGATATACACATATATGTACATATATAATATGTGTAACAAAACTTAATTTATTATTGGCTTAGTTTATTTTATCTAAAATATTTTCATGTAAGGCCATAGTAACAATGAAGAAAAAAATTATGACAGATACACAAATGAGAAAGACAAAGTTATCAAAGCTTGTCACTACAAAAGAATCACCAAACCACAAAAGGCAAAATATAAGAGAAGAACAAAGACTATATAAAACAAACGAAGCAGAAAACAACAAAATGGAGAGAATAAATCCTTACCTATCAAAAACAACCTTGAATGTAAATGGAGTAAATTCTCCAAATAAAAGATACAGAGTGTCTTAATTCATAAAACAAAAACAACAATAATCAACTATATGCTGCCTACAAGTAATCACTTCACCTGTGAAGACACACAGATTGAAAGTGAGGGGATGAAAATTATTAACCCATGCAAATTAAAACCAAAAGAGAGTGAGAGTATCTATGTTTATATCAAATAAAATAGGCTTTAATTAAAAAATATAAAGAGATAATAGAGGTCATTATGCAATAATAAAGGGGTCAAATGGACAAGAGAATAAAAGAAGTATAAATATATCTGAACACAGCACAGTGAATATATAATGTAAATGTTGTTAGATCTAATGGGATAGAAAGACTGCAATAGAATAATAGTAGGAGACTTTAACACCCTGCTTTCAACAATGGACAGATCATTCAGAGAGAAAATTAACAAAGAAACATTGGATTTTAACTGCATCTTAGGCCAAATGGATCTAGTAGAGATTTACAGACCATTCTATGTAATAGCTACAGAATACCCATTTTTCACAACAGGACATGGAACTTTATCAAGAATAGATCACGTGTTAGGCCAAGTAGAGATTTACAGAACATTCTACGTAATAGCTACAGAATACCCATTTTTCACAACACCACATGGAAGTTTATCAAGAATAGATAATGTGTAGGCCACAGAAACTCTCAACAAATTAAAAAAAAATTATCTCAAGTATTTTTTCTGACTTTCTGACCATAGTGGAATAAAACTAGAAATCAATAATAGAAGGAACTTTGGAAGCTATAAAAATACATGTAAATTAAGCAGCTTATTCTGGAAAAAAAAAACAGCAACAACAGGTCAATGAAGAAATTTAAAAGAAAATTTAAAAAATTTCTTGAAACAAATGAAACTTTAAATACAACATACCAAAACCTATGGGATACAACAACAGCAGTTCTAAGAAAGAAGTGTATAGCAATAAACATCTACTTCCAAAAAGCACAAAGATCTCAATGAACCAACTAAAACTATACCTCAAAGAAGCAAAATGCAAGAACAAACTAGATCCAAGATTAGTAGAAAGATCAGAGTGGAAATAAATAAAATAGAAAATAAAAACAATACAAAGGTAAACAACATGAAGAGTTGGTTTGTTGAAAAGATAAAAAAAAAATTGACAAACTTTTAGCCAGATTAAAAAAAGAGAAACGACTCAAATAAAATAAATCAGAGTTGAAAAAGGAGATATTAAAAATAATATTACAGAAATGCAGGATCACTGGAGACTATTATGAATAACTATTTGCCAACAAATTGGAAAACCTAGAAGAAAGAGATAAATTCCTGAACATATTCTACCTACCAAAATAGAATCATTAACAAATTAAAAACCTGAATAGAACTATAATGAGTAACAAGATTGAATCAGTAATAAAAAACATCTCCCATTAAAGAAAAGCACAGGCCCTAATAGATTTATGAGTTCTACTAAACATTTAAAAAACAATTAATAACAACTCTTTTCAAACTATTCCAAAAAATTGAGGAGTAGATAATTCTTCAGACTTATGATATGAGACCAGCATTACTCTGATACCAAAACCAACCAAGGACAGAACAACAGCAACAACAAAAATAGGCCAATGTATCTGATGAAAATAGAGGCAAAATTCCTCAACAAAATACTAGCAAACTGAATGCAAAAGCAAATTAAAAAGATAATTCACTATGATCAAGTGGGATCTATCCCATGGATACAAGGATGGCTGTATTAGTCTGTTCTCATGCTGCTATTAAAAACATATCCGAGACTGGGTAATTTATAAAGGAAAGAGGTTTAATGAACTCACAGAACCACATGTCTGGGGAAGCCTCACAATTATGGCAGAAGATGAAGGAAGAGCAAAGGAATGTCTTACATGGCATCAGGCAAGAGACCGTGTGGAGGGGAACTCCCCTTTATAAAACCATCAGATCTTGTGAGACTTATTCACTATCATGAGAACAGCTTGGCAAAGACCCACCCCCATGATTCAATTACCTCCCATTGGGTCCCTCCCATCACACATGAGAATTATGGGAGCTACAGTTCAAGATGAGATCTGGGTGGTGACACAGCTAAACCATATCAATGGTTCAACATATGCATATCAATAAACATGATGCACTAACAGAATCAAGAGCAAAAAGTATATGATTATGCCATCTCTGATTTCTTTGAGCAGAGGTGTGCGGTTATCCTTATAGAGATCTTTCACCTTCCTTGTTAGCTGTATTCCTAGGTATTATACTCTTTCTGTGGCAATTTTGAATGGGAGTTCTTTGGAATTTGGCTCTCAGCTTAAGTGTTGTTGGTGTACAGAAATTCTAGCAAATTTTGCACATTGCTGCTGTATTCTGAGATTTGCTGAAGTTGCTTATCAGCTTAAGAAGCTTTGGGGCTGAGACAATGGGGTTTTCTAGATATGAGATCATATGATCTGCAAATAGGGATAGTTTGACTTCCTCTCTCCCTATTTAAATGCCATTTATTTCTCTCTTTTCCCTGATTGCCCTCGCCAGAACTTCCAATACTACATTGAATAGGAGTGATGAGAAAGGGCTTTCTTGTCTTGTGCCAGTTTTCAGAGGGAATGCTTCCAGCTTTTGCTCATTCAGTATGATCTTGCCTGTAGGTTTGTCATATAAGGCTTATATTATTTTAAGATATGTTTCTTCAACACCTAGACTATTGAGAGTTTTTAACATGAGGGAATGTTGAATTTTATCAAAAGCCTTTTTTGCTTCTATTGGGATAATCATGTATTTTTTGTCTTTAGCTGTGTTTATGTGATGAATCACATTTATTGATTTGCATATGTTGAACCAACTTTGCATTCTGAGGATGAAGCCTACTTGATCTTGATGAATAAGCTATTCCATGCTCATGGATAGAAAAAATAAATATGGTTAAAATGGCCATACTGCCCAAAGCAATTTATAGATTCAATGCTATTCTTATTAAACTAACATTGACATTCTTCACAGAATTAGAAAGAACTATTTTAAAATTTGTATGAAACGAAAAAAGAGCCTGAATAGCCAAGGCAGTCCTGAGCAAAAATAACAAAGCTGGAGACATCTTTCTACCCAACTTCAAACTATACTACAGGGCTACAGTAACCAAAACAATATGGTACTCATACAAGAACAGACCCATAGATTGATAGAACAGAATAGAGAACACAGAAATAAGCCAATACACCTACAACTATCTGATTTTTGACAAACCTGACAAAAACAGGCAATGGAGAAAGGATTCCTATTTAATAAATGGTGCTGGGATACCTGGCTAGCCATATGCAGAAGATTGAAACTGAACCCCTTTCTTACACCATATACAAAAATTAACTGAAGATTAAAAACTTAAATGTAAAACCACAAACTATAAAAACCCAAGACAAAAACCTAGGTAATACCCTGCAGGACACAGACATGGGCAAAGATTTTATGATGAAGACACCAAAAACAATTGTAACAAAAGCAAAAATTGACAAATGGGATCTAATTAAACTAAAGAGCTTCTGCAGAGCAGAAGAAACTACCAAGAGAGTGAACAGACAATCTATAGGATTCAAAGACAATTTTGCAAACTATGCATCTGACAGAGGTCTAATATCCAGTATCTATAAAGTACTTAAATAAATTTACAGGAAAAAAACAACCTCATTAAAAAGTAGGCCAAGGACATGAATGGACACCTCTCAAAAGAAGACATACATGCAGCCAACAATCAAAAGAAAAAACTCAACATTACTGATCATTAGAGAAATGCAAATCAAAACCACAATGAGATGCCATCTCACCCCAGTCAGAATGACAATTATTAAAAAGTCAAAAACAACAGATGCTGCTGTGGTTGTGGATAAAAAGGAACAATTTTACACTGTTGGTGAGAGTGTAAATTGTGGAAGACAGTGTGTCAATTCCTCAAAGACCTAGAGGCAGAAATACCATTTGACCCAGCAATCCCATTACTGGGTATATTCCCAAAAGAATATAAATAATTTATAAATAATTATGTTATAAATATACATGCATGTGTATGTTCATTGCAGCAATATACATTATAGCAAAGACATGCAATCAATCTAACTGCCAATTAATCATAGACTGGATAAAGAAAATGTGGTACATATACACCATAGAATACTATGCAGCCGTAAAAAACAAAGAGATCCTTTGGAGGAGCAGGAGGCCACTATCCCTAGCAAACTAACACAGAAACAGAAAACCAAATACTGCATATTGTCACTATTAAGTGGGATGTAAATGGTGAGAACGCATGGACACATAAAGGGGAACAACACACACTGGGGCCTACCAAAAAGGTGGAGGGTGGGAGGAGGAAGAGGATCAGGAAAAACAACTAATAGATACCAGGCTTAATACCTGGGTGATGAAACAATCTGTACAACAAACCCCCATGACATATGTTTACCTATTTAAGAAACCTGAACATGTATTCCAAAAGTTAAACTAAACGTTTATAAAATTTTAACAAAGTATATGATTATTTCAATAGTACAGAACAAAACATTTGATAAAATTCAACATTCCATTATGTTAAAAGCTCTCAACAAATAAAGTATAGAAGGAATGTTCTTCATCATCAACATAATATAGAAGTTGAAAGTGATCCCTCTTAGATCTGGAACAAGCAAAGTTGCCCATTTTCATCACTTTTATTCAACATAGTATTGGAATTTCTATCCAGAAAAATTAGGCAAGAGTAAGAAATAAAGAGCATGTAAATTGGAAAAGAGAAAGTCAAATTGTCTCTTTTTGAAAATGAAATGATCTTATGTATAGAAAAAATTGAAGGCTCCAGCAACAACAACAAAAAAACTGTCAGAATAGATATACACATTCAGGAAAGCTGCAGAAAACATAATCAACATACAAAAGTAACTAGTATTTCTACATGTCAATAGCAAACTCTGAAAAATAACCAAGAAAGCAATCCCATTTGCAATAGCTATAAAAAAATCCCTAGGAATAAATTTAACCATGAAGATGAAAAATCTTTACAATGGCAACGATTAAAGATATTTCTATCAAAATACCAATGACATTCTTCAGAGAATTAGGAAAACAATCCTAAAATTTGTATGAAGCTACAAATTCTTGTTGTAGCCAAAGAGATTCTGAGAAAAAAGAACAAAGCTGGAGACATTATACTGTCTGACTTCATATTACAAAGTATGTACCAAAACAGCATAATGAAGACATAAAAACAGGCACATAAATTACTGGAACAGAAAAGAGAGTACAGAAATAAATTCACAATTTTACAGCAAACTGATTTTAGACAAAGGCACCAAGAACAACTATTAGGGAAAGGATAGTTTCTTCTATAAATGTTGTTGGGAAGACTGGATATCCACATTCAGAATAATGAAACTAGACTCCTATTTCTCACTGCATACAAAAAATCAATTAAAATGAAAGACATAAATGTAAAACCCAAAACTATAAAGGCACTAGAAGAATGAGAGAACTTAGTTGCAAACTGTACGTGTAAAAAGAGATTAATATCCAGAATTAATGAAGAACTCAAACAACTGAATAGCAAAAAAACAAATAACCTAATTAAAAAATGGGCAATAAATATAGAGTAGAAGGATAGTTACCAGAGGCTGGAAAGGGTAGTGAGGGTAAGGTTGGAGGGGAAGTAGGGATGGTTAATGGGTACAGAAAATAGAAAGAATCAATAAGACCAAGCATTTGATAACACAACAGGGTGACTATAGCCAATAATAATTTTAAAAATACATGTAATAAGTCTACATATGTATGGGGCACAATGTTATGTTCTGATACATGTATGTATCGTGTAATGATTAAATCAGGATATTTAACATGTTCATAATTGTACATTTTAAAATAACTGAGTGTAATTGAATTATTTGTAACACAGGAGTAAATACTTGAGGTGATGGATACCCCATTTACTCTGATATGATTATTACACATTGCATGCCTGTATCAAAATGTCTTAGGTACCCAATCACTATATACACCTATTATGTACTCACAAAAATGAAAAATTAAAAAAAATTCAATGGGCATGATACCTAAATAGATATTTCTCCAAATAAGCTATACAAATGGTAAATAAGTATACGTAAAAATGCTCAACATTTGTAACATCAGATAAACGCAAATTAAAACCACCATAAGATATCACTTCATTCCAATTCTAATGACTCTTATGAAAAAGACAAATACCAAATGCTGGTAAGCAAATTTAAAAAGGGAAACTCTTGTACACTGTTTGTGTGAATGTAAACTAGTATAGCCTTTATGAGAAACAGTATACAGATTCCTCAAAATATTAAAAATAAAACTACTATAAGACTAGAAATCCCAATACTGAATATTTATTCAAAGGAAATGTAATCAGCATGTTGAAGGGAGGTCTGCACTCCTATGCTTACCGCAGCACTATTAACAATAGCCAAAATATGGAATCAACTTAGTGTTCATCAACAGCTTGGATAAAGAAAACTAGTACATATACACAAGGAAACACCACAGCCATAAAAAAGAATGTTATTCTGTCATTTGTGGCAGCCCAGATGAATCTGGATGACATCATGTTAAGTGAAATGACACCATGTTAAGGCATGGAGAAACAAATAGTGCATGATCTCATTTATATGTGGAAAAATTGAAAAATATATAAGATCATGAACATGTTAAATACCCTGATTTAATCATTACATAATACATACATGTATCAGAACATAACATTGTGCCCCATACATATGTAGAATTATTACATGTAATTTTTTTAAGTCATGAAACATAATGGTCCTAAGAGGTAAGAAATATTTTTCAACTATGAAGGATCAAACCATCCCTTCCATTTTGGGGAACAAATGTCTACGTTTGCTTAGTGTGCAGTACAGCTTCTTACAGTTTATAGTTTCATAAACAGAGGTTCATGGATTCTATGTTTTTGCTAAGAATGTAAAACCCAAATAAGAGATTCATCCAGAAATGTATCTTGTTTTTGTTCTAAATAAATTGGTTTAAACTAGATACAAGTAGACAAATCTTGTTTTCTGCGTCAAAAGTTCAAAGAGGATATTAAAGACCTTCACAATTCATATAAATAACTAGAAGTACACTTGAAGTGCCCACCTGCTAATTGGTCCATACTTACCTCCTTCCCTAGTGCCTTCTGAAGCCAAGGAAATGTTAAGCACTTTATAGCCTGTGAGTTGTCTCTGTGGAAAGACTATTAATCAAGTCAAAAATCAATCATCTAAAGTCACATTGTAACATTTAGCTTGAGACCACTCTAGTATTTTCAAAATACAAATATGAGCTGTCTGTTTATGCTAGAGATTTAAAACCTTAAAAAAAAACTACTTTAAAAAAGGTGAAAATAACAGTCAATTTTGGCTTGGCTGAAAGGTGATTTAATTATTTTTAAATATTCATTCATTTATTCATGCAACTATTTTTTAAAAACTTATTCGTTGAGCACTAGAACCACATGCTGTTAAGTTAGACTTAGTCTGCAAAGAAGAACAATATTGTCGTCCCTTTTGAGAGATGAGTCTGGTCTTACACAAGGTCTTTCCTTTAGAGAGATATTATCTTAAGCAAGATTTTACCTTAAAAAAGAAACCGAAAGAAAGCTAGATGAAACACAAGTTGATATTGGTCGCAATGTTTAAAGCAGTGGCACCATGGTGCAGATTGTAAAGGGTCTGGCTTTAATTCTGTTGACCTTGGACAAGTCGCATAATCTCTTAAAAAGATTTCCTTCTCTGAATAAATGGGAATCATAAAAGAGGTAATCTTACCTTATGATTATGAATATTAAATGAAGTATCTTCAGTACAATTAAACTAGCATTAGGAAATGTTTAATAAATATTACCTATTGTTACTATTATTCTTTCAAAAGTATATTCTTTCTGAAGCAAAGTCCTTAGTAGGTATAGAATATAAAGCTACTAAGTCTTTATGAAGGAATAGAAAAATCCCACAAAGAATGGTGTAACATGGTATGAAATCCAGCTGCTTACTAGTTTTGCATAGTAGAAATATTTTTAGAAGTGTCATTTGTAAATTAACCCCCTCCTGTCCATGGTCTAATGAGATTTAGAAAGGATGGCAAGTATTTTTGCTTATCTCAAACCGTTACTCAATTCTTGGTATAAAATCACTATTAGAGATAATTTCCTTCTAATTTCTAGCAAATTATTATGGGACTTAAGTATATTTATGATGGGAAATGATGTAAAATATATATTTTAATGTCTTTAAGAAAAGAACAAACAAAAATATATGCATAGAGTTAACATATTGTCATCTGCCCTAGTTAATCCATTGTTGAGTTTCCTTTGACTTTAAGCTTACAAATATTATAGTCCAGCTGTTGGCTGAAACAGGTCTCCTTCTGTCAGAAGTTTGCAAGAAAGAAGTTACTAGGATGTTATACCTCAGTTCCCATAAACTTGAGTGTGATAACAAAGTGGTCTACTCTCAGTTGTGATATCTTTGTAATAATGAATGAAGATGTTCATAATGAGGACGAAATCATTTATTGAGAATTACTGAATCCACATTCTTTAATGAGAATTGTGATGATTATGTTCATATATAAGAATGTGGAAGGACAAAAAAGTTTCTATTATCAGACTTCAAGTCCTTTTTACTGCGCATCAGGTAAAATTTTGACCAGTGGTTGCAATCTGAAACTTCTGTACATCCCACAGTATATCTGAGGCAAGATGTATTTCTCGGGCTTCAGTGCCCAGTCTTTGCCTCTGCACTTACTCAGTATATAAGATGAATGTATTGATAGATATTGTTCATTAAATCCTCAGAGAAAGTGATATGATTTGGCTCTGTGACCCTACCCAAATATCATATCCAATTGTAATTCCCACATGTTGGGGAAGGGGCCTGGTGGGAGGTGATTTGATTATGTGGGTGGTTCCCCATGGTGTTTTTGTGATAGTGAGTGAGTTCTCATGAGAGCTGATGCTTTAAAAGTGTGTGGCAGTTCCGCCCTTGGTCTTTTTCTCTGACTCCTGCTTTTTCGTAGTAAGACGTGCTTACTTTCACTTCACCTAATGCCATGATTGTAAACAGTTTTCTGAGGCCTCTTAGCCACACTTCTTGTTAAGTCTGCAGAACTATGAGTCAAGCTTCTTTTCTTCATAAATTTCCCAGTATTGGACAGTTCTTTATATCAGTGTAAAAATGAACTAATAGAGAAAGCTTTGTTTCCCTCCAATGTCTGCAAAATTCTGTCATTATTTAGATGATTATTAAACTGACTCTAACTTGACTTCATCTTCATTTGCAACTAAAATGCTTTAGCAACTCTAATCTATCTGTAGGATTAGTATTTGGAGATGTAGGGAAAGTGTCAGATCTCTTAAATATTTTCTTGTTGAGAAGATTCATTCTGTGCTTAGAGGGTGTTGTGAAAATGGATTCTTAATTTTTGCACAAACATGAGTATCATGATAGTTTCTAAGCAGCATCATCACACATATTCTCTACATGGGACACTAGAGCACTTCACAATTTAATCATATTTTGGGGGGGTTACATTTATTACACACTAATTGGCAATTGTTGCTAAGCTATAACGTTTCTCTATTTCATGTTAATCATAAATCCTCAACTAGGTCATCTACCCACAAAATTCAGTCATAATGCTTTTAAGATGTGTATGTCTGAAGTAATAAAATATTTTTACATTATTTAGGAACTGATTCTGAAGATATTTTGGAAAAAAAAAACCCCAAAAAACAAAAAACAAGGCTTCCTAAAGAGCTTGAGAATTTTGAGAATTAAAGGGCATTCCCTGAAGCCTTCTGTGAAGATGCAGATGAAAAAGTCACTCATCTGGCAGATTGTTTTCAAAATCAGTTGCATGACTTTACATCCAAACATTGCACAATGAGAAGTATTTGATAATAGTTCCTTTGATTGGGTAACTGAAAATAAAATTTGAAACCATAATTCTAACTCAATGGCATGACTAGACCAAAGATGACAGCATGTACCTCTTTCTCTGCTAAAGACAGTAGATTCTTCTTCCTGTTTTTTTCAAAAAATTATTCAGGACTTTTCTGCAAGGCCCGCCTTTGATGCAGCTTTTATGTCAGACTCTGAATGTCTAGAATTACCTTCCTGTAGGCTAACTCCTGATCGTGTGGTCTTATTTCATTATAATTATCATTATAGTTCTGGCTACAGGGTTCTGCTTAGTTTTCCAGAGTTACAATTCCCTCTTGACTATGATTAAACTGTGTATGGATTCATGGACCTGGAAAATTTAAACAGTCCAATTTAATGAAAAACAATTTTCATAGGCATCTGGCAATGGTCTGAATATTTCTATAAGTTAGCTTTTTGCATATTAAACTTCTAAAAGAAATAATTAAATCAACTTTCATAATAACCCACTTGGAGAAAGTATGTTCTGTATGTTTCCAACAGCCCACTGATTTGTGTATCAGTGTACTTCCTCAGCAGTTTTGGAGAGAAACAGATAATTTATATAAATTATAATCGATAGGAGTCTGCATTGCTGAGCATTTTAGAATAGCCTCTTGGGTATATTATGTAGTTAGAGACTAAGAAATTAATCTTATCTGCTTGGATTCTTTCATTAAGGCAAGATTTAAATCAATTAATTATAATTTAGAAAAATGTTAAAGCAAGAAAGCTTTCAGAATGAAAATTGTATTTGTGTAATTATGAAGAAAGTTCTTTTTACTTCTAAAAGATGGCTTCACAAAATGCCATGTCGCAGGTTCCTTAAGTTGCTTATAAACATTTTCATTATGTTTTTATTTTCCATCTCATGAGCAATGTCAGCTGTGAAAACTAAGCATTTATTAGTGATGGCATGCTAGTTTGCTAAGAAAGATACCTCAGACTCACTCAGAAACAAGCAGATAAACTTTGTAGTATTTTGAATCTTTCAGGCCTGGGCATGATTTGTATAACTATTAAATAACACGATGCTTTCTGGGAGAAATTCAAAAAATAAAACAAAACAAAATGAACACATAAAAAACAACTCCATTGAGCCTTAAATGTGATTTTGATTTTAAATTATTAGTTGAGGGAGGGGGTAAATGCCCCCTTATGTATTTTGTCTGGCTTTTTCTGGAAGTCTAGATAAATAAGAATTTGGAAAAATTGCTGCTACCCAAATATTTTTATTGACAAACCCTTACCAGATGGTAAAGCCAGTTGGGAATGGTGTTTGCCTTTCAGTCAAACTTGATCTGGGTCTCTTCTATTGCTGGTTCTTCTATTTCTCATAGGACAATAAGCCACAGCCCATATATGATATTAACTTTCTGTATATGTAAATAGATAATACCAAGATAGATTTGTGAGTCAAGTAATACAATGAATGTTTACAAGAAAGTATAGATACATATCTTTAATACATAACCCTTGAATATCTTTCTATGGAATTAAGAACACTGATGTTTCATTCAAAAGCAAAACCCTATTCAAAAGAATATGGTTTATACAAACAAAAAATTACTTGCTTTAGAACCCAATTCTTGATAAACCTAATGAAAATTAATGCATTTCATGATGGCCAAATATAGTTTATCTCTGTTTTAAAGTTGAAGGTATTTGTAGTGCTAAAAATTCACAGGTAGTCAATAACTACAATAATGATGCTGGTGAATCTAAATCACAATGTACATTTGGAATCTTAATACTAAGCAATACTAATAAAATATTTGATTGAGCTGACAAAACATTCACTGTTTAAGTAAGTAATTAAGCTAGTGCAATCAACAGAAAACTATTTAAAGAGTCAATGGCCTTTCACGAAAGAAACAAATCTACAGTTTTATCTTGTTTTATAATATCTGCAGGCATGTTTTTCTTCCACCCACACCTCCCCCCCCGCCTGTTTTTTGTTTGTTTGTTTTGTTTTGTTTTGTTTTGTTTTGTTTTGTTTGCTTTCCCTCTTACCAAGCTAATAATCCTTGGGAAACAACAACAAAAAAAGGACCTTATTCTGTCCCTGCTGTTTATCACTTTCCTGAAATCTTAATCCTCTCAGTGTAACTATAATCATCTCTGCAGGAATTAATTGTGATGTCACAGAAGATTATGACATTAAGCGGGAAAGAGGCAGCAGGAAACTGAGCATTATGAACAGTAAAGATCTGTCTTATGAACATATATGTTGTACATATTTCACGCCTCTCTTTAAGAATGGCATCAAGTTAAATAAGAGTAACTAAATACTTAAGACTGTTAGGTTTTTTTACAGTGTATTTTTATAGAAATTTAAGGGTTAAGCTTTAGTGCTTCATTAACATTTATTATTTTTTCATCAATTGTATCAGAAGGGTAATTTACAGTTATGTATCAGAAGGGTAACATACAGTAATATCAACATGTTTCAGTCAACCACTGACCACATATGCAACGATGTCCATAAGATTGTAATGAACTAAATATTTCCTGTTATTTAGTGGTGTCATAGTCATCATAAGCTCACTGTGCAATGTGTTACTCATGTGATTGCTGTCTCATATGTTTGTTGTGATCATGGCATAAACGAACCTACTGCACTTTTATTCATATAAAAGTAAAGCATGTATAATTACAGACAGTACATAAAATTTTCTAATGATAATGAAGAACTATGTTACTGGTATATATATTTACTATACTATACCCTTAATTATTTTTGAGTGTACTCCTTCTACTTATTAAAGAAATTAACTGGCTTGGCACAGTGGCTCACGCCTGTAATCCCAGCACTTTGGGAGGCTGAGGTGGGCGGATCACCTGAGGTCAGGAGTTTGAGACCAGCCTGGCCAACATGGTGAAACCCCATCTCTACTAAAACTACAAAATTGGCTGGGTGTGGTGGCGCGTCCCTGTAGTCCCAGCTACCTGGGAGGCTGAGGCAGGAGAATCGCTGGAACCCAGGAAGTGGAGGTTGCAGTGAGCTGAGATTGCACCACTGCACTCCAGCCTGGGCAACAAAGCGAGACTCTGTTTCAAAAAAAAAAAAAAAAAAAAAAGAAAGAAAAGAAAAAGAAAAAAAAATAAAGACGCATCCTGGGCAACAAAGCAAGACTGTCTCAAAAAAAAAAGTAAAGAAATTAACTGTAAAACAGCCTCAGGCAGGTCTTTCAGAAGATATTCCAGAAGAAGGCTTTGAAGACCTCCCAGTAGGACAAGATGTGGAGGTTGAAGACAATGACATTGATCCAGACCCTGTGAAGGCCTAGGCTAATGTGTGTGTTTGTGTCTTAGTTTTTAACCATGAAGTATAAAAAATTTAATTTAAAAAGCTTGTAGAATAAGGATATAAAGAAAGAAAAAATATTTGTACAGCTATACGATCTGTTTGTACTTTAAGCTGTTATTACAAGAGTCTGAAAGTTAAAAGTGAGAAAGTTAATGAAGAAAAAATGTTACAGTAAATGAAGATAAATTTATATTTGAAGAAGAACATTTTAAAATAAGTTTAGTGTAACCTAAATATGTAGTATTTATAAAGCCTCGAGTAGTGTATAGCAATGTCCTAGACCATCACATTCACTTAACACTCACTCATTGATTCACTCAAAGCAGCTTCTAGTCCTGTAAGCCCCATTCACTGTAAGTGCCCTATACAGGTGCACCATTTTGTATCTTTTATACTATATTTTACTGTACATTTTCTATGTTTAGATATATTTAGGTACACAAATGCTTACCATTGTGTCACAGTTGCCTACAGTATTTACTGCAGTAACAGGCTGTATAGTTTTGTAGCCCAGGAGTGACAAGCTACACCATATAGCCTAGGTGTGTAGTAGGCTATGTTATCCAGGTTTGTGTAAGTACACTCTGTGATGTTCCCACAATGACAACTCACTTAAACATGCATTTCTCAGAACATATCACCATTGTTAATGGACTCATAACTGCATGTCTTTTCTATTCTGATATTAAATTGTGTTTATCAAAATTTCTTTGGTTGTATTGCAAATAAAATGGTGCATCCATCAGAGGCTCTAAACCTTAGCTTCACTTGGGAAGCTAAGATTTTGAAACACTCACATTACAATCATTTGGGAAAAAGTATCGACGCCCTGGCTCCACCCCCAGAGCCTCTGATTTAATTTTCCTGGGATAAGATCTGAGTATTAGAAATTTTAAAAAGCTCTCAGGTGATTCTGATGTGCAACCAAAGTTGAGAACCATTGGTCTGTATCATTTTGCTCACAGTAGCCTGCCATCAGGGGAAACATTTATTTTATTTCTTATGGACTCTTCAGATAGAATTTTAGAGAGAACCATATTTTCTGAGCATTGTTTTACCATCTCAGCATAATTCCAGAATATATCTCAGAATTTAATTTTTAAAAAGTTCACCATCTTATGGACTATTTCGTGTGAGAAGAAGCTGATGTGTGATCTTGGGCCCTGAAATGCTCGTTAATTACCCGGAAATTTGCAGAGCAGCAAAGCATAACATGCTGCGATATTCCTGCAGAAGAAAACCTTCTCCAATGAGTGGCTTTCAGTTCCACAACTGCAGCACCTGGTGAGCTTGATCATGAACATTTGTGGGACACTTTCCAGTGGCTTCCTAAAATATATGGGATACAGAAGATTTGAGAGGGAGAGACCGGGATGAGAGCTAGGTTTCCCTTTGTAGTTGTTATGGTTAATCAACTTTAGTGTGTACCACATAAAAGGTATTTGAAAATATGGGAAACTCAAAGGAGCATGAGAAATATTTCCCTTGCCATCCCTCAATTAAAAGCTAAGAGAGGAAACTAGAATTATATACTCCAGCAGTAAATACATACAGGTATATGATTAGGAAAACATTCTGGGCCGTAGATTAACTCCAGAGAGCCTCTGTGGGAATTAGAACTGGAACCTCCTCCGGGTGGCTTCAGGTTCACAGACACAGGACCCATGGTTTAAAGAGTGAGAGCCGTACTTCAGCCCAAGTCACCCCCAGGCTTGATGATTTGATGCAGTTCACAACATCTCAATTTCTAGGTACAGAGCTGCAAACTATGGGAATAAAAGCAGTTAAGTCATTGCAGAACTCCTAGTAGGGGGAAATTCTTCCCCAACCTTTAGGAACTCTGCCCAAGTCTATACCACTATAGGAGATCCAGGCAGGATGAGGACATGCAGACAACACACTATTCAGAAAGAACGCTGTGTTCAAATAGCGAACCTGACCACTCTTCCTCTGGACCATATTTTCTCCTGATAGTTTGAGCTATAATGAACAGGGACCAACTTAATTAGGCTACTTATGTGGAAATGGATTTATTTTGCAATGGATATGGATCAAGCTTGTCTTATGACTAGGCACTAGAATTGCAATTAGATACATTTATTTTTCTGAGTATAGCAGTGAAGCTGTGTGTGTGCATTTGTGTGTGTGTTTAATAATTTAAAATACAGCAGTTCATCAGAATGTGTGTGTATGTATATTTATATAAATTGTTATAGATGAAGCAGAAATTTTGTACACTAATTTATAAGGACTATTGAATTGCCGGACACACATCAAGCCCAAAGATGTCAGCTGAACAAGGAATGAGAAGACAAGGGGACAAAAAAATGCAAGAGGCAAAAAAATCCAAAAGAAGAGCAAACAGGAAGGGAGAAGTAGTAAAACATGCTTGAGCAGGAAAGGATGAGGACTGAAAAAGCCAGGATATTTTAAATTACATGCACATATTTAGTTGTAATGTATAGCGATACAACCTCTATTATCTCCAAAATAGGATTAAAAGTGGATTGCAAATAGTGATCTGGGTAAATTATATTTTGAGGAAATCAAAGAACAAAGATTTTATTCTTGAGCCCTTGCAGGATGGAGAAATTAAATAGCCACAAAAAGCTGAGGTAAAAGAGATTGAGAAATCAGCAAAAGTATGAAATCACAGTTGGCAATGACTACAATGAACCGCACGGAGCTCTTGTCTGTGTGAGATAATAGACTGCAGGTAAAGTACTTGACATAGCACTTCGCATATAGAAAACATGCCATAAATGAAAATATTATCACTATTAATTTGTTATTATTAGTGACAATAGATAATAGTTTTAAGTAATCTCATACAGTATGAAGATTCATTTGAAGGGATATGATATCTAAATTTAGATAAGAGTAAGTTATGGTGTGGTTTAATATTCTGGAATACACTGGCTTAATTAGAAGTATATTTAGTATCTAAGAACGTTTGATTCCAATAGTATTAAAAAGGAAGATCCTACTGATCTGTTTTGTTCAAGCTTCTACTTACACCCATTAGCAAAGAAAACCAAAGTCAAATTTCCCTTGAGCTTGGTGTTATGCTCAATAATAACAAAATAAGCCATGCAGAAGAAACATGGTATAGAAACCTAGATTTCTGAAGACACCTATATTTTTCAATTTCAATGTTTGTGCTTATGAGAAATAAAAAAGACAAGTAAATAAGAGATTGGGGAGTAGGGATAGGAATGGATCCATTATTTCACTTAATTCTCCTGGGGAAATATCCCTGGCAGGATGCATGTTCATTTTTTGCACTTTCTGCAGATTGCTTTTATTAAACAACTTTTTAAAAGCCTATGCTTTTGATATATTAAAACAATAAGGGTAAATCTACATCTACTACTGAGATAAATTACCCCCAGATCTAATCTAGAGAAAATGCATTTTCACCCTCATAATAACACTAGAAAAGGAGCTAGTGATCAGATTTCCTATTAGTGAAAATAAGCACTTTAATAAACTGCTTGGTATCTCCCAGGTATTATAAATGGCAGCTGCTGTTAGAATTGGTCTCAATAATGTAATAGATCACCAAATAAAACCACATACCTTAATGGAGCATAAATTAAATACAGTCTTTGGATGGCTTCAACATGTAAATGCAGTTTTTGAAAAATGTTTTAATTTTTCATTTAATAATCTTACCAGCTTTGCACAATGGAGAATAGTAAAGTCTCCGTCCCTCCTGACCTTTATGATATAAACCATAACCAACAACACTTTCTGCTTTAATCTTACTAATTTTAAGGCAAAAGCTCCTGATACTAAGTTCATTAAAGTAAAATCTTATAAGAGCATACAAGTGAAGTATGAATAATGATAGAGCTTATTTAATATTTTGTCTTGTTACTATTTTTAGATAAAATACATTTAGATTTTAAAAGCTGTATTTCATGTGTATGTGTGTATATGTACGTGCATTTATTTCTGCATTTCAATATTAAGCTACCTGCAGTTTATGTATCCTAATTAAGGCACAGTTAGTAATACATTTAAAACTTTAAAAAATTAGAGAATGATCGTTAGTAATTTTAACCATATCTAATGTCTGTATTCTATTATTATGCTAATATTTTATTATAGCACACTTATTTTATTACTAATATCCTCTTCCTTTACACATGATGACAAAATATATGTGTATATGTATATATTTACTTATAGGCATATCATAATAATTAGCTGCTCTAATGTCAAATATTTATCACAAGAAATATCATAAGCATAGCCAAAAATTTTATATATCTGTATGAATAACACAAAGGCTTTTTAAGAAAAACAAATTGTCATCTAGAAGTTGTCATTAGAGAAGCAGATTCAAATAATCCATCTTGTTAAATCAGGCACTCCAATATTTACCAGCAAAGTCTCAGATGTTTGGTCATAAAATATAGTTCCATTTTTTTAAATAATTGAAATTATTAGTTATGTTCTCAGTTGCCAAATAACCTAAACCCACATGACTAAAAATGGACCAAATTGGAGCTAACTAAACTATTGAGACAAATAAAGAGAAACATTTAGTCAGAACTGGAGGTTGCACTACCTAAACTTTTGGCAAAAATAACATCTCCCCGTCTTACATTAAGAAGGGAAGGCCTAAGGGAAGACTTTTGTTGAGGCTGTCAAAGTTTGTTTGCTAAAATGTTGACTTAGATTGTGTTTTGGTTTGCTATATTTTAATCTCTATATCTAATGGATTTACCAACTATTTGACTACAGTTTTCAATATCCTCCTATTTCTCTCTACATATGCAGACATTAAGACAGAGTCTCTTAAAAAAATAGTGTCTCTTTGGTCTTTATGGTCAAACAAATATTATAGTAACAGTAATATATGGATGTACACATTAATGCCTAAGAAACTATGTAGGGTTTATTAAATTTATTTTCTAAATTGTATTATTAGAAGTACAGCATATTTTTATAATGGTTCTTAATTATGTCTGGTTATTAACTGCAGTGACCTGGTTTGCACCTATATCAAGACTGGTAAAGTTGAATAGCTCTATTTCATCTTCCCCTGTGACACCACCAGTGACAAAACAGACAAACAGACAAAACAGTCTGTTTGATTGATTTCAGATGATTATTTTCTTAAAGCAAAAATGTCAATTTTCATCTATTGTATTGGGTTATTCAGCATAATTTTATAATCTGACAAAAATTTGAATATTAAGCTGAAATGTAGTTATGAATACACAAAGTAGCAGCAGATGATACACAGTAGTATTCTATTTAATTATGCATTTCCTTGGAAAAACAAGAAGAGAGAAAAAGGGAGAAATTCTATAAACAAATGAGAAAATTACCAGCTGCAGCATTTTTTTTCCCATTTACCCTGGAATTTTCAGTGGTCACCACTCTTAGCTATCCTCCTTTTACTCAGTTATCTGTAGTCCCACAGACTACTCCGTGAGCCTGACTGAATGATAAAGCTTATGAGTCCTGGATTCGTACTCTGGAAAAGCTGTGTCTGACCAGGTGGTCCACTGCAGCTCCAAACTCCTATGAGCTGGCTATGAAACCAAGACTGAGAAATCCCAGGGTTACGGTATTTCTACCTTGCCAGCAAGTCTTTCAATTCCAGGGGTCATGTTACCTTTCAATTCTGCTAAATCTATTAGCTTTATGGGAGTATTGCCTGATGTAGCGCTGAATGTTCTTCCTTTAGCATTCCAGGAACAGAGCAGGGCAATTAGCTTCTGCTTTAGCTGAATTATATATCTGTGCAGCTAGAAAACCATGGCTCACGTTACAGGTAAATTGGGTATTTAATTTAGACTATAATATAGTCCTAAACTCCCTGTGATAGTTCCCATTCCCATTCTTCTCTCCTTGGATGAACTGGCATAGGTCTAATTTTTAGAATGAAAAGCAAAGAACATACTCAGTTTAGGCTGTCACAGCATAGAGACAAAAATATAATTCAGAATTATCTTCTTTTAAAATAAGTCTTTAAATTGACAGTGCAGTATTGTATACTACATAATACAAGCCTTTTATGTGTCATATTAATATACTACCTTAAAATCTTGACAATTTACACTGATATTTTGCATTAACATTGCAGTTAACTACTTCATAATACAGCAGCCACAGAATAAGATAGTATTTTAGTGGCTTATTTTTTTTTCTCTTGCGGTATTATTACTGCAAATTATTACAGAAGTAATAATTTGCTCACCATGACATTTATTGTATCTTAGGACCTTTCACTAAATACCCAAATGCATGATTTTATAAGGGCCTGCATTTGTTGAGTAAGTACTGCTATAAAGATTCTTTCTCTCTTTGACACCCAAAGTGCAACATGGACATATTTATTAGTAAAATATATAATCATACCAGGAAAGCTCTTTTGTAGATTTGTCTAAGATCTAAGTAAGTTTTTCTGATTCTTGTTTGGAATCAGAAATTTGCTTTTGGTTCACATAGTGACTGTGAAATTGCATTTTAAATATGCTATATGATTAGAAAGTCTTATTTTACTTACAAAACATGATATCAAGAGAAAAGGCAGGTAAGTCAGTCAGCAACTCCAGGGCATCATTTTTGACTTGATTTAGGATAACGGTTTTCTTGATGCAAAAATATCCATTTTGATCTCCTTTACCGGGCTACTTAAGGTGACTTTATGATTCAGCAAAATATGTATTTTTAACAGAAATATACACTTATAGAAAGTAGTAGCAGAGTATATACAACTGTATTTTATTTAATTACACATTTCCAAAGAAATGAAAGACCTCTTATGAACTATAAAAATTGTTTGAGAAAGTAGAAACACCCACAACAGAAAAACAAAACAAAACAAAAAACATATAAACTAAATTTTCTTATTCATCTTTGGTTTCCTAAAGCAGTCATGTCCTCATCATGCCCAGGTTTACTTCTTCTAAACAAGAGGTGCCTAATATTCTACTTTTCTTTCAATCGTCCGCAGACTATTTCACATGTGTTGTTCCAGTTAAAACAAAAGTCCATTCCATTTATCTGTTACAGAATATTAGTTAGAGAAGTTTTTCCCAATTTGTTTTGAAACAAGCCTTCTTTATTATTTGTTCAGACAGCTGTGGTTCAAAAATGTCATTTTTTTTATTTTTACTATACTTTAAGTTTGAGGGTACATGTGCAAAACATGCAGGTTTGTTACATACATATACATGCGCCATGTTGGTGTGCTGCACCCATTAACTTGTCATTTAACATTTGGTATATCTCCTAATGCTATCCCTCCCCCTTCCCCCACCCCAGAACAGGCCCCAGTGTGTGATGTTCCCCTTTCTGTGTCCATGTGTTCTCATTGTGCAATTCCTACCTATGAGTGAGAACATGCGGTGTTTGGTTTTTTGTCCTTGCAATAGTTTGATGAGAATGATGGTTTCCAATTTCATCCATGTCCCTACAAAGGACATGAACTCATCATTTTTTATGGCTGCATAGTATTCCATGGTGTATATGTGCCACATTTTCTTAATCCAGTCTATCATTGTTGGACATTTGGGTTGGTTCCAAGTCTTTGCTATTGTGAATAGTGCCGCAATAAACATACGTGTGCACGTGTCTTTATAGCATGATTTATAATCCTTTGGGTATATACCCAGTAATGGGATGGCTGGGTCAAATGGTATTTCTAGTTCTAGATCACTGAGGAATTGCCACACTGTTTTTAAAAATTTGAAACCTTATGGGTATTTTGTGTTTTGAACGTTCTTAAAGATGTGCATTGCAAGATGTAGGATGAAGTCCAGTAGCTTCCTTAGTCTACTGGAGGAGTGCAGTGCCCTCTCAGTTTGTATAATTCAACACTTTCTACTAGAGATCTGACTTTGCAGCAATATCACAAGGCAAACATTACATGACTAGACATACCCCATGTATATTCCAGGTATATAGTGGGAGAAGTTGTCTAGAGAATGCTCTGAGGAGGAATAACGGAGGGCGATATTCTCAGAATGTGAAATTGCAGGGAGCTAATCAACATCACCTGTTACATGATTCACACACTGTTTCCAGCTACAACTGTGGTGGGAAGGGCAGGGAAGGGGAGTGGGAAAGAACAAGAGAAGGAGGAGGAGGTGGTGGAGGAGGAGGAGAAAAGGAAAGATGAGGACAGGAAGAAAAACAAGGAGATTAGGCCAAGAGGTGATAGGAAGGTTGATTTTCTTCATGAAGCAATTAAGATCCTCTGGCAGGGGTGCTTGACCTATTTTTCATCAGGAACATTTTTTTTTTGTCTCTGAAATAATGGGCTCACTTTGCCAGAAGATGAATATTCTTTCCTATAAAAACTTTGGATAAAAATTCAACTTTCCCACAGACCTTCCAAAGTTGGTATACTTCAAGTTAAGGAGAATAATTAAGGACACTAGACTTTGATTTACATTACCTTCTTCTAGGAAAAGACACTGATTGGCCACCATCACACCAGAGGCTCAAAAAATACCCTTCTTCATCAACTAACTGATGGGTGTGCACATGGAGGAGGCAGAGAGGCAGCCATCTGCTCTGCTCTTATGATATTCTGGTGCTTTTTTAATTCTTGATGTATTGGAATAAAACTCCCTCTGTCATTTCCTTTCTATCTTATAGCTCCCCAAAGTTAACTGCAATTAGCAAATTTACCTTCCTACACACACCTTGCTCTTGTCTTATGGTTCTTCTTGAAGACTGCAACAGGAGACTTCAACATGTTTTGCTTTCATTTACTCTCAAAAAATTGCCCACATTTTTAAACATTTCATCATAATTTTAGATGTTTATTTTTGGTTAATAAGAGATAAGAATATTACATATTTTGTAAGGTGAAATGAGGATTTACTGTAATTGAAATAAATATTTTATACTTTGATAAAATGAGTTTTAAATACATTGTTGAGTAATGCACACCCAATCTTAAATAATCACGTAAATTTTTCATGCTTGGGTTTCACTTCCTGTAACATGAGAACTTCGGTCATGCTAGGAAAATAGTCAGCTAAGTTTAAAAGTATCAGGTTCAGTAACTTCTAATGCATTAGCCCTTTTGAATTCAGAACATTCTAACACTCCAGATATTTATATGTTAAATGCAAAGGAAAACAGGAGACTAATGCGTTTAAGACATATCCATGAATCATTAAAGGAGTTACTGCAAAACTTTAATATTTTTTTCTGCAGTTAAGGACAGTGTTTTTGTGTGTGTGTGTGTGTGTGTGTGTAAAATGAGAAAGACTAATAGGAACATGAGCAATCTCACGCAGCTGAGGAAAGAGACTGTGTGGAAATGAAGGAGTTGGAAATTAAGGACCTGGAAATTGAGTCTCATAAAACTATCTCCTTGGAAATCCTTTATGAACCAACAGGCCTTCTTGTCTAAAGACTGATGATCTCAGTATAAAACTCAAGATTCTTGACATGGCTCAGAAGTCTTGATTTGGCTCTGCCTACTGCTTCAGAACCCTCATCAATCCCTTCTCACCTTTGCTTTCTATCCAGAGAAACCAAGTGCTTGAGATGTTTCATAAACCATGATATTTCACTAAGTCATCTCTTTGATCTCGCCGCTTATCAGATAGGTA
Source organism: Homo sapiens (assembly GCF_000001405.40). NCBI lineage: Eukaryota > Metazoa > Chordata > Mammalia > Primates > Hominidae > Homo > Homo sapiens. Next base: position 86,320,780 of record NC_000014.9, on the reverse strand, counting down.
GGATATATCTTTTATTTGTACACACACGCAGATGAGGTTAACATTATGATATGGTTTGGCTGTGTCCCCACCCAAATTTCATCTTGAACCATAGCTCCCACAATTCCCACATGTAGTGGGAGGGACCCGGTAGGGGATAATTGAATCATGGGGGTGGGTCTTTCCCATGCTATTCTCATGATAGTGAATAAGTCTCAAAAGATCTGATGACTTCATAAAGGGGAGTTTCCCTGCACAAATTCTCTTCTTTTGTCTGCCACCATATGAGACGTGCCTTTCACCTTGTGCCATGATTGTGAGGCCTCCCCAGCCAGGTGGACCATGAGTTCATTAAACCTCTTTCTTTTGTAAATTTCCCAGTCTTGGGTATGTCTTTATCAGCATCCTGAAAACAGATTAATACACATTAATATGTCATTCAAATGAATGTAGGGTTAAGTTGTTCAATTCATTGGATAATTACCAACTCTATACTTGGTGGTAATACGTTCATATTTGACTGTTGTAAGAGGTAGGGTTTGGGCATATTTTAACCCTATTCTAAGTCCTATAATTATTACCAACTCCAAACTATTAAACACCAGAATGATCAGCCCTTGAATGTAACAACTGCCAAATTCGATTCCTCTCAAACATTACTCAAAGTTAAGACTTAAGGGGCAAAATATTAACCAACTCTGCCCATGCAACCCTTATATGCCACTTCTTAATTTCTTCTTCATAGATTTAAGAGTAGTGGCACCCCTTTCATGAAGTGCAGAAGTGCATGCTCCTCCATGTTTGCTGCTGCAGCTGACTGTTAACATTGGGAAATTACTACTTTTTCTCTGCTAGGATACAAGATGGAGCTGGTGAGGAGTGTGGGGGATGGAAAGAGCCCAAAGTTATAGAGGAAGGGTAACGTTGTTTCTTTACTCCAGTTGAAACTTTCTTTATTTCAGTTCTAAATAAATCTTAGTTTTTAAATATTTTAGGCAAAATTTAAGTAGTTGGAAGTGATATATATTTATTTTAAACATATATTTACAATGTACAATATTATATAATCTTAATAGTACTTATATATCTAAATATATGTATATTACAAGCATCTTTAAAGGAAAAGCATGTTTAGCTCTGTTAGCTGACTCATTGTCAAAAACAATTATAGCCAAGTGCCATGAAATTTGCCCATATGATCACTTCTCCGAAAAATGTGAAGTGTATTCTTGCATTTTCACATTAACAAGCATTGAAAAGTAAATATTTTTTTGCTCCTCCATGGGGATATCTGTTGGACTACAAATGCAATGCACATATGGTAGAAGTTATAATGACAGAATACAAAGAAGGATAAAGAAAATGAAATAAAATGAATCTATCAAGATGATAATATAATCTTTCTCCTTTGACTCACTATAAATATCATGTAATAGATTAACTGTTATACAAAATTACAACATAGTAGACAGGCTAAACCTCACTTTGACCACCATCAAGTCCCAGTCCCCTCCTACAGGAAACACCTGTCAACAGTTTGCTGTATCATCCTTTTCAGATGTTTTTCTATGTATTTTCATATATATATATATATATATATATATATATATATATATATATATGTATCCTTATAAAATAATACAATTCGGTAACTTTTTATGTAAATAGTTTTGAAGCATATGCATAAAATACTTCCCTTAATATATAACTAAAACCAATTTGTCTATTTATAATTGACATATGGAACATCATATAGCATTACCATCTTATAGTTAATTTAGATATTTCACTATCACGGAAATACAGAGTTTTTTTTTTTCTTTCAAATTACACTGTCAAATGCTATGATGCAGTTTAGGTTTATATATATATATAAATATAAACACACACACATATACACACACACATATATATACATAAATATACACATATATATTCTGTGTCTTTTATACATGTGTTATAGTGGCTATTCAGTTGAATTGCTGGCTTTGAGACCATGGACATTTTTATTATTATTATTTAGGAAATTCTGCAGAGGGTCAGAATGCAGATCTATCCAAACTCTACAAGTTGTGAAACTTTCATTATTTTTTGTTTTTATTTGCATTAGTCAAGCTACTGCTAAAGTTAATTTGTTTTTCTTACATTCTTAGTCATCTTTATGTACTTTTCTATAAATTGCCTAGTCATAGACATAATCCATTTTATTGGCTTGCTTCCATTTTCTTGATATTTTAGGATACCTTTCTATATTTTGGAGAGTAATTTTTAGACTTATTAATGTTTTTGGTTTGTTGTGTGGTTATAACCTCCAGTAATATATTGTACTGTTGCTTGGGTAAATTCAACACTATGTAATTTCTTATATTGATAATATGGTTTTAAGTATATTAATGAGAAAGGTATCTCCTTTTTTTAATTTTATTTTATTATTATTATACTTTAAGTTTTAGGGTACATGTGCACAATGTGCAGGTTAGTTACATATGTGTACATGTGCCATGCTGGTGTGCTGCACCCATTAACTCATCATTTAGTGTTAGGTATATATCCTAATGCTATCCCTCCCCCCTCCCCCGTCCCTACAACAGTCCCCAGAGTGTGATGTTCCCCTTCCTGTGACCATGTGTTCTCATTGTTCAATTCCCACCTATGAGTGAGAACATGTGGTGTTTGGTTTTCTGTCCTTGTGATAGTTTACTGAGAATGATGACTTCCAATTTCATCCATGTCCCTATAAAGGACATGAACTCATCATTTTTTATGGCCGCATAGTATTCCATGGTGTATATGTGCCACATTTTCTTAATCCAGTCTATCATTGCTGGATATCTGGGTTGGTTCCAAGTCTTTGCTATTGTGAATAGTGCCGCAATAAACATGCGTGTGCATGTGTCTTTATAGCAACACGATTTATAGTCCTTTGGGTATATACCCAGTAATGGGATGGCTGGGTCAAATGGTATTTCTAGTTCTAGATCCCTGAGGAATCACCACACTGACTTCCACAATGGTTGAACTAGTTTACAGTCCCACCAACAGTGTAAAAGTGTTCCTATTTCTCCACTTCCTCTCCAGTACCTGTTGTTTCCTGACTTTTTATTGATTGCCATTCTAACTGGTGTGAGATGGTATCACATTGTGGTTTTGATTTGCATTTCTCTCATGGCCAGTGATGATGAGCATTTTTTCATGTGTTTTTTGGCTGCATAAATGTCTTCTTTTGAGAAGTGTCTGTTCATGTCCTTTGCCCACTTTTTGATGGGGTTGTTTGTTTTTTCCTTGTAAATTTGTTTGAGTTCTTTGTAGGTTCTGGATATTAGCCCTTTGTCAGATGAGTAGGTTGCGAAAATTTTCTCCCATTTTGTAGGTTGCCTGTTCACTCTGATGGTAGTTTCTTTTGCTTTGCAGAAGCTCTTTAGTTTAATTAGATCCCATTTGTCAATTTTGACTTTTGCTGCCATTGCTTTTGGTGTTTTAGACATGAAGTCCTTGCCCATGCCTATGTCCTGAATGGTAATGCCTAGGTTTTCTTCTAGGGTTTTTATGGTTTTAGGTCTAAGGTTTAAGTCTTTAATCCACCTTGAATTAATTTTTGTACAAGGTGTAAGGAAGGGATCCAGTTTCAGCTTTCTACATATGGCTAGCCAGTTTTCCCAGCACCATTTATTAAATAGGGAATCCTTTCCCCATTGCTTGTTTTTCTCAGGTTTGTCAAAGATCAGATAGCTGTAGATATGCGGCATTATTTCTGAGGGCTCTGTTCTGTCCCATTGATCTATATCTCTGTTTTGGTACCAGTACCATGCTGTTTTGGTTACTGTAGCCTTGTAGTACAGTTTGAAGTCAGGTAGTGTGATGCCTCCAGCTTTGTTCTTTTGGCTTAGGATTGACTTGGCAATGCGGGCTCTTTTTTGGTTCCATATGAACTTTAAAGTAGTTTTTTCCAATTCTGTGAAGAAAGTGATTGGTAGCTTGATGGGGATGGCATTGAATCAATAAATTACCTTGGGCAGTATGGCCATTTTCATGATATTGATTCTTCCTACCCATGAGCATGGAATGTTCTTCCATTTCTTTGTATCCTCTTTTATTTCATTGAGCAGTGGTTTGTAGTTCTCCTTGAAGAGGTCCTTCATGTCCCCTGTAAGTTGGATTGCTAGGTATTTTATTCTCTTTGAAGCAATTGTGAATGGGAGTTCACTCATGATTTGGCTCTCTGTTTGTCTGTTGTTGGTATATAAGAATGCTTGTGATTTTTGCACATTGATTTTGTATCCTGAGACTTTGCTGAAGTTGCTTATCAGCTTAAGGAGATTTTGGGCTGAGACAATGGGGTTTTCTAGATATACAATCATGTCATCTGCAAACAGGGACAATTTGACTTCCTCTTTTCCTAATTGAATACCCTTTATTTCCTTCTCCTGCCTGATTGCCCTGGCCAGAACTTCCAACACTATGTTGAATAGGAGTGGTGAGAGAGGGCTTCCCTGTCTTGTGCCAGTTTTCAAAGGGAATGCTTCCAGTTTTTGCCCATTCAGTGTGATATTGGCTGTGGGTTTGTCATAGATAGCTCTTATTATTTTGAGATACGTCCCATCAATACCTAATTTATTGAGAGTTTTTAGCATGAAGCGTTGTTGAATTTTGTCAAAGGCCTTTTCTGCATGTATTGAGATAATCATGTGGTTTTTGTCATTCATTCTGTTTATATGCTGGATTACATTTATTGATTTGCATATGTTTAACCAGCCTTGCATCCCAGGGATGAAGCCCACTTGATCATGGTGGATAAGCTTTTTGATGTGCTGCCGGATTCGGTTTGCCAGTATTTTATTGAGGATTTTTGCATCAATGTTCATCAAGGATATTGGTCTAAAATTCTCTTTTTTGGTTGTGTCTCTGCCCAGCTTTGGTATCAGGATGATACTGGCCTCATAAAATGAGTTAGGGAGGATTCCCTCTTTTTCTATTGATTGGAATAGTTTCAGAAGGAATGGTACCAGTTCCTCCTTGTACCTCTGGTAAAATTCGGCTGTAAATCCATCTGGTCCTGGACTCTTTTTGGTTGGTAAGCTATTGATTATTGCCACAATTTCAGAGCCTGTTATTGGTCTATTCAGAGATTCAACTTCTTCCTGGTTTAGTCTTGGGAGGGTGTATGTGTCGAGGAATTTATCCATTTCTTCTAGATTTTCTAGTTTATTTGCATAGAGGTGTTTGTAGTATTCTCTGATGGTAGTTTTTATTTCTGTGGGATCAGTGGTGATATCCCCTTTATCATTTTTTATTGCGTCTATTTGATTCTTCTCTCTTTTCTTCTTTATTAGTCTTGCTAGTGGCCTATCAATTTTGTTGATCCTTTCAAAAAACCAGCTCCTGGATTCATTAGTTTTTTGAAGGGTTTTTTCTGTCTCTATTTCCTTCAGTTCTGCTCTGATTTTAGTTATTTCTTGCCTTCTGCTAGCTTTTGAATGTGTTTGCCCTTGCTTTTCTAGTTCTTTTAATTGTGATGTTAGGGTGTCAATTCTGGATCTTTCCTGCTTTCTCTTGTGGGCATTTAGTGCTATAAATTTCCTTCTACACACTGCTTTGAATGTGTCCCAGAGATTCTGGTATGTTGTGTCTTTGTTCTCGTTGGTTTCAAAGAACATCTTTATTTCTGCCTTCATTTCGTTATGCACCCAGTAGTCATTCAGGAGCAGGTTGTTCAGTTTCCATGTAGTTGAGCGGTTTTGAGTGAGTTTCTTAATCCTGAGTTCTAATTTGATTGCACTGTGGTCTGAGAGACAGTCTGTTATAATTTCTGTTCTTTTACATTTGCTGAGGAGAGCTTTACTTCCAAGTATGTGGTCAATTTTGGAATAGGTGTGGTGTGGTGCTGAAAAAAATATATATTCTGTTGATTTGGGGTGGAGAGTTCTGTAGATGTCTATTAGGTCCGCTTAGTGCAGAGCTGAGTTCAATTCCTGGGTATCCTTGTTGACTTTCTGTCTCGTTGATCTGTCTAATGTTGACAGTGGGGTGTTAAAGTCTCCCATTTTTATTGTGTGGGAGTCTAAGTCTCTTTGTAGGTCTCTCAGGACTTGCTTTATGAATCTGGGTGCTCCTGTATTGGGTGCATGTATATTTAGGATAGTTAGTTCTTCTTGTTGAATTGATCCCTTTACCATTATGTAATGGCCTTCTTTGTCTCTTTTGATCTTTGTTGGTTTAAGGTCTGTTTTATCAGAGACTAGGATTGCAACCCCTGCCTTTTTTTGTTTTCCATTTGCTTGGTAGTTCTTCCTCCATCCTTTTATTTTGAGCCTATGTAGGTCTTTGCACGTGAGATGGGTTTCCTGAATACAGCACACTGATGGGTCTTGACTCTTTATCCAGTTTGCCAGTCTGTGTCTTTTAATTGGAGCATGTAGTCCATTTACATTTAAAGTTAATATTGTTATGTGTGAATTTGATCCTGTCATTATGATGTTAGCTGGTTATTTTGCTCGTTAGTTGATGCAGTTTCTTCCTAGCCTCGATGGTCTTTACAGTTTGGCATGATTTTGCAGTGGCTGGTACCGGTTGTTCCTTTCCATGTTTAGTGCTTCCTTCAGGAGCTCTTTTAGTGCAGGCCTGGTGGTGACAAAATCTCTCAGCATTTGCTTGTCTGTAAAGTATTTTATTTCTCCTTTACTTATGAAGCTTAGTTTGGCTGGATATGAAATTCTGGGTAGAAAATTCTTTTCTTGAAGAATGTTGAATATTGGCCCCCACTGTCTTCTGGCTTGTAGAGTTTCTGCCAAGAGATCCACTGTTAGTCTGATGGGCTTCCCTTTGTGGGTAACCCGACCTTTCTCTCTGGCTGCCCTTAACATTTTTTCCTCTATTTTAACTTTGGTGAATCTGACAATTATGTGTCTTGGAGTTTCTCTTCTCGAGGAGTATCTTTGTGGCATTCTCTGTATTTCCTGAATCTAAATGTTGGCCTGCCTTGCTAGATTGGGGAAGTTCTCCTGGTTCTCCTGTAGAGTGTTTTCCAACTTGGTTCCATTCTCCCTGTCACTTTCAGGTACACCAATCAGACGTAGATTTGGTCTTTTCACGTAGTCCCACATTTCTTGGAGGCTTTGTTCATTTCTTTTTATTCTTTTTTCTGTAAACTTCCCTTCTCACTTCATTTCATTCATTTCATCTTCCATCACTGATACCCTTTCTTCCAGTTGATTGCATTGGCTCCTGAGGCTTTTGCATTCTTCACGTAGTTCTCCAGCCTTGGCTTTCAGCTCAGTCAGCTCCTTTAAGCACTTCTCTGTATTGGTTATTCTAGTTATACATTCTTCTAAATTTTTTTCAAAGTTTTTAACTTCTTTGCCTTTGGTTTGAATTTCCTCCTGTAGCTCGGAGTAGTTTGATCGTCTGAAGCCTTCTTCTCTCAACTCGTCATTCTCCGTCCAGCTTTGTTCCGTTGCTGGTGAGGAACTGCATTGCTTTGGAGGATGAAAGGCGCTCTGCTTTTTAGAGTTTCCAGTTTTTCTGCTCTGTTTTTTCCCCATCTTTCTGGTTTTATCTACTTTTGGTCTTTGATGATGGTGATGTACAGATGGGTTTTTGGTGTGGATGTCCTTTCTGTTTGTTAGTTTTCCTTCTAACAGACAGGACCCTCAGCTGCAGTTCTGTTGGAGTTTGCTAGAGGTCCACTCCAGACCCTGTTTGCCTGGGTATCAACAGCGGTGGCTGCAGAAGAGCGGATTTTCGTGAACCGCGAATGCTGCTGTCTGATAGTTCCTCTGGAAGTTTTGTCTCAGAGGAGTAACTGGCCGTGTGACGTGTCAGTCTGCCCCTAATGGGGAGTGCCTCCCAGTTAGGCTGCTCGGGGGTCAGGGGTCAGGGACACACTTGAGGAGGCAGTCTGCCCATTCTCAGATCTCCAGCTGCGTGGTGGGAGAACCACTGCTCTCTTCAAAGCTGAGGGACAGGGACATTTAAGTCTGCAGAGGTTACTGCTGTCTTTTTGTTTGTCTGTGCCCTGCCCCCAGAGGTGGAGCCTACAGAGGCAGGCAGGCAGGCCTCCTGGAGCTGTGGTGGGCTCCACCCAGTTCGAGCTTCCCGGCTGCTTTGTTTACCTAATCAAGCCTGGGCAATGGCGGGCGCCCCTCCCCCAGCCTCCTTGCCGCCTTGCAGTTTGATCTCAGACTGCTGTGCTAGCAATCAGCGAGACTCCATGGGATAGGACCCTCTGAGCCAGGTGCGGGATATAGTCTCCTGGTGCACCGTTTTTTAAGCCCGTCGGAAAAGCGCAGTATTAGGGTGGGAGTGACCCGGTTTTCCAGGTGCCATCTATCACTCTTTTCTTTGACTAGGAAAGGGAACTCCCTGACCCCTTGTGCTTCCCCAGTGAGTCAATGCCTAGCCCTGCTTCGGCTTGCGCACGGTGCGCTGCACCCTCTGTCCTGCGCCCACTGTCTGGCACTCTCTAGTGAGATGAACCTGGTACCTCAGATGGAAATGCAGAAATCACCGGTCTTCTGCGTTGCTCACGCTGGGAGCTGTAGACCGGAGCTGTTCCTATTCGGCCATCTTGGCTGCCAGAACCGAAAGGTATGTCCTATTAAGGATGTTTCCCTTAATTTTATAGTTGCTAAGATATTGTTTGTATTTAATTAGCAGACAACTGCTTACCTTTAGCTAAGACTTGGCATTTACTGAGATCATATTTTCTCGTTTGGCTTATCAATACAGAAAATTACATTCTTAAATGTAATGCATGTAGAATGCAAGTAGATAGGTAAAATGCATGTACATAGGTAGAAAATATACACATGTTCTTTGCTATAAAAAATTTTTTTATTACTGGGGATGGATCTTAATTTGCTACTATAGGCAATTCTTTTATCATTTGATTTATTACTATTTTACTTATAAGAGATTCTTAATTTTTTTAATAATTTAAAATTTTTTAAGGATTTGTGTTATTCTGACTGTTTGGCTATCAGGATTTGGAGTGTCCCTGGTATATTGAAGGACTCAGTAAGGGTAGAATTATAAGATGGTTCAGGAGTGACTGTTGTGCAAAACTCGTACTTACCAAATTTCTTTTATGTAGTAGCAGATAGCCTGTTGTATTTTCAGTTCAGCCTCATATCAAAGCTACACTCGGTTGCTTGATAGCAAAACAGAGGGAAAGTGGCCAGTTTCTCCTGATGTTTTCTTTGTTTTATCTCTTCTTTCTACAGTTGGCCTCCCTTTGGGGTCCCTCCAGTGTTAGGATTAGGGAGTAGTAAGGATTAGAGAGAAAGAACAAAGTCTTATGTGGCTCTTTGGCTCATTATCATCCGGTTTCAGGGCCATCTGTGTGATAGATGTCTGGTTTTGGCTTTTTCTCTTATGCAATGCTTTTGTCGACTCTTGGAAATTTGTATTATTCAAGATGTCACACTGTTGTTATCTGATGCAGAAGATACCTCCATCCGGCTGGCTTCTTATGTACTGACAGTTCCTGGCTTCCATCAATCCCTCTTATACAGACTCTTTCTCTTGTAGGTACCTCACCACTCCAGATGTCCTTCTTGAAAGGGATAAATTTCAGGCTGGTTAAGGCTTCACTTCCATACTTGGATTTGTTCAACTCACAGAGAAACTCATGAATAATTGCCTCATTAATTTCTGGAAGCAAGTTCCAGTCTCCTAAGTGCTCTAATCTTCAGGGTGCCCATATCAGGCTTCTGAAGCCCTTCTTCTTTGGGAAAGGGGCGGGGATTCATAGTATACCAACTCTCTCCAGTGGAATTCTCACTAGGGAATACTTCTGATCAATTTACCCAACTGCAATTTTAAGGGTTTTAGCTGGGTGATAGGCTAAAACTTTCATGAGTGTTCACAATATCCCAGTGTGTTCTGCAGCAATGGTCTGGCAACTATTGTCCAGCTTCTTGGTCTCTGTTGAAGTTCCAAGACAACAGCAAAGTTGTCCTTCCAAGACAACAGCACAGCTGTCCTTATAAATCCCTTTGCAAAATGACTTGGAGAGCTTCCAACTTTTTTTCTGTGTTCTAAACAGTTTTTATAAGGTAGGAGTTATTTGTTCCTTGAGAGCTTGATATCACTTGAAGCATCTGTGTCTATTTACTTTTAGGAGATAGATTTCTTTTATTGCTGTTTTAATGTATCCTGTAGTTTTTCTATTCAGGTTTTCTATTTTGAGACAATTTTGTTAATTGATAGCAGAAGGCTATATATTTTCCATAATTTTATTTGCTCACAAAAAGCATTTTTTTAAAGTAATTGCAATGTCCAATTTTCTTTCTTTAAACCAAAAATTATTTAGAACTTCATGTGTGTATGTGTGTGTCTGTGTGTATATACGTATATACATATATATGTGTGTATACACACACATATATGTGTATGTGTGTGTATGTGTGCATGTACACGTGTGTATGTGTGTATGTACACATGTGTGTATGTATGTACACGTGTGTGTACACGTATGTGTATGTACACATGTCTGTATATGTGTGTATGTACACATGTGTGTGTATGTGCGTGTATATGTGTGTATGTACACGTGTGTGTGTATATATATGCTTTGAGAGGATACAACAAGAAGTCTGCAGTCTGCAAACTGGGTTCACCAGAACCCAACCATACTGCCACCCTAATCTAATACATATATATACACATATTACGACCCTAATCTAATACATATATATACACACGTGTGTATATGTATATCTAATACATATACACGTATATCTAATACATATACACGTACGTGTGTATGTATATCTAATACATATATACATATATATGAAAGATATCTGGTATCTCATCCTCTTATAAATATGTACATAGGTTCGTGTTAATTTCCAGATATACACAGATTTAGCTACTTTAAATTATTGATCTCCAAATATACTGCATGATAGTCGTTGAACATAGCGTAACATCGGTTTTGAAATATTGTATTTTTCTTTGTAGTTCACTACATGATCATTTCTATGTGTTTGATCTGCTTGAAAACAGTGTTCACTGTGTGTTTTAGGGGTGAAGAGTTCATTACATGTAGCTTTGAATTATGGCATAATTCTCTAACCTCCTCTAATCTTTCTTAATTTTTGTTGTATTACTCTATATTTCCTGAGACTAGTGCCTTTAATTATCTTCACAATAATTTTTCACCATTTTTAATTTCATTCCTTGCCTTCTTCCTAGTTTCATGTTTTTGTCTTGTTAGAATGGATCTTAAAATGACACTTTATATGTGGTAAAAATATATATAACATCTTCTATTGTAACCCATTTTAACTGTATGATTTGGCAGCATTAATTTCATTCACAGTGTAGTGCAACCATACCCACTATCTATCTTTTTTTTTTTGAAATGGAGTTTCGCTCTTGTTGCCCAGGCTGGAGTGCAGTGGCACAATCTCAGTTCCCTGCAACCTCCGCTTCCCAGGTTCAAGTGATTCCCCTGCCTCAGCCTCTTGACTAGCTGGGATTATAGGCGTGCGCCACCACACCTGGCTAATTTTTGTGTTTTTAAGAGAGACGGGGTTTCTCCATGTTGGTAAGGCTGGTCTCGAACTCCTGACCTCGTGATTTGCCCACCTCGGCCTCCCCAAGTGCTGGGATTACAGGTGTGAACCACCGTGCCCGGCTTGTCTATCTTTAATAATACTTTGAGATAGAATTTGCATGGTGTAAACTCTTAGAAGCCTTACATGTTTGAAATGTCTTCATTTTACCAACTTTGTAGATGTTATCATTACACTTAAAGTTATTTTCTTTCAAAAATTTAAATCTGTTGCTCTATTGTCTTCATGCTAAGAATATTGTGGATGAGAAGGTGTCTTAGTCTGCTCGGCTTGCCATAAGAAAATATCATAGATGGGTAGCTCAAACAGCAGAAATGTGTATTCTCACAGTTCCTGAGGCTCAAAGTCTGATATCTGTGCCAGCATGGTGGGCTTCTCGTGAGGTCCCTCTCCCTGGTTTACATACAGTTGCCTTCTCATTGTGTCCTCACATGGTGGAGAGAGATCTCTGTCTCTGGTCTCCCTTTCTCTTCTTTTTTTTTTTTTTTTTTTGACGGAGTCTCACTCTGTCACCAGGCTGGAGTGCAGTGGTGCAATCTCGGCTCACTGCAACCTCTGCCTCCCGGGTTCAAGCGATTCTCCTGCCTCAGCCTCCTGAGTAGCTGGGATTACAGGCATGCGCCACCACACCCAGCTAATTTTAGTATTTTTAGTAGAGACAGGGCTTCACCATCTTGGCCAGGATGGTCTTGATCCCTTGACCTCGTGATCTGTCTGCCTCGGCCTCCCAAAGTGCTGGGATTACAGGCATGAGCCACCGCGCCCGGCCCTCTCTTCTTATAAGGACACTAATCTCATCCCATCATGGGGGCCCGCCTGAATCTCATGACTTTATCTAAACTTAATTATCTCCAAAAAACCCTACTTCCAAATTCCATCAGATTGGGAGTGTCAGCTTTAGACTTCAACATAGGAATCTTAGGAGCGCATTTAGTCCGTAACAGAAGACTAATAGCAAACTAACTCCCATTCATTTGTATGATTAAAAAGGAGTTCTGCCCCTCTGTCTCTGGAAATTTTTAGTAATCTGTATCTCTTTTGGTAGTTTTAGGTTTTATTACAATGAGTTTAATAAGTATATATATGTGTAAATGTGTTTGTGTTTTATTATTCTCGACACTGGATAGACCCTGTAAGATGATTCATATCTTTGATCTTTGATCAATTCAATCAGTTGTATTCTTTAATATTGTTGGATACATCTTCTCAACCTTCTCTTCATTTTCTCTTGGAACATCATAGACACATTTTTACCTATTCTTTTATGCCGTATTTTGTGAGAGAGATCTCTGGTCTCTCTTAGTGATTGTAAAGATTTCCAATGGGTTCTTCTGAATTTTTAATTCTGCTTTTCAATTCTCAAACTTCAAGTCTTTTTTTAAATCACAAGTGGATTCTTTTGTATGAACCCAATATCCTTTCCCATTTAAGATGTTATATTTTCCCTATTTACTATGTTACCTCACATGAGTGTTTTTACATTAATTTTCTTTGGTTTTCACAGCATGAGCTTTCCTTAAATGTTCGGTAATTTCTGGCTGTGTATTCATCTTTATAGCTAAAGTTCTCATTACATCAAATGCCGAATCGCCAGGCCCAGAGTATATGTTTGTGATGAGGAGTTATGAAGGTAGAGCTGCTTATATTCTGGTGCTTGTATTCTTTATAAAAAGATTAGTGGGAAGAGGCCTGGCACGGTGGCTCACACCTATAATCCCAGCACTTAGGAAGGACAAGACTGGCAGATCACTTGAGGTCAGGAGTTCGAGACCAACCTGACCAACATGGTGAAACCCTGTCTCTACTAAAAAAAATACAAAAATTAGCCGGGTGTGATGGTGGGCACCTGTAATCCCAGCTCCTTGGGAGGCTGAGGCAGAAGAATCGGTTGAACCAGAGAGGTGGAGTTTGCAGTGAGCTGAGATCACGCCACTGCACTTCAGCCTGGACAATAGAACAAGACTCTGTCAAAAAAAAAAAAAGAAAGAAAGAAAGTTTAGTGGGAAGAATGTGAACACCGGCAATTGTCTTAGTCAGTTTGGGCTACTGTAACAAAGTATTATAGACTGGGTAACTTAAAAACAACGGAAATTTATTTCTTAAAATCTGAAAGCTGGATGCCTGAGATTAGGGTGGCAGTATGGTTGGGTTTTGGTGAATCCAGGTTGCAGACTGCAGACTTCTTGTTGTATCCTCTCAAGGCAAAAAGAGAGAAAGAGATGTCTCTGTCATCTCTATTATAAGGGTGTTAATCCCATTCATTAAGGCTTCAAACTTCTGTACTAATTACCTCCCAAAGACTCCAGTTCCAAGTACCATCACATTAGAATTAATATTTCAACATATGAATGTAGGGAGCATGAGCACTCAGTCCATAACGGCAAGCTGTTTCCCCCGATCTTTGAGGTAGGAGTGCTCCTCATTTTTATTTGCTATGGCCTGTCACTCAGTGTGCTGACCCGCTTTCCACTGTCTGCTTCTCATGTCAGGAGGCAGACACAATTTCCAAGTAGCCCAAGACCACATGGGTATGAGTGTTGAGAGACGTGTCAAGGGTGTGACTTCACCTTTTATGATATCCCAATGAATTACGTTGTAATTTACACGTAGATCTACTTTTATGACTGGAATCCATCCACCAGACATAGAGCTCTTTTTTCTCCTGGTAGCCCCTTGCAACAATGCTTTCTTAGTACATTGGAGCTGAGATTTTCCTATTTAGTTTGGACCATACCTGCCGTCTGCCTCTCAGGATTTTAAAAAATGTTCTTATACATAAGATTTCCTTTTGTTGTGTTCCAATGTGATTATTGATTTTTTAAGAAACCACTGCTATCTTTGGTGCTAGAGATTTTAGAGGGGATGGAAAAACTAGGGAGTCTGTTAAGCATTATATATATATATATATATAAATTATATATGTATATAAATTATATATATATAAATTATATATATATAAATTATATATATAAAAATATATAAATATATATATAATATACTATATATATTAAATATATATTTTATATATAATATATATAAAATATATATTTAATATATATAGTATATTATATATATATATATATTTTTTTTTGAGACGGAGCCTCGCTCTGTCGCCCAGGCTGGAGTGCAGTGGCGCGATCTTGGCCCACTACAAGCTCCGCCTCCCGGGTTCACGCCATTCTCCTGCCTCAGCCTCCCAAATAGCTGGGACTACAGACGCCCGCCACCATGCCCTGCTAATTTTTTGTATTTTTAGTGGAGACGGGGGCTTCACCGTGTTAGCCAGGATGGTCTCGATCTCCTGACCTCCTCATCCGCCCGCCTCGGCCTCTCAAAGTGCTGGGATTACAGGTGTGAGCCACCGTGCCCGGCCTAGGCATTATATTTTTAATTCCATCAAAACCTTTATGAACCTTGTGAATTAAAATTTTTTCTAACTTCTGCTATATCTCCATAGTTTTCAGTAATCACTGTTTTGTATATTACTAATTATAATCTATCTTTGTTGTATCATAATTATGGGAATAAATCCTTGATAATAACAATAAAAACTGGATGCTAATGCGCTTTAAAATTCTGTAAGTTCTAGAGCCTTCATCATCATTTATTTCTGGTTTGCCATTCTCTCTCTTCCTAGGAGGCAATTCTAAAGAAGAGCACAAGCTACAAATATATTTTATATTGCTTTAAAATTGCTGAGAATTTATTTTAGAAAATTGAGGCTAGGTGTGTTGACTCATGCCTGCAATCCCAGCACTTTGGGGAGGCGGGCAGATCACCTGAGGTCAGGAGCTTGAGACCAGCCTAACTTGAGTTTAAGTATTAAGACTACTTAAACCAATTTTTTTTAAAAGACAAGGCAATTTTTTTCTGAGACATTATTTTAAGATATTGCATCAGATAACTAATTATAGCATAAATCAGCACTGTTTAATTTATGCAGTGTCACCCCACAGAGAAATTTTTTGAGGGTTGAATGAGCAATATAAACAACCATCCTTAAAGGAACTTAGTGAAACACATTTTACTTTGAGTCAGGGTTCTTTAACAAGAACACTCAAATAAACAATGCTTTATCTGAACATTTCAAATCTTGTGAGGCACTATTGTTTTTAAAGGTGAACAACAGAAAACAACAGAAAACTAAAGCCATAACGGTTATTGAGGGGAAGATTTAGAATGTGGTGGATTACAGCAGATCCTCATTACAGAAGCAGGACATTTAAAGAGCAATCAATAGCTTCAAAATAATGTAATTGTTGTGCCTGTATTCACAGTAAGGATTAAATAAGAACAAAATTGTCTCATTTTGTATGCAATCATTTAATTTTTTAAGCAAAAAAAGTACAAGAGTGATGTAAAAATAACACAAAATTACATAGTTGATAGTTAATGGGAATTATCTGAATGTCGTTTACAGCTGATAGTTTCTTCTCCAACACTGTAATTTTAGACATAGAAAGGATTCTAGAGGTGTTTTAAATCAAATCAAGAACAGGAAAATTGCATTTATAGGGGAATTGAAGACTTATGTCATATCAAAACGATTAGTGAATTCATGACAAGGAGATGGGTGTAGTATTGGGATTATCAGCACCTGAGCAAGTTAGTTAATTTTCCATTTATTCATCTTTAAAAAGGGGAGAGTAAGTATACTATTTTTTAGGGTTGTTGTGAGGACTATATAGGTTGGCATATATAAAACCTTTTGAATGGTGCCTGGCATGAGAAAGAATATTAGAATATAAGACCATGGCATAAAAATTATAAGAATTAATGAACATAATTATTATTTGAAATCATCATATTCATGCAGCAGATTTGTCAGAACATCTCATGATGTTTTTCATGTCATTTCTATCAAGAGGCTCATAGCACTGTTTCCAACCTATTGAGTTAAACTACTTTTCACAGAAGATGAAATTGAAGATTGGAAGATTATTTTACTAGGCCTGGAGAAAAAGAAAGAAAGGAAGAATTTCAGAAATGGGCCTTTACAGCGTACATTCAAATCTTGCTGGGGCCAGGCGCAGTGGCTCACGCCTGTAATCCCAGCACTTTGGGAGGCCAAGGCGGGCGGATCACAAGGTCAGGAGATCGAGACCGGCCTGGCTAACACAGCAAAACCCCATCTCAACTAAAAATACAAAAAATTAGCCAGGCATGGTGGCGGGCGCTTGTAGTCCCAGCTACTCGGGGGGAGGCTGAGGCAGGAGAATGGCATGAACCCGGGAAGCGGAGCTTGCAGTGAGCCGAGATAGCGCCACTGCACTCCAGCCTGGGTGACAGAGCAAGACTCAGTCTCCAAAAATAAAAAAAATCTTGCACAGAGTTCATTTATTGCATTAACAAGAATTAGAGTAGACAGACAAGTCTGGGGAAGGGAAGGTCACAGGACTGGTGGCCAGAGACCATGGGCTGACCAACAACATTACCTTAAGGCACTGTAGGATTCTGCTGAGTGACTTACCCTTATTGTGTCTTAGTGTTCACATCAGTACAATCAAAGCAATGTAGAGTGAGGCAGCAAAGAACATCAGAGTAACAATTGAGATTTCGTTCTACCTGGGAGAATGTAGGTCTCGCTGGAATTTCTGTATCTCTATAATAAATAAGAAAAATAATAAGTGGATCCACATTGTGGGGCAACAAATTTATATAATCTAGGTACCTGCTTTACATAAATGTCAAAGAAAGACCAATACCAACAAATGTATAGGGAAGTCACTGATTACAAAAGGAAGGGGTGATTTTCAGAATACACGAGAGAAAGAGAAAAGACAAAAATCAGAGTAGAGCAGAAGTGTCTCTACCAAAAGGCTGTCCTGAACATTGTAGACAATTTCTAATATAGGAAGGAAAATTACTGGTGTAGGGCATTACCAAAGGTGGTTTGAGTGATATATTGCTCAGAAAGTTTAGCATTAAAAGATCTGATAAATCCACAGAGAGCTTGGGACAGATAGACAGAAGCATTTAGCATCAGATGCAGGAACACACAGCCTTGGTACTGCCTGCCCTCTTTTAGCAATTGAATCACCATCACAGGCATCTCCCAAGCTGACTAACTAGGCAGGGTCAGCTCCCCAAGGACACAGGACCTGTGGGTGCCATAAAAGGGAACCCCACACGTGGAAGAGTTCCACACGTTGTTTAATGCTCTGTAGTCACTCTCTTGAAATTCTTAATCATTTTTTAAAAAGTAACTTCACAATTTAATTTTGCACTGGGCTTTACAAATTACTTAACTCATTCTGTCTCTTGGAGCATGAGCTTTTAGGTGCAGTTGAAAATTGTCAGTTATTTTAACAGAGATCCACTGCATCAATTCATGCAAATATAGTAATCAAAAAGCATCCTCTGTTTTGAGCTGGCTTATGATTTCTAATTGTGATATTCTCTGAGCAAATTTCTTGAATATACTCCAACTAGCTAGTAGCTTTGTTTAAATATTTTAGATAATGCCAAATGCAAAACATAAAGTATAAAAACAAAATAGTATATTTTGGCATCCAACGCATGAAACTTCTCTGTCAGGAACCTCAGCTGAAACCCTTCAAGATGTCATGTCTATTAATAAATTACTGTAACTCACGCAGAATGGGGCTGGGTGGTGCCACCATTTATTTCCCCAGTGCATGTTGGACTGCTGGGATGTCTCCTCCAGATCTCTCATATCATCCGCAGAGAACACATGTTGCAAGTTGTGTGAACCCTTTAATTTAATTCAGCCCAGATTGTGGGATATATATATATATATTCCGATATATATATATATCGGAGGATATATATGGGAGATATATATATATATAAAATTTTGAATTTCCAAAACATAAGAATCCATGAAATCTTTATCTTTCTCGGTCTCATTGTGGATATGAGACTATTTCCCAAAGAAATTCTGCAAGTTAACGTCTCAGTTATGAACCTTAAAGTAAAAAAACAGTAGCAAGGGGCGGGCGGGGGAAATAAAACTAGCAAATGGAGCCTGTGGTTTTGTGAAAGTCATTTTCAGTCTCTGAGTCTGTTTTGCCATCTGTAAAATGGCTATACTAGGCAGGATTATTTTTAAAATTAAGAAAAATATCATTGAAATGCTTGGCCTTTGATGATAGCTCAGCACAAGGGTTTGTATTTAATTTGCTCTTTATTGTTGTAAAACATTTGCTAAATTCAGGTGTTTACTAATCATCTGCAATTTCTTTAATGACCCCAAATCATTATATACCCTAAATACCTAGTGGATAAAGCAGGAAGTGTGCTAAGAAAATGGTTGAGACCAAAAGATGTAGAATAGTTTCAGACAAATGATGCTTTTTAATTCACGAAGGAGAATATGCACACAGTAGAAAAGCTTGATATAAAGTTTAAACATGTTACGGGCCAAATGTACTTCACCGCCCAGAGACACTTACCTTTGATGACTTTTGCTTTGTTATGTTTTTTGGTTTCTTTTTAAGGAGGGGCAACTCTGTAACTCTAAGGTATATGTAATATGCTTTTACATTCATTTCTTGATTTTTCAAAAGTAAAGACTATTTATTGAGTCTCAATAATGAATCATACTGAATTAGCTCATTTTCCCTTTCCCTGACATTTTCTTCTCGAATATGCTCCCCATTTATATATTTATACTTTTACTTGTAGGACTTTTAAATGTCACCATTATGTCTTTTAGTAATATGTGTGTATCTTGATTATTTCACTACTTTGAGTAGTATTTCTTGACTCTTCACTATTTAAGATAAAGAAATTAGCAGCCAGAACTTGGTTCTATTTCTCTCCCTCTTTACACCTTCTAATTTCTACTTACTATAAATTATTTTACATTTTTGTCAAAAGTTAAATGTTTTAATGTTTGACCATAGATTGATTTTGAAAACTGAATATAGTATTCTGTCCAAGTCTGAATAAACTTATGTAGAAAAAAAAGTCAATGTTGTTTGTAAACGAATCACTCAGAGAAAACAAAACTTTCATGGATTCTTATGTTTTAGAAATTCAAAATAATTCCGTGTTGTATTTCGTTTTGCATTTCATTGTGTTTTAAATTGCCTTCCTATTTTTCTTCTCAGTTTATACCTTTTAATGTAGCATAGATTCTCTGTCATCAAAATTAAACTATCTATTGAGTGAAACTTGCTTTCTTGGAAAAACATATTTTCTAGAGTCCATGACTTTCTGCTCCCAACCACCAGGATGCACAGCTAGAGAACCTCGTGTAGCTTCTTGATTTATTTAATTCCATGCCTTCTCGTTCTTGTAATTCTATAGGATTTTTTTCTCCTTATAAATGTAAGATTATTTTTCCCACAAAAATGTATTTTAAAAATAAGTTTTTTGCCTACCCTTACCTACCCATACATAAAATCATTATTTTATCTTCAAAATAGTTTACTTTTTTTGATTCAAAATCATTTTTGTTTCAAAATATTTCTTTATAGTCTTTTTTTTTTTTGACAGAATCTCACTCTATCACCAGGCTGGAGTGCAATGGCGCAATCTGGGCTCACTGCAACCTCTGCCTCCCGGATTCAAGCGATTCTCCTGCCTCAGCCTCACGAGAAGCTGGGACTACAGTCATGTGCCACCACACCCAGCTAATTTTTGTATTTTTAGTAGAGATGAGATTTCACCATGTTGGCCAGGATGGTCTAGATTTCTTTACCTTGTGACCCGCCTGCAGTGGCCTCCCAAACTGCTGGGATTGCAGGCTTGAGCCACGGTGCCCGGCCTCTTTATAATCTTTTTATTCCTAGTATATCCAGTTTAATGACAGTTATTCAGATTCCATTATGGCTCCATTTCCTTTGTATGTAAACTTGTTGCAGGTAGTTAGACAGGCATGAGCAGGGCAGGAGAGAGCTCTCCCTCACCATCAAGAATGTTGGGTGATGGTTCAGCAATTATCATATTGCCTCTCTAAACATAATAAACTGGCAGCTGGTGCCAGAGAGAGGTCATTTCCTGACCGTCCACACCTGTCACACTAACGTGTTAATTGAATGCAGTCACCAGAGAGATGCAACTTCTTGCGCATGTGAATTAAGTGACAGAATGGTGGAGTATGACCTTCTGGGGCACTCCACTGGAAAAGGGAAGAAAGTCTCATATAGGCTGCATACAGCTTCCCAAACACACTGTGCATGCTCACTTCCCAAGGGTAAAGAAGGCACTGTGCATGCAGGCAGCCAACCCTAAGGGAAGGATGAAAGGAGTGCAAGATGTTGGAAGTGGGCCAGCTTATAAAATCCTAGGATCACAGTTAAATGTTGCACCTGACCTTCTTAGTGCTCACTTGGGTCTCTTCCAAGTGCATTTTCCTTTCTTTCCTGCTCTAAAATTTTTTAGTAAACGTCCACTCCTGCTCTGAAACTTGCCTCGTCTCTTTTTCTTTCTTAGGCCCCTCAGCCAAATTTTTTCTTCTGAGCAGGCAAGAATTGAGGTTGCTTCAGAGCCGTATGAATTCACTGCTGGTAACTCGGATACCTTTCACTGGGAATATATTGTCTTAATCTTTTTTTCAGAATTTTACTGTATTTAACCTCAGTTTATGAAACTCCACATGCATGTCTGTCTGCATTCAGAATGTTTGCTCTTAAATGGGTCCTTTGGATCTGAAGACTTTTTACCTTACTTTAGTTCTGTTGCATTTTCTTTTATTATTGCCTTATTTTCTTCCCTTCTTTTCTTCCTTCCTTTTTTAAATGCTGTAACTAAGATGTTAGCTACTGTGTTGTTTTTCTTATACATCTTTTACCTGTCTGTAATAGTTCAATTGTATTCTTTGGCATATCAATTTTTCCCTGTAATTTTGCCAGTCAAAATACTTTATTGTTTCTCTTCTATTTGTCTATTCTTGTCTTGTAGATTTACTCCATTTTTCTAGAGATATTTAAACATTCTAGCATTTTTGCTCTATTTTTGTTTGTTTGTTTGCTCATCTTGGATTTTTTTTCTTGCATGCCCTGGATTTTCTTCAAATAGGCTTGGCTTCTGGGATGTCCTTTTGTATTTTACTGTGACAGCCCTGGTTGGTTAAGTTACTCTTGAGTAGCATCTGCTATGAAATAGGCAAAGCCATTTCCCGAGCTGGCCTCTTAACTGGGTGGGTTTGCTACGAGCAGAAATAACTATTTCTAGACAGAAAGTGGTGATCATTAAGTATTACTTTAGATGATGAAGGCCAAAACCATCCAGGGCCTCTTCCAAATGCCAGAATGAGGCACAGAAACTGAAACAGTCCCAGCTAACTCTAGAGACATCAAACATTTTGTTGCTTTTATCTATCTTATTAAATCTCAGGACCCAGGGGTTAAATGCCCGGTGATCAGCACTCTCAGGAGGGGATAAAGAGATAAACAGTGCAGAGAACTGGTGCCAGAACTGAACCACACTTAGCTCTTCAGGAAATTTTTTTGCTGCATATCCAAATTTCCACTCCTACTCATAGCAGCGAGCTCTACTGCTGGGGACTCTGTAAGGCAATGCTTGTATAATACTCCCCCAACTCCGTTACTGTGCTCTTCCCAAAGCTACAAGGCTTCCTCTGTTCTTTTATGTGTAAATATTTGCCCTCATGCTTCCTGCTTTCCAGAAGCCAAGTAAATGCCTCAGACCTACCAATGAGCCTATCATTTCTACAAAATGCTCAGTTCTCCTTGATATTGTAAATTAGCACTTGTTGAGGCATATACATGTGCATTTCAGTACAAAGTAGTGATTGAGCTAAGACAACAAATGGGCTCATTTTCTTCTCTCTAACCAGAAGCCTGCAATTTTTTTTTCCTGATGGTCGTTGTATTCAAGCCTAATAAACAGAAACTATTCCACTATTATTCAACAAATATTTACTGACCTACTGTAGTATACACACACACCTACACCCCAAATAATTAAATTAAGTGTGCTACATAGTATTATAGATTGAGAGATTGAGAAGTGCCATTCAAAGTAAATTTCTTGAAAAGAGAAGATGGTTCAACTGCATTTAAAAAGACAGGTTTATCAGACACACGATGTGAATGAAGGGAGAAGGAACAATGTGTGCAAAGTCGGTGAGATTTAAGGTGTTATACAACATAATGGAAGGAGTAATAATTTATCAAAGTGTTAAGCTTCATTTTTAGCATTTGGCAAAAACCTGCCACTCAGTGTTGACTTCAGACTTTGTACGGAAAATCTGTCAGAGACCCACACCAATGTCATTTCCTGCATGCCTAAACTCATGTGTGAGCAATAACGCTGTGATTGCATTTCTAATTCTTATCAATCAGTTCAATAACCTCGAGTAATACAATCAAAGCACCTCACTTGGGTTTAGAGTTAATACCCCAATGTTTCTAATATATATTAACATTCTGGATATATTTAGGAAAAAAATCTGTTTAACTACATTTTCTTCAAAAATAATAGGAGGTAAAATATAAACATCTGTCTATTATTGCAAAAGTTAAATGCTCCAGTGATTAAGATTGTTGATTAACTATACAACTATATACTTTAAAGAATAGTATAACTTCCGAGAATTTATCCCAGCAGAATAATTTTTGGAAGATCAATATATCCTCGTGGAGTTAACTATGTTTAAATAATTTTAAGTTATAATGATTGATGGAGATCAGAGTGCATCAAAGTTCTAGCATCAACATGTCAGAGGTGTCTGAATCACAGCAACTCCATTTTGAATAGAGGCTAGGTAAAATGAGGCTGAGACCTACTGGATTACATTCCCAGAAGGTTAGACCTTCTAGGTCACAGGGTGAGATAGAATGTCGGCACAAGATGCAGGTCACAAAGACCTTGCTGATAAAACAGGTTGTGGTAAAGAGGCCAGCCAAAACCCGCCAAAACCAAGGTGGTGACGAAGGTGACCTCTGTTCGTCCTCACTGCTCATTATACACTAATCATAATGCATTAGCATGCTAAAATACATTCTCACCAGCAATGTGACAGTCTACAAATGCAATGGCAACATCAGGGAGTTACCCTATCTGCTCTAGAACTCTCTCGGGGTCTGGATCGGGACACTTTTCCAGTAACAAACAAAAGTGTTTATTGTTCTAGCATTTACAACATTAAATATAACTTTTAAGTGTTTTGTCATTTAATTTTACTGAGTCAAAACACTTTTAAGAAAAAAATTCTATTTGGGAATTGAGAGTTCTTTTCCTCTTGAGAGGACGATTTAACACTATTTCAACATTGTCACCTAAAAATGTCATGAAAAGAAAAACTCTAAGTTCATATACAATATCAAAATAAGCATATAGGGAAACCGTATCTCTACTAAAACTACAAAAATTAGGCCTGGTGCGGTGGCTCATCCCAGTATTTTGGGAGGCCAAGGTGGGTGGATCATGAGGTCAGGAGTTCAACACCAGCCTGGCCAACATAGTGAAACCTCGTCTCTACTAAAAGTACAAAACTTAGCTGGGCATGGTGGCGTGCACCTGTAATTCCAGCTACTCAGAAGGCTGAAGCAGGAGAATTGCTTGAACCCGGGAGGCAGAGGCTGCAGTGAGCTGAGATCACACCACTGCACTCTAGCCTAGTCAATAAAGGGAGAATCCGTCTCAAAAAAATAAATTAATTAAAAAAAGATAAGTATATTTAATTCAGCCTTAAACACAAAGAATATAAAAATATTAAAACACTGTTACAGAAGATGGATCACTATGTGTTTGTGTGTGTGTGTGCGTGTCTCTGTGTGTGGTGGGGGGTGCAGAGAGGGAGAGAGCACTGGACTGTGTAACCAAATAACCTCAAATGGGTGGTGACAATAGAATTGCAATTACAGTTTGTTTTTGCTCATGTGCTGATTCACAGAGGGTGTTCTATGGCAGCAGATGGCTTTCCTCCAGATGGTGGTTCAGCTGCCCAGACTTTCCATAGCTTGGCTTCCCCATTTCCCTAGAGATATGTCATTATTTGCCTCCAGCCAGGGAAAGGAGAGAGACAGAATGATGGGGGTTGAGAGAGACATACCTCTTAAAGCCTTAACTTGGAAATCACATACTTCCTTCCTGACACATTTTCCTTTTGTGTATAAAGTAATACTTCTTTACATCACACATCAAATATTTGTACTTGTGTAGGAAAACAGATTATATTTTATTTTATCTTGAGAACTTGGTGGTCTAATGATAAATCCAACATTCTTTCTGCTTTACTTACTTACTGAGAGACAGATGACTACTGAATTTCCCAGAGCTAATGAGAGAATGAATGAATCCGATTCAAGGGCATGAATGCAACAAAAAATCAATACAAAAGTCTCATGTTGTTATTGGCTATGAATAATTTAGTGATCAGTAGCTTACAAAGTTGTATGCATATTCTTGAGTTGAATGCTCAGAAAATAATTATAGAACAGCTTATATAAAACTGAATTAATGATTATGAGTAGAAAGAGAAGCAACTACTTTCTACATATTTTTTCTATAGCCAAAGAACTACATGACATTCAAAAGAGATAGAAGCGTGTATATTCTATTCTAATGTTCTCAATATTGTTTACTACTAATAGTTAATTGAAGATAAAGTACTACTTTCTAAGTATCCAGAACTAATATGACTCTACAGTATGTATTTTTTTTATTTGTACTCTAAAACTGTTGCTATCAGTCTATACAAAGGCACAGGTAAGTGTACATGATATGGTGCTGAGATGCAAGTGTTTTAGGACCACCACCTTCCTATGCCCACTACACAGTAATAAACAAATACATTGAGACAGTAGGGTTTGCAGCAGAGAAAGACTTTAATGATTGCAGGAAAGCTGAGCAAGAAGACAGGAGGAGCCCTCAAATCCATCTATCTGAGGAGTTCTGGGCTGGGGATTTTAAGAGCATCATTGAAAGTGAGGGGCTGGAAAATTGGAGTCATTGATTTTTGAGCGTAAACGGGATGAAATCATTAGGATGTGCAAACTGCATTCTTTGGTGAATCAGCTCCTCCTGGGGTCCTTCAGACCAGCTTGTATCAGTAGTTTCGCCTATAGGTGAGACCTGAAAGAATATCTCAAATGGGAAACTTAATGTTTCCTGATGCTTAAAATGGCACCTATTTAATAGTTAAGAGAAACTATAATTTGTGACAGGGTTTACCTGATTCTGCAGCAATAGGCAGCAAACGACTATGAGGCAAAGAGTAAGCTGACCCATGATTAATGCCGAATATGCTGCAAGCTTACTTTATTTTTATTTTTTTCCCTCCCTTCTTCCTTCATTAATTTTATAGTTTATAGGAACAGTTTCACAAGTGGAGGTTAGCATATTGTTTTGTTATCTTGAAACCAATCACTGCTCCAAGACCATACTTCTTGCCTCTTGTATCAGGACATTTCCCCATAGGCTTGTGTAGAATTATTTGAATTCATGAAAAAAGTATTAGAAATTAAAACAAAGCAAAATGAAATGTTGAATGAAGATGATATAATAGGCATGCTCCTGAAAATTCCTGAAAATTATTTTGTCACCTGATATATTAAGCCTCACTTTTGAGATCACATCAGTGAAAGGTCCCATCATCAATCCCATTTTCCAGTCCAGAAATTAAAAGGGTGACAAGATTATACCTCAGTCATCTCAGAGAGAAAAAAATGGCATAATGCCTTCTTCACAACAATCTAGTATCCTATGGTGGGGAGCCAGAACAAAAAGTTTATTTTTGCTCCAGCCTCAAAGGAAAATGAATGTCTAGTTAATATTGGAAGTGCGTAGTATAATAACCACAGAAATAATTCAGTACCTGATCATGCTAATAAATTATTGTTTTTGAATAACAATGTGGAATTTTAAAAATGTGTCTGTTAACATTTTGATAAAACTGCTATAATTAATTGTGACAATTTAAGATTATTTTGGTAGTACAGCATTTAATTCTATCCATGATGATGATATTTGACTTTCCCCTTGGTTTTGCCTGCATATCGATGTCAATACCCAAATTTTCATATTTGGTCAAAATGCACACTAGGTACACCTCTCTTTACCAAGGAGGATCTAGTTGAAGAAGGCAGCAAAATGAGACATTGTTAGAAAAGCTCCCAGGTCCTACAATAGAGAAGGCATGGTAGGTCACACAAAAAGTTCAAAATTTATCTTCATAATGGTGAAGCCCAATGAAGAGTATTAATGTAGAATAGAAATGACAAGAGAGATATATTTGGAGAAGCCCATCTACATTGATTCTTTTGGTAGTAAGGAACATTAGATTTCAAGTGTGTAGCTCAGAAATGAAGTACTTTTGCAAAGATCCCACAGATTCTAAGGTTTAAGTCAAAATTCTATGATGAAATGCAATAAATCAAAACATCTATGTTAGAAATCAAAAGTATTTTGTGCCATTTATTTATATTTATCTAGATTTATAATGTTATCTAAAGTCTTCCGTATGTTTCTAATCAATGTCATTGAACATCTTTAGTTGAATTAGACATTTGAAGACTGAAATAATTCAGGAAACGGATTGTCTTCTTTGCAACATTCCATTTTAGGATACGTTGTTTTAGACACATATAAGATGAATTTTAGCTGAAGGACAAATGAATCATATGTGATAGTTGTTTCAAATGTTCAGCATAGACACCACTTATTGTCTTATAAAAAAGGACTTCAATTTTGAGGAATTTGGAATCCCAGAGCTTAGAAGATCACCTTAGTCCTCTAAACTCAAGCATTCCTGTGATGAAAATGGGCATGTTTTAAGAAGTAGAAAGAGAGAACAGGGAAAAAAGAAAGACAGGGAGGTAGAAGAAAACAGGGTTACACAGAAAAGGTAAAAAGGGGGAAAATTAATGATTATTTTCTCAATAACTTGTCTCTCTCTAATACTTTGAAATGTCTTCAAGTCTTCCCATAGCTCATAAAATGTCTTGATAATTTTTTTTTTCCACTGAGGTGTGTCCGTGGGTCTGTTCCCAGGTTTTATCATTTGTCAAACCTCTCAACATCCAGATCTCTATTGTTCAATTATAGGATATCTCCAGGAGGGATGAAACTTCATCTAACTGGGTGGATTTGCCACTTATCACTTAAACAGGAATTTAATGGTAATTTTCAGGATTTTCTGCATCCTTAGAAGTATTACTCTATTTGCTTTATAGAAGTGGTTGTAATAGAATATTTATATGATGAAAAATTAATTTTGGTGTGTATCTAGGCAAAACTGGAAATATTCTACAGAATTCTGGTATTTTTTCAAGTGTAATTGTAAAGTATTAATTGACAGTATCTTGCTTAAACGGTTATATTCATGGCTACCATTTAGTCATGGTTTTAACTACTTAAGCAAAAATTTTTTAATTAGTAAAATCATATTGTGCTTTTTATTAGTTTATTTTGGCCACAGCTAGAATTTGAAAGTATGGCTTCAAATATGACTTGAAAACACTAATAATAATGTACCAAAATTTAACATACTTTACCATCCAAAAATATATGCTATCCACATGAAACATATAAAACAGTTTTCATAACATTAAATACAGCTTAATATGATCTAATACACACTATTTGCCAATCTTATCAGAGTTAAAAATAGAATAACAGAACTGGTAGTTATCCATATTAAACTCTAAATACAAGTTTGAATATTCTCTGTGATCTTGAGATTTAAATAAACTATTTATAATATATTCCTGCTGACAAGAGTCCATGTCTCTGAATCGAGACCTCAAAGCAGATATATGGTCCCAGCTGCCAAAAAGTGACAGAGAATTTTGGACATTCCACATGTCCAAATGATGGCTTCATCTTACTTTACAACATCTGCTTTTGGTAAAGTTCTTGTAGTCTTGTAGTACATTGCAGATATTTCAGAGAAGAGAGAGAACTCTGGTCAAAGCAGAATTATCTGTAATTTTAATATAAATTATGTTTAAGAGCCCAATATTTCTGCGTATGTAATCATTAAGAGATTAATTGTTTACTTAAAAATACTATTCCTCTGTGTGCTACCTCCAAAGTCCTCAGTCTCAGTAAACTCATAGGTTAATGGTGGCATTCCACCTTAAACAGAAAATTACAATACTAGAGCTTTGTACAAGGTACCGTGGCAGCAGAGAGGAGTGCCTAGACTGGTTATGAAGGCTCAATAAATAATTTCTGGAAAAGATAACCTAAAACAAAACAAAAAAAACACAACAAAAAATGGATTCATATAAACTCAAGCAAGAGACCTTTGGCAACATCTAGTTCAGCCTCATTTTATAGACAAGAACATTGATGTTTAGGAAAGATAAAACACTGTGTTACTTAACATAGAAATTGATGCTGGAACTCAGAAATATACTATTAATTTAGTTCTCTTGAATCTCTCTGTACTTAATGATCAGTTTCTTGAGTCGCACTGCCCAGGCCTAACTTCTAAACAGATTACTCCATCCTGTTTTGGTGCCTGGTCCAATCATCAGTGGTCAACTAAGGGTGGGATCACGTCATACAAAAATAGCTGAATCCTACCCTATTGTTGGTAGGTGGTACTCAGAGGATTAGATGAATACATAGAATTGTCTACCACAGAAAGAATTTTACCACCATATTTGCCTTAAAAACTTTTGATTACCAAGTCAGAAATTTGTCTTCTATATATCAAGAAGGCAAAAGTCAAGAAGATTTTCAAACAGAATGGAAGAACTTCATGAAAGTGAAGTCTCCTGAGGAAAGACCTTGTCAAGCTGCAGAGGACTGTATCCATTGCAAGAAATCACTCTGTGTGTGGCAGAGAAGAAAGTTTTTGCAAAGGACAAATTGATATCTCAGAGGAAAATTCTAGTTTTTAGGAAGTTTGCTTACAGTTGCTTGGCAGAGGGGAATGATTGAACAGAGGAGAGAGAGAGAGAGAGGGAGGGGGAGAGAGAGAGAACAGAGAGAGAATGAGAAGAAAGAAAGAGAGGGAGGGAAAGAGGGAAGGAAGGAGAAAGAGAGAAGAAAG
The DNA here is from genome assembly GCF_000001405.40 of Homo sapiens. NCBI lineage: Eukaryota > Metazoa > Chordata > Mammalia > Primates > Hominidae > Homo > Homo sapiens. The sequence continues at coordinate 86,291,284 of NC_000014.9, read as the reverse complement.
AGGGAGATAAGGAAGGAAGAGAGAAAGAGAGAAAAAGAAAAGAAGAAAGAGAGAACCAAAGAGAAAGAGAAGAAAGATGGAGAGAAAGATAAGAAGGAGAGAGAAAGATAAAAGAGAGAAGGAAGGAAGAAGGAAGGGGGGGAGGGAGGGAGGGAGGGAGAAAGGAAGAAAAGGAAGGAAGAAAGAAAAGAAAGAGAGGCAGGCCAGAATGGGATTATAAGGGTCTAATACAATAGGGTACTGAATGAGATGTGATGGGGAAAGCAAGTGAAAGCTGCATGCAGCTTATCAGAATCAAAAAACAAGGTAATCAGAAACAGCAACAGCAATAAACCCTTATGGCTAGGGACTCCAGCATTGCTACAGTTCTCAGAGAAAATACCTGAGATAATTTATTATCCAGACTTCTGAAACCATCTATGCATCATACTGAGGGCATATCCTGGTTGAACAATGGTAACATAAGAATTAATGAAGTATTTTCCTTTGTAAATGAAATACTGATGACTATATGTGATATAACAGAAAAGTAGATGCCACTTATTGTGACAATGATTGAGAAAAACAAGCAACATGAGCATGCTGTTTTTTACACAAGAAGATAATGCTATGAGCTCATTGTAAGATATATGTCTGCCTGGTGTTGTTTTTATAAAGAAATCAAAAAATGAAGGAGGCTGAAGGCCTCCTGGATCCAAACAAAAATAATAAATAAATTCTAGAGCTCATTTTTCTGGCTTCATCAGCTTATCATGCCTTTAGCATCTGAACAGGATATCTGAAGAGCATGTATTTCAGGTTGTAAACTTTACTCTCGGTGCTTGTGTGCTAAGACATATTTTTCTCCACTCTACCCTCTCCTAGAGGCTACAGTAAAAGGCTGCATGGCAAGGACTAGAATAGGAAGGGAACTTCTATGATTCCATGTAAGACCCTTTTAGCATAATACAATGCATGATATATACTAAGTGGAGCTTAGTCTTTGCAGTGACTGATTTTTATCATCATTCTTAGCTGGCCCAACCAAAGCTGAGACCATTCTCAGAGGCTTCTTCCCTTCTTTTACATATTTCACTCTTAGAATTCCTATCATCCCTGCCCCTCCAAACTTGACAATATGTGAAATACGAATCATGTTGAATCGCACATGAGAGATGTTAGACACAGTGGGTTGGCCTTCTGGGCATGAGGAATAAAGAGGCTAAGTGGACTAAAAAACTGTGGGGAGAAATTGGAAGAAAGGAAACAGAAGGTCTGAGTGCGTGAGGAATAATGTTCAACTGGAACACGTCTGTGGCCAAAGATTGAGTCCAAAATAAAGATATTGAACAAATTAAAAATAAACAAACAAAAATCAAAATGAATGCCTTCTGGGTTGTTCAGCACACTGTGGATACTGTATATGCAGTGTAATATTATGCAAACCTTATAATGACTCCAGGACAGATTGTGTAGTACTTTATATGTAAAATTGACTGTAAGTAAAATGACTGTAAGTCATCTTATTAAGAATTGTAACACTATCCACTCACATGATAATATAGATAATGTGAGAGTAACAAATGGAAATGAGCAATGGCTCAATGAGTTAAAAAAAAAAAAAAACCTTGGTGAATTTTCACATTTCAGAGGTGCCATTAAAATGAAGAACATTTGGAGCACTGGGATATCCATCATCAATTGCCACGGCTTCAGGTCTGTGAACTCTAAACTCATACTCACTTAGTGCAAAGCCTGAGCCACGTCTTATAGTTCTAAGAATGGCAGTAAAGGATTTCTCTCTACATCCTTCAGTTTATTCTGCTATATAAGGGTTACATTTGAGTGCGGATTAAATGAGATATTTTCTATAAAGCATCTAGCAAAGTGCCTGGCTCACAGAAAAGACCCAGAGAATCTGGGATATCAGTATTATTAAAAGATCGAGTGTTAGAAGACAGACATTTCTAAATCCTGTCTTAATATTTACAAACCTGGAAATCCCACACACAGCAGTGTTGCTTTGAACTTCAAATCTGTAAATTGTTAGATAAATTAAAATTACTTTGAATTTCTTCTGAGTTCTCAGATTAGAAGAAATAAACATTTAAATAATGTCACCTCAGTTCTCAAATTGAAGAAATAAATTACCATAAAAGTATTGTGTTGCACTGGCATTGGGGTTGAAAAATAATATGGTTAATTAAATATATGGATAATTCACATTTATCATGAACATGTTATATTTTTCTTTCATTAATGTTGTGGAAAATAATTTTAGTCTTTGTTATTATTTCAGTAGATACAGCCAAGTAAGCACTACCAAAACTTTCTTGAATGAATCATTATCTTATAGGGCAACAACAGATTTCCTCTAAGGAACTCACCAAAGAGAAACAGCATTGCTACAGGGGAGGTCAGATATTCAATGAATACACACTTTGTGATATATGAAAATACACTTAAAAATCCTGAGAAAAACCTTAGTGAGATTATTAATATATTCAGAGAAAGAATATTTTAGTCATAAAAAAGAGATTGGTCAGTAAAAGGAGCCTTATAACATAATTTGCGGAGACAAGTATCAGTAGCATTTATTCAAGCACAATCAAAGGTTCTTCAAGAAAGAACGTCTTCTCTAAAATATTTGTGGTGCTATTGGTAAACCATGTCTGAAGAGAGGAAGACTACCTCTAGCTAATTCTTTTAGCATTAGTGACATTCTTTTCTCTGTAGGAAATTCTATACTTGAAGCCAAATTAGAATGGGATTGGCATCAGAACAGGGGTATTAAAGGATTAGCCTAAGAAGGGTTCTGAGCAAAATTTAGTCTCACTTCTTATTTTCCTACTGTGAAAATAACAGGTTACTTTTGCTTAAAAAAGTATCTGGTTCATATCACTGGCATATACTAATTAATAAATTAGAATTGTGGTTTCATATTTCAGTTTGCAGGAACATAGTTGGTGTGAATGTTTCCTTGAAAAAGGAATTGGTTCTCAACATGTAGACATACCAAATTTCTGACCATGAAAATCTGAGCACTGGATCTATCTTGAAGTATATACCCCAAGTTAGATAGACTGACCTCTTCTGAAAACATCCAATCCTGACCAAGTTCCCAATAAACCATTCACACCATCTTTATCTTCTGCAAGATCTACTACAAGTGATCAGTTATTATTCAGTCTCTTGGCTTCAGGGTTTCTCAATAAACTCTTATCATCATACATATAGAAATAAGAGTTTATTGAGAAACCCTAAAGCTCAAAACTTCTTAGCTCCAGACTTATCGATCTATACTAGGATGTTTAAGTCCATCTCTACAGGAATAATTGTCTTAAAACAGAACTCTAGATTTACCCTTCAAATACTCTCTCCAGTACTTCCTCATTAAAGTAAATGACACCCTTATTCACTTACTTGCTCAAGCCTAAAAACTGAGACTTTATTCTAGATTTCTCCCCCACCTTGAGATATCATAGCAATGCCTGCCAACTCCTTATTTCAAACATCTCCTGAATTGAATCAATTCGCCTCTCTCCATCTCCACTGCCACCCCAATCAGCTCTCACTTGTATCCTAATCATCTCCTGACTGGCCTTTTTGCTTCCACCCTCCCTCTCCTAATGACTTCTGCACACAACAGCCAGCATGATGTTTAAAAATTGTGAATCAGTTCATGCAATCACCAAGCTTCTAGGATTAAAATTCACACACTAAAGTATGGTGATTTATGAGGCAATCTGCCCTCCGCCGGTCTCTGTAACCTCAGTATTCCCTCTCGCCCACCAGGTTCCAGGCTCACTAAGATCTGTCCCTCCCTCCCTCCCTCCCTCCCTCCCTCCCTTCCTTCCTTCCTTCCTTCCTCACTTCCTCCTTCCCTTCCCTTCTCTTTCCCTCATCCCTTCCCTTCTCTTTCCTTCATTCCTCCCCTTCCCTTCTCTTTCCTTCTTCCCTTCCCTTCCCTTCCCTTCCATTTCCTTCCCTTTCCTTCCCTTCCCTTCCATTTCCTTCCCTTTCTCCTTCCCTTTCCTTTCCTTCCTCCTTCCCTCCCCTTCTCTTCCTCCTTCCTTTCCCTTCCCTTCCCTTTCCTTCCCTTCCTCCTTCCCTCCCCTTCCCTTCCCTTTCCTTTTCTTCCTCCTTCCCTCACCTTCCCTTCCTCCTTCCTTTCCCTTCCCTTCCCTTTCCTTCCCTTCCTCCTTCCCTCCCCTTCCCTTCCTCCTTCCCTTCCCTTCCCTTCCCTTCCCTTCCTTTCCCTTCCCTTCCCTTCCCTCCCCTTTTTCTTAATTCTCATTTCTTGTACGTGTAGATTCTCAGCTCTGAGTTCTTTCCTCCCAGGTCATTTTTCCTTCCCTTCATTTCTCAGTCTAAATACTACCCCTTAGATGATCTTTCCTGGTTAATTAATCTAAAATAGTACCCCCACCAGGCATTCTTTCCCAAAGAACCACACCGTTTGCTTCATAGCATACATCCCAACCCTCATAGACTCTCATTTGTTTCTTTCTACCAAAGCAGGGATGCTGTGTGACAGATTCATGGTTGTTTCCCCTGCACCTGGAAGGACAAATGGCCAAAACATAGCAGAAGCTTATGAGGGTCTGTTCAAAGAATGGATCGCACAAGAAATGTAGTTCAGAGAACACAGGGGAAAAAGAGAATGTTAAAATGATATAGTCCAGTTTATTTATTTTCAAAGTTCAAGCCTGGGTAGATGACTAAACTTGCCTATAGGCTCTTAACTAATTAACGATAAATTTGGAACTCAGGCAAAAGTTTACTGACTTCTAGTTCAGAAAGTGTTTAGCAGATCACACTGCCTGTTCAATGACACTGACTCTTTAGAGATATGTAGAGAGTTTACAGAGCATGTAATAACTTTACTTTGCATTTATGCCCCATCTATTTCTACACTTAATCAGGTTTTGAGATGACTAACAAAATCTAAACATAAGTAAAACAACACTTGGGTTGAGAAATAGACATATCTTTCTGAGTAATGAATTAAGCGGCTATATTATCTTGTGTTATTTCATAAGGAAAATAGTATAATATGTGTTCTAAACTGTGCCTTTGCAATGGACTAATATAATTTGAATGAGCATTTCAAAAACACACCTAAACTTTACCTCATTTTATAAAAATATAGTACTTTTATGTTGTCTTTAATGAACTAAATGTATTGATTGGGGGAAGGCTCATTTAAATGAGTTTCTTGCAAATCATTTGGCATTATAGTTAATGAGAAAACAAACATATAATGGAAACTACCTGCTATAATCCAGGGTTTATTTTGATTTTCAAGATTTAACCTCTGACCATAAAAATTATTTCTCAAGGGACCTAGGAAGGGCTCATAAAGTAATATCATTTATGCCAACTTTGTTTTGCTGCATTCTACCTAAATAGATGTGAGAATAGTGTTAGGTCAGAAGATAGAACACAGCAAAATATAGTATTCTTATTCTTCTATATCTGTGACCCAAATTAAGAGGAACCCTAAACCAACATCCACTTAAAGCATTAAATTCTAATTTTGCTGCTTTTTTCTGTTTGATGACTGAGATGACGGTTCATATTTTTTTTTTCTTTGCAGTCCACTTTTATTTTCTTCATCTAAGAATGCACCTTGTCAGAGCCTGGAATAATTATCTATAAAGCCTATTTAAAAAGTCTGGTGACAAAGAAAAACTGAGAATAATTAACTCCAGCAAAATGATGAAATCTCAGTCCTATCCTAGTCTCAATCAATGGTAGATCCCATGGTTTTGCAGCCTGGAAATACTGTGCGTGATTATTAGTTTTATCACTAATATTTTGACTTTATATTGACCTCATTTGACCATGTCTACATTTCCATTGTTTTGCAATTAACCAAATGTCTTCAGTGTAGGAGTCCCTTTGGTGAATAAGGAGGCTATGAATGGTTCCACTTTGGAAGCATCCCTTGCCAATGGAATGAATTCAATGCAACAGAGTGGGCAGGGTACAGGGCAAAAAGAAGGCTGATGACACCTGGCTGCATTAGGTTTCCATGTTTTGTCTACATAATGCCAAAACTGGTACAAAGGAGAGGCAAGAGGAACATTTAGTTATTTCTCCTTCTTATTATGCTACATGAAGTGATTCTTTCCCTGTTCCCACTCAAAACATGCCCCTAATCAGTTGGGGCCTTATAAAGTTGTAAATGACAGTTAATCACAGCAGAATTAAGAGGCATTTCTGTAAATGATGGATTTTTATCCTCCCAGGTTTTTTTCTGAAGGAAATCATGGGGAAATGGATTGTAGTTTCAAAAAATGTTCACATAATAAATGTTTCTGTTTATATAGGTATGTTATATTCCTTGTTAAAAAAAACATATATTTGCAGATCATCTACCAATGTTTCTCAAGTTATATTTTCCTCCTTATTAGTACATAGTTCACAGTGGCAAAGACAGAAAAATAAAACCAACAACCATAAAGGGGGCCTCCACAGCCACTGCATATGTTACATCTCACAGTCATAATAATCTTTGTTTAAATTCTTTAAAAACTAATTTTAAAAGTTCACTGGCAATGTTAAAAAAAGAGCATATTCATTCTCTACTCACTCAGTGTATTTGGAGAAGCCTGATGACATCTTCTTGCGTTCATGAATGTTCCCACTTCTCATGTATATTGCTGAGAAGAAGAATAACCAATCTGTTTTAATATTCATAACCTCTAACTCTCCCTGCTTGAGCCGTGTTGAACCACACATGTGGCACTTACCTTATTTTGTGCAGTCCATTTCTGGAACAGGGCAAATCACACACATGAGGAAGTTGGGTCATAAGGGATAAGGTTCGTGTTCAATTCATCTTTGCGCCAAGTTCCCACCAGGTTGTCCTGCTGTATAAATATTTTCTTAGCATATAAATATGTGAAATAAATTCACACAAGAGAGTTATATCGCTTAAAAAAGCAGGAGAACAAGCTCTACAGATGAATACTTTCTACCTGCATCTCTTTGTTCTCTCCATTGTTATGCAGTCTTTAGGCCTCAGAATGTATTTTGCGACACTCTGTTTTCTAAGCCATCAGCAATTTTCTAAATGGCTTTTTTCAGCTTTCTTAGGGACAATGAAACCAAAAATTGTACATGGGGGAGATAATGGTGGGTAGTTATTCAGAGCCATCAGCCATCACTGTTCAGGGGTTTTGTGTGTGTGTGTGTGTGTGTGTGTGTATGTGTGTGTGTGAAGGAATGAATTTCAATAGTTCATTTCTTATGAGTCATGTTTATGCAGGTGTATTTTCTGGGATGGATGAAATTGATCAGAAACTAATGTAGGCAGAGTGAAGAATTAACGGGATTTTAAAATCACTTTATTTATTAGTAGTGGGTAGTGAATTCAGAAGTGAATTTTCTATCCATAAATCAAGATGGGGGATTATTATTTTCTAAATTTTATGAGTGGTAATGTGAGAGCCATATATTAATGTATTTGGCAAAGATATAGTTACATTAGTAACTGTCAGATTACCTCTGATAGTAATTTATTTCTTGACATCTACTAATGGTCATCTGAAAGTATGAAATGCCATGTAAGTAGCTTTTAGTGAACAACATGAACTGATGAAAGTAGATGGAGATAATGTAATTTAAATTGGATCTCATGCACACCTTCATACATACACACGTGATACCATATATAATGAATGATATCTTATTAAAAGATGCAAAGTATGACATATAAAATTCTAAGTGCTTATAGACTATAAAAAGAGAACTGTCATATTCTCTCAGGGCAGGGAAAGAGCCTCCTTTGCAATTGATAATGAAGGATGAGGAGGAAGAAAAAAAGTCCTACAATTAATGTGACTGCTTTTTGGCAGATGTGAACTATACAAAATGAGGGTCATGGGTATACTGTACATCTAACAAGTTCAATTAGAAAAAGCAATGTGCAGTTTAGTGTCAATCAAGGTTATGTGAGATATATTTCATAAATTAATGTAAAACCAGAATTTTATTGCACGGACCACCATCCGCCTGCCTTTCAAGACACCACTCCAATCACAGGTAGTGCTTGTGGTTGTGCTGAGTGTTAGGCTTTTCTATTGACAATCTATGTAGTCATGACCACAAGGAGCATTAGGTCTTGTTTTAAAAGTCTCACTGATACTATAGGGAGTTCAAGATTATCGAGATATTGTTGCATGGCAAAATTTTTCAATAGGCTAGAAAAGGAAACATATTGACTGAGAAGCACAATCTGCTATGGTACTGTCTCAAGGAATGAGATATAAAGTAAAAGACAGAAAAAAAAGCACTCATTAATGTTATCAACAGAAGGCAAATAAATTTCTAGTAGCCAATTAAAAAGTAAAAAAAAGAAAAAAGCAACAGGTGAGTGAATTTTATTAATATATCTTATTTAGCCAAATATATCCAGTATAACATTTTGAAATGTAATTAATGTAAAAATTATTAATGAGATATTTACATTATTTTTTCATATCACGTCTTTCAAATCTGGTGTGTATTTTACTTATAGTATATCTCAGTTTGGACTAGCCAGTTTCAAGCGCTCATGGACATATGTGGCTAATAGCTTCCCAAATGGACTTCTCAGGTTTAGGCAGACTTTCTTGCAATTATCAAGAAAACAGAGGAAGAAGGGCTGATACTATTCATTCATTTACATATCTCATCATGTTGGAGGAAAGACATCTAGTTAGAGCTCTCAGGTGACAGACCCAAGCTCTTGCTCCTTCTTCACATTTGGGTAGAAGTCTTCAAATTGAAGAAGGGGAAACAAGGGAAGGGACATCCCTGAGAATGCAAGTTAACAGGTTAGGGATATATAACTAATTGCCCAATTACTTTTGCACTAACCTAATATAACAAACCTAAAAACAAGGAGATGACTAAGGAATCTGCGCTAAGTTGAGCTGCCTTTGTGTTCAGTGTCTCCATTTGGGTTCAAACTCCACATTTCAGTGAACACCTGACAGATTTTCTGGGATCCAGATGATTTTGTAGTGAAGATCTGTGCCCCGCACTCATGCTCTGGCACTGAAGACAAAACAACAGTGCTATATAATGTGTTGATGGACTGTGATTCAGAAGAGAGGTGTCATACACAGGGTGACAGATGTTCCAGTTTGTCCAAGGCAGTTTCCATTTATGTTTATTGTACTAGTGTGATTATTCAAAATTATTTATTTCACTCTCAAATATGTTTTCATTTGGAAAATAAATTATATGTTCACACCATCAGGCAAACCCCAAGTAAGGGGTGAGGGACGCTCAGGGAATTCCATGCCTAGGTATAGGTCAAAGAGGACAGATAGATTCCCAATGTCAGCACAGAGGAGAAAATTTGAATTTAAAATCCTAATATATTAATAATAATTTGAAAGAAGAAGGAACTAAGCTGACGTCTTTACCAAAGTTTATTTATCTCAAATAAGAACAATGTTTCTATCTCCATAGCTCTCCTTCTCTAAGCAATTTTGTGTTCATTTGAATAACAAAATTGCTGTCACTGTTAATAAAACTGAGTAGTTTAAAAACACAAACTAAGCATCCTAGCTGTTTTTGACTCTTATGTAGATATTTCTAAAAATTATCAGGCTTATTTATTCTGATCTTACAGTTTAAAAATATATTTGTAATGAGATCTAGATAAAGTGTTTTGTTAACATCTTCACCTCGTGTTCTATTTTTTCAATAATTATTATTACTTCTTCACTGACCTTTATATGGTTTGAGCTTTAGGGGACATTGCAAATTAACTTTAAATGTGACTAGATCTTTATAAATGAAGGACGATTTAGGTGTAAATTTATGGCATGTAAAATATTATAGTTAACTGTGTGCTAACGTAAAAAACCTAGCTATCTGGAAAGTATTTGTTTATAGAGGAACATAAACAGCCGGCATTAGGGAAATTTACAAGAATGTGGGGAATGATTAGACTGTATCTAAGGCATTTATATGTGGGTATAAAACTTTTAATTTATTATATTGATTTTTTTTGCTATCAAAGATATTGCAGTCATGATAACTTTGCCTTCTTTTCCAAGAAATTTTAGCAAGATGACTTTATTTTATGGTGTATTCATAATGACTGCATGAATCAGAATGCCTTATTATATTTTTTACCATTTTTGTTAAAGCCACCAACAATGATTAAAAAATCTCATTGTCTACATTAAGAAAAAACAAACATTTAGTAAAGAGAAGTATCCATTATGCAATAAGAATATATAGATATCAACACTCAGTTTTATTTTATTTATTTTGTAAAATTGATTTCTTAGTCTGGGTTATTTGTTAAAGGTAATCATTAACAGTTCAGAATTGTTAGGAATTTGACTGAATTATATTAGATGGTTGTATTAGTCCCTTCTCACATTGCTATAAAGAACTACCTAAGACTGGGTAATTTATACAGAAAAGAGCTTTAATTGACTCACAGTTCCGTAGGCTGTACAGGAAGCATGGCTGGGTAGGCCTCAGGAAATTTGCACTCATGGCAGGTGAAGAAGAAACAGGCATGTCTTACCTGGTTGGAGATGGAGGGAGAAAATGAAGGGGGAAATGCTACACACTTTAAAAACCAGATCTCATGAGAACTCATTCACTATCACAAGAACAGCAAAGGAGAAGTCTGCCCTCATGATTCAGTTATCTCTCACCAGGTCCCTCCTCTAACATTGGAAATTACAACTCAACATGAGATTTGTGTGGGGACACAAATCCAAACCATATCATTCTGCCCCTAGCCCTTCTCAAATATCATGCCCTTCTCACATTGCGAAATACAATGATTTCTTTTCAACAGTTCCCCAAGTTTTAACTCATTTTGGCATTAACTCAAAAGTTCACGGTCCAAAGAGTCATCAGGGACAAGGCAAGATCCTTCTGCCTATGAGCCTGTAAAAAAAAAAAAAAAACAAGTTAGTTACTTCCAAGATAAAATGGGAGGGCAGGCATTGGGTAAATACAACCATCCCAAAAGGAAGAAATCAGGCAAAACAAAGGGGCTACAGGCCCCATGCAACTCCAAAAGCCCACAGGGCAGTCATTAAATCTTAAGGCTCCAAAATAATCTCATCTGACTCCATGTCTCATATTCAAGCCATACTGATGCAAAGAGTGGCCAAAAAAGGCCTTGGGCGTCTCCAACCTTGTGGCTTTGCAGGGTGTAGTCCCCTCAGCTGCCTGCAGTTTTTCCCATCTCACAGTGAAGGCTGTCTGGATCTATCATTCTGGGGTCTGGAGGATGGTGGTCCTCTTTTACAGCTCACTAGGCAGTGCCCCAGTAGGGACTCTGGGTGATAACTCCAACCCCACATTTCCCCTCTGCACTGCCCTGGTAAAGGTTCTCCATGAGGGTTTCTCCCCTCTAGCAGACTTCTGCCTGGACATCTATGCATTACCATACATCCTCTGAAACCTAGGCAAAGACTCCCAAGCCTCAACTCTTGACTTCTGTGCACCCACAGGCTTATACCACATATGCGCTACCAAGGCATATGGCCTGCACCCTCTGGAGCAACCTGAGATGTATCCAATGACGTTTTAGCCACAGTTGGAGCTGGAATAGCTGGACACAGGGAACAGTGTCCTGAGGTTGTGCAGCAGGGCCCTAGGCTGAGCCCATTAAATTATTTTTCCCTCTTAAGCCTTTGGCCCTGTGAAAGGAGAGGCTGCCTTGAAGGTCTCTGATATGGCTTTGAGGCATTTTCCTCATTGACTTGGCTATTAACATTTGGCTACTCTTTACTTATGCAAATTTCTGTAGCCAGCTTGAATTCCTCCCCTGAAAATGGGTTTTTTTCTTTTCTGACACATGGTTAGGCTGCAATTTTTTTTAACTTTTATGCTCTGCTTCACGTTTAAATGTAAGTTCCAGTTTCAGGTCATGTCTTTGCTCATACATATAAGCCTGTGTACACTGTTAGAAGCAGCCAAACCTCCTATTGAACACTCTGCTGCTTAGAAATTTCTTCCGCCAGATACCTAAATAATCTTTTCAAGTTCAAAATTCAACAGATCTTCAGGGCAGGGGCACAATGCCTCCAACCTCTTTGCTAATGCATAATAAAAGTTACCTTAGCTCCAGTTCTCAATGAGTCCCTCGTCTCTACCTAACACCCCCTCAGCCTGCACTTCATTGTCCATATCACTATCAACATTTTGGTCACAATAATTTAACAAGTCTCTAGGAAATTCCTAACTTTCCCTGTCTTCTTCAGAGCCTTTCACACTCTTCCAAGCTCTGCCCATTACCCAGTCCCAAAGACACTTCCACATTTTCAGGTATCTTTATAACAATACCCCACTCCTGGTACCAATTTCCTGTATTAGTCCTTTATAGCAATGTAAGAATGAACTATCTAAGACTTGGCAATTTATACAGAAAAGAGGTTTAGTTAACTCTCAGTTCCTGTACCGGAAGCATGGCTGGGGAGGCCTCAATAAACTTACAATCATGGCAGAAGGCTAAGGAGAAGTAGGAAGATCTTACATGGCTGAAAATGAAGTAAAAGAGTTAAGGGGGAAGTGCTACACTCTTTTAAACGACCTGATGTCATGATAACTCACTCACTATCATGAGAACAGCAAGGGGGAAGTCTTCCTCCACGATCCAATCTCATCCCACCAGGCCCTTCCTCCAACACTGGAAATTACAATTCAACATGAGATGTTGGTGGGGACACGAATCCAAACCATATCAGTGGCAATCTAAAAATAATGTTTTTTTTATAACTTTTAAGCATGCACACACACTGATAAATCTTAACAGTTAACAAATTATTATTTTAGGAATTGTCATTTCCAGATCAATTTAAATATAGTGACTTTTAATAAACATTAATCATCTGAATGCTAGTGGTGATAGAATTTGCTAAGACTCATAATAATATTATTTTATATTAAAACTTTTTATAATGAGTTTTTCTAACATCCATAAATGTAGATAGAATAGTACATTGAAACTTAACCTAAGATTAAATAATTACCAACATTTTGTCATATTTGATTCATCCTTTATTTTTTTGTTTGATAAAATGTTATTTTAAAGTAACCTCCAGGTATTTCATTTCTAAATATTTCAGAGTGCATCTCTGAAAAATAACATTTTCTTTTTGTTTTTTCGAGATGGAGTCTCACTCTGTCGCCCAGGCTGGAGTGCAGTGGCACGATCTCAGCTCACTGCAACCTCTAACTACCTGGGTTAAAAGCAATTCTCCTGCCTCAGCCCCTGCAATAGCTGGGATTACAGGTGCACACCACCACGCCTGGCTAATTTTTGTTTTTTTTAGTAGAAATGGGGTTTCACCATGTTGGCCAGGCTGGTCTCAAACTCCTGACCACATGATCCACCCACCTCAGTCTCCCAAAGTGTTAGGATTACAGGTGTGAGCCACTGCACCCAGCCAATATTTTCTTGAATGACTCCAATATTGTGATCACACCTGATTAATTATCACCTGTTAGAAATTTACATGTAAAATATATTCATACACAACCACCATAGCAATATATTATTGCTATGGTTTCAATGTCTCCCTCCAAATTCAGAAGTTGAAACTTAATCATCAATATGATTATATTAAGAGATGGACTCTTTAAGAGGTGATTAAGTCAGGAGGGCAGAGCACTCATGGATGGGATTGGGGTACTTATAAAAGGGTTTGAGGGAAGAGGTTTTACTTTTGCCATAGTAAAAGTCACTCACCAGACATGCATCCTGATGGCAGCCTGAAGTTGGACTTTCCAGCCTCTAGAAGTATAAGAAATAAATGTTTGTTCTTTATAAATTACCCAATCTGTGGTATTGTTATAGTAGAACAAACTAACTGATATGGTTTGGCTATGTTCCCACCCAAATCTCATCTTGAATTCCCATGTGTTAAGGAAGGGACCCTGTGGGGGCAGTTCTTTCCTGTGCTGTTCTTGTGACAGTGACTAAGTCTCACAAGACCTGATGGTTTTATTTAAAGTATAATAACTTTACTAGAATTAATCTTAGAATTGGCTGGTTTTGACCAGTTTCCCAAACCACATGGTGTATCCCTATTTAAAGTAATTTAAAATCCTCTTCAATTTAAACAAAAATAAATAAATTTCAAGTTTTAGTGTGAATTTTGATCCATTGATGTTTCTTCTTTTCTGAAGATCCCTGTCATACAAATGTGTTATCTTCTTTGCTTATATTGTATATGTATCCTTTCTCAAGGCCTTTTCATTTTGTTCTTTGTTTTGTTTTGATTTAAACAATTTTTTAATAGTTCATGTTGCACTAAATAATAATCTGGCTCTTTATTAACTTGAGTTTCTTTCTCCTTTTGCTTTATTATGGTTATAATTATTTCATATTCTTTTCAAGTTTTAAACTCAATTTTTAAATGTTCATTTCTTATTCTAATAATCTTATCTCTGAGTATTCTAATTTTAATTTAAGCTGTAGTTAGTTTCCATTATTTTCCTAGTACATTTTAGCTCATTTGAAATGTCAGTTTACTATTTTAATCTACCTTGTGAGCATGTATTATTGGTCTGCTTTCCTTCTTGTAAGGTTCCCATAATCACTAAAATTAATGCACAGAACTTTTAAATGAAACAAAATTGAACATTGACAAAAAATGGTTGGAATTTGAATTTAAATTGTTCAAACTATGGATAATATGTTTAAAAGAGTTACAATATATAGATACAAGGGAAGAAAGGGAAGATCTCATAAAGCCAAAGTATACACTTTTTATTGCTTCATGAAAACAACAGAAGAGGTAGTTGGAGCCATGAAACAAAATTTGAAAGGGGTTTCTAAATATTAAATTTGAAGATGAGCTTAAAGAAACCATAATGGAATGAGGTGATGATGTGGGCGCATTGTGGTCTAGGGATAGGTATAGACCAGCAGTGGACAAACTAGAGACTGCAGATTAAATCTGACCTGCCTCCTTTTGTATAAATAAAGTCTAATTGGAGCATAGCCACACCCATTTGCTCACTTATTTTTTTCTGCTAATTTTGCATTAGAATTCAGAACTAGATCATATAGCCTGCAAAGACTAGAACATTTACCGTCAGCACTTTAGAGTTCAGTTATTTTGAAAAAGTATAGGAATCAAGGTAGTCCAACACCATCAAATCTCATTGTTTCCTGGTCTTTTGAGCACAGCTGCATATTGGATAGAAATTGCCTTCTATTTTTGGCTGTTGTAAATGTTATCCCTTGATTTTTTTTTCTATTCTAATTGCCTTATTTTTAAAAAAGACATTCAATGAGACTGAAAAATTACACTGTTGCTTCTTCCCTGTTTCCTGAAACAAGTAAGGGTCTTAGAAAATGTTTCAAGAATTATATAAGGAAGTTAAACAAACTTGTTTGCAGTAAAATTATACACAAGCCTTTCTGTAGCAATAGACATTACAGAGTTCAATTTAGGACTAACCATTTCAAATTGTCAAAAATACAAAATCAAACTTTTTTATAATATTTTACTGTGCTTAGTTTTGTTGCTCAAGTTTTCTTTTTAATTCTAAGTCCATGCCAGCAAATTTTATTTAATAACATATATTCATTTAAACTTGTATTAATTTCATTTTTGAAATGCAAAATGAACAAACAATATAGAATTCTCTTACCACAAAGACCTTATCTTGTAGAAGATTAGCTTGACACATAGACAAACATTTGTCAGAATTTTCAAGGACATTGGATATGCCACAATGAATGTGGAAACCCAAAGAAATAAGTAATAAAAGGGATTACCATTTACCAATATTCCACTGGTTGTCGCTGGCTGAGTAACATAAAAGTACACCACAATGCGCTAGTTTACTCATTATTAAAATATGGAAATAGTTTACCTTGAGCTCCCAAGTGACTCTCTGATGTCTCAGACATCCTAGTCACTTCCACAGGGCACATGAACTATCATATAGCCAGCAACTTTACAGCTGGAAGTATCTAGACACCGTTCAAGTTGTATATCTAGTATGTGTTATATTTTTCAATGTATCTGTCAACTGGGTGTTAATATTTTTAATCATTTCTCCTTAAAGTAATATTAATAATTTGAGCATTTAAAATACTACACATATATTTAAAGGTTTGTTTTTTATTCCTTACATTTGCTCTTCTGTTTAGCAAGGAACCCACTTAATGTGAAAACTCGTAGTTTAGAAATGAAAACAAATCGATATTTTATAATTTCTCTCCTAATCTGGCAAACTTACACTATTTATAATATATAATTTTGATAAATGCTTATGGTATAGTATTTTAATATTCTTCTTAGACTCTGAAATACAAGAGCTTCCTGTTTCAAGACCAAACCAAAGCACATAAAATGTAAAAACCATTAATAGAGATGGATATTGGAACTTCTGCTTCAAATTGGTACATTGGTACAGAAGACCTTCAATCCTGTGGTATACAATAAGAAAAATCCAGACATATTAAAAAACACAAACTTTATCATAGCGCTACTGAAGAGTGGTAAACTGAATACCATATAGAAACAAACGTTTTATATGTGAGTAGAAAGCTGTGGTGGATTTCATCCAGAAAAAAAAAAAAAAACTTGGTTCTAAATATGAATATAAGAAAGGCTTGCCATAGGAAAAAAAATGTAAAAATGTATGCAGGAGGTGAAATCAGCTAAGCCTTAGATGACAGTGTGTGCTAGCATGACAAACTGGAAAAAGAAAAAGCCCTGAACTCAAATATAAATTGCTCAATCAGACAATTCTCCTGTCTCTGTGAATTTTGCCAGGGATTCAGCAGTATAGTAGATAACATTCATTCTTGCACAAAGGGTGACACATGGGTTTAGAAAGATTGCTGGAGTTAAATACAAAAATGAACCCAAACTGTGCAACTATAGTGAAATATAACTCTATTTCATATATCAACAAACTCCAAAAGATGGTCATCGGAATAGAGGTTAGGTGTAGAACTAATCACATTTCAGATCAGTTTAATAAAAGTGGTGTTGTAGCATGAGATTGACTCAGCTTTAGGAAGCTTCTGAATGATTGGCTTCTCACCATAATTAACAGGTTGAGAGAAAGGCTTGAGCTCTCTGGGGAAAACCACAACAAAGCAAAAAGGCCGTACTTTAATTGCCGTTGTTTTTTAATTCACAATATCTGGAATACAATAACAAAAACAATTCAAGACAAGAGAAGAAGCCAAAAAATGTGTCCCATAACAAAGCTGACTCACAGATACTTCACCTATCAGAATTGGAAGACATTGACTTTAATATTTTTTTTTGCATATGTTTTGGAAGGTAAAAATAGATTTTATGATACGAGAAGAGAAGGAACATTTTAGAAAATAAATAAAAATTTTGAAAAGTACAAAATTAAGACACAGAAAATAATTTTTGAAGAAAATTAGAATTAACAGCAACTAGACTATGATATAAAAGATCAGTAAACATGATGACAGCTCCATAGAAATTGCCAAAATGAAGAAAAGATAGAAAAAAACTTTTAAATTAAAATAGCACCAATTATCTATGGAATAACATTGGATGGTCTTCTACATAAGTAATTGGAATTATAGAACAAAAGAAAGAAAATAATAGTAGAAAAATGAAGAAATAATCCAGAAAATTTTTCAAATTTCAACAAATATGTAATACTACATATTCAAGGACATCAATAAATCTTAGGAATAAAATATTGCACATACAATTAGGATACATAGCTCAACATACTATTGTCAAACTGGAAAAGAAAGAAAAAAAGAAAGTTCTATTAACATAAAGAGTAACAAACAAAAAAAAGAATGACAAATGACTCCTCATCAGAAATATTGCAAGCCAAAAACAAAACAAACAAACAAACAGAAAACACAAAAGAGAAAGGGAATCTTTAACTTTGAGTCTGATATTAGGCAAGATTATATTTATAAAAGGAAGCCAAAAAAGTGTTTCTCAGAAAAACCATGAGAATTTGTCTCTTAGAGACTCTCACTGTGAAAAATGAGTGATAGTCAATTTTATGTGTCAACTTAGCTAGACTCTGGTGACCAGCAGTTTATTCAACCACTAGTCTAGATGTTGCTTGATATGGTCTGGCTCTGCATCCTCACCTAAATCTCATTTTGAATTGTTATCTGAATTCTAATCTCCGTGTGTTGGGGGAGGGAATTTGTGGGAGTTGGTTAGATCTTGGGAGCAGCTCTCACTTTCTGTTTTTATGATAGTGACTGAGTTCTCACAAAATCTGATGGTTTTATAAGGGGCTTTCCCCACCTTTACTTTGCACTTCTCTTTCCTGCTGCTATGTGAAGAAGGACATGTTTGCTTCCCTTTCCACCATGGCTGTAAGCTTCCTGAGGCATCCCGAGCCATGTGGTAACTGAGTCAATTAAACCTTTTTGCTTTATAAATTACCCAGTCCCAGGTATTTCTTTATAGCAGCATGAAAACAAACTAGTATAGTAAATTGGTACTGAAGTAGTGGGACACTTCTATAAGGATACCCAAAAATGTAGAAGTGACTTTGGAACTGGGTAACAGGCAGAGGTTGGAACAGTTTGGAGGGCTCAAAAGAACACAGGAAAATTTGGAACTTCCTAGAGACTTGGAGGGTTCAGAAGACAGAAAGATGTGGGAAAGTTGAGAACTTCCTAGAGACTTGTTGAACAGCCTTGACCAAAATGCTGAAAGTGATATGGACAATGAAGTCCAGGCTGAGATGTTCTCAGATGCAGATGAGGGACTTGTTGGGAACTGGAATAAAGGTGACTCTCGCTATACTTTAGCAAAGAGACTAGCAGAATTTTGCCCCTGCCCTAGAGATCTGTGGAACTTTGAACTTTAGAGAGATGATTTAAGGCATCTGGTGGAAAAAATTTCTAAAAAGCAAAGCCTTCAAGAAGTGACAGAGCATAAAAGTTTGGAAAATTTGCAGCCTGTTGATGCAGTACAAAAGAAAAACCAATTTTCTGGGGGAAAGTCAAGCTGACTGCAGATATTTGCATAATTAACAAGGAGCCAAATGTTAATCACAACACAATGGGGAAAACGTCCCCAGGGCATGTCAGAGACCTTTGTGGCAGCTCCTCCCATCACAGGCCTAAAGGCCTAGGAGGCCTAGCAGTGTGAAAACAAACTAATACATTGCTATTAAGGTAATTTTTAGATGTGATTAACATTTAAATCAGAAGATGTTAAGTAAAGCAGATTACTAGTCATAATGTGATGGGCCTCATTTAATCAGTTGAAGACCTTAAAAGCAAAGACAATTTCTCTGAAAAAAAAAAAAAGAATTTTGCCTCAAGACTGCAAAACAGAAACCCTGACTGAGTTTCCAGCCTGCTCACTTGCCCTGCACATTTTGGGCTAAAGACTGAAACATCAACTCTTTCATGAGTTCCAGTGTGCTGGCCTACCTCAAAAATTTCAGGCTTGTCAAACCCCACAATTATGTGAGCCAATTTCTAAAACTAAATATCTTTAGATACATACATACATACATACATACATACATACACTCATATATACATTCATACGTTCATACATAAACATTGAGATATATTAGGTATATTTTTTTTCTACTGGTCTGATTCTGTTTCTCTAGAATATCTCAACTAATAAACTATGCCAAAGATAGTTTCCAAATAAAAACTATTCCAAATACAAATTAGAATCTGTTGGAAGCAATGAAGAAGGTTGGAAAGAGCAAATAAGTTAATAAATGTAAAACATTCTTCTGCTCATGAATTTGTTAAAAAGCAATTGACTGAATAGAACAAAGTTAATAACAAATATAGAAGGGTTCATAAGATACATAGAAATAGAATGTATGGCAACACTAACACAATAAATTAGAGGGTGTAAATAGAAATATAGTCTTGTATCGTTCTTATACGTAGCGATTAAATATTAATTCAAGATAATACAATGTGATGTGTAAAAATGCATATTGCAATCCCTAAGTAAACCCTATGAAACACAAAGAAGTAGACACAGTTGAAGTTGAAAGCCAATTGAGCAGATAAAGTATAAAAAAATTCACACCTATGTTTATTGCAGGACTATTCACAAAAGGAAAGAAATGGAATCAATCTAAATGTCCATTAGTGATAGACTGGGTAAAGAAAATGTGGTACATATACACCATGGAATGCTATGCAGTCATGAAAAAAAAAACATGTCCTTTGCAGGGACATGGATGAAGCTGAAGGCCATTATTCTTAGCATACTAACACAGGAACAGAAATCAAAATACCACATGTTTTCATTTCTGGGAGCTAAATGATGACAACACATGGACACATAGAGGGGAACAACAGATGCTGGGGCCTTTTGGAGGTTAGAGAGTTTGAGAAGGAAAAGGATCAAGTAAAAGGACTAACGGGTGTCATGAGTATCCATATAGAAGACCACCTAAACAGGCTTCGTGTGAGCAACAAGGCTGTTTATTCACTTGGGTGCAAGTGGGCTGAGTCTGAAAAGAGAGTGAGTGAAGGGAGATAGGAGAGGGGCAGCAATATAGGGCTTGGGTAGGCAGTGGAAAGTTACAGTTAAAGGTGGTTATCTATTATTAGCAGAGGAGGGGTCACAAGGTTCATGGTGGGGAGATCATAAGACTTATTGTCCAGAAGAATGTCACAAGGTTGATTGATCAGTTGGGGCAGGGCAGGAACAAGTCACAGTGGTGGAATGTCATAAGGTTGGTCAATCAGTTAAGGCAGGAGCTGGCTGTTTCACTTCTTTTGTGGTTTTTTGGCTGCTCCAGACTTCTTGGCTCCTGCAGGCCATCTGGACATATATGTGCAGGTAACAGGGGTTATAATGGCTGAGCTTTGGCTCAGAGGCCTGACAATGGGTACTAGGCTTAATACCTGAATGACCAAATAGCCTGTACAACAAACTCCCTGACACAGTTTACTAATGTAACAAACCTGCACTTGTACCCCTGAACTTAAAGTAAAAGTTTAAAAAAATCGATTTTACAAATATAAGAAAAAATGGAACAAGGAAGCAATGGGAAAATAGAAAACAATTAGAAAAATAATAGAATTAAATTCAACTATATTAATAATTAATTCAAATGTAAATGGAGTAGCTGCTCCAAATGAACAGGAAAGATTGCCAGGATGGGTAAAATGAATCAAGATGCATCTGTATGCTTTCTAGCAGAGACTTACAGTGAATATAAAAAAGACGGCCAGGCATTGTGGCTCACACCTGTAATCCCAGCACTTTGGGAGGCCGAGGCAGGCAGATCACGAGGTCAGAAGATTGAGACCATCCTGGCTAACACGGTGAAACCCCGTCTCTATTAAAAATACAAAAAATTAGCCGGGTATGGTGGCGGGCACCTGTAGTCCAAGCTACTCGGGAGGCTGAGGCAGGAGAATGGCTTGAACCCGGGAGGCGGAGCTTGCAGTGAGCTGAGATCGCACCACTGCACTCCAGCCTGGGTGACAGAGGGAGACTCTATCTTAAAAGAAACAAAACAAAAAAAGACAAGACCAAAAACAATGGAAAAATAATATACAATGCAAACACAATCCAAAGTAAGGTAAATAATAAATTAATTTCAGTATATACACACATAGACACACACACACACACACAAAATCTGAATAATATGTGTGTGCACTTTTTCCCAGAAAATGTACATTTTGAAACAAGAAATATTGCAGGTAAAGAACAGCATGTAATTATGACACAAAGGTGATTTATGAAGAATAAATTTTATTTTAATTAACATGTGCTTCAAAAAATATATACGAAATAGTGGACAGAACTAAAGAGAGACATGAAAATTTACAAATGTGGAACAGATAAGCATGTGGAGTATTTGAAAAAAAGTTATTGACCAACTTGAACTAATTAATATACATAGAAAACTGCAGCTAACAATGGCAGAATACATCATGTTCAAGTGAATAAAAACACTCAAAAATATAAACCAAATACTGTTTATGTTCATAAAAAAGTCTCAGTGGATTCGGAAGGCTATGTTTCCTGACTTCAAGGGAATTAAAGTAGAAATAAATGTCAAATCCCTAAATATTTGCATATTAATGCACATCTTTCTAAATTAGACTGTGGTTAAAAGAAAAATCATATGAAAAACTAGACAAGTTTTCAAATGAAAGTTATTAAAAACAGCTGAAATAAATCTTAGAAGAAAAGGCACAGCTTAAGTTCTCATATTAGAAAAGATTCAAAATGACCTAAAATTAATTATCGAATCTTCCAAAATAAGAAAGTAGAACAAAAGAGCAAAGCAAATGCAATATACAAAACAAGAAAACCATATAGAAATTGCTTATTTTTTAAGGAAAGAGGACAGAAAATGAAATAGATAAAATTACTAGTCAAAATTGTTTATTTAAAATACTAATAAAATTAATTAAAAAATGATTTGAGAAAGAAGAAATACAAAATCTCAACATCATTAATGAAAGAAAGGAAGTCATTACAGATTCTACCAGTTTTGAAATGTTAAGATCATATTAACAAATATATTTCATTACAATTGACTTTGTAGATGAATTAGACACATTTCTTAAAAGACACAACTTCCCAAAATTTATACAAGAATAAATAGAAAATATGAAAAATCTACATCCATTAAATAAACAAACAAAAATAACCCTATTACACAATAACTTTTCACTAGTGGGTATAGAGTTTCAGTTCTACAGGATGAAAAGTTTGGAAAATGGTTAGTGGTGAGGATGGTTGCATAACAATAAGAATATACTTAATACAACTGAACTATACTTTTAAAAAAAATAATTTATATTAAGATACATGTGCAAGATGTGCAGGTTTGATACATAGGTAAACTTGTGCCTTGGTGTTTTGCTGCCCCTAGAAACCCATCACCTAGATATTAAGCCCCTCATGCATCAGGTTTTTATCCTGATGCTCTCCCTCCCCCCATCCCCCTGACAGGCCCCAGTGTATGTTGTTCCCCTCCCTGTGTCCATGTGTTCTCATTGTTCAGCTCCCACTTATAAATGAGAACATGTGGTGTTTGGTTTTCTCTTCCTGCATTAGTTTGCTGAGGTTAATGCCTTCCAGCTCCATCCATGTCCCTGCAAAAGACATGATCTCATCCCATTTTTTGGCTGCATAGTATTCCATGGTATATATGTACCATATTTTCTTTATCCAGTCTATCATTGATGGGCATTTGGGATAATTCTATGTCTTTGCTATTGTGAATAGTGATTAAATGAACATATGTTTGCATGTATCTTTATAATAGAATGATTTATATATCTCTGGGTATGTACCCAGTAATGAGATTGCTGGGTTAAATTGTATTTCTGGTTCTAGGTCTTTGAGAAATTGCCACACTGTCTTCCACAGTGGTTGAACTAATTTACATTTCCATCAAGGGGGAGGCTCAAGCTGATCTGTCCCAAATGGTCCCTTTGGTATTTTGGTTCTGCCAGGGAAATAGGAGATGAGGCCGTGGGAAGACAGCAAAGACCCAGAGAGACAAGCAGAGCTGGAGACAAAGATAAAAGTGTTCATATTTCTTCACAGCCTTGCCACCATCTGTGTCGTTTCTTTTAATAATCGCCATTCTGATTGGTGTGACATGGTATCTCATTGTGGTTTTGATTTGCATTTCTCTAATGATCAATGATGTTGAGGTTTGTTTTATATGTTTGTTGG
Source organism: Homo sapiens (assembly GCF_000001405.40). Taxonomy (NCBI): domain Eukaryota; kingdom Metazoa; phylum Chordata; class Mammalia; order Primates; family Hominidae; genus Homo; species Homo sapiens. The sequence continues at coordinate 86,267,642 of NC_000014.9, read as the reverse complement.
CCGCATAACTGTCTTCTTTTGAGAAGTGTGGGTTCATGTCCTTTGTCCACTTCTTAGTGGGGTTGTTTATTTCTTGTACATTTGTTTAAGTTCCTTGTAGACTCTGGACATTTGACCTTTATCAGATGAATAGATGGCAAAAACTTTCTCCCATTCTGTAGGTTGTGTGTTCACTCTGATGATAGTTTCTTTTGCTGTGCAGAAGCTCTTTAGCTTAATTAGATTCCATTTGTCAAATTTTGCTTTTGTTGCAATTGCAATTTGATGATAAAATATTTGCCTGTACCAATGTCCTGAATGTTATTGCCTGGATTTTCTTTTAGGGTTTTTATAGTTCTGGGTTTTACATTTAAGTCTTTTAATCCATCTTGAGTTAATTTTTTTTATAAAATGTAAGTAAGAAGTCCAGTGTCAATTTTCTGCATATGACTAGCCAGTTTTCCCAGCACCATTTGTTAAACAGGAAATCTTTTCCCCATTTCTTGCTTTTGTCAGGTTAGTCAAAGATCAGATGGTTATAGATAGGTGGTGGTATTTATGAGGTCTCTATTCTGCTCCATTGGTCTATATGTCTATTTTAGTACAAGTATCATGCTGTTTTGGTTACTGTAGCCTTGTAGTATAGTTTGAAGTTGGGTAGTGTGATGCCTCCAGCTTTGTTCCTTTTGCTGAGGATTGTCTTGGCTATACAAGCTCTTTTTTGGTTCCATATGAATTTTAAAGTAGTTTTTATTTTAATTCTGTGAAGAATATCAACAGTAGTTTAATGAGAATAGCATTGAATCTATAAATTACTTTAGGCAGTATGGCAATTTTGACTATATTGATTCTTCCTATTCATGAGCATGGAATGTTCTTGCATTTGTTTGTGTCCTCTCTTATTTCCTTGAGCAGGGTTTTGTAGTTCTCCTTGAAGAAGTCCTTCACCTCCGTTGTTAGCTGTATTCCTAGATATTTTATTCTCTTTGTAACAATTGTGAATCGGAGTTAATTAATGATTTATCTCCCTGCTTGTCTATTATTGATGTATAGGAATGCTTGTGATTTTTGCACATTGACTTTGTATCCTGAGACTTTTACTATTAAAAGAAAAGCAAACAAACAGCAACAACAAAAACAGCATCAAGAAAAATGTTACCAAAAAAACCTTCCAAATGTCAGCAGCCTCAAAGATCGAACCTAGATAAACTCACAAAGGTGAGAAAGAATCAATGAAAAAACACTGAAACCTCAAAAAGCCAGAGTGCCTCTTCTCATACCAACGATCACAACACCTCTTCAGCAAGTGCATAGAACTGGGCAGAGACTAAGATGAATTAATTGACAGAAGTAACCTTCAGAAAGTGGGTAATAATGACTTGCACTGAGTTAAAGGAGCATGTTTTAACCCAATGCAAACAAGCTAAAAACCATGATAAAACATTATAGGAGTTGTTAACCAGAATAATCAGTTTAGAGAGGAACATTAATGACCAATGAAGCTGAAAAACCCAACATGAGAACTTCATAATGCAACCACAAGTATCAATAAGTGAATAGACCAAGCAGATGAAAGAACTTTGGAACCTGAAGACTATCTTGCTGAAATAAGATATGCAGACAAGATTAGAAAAAAAAGAATGAAAATGAATCAACAAAACCTCTGAAAACTATGGCATTATGTAAAACGACCAAACCTATGACTGCTTGGGGTACCTAAAAGAGGTGAGGAGAATGGAATCAAGTTGGAAAACATACTTCAGGTATCATCCAGAACTTCTCCATCTTAGTAAGACAGGCCAACATTTGAATTCAGAAAATCCAGAAAACCCCAGTAAGATACTCCATGAGAAGATCAACCCCAAGTCACATAGTTATTAGATTCTCAAAGGTGAAAATGAAAGGAAAAATATTCAGGGCAGCCAGAGAGAAAGGTCAAGTCACCTACAATGGGAAGCCCATCAGACTAACAGTGGACCTCCCAGCAGAAAACCTACAAGCCAGGAGAGATTGGGGGCCAATATTCAACATTCTTAAACAAAAGAATTTCCAACCCAGAATTTAATGTCTGCCAAAATTAGCTTCATAAGCAAGGGGGAAATAGAATTTTTTTCAGACAAAGCAAATGCTGAGGGAATTCATCACCACCAGGTCTGCCTTGTAAGAGCTCCTGCAGGAAGCACTAAATATGGACAGGAAAAACTGTTACCAGCCACTGCAAAAACGCACTGAAGTACAAAGACCAATGACACTGTGAAGCAATTACATAAAAAAGTCTGCAAAATAAACATCTATCATCATAACAGGATGAAATTCACACATAACAATATTAACCTTAAATCTAAACAGGCTAAATGTCCCAATTATAAAGACATAGAATGGCAAGCTGGATAAAGAGTCAAGATTGGTGTACTGTATTCAAGAGACCCATCTCACGTGCTCACACATAGGCTCAAAATAATGGGATGGAGGAAAATTTACCAAGCAGATGGAAAGCAGAAAAAAGTAGGGGTTTCAATCCTAGTTTCTGACAAAAACAGACTTTAAGCCAGCAAAGATCAAAAAAAGACAAAGAAATGCACTAAATAATGGTAAAGGGATCAATTCAGCAGGAAGAGCTACCTATTCGAAATATATATGCACTCAGTACAAGAGCACCCAGATTCATAAAACAAGTTCTTAGAGACCTGCAAGGAGACTTAGACTCTGACATAATAATAGCAGGAGACTTTAACACCCCACTGTCAATATTAGACAGATCATCAAGACAGAAAATTAACAAGAATATTCAGCACTTGAACCCAGCTCTGGATCAAGTGGACCTGATAGATATCTACAGAACTCTCCCCCAAAAAACAACAGAATATACATTCTTTTCGGTGCCACATGGCACTGACTCTAAAATCAATCACATAACTGGAAGTAAAACACTCCTCAGCAAATGCAAAAGAAATGAAATTGTAACAGTCTCCCAGACTACAGTGCAATCAAATTAGAACTCAAGATTTAAAAACTCACTCAAAACCACACAAGTGCATGGAAATTGAACAACCTGCTCCTGAATGACTCCTGGGTAAATAATGAAATTAAGGCAGAAATCAATAAGTTATTTGAAACCAGTGAGAACAAAGACAACATACTAGAATCTGGGACACAGCTAAAGCAGTGTTAAGAGGGAAATGTACGGCACTAAATGCCCACATTGAAAAGCTAGAAAGATCTGAAATTGACACCCTAACATCACAACTAAAAAAACTACAGAACCAAGAGTAAACAAACCCCAAAGCCAGCAGAAGACAAGATATAATTAAGTTCAGAGCTAAACTGAAGGAGATAGAGACGTGAAAAACCCTTCAAAAAAAATCAATGAATCCAGCAGCTGGTTTTTTGAAAACATTAATAAAATGGACTGTAATCTAGGCTAATAAAGAAGAAAAGAGAAGAATCAAATACACACAATAAAAACGGATATGGAATGTCACCACTGACCCCATAGAAATACAATCAACCATCAGAGAATACTATAAACACCTCTATGCAAATAAACTAAAAATCTAGAAGAAATGGATAAATTCCTGGACACATACGCCTCCCAAGACTGAACTAGGAAGATGTTAAATCCCTGAATACAACAATAACAAGTACTGAAATTGAGGAAGTCATAAATAGCCTACCAACAAAAGAAAGCTCAGGACCTGATGGATTTGCAGTTGAATTCCACCAGAGGTACAAAGAGGAGCTTGTCCTATTTCTTCTGAAACTATTCTAAACAATTGAAAAACAGCAACTTCTCCCTAACTCATTTTGGGAGGGCAGCATCATCCTGATACCAAAATCTTGCAGAGATACTACACCAAAAACAAACTGCAGGCCAATATCCCCCATGAATATCAATGAAAAAATCCTCAATAAAATACTGGCAAGCTGAATTCAGTAGCACATCAAAAAGCTTATCCATTACGATCAAGTAAGCTTCATCCCCAGGTTGCAAGGCTGCTTCAACATATGCAAATCAATAAACATAATTCATAAAATAAACAGAACTGAAGACAAAAACCACATGATATCTCAATAGATGCAGAAAAGGCCTTCAATAAAATTCAACATCCCTTCATGTTCAAAACTCTCAATAAACTAGGTATTGATGGAACATACCAATAAGAGCTATTTATGACAAACCCACAGCCAATATCATACTGAACGGGCAAAAGCTGGAAGCATTGCCCTTGAAAACCGGCCTCCTCTTACCACTCCTATTCAATGTAGTATTGGAAGTTCTGGTTGGGGCAATCAGGTAAGAGAAAGAAATAAAGGGTATTCTAATAGGAAGATAGGAAGTCAAACTGTCTCTGTTTGCAGATGACATGATCCTATATCTAGAAAACCCCATTGTCTCAGCCCAAAAGCTTCTTAAGCTAATAAGCAACTTCAAATATACTCTAAAAAATGGTTAAGATAGTAAATATTATGCTACGTGTACAAACATAATGACACAACAACAACAAAAAAGAAGACAGAAGAAAAGAACGCTAGGCCTAGTGTGTCTTCTAGAAACAGTTAAGAAAAAACATTGAGTGTTATCAAACTGTCAGAATATAAAGAAGCAAAGATTTCCAATGTTTTTAATCAGGTCAGAATAACCTTAATATAAAAATTTGACAAATACATAAAATTAAAAATTACTATGTCTTGTGTACCTGGATATAAAACCTTCCACAAAATATTAGCAAATCAAATCCGTCTATACATAAGAGGCTGATATATCATGAAGAAGCAGATTTTATCCTAAGAAAGGTAGTTTAATATTAAAAATCAGAAGAAATTATGCAATCATCTCAATAAATACAGAAAAGTCCTTTGATAAAATTTCAACACACTCTTGAAAAAAACTTGCTGCAAGCTAGGAATAAAAAGGCCATTTTGTGTTATCTATTGAAGAGCATCTACAAATAGCCTACAAGTATCAAGTATAATGGTGAAACATTAAAGGCTTCTTCCCTAAGCAAAGGAAGAAGACAAGAATCTCTCCCTTCACCATTTCTATTCAATCTTGTGCTGGAAAATAATCTCATATGATACAACCAAACAAAACAATACAAAAAGGTTTGAAGATTGAAAAGAACAAATATAAAACTCTTCAAGCAGAGTTGGCATGATTATTAACATTAAAATTCAAAGGAATAAACAAAAATCTACCATAAGTTACATAGGATGCTTTAGCAAGGTCACAGAAATAAAGTTTATATAGTTGACCCTTGAACAACGCAGGGGTTAGTGACATTGGCTCCCCACACAGTCAAAAGCTCATGTGTAATTTTTGACTCCTCCAACACTCATCTCCTAATAGCCTACTGTTGACCAGAAACATTACTGATAACATAAACAGTCGATTAATATGTATTTTGTATGTGTATTATATACTGTATTTTTACAAAAAGAGTAAGTTACAGCAAAGAAAAAATTATTAAGCAAATCATAAGGAAGGAAAGTTCATTTACAGGACTGTACTATACTACCCATTCTGTAAATTTACACATTCTGTTTACAAGAGGAATCATCCATCTTAGTGGTAGGCTGCAGACCTTAATCTACTGTGTATATCAAGTGTTCTACTTTTTTCTGTAATGTTAAGAGTGCTTCCTGGGAGCCCTTCCAGCATCACTAGTAGAACTTTTGTGTGTGTCCCACAGTGTTATTCAACATTCATGGATATTGCACCAAGCAGTGTGAAAAACACAGAGAACCACTAGAGAGATCACGTTTCGCTGTGATACAATTTACTGGAAGGAAAACTGTCCACACAGAGATGAGTAGCCTCATACAAGAGATACTTCCAACACTTGAGCTCATTGGAATGGCAACAAGAGGTGGCCACCAAATTATTACAATAGTACAGTGTGTACTACAGTTAATTTTATGCAATTATGACTTAATACTCATCCTTACCTCTGTTTAAATTTCTCTCCACATAGACGGCACCATGCCATGTATAGTCTATGTTTTGGTGCTTTTTGATACATTTTTACTTTTTATAATATATTTGTGTATATTTGATGGTAGTAAATGATTTTAAAAGACTAATATCTATATATATATTATGCATTCATGACATCTCTCTTTCTTTTTTTCGTATTTCTAGGCTATTTAGTGTTTCTGATGGTTTTTTCAAATTGTCACAAATCTCCAAAAAGGTTTTCAGTATAGTTACTAAAAATAAATCCACATATAAGTGCACCTGTGCAGTTCAAACCTGTGTTGTTCAAGGGTGAGTTGTATGTAAAAATTGTCTTCTTAGGCACTAGTAATGTGTAATTGGAAAATTTTTAAAAATACCATTCATAATAGTATCAACACCATAAAATACTAGGGGCAATTTAATTAAAAGAATATAAGACCATAAAATTAAAATTTTATGAAAATGGTCTGGAGTAAATGAAATGAGAACTAAATACAAATTGAAAGACTCGATTTTGTTAAGTGGACTTTTTCCAAATTTGATCTATAGATTCATCACAACTTCATTTAAAATCATTGCAAGCTATTTTTAATACAAATTCACAATTAGATTGTAAATTTATTAGAAATATAAAGAACCTAGAATAGCAAAAATAATCACTAAAAAGAGTACCAGGATATGAATTGAATTTATGTTAAATTATAGTAATTGAAACAGTGTGGTATTGGTTTTATACTAATGTAGCAGAATGTAGAGTCCAGAAATAGACCCACACTTACATGATAAATTTATCTTTTAGGAAGGTATCAAAAACATGAAATAGGGTAAAGAAGTTCTTTTCAATAAATCATTCTGGATTATTAATTCTGGATAATTCTTTTGAGAATAAAAAAAAGTAACCTCTATTGTACCTACACAGTACACAAAAGTCAATTTGAAATAGAACATAAACTTAAGTGTAAAATGTAATGCTATATAACTTCTAGAAATTTCCAACAAAGGCTGCAAATGTATTTACTATAGGTAAATATAGTATAGTAAATACTATATACCATGGGTAAATATGGCATAGTAAATGCTATATACTATAGGTAAATATAGTGTGTATATCATTACCTACAGTAAAAATATAAATATATTTATTACAGATAAATATAGTCTTTGGTTAGACAGAAATTTCTTATGACTCAAAAACAAAACGTAAGAATTGACAGATTAGACTTCAGTAAAATTGAGAATTTTTTTGTTCATTAAAGGACATCCTTAAGAGGTATAAAAGATGAGCTATATATTGGAAACTATTTTCAGTGCATATTCTTACAGAGAACTTATATCCAAAATATATAAAAAACACCTAAAACTCAATGGAAAGACAAACAGACCAATTAAAAAATGGGCAAAAATTTGAAAACATATGCTTTAAATATTATTATACACAAAATAAGATAAACTTTAAGCAGTATAAAAGATTTTAAATATTTGTAATCATCAGGAAAGTGCAGTTAAAACAACAATGAGATACCTATATGAGCTAGAATGGATACATTAAAGTGATTATTACCAAGTTTTGATGAGGGTATGGAAAACATGAAAATCTTCTACATTACTGGTGGAATTTGACTATAATACAATAAATCTGTTACAAAATTGTGGCAACATTTTACAAGAAAAAAATCAAAATCAAAACATGTATCTTTCTTATGACTCCGACATTCTACTATTAGGTATTTACCTAGGAGAAATGAAAATACATGTTCACAAAAGACTTATACAAGAATACTCATAGCACTTTTGTTCATAATAGCCTAATCTTAAAATAATCCAAATATCTATAAACAGGAAAATGGGTAGGCAATTTTAATATGGTTACTATAACTCAACAATAAAAAAGAATGTATTACTTCTTTCTCTACAACATGGATGACTCTCACAAACCTAATATTTACAAAAGAAGCCAAACCAAAATGGTATGTGCTGCACAGTTTTATTTGTGTGAATTTCTAATATACATATAACTAATGTATTGCCTATAAGGAGGATGGGTGACTGACTAGACAAATTTATAAGGAACCTATTTCAGATTATGGAAATTTCTAAATCATATTTGGGTGCGTATTTCTATACATATAAATTATTCTTAACAATGAAGCAGTAAAAGCTCTTGTAGCAGACAAACTAAAAATGTGTAATGACTTAAATATGATAGATGTTTACTTCTCATGTACACAACTGTATTTTTATTTTGTTATTTATTTTCGAGGCAGAGTCTCGCTCTCTCACACAGGCTGGAATGGAGTGGCATGATTGTAGCCCACTGCAAAGGAACATTTTGCTTTGTATAGCAGAAATAGTTAGCTGGACACCAAACTAATTTTATCTTCTTTTTCTGACCACAAATAGACTATATTTCCCAGTGACACTTGCTGTGTCTTTAATCACAGGCCTGAGTTCCAAGCAATTGAATAAAGGGACTTCAAAAGGTTCATGGAAAATGCATATTATTAAAAAGCTATGCCTGGATTTCAGAAATGTTTTGCACCAAAATAAACTTCTACTAACTTGTTATGACATGTCATGAAAAGAAACTAGCTGGAGGCACTAAGAAGGGTAAGACATCAGTTTGAAAAGAGTCCCTATCAGAGCAACATGAATTCTGCTAAAATTGAAACAAGAACAAATGTTAAATTTTTGGTGAAGCTAGCGTGGAAGAATCATAAAATCATTGATGCTTTATGAAAGTTTATGGTGAAAATACCTCAAGAAATTAGCAATTTATGAATAGATAACTCATTAAAGAAGGAAGGAGTTGATGTTGAAGACGAAGCCCACAGAGGCAGACCATGCACATCAATTCAAAAGAAAAAAAAAATCTTGTTCGTGCCCTAATTGAAGGGGACCTATGATTAACAACACAAACAATAACCCATACCACAGTCATTTCAACTGTTTCAGCTTACACAATTCTGACTGAAAAATTAAAGTTGAGCAAACGTTTTACTCAATGGGTGCCCAAATTGTGGTTTTAGGATCAGCGGCAGATAAAAGCAGAGAGAGGCAAAGTGTTCCTCAAGGAAATCACTATGATATTTTTCCCCTGCTGACTACAAAGATAATATTAAACTCAAGGTTTACTTTATAATTGAGCATAAGTCTTAAGTTTCAGATCTTTCAAATTGTGACATATATAGAACAAATGTTTTAATAAATATAATTTCTTAAGCAGCCTGTTTTTAGGTATGCCATTTTAAGATATGCTTCAGCTATGTTTTCCAGACTGACAGTTCTGGTGGCATCTCTGATTGGAGATCCATCTCATTAATTTATTTTTCCTCATTTACATACACAGCCACTCATTTTCCTAATAAGTCTCCAGCTACCTTCATCTAGGTATGTGTGTGTTTTTCATTCTAATTGATTATCATCTTTTCTTATCTTGATGCATATGACTTCACCTTTTTTCAGAGTGATACAGCACGTATTTGATGCTTCCTGTTCTTAAAAGTGATCTGAAACCTTAAATGTTAAGGTTTTCTTAAAGAGAGCCACCTTGACATTTGCATAGAGTAATTTTGTCTTGCTCCTTAAGAACTAATTGAATCTTAAGGTTATATGCAGAGATGCCCACATAAGGTACACTATTATGTCTCTTGGTTGAGAGTTTGTTGAGAAATTGGGGCATGATATTTTGCTGTAAATTATTTCTCTATATGCTATAGAAATTCAAAACCTAACGGTTATTTTATCACCTTATGAAAGACACAAAATCTTTTAAAATGTCAAAATATTTTCTAATATTTCTTATGAACCTCATTTCTAATGTGGAAGGCACTTTATGTTCTAAAAACTATGAATTAATTTTGGGGTGGGGGAATATGGAAGAATAATTTCAATAAAAATGGGTCCCTGCCTTTGAAAGGTATAATTATGGGTATACATATATTTTAGATATAAGTAAACTGAGGCATAGTAGGTTGAGGAACTTGCCAAGGTAAATAAAAAAAAAAGTTGAAAACAGGATTTGAAACAAGGTCTTTCTGGGTCCAAAGAATTTATCTTTATGTTATTCTAAAATGTTTCTCACACCAAGCACTGAATTTTAATGACTCTCAAGTAAGGTACCATCAGAATGACATTTCACATGAAGTAACACGATGCCCTTACTTCATTATTTTGTTTGCATTTAAGGGTCTTCCCCCTCTAGTTATTTGAAAGGACCTAACAATTAAAATGGCACCCAATGGATCATCACTCGATTTTCTAACTGAACAAATAGTACCCTCAATTTGGCACGCCCATTGCCTGAAAAATATTTATAAAAGTAAACACTTACGCAACTTTGCACAGAGCATTTGAAAACAGCTCTGATTGCTAATAACTCTCTTCAATATATACACCAGACAAGGGGGAGTTTCAACTCTTAAGCTTCAGTTATTTTTGAATTGCCTTTGTGCCAGAGAACTCTACCTTAAATTGCTTTTAAACTAGAAAATATACACTATCTCCTCTCACATAATTCAAAAGTAGTTTAAAGTTATATTTCCTAAAAGGAGAAAAATGACAAGGGAACTGTGATGAGGTCTTTGTAGTCTGTCCAAGACAACATGATTTGAAAAGTTTTGCTGTTGTGTGTGGATTTTTAGCCCCCTGCAAATGGAAGGATCTCTGGTACAAGTGTTTGGAGAAAGTTAGCTGCATTCTCTGCTGTCATAAATATGTTTGTGTGGTATTTGGAGATCCTATAAAAGGCAAGGCTAAATTTCAGTGTGAGGTGAAATGTAGTAGCTAGAGCAGCACTAGGTCTTCAATGGCTGGGATCCAATTTTCCAGGATTACTATTACCCTCAAAATGTGATCCATTCAAGTGATTTTCCTTGAGTTTAGGAAGTAAACTAGATAATTATTTCATAAATTTTATGCATTCACAGTTTACTGATGGAAATATTGTCACTGTAGTTGTTTAGGATAGTGCCCCAAAGATGTGCCTGTCACTAGTTCAGTTCCAGAAGAGGCCACTTAGTTTTACCATGTCCTCTAGTCATAGATATATCCTGTGACCCAGAGACTCAAAGAACAGGCAATAATAATACAGGGGGAAGATAAAAAATTCCCAATTCTTTGGGGAAGAAAAAGCAACTGAAAATTATATTCCCATCAAGTAGAACACAACTTGCAGATGGTATGTTTTGCATAAATGTTTGTTTAATGAACATAAAACAAATAATAAACATTAGAAACGTCATCAATACATTGAGCACATATATATAATATATATATTGAGCATCTCAAATTTACAAAGATAAAATTAGGTATAATCACTGTTTCTTAATGTTTTAGAATTATATTTTGTTAAATAAGCCACCTTTGAAGCTCAGAATCCTGGAGTTGTTGTACCTGAGCGAGTTAGAAAAACGCCACACTTTGAGACGAATTAAGAGTCCTTTATTAGCCGGCGACCAAGAGACGGCTAACGCTCAAAATTCTCTCAGCCCCGAGGAAGGGGCTTGATTAACTTTTATACTTTGGTTTAGGAATGGGGGGGGTGTCTAGTTAAAACAATTTTACAGAAATAAAGTAGGCAAAAAGTTAAAAGGATAAATGGTTACAGGAAGGTAAACAGTTCCAGGTGCAGGGGCTTTAAGACTATTACAAGGTCATAGACTGGAGGCTTTGGGTGTTATCAATCAGACGAATTCCTGGGAATATCGGATATAGCTTGCCACAGTATCTTATCAGTTAATTGCATTCTTGGATGTGCTGGGAGTCAGCTTGCACAAGTTAAGTCCTTGAGGAAGGGGCTGCCAGTGAAAGAGCCAAGATGGAGTCTGTCTGGCTCTCTTAGCTAAGGGAGAGTCAATTCAGGTGGAAACAAGGCTAGGTGATGAAAGGGAGAGTCTAAAAACAGAGTTAGTAAAAACCAGGTTAGGCATTACAGGGTTAAAAAAAAAAAGTCATAGTCAAGAGATTAATTCTACCCGCAGAGAGCTACCACATAGCCTTCATAGAAAAAGTGATATCAGAACTTTCTCTTACAGGATTAGAAGGGAGTTGCTAGATAGAGGAGTGCAGGGGCATTCCAGGCAGGAGAAGGCGTATGTCCCAAGGAATAGACATTGTGAGGAAGCATGTCTTGTGCAGAGCCTTACGAATAACTCAAAATTAAAGTTCAAAAGTGTAAAGTTTATAGTGAGGAGAGAAGAATAAAAACGGAAAAGGAACGAACAGTTTAAGATGCTGATATAGGCGGCCAGGCGCGGCGGCTCACGCCTGTAATCCCAGCACTTTGGGAGGCCGAGGCGGGCAGATCACGAGGTCAGGAGATCAAGGCCATCCTGGCTAACACGGTGAAACCTCGTCTCTACTAAAAATACAAAAAATTAGCCGGGCGTGGTGGCGGGCTCCTGTAGTCCCAGCTACTCCGGAGGCTGAGGCAGGAGAATGGCGTGAATACGGGAGGCGGAGCTTGCAGTGAGCCAGATGGTGCCACTGCACTCCAGCCTGGGCGACAGAGCGAGGCTCCGTCTCAAAAAAAAAAAAAAAAAAAAAAAGAGAGATTCTAGTATCGGCTAGAACCAGATTTGTGAATTGGAGGATTAGCTAGGGCTTGGTGTGATCGTATTTCTGTTTTGGGGAGAATCCTGGCAGCAAGTGAGATGTGGGATAGAAGAGGCTGGATGCAGGAGAGTGAGATAGGAGGCTTTATCTATTGTTAAATCAATTCACTTTAGTGGATTCCATACAGTGGCCCTTCTAATGGGAGTCCAGATTTGCATAGAGTATGCTGCCAGTGATACATGAAAGATTAATACATAAGACCTGTCTTCAAATGTGAACACTATTTTTTTCTTGTATCTCTTTCTCTATTAAAACTCTTGGAACAGAAAATTTGGGCAATTTCATTTCAGACTATATTATTTTCTGGATGTGCTTGAGGAAATGAAACAGGTTGCAAGTGAGCCTCCCTGACACTAAAGTATAAGTATAGAAACCTGGAGAGAAAGGCCTGCACAATAGCCTGAGCTAAGAAGAAAAATGCAATTGGGGGACATGTGTACAACCAGTTAAAACTTTCAAAATCAACAAGATTAAAATTTATTTTTTTACTATGTAGCTTAACATTAGATGATGTGTATATTAGGTACCTAAGTTGTCTATGTTCTCTTGGCAAAGATGCTGACTTTTAAGACAGTCAGAAAGATCCAAATGGACTCAGAATATAAAGCATGTTACACTTGCATTTTCTAAAGCTAGAAAGGATACCACGGGTCCAGCTTTACAAATTGATGAAGACCAAAAGTGTGATAGCGAGGGTGGCATTTCACTGGCATTAATGGGGTGAGGACCTCCTTCTAGATTTGTCTCTGCTGAAAATTCCCTCTAGGATTGATTGATTGATAATGTGATCTTCCCCATGTTTTAGGTGGAAACACCCACCCTCTTGAGCAAAAGACACTTCTATTGCTTAGAATAAAACAGATTCAGGGTGAATCTGGTTTCAATGAATGTGCCTTATGGCAGAAACCATGAACATTAGACTGAAGCTTTTGAAATGATTTTAGTTTTATATGATTTGTTTCTTTTTAAATGACATAGTGCATTTTTCTGTCCAATAAAAGTTACTGATACATTTTCAGTATTTTAATTCTTAATCTGAGCAAAAATAGAATCCATGCTTTGAGTCTGGTAAGGACAAAGATATACAAACCTTACTACCAAAAATTTTAATTTCCAAGTAAATACACTAGAAAAATATTCACCTTTAATAGCATATGTGCACCAGTGAATAACTGAAAAGATCAAACATACTGCATCATATGGATACTAAATATTAAATAAATACATTATCACAAGTCATACAGTAAAATTCTAAAGTTAACTAGATCTATGTGTATCACATATGTTTACATCTCAAAAACAAAACTCGTGAAGAAAAGCTAATTTTGAAATATTACATACAGAATGAAGTCAACTACAAGTACGTAAAACGCAGCACACGCATGTGATGTTGAAGATGCCTACCTATAAAGTCACAAATTGTGAGACACACACATCCATCTGCTTGAGGATAATTGTTATCTCTTGCAAGGGAAAGACAAAATTAGGATACAAAGAAAGAATATTAAGTATTTATCTTTTAAAACAAAAATGACCTAAAAAACTATTACAACATGATGAAACATATTAAATTTCTATGGTTGATATATATCAGTATCATATTTTTTGTATGTTTTTCTAAGCTTTAAGTATTTTCCGAATGTGTGGCTGAATCCACACTAATGAATCACCAACAGCATTTCAACTGATAAGCTGTAGTTATTAAATTTTAATATATTCAAAATGGCCATATTGAATCCTCTGTTATAAAAACCACCAGAGTAATCAATATTTTAGCATATTTGGTCCAACACTTACACAGTAATTGTTTCAGTGTTTACTGATTCTTTGCACTTTATGGGAGGCCAGTGGGTATCCTACGAGTAAATATCCCCAGATATCTCCAAAGTAAATAGATACATATACATGAAAAAAATAGTAGCAGCCATTTTCAGCTTTAACATTACGAGTTTTAACATGCTAAAGTGATTCCTTATAAATTCAGAGTATAAAAAAGGTGATTAGACAAGCATCCAAAACATTTGTAAGTAGCTAATATTTAAAAATCTACAAAACCCAGATAATTCCATCACATTTTCATTGATCTTTTTGTTTGTTTATTTTGGCCCTAAGAAGCAAAATCTAGCCTGCCTCAAATCAGTCAACTTCTTATTCCTGACAAGGAGTAACAGTGCCAAAACATGTTGATTCATGATAATCAAATAATCACTTTTCTAACCCTACAGTTAATCTACTTTCTGACGAAAATTAATTAAGTGGTGTTTAAGCTGATAGCCAGAAGAATACTGCACAGGTTTACCTCTACTAAAAAATAAGCTCACTAGCAGAGAGATGGACCCATGTGAGATTCACATACCTAAATAATTGCTTTGTGTAGGAGTTAATAAGATGCAAACACCTATTGATTTACTGATAATTAGACATTAGTAACTATTCCTTGTGAAAGGAAGCATTGAGAACAGCCAAAGTCGCTTAGAAAGTCTACGATCTATATTTTGTCAGAATCATATCAGATGCAGTGTTACAAATTATATCATGTTCTGAGACAGAGTAAGTCCTGCCTGCAAGGGCAGGCTTTCTGGGTCCCTCCCTTTTTATTATCAATGTGAAACATTTGTGTGTGCATGGCTTTTAAAATTAAAATGTGCGTACTAATAAATTTACTCTGAATCATGGCAAAAGTTAGTAAATAAATATAAGTTTTTTAAAAAATGAGAATGAAGTCAAGATCATAATGTAGAAAAAAAAGGGCCACATGAAATTCAGAGAAATTAAGGTCTATAGTCAGAAATTGTAATTGCTGACAGGAATAAGGCAAGTAATCTAGTTATCAAGCCTGGTAGCATGCAAAACCACAAGAGTTTATATACCTGTACCTCTACAAAAACAGCAGCACCTTATGTGTATTTTTCTTAATGTAATAAAGGCAGAGTAATCCCAGGGCTTCAGGTTAAGGCAGGGGGATTGCTTGAGGCCAGGAGTTCAAGACCAGCCTGGGCAATCCAGTGAGACCTGCATCTACAAAAAGTAAAAAATAAAATAAAATAAAAAACTAATAATAATTAGCCAGATCCAGTGGTAAGCACCTATAGCTGTAGTCCCAGCTACTCAGGAGGCTGAGTTGAGAAGATTGCTTAAGCCCATGAGTTTGAGGTTGCAGTCAGTTATGATGGCACCACTGCACTCCAGCCTGGGCAACAGAGCAAGACTCTGTAACTAAAAAAAGTCAAAAAGTAATATGAATGCAGATATACACCCAAGGGCATATACATGTACACAGACAAAAATCAACAAAAGATAGTGTGTTTTTCCAATTGTGATTCCAATGAGAAATCAACTCATTTAAGAAATTAAGTAAAGTTGAAGCTGAACATTTCAAAAACAGCTATAAAAAGATCTTCATATACATTAAAAATATCAAAATAGCAACATATATTTAATTTTATTAAAGTGAAAATGTTTGAGAAAGTAAGAAGTGTCACCTTATTTGAACTAGTCTTATGGGTAATCAGTAGGAAAAACCCGTTTATTGTGTCAATAAAGAGAGAATCAGCGTGGGGATTCTCTTGTGCTAATATTCCTGTGGAAAAATAAATGAATACACTGTAGAAAAGAGGTAAGAAGAAACTGAAGTTCATTGGCTGCACTTTGATTAATAAACAATGCTAAGCCACACAAATATTTTCATTTGGCATCAATTAATTTCATGGGCCTAAAAACATGTCATATTATTTTATAGATTATGCAATTACTAGTATTGGATTGATAATATTCACCCATAAATACCAGGGCAACTAATTAAACTGAGTAGGAAAGGATTACAAAGATTAATATATATACTACATATTTATATATGCAGAGTAATAAAATATGTATTGAAAAATACAGTATTGATTTATAACAAGTAGAGTTTTGTTAAGCACTCCAAGGTACAGATACTGCTTTACTTTGCAATCAGGAACTTTTTTCATTTCTTATAATTTTGCTCTTCACATTAACTTGTCCCTGAGGTTTAAATATTTTTTTACACATTACTTATGTATGCACTAAAATCAAATTCATATCTCATGGAGGAATTTTATTTTAAGTAAAAATGTTTATATAAATGGAAAAGTTACAAAGTTTACAAAATTAGCATCATGAGGGATGACTAAAACTGAAGCAATTTGGTTAAGATTTATAGAGAAAAAACATAAATTTTATCCCTAAATTATTACAACAAATGCTCCTTCTAGATTAAGGTGCTTCTGGCCCTGCCTCCTGTTTGAAAAGACAAAATAGTGTTATTATTGCAAGGTTGCTGTTCAGATGGACAGAAGCAAAGAAACTATCAAAAATTTTTCAAAATTCCAAATGTGACTAAAATTCTAATAATCTTGGCAAAATGTCAACACAAATACAGTCATTAATAATTTTTAAGAAGCATCTCATTCTTTTTATGTAGGATTTCTTTTCTTTTTTGTCTTTAGACAAAGAAGTCAGTGTGCACTCTCTGGGAATGATGGCTAACCCAAATTACTAAACTAGTTCTAATACCGGCTCCAAGTTATCAAGTGGCTTCAAGCAGGTTACAAAGCTTTTTTGAGCTTTTCTCTCATCATTGATCAAGAAATGAATACAAGGGTTTTCTTGTTCAAAAACTCCCTTATTTTAATTCTATAGAAATGTTATTTAAGTGTGTGGATGGAATATTCCTTACAGTGTAATCTCAGAAAGAGAATCATGGTAATAATCTCTTAGAAGTCAGAACACATCCAAATGTACTATTGTGTTTGCTGTTTCAATAAATACATGACTCCACAACTCCTATACATTATATTCAGTTCCAAAGTATTATAGTTTCAGGAAGTAAACGTGAATATTTATTAAAATGATTCTCATCTGTACATAACCAACTATGATCTTAATGGAGTCAATTACCCTTATTCTTTCACCTCCTTGTAAGACAAACAAATCTCTGCTTAATTAAAAAAGGTTTCATATACAGCATTTAAAATAGTGCATATGATAATATTCTGAAAAATAAAAAAACACAATAAAAATCCATGTTACAATGATGAAATCATAATGTTTCTTAGTCAATGTTCCCAAGGAATAATGATCAGGATTAATCCGTCAGTGTCATCAAATTGTATATGATGGCAAAACATAAGGTTGTGCCTACATCTATTTATGAATATCCAGATGTTTGGAGGTATTCAGGCATGGTATCGATTTTTTTTTCAAAGTAATCTGGATATGCTGGCAACTGGCAATCTTAGTCTATGCTGAGCCTGCACTTTATCCCTTAATGTGATTCAGATGTTTCCAAGTGTTAACACATTCACTGAATTACACTCACATAGTTAATGAAAATATTATGATCCCATAAATATAGCAAGTCAAACTAGCACCTTCTTCTAGCCCATTTCTCCAAATCCAGAGTGGTGAAGCACAACCAGTTGTTCTGATATGTGTACAAATGGTTCTGGCATTAGCCAATTCATGGCCTAGCAGGCAGCATTTGGTTTAATGGCCCCCAGTGTGAATAGATTTCTTGATTTGAATCACTAGAGATAGCCTGAAAAGTCCCTTTGTTGAGATCTAGTTTTTCTTGTCTTTCAGTAGCACAGCATAAGAGGGATAAAATTTGGCACTTAGTATCTAAGCTGTCATTTGGAAATTTCAGATTTGGATTCTCTTCTCGGCATTTAGACTTCTTAATTCAAACCATACTATACTCCCTGAGCACTAGTGCCTTATCTTCCTGCAGGAAAGGAAAAAGCAACTTTCAAATGTCACCTGGATCACCATGTCACCTCAATATCCTTGAAGCTACTAATGGGGGTTTCAATGACAGCATTATGGCTGTCTTCGAAGTGCCAATGAATTCTATTAATGTTCTATGACTAAAAATTTTAGTGATCTCTTTTATTTAAAATGAATCAAAATCCATCACTAAAGTATTTCAGACATGTTGACCTCTTTCTGATCACTAAATTTCCACAACGTGAAAAACCAGTTCTTTATCAGAAAATCATTAGAAGTCATCAGAACATGTTTTTTTGCCCACTGTACTGAAATATATACATTCCTAACATATTTGCTAGTAACTTTTATCTAGAAATTATTATATTAAGACAACAATAACATCAAACAAACAACAGGAAAAAAAACTTTCATAGTTTTAGTCAAGAAAATATCTCTACTTCTACATTTTTCTTCCCCAAAAGACATTTTCTCTTATCAAAATTTCCCAATGGCATACAAGTACATTCTCTTATGAATTTTATTTTACCTTATTCTAATGAATACATAATATGCCTGCATAAGAAAGTAAAAATTGTAAGTGCACAGCTTGAAACATTTTCTTAAAGTGAACATCCCTATGAAGCCAGCACTCAGATCACAAAAGAGAACGTTACCGTACTCTAGAAGTCTCTGCTAGGCCCCTTATCTTTACTTCTGACATAATGGATTAGCTTTAACTCTTTTTGAACTTGACAATGTGTACAGTTTTGCAACTGGCTTCTTCAGCTTACATTATTCTATGATATTTATGCATATTTATGTGCATAATTTGTTCATTCTCATTGCTTTACGGTATTCCATTGTAAGACCATACCATGATTAATTTAACCATTCAATTGCTGAGGGACATTTGAGTGGTTTCCAGTTTGTGAATATCATAAAAGTGCTGTTATGACCCTTCGAGCACATGTATCTGGTAATCATGGATACATAAATAAACTCGTACATACACATACACGTGGAATTGGTGTGGGTTAGGATATGCCCATATTCAACTTTAGTAGTTGGTGCCAAATGGTATTCCAAAGAAGTTTACTAAATTTTACTTTCACCAGCAACATACAAAAGTTGGAGTTGACCTGTACTTCACCAATATTTGGCAGTGTCTGTAGATTATTTTCATTGTTCTGGAGGATGTGCAGTAGTGTTTCTATCTTGTTTGATTTACTCTTGACTCATAACTAATAAACTTGATTATCTTTACATGTATTTACTATCCTTTTGAACATGTTCATTGAGGAAGTCCTTGTTCAAATTTTTGGTCCACTTTTATGTTTTGTTAACCAAGCATGATAATTACACATACAGATAATTGCATAAAATATGCAGTTAAAATAATTTTCATTTTTTTAGAGCAGTTACATGTTCACAGCAAAACTGAGCAGAGGGTACAGAGAATTCCTAAACACTCCTTACCTCCACACATGCATAGCGTCCCCGACTATCAATAGCTTGCAATGAACTGGTGTACTTGTTATAACAGAAAAACTTACATTGACTCATCATTATCACAAAATATCCATAGTTTACAATGGGGTTCACTCTTGTTGTTATGCATTCTATGGGTTTTGACAAATGCCTGATGGCATGTATCTACTATTATAATATTATACAGAATAGTTTCAGTGCTGGAGAAATTATCTGTGCTCCACCAACTCATGTCCCCTTCCCCTAACCCCTGGCAATCATTGATTTTTTTTATTGTCTTCATAGTTTTGGCTTTTCCAGAGTGTCATATAGTTGGAATAATAGAGAATTTAGCTATCTCAAATTGGCTTCTTTCAGTTAGTAACATGCATTTAAGTTCTCTGTCTTTTCATGGGTTTATATCTCATTTCTTTTTAGTATTTAATATTTCACTCTCTGGATTTACCAGTTTATCCATTCATCTATTGAAAGTCATTTTAGTTGACTCCAAGTTTTGGCAATTATGAATAAAGCTGCTATAAACATCTGTGTGTAAGTTTTTGTGTGAATTGTATGGTTAGCGTGTTTAGTTTTATAAGAAACCGCCAAAGCACCTTCCAAAATGACTATATCATTTTATATTCCCGTCAACAATGAATGAGAGTTTCTGTTGCTCCACATCCTCACCAGCATTTGCTTGTCAGTGTTTCAGATTTTGACCATTATAATGATGTGTAGTGGTATCACATTTTTGTTTTAATTTGCATTTCTCCAAATGATGTATTATGTTAAGCATATAAAAAATATGCTTATTTAGCATTTGCATGTCTTCTTCAGTGAGGTGTCTGTTCAAATCTGTGTCCATATGTTAATCAAGTTGTTTGTTTTCCCAGAGTTGACTTCTTTTTTTTTTTTAATTTTTTTTTACTTTAAGTTTTAGGGTACATGTGCACATTGTGCAGGTTAGTTACATACGTATACATGTGCCATGCTGGTGTGCTGCACCCACTAACTCGTCATCTAGCATTAGGTATATCTCCCACTGCTATCCCTCCCCCCTCCCCCCACCCCACAACAGGCCCCAGAGTGTGATGTTCCCCTTCCTGTGTCCATGTGATCTCATTGTTCAATTCCCACCTATGAGTGAGAATATGCGGTGTTTGGTTTTTTGTTCTTGCGATAGTTTACTGACAATGATGATTTCCAATTTCATCCATGTCCCTACAAAGGACATGAACTCATCATTTTTTATGGCTGCATAATATTCCATGGTGTATATGTGCCACATTTTCTTAATCCAGTCTATCATTGTTGGACATTTGGCTTGGTTCCAAGTCTTTGCTATTGTGAATAATGCCGCAATAAACATACGTGTGCCTGTGTCTTTATAGCAGCATGATTTATAGTCCTTTGGGTATATACCCAGTAATGGGATGGCTGGGTCAAATGGTATTTCTAGTTCTAGATCACTGAGGAATCGCCACACCGACTTCCACAATGGTTGAACTAGTTTACAGTCCCACCAACAGTGTAAAAGTGTTCCTATTTCTCCACATCCTCTCCAGCACCTGTTGTTTCCTGACTTTTTAATGATCGCCATTCTAACTGGTGTGAGATGGTATCTCATTGTGGTTTTGATTTGCATTTCTCTGATGGCCAGTGATGATGAGCATTTTTTCATGTGTTTTTTGGCTGCATAAATGTCTTCTTTTGAGAAGTGTCTGTTCATGTCCTTTGCCCACTTTTTGATGGGGTTGTTTGTTTTTTTCTTGTAAATTTGTTTGAGTTCATTGTAGATTCTGGATATTAGCCCTTTGTCAGATGAGTAGGTTGCGAAAATTTTCTCCCATTTTGTAGGTTGCCTGTTCACTCTGATGGTAGTTTCTGTTGCTGTGCAGAAGCTCTTTAGTTTAATTAGATCCCATTTGTCAATTTTGACTTTTGTTGCCATTGCTTTTGGTGTTTTAGACATGAAGTCCTTGCCCATGCCTATGTCCTGAATGGTAATGCCTAGGTTTTCTTCTAGGGTTTTTATGGTTTTAGGTCTAACATTTAAGTCTTTAATCCATCTTGAATTGATTTTTGTAATACTGGCAAACCGAATCCAGCAGCACATCAAAAAGCTTATCCAGCATGATCAAGTGGGCTTCATCCCTGGGATGCAAGCAAGGCTGGTTCAATATACGCAAATCAATAAATGTAATCCAGCATATAAACAGAGCCAAAGACAAAAACCACATGATTATCTCAATAGATGCAGAAAAGGCCTTTGACAAAATTCAACAACCCTTCATGCTAAAAACTCTCAATAAATTAGGTATTGATGGGACGTATTTCAAAATAATAAGAGCTATCTATGACCAACCCACAGGCAATATCATACTGAATGGGCAAAAACTGGAAGCATTCCCTTCGAAAACTGGCACAAGACAGGGATGCCCTCTCTCACCACTCCTATTCAACATAGTGTTGGAAGTTCTGGCCAGGGCAATTAGGCAGGAGAAGGAAATAAAGGGTATTCAATTAGGAAAAGAGGAAGTCAAATTGTCCCTGTTTGCAGATGACATGATTGTATATCTAGAAAACCCCATCGTCTCAGCCCAAAATCTCCTTAAGCTGATAAGTAACTTCAGCAAAGTCTCAGGATACAAAATCAATGTGCAAAAATCACAAGCATTCCTTTACACCAACAACAGACAAACAGAGAGCCAAATCATGAGTGAACTCCCATTCACAATTGCTTCCAAGAGAATAAAATACCTAGGAATCCAACTTACAAGGGATGTGAAGGACCTCTTCAAGGAGAACTACAAACCGCTGCTCAAGGAAATAAAAGAGGATACAAACAAATGGAAGAACATTCCATGCTCATGGGTAGGAAGAATCAATATCGTGAAAATGGCCATACTGTCCAAGGTAATTTACAGATTCAATGCCATCCCCATAAAGCTACCAATGCCTTTCTTCACAGAATTGGAAAAAACTACTTTAAAGTTCATATGGAACCAAAAAAGAGCCCGCATCGCCAAGT
This sequence comes from Homo sapiens, assembly GCF_000001405.40. NCBI lineage: Eukaryota > Metazoa > Chordata > Mammalia > Primates > Hominidae > Homo > Homo sapiens. Next base: position 86,244,867 of record NC_000014.9, on the reverse strand, counting down.
CAATCCTAAGCCAAAAGAACAAAGCTGGAGGCATCACACTACCTGACTTCAAACTATACTACAAGGCTACAGTAACCAAAAGAGCATAGTACTGGTACCAAAACAGAGATATAGATCAATGGAACAGAACAGAGCCCTCAGAAATAACGCCGCATATCTACAACTGTCTGATCTTTGACAAACCTGAGAAAAACAAGCAATGGGGAAAGGATTCCCTATTTAATAAATGGTGCTGGGAAACTGGCTAGCCATATGTAGAAAGCTGAAACTGGATCCCTTCCTTACACCCTGCGTTGACTTCTAAGGGTTCTTTGTATATTTTAATAGCAGTGTCTTATCAACTGTATCTTTTGCAAATATTTTATCTCATTCTGGGGCTTTCTTTTAAATTTTATTTCATGTTTATTATCTTTTAATTATCTTGACCATATTTTTCATGAAGCAGAAGCTTTTTAATTTTAATAAAGTTCAGATTATTATTTATTTCTTTCATGAATTGTACTTCTGATGTTATATCTAAAATGTCATTATTATGCTCAAGATTACCTAGATTTCCTCCTGATATCTTCTAGGAATTTTATAGTTTTGCATTTTACATTTTGGTCTCTGATCCATTTTGAGTTATCTTTGTGAAAAGTATTGAGTCTATGTATGTCTAGATTTATTTTCTTTGCATGTGGATGTCAGTTGTTACAGAACTATTAGTTGAAGAGACTAGTTGTGTTCCATTATATTGCCTTTACTGTTTTGGTCGAAGCTTATTTGACTATATGTATGTGTATTTCTAGAATCTCTATTATATTTCATTAATATATCTTTTTATTATTTTACCAATAGAACACTATCTTGGTTACTGTAGCTTTATAGTAACTCCTGAAGTTAGGTAGTGTCATTTCTCTTACTTCGTTTTCATCTTTTAATATTTTGTTGACTAGTCTGAGTCTTTTGCCTCTCCATGTAAACTTTAGAATCAGTTTGTCAACATCCACAGAAAAGTGGGTGTTTCTGACTCAACATGTTGAAGTCTTTTTTGATTGTGACTGTGTTGAGTCTAAAAAAGGAGGGAATAACTGACATATTTTTTGTAAATAATCAACAGGTTTTATTTTTTAGTAGTTACATATATATATACACATATATATGTATATATATACATATATATGTATGTGTATATATATATACATATATATGTGTATATATACATATATATATGTGTGTGTGTGTATATATATATATATATATATATATATATATACAGAATAATTGAAAAGATAGCACATAAAGTTCCATATACTCACCCCTCATGTTTTCCCTATTACTAACTTCCTGCATTAGTATGGTACCTTTGTTATAATTAATGAACATAATATGGATGCATTTAACTAAAATCTACAGTTTACATTAGGGGTTCATTCTGTTGTATACTTTATGGGTTTTGACAAATGTGTGACATGTATACACCATTACAATATTATACAGAGTAGTTTCACTTCCTTAAAAATTCTGGGCTTCACCTATTCATTCTGGGTTTCACATCCCTAAAAATTCTGGACTCCCCTCCACTGACCCCTAGCAACCACTGATTTTTTTTCTGTCTATATTTTTATGATTTCTAAGATGTCTTATAATTAGAATCATACAATATGTAGCCCTTTCAGATTGATTGCTCTCATTTAGCTATATGCATGTAAGCATCTTCCTTGTCTTTTTCTGACTCAATAACTCATTTCTTTTTATCACTGAATAGAATTCCCTAGTATGATTGTGCCACAGCTTGTTATCCTTTATCTAGTGAAAGACATCTTTGTTTCTTCCAGTGTTTGGTGATAATAAATAAACATTCAAATGAAACTTTTTGTGTGTAGACAATAGTTTTCAACTCAACTGGGTAAATACCTAGGGGTGTGATTTTTGGATCATATGGTAAGACTATGCGTAGCCTTGTAAGAAACTGCCAAACTATCTCTTTTAAAGTGGTTGTACCATTTTGCATTCCCACCAGCAATGAATGAGGTACCTGTTGCTCTACATCCTTGACAGCATTGATTATAATTAGATTTTTGTTAGTTTTTTTGTATTTTAGCTGTTCTAGTAAAATGTTGCAATTTTCACAGTTGTTTGAATTTGCAATTCCCTAACACATGATGTTGAGCATATGCATGTTTGATATCTGTATATCACCACTTATATTTTGGTAAGGTGTCCACCCAGATCATTTGCTCACTTAAAAATATATTTGTTTTACATATAAAAATGCTCAACATCAGTAAATATCAGAGAGATGTAAATTATAACCACAATGAGATACCACCTTACTCTTGCAAGAATGGCCAGAATTAAAAAGTTAAAAAATAATAGATGTTGGGGTGGACGTGGTGGAAAGGGAACACTTTTACACTGCTGGTGGGATTGTAAACTAGTATAATCACTATGGAAAACAGTGTGGAGATTCATTGAAGAACCAAAAGTAGAATTACCATTAGATCCAACAACCTCACTACTGGGTATCTACTAAAAGAAAAGTAAGTTATTATATGAAAAAGACACATGCACTCACATGTTTATAACAGCATAATTTGCAAATGCAAAAATATGGAACTACCTAAGTACCCATCAACCAACCAGTGGATATAGAGAATGTAGTATGTATACAACATGGATTAGTACTAAGCCATAAAAAGAAATAAAATAATGTCTTTTCCAGCAATTTAGATGAAGCTGCAGGCCATTATTCTAAGTGAAGTAACACAGGAATGAAAAACCAAATATTGTGTATTCTCACTTATAAGTGGGAGTTAAGGCATGAGGATGCAAAGACATAAGAATGATAAAACAGACTTTGGGGATTCAAAGGGGAAGGGTGAGAGGAGAGTAAGGGCTAAAAGGCTAAATATTGGATACAGTGTACACTGCTCAGGTGACGGGTTTACCAAAATATCAAAAATCACCACTAAAGAACTTATCCATAACTACCTGTACCCTCAAAACTATTGAAACAACAATAATTTTTTAAGGAATGTTTGTTGTCTTACTGAGATTTTAATTGCTTTTAATTTCATGTGTAATAAATATTTTAATTGATTCATAATAATTGTACATGTTTATGGGACACATGAGATATCTTGATATATGCATAAAACATGTAATGAGCAAATCAGGTTAATTAGAATATCCATCACTTCAAACATTTATGATTTCTTTGACAATTTTTAGTCTCTATCAATAAACATGGATTATTTCTCAATTAGTTTAGTTCTTTGATTTATGAGAGCTTTGTGGTTGTCTTTATATACTTTTTGCACGTATTTTGATGGACTTATACATAAGTATTTCATTTTGAAAGGTGCTAATATAAATGGCATTGTGTTTTTAGTATCAAATTCTAGTTTTTTATTTCAGACATATGAATACATGATTGACCCTTGTGAATTAATTTTGTAGCCTACAATCTTGCTATAGTTACTTATTTGTTCTAAGAATATGTTGGCCATTCAAATAGTTTTTATTAAATATGTTATGAAACCAGCAACCCTGAAGTAGAACATTGCCATCAACTTGTATTTCCTGCCTATAATTATTATCTTGAAATCTTAAGAACTCCTATTATTATTATTATTATTTTATCATGGGACTATAGGTGGTAAATACTATAGTGTTGTTTATCTGTGAATAGCTTTATTTCACCTGTTTATTTAAAGTGTATTTTCTTTGAATATAGACTTATGGCTTGAAATTGTATTTTATTATTTTAAAGATTTCACTTTTCCTTTCTGTTTTTCATTATTTCTGTTAGAAATTCAGCCATTGGGCCGGGCACGGTGGCTCATGCCTGTAATCCCAGCACTTTGGGAGGCCGAGGCGGGCGGATCACGAGGTCAGGAGATCGAGACCATCCTGGCTAACACGGTGAAACCCCGTCTGTACTAAAAAATGCAAAAAATTAGCCGGGCGTGGTGGCAGGCGCCTGTGGTCCCAGCTACTCGGGAGGCTGAGGCAGGAGAATGGCCTGAACCCGGGAGGCGGAGCTTGCAGTGAGCCGAGATGGCGCCACTGCACTCCAGCCTGGGCGACAGAGCGAGACTCCATCTCAAAAAAAAAAAAAAAAAAAAAAAAAAAGAAATTCAACCATCATAATTCTAATTCCAGGAAGATGGATAAAATCTAATTTCCCCTATTTCTCCTGCAATGAACACAAATAACCTTGACATTATATGTAAAATAAACATAAGATTCTGAAATTTGAACAGAGGACAGCAAGATGGCTAGGCACCGAGGAACCCACGAAACAAGGAATAACAGGACGCTGAGTTTTCTGGAGTTTCATTTATCCTATATATCCTTGACTTGGATCAAAAGAATTTGACAATATGAACATGCCAATGGGTACAGATTTTTTTAAATGTCAAAAAGCATGCTTTCCCTAGACAAGTAACAACAACAAAAAAAGAATTCTAGCAAGACAGAAAACTTACAGAAAATAGCCACTCTACCACAGCCATGCGCTACACAAAAATCTGTGGCTCACCTTCACTCATGCTAGCAAAAGCTGAGTGGGGAGCCTAGACTTCTACCCCTGCAGTCTGTACAAAGATTTCCAATACCACCATTGGGGTGAGGACAAAGAAGTCAGGTGGGGAGCCAACACTTTTGCCTCTGCCCAATGGTAATGAGGTCAAACACCTCCTCACTTCTATTGGAGTATCAAGTGGACCATGTGGGAGGAAGTGACAAAGCATCCTTAACCATCACAGGGAGGGAGATATCAGTGGGACCGAGGGGAAGCCGTGAATTCTGTTCTCAACCAGTGGATACAAGAAGTTTCACCACTCCCAACTGCCAACAGAGGCTGAGTGAAGAACCTAAATTTCTACCTGTACATAGGAGTAAAAAGGTGGTGCTCCCTCTTTCTCTGCCAGCGTAGTATCAGAAAAATCCAGCTATGACCTAAGGCTTAATATGATCCAAAGTCACACAATATAATACCAAAAATGTTTTTATTTTTATTAAAAACCCCTTCTCAGATAAAGAACGAGGAAGATGTCAGACTGGAAGCGAAAAAGATAATTCATATTTTTGGACACTGTGATGACAGAGGTGTTAAAACTATCTGAGAAAGATTTTAAAGCAACCATCATAAGCATGCCTCAATGAGCAGTTATAAACATTCTTGAAACAGATGACAAAATAGAAATTATCAGCAAAGAAGATACAAAAAAGAAACAAATAAATTGATTTTTTTTAAATAAAAAGCTCTGTAACTGTGAACTTGAAGAGAAAATGATAGAAATTGCTCAATCTGAGCAACAGGAAGAAAATACTTTGATAAAATAGAATAAACAGAGCCTCGGGTACCTGTAAGACTATTACAAAACATCTAACATTTGAGACATCGGATATCCAGGAGAAGAGGGCAAATACAGTGGGGGTAAAAAGGTACTCAAAGAAATAATGACGGAAAACATCCCAGATTTGGCAAAAGACATAAACCTACAGAGTTAGGAAACTAAGCAAATCACCAACAGGGTAATCCACCAAAAGATCTATCAAGATCATAGTCAACTATCTAAAAACTAAAGGCAAAAAAATCACCTTGAAACCAGAAAAAGAACAATGACACTTCACTTGTAAGAGAAGAGTGATTTTAAAAAGCATTGATTTTTCATCGGAAACCTTGTAGGCCAGAAAGAAGTGGCACAGCTTTTTTAAATGACCAAAAAGACTTTTTGTCAATCCATGATCTTATGTCCTGTGAGAATGTCCTTCAGGTATAAAGGGCAAAACATGGCATTCATAAAAGAAGAAACACTAAGAGAATTTGTCACCAGCAGACTTTCTCATAAAGAATGACTATAGAAAGTTCTCTAAACACAAAGGAAATAATAAAAGAAATTTGGAATATCCAGAAAAAAAAAAAACCGTGTAAGCAAAAAACTATGGGTAAATAAAATAGATTTTCCTCCTCCTCTTTATTTTTCTAAATTATGCTTGAGGTTTGACACAAAATGTTTGACACTGTCTGATACATTTCTACATTTTTGTAGAGGAAACGGTGAAAACAATTACACTATAAATTGAGTCAGGTAGTAAAGGGATGTAAAGTGAGATATCTATAATTTACATGAACTGTAAAAATAATGACACTCATAGATGGTGATGAGTTGCGTATGTATAATGTAATAATTAGAACAACCACTAAAAAAACTATATGAAGTACTGTAGGTTGAATTGTGTTCCCAGAAAGTGTATGTGGAGTTATAATCCTCAGTACCGCAAAATGTGACATTGTTTGGAGATACGTCTTTATAGAAGTAATCAAATTAAAATGAGATTCTTAGCTTGAGGGAATAGCTACTCCATTTTCCATGATGTGAATTATTATTCATTGTATGTTTGTACTAAAGCATCACATGTACCCCATATATATATATATGTGGGTACTGTGTACCAACAAAAATAAAGGTTTCTGCACATAAAAAAGACAATAGTATATTTAAGAACATAACAGTAATTTCCTTAAATGATCCAAAGCCAGCAATTAAAAGACAAAACTTGGCAAGGTGTATTAACAAATGTGAATCAACTATATGCTGTTTATAAGAAACTCATTTCAAACACAATGATATAGGCAGTAATACAGTACAGCAGGAGTGGCCACAGTAATATTTAACAAGTTAAATTTCAGAACAAAAAAGTTATCAGACACAAAGATGAGCATTATATAATGCCAAAAAAAATGTTCAATCCCCTGAGAAAACAACAATCCTAAATGAGCATGTGCCAAACAACAGAGATGCAAACCATGCAGAACAGAGTATAACAGAACTTAAGGGGGAAATAGACAACTCTACAGTCACAGCTGGAGATTTCAACACCCTTCCCCCAACCATTTATACAGTAACAAGACAGAAAAAAAACTTTACCTCATTACCACTGGGCAGAGGCAAAAGTGTTGGCTCCCCACCTGACTTCTTTGTCCTCACCCCGATGGTGGTAACGGAAATCTTTTTTACAGACTGCAGGGATAGAAGTCTAGGCTCCTCACTCAGCTTTTGTTGGCATGAAGGAAGGTGAGCCACAGATTTTTGTGTAGCACATGGCTGTAGCGGGGTGGCTTTTATCTATAAGTTTTCGGTCTTGCTAGAATTCTTTTTTTTTTTTCCTGTTACTTGTCTAGGGAAAGCATGCTTTTTGAGATTTTAAAAAATCTGTGCCTATTGGCATGTTCATATTGTCAAATTCTTTTGATCCAAGTCAAGGATATGTAGGATAAATGAAACTCCAGAAAACTCAGCGTCCTGTTATTCCTTGTTTCGTGGGTTCTTCGGTGCCTAGCCATCTTGCTGTCCTCTGTTCAAATTTCAGAATCTTATGTTTATTTTACATATAATGTCAAGGTTATTTGTGTTCATTGCAGGAGAAATAGGGAAAACTATATCTTATCCATCTTCCTGGAATTAGAGTTATGATGACTGAATTTCTAATAGAAATAATGAAAAACAGAAAGGAAAAGTAAAATCTTTAAAATAATAAAATACAATTTCCAACTATAAATCAAAGATATAGAAGAATTCAGCAACACCAAACTGAAAATAATTACAGAAAGATAGCAGGAAAATATTTAAACACTTGGAAACTAATCAATGCGTCAAAGAGAAAGACTCAAAGAAAATAATAATTTAAAAAGTAGAAAGAGCTTAATGAAAATATAAATGCAATATGTCAAATATATGAGAAAAAGCTAAAGTAGTGTTGAGGAAAATTTCTAGCAGTAAATTAACAATCTAAGCTCTCATCTTAAGAATGTAGAAAAATGAGAGCAAAATAGAACCAAAGCAAGCAGCAGAAAAGGAACAAAAATCCATGAGAAGAAATCAATGAAATCTAAAACAAAACTTTAAAAATTACTGAAGAATATCAACAAATCAATAAGCCAGTTCCTTTAAAAGATCAATTAAATTGCCAAACATCTAGCACGAATGACAAAGAAAAAAGAGAGACGATGCAAATTACCAATATCCAGAATGAAACAGTAGGTATCACTTTTTTTTTATTTTTATATGTACATAATATGTGGATAAATTTATGGGACACATGACATTTTTGATATAGGCATACAATACATAATAATCATATCAGGGTAAATGGGTATCTATCACCTCAAGCATTTATCCTTTCTCTGTATTACAAACAACTAATTATATTCCTTTAGTGATTTGTAAATGTACAATAAATTATTGTTTACTGTAGTCACCCATTGGGCTATCAAATACCAGATCTTCTTCATTCTATTCAACTATACTTTTGTATCCATTAACCATTCTTATTTCCCTCACCACCCTCGCCCCACTACTTTTTCAGTCTCTAGTAACCATTATTCTGCTCTCTATTTCCATGAGTTCAATTGTTTTAATTTTTAGCTCCCACAAATAAGTGATAACATATGTAATTTTTCTTGATGTCTTGCTTATGTCACTACACATAATGACATCCAGTTCCATGGTGTTGTTATGAATGACAGGATCTCGTTCTCTTATATGGTTGAATAATATCATTCCATTGTGTACACGTATTACTTTTTCTCTATCCATTGGTCTGTTTATGGATACTTAGGTTCCTTCCAAATATCAGCTATTTGAATAGTGCTGCAAACATGAGAGGAAGTGCAGATACCTATCTCTTTGATACACCAATTTCCTTTCCTTTGGGTATATATCTAGAAGTGGGGTTGCTAGATTGTATGGCAGCTCTATTTTTAATTTTTTTGAAGAACCTACAAACTGTTCTCCATAGTGGTTGTACTAATTTACATTTCAACCAACAGTGTATGGGGATGGAGGGGTCCCTTTTCTCCACATCCTTGCCAGCATTTGTTATTGCATGTCTTTGGACAAAAGTGATTTTAACTGGGGTGAGATGATTTCTCATTGTAGTTTTGATCTGCATTTCTCTGATGATCAATCACATTGAGAACTTTTCTATATACCTGTTTGCCATTTGTGTGTCTTCTTTTGATAATTGTCTATTCATATCTTTTGCCCATTTTTAATCAGCAGGAAAGATTTTTTTCCTACTGAGTTGTTTGAGCTCCTTATATATTCTGGTTATTAATTACTTATCAGACAGATAGTTTGAAAATATATTCTTCCATTCTGTGGACTGTATCTTCACTTTTCTGTTTTTTTTTCTTTCCTGTTCAGCTTTTTAACTTGATGTGATCTTATTTGTCCATCTTTGCTTTGGTTGCCTGTGCTTATAAGGTATTACTCAAGAAATATTTGCAAAGACCAATGTCCTGAAGGGTGTCCCAATATTTTCTCATAGGAATTTCATAGTTTGAGGTCTCAGATTTAAGTCTTCAATCCATTTTGATTTGATTGTTGCATATGGTTTCATTGATCTGCATATGGATATCCAGTTTTCCCAGCACCATGTATTGAAGACATTGTCCTTTCCCCAATGCATGTTCTTGGCAACTTTTTAAAAAATGAATTCACTGCAGATGTATGGATTGTTTCTAGATTTTCTATTCTGTTTTATTGTCTCCTTTTATGCCAGTACCATGTTATTTTGGTTACTGTAGCTCTGTAGTGTAATCTGAAGTCAGGTAATGTGATCCTTCCAATTTTATACCTTTTGCTTAGGGTAGCTTTGACTATTCTGGGTCTTTTGTAGTTCTACATAAATTTTAGGATTGTTTTTTCTATTTCTGCGAAGAATGTCACTGGTGTTTTAATAGGGATTATATTAAATCTGTAGGTTGCTTTGGGTAATATAGACATTTTAACAACATTTATTCTTCTAATCCATGAAGATGGAATATTTTTCCATTTTCTGTCCTCTTCAATTTCTTGCATTAATATTTTATAGTTTTCATTGTAGAGATATTTCATTTCTTTAGTTAATTCCTAGATATTTAATTTTATTTGTAATTGCTATAAATGAAATTACTTTCTTGATTTCTTTTTAAGATTCTTTGTTGCTGGCGTATAGAAATGCTACTAATTTTTGTATGTTGATTTTGTATCTGAAACTTTACTGAATTTGTTTACCAATTCTAATACTTTTTTGATGTAGCCTTTAGGTTTTTCCAAACATAAGATAACATCTGCAAATAAATGATAATTTAACTTCTTTCTTTCCAATTTGGGTGCCCTTTGTTTTCCTTTTGCCTGATGGATCTAGCTAGGACTTGCAGTACTATGTTGAATAACAGTGGTGACAGTGGACATCCTTGTCTTCTTCCAGATCCTAGAGGAAAGACTTTCAGTTTTTCCCCATTCAGTATAATACTAGCTGTGGGTCTGTTGTATATCATTTTTATTGTGTTGAGCTATGTTCCTTCTATATTCAGTTACTTGAGGATTTTTATCATGAAGAAATGTTGAATTTTATCAGATGTTTTTTCAGCATCAATTGAAATGATCATATAGCTTTTATCTTTCATTATGTTGTTATGATGCATCACATTAATTGATTTGCATATGTTAAACCATCCTTGCATGCCTGGGATAAATCCTATTTGGTTGTAATGAATCATCTTTTTAATGTGTGGCTGAATTCAGTTTGCTAGTATTTTATTAAGAATGTATGCATTAATGTTCATCAGGGATATTGGCCTGTAGTTTTCTTTTCTTTTTTTTGGTGATGTGTTTTTTTCTGATTTTGGTATCAGGGTAATAGTGGTCTAATATGATTATTTTGGATGTATTCCTTTTTTCTCCATTTTTTGGAGTAGTTTGAGTAGGTTTGCTGTTATTTATTTACCTGTTTGATATTCAACAGAGAAACCATCAGGTCCTGAACTTTTCTTTGCTAGGAGAGCATTTATTACAGTTTCAATCTTGCTACTTGTTATCTGTCCATTCAGGTTTTGGGTTTCTTCACAATTCAATCTTGAAAGTTATACGTGCCTAGAAATTTATCTGTTTTTTTTTTCTAGGTTTTTCTAATTTATTGACATATAATTGCTCATAGTAGCCTCAAATAGTCTTTTCAATTCCCGTGGTAGCAGTTGTAATGTCTCCTTTTTCATCTCTGATTTTATTTATTGGGGTCTTCTCTCTTTGTTTCTTAGTCTGGCTAAACACTTGTCAATTTTCTTTAACTTTTCAAAAAATCAATTTTTTGTTTTGTTAATCTTTTATATGAGTTTTCCTGTTTTAATTTCATTTATTTCTGCCCTAACCTTTATTATTCCCTTCTAAAAATCTTGGATTTGGTTTGTGCTTGCTTTTCTAGGTCCTTAGGTTGTTTATTTGAAGTTTTTTCACTTTTCTGACATAGAAAAACATTTTTTCACTTTTCTTGCTGCTATAAACTTTCCTCTCATTACTTCTTTCATTGTATCCCACAGGTTTTGGAATGTTGTGTTTCTGTTTTCATATGTTTTAATAAATTTTTCAATTTCCTTCTTAATGTCTTCATTGAGTCACTGGTCATTAAGGAGCAAATTGTTTAATTTCCATTTGTTTATATAGTTTTCAAGATTCCTGTTTTGATTGATTTCTAGTTTTATTCTATTGTGGTCAGAGAAGACATTTGATATAATTTTAATTTTGGGAGGGGCATTTTTTAAGACTTGTTTTGTGACCTAACATATTGTCTATCCTTGAGAATGAGCCATGTGCTAAGGAGATGAATATGTATTCTGTAGCCATCAGATAAAATTTTCTGTAAATATCTATTAGGTCCATTTATTCTGCAGTGCAGATTAAGTCCGATGTTTTTTTCTTGACTTTCTGCCTGGATGATCTGTCCAATGCTAAAAGCGGGGTATTGAAATCTCCACCTATTATTATTGTATTGGAGTCTAGCTCTCTCTTTACCTCTAATAATATTTTTTATATATCTGAGTGCTCCAATGTTGGAGGCATGTATATATAAAGCTGGTATTAATATATTCTCTTGGTAAACTGACATCTTTATCATTATATAATGACCTTCTTTGTCTCTTGTTAAAGTTTGTGCCTTGAAATCTATTTGGTCTGAAATAAGTATAGTTACCCTTCATCTTTTTTAGTTTCCATTTGCATAGAATATCTTTTTCCATCCCTTTATTATCAATCTACCTGTATCTTAATAGGTGAAATGTGTTTCTTGTAGGCAATACATTGTTGTTGGGTCTTGTTCTTTATCCATTCAGCTTTTCTGTATCTTTTGATTAGAAAGTTTAGTTCATTTACATACAATAATATTATTGATGGTAAGGACTCCCTCCTGACATTTTTTTTATTTGTTTTCTGGTTGTTTTGTGGTCTACTCTTCTTTCTTTCTTTTACCAGGAAAGTACAGTGGAGCTGGTCATTTTAATTCAATCAGGAGCTAAACTGAATTGAGGCTGGGTTGTAGATTTAGCAGTGTTCTTTCAACTCTAAGTCTCCTTGCTTACAGAATTGTAGGTGAGAACCTGTGGTATTATTCACAGAGGATCCTGACACTGGCATGTCCTGAACACTAATCATTGTCTCCTCAGAATATTAATACTGTGAAACTTTTATTTTTAAAAGATTTTTCATGTGCTTTTTAATTTTGACCTCTGAAGATTCCAATGTAGAAAAACGTCTTGCAGGAAAATTCTGTCAAAAGCTTCAACTCAGATTTCTCTTCCTTTTTACCAGAGTTTCAGTCCTCAATAATCTAAATTTGTCTCTGCATCCCTGCCAGATTCTTTTTGGCGAGATTGTTCTCAGGATGTCTCTAAGAAGAATGAGAGTCCAACACTGAAAATGTTCGTAGAGTTTTAAACTTTCTCCCAAGCAAAACAACCCAAAAGACATTCCAAATGGATGATCATTTAGTTTTTATTTAAATATATAGAAGTATGGCAATAGTCTACTGTAAAATGCATTGGTTTATACTTTAGAACATTTATAATTGTTAAGAACAGCTGACATTAGTATGGTCCTTTGGAACACTTTCAAGTATTATCTCCACACTGAAAATATTCTATGAAGTCCAATATGGACATTTTACAAATCTGAGTAAATCTCAACCCTATGGCACTGAATAAAACAATATTTCCATATTATTCATCTTAGAGTACATTGACAATTATTGTTCTTCAGATCTCTAGATAGTTTGAGCCTCCTTACTCTTTTCGAGCTCGTCTCTTCTCCCTCCATTGCCTTCTGTCTTCACTGACTCATTTTCAGGTCCTAATGTTGGAAGCTTCCTACCTCAGCTCAAGGACTTTACCTATCTCTTTGATTCCAACTGCCTAATACATGTGACACCAAACCTAACTGTCTGAGAATGTATTTTAGCCTTTTATCACAACTCCATTCAAAGCACAACACATTTTTCCTTATAGCTTTTTTCACCATTACTGTTGTACGTTAAGTTAAGCCACTATGATTAATTTCTTTCTTCCTCACTTAACACTATGTGCCATAGATTTTACTGCTCATTGACATCATAACCTGAACACAGTACTTTCAAATATAGAAGTTTGAGGGAACCTATAAACATTTATTAAGTGGCAGTGAGAGAGGAAAACTGAAGAAAGTAATACATGTACTATCTTTACTCCTAATGTGGGTGGGCCACATCCAATCAGTTGAAGGCCTGAATAGAACAAAAATGTTGACCCTCCCATGAGTAACAGTGAACTGTTCCTGCCTTTCTGCTTTGAGCTGGGATGACAGTCCTTTCTTGCATTCACACTAAAAGAAACATTGGCTCTTCTCAAGCCTGCCAGGTTTTGTACTGGAAGTATACCATTAGCTTCCCTACGTATTTAGTTGGCCAACTGCAGGTCCTGGAGATTCTCAGCCTCTTGATACTATACCTTAAAATAAATCCACCAATTTGCAACATCTATATCTGTATATCTATGTGTGTCTCCTATTCTGTTTCCCTGGAGAATCCTAATACAAATGATTTCCTCTTCTTGATAATATCTAATTTGAGACCAGCCTGGACAACATAGCAAAATCCCATCTCTAGAAAAAAAAAAAATAGTCAGAATTGGTGGCACACACTTGTAGTCCTAGCTACTTGGGGTGGGAGGGGAGGTGAGGTTGGAGGATCTCTTGAGCCCAGGAAGTCAGGGCTGCAGTCAGCAGTAATTGTGCCACTGCACTCCAGCCTGGGTGACAGAGGCCGACCCTGTATCTAAAATAAAATAAGTATAACTAGCTTTAGTATCTTCAATTATTTTTGATGAAAGTCTAAAACATTTACTTCATTCAGTAGTGCTTTTTTCATTGTTAAGGTAATCTAAACCCCAAATATAATTAAATCTGGTGCAGTAACTTTTTAAAGGTGTTTACATATATATTTTCTTTCTTTATTTTCCTATATGTGTCTCATCCAAGCAGGGAAAACTATTTTTGTGGATTTTCTTGCCAAGAGGAAGCTTGTAACAAGGAAAAAAGCAGAAATTGCCCATGAGAAAATTCTCAGCTGGGCGTGGTGGCTCACGCCTGTAATCCTAGCACTTGTGGGAGGGCGAGAGGGGCGAATTGCCTGAGCTCAGGAGTTTGAGACCAGCCTGGGCAATATGGTGAAACCCTGTCTCTACTAAAATACAAAAAATTAGCTGGGCGTGGTGGCAGGCACCTGTGGTTTCAGCTACTTGGGAGGCTAAGGCAGGAGAATTGTTTGAATCCAGGAGGCAGAGGTTGCAGTGAGCCGAGATTATGCCACTGAACTCCAGCCTGAGCAACAGAGAGAAAAAAAAAAAAAGAAAAAGAAAATTCTCTTTAAGGCCACTATTTTTTTTTCAAAACCTCAAGGCACTGAGGAGATTATGCTGAATGTCCTGTAAGGACCAGAGAAGCAGAAACATTCTTAAGAGAAAGAAGGAGTTTCCTAATCAAGAAAGGTCTGTTACTTTCTGTCCCACTTCCCTGACTTTGCCCTGGGAGGGAATAACATCAAGAGAAATATTACTTAAATCTAAGCTTGTCAATGATTCTTGGGCTCTATGTGGGACACAGAAACAGTAAAGCTAGCAGGCCCCAGGCAACACAGGGACAGCAGGCTTTGCGGTAATTGAGGCAGACAAATAGCCAAGGGCTGAAGGTGTCTTTGTGCTATTTTAGGCCACTGAGAATTTGCACTATCCTGGGATGCAAAAAGATTTTAGGGAAAAATGAGATTATCTTTCATGTCCCCAGGGCAGGTTGAGAACTCACAGTAAAACATCAAACTCACTCAAGACCAGGAAGTATTGTTCAATATGTTGGATACCTGGCTTCATGGACTGGAATTTATATTTTTAATATAGCCTATTTGCCACAGAAAGATGAGCTGAGGACTAACCTTGTTCATCTCTTTCACAAACTTTAGATCTAGTACTTACAAGCATATCTTCCAATAAGTAAAAGCATGACAGAGATATCAAGACTAGTTAAACTAGATTGCATTGGTTGAGTCACAAAAGATAGGTGATGACACATAAATACTCATAATTATGCTACAAAGTTGACAATCCATGGAGAAACTAGTTAAAGTTCACTTTTCTTTGAGTAATCATAATTTAATCTTTCCGCAAAATAGGAAACGTCACGGTATTTGGCTTATTCTTAATCAGGTGTTACTACCATCATCATTTACATGTAATATTTACAAAATATTTAATGTAAGCTTTGGAACCAGATCTCAGAAACAATCCATCTGCATAAACATTTGCAAAAATGAAAGTATAGCCTACAGAAAACAATAACGTCTCAGAATATCACCAGTAACAATCCTCAAATCTCAGGAATTAACATATTTTTATTACTGTTGGCTGTGAATTCAACCTTAAATTTTTGTCCAGATTAGAAAAAATATATACATGAATACATTTATTCACTTCCTCTTAACTTTTCTGTATTTTCTTGTTTTCGGAAAGCCAATTATTTGTGATAGCTGTAGCTAACAAGCACATTTGTTTACTTCTCAGCTCTAGCATGTCTAGGGAAGGTTTAAGGATTTGAGTGCTTTCTTTCTCTGACCCAAAGTAGAGCTATTAATTGCAGAGAACACTATCTGCTGCTTCTAATAAAGAACAAAGGCAAACAAAGATAAAACACATGCAAAACAATACAAAAAAACAAACCAAAATTCTGGAAGAGCAGAACAAAGTTGGATTACTATGATAACCTATGGCTCTTCGGGTATTTCTCAATAGAAAAGTTTTTTTTTTTCTCCTTCTTTCATTAATTTTCATTCAAGTTATCAGCCATATCATTCAAAAAGCCATTCCACATTGCAGACAGTTAAAATATTGTAAATAATAGAAATGTATACAGATGTCATCATTCAATAAATGCTTATGGTTGCCTGCCTTGTACTGGGTACTTGGGTACTGATCATGTAACAGTAAAAAAAAAATCAGATAAAAAATCACTTCCTCTACAGAACTTGTATTCTAGTGAGAGTATGTGTGGATGGGATGGGGGAAAATAAAACATAAAATAAATGTATAATAACAATAGGAGCTAGGTGCGGTGGTTCACACCTGTAATCCCAGCACTTTGGGAGGCCAAGGCTGATGGATCACTTGAGATCAGGAGTTTGAGACCAGATTGACCAATGTGGTAAAACCCCATTTCTACTAAAAATACAAAAATTAGCCAGGTGTAGTGGTGCATGCCTTTAGTCCCAGCTACTCAGGAGGCTGAGGCACCAGAATCACTTAAACCCGGGAGGTGGAGGTTGCAGTGAGCCGAGATCAAACCCTCAATAAAAAGGGTTTCTTAGTTTGTTTGCACTGCTGTAACAGAATACTATAGGCCAGGTGGTTTATAAACAACATAAATTTATTTATTACTGTTCTAGAGCCTGGAAGTCCAGGATCAAGGTGCCAGCAGATTCAGTATCTTGTGAGGGCCTGCTTCCTAATTTAGAGGAGGCTTTTTGCTGTGTTCTCACATTACAGGAGCAGAAAGGAAAAGTCTCTTGGGCCTCTTTTATAAGGACATGAATTACCTCAAAAACACCCCCTCTCCAAGTAACATCAAATTGAGAATTAGGTTTCAATGTATAAAGTTGAGGTGGGGGACAAAATTCAGTCTATAACGTCAGGATTGTCTGTGATTTTAAATCATTGATGACCTCACTAAAAAGTAAAGGTCTGAAGAAGGTGAAAACACAAATGGTGAGGATACCATGGAGAGTGGTATTCCAGGGTAGAGAGAGCTACAGGGGAAATGTCCTTAAGGTAGAAACATACCTGATGTGGTAGGAGAGAAACAAAGAAGTACTGTGGCAAGAGGAGCGTCACCAAATAACACAGTCATAGAAGAGTAAGTCAAAGAGGTAATGGGGTGGCAATCATCTGGGGACCTCCAAACCATTTTACCATTGAGTTTTACCCTGGGATAGATGGAAAGCTACTGGAAACTTTGAAGTAAGGAGTAATGTAATCTGAACTCATTTTTAAAGGGATCATTACTCCATCTGTTGTGTTGAGGAAAGACTACTGGGGGCTAAGGGTAGAACACAGCTAGAAGTTCAAGCCAGGGGGAGATGGAAGGCATTTACAACAATACAGTGGATGGCAGCTGGTTGACTGGAGTACAGTGCTTGGGGACGGAAAAATGGGAAATGCTGGTCAGAATATGCATACGTTCTGGAGGAAAGCCACCATTTATTAGTGAACTGAATAGAAGAGGAGAGAGAAACAGAGGAGTTCAGAAAATTTCTCCTGAAGAAAAGGCGGGGTAGGGTTGCCAAAACTGGATTTCAGGACATTGACCCAGCCAAGAGATAAAAAAAAAATTGGGAGTAGTGTGTGCTAGATGTATTTACAACCATGGGGAAGGATGAAATAACCAAGTGAGTAAGGGATGATAAAGAAGGAAATAAGAAAAATAAGAAACAAAACAGAAGGCTTTTTCCCAATTAGGCTAAAATCTGAAGCTTGTTGCAGTTATAGCTTTACTTGTTTTAATTAGTAACATTTAGTAAACTCACTAAATGCAGGCACTGCAAAGAAGCGGAGATATAATAATATGTTAGTGATAGTCCTTCCATCAAACCATGTACAGTCTTGTTTTGGAAGGGGATTAGAATAATGATACTAACCTTAGAGAATTATATAAGGTTTGCTTAAGAGATGGAAATAAATACATTAACCTGGTGTACTGTTATAAAAGTCGTTGTGGTATGCCTGTATTCTAAGGGATTTCAGAAATATAAGTAATATCATGTGAAGATGCTGATAACCATGATAACAGGAATGATGACAGTAGTTAATCTTTACTTGGTGTGAAGGTGAGCATCCACGCTGGTGAGATCAGGTGGAGAAATGAATGAAGAACTTAGATATGTTGAATCTGAAGTATTTGTGGAGCATACATGAAGGAGGCCAAGCAACAAATGGATGAAAACCCAGAATTCAAGGGGATGATCAGTGCTTGGCTTGTAGATATTCTCTCCCAAGCAGCATATTTGGGGTAAAACAAAAATGGATCCATGACAGAATCATGGAAAAGACCCATTTTTAAGAATTTTGTAAAGAAAGTCAGAAAAGGGTAGTCAGAAAAGTAAGAGAGCTTTCATGATGGCCAAGTTAAAAAAAAAAAAAAAAAAGCAAGAAAACCAACTCATGTCTCCAGTAAGAAGATAATGGCTGAAATTTGTGAATTGAATTTGGCAATAAGGACATTATTGGCAATAACTGCCAAGATAATTTCAATAGAGAAGAGGCAAAAGCAATAATGCAATGAGCTAAAGAGCATATGAGAAACCAAGAATCAGGGATGTTACTGGAGCCTTGACTTCTAAAAGCCCATCTGAGTAGTAAGGGAGGGTGATGTCACAGCAGTACAGTAACAGGAGTCACAACATCTGTTGTGACTGCTCTTCAGGTTTGAGAACATATGTAAGGCAGAGGAAAGAAGTCATTAGCAAGCCTAAAACAGGAAACTTAGAAAAAGCAACAAGACATGATGAATAACTACTAAAGTTAAGGGAATAATGACTGGAAACATCTCAACCTCTGAAAAGGAAAGCTGCATTTAGAAAGCTTGAAAATTGAGGGTAGTCAGAAATTAAAAGAGCCCACACTTACATGACCTTAATCTAAGTTGGTTGAAGACATTATCTGAGAATAAGGAAGATTAAAAACAGGAAGGAAGTCAGACGTGGTGGCTCATGCCTGTAATCCTAGCACTTTGGAAGCTGAGGCCAGTGGATCGCTTGTGCCCAGGAGTTGAAGACTAGCCTTGGAAACATAGCAAAACCCCATCTCTACAAAAAATAAAAAAATAAAAAAAAATTACCCAGGTTTGGTGATGTGCTCTTGTGTGGTCCCAGCTATTCAGGAGGCTGAAGTGGGAGGATTGCTTGAGCCCAGGAAGTGGAGGCTGCATTGAGCTATGATTGCATCGTTGCACTCCAGCCTTGGTGACAGAGAGAGACCCTGTCTCAAAAACCAAACGAAAACATCAACAACGAATAACAAGATGGGCAGGAAATTAGAGGAGACTGGTGATTCTTGGTGTCGGAAATGAGAAAGAGTAGCATGTGTTCAAGGAACAGGAGATTCAAAAGGTGCTGAAGCGATTGTGGAGTCTGGAGACCACAAATTTAGAATGTTTTCTTTTTGTTTGTTTGTGATACCCAGGAATTTATATACCTACAAAAGGCAGGATGTTGTACTGAAAGATCAAAAAGACAGTGTCCTAATGAGATATTTGGGCCCTTGAATTGAGCTGTGCTCAGAATCAGTTGGGCTCCTAGACTGTGTCATTGGAGTCAATAAATTTCTGGACACAGTGGTTTGGAGACAATAAATTAATTTTTGCTTGAATAATTTGAGTTAGGGCCCTGTTCTTACAACTAAAAGTGTCACAACTCATTCCCTTTGGTATGTAGTAAAATATAAAATGCCAAGAAGGGGATGACGAATAATAAGAAAAAGGGATGAGTAATGTCTACAGAAGCTAAGATCAGGTGAGGTGATGGTAAAGCTGTGATAATGTTGGAATGATAAGAGACTGTGTAACAGATGCACATTAGAGGCCGGGCACAGTGGCTCACGCCTGTAATCCCAGCACTTTGAGAGGCCAAGGCGGGTGGATCATGAGGTCAGGAGATCGAGACCATCCTGGCTGTCATGGTGAAACCCCATCTCTACTAAAAATACAAAAACTTATCTGGGCATGGTGGCAGGTGCCTGTGGTCCCAGCTACTCGGCAGGCTGAGGCAGGAGAATGGCGTGAACCCGGGAGGTGGAGCTTGTAGTGAGCCGAGATTGCGCCACTGCACTCCAGCTTGGGCGACAGAGCGAGACTCAGTCACAGAAAAAAAAAGAGAGACGCATGTTAGATTCCGGATGCGAAGCAATTCTAAGAAATAATGCCCAGCTCTGAACTAGGACATAGGCATGGAGAAGTTCAGGGAATTGTGAAGTTAGAGTATTGATGATTTTACTCTCATATAAGATAGGCTCCTCCAGAATATGACAATATTAAAGATCCAGTTACAAACTCTCAGATATTAATTTAAATCTTGTCTCTGATACTGGCTATGTTACTTAATTTATCTGAGATTTGGTTTCCTCATACATAAAATGAAGATAACTATGATATCCACTACTAAACTACTAGAACTAAAGTTCTATAGGTATTAACTGAATCTATCTAAACATAGCATAGCATGGCTATATTTTGGCTTTTTATTAAATATTTTTAAATACTGGCTTAGAGACGAGAGACTAAGATAACTACATGTTTAATGAATATGGAATAATCTATGAAAAGAGATTTTTCTTTGATAGCATTACTGTTACTATTATTACCAACTTCTGAAAGGATATCAACTTCCTTTCAGAAGTTGGTAATAATAGTAATAGTAGTGGTATCAAAATAATAGCAATAAAATTGTTTCTGTGTCTAGGGACTGGGTGTATAGTGGTGCTATTCAGAATAGTAGAATATATCCATTTATTTATCCATTAAGAAATGTTAATTTAGAGTGTACAAAAGTTTCAGGCCCTATTTTTGAAATTTTTAGAGAGTTCCATAAAGAAGTCACATAAGCCACACAGGGATATTGGAGAATATAAGAAAAACAGAGAGATAAGGACATATCATTGGAGAAAACTGACATTTTAGACTTCAGAAATTATGGTGAAAAAGTCATTCCTGGTAAAGTAAAATTCATTGATTCATTCATTCATTCAGACAACATATTTTGAACATTTTGATAAAGTCAGACTGCACAAAGCACTTGAAATAAACAAATGAATAGTAGAAGTAAGAAGACAGGCAACACATGCACCTAGTACTGTCTGAGATTATTGTCCTGAGCCTTAACTCTACTCCAGCCTACTGGTCCATGTTCTCCAGCAGAAGGCCCTGGGGTGTGTATGAAGATAGAATATTAGGTCCTTACACTGGGTTTATTCCATAACCAGGTCAAAGCCTGACTTCTTCTTAAGGAATCTGGCTGTAGTATATATAGGTAGTCAATTAGTAGTTTAAAAATGCAATGTGGTGTTTGTTACTTAGTTCTACTAATTTCCAAGAGATTAAGTTCTTCTGCTAGTATCTAATTTAGAAACAGTCAAAGAAAATGGTTGGATCAAATTATTTTGTGGACATGTGTTTCCTCCCTCTTTCTCTAGTTGGTGGTTTTTGCTGCTGCATGTTATGACACTTAAGAACAAAAAAAATTTAAGAATTAAAAAGCATGTGGTGCTTTTAAAAACATTTGTAGCTGTGGGGCTTTGTTTTGTTATAATTATTAGATGGCCTGCCCTTGCTTTTCTTTAATGTTGACAGACAAAAAATTATTCTGATAACCCCAGAAAACAAATAGAATCTGACATATATTTTTAAAAAATAACTTAAAAGAATTAATATGAAATAGAATAAATAATATACTTAGTTGTTAGATAATGAAACAATATTATATAAAAGCATTCTTTCTAGAGAAATATCAAGAATCCTTGAGCTTTTTCTGTCTCTCTCTATATAAGCTTTGAAGTAAATTTCAAGTCTTTTCTTTCACCTACGTGAGAGTGATTCCAAAATTTATAACTCTAACCTATAATTCTCCTACTGCTGTTTTATAATTGTAGTGACTGCTGGTTATCTCTCTGGAGGTCATAAGGATCATGCAATCAAAAAGTATAGTATTTTTGAGGGTACAGAGCTGTAATTTTCCAAACTAAAGGTCTTCCTTCTCCTGACTTACTTGGTGAATCCACCACCTACCATGTCACTCACACTAGAAACTTGAATGAATGATCAACAGCTTGATTTCTCCCTCTCTCTACTTTTCTCCATAAAACCACTCACTAAACTGTGATACTACCTCCTACACTAGTTTTTCAGATCAATTATTTCTTCTCCCATAGTGATCTGGGGGAAGCTATAATTGTCTGTCTTCTAGTGTCCTCCAACAACTTTTCAAGTCCCCATACCTTGAATTTCTCTAACAGAGTTTGTCCCACTGTCACTGAAGGTATTTTGTGAGAACAGGTTTTATGAAGTTTTCTGCTAATGAAATGTGGATGATGCCCAGTTGGTACTTTATATTATTACTTCCAAATTTATATTATTTTCCAAACCAAATTTTTATTATTACTTCCACTAATTAAATTTAACTAAATAATTAATTTTGTAGCTTATCCTGGAGACAAGTTTGGAAGGATGAGAAGGCAGAAGTGGGAGGCTAGCTGTGAAGGTATAAAAATATACATCCAACTAAAGCCTTATAGTAGAAGGGGCATTGTAAGAATTTTATTTCTAACCTCAGAACAGCCACACTAGGAGTAGGAATAAAATGATGGAAGACTAAGTAAGAACATGTATACAGGAAGCAATAAAGTATTGACAAGCCAATAATCATGACTGAGGGACAAATGAGATAACCCAAAGTCCAGCTCACATCATCAGGGCTAAAAACAGTGCAGCAAGAGTGAACGCCCCCAGAGAGAGCAGAGCCGTTGCCTAGAGAACAAATGGAATGACTCTAAGAACATGCGAGTCATTGTTTGACCTTGCCAAAATTAGATGAGCATTGGCAGAAAGGGCAGGCAGGAGACTGGGGTGCAGGGGAGCTGGTGAAGGTGGGAGTCACAGACAGAGAGTCTGTGTTATATTTTTCAGTGTTATGGGCATCTGTTTGATTATTACCTTCCAGGCTGGTGAGGCCAGTGATATTGAGAGGGTGGGGTGAGACATGAAAATGAATATATTTGTTTCCACCCATATTTCTTTCTTTGTATTTAAAGAAAGAGCAAATTCAACAGTCACAAAAAGTTAGATTTCATATTGACAGAGGCAGAAAATTTATTATAATCAAGACAGATTTCAAATAAATATATCTTAACTATCTAGCAGCAAATCTATCTTGTAATGCTGGCAATCATAATGGAAAGACAAAATGAAGAAGAAACAAATCAAGTTTTAGCTTTACCAAAATGTGAACTTAGTGTAATATCGTTCTGGTTTAAATCTAATAATTTCACCTCAAATTTCTCAGACTTCTTTATCTACCTCCTCTAATAATATGTGAGTAAATAAATTTAAATGTCCTCCAAATGTAAATGGAATTCTCCATTTGATTGCAGTAAACATGAAAGCCTTGTTTATACATTTTAATTTCGTTTGGAAAAAGAGCCTCTTCCAAAGCCCCAGGTCTCACCTCCCTTCTAGCCTGCTGAGTCATGTTTTCTAGCACAGAGGTCCCCAACCCCCAGGCCAGGGACTAACAGCAGTCCATGGTCTGTTAGGAACCCAGCCATACAGCAGGGGGTGTGTGGCAGGGGAGCAAGTATTTACCACTTGAGCTCTGCCTCCTGTCAGATCAGCAGAGGCGTTAGACTCTCATTGGAGCACAAACCCTGTTGTGAACTGTATACCTGAGGGATCTAGGTTGTGCGCTCCCAGTGAGGATCTAGCTAATGCCTGATGATCTGAAGTGGAACAGTTTCATTCCCAAACCACCCACCTCCAGCTCCGCCACTTCTGTCTGCAGAAAAAAATGTTCTTCCACGAAACCAGTTCCCAATGCCAAAAAGGTTGGGGACATTTGTTCTAGCAGAAGACCTTCCACCTGGGTACAGATAGGGCACATCAGTCCTTATAGTAGACAATAGAGGAGGTAGATACAGATTTTCATGCTGAAAAAAAAAAATGTTGTATTTCTAGAGCAAGTGTTCATTAAATATCCACACAAAACAATAGTTTTGGAGTATGTATGCACAGAAAGCATTGTGCAGAATTCTTTAAAGAAATAAGTCTATGTATATATATATATATGGACTCAACCCTGGAGTAAATTATAAGCTAAATGTGAAAAATACACATAAAATGTGATAAAAAGAAAGAAAAGGAAAGAAAGAAAATACTAAATTGAGATATGATTGAAATTAGCATCTGATCAAAAGTGTTCAAAATTTGAGAAAGAGAAAAATCAGCTTGTCTTAGAGAAGTAGGAAGCAGTTCAAGAAATACTGGCCTACAGTTGAACTATTGAAGACAGAGATCATAGCTGCAGCCTAAAGACCCCCAAATTTCATCGTTTTAAAAGTGTATGCTTTAATAAAAATGTTACATCAGAATTAGAAATGCAAATTGACAAATTAGAAAAAGTAATGCAAATATTCACTGCCTTAATGCTTACAAAGAATGGCAGGCAGAAGACAATAGAATAATATTGTTAAAATGCTGAAAAAATACTCAATAAAGCAAATATAAGGAAATTTTAAAATATCTTCATAGAAACAATTATTGGAAGAATGGTTGACCCCTCATCTATGATAATAACAAAATTTAATCATATCTGCCTAGAATTAGATACTCAGCTAGTATATTATTTTAGAACAAAAGTAAAATTAACATAATTTGCATACATATAAAAACTGAGTTTATGACTCAGAGAATTTTGTTGAAAGAAGTCCACAAAGTCATATATAAACTCAACAAAGGAATAAGAGTAGGATGCAAGTAACAATGGCAACTATCATTCCTAGGGAACAGTACATTAGACAATTCAGAAAAGCATTACTACCAATTCAACTAATATATTTATTCAGCTATGTAAAAATACCTAGTTGAATAGATCAGAGAGCTAATAAGGCAGCTAAGACTTGCAAGAACAAATGTTTAAGGATTAGCTAATCCTTTTTTTTACAAAAATTTTTCGAGATAATTGAAAGAGAAGAAACTCGTCAAATATCTGTGAGGTTAGCATTATCTTGATATCAATATGTCAAAAGGACTGTATGAAAATCCTAAAATGCTAATCAATAGTAAACAAAATTAAATAATGTTAATAAAACATTGGATGACTAGAAACCCAGTGCTACCAATTTATGAAAGCATTCAATACAATTCAAAATGCATTTACAGTTTTTAAAATTGCAATACAAGGAAATATTTTAACAGGATAGAGTATCTGGCAAGACAATATGGCAGACATAATATTATTGATAAAGTATTAAAACTATTTTCATTAGAATCAGAAAAAATCAATTAAAAATGAACTTTACACTTGAAGTTCTAGGCAGTGAAGTAAGAAAGAAAAAAAAAGTAAGCAATATTAGGATTAAACAGGAAGAAACAGTCTTGTTCTTTTTAGTAGAAGGTTGTTAACATTGAAAATCCATGAACATCTATATACAAAATATGATGACTATAAAATAGTAGGGCAATGTTGTTGGTTACAAGATCAATATGTTAAAACAAACTTAATACAAACAAATCAGAAAATACGATTGAAGATAGGCTCTTTTCACAATGGGAAAATATATGCAAATCGACAAAACAATAAATTCAACAAAAGAAATGTGTCTGAAAATACGATAGTTTAATACAAGGAAATCAGTGAAAATCATTGTGTTTGAATGAAAATAATCACTATTATAAACATAACAGTTTTCCTTGAATTGACATACAAATTTAATTAAATTTCAATTAATGGTCCAGTGGAGGTTTGTTATTTTACTTGAGCTGATTCTAAAATCCAAGTAGAACGATAAAAAGCTAAGGCGACCAAAGAACATAGAGAAAGATACGGATACAGCGTTTATTATACCAGTGCATTATAATGTGTAATACTTAAAACATGATATTAGTTTAATATAGACATAAAATTGAAAGAGAAGAGACAATATAGAGAATCCAGAGATAGAAACATGCTTATATCAAATATTGGTGTATGAGTAGGTAGCTTAAAAGTGCTAAGAAAAAGGTAGGTGGATCATTAAATGGCATATAGGAAATTGTTTATCCATAAGGTAAAATGTCAATTATTACTTATGTCATTAAAGTAAATAATTAAGGCTACGAATCTGAAAAGTAAAATTTCAAATTTTCTAGAAATAATAGAGGAGAATATATGAGAATATATTGATTATCCCAAGATAGAAGGAAGGACTTCACAAATAAAAAACGTAAAGCATAAACTATATAACAAAGTGGTGACATATAGAACTGCATTAAATTGCCAAGCTATTTACAACAATAAATATTATACCCACCATTATAAACAAACCATTGACATAGAAAGGAGACTTAAAATGTATTAGCGTTCAAAGAATTATGATACAAAACATATAAAAATTCCTACACATAAAGAAAAAAAGATGAATACGTAAATTTAAAAAGTAAAGGATATAAACAGGCAAGACATAGAAATGAAAATCCTGCAGGCCGTCAGCTTGATAAAGATATACCAACTTTTTTAACATCAGGGAAATTCATACTAATACGAAACTATACTAAATAAATTAGTAGAAAAATAAAATATTCCAGAAAAAGCAAGCAAAATATATTGGTATAATATATTAGGTTGGTGCAAAAGTAATTGTAATTCCCGTTTTTGCCGTGAAAACGAATGGCAAAGACCACAATTACTTTTGCACCAACCTACTATAATAGAGGCTACCCTTTAATATCTTGTAATATTAGAAAGACTCGCTAATCCATCAATTTCAATGGACGAATGTATGCGATAGGGAACAAAATTTCTTTATT
Source organism: Homo sapiens (assembly GCF_000001405.40). Classification (NCBI taxonomy): domain Eukaryota; kingdom Metazoa; phylum Chordata; class Mammalia; order Primates; family Hominidae; genus Homo; species Homo sapiens. Next base: position 86,217,943 of record NC_000014.9, on the reverse strand, counting down.
TGCTAAATCTGGGTAGCAGGTACATAAGTTTTCTCTATAGTTAAGATTTTCTACAATGATTTATTTTATTTTATTTTATATTTATTTTGTATAATTTTCTTAAGGGCGGGAGGCCGGGGGCGAAACAACAGGGGCGGGCAGGAAGGCGAGGGGAGGAAGGGGTGGATGGAGGAGGAGGAGGAAGAAGGAGGAAAGAGACCCCGGGGCGAGTGGGGAACGGCGGAGGGCGGGCGAGAGAGGGCGCAGGCTGCCGCTGCTCCGGCTACTGCCTCTGCTGGTCTTAAAATGATATCCTATACAATGAGTTTTTTTAAATTCATGAGCCATCACATTGAGGAAATGCAGTTATCTCTTGACTGAATAAGTTGTGGCAGCAGAGGAAGAAGCTGTCTAAGGTCTCCTGACTGGAGAGCACTTCCACTAGAAATCCTATGGCCTGAACCCTAATTCCTCTCTGGAGAAGCACCAAGATGCTCTTGGAAACCATTCAAAACAACTCCAGGCTTACTGAACACTCTTTAAAAGTGCGAGATACAGGTACATCATTCACATTTGCCAAAATAGCCATTTATTACTTGATGTTTGTTCAAATCGTTTTACCATCTGCCAGTTTATCCATTATTTACACTCTTACTAACAGCACCCTCTCATTGTATAAAAATATTTCTATTGCTGAGACAAACAGTGTATAATAGGGATAATTAGCTTGTATTTTCAGAAGTAACTGATATTACAAATCGGACTTGGAAAACCCAACGTCTTTGCCAGTCTTTTCATAACTTTGAATTAGTGACAATGCATTTACCAAGAAAAATACTGGTGACAGACTTCTCACTACTACCATGAAACGTTAGAAGATGTTAGGCCTATAGTGTTTATATTACCCTATATTTCTATTTACTCTTTAGTCTAAATATAAGGTTCTTTTTAAGGTGATGTGGGATTATATGCTAAGTTTGCCAGGCCCATCTTGGTTGATTTCTATCAGCCAGGGATATCCTTCGTGTAATAATTTTTCCTGGAATTATTCTATATTTTAAATACATCATTTTTACGATGTTATTGTCATCATTATCACACTAAAATAAATAAGGATGGGTTTTGTATTACTTCCAATTTCTTACAAAGTCTCCATTAATAACGTTTGAAAATCAAATGCACTTGAGTTCTCACTAACAGATAATTAAATGGAAAAGACGATTAGTATTCTCTATCCTTTCTCCATACAAAGTACTAACAACTTCTTTTAGGTTACAGTTTTTACATTAACACTTGAATAAAAGAACTAGTACTGTCAGAAACCAGCAGCTAGAAGGAGTGAACTCTTCTGGTGTCATAAGGGAGACGTCTTCACCTTGGCTGGTCACTTGTACCAGCCAATTATGTCCTTGTCCAAGTTACAGACTGCGGCATGCATACATTTGCCTTGTCTCCATCTGGTGGTTTAGTGGTAAATATGGACAATTATAGGTTTGGTTTCTCTGAGATCCATGTGGAAATATGGGCTGATCTGTTCAGCTGAGGAACATAGGAAGTTGTCGGAATACTGCTGCTACAGAGGTGTGTGTGTGTTGTCATTTTTTACATGGCGTCATCTATTGCTATTTATTTCATTGTGTGGTAACATATTTTATTTTTTAAGAAACTCTGATAGTAATGCATTTGGAAAAACACAAATATTTGAGAAAAAATTAGGCACTGAGTTTCTACTTCTCTAGAAAGTTTGTATTTTGGCATTTGTATTTTGTACAAATGCCAGTCCACCTTTCCCACATTCCATGAGGGTTGTGGTATTATTCATTACCACTTGAAATCTAGAACATTCACATTTTCATCTACTTCAGAAGTTAGCAGCTGTAGGAACCAACCTCTGAGAAGTCCCTCAGGGATTTCTGACTGGTATTACCAACCTTGTATGGTCCTTTCATAGAAAGGTTGGTCAGTGTGGCTAATAGCAGAAGTCATGGTATTCAACATTAGGTATTGTGGTTTTTATCTTGAGCTCCTGCACATACGTGAGCTCTCTCTCTCTCTGTCTGTCTGTCTCTGTCTCTGTCTCTCTCTCTCCCTCTCTCTCTGTTTCTCTGTCTCTCTTTCTCTTTGCTTGCTCTAGGGAAAAAATTGTTGTTATGAGAGAAACCCACATAGAGAGATATTAAAGCCTCTGGCCCACAGGCAGATAGGAACTGAGGCCTTTCTAGAAGTGAGCTTAGAAGCAAATTTTCCAGCCCTCCCTAGGCGTGACTTGAAATAACTTTATTCCCTGCCATCAGCTTGATTGCAACCTTGTGAGAGACTCAGCCAGAACCACTCTGCTAAGGTATTCTTGGGTTTCTAACCTTCAGCAATGGAATCATTTTTCTTAAATCTGGGGTCATCTGTTATGCAGAAAAAAACTGAGCTGTTTTACTTAAATTTGGGGGTAATTTATTATGCAGCAATAGATAACCGATATGTTGTTTAAAGGAGTCCGTGCACGAATTATTTAACACATACAGCTACAGAAATTGCATTTGCATACCCTTCTGTGAAGCATGACAGTTTATTTAGATAAAGTGACTGTCCTTCTAACTTAACTTGTCTTATTTTTTCATTTCAAGTTTTCTTGTGAATGCACAAGAAAATGAAGTAATATTTGTTAATGTGTTGAAGTAATATCAGAAATGTGCGAACAGTTGAATATGTCAAGTTTATGTCCCTATCTGAGGTAATTTAAGTAGAAAATTGGTTTAAATAAAGTTTCAATTTTAAAATTCTCTTCATGGAATTAATTTCTTGAAATAGCTTTTGTTAAAGGCAAATGTCTAACAGTTTTTTGAATGCTTTTGTAATTTAGTTAAAAAGTTAACAGTTGGTGAAATTAGTTTTGAGGTGACGATACACATTAAATTCAGTTTAAAGTTCAATAATCAGAAAGTATTTTGGTTTGATAATAATAAAATGTATACCAATTAAGAAATATTTTGAGAATAAACGTACTTAATGATTGAATTTCATGCAGATGTAATGTATAATTGTGTCTGGGGAAGCTGTAGTGTTCTAAAACCTAAAGCTGTAGTTGTCCATGTTACAAAATTTGGATAACCATGCTACTACGTTTTTGTAATGAAGCTGATATATTGAACACCAAAACCTAACTCACATTGTACATACGTGTTTCCTTATTTTTCTTTGTCTTTAGAATAGAATTGAGACAACCTTTAATAATGCAAAATCTGTATTTGATTAAACACTCAAAAGAATAAGTAGAGACAATTCATTTGATAAGTTTTGGCTATTGAAAGTAATTGTTGAATACCACTGAAAGAAAGTGAAATGAGTAGCTGTAAAAATTTTCAGCTGAAATATTTATATATTTTAATAAAAATTTAGAATGGAGAATATCCTCTAGTAAACTTTCTCCTGAGCTTACTAGATATCTTAGCATTTATAAAGTGAAAATTTTCTGAATTAAAAACATTATGATGGACAGAAAATAATCAGTTGAAATTTTTAACAACTGCAAATTAATTGACCATAAAATGCAACTTTATAGAAAATTGCAGGCAATTTTGCAAATATATCAAAATAATAATATGTTAAACATATTGATTAGAAAACATACCATGGACATGTGTAGGATAACTAAGAAACTAAGATACAGCTAAGAACTGTGCAATGTATAGAAATAAGAACTGAGAGTAGAGTCCTTATTTTTTAATATTGAAAGTCAATATAACGAAGTTTCTGGTTTTGCTTTAAAATACAATATATGTGATTTTTTATATTTTTATTACACAAATTCAAATATAAATGCAAGTATTTTATAAGTTTACTGATATAGTAAAACAATTTGTTGACTAACAAATGTTAAAAAACTATTTGATCTTAAATATTTTTAGTGCTCCTTTTTATTTCAAAACTTCTCTGCTTTTTAGGAAAGCAGAAATGATTACCCTAGTTATTTTAGGCATATTTCACAGTTAAGAATGTAGGCCAATTCCATTGATCAAAGACAAGTACCTCCACATTGAATAATAATTAGTACAAAGTGAATGGTGTCAAAATAAGAATATACATATAATTTATTATCTATTTCTATAAAATGTAATTTAAATTCTGTAGCAGAAAATGTTTAAATATTTTGTAATGATCTAAAATTATTTGTGTATAGAAACTAGTTAAAACTAGAGAATTAAAATTAGTTGTGGTATAAATATAGCCAATATATTAAGCTGAAATATAGCTTTGATTTTTCCACTGCCTGGATAGAGGTAAATATTTTTCTTAGATTTCACTCTCTTTATACCAAATCTCTTCTCAAAGAGAGTCACATACAAATGTGTATGTTTTTGTATCAGGGATTTGTAAAGGCACAGTGATTTAAGCAATCAATAGGGAATGTAAAATCCTGAAACAATTCAGAAGAGAATTGAGTAAATGCAGAGAAAGACAAAAAAGACACTTAGAAATCTGAAAGATTATTTTTTTCCCTTCCAGGAAGTAAAGCATGGACACCTTAGATAATATTTTAAAATACGAATCTTTCCATAGTTAGTGAGTTTCTTGGATTATCTGCAAATACGGAAAACCTACAGCAAAATGAAATCTACAGTCAATTTACAATAAGTCCAGAAGGAAAGGCTTACATTTTGTCCATTAGTTATTGACATTTCTTTAGCGACCAATGAAATGTAGCATAGCCATTGCCTAGAATTATGCTTTGTTTACCAATGGGAGAACTGTAGCTGAACAGAGCCCACGTTTTTCCCCAAATATTCTCTCCTTCCCCACTTTTCCCCAACAAATACAAGGTTTTGAAATTATTGATTAAAAGTTGACAAAGGAATAATTCCAATAACTTCAACAATGCATCTCAATGTGCCACTATATTTTTGAGGTCTTAGAGAAGGCTCACATTAAGGCAGTGTAGCTTGTGGCTAATACAAATTTAATTTGTACTACATTTCTAATCATGAGAATAAACTGTTGCAGATAAAGTAATTTATTCTCAAAACCTCAACATGCTACAGGGAAATATCAGAAAGAATGTATGAGGCAGATCTTCTCTTTTCATCTGGTAAAATTGAATTCGAAGGTGTAAGAGAAAGCAAGTTCATCTCAGAGCTTACTGAGATAGATTTCACCTCTAACTATCTGATCAGATCTTTCTGCCTCTTTCCACATCAAACCTGGAGGAGCCAAACATAACTATGTGAGTGGGGAAGGAGAGATATAACAAAGAGAGAAATAGTGGGGAATATGACCACAAGAGCCTCTGGCAGTGCAGAATTCTGAGTTAGACTTGAGGAAGTCTATAGTCACGCAATTTCTCGCCTGTACAGTTAGCGTGACCAATCATCTCAGTTTGTTTTGGGACTCCTTGTTTTAGCACTGGAAGTTTTAGCACGGGAAGTCCTGGGGTCCTGGTAAACCTGGACTATTCATTCCCCTAGCTGTACTGGGAATTTTGTTAAATGAAATAAATAACGGAAAACTATGAGAACAAATATTTCAACCACAAAGTTGAGAATGGGGACGGTTTATTTAATCAAAAGCAAATTTTTAAAGTTAAAAATGAAGTCATAAGAACAATAAATTTACTTTCTGCCTGCAGAAGTTCATTCAGTAAAAACTTCTACTTATCTTGTATATCTGTTGGCTAAAATTCAGTCAATTACCAACCATGCTGGGAAGAGTGTGAAGAAAGTTTAAACAAAAGAAATTTTAATCTCACTGTGAGGATTCTGCCTGTCCATATATATTTTATATATATTTATAGAAACAATTGTGACACTTTTCTATGTCACTTCCCCTATGTCTTCGCCTAAAGTAACAGAAAGGTGTGAAGTAAATATTTTAACCACTGTAATATTGCACATAATATTTATTCTGCTTAATTTGGTGCCACAAAAGCAAAAACAGGACTCTGATTTAAGGTAAAATAAACACATTTCTTTGAAAGAGAATGGTCTTTTAAAAGACAAGATTTACTTTGCAATTATGTAATGGGCATCTATATGGAAATCAATGCTTACATGCTTTTATAGTATTTCTGTGTTTTTCTACAATGTTAGGACAAATAATAAAATCAATTTTATGTATATATTCTGTTTTATATCCAAAACACACAGCAAGGGAAAGGCTTGTTTTTCCCAAGATCTTTGTACATAACAAAGTCAACCTATAGGAGCTGCTTCAGTGTTACATCAGATATCAACCAAAATATTAATGATACGAGGATATAGACAGAGTTGGAATATGAAAGAAATGATTTGCTTATGTTTTCTGTATCACATAATTTTAAAAATTGTATCAATCATTTGAAGTAGATTTTTAATATTTAATTTTTAAAGTATTAACAGAATAAAATAACAAAGAATACTAAGGCATGTTGTCTAGATTATTACAAAAGAATAACCAAATATTTCATTAGAATGTAATAGTTTAGTTTTCAAACTAAACACTGCTTTTTCCTGCCTTGTTATTTAAATAATCATGACTTTATTATTTGAGTCTCATTTCTTTAGCCCTTCTGGTCATTCCCTTAGCACTTCTGATTATTCACATGGCTATGTTAGTAATCCTAGTAATTTTTTAGTGTGAAGCAGCCTCTTCTACATTAATTGAGCAGCAACAAAGGAAACTAATAAATGACTCATTTTTTTTCTTTTTGGATAATCTAGAAAACAGAGCTGCAAGGAAATATTTCGTGGTGCCTTCCTGCTGTGCAATTTTGAGTCCCTTTTAATAGACTCAAAAATATCACTGAAGCAGCTAGTGCAGATTGAAACCTATTAAGTCAGGTAACGCTTCATTTTCCACAGGCCTCTTGTTGAGGAGAGGTCAAAAAAAAAAAAAAAAAAAAACTAGGAGAAGAAACAGCACTTTCTGTAATGCAGTTAACATTTGACATTAAGTGAAAAATATTCATTCCTTTCCTATCCAAAGCATAGCAGTCTTCACAAACAATAATATACTATATACTAAACATCATTAAGAAAACTTGCCTAAAGCTCTCCATTAATAATCCCCTTTGGGTGGAACAACTTTGAGGGGAACTTAAGTTTACCCAGACTCCAGAGGCTACAGAGTTTGTCTGGAAATATCATGAAGTCTGGATCCCTTGTGAGAATTTTCGGCACTTCAGCCTCCAGACTCAGCTGGAAACATTATAACCAAGGTCCTTCATGTGGTATTTCAACATTTCTCACTTCAGCCTCTGAAAGAAATGGAAATAAACCTTGTCTATGTTTATTATAACCCTAGAAGTAAGGCTGGATTTCAAGACTATTCTTCCAGTAGAGTGAAAGGTCGATCTGGAAGTGAAGAAATAACAAAAGTTATTCTCATCCCCCTTCAGTTCTTCTTCACTCTGACCTCCTCGTTCCTAATGGGGGTTTGTGGTGTTGGCGACATAGCATTCATGCAAGTAATTACCTTTCCATGCTTATTTTCTTCCCATTTACACATATACCTCCTTGCTACTTAACAGTAGACTTCAGGAGACACAGAATAGTACTAACAGTAGCTATTGTTTATAAGCAGATCATATCCATCTGTACATTATTGTATTCAAGTGGATTTTCAAAATCACATTGTAATTATAAGTACATAAATGCAACTAAATGTTTTACTATTATGCATTGAGACATCATGATAAGAGCTAACTCTCATTCTTACTTTCAAGTTAGATCTTTAACTTCTTAACTTGGCACATGCTTAAAGTTTAAAGTACTTTCATCTGCATTACCTTGTATGATTCAAGATAATGAATCATTACTCATAATCATCAGTGGTAGGGTGACTGGGTTACAATTTTACAAATGAGGGCAATATTACTTGACGCGATCAAGTGACTTGCCTAAGAAAAAGTAGTTTACTGAGCCTAAGAACCATGGCTGGAAATAAGGTCATTTGACTTTTTGTAAGTGGCCTATTCTTTCAACAAAATACTTTCTGATAATCTATCAGAGTCAAAAACAATATATCATATTATTTACATAGATTTAAAAGTACAGACACTTTGCTTCAAATAGTTTCTTCAGAGTTGGGGTAATAGGACACACAAATATATATGATGACAAACAATGCAAGTCAATGGTAAATTAATGAGCAAATTATAGTCATGATTATTGTCAAAAGGAAGAAATCTCATGCCTTGGGGTGGTAAGATAAGGCTTTGCAGAGGTCCTTATTTTGATGCAGTTCCTATCTTCAATATAAACTATTCTACACTTGCTGCAGGACATAGGGAGATGTGGCAAAAGTAGTAATAGAGTATCAACATTTTGACCATTGACTATATAGCAAGGATTGTCCCATTGTATTATGCAAATGCTGACAATAATTCTGTAGCACAAGGACAATGTTACCCTTATTTTACAGACAATGACTGCTCACCAGGGAAGTTACTACCCAGCAAACAGTCTTTAAGCAGAGGGTAGTAACCTACTCAATAGACAGCTAGAAAGTGGAGCCTCAGTACTGAAATTGAGCCCTGACTGACTCTATGGCTGGGAATTTTAGTTACAACATATATTATCAGGTGTGAAGAAAACAAAATAGACAGATCATTAATTTTTCTTTTAAGTGTAGGTCAGTAAGGCTGAGAAACCTATCCAATGAGTTTATAGTGCTCAATTGAAAATGGATCTACGTAAACATCAATAAGCATGCAACCATTCAAAGCCACTAAAATGGAACAGAGACTATACGCAGAAAAAATAGACTTTTGATTATAAAGTCAAGAGCACTATTCTTGTGAAACAATTTAATCTGGATCCGTTTGATTTGCTATAATAACTGTTAATGATTGACTACATCTTTACATTGTATATGTGAACCTTAACTGTTTTTAACATTTCTATCAATGAACCAAATAATTATCTTTAATCAATTGCATTTTATAATATGTATTGTGTGCCTTTAAGGGGAAAATATAATTTTTTATCTAAATTTCTCTTCACAAAAATTACCCAGAGAAAAATTACCGTTTCACTATGGAAGAAAAATTGCAGAATTGGGAGATCTCTGGTTCTGGCCTTGCTTATTTCTTATATTACCTTGCCTATATTTTCTAAATGAGTCCCCTCATTTGTAAAATAGATGTAATATTAGGTCATGCTTCATGAGACATGAGATAAGGGAGAATAAATTTCTTCATTTTTGCCTGAAAGGAATATTATAAAATAAGTCATAATATCCAGATTTCTTTTCTGATTGCGATACGATCTGCCAAAAAAAAAAAAAAAACAAAAAAAAACAACGAAAACTATGCAAGAAGACTTGTGATGGAAAAGTCAAGCAAGAGTGTGAGCCTATTTGGCAGCTCTGATGCTGAGGCCAATCATACCATTGACTGTTCAGTCTCTGTCCAGACTTCAAGAATAAGTATCACATTTCATAGCGGTGAATGCAATTTGGCACCATAAAAAAAATCTTATGTTTGACTGACAGAGTCCCTCACTTTTGAATTAGTTTTAAATGTTTTAGAAGTGCGCAGACACAACTATACCATCACAACATCATTTGCCACAGGAATTAAAATCAGAATATATGTAGATATCAAAACAAATTTAATTCTTTGTGTTTTTTTTTTTTTTTTAGAGACAGAGTCTCACTCTGTCGCCCAGCCTGGAGCGCAGTGGCGTGATCTCAGCTCACTGCAACCTCCACCTCCTGGGTTCAAGCAATTCTCCTGCCTCAGCCGCCTCACAAGTAGCTGGGATTACAGACATTCGCCATCACACCCGCTAATTTTTTGTATTGACCTGCTGGCCAGGCTGGTCTCAAACTCCTGACCTTAGATGATCCACCCGCTTAGGCCTCCCGAAGTGCTGGGATTACAGGTGTGAGCTACCACGTCAGGCCCGCAAATTTAATTCTTGGTTTCTCTTGAACCCACATTTGAATGCTTTCCTTACAAGTTTTTAATTTTTACACTGCACCTGGAGTTGATGAAGAGCAAGTAAGCCCCCAAATTGGGGCTTAGCTTGTGATATGGTTTGGTTCTGTGTCCCCACCCAAATATTATTCAAATTGTAATCTCCAGTGTTGGAGGAGGGGCCTGGTGGTAGGTGATTCAATCACAGGGGTGGACTTGCCCCTTGCTGTTCTCATAATAGTGAGTGAGTTCTCATGAGATCTGGTTGTTTGAAAGCATGTAGTACTTCCCCCTTCGCTCTCTTTCTCCTGCTCTCACCACGTGAGATGTGCCTGCTTCCCCTTCCACCATAATTGTAGGTTTCCCGAGGCTTCCCCAGCCATGCTTCTTCCTCTAAAGCCTGCAGAACAGTGAGTCAACTAAACCTCTCTTCTTTATGAATTACCCAATCTCAGGTAGTTTTTTATAGCAATCCAAGAACAGACTAATAACAGCCCGGGAGGGCTCTTGGCTTTGCCCAGGAAAGAATTCAAGGGCAAGCTGGTGGTGTTAGACAGTAAACTGTCTAACTTTTATTGAAGCGGCAGTGTACAGTACCAGCAGAGGTCCTGATCCTTGCAAAGCATGGCTACCCCACATGCAGTGTGCCCAGAGCAGCAGCTCAGAGGCATGTCTGCACTCATATTTATACTCACTTTTAATTGTATGCAAAGTAGGGGACAGATTTTGCAGATATTTCTACAAAGAGGGTGGTAAGTTCCAGGTTATTGGGTCATTGCCATGGAAAGGGGCAATAACTTCCTGGTGTTGCTGTCACAATGGTAAGCTGATGGGGCACACTGGCAGTCATGTCTTATGGAGAGTGGCTTCTGCCGTGTCCTTGTTTTAGCTTGTTGTCAATTTGGTCTAATATCTGAGTCCTGCTTCCAGAGTTGAGTCCCTCCTGCTACCTCAGATTCATTTGATTTTTAAAAAGAAAGGGAAAGAATGGGAAGGGAAAGCACTTAGTATTAAGCCATTTTGAAAACTTTCTATATTATTGGACATGTGCATGACAAGTAATTCCTAAGAAATTATTCTAAGATCTTTCATAGTGTTGTCAATCTCAGAATTCAATAATCGAACTTTGCAATTATATAGTTTAGGGGCTACAGGATCAGTTTCTTTTCCTACCAATTGATGATTAGACAAAACAATAATTCAGATATTTTGTGGAAAATACTTCAAGCTATTTGATTCTCAAAACAAGGAGTTAATGACATAAGAACTTACAAAGTACTGTAGGCCATTAACTAATGAGAGGCAATCAATGATTTCTTCAACTAGCATTGTGTCTCCTCTTCTTAATTAAAAGAGTTAAACTTGCAGCAAATATTTTGAACTTAGGAAGATATCACTGTCTTCTTTGTATACTAAATGAATGAGGGTAGAAGAAAATAAATGTAAGAAAATCTTTCAGATGAAAGCACTGCAAATAAATAGAGCATTTGGATTATCATCAAGTAACCTTTCCTGTCTCTTTCATGTGTGGCTCTGGGAATGTATTAATCTTTAAATCCTTTTCACATTATAAATATTGCTTATGGCACAAATCATGCAAATTTATCCCCCCTCATTACTTCAGAGCTTCCTAGATCAAGAGTTATCATTCCGACAACATCAACTGCTTCGACTAAACCGTATTATATATCTCTGTCAGCTCCTATTCAAACGCATGATGTAGCACCGTGATAAATCCCTCCTAGCCTTTGGCAAAGGTAGTAACGTGAGGCTCTGTTTAGAGGAGAGGCTTTTATGGTTTAAGTGCACAGTTCCCAGGGAGTTAAGAAAATAATAAGCAACCTCTATGACCAGAGAACTTTAAAAATAGAAAGAAACAATGTCACCAGTGATAGGACCACAATGTGTTAAGGAAAATTGTGCTATGGATACCCATTAGAGAGGATGGGAGAATTTTCAACTTATAATGAGCTGTCAAGATGTCTAGAGAAAAACAACATACTACAGTAAAATTTATGGTAAAATGGAATTCAAAAACACTATCTACAATTGCTGTTAAAAATTTATGAAACTGTCATGTCAAGAGTCAAATATTCTCTCACACATATTCCTCATCTCTGGTGTCTCAAAATGCACAAAATCAGGACCAACACCCAACTTCATCATTAAACATTTTAAATTTGTTTAAATCCTTTCTAGATTAGCAGCTCCAAGATGGCAGAGCAACTTTGCTCTCTTAAGCAGTATGTAGAAATTGTAACTAAAAAGTTTAAAATATAATTTATTAACCAGTGAATTGATAGGATACTTGTAACCCATGTTATGTCTTTTAGCATCATGATCTTGGATGTCCATATACTTGTTCCAACTATGCAATTCATTTCATAGATTATTCTTGAAAAATTCTTCTAATGTATAAAACAATTCAAGAAGTAAAAGCATCTTTTATTCAACTTTAGTATTACTGAACCTACCCCAAATTACCCAACTTGACTTAGAATGATTAAACCTAACACATAATTACCTTGATTAGGGACTGGTCACTCTATGAAGTGATTTCCACATGTTATATTTCCTCCTGTATTACTCCCTACACTCCATGGGCTAACTAATCTTGATGTTATCATTTTGCAGGTGACATTAGTGAAGCTGGGGAATGTTGAGACAAGGTCAAGGCCGCACAGCCCGTACATATAGTGACTGGGATTGGGTCCCAGGAACTGGAGGCCCCATGACTCTGATCTCATCTCTATATGCCCTCAAGGGAACCATAACAAAGTACATATTAAATGACAAAAATTTACCCTCTTTGAAGATATTAAAAATAATTTATTGAAGTCAACGACTAAGTCCAGGGCAAGAACTGCCTCATTGGAGTAGGTGCCTAGTTACTGACAGTTAAAGATAAAACTCATTAGAAGATGTAAAGCTTGATATCTTTTTGAAGGAAAGAATTATATGACCTTTTATGTGCATTTCTTATAGTTCTAGGTTGGCGTCACACACAAGTCAGTGCTAGAAATATTTTTTTCCAGTGATGATGATATAATGATAAGGCAAGTGAAAATGACAAAAAAAAAAAAGCTTCTCTTTCTTAGTTATGAACTAACATATACATGGTTTGTTGGATGACATGAAACAAAAACATTGGCAGAGAATTAATCTTTCCATTTATGTTTGTGGATGAGTAAATACCAGAAATTTGAAGAGCGAAGCTGAATTAAATGTGGTCCAAAATACACAATATTTTAATGACCGGGGACTTCTTTGCAAAAGCTTATCAGTGCAGTAATTTAATTTATTGTAAAGAAGATAAACTGGGCTACGTTTGTCATATGAACCTTAGGAGTAGGGCTGCATCCCAAACAGGAACTCTATATCTTTAAATATGACTATGTGGCCTGGAAAGCCTTTGTAGCAATTCCTGGTGAGATTCAGAGATCAAACAGAAAATACAGCAAAAATACTAATAATAACCTTTCTATAGGCGATTGGCACTTAGTAGGCTGGTCTTATTTTCAGTTTCTGTTACTGCATATGGGCCAACAATACAAATGGGAGTAACACATGATTTTACTTTAAAGCAACTGATCAATAACATCATAATTATTTTCTGAGCACACATTACATTTAATCCACTGCTATATTCAATTAAAGGATCTTCTTAGAACTATATAGTTTCAGTTTCAAGTTTGGTTCAGAATATAGTTTAAATTGAAAATTCTCTAAAAGCTTTCTGCAACAATTCTTTAAATAACTTGAACTTATACTGTAACACTGATGACCCCCCAGACCTTCTTGCCCCAGTAGGGCCAGCTTCATCTTGTAACATTAAACCTGAAGTTAGCATCACATGCAAAAACAGTCTTACAGGTCCCCATATTTTATTCTCTGACTCCAGAGATCCTGCAGAGAGCATACAACTGGACTAGATCCAGAAGTCTCAGAGGCAGTGACAGCTGGGAAGCCTTGCTAGATTTCCACCCTCTGCACATGGATCCTTATAGAGCAAAGAGACCAAGAACCACTTCCCCTTCCTTATCACTTCTCTGAAACCACTCTACCCCACTCCACCTCTAAGACCTTCTGCTTACACACATAAAGGGACTTCCTCCTGGTCACATGACTCTACAGCTGTGTGGACTTTAGAAGTAATGTTAATAGGCACTTAATAGGCATCTCTCATTTCAAAAAATATAACTGAAATGTAGGGTTCGAATATTGGTGAAGTTCTTATTTGATATATAATAAATATAACTGCTTTACATTAAATATATATTTACTTTTGTATTATTACTCTACAGATGTGTTTGTTCTCTTCCAAATTGCTTTTAAAAACCAATGAGTCAGTAAAGCAGTATCTCTCTTACACCTTTGAGTGTTCAAGCCGATTTCTCAAGCATATATCTTCCCAATGTTTATCCTGTTTCCTTTCCTTCCATAAAGCTACCGGAACATACCGCTACTTAAACCCCTTCTTCATTTAACATTATAATAAGTCACAAAAGTCCAAAACTCCTTGAACTAAATTTAGTTTCAGTGACTGTTAATTCTGGAGACACGGAGTCCTAGAAATCAAGTGTTGGGTTGCTCAGTAACCATGCACTACATATTTAGGTTTCTGTTAGCCCTGAGAAAAGGCAGGGATATTTTTCAGCACAAAAGTAAATTACATGAAATCCATGAAAGTTAAACTAGTGAAAGGAAGAAAAAAAGGAAAAGAAAGGGGCTTGTTAATTTACTACTTCAGTAGCTCAATAATTTGTAATTTCAATACATTTACAAATTTATTTGAAACCTATTTAGATAGAATACATTTCTATATCTAAAGGGAACTATAGGCATACCTCCAAGATGGATAGGTTTGGTCTAGAGTACCACAATAAAACAAATATTGCAATCAAGCAAATCACATGAATTTTCTGGTTTTCCAGTGTATAAAAAAAGTATGTTTTCATGATACTGTAATCTATTAAGTGTTTATTAATAGCATTATGTCTAAAATCAATGTGATACCTTAATAAAAAATAATTTATTGCTACAAAATGTTAACAACCATCTGAGGCTTCAGCAAGTTGTAATCTTTCTGTTGGTGGGGTATCTTGCCTCTGTTGGTGACTGCTGACTGATCAGGCTGGTTGTTGCTAAAGGGTGGGGTGGCTATGGCAATTCCGAAAATAAGACAACAAATGAAGTTTGCAATATTAATTGGCTCTTCCTTTCAGGAATGATTTCTCTGTTGCATGCAATGCTGTTTGATAGCATTTTACCTAGAGTAGAACTTCTTTCAAATTCTACTTGAAAGTTGTATTTGGAGTCAATCCTCTCAAACTGTGCCACTGATTTATTAAGCAGTGCTTTATGTTATAGTAATGGTTTATTTCCTAGTGACATAAGTTTATGTAATATTTAAAATCTTGTGTTGTCATTTCAACAATGGTCACAGCATCTTCACCATCAGTGGATTCCATCTCAAAAATTTTTTCTTTTTTCTTTTGCTCATTAATAAGAAGCAACTCCTCATCTGTTCAATATTTATGTTGAGATTGCAGCAATTCTGACACATATTCAGGCTCCATTTCTAATTCCAGTTATCTTGCTATTTCTACCACATCTGCAATTACTTCCTCCACTGAAGTTTTGAACCCCTCAAAGTCACCCATGATGGTTGGAATCAGCTTCTTCCAAGCTCTTGTTAATGCTAATGTTTTGGTATCTTTTCATTAATCACAAATGTTCTTAATGACATCTGGAATGGTAGATTCTTTACAGAGGACTTTCACTTCACTTTCCCTAGATACATCAGAGGAATCACTATCTATGGCACTTACAGCCTTACTAAATGTACTTCTCAAATAATAAGACTTGGAAGTCAAAATTAATCCTTGATCCATGAGCTGCAGAATGGATGTTCCCTTAGCAGGCAGGAAAACAACATTAATCTCCTTGTACATCTCCATCATAGCTCTTGAGTGACTAGGCGTATTGTCAATGAGCAGTTCAATTTTTAAAGGAATCTTTTCTGAGTAGTAGGTCTCAATCATGGGCTTAAAATAGTCAGTAAACTATGCTGTAAACTATGCTGTCATCCAGGAATTATTGTTTAATTTATAGAGTACAGGAGAGTTGATTTAGCATAATTCTTACGGGCCTTTGGATTTTCAGAATGATAAGTGAGCATTGTCTTCAACTTAAAGTGACCAACTACATTATCCCCTAACAAGAGAGTCATTCTGTCCTTTGATGATTTAAAGCCAGGCACTGATTCCTCTTCTCTAGCTATGAAAATCCTAGATGTTATTGTATTCTCATAGAAGACTGTTTCATCTATTTAATATATGGAAGAAACTACACCAATTAATGGGCAAACTAACCAGCTAACATCATAATGACAGGATCAAATTCACACATAACAATATTAACCTTAAATGTAAATAGGCTAAATGCCCCAATTAAAAGACACAGACTGGCAAATTGGATAAAGAGTCAAGACCCATCAGTGTGCTTTCTTTAGGAGACCCATCTCACATGCAGAGACACGCATAGACTCAAAATAAAGGAATAGAAGAAGCTCTGCTAAGCAAATGGAAAGCAAAAAAAAGCAGGAGTTGCAATCCTAGTCTCTGATAAAACAGACTTTCAACTAAGAAAGATCAAAAGAGACAAGGCCATTACCTAATGGTAAAGGGATCAATTCAACAAGAAGAGCTGACTCTCCTAAATATATATGCATCCAGTACAGGAGCACCCAGATTCATAAAGCAAATCCTTAGAGACCTGAAAGAGACTTAGACTCCCACACAATAATAATGGGAAACTCTAACACCCACGATCAATATTAGATAAATGAGACAGAAGATTAACAAGGACATCCAGGACTTGAACTCAGCTCTTCACCAAGTACACCTAATAGACATCTACACAACTCTCCACCCCAAATCAACAGAATATACATTCTTCTCAGCACCACATCGCACTTATTCTACAATTGACCACACAGTTGGAAGTAAAGCACTCCTCAGCAAATGTAAAAGAACAGAAATCACAACAAACTGTCTCTCAGACCACAGTGCAATCAAATTAGAACTCAGGATTAAGAAACTCACTCGAAACCACACAACTACATGGAAACTGAATAACCTGCTCCTGAATGACTACTGGGTAAATAACGAAATGAAGCCAGAAACAAAGATGTTCTTTGAAACCAATGAGAACAAAGACACAATGTACCAGAATCTCTGGGACACATTTAAAGCAGTGTGTAGAGGGAAATTTATAGCACTCCATGCCCACAAGAGACAGCAGGAAAGATCTAAAAATGACACCCTAACATCACAATTAAAAGAACTAGAGAAGTAAGAGCAAAAAAAATTCAAAAGCTAGCAGAAGGCAAGAAATAACTAAGATCAGAGCAGAACTGAAAGAGATAAGAGACGCAAAAAACCCTTCAAAAAATCAATGAATCCAGGAGCTGGTTTTTTTTGAAAAGATCAACAAAATTGGTAGACTGCTAGCAAGACTAATAAAGAAGAAAAGAGAAAAGAATCAAATAGACACAATAAAAGAATGATAAAGGGGATATCGCCACCAATCCCACAGAAATGCAAACTACCATCAGAGAATACTATAAACACCTCTACGCAAATAAACTAGAAGAAACTACAAAAATCTAGAAGAAATGGATAAATTCCTGGACACATACACCCTCCCAAGACTAAACCAGGAAGAAGTTTAATCTCTGAATAGATCAAGAACAGGCTCCGAAATTGAAGCAATAATTAATAGCCTACCAACCAAAAAAAGTGCAGGACCAGACGGATTCACAACCAAATTCTACCAGAGGTACAAAGAGGAGCTGGTACCATTCCTTCTGAAACTATTCCAATCAATAGAAAAAGACGGAATCCTCCCTAACTCATTTTATGAGGCCAGCATTATCCTGATACCAAAGCCTGGCAGAGACACAACCAAAAAAGAGAATTTTAGACCAATATCTCTGATGAACACCAATGCAAAAATCCTCAATAAAATACTGGCAAACCAAATCCAGCAGCACATCAAAAAGCTTATCCACCATGATCAAGTCGGCTTCATCCCTGGGATGCAAGCCTGGTTCAACATATGCAAATCAATAAACGTAAACCATCACATAAACAGAACCAATGACAAAAAACACATGATTATCTCAATAGATGCAGAAAAGGCCTTTGACAAAATTCAACAGTGCTTCATGCTAAAAACTCTTAATAAACTAGGTATTGATGGAATGAATCTGAAAATAATAAGACCTATTGATGACAAACCCACAGACAATATCATACTGAATGGGCAAAAACTAGAAGCATTCCCTTTGAAAACCAGCACAAGACAAGGATGCCCTCTCTCACCACTCTTATTCAACATAGTGTTGGAAGTTCTGGCCAGGGCAATCAGGCAAGAGAAAGAAATAAAGAGCATTCAATTAGGAAAAGAGGAAGTCAAATTGTCTCTGTTTGCAGGTGGCATGATTGTGTATTTAGAAAACCCCATTGTCTCAGCCCAAAATCTTAAGCTGATAAGCAACTTCAGCAAAGTCTCAGGATACAAAATCAATGTACAAAAATCACAAACATTCCTATACACCAGTAACAGACAAATAGCCAAATCATGAGTGAACTCCCATTCACAATTGCTACAAAGAGAATAAAATACCTAGGAATCCAACTTACAAGGGATGCGAAGGACCTCTTCAAGGAGAACTACAAACCACTGCTCAACAAAATAAAAGAGGACATAAACAAATGGAAGAACATTCCATGCTCATGGATAGGAAGAATCAATATCGTGAAAATGGCCTTACTGCCCAAGGTAATTTATAGATTTAGTGCCATCCCCATCAAGCTGACAATCACTTTCTTCATAGAATTGGAAAAAAACTAAAGTTCATATGGAAC
Source organism: Homo sapiens (assembly GCF_000001405.40). NCBI lineage: Eukaryota > Metazoa > Chordata > Mammalia > Primates > Hominidae > Homo > Homo sapiens. The sequence goes on along the minus strand of NC_000014.9, from coordinate 86,199,145 downwards.
CAAAAAAGAGCCTGCATTGCCAAGACAATCCTACGCAGAAAGAATAAAGCTGGAGGCATCATGCTACCAGACTTCAAACTATACTACAAGGCTACGGTAACCAAAACAGCATGGTACTGGTACCAGAACAGATATATAGACCAATGGAACAGAACAGAGGCCTCAGAAATAACACCACACATCTACAACCATCTGATCTTTGACAAACATGACAAAAACAAAAAATGGGGAAAGGATTCCCTATTTAATAAATGGTGCTGGGGAAACTGGCTAGCCACATGTAGAAAGCTGAAACTGGATCCCTTCCTTAAACCTTATACAAAAATTAATTCAAGATGGATTAAAGACTTAAATGTTAGACCTAAAACCATAAAAACTCTAGAAGAAAATCTAGGCAATACCATTCAGGACATAGGCATGGGGAAAGGCTTCATGACTAAAACAACAAAAGCAATGGCAACAGAATTGAACAATGAGAACGCAGGGCGGGACACCTCACACACTGGGGCCTGTCAGGGGGTGGGGAACGGGGGGACGGATAGCATTAGGAGAAATATCTAATGTAAATGACAAGTTGATGGGTGTAGCAAACCAACATGGCACATGTATACCTATGTAACAGAACTGCACGTTGTGCGCATGTACTCTAGAACTTAAAGTATAATAAAACAAACAAAGCTCATGTGAAACACGATTTCTTTGAAGGAGTTTTTTTTTTTTTTTCTTTTTTTTTCTTTTTTTCCCTATTCCTCCCGGCAGGAATAGTTTTTCCATCTTAGATCTTAGCACCAGATATCTTTACAGCATTTATCAAATCATGTTGTTATTATTTATCAGCATGGACAATAGATTTTAAAAGCAGAATACACTTTCACCACATCTGATTTTTTAAAACCTAATTTTTTCAAGCTTGTAAGTGAAAGAAAGAAAGAAATTAATTAAGGCTGAATATGAGAAACAATTGCATTAATTGAATGAAGTGCTATGCATTTAACAGTATTAACATTGTTTGGTTTTCAGACACTATAGGTGATATTGTTAGTCACTCTGTATGTACGAGATAACATTTTAATATAAAACTTTTTAAGGAAGTTAGGTTTAGAATATTGCTCCTAATTATTTCATAGAAAACCGTTGTAAAAATTCTCAATAATCACAAATGGTGTGTTTTTTAGTGCTATTAATTCAAATAATTGATTGAGAACAAAATTTTTTTATTATTATACTTTAACTTCTAGGGTACATGTGCATAATGTGCAGGTTTGTTACATATGTATACATGTGCCATGTTGGTGTGCTGCACCCGTTAACTGGTCATTTTCATTAGGTATATCTCCTAATGCTATCCCTCCCCCTTCCTCCAACCCCACGACAGGCCCCGGTGTGTGATGTTCCCCATCCTGTGTCCAAGTGGAGAACAAAATGTTTTTTAAGCACTTTCAGTACTCAAATTTTTTGCCAGGACAGATAGGTTTGTTGGCAAATAAATTCACTTACCAACTAAACATCAAATTTCTCTGTTCTATTACTCTTAGGCTGAATAAATAAACTTAAATACTTAATCATTTTGTTATATCTTCAAGTGTTTTCTTCCAAGATTATCAGTTAAGTAGAACTAAGATGAAGAAATAATAAATTAGATGATTATTTTTAAGGATATATTTTTAGTACATTGAGCATAAAAATCACGAACTGATAGAAAATTTATTTATCTTCTAGTTTCAAAATTATTTTAGGCAGCTGAGAAACTAAAGTCTGAAAAAAGTACTCCAAGTAATAATATTTGTTTTTATAACTTTATTTTTTTCTCATCTTTCCTACTTTTTCTCTTTATGCTATTTCCAAAAAATAAAATATACCAAAGATAGCTGAATGCTGTTAGTTATTTAAAATAACAATAATAATGGCAATAATAAAGAGAAACTAAACATAAAAGTCACCTGGTAAATCTGTCTTTATCCAATTCATTCCCTGGAAAAATAATTCCTAAAACAGTATATTTACAGGGTTGTTGTCCATCTTGAAACGATATCATAATAGATTGTTAACCAAAGACATCTTACTGGTTTTCTTGCTATTCAAATTCTAGTGTACCTGAAACAGTTGCATATCAGGAGACCAATGTGACAGAAACCTTATCAATATAATTTGTCATAAAATTTAGCAGTCTCTCTCTCATCCTTCCTTATCTGTGTATTGATTACGATTGTAAACATTGCAGAGTTTTCACTTATTTTTATTGTGTTTGATTTATCTTCATGCTTTTTAGTCTTGGGAAGTACAATAAAAATGTTTTCTTCTCTAGAAATGTGTCCCAACCTTTTTCCAGGTGATCTTAAAATTCCAGCAGATAGCTGCATTCAAAAAGCGCCTGGCTATTAGAAGGCTCCCTGGCATAATATCCACGCAGGTTGGGAGCAGACTTTTGAATCTCATTCCACTCTCAAAAGATGTTGAGTTAGCAGTTCTTGTTGGCTGCCTGCCACTCATTTTTCTCGGTGCTCAGGGCTTGCATTTATGCTGAGCCCACTTTCTATTTTATATTTCAAGCCTTTATCTCTTCTTCCTCCAGTGATTTTTATGGATGAACAAACCAGGTCACCTAAGATAAGCCACTGTCGCTCTCCACTCAATCTTCCCACTTTTTAAGAACTGTCCTAAAACTGAACTTCTGCTAAGAATTTCTGATTAGGACAGGCACACATGACCGTATTTTAGCAGTGTTGTCCTGCATTAAGGAGAGAAGTCAGGGGTCTCAGTTTTAGCCATGCTTAATACCTCTTTGACCGTCAGTACGTCTAACTTCTCTGTGCCTCAGCTACTTGATTACAAAGCAAGAATAACAATGCCCGTCTTGCTCATCTCCCCAAATCCTAGAAAGACTTAAATTATATATATATATGTACATACTCATAAACTATAAAACACAAAAGAACAGAACAGAATTTACTCTTTCAACTTTCTGATCAATCAGACATGAAGAAATAAACTGCACTCCTTAAAGATTCAATACTATTTTGTAGTTTCAAAGAAGGTTTTTTTTTAATGTTTTTAAAGAATAAACTCAAACATATCCTGTTTAAAAGAAAAAAAAAAACGGGAAGCCTGGAAGTTAAATTAAACCCTGTTTTTGATCCTAGTAACAAGAAAATTATTGAATTTTTAGCTGCTGTCTCTAACTTTATTTTGTATCTTTTATGTTTCTGTTTGTATTACTACCAGTGAAGACCAGAAAATGTGACTGCTGTCAGAAAGACTCTAGTATCAAACTCTGTGGTGTCAGAGCTGATGACAGAATCTACTGACAAAGAATATTATGTTTGTGGCTATGTGAAATAACAAAGATTTCTCTTAGCTAAAGTTCACTCCTTGAAAAAGACAATGAAGGCCAGGTGCGGTGGCTCACGCCTGTAATCCCAGCACTTTGGGGGGCCAAGGTGGGCGGATCACCTGAGGTTGCGAGTTTGAGACCAGCCTGACCAACATGGAGAAACCCCATCTCTACTAAAAATACAAAATAAACTGGGCGTGGCAGCACTTGCCTGTAATTCCAGTTATGTGGAGACTAAGGCAGAAGAATCTCTTTAACCCGGGAGGTGGAGTTTGCAGTGAGCCAAGATAGTGCCAGTGCACTCCAGCCTGGGTGACAAGAGTGAAATTCCATCTCAAAAAAAAGAAAAAGCAAAAGAAGAAAAGATAATGAAAATAATAATAAGTTAATTGACTCAATTCATGTAGCTAGTCACCACCTGAATATATCATGATGAATTCCACTGATATACAAAATTTTGAATTTGTTTACTGTTTTTTATACCTTTATTAAGGTATAATTGACATATAATGAACTGCACATAATGAAAATGCAATTTGATAAAATGTTTCTTATATATACAGCTTTAAAAAGATAATATACTTAGAAGATATATCTTTTTTCCTGTATCCATCCACCTATTCGTTTATTCATATCTTCATTCATTTATTTACTATCTATTGAGCATTTCCCATGGGTCAGGCACTGACCCATGGTAAGCAAAACAATGTTCCTACCTTGTTGCAGCCTGCTTTCTATTAGGAAAAATGAGGCAGTGCTAAGAGAAATAGAGGAGCTAGAAAGGGAGTAGTGGCTACTATATTACATAGGGAAATCAGGAAAGTTCTTACAAATGTAAAATCTGAGCAAAGAACTGGATGAAATGGAATAGTGAGCCATGTGACTTTTTGGTGTTAGTGTAAACAGCAAATGCAAAGGCCCTGAGGCAGGTTTGTGCTTGTGGTTTTTGGAAAGCAACGTAAGGCCAGTGAAGCTGGAGTGAGAGATGAGGAGAGAGATAGTTGATGCAAGCAAGAGGTCATGGCAAACCAGATCATAGAAGGGCTTTTTGAGCCTTTGGGAGAACTTTGTCTTTTACTTTGAGAGCAATGAAAAACTGAAAAGTTTTGAGCAAAACAGTGACACAGTGTTACTTATATTTTAACTCATTACTCAAGGCACTTAGTTGAGAATAGAAAGACTTAGAGAGGTTGCTGTTGCAAGGATCCAGGTAAAAGTTGATGGTGACACAAACTGGTATTTACAAAGCTGGAGGTGGTGAGGGTAGCCTCATTGTGGATAGTCAGATTAGTTTAGTTTAGTTTTCATTATTTAGAAGATATTATATTAGTTTCTGTAATCAAATCCATGTATATAAGACCTTACCCACCACGCCCGACTAATTTTGTTTTTGTATTTTTAGTAGAGACGGGATTTCATCGTGTTAGTCAGGATGGTCTCGATCTCCTGACCTCGTGATCTGCCCACCTCGGCCTCCCAAAGTGCTGGGATTACAGGCTGGAGCCATGCAAGTAATTCTTAAGTAGATAAATCTTGAAGACAAAAATAGGTTTATAAATGTTGAATTTCTGATAAGGGAGCAGAAAAATAGAGAAGTAGGCATAATTAATTACCATTGTGTACTTTATACATTACACTAAGATATTCCCTTAAGAGACATTTAATGTTGCCCTAAATAAAATGACATCAGTATGGGCTTCGATTTCATACATGCTTAACAGAGAATGACCACAAAATAATTATTTTCCAAATTACTAAAGTATGAATGATTTTTCTTCAGATAAAATTCCACAACACATAATATTCAGTGGAATTATAAAGGAAGGAGAAGGGAAGAGGATTTAGACTGTGAGTCAGAGCAAGACTCAGTCTCAAAAAAAAATTACTTGATGAGCTATATTCTGGAGGGAATTATGGAAGAGTGAGTATTATTGAAGGAGGTTGCTAGGACACATTGCCATCTTTCGAATGAGTAGGAACTTATCCTGATAAAGATGATGAAAAAATATCCCTCGCTGATTTGAACATAGGTAAATATTAGGCCAATTTATCATGAATTTATTAGTGACATAATCATCCTAAGCATAGTATGTTAGACCTTGAATGAAAGTATTTGCTTTTGATTTTGTCCCTCCAATAATAAATATATATTTTTTCTGCCTTGTGCAAAAATATATCAAGAGAAAATAATAATAATGACATCAAGGAAAAATCAGAGAAGGCAAATACATTGATCTTATGCATCTCTTTTCAAGGATGTTGTCATAAGCATTTTTTAAAATGTGTGCATATTATTTTAGATTCCCAATGAAAAACCACAAGAAAACACAATTTCTTTCACAAAGAAACCTGGAATGGGTTTAACCTTCCTCTTTCAGAGTGTGTGTGTGTGTGTGTGTGTGTGTGTGTGTGTGTGTCTGTGAAACTTTTTAAAATTTTTCTTTGCTGCATTCCTAATATATTTTTAAGGGAATTTTATCAATCTCTAAAATCATTTTAGCCTTAGCAAAAGAAATATTAAAATGCAAAATTAGTTTTTACCATTCTTGGTTATCAGGGACTTTGCTTTTCTTTTGTTTCTGTATTACAAAAGAGCCACTTGTATTTATTTATTAGTTTCTATTGTGAATTACTATATTTGAAAACATTTGCTTTCTTCTTAAATCTATTTCGTGACAGCTAATTTTATGAAAACATACCCTATCAACCAATCTTAAAGAAATAGAAAAATATATGTGAATGTCAAATTGAAAGGTATTGTTTGAAACTATAGGATTGAACCACAAAATGTTGGCTCATGCCATTGTTTTCTATCTGACGTAAATACTGAGCTTATTATCAGGATGGTTCTGCATGCCATCCATAGGCATTTCCTTGGAGTTAGAGTTCCCCACCCCTCTGCCCCCAGCTAGACATGCCCTTCTGGATTGACTCTGTGACACTGGAACTCTGTATTCTTTTTCATCAAATCTTGTGCCAATTTTCCTTATTTTCACAGAAGGTTCAGGTTGTACCTGCTCATGCATTAAACGTGGTGACACCCACAAAGACCCACTTTTAGACTACTTCATCTCTTTCTTGACTCTTAAGCAATCACAAATGTGTCTGAAACATCAGCCATAACTTCTGGGAAAATGCTTCACAAAATTTAAAGTTCATTAGAAATTCTCTTCAAAGTTGTGAACTCTTTTGGAAAGACTGCAAGATATTTCCATTTTAATATTCAATATACTCTCCAAACTTTACGTGTCTCCAGATATATTTTCCCTCTAATACCGCATAAGTACTGAATACAAATATGATGATTATTTTTTTTTTCACCAACTTGACTGAGCCACAAAGTGCCCAGATTGATCAAACATTATTTCTGGTTATGTCTGTGAGAATACTGGGTATGTTTGTGAGAATACTGGGTATGTCTGTGAGAATATTTCTCTTCAATACAGATGGGCCTCATCCAATCCTTTGCAGGCCTGAATAGAAAAGGCTGACTAAGAAAATATTATTTCTCCTTGCCTGTCTTCAAGTGGGGACATTGTTGTTGTTGTTTTCCCCCAGCCTTCAGACTTGAACTCAGACTGAAACTTACCTGCTTGATTCTCCTGGTTCTCAGGCCTCAGACTTGGGCTGAAACTATATTATTGGCTCTCTTGCATCTCCAACTTGCTCACCACAGATCTGGGACATCTCAACCTCAAAAATCATGTGAGCCTGTGCTTTATAGTCAATCTCTTTCTATACACACACACACACACACACACACACACACACACACACACTCACACAGTTGCATATATGTAAACTCCTATTAGTTTTTCTTTTTCTGGAAAGTGCAGATTAATACAACAAATATTCAAATTTCCTAAAATATGATTTGACTGTCACACAGTTTCAAATTTTTGAACAGCTTTTCCAATAGTTCTTCAAGTAGCTCCTGAAAACAATAACAGTGATTAATTCTTTTACTAATAAACGATGACCTTAGAGGCCTGGGAATGAATCATCTTATGTTAAGGGCAAGGAGATATCAGGAAAGTTCTTTATCTAACTTTATGCTTTAATGTATTTTAACTCTAAAACACACTTTCCCAAAACTAATATGTATATACATGCTGCTTTAAGATAGTTTAATTTTAACAATTGGAATGTTTAGCTTTGCTGTCACTTTGCAAACGTAAATGATTTGCCATATGCTTTGTGAAAAATAGATTGACTTTTATCCAAGTTTCCTGGATAATTGGGTCTCAAGTAATTCAGATTAGTTGTTTTTTTTTTTACTTTTAAATTAAATCTCATTTGATTATGCTTGTCTGTATTTTTGAAGGGTCATTTATGTTATTACTCAGGCTAATTGATGTTCATGATGTCTATGAATAAGAGGCAAGCTGCATCTTCCATTATAAATATTCTGATTACCCCTAACTTCATATCGTTAATAAAATGTTTGACAGAGATTTAAGCTGTCAGCTAATGCTTGAAAGAATGATAATTTTAAAAAGAAAAAAAAGGAAATCAAATCTAATCTTTGCAATCAGTCAGTAAACCAAGCATTAAATTGTTTTGCTTTTGTTTTTTTGGTAAATCAAAGTAATTCATAGATTTGCATCTTCATGTATCAGCATTTGCATCACCAACACTGACAAAAACATAATGGAACACTCTATATATATCTTCATACTCCAAAAAAGTATATTTTTAAAATAAAAAAGTGTCTACATAGAACTGTTTATCATATTCCATAGAATTACAAGCCAAAAGACCAGCCAATAATCAAACAAAGCAAAAACAAATGCTCCACATGTGTGATACATTTTGAAATACTTTTGAAACATGAGGTGGCAAAAATGTGCTAAATAGCTAAGATTCCTAAGAGACTACCTGTTATTTCTTCAAATATTCATCAGCCTGTGTAGTAGTAACCCTACTGAATTACTCAGGAGGCTCTTGACCTTCTCAAGCTATGGAAGGAGATAATTAATACTATCTCAGTTTCTTGATTGGATAGGTTTATTCATGATTAGAAGATCTAGATAAAGCTGGTATGTAACTGTACTTTATGTGATCTGAGTATTATATAAAATTTGACATCAAACTTCTCTCATGTAAGACTAGTGAGCAAAATTATGATGAGAAATAAGATACATAATCTCAAAATATCTTCTCACAACACCCTTAATAGTTTCATAGCAAAAAAGAGAAACATTTTAGTGCAGAAAGACAATGCCTTACTCAAGTGATCAAAATTAATTATATGTGTAATAAGATCATGTGCCTCCTGATAGGATGCACGAAAAAGAGCAAAAACATCACCACTCTGGTATTTCTGCCCAAAAGTGCACAACCTGAATACAATCCTAAGCAAACATCATGCTAACTGAGGGACGTTGTACAAAACTCCTTGGTACTCTTCAAAATTGTCAATACCTTGAAAAACAAAAAGAAACAGAAAAACGTTTCCAAAGTAAAGGAGATTAAGGAGATATGGTAACTAAATGCAACATATGATCCTGGATTGGTTCTGGAACTAGAATATTTTTCTGTTACTATAAAGTACATTTCAGAAAAAAAGAGAGAAAGATAAAGATAGAAGGAGTAAAATTGCAAAAAAAAAAAAAAGAGTGCAAATGTAATAACATTGTAACATTTGGAGAATCTAAGTGAAGATTACATGGGAAAAACTTACATTATTTTGAGACTTTGGAAGTTCAAATTTATTTCAAAGTAAAAAGTGAAAAAAAAAGCATTAAAAATATTTACATTGGAGTCCATTACACTTCTGCTGTGCACAAATAGTTTTTCCTTCTGTGTTATCACAAAAACATATTGCTAGTGATTCTCACTGGACTTCCAGGCCGGAAAGGATTTTTGACTTTATTTAGCCCATCCCTCCTCCACCTCATCATATTTTTATTCTTAGAGAATAAAGATACATAGGCCTACACAGATAAAGCCACTAGCTCATGTTCATTCAAATATTAAATGAAGGAGTCATAACAATATATATTATTCATTTTTCATGTTTTCTTTAACAGAGTTTGATCTTTATAAAGGTAGTTAGAACTATTTATCTCTGTATTTACATTTCCCTAACATCTAACCTAAGATTTTGCATAAAGCACACAAAATGATACCCCTGACCATGGTAATTTATGATAGTCCTTTCACTAGAATTCCATTTCTTCATTATTTTAGAAAATCATCAAGTGTGTGTGGAGTATTTTCTCGATAGTAAACTCCATGCTCCATTATTAGTATGTCACGTTCCTCTCCCTCACCTTCTTAAGAAACCCTCAACTTGGAGAAGATAGTTCTGTGAACCAAGAGTTAAAATATGAGAAAAGTAACATGGTGGGATCAAAAGATAAAAGAAATATCTGAGACAATAATTAATACTCTGCTAACTTAAAGAACTAACACATTGATTAGCATGCTAATGTATGACTACATTGAAAACAAAGTTATGGTGGGTCGTGGTGGCTCATTCCTGTAATCCCAACACTTTGGGAGGCTGAGTCAGGTGAATTGCCTGAGCTGAGGAGTTCGAGACTAGCCTGGGCAACATGGCGAAACCACATCTCTACCAAAAAGTATATCTTTCTATATATACATTAGCCAGCTGTAGTGGCACATGTCTGTGGTCCCAGCTGCTCAGGAGGCTGAAGCAGGAGGCTCGCTTAAGCCTGGTAGGTAGAGGTTGCTGTGAGCCAAGATTGCACAACTGTACTCCAGCCTGAGTGACAGAGTGAAACCCCATCTCAAAATAAAATGAAATAAAATTACATGAAGTGAACCTAAATGTCCATCAATGATAGACTTGATAAAGGAAATGTGGTATATATGCACCATGGAATACCATGCAGCCATGAAAAAGAACGAAATCATGTCCTTTGCAGGGACATGGATGAATCTGGAGGCCATTATCCTCAGCAAACTAACAAACAGAAAACCAAATACCACATTTTCGTTTTATAAGAGGGAGCTGACTGATGAGAACACATGGACATAGAGAGGGGAAACATGCACACTGGGGCTTACTGGTGGGCAGAGGATGCGATGAGGGAGAGGATCAGGAAAATAACTAAAATAACTAATGGATAAAAATAACTAATGGATACTAGGCATAGTACCTGGCTGATGAAACACGTGCAACAAACCCCCATGACACACTATGTAATCTTTACCTATATAACACACATTCTGTACATGTATCCCAGAACTTAAAATAAAAGTTAAATAAAATAAAATAAAGTTGAGCAATACATGTACTATTATGGTAGAGGATAGTTTCAGTAATCTCTAATGCCGGCTTGCAGACTGAGACTGGGAATTAGCATAGTTTTGTTGGTCTAGGACAGCACTTTTTTTTTTACTATACTTTAAGTTTTAGGGTGCATGTGCACAACGTGCAGGTTTGTTACATATGTATACATGTGCCATGTTGGTGTGCTGCACTCATTAACTCGTCATTTACATTAGGTATATCTCCTAATGCTATCCCTCCCCACTCTCCCCACCCCACGACAGACCCTGGTGTGTGATGTTCCCCTTCCTGTGTCCAAGTGTTCTCATTGTTCAATTCCCACCTATGAGTGAGAACATGCAGTGTTTTTTTTTTTTGTCCTTGCAATAATTTGCTGAGAATGATGATTTCCAGCTTCATCCATGTCCCTACAAAGGACATGAACTCATCCTTTTTTAGGGCTGCATAGTATTCCATGGTGTATATGTGCCACATTTTCTTAATCCAGTCTATCATTGTTGGACATTTGGCTTGGTTCCAAGTCTTTGCTATTGTGAATAGTGCTGCAATAAACATACATGCGCATGTGTCTTTATAGCAGCATGATTTATAATCCTTTGGGTATATACCCAGTAATGGGATGGCTGGGTCAAATGGTATTTCTAGTTCTACATCCCTGAGGAATCACCACACTGACTTCCACAATGGTTGAACCACTTTACAGTCCCACCAACAGTGTAAAGGTGTTCCTATTTCTCCACATCCTCTCCAGCACCTGTTGTTTCCTGACTTTTTAATGATCGCCATTCTAACTGGTGTGAGATGGTATCTCATTGTGGTTTTGGTTTGCATTTCTCTGATGGCCAGTGATGATGAGCATTTTTTCATGTGTCTTTTGGCTGCATAAATGTCTTCTTCTGAGAAGTGTCTGTTCATATCTTTGCCCACTTGTTGATGAGGTTGTTTGTTTTTTTTCTTGTAAATTTGTTTGAGTTCATTGTAGATTCTGGATATTAGCCCTTTGTCAGATGGGTAGGTTGCAAAAATTTTCTCCCATTCTGTAGGTTGCCTGTTCACTCTGATGGTAGTTTCTTTTGCTGTGCAGAAGCTCTTTAGTTTAATGAGATCCCATTTGTCAATTTTGGCTTTTGTTGCCATTGCTTTTGGTGTTTTAGACATGAAGTCCTTGCCCATGCCTATGTCCTGAATGGTATTGCCTAGGTTTTCTTCTAGGGTTTTTATGGTTTTAGGTCTAACATTTAAGTCTTTAATCCATCTTGAATTAATTTTTGTATAAGGTGTAAGGCAGGGATCCAGTTTCAGCTTCCTACATATGGCTAGCCAGTTTTCCCAGCACCATTTATTAAATAGGGAATCCTTTCCCCGTTTCTTGTTTTTCTCAGGTTTGTCAAAGATCAGATGGTTGTAGATATGTGGCATTATTTCTGAGGGCTCTGTTCTGTTCCATTGGTCTATATCTCTGTTTTGGTACCAGTACCATGCTGTTTTGGTTACCGTAGCCTTGTAGTATAGTTTGAAGTCAGGTAGCGGGATGCCTTCAGCTTTGTTCTTTTGACTTAGGATTGACTTGGCAATGTGGGCTCTTTTTTGGTTCCATATGAACTTTAAAGTAGTTTTTTCCAGTTCTGTGAAGAAAGTCATTGGTAGCTTGATGGGGATGGCATTGAATCTGTAAATTACCTTGGGCAGTATGGCCATTTTCACAATATTGATTCTTCCTATCCATGAGCATGGAATGTTCTTCCATTTGTTTCTATCCTCTTTTATGGTCTAGGACAGCATTTTAACACAACTTGATTTAGACTGAACCTGTTCTCTTCAGTCATAGTCCTCACCACTCCCTATTGCCTGTACTGGATGCTTCATTCATTTATAGGATGGCACCTGAGGACATTTGAATCTGTGAAGCCTAGTGTAGCAGGATAAGAAAGACAGGCACATACATAACAATGAAAACCAATTTTAAAAGGATCAGAAGTAAATATTCTATACTTATTTATAAAGTATCTTTTAAATTAAAAAAAAAAGGAGATTACTTCTAGCTTGAGAGAAGTGAACATAGTACTTCCTCGAAGAGGTAGAATTTTTTTCCCAGGACTTGAAAGACATTGATAAAGGTGGGTGTAGGTGTTGCTGAAAATAATGATAAAGGAAACCAGGAATAAACTTTAAAGATCTATAATTTCCTCATTCTGGAATTTGTATGAGGCCATTAGAGTTTCTGTAAGATTTCTATGGAAAAGTTTCAGACTTTAAAATAAAATTCCTTATATTATTCTAAATTTGATATTAAAATACAGCCATAGAATTTTATGGCTTTAGTAGACTGCAAGTGAGTGAAAGAAAAGAAGAAAGAGAGAGAGAGAGAGAGGAAAGAAAGAAAAAAAGAAAGAAAGAGAGAAAGAAAAAAGGAAAGAAAAAGAGAAAGAAAGAAAAAAGAAAGAAAGAGAAAGAAAGAAAGTCAGGAGGCAGGGAGGGGGGAGGGAGGGAAGGAAGGAAAGAAGGAAGAAAGGAAGGAAGGAAGGAAAAAAGGAAGGAAGGAAAGAAAGAAGGAAGGAGGGAAGGAAGGAAGGAAAAGAAGGAAAGAAGGAAAAGAAAGAAAGAAGGAAGGAAAGGAAGGAAGGAAGGAGGGAAGGAAGGAAGGAAGGGAAAGGAAGGAAAGAGAAGAGAGACAGGGACACATGGCATCACTATTGCCTGCAGATGAAATTACATCTAAACATCTTGGAAAAACAGGGGCTCTAGATTCTTCTTGGAAGATCTCCATAAGTAGGAATTCCATGCTCTTCTCTGCACTCACATTCCAGAGTTTAACAGGTCACTACCCACCTACTTACTCCCACTCATACAAATGTAGATATGTTCAACACACACTCACACACAACCAAACATACACCCCACAAATATTAACATACATGTCATTTTAGGCTCACTAACATTCATATAAATGTAAAATGCCAACAAATTTACAGTTAAGTATACAAGAACCAGGGCTCTCAGGATTACTCAGCTAGTTTTAGAAACCAAAGAGGCTACAATATAAAAATCACCTTAATATATCAGAAATACTAGTGTTTAAGATTTTAGTAAAAATGACTATGGAACAATGCAACAATGCCAAGGAGATAAAAAGTGTTTGTGAAATGTTATCTCTGGCCAAATATATGTCACTGGGGATAACAAAAATAAGAGAATGCTTTACGTTCTCATTGTTCTTCCATCTGCATTCTGAGAGAGAAGACAAAATATTATGAAGACAGCAGAAGAAGGCATAATTGCTATCATATTTTCTTTCTTACAACCATAGAAAAATAAACATTGTATAGCACTCCTTTCTTGACATGATTTTCTTTGCCGGAGTCTTGGATCAGATCTATCATGGATACGAATAATGGCTTTTAAACACTATTTAAGACCAAAGCTCAAAATTTTGTGAATACTATCCATTCATGTTTAGAAGAAATATCCACATATTCAGAGTCAACAGAGGAAAAGAAAAAACATTTACTCATCACTACTACTCTAATATAAATGGAAACACACCTATCTTATCCAAGGTTTCTGTGTCAGAGGCCTCCATGCTCTGACACATTCATTAAATGTAAGACTTCACCTCTTTCTATTCAAAGCCTTACTTTCTTAACCATCAGCAAAATGCAAAAATTATAACTCAAACTACAAGTAATCATTAAGTATCCCAATATCCTGCTCAAATTCTCCATTTTGGATTTGTTTTCAATACAGGCTTTGTCTGTTCAAACCCGTGGCATGTAACTAGGACATGTAATTGTTAAACTGGTCTCCATCATTTGTGCCATCTGCACCTCCTGAATAATAAAACTATTACACAATTAAGAGGCAGTCAATTAGGGATGATTACTAATTACTCTAGACACCTATTAGAGTTGCTTCAGGGAGACCATTGACTCATTTTATGGATGCATTATGAATGCTTTTTTGTATCTCTCCATGAGTACAAGTGAAACTGTGATTTTCAACAACTGCACAAATAATTCAAATTATAATTTAACATAGCTTATTTCAATATGCTCATTTACCTGGGTCACACAAATATTACAAAACTGAATTTCTAGTTTATGATTATATAATAAACCAAATCAGAATCAGTGAATTTATTCTGAGTCATCTTCCTTTTTTTCTTCCACCTTGCCTCCCTCCCTTTTTCTCTACCCCTTTCTCTTCCTTTCTTCCTTCCTTTCCTTTCTACACATTTCCTGTGTGACTCAAAGTTTAGAAAGTTAGCTATATAAGAATTCAGCAAATTGAAATCAAAAGATTTGATCCTAACCTTTTCTCATTTTATTTTTCACTTTTTATGTTAAAAAAGTAAAACATGCACATTGTAAAGTGTTCAGACAATACAGAAGTAACACGCTGTGGTTAAAGCACTGTTAAATTTTGGATGTATGCCTTTTCTAACTTTTTTGAAGTTTTTTATTGGATCAAATTAAATAACATTTATTAAAAATCTAAATTGCACTGGACTCTGATAAATACCAAAGGTGAATGGGATTATCCTTGACGTCAGATGCCAATCACATAGTACAAGGAAATAGATTTATTTACACTATAATAAGTGTGTTTGCTAAAAAGTATACTGAAGAGTGGTGAATTAAATGGGTTTAAGTGTCAGAAATGATACTTTCATGACACGTTTGTATAGAAGGTAAACGTTAATTCTGTAAAGGTAAGAACATGACTTCTTCCCTGCAACCCTTCCTCTGTTAGACTGTATTTAAAAATATACAGTTTAGGTGCTATGTGAGAAATATAGTTGAAAGTGTGCAAAATTAGCACTTTGGGAGGCTGAGGCAGGTGGATCACAAGGTCAGGAGATCGAGACCATTCTGGCTAACACAGTGAAACCCCGTCTCTACTAAAAATGCAAAAAAAATTAGCCAAGTGTGGTGGCGGGCGTCTGTAGTCCCAGCTCGCCACCCAGCTCAGCTGTACTCAGGAGGCTGAGGCAGGAGAATGACATGAAACCTGGAGGCAGAGCTTTCAGTGAGCTGAGATGGTGCCATTGCACTCCAGCCTGGGCAACAGAGAGAGACTCCATCTCAAAAAAAAAAAAAAAAAAAAAAAGTGTGCAAAATTAAAACACTGGACAACTACTTTTTAGTCTTATCTCATTTCTGATCTTCATCCTTGCCTAATTGTATCCATGACTGACAATTCATCAAAGGCATCGTGCATCACCAACTCCTAATTCAAATCCCATGTTGCCATCTAGTTGAGGATCACCAAAGGATTGGCATAAATCAGGGATGAGAAAAGACTCAGGGTAGGGATAAGTGTTGACTTATGCCAATTAAAAGATTTTAAAGGACTCCCTATTCAATAAATGATGCTAGGGCAACTAGCTAGCCATATGTAGAAGATTGAAGTCATACCTCTCCCTTTCACCATGTACAAAAATTAACTCAAGATGGAAGAAATATTTAAATGTAAGACTTCAAACTATAAAAATCTGGAAGACAATGTAAGAAATACTCTTCTTGACATTGGCCTTGTCAAAGAAATTTTGGCTAAGTCCACAAAAGTAGTTGCAACATAAACAAAAATAGACAAGTGGGACCTAATTAAACTGAAAAGGTACCTCATAGCAAAAGAAACTACCAACAGAGCGAAAAGACAACCTACAGCATGGAAGAAGATAATTGCAAACTATGCATTCAACGAAGACCTAATATCCAAAATATATAGGGGCCTTAACAAATCAACAAGCAAAAAACATATAACCCCATTCAAAAATGGTCAAAGGACATGAATGGACACTTCTCAAAAGAAGATATATAAGTGGCCAACAAACATATGAAAAAATGGTGAACATCACTAATCATCAGAGAAATGCAAACCAAAACCACAGTGAGATGCCATCTCACCCCAGTGAGAATGGCTATTATTAAAAAGTCAAAAAATAACAGATGCTGGCAAGGCTGCAGAGAAAAGGGAACACATACTCTGTTGGAGAGGATGTAAATTAGTTCAGCCACTGTGGAAAGCAGTTTGGAGATTTCTCAAATAACTTAAAACAGAGGTACCATTCAACCCATCAATCCCATTACTCAGTATATACTCAAAAGAAAAGAAATAATTCTATCAAAAAGACACAAGCACTTTAATGTTTATCATTGTGCTATTCATAATAGCAATGACATAGAATCAATTCACATGCCCATCAGTGGTAGGTTGGATAAAGAAAATGTAGTACAATGCACCATAGAATACTACACAGCCATAAAAAAGAATGAAATCGTGTCCTTTGCAGCAACATGGATGGAGCTAGAGCCATAATCCTAAGCAAATTAGTGCAGAAACAGAAAACCAAATATCACATGTTCTCACTTATAAGTGAGAGCTAAGCATTGAGCACACATAGTCATAAATATGAGAAAAATAAAAATTGTGGACCACTAAAGGGTTGTGGTGGGGTATAAAAACTACCTATCACATACTATGCTTACTATCGGGGTGACAGGATCTGTACTGCAAACTTCACCCATCACCCAATATTCCCATGTAACAAATCTCCATGTCTCCCTGTATCTAAAATAAATCTGAAATAAAAATAATAAATAAAGACTTTTATTAGTCTATATCAAAATATCTTAGATGAAACTGTCTACATCCAAATGGCCACTAAAAATGATTGCTTTGAAATGTCATGTACACAATAACTGTTTATTTATACAGTATCAGTCAATGAATAAACAAAGAACACTATTGTATCAAATGTTTTACTAATCATTGCCACTATAGAGACATTTATATTGGATAGCTCAAAAAACTACAGAGATAGAAATAACATAATTCTTAAAACATGGCCCAAAATGACCTTAACAAAACATGGGTGAAGGCTATGAAGTTTACATGAGAATGAGGAAGAAATGGAGATGATAAAAATGAAGGGGAGAGAAAGAGATCTCATTCTTAAAATTTACATTTAAAATATCCCCAATTCTAAAAGGTTTTGGTGGGCTACTAAGCATGGGATAAAGGGCTATTCTTCAGGGTACCCACCCCTTTCTCTGTCCTTTAGCCTGGTGCTCAGAGCCCTTACGTTATCAAGATTTGCATATACAATTGAACTAATAAGTTTCCTAGGGCTGCCTTAAAAATTTCTACAAAACAGGTAGCTAAAATAACAGGAATTTTTGGTCTCACGGTTGTGGAAGCCAGAAGTCCTAAATCAAGGTGTTGGCAGGACTCGGCTCTCGCTGATCGCTTGAGGGGAGAATCTATTCCGTTGCTTTCTCTTAGCTTCTGGTATGGGCAGCAGTAATTTTGCATGCGTTGGCTTGTGGGTATATCACTCCAATCTCTTCTATTGTCACATGCCTTCACCTGCATGTCTCTTTTCTTCCCTTTCTTCCCCTTCCCCTTCTTCTGCTTCTGCTTCTGCTTCTGCTTCTTTAGAGAGATGGAGTTTCTCTCTTGTTGCCCAGGCTGGACTGCAATGGCACGATCTCGGCTCACTGCAACCTCCGCCTCCCGGGTTCAAGTAATTCTCCCGCCTCAGCCTCTCCAGTAGCTGGGATTACAGGTTCGTGCCACCACACCCAGCGAATTTTCGTATTTTTAGTAGAGACGGGGTTTCACCATCTTGGGCAGGATGGTCTCAATCTCCTGACCCCGTGATCCTCCCGCTTCAGCCTCCCAAAGTGCTGGGATTACAGGTGTGAGCCACCGTGCCTGACCTCATTTTCTTAAGAGGGCAACAGTCAGATTAGATTAAGGGCCAACCCTGTCACAGTTTGACCTCATCTTAATTAATTACATCTGCAATGAACCTACTTTCAAATAAGTCACATTTTGAGGTTCCAGGAAGGACATGAACTTGTGGGTGGCAAGGGGGGATATTATGCCACCCATACACGGACTAACTTTGCTCAACACAAGTTCAACTTAGCTCCAATAATCTTCGTTAACTCATGGGCATTTGCTTTTAAATACGAATCTCTACCGGTAGAATAAGCATGAATAGTAAAATAAAATACTTTTTTCTACCTGTTAAAACGCTTTGAAGTATCAATAGGGAAGTATCTTAAGGTAGAAAAGAAAGGACAGAAGGGCTGTCTTAGGTCCTTAAGATCACACCAGTGATGCTCAAATCCTCTCTACCTAATTGTTCATTGTTAAAAAGAGTGTGTATATGTCCCCAGGCCACACTCTTAATCAAATAACATAGAGAGCAGCCACATCAGAGAATTCACAATGGCCTGCGGAATAATTGCTTGACCCCATGGCTAGATGGTCTGTAAGCAGACTTGCAAATTGGCAAGCAGAGCTTAAGTGTCAAAAATGGATAGTGATTTCACAGTAAATTATATCGGATCACAGAGGGTAGTGCCATCATCAATTGTAACTTACAATGCTTCTCTGGCAGCAAGAAGAGAATATAAGCATGACCCGTATGTCTTGCACAAAAGTGTCAGTCGGGAAACAAAGCCTCCATTTTCAGGGCATGACCACATGAGGCGGCATTTCAAAGACAAGCATAGAGATCGTTAAGCTCATGGAGGATGAGTGATGGACAAAGATTTACCTAGCTCTGGGGAACCAGAATCCAAAATAAAATTAAAAAAAAAAAATCTTGGCTTCCAGTACCTAGTTGTCAGTTTCTAGTCAGCACTCTTGCAACACAAGGAAAAAAAAAAGAAAAAAGCTACATAAAGCTCACCATTTATAAAATGGTCCTTGGAGTTTAAAACTAAATTAAGAAAAATGTAAAATTGAAAGAAGAAAACATCGTAGGATTGGTGCAGGGGTTTGGGACAGAGTGAGTTAGTTTTGGCAGAAAGATTGCTTCAGAACTCAGGTGACAGTGACTGCTAACAAATGCTTTGAGATTCTTGTTAAATAAATGCTTGTTTGGTGGGTGTGTTTGAAGTTGGAACTGAAAAGTGCTCCAGTTGGCTGGATGTTTAACAAGGCTCTCTTTGGGAGTTCAGCATCTGTCAGGTGAATCAGAACAAGGGTTCTACTTACATGAAGCAGGAGAAAAATTATATCTAATGAGCTGCTAACAACAAGTGTTTATTGAGTTCTCCGAGGCATGTTCAAATCAGACACAAGTTAAAAGGCTAATGTGAGCTTTTGATGATCTGAGAAAACTTCACAGAAAAAAAAACTAGATGGAAATTTTTATTAACTAAAATATTTGTTGAAAGTGTATTACATGATTGGTAGTCTACCAAGTGCTTTACTATTTAATCTTCACAACTGCGTTAGCCTGAACGTTTTTTGTTCCATTTTACAGATACGGATACAGGTCATGTGTAATAGAGTAATTTGTCCTTAGTCATATCACAAGTATATTACACAGATGGAATTAGAAAAGCACCAAGTTCAATTATTTTTGGGCTTAATCTACACTAATGTCCCCTGACCCGCCCCAGAAAATGATGCAGCTAACAAAAAGAGTTAAGGAAGTATTCGATCCTGCCTCTCTCATTCTACAAATAAGGACATTTAAAACCTAGGAGTTAAGTTATAGTACAAAAGTCACATGGCACAAAGGACTGAAAATATATTTTTGTGTGTGTGCATATGTGTGTGTGTGTGTGTGTGTGTGTGTGTGTGTGTATTTATGTATTCTGACTCTATCAGAGGAACCATATTTCTTTTCTTTTTGTAACACTACTTAATACGGGACCTACATAGAGATTTAAATGTTTTCATCAGAACCAGACTGAACCATTATGGATATAGCCAGTTCATAAATTTAGAGCTAGTAACAAAAATACACTCAGTCGTTTTAAGCCATGCTAATATAGACCAACAATCCTTTCTCACCTCATACTTGGCTACATGATATATGATGGTTGCCTTATTGAACATTATCTCTCATAGGCTTTTAAAGCATTACAACTATTTTGGATCTTAGATGCAAAGAGTTGATCTAATCTCACACCTCTGTTCATTGCCATTGGTCATCCCAAATTATATAAATACGTTTTTCCCCTTATCATCTCAACTTTTCTCTTTCTCTCCCCTGTAATAAGCACACACTAAGTCGTTTTAAATTTCTTATTTAATATTGCTGCATAATATGAAATGCTTTGTATTTATGTTTTTAATCTACAAAAATAATGCTGTAATACAAAATTTCTAATTTTATCACTCAACATTTAATTATAAGACATGTCAAATGTATAGCAAAGTTGTACAAAGTGTACTGTGAGTATCCATAGACCCATTACCCAGATTCAACCATTAATGTCTATTATCCATCTATTTATTCTTCTCTCCATCCATTAATCTATCATATTGGGGTCATTTCAAAGCACATTGCAGGTATCAGCACACTTTGGTCTATTTATATAATATGTGTATCATTACCTAGAGTTTAGTATTTGCCTACAGTATTTAACATAAAACTTTAAAAATAATGGGCAAAATTTTTAATTGTACATTCGCTGAGTTTTGGCAAGTGTATATACCTGTTTAACTGAAAAACTGTATCAAGATATAGAACATTAGTTTACCTTAAAAAGCTCTCCCATCTTTCTTCCCAAACATTACTATTCTGTTTCTGCTAAAGACAATAATTTTTCTGATTTTTTATACTTTCCTATTCTAGAATCCTAAACAACAGATTCTTACAATATGTGCTCTTTGAGGTGAGAGATGTTTCTCACAGCATCTTGTAGTGTATTTGGAATTTTTGTGACTGCTCCATGGTTCCTTGAGGTTTTGACCATTGTTTTTGATCTCGTTTCATATTGGATACATTCTATAAATCTACCTTCACATTCACAGATTCTACATTCTATTATACAGCTATCCAGTGAATTTTTAAATTTCTGATACTGTTTGTTTTCAGTTCCAGAAATTTTCTTTTCTTGTTTTTAATAGTTTATATTTATCTGCTGCATTTTTTCTTATTTTTAATAAATGTAAGTATGTTGTACATTGTAGCTTAATTAATTGAGTATAGTAATAATATGTGCTTTGAAACTCTAATTCAAAATCTGGAGGCATTTAAATATTTATTTTGGTTGATTGTTTTATCTCTTGAGAATAAGCCACATTTTCCTAATTATTAATTTGAGTACTTTGGATTGTGTCTTGGACATTAGGAATGTTTTGTTGTGGAAACTACAATATCTAACCTAGTTCTCTGAAGAAATTTTTGATACATTGTATTGTACATAATTATGTTATAGGCATAGAATGTGTCATCATCAAGTCAGGGTATTTAGGGTACCCATCGCCAGATTATTTACCATTTCTATGTTTTGGGAAAATTTCAAGTACTCACTTCTCTAAATATTTTGAAAAATGAAATACATTGTTTTTAACTATAAATCCCCCTTACTCTGTAATATGGTTTGGCTGTGTCCCCACCCAAATCTTATCTTGAATTGTAGCTCCCATAATTCCCAAATGTTGTTGGAGGAACCTGGTGGGAGATAGTTGAATCATGAGGGTGAGTTCCCCACACTGTTCTCATAGTAGTGAATAAGTCTCATGAGATCTGATGGTTTTATCAGAGTTTTTTCTCCTTTCACGTGGCTCTCATTCTCTCTCATCTGCTGCCATGTAAGACGTGCCTTTCACCTTCCACCATGATTGTGAGGCCTCCCCAGCCACATGGAACTCTGAGTCCATTAAACCTATTTTTCTTTATAAATTACCCAGTCTCAGGTATGTCTTTATCAGCAGCATGAAAACGGACTAATACAATCTGCTATCAAACATTACAACTCATTCCTTCTACCTAACTGTAGGTTTGCTTTTCCCATTAACCAATCTCTATTCACCCATCTCCCCCCAACTCGCACCCCCCCTGCCCACCGCCCACATACACCCTCTCCAGTCTCTGGTATCTATTATACCACTATGTACCTCCATGTCATCAACTTTTTTAGTTCCCATATATGAATTACATGTTCTCTGAAGACTTGTGATGTTTTTATTTTAGAAGGGAAATAACCCAGTTGGACTCAGACTGAAAGTCTGTGTCTTGAGCAGCAGAACAAACAGAGTTCAGCTCTTTTTATCTCCAACTGAGCTGTTTGCAGTCAGCTGTACCCCAGGCATGTGTCAGGGGTCAGTCAGAGAGGTGGTCACAGTTTATACACAGGTTGTCAACCTCTCTGGCTCTCTTATTTTCCTAGGTTCCCTCCTCACTTTCCAGCACCTGTGGGCTACCCCACATTCTATCCTCTGGTTCTTCAGGTCAGAAAGACTGTAAGTTTTCTATCAAAGTTTCAATCACCCTCTGATTAAATTTTGGCCTGCCTTCATGTTAAAAATCATAAAACAGAAAACTCATTCTGCACTAGTTCTTTCTCCCAAATTTGAACTCTACTTCCAACTCTCCATGCTTTTGTTTACTCTCAAAGAGCTTTCCTCTTTGTTTATTGTTCAGGGTTTATAGTTATTATCTTTGTGAGGGTCAGCCATACCAGAAATGGCAAAAGTTTATTTTGTGTATTCATTTTACTGTATGTGCAAATATTTTGTTGCTTCAGACTGTTTTTTAGTACTGCATACGGATTGAAATTTTACTAATTTTTCCCATAGCAAATCTTTAATACCCATAATTATGTTCATTTTCCCCTATAATTTATTGACTTTGTGAATATTCTAGACTTTTCTATAAACCAAAAACAAAACAAAGAATCCTATAAACTTTCTCTGCTATATCCTATAAATGAAACTGACCACGATACCCTAATATTGTGTAAAGTTTTATTTCTTATTATGGATTTTCTTTTCTCCTCTCTCCCTCCTTTCTCTCTCTAACTCCCTCCCTCCCCCCTCCCTCCCTCCCTCCCTTCCTCCATCCCTCCCTCTCCCCTCCTTCTCTTCCTCCCTCACTCCCTCCTTCCCTTCTTTCCTCCCTGTATTAGTCCATTTTCACACTGCTGATAAAGACATACCTGAGACTGGGCAATTTACAACAGAAAGAGGTTTAACTGGACTCACAGTTCCATGTGACTAGGGAGGCCTCACAATCATGGCCGAAGGCAAGGAGAAGTAAGTCACATCTTATAAGGATGCTGATAGTCAAAGAGAGTTTGTGCCGGGGGACTCCTTCTTATAATACCATCAGAGCTCGTAAGACTTATTCGCTATCATGAGAACAGCATGGGAAAGACCCGCTTCCATAAGTCAGTCATCTCCCACCGGGTCCCTTCCACAACACATGGGATTTATGGGAACTAGAAAATGCGATTTGGCTGGGGACACAGAACCAAACTATATCATCCTGCCTCGGACCCTCCCAAATCTCATATCGTCACATTTCAAAACCAATCATCCCTTCCTAATCATCCCCCAAAGTCTTAACTCATTTCAGCATTAACCCAAAAGTCCAAGTTCGAAGTGTCATTTGAGATAAGTCAAGTCCCTTCTGCCTATGAGCCTGTAATATCAAAGGCAAGTTAGTTACTTCCTAGATAAAATGGGGGTACAGGCATTGGGTAAATACAACCATTCCAAATGGGAGAAATTGACCAAAACAAAGGGGCTAAGGCCCCATGCAAGTCCAAAATCCAGCAGGGTAGTAAAATCTTAAAGTTCCAGAAAGATCTCCTTTGACTCCATGTCTTGTGTCTGGGTCACACTGATGCAAGAGGTAAGTTCTCATGTTCTTGGGCAGCTCTGGCACTGTGGCTTTACAGGTTACAACCTCCCTTCTGGCTGCTTTCATGGGCTGGTATTGAGCGTCTGCAGCTTTTCCTGGTGCACAGTGCAAGCTGTTGGTGGATCTACCATTCTGGGGTCTGGAGGATGGTGGGCCTCTTCTCACAGCTCCACTAGGCAGTGCCCCAGTAGGGACTCTGTGTTGGGGCTCCAACTTAACATTTCCTTTCCACACTGCCCTAGCAGAGCTTCTCCATGAGGGCCCCACTCCTGCAGCAAACTTTTACCTTGGACTCTAGGCATTTCTATACATCTTCTAAAATCCAGGCAGAGGTTCCCAAATGGCAATTATTGAGTTCTGTGTACGGCAGGCTCAACACCATGTGGAAGCTGCCAAGGCTTGAGGCTTGCACCCTCTGAAGCAACAGCCTGAGCTGTACCTTGGACCCTTTTAGTCACAGCTGGAGCAGCTGGGATGCAGGGCACCAAGTCCCTAGGCTGCACACAGCACAGAGACCCATTCAACAAGTCTCTAGGAAATTCCAGACTTTCCCACATTTTTCTTTCTTCTTCTGAGCCCTCCAAACTCTTCCAACCTCTGCCTGTTACCCAGTTCCAAAGTCACTTCCACATTTTCGGGTATGTTTTCATCAATGCCCCACTCTACTGGTACCAGTCCACTGTATTAGTCCATTTTCATGCTGCCGATAAAGACATACCTGCGACTGGGCAATTCACAAAAGAAAGAGGCTTAATTAGACTCACAATTCCACATGGCTGGGGAGGCCTCACAATCATGGCGGATGGCAAGGATGAGCAAGTCACATCTTGTGTGGATGGCAGCAGGCAGAGTGAGCTTGTGCAGGGAAACTCCTCCTTATAATACTGTCAGATCTCTTGAAACTTATTTGCTGTCACGAGAACGTCACGGGAAAGACCCACTCCCATAATTCAGTCATCTCCCACCAGGGCTCTTCCACATGTGGGAATTATGAGAGCTGCAAGATGAGATTTGGGTGGGTACACAGAGCCAAATCATATCTCTCCCTTCCTTCCTTCCTCCCTCCCTTGCTTCTTCTTATTTTACCACAATAAACTTTTATAGGTTATGTATTATATTCATTTATTTTTATCTCTTAGCCCTGTATAGGACGTGTTTGTCTTCCTAGTGGAGATCTTCATCTAAAAGTGTTTTTATTTTCACCCAAGATTGTCTTTTTATAGTAAAACTTTTGAAACTTTGTATGTGTTGATAAAATACTAAGGTCAAAGTTAAGTTTACACCTATTTGAAAATAATACTCTTTATTTAGTTACCTTAAGTATTAATGTTATTCTTTGTAAGAAATCTGTGTCTAATTTCCAGCAACTCTATTTTTCTTCTGTTCCGATAAACGTATTTAACTATATTATATCTAGGTATGCATTTCCTTTTCTATTATATTTTTCTCTCCACACGTTTTCTAAGGATTTTCTTCTTTATTTAATAATGTTAAAATCCCAGTAATAGTTTTTTCAAATACTTCCTCCCCTACTGCTGTTATTTTATCCTCTTTTGGAATTCTATTTACACCAATACTTTTTTTTTTTTTTTTTTTTTTTTTTTGAGACAGAGTCTCTGTTTGTCACCCAGGCTGGAGTGCAGTGGTGTGATCTCAGCTCACTGCAAGCTCCGCCTCCCGGGTTCACACCACTCTCCTGCCTCAGCCTCCCGAGTAGCTGGGACTACAGGCACCAGCCACCATGCCCAGCTAATTTTTTGTATTTTTAGTAGAGACTGGTATTCACCATGTTAGCCAGGATGGTCTCGATCTCCTGACCTCGTGATCTGCCCAACTTGGCCTCCCAAGGGGCTGGGATTACAGGTGTGAGCCACCGTGCCTGGCCACACCAATACTTCTAGACTGTTACTCTTTCTCTCTCTCCATATGTATGTATACTTTTGAATTATGGCCTTATTTCTTCACACTGACGTTTGGGAAATTTTCTAAATGTAATCTTCCATTTTACTGGTGTGTTTTATGGCTATATTTTTCAATTTAATAGCTTCTTTGTTAAAAAATAGTGTGTTTTAATATCAAGTATTTCCACTGGAGTCTTTATTTTTAACTCCACATCCTCCTTAATATAATCAATATTCTTTTTCATAGCAAGCTGTTCAGTAACAGTTTATCTTTGTCTGTGAAAATATTTTTTTCTATGCGAATATCAGGGAGACTGATAATTAGTTTAAAAAATCACTGTTTCAGACATACCAGTAATTTCTGGCTGGCATCAGTTTGCAGTGTTCGGTAATGTTTTGTAATTTGTGTCAGTGCCTTGTGTTACTAGTTGACACTTTTTTAAGCTCTAATTATTTTATTTTATTTCAACAGATTTTGGGGAACAGGTGGTGTTCACTTGTAAGCATAAGTTCTTCAGCGGTGATTTTTGAGATTTTGGTTCACCCATCACTGGAGCAGTGTACACTGCATCCAATGTGTATTCTTTCATCTCTCACCCACTTTCACACTTTCCCCTGAGTCCCCAAAGTCCATTGTATATTCTTATGTTTTTGCATAAAACTAATAAGTGAGAACATATAATGTTTGGTTTTCCATTCCTGAGTTACTTCACTTGAAGTAATAGTCTCCAAATCCATCCAGGTTGCTGTGAATGCCATTATTTCATTCCTTTCTATGGCCAAGTAGTATTCCATAGTATATATATACCATAGCTTCTTTATCCACTCAGTGATTGATGGGCATTTGGGCTGATTCCATGTTTTTGTAATTGTGAATTGTGCTGCTATAAACATGCATGTGCAAGTACTTTTTTCATATGATGACTTCTTTTCCCCTGGGTAGATACCTAGTAGTGGTATTGCTGGATCAAATGGTAGGTTTACTTTTAGTTCTTTAAGGAATCTCCACACTGTTTTCTGCAGTGGTTGTACTGGTTTACATTCCCACTGGCAGTGTACAAGTGTTCCTTTTTCACCATATTCATGCCAATATCTGTTATTTTTGATTTTTTGGTTATGGCTATTCTTGCAGGAAGAGGGTAGTATTACATTGTGATTTTGATTTGTATTTCTCTGACAATGAGTGATGTTGAGCATTTTTTCATATATTTGTTGTCCATTTGTATATCTTCTTTTGAGAATTGCCTATTTATGTCTTTAGCTCACATTTTGATGGGATTGTTTGATTTTTTTCTGGCTGATTTTTTGAGTTCCTTGTAGACTATGGATATTAGTCCTTTGTCAGATACATATTTTGTGAAGATCTTCTCCCAGTCTGTGGGTTGTCTGTTTACTCTATTTACAGTTTAATTCAGTTTTAGTTTAATTAAGTCCCATCTATTTATCTTTGGTTTTGTTGTATTTGCTTTTTGGTTCTTGTTCATAAAGTTTTTGCCTAAGCCAATGTCTAGAAGGGTTTTTTTCTGATGTTATCTTCTAGAATTTTTATGGTTTCAGGTCTTAGATTCATGTCTTTGATCCACCTTGAGTTGATTTTTTATAAGGTGAGAGGTAAGAATCCAGTTTTATTCTTCTGCCAATTATCCCAACACCATTTGTTGAATAGGGTATCTTTTCCCCACTTTATGTTTTTGTTTGCTTTGTCAAAGATCAGTTGGCTGTAAGTATTTGCCTTTATTTCTGGGTTCTCTACTCTGTTCCATTGGTCTATGTGCCTATTTTTATACCAGTACCACACTGTTTTGGTGACTATGGCCTTATAGTATAGTTTGAAATCAGGTAATGTGATGCCTCCAGATATGTTCCTTTTGCTTTGTCTTGCTTTGGCTATGCAGACTCTTTTTTGGTTCCATGTGAATTTCATAATTCTTTTTTTCTAATTCTGATATGATGATAGTATTCTTCTAATTCTGAAGAATGATGATAGTATTTTGATGGGGATTGCATTGAATTTGTAGATTTCTTTTGGCAGTGTGGTCATTTTCACAATATTGATTCTACCCATCCATGAGCATGGGATGTGTTTCCATTTGTTTGTGTCGTCTATGATTTCTTTCAGCAGTGTTTTGTAGTTTTCCTTGTAGAGGTCTTTCAACTCCTTGGTTAGGTATATTCCTAAGTATTTTTTTCTGCAGCTATTGAAAAAGGGGTTGAGTTATTGGTTTGATTCTCAGCTTGGTCATTGTTGGTGTATAGCAGTGCTTCTGATTTGTGTATGTTGATTTTGCATCCTGAAACTTTACTGAATTCATTTATCAGAACTAGTAGCTTTTTGGATGAGTCTCTAGGGATTTCTAGGCACATTGCTATATGTGCAAATAGTGTGTTGCTTTGTGTTTTTTAGTACTGCATATGGGTTTATATTGTATTCATTTTTCCCATAGCAAATCTTTAATACCCATAATTATGTTTTTTCCCTTATAATTTATTGATTTTGTGAATATTTTAAACTTTTTTATAAACCAAAAGCAAAAAAATCCTTTTTTTTCTCAGATACATCCTGCAAACCAAACTGACCATGTTAATATTGTGAATTTATTTATATGATCCCTAGTATGAGTTTAGTTATCTGCTTTCATCAACAGAATAGAGGGGCACATCTCTGGTTCTGTTTTTTGTGGATGCTAGTAGATTTAAAGGAGGTCATGATTTCATAGTAGCTGCAGAAGTTCTACAACTTGCCCTTATTAATCTGTTTTGCATTACTATAAAGGGATACTTGAGGTTGGGTAATTTATAAAGAAAATAGGTTTATTTAGCTCACAGTTATACAGGATGTGCAAGAAGCATGGCACCAGCACCTGCTTCTAGTGGAAGCTTCAGAGAGCTTCCGCTCATGTTGGAAGGTAAAGGGGAGCAGGCATCACATGCTGAAGAGGAAGGAAGCAAGAGGGAAAAGAGAGGAACAGCCAGATCATGTGGGAACAAATAGAGAACAGCCAAATGTTGTGTGAACAAATAGAGAACTCAGTCATTACCGGAAGAACAGCACTGTATTAGTCCATTTTCACACTGCTGATAAAAACCTACCCGAGATTGGAAAATTTACAAAAGAAAGAGGTTTAATGGACTCACAGTTCCATGTGGCTGGGGAGGCCTCACAATCATGGTGGAATGTGAAAGGCACAGCTCACATGGTGGCAGACAAGAGAAGAGAATGAAAGCCAAATGAAAGGGGTTTCCTCTTATAAAACCATCAGATCTCATGAGACTTATTCACTACCATGAGAGCAGCATGTGGGAAACCACCCCCATGATTCAATTATCTCCCACTAGGTCCCTCCCATGACATAAGGGAATTATGGAAGCTACAATTCAAGATGAGATTTTGGTGGGAACATAGTTAAACCATATAAAGCACTAAGCCCTTTTTGCAGGATATGCCCCCATGATCCAAATACCTCTCACCAGGCCCCCCATATAATACTGTGGATCACATTTCAACATGATATTTGGAGGGGACAAATATAAAAACTATGTCACTGCCTTTAGCAACTTTGTTGTGCTGTGCTCTCAATAGTTTGCCAGACCCCTTCTGCAAAGCCTTCCCTATTAATTCCTCTGTAGTTGCTCCCCTCTGAGTTCAGTCCTTCCTTTATTGAAGCTGACAATTAGACTTCATCTGTCAATATCCTTCTCATGCTGTCCAGGTGTCTGTGCTCTTTTTTGGATGCACTCTTGACCCCAAGGATATTAGGCTAGTTCTGCTGGTTTTCTTCACTTAAAGTGGTAAAGGGCAGGGAGGGATGTGTCCCGTACTATGTGGCAGAGAGAACAGAATACAAGCCAATGCTCTCTCAGCCATCACGTAGTTGTGATAGATGACCTCTTTAGCACTGAGTTGTTGCACCCTTAAAATGATAAGTCAAGACTGCCTTCCTGCTGAGAAGGCAATGACGAGCAGCTTCTTGTCCCTTGCACAGTAGCATAAGTGTGGCCTTGGGCCTGAGACATTTTCTTTCTTTTTTTGTTTTTGTTTTTGTTTTTGAGATGGAGTTACACTCTTGTTGCCCAGGCTGGAGTGCAATGGCACAGTCTAGGCTCACCACAACCTCCGCCTCCTGGGTTCAAGTGATTCTCCACCCTCAGCCTCCTGAGTAGCTGGGATTACAGGCATGCGCCACTACACCCAGCTAATTTTGTATTTTTAGTAGAGATGGGATTTCCCCCATGTTGGTCAGGCTGGTCTCGAACTCCTGACCTCAGGTGATCCACCCACCGCGGCCTCCCAAAGTGCTAGGATTACAGGTGTGAACCACAGCGCCAGGCCTGAGACATTTTCTTATAAAGAAATGAGGAGTCCTCATAGACTGTGCTCTGCACGTGACCTTGTTTGGAAGGACCTTTCTCTGTCTGGATGTGTACTCCTTTGTTTTGCTGATGGGTGTGTGTCATATGACACGTGGCCATCCTCGCTGCTATATCCGTTCCTGGCAGGGAGGCAATAGGGTTCTTCACTTGCAGCACAAGAGGGATGCATGCAGAATATGTCCCTGAGATGGCAATGAGCCAGGACCTGCTGGTCACAGGGGACTGGTGGTCACTACTGAAGATCTTTCTCTGTGTTTTCTCTATTGATTCACCCAGTGCTTGTGTGACTTGTGTCTTTCTTGGAAACCCCAGCACCTGCAAATCGTACAGTGATGGCACACTGGAACTGATCCTCTAGAGGGTAGGCAAAATGTGTCGCTTGCATGCTACTTCCCTTACCCCACACGTTTCTCAGAGATTTCCCAGTTCATACACTGAACTTTCAACATCTAAGGCACCTCCAAAATTGGGTTGGAGAGCATCACACTAGCCCATTATTAATTTCCATCTAGTTAGAAAATGGTTATTATAATAAATAGTGTTTTATTTCTTTTTACCATTTGAAATTACTGTTACATAGATTTTGTCAATTTTATTACTAATTATGGGTATTTTCTGTCATTTAAAATGCATTACAAATTTTACTCCTACTGGCAGAATAATATCCAACTGGACAAATGTACCATAACTAATTTAACCATTTATATAGTTTTGGAATTTGAACTCTTTGACTTTTTTTTTCTTTTTACTTTTATAACTGATGTTGTGATGAACATTTTTATCAAAATGTACTAGTTTGCTGTGCCCACTGTTATGAATTACCACACACTTGCTAACTTAAAACAACCCAAATTTATTATTTTACACTTCTGGGGGCCAGAAGTCCAAAATCAGTATCAGTGAGCTGAAGTCAAGGGGCAAGCAGGGCACTGCTGCCTCCGGAGGCTCTAGGAGAGGACTTGCAGGTAACCTCTTCCAACATCTGGTGGGCGCTGTCATTCCTTGCTTGTCGCCACATCACTGCAGTCTTCAATGTCAACATTTTTTAATCTCGCTCTGCTCCACCTCCACATCACCTTCTCCTCTGTTCTTGTGTGTGTGTTTCTGCTGAATCTTCCATTGCCTTGCTCTTATAAAGAATACACTTCAGAGAGCATGTAGGACTCACCAGATAATTCAGGTTAATATCCAAACCTCAAGATCCTTGACTTCACATTTGCAAAGTCTCTGCCGCACAAGGTAACATTTAAAATTTCCAGCGATTGGGATATCTTTGGAGGTGGTTTTTCAGTCTACTGCACTGCCCTTACAGTTTTACTCGTTATTTCTTCTCAGAATTAGCAAAACCAGATTGATGGGGGCTAAAACTTTAAGGCACCAATATACATTGTTATTATGTTTTCCAAAGTCATAATTCTTATGTACATCCAGCACAGCAATGTATAAAGACACTCCTTTTATTGTCTGCACTTTGATTTTTATAGGTGAGAAATAAGGTATAGATTTTATCTTTTTCATTGTCAATAAGGAGGACTAGTTTTCTGTGTGCTTGCTTATTAATTTTCTGCTTTTTAAACATCATATCTTTTGTCATCTCCTTTCTCAGTATATTGTACAGTTTTTTAATTGGAAATTATTGAAAGGATATTCTAATTTTTACATACACTGATCCAGGCTTTTGTCAAAGGCTAGAAATACCTCTTATCTTCAGAGATCAGAGGCACTGTATTTCAATACTATTCTGTTCAGTTTTTTCTTCAATTATATTTTGAATGGATGAGAATGTGCCCAACATGAGATAAACTAAGTACTATCTTCATTCACAAATCTGACCTTATACAAACAGAAAGAGGCACCAGAGGTCTCTCTCTTTCTGCACACATCATGAAAAGGCCACGTAAGGACACAGTAAAAAGGCAGCTGCCTACAAGCCAGGAAGAGAGGCCTCACCAGAAACCAACACTGCTGGTGGCAACTTATTCTTGGACTTCAAGCCTGCGAAACTGTAAAAACATAAGTTTCTGTTATTTAAGCTACACAGTCATTGGTATGTAGTTATGGCAGCCTGAGCAGACTAATACAATGTATATGCTCCAAATAGAACTGTGCTTAAATGTATCTTCTGCCTATTAGGATTTCACAGTTCAATTGTGGGTGTGGAATGCAAACATGTTAGCCACTTAATAAAACATAAAACATGATCTGTTTTCTTCTATTTTTGTATCCATGTGTCCTATTTACCCATGGTGTCTGTATCTAAGTGTATGTTTGTCTGAATCTTTGCATTTTCTAATCAATTATTTTGAACCATGCAGTTGTCCATTCCTTTATTCCTGAGACTTGTCTTAAATAAAAAAGACATTTTTGAATTTGAAAAAGAAAGAAGAAAGTTAATTTATGTTGATAAGTTTAAAAAATATGTTCCTAGGATATTTGAGCACACTATTATTGCAGAAAAAAAAAATCTACAGCTGTAATATTTTGCTTACCTTAGGCATTTCCCTAATGTTCCTCACTCTGTAGTAAAAGGCATTTGACTCAAAAGTCAGTTCTTTTAACTCTCTTTTTCCTCACTTCTTTAATAATGTCTATTTTCTCATTTCCTACAGTAGTGTTATTTGATTCATAGCAGCAGTTCTGCATAGTATCATTTATCTGTAAGCTAAACCAACAAATTCAGAGTTTCAAATTGTGAAATTTGATTTTGTAGCATTATGCTAAATGGCAATCAGATGGAAAAGACATTGAAATAAAAATGTACCAAGAAAAGTGAACCAGTAAGTGTTGCGTTATTTTCCTCATAAGCAGAAATTTCACTGCCAGAAAACGATAGCAAAAAATCTAATAATGTCAATCACAGCTCTAAGGTTTACAAGAGAATTTTTAAAATCCCATTTTAAGTCAGAGAATATTAAGATTTAGAGAGTTAGGCTATAGTAGAAAGACCACAACTTATGAATCACAAGTCATGAACTAGGTTTATGGGCCAGTTATACCAATTATAATGAAAGGTTATAGACAATGTCCTTAACTTTCTGTGTCATGGTTTCCTCTAACTACTGAGATGACTTGTTGTAAAATAGTAGTATGCTATATTATACTGAATAACAAATAGTGTGGAAAATGGAATCAGCTCTGGGAAGGCTATGACGTTGTTGGAAGAGCCAAGGCTTTAAAGGTCAGGGGAACTGCTGATAGCATTTCAGAAATTTTGAAGTACAGAAATCACAGATGAAACCAAATAAAGGTCTTAGTTTTAAGTGGGTTGATTCACATTTTGACACTGGAAAGCTACTGGCAAAATCTATTACCTGCTGTCTTCCAAATTCCTCATGCCTGCCCACTAATGCCAATGCAACTCTCCATCTCTTCAATTTTTGTTTAAATCGTCAACAGGAGTTTTTCATTTGCAGAGCATAAACTGGAACCCCAATGGCAAGAGAGTCTAGAAAATGTAGTTTCCAGGCTTTTAGCTCCTCTAACAGAAGTGATAGCAGAGAACAGTGTAGGAATCGACCTGAGACTTCAATAGACTATTCATGAAACAAACTCATTCCACATAGGAACCACTTATCAACCCAATCCAATCCACCCACTAGTTTTGTGTGGTTTACCTACAAAAAATGCAATTTAAATTCACTTTACTTTGACCTTCTTACACTGCAACCACTATAATTCAAGATTGTTTCTCACTTGGACTAGTATGACAGTTGTCTTGCTTTCTTCTTTCCAATTTGCTCTTTGTATTATCTGTATGTTTGGTTACGCTGCAGTTGCCAACAATCCTTAAATTGCAATAGCTTAACCCAACTAGTATTTATTTCATGCTCATGTATTATGTCTCATATAAATTTTCAAGAGACTCTGCTGCACATAGTCATTTAGAGTCTCAGAATGACCGAGACTTCACCTCCTCTATTGCCACACCATTAGAAGTGAAGAATAGAGAACTATTTGCAGAATCTTTGCTGACTGAGCCCACAAGTGACATGACCCTATTCGGCTCCAAGAAATATAACAAATTGAATATTTGGTTGAAACTACTGTTTATGCCATACCTCCTGTAATCAGGTTTCTACATTTAGCCAGAGTAATAGTTATAAAATGTAAATCAGATTATATTGTTTTCCCTTTTGGAAACCTTCAGGGTGACCATTGTGTACAAAATACAACAAAACTGATTATATCCTACCAGTCCCAACAAGATCTAGAGTGCCAATTTTTTCATCATGCTTCTTATCACTCCCCTTCTTGCTCACTGCAGCTTAAGATGCTGGTTTTCTTTATGTCCTTTAAACAGGCCAAGGTAGTTTTTTGTAAGCTCTTGACATCTGTCATTCCACCTGAGCAGAGTTGTTTTCAGTGAAGTCTCTGAATAACTCCTTCCCATTCCTCGGGACCCTATTTAATTGTCAGCTCCAAACTTTACTCTTTAGTGTAACAACTTTACATCACTTTTTCTCATCTACAAATTTACATTAAGCTGAGACTATTGAGTATCTATTTACGTGTCCTTCTTTCAGAGTTAGCCAACTTTGAAAACCGTGCATGTTTTCTTGTTTGTTAAATGATGATAACGTCTGTCAGTATTTCTTATACACACACACACACACACACACACAAACTAGTTAAGAAATCAATATGATAACCTTCCCCAAATAGAAAAAAAGTCAAACAAAAATAATATATTTGCTAATTCAAATTTATTGTGTATCAAAACACAAATTATCATATTTAGCAATTAGCTAACATCTGTTGATAAGGGTGATATCATTTCCTTTTTTCTAATATCAGCTAATATTTATTTCTCTCTATATATGCACACACATGCACATGCATCTTATAGGTGAGTGTATACACACACACACACACACACACACACACACAACCTTATGTGGCGTAGCACTTAGCCATTGTGGTCTTAGTTGGGTTATTAAGGAATTATCTGGAAAGTCTGACAAGTAATATTTCCTTGGTTAATACTAAATTGAGTCATCCTTAGCATTTTATTAATAAAATAAGGCATTATTTTACAGAAATATGATCACATACTTGGACTTAGACAAACTTGAATTACAAGCAGGGCTCTGCTCCTTTCAGCTGCCTGATATTAGGCAAGTTTTAGGGCCCCAGATTTTACATCTATATACTTCCAAGGTATAGAAGGATTTCTGGGACATTTTTGGATGATATCACTATCATGATTCTTGTCTCAACAAATATTGATTCTCTAATAATGTCTCCCAAATATGAACTGGAAAGGATTTATAATGTAGTATATGATTAATTTTGAAAGAACTATAAAGAAAATACATCAAAAATCATTATTTCTCCAAGTATTTGAGAATGGAGGTATTTTTATTTAAAAATGAATTTGAATGGCAAAAGAAAGGCTAGAAATCTCAAATTAGAAAAAAAAGAAGAGATGATCCCAACATGGGATATATGAAGTTTTTGGCAACTTTGGGGACACTTCAAGACATAATGAGCAAGACAAAGCAAGTTTGACCAAACTCATACGAATGTAAGACTTCATGTCTTTGGAAGAGAGCAAATTTTTTAATACGAAACAAAGATACATTAATGACTACACTTCAAAAAATTGTTTGAAATCTTTTACAAGTGTATGTATGGCTAAATCGAAGAACTCTTGACCTAGAAGAGATCTTAATGAACTTACATATTGAAAAAGAAAATTTAAGCTTAATTTATGAAAAACTATCAATCCTTAAAATGTTACACAATATACGTAGTATAAAAGAATACCAATTTAAACATATAACTTGAAGATAGATATTAAAAAGGTAGAGAAATATATTTTTGATATTTAAACTTCAACTTTAATTTTAGGGGCGCATTAAAAAGTAAAATGCATGCACAAGTTTTTTCCCTAATAGGATTGGTTTTCTCATAGTTGATTACTAGATGGGCCAATTAACATAATACAAAAATGCGAGATGATATTAAACAGACTAATAGCTTTTCAGTGACACATAAATTGATTTGATTACATGCCCACAAAATATCAATGCAGATGAATTATTAGCTACTTACCCCTCTCTGATTTTGTCTAGTGGTAATTTAAGAAGCAAAATGCTTTCCTTAGAAAAAGTGCTATGGATTATGGTTGTTTGGTGAAGTTAAAGCTTCTTTTCATAAACCATAAATTAGAAAGCAAAGTTCTTAAAGAACCTCAAAAACAACAGAAAGGTGTTCAATAATCAAATGAATTTAGGAGACCATGAGTTGGAGAATATTAATATGTTTTCTGCTTCAATTTTGATTGACTTACTATTATTGGAGACTGATCTCAGAAGATGGTGTAGTATGCAGTGCTTTCCAAACCTATTTGTCCATGGAGTATATTCTGTGAAATAGAAACATGTATTCTACAGAACATAATCCATGAACAAATATCTTTCAAAAGCTCGTGGCATACTGGAACTATTTAGTAAAAGGCAAATTGGAGTTTGTTTCTCAAGCTGTGAGAAAACTTTTTCATCAGAAGGGCCCCTGGAGAACTCTGAAGATGTGTGTAAGAGAAAGCTTTCAAGAAATCTAGATAAATAGCATTGTATACCAAATGGAGGCAGGGTAGAGGTGAGATAGCTCCAACTGCTATAACTTTATGGCATCAGGGCATTCAGAGCAGGAATTGCAAAATAAGTTCAGGAAGCATCTCTTAAAACATTTTGCTTTGGATTTGCAGCCAGCAAAATAATGGAGTGCACACAATGCCCTCCTAGGATAATCTCAATGGCTTTAGTGAGCATCAAGCTTATTTACTGCCACAGATCATTTATGTTGTGCTTGTTATACAAATTCTTTCCTTTCTTTTAGCCTATCTACATCCTACTCATCTTTCAAGACCCCACTCAAATCCTGCCTCCACCATTAAGCGTGCCCATTAAGCTTTTCTTGACAATTCCAATCTCATCATTTACAGTGTTTAGATTACTTTTCGCCTATTTTTCCTCTCCGTTTTTTTTTTTTTCTTTCCAATGTTTATCTTAGGCTCAAAGGTTATATGTGCAGGTTTGTTTCATGGCTAAATTATGTGTCATAGGGGATTGGTGTACAGATAATTTTGTCACCCAGGTATCAGCATAATATCCAACAGGTAATTTTTTAAAAAATTTTATTTCAATGGCTTTTGGGAGCAGGTGGCTTTTGGTTACATGGAAAAGCTCTTCAGTGGCGATTTCTAAGATTTTGGTGAACCCGTCACTTGAGCAGTGTACATTGTACCCAGCGTGTAGTCTTTTATCCCTCACTTCCCTCCCAAACTTCCTCTCAATTCCCCAAAATCCATCATATCATTCTTATGCCTTTGTGTCCTCATAGCTTAGGCCCCACTTATAAGGGAAAACCTACAATATTTGGTTTTGCATCAATGAGTTACTTCACATAGAATAATTGTCTTCAACCTCCATCCAGGTTGCTGTAAATGTCATTTTTTTTTTCTTTTTTGGTTGAGTAGTATTCCATTGTGCAGATATACCACATTTTCTTTATCCACTTGTTCACCGAGGGGCAATTAGGCTGGTTCCATATTTTTGCAATTGCAACTTGTGCTGTTATAAACATGCATGTGCTTATCTTTCTCATATAATAACTTGTTTTCCTCTGGGTATATACTCAGTAGTGGGATTGCTGGGTCAAATGGTGGTTCTACTTCTAGTTCTTTAAAGAATCTCTATACAGTTTTCCATTGTGGTTGTACTAATTTACCTTCCCACCAGCAGTGTAAAAGTGCTCCCTTTTTACCACATCCACACCAAAATCTGTGACCAGGATCTGAAAAACAAATGCAACAAAAACAAAAATAAATACATGGGACCTAATTAAACTAAAAGGATTGTGCACAGCAAAATAATAATCAACAGAATAAACAGACAACCTACAGAATGGGAGAAAATATTTGCTAAACTATGCATCCAACAAGGGACTAATATCCAGAATCTACTATGAACTCCAACAAATCAGCAAGAAAAAAAACAAATAATCCCATCAAAGGCTGAAGATATGGATAGACAATTCTCAGAAGAAGATATGCAAATGGCCAAAAAACATATGAAAAATACTCAACATCACTAATTATCAGGGAAATGCAAACTAAAACCACAATGAGATACCACCTTAACCCTACAAGAATAGCCATAATTAAAAAATAAAAAAGAATGCTTTATTATTATGTAATGCCCTTCTTTGTCCTTTTTGACCATTGTTTGTATTAAACTTGAATGCAAACTGGTTAAGCTCTTCACTTAAATGGCACAGAGAGGCTCACTAAAAAGTCCACCCAGTTCCATCAAGGATCTCAAATAGGTCTTAATCTCCTCCCTAGAATCCCATTGCTTTAGTGTGGCAATGTTTAGTGAGGGGTAGGAAGAAAAGAAAACTAATTTTGTTTTAATTACAATACTTCTGGTATCTACAATTTGGAGAAGAAAATGCACACAAATATATTAGTTTTTATTAATGCAAGTATAGTCAATTTCAACTCCTTTGTAGGTGCTGTTGTTTGTAAAAGTGATGCTCAAATTGTAGCTGATACAATTGGGTGCTTAAATTCATAGCAGAAAAAAAAGTTCAAGCCTTTGGAAGAAAAAAAGCTTGAGGCACATCAGCTCTGCCTGAGCATCCACTCACATCTGTCCTAAATCAGTAACTCCCTTAAATTCTCCCAGCTTTATTCAACCATCTCTTCTTTAAATAAATATTTATTGAGAATGTGTTATGAGACAAAACCTGTGGATAAGACAGTGAAAGAAATACAATCCCTAAGCTCAAATAGTCTCTGGGAGCAAAGAAGAGGTAAAGCTGACAAAAATGGGGAGAACACTCGTAGCTATTTTTTTCAGGCTGAGTTTCCTATGCCATGTTTTGTAGCACAGTGTAATAAATACTAGAGACTTGAGAAATATCCGATAAATACATTAATCAGTTTAAATTGATGTAAAATTTGACAAGACATATAATTAAAAACCCATCAAAAATCACATACAATACAAATAATACTTCCTCTTCAAATATAGCCAACATTATTTATGTAACCATACACCAATGCCTATTTATATTCAGCTGACATTCATTGGAAATTAACCGTGAAGCAGGATTTTCACAATTAATGTAACATCATATAAGAAGATGATGATGTCCAGTGGAGTAATGTCATGTAGTTGAGATAAAGAGATTAAAGGTGAAAACTTATTTAATGTTATGAAGTAATAAATGGTGGGATAAGACTTCAAATTTAATCATTTTGTTCAGTGCTACTACCTTCACACTACACAATGCTTTATACTATACAACTGATAAAAAAAGAAGGAGATCTGGGAAGGGAAACCAAAGTTTAACCTTTTGACAAAAGACAAGGTGCAAGAAAGAAAGGAAAGGAAGGCGGCTCATTTTCAAGAAAAATCAAGAGATAGAGCTAATCTGTGAAATTGTTATGTGTCCTTGTATATGCCACCCCCACCGCCCACCACACGTACACACAAAAGCTTCTTGATACCACCTGGAGTACTTTTTGCCCCGTCCTGACATACATAATCTGTGTCAGAAATTTCCCTTATTCAGCCGCTTGAAGTAGAGGGGGTACCATAGAGGGTTGCTATATGTTCACCCAGAGCTGTAGTAATGAGCAACACTATACTTTTCTTTTAAAAATAATTTTAAAAAGGAAGTGTGGGTGCAAAATTAGGTTGTAGGACAAAAGTAATAAGATGAAGTTATAAAATCCCAAGAGACACTTTATAATATGGGGATGAAGCTCTAGTCATACACATACAGTAGGAAACTGTCTATTTTTCTACGGACTAGTATTTTCAACTGTAATTGAAATACTCAAATTATTATAATTTGCATTCAACTGTCATCACTACTTAAAAGAAGTAAGTGTTGGTAGTTTATTTTAAAGGCCGCTTATTAGCATGCTGACAGTTTGATTTGACTGGAGCCAGCACTTTTTAATGTTTTATAAGAATTACCTAATACTTGTTTGAATTTAAAAATGAGTAAACTCGGTACACTAAGAAAATAATCATCTTAAATCATTCATTTAAATTTTTAAATAAATTTCATTGAATTAAAAATTAGCATATAATAATATTAAACATTAAAGATAATAACATGAATAAGACAGGTATATACAACATCCTTTAATTATTACAGACCAATCATTTTCTGTACTTGCATAAATTCTATCTGTAATTTGCAGATGAGGAATTCACTGACTAAAGGACTCATTTCCCCATGTGGACCACACTACTTGGTAATATGGATAGAATTTGAATTTTCTTAGTATGAATAGATAGAACATTTTAGAATTCACAATGTTCTGATATAAACAACTCTTATAATAACAGTTTAAGGAAAGATCAAATGAAGTACTTATTGAGGGGATTACTTAAAAGACCACATCTCTGGCTGGGCGCGGTGGCTCATGCCTGTAATCCCAGCACTTTGAGATGCCAAGGCGGGTGGATCACCTGAAGTCAGGAGTTTGAGACCAGCCTGGCCAACATGGTCAAACCCCGTCTCTACCAAAAATACCAAAAATTAGGCATAGTGGTGGGCACCTGTAATCACAGCTCAGGAGGCTGAGACAGGAGAATTGCTTGAACCCGGGAGGTTGCAGTGAGCCGTGATCATGCCACTGCACTCCACCTGGGCAACAAGAGTGAAACTCAGTCTCAAAAAAAAAAAAAAGAAGATCTCTTATGACCATAGTGGCGACTGAGGGCCTCTTGAAACAGACCTTCTCGTGTAGATAATATTCATTAGCCATAGAATACATAAAAAAACTCATCTCTACGAAAATGCAAATAATTAGCCAGCTATGGTGGCATGCACTTGTAACCCCAGCTACTCAGGAGGCTGAGGCAGGAGAATCGCTTGAACCCGGGAGGCGGAGGTTGCAGTGAGCTGAGATCGCGCCACTGCACTCCAGCCTGGGTGACAGCAAGATTCTCTCTCTCTCTCTCTCTCTCTCAATCAAATTTAAATTTGACTGTGAAAACTTTTTTTTATTAGTTTTTTGAAATGGAGTCTCACTCTGTCACCCAAG
Source organism: Homo sapiens (assembly GCF_000001405.40). Classification (NCBI taxonomy): domain Eukaryota; kingdom Metazoa; phylum Chordata; class Mammalia; order Primates; family Hominidae; genus Homo; species Homo sapiens. Next base: position 86,157,589 of record NC_000014.9, on the reverse strand, counting down.
CTGGAGTGCAGTGGAGCGATCTCTGCTCACTGCAACCTCCGCCTCGCGGGTTCAAGCGATTCTCCTGCCTCAGCTTCCTGAGTAGCTGAAATTACAGGTGTATGCCAGCAAGCCCAGCTAATTTTTGTATTTTTAGTAGAGACGGGGTTTCACCACGTTGACCAGGCTGGTCTCGAACTCCTGACCTCAGGTGATTCACCTGCCTCGGCTTCCCAAAGTGCTGGGATGACTATGGAAACTTTTGATGAGGTTACCTGAGATACTTACCTTCTGGACAGCTCAATTTGCTTCAAATCTCAGTGACTCCTAAAGTAAAAGATAGCAGATCCTGCTTCCCAGAATGAAAATTTGCAGGGAAGCAGAGAGAACCCAATCAAAACTCAATGACAGAATCCTGAAATAAAATGTTTTGAGTAAATAAAACTGACTAGTAACCTAGGTTCATTACAATGGCTTAAGGGTCCAGGGTGAAGATTAGTGCTGTCACCCAGCACAGCTGAGGCAGAGGAGTCCTCTGAATACAGCTGTCAGGCCAAGATGTTGTACTTTGTGGAAGAATATGAATGAGAACATCTGAGAGAGAGAGAGTGAGAGATAAATGCAGACCCTGTGTTTGGTCCCACGGACCTGGCATCTTCAATGAGTAGACGAGGTTTATGAGATGAGGCACTGTTAGTCTTCAATGCAGACTCTTTTGGACAGTGAGAAAAAATGGAAATGTATCCAAATTGCTTTCCTGTCTGCCTGCCTCAAAAAGACAGGCACAAATAGAAGTGACCCTCTGACCAGGTACCTGGAATTCTTGGACAATTCAAGAGTAGAGCAGCTCGATATTGCAGTATTAGATTCTCTCTTCATAAGTTATAAAGGAGCTATGGCAGTTAATGCTATGCTGCTATATTTACTTCTTGAGTTTATGGAGCAGTTTATGAAAGTAAGCAAAAGAGTAATGAGTGGGAGGAGTTTTACCACATAAATTTTGAACCTTTTTAATCAGTTTTCAAAGGCAACAAAGAAGGCATAAAAAAGTCAAGTGGTTTATTTAGGGTCACAAGTGACAAATGGGTCAGTGCTGTTCCTACTTGCCTAAGCAATCTCAAAAATTATAAAAATAAAACAATTGTTTCCAGAGGGAAAATATACGTGGGTAAAAGGTAAACTTGATAAGTGAAAAACTTTCTCTTAAGTTTTATTAATACAATTAAAATATTACCTTCACAAAATCTATAGGATAATTTTCTTGAAATCTACTGCTCATTTCAATACCTAAATATGCATATGTCACTAACAGTAAGTAATTTCAATCTGAAAATTTAGACATATGATAGATGTATTCACTTGCTGAATAAATATTGACTAAAATGTTACGTATCAGGGATTATTGAATTATTTAATTGATCATTAACTTTAAAAGGTATCTAATTTTTTGTCTTATAAAAGTATTCACTGTAGGATCTTAGAAAAAGACTCAATCAATGCCTTTAACATTGTATTTTTTACATAAAGATCCAATTTGTTCACAAAATTTAATGATTATGACTGGTCTATTAGGTATAGCATTAACACTTACTTGTGTTTTAATTAAACCTATCCAAGAAGAGAGGGGTCAGGTGCTGGCTCTTGTTCCAAAAGTTGTATTTCTCAAACCGTTCTAGTATTTTCCGCTCAAGATATTTCTATGCCTTGCCCATTATAAATATTAAAGTATTTTGAAACACATTTTACTTGAGTATTAATGAACTCAAGTGGTAGATTACGTGAGTTATTAGCCATTTGATTATTTACCAGAGGCCAATTACTCTAACTTAATACATAAAATAATTGGATAACTTAGTGAAATGGTACTTAGAAAATCACAATAGTTGAAAAGAATACCTTTCTAATATTCACCATTTCAGAATAAATAACAGGATTATATATATTTATTTTTACTTAGTTATTTTAAAGTGACTATTTAGAAAATAAGCATAATCATAATTTGATGTGTCACCAACATGCCTTTTTTACCAAGAGGAACTTTGTGTTCATAGAATTATAATTAAATTAAATACTCAACAATTTTTATTCCATCCAAAAACAGATTCACTTATTTACAAAGCTATGTGAATATGCGTTTCATTGACTTCAAGTTTGTGCTTCTAACAATATTGACGGTTCAGGAAACATAGTCTAAAAGAATGGAAATTGCTGGTAGGTTTTTTTTTTAAGTTTATACAGCTTTGACCTATCTTGATGGACTGAAGGGATGGTGATGAAAATTGTAATCTTAATAAATCTCCCGCAGCTAGAGGTTTAAAACTCATACTGTTTCAAATTAGTGAGGACAGCAATATTTATTTGCTGCCGAATTCCAGTCAGCGTGGCATTTCAGCAGGAAACACTTTATAAGACTTAAACTTATGAGTAGCAAAGTTGAAAACTCATGTTAAAGAAAAGGAATAGAAACTAAGCACAGTCAGTGATTCATTCTAAATAAAAAAAATAAATAAACTTTATAATTTCCTTTTCCTTGTCTTTCTTCACTACCATTATCTTCTTTTACAAATATAGCAATGAATCCTGGCATTACTTATAATATTCCAAGAGCTTTGAAATGTATCATCTCATTGGACTAGCATGGATTTAGTTAGAAAAGCACAATGATCCCCAACCGTAGAAGAGGTAATTCAGGTAACATATCCAGTTGTTCAAAATTGCATCTTATATTCTTTCATATGTTAGAGATAATAAAAATCGCTCTCAGGTGAAGTTGTCAGAGGATTGGCTCTCTGCCAACAACTCATTCTGGTAGTGAACATAGAATCTACCAGAAGGTAAATTAGCCATAGTAATTACATGGTGAGAAAGAGAGATGCAGGTAGAATGGTTGGATAGTACCTAGTAAGAGAGAAAACAGTCAAGCAGCCTCTTCTCATGGCTTCAGCCTTCACATGTATTTCCTTACCAAGACTGAAAACCATTCTTGGTTTTCCTTCCATCTCAATGGCTTATTGTCTCAGTCTCATCATTTGTCTTATTGTCTCAGTCAATATCATTTTCTTCCTCTTTGAAGGAGAAGCCCAGAATTAATCCTCTAGCCTCTTTCTCAGCTACACTTAGACTTCTTGTGACTTTATTCAATCCCATGGATGTTTAACACAATCTCTACACAGATATCTCTCAAATTGACAGCTACATACCCATCTTTTTCTTGAACTCTAGATTTACATAGAACTACAAATCTACGAAACATCTCAAACTTAACATGTCAACACTGAACTCTTGATTTTCTAGCCAAATCAACTATTCCCCTTTTAAATAAATAACATTGCCATTTACCATGTTGTTGAGAAATGGTAAGAATGGTAGAATCATTCTTGATTTATCTTTCTCTCGTAGCCCATAACTAATTCATAAGCAAATTCTGCTGGTTGTAACTTAAAAATGTATTCCAATACTCAACATCTTTATGATTGAAGATCATAACCATTATCTTCTCTTGCCTGGACTACTACAGGAGCCTCCTGTCTGGTTTCTTGCCTCTACCTTTGCCCCCTGACGTCTGTGGCTTACACAGTAACCAGAGCAATCCTGTCAGAATGTATATCGGATTAAGCCATTTTCTTGTCAAAACATTTTAATCTTTTTCTGTATATTTATAGTAAAATACAGAGGTCCTACATGGTCTAACTACTGGTTACATCTCCAACAGCATTTCCAACACCTTCCCTACTTACTAAGCTGCCATCCTTGTTTGACTTGAATATGCCAAGCACACTGGCACCTCAGGATACTTATACTTCCTGCCCCCTTTGCCTGGAATGCTTTCTACTAATATAGATCTATGGTTCCCTCATGTATTTGGTTGCCTGTCTTTTCTTCTTGAATGCAAGCTCCACTAGAGCAGAAGGGTTTTCTGTCTTGTTTGCTGTTCTATCTCTAGTGGCAGGAAGGTGGAAGTGCAGGAAATAAGAAAGGAAGGCAGGGGAGGAGAGAGAGAAGAAGGGAGAAATGAAGTGAATGAGTGGAAATGTGGCCTATAGTGGCAAGGGACTATGAAAAAGATTTTTGTACCAGTAAAGTAGAAATCAGGGCCCAAATATCTAAGACAGCTTGCTAAATTGTAGAAATGGTTGACGACTGGAACACTGTTCTGTCAAACCCAAGCTTGCTAGACTAATTGGTTCTGTTACAGAGAAAATAAGTTCCACTGGAAGTAGAAATAAATAAGGACAGCATCTTTGAGAGACTTTTCCTGAGCATTCTATTTAAAGTGAAAACCAATGAAGAATATAGAAATTCTATCTCAAAATGATAACCATAGCAGAAATAATATTAACTATATGTATGACGTAAATAACTGTATTGAAGATGATGGGGTATTTCAACCATAGCAGAAATAATATTAACTATATGTATGATGGAAATAACTGTATTGAAGATGATGGGGTATTTCATCAATTCATTTACCATCCGATACATATTGTCCATCATGATTCAGGCTTTGCTCTGCCCTCACTTTTTGATAAACAAGACCAACTTCCATGGTCTCATAGAACTTATAGTCCAGTGAGAAAGAAAGATGGCACTATTAAATGGATTAAATAGTATCAGCTAATGAGTTAGTTCTAAATAGAAAAGTCCTGGAATAGAGCATCTGAGTGAATGGATAAAACCTCCATAAGTAGGTGATATTTAAATTAGCATCCTACAGATCACAGACAATTATACCTCGTGAAGCTGAGCAGAGTACAAAGCCTCAGAGATAAGGAACACAGGGGTATGTTTCAGAGGCAAAGACAAAAGCCTCCGTGGTTGAAGGGCAATAAGAAAGAAGGAAAATGAACAGAATTGGAGTTATTAATGTGGACACAAGCCCATCATGAAGCACTCCTCAGGTTATGTTCAAAAAGTTGAATTTTATACTAATTAAAAAGGGGGAAACTTTGTATATTATAAATGGTATCTAATAAAAGTAAAATATAATCCCAGCACTAGGAGAGGCTAAGGCAAGACCCAGTATTTACGAAAATAAAAAATACATATATTCAGGCCTGGCATGGTGGCTCAAGCCTGTAATCCCAGCACTTTGGGAGGTCGAGGTGGGTGGATCTTTTGAGAGCCGGGAGTTTGAGACCAGCCTGACCTATATAGTGAAACCCCATCTCTACTAAAATACAAAAATTAGCCCAGCATGATGGTGGGCACCTGTAATCCCAGCTACTCAGGAAACTGAGGCAGGAGAATCGCTTGAACCTAGGAGGTGGAGGTTGCAGTGTGCCAAGATCGCACCATTGCACTCCAGCCTGGCCGACAGAGTAACTCCCTCTCAAATACATATATATATATATATACACACACACACACACACATATATATATGTGTGTATATATATATATGTGTGTGTGTGTGTATATATATATGTGTGTATATATATATATATACACACATATATATATATATATATGTGTGTATATATATATATATATATATATATATTCAGGCATGGTGATACATGCCTGTAGTCTCAGCTATTAGGGAGGCTGAGGTGGGAGAATCCTTGAGTCCAGGAGTTGGTTCTTTAGTTTTGAGCTGTGATTGCGCCACTGCACTCCAGCCTGTGCAAGACAAGGAGAGACCATGTCTCCAAAATAAAAGAAAAAAAAAAACAATAAATCTAAAACAATAACATCTCAAAAGAACTTTAAATAATAAATTTTATTATGTATAGAAGGAAATTGAGAGGGAGAGGTTACACAACTTGTCTAAGATCAGAGTCAGTTAATAGTGGAGCCAGGATTCTCAGTATTTTCCATAGTCTCTTCTTTTAAAAGGAGATTACATTCTCATTCCCCAAAACTGCACTTATTATGTATAAAGTATACATTTTGAGGTACATAAATATAGCTAAAAACAGGAGTAAAACTAGATTTATGACAAAAACTTTTAGGTGTAATTCTGAAGGAGTTCAGCTTTTTCTACCTCAGCATCCATTCTCTCTTCACTGTTCCATTTGTTACATCTTAATATTGTTTTCTTGGAAACGTTAAGTATTAGACTAAATTTGGCATCTTTCCATAAAGACCTAAAGGGTATAGGCTCTAGTGACTCAGAAGAAAGACTAAATTATCCATGAAACTAGAAATTCGTTTTGGTTCTAAGTATCACATTGATCATCAAAGTCAAATGGACTAGAACATATCTCTTAATTGTAATTGATTTCAAAAATAGTTGACCCTCAGACTTTCTTCATCTCACAATCCAACATTACCATTCTATTACATTGATTGTGATATTCTTATGCAATCCCAGATTTCTCTTATTTTCTTACTTCTTACATCCAACCCACCGTAAAATGTTGTTGATTATACCCCCAAATCTATAGAATCACTCCAACATGACCCAAATCTGGGTCATCATAATCTTTCTCTACTATTGGGATAGACTTAACAAGTCACCGTGTTTTCACTCTTGTCACTTTGTAATCAATTATTCCTTGAGCAGCCAGAGTGAACTTGAACTTTTATAAATGAAAATGCTTCCTGGAAGCATAAAGGAAAATTTGCTCCATTGGACAAGAGCTGGTCAAGCTTCCTCGTGTGTCACAATTGCTACCATGCCATTGGCCAACACATGCGTGAGTCCAAGCCCAAAACAGACAGGAGGGGCACACCGAGCATACAAAAGGAATTACGGATACCTGTATACCAAGAATTTGAGACCTAATTTACAATTTGTCATGACCTTAAAATATGATCCAATCTTTTTATTTTGATTTTCTCCATATAAACCTACCACAACTGTGATTTCCACTTGATTTCATACCACTCTTTATCTAAGCTATAAGAGTACAATCATTGTAGTCTTCTTTGGGTTTCTTTTAACATGTCAAGTTTGTTTGAATGTTAGGACCCTTATGCTAGCTCAGGGATTGGTAAACTACAGCTTGAGAGCCAAATCAAGCCCACTGCCTGATTTCGTAAATAACATTTTGTTGGAACACGGCAGCACACACTTATTTTTGTATGTTTGATGGCTAATTTTGTGCTACAACAGCAGAATTGAGTGGTTGTGACAGATACTGTCCCGTCACAAAATATTTCCTATCTTGCTCTTTATAGAAATAGTTTGCCAGCGTCTGCGATGGCTGGCCCCTCTATCTGTAGTGCAGTTCCCTCAACTCTGCATAGTTTTTTTTTCTTTTTTCTTCATTTTATTCGGATTCCTGGCAAAATATATTGCCCTATAGAGATTTGGTTGAACAGTCAATATAAAGCTACTCTCTATCCACTATCTAATTTAAATCTATGCATAGGATATTTAATTATATACTTGTATGTTACATTTAACATTTTAATTATTCATTTATCTATGTATTATCTCTTCTTCTTGAAATGTAAGTTCTCCTACAGAAGAAAGTTTTTGGTCTTCATAACTTCTTATAACAATGCCAGACACATAGGAGATTCTCAAGAAATATCTATTGAATTAATGGATAAATAAATAGAATGAACATAACAACCATCTCAGAGGACACATGCTGCTTTAATCCAAGTGACTTCTTTAGGTATGTATTAAAGAAGCAATATAGGAGGCAAAATAATTAATTAAATGATAATTTGAATAAACAAATTGGTTAACTGATAAACTAAACAGATTCCCAAATTCCGGAAATGTCTGGAAATTTAACACCATAATGAAAGTTAGAAATGCTCTCACAGGCACCTTAAAATGTTTGCTAAAAGTTTGCTTCAGTCATTTAAAACATGGTAAGGTAACAGGCATCAAGTCCAGATTCAGTGGCTCTTCAACTTAATTGAAAGTGAAATCCTCTTGATGTAGAGAATCAATCTGCAAATCAACAGCTGACCTAGGTGGCTCAGATTCACAGACATTGACAAAATGTCAAAGTGACAGTAAAATCATCTTGGCTTTCACGTATGTCCTGAGCTGTGATAGATTTGAGTCATTTAATTGTTACACTGTTAAGCCCTGAGGTAAAATCATTGACTCCAAAGCAGTAGATCTATTCCAAAGAACGCAATCTGGAAAAGCAAGTCACGCTTTCTGTTCAAGAATACTATAAAAGTTTAGTCTCACTGTGCACAAAATGAGCTAGGCTGTAACTCATTTATTCATTCATTCATTCATCTGGCTTAAACATCAAAAACACAGATGTAGAAGAACATTCCTGCCTCTAAATATATTTGAACCACAGATTGTTGACAGCTTAGCATCATATTCTCTCCCTTTTGTATTTTCCTCTGCAATTGAAGAAAATTAAATAACATACGTGGTTGGTAAAAGAACGTGACATGCATGCCAGAGCTGAGTGAGAAGCTAAAACAAATCAAGAATCCTGCCATTTTGGTGAAGTTTCTAGGTATGTGGTGATGTGGGGCATGTCACACATTTTGAAGAAGATATCTTCTTCAAAATGAGGGATAGATGCTGAAATTTCCAATCTCATTGCTGAGCAAGAGGCACAATGCTTGATATTTTTGGAGTGTATGTAGGGAACATGTATTTTGGTGTGGTGAATAATCACTTATACTATGAGAAGCAAGAGAAGATTCTGAACTAGGCTAAGACTCAGTGAACATTGATTTTTCATTTAGGCCTTGCTATGGTTTGAATGTGTCCTCCCTAAAGCATGTGTTGAAAACATAATCCCCAATGCAATAGTGCTGAGAAGTGGGGTCTATTGAGAGGTGTTGAGGTCATGTGGGCTCAGCCACCTTTGATGGATTAATGCTGATTACAAAAGGGCTTAAGGCATCTAGTTCTGTCTCTCTTTCCCTCACATGTTCCTATTCTCACATGTGTGCACATGTTCCTATTCTCTTGCCCTTCTGCCTTCTGCATGAGATGGCACAGCAAGCAAGGCCTCACCAGAGATGGGCCCCTCAACTTTGCACTTCTCAGCCTCCAGAATTGTAAGCCAAATAAATGTCTGTTCCAGTCTCAAATATTCTGTTACATCAGCCCAAAGCAGTCTTAAACAAGTCTTATAACCAGGAGATTCACTGGTGGTCAGTGTGACCCAAGCAGATGTGGATCCTTCTGTCAAGCCACAATTGTGGGATCACAGGGCACACTCCCTCTTCTGAATATGATTTTACTGCGAAACTTTTGTTACATAGCATCTGGCATACTGCCAGGTCCTGGTTAAGATTAATCTTTGTCTCAGAGATACCAAGCTTATGGAAAATGAGCTGTCCATCAAGAATGGAGTGTTATCTGATCTAATCTACAAAACTATAGACTTGGCCATGGCAACAGAATTTCATCGCCAAAGTAGAAATCATATATATGGTGTTGGGTTTCACTAGATACTATAGACAGAAGTAAGTTGCATGCCTTAGATTTCTATGGTTCCTAAACCACCAAAATCGCCATCTTTTCTTCTATCCATACGTAATGTGACCTTGGGAATTTTCTTTCAATAAATTCACTAATAAAGTTTAAAAATGAATAAAAATGCAGATAAACTTCTCACATCACCCAAAAGCAGTCTACTTCAACTTTACACCCCTACACTGGAGAAGAGAAACCAGTGGGAGAACATTGAACAGCACAATTAGTTATCTCCTCTCTTTCAAAGAAGAAATAATGAGAGTTAAGTTTCCACTTTGATTCATAGCAATGATGAGTGTTTGTTGGAATGGTCAAGGAAAAGACAAGAACAAGATGGAATACTAATAACAATAAGCTCTGTGGGAAGATCAGTATGAATGGGCTGTCTACAATGGGCATTGGGTGTGAGGATCTTTGTGTTCTATTTCAATTACTCACAAAAGCCATTACAAAAGATATCCAGTGTAGAACTGGTGGTCAGAAAAACTCATTCTAAATGTGTAAACTTCTTTCCCTGCTGCCATCCCCCCATTCCATGCTTGTACAATGGGCTCAAGAAAGTTACACTAGGAAAAACAGAGATGACCCCTGGGCTATGTGGCATATATTTCTTCTCATCATTGTTGATCTTTCTATTGTCATCACTTAGTACTAACTTACGGTAGGCTGAATAATGGCCCCCAAATATGCCTTCTTCCTTACTCTTAGAACTTGTAAATATTACTTTATATGGCAAAAGAGAATTTGTAGATATGATTAAATTAAGGATCTTGGAATAGGGAGATTACCCTTGATTGTCTGAGTGAACCATTACCAGAATATGGCTCAGAAACTAGAAAGTTTTCCTACCTGTCTCTGCAACTTTGGCTTAGGATCCTGTTATTTTAGACATCTTACTGCACAAAGGTGGAATATTTCCACAAATAAATAATGGTTCTAGTCAACTGAAAGTTTAGTCTGTCGCCTGACCACTTTAGGTTCCTCGCAACTTTGAGGGTGATTTTCCTCATAGAGGGACAAAGAAGTATTTCTGTATTTCAGGGAAAGCTCTAAAGTGCATTTAATTTTTATCACATAATAAATGTAAATAAAATATCACAGTAACTAAATATTAGCAGAACATGTAATGGCTTATAATCTTTCAGAATGAAGTTTTGGAAAACACTATTTTTATAGTGTTAGATACATATGAACTCTTTCTATTTACTATGGAAAAAGGACACAAATATGAGTTTTTATTAAATATCAGGCACTGGCTAATTACTTTTCAGAGACGCTATCTTATTTTTTTCAAAGATCCACGTATTGTGTTATATCTTAGGCTTAAATTAAAACTTTGGTTCTGGAATTAGTTTCAACTTCATTGACTATCACACCTACATTAATGTGTGCATGATATCTATTAATTTGCAAGATGTCTACAATAAAAGACAACTGAAAAATCTCCCCTATTGCTGTATATTTATTATCTTGCTTTGCTACCTCAAAATTTAGTGCGGTGCTTGGGTTATAATGAATCATCAATATTAGTTGATTAATGAGTTAAAGAAAATACTTGCCCAATTGTTTTGTTTCAAAGAAATCTACTCTTTTCTTAAAATTTTGGAGAAATTATCATCAACTGGCATGGCTGTCATATTATTTAGTGTTGCTGTCCAATTTTACACAGCCCCCAGGACCTAAGGCAGTGCTTTGCATAAAGAAAACACTCAATATATTTGAATAGATTGAAGGGATAGTTCAGATATGAAGTCTAATAGGTCAAAATGATAATGAAAGCAATGATATAGAGATATTACCGTAAACAGACATTGACTTAATGATTTGCCAGAAATGAATGACATAGCTTCTCACTTGTGGAAAAAAAAATGCAGTCCTTCAGAAAAAAAAAAAAAATAGGATTTTAGCCAAACAAGACACATCATGTTGGTCAGTATCTATCTATCTATCTATCTATCTATCTATCTATCTATCTATCTATCCATCTAACTATCATCTGTCTATGTATTAGTCCATTCTCATGCTGCTATGAAGAAATACCCAAGATGGGATAATTTATAAAGAAAAGAGGTTTAATTGACTCACAGTTCCTCATGACTGTGGATGTCTCAGGAAACTTACAATCATGGTGGAAGGGAAAGCAAACACATTCTTTTTCACATAGCGTTAGGAGAGAGAAGTGGGGAAAGACCCTTATAAAACCATTAGATCTTGTGGGAACTCACTCACTATCATGAGAACAACATGAGGGTAACCACCCCCTTGATTCAATTACCTCCCACCCGGTCCCTCCCACAACATGGGGGGATTATGGAAACTACAATCAAGATGATTTGGGTGGAGACACAGCCAAACCATTTCAGTCTACTACTTATCCATATACTTGGTATGTTTTATAAAATACTATTCAGTGCTTTATTAAAGAGTATCTTACTGAGATGACTCAGCTAACTTACCCAGAACCTATTACCCTTTATTGGACTGATGCAGTTAAATTTCAGGACTTGCTGAAGTAGGTACCACCCTAGTGCTACACAGAAAAACTGAGTCCCAACCAGAGTCTGTCTTGTTAATCTTAAATACAACAGAAACCTCCAGGGTAAAATCCATTGCTTTGTATTATCTTAGTTTTCCTTCTAAAATTTCAGCATTTCAAAAAGCTTAGGTACCAAAACGTCTTCTCTAGATGTGTCATCATCAGAATATATTTTCTTACTCTACTTAATATTCTTTTATCTTCAATAGTCAGAATTACTAAGGTAATACAATTCCTACTGAAAAGAAATTGAACCTAACTCTAAAAATTGAGGTACCTGTTCACAATTTATATTTATTATGGGCTTAAAAGAGAGCACTGTGATCAACCTATTTCATTTTCCCTGACCCTTCTTATGAGTGAAACTCTTTTTATTACGTGGGTTGCTGACATTACTAAGGACAATTTAGAAATAGTATATACAGAGCATAAGTTTGAAGCTTAAGGAATGATTAAATTCAAGAGAAATAGAAACCACTGTCTCAGCCAGTGAGCCATTTAACATTATGTGGCATTATCAATCAATGGAAAGTCAGCCAAGATATTCATTACATTTTTCTTATTATCAAAGATCACATAAAGAGGCTATATGATACTTTCCTAATCCCTAAATATGAGGTTGTTTTCTATTTTCTTCATAGTTTTAAACATTGAACAATATGATTGAATTCAACTGAAGAAATATCATTCTTCTCGTACTTTAGTGCTCATCGAAAATATATCCTAGGGGTTCTTTTGGTCAATGTAATCTATACCTAATGTCAGTGAAGAAAAAAAGTCATATTTTGATGCTCACTGTCCCAGAAAGTGATTGGCCCATTGATAACGTTTGAAAAATAAAAGTACCAGGAATTTCATGGGAGGGACTCTCTTGTTTCTAAGGGCGATGATCTGCCAGAAATTCAGTCTTCTCTCAGAATTCATTAATTTACTAACAAAAAAATAATCATTTCTTTACAAGCTGCGGAGAATCAGTTAAGAAGATAATCCGACTGGAGATTTATAAACCAGCGAGTTAGAAGTGATTGTCATAAGTATTCTTACTCATCTGTTCATTGTTAAGAGTTCTCTGGCATACATAGTTAAGAGCAGAATTGCAATAACAGTACCATACCTACAATCAGCTAAAAGCCTTCATTAAAAGGATAGAATCCATCAAATTAGAATTCCCTCTTTTTCCAAACATCAGCTTCACAAACGGCTTGCTTCTGCTCCCATAATATTCCCTTCTTCTATTACTCTTAATGAATTGTCTCTTTCCTTTCTGAAGATAACAACTTCATCTACTCTTTGGATTTGAGGTTCTATTTATCTGTCTATCTAGATTTTTTTTCCCAGAGAGGGTCTCACTCGGTCACCAGGGTAGAGTGCAGTGGCATGAACACAGCTCACTGCAGCCTCCATCTTCTGGGTTCAAGCAATCCTCCAGCCTCAGCTTCCCAAGTAGCTGGGACTATAGGTGCATATCATCACACCCAGGGAATTTTTTTTTTTTTTTTTTGGACAGAGTCTTGCTCTGTCACCCAGGCTGCAGTGCAGTGGCACTATCTCGGCTCACTGCAACCTCTGCCTCCCAGGTTCACGCCATTCTCCTGCCTCAGCCTCCCGAGTAGCTGGGACTACAGGCACCCACCACCACGCCCGGCTAATTTTTTTATATTTTTAGTAGAGACGGGGTTTCACCATGTTAGCCAGGATGGTCTCCAGTTCCTGACCTCGTGATCCGCCCGTCTCAGCCTCCCAAAGTGCTGGGATTACAGGCATGAGCCACCGCACCCGGCCAGAATTTTTTTTTTTTATTCTAGTTAGAGACAAGGTTTCACTATGCTACCCAGGCTGGTTTTGAACCCCTGAGCTCAAGCAATCCTCCCACCTCGGCTTCCCAAAATGTGGGGATTACAGGTGTCAGCTGTAATTTACTGTAGCTGGCCAAAATCTACATTTTTTTTTAACAAATACATTTCTTAACCCCTTTTACCTTTTAACTCTTTCTTTGTGCATTCCCTGCATTTGAACACATTTTAAAATTTTATGGCAAAAATTATTTGCTCCTTTTTACAGCCAGGCTTTTTTCTCAGTTAGGATAATATTCGGATTTATAGGATAGAAAATTCAAAAATATGAGAGATTTAGCAGATAGAAATGTACTTCTCTCTCTTAAAGTGAAATTGGAATGCTGACAATCCAGGGCTGGTATTGCAGCTCTGTAAAATTGTCAGGGAACTGTGCCCTTCCAATTCACTGCAGTCACAGTGACAGGATGTGGTTCTCATCTTGGCCAAGAACAACAGCTCCATATTCTGCCATTGCATTGCATTTCAGATGACAGGATGGAAGACAGGACAAAGGACAAGGACAACAATCAGTGTTTGGCAGTGTTGTTTCAGGAAGACTTTTTGGATGCCCTCACCCAACATTTCTTCTTATAACTCAATGGCCAATTGTTGGTTACAAAGCCATAATCAACTGAAAAAGAAGATGGAGAAGGAAATCTGTATTCCATGTAACCATGGGGTTTGCCCAGTTTGGTGGGTTGAGTTTCTAAGAAATAAGAGAAAATATGAAGGCAGTAACTATCATCTTTACATCACTTTTCTGAAGATACATTTTTACTTTTCCCTCCACCTCTCCTCTGTCATTCTCTCCCGGACATTCATCCCCACTCCATCATTGAAGCTGTTACTGCGAAGGTCACTAGTAATCTCGTGGTTACCATACCTCTCCATTCTTTTCCTGCCAACTAGTTTTCTCAGTGGCAGATAATTGATGATTAGCTCCTTCTTGAGAGGACATCTCTTGTGACTTGTCAAACTCAATACTCCTCAGATATGCACACGTTTATTTTTTATCTGTCTCCTATAATGGCTCTTTATCTTTCCAAACTTTTAAAGTTAGAATTATCCCAGGGGTAGGTTCTGGGCCCTCTCTTCCCTCTACACTCTATCTTAGCATCATCTCTTTCATTTATATGGTAGTAAGTATCATATATATATATATATATATATATATATATATATATATATATACACACACACACACACACATATATATGTATATACAAAAAAAAAACCATGTGTGCTTTTCTTAAGCTTCAAAAAACTGCCTCCTTGTTATCACAACTTTGTTGACTCAGAGACACCTTAAACCAAAGCATTTCGCATAACATTCTCCCTTGGTCCAGCTAAACTGTATTTGAATCAGGTTTCTCAATTACAGTGCCTATGGTCTTGTGTTTTTCCTTTAAATAAGTTACCATAATTTTGAATTATGTATGTGTGTATGTATGTATGTATGTATTTAATATTTGTCCCATTGTTCTCAGCTCAAAACCCAAAAAAAATGAGGACTGGTTCTTGCTCACCTTGCTATCAAAATCTCCAGGCACAGGACCTGGCATATGGTGTTACTCAGCAAGTATCTGCGGAATGATAAAATGATTTAACCAGTGACATAAAGCAAATTTCATGATGAGCTTCCACAGAAAGTACACAGGGCACATGTGTCAGAGGAACTATTTAAAGTCAGACTCAGGAAATTATGCCATAGGGGAAGGAGTGAGAGCACTCAGCAGGACAGGAAAACACCATTGTAAAAGAAAAATAAATAAGCTTTTCCAGAGAATGGAATGAAATGTGTCTAATAAAATCATACAGGAAACAAAGATCGTGAAAAGGGCTTTTAGAAACATTGGCAGGCTGGGCAGTGAATGTTCTCATAAGGAGACACCATGCTAACAACTGAGTGTGTGAACACCCCATACAACTTGTGTGAGAAGAGAGCCAGTAACTGAAGGCAAAGGGTTGGGGGCAGCCAGCCGCAGAATTGGCTCCATCCAGAGCACTCACCAACTTGCCGTCAGAGGAGGGACTCGGGTGGACAAAACCATAGAACACATTTGCAAGTTGCCATAGGATTCATTTCAACTATCCATAAACTGAAGTTGGAGTTTTTGCATTTGATATGTTCATGCTCTAGAAAATCATGAAAACAACTTTTTGTTCCAAATCCCAAAATTGTAATTATAGCTAACATTGATTGGCAATTAACCTTTTTCTGGGAACTATTCTAAGTGCTTTATTTGTATCAATATATTTAATTCTCATAATAACTTCATGAAGAAAGTGATATTATTCTCCCCATTTTACAATCAAAGACTAGGACTGAAGCACAGAAAAGAAATTTGCTTTTGGTCACACGGGTAGTAGAAGAAAAAAACTTTGAACACCAGCAGCCCTAATTCCACTAATTGGTCTCGTAATTATCATATTCTCTTAATTATCATATTTCAGAAAAAAAAATTGAAGAATTAGAAATATGTTTAAATGCAAATATTAGAAGATCCTAACTTGTCATTCACATTATTCACCTGAGCAGTGATATAAAATGCACAGTAAAATGACATCTTCTAACTCCGCAATCCCACTTTGTATAATACCGAATTTAACAAGTAATAATTTAAATAAGGCTAAATATTTAAACAGCATCCCAGCCAACCAATAATTTTCATCAGCCTAATTAGCATGTCATAACTTTAAAATCTGTTTAGGGGAATAAAACATACCCTCATGAAACAAGGAGTAAGCAAGAGAGCATACCGTATATATTAAGACGGTAGGCTAAGTTATCGTAAGAGGACAGTTACCACTGAAAGAATTAGAGAGACAAGACACTAATTCAAAAGAAGCCCATATGGGCAGTCTTCACAGATGATGGAGAATTTTAGCTTGTTAAAATATGAGATAGATTTAGATACACCAAAAGAACAGGGTCGTGGAAGAATACATGAATGATAACAGTGACTATTTCCATGAATGAAATAAGAAAGAAAAAGACCTTGGGTTCTCAAGATGGACATTATCTTAGCTACCCTGGCTGCAAGGCAGCCCTGGCAGTAAGAAAATATAATAACTCTACTGGTTTTTGTATTTTTCATTTATATGACCACATGTGCATATTCCTCTTACCTTTGCAGGTTTCATTAAAACATAGATTATTAAAATGTTAATGAGTTGTTTTGCTGTTTCCAGTGATAATTAGGCTAACTATATGCTGAGCCTATTTGCTCTTTTAGTTAAACTGCCTCCAGTGGGAGAGATTATCAGCAGGATTCAAAGACATGGCCACGGCTGGGCGAAGGACATTGCCTATTCTTGTATCATGCTGGGAGATTTTCTCTTCCTTACCTGACCCCTGCCATTTTATTGTATCCATTAAGAGGATATGTTGGCAGTATAGGGTTGGTGACCATTTTGTGTTCACATATTCAAAAATTAACAATAATTTTTCTAATAATCTGTGAGATTTACTTAATCTCTCTATATAATATTCTTTAATATTTCAAATTTCTAAAAAACAGCTAGTCAATTGTATTTGGTAAAAGAATTACAAACTTTATGCAACTTAAAATTTGAGGTGTGTTTGTCTCCTCCACTGGAAAGTGGTTCATGAGGACAGGAACCTGGTCACCAATGTAGCCTCAACGTGTATTCAAAATGTCAAAGGCCATTAATGAATATTTATATTGAATTCAAAACAAACCTAATTAAAGGAAGGCAACAAAGATCTTAAAACTCTCAACATATTGCCCTTTTCAAAAGTAAGAGCAAAATATATAAAAATAAAAGGAAATTCAAATAAAATGAAGATAAATTTAGTGGCATTGATGTAAAGATGACATGAAAGAAGCATTAAAGTATAGAAAGAGCTTGGAAACTGATTTAAATTTCTGATTTTTCAGAGAAATCAGAAACTCAGAGAGGAAAGTGACTTGCTCAAATACACAAATATGTCTGCCACAACAGGGATTACAAATCAAGGTTTCAACACTCTGTCTATTCAATGTGTCATCAAAAGTACGCTGTGCTTTCAGCTTCGAGCATATGTGGCTTTTTTCACATGTGTTGAGATGGGAGTTGCATATTCCATCTGCTTTACCTGGGGATACTATGTGAACAGTTTATATTTTCCTACTTGCCTTTGACTTTGCACTCTGCATACATCAAAATAATCCCATTTATACATGCCCTCATCATCCCCCATAACTGCCTTGTTCAAGTAACTTGACCCAGGTATATAAATTGTATTTTTTAATTTAATTTCCTCAGTCCCATCACTTCTCTACCTACTTCTGTCCTCCTATCCCCAATCCCTATTTATTTATTTTTATGAATACACAATAATTTTACATATTTATGGGCTCCATGTGGTATTTTGATCCACGAAAACAATATATAATGATCAAATCAGAGTAATTAGGATAGCCATCACCTAACATATTTATCATATCTTTGTGTTTGAAACATTTCAGATCTTTTCTTCTAGTTATTTTAGAATATACAACAAATCATTGTTAACTGTCGTCACCCTACTTTGCTATTGAACACTAGAATTAGTTTCTTCTAACTGTATGCTTGTATACATCAACCAACCTCTCTTCATTGCCACTCTTCACTAACACCTTCTGGTCATCACTACTCTACACTCTACCTCCGTTAGATCAACTATTTTATGAGTGACAGTGGGTGCTTTCTGTGCCTGGCTTATTTCATTTAACATCACAAACCCTCGTTCCATTATGTGGCTGCAAATGACAGGATTATTTTTAAGGCCGAATAGTATTCCATTGTGGAGATACACCACAATTTTTATCCATTCATCTGTTGATGGACACCCATGTTGCTTCCATATCTTGGCTATTGTAAAGAGTGCTGTAATAAACATGGGTGGGGTGCACATACACATACTTTTTTTGCATATACTGTTTTTCTTCTTTTGGATAAACAAGGAGTAGTGGAATTGCTGGATCATATGGTAGTCCTATTTATAATATTTTGAGAAACCTCCCTACTGTTTTCCATAATGGCTGTACTAAATTACAGTCCCACCAACAGTGTCTAATAGTTCATTTTTCTTTGCATCCTTGCCAGCATTTGATATTTTTGCCTTTTTGCTGATAATCATTCTAACTGGGCAAAATGTCTCATTGTGATTTTAATTTGCATAACCATGATAAGTAGTGATGTTGAACATTTTTTCATATACCTGTTTGCCATGTCTAGGTCTTCTCTTGAGAAATGTATTTTCAGATTCTTTGCCTACTTTTTTTTTTCTTTTTTTGAGACAGAGTCTCACTCTGTCTTTCAGCCTGGAGCGCAATGGCATGATCTCGGCTTACTGCAACCTCCGCCTCCCGGGCTCCAGTGATTCTGCCTCAGCCTCCTGAGTTACTGGGATTACAGGCATGCACCACCATGCCCAGATAATTTTTCTATTTTTAGTAGAGACAGGGTTTCACCATATTGGTCAGGCTGGTCTCGAACTCCTGACCTCATGATTCGCCCATCTTTGCCTAATTTTTAATGGTAAAATTTGGGTTTTCTTCTTGCTATTGTGTCACTTGAGTCATTTGTGTATTCTGAATGTTAGTCATTGTCAGATGAATAGATTGCAAATATTTTCTCCCATTCTATAGGCTGTCTCTTCACTCTATTGATTGTTTCCTTTGCTTTACAGAAGATTTTTAGTTTAATATATTCTCATTTGTCTATTTTTTCTGTTTTGTTTCCTATGCTTTTGATGTGTTAGCCATAAAATCTTTGTCTAGACCAATGTCCTGAAGTATTTTCTCTATGTTTTTTTTTTCTCCTAGTAGGTTTATAGTTTGAGGTCTTGTATTTAAATCTCTAATATATTTTGAGTTGATTTTTGTATATGCTAAGAGGTAGAAGTCTAATTTCATTCTTCTGCATCTGAAGATACAGTTTTCCCAGCAACAATTTATTTAAGAGTATATTATTTCCCCCAATGCATCTTCTCTGTTGAAACTCTTTTGGCTGTAAATAATGCAGATTTACTTCTGGGTTCTCTATTCTGCTTCATTGGTTTATGTGCCTGTTTTTAAACCAATATCATGTTGTTTTGATTACTACAGCTTTGTACTATGTTTTCAAGTTAGATATTGTGATGCCTCTGGCTTTGTACTTTTTGCTTAGTATTGCTTTGGTTATTCAGGGTCTTTTTTGGTTCTATACAAATTTTAGGACTTTTTTTCTATTTCTGTGAAGAATGTCACTGGTATTTTGATAGTAACTGCATTAAATCTGTAGATTGCTTTGGGTAGTATTATCACTTTAACAATATTTTTTTTTAATCGCTAAGCATAGGAGGTCTTTCCATTTGTTTCTTCCCTCTTCAATTTCTTTCATTAATGTGTCATAGTTTTTGTTGTAGAGGTCTTTTACCTCCTTATTTAAATTTATTCCTAGGTACTTTTAGTAGCCATTGTAAGTGGGATTGCTTTCTTGATTTCTTTTTCAGCTAGTTTATTACTGGTACATAGAAAAGCTACTGATTTTTTCTTATTGGTTTTATATACTGAAACTTTACTGAATGTATCAGTTTGAAGACTTTTTTGGTAGTCTTTAGGATATTTTATATATAAGAAAATTTCTTCTGCAAAGAAGGACAATTTCACTTTCTCTTTTTTAGTTTGAATGCTTTTATTTCCTCTTCCTTGATTGTTCTTTTTAAGACTTCTAGTAGAATGTTGATTAAAAGTGGTAAAAGTGGGCATTCTTTTTCCAGTTCTAGTTCCCATTTAGTAGGATATTAGCTGTGGGTTTGTCATATATAGGCTTTATTAGATTGAGATATGCTTCTTCTATTCCTACATTGTTGAGAGCCCTAATTATGAAGGAAAGTTGAATTTTGTCAAATTTTTTCTCTGTGTCTGTTGAAATTATAATGTGGTGTTGTAGTTCATTCTGTTAATGTGATGTGTCACATATTGATTTGCATATGTTGAATTATTCTTGCATCCCTGGTATAAATCCCACTTAATCATGATATAGTCTTTTTAATGTGTTGTTGGATCTGGTTTGCCAGTATTTTGTTGACAATTTTTGAGTCTATGTTCATCACAAATATTAGCCTTTGTTTCCTTTTTGATTGGCCTTGTCTGGTTTTGGTATCATGGTAATTTTGACCTCTTAGAATGATTTAGGAAGAAATTCTTCCCCATCTCTTTTTGGGAATAGTTTGAGAAGAATTGGTATTAGTATTTCTTTATAAGTTTGTTGGAATTCAGTAATAAATGTATCGGTACTGGACTTTTCTTTGTTGTAAAACCTTTTATTGCAGATTCAATCTTGTTACTCATTATTGGTCTGTTCAGATTTTTTATTTATTCCTGGTTCTATCTTGGTAGCTTTCCTATGTCCAGGAATTTATTCGCTCTCTCTAGGTTTTACAATTTATTAGTGCATAATTGTTCACAAAAGTTTGTAGTGAGTCTTTGAATTTCTTGGTTATCAGTTGTAATGTCTCCTTCCTTATGTCTGATTTTATTTGTTTAGGTCTTTTTACTTATTTCTTGGTTAGTATAATTAGTAGTTTATCAATTTTATCTTTTTGCAAAACCAACCTTTCGTTTTGTTGATTCGTTGTATTTTTTTAAGCCTATTTTGTTTAGTTCTGCTCTGATCTTTACTCTTTCTTTCCTTCTACTAATTTCAGGTTGGTGTATTGATTTTTCTAGTTCCTTGAAGTGCATCATTAGGTTGTTTATTTGAAATCTTTCTACTTTTTCTATGTAGAGGTTTATTGCCAAACTTCTCTCTTAACACTGCTTTTGCCATATCCCATGGTTCTGATATGTTGAGTTTCTATTTTCATTGCTTTCAGGAAATGTTTTAATTTTCTTCTTAATTTCTTCATTGAGCAAATGATCATTCAGTAGCATGTGTTTAATTTCCATGTATTTGTTCAGTTTCCAAAGTTCTATTTGTCATTGATTTCTAGTTTTACTTCATTGTGGTCTCGAACGATACTTGGTATGATTTCTATTCTTTAAAATTTGTTAAGACTTGATTTGTGGCCTAACATATAGTCTGTTCTGGATGTTGTTCTATGTGCTGATGAAAAGTGTGTATTCTGCAGCTGTTTAACTGAATGTTCTGTAAACGTCTGTTAGGTCCATTTGGTCTATAGTGCAGACTAAGTCCAACATTTCTTTGTTGATTTGCTGTCTAGATGATCTGTCCAGAGTGAAAGCAGGGTGTCAAGGTCCCCAACTATTATTGTAGTGAGGTCTCTATCTCTCTGTAGTTCTGATAATACTTTATTTATGTATCTGGGTGTTCCAGTATTGGACATTTATATTTACACTTTTTACATCCTCTTGCTGAATTGATCTCTTTGTCGTTATATAATGACCTTCATTGTCTCGTTATTTTATTTGATTATAGTCTACTAATATAAGTTTACTTACTCCTAAAACGTTTGATTTCTGTTTGTGTGGAATGATGTTATCCGTCCTTTTACTTTCAGTCTATTTGTGTCTTTACAACTGAAGTGACTTTGTGTAAAAAGCATATAGTTGGGTCTTGGGTTTTTTTTTTTTTTTTTCTTTTTTACCATTCAGCGCATCAGCCCATCTATATTTTTTTTCGATGATCAAGGCCTTATAAGCCATATTAAGTTTAATAGTAAATAATACATAGAGGGAAATTTCTTCCTCTGAGTCATATGTGTTTATCAGTTTTCTATAGATGTTGATTGCCTTTGCCATATATAAAATTTTATGCTTTTATGAGACTTTTCTTAAAAATATCTCTTGGTCGACCAGGTGCGGTGGCTCATGCCTGTAATCCCAGCACTTTGGGAGGCTGAAGCAGGCGGATCACGAAGTCAGGAGGTCGAGACCATCCTGGCTAACACGGGGTGTATCTCTACTAAAAATACAAAAAAAATTAGCCGGGCGTGGTGGTGAGGCCCATCTATATTTTTTTAATGAGGAATTTTAATCATTCATATTCAAAGTTGTTATTGATAGGTAAGGACTTACTTTGCTCATTTTGTTTATTGTTTTTGATTGTTATAGGTATTCTTTGTTCTTTTCCTTCTCTTCTTTTTTTTTTACCTTTACAATGTGGTGGGTTTTTGTTGTGATGTTTGACTCCTTTCTCTTTTTCATTTATGTACATTATGTAACATTTCTGTTCTAGAGAGTTTTGTACTTTCATGGGTTTTCAAGATGGTAGTATTGTCGTTCCATATGTAGGAATCCCTTAAGCATTATCGTTCAAGTATAAACATTTTACATTTTCATTAAAACCAATTTATCAATCCTTTTTATTTATGGATAATGATTCTTTGTGTCTTATCTAAGAATTCTTGAACACTCTTAAGAACACAGAGATTTTCTCCTAAATTTTCTTCTGAAACTCTTTTAGCTCTTATATTTAGGTTTATAAATTGGTTAATTATTGTAAAGTAATAGTGGAAGTTCATTTTTGCCCATACAAACACACAGTTGTTCCATTATCTTTTGTTAGAAAGACATTTGTTTTTTTTCATTGAACTGCCTTTGAATGTTGTTTAAATCAAGTGACCATATGTTGTGAGTGTATTTCTGGATTCACTATTCTGTTCCATTAATCTATATGTCTATTCTTATGCCAAGAATGCACCATGACTATTGTGATCTTATAGTTTTATATTAAATCTTGATATAAGGTAGTATATATCCTTCACTTCGCTCTCCTTTTAAAAAATTGCATTGGGTGTCCTATACCATTTACATTGCTGTATAATTTTTTTTATTGTGATTTCTTTTTTGGGGGTAACAGATCTCTTAAGATATAATTAACATACTATATAATTCACCCATTTGAAGTGTACAGCTATCACCACAGTCAACTGTAGGACATCTTCATGACCTCAAAAAGAAACCCCATATTCATTAGCTATCATCCCCAACTTTCCTATTCTCCCAGCTTTAGGCAAGCACCAAGGTACTTTCCATCTCTGTAGACTGGCTTATTCTGAACATGTCACATAAATGGAATCATTTAATATGTGGTCTTTTGTGACTTGTTTCTTTCACTGCAAACATTTCAGTATAATGTTTTCAAGGTACATTCATGTGGTAGCATGTACTAGTAGTTTTTTATGGATAAATGATATTCCAGTTTATGAATATACCACATTTTGCTTATCCATTTATCGGTTCATAGACATTCGGATTGTTTCCACATTTTAGCTATTATGAATAATGCTGCTATGAACATTTCTGTGTAAATTTTTGTGTACACATGTGTTTTAATTCAATTTTAAAATCAGCTTGTCATTGTTTACCAAAAAGAAAAAAAGTAACTGGGATTACATTGAATCTATGGTTCAATTTGGGGAAAATTAACATCTTAACAATACTGAGCTTTCCAATTCATGAATGCAGTGTATTGCTATATTTATTTAAGTCTTCTTTAATATCTATCAACAGAGTTTATACTGACAGAGTTGTCAGGGTACAGTTGTTGCACAAATATTTTTGAATGTATCCCTAAGTATTTTCATTCCTGTCATCTATGAATAAAGAGGTTTACTTCATTCATTCTGTCTTTTTTCTTATAACAATTACTGGGACTTCCAAATAATGTTGAATTAAAAGAGAAAAGAGGGGGAATCCTTGCCTTGTCCCAATCTTAAGAGGAAAATCTTCTTTTACTTTTAAGTACATTTCCTGTAGATTTACAGATATCTCTTATAAAGTTGAGAAAGTTCTCTTCTATTTTAGTAGGCTTTTATTATGAATGAGTATGGTCAAATACATTTTATACATTTATAGATAGGCTCATATGTTTTTTCTTCTGTTTTTCTTCATTAATTTTGTGACATGCATTGATTAAATACTAAAATACATCAAATACTAAACTAACTTGCATTCCTGATATAAATTCCATTTGGTTATGATGTGTAATTCCTTTCATATAGTATTGCATTTGATTTGCTCATATTTTGTTTAGGATTTATATATCTATGCTTATGACATTATTGGTGTATACTACTCTTTCCTTGTAATGTCCTGATCTAGTGTTACTGTACAAGAACATGAACTTTACAAACAGGGGTTGGTAAATATATTTTTATTCTGAATAATTTGTTGGAAAATTTATATTATTTCTCCCATAAATGTTGAATAGATTTTGAGTATGAAAGCATTTGGGCTTAGAGTTGTCTAGGCCAAAGTTCTGAGGTTTTAATTTAATTGATTTAATATATAGAGTGAGCTATGGTAAACAGAATAGTGGCCTCACACAAATGTCTACATCTTCATTTCCACAACTTGTGAATTGCTACTTTTTATAACAAAGTAGAATTATGAGAGCAATTTAAATATTAACCAGCTGATTTTAAGATAAGGAGTTCATCTTGGATTATCTGGAAAGGCTCAAGGTAATCACATGTGTCCTTAAATGTAGAATAAGAAGATAGAAAAGCCAGTATCAGAGTGATGCAATTCAAGAAAGGCTTAATTGGTCATTGCTGGCTTTGAAGATAGACAAAGGGACCATGAGCCGACTAATTCAGATGCTCTCTAGAAAATGGAAAAGGCAGAACAGTTTTTTCCCTAGTGTCTCTAGAAAAAAGGCAGTCGGGATGACACCTTGATTTTAGTCCAGTGAGACTCATTTTAGATATTGACCTACAGAACATAAGACAAATTTTTGTGTAGTTTCAAGTCACTAGGTTTGTGGTAATTTGTTATACCAGCAACAGGAAACTAATACAAGAATTATTTAAATTTTCTATTCATTATTATATGTATTTTGGTAATTAATTGTGTTTTCTCAGTCATTGTTCATTTCATTTAAGTTGAAAAAATAATTGGCATAAATTTATTTATAGTATTTAATTTTTAATCCCTACAGAGTATGAAATGGTATCCCTGTCTTCATTCCCAATATTGGTAACTTGTATTCTCCTTTTTTTTAAATCTTGAACTATCTAGCTAGACTTTTATATATATATATACTTTTTAAATTTTTCAAAGAATTACCTTTTTTATTGACTTTTCTATAGCATGAGTCATTTCTATTTTTTTTGTTCATTACCTATTTTTTTCCTTGAGTGAGTTTAATTTGATATTTTTTTGTACTTCCCAAAGATGAAAGTTTGTATCTTTGACTTTAGGTTATTATTCTTTCTAATATAAGAATTTATCGAGTCACAAGTTCTGAAATAAAGCACTGCTTTAACTGTGTTCCACTAATTTTGATGTGTTGCGCTTTTATTATTATTTGGTTAAAAAATACTTGCTAATTGCTCATAAGTTCTTTAGAAATGAGTTAATTAATGTCTAAATGTTTGGTTCTTTTCAAAACATTTTTAAGGTTATGTTGTTTCCTATTATAACTTTATTGTGGTCAGAAAACTTATTTTATTTTGTTTTTGAAATTTATTGAGATTTGTTTATAGCCCATAATATGGTCTATCTTGATGCACTTTCTACATGAGATTGGAAAAAATATTCATTCCGTAGTTGTTGGGTGCCACGTTCTATAAATAAAAACTAGGTTAAGGAGTTGGTAGTGTCATTTTCATCTTTCATATCTTTATTGGTTCTTTGTCTAGTAATGTATTCATTATTGAATGAGAGAAGTTAAAGTCAACAACTATAATTGTGAATTTCTATACATCTCTCTTTAATTCTGACAGTTTTTGCTTCATTACATTTGATAATCTTTTATTGGGCTCATATATTTATACCTATTATACTTTGAAAATATATCCATCCTTTTATCATTATCCAATGTCCTTCTTTCATATTCCTCTTCATCTTGAAGTTGATGTTTTTCCAATGTTGGTATTGTCATCCAACTTTCTTTAACTTACTGTTGTTTGCTTAGTATATCATCTTTTTTCATCTTTTTGCTTCAATCTTCTTGTATTTTTGTTTCTAACATGCATCTCTTATAGACAGGATAAAATCGATCCTTTTAAAATTCTGTTTAGCAGTCTTTTCCTGGTATAATTATGATGATTGTTTTATTTAGGTCTCTAACTGCTATTGTTTTTGTATCTGTCTGTGTGTGTGTGTGTATATGTGTATGTCCTAACTTTTCTGCCTTTTTGGGGATTAATAAAACTTTTTAATTACTCTATTAGATTTCTAGATATAATAGTATTGTATTATTTTTAGTGGTTACTCCAGGAATTGCAACATATACCTTTGACTTATCCAAGTTAATGTCTTAAATTAGGCTAGGACTGCATACATTTGTGTTCGTTTGTATATCTAATTTATTTTATTTTTATTTCTTGAGGTCTAAGATAAAATTTATCTTGAAGAACTATATTCAAAAATATAAAATTAAACCCAATCCAAATTCACTTATATGTCTCATATAATATGTCTCATATAATAAATTTCTGCAGTTAACAATGATAAATTACAAAACTCAGAGAAACCATACATAGCTTTGCTATTTTTATTTTATTTTATTTTATTTTATTTTTGAGACGTAGTCTCGCTCTATCACCGAGGCTGGAGTGCAGTGGTGCGATCTTGGCCCACTGCAACCTCCACCTTCTGGGTTCAAGAGATTCTCCTGCCTCAGACTTCCAAGTAGCTGGGATTACAGGCATGCACCACCACACCAGGCTAATTTTTGTATTTTTAGTAGAGACGGGGTTTTGCCATATCAGCCAGGCTCATCTCGAAGCTTTGCTATTTTAGCAACTTGTAAATATGTTCAAAATGCAAATATTAGAATTAATACAGGATACTGGATACAGGCTACACCAACCAGCAGCCATACCAAAAAAACCCTAAATTTGACACACACACACAAACCCAAAACACTGCTTATAATCAATGCAATGAGCCACAAAGATCAACATCGGCAGTCTAATTAGACAATTATAGTCTATTATTAAGTAGGAATATAAAACAATGCACATCTTATGGTTGTGAACAAATGCTTGATAATTTTTGAATTACTAAAACGTTAACCATTGAAATATATTTCTTTTAAGATTAAGAAGGAAAAGGCAACCTCATGTATTTTTAGCAAAGAATTTTGTTGCAGGACTTTTCCTTAGTTCAGCTAAAGATGGGGTCCTTGTTCCATGGTCATGAAAATTTAGGCTTGAAGACTATTTGAAGAGTGAGAAAAATGGGATTTATTAATTAGGCATAAAGGAAAAAAAGGGGAAACAGAGACTCTTAGTGAAGTGAGAGCCTGTGCTTCCTGCCCTTGGCCTTCCCTCCTCACAGATTAAATCCCAGATTCCACACAGGAAGAGGAGGGGCCAGGCTCCTCCCAGGTGCAAATGACCCGGACTTCTGTGGCTCCACCTCAGTGCTCAGGCAGATTGGAGTTTTGCCAGGGAACTCTTCCCCCCTGGATGTCTCAATTTGATCCTTTCTTCATTCTTTAATCTAAGATTAGAAACAGGCAAATATTTGAATCATTTTCATTCTTACATAATATATTAACTAACTTATTACTTAGCAAAAATAGAAAAAAAATGTATTGTTTACCTATGCAAATATAATTATGCATTTATATAACTCATAAAGCTTTACTCAACATGTCTATTTTTTTTTTATTTCTTTATTCTAGCAATCATTGAAATATAGCAATACTAGTTTAACTTTCAACAACTGAGAACACATCGACTTGTGCTAATCCTGATTAAAAACCTAAATTCATTTTCAATTAAAACAACCCGACTTTACTAAAGAATAATTACCACCTAAAAAAGGCACAGAAAAGGCCATTGTTTTGTGTTCTCAAATGTATTAAGCAACTCTTGATAATACGAAGAATTTAATGAGCCAATATGTGTGAAATCACTGTTTTAAAAGACAGGAATTTAAAATACTATGTTGAATTGTCATTCCAAGTAAAGCAAATGAGCTATCCACTTTGTTTTGTATGGCTTTTAGTTTAGTTTTTATTTGTGCCTTTTGAAGTAGGAAGGCAGTTTTTGCTAACCTGGTTTTATAGATGAGGATACTGAGAAATACAGTCATACAATTAATAATCTGTAGAGTGAGGGTCAATTACTGATGTTTGACCCTGAGCCCATTACTTTTTTAACAGACTTACATAGATTCAACTGAAATATAAATTCTCTTGATTTTGACTTTAATCTCACCCAATATTGGAGAAGTCCTTTATAGAATCTGAAGGCAGCAACAATCTCATTAACTAGCTCTGCAAGACAGAAAAGCTCCTGCGCAGTTTTCATGCTGATCAGAAACATGCTAACCAAAATAAAAAGCATCAAAAACAGAGGAGGGAAAATGGGAAGGAATAACAATAGAGTCAGTGGAAAAATAGCCCTATCTGGGAAGAGTTTTGAAGATCAAGTTCAATACTGGTGAGAAGTTGGTAGTACATAGGAATGATACAATTAGTGCTGCCCGGCCAATGTTTCTGTTAAGTTAGAAATGTTTTAAAAATTAAAATAATAATAATAACATGCTTGGTAGTTTAGAGGAGCTCTGTGTTTAATTGGCACATTTGATATATGTTGACATTATACCCAATATAAATATATATCTGGTGGGGTTGTATATGTTTGGGGAGATGAGGAGAAATCAATGGGCATATTTTTATAGCCAATATAAATATATATCTGGTGGGGTTGTATATGTTTGGGGAGATGAGGAGAAATCAATGGGCATATTTTTAAAGGCTAATTTGTGTTTTGTTTGTTTCCTCCAAACGGTGGAGGCAGTCAAAAGGCCACTGATCAAGGCCTTTGGGTAGTCTGCAGTTTAATTAAGACCAAATTACAAATTCTAATTACCTGGCACCAAAGAAGCCAATGTGTGAATGCTTGTCTAGAATAGAATACACTCTTCAAGGGCTTCTCTTCTTGGATTCAGCTAGTCTCTCATCAGAAAAGACATGAAAAGATTTTGTGTTAATCAATTTTCTCATCCTCGATGAATTAAAAATATAAATGATGCAAGTCTGAAAAACATAAAATGTAAGCCAGTTAAAACATTATCTTTATAAAGAAAATTGCATTTATAGTTGTAAATTGACTAATTTTATATTTAAGAAAGCAAAAGAAGGAAGATTAACATGTATTGACTATTATATTACCAAACATTTGGCTAGAAACTTAAGAGGTTCATTCTTTTATTAAAATAACACCACAAATGTATGCAGTAGGGATGAGAAAACTGAGTATGGGAGTAGACATGTATATTAAAAATTATTTAGCCAAGACTTACTTACATCCCAAAGACATCTACCTTCAACGCCCGTGATCCTTTTAACCTATCACCATCTTACATTCCTTTTCTCTTCTTTCTCCGTTCCATACGTAATAATTACAGTAATTGTGAATGAGTTTTTTTTATTTCCTTGAAGAAATAGAATCCATTCACGTCCACTCTTAACTAAATCAGTTTATATTGGGGTGAGGAGGGAAAGGAACACAGAGAGAGCTTAAAAAGGAAAGCTTTGTCTTTTAAATAGCAATTCCAAAACCATATGGATGCAGTCATTTAGCATGTAATCAAGATTCCTTTTGAAAGGTGACAAAATTATTTTATTAGAGTCAAATGATTACTTATATCATAGAAATATCATAGAATCAGAAATTATAGCTCACAAAATCCTTGATTTCTCTGGGGGCAGATTAGACCATAAACTCAGGTGCTCCTTCCCACTTATTCCAAGTTGTATTCTCCATTTCAACACTAATATCAAAGCTATTGTTACACTCTTAGTTTACAGTTTGTTTGTGTCACATTTTAAAAATATAAATGGTTAGGTGGCCACACGAATGAATGGGGCTTTGTAGTTGAGATTGTCACAAATGGCTCAAGCTGGAGAAAAAAGAAAACTGGATCCTTATCTAATACCACATTCAATGTTAAAATTACAATATATTCAATAGATTAAAGGTCCACAAGTGAAAAGTCAGACAACAAATTTAACAGAAGAAAAGATAGTGTAACACCTTGTGATATAGGAGTGAAGTAAGACTTTCTAAACAAAATCCACAAACACCGAACTATAAAAAATTCAATTACAATTCAACATGAAGAATTTATCTTAAACAAAAACACCATGAATAAAATCAAACAAGAGATGATAAGAGCTAATACCTATATAGTGTTTACTGTGTGCCAGAGAGTACTTATGCTCATTTTGCTGATGACTCAAAAAGAAAACCAACAAAAATCTAGTTAAGTAACTTGTCTAAGCTTACTTGGAAAGTAAATGAAGAATCCATATCCTTTACCACTATGCCATACATTTTCCCTCCGCCCAATTGAGAGAAATATTTGCAATATCAAAAAATATCAAGGACTGACTAAGAATATGCAAAGAGCTCCTGCAAATCATCATTATCAACAATAATCAGAAGAAAGATGAAAACAAATGAAAAATGAATAAAGGTTACATTAAAGCATTTGACAAAGCTGAAAGCATCAAAACAACAACAGACTCTAAACCACATTAGAAATGGAAAACTGTAAATTAAAACAAGCAGATATTGCTTTATGCTTCTTAAGCTCCCACATTTTAAACAGCTGGATAAGTCAAGTTGGTGTTGGAATATAAGCAGATGTTGAAATACAGGAACACTCTGTATTACTGGTGGGATTCAAGTCTGGTGCAACATTTTGGACAATTTACGGCACAATTTTGAGTAAATTGAAATATTTGCTTACACCTGGGTTTACATCCCAAAGAAATTCTCATATAGGCCCCTCGGGAGACATGAGTGTAGATATTAATCACAGTTTTATTTTGGAGAATGAGATGTTGTAAGTAGTGTGGTTGTCTATGACTGGGGAAATGTATTTGAAAAACGTGGTGGGTGCACATCATTGAGGATAATGCAGCAAGAGTAGATAGTGGTCATATAGACGTAGACAGAGCTAAAGAAGGAAACAATGGGGAGATGAAAAATAATAATAACAATGAGAAAGAGATAAAATCTACAATACAATACCATATTTATAAATTAAAATAATATGCACCACAAACAACAATAGACATGTTATAAAAGCATATATCAACAAAATGATGCATAGAAAATACTTCTGAAAAGTAAATGTTGTCTGAGAGTAGGGAATGAATTTAAAAATGAATAAAACATTCAGTCAACAAGAGATGGGTCTTGTATAGATCAATGTTGATAATTTTCCATGAAATGAGAGATGTAATTACTTCAAGCAGTTACACTCAAAGTCTAACAAAAATAGAAAGAAAAGGTAATTTTTTCATTGATGTTAGACATTAGATTAATAAGGTTTTATTAATCACCATGCAGTTTTTCTACATTATAATTTGCATTCTTCTTCTCAAAAATACCTGTAATAGAAATATTACTTGCCATTTACAGGTAAGAGAAGGTCTAAATATGAAATGATCTGCTAGGAACTGACAAAGCTAGAAGACAATCTCATGTACATCATGAGTTTCAAGAGTATACTTTTTTCACTTCATTTATGTAATACTTTCAAAAGGACTCATGTTCAGATTTTAGGAAATATAAAATAAGGTTTTATTACTGCAGGGCTGCAGGGCTTCCTAGTACCTTTAATATCCCAGTATCAAGAGTTTGTAACATTTCCAAGGAAAAACAGCACCACAGACATAAATACAACTCCCATTTAGCCAATCTGTTAAAAGAGCAGAACTTATTGGATGTAATGAAAAAAATAAAAAGCAAAAAACTTTTTTTTTCTTAATTCTGGCTACCATTCAAGCTCTCTTGAAACTGGTTTTCTCTTGCCCTCAGATAAAGTATCAGTTGAATCTCATAGCTTATGTCCTCTCTTGAGAAACTAAATATATATATATATTTATACATATATAATTACATATATATATATTTAAATATATATAATTACATATATATATATATATATATATTTTTTTTTTAGACAGAGTCTTGCTCTGTTACCCAGGCTGGAGTGCAATGGCGCTATCTCAGCTCACTGCAACAGTGCCTCCTAGGTGCAAGCAAGTCTCCTGCCTCAGCCTCCCGAGTAGCTGCGATTACAGGCACTTGCCCCATGTCTGGCTAATGTTTGTATTTTTATTAGAGACAAGATCTCACCATGTTGCCCAGACTGGTCTCGAACTCCTGGCCTTAAGTGATCTCCCTTGCCCCTCAACCCTGCCTTGGCCTCCCAAAATGCTGGGATTACAGACAGACATGAACCACTGTGCCCGGCCAAGAAATTAAAAAATATATCTAAGGTCAGTTATATTCACAAGAACGGTCTCAGTTTATTTATTAATTAATTTAATCCAATGTAATGATCAAAATAATCCAAACGTCTCTTAAACTGAAGCTCTTTCCTGCCCTCAGTGTGGTCTTGCTTTGAGCTGGCTGCCTGAACTGAGACTCTACATTTGACTTCCACATTCTTTCTTTCACTTTTAGTTTCTATCCAACATCACTGATTGAGGAGAAGAGAGTAAGAAGGACAGTTAAAGGGAGCAGGGACTACATGTAATGTTCCAGGTGAAACATGATAATGGTTACCACCTGGGCCAGATATCGTAAATATCTCTGGAATTATTACACTAGTCTTCCCCTCCACCTCTCTCTCCTACTTCCCATGCTCAACACAGAAGCTAGGGCGACCCATTTCAAGCATAAATCATGCCACTCATCAGCTCAGAATCTTCTAACTGCTCCCCACTTTCCGAGTATAAAAGCTAAAATCTTTGGAAGTCGATATATAATCTGGATGCTATCACCTTTCTCACTCAGCTTCTACAACCCCAGCCTCTGTCTCTTCAGTCTCCGTAAATGTTCACACCCTGAATGGCCTTCCTTGAACACATGACATCAAGTATAGCCAAAACTTGGACACTTAAGGGGAAGAGTTCAGTTATCCCTCAAATCGCAGGCTTCTTCCCACTACCACAGTCAGCCTCTCACCCTTAGATTTTTTTGGTCAACTTTTCACATGTTCCCCAGGACACATATTAATTTTTTTGGCCGGATCTTTTTGAAATTTGTCTTTCGTTATGCTTAAATGAAAGGGGTACAGTCCCTACTCATCCCTCATGGTGGTGAGAGGAATCATTCAAGTGGTGCAATATTCTCATTAATAATTTATTTTGTCAGCTTTATTTATGTATCATTGACAAGTAAAAATTGAATATATTCAAGGTGCAGAGTGTGATGATTTGATATATGTGTACATTGTGAAATAATTACCACAATCAAGTAATATTTCCTTCACTAATATAATATTGGATTATTAAAGATTCCTTCAATGTGCCTTAGGGATTTAAAAGAAAAAGACAATAAAATGTAGGCTCACAAATTATAGTTTATGCATTGATGTTCAATGTTAGATTTATTTATTCATTCAAATAATACTTCTAGAGGTCTCTATTATGATCCTAGCCCTATCCTGGGAGCTGATTATTTGTTACTCAAAAAAATTCACAGGAAGCTCACATTTTAGTTGAGAGTAGACAGAGAATAAGCCAGTAAACCTACTTGTAAGGAAAGAAGCCTTTCAGATGATGATAAGCACTTTAAAAAAATCAAGTGAAGTGAGTTGATTAAAAAATTACAGGGCATGCCTGAGAACTGAATTCAAGACATTTTAACTCTTTTTAAAATTAGAACATGCTCATATTGTATATAATGTATACATTAATTTCATACATATGTGTGTATATACATATATGCAGACACACATATATGCACATATGCATATATTGATTTTTCTTTATCTAAAAGTACATAGTATGAATGTCTATATATATTTTATATCATATACATGCAATTATTTAAATTTCTAAATAAATAATGTATCAATAATATTTTACACTATGTATATTTCCTAAGAGTTAAGTTGACTCACTTTTCTACTTCTATAAATTGACGACCTTTATAATGAATTTACACTTTTACAGACTGATGATTTTAGGAACAACTTACAATTTATAGGTATATGTTATTTTTAATCTTTCATCTTCATCTCTAGTTATGATGTCAAATAAATAAGTTACTGACTTAAACTTCTTGCCTTCTAATTTAAAGTATTATAAACTTAAAATGTTTCTCACTACACAGACACATATTTAAGGATACAGAGGAAAGTCTTGCTTATAGTGAACATTCTTTCAATTGAAATATAGATTCTCCATTTTTAACAGTAAGTAAAATGATATTCTGGCTCCAGGATATGTTTTATAATTCACTTCTAATGGCCTGTTAATCATGAGAATGTCTTCATTTTCTCAGCTTGTATCTTCTTTCTGTACCTTTTCCCCTCCAATCCCTCTAACTGACACCAAGACCAGGAAACTTCCAGGTTAGAAATTATTTTATCACTTAGTTTAAGCTTTCCGTGAATTTATTATTTCCATTTTCTTTTTTCATATATAATAAACACCATTTGAATTGCCATAATTCTACATTTTAGTATTCAGAAATGATTTAAGAGTTGGAATTTTTTTTCTCCTTCAGTAAATTTTAGAAGGAAAAAGAGTTATAATGTACGAACATCTTTCATCCACATAATAAATTATAAATTCACACATCTTTGAAAAATGTTCGGTTTCCTAGCAAAACAAATGTGTACATTAATACTCATCATAGAGTAACACACAACTACATTCCCTATGAAAAGAATCTTTATGTACTTTACAGAATTTATGAAGAGAAGTCCTTTTAAACACCACTGAATGATACCATCTGTGGTTGGAAGTACAAC
This sequence comes from Homo sapiens, assembly GCF_000001405.40. Lineage (NCBI taxonomy): Eukaryota > Metazoa > Chordata > Mammalia > Primates > Hominidae > Homo > Homo sapiens. The sequence continues at coordinate 86,122,205 of NC_000014.9, read as the reverse complement.
AGATATTCAGTATCGCATCACAAAGAAGGCAATATGAGTTGTAGCTCCGAAGTGTCTTGTATTCCTGGATAGTTAGAATATCTTTCTATAACCTTTTTTTTTAAACCGAGTAACACATATTTATTCTAAAATACAGATGTGATACAAGAAAAAATATTCATAATATCACCAAACAGAGATAACCATTTCTTTTGTATATTATCTTAATTGAAATGCTTAGTATTGTGCTTGGCATGTGATAACCATTCACTAAAAGGTAGCCATTATTATTAATAATATAAACAATATTTTCCGTAGAGTATAATATGTTAAGTAAAATTTTTATTAACTAAGATAACCATTGCTCTTTTTTGTAGGAATAATATAAATCAGGCATCTTAGATGTTTGGTGACCTTTAGCATTGTCTTTTATCTTAATGCATTTATTAATGACCAAAATATAAATGGCTGATAGCGAGCATTCAGTACGTACTAGGAGATATAATAAACAACATACATTTATGGTTTAATGTATTCTGTATTATAAAGTAGATCTCATTCATGTAGATATCGTGGTAGAAACAAAGACACAGAGAGATTAAGATCCTCAGTATTACACAGAAAATAATGAAGAAAGGAGCCAAAATCAAAATCCAAACAATGACTCCAGAGCCTATTGTCCCTTATACCATAAGGTATACTAATATGGTTATAGGCATAGGAAGCAGAGGAAGGAAGTGTTGATTGTGAAAGGCGCTCCAGTGTGTAAATGGGCTTCATCTGAAGACAGCCTTGGGAAACACATTATTTGAGCTGTACTTGAGACACATTGCTTATTCCAAAATATTAGTGTAAATATTTAGGTGAATAAAATCCAATATTCTATAATTCAAACTCATCTCTGCCTTCACTAGGTTATCCCCAAGATACCAGGGTGGCCATGATGACATGAGAAGAGGTTTTACCCTAGATGCCATAACTGATTCTGGCATAAACTAGCAGCTGAAGCTTGGGCAATGTGATTGATTGTCTTTGATGTACCCTAACATCCTCTATCCAGACAAAGTGAGGATAGAGCCTGCCATTGAATGACTATATACTATTTTAGGAAAAATAATTATTAGAACCCATTATCTACTACATTTTACCTGCAAATGCTGTATCTGATACTCATCAAAGCTGTGTCTTCTTCAAGACTCAGCTCAGATCCTTTATTCTCCGAGTTAAATGTTTTCAGTCTATTTCAATTCTCGTAAATGTCTCCATATCTGATTCTTATAACACTGTGTAATGTTTATTCAACTATTATGATCTTCCTTCTCTCAGTCCTTGGGTTGCTTTGAATTTCAATTTACCTCTTGCATTGCTATTTAACCAGGTAAAACTTTATTTTGCTTCCCAAAGTCTTCTGTGAGTATAACAATAACAAAAATTATGTTATATTTGTTTCTACACCAACATTATTGTCCCTAAAGTAGAAATTTAATATATAAATAAATATAAATTAATTAACATATAATTCATTCATTTAACATTGAAAATGAAATATTCTTATTGTTGCCTACCTCATTGAAGAGATACATTTATAGCTGTATGTGTCACTAGTACTAATCTGATGAGATGCAGCAGTTGTTTTTAGTGAATAATTTAATACATCCTAATTATAACACACTCAGACTTTGAAAATAGATTCATAAGAAAAAATCACTTTTACTAAACCAAAGTACTTTATTTTTCAAGTTTTGCTGTACTTCGGTTTGACAGCAATTGATTATAGGGAAAGCTATGAAAAACTGACAACAAATTCTCTTCCCCAAATTGAGTTAGGACTTTTCTTTTAAAATTAAAGATGGCAGAAACAAGGTTCCTCTCTGGATTCAGCATATATAATTGTGTCTAGGGTGACCTTGATTTCCCTGTCAAATTATATTTATCTTAAAATTTAACGATTCTCTTTGTCTTTAGAAACAATTTACAGTGGCCAGGAGTGGTGGCTCATGCCTGTAATCCCAGCACTTTGGGAGGCCGAGGTGGGTGGATCACGAGGACAGGAGATTGAGACCATCCTGGCTAACACAGTGAAACCCCATCTCTACTAAAAATATAAAAAATTAGCCGGGCGTGGTGGCAGCCTCCTGTAGTCCCAGCTACTCGGGAGGCTGAGGCAGGAGAATGGCGTGAACCTGGGAGGCGGAGCTTGCAGTGAACCTAGATCGCGCCACTGCACTCCAGCCTGGGCAACAGAGCGAGACTCCATCTCAAAAAAAAAAAAGAAAAGAAACAATTTACAGTTTAGCAGAAGTGAATTAATTTTAAAAAAGAGGGGAAATATAAACTGCAAAAAACAAAAAGCAAAACAAAACACTGATAGAAACTATGTGGATAAAATGGACAGGCTTATTCTTTACCACTCAGTTATCAAAAGGTTGATGCAACTGAAGGAAATTTTGATGTGAAAAATCATACAAATGATTCAACAAGTCCATGAATTGGTTCTTTGGAACAATAAATAAGGTAAACAGACTATCAATTAGACTAATAAAGATAAAAAGAGAGAAGATTCAAATAAACACAATCAGAAGTTACAAAGAGGACATTATCACCGACCTCACAGAAATACAAAAACCCTCACAGACTACTACGAACACCCCTTTGCACACAAGCTAGAAAACCGTAAGAGATGGCTACATTCCTGAAAACATACCTCTGAAGAGTGAACCCTGAAGAAATTGAATCCCTGAACAGATCAATAATATGTTCTAAAATTGAATCAATAATAAAAAGCTTACTAATCAGAAAAAGCCATGGACCAGATGGATTAATAGCCAAATTCTACCAAATGTAAAAAGAAGAGCTGGTACTATTCCTACTGAAACCATTCCAAAAAATTGAGGAGGAGGAACTCCTCAATAACTCATTCTATGAGACTAGCATAATCTTGATACCAAAACCTAGCTGAGACACAACAAAAAATAAAAACTTCAGGCCAAGATCCTTGATGAGTATCTATAGATATTGCATGGATTAATATCTATGCAAAAATCCTCAACAAAATACTAGCAAACTGAATCTAGCAGCACATCAAAACCTTAATCCACCATGATCAGGTAGGATTTATCCCTGAGATGCAAGGTTGGTTCAACATATGCAAATCAATAAATGTGATTTATCACATAAACAGAACTAAAAACAAAAACCACATGATTATCTCAATAGATACAGAAAAGGCTTTTGATAAAATTCAAAATCCTTTCATGTTAAAAAAAACCTCAACAAGCTAGTCATTGAAGGAATGTACCTCTAAATAATAACTTTGTCATCTATGGCAAACCCATAGACAACATCATACTTTATGGCCAAAAGCTAGATGCATTCCCCTTGAAAACTGGAACAAAATGGGAATGCCCTCTCACACCATTCCTATTCAACAAAGTACTAAAACTCCTAGCCAGAGTAATCAGGCAAGAGAAAGAAATGAAAAGCATCCAAATAGAAAAAGAATAAGTCGAATTATCTCTGTTTTCAGATGCTATGATTCTATACCTAGAAAACTTCATACTCTCTGCCAAAAAGCTCCTTGATCTGATAAACAACTTCAGCAAAGTTTCAGGATACAAAATTAATGTACAAAAATCAGTAGCATTTCTATACACCAATAAAATCCAAGCTGAGAGCCAAATCAAGAATGCAATCCTATTTACAATAGCCACAAAAAGAAAAAAATGCCTAGGAATACAGCTAACCAGAGAGGTGAAAGATCTCTACAATAATAATTACAAAACACTGCCCAAAGAAATCAGAGATGACACAAACAAATTGTGAAAACATCCATGCTGATGAGTAGGAAGAATCAATATAGTTAAAATGGCCATATTGCCCAAAGCAATTTACAGATTCAATGCTATTCCTATAAAACTATCAATGACATTCTTCACAGAACTAGAAAAAACTATTTTAAAATGCATAGGGAACGTAAAAGAGCCTGAATAGCCAAAGCAATGCTAAGCAAAAAGAAAAAAGCTGGAGACACCACATTACCAAACTTCTAACTATGCTACAAGGCTACAGTAACCAAAACAGCACAGAACTGGTACAATAACAGACACATGGACTGATGGAACAGAATAGGGAGCCCAGTAAAAATGCCACACACCTATAACCGTTTGATCTTCAACAAAGTTGACAACAAGTAGTGGAGAAAGGGCTCCCTATTCAATAAATGGTGCTGAGATAACTGGCTAGCCATAGGCAGAAAATTGAAACTGGACCCCTTCCTTTCACTGTATGCAAAAATCAACTCAAGAGGGACTAAAGACTTAAATGTAAAATGTAAAACTATAAAAACCCTGGACAATAACCTAGGAAGTACCATTCTGTACATAAGATCTGCCAAAGATTTCATGATGAAGATGCCAGAAGCAATTTCAACAAGCCAAAAATAAACAAATGGGACTTAATTAAACTAAAGGACTTTTGCACAGCAAAAGAAACTATCAACAGAGTAAACAGGCAACTTACAGAGTGGGATAAAATATTTGCAAACTATGCATCCAACAAAGGTCAAACATCCAGAATCTATAAGAAACTTAAATTAACAAGCAAAAAACGACCCCATTAAAAAGTAGGCAAAGGGCATGAACAGATAAAAGAAGACATACAAGCAACCAACAAACATATGAAAAAATGCTTAACATCACAAATCACACCAGTCAGAATAACTGTTATTAAAAATTCAAAAAACATAATAAAGGTGCTAGTGGGCTTGCAGAGAAAAGAGAATGCTTATACACTGCTGGTGGGAATGGAAATTAGCCATTGTGGCAAGCGGTTTGGTGATACATTAGTCTGTTTTCACACTACTATAAAGAACTACCTGAAACTGGGTAATTTATAAAGAAAAGAGGTTTAATTGACTCACAGTTCTGCAGACTTAACAGGAAGTATGACTGGGAGGCCTCAGGATACTTGCAATCATGGCAAAAGGGGAAGGGGAAGCAAGGACCTTTTTCACATAGAGACAGGAGAGAGAGAGAGAGAAGAAAGGGGGATGTGCCACACACTTTTGAAACATCAGATCTCCTGATAACTCACTCACTATCATGAAAACAGCAAGGGGGAAATTCATCCTTGATCCAATCACCTCCCACCAGGGCCCACCTCTAATTTGACTTGAGCTTTGGGCAGGGACAAAAATCTAAACCATATCATTCCACCTTTGGCCCCTTGCAAATTTCATGTCCTTCTCACATTTTTAAATACATTTATTCATTCTCAACAGTCCCCCAGCCTTAACTCATGTCAGCATAAATAAAAAGTCTACAGTCCAAAGTCTCATCTGAGATAAAGTAAGTCCCTTCAACCTATGAGTCTGTAAAAGCAAAAGCAAGTTAATTACTTCCAAGATACAATGTGAGTACAGGCATTGGGTAAATGCTCCCATTCGAAATGGGAGAAATTGGCCAAAACAAAGGAACCACAAGCCCCATGCAAGTCCGAAACCCAGCAGGGCAGTTATTACATCTTAAAGCTCTAAAATAATCTCCTTTAACTCCATGCCTCACATCCAGAAAATGCTGATGCAATAGCTGGGCTCCCAAGGCCTTGGGCAGCTCTGATGCCATGCTTCTGCAGGGTACAGCCCCTGCAGCTGCTTTCACATGCTGGGGTTAGTTCCTGCAGCATTTCCAGGCACACACTGCAAGCTGTTGGTGGATCTACCATTCTGGGGTCAGGGTATTAGTGGATCTACCATCCTGGAGTTTGGAGTACGGTGGCCCTTTCCTCACAACTCTGCTAGGAAGTGCCCCAGTGGGAACTTCGTGTGGGGGCTCCAACCCCACATTTCCCCTCCACACTGCCCTAGTATAGGTTCTCCATGAAGGCTCTGCCTCTACAGCATATTTCTGCCTGAACATCCAGGTGTTTTCATACACCCTCTGAAATCTAGGTGGAGGTTGTCAAACTCTTTCCTTCTGCACACCCAGAGGCCCAACACCATGTGGAAGCCACAAAGGCTTGTGGCTTCACCCTGTAAAGCCACGGTTCAACCTGTACCTTGGCCTCTATTAGCCACAGCTGGATTTGGAGCAGCTGGGACTCAGGGCACCATGTCCTGAGGCTGCACAGGCCTGGCCCACAAAACCATTTCTCCCTTCTAGAGCAGGGGCAAAATGCCACCAGTCTCTTTGCTAAAGTATAGCAAGAGTCACCTTTATTCCAGTTCCCAACAAGTTCCTCATCTCCATCTGAGACCACCTCAGCCTTGACTTTTTTGTCTATATTACTATCAGTATTTTGGTCAAAACCATTAAACAAATCTCTAAAAGTTCCAAACTTTCCCACATCTTTTTGTCTTCTTCTGAGCCCTACAAACTTTTCCAACCTCTGCCAATTACCCAGTTTCAAAGTTGCTTCCACATTTTCAGGTATCTTTATAGGAATGCCCCACTCTTCTGGTACCAATTTTCTGTGTTAGTCTGTTTTCACACTGATATAAAGAGCTACCTGAGAATGGGCAATTTATGAAAAAAAAGAGGTTCAACTGAGTCACAGCATCATAGGCTTAACAGGAAGTATCACTGGAGGGCCTCAGGACACTTACAATAATGGCAGAAGGCAAAGAGGAAGCAAGCACCTTCTTCACATGGTGGCAGGAGAGACTGAGAGTGACATGAGAAGTGCCAAACACTTTTAAACCACCAGATCTCGTGAAAACTTACTTTCACAATAACAGCATGGAGAAATCTGCCCCCACAATACAATTACCTTCCACCAGACCCCTCTCCTGACACATGGGGATTACAATTTAACATGAGGTTTGGTTGAGGACACAGAGCCAAACCAAATCAGGTGATTTCTCAAAGAACTTAAAACAGAATTACCGTTCAACCCAGCAATCCTGTATCTATATCTATATCTATGTCTATATCTATATATCTATATTTATCTATCTACTGATCTATCTCTCTATCATCTATAAGTAGATAGATATCAGTAGATATATAGATTGATAGATACACACACACACCATATATATATATGATATATATATATATAGATGATACACATACACACCATATATATATATATCTTTATGGTAGAACAATTTATATTCCATTGGGTGTGTATATATATATATATGTATATATATGTATACATGTATATATATGTATATATATGTATACATGTGTATATATATGTATACATGTGTATATATATGTATATACACATGTATACATATATATATATATACACACACCCAATGGAATATAAATTGTTCTACCATAAAGATGCATACACGCATATGTTCATCACCCCACTATTCCCAATAGCAAAGACATAGAATCAACCCAAATGTCCATCAACTGTAATCTGGATTAAAAAAAAATAGTACATATACACCATGGAATAGTAGGCAGCCATAAAAAGAATAAAACTATGTCTTTTGTAGCAACATGGATGGAGCTGGAGGATGTAATCTTAAGCAAACTAAGACAGGAACAGAAAAACAAATACTGCGTGTTCTGACTTATAGGTGAGAGTTAACCATTGAGTCCACATGGACACAAAGAAGGGAACAGACACTGAAGCCTACTTGAATGTTAAGGGTGGAGGAAGTTGAGGATCATAAAACTACCTATTTGATACTATGCTTGTTACCTGGGTGACAAAATAATCTGTACACCAAACCCCCATGACATGCAATTTATTTGTATAACAAATCTGCATGTGTACTCCTGAACCCAAAATAAAAGTTAAAAATAAGGTTAATGCATCAACCATTCTCACTTCTAGAAGTATAATATTTTTGCGACTTCGAGTCACCTAAATTTTTGCTTATCTTGACACTGAATAAAACAAATCATCTCAGGGTTTGAAGGTCTCATACCTCAGATATGAGGCAATCACCTTGTAAGTTTGAATCAGCTCCTTAAGGACACTTAGGGGTTAAGGAAGCAGCTTGGCATGATGACAGTGCCACTATAGTGGGAACTGTTTTGGAATCAATTGTTAACCTCAGATCTTCAGTTTTCACCATGCCACTCTAGGAGTACAGTGGGATTCAGCGACTGATGATGGTGAGGAGGAGGAGGAGGATGTTGATATTTTGAGGTAATATATAAGACATGGATGTAACACAAGAACTTCTGTCCCCTTATTAAGGACCACAGCACTTCAGCATTTTGGCACAAAAAACTTCGTCAAGGAATTCAACTTCGAAACATAATAAAAATGTGAATCATATTCGTGAAATAAAATTTTAAAAAATTGTATTAATATCAGCAGGTTGATCTTCATCCACTAGCACTGAATTCATTCACTGATTTCTAATGTTTTCTATTTTCATCAATTTTGTGTGTTCCTTTTATTCTTCAATTTTTAAGTTGTCTAGTTCTAGTTCTGTTAATTAAGACTATAGGTAAACACTGTAAGGAGGCACAAGGGAACTTTGTTGGGGAGGAAAATATTTTATAACTTGCTTGTGGTACTGGTGATGTGCTGTGAACATCTGTGAAAATGCATTGAACTGTATGCCTTAAAAGGTGACTCTTACTGTACTTCAATTATGCCTCAATAAATCTGATGCTGGAAAGTTACAATATCAAAAATATATGTATTTCAGTTACTTGTGTCTGTGCTCTTACATATCCTCCAACATAAATTTTATTAATTTCTTAAAATTTTGTGTATTTTACAACATTTATAATATCACATTTTCTCAACTCACTTATACTATGTTTGCAATGCATTGGCAGATTTTTTACAACATCCGTGAAGCATCACCAGTGAGAGCTATATTAACAATTATTGGTCAGATAATCAAGAGGGATAAATGCCTGGTAGCTTTCAAATTTTCAGTTACTACTCAGATGTCCAGAAATATATTTTTCCTAATTTTCTGGTAAGTAACTACAAGTAATTCTGTATTTTACTAATGACTCAGATTAATGGCATTTCAAGGGAATTCAATAATTCCAAATTCAATATACAGTCGCTTTTTTGTAAAAGTATTAATCAAATTTAACATATTTCTTGCCCCTTTTCTTTACCTGTCCCCCAAAGGTGATCAATTTTACTGAAATTGGTGGGAGAGGCTATCAGAAGAGAGAAGGGAGAGAGCAGGAAATTGATACTGTTCTGAAATCAGTTTTCATGCCATCCTATGTTCTTCCTGACATCTACTGTCTTATATTTTATTTCATTGGAGTATCCTGTGCCGGCATCAGTTGAAGTGATAGTGTTTTGATAGTGTTTGAGCATTCTGCACTGGTGTCAGTTACTGGTGTCAATGGTCCCTGTTGTGGCCCTCAGTAGTGACTGTGAGCTCCATGTCTTCCGTGTCCTCTTAGTCCCACCCTCTTCTGAGATACACTCCCTCCCAATTCTTCCTACTGTCCCATTTTTTCAGGAGCTTAGAAATTATTGGCTACATTTGCCTGTACAAAGTTAGAGTATGTATACATTCTTTGAGACTATTCACTTAGACACACTAGATGTGAATTTTATCACCAAGATACCATGTTGCTCTGGGATCTTGGTGAATATCAAGATTTCCACTAAGTCTGCAGTCTTAATACCACAGATGGAAAACATTAACAATCCTCACCCCATCTTTTCCTTGGAAGGGGGCTGGCTAGCTAGCCCCTTTCGTAGGTGCCTATCCACCTGCAACTATGATTCCTCTATCATGGATGGTGGTTGTAAAGGTTAAAACCAGAGTTTTGAAATACTTCCAAATACTTTTACGTTTTTCCATTGGTAACATATTTTACCATTCCCGTCATTGCACTACATAGGCAGCCTATAGTTCCTCGTTTCACAGTGGATGGACTTCTTACAATTTTACAAGTAGTTAATTAATCAGTGTATTTGATTTAAAATTTTGCTTTCTTTGTGTTTAAAATGTAACTTATAAGATAATTGGTTATCTGAAAGACACCAGTTTAGGAGAGCAAATTTTATTTGTTTTTACTGGAAATATATTTACCTTTAGTGTCCTAGGAATATAAAACTCAATGAATTATTACACATGAAACATACATTTTAACAACCAAGGGTATATTTTTATTCTGATGAATGTTGTGTTCTTTGTAATCTCATAACTCTGTCCTGGTAGATTGACAAATACAACAGTAAATTAATTGCAGATATATGAAACTTGCCTTTCCTTTAAAAAATATGTTAATAATATAAAGAATGATAGAAATATTTGTCTTCAGTATTTCATATTCCATTCAAATTTGAAGTTTACTTTGTTTTTCTTATGGATTTTCTGCATTATTATATTTCCATGATATTGAAATATTGATATTCGACAAAATATTCTATAAAAAGTTTCATAGGTGTTAAATAACATTTCTGAAATATTTTGAAGCAACTTTATTCAGCACATTAAAATATTTTGAAAATGTCTGTAGGTTGCACCCTTTATCAATATAAAATGACTCATCATTGTCCCTTTGAGTGGTATTTCTTTGAATTTAATTTTATATGATGTTGATATTGTATGGCAAACACTACTATATTTGCATTTCCTGAATATATATTTTTTCACCTTTAACATTTTTTGTCTATGATTTTGTTTTACTTCTACAAACAGCATAACTGTTTTTATGTGTCCTTATATGAATGGTACTATTAAAACTTTAAATCCATTATATTTATTATTCTGCCTGGTATATTTGACTATTTGGCATCTTATTTTTTTTCTCCTCAAGAATTTCCTAAATCAAGGAGCCAAGATGGCCAAATAGGAACAGCTCCAGTCTACAGCTCCCAGCGTGAGTGACGCAGAAGACGGGTTATTTCTGCATTTCCATCTGAAGTACCAGGTTCAACTCACTAGGGAATGCCAGACAGTGGGCGCAGGTAAGTGGGTGCGCGCACCCTGTGCCAGCCGAAGCAGGGCGAGGCATTGCCTCACTTGGGAAGCGCAAGGGGTCAGGGAGTTCCCTTTCCGACTCAAAGAAAGGGGTGACCGACAGCACCTGGAAAATTGGGTCACTCCCACCCAAATACTGCGCTTTTCCGACGGGCTTAAAAAACAGTGCACCACGAGATTATAACCCGCACCTGGCTCGGAGGGTCCTATGACCACGGGAGTCTCACTGATTGCTAGCACAGCAGTCTGAGATCAAACTGCAAGGCGGCAGCCAGGCTGGGGGATTGGCGCCCGCCATTGCCCAGGCTTGCTTAGGTAAACAAAGCAGCCAGGAAGCTCGAACAGAGTGGAGCCCACCACAGCTCAAGGAGGCCTGCCTGCCTCTGTAGGATCCACCTCTGGGGGTAGGGCACAGACAAACAAAAAGACAGCAGTAACTTCTGCAGACATAAATGTCCCTGTCTGACAGCTTTGAAGAGAGCAGTGGTTCTCCTAGCATGCAGCTGGAGATCTGAGAACGGGCAGACTGCCTCCTCAAGTGGGTCCCTGACCCCTGACCCCCGAGCAGCCTAACTGGCAGGCAACCCCCAGCAGGGGCACACTTACACCTCACACGGCAGGGTATTCCAACAGACCTGCAGCTGAGGGTCCTGTCTGTTAGAAGGAAAACTAACAAACAGAAAGGACACCCACACCAAAAACCCATCTGTACATCACCATCATCAAAGAACAAAAGTAGATAAAACCACAAAGATGGGGAAAAAACAGAACAGAAAAACTGGAAACTCTAAAAAGCAGAGCGCCTCTCCTTCTCCAAAGGAACGCAGTTCCTCAACAGCAACAGAACAAAGCTGGACAGAGAATGACTTTGACGAGCTGAGAGAAGAAGGCTTCAGATGATCAAATTACTCCGAGCTACGGGAGGACATTCAAACCAAAGGCAAAGAAGTTGAAAACTTTGAAAAAAATTTAGAAGAATGTATAACTAGAATAACCAATACAGAGAAATGCTTAAAGGAGCTGATGGAGCTGAAAACCAAGGCTCGAGAACTACGTGAAGAATGCAGAAGCCTCAGGAGCTGACGCGATCAACTGAAAGAAAGCGTATCAGCGATGGAAGATGAAATGAATGAAATGAAGCGAGAAGGGAAGTTTAGAGAAAAAAAGAATAAAAAGAAATGAGCAAAGCCTCCAAGAAATATGAGACTATGTGAAAAGACCAAATCTACGTCTGATTGGTGTACCTGAAAGTGATGTGGAGAATGGAACCAAATTGGAAAACACGCTGCAGGATATTATCCAGGAGAACTTCCCCAATCTAGCAAGGCAGGCCAACATTCAGATTCAGGAAATACAGAGAACGCAACAAAGATACTCCTCGAGAAGAGCAACTCCAAGACACATAATTGTCAGATTCACCAAAGTGGAAATGAAGGAAAAAATGTTAAGGGCAGCCAGAGAGAAAGGTCGGGTTACCCTCAAAGGGAAGCCCATCAGACTAACAGCGGATCTCGCAGCAGAAACCCTACAAGCCAGAAGAGAGTGGGGGCCAATATTCAACATTCTTAAAGAAAACAATTTTCAACCCAGAATTTCATATCCAGCCAAACTAAGCTTCATAAGTGAAGGAGAAATAAAATACTTTACAGACAAGCAAATGCTGAGAGATTTTGTCACCACCAGGCCTGCCCTAAAAGAGCTCCTGAATGAAGTACTAAATATGGAAAGGAAAAACCGGTACCAGCCGCTGCAAAATCATGCCAAAATGTAAAGACCATCAAGACTAGGAAGAAACTGCATCAACTAACCAGCAAAACAACCAGCTAACATCATAATGACAGGATCAAATTCACACATAACAATATTAACTTTAAATGTAAATGGACTAAATGCTCCAATTAAAAGACACAGACTGGCAAATTGGATAAAGAGTCAAGACCCACCAGTGTGCTGTATTCAGGAAACCCATCTCACGTGCAGAGACACACATAGGCTCAAAATAAAAGGATGGAGGAAGATCTACCAAGCAAATGGAAAACAAAAAAAGGCAGGGGTTGCAATCCTAGTCTCTGATAAAACAGACTTTAAACCAACAAAGATCAAAAGAGACAAAGAAGGCCATTACATAATGGTAAAGGGATCAATTCAACAAGAAGAGCTAACTATCCTAAATATATATGCACCCAATACAGGAGCACCCAGATTCATAAAGCAAGTCCTGAATGACCTACAAAGAGACTTAGACTCCCACACATTAATAATGGGAGACTTTAACACCCCACTGTCAACGTTAGACAGATCAACAAGACAGAAAGTCAACAAGGATACCCAGGAATTGAACTCAGCTCTGCACCAAGCGGACCTAAGAGACATCCACAGAACTCTCCACCCCAAATAAACAGAAGATACATTTTTTTCAGCACCACACCACACCTATTCCAAAATTGACCACATACTTGGAAGTAAAGCTCTCCTCAGCAAATGTAAAAGAACAAAAATTATAACAAACTATCTCTCAGACCACAGCACAATCAAACTAGAACTCAGGATTAAGAATCTCACTCAAAACCGCTCAACTACATGGAAACTGAACAACCTGCTCCTGAATGACTACTGGGTACATAACGAAATGAAGGCAGAAATAAAGATGTTCTTTGAAACCAACGAGAACAAAGACACAACATACCAGAATCTCTGGGATGCATTCAAAGCAGTTTGTAGAGGGAAATTTATAGCACTAAATGCCGACAAGAGAAAGCAGGAAAGATCCAAAATTGACACCCTAACATCACAATTAAAAGAACTAGAAAAGCAAGAGCAAACACATTCAAAAGCTAGCAGAAGGCAAGAAATAACTAAAATCAGAGCAGAACTGAAGGAAATAGAGACACAAAAAAACCCTTCAAAAAATTAATGAATCCAGGAGCTGGTTTTTTGAAAGGATCAACAAAATTGATAGACCGCTAGCAAGACTATTAAAGAAAAAAAGAGAGAAGAATCAAATAGATGCAATAAAAAATGACAAAGGGGATATCACCACCGATCCCACAGAAATACAAACTACCATCAGAGAATACTACAAACACCTCTACACAAATAAACTAGAAAATCTAGAAGAAATGGATAAATTCCTCCACACATACACCCTCCCAAGACTAAACCAGGAAGAAGTTGAATCTCTGAATAGACCAATAACAGGAGCTGAAATTGTGGCAATAATCAATGGCTTACCAACCAAAAAGAGTCCAGGACCAGATGGATTCACAGCCGAATTCTATCAGAGGTACAAGGAGGAACTGGTACCATTCCTTCTGAAACTATTCCAATCAATAGAAAAAGAGGGAATCCTCCCTAACTCATTTTATGAAGCCAGCATCATTCTGATACCAAAGCCAGGCAGAGACACAACAAAAAAAAGAGAATTTTAGACCAATATCCTTGATGAACATTGATGCAAAAATCCTCAGTAAAATACTGGCAAACCAAATCCAGCAGCACATCAAAAAGCTTATCCACCATGATCAAGTGGGCTTCATCCCTGGGATGCAAGGCTGGTTCAATATACGCAAATCAATACATGTAATCCAGCATATAAACAGAGCCAAAGACAACAAAACCACATGATTATCTCAATAGATGCAGAAAAAGCCTTTGACAAAATTCAACAAACCTTCATGCTAAAAACTCTCAATAAATTAGGTATTGATGGGACGTATTTCAAAATAATAAGAGCTATCTATGACAAACCCACAGCCAATATCATACTGAATGGGCAAAAACTGGAAGCATTCCCTTTGAAAACTGGCACAAGACAGGGATGCCCTCTCTCACCACTCCTATTCAACATAGTGTTGGAAGTTCTGGCCAGGGCAATCAGCCAGGAGAAGGAAATAAAGGGTATTCAATTAGGAAAAGAGGAAGTCAAATTGTCCCTGTTTGCAGACGACATGATTGTATATCTAGAAAACCCCATTGTCTCAGCCCAAAATCTCCTTAAGCTGATAAGCAACTTCAGCAAAGTCTCAGGATACAAAATCAATGTACAAACATCACAAGCATTCTTATACACCAACAACAGACAAACAGAGAGCCAAATCATGAGTGAACTCCCATTCACAATTGCTTCAAAGAGAATAAAATACCTAGGAATCCAACTTACAAGGGATGTGAAGGACCTCCTCAAGGAGAACTACAAACCACTGCTCAAGGAAATAAAAGAGGATACAAAGAAATGGAAGAACATTCCATGCTCATGGGTAGGAAGAATCAATATCGTGAAAATGGCCATACTGCCCAAGGTAATTTACAGATTCAATGCCATCCCCATCAAGCTACCAATGCCTTTCTTCACAGAATTGGAAAAAACTACTTTAAAGTTCATATGGAACCAAAAAAGAGCCCACATTGCCAAGTCAATCCTAAGCCAAAAGAACAAAGCTGGAGGCATCACACTACCTGACTTCAAACTATACTACAAGGCTACAGTAACCAAAAGAGCATGGTACTGGTACCAAAACAGAGATATAGATCAATGGAACAGAACAGAGCCCTCAGAAATAACGCCGCATATCTACAGCTATCTGATCTTTGACAAACCTGAGAAAAACAAGCAATGGGGAAAGGATTCCCTATTTAATAAATGGTGCTGGGAAAACTGGCTAGCCATATGTAGAAAGCTGAAACTGGATCCCTTCCTTACACCTTATACAAAAATCAATTCAAGATGGATTAAAGACTTAAACCTTAGACCTAAAACCATAAAAACCCTAGAAGAAAACCTAGGTATTACCATTCAGGACATAGGCATGGGCAAGGACTTCATGTCTAAAACACCAAAAGCAATGGCAACAAAAGACAACATTGACAAATGGGATCTCATTAAACTAAAGAGCTTCTGCACAGCAAAAGAAACTACCATCAGAGTGAACAGGCAACCTACAAAATGGGAGAAAATTTTCGCAACCTACTCATCTGACAAAGGGCTAATATCCAGAATCTACAATGAACTCAAACAAATTTACAAGAAGAAAACAAACAACCCCATCAAAAAGTGGGCAAAGGACATGAACAGACACTTCTCAAAAGAAGACATTTATGCAGCCAAAAAACACATGAAAAAATGCTCACCATCACTGGCCATCGGAGAAATGCAAATCAAAACCACAA
The DNA here is from genome assembly GCF_000001405.40 of Homo sapiens. Lineage (NCBI taxonomy): Eukaryota > Metazoa > Chordata > Mammalia > Primates > Hominidae > Homo > Homo sapiens. The sequence goes on along the minus strand of NC_000014.9, from coordinate 86,106,178 downwards.
TGAGATACCATCTCACATCACGCCAGTTAGAATGGCAATCATTAAAAAGTCAGGAAACAACAGGTGCTGGAGAGGATGTGGAGAAATAGGAACACTTTTACACTGTTGGTGGGACTGTAAACTAGTTCAACCATTGTGGAAGTCAGTGTGGTGATTCCTCAGTGATCTAGAACTGGAGATACCATTTGACCCAGCCATCCCATTACTGGGTATATACCCAAAGGACTATAAATCATGCTGCTATAAAGACACATGCACACGTATGTTTTTTGCGGCATTATTCACGATAGCAAAGACTTGGAACCAACCCAAATGTCCAACAATGATAGACTGGATTAAGAAAATGTGGCACATATACACCATGGAATACTATGCAGCCATAAAAAATGATGAGTTCATGTCCTTTGTAGGGACATGGATGAAATTGGAAATCATCATTCTCAGTAAACTATCGCAAGAACAAAAAACCAAACACCACATATTCTCACTCATAGGTGGGAACTGAACAATGAGATCACATGGACACAGGAAGGGGAATATCACACTCTGGGGACTGTTGTGGTGTGGGGGGAGGGGGGAGGGATAGCACTGGGAGATATGCCTAATGCTAGATGACGAGATAGTGGGTGCAGCGCACCAGCATGGCACATGTATACATATGTAACTAACCTGCACAATGTGCACATGTACCCTAAAACTTAAAGTATAATAAAAAAAAATTAAAAAAAAAAAAGAATTTCCTATAAAAGCTTCATGTGTTATAAAAAATACTTGCTGGGTCACTGCCCAACCCTGCCTCGTCTTCCCTCACAGGCATGCTGATACTAGTTGTCAATCTCGTTGTAGAAGTACCTTCAGTTTACTTAGCCTACCACCCACACGTGTAGACACTGAGAACAAGGGTAAGAGCCATTCCTTCTGTTGTGGCAACCTTGTGCTTTCCAGGAAACACAAGCATATTTTATATTTGCTTCCTAAACCAATGATTCACAACCATTTTTACACACATACGATCATCTGGAAAGTTTTTACAAAAAGGCAATGTGTGGGCTACTCCCAACCTCACCCCTCTTCCCGACCAAGATTCTGATTTAATTCCTCTGGGGTGAGCTCTCAAAATGAGTATGTTAATAAAAATGTCTTCAAGTGATTTAATTGTAGCCAGAATCTCCATTATAGACTATTCACCAGCCTTCCCTTCTGCCCTGGCAGCTCCCACTTTGTCCTTCCCACCCACTCTGAGCTCTGGAACAGATTTCTTCTCATGTTGTAGCTTGCATGTTTGCTGACCTTTCTGCAAAGTTATCCTCTAAACAATATATTCCCAACATTCCTTCTGGCTTTCAGGCTTAGAGATGTCATCTTTTGCTAGTTTCCAACTCTGCTATCAATTTTTCTTTTTATGCAGTCATTGTAGTGTTCAGTAAAAATTCTGCAAACGATGGGGTAGGGAAGATATAAACAACAGGGTTGAGTTTTGAATCAGAACCAACTCTCAATATGGAATTGTTATCAAATAATTACTATTTGATGATACTTTCAAAGTTCTGATGTAGAAACTGATTCCTATATATTATTCATGCCTAGATAGTAATGACTAAACATCCAAAAAATTAAACTAGATTAAAAGAAAATTAAAATATTTTCTATTTATAAGATAATGTGCATTTTAAAGAATATTTCCATAATATAACAGAAAAAGATCAGAACATATAGTTTATACAGTTTATGATATAATTTTTATTGAAGTTATATCTTTAATTGCTCTAGGATTAATCCAGTGAAATTGTTGATAACAACAATACAAGTAATAATAGTAGAAGCATTTATTGATTTAAATTCAAGAAAAGTAATTGTCTTTCAATTGCCAACATCATCGTCATCAACATCACCACCACCAACATATTTAAAACCTACTAAGTAATTATTATATGCCAGGCTCCGTTCTAAATTCATTAATTTTTAAATCTTTAGAATAATACAATTATGTGAATATTGTTGTCAAATGTTGATGAAACAAAGAGAGAGTTTAAGTTGATAATTTGAGGTCATGGTGTTAGGCGCAGGCAGACAAACTCTTTTACCCTTGTTCAAAGCCACTATGAAGTCCTGTTCGCATGAATGATCTTTATTTTCTTCAGTATGCCTTTGGTTTTATTGTCAACATTTTACTATAATAAATGACTATTATTATTAACAAGAATAAAATGTGAAGTAACAGTTATGAAAAATTTTTAGCTCAAGACAAATAATTACTGGAAGCATTTATGTGGACACTAAAAATATTAAAACATTTGTCAAGTTCATTTGAGATTCTTCATGTGCAAATGTCACATACAGATTTCTCTGAGACAAAAAAAAATATTTTCCATTACTCTTCCAAATGATATTTATTTTTTTCTGCTTTTTAAATGTTGATTCTCGGTCTACATTACTTGGGACTATAGGGCCTCAATTTTAGTTTTATGGAAATTAGATTAAGCTTGCCAAACACTTAATAATCAATTGCCTTGCAAGGAATAGAAATAATCACTTTCATTAATATTTCCCGAAGGATCAGATTTCAATGCAACAACACCCTATGGTTTGGACTGGTTGATGCAAATGTTTAATGTTTGGCAAACAAAGAACCAGCTCTTTCATTTTATTAAGATAGATATCTGTACATATCTTAAATGTGTGTTTTGAGGCATATGGAAGAAGAAAAGAGGTGACGAGTTGCAAATCAAGATAGTATTGAAAATGGTATGTCCACAGTGCTAGATGTCAAGCACTGTGCTTGTCACTATTGACTAAAGATACTGAGATAAGCTCATCTAGTAGAAAGAGAAACTCACTAATAAATAAATGATAATTTGGCATGATTTATATGATTCCTGGTTATGCAGATAGTGTTTGGAGGAAGCACAGAGAACGGAGATGCTAACTCGATACTGGAAACAGTGGAAATACTTTGAATATTAGAACAGGAAGTTGACCATGCCCATCACCAACATTTCCTATACCCTGAGCTAGAGTACAAGTGGAAGCATATATACCATATGTCAAAATATTTAAAGCTTACAAGTCAAAGTAACAAGCTGTTAAATAAAATAGATTTCACTGTATATCCATAACAACATAATAGCAAATACATGTACATCTATGGTGTTTACATAACACAATCAGTCAAACATCAGCAATGACTAATTATTACTACATTTGTCTTGCTGTTCAGTGGATAGGCCAACCGTGTTCTCATGAGTAATAAAATGCTTACAAGATATAGGAAGGATTATATATTTTGTATTTGCTTTTTGTTGCTACATAGCAAATTAGCATAGACTTAGCAGCATAAAACAACACAAATTTCAGATGTTACTTTTTCTAGGGGTCAAAAGTCCAGAAACTAGTTAGTTGGGTCCTCTGTGCAGTCTTACCAGGTTGAAATTGAATTGTTGGCCAAAACTGCAATGTTATCTGAGTCCCCTTCCAATCTCAGTATTATTGCCAGAATTCATTTCCTCGTGGATGTAAGACTAGGGTTCTCATTTTCTTGTTGACTCTCAATCTGAAACCATTCTCCAGCTCCTAGAGTCTGCCTGCACTCCCATCCACATATACAAAGTATATTAGCATGTTTGGCAAACAAAGAACCAGCCCTTTCATTTTATTAAGATAGATTTCCGTACATATCTTAAATGTGTGTTTTGGGGCATATGGAAGAATAAAAGAGGTGACAGTTTAAAAATTAAGATTACTTTCAATGGCAAAAACCGCAATTATTTTTGCATCAAATTTATATATACATATATAAATAGATATATATATAATTATAGATAGATGATAGATAGACAGATAGATAGATGCTTGACATCTAGCACTGTGGACATACCATCTTCAATACTATCTTGATTTGCAACTCGTCACCTCCTTTCTTCTTCCATATGCCTCAAAACACACATTTAAGATATGTACAGATATCTATCTTAATAAAATGAAAGAGCTGGTTCTTTGTTTGCCAAACATGTTAGACATTTACTTCAATGTTAAACATTACACCCTGGTATATATATATATACATACATACATATATGTATATATATACCAGGAGACTAGAATACAGCAAACTCCTTTAAAATAAGTGACTAGATATTTGAGGGAAGATGGCCGAATAGGAACAGCTCCAATCTACAGCTCCCAGCGTGAGCGACGCAGACGACGGGTGATTTCTGCATTTCCATCTGAGGTACCGGGTTCATCTCACTAGGGAGTGCCAGACAGTGGGCGCAGGCCAGTGGGTGCATGCACCGTGTGCCAGCCAAAGCAGGGCGAGGCATTGCCTCACTTGGGAAGCGCAAGGGGTCAGGGAGTTCCCTTTCCTAGTCAAAGAAAGGGGTGACAGACGGCACATGGAAAATCAGGTCACTCCCACCCGAATACTGCGCTTTTCCAAAGGGCTTAAAAAACGGCGCACCAGGAGACTATATCCCGCACCTGGCTTGGAGAGTCCTATGCCCACGGAGTCTCGCTGATTGCTGGCACAACAGTCTGAGATCAAACTGAAGGCTGCAGCGAGGCTGGGGGAGAGGCATCCGCCATTGCCCAGGCTTGCTTAGGTAAACAAAGCAGCCAGGAAGCTCCAACTGGGTGGAGCCCACCACAGCTCAAGGAGGCCTGCCTGCCTCTGTAGGCTCCACCTCTTGGGGGCAGGGCACAGACAAACAAAAAGACAGCAGTAACCTCTGCAGACTTAAATGTCCCTGTCTGACAGCATTGAAGAGAGCAGGGGTTCTCCCAGCACACAGCTGGAGATCTGAGAACGGGCAGACTGCCTCCTCAAGTGGGTCCCTGACCCCTGACCCCCGAGCAGCCTAACTGGCAGGCACCCCCCAGCAGGGGCACACTGACACCTCACATGGCAGGGTACTACAACAGACCTGCAGCTGAGGGTCCTGTCTGTTAGAAGGAAATCTAACAAACAGAAAGGACACCCACACCAAAAAACCATCTGTATATCACCATCATCAAAGAAAGACCAAAAGTAGATAAAACCACAAAGATGGGGAAAAAACAGAACAGAAAAACTGGAAACTCTAAAAAGCAGAGTGCCTCTCCTCCTCCAAAGGAACGCAGTTCCTAACCAGCAACAGAACAAAGCTGGACAGAGAATGACTTTGACGAGCTGAGAGAAGAAGGCTTCAGATGATCAAATTACTCCGAGCTACAAGAGGACATTCAAACCAAAGGCAAAGAAGTTGAAAACTTTAAACAAAATTTAGAAGAATGTATAACTAGAATAACCAATACAGAGAAGTGCTTAAAGGAGCTGATGAAGCTGAAAACCAAGGCTCGAGAACTACGTAAAGAATGCAGAAGCCTCAGGAGCCGACGCGATCAACTGGAAGAAAGGGTATCAGTGATGGAAGATGAAATGAATGAAATGAAGCGAGAAGGGAAGTTTAGAGAAAAAAGAATAAAAAGAAACGAGCAAAGCCTCCAAGAAATATGGGACTATGTGAAAAGACCAAATCTACGTCTGATTGGTGTACCTGAAAGTAACGAGGAGAATGGAACCAAGTTGGAAAACACGCTGCAGCATATTATCCAGGAGAACTTCCCCAATCTACCAAGGCAGGCCAACATTCAGATTCAGGAAATACAGAGAATGCCACAAAGATACTCCTCGAGAAGAGCAACTCCAAGACACATAATTGTCAGATTCACCAAAGTTGAAATGAAGGAAAAAATGTTAAGGGCAGCCAGAGAGAAAGGTCGGGTTACCCTCAAAGGGAAGCCCATCAGACTAACAGCGGATCTTGCAGTCGAAACCCTACAAGCCAAAGAGAAAGGTCGTGTTACCCTCAAAGGGAAGCCCATCAGACTAACAGTGGATCTCTCAGCAGAAACCCTACAAGCCAGAAGAGAGTGGGGGCCAATATTCAACATTCTTACAGAAAACAATTTTCAACCCAGAATTTCATATCCAGCCAAACTAAGCTTCATAAGTGAAGGAGAAATAAAATACTTTACAGACAAGCAAATGCTGAGAGATTTTGTCACCACCAGGCCTGCCCTAAAAGAGCTCCTGAATGAAGTACTAAATATGGAAAGGAAAAACCGGTACCAGCCGCTGCAAAATCATGCCAAAATGTAAAGACCATCGAGACTAGGAAGAAACTGCATCAACTAATGAGCAAAATAACCAGCTAACATCATCATGACAGGATCAGATTCACACATAACAATATTAACTTTAAATGTAAATGGACTAAATGCTCCAATTAAAAGACACAGACTGGCAAATTGGATAAAGAGTCAAGACCCACCAGTGTGCTGTATTCAGGAAACCCATCTCACGTGCAGAGACACATAGGCTCAAAATAAAAGGATGGAGGAAGATCTACCAAGCAAATGGAAAACAAAAAAAGGCAGGGGTTGCAATCCTAGTCTCTGATAAAACAGACTTTAAACCAACAAAGATCAAAAGAGACAAAGAAGGCCATTACATAATGGTAAAGGGATCAATTCAACAAGAAGAGCTAACTATCCTAAATATAAATGCACCCAATACAGGAGCACCCAGATTCATAAAACAAGTCCTGAGTGACCTACAAAGAGACTTAGACTCCCACACATTAATAATGGGAGACCTTAACATGCCACTGTCAACATTAGACAGATAAATGAGACAGAAAGTCAACGAGCATACCCAGGAATTGAACTCAGCTCTGCACCAAGTGGACCTAATAGACATCTACAGAACTCTCCACCCAAAATAAACAGAAGATACATTTTTTTCAGCACCACATCACACCTATTCCAAAATTGACCACATACTTGGAAGTAAAGCTCTCCTCAGCAAATGTAAAAGAACAGAAATTATAACAAACTATCTCTCAGACCACAGCGCAATCAAACTAGAACTCAGGATTAAGAATCTCACTCAAAACCGCTCAACTACATGGAAACTGAACAACCTGCTCCTGAATGACTACTGGGTACATAACGAAATGAAGGCAGAAATAAAGATGTTCTTTGAAACCAGCGAGAACAAAGACACAACATACCAGAATCTCTGGGAGGCATTCAAAGCAGTGTGTAGAGGGAAATTTACAGCACTAAATGCCCACAAGAGAAAGCAGGAAAGATCCAAAATTGACACCCTAACATCACAATTAAAAGAACTAGAAAAGCAAGAGCAAACACATTCAAAAGCTAGCAGAAGGCAAGAAATAACTAAAATCAGAGCAGAACTGAAGGAAATAGAGACACAAAAAAACCCTTCAAAAAATTAATGAATCCAGGAGCTGGTTTTTTGAAAGGATCAACAAAATTGATAGACTGTTAGCAAGACTAATAAAGAAAAAAAGAGAGAACAATCAAATAGATGCAATAAAAAATGACAAAGGGGATATCACCACCGATCCCACAGAAATACAAACTACCATCAGAGAATACTACAAACACCTCTACACAAATAAACTAGAAAATCTAGAAGAAATGGATAAATTCCTCCACACATACACCCTCCCAAGACTAAACCAGGAAGAAGTTGAATCTCTGAATAGACCAATAACAGGAGCTGAAATTGTGGCAATAATCAATGGCTTGCCAACCAAAAAGAGTCCAGGACCAGATGGATTCACAGCCGAATTCTACCAGAGGTACAAGGAGGAACTGGTACCATTCCTTCTGAAACTATTCCAATCAATAGAAAAAGAGGGAATCCTCCCTAACTCATTTTATGAAGCCAGCATCATTCTGATACCAAAGCCAGGCAGAGACACAACAAAAAAAAGAGAATTTTAGACCAATATCCTTGATGAACATTGATGCAAAAATCCTCAGTAAAATACTGGCAAACCAAATCCAGCAGCACATCAAAAAGCTTATCCACCATGATCAAGTGGGCTTCATCCCTGGGATGCAAGGCTGGTTCAATATACGCAAATCAATACATGTAATCCAGCATATAAACAGAGCCAAAGACAAAAACCACATGATTATCTCAATAGATGCAGAAAAAGCCTTTGACAAAATTCAACAAACCTTCATGCTAAAAACTCTCAATAAATTAGGTATTGATGGGACGTATTTCAAAATAATAAGAGCTATCTATGACAAACCCACAGCCAATATCATACTGAATGGGCAAAAACTGGAAGCATTCCCTTTGAAAACTGGCACAAGACAGGGATGCCCTCTCTCACCACTCCTATTCAACATAGTGTTGGAAGTTCTGGCCAGGGCTATCAGGCAGGAGAAAGAAATAAAGGATATTCAATTAGGAAAAGAGGAAGTCAAATTGTCCCTGTTTGCAGACGACATGATTGTATATCTAGAAAACCCCATTGTCTCAGCCCAAAATCTCCTTAAGCTGATAAGCAACTTCAGCAAAGTCTCAGGATACAAAATCAATGTACAAAAATCACAAGCATTCTTATACACCAACAATAGACAAACAGAGAGCCAAATCATGAGTGAACTCCCATTCACAATTGCTTCAAAGAGAATAAAATACCTAGGAATACAACTTACAAGGGATGTGAAGGACCTCTTCAAGGAGAACTACAAACCACTGCTCAAGGAAATAAAAGAGGATACAAACAAATGGAAGAACATTCCATGCTCATGGGTAGGAAGAATCAATATCGTGAAAATGACCATACTGCCCAAGGTAATTTACAGATTCAGTGCCATCCCCATCAAGCTACCAATCACTTTCTTCACAGAATTGGAAAATAGTACTTTAAAATTCATATGGAACCAAAAAAGAGCCCGCATCGCCAAGTCAATCCTAAGCCAAAAGAACAAAGCTGGAGGCATCACAATACCTGACTTCAAACTATACTACAAGGCTACAGTAACCAAAACAGCATGGTACTGGTACCAAAACAGAGATATAGATCAAAGGAACAGAACAGAGCCCTCAGAAATAATGCCGCATATCTACAACTATCTGATTTTTGACAAACCTGAGAAAAACAAGCAATGGGGAAAGGATTCCCTATTTAATAAATGGTGCTGGGAAAACTGGCTAGCCATATGTAGAAAGCTGAAACTGGATCCCTTCCTTACACCTTATACAAAAATCAATTCAAGATGGATTAAAGACTGAAACGTTAGACCTAAAACCATAAAAACCCTAGAAGAAAACCTAGGTATTACCATTCAGGACATAGGCATGGGCAAGGACTTCATGTCTAAAACACCAAAAGCAATGGCAACAAAAGCCAAAATTGACAAATGGGATCTCATTAAACTAAAGAGCTTCTGCACAGCAAAAGAAACTACCATCAGAGTGAACAGGCAACCTACAAAATGGGAGAAAATTTTCGCAACCTACTCATCTGACAAAGGGCTAATATCCAGAATCTACAATGAACTCAAACAAATTTACAAAAAAAAACAACCCCATCAAAAAGTGGGCGAAGGACGTGAACAGACACTTCTCAAAAGAAGACATTTATGCAGCCAAAAAACACATGAATATATGCTCACCATCACTGGCCATCAGGGAAATGCAAATCAAAACCACAATGAGATACCATCTCACATCACGCCAGTTAGAATGACGGTCATTAAAAAGTCAGGAAACAACAGGTGCTGGAGAGCATGTGGAGAAATAGGAACACTTTTACACTGTTGGTGGGACTGTAAACTAGTTCAACCATTGTGGAAGTCAGTGTGGGGATTCCTCAGGGATCTGGAACTGGAAATACCATTTGACCCAGCCATCCCATTACTGGGTATATACCCAAAGGACTATAAATGATGCTGCTATAAAGACACATGCACACGTATGTTTATTGTGGCATTATTCACAATAGCAAAGATTTGGAACCAACCCAAATGTCCAACAATGATAGACTGGATTAAGAAAATGTGGCACATATACACCATGGAATACTATGCAGCCATAAAAATGATGAGTTCATGTCCTTTGTAGGGACATGGATGAAATTGGAAATCATCATTCTCAGTATAACTATCGCAAGAACAAAAAACCAAACACCGCATATTCTCACTCATAGGTGGGAATTGAACAATGAGAACACATGGACACAGGAAGGGGAACATCACACTCTGGGGACTGTTGTGGGGTGGGGGGAGGGGGGAGGGATACCACTGGGAGATATACCTAATGCTAGATGACGAGTTAGTGGGTGCAGCGCACCAGCATGGCACATGTATACATATGTAACTAACCTGCACATTGTGCACATGTACCCTAAAACTTAAAGTATAATAATAATAAAAAATAAATAAATAAAAAATAAAATAAAATAAAATAAGTGACTAAATATTACATTAGTATTTAGGAAACACATAATTCCTTGGATCCTTTATGTAAAATAAGAATGTTGGCAGGGCATGGTGGCCTGTAATCCCAGCACTTTGGGAGGCTGAGGTGGGTGGATTACAAGGTCAGGAGTTCAAGATAAGCCTGACCAAGACGGTAAACCCCATCTCTGCTAAAAATACAAAATTAGTCAGGCATGGTGGCGGACGCCTGTGGTCCCAACTACTCAGGAGTCTGAGGCAGGGGAATTGTTTGAACCCAGGAGAAAGAGGTTGCAGTGAACCAAGATCACGTCACTGCAGTCCAGCCTGGGCAACAGAGTGAGACTCCATCTCAAAAAAAAAAAAAAAAAGAAAAGAAAAAGAATGTTGATAACAATTTTAATGTTTGAGGAAGAGTAATTTTAATATTTTGATAGAAGTATCTCCAAGATGTCCCAAGAAGAAAATGTCATTGAAAGTAAAACATCAAAATATAAATTCATGGAAAGAAAATTAATCTGTGTACTTCACTCTGATTTCGAGAAATAAACTCTCCTCATGATCAAATTCTCATCTTCTGTATACTTTACTTGATTCTTGGGCTAAGCCTGCTAAAATAAAATGGACCATAAACATTATTATCCTTCATGCCTGTATTTTACATTTTTGGTAACTCTTGACAATGTAATAGCTGTAAAACAGATTTTTCACATTTTTGTAAAATACAATGGATTTGTATTCTCCCAGAAAACCAGATAAGCCAGCAAGATTGGCCTAAAAGGTCAAGTCTAGTAAACATTCAGTCAATCTCATATCAAATGTTTAAAACTAATTCAATAACTGCTCTTAGGATTAAGAAAGAAAAATCCATTCAGCATACAATTGTGTTGCCTTCTTCTTTAGTAGTTTTACCACATCAAGGAGCTGTGTTGAGTTCTTGGTTAAAACAAAGAAAAATATTCAAGTGAGAGCTGACGTGTCCACAGAAGTACGACACATTAATTGGTTGATTAATGATGAATATTTACCTGTTGATAGGCTACACTTTGCTATTGGTGACTTTTAATTCAGCCTGAATAGGTGCAACTCTTTCAAAATAGACAGTGACATTATAGACACTAAAGCTGTCAGAATTTGATGAAGAGGAAATGTGGCCTCTGCCATTGGCCTATTAATGGCTTTGCCATGTAAGTGATGTCATACACTTCTCTCTACTATTTCATTTAATAATGCACAAAATGAGTGTCATAATAAATGCACATCCTTCTGGAGCTCAGTGCAGGAGGCATCAAAAGAACAGCTATTTTTAAACACCTTTGTTCCTCCCAGGCAAAGGTTGGAGCCAGTTTATAACAAAATCTCACCTACATCTCTCAGATGCAAGCTGGAGGTCAGCAACAGAGAACACAGTGACTGCGGCAACTAAAAGATCTATTAAACATCTACATACATGTTTGAAAAGATTGTAGACCTATCTTTTACTCATCTGGACTCTATGGTTGAAAATGTTGAGCTGGGGTTATCAGTCTCTCATTACAAAACTCACCAAGTAAAAAAGCCTAAGATTAAAAGTCATCAGGTCATCTTTGTTCTAATAATATTGCTTCTGATTTCATGCTTGAAGCTTATTTTGTTAAAATTGAACAAATGTTGCACTGTGCCTCAATGTAATTTTTACAAAATGCTCAATTTTGTATTCTAAAGACTGACACATAGATATATACATTTTTATTACAACTATGCATGCCACTTTTTTGCTAAGTTATATTCACAATAATTTCTCTTGAAGTTGATGGCATTTTAAAAGTCTTAGAAATGCAGTATGTGGAGATTAAACCATAAAGGTTGTTGTCTGAGTTTTTGAAGATGATTTCAAAGTCACTATTAATTTTCAGTTTATCAGGTAAAAGATAAACAATGAGGGAGGTTATTTCTTTTTTTTTTTTTTTTTTTTTTTTTTTTTGAGACGGAGTCTCGCTCCGTCGCCCAGGCCAGACTGCGGACTGCAGTGGCGCAATCTCGGCTCACTGCAAGCTCCGCTTCCCGGGTTCACGCCATTCTCCTGCCTCAGCCTCCCGAGTAGCTGGGACTACAGGCGCCTGCCACCGCGCCCGGCTAATTTTTTGTATTTTTAGTAGAGACGGGGTTTCACCTTGTTAGCCAGGATGGTCTCGATCTCCTGACCTCATGATCCACCCGCCTTGGCCTCCCAACGTGCTGGGATTACAGGCGTGAGCCACCGCGCCCGGCCGAGGGAGGTTATTTCTTAGAACTCATCATTTATCCAGCCTGACCAGTACCTTAACAACTCCACAAAAGCTAATTAGAAGTTAAGGGAAACTAGAAAGGTTTTTGATTGCTAAAATTTTTTCTTTTAATTCGCATCCTCTACCACGATGTAACAAGTGAATGTCAATGTAGAGAAAACATATGTACACAAGACTAGATGGTGCAGACTATTCTCCATGAAACTGAGAATGAGCTGTTTTCAAGCTGATCATCAGTTTTATATAATTATCTCTAAGGCTTACTAGTTAGAAGTTCAAATTCAATGTTTCAGAGAAATTACATCAGATACTTTATTTTCAATTTAATTTTAATTTTGTATTGTATTTCCTTAAAACATTAAACAATATCCATTGAAAATAGCATGATCAAATAATAAAAGAAATGAACCCAACACATCAATGACTTCAGTTGAGAAGCTCACACTCTGACCCATTTGGAAATTCGTAGGTGGTAAATGCTGAATTAGTCTATCCTTATGCTCACTCATCAAGTATACTATAATCTATGTATTATCTACCCCCATAGCTTTATACCAAACTGCTAAATAAGCTTTCTCATATTCTGATGGTTTTCATGTACTATGATCTTATATGATTTTTGATAACTCCAGTGTTCTTTTGGTTTCATTCTGTGTTAGTCAGTTCTCACACTGCTAATAAAGACATCCCTGAGACTGGGTAATTTATAAAGAAAAAAAGGTTTAATGGATTCACAGTTCCACATGGCTGGGGAGGCCTCACAATCATGGCAGAAGGCAAAGGAGGAGCAAAGTCATATGTTACATGGCAGCAGGCAAGAGAGAACTTGTGCAGGGGAACTCCCCTTTATGAAGCCATCAGATCTCATGAGACTTATTCACTATCATGAGAACAGCATGGGGGTAACCGCCCCCATGATTCAATTACCTCCCACCAGGTCCCTCCCACATGTGGGAATTACGGGAGCTACAATTCAAGATGAGATTTGGGTGAGGACCACACCCAAACCATATCACCTTCCTTCACTCATCTTGTTGTTTACTCACCATGATTCAATTACCTCCCACCGGGTCCCTCCAAGAACATGTGGGAATTATGGGAGCTGCAATTCAAGATGAGATTTGGGTGGGGACACAGCCAAACCATATTACCTTTCTTCACTCATCTTGTTTACTTACCCCTATAATAGAATGTCTTTTTTTTTCTTTTTTGGGGTCTGCGTATCCTCATGAGAGTTCTAGTGAAAGCCAAGAGCTAAGCCTCTGATAAAAGAAGCTAAGAAACCCAAAAAAGTTGACCTTTGGCATTTAGTAGGAAGAGGCCAGAGGTTAAAAGAGATGATCTGGATATAAATTTTGACTCTGCAGCTAGTGCCCAATATAGACTCTGTGTGACCATTTAGAATTTGGAAGTGGGTAATGGTACATTATTTCTAGAATCAGTGGTCACAGTGGAATCAGAGACAGTTTCTGACATCTGTGGTAGTGACAGTGGCAATTTAGCCAGACTGTTCCTGTGCTGTGTCCTTAGCTACTTTTGTAGCCACCCAGTGAGGGTAACCAGTAGTTCTAGTTTGCAAAGGACTGAGGGATTTTTCAAGGTATCAACTTTCAGTGCTAAAATAGGGAGATCCCTGGGAAAACCAGGATGAGTCATTACCTTGCATCCAGCTCCTCAAGTTTCTTTCTCATTATCTGAAGTTGATTCTTCAGCCTCCCAATGGATTCTGTGACCTATCTATGTTACTTCCTTAAGAAGTCCTTTCTTGTTAAAATTAGCAGCATCTCTTGTTGATGTCTGCATTAAAAAACCGTCACTGGTATAGAAATTGGGTACAGAAAGTGGGTTGCAGGCAAGAAACCCTCAGGGAAAACAGGTAATCTGGTATTGGTTACCTGCCAAGTGAAAATATAATTACTATTTAGAGAAAAGATAGGAGATGAAACAGAAAGCTAAGTTCTCACTGGTTATAGACGGAAATTAAGTGCTTATTGAGGGTTGGCCTTAAGAAAACAAAATGATAGTTGCTATAGAAAGAACATGAAATTTTGAGAACTCTGATTGTGGAGCATTGCTTTGAACAAGTCTAAACAGCTGAATACCCCACCATGCTACAACCTCTGACTACCTGGTAAAATAACTAAACCCTAAGAATCTTCCAGGACTATGATAAAGAATCTCTCATTCTTAGCAGCTACAGAATAAAAGTGATAAAAATCTAAATGCAAAGTTCAAGGCTTCATGTTGCTGAATTACAAAAGGAGTCAAATTCATAGTCTTTCCTAATATCGTCTGCAAAATTTCAGATATTGATAAGAGGTGGGATCCTGATATTGAGACAGAGTTACAAGGCACGATGTAGTGCATTTGGGATGCTCCAATGCCCAGTCTCCACCAAACCGCCTGTGTCACCCAAAGAACTTCTGCTTTGCTTGAAAATGTTTATGACTTCCTCACTTGAAGGAATTACCCTGAATCTAAAACCAAATCTTCTTCATGAGCTCTCAGCCAGTCTCCCAATCCTTTTGTCTCCATTTCTATAGCTAGAATAAGCTCCCAGTTTATTTTGGAAACAAATGTTTACATTTTTAAAATGTTAGGCCCAGCACGCTGGCTCACGCCTGTAATCCCAGCACTTTGGGAGGCCAAGGAGTGTGGATCACCTAAGGTCAGGAGTTCGAGACAAGCCTGGCCTACGTGGTGAAACCCTGTCTCTACTGAAAATATAAAAATTAGCTGGATGTGGTGGCAGGGGCCTGTAATCCCAGCTACTTGGGAGGCTGAGGCAGGTGAATCACTTGAACCTGGGTGGCGCAGGTTGCAGTGAGCCAAGATCGTGCCATTGCACTCCTGCCTGGGTGACAAGAGAGAAACTTCATCTCAAATAAATAAATAAATAAATAAATAAATAAATAAATAAAATGTTGGTGGAGTTTGTTCATTTGATTTGCAAAATTCTGGTGAAAATATCAAAATAGATCCTGAGAGTATTTGATGAAGGATAGGAGAATATAATGTTTTGGTTAAGTTGAGTTAAGTTGACTTCATCACCATGAGTGCACTTAACAAAGACTTGATTCCACGTGTTGATTTTAGCAGTTACAATCTGGATTCCGTCATAGCTCATTACATCACTGAGATGATAAATACCATTTGGTAGATCATAGAATAAGAAATCAAGAAGCCAAGAAAGATTATAAAAACTGAGTGAAATTTTCTTGCTCAGTCATTCAACCATTAACTATGGTTAGTGAGAACCCAGAATGTACCTTCTACACCAAAGCCTTTTAAAATGCATTGGTAGGAAAAGAACAAACGTTTCTAAAAATTATTTTAGTAGGTGGTAGGTGATGGGGCCATCAAAATGGTCTCCCTGACATAATGGGAATAAAAAGATTCCAGAGTTGAGGAGGTCGAAGACCAACATGACTTTCAGAGGTAAGTTGAGTGTGGGGGCCATGAGAGGCAGCAGACCACCAAGGGAACCTAAATGTTGAGGCTTGCAGAGGTAATTGACAGCACTTAAGTAATTATAGGGGCTGTAGAGCACATATCATCAAGATGGGCATCCCATCGAGGTCCTACTTGATTTTTATAACCAATCATGGTAGATGCTTGTGACTTCTCACCCAATTTCTATTTTAAAATTATTCCATGTACCTACAAACCCAGAAAAGGCCTGGTAACTTTGAGAAAGTAACTGTTATCTTCACAAATGGTAAAGATAAGCTTCTATAAAGGTTCTATAAATCTTCTTCCTTAAGGAAGGAGATGGAGAAATACAGAGAAAATGTTTTTTTTGTTGTTGTTGTTTTGTTTTTTTGTTTTTTTTTTTGCAGTAGGGGATGCTGGATCTCCTGGCTTCCATTAACTCTTGAGATTACAGAAAGTCAATGTGACCTAGAGATGCAACTTATAAGGGGTAGCAACAAACTGCATTATAATATTTGTCTATAATATTATAGGCTTACTAGGAGTCAAAAAATATCACATGCACACTTACCCAATTCAAAAATGCATGTTTGAAGTATGTCCTTAGAAACTGGCAGGTTCCCATATTAGCCCCCTGGACCATAAGCTGTTCTGATGTGAAAGGTTATAAAGAAGTCTCTGGAATGTTTTTTAAAAGTCAAAGTAAATAATACTATAATAGAGTTGACTCTTGGATAACATGAGTTTCAACTGCATGAATCCAATTATACATTGATTTTCTTCCACTTCTGCAACATGTGACACAACAAGACCAATTCCTTTTCCCATCAATCTACTCAACATGAAGACAACAAAGATGAAGGCCTTTATGATAATCCACTTTCACTTAATGAATACCAAATGTTTACTCTTCTTTTAGATTTTGTTAATAATACTTTTTTCTAGCTTACTTTATTGTAGTAACACAGCATATAATATATATAAAAACTATGTTTTAATCAACTGTTTATGTTATCAGAAAGCCTCTGGTCAATAGTAGGCTGTTAGAAAAGGTCTTAGGGAGTCAAAATCTATACACAAATTTTTGAATGTCAAGAGGTCAGTCCCCAAATGCCTGCATTGAGCAAGGGTCAATTGTGATTATATTTCTAGTGGAATCACAAACATTACCACCAATATCAAAGATGTAAAATTTGCAAGGCAGGACTCCAATCACATTCCTTCTATCTCTCCAGCTCAGCTGGTACAGAAGTAGATAGGTTTCGGAGACCAGCAAGGACTATCAATAAACATAGTCAGATAAAGACTTTAATTGCAGCTGATGCTGCAAATGAGTAAAATCTTGATACCTGGCATGAATGAAGTATGTTCTTTTTTCTATATCTACTTTACTGTCATTTCGAAGGAATATATATTTTCATTATTTTGTCTCAGGATCAACTCAGCTCTCTTACTCTGAGACACAATTTAGTTGGCAGGAACTCTGACCATTTTACAATCCAATCCATAGAACCTTATACAAGTCTTCATCATTTACCATATTATCTTAATTGTATTTCGAGACTGTGAAGAAATCGAGTCTTAGACACGTTCAAGAGGCAGAGTGATTAAACATCATGAAAAAACAGAGGTGTTTGCTAGCTCTAAAGTTTCTGGGGATCAAGGAATCTGTGGTGTGTCAGGATACTATCTGTAAAGTAAAGGACTCATCGCTGCTCCTGGACCACTTATTGTTATGTAATGGTCTCCTGAATTTAGAGTTAACATGCAACACATTTGGATGAGAAGCTTGGTTACATTAACCAGTAACCAAGGAGGCTGTCAACTATGGGTGTGACCCAGGGCCAGAAAAATATCTTCAGCTGGTTTTGATTAAAGTGCAAAGTGCCCTTCTTTTTGACCCAGCTAATTCTATGACTGATGAAAATGCTGAGAAAAGGGCTGTATGAAGTTTATAAGATTATGAGGCAAAGCTATGCTTTATTAGGCATGAGTTTATTTTCTTTTTGAGACAAAGTTCTGGCTCTGGTAGAGGCTGCATATAAGACCACATAGCCTCAGCAGTCAGCCAAGAATGGAATGCTCCCCCACCGAACTAGTTGAAGTTCAGCATAAATATCTTATTTATGTTGTAAATAAGTTGTATAAATACTTTATTTTACTTTTATATTAGCCTACTGAGGTAGGTGATATTGCCCATATTCTTTGCCCAGAAACAAATAAAAGTTAACAAAGTTATACATACATACATACATATATAAAACTCATAAAAGATCCCAACAATGCAAGTCAATTGCATTCCGAATGAACTGTTAACTGAAGTGAGAAAAAACTCCTCATCTGCAGAATAACTAAAGTTGATTTCATATACCATGATTTGTTTCTGTTGTTGTTGTTTTTTAATCTTTTCCATTGTCTCTGTTTGGTTTCATCTTTTGCTTTTCTCTGTTCTTCTAAATTCAAGGAACAGAAGGCATCCTGGGAGGTGTACTTTTTACAAACCCTTTAAACCTTTCTGAGGGAAACTTTGAATTCTTCACAACTAGGCACACGAAATTGAGATAAAATATCTTTGAAAACAGCAAAAGCTCTTGCCTCCAGAACTGAAAGTGGTGTTGGTAATGAAACACAATAGCTTGTTTTTTTGTGGCTTTCATAGAAGTACCCAACCTACTTCCCAAACTGTCATGCATAATTTGATACAAATGGGGTATCTGCCTTTTTGGATGAAACACAGAACAGAACTGGCAGGGAGAAAACCTGTAAATTATTGTGAAGGTGGTCGACTCCCTGGGACTCAGGATAAGAGTAATTAGCTGGAAAGTTCATACTTTAATTTGCCTGAAGAGAAACAAATGAAAAAAATTATATACTCTCTGTGTGTGTGAGAGTGTGTGTGTGTGTGTGTGTATTCACATTTTCAGCATGACTGTTGCTTTAATCTGCCAGGGGTTCAGTTTTCTCTCCCCCACTTTAAGTAAAATCCAGGTGCTGCTGCCAATATTATAATACTTATTTAATAGGCAGCAGTGGGTGGCAGCCACTTTTTTTAACCTCCTGGATCTCTCTTATTCCTTGCCAGACAAAGCGTTCACCCCTTACATTCACTGAACTTTGCAGAACAAGTCAGCTCTAAGATGATTTTGCATGCCTCTTATTTTGCAACTCCTAGTAATTTGCTCACCAAATAACAGAAAGCCCAGTTATTTGCTGCTAGCATGAAGGCAGTTTCCTCTAGTTGGAAATACAGAATTCATCACATAGATCTCAAATCTTAAGTATAATGCTACATTTTTCAACATTTTAATTTTTTCTGTGCCAATTAAGGTCATAGTATATTTTCATATTTCACCCTTCACATTTTCTTCTCATTGCTTTTCTGAGAGCAATGCATTTTGTATTTATTTTTCATTTGAAAAATGTTGACAAATTTTTTCTCCTGTCAAATCGAGGTTGTGACAGAAAATAAAGTGTAAATGCATATCTGTGTAAATTTTACAAAGTAGTCAAAATGATAGACTGCATTTTAATAAAATTGAGAAATTAATGTGATGGGCGAGTGTATTTCTCTCTCAAAGATTGTTTGAAAGATAGGCATGGAATCTAATAGAGTAGACTCTTAATGGAGTAGACTCTTTAATTCATGGATACCAACACTGTCTTGCATTTTAAGGTGAAATTATATGCTAAAATATAACTTCAAATGGCCTCATCCCCCTCAAAGGCAGCAGTACAGAAGAAATAGAAACGTATGGACACATATACACCATGGAATACTATGCAGCCATAAAAGGATGAGTTCATGTCCTTTGTAGGGACATGGATGAAGCTGGAAACCACCATTTTCAGCAAACTATCACAAAGACAGAAAACCAAACAACGCATGTTCTCACTCATAGGTGGGAATTGAGCAATGAGAACACTTGGACACAGGGTGGGGAACATCACACACCGGGGCCTGTCAGGGAGTGGGGGGCTGGGGAGGGATAGCATTAGGGGATATACCTAATGTAAATGAAGAGTTGATGGGTGCAGCAAACCAGCATAGCACATGTATACTATGTATCAAACCTGCATGTTGTGCACTTGTACCCTAGAACTTAAACTATAATAAAAAATAAAAATAAACTAAAATAATAAAGTATGTTCTATGCATATGAATATACTTAGCTTTTAAAATTATAATATATATACAATTTTTGAACTTGCTTTCTAAAAAATATAAGAATAAATATTTCCTTGTTGGTACAAAAAAAAGGAACATATGTAATGCAGATGTCTCCTCCCTGGCATCCTTGTCAGACCCTCCTCTTTCTGGAGCCCCTCCCATGGGACTGGTACCCAGGGCCTTACTCCCCATCCTCTCTCACCAGTCTGGTACAGCTACCAATATCTCCTACATTTACCCCAAACCAGCCACATCTTTACCCATGATTTCCAACTCCTGCCCTCTGACATGAGAGTAGCCCCTAAACATATTGCCTTTCTCCCAGCTTCAGTGAGAAAGGATATTCCAAATATCCCCCCACACCTTGTCTGCCCCTTTCAGTATAGTGAGAGGTAAAGTGGGGACATTCTAACTTGCCAGGCCCCTCTCTCTTCTTTTTTTTTTTGCCAACAGTCACCTCTCACGTTGTACCCTCTGCTCATATTCACTAGGAAAGTGAATCCTTCCCTCTCGTGCCTGGAAGCTCGGGATTCATATTCTTGTCTTGGGGAATGGCAAATTGCAGGATGTTACACAACTTGGGGGAGCCACATTAAAGAAAAGAGGAATGGTGACTTCTCTCTATGCTGTCTGGAACAAGTTCCTTACTACCTTATGATAGTACCTCATGACTTGAATGACTTCTAGAGGAGTCAGCACCTAAGAAACAAGAAATTTTGTTTTCTTCTGTTTTTTCAATGAACAAATAACTTGTCCAAGATTTTTTTGTGTCTCTCATTGTGTATAATACTATATTGGGCATATAGCAGGTGCCTAATGCTTAATACCTTTAAAAGAAAGCAGAACATCAGGTGGAAGGAAGAATTTTAGTTTTGAATCTTTAAGTATCTTGATTTTCTTATATCCCTGAAAAATAAAGAAAGAAAACATTCCCTCTTTGTAAATATTCTCTATTTGTAAATAGAGAGTAGTCAAAGCATGAAACACTGTCCAGTTTATACTTATCAAAGAAGAATCTTTATGTTTCTAATATATGCATACATTAATGTAATACCTTTATTTTGAATTAAAAAAAGATTTAGGAAGAAAAGAAAAAGGAGTAGTTCTTGTCCTTTTGAGAAGTAGAAATATACTTCTCTACTTCATTTTCCTGCAGGGCAAGACACTGAGAAACCGAGTTTAAAATCACGGGAACTACTCTGTGAGTGTTTTAGCCCCTCTAAAGCTGAAATATGTGAATTAGGTGAGATAAAATAAATAGTTCTATAGACACTGCCCTCAAAAGCATCTGTTAATTCTAACTGGGAAATAGTTAAGGGAGGTGAATATAGGTTGATTTTTTACACATTTGTTTAGACATCTTGTTTACAAATTTATTTAGAAGTCTTTGTTTAGGAACAAAGAAATTGACTTTGCCTAATCAAAGTTGAATTCAAATGAATTATTAGGCATTTCATAAAAAATGTTACTAATTTTTTTGTAGTATACCTGACATTCTGTCATAGAAATCTGACCTAAACTCTCAACAGAGCACTGTAGTGGCCCACCTGCTAGTGTGTCTTTGTACTCATTTCTAATTACATACATGCACATTCCAAAGAAAATGGAGTTATAATCAATATATTTAGGCAGAGAGCGAAAATCATTCACAAAATTAGTAAATTTAGTCTTATGATATGCATACATCAAAATACAGCTGGTTGACCAGATGTTTCACTTATTTTCCTGGATATATTATGATTGTGGTTGGCTCTTTTTTTCAGCACTAATACAGTTCAGTTTCTCTTTCTAAAAATAACCTTATCAGATGCCAACTATAAATGTGTATGTCAGTTTTGGGGAATTGAAAATAACATATGTTTGACTATGAAATAATGTTTGAAGGAAAAGTAAGAAATTTACTGATAGTTTTCTAGAAATACCATTGGAAAGCCTCTGATCCCAATTCTTTATTTTAAAAAATATTTAACAATCACCCAGTTGTGAATTTCGGAGACTGTAACAGCAAATGTGTTCAATTATCCCACAAATGTTAGAGAACACAGAATCCAGGCACCTGGAATACTGATGCTTTTGCCTTCATGCTTCTTAAGCTTAAGGACCCCTTCTCTTTATGTCTTATCACCTCTCCCTTTCTCCTTTAAACCAGAAAGGAAGGGGCCCCCACAATGTGATTGACTCCAGGCCTTAAACCTACCTCAGGTTTGGCCCTGAATTGTGCCTTTGAAGGCTAAAGGAGGTCCAGATGAAAGAGAGACTGGCTGAAAAAGCCCACAGAAAAATGTATTACAGAGATTAACATGCCACAGCCTCTTCATCAAAGACTCTGGGCAAAAATCAACAGGCAACAGAGCCTGCATCCAGAAGTTGTAGAAGTAAAATGCAGAGAAAAAAGACATCTGGACAGAGGAGGGGTTGAAATAATTTCTGGATCTCTGTTCTCACTAAAGGATAGTTAGATAATGCAAAAGTATAAGAAAGTTAAGAAAAATATCAACTACAGTATATAAAGTTAATTATATACTGTAGTTGATATTGTTTTACATGGATATACGTATTGTACAGCATTTTGTTAAAGAACTATTTTTGGTATACCTATTATGCTTTAGGCACTGTTATTTGTTGAATAAATACCTTATTTCACCTTTATATTAGTATACTGAGGGTAGGTGATATTGGCCCATTTTATGAATGAGAAAACATGCTGTTAGAGGGAAATGGACTTGATCAACCTTAATTGTGAATGGAAAGAGCTGAGAAGGATTGATATGGTCTGACTCTGTGTCCCCACCCAAATCTCCTCTCAAATTATAATCCCCAGGTATTGAGGGAGGACCTTGGTGGGAGGTAATTGGATCATGGGGTGGTTTCTCCCACGCTGTTCTTGTGATAGTGAGGAAGTTTTCATGAGATCTGGTTGTTTAATAAGTGTCTAGTGCGTCCTCTTTCACATTCTCTTTCTCCTACCACCAAGTAAGACATGCCTTGCTTCCCCTTCACCTTCTGCTGTGATTGTAAGTTTCCTGAGGCCACTCCATCCATGCAGAACTGTAGGTCAATTAAACTTCTTTTTTTTTTTTTTTATAAATTACCCAGTCTCAGGTGGTATCTTTATAGGAGCATGAAGCATGAAAACAGACTAATACAAGGATTAGAGCTAAAACCGGATGACAGCAGATATTCAAGTTGAAGTCTGGTTCCAAAGTCTAGGATCTTTGCACTAAATCCCATTACTTTCCAAACTGTCCTAGAGTAAGCTGAAAATGCAAATTATAAGCGCATTCTTGAAAGAGACTCTAAAAACTATTTTTATATAAATGTGACGTTAAAATAATAGATCCATATATTTACTATGCATTAGAATCACCTGGCCAAAAATAAATGCAGATTCACTTGTCTACTTTCAGACAATCTTACTCAGTAGGTCTAGGGTGGTCTTTGGTTACACTAAGCACACCTGAAACTCTGGTGTTTCAATCATTGTTCTTCACTGAAAACAACTGAAGCTGATTTTGGCTGATGTAATCAGAAAGTAAACTTGTTGGAGGGTATGGTGATACATTTTGGATGTGTTTCCCCGCCCAAATCTCATATTGAATTGTAATCCCCAATGTTGGGTGTGGGGGCTGGTGAGAGGTGATTGGATTAATGGTTTAGGACCGTCCAGTTGCTGCTGTCCTCATGTCTTGCTCCTGCTCTGGCCACATAACCTGCCTGCTCCCTCTTTGCCTTCTGCCATAACTGTAAGTTACCTGAGGCCTCCCCAGAAACTGAGCAGATGCCAGTATCATGCTTCCTGTACAGGCTGCAGAACTGTGAGCCTATTAAACCTCTTTTCTTTAAAAATTAGCCAGTCTCAGGTATTTCTTTATAGCAATGCAAGAATGGCCTAATACATATGGTAAGGAGAATGGCCTCTCAGAGATGTCCAAATCTGAATCCCTGGAACCTGGGAATATGTTACTTTATGTAGATAAAACACCTTTCAGGTGTGATTAAATGAAGGGCCTTGAGAATGGGAGATTTTCCTGGATGACCTATGTGGACCCAATGTAATCACCAGGGTCCTTGTAAGTGAAGGAAGGCAGAGGAGTCTGAGTCGGTGCAGGAGATGTAATAGGAAGGAGAGGAAGTAAGAAGCCTGTGAGGATGAAAGTTCAGATCAGAACAATGTAATTTCAGACTCTGATGATAGAGGAGGGGACCAGGAAACCTCTAGAAGCTGGAAAAAGAAAGGAAAGAGATTCTCCCCTAAAGCTTCCAGAAGAAGCCCATTTTGGACTTTTGAACTCCAGAACTGTAAGATCATAAATGCATGTTGTTTAAGCCACTATACTTGAGATAATTTCTTCTAGCAGCAACAAGAAACTAATAAAGAAGTGAATTGCATTCATGTTTCTCTGCACTTTTAAAATACAGAGTCATATTTTTGGGTGTAGTATCTGTCTGCTGAGGGATGTGAGAAGAGCTCTTCATATTTCTTTACCAATTAGTGTGCCCCTCCCCTAGCTTATGTTTCCTTCTAATGCCTTTAGTACCAATGAACTTTGTCACAGGATTGCCCTTGGACTATCAGAGCAGAAGTTTATGCTGAGATTTTCAGTGTCCCAAACCCCTTCTAGATTCTAGACCCCAAGAAATACACTATACCATTCAGTAATGACGTCCTTATGAACATTCTCTTTTCCATGCAAATTTCCTCAGTTCCCCATTAGGCGTGATAACCACCCAATTACATCATACCACTTATATCAGATATTCAACTAATGTGTTTCAAATAAATGCATAAATTAATGAAAAAATGAATAGGAATATCCCCGGCATGACTAGCTCTTTTCATTTTGATTGGTATAAAATCATTCCAATAAACGCATATTATTCCAAGCAGAGTACTCTAAAAGAAATAAGACAATTCATCTCAGGAGTTTGTGTTTTTCTATTAATGGGGTGTGATAAGTGGGAATATACTTTGGATTGCTCTCTGGCACACTTACACTCATGAATAACATGCACTGAAGTTTCTTCTCAGCCAAAAGTTGCCCTGAGAGAAATTTCATCACTGATGAAATGACAATAGTTGTCCGGCTCCACAGTTAATTTGTAAATCATTCACAAAAGACCCATAAACTGTTAGTGTATCTAGCTTTTAATATGGCAATTGAGGAAACCACATCCATTTGAACAGAAACTGACAGAAAACCAAGAAAGAGCCTGACTTTCAAATTACACAGGCCAGCACAGGATAGAACCAAGCTTTTCTTGGCTTACTAGGAATGATTCAGCTTAATGACAAAAGAAAGTTAGACTGACTTTTAACTCGCCCATGTCTACCACACCATCTCTAATTTTGTTATTTTGCACTTTCAAAATAGATTTGTTTGAAGATATAGGAATATAGAACGGTTTATAAGCTAGTTGATTTCTTCTTATTTTAATTTAATGACAAATAATATCACTATTATTACTTATGAGAAAAACAATAAATTACTTACTTACAAATGAGGGTATCTTTATAAAACTGCAGTATTGACGAGCCAAGATGGCCAAATAGGAACAGCTCCGGTCTACAGCTCCTAGCGTGAGCGACGCAGACGACGGGTGATTTCTGCATTTCCATCTGAGGTACCGGGTTCATCTCACTAGGGAGTGCCAGATAGTGGGCGCAGGTCAGTGGGTGCACGCACCTTGCGCCAGCCAAAGGTGGGCGAGGCATTGCCTCACTCGGGAAGCACAAGGGGTCAGGGAGTTCCCTTTCCTAGTCAAAGAAAGGGGTGACAGACGGCACCTGGAAAATCCGGTCACTCCCACCCGAATACTGCGCTTTTCCGACGGGCTTAAAAAACGGCGCACTACGAGATTATATCCCACACCTGGCTAGGAGGGTCCTACGCCCACGGAGTCTCGCTGATTGCTAGCACAGCAGTCTGAGATCAAACTGCAAAGCGGCAGCGAGGCTGGGGGAGGGGCGCCCGCCATTGCCCAGGCTTGATTAGGTAAACAAAGCAGCCGGGAAGCTCCAACTGGGTGGAGCCCACCACAGCTCAAGGAGGCCTGCCTGCCTCTGTAGGCTCCAACTCTGGGGGCAGGGCACAGACAAACAAAAAGACAGCAGTAACCTCTGCAGACTTAAATGTCCCTGTCTGACAGCTTTGAAGACAGCAGTGGTTCTCCCAGTAAGCAGCTGGAGATCTGAGAACGGGCAGACTGCCTCCTCAAGTGGGTCCCTGACCCCTGACCCCCGAGCAGCCTAACTGGCAGGCACCCCCCAGCAGGGGCACACTGACACCTCACACTGCAGGGTACTCCAACAGACCTGCAGCTGAGGGTCTTGTCTGTTAGAAGGAAAACTAACAAACAGAAAGGACATCCACACCAAAAACCCATCTGTACATCACCATCATCAAAGACCAAAAGTAGATAAAACCACAAAGATGGGGAAAAAACAGAACAGAAAAACTGGAAACTCTAAAAAGCAGAGCACCTCTCCTTCTCCAAAGGAACGCAGTTCCTCAACAGCAACAGAACAAAGCTGGACGGAGAATGACTTTGACGAGCTGAGAGAAGAAGGCTTCAGATGATCAAATTACTCTGAGCTACGGGAGGACATTCAAACCAAAGGCAAAGAAGTTGAAAATTTTGAAAAAAATTTACAAGAATGTATAACTAGAATAACCAATACAGAGAAATGCTTAAAGGAGCTGATGGAGCTGAAAACCAAGGCTCGACAACTACGTGAAGAATGCAGAAGCCTCAGGAGCCGATGCGATCAACTGGAAGAAAGGATATCAGCGATGGAAGATGAAATGAATGAAATGAAGTGAGAAGGGAAGTTTAGAGAAAAAAGAATAAAAAGAAATGAGCAAAGCCTCCAAGAAACATGGGACTAAGTGAAAAGACCAAATCTACGTCTGATTGGTGTACCTGAAAGTGATGGGGAGAATGGAACCAAGTTGGAAAACACTCTGCAGGATATTATCCAGGAGAACTTCCCCAATCTAGCAAGGCAGGCCAACGTTCAGATTCAGGAAATACAGAGAACGCCACAAAGATACTCCTCAAGAAGAGCAATTCCAAGACAGATAATTGTCAGATTCACCAAAGTAGAAATGAAGGAAAAAATGTTAAGGGCAGCCACAGAGAAAGGTCGGGTTACCCTCAAAGGGAAGCCCATCAGACTAACAGCGGATCTCGCGGCAGAAACCCTACAAGCCAGAGGAGAGTGGGGGCCAATATTCAACATTCTTAAAGAAAAGAATTTTCAACCCAGAATTTCATATCCAGCCAAACTAAGCTTCATAAGTGAAGGAGAAATAAAATACGTTACAGACAAGCAAATGCTGAGAGATTTTGACACCACCAGGCCTGCCCTAAAAGAGCTCCTGAAGGAAGCGCTAAACATGAAAACGGACAACCGGCACCAGCCGCTGCAAAATCATGCCAAAATGTAAAGACCATCGAGACTAGGAAGAAACTGCATCAACTAACGAGCAAAATAACCAGCTAACATCATCATGACAGGATCAGATTCACACATAACAATATTAAATTTAAATGTAAATGGACTAAATGCTCCAATTAAAAGACACAGACTGGCAAATTGGATAAAGAGTCAAGACCCATCAGTGTGCTGTATTCAGGAAACCCATCTCACGTGCAGAGACACATAGGCTCAAAATAAAAGGATGGAGGAAGATCTACCAAGCAAATGGAAAACAAAAAAAGGCAGGGGTTGCAATCCTAGTCTCTGATAAAACAGACTTTAAACCAACAAAGATCAAAAGAGACAAAGAAGGCCATTACATAATGGTAAAGGGATCAATTCAACAAGAAGAGCTAACTATCCTAAATATATATGCACACAATACAGGAGCACCCAGATTGATAAAGCAAGTCCTGAGTGACCTACAAAGAGACTTAGACGCCCATACATTAATAATGGGAGACTTTAACACCCCAATGTCAACATTAGACAGATCAACGAGACAGAAAGTCAACAAGGATACTCAGGAATTGAACTCAGCTCTGCACCAAGTGGACCTAATAGACATCTACAGAACTCTCCACCCCAAATCAAGAGAATATACATTTTTTTCAGCACCACACCACACCTATTCCAAAACTGACCACATACTTGGAAGTAAAGCTCTCCTCAGCAAATGTAAAAGAACAAAAATTATAACAAACTATCTCTCAGACCACAGTGCAATCAAACTAGAACTCAGGATTAAGAAACTCACTCAAAACTGCTCAACTGCAAGGAAACTGAACAACCTGCTCCTGAATGACTACTGGGTACATAACAAAATGAAGGCAGAAATAAAGATGTTCTTTGAAACCTATGAGAACAAAGACACAGCATACCAGAATCTCTGGGATGCATTCAAAGCAGTGTGTAGAGGGAAATTTATAGCACTAAATGCCCACAAGAGAAAGCAGGAAAGATCCAAAATTGACACCATAACATCACAATTAAAAGAACTAGAAAAGCAAGAGCAAACACATTCAAAAGCTAGCAGAAGGCAAGAAATAACTAAAATCAGAGCAGAACTGAAGGAAATAGAGACACAAAAAACCCTTCAAAAAATTAATGAATCCAGGAGCTGACTTTTTGAAAGGATCAACAAAATAGATAGACTGCTAGCAAGACTAATAAAGAAAAAAAGAGAGAAGAATCAAATAGACGCAATTAAAAAATGATAAAGGGGATATCACCACCAATCCCACAGAAAGACAAACTACCATCAGAGAATACTACAAACACCTCTACGCAAATAAACTAGAAAATCTAGAAGAAATGGATAAATTCCTCGACACATACACCCTCCCAAGACTAAACCAGGAAGAAGTTGAATCTCTGAATAGACCAATAACAGGAGCTGAAATTGTGGCAATAATCAATGGCTTACCAACCAAAAAGAGTCCAGGACAAGATGGATTCACAGCCGAATTCTACCAGAGGTACAAGGAGGAACTGGTACCATTCCTTCTGAAACTATTCCAATCAACAGAAAAAGAGGGAATCCCCCCTAACTCATTTTATGAAGCCAGCATCATTCTGATACCAAAGCCAGGCAGAGACACAACCAAAAAAGAGAATTTTAGACCAATATCCTTGATGAACACTGATGCAAAAATCCTCAATAAAATACTGGCAAACTGAATCCAGCAGCACATCAAAAAGCTTATCCACCATGATCCAGTGGGCTCCATCCCTTGGATGCAAGGCTGGTTCAATATATGCAAATCAATAAATGTAATCCAGCATATAAACAGAACCAAAGACAAAAACCACATGATTTTTTCAATAGATGCAGAAAAAGCCTTTGACAAAATTCAACAACCCTTCATGCTAAAAACTCTCAATAAATTAGGTATTGATGGGATGTATTTCAAAATAATAAGAGCTATCTATGACAAACCCACAGCCAATATCATACTGAATGGGCAAAAACTGGAAGCATTCCCTTTGAAAACCGGCACAAGACAGGGATGCCCTCTCTCACCACTCCTATTCAACATAGTGTTGGAAGTTCTGGCCAGGGCAATCAGCCAGGAGAAGGAAATAAAGGGTATTCAATTAGGAAAAGAGGAAGTCAAATTGTCCCTGTTTGCAGACGACACGATTGTATATCTAGAAAACCCCATTGTCTCAGCCCAAAATCTCCTTAAGCTGATAAGCAACTTCAGCAAAGTCTCAGGATACAAAATCAATGTACAAACATCACAAGCATTCTTATACACCAACAACAGACAAACAGAGAGCCAAATCATGAGTGAACTCCCATTCACAATTGCTTCAAAGAGAATAAAATACCTAGGAATCCAACTTACAAGGGATGTGAAGGACCTCTTCAAGGAGAACTACAAACCACTGCTCAAGGAAATGAAAGAGGATACAAAGAAATGGAAGAACATTCCATGCTCATGGGTAGGAAGAATCAATATCGTGAAAATGACCATATTGCCCAAGGTAATTTACAGATTCAATGCCATCCCCATCAAGCTACCAATCACTTTCTTCACAGAATTGGAAAAAACTACTTTAAAATTCATATGGAACCAAAAAAGAGCCCACATCGCCAAGTCACTCCTAAGCCAAAAGAACAAAGCTAGAGGCATCACACTACCTGACTTCAAACTATACTACAATGCTACAGTAACCAAAACAGCATGGTACTGGTACCAAAACAGAGATATAGATCAATGGAACAGAACAGAGCTCTCAGAAATAACACCGCATATCTACAACTGTCTGATCTTTGACAAACCTGACAAAAACAAGCAATGGGGAAAGGATTCCCTATTTAATAAATGGTGCTGGGAAAACTGGCTAGCCATATGTAGAAAGCTGAAACTGGATCCCTTCCTTACACCTTATACAAAAATCAATTCAAGATGGATTAAAGACTTAAACCTTAGACCTAAAACCATAAAAACCCTAGAAGAAAACCTAGGCATTACCATTCAGGACATAGGCATGGGCAAGGACTTCATGTCTAAAACACCAAAAGCAATGGCAACAAAAGCCAAAATTGACAAATGGGATCTCATTAAACTAAAGAGCTTCTGCACAGCAAAAGAAACTACCATCAGAGTGAACAGGCAACCTACAAAATGGGAGAAAATTTTCGCAACCTACTCATCTGACAAAGGGCTAATATCCAGAATCTACAATGAACTCAAACACATTTACAAGAAAAAAACAAACAACCCCATTAAAAAGTGGGCAAAGGACATGAACAGACACTTCTCAAAAGAAGACATTTATGCAGCCAAAAAACACATGAAAAAATGCTCACCATCACTGGCCATCAGAGAAATGAAAATCAAAACCACAATGAGATACCATCTCACACCAGTTAGAATGGCAATCATTAAAAAGTCAGGAAACAACAGGTGCTGGAGAGGATGTGGAGAAATAGGAACACTTTTACACGGTTGGTGGGACTGTAAACTAGTTCAACCATTGTGGAAGTCAGTGTGTCGATTCCTCAGGGTTCTAGAACTAGAAATACCATTTGACCCAGCCATCCCATTACTGGGTATATACCCAAAGGACTATAAATCATGCTGCTATAAAGACACATGCACACGTATGTTTATTGCAGCATTATTCACAATAGCAAAGACTTGGAACCAACCCAAATGTCCAACAATGATAGACTGGATTAAGAAAATGTGGCACATATACACCATGGAATACTATGCAGCCATAAAAAATGATGAGCTCATGTCCTTTGTAGGGACATGGATGAAATTGGAAATCATCATTCTCAGTAAACTATCGCAAGGACAAAAAACCAAACACCGCATATTCTCACTCATAGGGGGGAATTGAACAATGAGATCACATGGACACAGGAAGGGGAACATCACACTCTGGGGACTGTTGTGGGGTGGGGGGAGGGAGGAGGGATAGCATTGCGAGATATACCTAATGCTAGATGACGAGTTAGTGGGTGCAGCGCACCAGCATGGCACATGTATACATATGTAACTAACCTGCACAATGTGCACATGTACCCTAAAACTTAAAGTATAATAATAAAACAAAAACAATAACAAAAAAATAAATAAAACTGCAGTATTTATCATTTTGGGTTGCAGTAAAACAAATCAACAAAGGAAATAGAATGAAATAAAACAACTTGTTTAAAGAGATTTAAATTTAAGATAAAGGGGGCATTTTAAATAATTTAAGAAATTATTTCTTAGTCAACAATTGGTGGAAAATTACTGCCATAAGTGAAGAATAAAAAATTGAGTTAGAACACTACTCCATGTTACACACTGCGATACACACTAATGGTTTAAAGAACAGACAACTAAACAAACCACTGTTAAAGACAAATATCAAATAAAATTCTGAGTAGCTTTGAATTATGAAAACTCTACCTAAAAAGAGCCCAAACCAAAAGCTATATATCAACAGATTTGACTATGTCAAAATTTAAAACTTCATTATGATAAAGTCAACTATCAAAAAATTAAGATACAAATTATGGCTTGAAGCCAAAATTGGTACCATATTTAATAAACAAAGATTTATTATCCAGAATACATAGTATTCTCATATATAACTTGGAAAATGAAATGTACTAAATGGAAAATGAGTCTAAGATTTAATTAGTCAATTCACAGTAGAATAAATACAAGTGAAAAAAATGAAAGTAGTTCACCTTTATTCATAATCAGGGAAATATACACTAAAAACACAATGAGGTATCTCATTACAGAGATAAACAATTGGAAGAGTTGGAAAATGATGTGGGGAAACAGAACCTCTAATATTGATGGAGAATACATTAGTAAACATTTCACTGAGCCTATTTGGTAATATACACCAATAATTTAAATGGTTCTATCTTTAAATCCAGAAGCTCCATTTCAACAATTCTATTCTTAATAAATATTTACACATGTGCACAATCCTATGAATATATAAGAAGGTTTATTGTGATATTGTCTCATCATTCTGAAATATTGGAAATGACCCAATTGTCCTTCAAAAGGGGAACTGTATGTTATGTATCCATAGAATAGTCACAATATGGAATATGATGCAGGTATTAAAAAAAGTATGAATTGACATTAAAACGTCTCCAGAACATTTTTGTTGTATATCAAACCGAGTGTCCTAACACACATATTATGATCCTATTTATGTCTAAAAAATAAATTTTTTGTGTAAATTGTACACATGTAAATGCATAGGAAGAATGTTGATCAGTGGATATCTCTTGGGAGGAGATTGTATAAGGAAAAGAAAATGGAGAAGATTCCATATTTATGACTTTCAATATAGTTTGAATATTTTATAATGCAAAATATATGTATTTTACTATAAAAAGACAAAAATAAATCTATTTTAAAGAACATTTCCACATTTTGAAGCCAGGACCAAAACTCTGCTTTGAAGTGAAAATACTGAAATTTTTAATAACTTAAATACCCTTTGGTTCATACCATTTTTCCTTGCCAGGAAGCAGTAGCATGGCTGTGATCATTAAGTAAATTATGTAAATTAAATATATGATACAAAATATATAATAAAGACAACATTTTTAACATGATTGCTACTAATGTCTTATAGTCTAATTTGCAACACATAGTGTTTCACTTGAAACCATTCCAAGATTCCATGACTATATTAAATTTAATTGCAACTTTAAACTTTTGAAAGTGAGAAGAGTAATCCCTTGATTGTTCCTATTTCCCCTCTGTACTAGGTTTTTAAATTCTTGATCAATTGTGTTAGACACCACCTTGGGTTTGTCCTCCCCTTCCTCAGCAAAGCAATCCAGTAATGAGACTAAATTTAGGAGCATTTCCTTTCATTCTAGCCTTCCTTGGTTTGGTTTCACATCAGTGGGCCCATTATGCACTCCAACGGCCCTGTAAATAACTTCTTGCTTTGCTTTGGAGTTATTTGACTCTCCTGCATTTAGCCATCCTTCTAGGCTAATTCAAAGCATATCTAAGTTAAAATTCAACCTTAAAAAATAAAGCACTTAAATGGACATCTCAGGATTAAAGAAAAACATCACTAAGTTGACTTTGCATATAATGTTTCTATGATTGCAGAAGCAGAAGGAAGAATTTCATTAAGACCCAGTGCGAGTAACAACAAAATAAAATGATTGTGGTGAGCCTCAGCCCAACGGCGACATCCAGGAAACTGACAGAGCTGAGGCAGCTCCTAGGATGTCAACGCAAAGGTTGACAGAGCCTGCCAAGGAACCAGATGCTGATGTCAGACAGAGACAGGAAAAATGGACCACAGTTTGTTATCTGTTTCCTGTGATTAGAATCAGCATCAACCCTCACTCTCTTTTTCAGATTAATTAATAAAGTCTGGTGTGAAGAATTTCAATAAAATATTTGTTCAAAAGGGAGAAAAGAAACATCTGCTTTAGAATTGTTTTCCCCTTTAGTCAGAGTCTGTAAAATGTGTGTACGTTGGTTTTTTTCTGTGCCTACATTTGGTGGACATTAAAACAATGTTTAAGCACAGTAAAATGTAGTAGTGTTTACCTCCGATTTTAGAAGATACTTTTCTCAATATTGGTGCCAGTGTCAACATTTAATATATGTTTTTTACCTTTTCCTCCTCTCTCTCTCCCCCCCTTTCTTTCTCTTTCTTTCTTCCTTTCTTCCTTGCTTTCTTCCTTCCTTCCTTCCTTCCTTTCCTTCCTCTCTGTCTCTCTTTCTCTCTTTCTCTCTCTCCCTTTCTTCCTTCCTTCCTTCCTTCCTTCCTTCCTTCCTTCCTTCCTTCTACTACTACAACAACAAAGCACATCTTTCTGTCTTGGATGTTTTCTTTAAGAAGTAAAACTGGCCGGGCGCGGTGGCTCACGCCTGTAATCCCAGCACTTTGGGAGACTGAGGCAGGCGGATCACGAGCTCAGGAAATCAAGACCATCCTGGCTAACACGGTGACACCCCGTCTCTACTAAAAATACGAAAACTTAGCCGGGCATGGTGGCGGGTGCCTGTAGTCCCAGCTACTCAGGAGGCTGAGGCAGGAGAATGGCGTGAACCCGGAAGGCGGAGCTTGCAGTGAGCAGAGTGTCCAGCCTGGGCGACAGAGCGAGACTGTCTCAAAATAATAATAATAATAATAATAATAATAATAATAATAATAATAATTAGAAATAAAACTCTATATTAAGACCAATCACACCTTTCATGGCACCAAGCTCAAATGAAACCATGATAAACTGTGAAAACCAGAGGTGTCTGTGACCTAAAACAATTTTTTAACCTCTTAAATGCAAGGGCTATGTGAAGAATGCGGGTTTTCTTTTCCCCCCAACCTCTTGCATGACAGTCACTCGTCGATTAGAAAAAACACAGCATGGCCAAAGGCAAGTACAAATTGTAATCAAGTTTATAGTTTGTAAATTAAAAACGTATTACATAATAGAAAAGTTTCCTCTTTTCTATAGAAACATGATGAAAACAACACATACTTGAATAGTGATTTACAGTCTAGCTGTACATGTGTACATGTATACTACCTTATTTAGTCTTTATAACAAAATTGAGAGATGCAGAAACTGGATATCGTAGACTTACCCAAAGGCAAACAGCAAAAAAGTCATGGAACTCAACTTCTGGATTTGCTTTTCCAATTCCAGGACTCTTACAGTTACACTACCAAAGCTTCAGAAAAAAAAGCACCTATTAGAGAAAAAAAAAATATGAAAGCTGTATACAAATATTGGTACAACTTTTCAAAATGCTGGGTCAAATACAGTTCTTTCTCAAGGAAGAAGAATTAGATGAATAGACAAACACACATTATTCCAACCGGGAGTTTCATTATCTCCTTTTTCCCCATGTGTTTTAAAGGATGTGTCAGACTGCATTAGGATTATTTAAACAAGGATGTGCCATTTGAGTCACTAATATTAGATTACTTTGTCATCCATCATCTCATAGGTTTTACAATCCTATTTTCATAAAAAGAGAGTAACCGATGCGCTCAAGTTCAGTTAGGAGTAGCAGAGCCAGTACACAATTAAGGCATTCTTTATCTGAGTCCATTCACTGACTATCTCTTCCTCTATCTTAGCTATCTCTATTTATCTCTAGTCATCTACTTATCTAGCAAAATATAATTCACTGCAATATCCTTTTCTGGGAAAATTATATGCACCTTCTTCCATCACCTCTATGAGGGTGCACACAGACAATACCTCCATGACACAGTCTAGAGGGGTGGCCTCTGAAGACGTCTTACCTGTGGCGTTTTAAGATGGATGCCTGTGCTTTCTTAGTCAATAGTCAAAGACAGAAAAATAAACCAATTATGTATGAAATTGAGAATACCAATTATTTACTATTAACGTATACATAAATTTAGTTTATTTTAAAGGAAAGGTCATCATATACTTTTCTGAGAAAGGAGCACTCTCTCCAGATAGTTAAAATATTTAGAAGCATGATTTCTCAGTGAGAGTATTATTTATGGTTTGAAGATCTGCCCTGGAGCCATTTTGAAATCTGCTTATCAATCTTTTAAACCCAACTGAAATCTTCTGTCTGCTTCTTGTGAGATTCGGTAGAACAATTAAGGAACTTGTAGAACATTTTTTCCTAATCTCAAGTCATGCTCCTTAAAGTTTAAGTGGAGAGGGCTCTATAGATGAAGAAGCTTCAGGATAGACTATTCCACATCTAAATTAAAATCAGAGAGGGCTAGAAGATTTCTTTCACAGCTGTTGAAGATAAGGCTAAGAAACTATATCTAGTGCCTAAGACAGAACCACATCCACCATGAATGATAACAGAATTTACCTGAAAATTTAAAGGTTGGGGACCAATGTGTAACCACTAGAATTACTTTTTTTTTAATCTAGTGGTTTATTTACATAAATTATTTTGTTAAGTAAATTATGAAATGTGTAAAGCATAAAACTATAAGGTGCTCTTTAATTTTAATGACATTATAATAAATTTAAAGATATCTTAAATTTACCCTATTTGAGTAAGATATAAGACGAGATTCATCAACTGATGACAAATACATAGTTGTATTTACAACTGGCAACACATATTCAGGCACTTTGAAAATTTCTGGCCATATATGCTATGTACACTATGAACATGGAATCCAAGTGACAAAACTGGGGCAAATATGACACTTCAATCAGCTGATAATGCAATATTGATATTTCACAAGTAGCTCAGTGACTTTGCATAGCATTTAGTTTCAATAACCAGGTTTGATATTTAACTGAAGGATTTCATTTTTTCTTTAACATTGGCTTTTTTGAATATTTATTTTAATCTTACTTCTCTGTTACTGTATCTTTCTTAGTCTGCTCAAGACTCCATGGACTGGGTGGCAGGTTAGAAGCTAGAAATCCGGTGCCAGCATTGTTGGTTTCTTGCCAGAAATGCCTTCTTGCTATGTTCTCACATGGCAAAGAGAGAAAGAGACAGCAAGCACTCTGTCACCTTTTTTATGAAGGCCACCAATCCCATCGTTGGAGATTGAGGACATTAATCTCTACTCTCATGACCTCATTTAAATCTAATAGTCTCCCAAAGACCCCATCTTCAAATACCATGACATTGGGGGTTAGGGGTGGTTACAGACTGCAGGTTTATGTCCTCTCAAAAGTCATATGTAGAAACCTAATTACCAATGTGACGGTATTTGGAGGTGGGTTCTTTGAGAAATGATGAGATCTGGAAGACAGAACATTCATGAATGGGATTAGTACTCTTACGAAAGGGATTCCCGAAAAGTCCCTCACTCCTTCTGCCATGTGAGGACACAGGGGAAAGACAATCATTTATGGAAAACAAAATGGGCCCTCACCAGACATTGAATCTGCTGGCACCTTGATATTGTATTTCCCAGCCTCCAGAACTATCATAAATAAATTTCTGTTGCTTATAAGCCAGCTAATCTATGATATTTTGCTATAGCAGCCTGAGCTGTCTAAGATAGATCTCAATATATGCATTTTGGAGAGACACAATTCAGTCCATAGCATTTCATCCTGGACTCCAAAATTCATGTCCTATGTCATTCTCATATCCAAAATACATCCTTTTCATTCCAGTAGTCTTTTAAACATATGTTAACAATTCTGACCATTTATAGGAATGATTTTATGATATGTGGTCATAAAATATTATACTAAAAATCATGATTAAATATATGGAATTAATTTCTATTTTTCCACTTAAATACAAAAATATACAGAATTATTCACATATTTTAAATAATTTGAAATCAGTAGAAATGTGTTTAGCATCCTTACCTATGATAAGATTAAGAAGCTGATGAGCATGAGCAAACATAACATCTTGGATATTAAAGAGGTGAACTGGTAATATGATTATGCCAATGCTAGACATATTTAGTTCACATATGTTTACAACTAAAACAATATTGGAAACAACCTAAATATAAAATAATTGGGCTTTATACTTTCCTAGGAATATCTATTACGATTATCAAACTATACTTCTGCAGAATTTTAATTATTTAAAATCAAGCACAATATGCGGCGTTATGTCTTTACATGTTTGAACACAGAACACATGTTGTAATTTTACATGTGTGTATGTGATCTACTTAAGAATAACTGTTTTTTAAATTTAGTACCGTTAACCTTCAGCAACATTGGAGTGAGGGGCACTAACTCCGTAAGCAATTAAAAACCTGTGTATAAATCTTGACTCCCCCAAAACTTAACTACTAATAACCCACTGTTGACTGGCAGCCTTACTGATAACATAAACAGTCAATTAACACATATTTTGTATGTTATATGCATTACTTACTGGAATTCCTTTAAATTTTTTAAAATAAATTAACTTATTTTTTTCCTTCTCTCTATACATACACACAAACATATGCACACACACACATATTCACACACACACACACACACCCTACTGGTGTTGTTCTCTAGGGAACACTAATACACTATCTTTCAGAGAAAAGCAAATGCTAAACTATTTATGTACCAAAACTCAATCCTTGATACGTGGTCTAAAATAAAGAAAATATTTGAAATTATAAGTTTCAGAAAATCCAAGATAACGTCTAAATAATTTGCCACTAGAAACAAGGAAAATATGTTCTCTGCAGACATGACTGGCCGAGGGCTTAATCCCAAAAACCTCCAGTTATGCTTCTATTGATATTTTGTTTCCTATAAAAGAAAAATAACGAATAAACAGAAACTGAAAAGTATTTTGTTCTGGCTCAATCCTTTGCTTACAGTTTCCATCATAGGTATGATTATCTATCTGTGAAAGATAAGGACCCATCTTGATGAAATTTCTTACAAAGTTGGCAACTTTATATTTTATCTTTTCCTGTTTGGTTTATCTTTCCCATTTCCTATAATATACATCATATTTTTTTCTGGCTGTGCACTTAACAGGCTTCCCAATTTTAATTTTTGTCTAGTGGGAGCAGTATGTTTTCTTGGTTTTGAGGTTGACACTCTTGTTGGATACTGACCATATGTTTTTACAATATATATTATACCAAGTTCCTGTTTTCTCAGTGCTTATTTTTATATGTAGGGGTTAACTAGAGTAAAATGAACAGATTAAATTATATTTCAGTCATAGCCTGGATTAATTTTCACTTAAATTTATTTCAAACTAAATGTTTCATCCCTATTCATCTTTATTCATTCAACTGTATCCCATGGATGCTCGCCATTTAAACACCTGGTAGTTTTCCCTTCTTGGCAGATTCTTGGACTCGTCCTAGCTTTTCAAATGTTTTAGTAGAATTAAGAACATTATTATTCTCAAAGGTGAGGAGGGCTTGGGGGAAATTTTAATGTAACTTATTTTCATTGCCAAAGATATGCTATGGGTTTAAGAGGTAAATTTCATAGCTACAACCCCCCACTCTGGGTTCCATACTTGTTATGAATGTGAATCTTCCCAGTGCCTTTGTGAGGACTTAGAAGGTGGAAGTGTCATAGAGTTATTAACAGAAAGCACCAATAAATAGCGGTGGCTTCAATGTCTGAATAATGCTTTCACTATAAACTAAGAAGTTTGGAAAACCCAAAAATATAATTCATGTAACACAACACTAACATTGCATTTTACTTTTCTTGTGTACACCCTGAATACATAGTTTAATAACTTAAAAATTATAAGTTGTATTCATATGTTATTTCCACAAAAAGTGACAGCATTTTGATATTTTTCCCATTCCATACTATGTTAATTTCTATCTGACTATGCTGTACTTTAGCATGGTATGATCAGATAGACCATGCTATATTTGGTAAAACTATTTTGTACAATTTAACAATTCATTCAATAAATTCTACTGCTAAACTGCAGTAATGATAGACTATCATCAATAATAATGATGGGTACAAAAACAGTAGTTAGAAAGAATGAATGAGATTTACTATTTGACAACACAACGGAATGACTATAGTCAATAATAATTTAATTGTACATGTTAAAATAACTAAAATCATATAATTGGATTGTTTGTAACACAAAGGATAAATGCATGAGGTGATGGATACCTCATTTGCCGTGATGTGATTATTATGCATTATATGCCTGTATCAAAATATCTCACATACCCCATGAATAATACACCTACTATGTAACCATAAAAATTAAAAATTAAAAAGATCAATAATGATGGAAAAAAAAACTACCAGCCTTCTCTCTGCATCACTGCAGTGACATGTCCTACATTCTAACAGAGCAGAATCCCCTATTAGAGGTAGGTTTTGCCACAATCTAGATTAGTTTTTTCTGGATAAAGATTTCACACCAAACAGAAAAAGACAAGAGCAAATCACAACAGGTTTTGCAAACAGCTCCTGCAACCACAAATGTAATATGTTCAATGTGGAAAGCACTGTTAATGATGCGTACATTTTCTCAACCACATCCACAAGTTAATCAAAACCACTGTCAGTGGCACTACTTTTGCAAATAAAGATCATACACATGTACATACACGTGACAAACTGTAGATGTAACACTCTGTAATACTGTATATTTAAATAAAGATTAAATATGTAAGAAAATTGGCCTAATTAAATAAATATGCACATGGGGAAATCAAGGTTACACTCTAAGGTCTGTACTTCTAACCGCTAACTGACACTGAAGAGAGCTAGCCTAAAAGAGATAATATCGTTTGGCAAAGCACTAAAATAGAGTCAAACTGTTTCCACAACACCATGAAAACACATTAATTTAGTGAGCTACAGGTCTATCAAACTTTGGCTTGGTACATGCATACAATAAATATTCTATGTCAATTTACGCTAAAGAAAAAATTTATTTGGCAAAATATAGACAAAACCTCTGTTTGAATTACTATACCTCATCCCATTTCCCATTTTAATTGATTTTTCAGCAAATTTTGTCCTCCTTGGAAGTACACTCTTAATTTACAGCACTTTTTTTTTAACTTTTAAGTTCAGGGCTGTAAGTGCAGGTTTGTTGCATAAGTAAACTTGTGTCATGGGGGTTTGTTGTACAGATTGTTTCATCATCCAGGTTTTAAGTCTATTTCCCATTGGTTGTTTTTCCTTATCCTCTCCCTCCTCCCACCCTTCACCCTCTGAAAGGCCCCAGTGTGTGTTGTTCCCCTCTATGTGTCCATGCATTCTCATCATTTAGCTCCCACTTATAACTGAGAGTGTGTATTTGGTTTTCTGTTCCTGTGTTAGTTTTCCAAGGAAAATGGCCTCCTGACCCATCCACATTCCTGAAAAGGACATGATCTCATTCTTTTTCATGGCTGCATAGTATTCCATGGTATGTATGTACCACATTTTCTTTATCCAGTTTATCATTGGTGGACATTTAGGTTGATTCCATGTCTGTGTACAGCACATTTCTTTAAGACAAAGTAAGTGATCAAGGATAACAAATATTTTATACATATAAATGTGTGTGTGTATATACATAAACAACAGTGATTTTTTAAAACTATAATATACTAGTACCAACTTACACACTTTGTGTTTCCACTAAAATTTGTTTCAAATTTAATTATGTGTATCTAAAATTTGTGTAATTTAAACAAATCATAACTAAAAATCATACACAAAGTATTATGTACAAAAAATATACGTTTGTGTCTGTGTACGCATATTCAAATATTTAACTTAAAGTACCGAACTGTTCATTAAAAATATATAGAAGATAAATTATCTTTACATTCAGTTTAAGAGTTTCCTAAAACTTTAAGTCAAGATGTTGAAATAACCGTTGAGAGTTATAATCATAAAACTGTATATGTAAATGGATTTCTACTTTTAAAATGTTTAAAAACTTCTTTTCTTGCTCACCATTGTCCATAATATTGAGCAAGGAAGAATATATTTTCCACATAACTCTGAGAATGCAATATTGAGCTTGTTTTCTATAGGCAGAGGAAGGTGGTGTCAATAGAGCCTATTAGATGGGGATGCTCTCATGTTTGATGTTAGCAGGTTGTTTTACCTTTAGTTTGGTTAAGGTTGATTTCTGAGCTGGAGGTAAGCAAAAAGGAAACTCACATCAAATAACACAGTTGGAATAAACTGAAGATATACTAGAGCTTGACTCATCCATGCCATGCCGTGAATTCAGATATAAACCATAAATTCAATTATTTTGTAAAGATATCACAAACTTTGTTTACATAGCTGAAAAGATGTGACTTAATAAAATCCAGTAAGTAGGAAAAGAAACATTCTTATAGTTTTAAATCTGTTACCACCATAATAGGGTCCTGGAATGTTAAGATGAACCCAAATTTTTTCAATCTTACTTTATTATTAGACTCATTTTTGTTTGTACAGATACGTAATTCTGAAATACTCCATAATTCTATAAAAATTTAAAAATATTCCTTTTCTTTCTCTCTGCCTTATAAATAGTATAATTATATAACTTCACATAAAAAACTGTGATAGTTCAGGTTCTTTGAGAAGCAGACTCCAAGGCTAGATTAAACACGCAGTGGTTTTGTTAGGGGAAAACCCCTGAGGAAGAAGATAGAAAAAGAGTCATGGAATAATAGGAGAGCTGTTGATCCACAGTATGAGTCTTACACCCAACTGAAGAAGATAGAAAAGGGGAGATGTTGTAAATATTCTGAACAGCTTGCAAAGTAAGGCAGTTTGGCAAAGTCATCAAAGGGTTCTTGAACCAAAGTCAACCAGCTCGGGAGTCCTGTTTGCTTCCAGAAGCAAACCTGTCTTGGTATCCCCATCCTGCTCAGTCCATTGCATGGAGAAGCCTATGGGAAATATAGGTTTTGGTCAGTGTGGCAATGGATTTTTTTTCCATGCAGCAGGAAGCAGCTAGAGCCGTTGTTCCATTACAGTCCCGTCAGTTGGAAGCTCGAAAGGAACATTTGCATGGTTGCCACAGATACGGTTCGCTAAAGAAAATATTCTTCAACCTTGATCTTATATGTGACAAACTAGAATCAATCCCTGAAATAAGAGTCAAGATCTAAACTGTAGATTCTAGAAGATGGAAGAAATCCAATTACACTGAAAAGCACATGAAATGATGTCACAATATGAATAACATGTCACTCTGCGTGGAGATCAGCCTAGTCTCACTCATGCCCTCTCCCTCTAGTGTGGGAAAACAAGAGGAACCTCCAAAATTTCCTAGCTGCACAAAGAAATTGGTGGAAATTCACTTCATTTTGAAGCTCGGGGTTTCTATGTGGTTGATTTAATCAAAATATTAATGTGATTTTTCTAGAAGAAGAAAAAGGGAAAATATAAAAATCATGCTGATTGGATTTGAATAGATTGTATTGATCATATATGAATATTATCTTTCATCCAGATTGGAAAGTACTGTTTTGAAATCCAGTCCTTCACACTTCCAAACTGATCATTTTTAATAAGTAAATGTCATTTTGGCTTTTTTTTTTTTTTTCTGGTCAGGAAGAAAAACAAGAAGTTTCCTTCCGCAAACTTCCTAAAAGGTGCCATGTGTTTTCCTAAAACCAAGGTGAGCTAACTCAATAAATTCTATTAAAAAAATTTCTTAGTACTGACTATTAATATAGAGCCCTAGAAAAGCATCTTTTGATATGTTTCTATAATATTTGCCTTGATCGTTTTTAAAGAAATAATAATATGAAGCTACCAAACCATGAGAAATTGATCTTCAATACTTTAATGTAATTAGTTCCTAATACCCTTTCTAGTTTCTCTGGATATTCTTACGTTTTGAAGCCAATTTAAAGCAATGTTTTAATTATTAAAACATGTAGCCTAATGGAAGTTCTTTAGCATTTTAGTGAAAACACCTAACAAATCCCTTTCACTCTCAATCTTCTGATGTCTGTATTTAATTTTCATCTTTCCACAAACCAGGCATGCATTTGCCACAGAGCCATGAAGTAAGATAATCACTGTTACACAGTAACACACATCCTGGACCTGCAATTTTGTGTCTC
Source organism: Homo sapiens (assembly GCF_000001405.40). Taxonomy (NCBI): domain Eukaryota; kingdom Metazoa; phylum Chordata; class Mammalia; order Primates; family Hominidae; genus Homo; species Homo sapiens. Next base: position 86,062,098 of record NC_000014.9, on the reverse strand, counting down.
AGGAGAAAGAAATCAAATCTTCCTTCACAGACCTTTGAGGCAGCAGGCACTGGGTATCCACTGAGGATACCTAATACATTTCTCCAGTACATTTCCCTGTTTTTTCATTCATGTGCTATTTTATTCAGTAATAATAAGAAAAATACAGTACTTAGAGCCCGAGTTTTACAAACAGCGAAGCAGATACTGTTATTTTGTCAGATGATTAAGCTGTCTTTTAGGACTAGTTCAGGTATTTTCCAAGGCATCATAATTCCTTTGGTCACGAGGGTGTGACATATTTAGCTACATGTTACGTGGCAAAGTAGAAACAGAGCAGGATGAGTTTCTCAGAATGGACACATAATCTGGTTTGCAAACAACAGAGGATTTAATTCATTTCTTTCAACAACTGGTCAGGCTAAATTCAGTCTTTTGCTTCCTTCCTTTAAAAAATTTTGAGTCTAAATTTAGCTGGGTGCAGCATCAGAAGTCTATCCCACGTGCTAACATAGTTCAGTATTTGTTTCATTGTGTTTTGTTTTGCTTTATTTTAGGAAAATTCTAAAATAGAACTACCATATGATTCAGCAATCCCACTTGTAAGTATATATTCAAAGAAAATGCAATCAGTTTGTCAAAGAGGAAATTAAATCAGTATGTTGAAGAGATATCTGCATTGCCGTGTTCACTGCGGCATTATTTACAACAGCCAAGGTATAGAAATGACCTAAATGTCCACTGGCAGATATATGGATAAAGAAATTGTGGTATATTGATACAATGGGATATTATTCAGCCAAAATGAGGAAAGCCTGTCGTTTTCAATTATATGGATGAACTAGAGGACATCATGCTAAATGAAATAAGCCAGGCACAAAAAGACAAATACTGTATTTTCTCATTCATATTGTGGTATCTAAAAAATGTTGAACTCATAGAAGCAGAGAATAGAACAATGGCGTCCAGGGTTTGGACAGGGTGTGTGAAATGGGGAGATGATGGTTAAAAGGTAAAAACTTTCAATTCTGACATGAACCAGTTCTGGAAATCTAATGAACAACATGGGTATTGATGATAGCTGTGTTAATTTGACTGCAGTAATGAATACACAATCTATATGCATATAAAGACATCACATTGTACGTCCTAAATATATTCAATCTTTATTTTTCAAGTAAATATTTTAGAATTAAAAAAATAGAAATTATTTTATTGATTGACAAACGAATAGTTTCTAAGAGAGCTAGATTAAAATATACATCATACTAGCACTGGATAAGTGAATCAAGTCTTATGTTAACATTAGTTGACCAACATTATTTTCTAATAGGTTTATCAGAGAGGCATATATAGACATTGGATAATCTCATTGTTGTTCTCTTTCACTTAGATCAGAATCTCTTAACATTCAAATAATGACTGAAATGTGTGTATTTCAAGAAGTGGAAAATAAGTTACAACCTTTTGTCAGATTCTCAAAGAGATTCTTGACCAGAAAAGATTCTGAACCTCTGTGTAGAAGTAACATGTTTTTATCCAACATTGCACAATGGTTCTTGACTGTTCTTTAGAACTAATGTTCTTCATTTTGACTTGTACAAATTGTGGAAGTCCAGTAGGAGTATAGAGACAGACTTTGTAATATATTACAAGACATTTACAAGTTGAAAAAACTGCTTCAGTGAGTGAGCTACAGTGGTAGAATTCTAAGATGGCATTCCAATGTTCCAATCCCCAGGTTATTCAATAATATGACTCCAGGTATTGCTGTGAGGGGATTTTGAAGATGTAGTTAAAGCCCCAAAGTGGTTGACTTTTTACAATACGGAGAGCATTTGGTTGAGACTGATCTAATCACATGAGCCCTTTCAAAGCAGAATTTTCTCGGGCTAGTAGCAGAATGGGAATTGGAAATTTAAAGTGCAAGAAGGAACTAATGTGAAGAAGATTCTCCATTGCTGAGATGGAGTGGGGCACGTGGCAGGGATCTAAGAGTGGCCTCCAGAAGGTGAGAGTGGTCCCTGGTTGACAGCCAGGAATGCAGTGGATACCTTAGTCTACTACTGCAAGGAAATGAATTCTGCCAACAGCCTGAGTGACCTTGGAAGCATATCTTTCTCTAGTCAAGACTCCAGATAAGTACACATCTGGACAACACCGTATTTTCAGCTTTATAAGATCCTAAGTAGAGAGCCAAGTTAAAATTTGCTGGAATTCTGACCCAGGCAACTGTGAGATAATAAAATTTTGTCACTTTAAGTTGCTAAATTTATGGTAATTTGCTACATAGCAAAAGAAAAAGTTGCTAATAAATAACTTCAAATCTTTCATTTGTTTTCATGAAATCTGGATATCTATAGACCTAAATTTAAGAAATTTAGAGCTATTGATAGCTTAGTGGTTTTCTTCCTTGCCACAGGAAATATTATATCAGGCTAAAATAAAATAAGAAGATAAAAGAAAGGTGAATTACTAAGTTTTCTTTTGGTCATTTTCTATTTAAAACCAAGAGCAGTCTGGGGGAAAAAAAAGTCAGTTTCATTATCCTAATCTAAAGGATGAACAATTAAAGTTATTGGAAAGAGATCACCACTACAATTTCACTGTTTGTTTAATGACTTCTAGTAGTTTTTAATGTTTAAATTCTACTCTCTGAGCTCACATTCTCATTATACATTTGTTTTAAATATAACCAAATTATGATTATGAATTTATGTATGAAGTTTTTAAAACCATAAGAATAAATTTGGTTGCATCTTATAAATATAGATTTCCAAACACATCTAAAAGAAATTTATGATTCGGTGCTCAGAAAATACAGAAAAAAAATCTGTATTTTTCACATAACTGTAGGTGGTTCTTACAGACACAAATATTTGGGAAATTTTCCTTATAACTAACTATTGCAAACTTATTGGAAAAATCTGACCTGGTTATCTCTACTGCGTTGCATATAAAGGAAAGATTGCTGATGCTCAAAGGAAGTTCTCATCTTGCAGGGAGGAGAACATAGAAGCATTAATAGATATGCAAATATACCATGTAACATATGGTAACTTAAGAGCATAGCCAATGGGAATGAATATTGGAATCCATTTGGCTAAAGGCTTTACTTTACCACAGACCACTGTGGTCAAAGAAGATCTGCTTTATTCAGTGAACCATAAACCAGATTGTTTATAAAGCATGAAACCAAGAAATTCTGAAGTGCACTCACCAAAACAATGTTTCCAGATAGCTTCCAGATATCATAGGGCCTAACTGCAAAAGATGAAGTTTGCTTTTCAGCCTTTTTTTCTGTCAACTGCACCCATTGAGTGTTTTGTGCCTCACTCTTCTTCTGTTCCCACTTTTTCAGGCATTCAATAAATCTCTCTCAAAACCTTACTATTAAGAAATTTACCTGATAATCTCAAATTTTCACTCACTTTCCATAATAACATTTTATTTTAACATTCTAAAAATCTTCTTAATTCAGACAAAATATACAGAACTAGTTCTACATATAGAGATAATCTAATGCCTTAAGAATGAATTCTAGCAGGGTTTTCTTTCATATCTACAAACAGTTTCACAAAGAAGCATTTTTATAAGCCCAATTTCAAAACCATTTCATGAATAAGCTCTAGCATTTGATTTGGCTTTTTTTTAGAGCTCCTGTATATCCTATAAATTAATTAATAAGCTCTTATGGTAAACTTCTCAACAGCTAACCTATATCAGATATTCTTCAATAACACAGAAAAAGTATTTAATTTATTCTTATAAAAATAAATATCCACTTATTTACTTTGTGTTTATTTCAGCCCAAAGCACCATCTATAATGCATTTTTATGCTTAGAATTTCTTAGCTTTGGCCTGGCGCGGTGGCTCTTGCCTGTAATCTCAGCACTTAGGAGGCCGAGGAGGGTGGATCAACTGAAGTCAGGAGTTCAAGACCAACCTGGCCAACCCCCTCTCTACTTAAAATACGAAAACCTTAGCTGGGCGTGGTGGTGGGTGCCTGTAATCCCAGCTACTCAGGAAACTGAGGCAAGATAATTGCTTGAACCCAGGAGGTGGAGGTTGCAGTGAGCCGAGATCACGCCATTGCAGTCCAGCCTGGGCAACAAGAGTGAAACTTTGTCTCAAAAAAAAAAAAAAAAGAAAGAAAGAAAACAAAAAGAAAAAAGAAAAAAAGAATTCCTTAGCTTTTTTACATTGTTCTTAACGTTTAATATTAAAATTCTGTACATGTTTATGCGTTTTAAACATATGAGTTGTTAATCACACGTGTTACCAGACTCTGGAAAACCTTCCCTAAAAATTTTGAGTCAGTATGTACATTTTTACCCTTGTTTTATGAATGAAGAAAATAAGATTTCAAAGGGGTAAAAAAATTTCTCTAGGTCACAAGGCTAATCACCAGGGAAATTAGGATTTGAATAAAATCAGTCTCATATAGAAATCAATGCTTATTTTTAATGCCACAATAATTCCAGTTGAGTCAAACTTCTGTCTGTAATTGTAACTATACATAGCACAAACCTCAATTAAAAATGTTTGTCAAACATGCAAATATAAATTATGAATATTCAAACAAATATAAATGATGAATAGCTTAAATTACTTTGTACACACACATATAAATCCAAAAATACTGCGTATGTAAACTTTTTAAATACACAAATATTTCAGGGCAATAGATGATAGCTGGTACCATCCCAACCAGAGTAATGTTTTATTGACAATATGCACTCATAAATGCAAAGTTATTTTAATTATGCAAATGAATTCCAACAAAATAAACCTAATACATTAATAAACCTCCTTCACCTTTCTTATCAGTAGAATTAAGTTTTATTTCTAACAATGCCCACTAGGGGATGCTGGCGCATTGACACTAGAAAGCGGAAGACATTGGCTGTCCTGTCAGGTCAACTAAAATACTGACAGTGAACCCCCCTTTGCAGTAATTTATTTTTGTAGATAGTTTTTAGAGAATAGAAGCCATTCACACATATTGGCACAGAATGACAGTCCCACAAAAAAATTGGAGTTTTAAGCCAACTGAATTTTTTTGCATTTTAATAATATTTTTAATAAAAGTACTTGGATTCCTGTAAAGCAGATTTGGATAAAACCATTTAGATGTCCAATACTTTTGATCAAGAGTTACTGTTTAAGTGAGAACACATGGAGACAGGGAGGGGAACATCACACACCAGGGCCCGTCGGGGGGTGGGAGGAAAGGGGAGGGAGAGCATTAGGACAGATGCCTAATGCTTGTGGGGCTCAAAACCTAGATGTGACGGGTTGATGGGTGCAGCAAACCACCATGGCACATATATACCTATGTAACAAACCTGCATGTTCTGTACATATATCCCAGAACTTAAAGTAAAATAAAAAATGAAAAATGAAGAGTTATTGTTTATGGAAACATGACATAACTATTCAACTATTAGTAAGTTTTATATTAAATAGCACAAAAACAAACAGGCTTATGTGCTAAATTATCTATATATAATTTATACATAAATCACTATTGTAGCTATTTTGGAACCTGAATTCACTATTGTCTGCAATCAAAGGGGAAAATATATAGGAATTACTTTTAATCAAATAAAATACTAAGTAAAAATATGAAATACTACTTAATGTCATTGATTGTCAATAAGTTATTTTATATGTAATTAAATCATTTCTATCTGAGGAAAATGCTCAAAGTAACTCAGTAAAACACTATGTACAACAAGTTAAGTATTTTTTAATAAAAAAACAAGATAAAAATGAGCTGAATTTCATCATGGAGTTCTTAAGGGAAAAAGTCGAAGAATTTTTTAGGAGCACATAATTTTGTTGCATAATGTCAACCCCAAATGAGCTTGGGATTGTCCCCAAATGTTTATGTAATTGAATTACATTAAATTTTTCACTCAAGCTCATTCTTCCATTATAGGTCCAAACGTTTATTAACCTTTTTTAAAAAAATTAGTGTTATTACCTTTATTTATTCACAATTGTCTCTTTCAAGTTTAAAGCGAGCCTCATCATATTAATAATCAAGCATTTAATGAGGACATTTGCATTCACTCAATTCAGATCCCTCAAATCTCGTAGACTTTAATCATATCTTTTATCTTTCATTTTTCCAGATGAGTCATATGAAATATTTAACCTTGTTATCATATGCAAATTCCTTGAGTCTATTGATGTGGCAATCTATTGACATACATCTATTAAGTGCCTGATTTGCCAGTAACACTATGCCAGGAGTTTACAGGCATAGAAACGTAATAAATTGCTCTGTGTCTTAGCCTTTTCCTGTCTCACCTCTTTTCAACTTGAGGTTTTAGGTGCAAGCTTCTTCCAACCACTGAGCCATCCTCAATCAAACCTGGCAGTACATTACACAATCTTATCCTCACCAGCAGATGGGGCTTATCATGAAACTCACTGTCTTATATCAGGATATAGTACCAACTCTGTCCTTGTTTTAGTTGATCTGCCAATAGCTCTTGATAGTGCTCTTTCTATTCCACAAAATACATACCTTTTTTTTTTCTTATGGATTTCAAAACTCTACGATCTTTTCTCCTAGCTCAGGAGCTACTTCCCAATGTCCCTTGTTTTTGTCATTTTCCTCTAGCTCTAAATCTCCAGAATCTCCAGGGATTGGAACCAAGTGCTTTATCTTTACCATATACCAATCCATGAATCAACTCCAAAACAGATCTCTAGAAACAGACAAGACTGACTACTGCCTGAAGGTTTCTGACACCAAGTTCCTGAGGTGGGTCAATTAATTTTGGAGCACAGAATATATTGCACCTTATGTTTGTAACTATTGATCATCTTTTGTAAGAAAGCCTCCTTTAAAGCTGAGCTCTTGCTCTAACTCCTTTGGGTCCTCACTTTTTCCTCTATTCTCTAATTTTTAGCCTGGTATTAGAGTCTTCAGGTAACTTTCAACCAAGTCCACACGCTTTAAAAAAATATTTTCAGGTATAATTAAAGTACAATAAACTGCACATATTGAAACTGTACAATTTAATCAATTTTAGCATATGCATACAACCTTGAAACCATCACTGCTATCAAGATAATAAGCATTTTCATCACCCAAGATGTTTCCTCTTGACACTGTTCTTACAGAAATTATAATCTCATAATAAAGAATAAATGTGTTTTATAATATGAGAGACATCATTGCATGAAAAGCAGTAAAGGGAGATAAATAATGGTATAGATGATAAATGATATAAAAATATATAGGAGAGAGAAATTACTGAGGGGAGGATAATTGGAAAAGGCTTCATCATTACCTATCCAATGTATTTTCTTACATTATTTTTCTATCTGAATGTTTGTTATTGGCATTACTACTTTGTGCTTTTTTCAGATATTGATATAAAATACTCAATGCATTTTATGTTTGGATTCTTTTTGGCTTTACAGAGGAATACATTCTCTTCTCCTTTGGCTGCTTAATCCCTTCTCATGAAAAATAACCTTGACCTTTGCATTCTAGATGTACCAAATATGAAATAATTTTAGAATTCGATCTCAAATGGCCCTTTTGCAAACTCCAAAATGTTGTGTAAGTCCATTTTCTCTTTTGCATTATTCTCACAAACATACTAAAACGTGATTTGATGTCTTCTATTTATATTAGTGGTTCAAACAGTTTTAAGCATACGAATTATTTTTCTTCTTATTTTTTAGAACATCCTCTTAGGTAGTGCTTCTTCTGTTACCAGTGACATAAATGATCTTTTGTATCATATAACTTAAAGGTTAAAGGGTCAGCTGACTTTTGGTGACATTAGATTATAAATTCAGGTGATGTCATTGGACTCTCTTTACTCAAGTCTCATCTCTGCTTTCCTTGCATTTAGGGTTGTCAGATAAAATAATGTCTCCTTAAATTTAAATTTCAGAGAGACAATAAAGAATGTTTAATATAAGTGTATCACATACATTCCATGGGACATGCTATGTTTAGTCTTGCTGTTGTCATTTTTTTTCCCTGTAAATCGACACAAATATCAAATTGTTCTCAGGTGGACTTTCTTCAGCTGTCCACTCTTACCAAAATCTCTAAATTTATGCCCCGCAGATTAGTCACTAAAGAGAAAAGTGAGTGTCTTTTTTCTTAAAGTCTCCAATTGGGTCTTATTGGAACAAATTGAGTAATAGTCCTCAAACAATTGCTATGACCTAAGAGATAAAATATACTCATTTGTTAGGTCTGGATCATACAAGGCAGAAGGCATGAATGTGTCAGCTTCACCAAACCATATACACTGAGAGTCATTGAGAGGCTACTGCCAGAAAGAAAAACAAGGTTCAGTGGGGAAATGTATATTAGACAACAAAAAGCAAAATATGACTAGCGGAGAACTTTCTTAATATGGCTCTACTTTTAATATCCTTGATTCATAATAATAATAAATCTAATATAAATTCAGGTATATTTTAAAGTGATGTGCATTTTATCAGCCGCAGCTAATTCACTCTTTATATTGTATTGAACATTAATAAATATCAACAGCTCAATGTGTGGGCAGCATGGATTAACAGGCACCTTGCAGTAATTGTGTGGCAAAGAGAGCAGTTGAATTTCTGTCAGGAAAATAGCATTTCTCACATTACACAGCCCTGGAGTCTGGTCTTATCTCTATCTCTTATACCTCTGAACAAAGTAATTCAACTCTCTAAGAATCTTGAACTGTAATCTGGGAATTTAATAATCTGCTTCACTGGATTATTCAAGTGATGTTAAGATAATGTTTCAAATTACCATAGCATAGCAGCTGGCATATTGTAATCTCTCAGAAAGGTTAACTGGATTATTATCAGCAATGACCTTAAAATAATCTTTCAAGTTGATATGATTTGGCTCTGTGTCCCCACCCAATTCTCATCTCAAATTGTAATCCCCACATGTTAGGGAGGGACCTGGTAGGAGGTGATTGAACCATGGGGTTGGTTTCCTCCATGCTCTTTCCATGACAGTGAGTGAGTTCTCACGAGGTCTGATGGTTTAAAAGTGTGTGGTGGTTCCCCACTCCCCTCTCTCTCCTGCTCTGCCACAGTAAGATGTGTCTTGCTTCCTCTTTGCCTTGGGTCATGATTGTAAGTTTCTTGAGGCCTCCCCAGCCATGTGGAACTGTGATTCAATTAAACCTCTTTTCTTAATAAATTACCCAATCTCATGTAGCTCTCACTGTGAAAACTGACTAATACACAAGTGATACTCTTGACTTCTGTATTTTCCTGCCTCAAAACACTTTTTACATGTTCACTAATTTATTATGTGTTATGTTTAGGGCCAGCTCTTCCAGTAAGTTTTTAACTCCTTGAGGTCATTATTCATTAGTGTGTTCTCAACATTTTCACGTGAACTTATTTTAACGTCTGTTAGGTCAAAGTGATTTTTCAAATCACAATGCAGGATTTTTTATTTTATCCCTCTTGAATTCCAAAACCATATATATTTTTTATAACTTGGGCTGCCTTTATCTGATACCTCTCTGTAGATGCACCTTGGAGCAATACCTTCATAGAATTTTCTATGGTCATGCTTAAATTCCTTTTCTTGATAACATTTTCTTCATTGTATTGTTAGTATAATATTATTATTTTTACTTTTCTTCACCAAAACACAATAGCCCCTTATCTCCTGTGGCTGAGACCCTAGAATATCCTCCAATTCCTTTCTTAAAACTTAGTATTTTTTCCACCAAGGAGAATATAGTTTGAGTTGCATGCTTAGAAAATTCAATGCACACCCTTCTTCTTTGGAAAAATTACAAAATTTTATACATGGCCAATTGGATCATTAATTCTTTGGAACGAATCATATGCTACAGAAGATAATAAATGAACATGTTTTCACAGCATTTAATTTAGTGAAGATAGAAGAAATGTGCCTAGATTTACATTTTTAACTCATGTCAACCCCATCGAGTCAAATTGATAATAGATAAGCAAATACAGTTATTTGATAGAAGACTGATCGATAGATTAGATAAACTATACATGTACATCATCTAATGTACATGAGAATACATATAATAAAGTTATTAATCAAATAATATAAATCTTCAAAGGAGACCTGAGTGTTACATTGGATAGGCGTTCAAACTTATTGATGTTGACAAATTCCCCTTTCTCAGATACAGCATATATTCATACTGACAAGAAGTATACCTTACTTAGAATTTCAAGGCTTTAAAATTGAAAAATAGTTTCTTCTCATAAAAAAATGCTGAGAAACCTCTGTTAAAAAGTCTAAAGTGCAATGTTATGGAAAATGCAAGTGATAGTGAATCTGATATCTTGCATTTGAAACTGCATTGTAATGCTACTGCTTAACCTTGGACACATTATTTGCTTGCTCAGATGGAAAGTTAACAATAAGGTGGATTCAAATTCAATTTCATCACTACTTGTTATACATCTTGGAGAAGTTATTTTTCTTCTCTGAACCTTATTTCCTGTTTGCATAAAAATACTAATACAAAAACTTAAATTGAGAACTATTATGAAAATGAAATAAATTTCTATAAAATTTTGTGCATAATATCTCTCACATAATGTGTATTTATTAGTTTCTTTATTTCTTCAGGTTCTTAATCAGCATCATTGGGATTTCAGTGAGAGCAGCTTATTATTAAATCCACAGAGATATATTAATGAGATAATATGTATTAAGAGTTTGCCAAATCCAAATGCTATTTTTTCCATTACAATACTAACAATCACCACCACACTTAGGACTACAACTACCCTTGCAATAGAAGTAAGGTACAGTTGAAAAAATGCTTAACCAGGAATAAGAAAATCCGAGTTCTAAGAGTACTTCATTTTTAACTTATTCTCTAATATTGGGGTACAGCATTATATAGAGAATTCATTTCTGGTAATCAGTTTATTATTATATTCTATATCTGTAGCTATGTTTATATCATTACATGCATTAAATCTTTATTAATTCTAACATACTATAATTACGACTAAGGCATTGGATGTTCAGTAATATTAGTGCCATCCGAAAGCCGTCAATGGATGGGGCAAATTGCTGCGTTTAGGAAAGTCTGTCAATGCAGGGAGAGGGAAGAGGAGGCGGGAATATGCAGGAGGAGGGAGTATGCAGTCTCTGCTGAATCAGTACCAGCTGTCTTATTTGATGCTAATTAACTTTCAAACCAGAATCTACCAAGACTAAGCAAATGGCTGCTGAGAAGTTTTGCCAGGTCAGTTGAGTTTTTCTTTCTGAACCTCAGTTTAACACTCTTCCTGATTTTCTTTTACTTTGAAATTTAAAGATTTCAAATTTTACTGTAGACAAGAAAAAAATGTTATCAGTGACTATACATTTTGCTGGTATGATAATCTTTGGTAATTTGTTCAATGTTAACTTTCTCTTTTTTCCCATGAATGGTTAAAATGTTTTTGGATATTGAATTATAGGCAATGCAATGTAAATATAACACAGCTAAAATACACTGCCTTTACAGTTACCAGTAACGAAAGTTAATGCCATCTTGTGAAATGATCTAGTAGAGTCTTTGTCAGCACTTTCACTAAAACCTCAGTTTTTAGTCATTTATAGCATCAGCAAACAGGACTTCAGAGGGAATAATACCATCTGTTGTTATTAAGAGTGACATAGCCCAAGGTTAGGGCAGACATGCAAAAATCCTTTGATCTTCAGTATTTCTTTGCTTCTATTTACTATGAACTTGCCTAGTTGAGTTGATGAAAAGTATGCAACGATCAATTTGGTTTAAATCCAAACCTCAGTGGAAAAGCTGTGAATCAACTGAAGGAACTACTGATTTGTCAACTCTTGTTCTGTTTTGCCTGTGGTGTGATAACATCATGCTTGTACACAAAAATTTATCATTGTAATTTCAAAACCTGTAAAAGTATTTCCTTTCCTGAGAAAAACTCAGAGTTAGACTCTATTTATTCATATTTTGTAATACATAACTCCTAAGAAGACACTCAGCAAGTCAGAAAAGAAGCTGAATCCTGAATATAGAAACAAACATCAATCTTAACATATAAAAACGAGAGTGAGTGAATGATGTATCAGCAATCATAGAGTTGGGTCAATACATTAAGTGGAAAAGAAACCATAGAATAAGAAACTCAGATAACATGCTGACTTGAACTATCATGTCACAATCTCAGAAGACTGTGTTACCAGAAAAAATAGCTAATTCAACTCATTAGAATACAAGCATAAACTATTACTATATGTTGTCATTATTCATGGCATTTCATGTAAGTATCTTAGAACAAGCTTAAAACTTATTAATTTTCACATTATTCTTCCAAATTTTGGAAAGTTAATATGATTACAACTACAATAAGCAATTATTTAAATGATTTGAAAAATATTCTTAACCAAAAATCTATACAAATAAGCTATTTCTGTGGCTCTGAAGGTAAAGTATATATTCTTCTCACCATATACCTTCTTTTATTCTCTCTGCCTTTTAAATTTTTATTTCTTTTGTCCATAGTCTTGCCCTGAACAATCATTAGTCCCCCAAAGTATGCTGTCATACTCTTAACGTGACTACTTCTCAAGCATGACAGCATCTGATGAAAACAAAAACAAGGTTAAAGGTTTTACCAATTTCTCTTCTAACAAACAAAAGGTGACTTTTTTTAAGAAAGTGTATTTATTGTTTTGAGAATCCTAGCGTACAGTTTAGCAAATGACTGCTTCATAATAATAACTTATAATTTTCTGCTGCCTTAAAATTTACAAAGTGCTCTTACACACATATCACCTGATCTTTGCCTCAACCCACTGAAAAAGGTTGAAATAAAAGTGACTTGCTTAATTCATACAATTAGGTCGTCTGACAAGTTTTAAGTAAAAACTTACATTTAAAAATTCATATTTTAAAATTAGTAGGTTTTTGACCAAAAGACTAAACTCATTATTTTGCAATCACTATCCTTTATGAAATGTGAAAATCCATAAAATATTATTTGTTTAGCACTAGCAAGTGATTCCATGGGTGGGAAGATGGATGAAAACTCATCCTAAAGCACTAACAGTTATACCAAAATTAATTTGTAAGATATCTATTTACTTCATAAAAGATTAGTAAGACTATCTTGCAATAATACATTTTTCCCTCATGAAATATTAGACCTTAACAATAGTTTATAAGGTGAGTTTCACTGGAAAATTCTATATATATGAAGCATTGGTTTTTCAAAATATATTTGATTTGTCATACTGTTACATGTTTCTGGAGGAACATCACAGAGATAAAGAAAAATTCACATCACATCGTATCAAGAATACCTATTAGAAATGTAATCAATCACTTCCAGCTGGCAAGATGGCCAGATAGGAACAGCTCTGGTCTGCAGCTCCCAGCAAGATCAACACAGAAGGTGGGTGATTTCTGCATTTCCAACTGAGGTACCCAGCTCATCTCACTGGGACTGGTTAGACAGTAGGTGCAGCCCACAGAGGGTGAGCCAAAGTGGGGTGAGGCGGGGCATTACCTCACCCAGGAAGTGCAAAGGGTTGGGGAATTCCCTCTCCTAGCCAAGGGAAGCCTCGAGGGACTGTGCTGTGAATTCCCATGGTCTTCACAACCCTCAGACCAGGAGATTTCCTTGGATGCCTACACCACCAGGGCACTGGATTTCAAGCACAAAACTGGACGGCCCTTTGGGCAGACACTGAGCTAGCTGCAAGAGTTTTTTTTTATACCCCAGTGGTGCCTGGAACACCAGTGAGACAGAACCATTCACTACCATGGAAAGAGGGCTGAAGTGAGAGCCAAGTGGGCTACCTCAGCAGATCCCACCCCACAGAGCCCAGCAAGGTAAGATCCACTGGCTTGAAATTCCCGCTCCCAGAACATCAGTTTGAAGTCCACCAGGGACACTAGAGCTTGGTGGGGGGAGGGGCATCCACCATTACTGAGGCTTGAGTAGGCGGTTTTCCCCTCACAGTATAAACAAAGCCACTAGGAATTTGAAACGCGGCAGAGCCCAGCACAGCTCTGCAAAGTTGAGGTAGCCTCACTACCTCTCTAGAATCCTCCTCTCTCAGCAGGGCATCTCTGAAAGAAAGGCAGCAGCCCCAGTCAGGGTCTTATAGATAAAACTCACATCTCCCTGGGACAGAGCACCTGGGGGACAGGGCAGCTGTGGGGGCAGCTTCAGCAGACTTAAACATTACTGCCTGCCGGCTCTGAAGAGAGCAGCAGATCTCCAAGCACAGCACTCGAGCTCTGCTAAGGGACAGACTGCCTCCTCAAGTAGGTCGTTGACCCCCCATGCCTCCTGACTAGGAGACAATTCCCAGCAGGGGTCAACAGACACCTCATACAGGAGAGCTTCGGCTGAAATCTAGCGGTGCCCCTCTGCGAAAAAGCTTCCAGAGGAAGAAGCAGGCAGCAATCTTTGCTGTTCTGCAGCTTCTGCTGGTGATACCTGGGCAAAGAGGGTCTGGAGTGGACCTCCAGCAAATTCCAGAAGATCTGCAGCAGAAGGGCCTGACTGCTCGTAGGAAAACTAACAAACAGGAAGGAATAGCATCAACAACAAAAATGACATCCACACAGAAACCTCATCAAAAGGTCACCGAAATCAAAGACCATGGGGTAGATAAATCCATGAAGATAAAGAAAAACCAGTGCAAAAGGGCTGAAAATTCCAAAAACCAGAATGCCTCTTCTCCTCCAAAGGATCACAACTGCTTGCCAGCAAGGGAACAAAACTGGACAGAGAATGAGTTTGACAAATTGACAGAAGTAAGCTTCAGAAGGTGATTAATACAAACTCCTCCAAGCTAAAGGAGCATGTTCTAACCCAATGCAGGGAAGCTAAGAACCTTGAAAAAAGGTTAGATGAATTGCTAACTAGAATAACCAGTTTAGAGAAGAACATAAATGACCTAATGTAGCTCAACACAGCATGAGAACTTTGTGAAGAATACACAAATATCAATAGCTGAATCAATCAAGTAGAAGAAAGGATATCAGAGATTGAAGATCAACTTAACGAAATAAAACATAAAGACAAGATTAGAGAAAAAAGAATGAAAAGGAATGAACAAAGATTCCAAGAAATATAGGACTATGTGAAAAGACCAAACCTACGTTTGATTGGTGTACCTGAAAGTGATAAGGAGAATGGAACCAAGTTGGAAAACACACTTCAGGATATTATCCAGGAGAACATTTCCAACCTAGCAAGACAGACCAACATTCAAATTCAGGAAAGAGGATACCACAAAGATATGCCTCGAGAAGAGCAACCCCAAGACACATAATTGTCAGATTCACCAGGGTTGAAATGAAGGAAAAAATGTTAAGGGCAGCCAGAGAGAAAGGTCGGGTTACCCACAAACAGAAGCCTGTCAGACTAATAGCGGCCTTCTCTGCAGAAACCCAACAAGGCAGAAGACCTTGGGGGGGTCAATATTCAACGTCCTTAAAAAAAAGAATTTTTAACCCAGAATTTCATATACAGCATAAGCTTCATAAGCAAAGGATAAATAAAATCCTTTACACACAAGCAAATGCTGAGAGATTTTGTCATCACCAGGCCTGCATTACAAGAGCTCCTGAAGGAAGCACTAAACATGGACAAGAACAACCAGTACCAGCCATTGTAAAAACATACCAGATTGAAAAGAACATCGACACTATGAAGAAATTGCATCAACTAACAGGCAAAATAACCAGCTAGCATCATAATGACAGGATCAAATTCACACATAACAATATTAACCTTAAATGTAAATGGGCTAAATAAATGCCCATTTAAAAGACACAGACTGGCAAATTGGATAAAGAGTCAAGGCACATCAGTGTGCTCTGTTCAGGAGACCCATCTCACGTGCAAAGACACACATAGGCTCAAAATAAAGGGATGAAGGAATATTTATCAAGCAAATGGAAAGCAAAAACAACAAAAAAAGCAGGGGTTGCAGTCCTAGTCTCTGATAAAACAGACTTTAAGCCAACAAAGATCAAAAAAGACAAAGAAGGGCATTACATAATGGTAAAGGGATCAACGCAACAAGAAGAGCTAACTATCCTAAATAGATATGCACCCAATACAGGAGCACTCAGATTCATAAAGCAAGTTCTTAGAGACCTACAATGAGACTTAGACTCCCATACAATAATAGTGGGAGACTTTAACACACCACTGTCAGTATTAGACAGATCAACAAGACAGAAAATTAACAAGGATATTCAGGACTTGAACTCAGCTCTAGACCAAGCAGACTGAATAGGCATCTACAGAACTCTCCACCCCAAATCAACAGAATGTACATCCATCACAGCACCATATCACATTTATTCTAAAAGTGACCACATAATTGGAGATAAAACATTCCTCAGCAAATGGGAAAGAACGGAAATCAAACAAACAGTCTCTCAGACCACAGTGCAATCAAATTAGAAAGCAGGATTAAGAAGCTCACTCAAAACCACACAACTACATGGAAACTGAACAACGTGCTCCTGAGTGACTACTGGGTAAATAACAAAATTAAGGCAGAAATAAAGAAGTTCTTTGAAACCAATGAGAACAAAGACACAACATACCAGAATCTCTGGGACACAACTAAAGCATTGTTTAGAGGAAAATTTATAGCACTAAATGCCCACAGGAGAAAACAGGAAAGATCTAAAATAGACAACCTAACATCACAATTAAAAGAACTAGAGAAGCAAGAGCAAACAAATTCAAAAGCTAGCAGAAGACAAGAAATAACTAAGATCAGAGCAGAACTGAAGGAGATAGACACATGAAAAACCCTTCAAAAAATCAATGAATCCAGGAGCTGGTCTTTTGAAAAGATTAACAAAATAGATAGATGGCTAGCCGGACTAATAAAGAAGAAGAGAGAGAAGAATCAAATAGACACAATAAAAAATGATAAAGGGGACATCACCACTGATCCCAAAGAAATACAAACTACCATCAGAGAATAGTATAAACACTTCTATGCAAATAAACTAGAAAATCTAGAAGAAATGGATAAATTCCTGGACACATACGCCCTTCTAAGACTAAACCAGGAAGAAGTCGAATCCCCGGATAGTCCAATAAAAAGTTCTGAAATTGAGGAAATAATTAATAGTCTACCAACCAAAAAAAGCCCAAGACCAGAGGGATTCACATCCGAATTCTACCAGAGGTACAAAGAGGAGCTGGTACCATTCATTCTGAAACTATTCCAAACAATAAACAAAGAGGGACTCCTCTTTGACTCATTTTATGAGACCAGCATCATCATAATACCAAAACATGGCAGAGACATAACGAAAAAGAAAATTTCAGACCAATATCCCTGGTGAACATCGATGCAAAAATCTTCAATAAAACACTGGCAAACCGAATCCAGCAGCACATCAAAAAGTTTATCCACCACGATCAAGTCGGCTTCATCTCTGGGACGTAAGGCTGGTTCAAAATGTGCAAATCAATAAATGTAATCCATCAAATAAACAGACCAATGACAAAAACCATATGATTATCTCAATAGATGCAGAAAAGGCCTGCAATAAAATTCTACACCACTTCATGCTAAAAACTCTCAATAAACTAGGTATTGATGGAATGTACTCAAAATAATAACACATATTTATGACAAACCCACAGCCAATATCATACTGAATGGGCAAAAGCTGGAAACATTCCCTTTGAAAACCGGCACAAGACAAAGATGCCCTCTCTCACCATTCCTATTCAACATAGTATTGGAAGTTCTGTCCAGGGCAATCAGGCAAGAGAAAGAAATAAAGGGTATTCAAATAGGAAGAGAGGAAGTCAAATTGTCTTTGTTTGCATATGACATGATTGTATATTTACAAAACCTCATTATCTAGACCAAAATCTCCTTAAGCTGATAAGCAACTTCAGCAAAGCCTCAGGATACAAAATTGATGTGCAAAAATCACAAGCATTCCTATACACCAATAATAGACAAACAGAGAGACAAATTATGAGTGAACTCCCGTTCATAACTGCTAGTAAAATAATAAAATACCTAGGAATACAGATTACAAGGGATGTGACGGACTTCTTCAAGGAGAACTGCAAATCACTGCTCAGGGAAATAAGAGAGGACACAAACAAATGGGAAAATCATCCCATACTCATATATAGGAAGATTCAATATCGTGAAAATGGCCATACCACCCAAAGTAATTTATAATTTCAATGCTATCTCCATCAAGCTACCATTGACTTTCTTCACATAATTAGAAAAAAACTACTTTAAATTTCACATGGAGCCAAATATAAGCCTCTATATCCAAGACAATCCTAAGCAAAAAGAACAAAGATGAAGGCATCACGCTACCTGACTTCAAACTATGCTATAAGGCTACAGCAACCAATACAGCATGGTACTGTTACCAAAACAGATATATGAACCAATGAAACAGACGGTGGCCTCAGGAATAATGCCACTCATCTACAATCATCTGATCTTTGACAAACCTGACAAAAACAAGCAATAGGGAAATGATTCCCTATTTAATAAATGGTGTTGGGAAAACTGGCTAGCCACATGCAGAAAATTGAAACTGGACCCCTTCCTTACACCTTATAGAAAAATTAACTCAAGATGGATTAAAGACTTAAATAAGACCAAAAACCATAAAAACCCTGGAAGAAAACCTAGGCAATACCATTCAGGACATAGGCATGGGCAAAGACTTCATGACTAAAACACCAAAAGCAATGGCAACAAAAGCCAAAATTGACAAGCGGGATGTAGTTAAACTAAAGAGCTTCTGCACAGCAAAAGAGACTATCATCAGATTGAACAGCCAACCTACAGAATTGGAGAAAATTTTTGCAATCTATCCATCTGACAATGGGCTAATATCCAGAATCTACAAGGAACTTAAACCAATTTACAAGAATAAAAACAACCTCATCAAAAAGTGGGTGAAGGATATGAACAGACACTTCTCAAAAGAAGACATTTATGTGGCCAAAAACATGAAAAAAAGCTCATGATCACTGGTCATTAGAGAAATGCAAATCAAAACCACAACGAGATACTATCTCACGCCAGTTAGAATGGCAATCATTAAAAAGTCAGGAAACAACAGATGCTGGATACGATGTGGAGAAAAAGGAACACTTTTACACTGTTGGTGGGAGTGTAAATTAGTTCAACCATTGTGGAAGACAGTATGGCAATTCCTCAAGGGTCTAGAACCAGAAATACCAATTGACCCAGCAATCCCATTACTGGGTATACACCTAAAGGATTATAAATCATTCTACTATAAAGACACATGCACACATATGTTTATTGCAGCACTATTCACAATAGCAAAGACTTGGAACCAACCCAAATGCCCATCAGTGATAGACTGGATAAAGAAAATACGGCACATATACAGCATGGAATACTATGCAGCCATAAAAAAGGATAAGTTTATGTCTTTTGCCGGGACATGAATGAAGCTGGAAACCATCATTCTCAGCAAACTGACACAGGAACAAAAAACCAAACACAGCATACACACTCATAAGTGGGGGTTATACAATGAGAACACATGGACACAGGGAGGGGAACATCACACACCGGGGCGTGTCAGGGGTTGGGGGCTAGGGGAGGGATAGCATTAGGAAAAATACCTAATGTAGATGATGGGTTGATGGGTGCAGCAAACCACCATGGCACGTGTGTACCTATGTAACAAACCTGCACGTTCTGCACATGTACCCCAGATCTTAAAGTATAATAAAATAAATGTAATTAATCACTCTTATTCTTAACCTTGGTCAATGATTTTGAGCTAGTTTTTCTCCTTTTAGCTTTATCTCCTATCAAGCTAACCTTTTATTCCCTTTTTATATTGTAATTTTTGGAAGAATGGCACTATGAACACTCTGAGTTTAGGGAATGGAGAGTTATGTTCCCCGTGGGAAATGACTTTATCAACTATAGCACCGTGCTTGTGTACAATTCTTTTTGTCTTTAGACTTATAGATTTCACTCATTTCCAAAGCTCCTTAGGTCAGCATCTTATTCCCCCACCCTTTTCAGTGAAGTTGTCCCATACATGCATTATATATTCAGATTCTTTTGTCAGATTCTTTGTTCGAGCAATAAAATTCCCCAACCTTCTAAATATATATATGTATATGTGTGTGTATATGTGTGTGTATATATATAATCTAATATTTTATATGTGAATTTGTTGTTAAGATACTAATTCTTCCTTTTCAATTTTTATACATCTTTGTGGTTTTATCTTACATACCTGCTGTCTGATGTTTGTTACTAGTGTTCATTGTGTCTATTTCTTGTTCCTGACTTTTGAAAGACTTCATCAAGTGTTTCTTCATCAAGCATGTTCTCAGTTTTGTGTCTGAAATACATATATTTTGCCATATTAACAAATATCCATTCATTTTTACTTAAGGAATATATCACTGCATTTTACCCCCTGCCATTTCACTGCTTTATTAATAGATTTACAAACATTAATATACACTAGTATTCCTGGAATAATTTCCACTTAGTCACGTTTTTATTTTTACGTTTCACAGGATTTTGCATTTGTGTTTCTTTTAGGATTTTTATTAATAGTGATAAGTTAAATTTCCTTTTTTATATTAAATGTTGGGCTCAATATTATAGTTGCTTCATACATGAGTTTGGCCATTTTCCTTCCTTATTTTTCCCCCATGTTCTGAAATAGTTTAAATAGCAATGGAAATATTCACTTTTTAAATGTTTGGTAAAATTTCCTTGTAAAATAGTTGGCTGTGGTGTTATTTCTTTTGAGAGTAGTTCTTACATAGCACCCTGTATTTCCCTCGTGGAACGTGATCTTTGTAGACTTTTATCTCTTCAGCAGTCAAATTTGGTAAAATCTATTTTCCTAAAAACTTACCTATTCTTATCTATTTCTTTAAGTTTATTTGCTAGTGTTATGCAATTTAAAATTTTCACTGCTTCATTTAACTTGAATTTTTTTCTTAATTTTTTTGCATTTTGATTTTACATTGTTCTTAAGTTAAATAAGTTCAATTTTTTACTTTGTTATTTTTATTCAAAAAAAGCATTTGCGTCTGTTTATAATTCTATTCTTTTTTCTTGCTAATTTCTCTTTTATATTTATTAATTGTTTCTTCATATTCCCTTTAAGTCTTTAGTTATTTTTATTCTAACTTTTTTGTTTTTAAAGTTTTCACTATTTCCTTTATGTTTTAAATTAATATAATAATTGAAGACTAAAAATTTTCCTTGTGGCACATATTTTACAAGATCTAATTGGTTCTGAGTAATAGTATTTTTATCTGTTATTTTGTTTTTCTTAAGTTCTACTATTTATGTTTGTATTTTCTCAATTAAGAGTAGTTTATAAAGATTATTAGAATGTTATCTATAAAAGGATCATTTTGTTTCTGATTTTGTTATTAATTTGCAAATTTAATTTGGTATTGTGATCACAGATGTTTTGCTATGTTTACTCTTTGGCATTTAAAAACTTAGAATTTGTTGCCAAGTAATGTATGGTTAATGTTTATGAATGTCCTATGGACACCTGAAATAAGGCTATATTTTCCATTTTTATCATTTTCGGAATTATGTATCAGTCAGTTCTAATTTTGCTTATATTTTACATTCTTAGTTATATAATCTTTCATAGACTGAGAGAGAATTAAAGTCTCCTATTAATAGTGAGTTTATCTGTATTTTTAAGGTCGATTCTTTAATATTTGCTTTATGAATGTTTATGTTATGTTATCTGGAACACTGTCATAAAAACTCTGGGATAAAAATGTGAATTGCATTTCTTTTGTTTGCATTGGCCTAATATACCTTTGTTTCTCCTTTTATTTTTAAACATTCTAAGTCATTGTCTTATCTGTGTCTCTTTATTCTAGATTTATGGCCTAGATTTGGCTTTATTTTGTATGCTATTTTATAAATCTTGCCTTTAAACATGTGCCTTTACTCAGTTTATATTTATGATATGACTGATATATTTCATATTAGTTCTGTCAGACTATTTTAGGTTATAATTTCTATTTTATAGTTTTAACTTACAAGTCTTGGCATGTATTTAAATTGCATTGCTGTGTGTGCTGGGGTGTGTGTGTGTGTTTGTGGGTGTGGACCCTCTAATATATAGGAATATTTGTATTTATTGTGTACTTTTAACATTATCTTTTATACAATAAATCACGAAGAGGTTACCTAATACAAATGTAGTTCTCTATTTCTTTAACCTATTATTTACTTAATATAAGCACTAATAAATTAACATTCTTCTTCTTCTTTCTTAATGCTTTTTCTACTCCTGTAACCCATTTCTCAACAATTCATTCTCCTGAGTACATTAAAATATGTTTATGAATCTATCTCTTGCCTTCTCAGCTGTTAGAAAAGAGACAACACTAACATACTCTATCTCCTAACTTCTTTACACCTTTTTTCTCCTAAGTTTTTTGTGTCATTTTTACATGTCAAAAAATCTACATTTATATTTTGTTTTGCAATCTAATCCTACTTTTTTTTTCACTATCAGTTTTACACTTAAATATCTTTCAAGCGTCTAATGGCTGTCTGTCTTAGTTCATTTTCTGTTTCTTATAACAGAATGCCTGCAACTGGGAAATTTATAAAGAAACAAAGTTTATTTCTTACAGACTTGGGGCTGAGAAATCCAAGGTTGAAAGGCCACATCTGGTGAGCCCTTCTTGCTGGTGAGAACTCTCTGCAGTAGTCCCAAAGCAGCCCAGGGAATCAAGGGGTGAAGATACTGAGTGTGCTAACTCAGATCTCTTTTCCTCTTCATATAAAGTCACCAATTCTATTCCTGTGATAATCCAATAATCCATTAATCCATGCATGGATGAACTCATTCATAAGGGCAGAGTCCTCAGGACCCAGTCACTTCTTAAAGGCTCGACCTCGCAATACAACCACACTGAGAATTAAATTTCAGCCTGAGTTTTGGAGAGGACAAATATTCAACTATAGCATTCCACCCCTGGCCTCTCAAAGCTCATGTTCTTCTCACATACAAATACATTCATTCCATCTCCATATCCCCAAAGTCTTAACTTGTTCCAGCACCAACTCAAAATCCAAAATTCCAAGTCTCATCTGTGAGCATGTGAAATAAAAACAAGTTATGTGCTTCCAACATTCAATATAGGCATAAGATAGACAATTCCATTCCAACAGGGAGAAATAGTTGAAAAGAAAGGAATAACAGGCCCCAAATCAAGTCCAAAATCTAGCTGCGCAGACGGTAAATCTCAAACCTGGAGAATAGTCTTTTCTGACTTCATGTGCTGCTTCCTGGAGTGGGACAGGAGTTGGGCCCCCAAAGCCTCAGGCCACCCAAACCCTTTTCTGGATGCAGCCCACATGGCCGCTTGTACAGGTTGAAGTTCAGTGCCTAAAGATTTTCCAGGTGGGTGTTGCATACTGCTAGTGATTTCTCAGTCTGGTGTCCTGGTGGTAGTCTTGCTCCCACAGCTCCACTAGGTGTCGCCCTGGTGGAGACCCTCTGAAGCAACTTCAACTCCACAATCTAGCAAGGCTCTATGCAGTAGCTCTGCCCCTGTGACAAGTCTCTGCCTGGGGCCTCAGGCTCTTGAAAACATCTTTTGAAATCTGGGTGGAGGCTTCCAAGTCTCTACAGCTCTTGCTTTTTGCAAGCCTTCAAAATTAACATGTGGATGCTCCTAAGGTTTATGACTTGTACATTCTGGAACTGTGGCTGTGGAGCACTGTAGTAGGGTATGGGGAACAGGGTCCTGAAAAGGCTGGGCAGCAAGTCCGTGAAGAGTCCTGGGCCTGTCCTCCGAAACAATTCTGCCCTTTTAAAACTCTGGGTCTGTGATTGAAGGGGCAGCCTCAAAGATCTCTGAAAGGTCACTGGGGATCTTTCTTCCATTGTCTTGAGCAATGGCACCTAGTTCTCTTCTATCCATGCTCATCTCTTTAGCAAATGATCACTGGGCTCCAACCTTGGTTTCCTCTCCCGAATTTTTACAAAACTTTTTGTGGCCAGATACCTTAGTTCATCACTCTCAAGTTTGGCCTTCCACAAAGCCCTGGGGCATGGACACAGTGTGGCCAAGTTCTTTGTTAAATTATAACAAAGATGGCCTTTCCTCTAGTTTCTAGTATCTTGTTCCTCAGTTTTATCTGAAATCTCATCTGAATGACCTTTACTGGCCATATTTCTATCAGCATTCTAGTCACAACCACTTAACCAACCTCAAAGGAGTTCTAAACCTTCCTTAGTCTTGTCTTCTAAGCCCTCACCAGAATCTGGGCCTGATCCTTCAAATTCTTTTAGCCTCTGCCCATTACCCAGCTACGAAGCTGCTTCCACATTTTAAAGTGTTTGTTAACTGAAACAATCCCATTTCTGGTACCAATTTCCTGTTTTAGTCCATATTTCTGTTGCTTATAATAGAGTATGTGGAACTAATTTATAAAAAAACAAAATTTATTTCTTACCGTTATGAAGCCAGGAGGTCCCAGATTGAGAGTCCAAATCTGGTGAGGGCCTTCTTACTGGTAGTAATTCTCTATAGAGTCTCAAGGTGGCACGGGGTATCACATGGTGAGGAAGCCAAGTGTGCTAGCTCAGATCTCTTTTCCTCTTCTTATAAGGCCACTAATCTAATTCCCATGATAACTCATTAACCAGTTAATGCGTTAATCTATTTATGAAGGCAGAGCCCCCAAGCCCCAATCACCTCTTAAAGTCTTCAACTCTCATTAGTATCACATTGGAGATTAAATTTCAGCATGAATTTGGAAGGGGCAAATGTGCGAACAACAGCAGTCCTTCCGTACATAATTTCATCAGACACCGCTTGATTGGCTGTAGTTTATCTTCAAGCACTGTTCTCAATAAGAGAACCCGGGGTTAAAATTCCTTGATTTCTAATAGGTACATGACTTTCCATAGGCTTGATATTGTTGGAAAGCTTGACTTCGTTGAACATGTAGTACTATGCACTTCATGTTTGCTAAAATTTTCCCATGAATTTCTGATTGGTGTTGCTGTATTTTCCATGGCATTAAATTTTGCTGGGAGAAATTAATCAGCCAGATATTTTGTTCCCTCTACATAGGATACACATGTAATGCCTCACATATTTGTATTCTGTGCTTGTCCTGGGGCCATAAAATTCTCTTTCATATTATTCCAATTTTAATATGTATCCGAAGAGATCAGCATTCGTCATATTTGAATAGACTTAATTGTTATTAGAATGATTAAATTAGTTGAATTTTTCCATAAATATTTTGAAAATTTCAATTCAGGTACAGGAAATAAGACTTTTCAAATCAAAGACATAACAATTTTCTAACCAATGAATTGAGAAACTAGCTTAAAATGTAATATATAATTCATGTGTTAAGTGAAGTCCCCTAAAACACTTTTATTTGAAGCAGGCTAGTATAACTCGACATACCTTTTTCCAGAGTTATCATATTCACAGACATTGATTAAAATTTCAAAATTTTCCATTGGTCTCACCTATACACTCTTTGTTTCTATTTGATAATGAGATTTCTTAGACCATAATATTAGTATTTTCCAAAGTACTTCCTTATAATCTACTGGAAGAATGTTGAAAAAGCATTCCTGCTGACCTCTCTAACAATTAATTAGTTTTATATTAAGCGTAATGTTATATCTATATTTTATTATAATTGGGAGAACAGTGATAAAATTTTTCCTTCTTCACTCTGCACTGTGATTCATAGCTATTTTGTTAGGGTTTCATCAATCTAATAAGCTATAAGTTATACGATTTTGATAAACAATTTTAAGAAATTTTTACTGAGCACATACTATCTTCTAGGGGCCATTCTAAGTTTTGGGACATACAAATCAAAATAAGTAAATAAATAAATAAATAAATAAATAAATAAAGCCAAAACCGGCTATAGTGATAACTGGTGCTGTGTCAAGTATGACACAGCCATACCCCAGCTGTTAGGAACAGCACACCCTAGCGGCTTATAGCTGCATTGATCCCTGGGATTGGCCTTGGCCATTGCAACTGCTTGGTCCAAGGTTAGGTTGCCCCTTTCTCCAACCCCCTACTGCACCCTCACTAGAAGCACCCACTGTGAAAGGGCATCTCAACTCCAGAGCTTCTTATAGAACCAATAAAATTTCAGTTGCAATTTCATTCCAGGTCAGCTTCTCCATGTGCTCAATCCTGCTTTTCTAACTATCTTAGTAATATAGGGCTGAAAAACACTGCCAAATAAATCTGCAAGTTACCTTTCATCTCAGAGTCTCTTTCTATGGAGTCCATTTTCAGATCCTCCCCATGACACTTATATCCCACTTGAGAAACAAGATAATAAATGAAAAGGCAATTCACTGGAAGTAAAAGATGTTAATAATTATTATTAAGGATATACATAGTTTAAAAGTTAAACACATACATGTGTGCATTTGTACTTACGTGTATGTGTGTTCTCTGTGTATTTATGTTAATCTTTGAAACATATGTAAATAAAAATCCCAAAGCTTCTATTATCAGCTAAGTCTTAATTGCTTGTTCACTGCTCTGAGCTAAACAGATGTTATACATGCAAATAAAATTAGAAGACCCAAATGAGGAAAATGGGATATCATAGGTTTCTGGTTTGGAAGTGTCTAGTAATTGCAATAAACTTTGAATAATAAAATATCTTGCCAATATGGGAGGCCGCATAGCAGTACTCTGATGAAGTAGTGATAACATAATTTATGCTATCATGAAACTCTGAGCTATGAAGATCTTCACCTAGGGGGATCAGTATTCCCTAGATTACCTTAAACTTTGATAGTAGCTGCTGGCAACATGTGCATCCTGGATATCCTCGGCCTCTAAGTTCTTTCCACCTGCCAAATTCACACACAACAAGATTCCCAAACAGGGATGAGACCACGAACTTAGCAGAGCTACCTTATGTGACATCTAAAGAGGCAACCAATCTGAAATCAATCTATGAATAGATAGAGCCTAGTATCTGGTTGATTTTAGTTTTGTTTCGAACAGTTGCTCCCATCAAACAAGTAGGGGATCAGTGAGTATGTAGAAAATAGTCATGAAGTTTTAAAAAACAGATGGGTCTTTCAGAAATGCATCATCTTTTTTAAAATGACATTTCAAGAGGGAGGTGCATTTTCAGTAATTCTACAGTCGAGTAGTGTCTCAAAGGCTGATAAAACATCTTAATAACCTGTACTAGCTCCCCAGTCATTACCATTGTATGGAATTTTGGGATAAGTTCAATATCAATATTTATAAAGCCAAATTTTCACTATTTTTACATGTTTTAAAGAAAAACAAAAAATCATTCCTCAGGGATGCACTAATTTAAATCTGACACCTGTGGACATTGACTTGGCTAGAATTTACTATTTTTTCTTTTAATATGAGAAAAACATTAGCAAGAAAATTAGTAATTTGAGGATATTCTCAGTTGGTATGTTTAAATGCTTGAGGAAAAAGGTCAATGTTAAGCTCGTAATTAAATGTCATAATTAAAGATGTGATAATTACAAGTTACATTTTTTCATTAAAGTAACTTCCAAAGATCTTTACTTTTATAATGCCATTTTTGAGTTACTGCTACTCCTGTTATAATGTAATGAAAAGGCTTCCAATATGTATTACTGTATTTGTATATGTTGCTAAATCACACTGGTCTACTTACCCAATTAATAAAATGTGTTAGACATTCCTTCTATATGCCTTCCTCAACATGGGTGCAGTGATGTGTGAGCTGAACTCTGAAATATCTATGCTAACAAAACACAGATAAATTTCACATAAGCTCATAAATTTCTATTCATCTTTTCAGATAATATTGAAAATCCACCTGACTATAGACTTACTTGTCCAAGTTGTATGAAGCCTATCATTTGATTGGTCCAGTATATTCATATGTTTTGCCTCCCCAGCCCAGAGATGTCATCATGGGGCCCTCCCTTAAGAAAATGTAATAACAAAGAATATACAACTGTTTATAATATTTTAAATTAAAACTCAGAAAATCCATGATTTATTTCACACTTCATAAAAATCTCTCTTGATACTCAACTTGCCACCAAAAGAGGAGCTTCACAGAGTTCACATTTAATATCTCTCAACAGAGAGACCTAACCTTCTGTGGACTTTCTCCAAGATTTCACATTATGATAGCCCTGGTAGAAACAGAAAAGTTCATCTGGGGCCACATGTCAGTAGAAGCTTGAGAAATATTTATTTGAGAAATAGGATCGTGCCTCTCATGGTGGGACTCCTGTGGAGATTCATTAAGCGTGCAATTAACAAAAGTGCATTAACAAAAGGCAGCCTCTTCTATTTAAATAGAAAAACTCAATGAACTTCTGCCAGGGGATAGTTTTAAAAGTAAGACATAGATAAGCACATTCTTTAAATATTCAGAAAATTGCTTTTTGAATTATTTTTTAATGATGCAAGTTTTCTTTACACATCTGGAAACTAGCTATACTTGTAAAGAATTATACTATTTGGTACTTAAATTTTTAAAAGTGTAATAACTGTTTTTCACATTCCTCCATGTCATCATTGTGAATACTAACACTGATCCAGGCCATGGTGGAGATCTCTTCCGGAGACTGGATTTGCCCTTTACTGGGTGGCTTTATTTCTTCTATTTCCTTTTGACGTATTTGTTTTCACTTTTGTATCTGTTAGATTCACAGTCGTTATTCACTAACACCCGTGAACCTGCTTCTTCCTACCTTCCACTATTATTAGGTGCCTAAACTCTGCTGTACCAGTAGTGATTTGCATTTAACTAATTTATGTATTATAGATGTGTGTACACAAGTATGTGTAGACACACACATATATTCATGTATACATGTATATATCTCTCTTGTGTGACACCTAAATATTGATGTTTTATTTTTATATCTATTTACAATATTGTTATAAAATATAAATATAAAATGTTTTTATATTTATAATTCATACAATAAGCTATTCATGAATTAAATGAGTCAAAAATTCATGCATTTCTAATATAAAAATGTATAAGCATTTCCAAAATGTTGTGAAAACACAAATTTATTGCAGTATTAATGTTCAACAAGTGATACAATTTGGATGTTTGTCCCCTTCAAACGTCATGTTGAAATGTAATCCCCAGTGTTGGAGGCGGGGCCTGGTGGAAATTGTTTGGATCATGGGGGCATATTCCTCATGAATGGCTTAGTGCCATCCCCTTGGTGATGACTGGGTTTTTGCTTTGAGTTCATGTGAGATCTGGTTGGTTAAAAGTGTGTGGCACCTCCCCCTTCTCCTGTTTGCTCCCTCTCTCTCGACCATGTGGTATGCCTGCTCCCTTTTTACTTTCTGCCACGATTGCAAGCCCCTGAGGCCATCCCTAATGGCAGATATTAGTGCCATGCTTCCTGTACAGTCTGCGGAACCGTGAGATAATTAAACTTGTTTTCTTCATAAATTACTCAGTCTCAAGTATTCCTTTTCAGAGACGCAAGAACGGATTAAAGCAACAAGCATAGTCATTTTGATAGAAAGTATTAGCCTTTACTGACTCTCCTACTTTCTTCTACTTGTATTTCCACCAGTGGTGCCTACTTATTGCCACCTCTGTGGCCTGGTCTAACTGTGTTCCTGAATTCTTCATTACCTCTGTTTGGATCACTTAGAACCACTGCTTCTGGGCAGCTCCTCTGCCCAGATCTTTTAACGTTCTCTCACCTACCAACATGGGAGAGATTACCCTGATTTAATCTGTTTTCTATAGAGGCATCCACCTGCTTCACAGGGCCCTCCCACAAGATCCAAGCAAAACTTTTCTTTTTCCTTGGCAGCATGGGAGATGGGACAGACAATCATGAGGAAGTCATTGTTAGAGCTGAGTGAAAGCATAAAGAGGGCTTCTGTTTTCAGGGACAGTGAAGGAGGAACATGGGGCAAAAAGCAAACAAACAAACAAACCAAAAAACACTCTCCTGCTGAGAATGACTGAAGCTACTAATCAATCCCTGAAATAAAGTGCTTAAGGAAAATATTGGTGTTCTAGAATATCGGAATGCCCAATCTTGGTGTTGCAATTTTATGGAGAGCACATAAACCAAAAGTATTAAACTTGCATCTAAGTTAAGAATCAAAGGATGTGGGTTAGATTTGGAGATAGCTTCCTGTGAGCAAATTAACAAAACTTTGCTTGTTAAGATATTTGTTACTCATTCTCTGGTTCTCAATTGTACTTCAATTTCCAAATGTGTCACACAATTGATGGATGTATAAGTGAAACATGGCCATCATATAACATGAGCTGAAAATATTTATGTAAGAATAAGGTTGTGTTTCCTATTTTCCTGAGTAGGTTTAACTTTAAGTTATATGTAGCCCCATCAACTATGCTGCAGAGTTTCTACTTTTAATTTATAGTTATGAGTTATTACCTATTGTTCTACTATCCCGCCAAAAAAGTAAGATGGATATGGCTTCAATTTGAGCACAGGACGTGAGCCTACTGGCAATGTGATTTTCTTTACCCACTGTTCACTTCCACCTTTTTGTTCATCTAAGCATCCTCAGTTTCCCTCAACTGATTATACAGCCAATGATAAAATGGCTGAATATCTTATTTAAAATTTTGGTAAAGCCATTTAATCTCCCTAGGGGTAAATCTCTGTAGCCAAACTGTTACAATGTTTTTAAAAACATTGGCTGGCTCAATTTCAATCCTCTGGTTACCCACCTAATTCCCTATGAAATATAACTAGAATTCATAGGGAATTCCCAAATTCCCTATGAAATATAACTAGATAATTTTCCATTTTCCAATTGGTCACTTGGAATTGGACCTACCTGATACCATTGCTCTTCAAGCTTATAGAGAACAGCTCTGGTGAGTCTTCATCACACGATCTCTTTGTTTGAGGAAGAATAGTCCTGTTCATTTTCTTTTATTTTAAAATATAGTATATAGAAAGAAAAATGCATAAATCATAATAGTTCATCTTCATAATTATTGAAAAGTAAACACATCTGTGTAACTACCATCCAGATTGAGTAATAGCAAATTACCAGCTTTCCAAAAGACTGCCTCAGGCCCATCCCAGATGTTATCCCCCCTAAAATAAACATTATTCTGACTTCTATAACCATTGATTAGCTTTTTTCATTTTTGCTTTTATATGACAGAAATTGCAGAGCATATGCACCCTCATATCTAGCTTTTGTACTCAAATTTGTGTCTCTGAGATTTTTTCATATCATTGTATGAACTTAAATTTTATAGTATTATCAATATATGGGATGAATATACCACAAATTATATTTTCCATTCATGCTTGGTGGACATTTATATTATTTCCACTCTGGGCTATCATGAATAATGCTGCTTTGTATATTCTCATATATAGACATTTTTAAATATAATTCGGCAATTATGTTGAAAATACACATAGGAGTATACTTACTGGGTCATAAAATATACATATATTAAACTTTAGAAGATGTTACAAAACAATTTATCAAAATGGTTGTACCCAATGGAATTCCCACTAACAGTGTATGAGAGTTCCAGTTGTACCATGTCCTCACCAACATTTGTTACTTGCAAGTACTTTGTTTTGGTTTATTTTGCTACTTTGGTATGTAAGTGGGTAGATAAAGTTAATTTCCATGGTTGAGTTTGAACTGTTAGAGAAACTTTGCATTTCTGGAATAAACAAACATAACCCTGAAGAATTATCTTTGTAGAAACGACTGAGTTTAATTTTCTCATTTTTTTAAGGAACTTGGCAACTGTGCTTCTGAGAAAGATTGGCCTGTGACATTCCTTTCTTTTTGCTAGGTATTTTGATATCAATGTTTTCCTGACCCTAGAAAATAATTTGTGAATTGTTTTCACATTATTTATTCCTGAAATATTTTGTGTAATATTTATGTTGTTTCTTTCTTAAATGTTTGAAAAAATTCACTGGTGAACTCCTGGGCCTGTATTTTATTGTGGAAATGTTGAGATTCAAGGAAAAACACAAACCCGAAGTGTTTCTTGGCTCTTTTTTTTTTTTTTTTCTTACTCTCATGCATCTAGCTCCACTTAACACAGCATCTTTGGCCACCAAAATCTGTGGGGATTTCTACCTACCAGCAACCAATTAATTCTGCAGCAGACACCAGCTGAGTGGCCTCTAATTCAATTTAATTCTTGCTCTATCTACCTGAAGGTAACATCAGAGCTCACAGGTTGATGATGCAGTACCACAAGACTGCCCCCTACTTCAGGTGCCATTTGTAAGTACAGGTTGTGATCTGTGCTTCTGACTGACCAGCTATAAGTTGGGGTTTTCACAACCTCCTCTTTTGGTTTTATTAATTTGCTGGAGTGGCTCACAGAGCTCAGGAAAACACTCTACTTATCTTTATGGATTTATTATTAATAATACTACAAAGAATACAGATAAACAGCCAGATAGAAAAGATGTGTAGGGAGAGACATGGGGGAAGATGGGCAGAGCTTCCATGCTCTCTCCGGGCATACCACTCTCTAGGAATCTTCACAGGTTCAGCCTTCCAAAAGTTCTTCTGTCTTAGCCCTTTTGGGTTTTTATGAAGGCTTCATTACAAAAGGCACAATTAGGCTGGGCGCGGTGGCTCATGCCTGTAATCCCAGCACTTTGGGAGGCCGAGGCAGGCAGATCATCTGAGGTAAGGAGTTCGAGACCAGCCTGGCCAACATGGTGAAATCCCAACTCTACTAAAAATACAAAAAAATTAGCAGAGCATGGGTGCGGGCACCTGTAATCCCAGCTACTGGGGAGGCTGAGGCAGGAGAATCCCTTCAACCTGGAAGGTGGAGGTTGCAGTGAGCTGAGATTGCGCCATAGCACTCCAGCCTGGGCAACAAGAGTGAAACTCCATCTCAAAAAAAAAAAAAAAAAAAAAAAAGGGCACGATTAATTAAATCATTGGCCATTAGTTATCAACTCAACTTTCAGCCCCTCTCCCCCAGAGACTGAAGTTGGTCTGAAAGTCCCAACTCTCTAATCTTTCCTAGGTCTTTCTGGGTGACTAACCCCCATACTGAAACTATCTAGGGACCCCAGCCACCAGTCATCTCATTAGCACACAAAAGACACACATCACTGCAGACCTTCCCAGGGTTTGTGGAGTTCTGGCCAGCATACTGAAGACTAAATATACATTTCACAATATCACAGAGAAGTATGTTAATTAAGTATCCAGTTTTTAGTAGATATGGTATTTCAAAATATTTGTTCATTTTATGTAGATTTCCAAATATATAGTATACAGAAGTTAAAATAGAGATCAGACAAATGGAACGAACTTTTGTGACAGTAAGATATCGAATTCTAAACAAAACCAAAGGCCATACCAAATAAGGGTTAAGTCATGCACTTCTACACTTAAAAAATAAACTATGTTCAAACTGCCACAAGATTTTTTTCTTTTTCCTCTAGCAGCCTTTAGATAAACAATATTGAAAAAATTGCAGCCCACTGACTACCAGATACTCACTGATGCTCCACCCCATTTCACAGACCATAATTACAGCTTTGATTGGACAAGAGATGAATTTCAGTAACTCTCTGCTGATAAAACAACACTTACCATAGAATAGTTTTAGCAGGTTTACAGAGGCTGCACACTGAGGGCCTTCATGACCTTCATGACCCAGCTTCACCTTTTGATGTATAGGGCCTAAACATAATATATTTAAACGTTAAGGCTCTACTCCAAAGTGGACATGGGGTACATGTAAAATGCATATTTGCCTACTATGCATGTGTGCCCCCTTCATTAATATTTATAGCTCCTCCTATAACCTGTTAAATATGCATACTTAGGGTGGAACTTCCTGTTCTACCCTTCCCTCCCATCAAGTGTCTGCTTTCAGTTTCTGCCAAAGGCTGCTCTTCCCAGCCTGTAGGATGGTGAGGCTGCAGGCTGCAACCCTTTCTAAGAAATAAAGCATTTCTTTCCAAATGTATAGATCTCATCATTTCAGGTTAACACAGACATTCATAATATTATTGTGCTTTTTTTAATATATAAAATTTGATTTAAGGTCCACTTTTTATTTTGAATATTGGTGATCTGTGTATTATTATGTTAATTGCTCATTTTAGCAGTTTTATTTTCAAATAACCTTTGGCTTTGTTTATTATTTCTACTATAGATTTGTTTTAAATCTTATTTTCCCTTCCTTCTATACTTTATGGTGTTTAATTTCCTAGACTTATCCTAACATCTTTCTAAATACAACTTTCCCTATATCCCACAATTTTGTTTGTTCTCTTTCTTTCTTGGACCATGATTTATTTAGAAATGCATTGTTTAATTTCCAAAAAGTTTAATGTGTTATAATTATCTTCATATTAATCATTTTCTGTTCTGGAAGGTGAGTTAGTAGCTGATCTGAATTCTTCTCTGTAACCTCAGAAAGACCTGTACATGAATGATACATGTAGAATTATTTTATAATAAGTTAAGAAATGTGTAGGAATATACTAGGTTCACAATGAGTGCTATGTTTTGATGAGTACCTGTACTTTATTGTTGAGATTGCTTATTGAGTAACCTGTTATGGATGATACTGAGCTACTCTGGACAATGGAAGCAAAGCACACATTCAGGAGGGTATTATGTAATCAACATGTCATAAAAGCTGAAGGAGCCCCAGAGAGGCTAGCTTCTCTAAACTAAACTGGTCATTAGCATGCACATCCCAAGAGCATATTGCAGACATGAGATGGTGTGCCTGATATTACTGCTATGCTCCTGGTATTCATGCTGTATTGCATATTTTTATCTTTTCTTAAAGCTAAGTAAATTTGGTATGCATGAAGCCTCCTATGCCTTGTAATGTTGATTTACTTTTAAATTCAAGACAACTACACCTAGTCAAATTGAATGAACAATGCTTTAAAACTTCTTGAGGCTTGTTTTACAGATCTGCATATTGTTAATTTTGGTTAAATGTCCCATGTGCACTTAAAAAAAAAGTGTATTGTGAAGTTTAAGGTTGAAAAACAATGTGCGTTGTGAAGTTTAAGGTTTATGGTTCTATATCTAGCAATTAAGTCTACTTAGTTTACTATGGATAGCCTTGCAGAATTGTTTGCCTGCTTGTTGTTCTATTAGTATCACAAGACAGCATTTTAAAATCTCCCCTTCTAATTGCAAATATATCTATTTCTTCTTTTATTTGTTAGTTTTTTTTTCTTTTTTAAGATATGTTTTTAGATGACCACAAGTTTTAAAGTGCTAAATTATTTCAGAAGACTGACTCTTTATTTTAGGAAACAGATCTTTCATAATATACACTTCCTTAGAGCTACCTCATTGAATATTAGCACAGCCATATAAGTGCTTTTCTGAATTGTGTTGCCGAGCATATCTTGTCCTCCTTTCACTTTCAAACCTGTGTTGTCACAGGAATAGTTGTTGAATTTGTTCTTTTCATCAGGTCAGGTAATTATTGTCTTTACCTTGGCTTTATTTTTTTCTACTGAAAAACAAGCCAGTAATTTAATTATTGCTCCTTTGAACATATTGTATCTTACTTTTGTAATTTTTTCTTATTCATCTTTGGCTTT
Source organism: Homo sapiens (assembly GCF_000001405.40). Classification (NCBI taxonomy): domain Eukaryota; kingdom Metazoa; phylum Chordata; class Mammalia; order Primates; family Hominidae; genus Homo; species Homo sapiens. The sequence goes on along the minus strand of NC_000014.9, from coordinate 86,026,470 downwards.
CAGTAATTTTGTATAATCTATCTCAGTGGGGTTTTATTGTAAATATTCTGCTATGTGCAATTAGATATTTGAGAATCTGTGGCTTGATGTCTTTCATCAATTTTGGAACTATCTCTCCAAATAATGTTCAAATATTGTTGTTACCACATTCTATTTATTTTCTCTTCGTACTTTAAACTTATGGATGCTTGAATTTTTTAACGTGTCTCATACGAATCTCTAAGCTTTTTTTCTGTATTTATAAGTTTTTCCCTCTGTCAGTTATGATAATTTTTACCTAGTTAGCTTCCAGTTAATCTTTCCTATCTTGCTTCTTTTTTTATCTCAACACCATTTATTGAATTATTTATATTTTCTCTGATATTTTGAAATATCAATTTCACCAGGTTCTAAATTCTTTTTTTTATTATTATACTTTAAGTTCTAGGGTACATGTGCACAACATGCAGATTTGTTACATATGTATACATGTGCCATGTTGGTGTGCTGCACCCATTAACTCGCCATTTACATTAGGTATAACTCCTAATGCTATTCCCTCCTCCCCTCCCCCTACCCCACAACAGGCCCTGGTGTGTGATGTTCCCCTTCCTGTGTCCAAGTGTTCTCATTGTTCAATTCCCATCTATGAGTGAGAACATGCGGTGTTTAGTTTTTTGTCCCTGCGATAGTTTGCTGAGAATGATGGGTTCCAGCTTCATCCATGTCCCTACAAACGACATGAACTCATTCTTTTTTATGGCTGCATAGTATTCCATGGTGTATATGTGCCACATTTTCTTAATCCAGTCCATCATTGATGGATATTTGGGTTGGTTACAAATCTTTGCTATTGTGAATAGTGCCACAATAAACATACATGTGCATGTGTCTTTATAGCAGTATGATTTATAATCCTTTGGTTATATACCCAGTAATGGGATGGCTGGGTCAAATGGTATTTCTAATTCTAAATCCTTGAGGAATCGCCACACTGTCTTCCACAATGGTTGTACCAGTTTACAGTCCCACCAACAGTGTAAAAGTGTTCCTATTTCTCCACATCCTCTCCAGCACCTGTTGTTTCCTGACTTTTTAATGATCGCCATTCTAACTGGTGTGAAATGGCATTGCACTGTGGTTTTGATTTGCATTTCTCTGATGGCCAGTGATGATGAGCATTTTTTCATGTGTCTGTTGGCTGCATAAATGTCTTCTTTTGAGAAGTGTCTGTTCATATCCTTTGCCCACTTGTTGATGGGGTTTTTTTTTCTTGTAAATTTGTTTGAGTTCTTTGTAGATTCTGGATATTAGCCCTTTGTCAGATGGGTAGGTTGCAAAAATTTTCTCCCATTCTGTAAGTTGCCTGTTCGCTCTGATGGTAGTTTCTTTTGCTGTGCAGAAGCTCTTTAGTTTAATTAGATCCCATTTGTCAATTTTGGCTTTTGTTGCTATTGCTTTTGGTGTTTTAGACATGAAGTCCTTGCCCATGCCTATGTCCTGAATGGTATTGCCTAGGTTTTCTTCTAGGATTTTTATGGTTTTAGATCTAACATTTAAGAAGCCAAAAGAACAAAGCTGGAGGCATCATGTTACCTGACTTCAAACTATACTACAATGCTACAGTAACCAAAACAGCATGGTACTGGTACCAAAACAGAGATATAGACCAATGGAACAGAACAGAGCCCTCAGAAATAATACCACACATCTACAACCATCTGATCTTTGACAAACCTGACAAAAAAAGAAATGGGGAAAGGATTCCCTATTGAATAAATGGTGCTGGGAAAACTGGCTAGCCATATTTAGAAAGCTGAAACTGGATCCCTTCCTTACACCTTATATAAAAATTAATTCAAGACCTATCATTGTTTCTAATTTGCTGTTTAGCTCATTTAAATTAAAAATTTTAGTTGTAGCTATCACTTCTAATATTTTAATTACATAATTTTTTAGATTGCAGTACTTTGATAAATCTATTCACATTGTGTTTTATTTTCTTGAACATTTTCCTCATAGTTATTTTAAAGTTAATAAGTGACAAAGTTAAATGACTGATAATAATCTATATACTTCTGTTGTCTGTATTTTGGCATACTTTTAATCTTTTGAACCTCTCGGTAGGCATGCTGTAATTTTTTTTGTAAATTCTGGGCTGAGTGTATGAAACATTGTAGAGGCTGTAGATATTATGTATTTTTCTCCCTCAAGAGAAAAAAATACATAATGTTCTTTTAGAAGAGCACCTTGACTAAGTCTGTAATTGAAATAATTCATGCCTGAGTGAGGTCTGGCCTAGTCTTGTTCGCATTTATTCTGAGAAGTAACTTTTCAGGAAACTAAACTGAAACCCAGAGATATTTGCCAGGGTCCCTGCTCCTTGGTAGGCCCTACATTTCTAATGCTTCTTTTCCTGAGACCATCAGAAATTTTTCATTAGATTTTTAACCCATTATCTGCTATTCCCTTGGTTTTAAGAAGAAAAGCATTAGGGAACATCAGGCTCATTTCAATGAATTTATCTAATCTATGGTATCTTGTTCTCTCAAGTCATGGCTCCTTGGACATGCTCTGATGCCTTCAAGGAGCTATATTTAAACACATCGTATCCTGAATTCTAAATTTTTTGTGTGAGATTGCAGGTTTAATAAAATCATACAGCATGGTCAGATGCAAAAGTCTCAAAGTTGTTGCTAATTGTGCAGTTCATGTTAGCAGCTTTTAATACTTTTACTTTTTTAACATCACTGCGCTAAACTTACATGGGAAAAAGAAAATAAGAAAAAAAACAGACAAGAGATCTAATACTTGAAAAATACTTAGTATATAGCAAATATTTCAAACACACCAAAGCACTTTGTATTAGTTCTTTTTCATGCTGCTAATAAAGACATACTGGAGAATGGGTGATTCATAAATGATAGAGTTTTAACTGACTCACAGTTCTACATGGCTGACGAGGCCTCACAATCATGATGGAAGGCAAAGGAGAAGCAAAGGCACTTCTTACATGGTGGCAGGCAAGAGAGCTTGTGCCCGGGAACTCCCATGTATAAAACCATCAGATCTCATGAGACTTATTCACTACTACAAGAACAGTATGAGGGAAGCCACCTGCATGATTCAGTTATCTCCACCTGGCCCTGTCCTTGGCACATAGAGATTATTATAATTCAAGGTGAGGATTGGGTGAAGACACAGCCAAACCACGTCATACTTAAACCCCAGAACTCCACGTAGCATGAGAAAAGGTGGGAGGTATGGATTCTAGGAATTATAGATTTCTCTTCTGTAGGGCTACTATGTTGAGCATAATGAGTGATTCTTTCAGAAAAAAATAAAAGATAATAGTCAAACAAAAAAATTATTGAATCATAGAGGATAAAACAGACCACTAGAGACCATTTATCTCTCATGTTGCAGAAGTTACCTTACACACAAGGCAGAGTGCCTAGCTACTTCATGGAAGAGCTATAGATAGAAGCCATGCTTACAGAATTTTTCTTTAACTCTCTTTTAATGGTTCAAACTGTCCTTCTTGATAGTCATAAACTGAGTGAGGGATGAAGATACCTGCACATTGAAATAAACATTTTTTTTTCCATTTCAATGATAAATTTTAAAAGAAAAAAAAAGGCAGGGGAGAAAAAAATGTTGGCATTAGGGTCCTGACAATTTTCAATTTTTACCTGGCAATGAGGTTGATTTAACCTTCTGCGTGTGGTGCACAGGTTTGCTACGCCCATCCTACGTCTTAGTGCTCCAAGTGAAGCCTTCCATTACACACTAAAAAAATTGATGAGTGTGAAATAAATGGACCCAAACTGTGACTGCATACCGGTGTTACAAAGGAAGCAAGCCTGTCTGAGCAACAAAACCAGAAATTGGCCCAGGGCAGAAAGCAGGGAAGAGCACCCAGTCAAGTGCTAATCAGGTCACCTTCCCTGGCAGGCTCCCACAGATCATCTGTTATAGGCTACTGTCACATGCAAACACGTGTTTATCTGATCACTGAGACAGTGCTGAGGTTTGGCTTACTGCCTCTTGCAGATCTCAGAAGAGTTAGCCTCACTGAAATCTCTGGGTGAGTTTTCAATTGCACATTTTATGTTCTTTGCTAGTTCTGACGTTTCCAAATATTTCTCACCAACTTGTGGCTGAATGCAGGCCATCATGACATGCCCCAGAGGTGCCTAGCTAAGGCATGAATCACATAATGTCTATATTCACATTCTACGAAGTCCTCAGGGGTTGATGTAGTTGTGCATGTGAATTAATGTCCTTATAAAACCTAGCTCAGTATATTATTATTCAAACTTGATATCCAGTCTGTTAATGATTATTGGTCTGCAAGGCAATAAAGAATGTGCTGTTTTATAGATGGAGGCCTTAACACTGCAATGGTGTGTCTTAAATTGTTACCTTTTAACTTAGGATCAAGTTCTTATGGAAATTGAGGGAGCTCTATTGTGTTTTAATCATTAATTGAGCAAACAAATATTTATTGACTACATACAATATGATGGTCACTACACCAAGTTCTGGGATATGACTTTCAATGAGCTCTATTGTGTTTCAATCATTAATTCAGAAAATATTTATTGGCTACAGACAATATGAGTGTCACTATACCAAGTTCTGGGATATGACTTTCAACAAGGCAGATGTGTTGTCATCTACAAGTAGGTCAGAGTTTAATGAAGTAGTGGAAATATCACTAGATTGGCTGTCATAAGACTCGGATTGTACTTTTAAGTACTTCACAAACAGCATGGCACAGATCACTGCTTCTCCATTCATTAAGAGGAAGTAACTACCTGAAGATAAAGAGATGAGCCTCATTTCTCCCAAGAAAAACAAATAAGAATTGGGCCTTTGTATAAATTTCCATTTTTCTTTTTACTACCTGCATAACCTTGAACATATTACCTCACCCTAATTTTTTTAATCAGGAAAATGTGAATGATGATAATAGTCCTTATTTGGTTGGATTATTGAGGATATTAGATGCTCTAGATATATCACCTAGACTATTGTGCTTGGCATACAGTGTTCGGTAAGTGTTTGCTTTTATTATTCTGAAACTAAAGTAGTTGTTACATCTCTAGCAATTTAATTCAACACACATTAATTGAAGCCCCACAATGCTTGTGGCATGTATGAAATAAGACTCACTTCCTTTTCTCATTAGGATATTCACTATCTGGGGTGAAGGGCAGTACTTCCAGCCAAATAATTAAATCAGCATTATATTGTGCTTTCAGAAACAGAGTTATATGCAAAGTTATGTTTGTGCAAAGATGTGTAAAAAATCAAGTCTACCTAGATAAGCAATTATACAAACATTATGAAAGATGCAATCACTAAAACTCTAACAGATGAATAATTCATCAGAGAAGAATCTAAGATACATTCCAAGCCATCTCCATTACACTTTCTCTCTCACACTCTCCCACACATACAAACATGTGCACACACATAAAGTAACACTATAAACATTAGATAACATTCAGAATTTATGTCTTAACTCTACCCTCTTTCCATTAATTTCTCCTTGCCAGGGAATATAGATTACAGGGAAACACATGGTTATAATCAGACTTAGGTTTGATTTCTGGATCCTTTTATGTAAGTCTACTATCCCCCAATCCTAATTAATCTAGAGAATCTGTGTGCCCTCTTGCTCAGTAGGTATAAGTAATCATGCAACATACTTCTACAAATTTCTGTGCATTGAGCAGTCTAGATGAAATGAAAGTAATTTTCCAAGATCGTCTTTCAGGAGATCCAGATTTCATGCTTATCTGATTTCTTACCTATATATGTTTGGAAAGATACATAACTCATCTGCAAGCTGGAAAATGAGAGAAGCCAGTAGCGTGGCACAACCTATCAGTCTTCAAGCAGTAGGATAGAATATTGAATAATATCTTCATTGCTGCATTGTTTGTAGAATTTGAGACCATTTGACAATACAATAAATATTCACTGAGTGCCTACAAGCACTACTCTAGACATCAAGAAAGCATCAATGCACAGGACTCTTAAAATCTCTGCCACTTTTGAGCTGACATTCCAATTGTAATGGATATAAACTGAAATCTCAAACTGGTAAGCCTGAAATAAATATTAGCTTCTATCACCTTCAGCCTTACTATTGTAATTATTTCAAGATAACCCCTGATGTTCTCTGTAACAATATTTCACCTTTATAAAAATACTAGGTAACTGAGTGTTGAAAAGACAGTGTGCTTCATGTGTACAAAATGCGAAGAGAAAGGGCAAGAATGTAGAAAGGAAGAAAACTATAAAGGGATGTAATCAAGTCGAAATTGATTCAGTGAATTAAATTGCAATTGGCAACGCATTTCCTCCTTCTGGTAAACCAAATATTTCAGAAAAGATTATTTATGAATTATTTTTGAGACTTTTCTTTCACTTTGTGTGATGGTTAATATTAGGTGTCAACTTGACTGGATTAAGGGAGGCCTAGATGGGACTGGTGAAGCATTGTTTCTGGACCTGTCCATGAAGGTATTTCCAGAGGAGATTGGCGTGTGAGTCAGTGGACTGGAGGAGAAAGACCCACCCTCAGTAGGTGGGAAGACCCTCCTCTCCTGTAGCCACAAGGTTGAAATTGTTGAAAATAAAACACAAGCCCTCATCATGGCATTGGCTGACTTACAACAAAAGGTAAACTCTCAGCATTGTAGGGTGTTTACTGTTAAAGTGAGGACACTAATTAGAAAAGTACCATTCAATAAACTGAGGGTCTGGCTAGAACAGGGCTTGGGGAAGTAGGGTGGATATTCAACTTGCTTTGTTCCTTCTCTTTCTCCCTTTTAGACTGAATTGCCTTTTGTTCCTCCTGTCCTTAGACATCAGGCCCCAGATTACTCAGCTTGTGGACTCTGGGACTTGCACCAGTGGTCTTCCGGGAGCTCTCAAACCTTTAGCCTCAGACTAGGGGCTGCATTGTCAATTCCCTGTTGTTGAGGCTTTTGGACTTGGATTGAGCCATGCTACAAGCATCTTTCATTTTCCAGCTTGCAAATGGTATATCATGGTACTTCACCTTTCTGATTGTGTGAGCCAACTCCCCCCAAAAATTCTCTTTTATATAGATCTATTGTTTCTTTCCCTTTGGAGAACCCTGACTAATAGAGATTTTGGTACCAGAAGTTGTTCTAAAGGAACGGAATTTTAAAGATGAATTTTAATCGGTTTTGAGGTTTCTACAATTGGCTTTCTAATCTCATTAGACCTTCAAATGCTAAGGACTCTACTTCAAATATTTGTGGAAAACCAAGAAATGTTGGTTGATTGCTCCTGACATCACTAAACAAATAGATGGAATTAAAGGACAAGCTCAGGGATTTGGACTCTCAGCTGCAGATGCACATAAATAGCCTAAAAGCTTCTAAGTATTCTCTGAAGGAGAATCTTCTCTCCTGTAGCCACAAGGTCGATTGTTGAAAATCAAACACAAGCCCTCATCATGTCATTAGCTGACTTACAACAAAAGGTGAACTCTCAGCCTTGTAGTGTGACTACTGTTAAAATGAGGACATTGATTGGAAAAGAATAGGATACTGTACATTGGAATAAGGATGTATGGGAGGACTCCGATGAAGCTTGGGGACAATGAGCTCCTAAATTCTGATGAGCCTTTTTTGCCAGGGGAAGTGGCCTCCCTACTCCCAGTGGCAGTGGCAACAGCCCTCACAGTGGTTTTCATCTTTCTGCCTCTGTCTGGAGGAATTAACCATGCATTGCCTGAAGAAACAATAATGGCATCTGCTGAGGCAGTTGACAAATAAGACAATGCTGGTTCTCCTGGGAACCCACCCCCACCATGCCTCTTTTCTTCTAGAACAATGACTGGACTCAAGTCCCAGAGGCCCCTAAAGGTGAGGTGCAATGAGGAAGTGTGCTGTACTCCAAAGAACTAGCTGAGTGTTCTATTTTGTATACAAGCAGAAAACTGGGGAAACCTGTATGGGAATGGATATTAAGGTTGCAGGATAATAGGAGAAGGAAATAAAGCTGGATCAGGTTGAATTTATTAACATCGGCTCACTAAGCAGGGATTTAATGTTGCAGCTTGGGGAGTTAATAAAAGTTCTAATTATTTGTTTGGTTGGCTGAAATATGGATCACCATGAGAGCTAGAAATGCCTTCTCTTCCTTGGTTTAATATAAAGGAAGAGATTCAAAGGCTTAGGGAGTTAGAATGCTAAAGTGGATTTTTCACATAAAACCTACTCACCCACACTGGGAAGGTCCAGAAGATACACCTTTCATTAATACTCTGAGAAACAGATTTGTGAGGAGAGAACCAGCATCCTTGAAGACCTCTGAGATTTCTCTTCTATGTATTCCAGACCATACAGTGAGAACCACAGTCACTTAATTTTAAAACCTAAATGCAATGGGAGTAACTGGATCCCAAGGTGGTAGGGGCCAAATGGCAGCACTCAATTGCCAAAGGCAAGATGGACATGGTTACAGCAAGAGACAGCAGAGGCAAAACAACAATCAGAATAGTCTGACCCATGTAGACCTACAACATTGTCTAATTAATCATGGTGCTCCTTGAAGCAAAATAAATGGAAAGCCTGTTACATTCTTACGTGATCTGTATATGCAGAAAAAGTCTAGATCAAGTGAACACAAGTCTAACTTGAATCATAAAAATAGAGAATCATAGACCCTCAATCAATTTCCAGACTTGAGCCAGTTTATAGACCCAGAACCCCTTGAATGAAGGGGAGGCTGAGTCCCCTTGAGGAAGGACCCCAGGATACTGCCAACAATTTAAACTGTCAATCTTTTACATCCTTCCCCAAAGGAAACTCTGACCTCTTACTTAGGTAAATATATACTGGGGAAAGGAAAATAATCAGAACTTTTTGGGACTGCTGGACACTGACTCTGAACTGACATTGATTTCAGGACCTGAAACATCATTGTGACCCTCCATTTAAAATAGGGGGTTACGAGGGTCAGGTGATTAATGGAGTTCAAGCTCAGGTTCAATTTACATGGGTTCCCAAACCCATCTTCTGGTTATTTCCCCAGGTCCAGATGCATAATTTGAATAGACCTATTCAGCAGCTGGCAGAATCCCCACCTTGGTTCCCTGATCTGTAGGGTGAGGACTATTATGGTGAGAAAGGCCAAATGAAAGCCATTAGAACTGCCTCCACCAAGAGTAGTGTTTCTATACATCAATAATGATGAAATAGCTGAAAAAGAAAGAAAGAAAGGATTCCAATTTACTATAGCTACAAAAAATAATACCTAGGAATAAATTTAATCAAGGAGGTGAAACATCTCTACAATAAAAACTACTCAACATTGATAAAAGAAATTGAAGAGTACACCAACAAATAAAAAAGACATCTCATGTTTATGGATTAAAATAATTAATATTCTTAAAATGACCATATTACCCAAACTGATCTACAGATTCAATGCAATTCTTAACAAAATACCAAAGGTATTCTTCGCAGAAATAAAAAAAAATCCTAGATAACAATTTGTATGCAGCCACAAATGCCTCTGAATAGCCAAAATATTTCTGAGCAAAAACAAAACAATGCTGGAGGCATCATACCACTTGGCTCCAAAATATATTACAAGGTTATAACAACCAAAACAGCATGGTGCTGGTATAAAGAGAGACAAATAGACCAATGGAATAGAATGGCAAACCCTGGAAATAAATCCATGTATTTAAGGCAACTGATTTTAACACAGGTGCCAAGAACATATACTGTGGAAAGGACAACCTCTTCAATAAACGATGCTGTGAAAATTGAATTTTCATATGCATAAGAATGAAACTAGACATCTATTTCTCTACATGTACAAATGTCAACTCAAAATGAATTAAAGACTTACATATAAGACCTCAAACAATAGAACTAATAAAAGACAACATAGGAAAAATATTTCAGAATTTTGTTCTGGGCAAAAATTTTACGGATAAGACTTCAAAACCATAGGCAACAAAAGCAAAGATAGATAAATGCAGTCTTATCAAACTATAAAGCTCCTGCACAACAAAGGAAACAAGAGAGTGAAGAGACCCCTATAGAATGGGAGAAAATGTCTGCAAATTATTCATCTGACAATAGATTAATATCCAGACTATGTAAAAAACTCAAATAAGTCAACAGCAAAAAGAAACCTCACAAATAATTCCATTAAAAATGGGCAAAGTATCTGAATAGACATTTCTCAAAAGAAGACATACAAATGGCCAATAATTATATGGAAAAATTCTTAACATCACTAATCATCAGGGAAATGCAAATCAAAACCACAATGAGATGGCTAACTTTGTTGGAATGACTCTTATCAAAAAAATGAAAAATAACAAATGTTGGCAAGGATGTGGAGAAAAGGGAACTCTTATACACTGTTGGTGGGAATGTCAGTTAGTACAGACGTTATGGGAAACAGTATCAGAGTTTTCAAAAAACTACAAATAGAAATACTATATGATCCAGTAATCCTACTGCTGGGTATTTATCTAAAGGAAAGAAAATCAGTATATCAAAGAGATATCTGTGCTCCCATGTTTATTGCAGCACTCTTTACAATAGTCATGATATGGAGTCAACTTAAGTCTTTATCAGCAGATGAATGGATAAAGAAAATGTTCATATATACACAGTGGAATACTATTCAGCCTTGAGAGAATAAAATCCTGTCATTTATGGCAACATGGATGAACCTGGAGTACATCATGTTAATTGAAGTGAGTCAGACACAGAAATACAAATATCACATGTTCTCACTCATATGTGAGAGATAACAAGTTTCGCTTCTAAAAATAAAGAGTAGAATTGTGGCTCTTCAAGGCTGAGAAGGGTAGTGGGGAGGGAAGGATAAGGAGAGGTTATTTAATGGATACATAATTATAGCTAGAAGGAGAAGTCTAAGGTTTTATAGCATTATAAGGTAATTATAGTTCATAAAAATTTATTGTATATTTTCAGATAGCTAGAAGAAAGGATTTAGAATGTTCTCTACACAAAGAAATAATTAATGTTTCAGGAGATGGATATGCTAATTATTCAGATTTGCTCATGAGATTATATACACGTATCAAAATGACTGTAATTATTTTGTACTGCATATGTGCAATTATTTTGTATCACTTAAACATTTTTCAAAACTACACAGTAAATAAAATAAATTATCCTCTAAAATGTAATAGATGTGTGTGTGTGTGTATAAGGAAATATTCATGAAGCATTCGTTATATATCAGATTCTATTCTTGACCCTGTAGATTTTGCATACTTGGGTGTTAGTATACATCCTAGGGTCTTCACATTGCCTATGTCAGTGCATGCAGAGTTCATCGTAAATTTTTATTAAGTTCTTGCCAGTTTTTACATTTCCTGTCTTCTGTTTTTCTCTTCAGGTACATGGAACAGAGGCTGTTAGGAAATTTGCCTTGCAACTAAAATTTAAGCAAAGAAACAACTTGTCATCTACCTGTTTACCTCTAACAGAAGCTTATACACATATGCATGGGCTTGGAGAAAATGATATTCACTTAAAAACAATATAATAATGACATGTACAGAGCCATATAGCTCCAAAACCTTTCAAGTGCTACGTCCATTTGTGAGGACATATTTATCAGTCTAGTACTACCTTGTAACAGTACAAAAGTACATTCACATTATTTTTTCTAAAGGAGCTTAGTTCCTAGAGGGAAAAATACACTCTTCTCAAAGTTTTATAATAATAATTAACATACCCTACATGATGTTTGTGAGACTCAAATAAGGAAAACAATGGAATATGCTATATAAGAGCAACATATTATTGTCAAAGTTTTATTTCTTTTTCTCTATCTTTCAAACAAATCATAATCTGCTTTGGTTTTTAAAAGTAGTTTAGTCGTAGAATACTCTGTTCACATAATTTATGTATTCACATTAATCACATAATTTATAAATCATAAAATATGACGATAGTGGTAATAATATAAACAATGATCTAAAAGTATGTTAAAAGTTATAATCTTCGCATCGCACTCTCATGAAGTAGGTTAATAGACAATACATGGCTTGCCTAATTGCACATAGAAATGACTGTTTGGGCCAAGGATTCAAATCTGGGGCATGCAGGCAGAAGTCCTGTTCTCTTGATGTTCATTCTATGCTCTTTAAATAAACCCCATTTTAGTCACATTAATCATATAAATAAATATTTGATTGTTAACCTATTATCATTCAGAGGAACGAGCTTTCATATTTGACTATATGATTTACAATTACCTGGGACCAATTTATGGCTTTTCACTCAAAACAGGTGATAATGTAAGCTGTTCGTGCAAAAAGAATTAGAGAATTGTTGGAGGATTAGTGCTTCTTCTAGCCCTTCTGACCACCAATCCAAGCACAGTTATGAGTAAACACATTTTAAAAAATGATGAGGCGAGAACTCTTTTGGCATATCATTTCCCTTAATTAGTCTGCCAACAAGCATAAATGCCTGCTCTCAAAGCCTGAGTAGCAGTGAACCCACAGTAGCACAGACTTCTAATGCAAGATTTGACCTTGCCCTTATTGCTCAACATTCTATAGGTGATGACAGTGAGTTGAGTCCTTTGATGACATAGACTGTTTACTTAAAGTCCTTCCATCGGAGGCTTAACAACGTAATACAGAGTTGAATAAAGTGGTTTGCAGTCCTGTTGTCAAAAAAAATAAAATGCACTGTCCACAGTGTCCTGGAAAACTGTTAACACATTGTTAGTAGTTTCCAAGCAAGGATATTGTTAAACACATTTCATGTTAATGTAGTCTAGCTCAGTGGCAATTTTCTCCTAGTAAAGAAATATGAGGTTCTTAAAAGGTTTAAGCAAATAATACAGAGTAGGCTTGAAACACTCACAAGTCATGAATTGAACTTTCACTCCTTGTAGTTTAATAACTAAATAATACATTTTATAACTAATTACAGAGAATTTTTTATGTGTTGACTTCCAGTGGGTCACATTTTTTATAGACATATAATATTAAGAAATAAAGTAAGAGGTATCACTATTTTATGTACATTTAGCTGGAAGTTTTTAAGCAAAATTAAGAGGTGGAATGTGATTGCTTGTTCACTCTACAGTGAGTTGTTAATCAGCAGAAGTTAATAAGATTCAATTAAGAATTAAATGCTTATGAGAAATTTAATAGTGTGTTCCTACCAAAAATAAAAATAAAATAAAAGAATTTCTCTGTAACAGTAGTATAGAGGTAAATAGCTATCAGGTCTCAGGCATGATGGAATAAAATAACCCAGTACCAGAGTTAAGACGAAATTTCCTTGGTGTGGCTTTTTTTCTCAATTAGGGGCATCACGGTGAGTTTATTCCTGTCTTCTAACACATCCATCATTCGATGCAGGAGGAAGCAGGAGGCTCGACTAGATGGACCATTACCAGCTCTGGTATATAAATTCCTGTTTGGAGGCCATGGAACTCTCCAAATTCTAATATCCAACAGGATTTTTGTCTTGGCTCTGGAGACTAAATCATCTCTTTGACCAAAGGAGATAGATTTATGCTGCTGAAAAGCAATGCACCCTCTGGAGCAGAGGAGAGAAATTCTATACCACCCAGAGGAATGTGTCCTCATTTTATCTATTAGTGATTTTAAATCCACAGTATTATTTTTCCCCCAGAGAGTTTGTTTGTGTTAGTTTGGTTCATATCACATCTTTTGGATTTGAGGGGTTGAATGTATAAAAATTGAGTATTTGGCCCAACTTCTGAAGCTTTAGAGAGAATAAATCCCTTCCAATATGAGTGTTAAATGAGCCACAGCACTGATTTATTGTCTGCTAAACACTGGAGAATGTGGAGTCTTTGTTAGGGAAACGAGGCAATGAGGGAAAACTGAAATGTTGACAGGAAGGTTTTCATATTAAACTCTAGTATTTTCCATCAAGCAGCCATGCATTTTCTGGTGATTAAAACTGAAAATTAGAAGTAGGAATTTGCATCCCTATTCACTACAAATAAATTAACTCTACTGTATAACTGGTACATCCTTGAGAACACTGTTAGAAGGAAAAATAGCACAATGGTAAGACAAGGTACACACACACAAATGAGTATTTAAGAAGACAGGCAGTAAATGTTTCATTGGATTGTTTTTCTATGAAATCAAGAATAAATTATCAAGGGTCAAAGGATCTTAACAATTACCTTTCCCAGACTTCTTATCTGGAATTTGAGTTCCTTTGCAATATTCACTCATTTACCATTCACTCTGCCTTGCTCTGACTTATGATTGAGAATAGCTAATGGCCAGGTGCGGTGGCTCATGCCTGTAATCTTAACACTTTAGGAGGCTGAGGTGGGAGGATCACTTGCAACAGGAAGAGCTAACTATATTGAACACATTTTTCTGTAAGGAAATATGTACATGCACAAGTATCTCATTTCTTGAGGAGACATCTCTGTTGTAATAAAATTATTATTTATATTAAAGCAAAGTTAACATCCTTCTTACTGTTTACTGTGCACCAAGCATTGCCAATTTTCTGGGCATTTAATCAAATAAACAAACAAAACAACCCTTTAGGATAAGAAAGACAAACCTCTTCCTCTGCTATGGATTTGCAGTGTCTGTGTGGCACTTTTGACTAACAGAGCAAACCTTGTGTTTGTGGGCAAAAGAGAAATGTTTATAGGTTTCAGCTATATCACAAACCTAGGTGATATAAATGCACAAACAAGAGTGCATTTGAAGTGGAGAGACAATCAATAGACAACTGGCATAAATGGAAAACTAGAGGCAGAAAAATCAGATTGAAAAAAGCATTGCAATGCTATAAGAAAGATTTCATTCAAGCCAAGTCAAGGACAGAGGAAGTATATAAAGGGGTGAAGAATGCAAGAGACATCTCAATGATGAAGTAAATAAACTGATGTAGGCTTTACTCTATAAGAACCATGTGATATGTTAAAAAGCGTATGAGCTTTGGAATGACTGAAGTAAAATTAATTCTTATTTGAATCTGAGCTCTATTATTTGCTTTCTGTGTAAATTTAAAAAAATGAAAAAGAAAAAACTACTAAATTTTGTCTCAATCTCAGATTCTTTCTTATATAAGGTTGTAAATAATATGGGATCTCTCAATATTGAGATGCCTAGCACAGAACTTAATACATAATGGCTGCTACATGAATAACACACATCATTGTTAACTATTCTAGTAGCAAACTTTGGTTTTCTCTTTTAGACTTTATTTGTGGTAAAGAACACCGATATCTTGTTTACTCCTTACCCTTCCCTATTACCCTGCTAAAAATCCACCTTTCCTGTCCTCTCCTGCCATCTTGCACATACATACAGTACCCATTAATTGTTAAGGATTAGAATTATGAGTCAGGATCAATATAAATCAAATATTAATTTCTACAGAAGTGTTTATTAGTACAGTCTTATTCTATTACACATACAGCTAATAGAAATAATGTCTGTGCAATAATTTTTGACTTAATATGAAAGCTAATTGTTAAAATTATGTTTCCAAGATAATTTTTTACGACCTAACACAGACAGGTTGCAACTAAAAGGCACATTATATCATTACTCCAGGTTCAATACTTCATAAAACAACATTAGTTCTTTGCAGAGAGTAAGTACTTTCTGCAGAAAAAAATGGTTGAAATTTATATTTTAAGATGTCTCATGGTCTATGTTCTTTCCCTGCTGGGTGACACTCAATGAATACTCCACCTTCTGAATGACCATACCTTTATGGTAGAAGCTGGGTAGAAGGATGACAAATACCTTAACTGCACGTCTTATGTTCAGGGAATTCCTTGGGAATTCCATCAAAGTAGTTCTGCCTCAAAAATGGCTAAGGGCAAATCCTGTGATAAAATTAGTGTTCTCTTTTGGCTTTTTGCCACTATTATTTACGTTCACTCATTCAAGAAATTTTCTGAGCTTCAAAAACATATTTGTATCAAATTGGAACAGTCATTATAATATAAAATTAGCCACTTTCAAGCCCTGGTGTTCATCTTTCACAATCCAGGCAAATTTAAACCTTTTCTTATGTATTTCTTGATTCGGTAGAAATAAATTCTTCCCTTCTTTGTCCTCCTTTGGAAATAATTGATGTCTGTCTTATTTTGCTTATTATATTCAGCCTTTCACTGCAACTGGGGATATTCATCTCTCAATACCAGATTATACACTCTTAAGGCTTTTGTGCCACTCAGTTTCCCATATAGCTTGGCATTATATCTTGTAAGCATAGGGCTCAATAAATGTGTGGTGAATTGAATTGATCTGAGACAAATCACATTCCAGAGCAATGTGCATGGATCTTCAATAGAGAAATTATACAGAAGAAAGATAATTTAAGCAAATCATTCTTTCAAAAGCCTTAACCTTGACCTTAGCTAGTCCCTTTCTGATGGTTAATTTTATGTGTCATCTTGCCTGGGCACAGGCGCCTAGATATTTCATTAAACATTATTCTGGTTGTATCCGTGAGGATGTTTCTGGATGAGATGAACCTTTGAATACAGATTGAGTTAAGCAGTTTGCCCTCCCCAATGTGGGTGGACTTCATCCAATCCCTTGAAGGCCTGACTAGAGCAAAAGGTGGAGTAAGGGAGAATCCACTCTCTGACTGACTGTGTTTGAGCTTGGACATGAGTGTTCTGCCTTGGAGCTCAGACTGGAATTTACTTAGATCATTAGCTTTTCTGGTTCTCAGGTCTTTGAACTCAGACTAGAAATATACCATTGGCTCTCCTGGGTCTCAAGTTGCCAATTGCAGATTGCGGATTTTGGGACTTCTCAGCCTTTGTAACAATGTAAACAAATACCATATGCATATAAGCCATATATATGCATATATGCTCCTAATTTGTTGTTTCTCTGGAGAACTAAGACTAATACACCCTCATAATAAGTTTATCAATCCAAGAAAGAGAGAAAAGTGCGCTTAAAATGCACATGCTACATTGGCCTATGTTCTCTTGTCTCCATTGTCACCCTAAAGTGTTGACAGCGAGAACAAAGAGTCAATTATGATGCTTAAATCATATATTATCTATATCTGGGCATTCAACTGACATAAGTAACACATGTTTTGCATGACCTTCAATGATACCCCTTGTCTCATCACACTAAGAATAAATAAGCACTCAACACTCTGGGTGCCCCACTTCCCCCTTACTGTCTGCCAGCTATAGCTAACATAACCCTGAGGGACAGTGATCACCCTAAACAGGAATTCATTGCAACTTACAAGTTGGGGGTCTGAAATATTTTACCTGGAAAAATCTATCATACAATACCTTCAGACTACTTGTTTATGTCTCTTTAAAAAGTACAAATAACTTCAAACGTAATCACTAACAACGAGATAGCAACAGAAAAAGTAAATACCCTCCCCTCAACCTCAAGCCTATGGAATTAACAAGATCAACCAGGAAATTATTTAATTAACTAAGGTGAAAGACTAAAAGTGGCATTTTGGTTTCATTGTACAAACGATGCCACAACAAAACCCAGGTAAATCAATAAATAATCACACACATCAATTGTGTAGAGAACATATACTGCAAATCACTTAATAAGATAGTTTTAATTATCAGGAATGGCCACCTTCATTTTATCTTACATTTTATTTAAATTCATTATATTTTGAAAAATTTTGCATCCTGTATGAGAAACTAGCTTCAAAAATACAATTAAACTTTCCAAATGCCTCAGGGAGTATGTCCTTTTCCTATCCTCCCACCATAAAATTAGAAAGGAAGCTGATGGCTATTTAGCTGAGAGGATCCCTGTGGGTGACTGGAAAGTTGCTGGGGAGGAACAGAGGAGATATTACCTCTATCAGGAAGGTCACCGTTATTTCAAAGGGAATGGGTTTTTGCCTCAGTGCCTATAATACTAATGTGTAGATCCAGGTGCTATACATTGACTTAGCATTTCAGGAAAGTACAGGCCATGCCAGTGAGATACACTGACATAGAATGCCAGGAGACACCTATTCAGATTTATCAATATTTACTCTAATACTCTCTAAAGTCAAGCTACTTAAACATTGAAGTCACATATATCCATGTAACTAAAGAAAAAGACTTTCTGTAAAGCACTAAAGGACCATATCTAGGTCTTTATTTTCTCTTGCCAAAACCATAAAGTTTGTGTAAAGATCAATTGAAAGAATACAGGGCAAAGTGTCATAAAAACATTGGAATTATTATAATCATAAATTATTCCTCTGATGGCTGTTGCTGTGGTATAGTTTGCTCTATACAGCACTATAATGAAGCAGGATTCTGCTACTGTCAAGTTTTTTGATCAATAAAAATAACAAACTAAAGTAATTCACATTATCATTACATGGAGCTCTTCCAAGGCCCAAACATAGTTTATTTCACTGTGAATGCAGACTTGGATATTTTGCAATGTTAGAATAACCAGTTAATTTTCCAAAGTATATATTTATTTTTAAATGAAAGAAAGAGGGCTTTTGCCTTGGGACCAATGATACTAATATGTAGATACAAATTCTAACTCTATGAGTTAGTTTTCACTCTTTGACCCATGTTCAATAACAAAAATATACTCAAGACACCTGTTGCAAAGATGCAAATTATGTTGATTAATAAAATTATCACAAATATTAAGCTACATTTATAACTTGCTTTTTATAATTTATTTCTCTTTATTTTGCTTCTTTTGGCTAAACAAATACCAGTCCCCTATAGATGTTTAGATTTGATTGACAAATTCAACGAGTGATATGAACTGATGTATATGTTTGCTTACAATATGTATCGGAAAAATATAAACGACGAGAGTGAGAAAAAATAGTTCCAATTTTAATATAAAAAGGGCTTTCTTTCAAAGTTGATTATTCCATTCTTCTTTTCTTTGGGGTAATTTCCAGTCATTGTTGGGTGGGGTGATTGAGAAGAATTGATTATTTAAATAGGACTGCATCTTTGGAGGTTGCACTTAGGGCAAAATGAATATTGGATATCCTGGTAATGGAAGCTCTCCCTAAGGGTATTTTGGTTTTCTTTCAGAGTAGGTTAAATGCCATGATTAATACTCTGAGTAAGTATCACCTGCTATGTTATCAAAAGACATGAACAACTTGACATAGAAAGATGATAATTCACATTTGCCACAAACTAAATGCAGTTTTAGCCCTTTTCCAAGGCTAGGGTACATCAAATGCTGCCTGAAGTTTGACTCAATAGACAAATTGTCCCTTTCTTCTTTTCCTCCCTGCTCAGATTGTTATCTGGGAGAGAATCATTTGCAAGAAAAGAATAACTTATCAGAAAGGAGAAACTGCACAGAAGATCCAAAGGCTCAACTGTTCCCATGTGTACTGGGCTTCTGACTCATTCTGGTTCTCAGGAAAGAGAGGCAAACCTCTGTTTCACAGCAATTTTCAGAGGGATTTGGGGGCTCTCGGGCTGCTATGAGCCAGTGGCTGCTGTGTGCATGCAGGAGGAGGTCATCTTGCAGAGGAGTAGAGATGTTAGCTTTGCAGGGAAATAAAGAAAGATAAAGAAGGAGTTAGTCTGCCTTGTGTATGTCATTTATCCCTTCCTTAGATTGGCAAACAATTTTCTTTCAAGTAAAGGGAAATAATACATTTCAACATTGTCAAACATATTTATCAACATAATTATATGCAATCTGAGTCTTTCATAATGATTTTCCTTTCTCCAGGCATTGGCAAACATAGATAATCAATGTTACCCAGTGACTACAAATAGTTTTCTCAAAAGGCTGTCTTCCCTTTTCAACAGACAGATTGTCAAACTACCAAACAGTAATGCTCAGTGTAGCAAAAATATCACTTAATTGACTAATTGCAGATTAACACTTCCTAGGCATCAGTAATGTTAGAAAGCTTTAATGGCTGTAGTAGTTTATTTTCCTTAAAGACAAAGAATAGCCCAGGATCCATTAAAGAAGTCACTTGCTTATATAACACCACTTAGCAGATATTTTCTCTTTCTTCATGCAAACTTGGGATTCTTAGTACCAAGCAGATGTCTTGGGGACAAAGGCAGTAATGTGAAATATTATTACATTTCTTCAAAGCAAAACAGAAGGAAACTTGAGGAATAAGAATATGCACATTTATAGTAAAATAATTAAGAAATGAGTAGAAGGGTGATGATTTACAAAAGTATAAAATAAGTATTAAGATTCCAGTAATTCATAAATAATGAAGATAATATAGGGAGTCTGGCTAGAGTACAGACCATTTAAAAGTTCCTGGTTTCTTTCAAGATTAAATAACTTCTCAGAAATCAGTATGCAGTTCTGATGCTTTTCCCCCATACCACAATACACCCACCACTTCATTATTTATAGAGACCTAGGTCGTATGACTGAAGATGACTCTGTTCCCAGAGCTGAAACTTCTGGGGATGACTGATCAATTCCATTATTTCTAATACTCTAAACCACATACTCTAACCTAGCATTAGTTTGATCCCAGACTCCAGGGGTTCCTAGGGTTCTTTTGAAAGAAGGGTAGAGTGGCTGGTGGAGAAAGCTTGATTTCCATCCAATGGGAACATTTTTATTTATATTATTAAAATCTACACATTAAACTTATGAAATTGAAGGTGACGTCAAACTAAGGTGAGCTGATAAATCTTGAGGGAAAAGCGTACATTGTCAGAGATTTTACTCTTATAATGCAAAGCTCTTTAGTGCTTAAGAGCATTAGTGTTGTCATAAGAAAACCTTGGTCATGGCTTTGACATTTACCAGCTGTATGACCTCAAACAAGTTATTTAATTTTTGTCTCAGTTTCTTCTTCTGCAAATGGGAATAATAATTCACAGGACATTTTGTGATGATTACATAAAGCGATGATCACAATGCCTGCCATACTTCACATATTCAAAAATAGTAACTATAATAATATTTTAATAATAATAATGATGATGATTTTTAAGGACTTTAAGGAATTATACAGGAATGTTTCTCCCTATACGACTAGCTCAGTATGATTCTTGGGGCAGTAATTAGAAGATCATTTTAGCTGGAAACTACATGATCTTCTGCTTCTGACAACGTTTTTCTCATCACTGCTTTGCTTTACATTTCTAACTCTGCCTTCATTAGGTACTTGCCTACTGAAGACGCTATTTCTTAAATAACAGATGAACTTGAAGAATAATGATCAACCTTATTTAATAATTTACTCAGTTTTCTCCTCAATTTTGCTTCCACCTAAATTCATGGCCCTCATTTCCCCACGATACATTTAATTGTAAAGGTTTCTCCAACCTCTGTTGGACTGCACGATCACAATCCAATAAATGGAAAATAAATTTAATCAGTCAACAAGTGACCTTTACTGTATGTCCCAGCCACTGTTCTAAGGACTGAGGAAGGCTCAGTGACAAGACAAGACAAGCTTTCCCTCTCTGACGTCCCTCATGAAGAATGATTGCGATTTTCAAAGGGAGCTTCTTTATAGTTGTCAACTGTAGTCAAGTATGCTTTGAATGAAGATTTTAGATTCACTTTTCATTATTTCCTCTCTGGTGCAACATGTATTTACCTTCAGAAGATTTTTAATGATAGCCTTTTCCAGAAGATCCTTGTTAATATTTCTCCAAAGATGGAGTTTACACATAGAAGTACATGCTTAGACCCACCCAAGAACCAATAAAGTAAAACAAGAAAAAAAAAACTATGCAGAATCACAACCATTAAAATGTTCACCTAAAACCAGACTTAACTGAAAAGGTATATTTTCTACCATATGGATAATGGAATTTTGCACAAAAGTGCAAAGTTTACTGCTGGGGAGTAAAGGTAAAGAGTCTAAGGGAAAGATTCAGGAGGTATAAAGCCCTTCCTTAGGAAACTTAAAGGAAGTGCTTGAGAACCAATGATTTAATAAAATCAAGCATATCAGCACATTCAAAAGAATAAAGTTAAATGAAATGAGAAAGAGAAGAAGGTCTATGTCAAATACCGTATTCATTTATATGGTAACTGAGAAATTTATCTCCATTGAGAAATTTAATGTCCTGAAAATCAGGCGCTCTCACTATTCTAATTTTCTTAATATTAATTTAGTTTGGTCAAAAATTTAGGTCAAAAAAACTTGTCAAAAGAATTTACAATCAGACGATGAGGATTTTTTAGTTAGCCTCAAAGCAAAGAATGCTGTCTTTGACTGTGCAAACTGCGTGGGAAGGTAGTCATGGATTGAGTCACAGCTGAACCTTGGACATTCAGTGGGCATTGTGACACAACTGGATACTAAAATGATTACATAAAGGAGGTGGAAAATACAGCAATGGCCCATGAAGAAAAGGGAAACAGAAAACACTTTATTTTTGAAAATCTGTTAGCATGTTATTTGCAGCAAAAATTATCACCCACTGATTATTTTAGTATAATGAGGATGCTAAGGTTGAAGTTATCAAGATCAATAAATACAGATTGAAAAAATAATTATATTCTCCCAATTTTGCCCAGTATCTTCAGTCAAGCAAGTAATAGGGAAAAAAGAAGAAATACCAAATATTTTCTTATATTCTTCTTATCTGACCTGTTTTAAAATTAAGGTGAAATAGATCTCTAGCCATAGGATCTTTAGAACTAAATGAGCTTAAGTGCCACAGCTATGTCATATTATCTTGAAGGGAAAGGTAATTATTTTTGTGACAGGCCCATTTCTTATTATCACTAATAATCTAAAATTATATATTTTGTCATGTAATTATTATCTACCATAAACAGCCAGTAGTGTGTTAAACTGATACTGGGAACTCCTTGTTATGCTCCAACTCCAAGGGCAAATAGTCTTGAATTACATTCATACTGTTTATTTTATTCATTATTCAATTGTTTGTTCAATGTTCCAAAATGAAAGATCTCACAGAACTTCTAAAAAAAGCACTGCCTTTCAAGAAATTATGCAATAGGTATTTGAGCCAATCATGTCTGTATTATTTGATGCATACTGACTTTACCTGGGTATTTTTTACACTCTCTAAGCATAGATTACTCGTTAGTAAAATGATGATAAACATAGTATGAATGTCACACAACTGTTGCAACGACATCACACAATTGTTGCAAAAATTATTGAATAAAAAGTACTTAGCAAAAAAGCTCAGCCAATGTTAAGTTTCATGAATCAATTTGATCCCAGTAAAAACCCAGCACACTATGTGTATATGCGTGTGTGTATGAATGTGTGTGTGTGTGTGTGTGTGTATGTGATGTGTAAACTAACAAGGTGATGTAAGGAAATTTAAAGGACCTAGATTAACCAAGATTATTTTGAAGAAGAGCAAAGTTGAAAGATCTATACTACCACACAGTGATTTAGTATAACACTAAATAGTAAATAACTAAATAGTAAAACACTAAATAGTAAATAAATTATGGTATTGGCTCAAGATACAGAAATAAACAAAAGAAGACAATAGAGTCTAGAAATAGATGCCCACACATATTGTCACCTGATTAATAACAAAGATGTCACTACAATTCAGTTGTGGAAAAGATGGCCTTTTATACAAATGATGCTAGGATAATTTGAAAAAGTGAATCTTGAGGCCCTAACTCTCATCATACACAAAAATATTCAAGATTAATCATAGATTTAAATGTAACAAAATAATAACATTTCTAAGAGAAGACATAGCACAATATCTTCATGACATTGGAGTAAACAGCTTGCAACTAACCCTAAAAGGAAAAAAATAATAATAATTGGATTTTATTAAAATTAAGAATTTCTTCTCATCAGAAGATCATTAAGAAAGCAAGAAGATAATTCAAAGACTGAGAAAAATACACTTCCAATGTATGTATCTAATAAATGACTTATATCCAGAATAAATAAAGAAATTCCACCATAAAAAAGTAAAAACAAATTCAATTAAAACTAGGCAAAAACGCGAATGGCACTTCAAAATACAGGATATCCAAATGGCTTTTGAGCATAACATATTTATTCAACAGAAGAGAACAAATTAAAACCTCAGCCTGTACCTTTCCTACCACCAAAATGGCTAGTACTAACAAGTCTAATGGTACCAAGCAGCAAGGACATGAAGCTACCGGAGTTCTATTACATCGTTGGTTGAAGTGCGAATTGATACAGGCAGACTGAAAAAATATTTGGAATTATCTACTAAAGCTAACTAAATGTATGCCTACCATATGATTCATCAATACCGCTCTTAGGTACAGAGCCAAGAAAAGAATGTGTTAATATCCGTAAGTAAATAAAAATATCCAAAACAGTTTTTTTCAAGTAATGGCAATTTTGTATAAGAACGTCCTTTTTTGCACCACTGCACTCCAGCCTGGGCAACAGAGCGAGACTCCGCCTCAAAAAAAAACAAAAAAGGTCCTTTTTTAAAATAAATCCAAATACTGAAAACAATCAAATATCCATTGACAATAGCATCTATGTAATTCATTGTATGTTCATAAAATATAATATGAAACAATAATAAAAATTATAAAATACTGGCCAGGCATGGTGGCTCACGCCTGTAATCCCAGCACTTTGGGAGGCCGAGGCGGGCGGATCCTGAGGTCAGGAGATTGAGACCATCCTGGCTAACACCGTGAAAGCCCGTCTCTACAAAAAATACAAAAAGTTAGCTGGGCGTGGTGGCGGACTCCTGTAGTCTCAGCTACTCGGGAAGCTGAGGCAGGAGAATGGTGTGAACCCGGGAGGCAGAGCTTGCAGTGAGCCGAGATTGTGCCACTGCACTTCAGCCTGGGAGACAGAGCGAGATTCCATCTCAAAAAAAAAAAAAAAAAAAAAAATATATATATATATATATATATATATATATATATATATATACACACACACACACACACACTCTACTGATGTACACAGAGTAGATACTATGTTGAGTAAAAGAAGCTGGGCAAAAAAGTACCTATTGTGTGATTCCATTATACGAGGTTCAAGAAGAGGTGAAACTAACAGAGGCTATAGGGAGGATGAGCTCTTGAGATGAAAGTGGTACATGTGCCATGCTGGAAATTTTCAATACTTTTATCTCAGTGGTGGTTGTCAGAGACATATATTTGTACAATGTATACGTATTTAACATTATATATCCTATTATTTAATTGTATATGTGCCCTACCTCAATAAAAAGTTTTTTAAATGAGTTATTATATAGCCATAATCACTAATCTGATCCCTTGTTTGAATGAAGAGAATGGGTCAGGTGTCCTACAACCCCATTCTTGGTGGGTTCACCAATTCTCTCCCTTGGAGCATTCTGCCAAAAGGTGACTGTGAAATTGATTAACAGAGTTTATAAATCACAAACCATAAATTGGGAAAATTCGGGTACTCTTTCCCACATTCATTTCTATTGACAAACACCTGGCATTTGCTCTTTGTACCATACATGGCAACATTAAAATAGTAGAGGAAGAATGAGGGCTCAGAAAGAGAGAAGGAGGAGATGGGCTCAGTGGCTCCTACCTGTAGTCCTACCACTTTGTGAGGCTGAGTCAGGTGGATCGCATGAACCCAGGAGTTCGAGATCAGCTTGGGTAACATGGTGAAACCTCGTCTCTACAAAAAAGAGAAAACTTAGCCGGGCATGGTGGTGCGCACCTGTAGTCCCAGCTACTAAGGAGGCTGAGACAAGAGAATTGCTGGAGCCCTGGAGGCCAAGGCTACAGTGAACCCTGATTGTGCCACTGCACTCCAGTCTGGACAAAGAGTGAGTCTCTTTCTCAAAAAAAAAAAAAAAAAAAAAAAGAGAGAGAGGAAAAAGATATAAGAGGAAAAGAGGTATTTTTAAATCTATCGAGAATATTCTAAAGCTTGGTAAGAAAATAATATTATATGTTATATACATGTATACATATATATGCAGAATAACTGATTTTAACATTTTTAGAAGGTACTAGACAACAAATCAGGCAAAGATTTGTTAATTTAAATTTAAATTAAATTTAAAGCTTGAAAAGGAAGGAGACTTTAAAATGATATTATTTGAAGAACATGTTTGTTAACTTAAAAAAGCAATGGAAACCTACAGTGAAAATAATATTTATGATAATATAGTTTAATTGGTGACTCGATACAAAGTTAATTTGCAGAAAAAATAGACATGTTATGTAAACAACAATCACTGAGAAATATTAAGGAGAATTGGAAATAATAAAGATTTGGTAATAAACTTAAGAAATATGCAAGATTAATATTAAAAATGTATATACTGCTATTAGAAGACACAAACAAAAACTTAAATGCTAAGATAAACGATGGTGTGTATAAGAGAGTTCACATAATGGAGTTTCCCACATTAAACTCTAATTAACAAAGTCAAATGAAGACACCAACAAACTCTCTTTCTGTAAAATGGTAAGATTATTCTATCATATAACTATATGACTAAATAAGAAAGAAGACATAGGAACATTCTAAACTTAAATATTAATGAGAACTAGTTTTCATTTGTATTAAAACATGGGTAAAACCTGCAATAATTAAAATAATATGGCACCAGTTGAAAAATTGACAAACAGATCAATAGAACAATACAGGATGTGCAAGAAATATGCCAAATTCATATAGGAATTTAGTACATGATATGGTAATAATAAAATTTCAAGTTACTGGAAAAAAAGAAAAATTATTTAATACATGATTCTGGGAAAAAGGGTAGCCATTAGTAATAAAAATTGAATTTCTACTTCCTGCCTTACTTCAAAATTATTTCCAGGAAGGAAAAAATGCCAACATAATAGGATTAGAATAATACATGACAAATATTAATACTTTTGAGAGGCGAAGACCTCAATATATTAGAAAAAGATTATCCAGAATCCATAAGTGGAAACACCGATATAATTAATTTTAACAATTTTTTAAAGTCTGCATAGCAAAAACATCACATAAACAATAATGAAAGACAACAAATTTGGTGAATAATTTACAGCTTATATCACAATGCTTTAATTAAAAAAAAAGCCTCTAGATATCAAGAAGAGAATTGTCTAAAACCAAATAGAGAATGGGCAAAAAATGTGACCTGATAGCTCATAGAAAAGCAAAATAAAATAAAATAAAAGGCTTCTAAAAATATGAAAAGCTACCAAACCTCCTTCATAAAAAGATGAAAAAAACACATAAGCTACAATGTAATTTTTTTATCTGTTAGCAAAAATTGAAAATATTATGAAGCCAGTGTTTATAATGGTTTTGGAAAACAATATTTTCACTTAATCCTTTTTGGAATCCAAATTTGAATAATTTCCATGGAAACTTACATTTTAAAAATACAGTTCTACTAGTAAGTTGCCCTACAGATATATATGCTCCTTGATTAAATGTTGTTTCTATAGCAATAGTAATTGAAGCATTAGATGTTATAACAAAAAAATTTGAAATACTCATCAAAATGGGGATTGTTATATAAATGCATATAAATTATGGTATATTCATTCAATGCAACAATCACTTATTAGAATAATGAAATTAATGTAAGGACTGATATACTTCTACATAAACTAATCTGGAAGGATCTTTAATTCTTATTGTCCAGTGCCAAACATCAAAGGGCAGAATGGGAGTTATATACTCACAAGACGATATAAGAAGCTGAAAGACCAGGTGTAGTGGCTCATGCCTGTAATCCCAGCACTTTGAGAGGCCGAGGCGGGTGGATCACCTGAGGTCAGGAGTTCGAGACCAGCCTGGGTAACCTGGTGAAACCCGTCTTGATTAAAAATACAAAAAACTTAGCTGGGCCTAGTGGTGGGCGCCTCTAATCCCAGCTACTTGGGAGGCTGAGGCAGGAGAATCACTTGAACCCAGGAGGTGGAGGTTGCAGTGAGCCGGGATTGCGCCATTGCACTCCAGCCTGGGTGACAGAGCGAGACTCTGTCTCAAAAAGAAAAAAAGAAGCTGAAAACAAGTGCCTCTTAAAACGGAGGCCAGATAGTTCATTGAGAAGCATAATCTTTTAAATTCTATGCCAATTAAATGTATTGCCAGCTAAAAATATTTTTTTCTAAGTTAAATATTTATCAGACCAAGAATGAAACTATTAAAACATGTTTGGTAAAACACAGTAGATTACCATGTATGTAAATCTCCAATCTCCCTCAGAACCTCCATTAAGAATGAGTAATTATTTTTAAAATCATAAATCCACACAAATGAAGAGAATGAATGGGGGAGAATCATTTGAGTACTATGAGATATAAATAAAATGTGGGAAATTGGAGAACAGATGAATAGATGGTTAGAAAGCCATTCAAAGCTGAAGCTCACGCCTCCATAAGTAGAGGCCAAATTACAATTCACATCCAAACTCTGAAATCAGTTATGATTTGTAAAACCTACAAAAATAGACATATGGGGAACTTCCAATAAAAATGCCACATTTTTTGCACTCTTATCTTTCTACAGCGAAAGCCACCAGTTGACAAGCCAGGTTCCAATTTTTAAAGACCTCTCCAGAAATGGCTGGCCAAGGATTATGATATGTTTATGCAAAGCCTCTAAAATGAAAGAGAACAAACCAATTCTACAAAACAAAGGAACTTCAAGGGAACAGAGGCAACGCCTATGGCCGAAAAAGCCTATAAAAATACTATAATTAGTATCAGATAAGAAAAATATACTGCATCAATTGAACAACAGAATATTTAAAATAAGCATTAAGATAACAAGAAGAAACTCAAAAAAACTGAAAATATGACAAAGATTTTTAAAAATATAATAGACACTGGGAAAACCAAGTTAAGAAAACAGTAAAACAAAAGGCAAAGAGATATAAAATTGGAGAAGAAAATAGTCAAATTATAATATAAACTCAGAATATGAATGAAAGGAATTCTAGGAAGAGAGAACTGGAAACACTAAGAGGAAAATGCATACATCAAATGAACAAATAAATACAGTTTTTTTAGTTCTGGAAGGGCACAAGTATTGAAATAAAAAGGGATTGCATAAAGCTCAGCAAAATGAATAAAAGGAGACATACGCCAGGTTACACCATGTAGAAATTGTAGAAAACCAGGGTAAAAGTTTCCAAATGTTACAGAAGAAAAAAAAAAAAGTTTTGGCTTAAAAAGATAACATCAAAAGATACATCACTTTGATGCAATGCTTTCAGAATTCTGAGAAAAAATGATATCCATTCTATAATACTATACTCAGTACAAAACAACAATCATATGTGAGCATGCATTAACAGATTTTCAGACCGTGTCTCAAAAACTGTCCTTTCATGTGAGAGCTGCCCAGAAAACTGGGCAGAATGTACTCTGCCCTGCCTTAGGTGTGACTGTTCGAATTCTAGACTGCAGGGTGTATGGAATTCCTGGGTTTCTAAATCAGAGTTGTTCTGTTGCCATTTATCCTTTGCGAAGAAGTTACTAGGGAATGAGATCCAACAAAAAAAAGCATTAATCCAAGGAAGAAAGAAAAACCAGGATCTAGGAAACAGTAGCACCAGCCTGGCAGAGAGGAAGGGAATTCCCAGGATTGTAGTTAGGGAAAGTTTTCAGACTAGGCTAACAGCTGTCCATTATGCCTGGAGAAAAGTCCATATTGGACAGGAAACTAGATGTCTTAAACTATAGTTTGTCTACAAGGAAAAAGTTGAGTATGTTGATTCCCAGATGTGTTTTATCATTTTGTGACAAGTTTTATAAGTCCAGAAGATAATTTGGCAATTAATTAGTAATGGAGACATGGAAGACTAAGAAAATAAATAAGGGAAGCAATTATTAACTTTAGAGAAAATACAGAAGATTGTAAGTAAGAAAGTAAGCATTACATGGCTTTACTTTGAAGAATATTTATTTATGTTGTAATCATAAATCAATGCTGAATATTAATTAAATTTAAAGCACTATATGCAGGAAAAGGGGAAAGGGGAAGTATGTATAGCTGGAGTGGTGATATATGTATGGCTGCTACATCCTCTTCAGCCATGATAAGAAATCAAGAGATACTATCTAAAATTGAAACATCAAAATGTATCACTTTTAACTATGCTCTCCGAAGGCATAAAAGTAAATGGGAGAAAGAGCTAAAAGACTTAAGTGTGGTTGGCTCTGAGAAGTGGAACAGAAATGGTAGGAGTGAAAAATGTATGTGTACATCTACTACTATGATGAAAATAAAATTTAAATTAGAAAGCACCTGAAAATTTACACGTAAGTACCTGATTTTTCTAGTAGCAAGTTTAATTATTTTGTGGATTTGATTCTTCTCAACTCTTTGCAAAACTTCCAATAACCCTTTTAAAACAAAGGGTTAAATATCTTCAACCCAACCATTTGAATATTGCACAGACAAGAGCTTGACTGAGGTACGATGGCTTGATTTTGATGATGGTATTATCAGCATTAGAGTTGGACCAATGTACACCTCCAGGGAAACTGCAAACAGTGTATTAACATACAAAACACTTTTAAATTATTCCCTTTATTAAACCAAATTTTTCTGGCCTTGTCTATATGTTTGCTTTTGTACATATTAGTTACCGTTTGCTGCATAATCAACCAACCCCAAAACATAGTAGCTCAAAATAACAGTAAACTGATTAGCCCATGATTCTATGGTCAGCAATTTTGTCTGAGCTCAGAGGTGAAATTCTTCTCCTGGTCATGTCTGGGGTCACTCATTTGCCTGCTGGCACTCATGTGCCATTAGGAGCTAGGGTGGGCGAAGATGGCCTGTCACAGTCCTGATGATTGCTGTCGGTTTTCTTCAGGTACCCCTCTTGCAACAGGGTCTCTTATCCTCAGCATGGCTAGGTCTGCAATCTTCACATGGTAGTTTCAGTGTTTGAAGAAGACAAGAACTGAAGTTGTAAAGAGTTTTGAGGTTTAGGCTCAGAACTACCACATCACTTTCATCAGATTCTGTTGATCGAAGCAAGTTGCAAAAGCAGCCCAGATTCAAGGGTATGAAAAAATGGTCTCCATAACTCCAGGGGAGAAGCTGCAAACAATTTGTGGTCATGTTTAATCTGCTACATATATCAAAATTGACTCTAATCTTAACCAATTTATAAGTTAAGTGAATTTAAGGTGGCATCCTCATAATTTTTATTAGGAAGTCTGATGGTAGTTTACACTCATCTCTTCGTATCTCAGGTCCCTGTCTCCGGTCACTCATATTTACTTTTAACTAGGGGCCATGGTATTTTTTTTCTAATTTTTGTATATGTCTGTTTCTTTACAACATTGAAAGTTTCAATAGGAGTAGAACTCATGTGATGTTCACTCTCTTATCTTGCACAATGATTTACTAAGTCGAAGGTACAACAAAAAGAGCAGAAAAGTTCTCAATACATTTTCCCTAAAGCCATTAATAAGGTAAAAGAAAGAGGACAGCAACAATGCAAGAAGGTGCATTTGAAATATTCCAAGTAAGATATTTCGGAACATGTAAAACAGTGGTTTTGAAAATGCAGGCAAGGAAAACAAAGAAAATAACAAAATGTCAAATGTTAGCTAATTATAGGATAGAAAGTAAGTTTGGTGTCTGCATCTGTTAAAGGGAAAAAAATCCAGCTATTTCTTGACTTTTAATTATTCTAGTCAGCATTTTCATTAGGTTTAATTTGTCTTACTGGGAATTGAGAGGCAACTGGCTGTTGGCAGAAACAACCTATAATGTCCCAGAACTATTAGCAAAAAAGATATGCATTGCTGCATTTGGTTCTACTTTTGTATAAAAGCATATTATTATTCTCATTAGATAGCTCTGACCATATCTGGTAGAGAAACTGGGGTAGTAAAAGGCAGATGAATCATAGACTAAGGTCCAGAGAATAAAATTAAAAGATATTAAAGAATAGCAAATTTAAACTAAAGGTTTTATTGGATAACGTGAGGGCAAGAAATGGAAGTGAAAAGAGCCCTTTACTAGGAGCTATTACAAAATATTGAATTATTTAGAGTAGTGCAAAAGGACATGCCCAAGACCAGTGGAATGAAACTAGGAAAACGAAAATTCTATCAGAGAAATGTTGCTAACATCAAGGATATAATGAAACTGTCTCCCAGGAGACCTGTTCCATCTAACATAGAACTTTCCAATCTTAAAAGCTAAAATTTCATCTGACCCTGTAGCATCCCAGACTTTCTTACCTATGTATCACTCTAGCAGAATGAATTGGGTTTTCAAGCCAAAAGACACTTATATTTAATGAGTTATTTTGCATGTCAGAAATGAATTATTTCATTAACACACATAATAACAATACCCATAGTCAAAATGAAGACAGGTCTTACTGAAATTATTACCAACATTGATGGTCTTACCTTCTGCCTTATCATATGAACATGTGGGAAATCTATTCTAAGTTAATTGTAATGACTTAAGTCCTCTAGTGGGGAAAAATAATTTCAGTCTTTCAAAAGGTATCAGTCTCCCTATCCACAGAATGGGTCACTATGATGTCAGCATCATTCCTATAGCAAATATCAAATAAATAAACGTACAAAACACACACTGTGATTAATACTTTTGTGATATTTAGGAAGTTATATAGGTTCTTCTAGGGAAGAAGGGAGAAAATGCAGGTCTGGAGTTTCTCATTGGAAACCCTTGGGGCCAGATTTATTTACGTATTCATAATTTTAGAGAGTTTGTAAATGTAATACAGTGCATCTACCTTAAATCTTTTCAGCAGGCCAATAATCAAAATAGCACCATTTCTTCTGTGAAACATCTGACTCTTCACATTTAGTGGGAATGACCTCAGGTTTTACCATCACATTGATTCACATAAGGTCAGGTTTTGCTTTTAAGAAATTATTTTTTTTTAATTTACTTTTCAGGGCTTTTGGATTTAAGAATTATAGATAAGAGGTTGTGGACTCATACCTACGTTCAGTATTTAAACAAATCTGAAAACCAGGTGGGAAAAAAAATGTCCAAATGCCTCTAGATGTAGTGTTTGCAATTAGATTTGCATACCCAATTTAATAAAATATCTTCTTTTTTGCACTTGGGCCAAAAATAATCATAATTTAATGAACAAAAACAAATAATGAGTAAGTGAAGAAATCAATGTGACAAAGGATCTTAAAATAGTTTAATGTAACCAATAAAAAAAGTCAAACTGATACACCTACTATTTTTTTCCTTTTAGTTGTGGTCCAATGAACAGGTCACATAACTCATTCTAAAGGTTTGGGTTTAATTTTAAATATTCTCAACTACTTTTGTTTGCTTAGTAATGAGTAACCAGTAAATATTTTTTTCTTTGTCTTTTTGAAAATATAGAAGCGGCTCTTTGACTTTACAGGATATTTTGGAAATTAGTTTGGGATTAAGATAATTCATTCACCAAAGTGAGTTTAAGCAAATATTGTAAATTGCCTAATGGATATCTGCTAATGACCTTTTCACAGGGTCTAATCATGAAACAAAACTGCAGGAGGAATTGTTCAATGGGAAATATGTGTATTTTTATTATTCAGACACTGACCAACCCATTATTGAAATTGGGATTGCATTAAAACCAGTCAATAAATTTGAAATTCCAAAAAAGAGAATGTTATTTAAGACACGAGATACACACTCACATGTTACAAAAAAAATTCCATTTTTCTAGAAATTTAATAGTCCATTTCTCATTCTTCCTTATATTATAGATTCGTGCTAAGGTATCATTAGATTCTTAGGACCTAAGGCACTTGAAAAATTTCAACAGGGCTTAGTGATTGGATAAAAAATAATTTTTTTGCATCAATGCTTATTGATGCAGAGCTTAACAAGTTTTGTTTTGTTTTGAAGTTTTCTTGCAAACATTTGAAGGTACTCATTGATTTTTATTGCCGTTGTGTGACAGGAATCTTTATGATTTTTCTCCCATTAGATTTGATTACCAGAAAAAGTTTTAATCAATTTGCTATTTAAATACTTAAATCTAAAAATAAAATCTAAATATTAGGAGCTTTAAGGTTTTATTGAACATGGGGTGTGGTTAATACAAATATAACTTTAAGCAGATAAATGTACTAGAGACCTTTTAGGTCTGATTTTCCAAATTTGTTTCTGTTCCATATTATCTTAATTTTTAAAAAATTATAAACTGGGTTCTGTTAGAGAAGTAATATGAGAAATTCTAAATTTTATTTACCCAATTGTGTCTATGTTCATAATGAGTATGTTTGCATATTTCCTTCACAAATGTACTTTTACAAATTCATCCTTTCCCCAAAGTCAGTGCCTGTTAATCACGTTCCTGATTAACAGGAAAGTAGGGGTTAAAATCTGGAGGGAAAAACAGTGAAAGAATAGACCTAATATTTCATTAGCATAGCCTAAGCTTCATCAAGCCTTCATTACAAGTTGATTTACTTTTCCCATTTTACTTGTGAGAATGCTACATATGTAGTTTAAAGACTCAGAGGTAAAACAGCAAACCCAAAGTTACGTCGTGAATAAAAAGCATAACCATACATTTTCCACCTCTCTCTGCTGCCCCTGGAAAGTTACTGTAGCACAAAAACAAGCTAAGCAACCTGTAGATGATAAAATAAATCTCTTGCCATTTCATTACACATGACATTTTGATTTATTTTTGTTTTGAATTATTTTCACCACTTTTCTCTTTATTTATAAAACTAAAACTTAACTCTTTGCAATCTTCCTTAACAAAAATATTTTTATTCCTTTTGCATGTATCCTGCAAAGATTAAAGTTAAAGCCACAAGGTGAGTGCTCTCTTATATCTGAGAATTCAAAACATTATACAGAAAGCTTAGTCCTGACACTCCTAATTTGTTATACAACTATGCTTTGTTGGAATTTTGCTTATAATTGTTTGTAATTTCTAAATCATTGCGTTTTCAAGGATGGATTCCCAAAGCTCATGGATCAGAATCTTTTAAAGCATTAGTCTTATTGCTTACATACCTGTTGTGGGTCGAAGTGTATCACCTGCCAAATTCAAATGTTGATGTTCTAACCCCCAGTGCCTCAGAGGTCCATCCTACCCTCGTATGACCTCATCTTACCTCATGACATCTGCAACAATCTTAAGATTACTGGTGACGCAATGAGGTAAGATGAGGTCATACTGGAGTAGGATGAGCCTTTACTCCAGTATGACTAGTGTTCTTAGCAAAGGGAAAAATCTGGACACTGTTACACTCACAGGAAAAACTCTCTGTGAATATGAAGACAGAGATCTGAGTAATGCAGCTCTAAACCAAGGAAAGCCAGAAGTGCCAACAAAACCACTAGAAGCTACGAAAGAGACAAAATAGATTCTCAATCACAATCTTTACAAGGAACCAACCCTGCCACCATCTTGACCTTGCACTGCTATGTTCCAAAACTAAGACACAATAAATTTCTGTTGTTTAAGCCACTGAGTCCATGGTACTTTATTATGGCAGCCTGTAAAGACATAGGAAAAAACAAATTCAGTTTCTCCAACTATACCCTAGATATGTGAGGGGTTTTCGCTACCGATAACCAAATCTGCAGATGACTCTTCAGCAAACCCAGCTGGGTCCTCTGGGTCTTCTAACTCAATTCAATTCTGACACCATCTGCCTGAAGAAAACGTCAGATCCCACAGGTTGAGGGTTCACTCCCCCAAGACTGTCCCCCACTTCAGATGCCAGTCACAAGCACAGGTTGTGACCTGTTTTCTGACCCGCTGGTTATAAATTGGTGTTCCCATGCCCCCTGCCCACATTTCATTAACTCATTAGTGTGGCTCAATGAACTCAGAAAAACACTTTACTTGCATTTACCTATTTATTATAAAGGATATTACAAAGGATACAAATGAACAGCCAGATGGGAGAGATGCAGAGGGAGAAGTATGGGAGAAGCAGGCAGAGTTTCCATGCCCTCTCCAGGTGCACCACCTTCCAGGAACCCCAACATGGTCAGCTAGATGGAAGCCCCAGAACTCATCCTTTTGGATTTTGATGGGAGCTTCATTACATAGGCATGACTGACGACATCACTGGCAACTCAACCTTCAGCCCTTATCTCCTCAATGGAGGTCAATGGAGTAGGGGTAGAGAATAAAAATTCCAATCTGATAATCACGAGGTTGTTTGACATGGCAACCAGCCCTGAACCTGAGGCTATCTAGAGCCCCCCAGCTGTCAGCCATCTTATTAGTATACAAAAGACACTCTTGGAAAACATAAGCTAGGAAATGGGATGAAGACCAAATATATGTTTCACAGTATCACACAGCCCCCCAAAAACTAATGCAATACAAAAATAGTTACCGCTTATGAATTCACATCCTACTAAGCGCATATTACTCTCTATAAATAATGGATGCACACCCTGACATGTCCTTTAAATAAAATGCGCTCAGTTTAACACTCTGTGTCAAAACTTAGTGATGAGTTAGGAGTTTACACACAAGAAACACATGATCACCTTTATCATGCTCAGTTTTGTCCTCCCTACCATCTTGACCAAGAAATAAACACCGACTACAGAATGACAGCCAAAAAGATGTCTTTCCTTAATGCCTTGCTTAGCTAAAATGCCTCCCAACCATCCTACTGACCTAATCTTATGTCCTGACTTTTCCCCTCTGCACAAGAAGAGGTGGGTAAAAATAATTCCTGTCTTGTGCTCAAAATAATGACCCTAATATTCAGGGGTTATCTTGACCATACCCCCTGTCTAAGATAAATTCACCCATAACTTATCTTGGGCTTCATCTCAGGAGAAGAAAGCATTTAGAGCTATGTAATAATGGGTGTTGCTTCCTGGAAAAGCACAGAAACCATTCAAGCAAAGGGATGTTGTACAGGAACTCAGACCCACCTGAGGACTTTAAATCAGCTGACAACCAACTTTCCACCAAGTCTGAGGTTTTTAGTGTCACAAAGCAAATTTAAGTACTACTGGATATTTTTTAAGAGGAACTGTCTATCATGTTTTTCAAGGATGTAAGTTTCCCACGCAGGGATACCAGGTTTTGCTATCTTACTTAGTTTATTGCACAATGGACATTTAATCAATGCTTAGTACTCCTAATGGTAATAACATTAAAAACATAATCAACAATAGAAGCTTCAGTTGCTGCTTAGCCTCTCTCTCACTGCAAATAATGAAAATTTTATTCTCGACTAAAGAGCTATGGAGAGAAAGGATGTTTGGATCATAAACTTGAGGAAAGTCTGGGGAAACCACAGAGGTATAATGAAACGGCACCATAAGAAATGAGCTATCAAGGTAATGCTCATTAAACTGTAAGTTTCTGTAAAACAAATACAACTAATTAGATGGCCAAAACCGATTGCAAATAGGAAACCAATGCCTATTTTATTTTAAAATTCAGAATACAG
This sequence comes from Homo sapiens, assembly GCF_000001405.40. Classification (NCBI taxonomy): domain Eukaryota; kingdom Metazoa; phylum Chordata; class Mammalia; order Primates; family Hominidae; genus Homo; species Homo sapiens. Next base: position 85,989,113 of record NC_000014.9, on the reverse strand, counting down.
CTTCTAGCTATTATATGATCCAGTTTAGCGGGGGAAATCTTATACATAGATGGTGAAATGATCTTTAACACTGAATCAATCAATAAATATTTTTAGCATTTAATTAGCCTCGTGACTTCAGTCTGCATTATGTGGTGTGAAGTGGAATAATTAAGCAACAAACATATTCAATAAGATTGTCCACATCTTATTTGGTGATATGGGGAATAACAAGTAAATATAAAGATGCTACTTCTCTCTAGGATGTAGATGCTGCAAAGAATGTTGTTCCTGTTCTGACAGCAATAAAAATCCAGATAAACTTTGAAATCATAACTTTTACTTTTTAAAAGGTGAGTTCTCAAGGCAATAAAAATCTAAAAAAATAGGACAATCTCTCCTCGAAAGCAAGAAACAAAGGGTGGTCTCCCCTAGCAGAGCGTGTTAAGAAGAGACACCAATCTAGCTGCATAAAATCATGTAAATTGATGAGATAAAACATCAGCTTCCAACTCAAAGGTAGGGTAACATGGAAATCCAAAATTTCTGGGAGCACCTGAAACAAAAAGGAATCTGCAGTCATTTATAACCTCTTTTCCACAAGCCTCTACCAGGTGCTAAGGAGAAAGAATGATGGCAGGGCGGGAAACCAAGAAGCCCACACTTGCTGGTGATTGGGATTAAAAAGGTGGTTAGTAATTCAAAGGACACAGGCAAAAGACACGATGCATTTCTGCAAACCCTTTTCTCCGATGAAGCAAATATCTTAAGCTACAGAGGAAGATTCAGCAAACCCTCTTGATCACAAGGCACAGGTAAAGACACATTGCTGTTGAGGGAAGAATGAAAGAAAAAATTAAAATACTGGGAAAATTATAGGAAATGCCTTGAGCCTAAGATTACGTGCTAATAACAAGTAGTCATCTCCTGTAACTGGAAGACGGACAAGAAGACAGCATTCTAGCAGACTGTATATACAAAGCAGAAACTGGCTTCTACTTGACAGAAACAGTGAAACCTTCTCCTAAGGGTAAGATAAACAACGCCTCACTAAGATTAAAGATGCTGTAGAACAACAGAGAACTCTCCCTGCCCCACAAATTATTCTAGCACAGAGCACTAAGCAAGAACAGTCTAATGCTGAGGGAGAAGCAAGAGTGCAGTAAAAGAACGCTTTATGTAGTTCATATTCTGGCAAGGCTGAAAGAAGACGGTGGAGGCACAATTATAAGAAGAATTCCTCCAGCACCCTGCCTCCATTCTAAGCACTAATGCAACATTTGGAGAATTTAAGCTGAAGTTCATGGAAAGTAACTGTAGAAATAACTGAACCTTAATCCGGTTCAACTCTCACTAGATTAGCTTCCGCCTGTAATGGTCAGTCTTTTGTGTCAACATGGCTAGACTATAGTGCCCAATTGTTGGGTCAAATATCAGTCTAGATGTTGCTTTGAAGAAAATTTTTTGGTGTGATTAACATTTAAATCACTAGACTTTGAGTAAGGCAGACTATTCTCCATAACATGAGTGGGCCTCAACCAATCAGTTGAAGCCCTGAAGAGAAAAGACTAAGGTTCCTTAAAAAGACAGGTAATGTGTCCACAGACAGCCTTTGAACTCAACACTGCAACATTGACACCTGCTGGAAATTCCTGCCTGCGAGCCTAAGCCAATTCCTTAAAATCTCAATCTCTCTCTCCCACCTGACCACTTCTATCTCTAACAGGATATTTGATATTTGACCCAGAATTTCCAAATATAATAAAATACATCAAATTGCTGACTAAAAATCTCAGAGAAGCACCAGCAAGGTGGGAGGAGGAGGGAGGATAGAAATTCATCACAGACAAACTGCTGAAAACAGAAAAACCAGAAGATATTAAAGGCATCCAGTGGAAAAAAAAAGAAAGGATACATTACACGCAGAAGAGAAGGACACAGAAAAGATCCAAAAATTATGGAAATCAGAAGACAATAGAGTAATAGATAACTGTGGTTTATACATAATTTTGAAAAACTATCTATCAACCCAGAGTCTTATACCCAACAAAAACATTCCCAAAATGAAGGGAAAATTAAAACTTTCTCAGTAAAAGTCAAAATCATTCATTTCCAGCAAACTCGGGCTATAAGAAATGCTCGTAAAAAAGAATAAGGTCATGTTCTTTGCAGCAACATGAATGCGGCTGGAGATATTATCCTAAGCAAATGATTGCAGGAACAGAAAACCAAATACTGTTTGTTTTCACTTATAAGTGAGAGTCAAACAATGAGGACACATGGGCATAAAGAGGGGAACAAGAGACACTGGGGCCTAGTTGAAGGTGGAGAGTGGGAGGAAGGAGAGGATAAAAAAAAAATCTATCGGGTACTGTAGTTACTACCTGAGATACTAAATAATCTGAACACGAAACCCTCACAACACATAGTTTACTTCTATAAGAACCCCACGCATGGGCCCCTAAACCTAAAATAAAAGTTAAAATAAACTTAAAAAAAAAAGAAATCTTAAGGAAAATTCTTCAGGCAGGAAGACTGTGATACCAAAACAGAAACTCAATCAACACACAGAAATAAACAATCCATGGATGTTCAAAATAAGCATAAAGTAAAATATATGTTCTTATTAAAAACTCTAAAGATAACTGTTTAACTCTAAAATAATAAAATGTATTGTGGAATTATTACATAAGTAACAGTAAAATTATATCAACAATAATACAAAGAATGGTAGGGAAGAATTGAATGTATACTGTGTAAATTTCTTCCTGTTTGAAAGGTAGCATAATATTACCTGAAGGTAGCCTGTGATAAATTAATGATACATATTGTAAACTCTAGGGTAGGCAATTCAAAAACAATTTAAAAGAATAATAATTCTCAAATAGCTATAAATACTTTTAGAAGCCATAATCCAATTGTGAGTATAAAAAACAAACCTGAAGCTGGGCGTGTTGGCTCATACTTGTAATTCTAGCACGTTGGGAGGCCGAGGTGGGCTGATCACGAGGTCAGGAGATCGAGACAATCCTGGCCAACATGGTGAAACCCCGTCTCTACTAAAAATACAAAAATTAGCCAGGCGTGGTGGCACGTGCCTGTAGTCCCAGCTACTCGGGAGGCTGAGGCAGGAGTATCGCTTGAACCCGGGAGGCGGAGGTTGCAGTGAGCTGAGATTGTGCCACTGCACTCCAGCCTGGGCATCAGAGTGAGACTCTGTCTCAAAAAAACAAAAACAAAAACAAAAACAAAAACCTGAGATTCAATTAATCTAAAAGTAAACAGAAAAGAAGGAAAGGGAATAGAAAAAAAGAAAATAAGTAGCAAAATAATAGATTAAAATCCAACCATGTCAATAATTACAAAAGTACAATTGGCCTAAACACTCGATTAAAAGTCAAACATTGCTGAATTGGATTTAAAAATATAAGATTCAATTACATGCTATCTACAAAAGACTAATTTTAAACATGAAGACAGATTAAAAGCAAAATGATGAGAAAAATAATACTATTTAAACACCAAAAGAAAGCTTATGTTTCTATATTAATAATAGAAAATGTAGCCATCAGAACAAGGGTTATTACCAGTGAAGATGAAGAATGTTACAAATTTTATTAAGGGCATAATTTATCAACAAGAAATAATAATCCTAAATACTTGTATGGATCCAATAGTAGACCTTCAAAATATATGAAACAATAATGGATAGAACTGAGAATGTAATAGAAAAATCTGCAATTATATTTGGAAGCTTCAAAACTCACCAACTGATAGAACATTAAATCAGTAAGTACACAGACGACCTGAACATACTATCAACCAACTTGGTCTAATTGATATTTATTTATAGAATACTCCACTGAAGCACAGCAATACATGCTTTTGTTTTTTTTGAGACACAGTCTGGCTCTGTTGCCCAGGCTAGAGTGCAGTGGTGCAATCTCCGCTCACTGCAAATTCCACTTCCCGGGTTCAAGTGATTCACCTGCCTCAGCGTCAGCCTCCCAAGTAGCTGGGATTACAAGAGCCCGCCATTGCACCCGGCTAATTTTTGTATTTTTAGTAGAGTCAGGGTTTCACCATGTTAGGCAGGCTGGTCTCAAACTGCTGACCTCATAATCCACCCGCCTCAGCCTCCCAAAGTGCTGGAATTACAGGCGTGAGCCATCGCACCTGGCCGAACGTGGATTCTTTTTATGTGAACATAGGACATTTACCAAGATGTTCATATTGTGAACACACAGAATCTGTTCTGTGTCACAATCATACATTATTAAATTTTTAAATTTAAAAGAATTAAAATACATTGCTAGTACAGTGGAATTAAATAATAAGGATAGATAGATAGATAGAAAGAGCGAGAGAGAGACAGAGAAAGAGAGAGAAGAGAGGAAGAGAGAGATACTGCTATTACTTAGGGATAAATAATATGATGGAGACAACTGGTGCAGGCCTTCACAAAAAAGGTTTGAATGATAAAGGTTGAAGTTGCTGAAAAACGATTTCCTTGAGAGTTAGATATTTTTTCATTCATGATCCATTTTCATACTACTGCTATGTAAACTGAAAGTGAATGTTGCTACTTTCTTGCTTGTAGATCCTCAATAACGTTCTATTTTTAGATCCATATATTCCTACTTCCTTAGAATATTAAGCAAAGCCGCTTTGAACCTGGAACAAATTTGTCTATACATCCCCTCTTCCATGTGAAAGCCACATTCTCTGGCAAAGAACTTGAACAATAATACAGAATTTAATTTCTGAGGGAATGATTATGAAACACAAGCCATCTTGATGTAGTTTGAACCCAGAGGAAACAGCAGAAGGAATTAATGTTGGCCAATGAGACAAAGAAAGTGTCTCCAAGAGACCAAGAACAAATGGACCCAAGAAAAATGTTATCCAAGAGATAAATCCAAGATTAAGAGATAGAAGGAGACAGAGTCAAAAAGAATCTTAAAAAAAAAAGAGTAGAGAATAATTGTCAATAACAGTGGTGGAACATTTTAGAGTAAGGCAAAAAATGGTTCCTGATTGGCCTATTACTTCAGACCTAGGAGAAACAAACTTAATATAACTATCTCATATGACATCTCATCCAACACTTACAATCTCCACTTGCAAAATGATGATCCAAAAAAGAGATGATGCTCAAAAATCTGTTTATTTTGCTTAAAGAGTGACAGCCCTGAGAGATTCAAAAAATTAAATAAAAATATAATTAGTACCAATATTATAAAACTATACATTTGAGATTTAAAATTTCATATTAAAAATATGTACTTTTTAAATTTAAAAAAAGATGTGTCTTTGCCAATCTATTATTCCAACATGGCAACCATTATTTGGAGTTGAACACTGGTTGCTTCTTTCACAGACAGAAGTGCATAAGCCTTTTACAAATGTACTTTATGAATACAATCTGGTGTCATTTAAATATGGAGATATATTCTGAGAAATGTATCATTGGGTATTTTGTCATTGTGCAAACCTCATAGAGTATACTTACCCAAAGCTAGGTGGTATATAGCCTACCACATGCCTACACTCTATGGTATAGCCTATTTTTCCCAGGCTATAAACCTCTACAACATACTACGGTACTGAACACTGTAGGCAATTAGAAAACAATGGTAAGTATTTGTGTATCTAAACATATCTAAGCATAGAAAAACACAGTAAGAACATGGTATTACCACCATCATATACATGCTCTATTATTGACCAAAATGTTATCATGTGGCATGTGACTAAAATCTCTTTCTACATCCCAACATCTAGATGGTTTGACTTTGGTACCTCCTGACCCATAGAGACATTTGAGATTTTTAACCTCTACTCTAATGCCGTTGGGAGTATTTTGTGATTCCCAGAATTAGAATAAATGTTCATGCTTACTCCTTTTGCTCATACAATTCTATGCTTGGGATTTCTTTCCTTTTTTTTCTCTCTTGAGTGAATTTATTCCACCATCTAAAACCCAGTGAAAGACTTTCTCTTCTGTGACAAACTGTAATGCTCAGACAGAATAAGATATCTCTTCTTTTGTGCTTTCAGAACTTTCTACATTTTTCCATTAGAGCCATGGCCACATAGTTGTTCACACATCTCCTTCCCATGATGTGTAGTAAAACTCTTGAGATCAGGATATACTCCCATTGATCTTTCTTACTCCAAAATCAATAATCTGCTTCATACATGGTAGGCCCTTTGAATCCCAATCTATGCCAAGAAGGGCCAGATGTTGGCCTGGATTTTTAGTAGATAGTAAATGGGAAGATGAGAATTCTCATTTCAAGGGACAACCCAACATATATTAAGGCAAATGCTGATAATTACTGTGGCATGTGCAGAGCTGGGAAATAGCACCAAAACTTGTGAGAATCAGTACTACCGCACATGGCAGTAGGATCAATAGCCTACCTTATACATAAGGAAGTAATGGTAGTGGATGCTGTACTTTTTAGAATCATCAATAGCTCAGAGGCAGGCACTGATTTTAATTGAGAGTCAGTCATAACAGTTGATTTCCTGGGTCTGTAGTTCCTGCAGCATCTCCTCACAGGAAAAATAAGAAACAAAAATAGCAGCAGATGCTACATTACGGGTAAGGAATGAGTTCCTGGGCGCAAATGGGGACAACCTCTGGGGACATCAATAGAATAAACGCTTATTTAAGAATTACAGCTGCTCCTAAAATAACAGGTGGGAGAGGAGCCATATAATGCTATATCTACTGTCATTGTGATATAAATGTGTATGTATAAATATGTACACATGATATGCACATATATATAGATATACATATACACACATATGTATGTATGTGAATATATATAGTTAGCTACTAAAACTTTTTCCAGTGTCATAAGAAAACATTCATAGCAGAAGCAAAGGAAGCAGGAAAGAATTACAGAAATTTGAGGGTTATTTTTTGCTGTGGAAGAGGAGACAGAATCACTAATCAAAGATATAGTTTCACATATATTCAGCAGAGGAAGTATTGTTTTAACACTATTTTTTTTTCAGCAATATATGAAACACATGGATCTTAATTTATATCAAAATGTCATACAAAAGGAAGCATTCATCTTTAGAACATTTGCAAGTAAGCTTCCCATCTGTAAACTACCAATTATGATTTATCAAAGTGTCCAAGTACAGAGAAAAGTTTAGTTCTTCGGTATGAAAAATCGCTTTTTAAGCATTTTAGTTTACTTAATATTCAATAAGGTAGATAAAAGTTTAGCCCACACTTTCTATTTACATGAAAATGAATCAACGTAGAAAATCCATAAAGCTAAAAAAGCAGAAACATTTTCCTTGGAACAATTAGGATCTTAATGTGAGAATGTTGACGAATAGATAGGAGATAATGGAGAACTCACATAAGAAAAGATTTCTTTGAATGTGAGAGGAAACAGTCCCCAAGTACCTATGCTTAAGCAGAAGGAAGCAGGACAAAATAGAGGTAAGTGTAGATAGGTTTGTATAGGTGGAAGCAGAAATTGAGGGTGATATCATATTTTCTATGTGAAGAGATAAGATTGTTCTTTGGCTGGGAACTGGGAGGCTGAGTTCAAGTTTGAAAATACGCGGAGAAGAATTGACACTTTTGATATAATGATGAAAAGAAGTTGTTAACAAGAAATTCTGAACAAGATTTATGATTAGAAAGTAATGTTGATAACAAAAATGAGACGCCTAAAGAACTCTACGAATTTGGAAATGCCATGAACTGGGACTCTCACTGAAGTACAGAAATGACCATAGCTAGGAAAGCAAGTTGTACTCAGAGAGTGTAATAACTGAATTAGCAATTCTGTAGTAGAGATAATCTGCATTTATAACAAAATTCATAGTGTGAGAGATACGGATGTACGACAGGGCAGAGGACAGATTCTTCGGAGACAAGTATGTTAAGCATAGAGGGTTCATACGTCATGAAGGATGGCAGTGACAGAATTTGGATGAAGATATGTTAGTGAACCAATTACCAGAAGTTAGATGATAGCAGTAAGAAAGCAGTTGGAATTGTATAGTGAAATTTCATGAATCTCAAATGAATCTCAAATGTGTTTAGTGTGAGAGTGTGTGTGTGTGTGTGTAGGTGAGTTGGATTAGTGTCCCACCAAATCTTAAGTCAAATTTTTGGACGTGGGGACTGGATCATGGAGGCAGAGTTCTCATGAATGGTTTAGCACCATCCCTTCTTGGTACTGTATGGTGAATGAGTTCTCAAGAGATCTGGCTGTTTACATGTATGTGGCTCCATCTGTACCACCTTGCTCCTACTCCAGCCATATAAGATGTGCCTGCTTCCGCTTTGCTTTCCACCATGATTGTAAGTTTCCTGAGGCCTCCCTAGAAGCAAAAGCTGCTGTGCTTCCTATACAGGCTACAGAACCGTGAGCCAATGAAACCTCTTTTTTTTTTTTTAATAAATTACCCAGTCTCAGGTATTTCTTTATAGCAATTTGAAAACAAACCAATACAGTATGTGCATGTGTTTTTTGTTAGTTTTACAAGAGAATGGTGTCTCATTGCTAGAAGTGCCACTGCAGTTTAGGGAGTTCAGAAATACCACCTCACCATCCAGGGGTGTGTGTGTGTGTCCGAAAATAAGCAACCAGCATTAAGAGGGAAACAGTACAGGTGATATCTTCAGATGAGTCAAGTTTCACTTATGGCAGGCAATGTAGAAGTTGAAGATAGGTTTTATTATTATTATTATTATTCTAGATGGATAGTTCTAGAAAATACTGTGGGAAAGTTTTGAAGATGAGGATATGGTAGACAGCTGAGTCCAAAAAAAGCAAGTGCAGAACATTGAGAAGAACAGTACAGTAAATGATAGAAGATCATGTTTCCTTATACATGAGGCATTGACCGATAGAAAAGAGAGCAACGGCAGATGGAGAACCCTTTTGAGCAGGGTGATGTCAGAGTGTAGGGACTTGACAGTTTGACTCTCTCAGCTGGAGTGACCCTCCTCGGTGGTTTCCAACTATGACTATATGATATATAGCTGGGGTGAAGGTAGTTAGAGAAATCACCACCATTATAAATTAATACATTGCCATGTATATTTATATATCAATCCCCGCCAAATATTTTTAGTGTGAATCATTGTAATAGTATAATAAAATTTTTGTATATTGACACAATTGATTTCCTGCACCTGCAAATCTAATGTCCAATATTTAAATTACTATGTTTCCACCAAGGTAATTATATTATGAGATTTGCAGTCTAATAGCCAACCAGTCAACTTTGGAGGAAAAATCATATTATCTTCTCATGTCTTTTAAATTGAAACACATATGGACTAAGATTTTTATCATATATGAAAAAAATAATCAACTATTAATTTTTGTCATAATGAGAGAGGCTATTCCCTCTCTTAACCAATAGCTTATATCTTAATTTTCTGAACTCTTACGAGTATGCAAAAAATTACCCATCTTTTACACAACTGTATATACTGCCAACTATCATTGGATTAATTTTTCTAAAGTAGAACTAAATTATATAAGATCTTTGGAAAACAGAGGATATGATATGATTTGGCTGTGTCTGCACCCAAATCTCATCTTGAATTGTAGCCCCCATAATCCTCATGTGTCATGGGCGGGATCTGGTGGGAGGTAACTGACTCATGGGAGGGAGTTTTTCCATGCTGTTTTTGTGATAGTAAGTCTCATGAGATGTGATGGTTTTATAAAGGGCAGTTCCCCTGCACACGCTGTCTTGCCTGCTGCCATGTAAGACGTGTCTTGCTTCATTTTTGCCTTCTGCCATGATGATGAGGCCTCCCCAGCCATGTGGAACTATGAATTAATTACACATCTTTCCTTTATAAATTACCCAGTCTCAGTTATGTCTTTACTAGCAGTGTGAGAACAGACTAATATAGGCATGAAATGTGATTCCTGGGTTTCTTTGACTGTTACTTTTGCTCACTCTGTTAACATGCATTTTTCTAGAATACCTTCTAGATATTAGTTATTGAATTAGACCAAACCTCTGACCTTGGGGAGTTCATGAGTTGATTGTGTTCAGTTTTCCCATCATTCTGGTGATCCTGCAGAGGGCACACTTCAGTTTCTAGATTTCATTTTAAATATTGATTTTCCAACAGTTTAAACAAACAAAGGTCATCCTAGAAAAAGATTTTTTTTTTTAGTAACAATTGTTTAAAATTTTTTTCTTTTTTTTTTTTTTTGCAAACACAAGTGCCAAAAACTCTGGCCTTCATTCACACAAAGTTTCATTTAAACAGATTGTCTTCTTTTCTCAGACTTGAATTTAGCTGGTGACTTGACAGTTGAACAGATGTTCACTTCCATTTCCGTAAGTCTGTATGTTTTGAAAAAGAAGATTAACATATTCACATCCAACAAAAACAAGGGCAGTTAAACCCAAACCATTTGTCTAAGGGAAAGAGGATAGAATTATTTTCATCTTTTGCATTGTGTCCTTTCATATAAATCTCCCTCACTTCACACACACTCACCTTTGGCTCTCAGAAGGAGCCAAAATTTAATTTTTCATGGGAATGTGTAGAAATACATGTAATGAAAATAATATTGTTTATGCAACATCAAGGCTTTCTAGATTTGTCTATCTTTGCCAGCAGCTTTTAAGAACATTCACTTAAAGCAATCTAGATAGTTGTCCTTATTGGAGAAAACATCAAAACCTCCACAAAAAGAAGAAAAAAAATAGAAATGCCCTGGCACTGTAATTAACACTTTGAAACAGAGATCCAGGCTACTTCAGGTTAATTTCAGAGACCCTAGCAAAACACGTATGCACACCTTCTTTATTTGAACCATCCATTCATTATTCTTTTTGTGTGTATAAACCTGGTGTTAATTCAAGCGGAATGCTCAGATGATTTGCTGGTGGCATATTTAAATAAAACACATAATTTTGTAATGTTGGTAAGGAGACAAAATCAGTGAACAGTACTTTGTGGGTAATCTGTTGAGAGGAAAAGAATGAGAGAATAAAAAGTAATGATACTCTGTTCTCTTATTCTATTTAGTGTATAATCATGGTACTCTCTGTTCTGCTTTCATGTAAATTCCTCTCCCCCCAAAAAAAGAAACAACAACAAAACACAAGTATGCAGTTACCCTGGATCTTAAATTAGACAATGCAGGTAGTGATTTATGGATAATGAGCTACATCAACAAGATCCAGGCTGGTGAACTGTGTGGCAGGTTGAATCAAACAAAGCTAAGTTACGTGTGATACTGAGTTCAGTAGATCCCACAGGGGATCCAGAAATCTCAGCCAAGGAGAGCTGCCACGAAAAGAGATACCAAATTTGTATACATATTTATTTAGATTTCACATTTCAAGAACATCCTAATGTACAATAGTCAAGGTGTTACATTTTACCTGAAAAAGTGCATATCATGAATGTTAAATTGTATTAAACAATTTGAAATGTAATGCAGATCATCAATATGATTATAGTTCTATGAAGTTCCATTCATTCACTCAGCTGGTATTTATTGAGGACTTAACTAGATTCATTCAGCAAACATTTTGTGGGCACCTTCCCTGTGATAGTCATATTTGGGGATATTGAGGACACAAAAGTGCTATGTCTCTGGTCCCAGAAATATAAAGATGAATGGCCTATTGTTTCTTCCCTTAAATAGGTGTTGAAAAACCAGATACATAAGCATACCTAACTAATTTGATTCATTGTGATAACAGATAAGATAGGAAGTAATTAAAAACTTATTAGTGTTAAGAGAAAAAATATCTATTAATTTTGAATATATGACAAGGAGCAGGGGAAATTTTCCAGATTAGGTATTGATGATGGTCCATAAGAGGAGTTATGATGTAAGTAGTAAAAACTTGTACTCAGACCTGTGATCAGTAAGATTGTAGTCAGTTTCAATATATTGTTTTTATCTTCTTTTCATGTTGTTATTTCACCTACAAATTTCTATATAAGCTTATAGTCCAAAACCATACCTTTTAATGCCCTTTTTGAATTTTAATGCATTGAAAAGTATGGTTGAATAAGCCATGCACTTGCTATTAGATACCTGGTTGCTTCTAATTGTTCATTAAATGATCGTATACAATTTTGAAAGATTGAAATATGTTCATAGAATTGACCTTCTAGTTTTACACACGCCATTAAAAGTTTGAGGATTGATCTCCAAGGAGACTGATTCTGTTTTAAATGCCACCAGAGACATAAAAGTATTCTAGATTTCCTAGAGTTTATTCAATTTTTACTGGGGCAACCATTCAATTTCAGCTTCTGTAGGGCAGAGACCATTTCATTGACAATACAATATACACTGAGGATTTAGCATAATAACTGATATATAGTAAACAGTAATTAATCATCAAATGAATGAATAAATGAATGAATGTTGAGCACCATTTTAATTTACCTTCATTTATTTAGTAAGTGCATTTTAGCATTATATAGTTTGTTTGTATCCACATTTTGATATATTATTCTATCATCATATAATATCCCCTGTGTACTGCATTAATGTAATAGATTTCTGCCACACACATTTCAGTTCTTAACCAATAGCCATTCTACTCATTTTTTCCTGGCTAACATACACTAATTGCGTTTAGAAGAATTACGTGCTCAATCCCAAAGATAAATAATGACTATCTAAGCATATAGACTTCATCTTTCTTTGCCAGACTTTTGCAGCTAGCTGTGGCCATATCACTTATTTCTTGCCATTGAGTCTATAATCAAGTTTCCTGAAAAGTCTTCAGGGAATTGTTTCTTTCATTTGCTGGAAAAAACAAAAAGGAAAAATAATAACTTGTGGAAAAACCCATTTTTATCAACATCTCCTATGATTATTGGCTTTGAATGAAGTCATGATGTCTGGAGGTGTTGCAGCCATCTGGAAACCATATTTCAATATGCCTGTGATCAAAAAAGCAACAAGCTGCAGACACTGGAGTAGAAAAATGCTCTTGGTAAAAATATTGAGCTGTACTAACCCTGTATTGCCAACCTCCAGGCTTCCTTTTATTTAAGATAATTAACTGTTGTTATTGCTTAAGACACCCTAGGCAAGGTTTTCTATTACTTGCATCCAAAATTCTCCCTGGCACAATTTTATTGGGAAACTTTATGAATGACATACTATACAACCATACATTATACTTTTAGTGTTATCATGACAGTCATTATTGATTAATCTTCTTAAGATTTGAAAAGAACATTACATTCTGTTGCCATCCTTAATTTTACAAATTGATTCCATTTAAGTGTATTCCTTGCAGCTTATTTCAACATATGGAATGAAGAAGAAGATACATTAATTCATCTTTAAACTTAGAATTAAAGCCAATAAGAAAATGTTTTACTATTTTCTGTATTCCTTTTTGATCATAGTTAGGACTTACGTTGTCAATTATTTTAATTTTCTTTCCACTGGTCACTTTTTACGGTTTTTACTATTATGCCAAAAGATTTTGATCATTAAAAATGTTAATATATTTGAAAAACTTGCATGGTAAATTTGTCATCATTAATTTTAAAATATGTTAATCATAGATTAAATTAATATGTTCTTATTTTAATTTTTCTAATAATTTGGCAAGTTCTATAAAATATTCCATGAAGACTTTAATTATCAGTCACTCACTCAAAAAAAAAAACCAGAATAGATCTATTTAATTATTTATTTTTTCTCTATTTATCTAACTGCCAACCAAGGAATTTCACAAATGAATTATGCGTTTCTAATTGAATTAATACTTCAGCTTGGTAATTATGTTCTTTTGGTAGATGAATATTTTGGTAGGCTGATTAATAGCCCATGACATTGTAATCCCTGGAGTCGCTGAATGTTACCTTAGGTAAGAACAACAACAACAAAAAGGACATTACAAATATGATTAAACTTAGAATTTTGGAGGTCTGTTCCAAGGTGGCCGAAAAGGAACAGCTCCAGTCTGCAGCTCCCAGTGTGATCAACACAGAAGATGGGTGATTTCTGCATTTCCAACTGAGGTACCTGGTTCATCTCATTGGTACTAGTTGGACAGTGGGTGCAGCCCATGGAGGGTGAGCCAAAGCAGCGCAGGGCATCGCCTCACCCGGGAAGCACAAGGGGTTGGGGGATTTCCCTTTCCTAGCCAAGGAACGGTGTGACAGACTGTACCAGGAAAATTGGGACACTGCCACCCAATTACTGCACTTTTCCAACGGTCTTAGAAAGTGGCACACCAGGAGATTATATCCCATGCCTGGCTCAGCAGGTCCAACGCCCATTGAGCCTTGCTCACTGCTAGCGCAACAGTTGGAGACAGAACTGTGAGGTGCCAGCCTGGCTCGGGGAGGGCGTCCACCATTGCTGAGGCTTGAGTAGGTAAACAAAGCAGCTAGGAAGCTCGAACTGGGTGGAGTCCACCACAGCTGAAGGAGGCCTGCCTGCCTCTGTGGATTCCACCTCTGGGGGCAGGGCATAGTTGAACAAAAGGCAGCAGAAACTTTGGCAGACTTAAACGTCCCTGTCTGACAGCTCTGAAGAGAGCAGTGGTTCTCCCAGCACAGTGTTTGAGCACTGAGAATGGACAGACTGCCTCCACAAGTGGGTCCCTGACCCCCATGTAGCCTAACTGGGAGACACCTCCCAGTAGGGGCTGACTGACACCTCGTACAGCCAAGTGCCCCTCTGAGACAAAGCTTCCAGAGGGGATCGGACAGCAGTATTTGCTGTTCTGCAATATTTGCTGTTCTGCAGCCTCCACTGGCGATACCCAGGTAAACAGGGTCTGGAGTGGACCTCCAGCAAACTCCAACAGACCTGCAGCTGAGAGACCTGAGTGTTAGAAGGAAAACTAACAAACAGAAAGAAATAGCATCAACATCAACAAAAAGGACATCCACGCCGAAATCCCATCTGTAGGTCGCCATAATCAAAGAGTAAAGGTAGATAAAACCACAAAGATGGGGAGAAACCAGAGCAGAAAAGCTGAAAATTCTAAAAAGCAGAGCACCACTTTTCCTCCAAAGGATCGCAGCTCCTTGCCAGCAACGGAACAAAGCTGGATGGAGAATGACTTTGACAACTTGACAGAAGTAGGCTTCAAAAGGTTGGTAATCACGAATTTCTCTGAGTTAAAGGAGGATGTTCGAACCCATTGCAAAGAAGCTAATAACCTTGAAATAAGATTAGACAAATGGCTAACTAGAATAAACAGTGTAGAGAAGACGTTAAATGACCTGATGGAGCTGAAAACCATGGCACGAGAACTACATGACACATGCACAAGCTTCAGGAGCCAATTCGATCAAGTGGAAGAAAGGGTATCAGTGATTGAAGATCAAATTAATGGAATGAAGCAAGAAGAGAAGTTTAGAGAAAAAAGAGTTAAAAGGCATGAAAAAAGCCTCCAAGAAATATGGGACTACGTGAAAAGACCAAATCTATGTTTGATTGGTGTACCATAAAGTGACAGGCAGAATAGAACCAAGCTGGAAAACACTCTTCAGGATATAATCCAGGAGAACTTCTCCAAGCTAGCAAGGCAGGCCAACATTCAAATTCAAGAAATACAGAGAACACCGCAAAGGTACTCCTTGAGAAGAGCAATCCCAAGACACATAATTGCCAGATTCACCAAGGTTGAAATGAAGGACAAAATGTTAAGGGCAGCCAGAGAGAAAGGTCGGGTTACCCACAAAGGGAAGCACATCAGACTAACAGCGGATCTCTTGGCAAAAACTCTAAAGCCAGAAGAGAGTGGGGGCCGATATTCAACATTCTTAAAGAAAATAATTTTCAATCCAGAATTTCATATCCAGCCAAGCTAAGCTTCATAAGTGAAGGAGAAATAAAATAGTTTACAGACAAGCAAATGCTGATAGATTTTGTCACCAAGAGGCCTTCCTTACAAGAGCTCCTTAAGGAAGCACTAAACAGGGAAAGGAAAAACCAGTAAGAGCCACTGCAAAAACATGCCAAACTGTAAAGACCATCGATGCTAGGAAGAGACTGCATCAACTAACAGGCAAAATAACCAGCTAACATCATAATGACAGGATCAAATTCACACATAACAATATTAACCTTAAATGTAAATGGGCAAAATGCCCCAATTAAAAGACACAGACTGGCAAGTTGGATAAAGAGTCAAGACCTATCAGTGCGCTGTATTCAGGAGACCCACCTCACGTGCGGAGACACACATAGACTCAAAATAAAAGGATGGAGGAAGATCTACCAAGCAAATGGAAAGCAAAAAAAAAGCAGGGGTTGCAATCCTAGTCTCTGAAAAAACAGATTTCAAACCAACAAAGATCAAAAGAGACAAAGAAGGCCATTACATAATGGTAAAGGAATCAATTCAACAAGAAGAGCTAACTATCCTAAATATATATGCACCCAATACAGGAGCACCCAGATTCATAAAGCAAGTCCTTAGAGGCCTACGAAGAGACTTAGACTCCCACACAATAATAATTGGAGACTTTAACACCCCACTGTTAGACAGATCAACGAAACAGAAGGTTAACAAGGATGTCAAGGACCTGAACTCAGCTCTGCACCAAGCGGACCTAATAGACATCTACAGAACTCTCCACACCAAATCAACAGAATATACATTATTTTCAGCACCACATCACACTTATTCCAAAACTGACCACATAGCTGGAAGTAAAGCACTCCTCAGCAAATGTAGAAGAACAGAAATCACAACAAACTGTCTCTCAGACCACAGTGCAATCGAATTAGAACTCAGGATCAATAAACTCACTCAAAACCCCACAACTACATGGAAACTGAACAGTGTGCTCCTGAATGACTACAGGGTACATAACGAAATGAAGGCAGAAATAAAGATATTCTTTGAAACCAATGAGAAGAAAGACACAATGTACCAGAATCTCTGGGACACATTTCAAGCAGTGTGTAGAAGGAAATTTATAGCACTAAATGCCCACAAGAGAAAGCAGGAAAGATCTAAAATTGACACCCTAACATCACAATTAAAAGAACTAGAGAAGCAAGAGCAAACAAATTCAAAAGCTAGCAGAAGGCAAGAAATAACTAAGATCAGAGCAGAACTGAAGGAGATAGACACACAAAAAAACCTCCAAAAAAATCAATGAATCCAGGAGCTGGTTTTTTGAAAAGATCAACAAAATTGATAGACCACTAGCAAGACTAGTAAGGAAGAAAAGAGAGAAGAATCAAATAGACGCAATAAAAAAAGGATAAAGGGAATATCACCACCGATCCCACAGAAATACAAACTACCATCAGAGAATACTATAAACACCTCTACACAAATAAGCTAGAAAATCTGGAAGAAATAGATAAATTCCTGGACACATACACCCTCCCAGGACTAAATCAGGAAGAAGTTGAATCCCTGAATAGACTAATAACAGGCTCTGAAATTGAGGCCATAAATAATAGCCTACAAACCAAAAAAATCCAGGCCAGTCAGATTCACAGCCGAATTCCACCAGAGGTGCAAAGAGAAGCTGGTACTATTCCTTCGGAAACTATTCCGATCAACAGAAAAAGAGGGAATCCTCCCTAACTCATTTTATGAGGCCAGCATCATCCTGGTACCAAAGCCTGGCAGAGACACACACACAAATAAAAGAATTTTAGACCAATATCCCTGATGAACATCAATGCAAAAATCCTCAGTAAAATACTAGCAAACCAAATCCAGCAGCACATCGAAGAGCGTATCCACCATGATCAAGTGGGCTTCATCCCTGGGATGCCAGGCTGGTTCAACATATGCAAATCAATAAATGTAATCTATCACATAAACAGAACCAAAGACAAAAACCACATGATTATCTCAATAGATGCAGAAAAGGCCTTCAACAAAATTCAACAGCCCTTCATGCTAAAAACTCTCAATAAATTAGGTATTGATGGAACATATCTCAAAATAATAAGAGCTATTGATGACAAACCCACAGCCAATATCATACTGAATGAGCCAAAACTGGAAGCATTCCCTTTGAAAACTGGCACAAGACAGGATGCCCTGTCTCACCATTCCTATTCAACATAGTGTTGGAAGTTCTGGCCAGGGCAATCAGGCAGGAGAAAGAAACAAAGGGTATTCAATTAGGAAAAGAGGAAGTCAAATTGTCTGTTTGCAGGTGACATGATTGTATATTTAGAAAACCCCATCGTCTCAGCCCCAAATCTCCTTAAGCTGATAAGCAACTTCAGCAAAGTATCAGGATACAAAATCAATGTGAAAAAATCACAAAGATTCCTATACACCAGTAACAGACAAACAGAGTCAAATCATGAGTGAACTCTCATTCACAATTGCTACAAAGAGAATAAAATACTTAGGAATCCAACTTACAAGGGACGTGAAGGACCTCTTCAAGGAGAACTACAAACCACTGCTCAACGAAATAAAAGAGGACACAAACAAATGGAAGAACATTCCATGCTCATGGGATAGGAAGAATCAATATTGTGAAAATGGCCATACTTCCCAAGGTAATTTATGGATTCAATGCCATCCCCATCAAGGTACCAATGACTTTCCTCACAGACTTGGAAAAAAACCACTTTAAAGTTCATATGGAACCAAAAAAGAGCCCGCATTGCCAAGACAATCCTAAGCCAAAGAACAAAGTTGGAGGCATCACATTACCTGACTTCAAACTATACTACAAGGCTACAGTAACCAAAACAGCATGGTACTGGTACCAAAACAGATATATAGACCAATGGAAAAGAACAGAGGCCTCAGAAATAATGCCACACATCTACAACCATCTGATCTTTGACAAACCTGACAAAAACAAGAAATGGGGAAAGGATTCCGTATTTAATAAGTGGTGCTGGGAAAACTGGCTAGCCATATGTAGAAAGGTGAAACTGGATCCCTTATTTAAACCTTACACAAAAATTAATTCAAGATGGATTAAAGACTTAAATGTTAGATCTAAAACCATAAAAACCCTAGAAGAAAACCTAGGCAATACCAGTCAGGACATAGGCATGGATAAGGACGTCATGACTAAAACACCAAAAGCAATGGCAACAAAAGCCAAAATAGACAAATGGGACCTAATTAAACTAAAGAGCTTCTGCACGGCAAAAGAAACTACCGTCAGAGTGAACGCAACTTACAGAATGGGAGAGAATTTTTGCAATCTCCCCATCTGCCCCATCTGACAAAGGGCTAATATCCAGAATCTACAAAGAACTCAAACAAATTTACGAGAAGAAAACAAACAGCCCCATCAAAAAGTGGGCAAAGGATATGAACAGACACTTCTCAAAAGAAGACATCTATGCAGTCAACAGACACATGAAAAAATGCTCATCTTCACTGGTTCATCAGAGAAATGCAAATCAAAACCACAATTAGATACCATCTTACGCCAGTTAGAATGCCAATCATTAAAAAGGGAAGAGCAGATACTGGAGAGGATGTGGAGAAATAGGAATGCTTTTACACTGTTGGTGGGAGGTAAATTGGTTCAACCAATGTGGAAGACAGTGTGGCAATTCCTTAAGGATCTAGAACTAGAATTACCATTTGACCCAGCAATCCCATTACTGGGTATATACCCAAAGGATTCTAAATCAGTCTACTATAAAGACACATGCACACGTATGTTTATTGCGGCACTATTCACAATAGCAAAGACTTGGAACCAACCCAAATGTCCATCAATGATTGACTGGCTTAAGAAAATGTGGCACATATACACTATGGAATACTATGCAGCCATAAAAAAGGATAAGTTAATGTCCTTTGCAGGGACACAGATGAAGCTGGAAACCATCATTCTCAGCAAACTATCACAAGGACAGAAAACCAAACACCGCATGTTCTAACTCATAGGTGGGAATTGAACAATGAGATCACTTGGAAACAGGGTGGGGAACGTCACACATCAGGGCCTGTTGGCAGGGTAGGGGCCTGGGGGAGGGATAGCATTAGGAGAAATACCTAATGTAAATGATGAGTTGATGGGTGCAGCAAACCAACATGGCACATGTATACCTATGTATCAAATCTACATGTTGTGCACATGTACCCTAGAACTTAAATATAATAAAAAATAAAAATTAAAAGAAATAATTTAGAATTTTGAGATGAGATTACCCTGGATTCTCAGGAGGGCAATCCATGCAATCACATTTGTCCTTATAAGAGGGCCACAAATGGAGAATTTACTACTAAGCTAGAAGAAGAGAAGGCAGTGTGACCACAAAGACAGATTATTGGAGTGATTCATCCACAAGCCAAGAAATGCCAGCAGTTATCAGAAGCTACAGGAGGCAAAGAAAAGATTCACCACTACAGACTGTGGAGGGAGTGAAATTCTGCTGATACCTTGACTTAGGTCCAGTGATACTGATTTTGGACATCTGGCTTCCACAGTCATAAAGGAAGTTTACCTGTTGCTTTAAGCCACTAAGTTTCTAGAAATTTGTTACAGTAGCCACAGGAAACTAATACAAATATCTTTGCTACTGTTTCCATCATTTTTCTGTAGAAACATTACTTATACAATGTATTTGGTTAATTTTACATTTTTTCTCTATTAATTTTTTTATTTTCCTAATATTCCTCTGTAGAGTCGTCATCTGTAAGATGTGCTATTTTCATTCCTTTGTCTCCTATTGCTGTATTTCTTATATGTTTTTCCATTAGAGATATTGCTTGATTTTTCCATTGTGATATTAAATAGAAAGAATGGCAGTCTGTATGCTAATCAATATCTTGTTTTGAAGAATAACAGGTTCTTGTTTATTATCTAGAATGATGGATAGTGATTTATTATATTAATGTATATTTTTGTTTTATACATCTTTAGAAATAACGTGGGTTCTTATAATATTTTACCATATACTGATGTAAAATGTTACTAAATGATAGTTAAATGGATAGCATAATACCTATGAAATGTGTACCTCTTATATGGCATATTAGGTTAATAATTTCTTGAAGGTTATCATCACATGTCTACATTTTATATTGAGCCCTTATTGTTTTATTAAAGACCACTTTGATATTGATAGTTTTTTCACTACTAGTCTAAGAAGGCTACTAAGTCAAGTCTTTGAGTTTCTTCTCTAAAAACTTGGGGATAGGGGTGGCTATTGATAAAAGCTGAAGAGCGACAGATCCAGAAGGAAAAACTTCAAGCACCAAGAAGTAAAATGCCACATGATACCTTTCTCTTTTTGAAAGACACGCTTGTAGAAACGATGGTGCCAAACTGTCCAAGAATAGAGGACTTTAAGGGTAGAAAGTGGTAGATTTAGGGACAGAGTTCTTGTCTAAATTTTCTCAAGGTAAGTAAAAGACATAAATTCAGAGATAGCTTATTAAATGGTGGAGACTCATTCCCTGCTCCAATACATAGTGTTTAAGAGTGACAGGCAATTTGATAGGGAAGAAAGTAGAGGCCAGATCATTAAAATTGAGATCTTGGAAGCCATTGCAAAATCCTCACATAAACTTGGCAAAGAAGCAATGAAACCACAGACCTTAAAGGAAATATGAATGTTTAGGCAGTGAGCCTATAAGACATAATGAGGAATGACTGCAACCTGGAAAACACTTCTCTAAATGTTTTTTAAACAACTTATAACCTTTTCCTCCTTCACAAACTCTACAGGGGAGATTCACCCACAATATGACTGAATTTCTTACAGCCAGGTTGATAGAGTTCAACCTATAAACTTACAGAATGGTAATAATAATAATAAGTCATATTAAAACATTTATTTTCCTTGATTGTAAAGCAAGAAATGTGTATGAACTAAACATGTCTTGCCTTTCTTCACTAAAATTACTTAATCATTCAGAGTAATAATGCATTGAATTCTGTTTAACTTTATCAAAATTCATAAATTACATTTGAATCTCCTTTTTCAGGGCTATTTTGGCTGTTTTTCTAACAATTTATATATACATGTATACACACGCATATATTTGAAACTGCTTATAGAATCCAAAGAATATACTTTACGCATCTGTAGCCATTCTATAGAGAATCCATTGAAACATACTTTAAAAAAATTATTTTAGCAACTTTTACAGCATTTCACTATGTTTCTTGATTATTCTTAGACTTTATTTGCCCACAAAATGAGTCTTTTCCTCATAGTGATCTATGCAGCCTATGCTCACATTAGGTTTCTTGATATATATAGACACAGTTGGTTGACACTGAGTTTATTATCACTTACAACATTTAACATTTCATTCAGATAGGCTTCAAAGTCATTTTCACAAGTTCTATAGTTATATATTTGAATTTACATTCCTAAGTGAAATAGCATATTGAGAATTTTACTAAACTTCATCTTGATAGGTTTACACTCATCCAGTTTAGTGATTCCATCAAATAGTAATCATTAAACCATGTTGAATAGATGAATAAATAGAAGTACAAATGAATGGGTTTGGCAGTTTGATTCTATCATTTTCAAATTTGATAAGCATACACTCTTCCAAATTATTATTTGAAATGTTGCATAGAGGAAGGCAGGAAAAAAGTGTTCCGGGAATGTCTCTTGAAATTTCCCTTAATTTTTATATTAATCTCTTAATCAAAGACCCTTGGTTTCAGTTGTTCAATCACTTATAAACCCAATTTATTTTATTATATCCAGCCACATTTCTCCTTCCTTAACATAATGTTATTATGAGTTCACTGGTCAATACATTGTTGGAGTCCAGACTCACTTACTCTATTACATTTTTCTTGATATATTGGTCTAATAATCTAGGTAAATAAATTAATTAGAAATTAGAATTTGGAATTGCAATTGTATCTAGAAGTAATTCTACTTGCTTTACTAACAATTTCCTCAAGATATTTCAGTGCTATATTGCTTGAGATATATACATTCCTTGTTAGTGTTTTTGTTAGTTCTTACTGTATGTTATATATTCTTTAGAATGATTTTACATTCTTTAAGTTAATTTTTCTATTATATATGTATTATCTGATTCCATGGTTAGGAATGCATGCATTTCTGTTATCCCCATACAAGCCTTGTAAATCCTATATTATTATTTTGTTTCTAGTATATTTGTGTCTTCCTCTTATAAACAAAGTTATGTGAATTTTGTTTTCTGAATCTAGTCTGTCACCACTTATGTTTCTATAAGGTATATTTACCCTTATATATGCACACTTACATTTAACCTTACATACTCATACATACACACATATATGCATATATAATTTATATGTATGCATATATGACTGTATGCATGTGTATCCATATATACACACACACATACACACATACAGACATGTGTATGTGTGTGTGTATATATGGATACACATGTATACACATATATATGTGCATGTGTGTGTGTGTATAATCCTCAACAATTTTGGAAATTTACCTTTCACTATTCTTATTTTTTTATAAATGTATTTGGTATTTAATGAGATCAGATTATTTCCTCCCAACTAGAATAATTACATAAGTCCAGAAGCTGATGGAATATACATATACATAGAAATTGTTATATAAATTTGCAGTAATTTTTTTAATTTCTCAAATTATTTTTTGCATTACACTTCTTAAAATATACTACAAAGCATCCTCATATTCTCAAATACTTTAGCAAATAGTTTTTAAGTAACTTTTGATAATTTTTTTTGTTTTATTTCTTCAATTACTATTTTCTGAGTAAATCTTTTAATTTTTGCTAAAGAAAATTTAGGAACTAGCTTAATACTGCTTCATAATCCTTATATAAATTTTTCTATTATATCTTGGTTACAAATGTTTTGAAAAATATTTTACATGTTGCGCTATATTGCCTTATTTTTATTACTGTATTTTGCTTAACAAAACTAAACCTATATTAACATTTAAACCAACTGTATTCCCTAAACTTATATTGCTCTTTAAGTTCTAAATCTCTTGCTTTAAACCTTGCAATAGAGATTACCAACTGACAAATTATTTTGGTCTCTAAATTTCAAATTCATTCACTTTCTGCCTTTAAAGTAAAAATCATTTTGACCAAGTTATATTGACATAAATTCAATTATCTTTATTCAACTTCTCCCACATTCTTCTTTCAACAGCGGCTTGGTATTGAAATTCAAAATTATTTATCTTCAAAATTCATCACTTCTTGCTTTCTGGCAGCTCATAAGATAATATCTTTGTTTTCAAAGTTTCAAAACTCTTTTGTTGATGTCTAGATATTATCCCTTGCTGATTGTGCCTGTCAACACTGTTGAATTGCTGGCTAGTTTTTTTATTTAATATAAAAAATTCATCTGTAATATTATCCTGAATATAAATGCTACTTATCTGTTTCTAAGCTCTCACTCCTTGAAATAAAATATGTTTTATTTGTAAGTTTATTTACTGCAACAAATATATACCTACGTATATCTTTATCTGCATAAATATATGCATTTAATCTTTTATTAAGCTATATCTAATCTATCAATCAATCATCCAATTTGGCCAATGAACAAGACTTTTTAAAACGGCAACAGATTACCATAAACTTAACCAAGTAGTAATTCTAATTGCAGCCACGATCTTGGATGTTGTCATAAATGATATAAAATACTTGATACCTGTATTCATATTTGCATAGAGACTTTTTTTATCTCTATTTCAATAAATAGAAAACATGACAAGCAGAGTTTTTATTGTTTTTAATTTTCATCTCCTATAAGACAGCTCTTGTCTGCTGTGTCTCTGAGATCAATTTTCCCAATTTGCACCATGCTGGAGCCACAGAGATCTTGATCATCACAGTAAATATCATCATGTCATGCTGGTCTAACACACTGATGACCTCATGCCTACGTGATGTGTAGACGAAAAAGAAGTAAGCACCATAGATGCTTTTGTAAGACACTTGCATTATTGATCATTGGAGATAAATTCCATGTAGCCAAGAGTACTGCTCGATACAGATAGTTTTTTTTTTTTTTTGAGAGGTAGCTGTCTAGCTAGATTGATTGATAGATTAGATATAGCTAAATTAAAGGCAAGATAATAGGGAACTCTAATCGGAACAACTGGAGAACACTATTTTCAAATCCTGAAGAGCCTGGATTTTGAGTACATCGGACCTTACATTAGACATTAGGTTTTCTCCCCAGGGGATGAAATTACTGTTTCCTACACATGGACAGAAAACTAAAGTGGTTTTGGAGGAACACTAAATAAGAAATTGGCAAAATGTTCACAAAGCCTGTTTTTCTCCTTTGCATAAAGCTAAAATACATTTCCCAACCCCTTGCATTTTGGTGGGGCATGATCTTGGCACTCTATAATGATATGTGAGTGGATGTAGTATCTTTTTCTGGTCCAGTGTAGTTAAGAGCATGTATGAATGCTCTCATTATATTCCCTGATTTTTGACTATTCATAGATGGCCAGGAAAACCAGAGAACTAATGCAATGAAGAGACAGCCTCTTTCAGCTACTGCCTATGAATGTGATTGTCTGAGAGAAGCTACATTCCTATCATCACCACCAATACCACTCACACCACTTAAAAACCTTTGTGAACCAGAAACAATTTTTCTGTGTGTGAAGCTGGCACAAAGATGTTGGCATTGTTTTTTTACAGAATTTAGCACACTACAACTAATACAAACATGTTCAAAAACGGAAGAAGTAGCTTTATCAAAGACTTCAGACTTGGAGAAGCAGGCACTGAGGATTTGGCATTCTTCAAAACTTCCTAGCACCTTAGTACTCAAATATGCTTCAATTTTCAAAGGTATTTGATCAAACCTGAACAAATGGAGCCCTCAGTCATTTCCCAGTTTCCATCCTTCATTCCATTCATTCTTTCACCCATTATCTATTACATTCTGACTTGGGCTGGAGTCTGGGCTGAGCACTGGGAGAGAGAAATGAAGATGACAAAATCCTTCTCTCCAACAACTTCCATTCTAGGAAGATGGCTTCGTACTCTAGTATTTGCATCACAGCATGTCTGCTATGGCAAGCATGCATACGTGCTGATAGGCAGAGAGGTGGGCTCTTAAGGGCGAGGTACCCTTCCCAAAGAAGAGAATCTTGATTGTAAATGTAAAGGATGCATAAGAAGCATGAAAGTGAAAAGCTCTTGGTCCATTTAGCCATTTTCCTCAAAAAGCTCCATATGGATGTTTATCATACTGATTCATTCATTCATTCATTTACCCAACAAATCCAAACCTTCCTTCAATCATAGAGATGCTTCTGTATGCTAGTCACCATGTTAGGCCTTGTATTAGTTTTCAATTTTTGCTGTAACAAATTGCCATAAACTCAATGTCTTAAAACAACACAACTTTACTTTTTTATGGTTTTGTAGGTTAAAAGCATGACCTGGCTTCACTGGACTAAAATTAAGATGTCAGCTGTGCTGTATTCCTTTTTGTAGGTTACAGGGGAGACCTATTTCCTTGCATTTTCAAGTTCTAGAGGCCACTGACATTCCTTAGCTCAAGATCTCCTTTTTCCGTCTATAATCAAGCTAGCCATGGCAGATTGATTTCTTTTCATTTTGCATCACTCTGATTTCTTCTGGCTCCCTCTTCCACTTTTAAGGACCCAAGTGATGACATTGAGCTCACTTGGATAATTCAAGATAATCTCCCCATCTCAGAACCCTAATGTGATTACCTCAACAAAGCCCAAAGTAAGGTAGCATATTGACAGATTCTGGGGATTAGGAATTGGGCATTTGCAGTGGGTTCATTATTCTACAAACAACTATACTGTCCACGTTTACTCTTGAGATCAACAATTGTACCCGACTGTGACTGTCTCCCCAAATTTCAATTAGCTGTTTCACCATCAAGATAGCAAATAATCTAAATATTACACTGTGCTTCATCTACTCTCTGAGCAAGAAGCTGTTTTGAGAAGTTAATCTCTTTTGTAATTCACATTTTAGATGAGGCAGATGATATTCTGGAAGTTTAATTAACATGCCCAAGGTCACAAGTGATAGGAGCAGAATATTGTTAAAATTCAAAGCTTCTGACTGCAAGTCCATTCATTTCCCAGAGAAAGACAGTTGATCTCATATACTGTATAAATTGAGTTCATTTCAGGTTTAAAAAAAACAAAAAAAAAAGTCTGTTATTTAAAATCAGACTAATTTAAGGAAACACATATAAATCCTAATCACTTTTTTCTTATTTCACTAATAGAGCACCTTCAGACATTCAATGCAAAGACATTGAACAAGAAACCCCGGGATTCAACTCCATGACAGCTAACTCACTTTCAAATGACTGATACTTGGTGATGCACCTGTTCACTTCCACCCTGGGGGAACTCTCCCATGCATGTCTCTATTCTAAATAAATTGCCTTAAGATGGATTTGTTGTAATTTTGCTACATTTCTTCAGCAATCTTCAACAGCTAAGTGGAAGGAGTTATTTTTGCCATTGTTCAAGTTTTGTTTTACCCCACTATTAATAATTTGTATATTTGTAGAGCATCTATACAGAACTCAATTTCTTTAAACATATTACTTATGGTAACAAACAACCAACCAAATAAGAGTGATCTCTTGAGTCTCATTCCAGGGTGACAAAGCTTATAGAGCACCTTCCAAATAGAACACAATCCATATAAGCCCAGCTAGATTGACAGATAATGTCCCTAAGGAGATGGCATGGTGTGATTCAATGAACAAGGAGACAGATTCAGTCACACAGCTAATAAGTAGCAGAGCTCAGGATTCAACCAAAACTCATGTTCTTTCAATTGTACCATGCTTTCTGCTAACACATCACAAACTTTGTCAAATATTAGGAATAAAACTTGCTGATGTTTTAAGCCACCTCAAAATAGATCTAAACCCTACTGGTTCTATTTTACAGTAAAAAAGGATGAAAAAAACCAAAAACAAACAAATAGTTCAGCCCCCTATCACAAAGTTAATGTTGTGATCTATGGGGTAAATATTTCTTAAAGATTCAGACACTTTCATCTCCATTAGAGAAATGCTGAAAAAGACATATGCTGAGAATCTCCTGGTCATAAGTGCTTAATGCTAAAGGCAGTCAAGCAATACAGAAGCAAGAAGCCTTAAAAGCTTTTGGAGTCTAAGGTTGTAACCTTTGGGTAAAATGGCGAGGCTGTCAGTCCACTGAAACCCAGCACTTCCCCTCAAGTATCTGTCTTGCCCTTCCTTCCACACTAAGTGCCTACTCGGAGTTCCTCTGGCCATTATATAAAGCTTTTCAGGAAACCTCACTCCAGACAGATGTTTAACCCCAGGCTCTAGGGGGACTATGCTGCCAGTTGCTGGGTCTGTTGATTAATTTTACATGTACACACATGCTAATGTAGCCTGACATTGAGGGGCTCACAGTCAGCCAGCCATGTTAAATAAATAAAGTAGTACAGGCAAATCTGCACTGAAAGTTGTCTGCACACAGATGCATTTCACCCCAAATCTCAAAGGAGAGCTGGTTCTTCTTTTTTATGCAGCCAGCATCAGAGAGGCAACCTGGTCAATATTATCACAAATCGTCCTTGATTCACTTGTATGTAATATACTACCCCATTTTTTAAATAGGCTTGGGTGAAATATGGGATATTTAAATGCAGATGTAAATTGAAGTTCAATGATAGTAAGACAATAGAAGGGCTTCAAACACATTGATTACAATGAGTGACCAACATTACTTAGAAATTCAGCTGCATAATCTGTGGTCTCAGAGCATATTTTGTGAAATTTACCAAATTACAAACGTTAAAGGTGATATGGAATTATTGCTTCAAAATAGTGATGATTTTGAGAAAAACACTTGTGAATAATAATATATCACTTCTAAATATTAATATTACAGATTTTTCTTATGGTATTGGCAGATACACTATTACAGACCAACTCTCACAATGAGAAAAACAAGAAGAGTTAGGGAAAATATTTTTTACAAAATTTGACTGAAGGCATTGCAGAAAAATCAAGACAGCCTGAACTTAAGAGATATAAGTTCTGAAGAAAAGGAAAGCTCAAGTGTTTGCTCAACAACCAGTGTAGCTTTTCCCTTTGGGGCATTTGCTAACCCACAAGTGTGGGGTCTCAATACTGAGAAGCAAAGAAAGCAGTTCTCAAAATTGTTAAGGGTTCAAGGGGACAAAACCTGGAAATCAGGGCTCAACATGGAGGAGGAATCCTGGTAAACACTATCAGTTTCCGTGGAGACCCTGAAGTATTATATCCAAAGAAGAGAGGGAAACCAGCGCCCCCACAAATCAAACTGGATTATGATGATTTGCCTCTACCCTAGCATCTTTCAAGAGGAAAAAGTAAACATCACTATGACAGAGCCTAAAAAAAACACCTTCAAATAAGTAGGTAATTAATAAAAATCAGTTAAATCTTGTTCTTATTAAGAACATTAAAATACTTTCCAGTAATAATAAAAGGAATAGCAATAACTACCTTTCCCTTTTGAGCCTCTCACAGATGCCTAGGTTTTGCGATCTTGGCTATCTCTAAATCTTATACCATATCTGCAAGTCAATCATATTTATGACTGATTACAAAACTGAGGTTCAGGTTCATAGATGTTATGTGACTTATGGATCCACATAGCTAAGTAGACAACTGAGTTAAGATTTAAACTCTGGACTGTTTGACTTCAACAGACACTTTCAGCGGGTGAGGTGGGTGTATATTTTCATGAAATATGTGAAGAGGGGCTTACTTTAGAACAGAAAAGAGAGGAATCTGTAAGGAACTGTGGGATGATTTTTGATGAAAATGATCTCTTGGTGAAAGGCAGTCTTCTTAGAGGTTTTTCCGTCTCTTTTCAATTCACATAATATTTACTGAATGCTTACTATTTGCCAGGCGCTATTCTATATTTGATGACTATAGCAATAAGCAAAATAGACAAAAATCCCTGGCCTGATGCAGATGAGATCCTACTGAAGTGGACAGTTAGCAAGTAAATAAAGATCGAATTTAGGGAACTAGTATTTATAGCCAAGCTGATGTGATAGGGAGAAAAAAAAAAAAAGACAGGAAAGCTATTAGTGACACTGTGTACAGGGCAGGAAAAGTATGGAATTCAGACAATGCCCGTGGGGTTGTGTTTGAAAAAGTAGTGCTGCACACCATTCTTCCACCTGAGCCCTTCCCCATTTGGAAATGAAATATCGGGGGGCAGAGGATCCTTGGTCATACATTTCTCTAAAGATCTGTGATTCTAGGTTGGGCATGGTGGCTCATGCCTGTAATCCCAGCACTTTGGGAGGCCGAGGCGGGCAGATCACCTGAGGTCAGGAGTTCGAGACCAGCCTTGCCAACATGGTGAAACCTCGTCACTACTAAAAATACAAAAATTAGCTGGGCTTAGTGGCAGGCGGCTGTAATCCTAGCTACTCTGGAGGCTGAAGCAGGAGAATCGCTTGAACCTGGAAGGTGGAGTTTGCAGTGAGCTGAGATCGCGCCATTGCACTCCAGCTTGGGCGACAAGAGCGAGACTCCATCTCAAAAACAAAACAAAAAAAGATCTATGATTCTAGATGGTGAATTGAATGTGGACAAAACCATGAGAACTGTGGCATCATATGTTACCTTCTCAACCTGTAAAATTATAAGCTATTTGAAAGTTAATGTGATACAATTAAACTCTATATTAGAATGATGGGGGAGAGAAAAGATAAAAGTATACATGAAAAAAACTTGTCCAAATA
Organism: Homo sapiens; assembly: GCF_000001405.40. Lineage (NCBI taxonomy): Eukaryota > Metazoa > Chordata > Mammalia > Primates > Hominidae > Homo > Homo sapiens. The sequence goes on along the minus strand of NC_000014.9, from coordinate 85,958,432 downwards.
ATAAAAAGACACCAGTAGCAACATTCTTTTATTCTACATAATGTTTTTGTGGAACAACCAAAATTGTAAGTTTTCCTGCAGTTGTGTAGGCATCTGTGCCAAAAGCATGGCAGGAACAAGGTTCTGAGTTAATTGCCTCATTAAATTGGCATCTATCTGCAACAGTGCCTCCTAGAGCCAAGTTAATGGCTTACAAAATGTAAACGAGATATAAATTTAACAGAGCATTATTTTTGCAGGCCTGAAAATCTCCATAGTGACTTTGGTGCTAGAACCAACCTTCTGAGCCTGCTTATGAAAGAGATTTATTTATTCCAAATTATATTTACTCTAAACTGAGCCCAGCTTTGCTGACCAAAACAATTTTCTCAACTGAAGGGCCTTAAATGCCACCCGCATTCCAGTTCTATGAATTCAAGAGATTTTTCTTTCAATTTCCAGGCTAGAATTTCATGGTGGTAACAACTTCATTTTATCTTGAATATTGCAAATCACTCAAAATAATCCAATAGTTAAGCACAACAGAAGTCATTTCACTGGAGAAAGTACAGCAACAAAGTATACAAATATTGCAGCTATGAAACCATTTTCCCCATTTACTAGTACTTCCAACTCATACTTCCTAAGCATATAATCAGTGTTACCACCTAAAACATTTCCTACCTGTTATTCAGGAATTTAAATCATCTTGAGGTTTTCAGAGCAAAAAGACAAGCACATTTTGGTTAGAAGACAGAAATGAAGTTTGAACCATTAAGTGCAGCTTCCACTGAGCATTGATAGAGAGAAATAAGATGATTTTAATTTAGATCAACTCTAAAGTACTATAAATTACATAGTTAATTTATCTAGAGGAAATTACACCAGATATAAATTGAAGTTACTCAAGAAATATCCAACAGATGCTACAATATCTCCATGAAAAATATAAAAACATCAAATATTGAAACATTGGCTATGTGGTTTTCTGTTTATGATAATAACAAAATTAAGACATAGGGAATGTTTTTAGTAGTCAACAGTATCAATCCATAGTTTGAAAGAAACACTACTTTGAAAGCAGTAGTGGTTTCATCAATTTATTTTGATATAAAATACTTGTTTCTCTAGCATTATTGGAGAATGAATTTTTTTGTAATTCATGCTTTTCAGAGAGTTGAATGATATCTTTACTTATTTCAAAGTCTGTTGGGATTTTTTTTTCTTTAAATGTATTTCACATATTTCCAGCTGCCTGAACTGAAGGCTCTAAATCAGTGGTCTCCAACCTTTTTGGCACCAGGGACTCGTTTTGTGGAGTGCAATTTTTCCAGGGACCAGTTGGGGGTGGGGGATGATTCAAGTGCATTACATTTATTGTGCACTTTATTTATATTATTATTACGTTGTAATATATAATGACATAATTACACAACTCACCATAATATAGAATCAGTGGGAGCCCTGAGTTTGTTTTCCTAAAACTAGACAGTCTTATCTGGAGGTGATGAAAGACAGGGACACAGGATCAGGAATCAGCTTCTTATAAGGAGTGTGCAACCTATTTCCCTTGCATGTGCAGTTCACAATAGGGTTTGCACTCCTATGAAAATCTAATGGTGCCACTGATCTGACAGGAGGAAGAGCTCAGGCACTAATGCAAGTGATGTGGAGTGGCCGTAAATACAGAGGAAGCTTTGCTGGCTTGCCCACCACACACCACCTGCTGTGCAGCCTGGTTCCTAACAGGCTGCAGACTGGTACTGGTCTCTGGCCCAGGGGTTGGAGACCCCTGTTCTAAATCATAATTTAATTTTGACTTGATTTTCCCAAAAGGATAATTAATATTAAATAATTTTTTTTAGGATTTTATAGGGACTTTTGGCCCCTACACTAAATGGCCACACACGCGCGCACACACACACACACACACACACACACACGTGTGTACATGTACACACAAGGTTTAATTTTTAAATTTTATTTCTCAGTGTCAAGTTGTCCATCTTCACCTCTCACTAGTCTCAAGGAAATGAACACCAAAATATTTTCTTACTGTTTAATACTTGTGATATGGTTTGGCTCTGTGTCCCTCCCAAATCTCACCTCGAATTGTAATCCTCATGCGTCACAGAAGGGACCTGGTAGGAGGTGATTGGATCACGGGGGCAGTGACCACCACGTTGTTCTCCTGATAGTGAGTTCTCATGAGATCTGATGGTTTTATAAGTGGCAGTTTCCCCTGCTCTTTCTCTTTCCTGCCACCTTGTGAAGAAGGTATTTGCTTCTCCTTCACCTTCCACCATGATTGTAAGTTTCCTGAGGCCTCCCCAGCCATGCAGAACTATGAGTTGATTAAACCTCTTGTCTTTGTAAATTGCCTAGTCTCTGGTCGTATCTTTACAGCAGTGTGAGAACAGATTAATACAACTTGTCAACTCAGGATAACATAAGAATTACTTCTATTCAACTTCGATCTTATAAGAGAACTGTTGGAGACAAGTTTAATAATTATATGTTGCTTAGTTAATGTTAAAGGCAGTATACTTTATTGAACATAGATTTACAAAGTTCGAAATTTATCGAAAGATAGTAAATTTGAATCTAAAATTTTCTATGTTAAAGCCAAACATGTAAAAAAAAAAAACTATAGGTAAATAATCCACTTTTTACTCTATTGCTGCTTTTAAAAAGATTTAATTAAATATCAGTGTTATAGATTTAATTATATCCTTCTCAAATTCATATTTGAAGTTCTCACCCCCAGTGTTACTGGCTTTGGTGACAGGGCTTTTAAGGAGGCAATTAAGGTTACCTGAAGTCATAAGGATGGGGCCTTAATCCTATAGGACTAATATCCTTATAAGAAGGGGAAGAGAGCCCACAGCTTTTTCCTAGTGTGCAGCACAGGGGGACAGCCGCATGAAAAGGCAGCCTTTTGCAAGCCACAGAAAGGGGCCTCATCAGAAACCAACTCTGGCGGCATATTGATCATGTATTTCTAACCTCTAGAACTGTGAGAAAACAAATTTCTGTGGTCTAAGCCACCCAGTCTGTGGCATTTTGTTATGACAGCCCAAGGAAACTAATAAAATGAGCAATTAAATATGTTTCCCTATTTCTGATTAGTTTCTCTGTAATATCAGCAAATGAAAGAGTTACAAAATAGAATAGAATAAATATTGCCATCAAAAATGTTCAGAGACCCCTTGAGTAAAAGAATATAAGAATTGGTCTGGTTTCTACCCCTAGAAAATGTTTCCAATTATGCTGTATTGAAACCTGTCTTTGTATCAAAGGGTCTCAAGATTCTACAATATAATGAAACCCACTCAATGGCTTCAGTTTATTTTTTAAGTGTGCTTTTCTATTTTGAACCACAGTCCTAGTTTGTGGTTGAAAAGAAAAATGGGGGCAGTATCTTGGGAAAAAGGCCAAATTGTTGCCAAGAGTAAGGGCCTCCATTGGTTTAGTGCTTAACAACAGCTTGGAGTTGAGTTCTGAACTTCTGCTGGGAATTCTTTCAGTCCTGTCTGTGTGAAAGGCATATTGTCCCTGCATGGACTGCTGTCATGTTCCATGCAGAATGTGGAAGACTTCACAAAATAGAGGAAACAAAAACCAAATGTTTGTCTAAGGTCTTTCCTCCAATTGTTTTTTCTTTCCACTTGCATGTGGAAAAGAATTAAAGCATATCAGCCACAATTACCTAAAGAATGCCAGACACTGTATAAGTACCAAGATAAAGACCCCCAGAAAAGCATAAAAAGTAGCCCATGTGCTCACTGGAGTTTTAAAACAAATTATCTACGAATATGAAGACCATACATAGACCTTAGCTATACTCTGGACCAGCCATTTTTAGAGATTGAAAACTTAAAATCCCAAATGACAAAATGAAGTTTTGTGCTCTCCTTGAGTAGGGTCTGGATCAATAGAGAGGTTCAGATGCTCAGTCAGACTTTTGTAATTGAAGAATCTCAGATGTTTAAACTCCCTTGGATTTGCACACACTTGGGAAAAAGCCAGGAGCTTCTGTATCTCTTCCTATGATTCACCTGGATCCATCTTCCACCGTATCTTCACCACCCGGCCCTCTTTTCCCAGTCCTTCCTGCTGTCCTCATCCTTGTCTTGTTCACTATTTCAAGCTTCCAACCTTCTGCTCCCTCACTCACTTCACTTTCTTAATCAGCTCTTAATATCTGTCAGAACTCTTTTCTTGGTAAATACAGGAACAAACAAGAGCTGGCTAATTGATGATAAGTAAAGTCATGCATCAGAGACCCATGAACAGGGATGCTGCTGGCTTTCTGGAAGAGTTTTAGCAGAACTAAGACGTGGACCTGACTCTCTTTTAGTCTTTTATTTGTATGCTTCATTTCATGTCAGTTGGGAAAGGTAGAATCAGTTGGATGTGATTTTTATTTTCATTTTAAGGGGAAATAACTCATTGGACAATCTTAATAAAGAAGTTTAGTTTAAAACACATGTGAAAGTTACAGACACTGGACTACAGTGAGTATTTATCTAGATTTCTAAAAAGTAATGTCATTTATTGAAAGCTGCATTACAAAAAATGTGTCTAAGTTGGTTAAAGATGGAACTACAAGAGCCCAGTAGTAAACAAAAAGCAAATTTAGCAGTTTAGACAGGAGGCAAAGATGGGTATTAAAGAGAAGTAGCTATGAAAAGGTGCTTGGGTGGTGAATTACACAAGTTCCCCTCCTTAATGGGAAAGTTGGCCGGATCAGGAGGTGATGGAGAGAGAGAGTACTGTATGCCTTGGTCTCAGTCTTTAAAACAATAGTCACTAAGAGTGTTAAATATTATACAATTTAACCCAGAAACTTTCATCCTAGCAATTTATAGTAAGGATATATTCAGACACTGTCTGTCCTAAAGAAACAACCAGATCAGAAAGTACAGATTTTTATAGCCACATTTATCATAAGGGCGTAACCAGAATAAATCCTTAGCCACATAGTCTTGCATTTCCTGGCTAATTTGTGTTAATGGTTTGTTGCTGAGTCTGCCCCACTGTGGAGAAGACTTTACCAGAGAATTAACCCTCCTGGGGGAGAAACATTTCTCCTTCTGTATACCTCTTTAGCCTTCTGTGTCACCTATAGACGTAAAGAAAAATTCTAATAAACACTTATCAACGTTACAGGCTTCCTGTTCCCATGAAGGGTATTGACTATCCTGACATCCTAAATAAAACCTTATTTTATTTAGCTTGTAGTATGTCTTCTTTTGTGTCTCACTTTTTTTGTTCTATGTTAGCTTTGTAAGATTTATCCGTATTGTGGATATCCTTACTATCATTCTAGGTCATTCTCAATCTTTCAATCTCATTACTGAATAGTATTCTGTTGTGTTTTAAAGTATCTAGTCTTCTCTCAGCAGGCATGTGAATAGACTCCAGCTCGGGACTATTAACAATAGTTTTGTTATGAACATTCTAGTTTTTTCTTTTTCATGAACATATGTAACATTTCTCAGTATACACTAAGAACTGGAATTGCGAGATCATAGAGTATGAAATTATTCCGTTTCAGCAGATACTACTAAATAGCTTTCCAAAGTGATTTTACTCTCCCTAACAATTATGAGAGCTGCAATTTGCTTCATATTCTTGCCAACATTGGGTATTTTATTGTCTTTCACATTGTAGATATCTGATGGTTGAATATGGAATCACATTTCTCTGACAGCTAATGAAGTTGAACACCTTTTATATGTTGATTTGCCATTTGGCTATCCTGTGTGAAGTTTTGAGCTCATTTGTTGTTGTTGTTGTTGTTGTTTTCCTATTGGGTTGTCAGTCTTTTTTTTCTGATATGGAAGGCTTCTTTTAAGATAGATAGATATATTTTTGCATTTGAGTTCAATATTAGCTATATATATTACAAATATCTCCTCTCTGAGCCTTGATTTTTACTTTCAATAGTATCTTTTGATGAAAAATAGTTCTTAATTTTAGTATAATCCGATTTATCAATTTTACCATTTATGATTATCATTTTCTGTTTCTGGTCAAGAAATGTCTTGCCTATTCCAAGGTCAGAAAGATGTTTTCTACATTTTCCTCTAAAAGTTTTATTATATTATCTTTCATGTTTAGACCAACAATTAATTTGAAACCGGTTTTGCTATGGTTGAAATAAATGTTCAGAATCATTTTTATTCAAATGACTATCCAATTGACACAGCAACATATATTGTACAATTTATAATAATTCGGTACAACATTGTACTAATGTAGACTTTGATGTGTTCAGGAAATGTGATTGAATTTGTTTGGTACTCTCCAGTTGCTTTTAAAAGTCAGTTTATCCATTTGTTGCCAATAACACACTGTTTTAATAAGCATAGTTTTATAAGAGTTTTTCAGATCTGTTAGTATAGGTCTTTCAACTTCATTCTTCTTTAAGATTGACCTGGCTATTTTTGGTTAATTGCATTTCTTAAAAATTAAAATTAAGCTTGTCAATTTCTGTAAAATACCCTGATGGAATTCTTTATTGAGAATTTATTTAATTGAGGTTTACTTTAGAGATAATTAACATTCTTACAATATTGAGGCTTGAATCCATGAAAACTGCACATCCCTCTATTTACTGAGATTCTTTAATTTCTCTAAACAATAGATTTTTATATATGTGTGTGGTGGTGAGGTGGGGTTCTTTCAAAACTAGTGTTAAATTTATTACTAGATATTAAATGTTTTTTATGGTTACTCATTAATTTATTACCTAAGTATTTAATGTTAGTATATAGAGCTATATTTGATTTTTAAAATGCCTATTTGTATCCAACAAATTTGCTAAACATATTATTTTTTAATAGTTTACAGACTCCTTTATCAATCTGCATAATAATATAATCTATAAATATTGGCAGCTATGATTTTTCTTCTAAAATGTTTGTTTCTTCCTTTTTCTTGGTTTACAAAAATGTGGACTAGAAGTGCCGATAATGGACACTCATTTATTTTTTCCAATTTCTAGGGAAAGGTGTCAATATTTCACCTTTGTGCATAATATATGCTGCAAGTTTTTGGAGCTATTCTTTTTCAGATGGATAAAAATCTATATTCCTAATTTTCTAATGCTTTCAAAAAAACCATGAATATGTGTTAGATACTGTCAAATGATTTTGCCTTTTGCATATTTCTTAAAATGATCAATTTATGTTTCATTTTTCTGTTAATGTGGTAAATTTTATTGATAATAATAATGCTAATGTGATAAATAATATTATTATTTATATTTTTAACAGATAGCTACATTTCAACATTTTAGATCTTATGAAATATCTGTCAATAATATATCCTTTTTTCCTTGAAAAGAAAATGTCAATATTTAGAATAAAAATTATGTTAGCCTTATAAAAAAGAGCCAGAAATTACTCCCTTTTTTCTATTCCTGTGTAAGTTTAGGTAAGATTCGTGTTGTTCTTTGGAAATGCCATCTTGTCCTGAGGTTTTATTGTGGAAGATTTCAAATTAGGCATTCAATTTTTAAACAAATACTGAAGTAATCAAATTTTCTATTGAATTTCTCTCAGTCTTGTATGATTCGGTAAAGTTTTCTATTTCATCCAAATTATAAAATTTGCTATTATGAAGTTGGTCATGCTATATATATATATATATATATATATATATATATATATATATTTCTTTCATCATTTGACATTATAATTATTCATTACCCTTTTTCATGTCTAGTATTTCTAATTCATGATTTTATTATTTTCTTGATTATTCTTCCTACTGATTTATTTATTTCATTGGTATGTTCAATGATTAAACTTTTAGCTTTGTTTTTATATATAGCATAGTTATCTTAAATTGCATTGATTTTTTTTTTCTTTTTGGTACTTGTCTTGTACATTCTTTGGTTTCATCTGACTTACTTCTTCCAGAATTTTGGAATGAATATTTCAACCACTGATTTTTAGCCTTGATAGTTTTTCTAATATATATGATTAAGCCTAAAAATTTCTTTCAAAAATTTGCTTTACCTGTATTCCACACTTTAAAATGTTTTATAGCTTCATTATCTTTCATTTTAAACATTTTCAATTTGCATTTTGAGTTCTTCTTTGACCCTGGAATAATTAGAGGTATCCTAATTTCTATGGAGTTTGGGATTTGGAGGTTATCGTTTAAAAATAAATAAATAAATAAATGCTAGCTTAATCCCTTTGTGGTTAGAGATCATACTCTGAATAATGTACTTCATCGGAAATATGTTGAGTCTATCTTTATGGATCCATCTCCTTTCTATAAAGAAGAGTTAATATATTTTTATTTTGGGACTACAATACTGCCATTTTACATAATAGAAGATAGGAGAGAGGGTAATTGAAGGGTGAAATTTTAACTGTCCCACTTATTCCTGATAGAGTTCTTTAATTAATTACACTCATAATTGTCCTGTGTCCCAAGTCTGTCCTTTGTGCAATTAGCTCAGATTTGAGTGCCTTGAGGGCTCCCTAGGTAAATATTGTACTTACTGCCGGTGTTTTGGTTTCTAAATTTCTCTATTAATATCAGCCCACCTGCTTGGAATTTTCCAGATTTTGTCAAATATTCTGGTCTACTGATTTCTTATTTTTCTGTAGTTCTTATTTCTTTTATAACTTTCTACAGTCCCAAAGGGAGTTTGGGAATAAGAGGCAGTAAAACTCTGTGCTCAGTCTGCTATCTTGAACCAGCTCGAGGATAATTTTTAGCAATATTTACATTTAACATTTAACATGACTTTTGCAAATGGGTTACATAAACCATTGTTAACTAAAGCATTAAAATTGGGGACTCTTGGTAAAAAAGAAAAGAAGTTTTAAAATTTAAAGAAAAACTATTAAGGTAAGATTGTTCCCTACATTCTATTAAAACCAATCATTGATTAGTTCAATTCAGTCAAACTGCAGTCCAATGAATGGGGGAAGGAATTAATTTTTCTTTATAAATGAATTTTCCAGTTACTTATCACTACCCTGAAGACTTTCAGTACCACACAGCCAGCCCAAGAGAGCCAATGTACAAGAGAGAGAAAAAAAGAGAGAGCTATAGTTACAATCATTTGCGAATTAACAGGCTATACAAGACTAATTATCAGAGGGGTGTTTTATGAGCATTGAGTTGGAGTAATGGGTGGAGTAGAGAGAAAGTGGGTGACCCATAAAGGGCAGCATACCTAGATATGACTTTTTGTGCCAAAGGCCTCATCAATCATCAATTCTCCTTTCATCTGCTGATTTCCTCCTGTCCCTTCAAGTGAGATAAAAGTTGACTTGTCAAAAGCTGACATTCTTCTTCTGAATCGTTTCACAATTGTTATGGCACTTTTGCTTCTCAGGTTTGAAAAAAGAGGAAAACTCCTAAGGGAGAGAACTGGGTAGTTCGGTGCATCACCCTGAAAAAAAGATTACGATAAATACTCTCCAGGACTGAAAGGTGAAGATTTAGGTCAGAAAGTAGAAAGTTGTACTTTATTGTCAAAAGATTTTCTTTGAAGTATTTGTCTCTAATACAACGGGGTCTATTTTTACTAGAGATGATCAGCTGGCATGTGAAATACATAAATCTGCTCCACTTTGAGTATGTAGATTATTCTCTCACATCTGAAGTGTGAGCATTTCAGTTTCTTAAAATTACCGAAAAATTAATTTTTTTGTTAATATATCATCCACCTGATGCTCATATCATGTAAAGAAAACTATAGGATATCTCATATAACACATATTTCTTGTGCTTTACATGGACTATTGCTACATCATTTGTAAACAGAGGTACAAAATACATGAATTTCCATGATGATGATTGATATGGTTTGGATCTGTGTCCCCACCTAAATCTCATGTGGAAATTAATCCTCAATGCTGGAGGTGGGGCCTGGTGGAAGGTGATTAGATCAGGGAGGGGGCAGTTTCTAATGGTTTAGCACCAACCTCCCAGTGCTGTTCTTGTGATAGTGAGTTCTCACAAGATCTGGTTGTTTAAAAGTGTATAGCACCTTCTTCCTCTCTCTATTCCTGCTGCTCCAGCCATGTGAAGTGCTGGCTTCCCTGTTTCCATCTGCCTTGATTACAAATTTCCTGAGGCCTCCCCAAAAGCAGAAGCTGCTATGCTTCCTGGACAGCCTGCATAACCGTGAGCCAGTTAAACGTCTTTTTCTAATAAATGATTAGTCTCAGGTATTTATTTATGGCAATGTGAGAACAGACTAATACAACGATTTGTAACTGACCAAGTATGCATCAGGAGTGTCCATTCCCCACCGTCTCAGTTGTAGGTGCTGGGTCATACACAGTCAGATTTGACACAGAATCTCCTCTCTTCTACCCCACTAAGTGCTCAGAGGTCGTTTTGATCTTACAGTTAGTTTCTCAAGAATAAACTATAGATGAGCCTCACTCAGAGAAACTGGGTCACAGAGCAAATTCTCATGGCATTGGCCTATTGTCTAGGAGACAGGCTTAAGGGGGCTGTGGGGGAGGTTGGCACAGTGTTTTGACAAATGAGAGATTGACAGTGAATGTCTTAGAAGATTTATTCCACAAAGCTGTTCATCAGTAAAACAATGGTTTTTGCAGCAGATTTTTTTTTTCTCTATTGCCAGGTTCTTTTATAAAGCGTCCTTTCTCTGAGACCATCTTTCTGCTAGAAAAATCCTGATATTCATGTGCTCTTCCTTTAGATATCTTCCTCAGACTCCACTTCTTTCCAGCTAAAAGTCATTTGCTTCTTGACACACACATACACACACACACACACACACACAAATGCATTCTTCTCGTTTCTGTCATAATAGCACTGGAAAACCCATCAGCAACCTGAATAAAAATCCATTAAAACCACAGTTCAAATCATGAGTGACAGAAAAATATTTAAAAAGGTTTTCCCTCTCATAAAGGGCAATGATGGCTAAATAATTGTGCAGTTGATACTTATTGGTGAGGAAGAGAGATACGTACTCTACCCCTAGGAAGAGAGCTACACAGCCCAACCAACCATTCCCACATGCGACCCCAAAATGGGCTGAATTAAATATCTCTGATAAAGCTAACAAAGGAAATGGAATATATAATTTGGCACTTATAGTCTTCTAGTGCTACACATTAGTGTATATACAAAATTTTGCTAAGGAAATATCAAAGGCTTTCATTTCAGTCTCTGAGTCTACATTTTTGACTTCTATGGCTTAATACTTTGTCAATACATGACTTTTAGTTTTCTTAAGTTTCTTATGTCACAGAATCAATGCTTAGTGAAGACTTGTAGAAAGGTTGAAAAAAGGCTTAAGGTTTTTAGTACCAAAAGCTATTTTTTAATATGTTATACTAGCCAAAGAATTTGTCCTAAAAGCATTTATTATCTGTTCCAGGATTCATAAATACCCATTATAATTTTATTGAATTCAGCATATTTTTAAAAATTGAAAAGATGCAATTTTTCTATTTATAACCTAAATACAATCTGTGCATTTAAAAAAGAAAAAAAAAAACAACAACACTTCAAAGACAAGCTGTAGAGGTAATTTAGTCTGTCTGTATTTAAAATGAGCCAAAAGGAAAAAACTACCCAAATACAATTGGCTAATTGCTTTCAATTTGGCTTTATTTCCTTGACACTAATGGAGAAATTCTAACACCTACACAGCTAATGAGTTGGGAAGTTATGAGCTTTTTCTGAGTATGGATATCAAGTTGGGGGAGAAAAAGTTTATTCGCTGTTCAGAGAACAGCAAAGACTGAACAGACGTCATCTATGTCTGTATTTCAGTCTGTTATGTGTCAGGGTGTGTGACCTAGGATCTTGTAGTTTGAAGTGAAACATGGGGGTGCAAAAATATATTGTCAATCTACTGTGCTTAATGTCATGAAAAATGTTCCATCAGAGCCATAGAATAGTCATCTATACAGCAACAATGATGAACAACAATAGCAATAATTGTTAGTACCAACTATGAAATTTTTTTTTATTTTATTATTATTATACTTTAAGTTTTAGGGTGCATGTGCACAACGTGCAGGTTTGTTACATATGTACACATGTGCCATGTTGGTGTGCTGCACCCATTAACTCGTCATCTAGCATTAGGTATATCTCCTAATGCTATCCCTCCCCACTCCCCCCACCCCACAACAGGCCCCGGTGTGTGATGTTCCCCTTCCTGTGTCCATGTGTTCTCATTGTTCAATTTCCACCTATGAGTGAGAACATGCGGTGTTTGGTTTTTTGTCCTTGCGATAGTTTGCTGAGAATGATGGTTTCCAGCTTCACTCATGTCCCTACAAAGGACATGAACTCATCATTTTTTATGGCTGCATAGTATTCCATGGTGTATATGTGCCACATTTTCTTAATCCAGTCTATCATTGTTGGACATTTGGGTTGGTTCCAAGTCTTTGCTATTGTGAATAGTGCCGCAATAAACATACATGTGCATGTGTCTTTATAGCAGCATGATTTATAATCCTAAATATTCTTTATATCCAGGTTCCTTGCTAAGTGCTTTGTAATGTGTTACTCCTTGAGTTCTCACTGAAGAATATAGGTGCAATTGTCCTTACTCTAGTTGAAATCAATTATAATGATCTCTGAGGTAAATATTTTTTCATAGTAAGTGGAAGATCCAGGATTCACTATCATATTTGCCTCAATCCAAATCCCATGTTTCTAATCCCTAATCCACATCTGCTTACTTAGCCACTGGGGAAGTTTTCCGGAGGAGATACAAGATAGCTAAGTCTGAAAAGTAAAATGAAATCAAGCAGACAAGGACAAGGAAGACGAGTAAGGAAGCTAAGTTAATCAGGAAGAATGTAATTTACACACCAAATGAGGGGAGGAAATTATGTTTTTATGAAAACCAAAGGAATTTTTTGTTATGTGATTACACATTGCATAGAGCAAGTTGCAGACATAAAACTGAAGAGACGGGCTGAGGCCAAATTGTTAGGGGTTCAAATGCCCAACAAGGAAGCTGGAGTTGTCTCAAGTCATAGAAAATTATAAAAGCTCAGATAGAGAAATTGCATGGATGGATTTGCATATTTGATGTGTGTTCCATCAGACCAAGTGGGAGGACATCTCACTGAGCCATTCTCAGGATATCTAATAGAGAAAATGGAGCAAATCTATGAGAAAAGAAGGACTTCACATCAAAATAAAATAAAATAAAATGGAAGAGTTACCAATGTGTTCACACATGAGCTCTGAAGATGGGTAAGGATTAAAAGTGGAATTTTGAAAATCCTCCGTGTAGGAGGCCACAGTTGTACCTGGCTTAGGTCTCAGCAGTGGCTCCCTTGTGTGGTGCAGGACTGTGATTTGGCCTCTGGTCTGCCTGAGGTTGTCTCACTGTTTCAGACAATGAGGCAGAGCCTGGGCATGCTGGGCCTGCCTCACTCTTGGGCATCTGTACTTGGTTCCATTTGACATGTTCAGTCTATACACAGCTTAACAAAGTACTTGTTCTAAGTCAAAATGACTCCTACTTCAGGACTTGGAATCTTCGTTTTCCTTCCAATATGGTTTGGCTGTGTCCCCGCCCAAATCTCATCTTGAATTGTAACTCCCACGTGTCATGAGTGGAACCCAGTAGGAGGTGATTGAATTATGGTGGCAGGTCTTTCCTGTGCTGTTCTCATGATAGTGAATGAATCTCACGAGACCTGATGGTTTAAAAACAGGAGTTTCCCTGCACAAGCTCTCTTTTTGCCTCCTGCCATCCATGTAAGACACGACTTGTTCCTTCTTGCCTTCCACCATGACTGTGAGTCCTCCCCAGCCATGTGGAACTGTAAGTCCATTAAACCTCTTTTTCTTTGCAGTTTCAGGTACGTCTTTATAAGCACCATGAAAGCAGACTAATGAGCCTTCCTACTCCCTACTATAGTTAATGCCTTTTCAAACTGCATATATTAGCTCCAGCACATATATTCAAGGATGGCATTCTTCCCCACTTCCCCAATCAGATGACAGACCCCACACCTACCCTCATAGTCCCACAGTTCCCTATACTGTTCTTCCAAAGTACTAATCACAAGTTCTAATGGTATTTGTAAGAGATTATTTGATGAATGCCTACCTCTTCCACTATACTGCAGCTCTCTGAAGGAAGGGCAATATATGTAGTGTTATTAAATGTGCCTCACAAACCTAGTACATTTCCTGGAACCCAGTATGGACTTAATATATATTCATTAAATGACAGAATGATTTTCCCATTGGTGCCATCTCATTTGACACCATAAAATGAGAATTATACCTTACAAGCTGTGACTTCATTGGTATCTCCCTCATGGTTATATTTTTTTAAAAAAAATCAACTTGAGGATTTAATTTAAACATTGCAGCAAACATCCTTTTGGGGATTTTCATAGTTTGGTCATTCATTCACTCATTCATTCCACAAACAATAATTGAGCACAATGGCTTCCTCTCCAGGGCTCTGTTAGTTCTGTCCACTCTCCAATCTCAGCATTCTACATTTTTTTTCAACAAACTAATCCTACCAGCTGAAAATAAGATGCCAGTATGCCAGTCCCTTGTGGTTTTTACTAAAAATTGCCTGCAAAATGAGACACAGTCCTTTCATGATTTTCATTAGAGAGCAAATTGCTTGTGATACCTTTGGCAGAAATTAAATGGATGTATAGAGGCAGTGCCATCTTATTACGCAGTTGAATTTTTGAGAAAAGAATGGGGTTTGTCAGACCCAAAGTTTCGCTGTTGCTTTAAAAAAATGGCATCAATGATCTCTCAAGTTACTGCATGAGGACACCTAGTCTGAGTGTCTAGTGACAGTTTTTACAAAGAATTTTACCCTGTAATGGTTACACCTGCCTTATTATTGTTTCAAGTGGTTGCAAGGAAGTGTTTTCTTCCTCTTATTTCAAAGGAAACAAAAATATTTTAGAGGTTTGGTATTTGGACATTTCTTTTTTCTTCAGTTCAAAATCCTAGCAAAGAGCGATAATTTGTGGTGTGTTGAAATGAAATGCTGCAATTGAAAGTTGCTTTTGCAGTTTCCCCAATGTGTCATGCTGATGCTAACCTTTTCATAAGGCAATGCTTTGAGGAACTTTGATTGTTAAACAGTGCACTCTGAGCTGAAAGGAGAATTTTGGAGGAATGATGGGCAAAACTGTTTACATATATTTATCTAGAGCATTTGGTGAGTATAATGAATCATATTGAAGTACAGCACTTGTTTAAAATGTTACATACTGTAACATGGGATATTAGTATTTAGAATTGCTCACATGGTTTATGTATCTATATTGTTTTTATGATTGGCACTCTTCAAGAAAGGCTTGAAGTAGGCTTTGCCTATTCTTTACCAATCACCAGATACTATTGTTTACAATGTACTTTAGTCTACACAAAAATGGACTTTACACTATACTTTAATCTGTAGAAAGATGATCCATCAAGGCAGGAGTTCTTAGCTTTAACAGCAGAATAACAGCAATGTCGGCCCATAAGAATGTCTTTAGCTCACATTTTGCCACACTTTTATTTCATCACCTGATATTCATGTTAGATCCAGTTGACTTGGTCTTGAGAATGAATCAAAGATACGGGTGCTCTGATTTCCTACACTTCAATGTGAGTAATTCTCATTATATGCTTGATCCTGATACAAATGGCCACTCCTGACTATAAAATTTAGGCTTTAGCATATGTTGTCGTTCTACACGTGTCTTAGCACTAAATATGCAATCAAAATTAAATTCTACTTTCTACTAAGTCAGGTATGAGAACATATTTAGACGGACCAAATAATAGATTCAGAAAAATAATTTAACTGGTTGAATGTCAAATGTCATAATTTCAAAAATCTAGAAATTTGAAATTATCTACTTGTTGACTTAATGGGACTCTCATTCAAGTTTCTGCTCCCATAGAAAGACAATTGATGTTTCTGTGAGCCAAAGCTGAGACTATCAAAATTGCATATAATCAAAAGGAAATACTAGAAATAGGAAAATACTTAACAGGAAAAAGAAGAGGTGCCTTTTATTGCTCATTAGTAGACTCCAAATAACTCAGAAAAGAATCAGCGAGGTTAAAAATAGGCTGTTAGAGAGAATTCTCAAAATATATGCGAAGGGAAAAGTAGTACAAAAAAAGACAGAACATTCAAAAATTGTAATAAAAGAAAAACCAAAAACAAGCTAAAAATAAATTGCAGTATAATTTTAAAAGGCATCATATGCATATTATTTGAAGGAAAAGAAAGAGAATGAAGGAATAAGATTTGAAGTAATAATGACCAAGAAATCTAAAACATTAACGGCAAACACTAAGCCACAAATCAAGGACATTCAAAAAACAAAAAGCAGGAAAAATAAATAAATAAATGCACACACACACACACACACACACACACACACACACACACATACACACTCCTCCAAAGCATATAAAATTCAAACTGCAGAAAACTAAAGATAGGAAGAACAACTTGAAAGTAGCCAGATCTAAAACAAAAACAAAAAACTTACCTATAGAGGAACAATTTTAAGGATAAAAGCAGGCTTATCGAAAATCACACAAGCAAGAAGAGGGTAAAGTGAAATACTTAAAATATTTAAAGAAACTACCAAACTAAAATTCTATAATCAGCAAAATTATCCTTGAAGAGTGAAGAAGAAATAAAGAATTTTATTGGCAGCAGAACTTCCTGCATGAAATGTTAAAAGATGTTCTTCAAACAGAAGGAAATGCTATGTCAGAAATGTGTATCTAGAAAAGATAGGAATAAATAAATAAAGATAAAATAAAATATTTTGTTTTACTTTTTCTTAAATGACCAAAAAAGTAACTATTTGTTTAAAGTAATAATAACAATTTATTTGGTGATTCAAGCATATGAATAAAAGAAATGAATGCTAGCAACATCATAAGGAATGGAAAGAAGAATCAAAAATACTTATTAAAAAATAAGAATAATATGAAGTTTAATCTTAGATAACAGGTGCAGTCAAAACTACAAGTCAATAACAGAAATTTAGCTGAGAAATTTCCAAGTATCTGAAAATTATATAATATACTTCTAAATACCATATGGGTCAAATAAAAAGTCTCAAGAGAACATTTACATAGTTTAAAATAAAGGAAAATTAAAATGCAATTATTAAACTTGAGAATGCAGTGAAAATAGTGCTTCAAAATTCATAGAATTAAATGCATATCTTGGAATAGAGGAAATATCTACAATCAATAACCTTTCTACTATAAGAAACCATAGAAATAAGGGCAACTTAACCTAAAACAAGCAGAATAAAAGAATTAATAAAGATTAGAGCAGAAGTAACAGAAATCAAAAGGAGAGAAATAATAGATAAAAATCAAACAAACCAAAATATTTTTCTTTGCAAAGTTCAGTAAAGTTGACAAAATTATAGCCAGGCTAACCAAGATAAAAAAGAGAAGACAGAAATTATCAATATCAGAAATAAAAGAGTCATTACTACTGAACCCATGGACATGAAAAGAATAAAAAAAAGATTATAATGAACAATGTTATGCTAACATATTTGATAACAAAGCTTAAATAGCTAAACCTCCTGAAAGACAAACTATCAAAATTTATACAAAGGAAAATGAGAATTGTCCTGTATTTATTAAATAAATTCAATCAATATTTCATAACTTTAAAAAAAGAAAGCCTGAGAAACAGATGGTTTCAGTTAATGAATTCTACCAAACACTTAGGAAACAAATAATGCCGTTTCTCCACAACAGAAACAGAAGGGCCACTTCCTAACTTATTACATAATATCAGCATTTCCCTCCTACCAAAAGCAGATAAAGACATTAAGAGAAAAGAAAACTACTGACCAATATCCTTTAAGAACAGAAGCAAAATTTCTCAACTAAATAATAACAAATTGAAGAGAATGTATAAAAACAGTAATACACTACAACCCAGAAAGTTTATTTCAAGTATGCAAGGTTAACTCACATTCAAAAAAATCAACTAATGTAACAGACCCAGAAAAATTATGTGCCTGTATCAATTGAAACGAAAAAATTATGTGACAGAATCCATGCCCATTCAGCATGAAAACACACATCAAAGTAGGAATAGAGAGGGCCTTCCTTAATTTGGTGTTTTAAAATTACAAAACCTCCTACCGCTAGCATCATACTTTGTGGTGGGTGTCTGGAAAATTTTTCCTTAAGATCAGGAACAGACAAGGATGTTTTGTCATTACTTTTCAATTTTGTATTGGAAATACTAATTGATACAAAAGAGTAAGAAAAATAAATAAAAGGTATACAAATTGGAAAAAAAGAAATAAAACTGTCTTAATACACAGATGACATGATTTTCTATGTGGAAAATCAAAGCAACTATGAACAGCAGCAACTTAGAATAAATAGGCAAGTGGCTGGGCTCAGTGGCTCACGCTTGTAATCCCAGCAATTTGGAAGGCCGAGGCAGGTGGATCACCTGAGGTCAGGAGTTCGAGACCAAACTGGCCAACCTGGTGAAATCCCATCTCTGTTAAAAATACAAAAGTTATCCAGGCTTGGTGGCATGCGCCTGTACTCTCAGCTACTCAGGAAGCTGAGGCAAGAGATTTGTTTGAACCCAAAGGCGGAGGCTGCAGTGAGAATTAATAGGCAATTATAGAAGTTCACAAGATGCAAGGTTATTACACAAACGTCAAGTCCATGTTTACATACAAGCAAAGAACAATTGGGATTTATAATTTTTTTTAAAAAGAGGCATTTATTATAGCCTCCCCCAAACTGAAACAATGAAGTATTCACATACAAATATAACCATACATATATATTTAGGATCTATAGACCAAAAAACACAAAACAATGATGAAAAAATCAAAGAGTTGTGTAAATATATGGAGAGATGCCTCGTATTTACAAGTTTAAAGATTCAATATTCCCTTTTTTTTTTTTTCTCTTGAGACAGAGGTTCACTCTGTCACCTAGGCTGGTATGCAATGGCGTGACCTCGGTTCACTGCAACCTCCACTTCCCAGGTTCAAGCGATTCTCCTGCCTCAGCCTCCTGAGTAGCTGGGATTACACGCAGCCACCACCATGCCCAGATAATTTGTATTTTTTTAGTAGAGACAGGGTTTCACCATGTTGGTCAGGCTGGACTCGAACTCCTGACCCCGTGATCTGCCCGCCTCAGCCTCCCGAAGTGTTGAGATTACAGGTGTGAGCTACCACGCCTAGCCAAGATTCAATATTCTTAAGATGACAATTCTTCCAAACTCTCTCAAGTGATTCAATTGAATCTCAAAGAAAATCTTAGTACACTATTTTGGAGATATTGATAAGCTGATTCTAAAGTTTTATTGGGGTTCAGAAAATGACAACCCAAAATATGGCAGTTTGGCATGCTGAGTGCTTTGAAAAAAAAAATGTTGAAAGGCCTCAGAAATAAGCCTCAGGACCATGGCCTCTCTTTAATCTCTGCCCCCCCTTACCCCTTCCTTTATTGAAGCCTCAGGAAAACCCTTCTCTCAAGTTCCCTTATCTGATTAAAAAAGTTCCTCCAGAAGTCATGAAATTGTCTTAAAACACACTTCCTAGAAATTTCAACAGAAAACAGGGAAAGATTAACCACTGGAGAAGAGACTAGATCTGAAGTCATCACCACGCTCAGAGAGATTTTTCATCTAGACTTCTGAGGGAAGCTCCAAGAGATTACCAGGGACACTATCTGCATAATAAGACAAATTTTGTTCATGGTGAACATCTCATCACCTTCTCATAACTTGCCACCACCTCGCCCAGATCTCAAAAGAACTTTGTCTTTTTTTAGGCTAATTCATTTCTCTAAACATCATTGCCTATACTCTAAATTGCCTGCACTCCCATCTCCCTCTCCCCTATGAAGAGTGTTATTTAAGCTGCAGCCATCTGGCCCTTCTTTGAGACTCATATTTTCCATGGCTCCCATGCTTCTGCACATTAATAGAGTTATATGACTTTCTTTTGTTAATCTATCTATTGTCAGTTTTTTTCAGCAGCAAATCCTCAGAGAGCAGAAGAGAAGCTTTCCTTTTGCCTCTATAGGAA
Organism: Homo sapiens; assembly: GCF_000001405.40. Classification (NCBI taxonomy): domain Eukaryota; kingdom Metazoa; phylum Chordata; class Mammalia; order Primates; family Hominidae; genus Homo; species Homo sapiens. Next base: position 85,938,366 of record NC_000014.9, on the reverse strand, counting down.
AAATTAAAAGGCAGAAGATCCAGAATAACCAACACAATCCTGCAGGAACAGAGGAATAATGTTGAGGATTCACACTATCTTATTTTAAGACTTACTGTAAAGCTACAATGATTAAGACCACATAGCATTGACCTCACCTCACCAAAAAAAAACCACATAGATCAGTGGAACAAAACAGAGAGCCTATAAATAGGCCCAAACATATATTCAAATGAATTTATAACTTCCCATTGGGTTCATCTTGCCCACTGCCTAGACAGGGCCAATTTACCAAGACAGGGGAATTACAATAGAGAAAAAGTAATTCACGCAGAGCCAGCTGTGCAGGAGACCAGAGCTTTATTACTACTCAAATCAGTCTCCCTGAGCATTCAGGGATCAGATGTTTTAAGGACAACTTGGTAGGCGGGGGGAAGCCAGTGAGCCAAGAGTGCTGATTGGTCAGGAAGGGGATAAAATCATAGGGAATTGAAGCTGTCCTCTTGGGCCAAGTCAGTTCCTGGCTGGAGCCACAAGATCAGATGAGCCAGTTAATTGATCTGGGTGGTGCCAGCTGATCCATCAAGGGGAGGGTCTGCAAATTTATCTCAATCACTGATCTTAAGAGCAGATTAGGGTTTTTTTGTTTTTTTTTTTTTTTTTTTTTCTGAGACCAAGTCTCACTCTGTCGCCCAGGCTGGAGTGCAGTGGCACGATCTTGGCTCACCACAAGCTCCACCTCCTGGGTTCACACCATTCTCCTGTCTCAGCCTCCCGAGTAGCTGGGACTACAGGTGCCTGCCGCCACACCCGGCTAATTTTTTTTTTTTTTTGTATTTTTAGTAGAGATGGGGTTTCACCATGTTAGCCAGGGTGGTCTCGATCTCCTGACCTCATGATCCACCCGCCTGGCCTCCCAAAGTGCTGGGATTACAGGCATGAGCCACCGCACCCAGCCCATAATTTCTAATCTTGTGGCTAATTTGTTAGTCCTACAAAGGCAGTCTAGTCCCCAGGCAAGAAGGAGGTTTGTCTGGGGAAAGGGCTGTTATTGTTTTTGTTTTAAACTATAAACTAAGTTCCTCCCAAAGTTAGTTCAGCCTACACCGAGGAATGAACAAGGACAGCTTGGAGGTTAGAAGAAAATGGAGTTGGTTAGGTCAAATATCTTTCACTGTCTCAGTTATAATTTTGCAATGGTAGTTTCCATTTTTCCCAAAGATTCAAAGTCAAGTCGATGAAGCAAATGTTGACATTTTAAACAAATAGTGCTGAAACAATTGGATACTCAAATTAAAACAAAAAGAACCTAGCACATATTCTACAGCTTTCACAAAAATTAAGTTGAAATTGATCAAGTACCTAACTTTAAAATGAAAAACTATAAAACATCTAAAAGAAAAAGAAAAGAGAAAATCTATGGAATCTTAGATTTGTCGATGAGTTTTTAAATACAGCACCAAAAGCACAATACATGAAAAAAAAGTAAGACTTTATTAGAATTATAAACATCTGCTCTTTGAGAAATATTAAGAGAGTTAAAGGACAAGCCATAGAATGAGAAAAAAATATTTGTGAAACACATATCTGGTAAAAAAAAAAAAAAGATAGAAAAAATAAAAATAATACATCCAAAATATACAGAGTGATGCTTAAAACTCAAGAATAAAATACAACTCAATTAAAAAGTAAGCAAAAGTTCTAAACAGATACCACCATATATATGGCAAATAAGTACATGTAAAGATGCTCAACATTGGTTGTCATTAGGTATATAAAAATTAAAATAATAATGAGATAACATTGTACATGTATTAAGAGGGCTAAAAACCAAAATATGCTAATACTAAATACTGGTTAGGATGAGGAGCAACAAGAACTCTCATTCATCACCGGAGAAAATGCAGAATGGTACAACCACTCTGATGGATAACTTAGCAGTTTCTAACAAAGCTAAACATATTTTTACCTTGTAATCCAGCAGCTGGGTTCTTAGATATTTACCTAGATGATTTGAGAAATTTTAACTACAGAAAACTTTCACATGAATGTTTATAGAATTTTATAAAATTATCACCAAAAACTGAAAGCTATCAAGATGTTCTTCAACACAGAAATGAATAAACTCTGGTATATCCATACAATGAAATACTATTCAGAGATAGGAAAGAATGAGCTATCAAGCTGTACAAGGACATAGATGATTCTTAAATGTGTATTGCTAAATGAAAGAAGCCAGCATGAAAGGACTGCTGCATACTGCATGATTATATTACATTCTGGAAAAAGCAAACTTATAGAGAGGGTAAAGATATCATTTGAAAGCAGCCTGGGCAAGATGGCAAGACCCTGGCTCTACAAAAAAAATTAAAAATTAGCTGGGCATGGTGGTGCACACCTGTAGTCCCAGCTACTTGGGAGGCTGAGGCAGGAGGATCCTTTGAGCCCAGGAAGTAAAGGTGGCAGTGAGCCATATATATGGTGCCACTGCACTCCAGACTGGGAAACGAAGCAAGACCCTGTCTCTAAAAATGAAAAAATAAAGAAAATAAAGATATCAGTGGTTTCTAGAGGTTCACAGACACAGATTTGAGTAGGTGAAGCACAAGAGATTGCCTAGAGTGGTGAAACTATTCTGTATGATACTGCAATGGTGGATAGATGATATTATGCATTTATCAAAACCCATAAAAGTCTAGAGCACAAAAACTTAACCGTAATGTATGAAAATTTTTAAAAAATTATTTAGGAGGTTAGGAGATCCCAGATACAAGGTAAACTGTGACTATACAACCATCCAATCTTCAACAAGGCCAACAAAAACAAGCAACAAGGAAAGGACACTCTATTCAATAAATGGTGCTGGGATAACTGGTTAGTATGCAGAAGATTGAAACTGGATCCCTACCTTTCACCAGATACAAAAATTAACTGAGGATGAATTAAAGACTCAAATGTACGCTCTCAAACTATAAAAATCCTAGGAAATATCCTTCTCAACACTGGCCTTGGCAAAGAAAATTTGGCTAAGTCCCCAAAAACAATTGCAGCAAAAACAAAAATTGACAAGTGGGACCTAATTAAAGAGCTGCTGCACAGCAAAAGAAACTACCAATAGAGTAAACAGAAAACCTACAGAATGTGAGAAAATATTTGCAAACTATGCATCCAACAAATGCCTAATATCCAGAATCTGTAAGGAACTTACAACAAGCAAAAAACAGAATACATTAAAAAATGGGCAAAGGACATGTACAGACACTTCTTAAAAGAAGACATACAAGCGGCCAACGAACATGAAAGAATGCTTGTCATCACTAATCATCAGGGAAATGCAAATCAAAACCACAATGCTATATCATCTTAAACCAGTTACAATGGCTATTACTCTACAGTCAAAAAACAACATATGCTGGCGAGTCTAGAGAAAAAGGAACATTTATACACTGTTGGTGAGAATGAAAATTAGTTCAGCCACTATAAAAAGCAGTTTGGAGACTTTTCAGAGAACTTAAAACAGAGGTACCATTCAACTCAGCAGTCCCACTGAGACGAGAAGTCTTCTTCTGATGGAAGGTTTTTCTCAATGGAAGCGTTCGTGTCTCACGGGCTTCAAGGAATGAAGCTGTGGACCACAGCAGCGAGTGTTACAACTTGATTAGAGAAACGGGCGGACCCAAAGAGTGTGCGGCTGCAAGATTTGTTAAAGTGAAAGCAAAAGTAAAGTGAAAGCGAAAGTAAAGCTTCTGCGTGGTGGAAGGGGACCCAGAAGGGTTGCTGTTTCTGGCTTGGGTGTCTTATGCTTATATCGCCTTATGACCCCTCCCCTTTTCCTTTTTCTGTCCTATACAATTAGCTTATTTTCAACCCACTTGTGGGTTGATGGGCCTGATTGGTTAAAAACATCAGGCTGTAGCTAGACCTTAAACTCCCTATATGATTGGTTGAAGTTTCAATCCCTTAGCTTGCAGCTGTGACTCATTTTGGCTTAGGGGAAAGTCCCCTTTGATTGGTTGAAGTTTAAATCCCTTAGCTTGCAGCTGTGACTTATTTGGGTTTAGGGGATAGTCCCCTTAGGGAAGTCCCTATTGACCCAGGAAGTCCAGCCAACTTAGCCACTTAGTCCCTCACCATTACTGGGTATATAACGAAAGGAATTTAGGTCATCATACTGGAAAAAACACATGCTATTGTATGTACATTGCCACACTACTCACAATAGCAAAGACATATGTGATGGTTAATACTGAGTGTCAATTTGACTGGATTGAAGGATACAAAGTATTGATCCTGGGTGTGTCTGTGAGGGTGTTCCCAAAGGAGATTAACATTTGAGTTAGTGGGCTGGGAAAGGCAGACCCACCCTTAATCTGGGTGGCACAATCTAATCAGCTGCCAGGTGGCTAGAATATAAGCAGGCAGAAAAATGGAAAAGAGAGACTGGCCTAGTCTCCCAGCCTACATCTTTCTCTTGTGCTGGATGCTTCCTGCCCTGGAACATCCGACTCCAAGTTCTTCAGTTTTGGAACTCAGACTGGCTCTTCTTACTCTTCAGCCTGCAGACAGCCTATTGTGGAACCTTGTGATTGTGTGAGTTAATACTTAATAAACTCCCCTTTATGTATATATGTGTGTTCCATTAGTTCTTTCCCTCTAGAGAACCCTGATACAGATGTTGGTACCAGAAGTGGTCTTCTAGAGGAACAGAATATTAAGGATGTAGTTCTTTCATTGGTTTTGGAATTTCTGGTGTTGGCTGCTTAATATTAGACGCCAAAAATGCTAAGAACTCTACTTCTAATAGCATGGAGAACACTGATAATCCTTGGCATGAACTGTTCGAGAAATATGCAAAATAAATGCATTTGACACTCCTGATTCATCGCTCCTGAGAGGCAAGGATTTTAGTGACTCTACATGTAATACCTTTGACCATATGTGGAGAACCAAGGAACATAATGAAGCTGGTTGGTTGCTCCTAAGTTCAGTGGAAAAAGTGATGAAAGAAAATAATGAACTCAGGGATTCTATCTCCCGGCCTCAGAAGCAGATACTGAGCCTCAAATCTGCTAAGACTGCCCTGAGTGAGAGTCTTATCTTCCTGTAGAGAAAGAGCTGAAATTGTGGAAAAACAGACACAAACCCTTATCATGTAGGCTGACCTGTAATGAAAGATGCATGCACAGCCTCACCAGGTGTCCACTGTTAAAGTGAGCGCTTTGATTAGAAAAGAATGGGGCCCTGCAACTTGGAATGGGGACGTGTGGGAGGACCCTAATGAAGCTGGGGACACTGAGTTTGTAAACTCTGATGAAACTTTTCGGCCAGAGGAAACAGCTTCCCCATCCCCAGTAGAGACAATATCCCCTCCCTGACCCACACTGCCATCAGCCTTTCCACCTTTGTCTGAGGAGATAAACCCTGTGCTGCCTGAGGCAACAGTGATGGCCTCCCTTGAGGCAGTTTCCAGGCAAGGTAAAGTTGATTATCTTCAGGAGCCACCTCCAACACCCCTGTTTCCTTCTAGACCTATAACTAGACTAAAGTCCAGGCGAGCCTCTAGAGGTGAGGTTGAGAGTGTGACCCATGAGATGTTCTACACCCAAAAAGAATTGCTTGAGTTTAAACAGAAATCTGGAGAACAGGCATGGGAATGGATATTAAGGGTGTGGGATAATGGTTGAAGGAACATAGAGTTGGATCAGGCTGAATTTATTGATTTGGGCCCACTAAGTAGGGATTGTTCATTTAATGTTTCAGCTGGGGGAGTTAAAAAAGGTTCTAATAGTTTATTTGCTTGTTTAGCTAAAATATAGATTAAAAGATGGCCTACTACGAGTGAGCTAGAAATGCCTGATCTCCTTTGGTTTAATGTAGAGGAAGGGATCCAAAGGCTTAGGAAGATTGGGATGGTACAGTGGATTATTCACTTTAGACCTACTCATCCCAGCTGGCAGGGTCCAGAAGATATACCCTTGATCAATGCCTTGGGAAATAGATTTGTGAGGGCAGCACCTACATCTTTGAAGAGACCTGTAATTGCCCTTCTCTGTATGTCAGATCTAACAGTGGGAACCGTAGTCACTCAATACAAAATTTAAATACAATGGGAATAATTGGATCCCGAGGTGGCAGGGACCAAGTGGTGGCACTCAACCATCAAAGGCAAGGTGGGCATAGCTACTGTAATGGACAGCAGAGGCAAAGTGACGATCAGAACAGTCTGATTTGTGTAGAGCTCTGGCATTGGCTAATTAATAATGGTGTTCCTAGAAGTGAAATTAATAGGAAGCCTACTGCATTTTTGCTTAATTTATACAAGCAGAAAACTTCTAGGTCGAATGGACAAAAGACTAATTTGAATTATAAAAACAGAGAATCATGGCCCCTCAATCAATTTCCAGTCTTGAGCCAGTTTACAGACCCAGAACCCCTTAAATGAAGATGAGGCCAGGTCCCCTTGAGAAAGAACCCCACTACATTACTTACAATTTATGCTGTGAATCTTTCTCCCATCCTTCCCCAAAGAGACATCTGGCCTTTTACCAGGGTAATTGTGCATTGGGGAAAGGGAAATGATCAGACATTTTGGGGACTACTGTACACTGGCCTGAGCTGACGTTGATTCCAGGGAACCCAAAACGTCATTGTGGTCCTCCAGTTAAAGTAGGGGCTTACGGATGTCAGGTAATTAATGGGGTTTTAGCTCAGGTCCAATTTATGGTGGGTCTAGCGGGTCCCTGGACTCATCCTGTGGTCATTTCCCCAATGCCAGAATGCATAATTGGCATAGATACACTTAGCAGCTGGAAAAACCCCCCACATTGGCTCCCTGACAGGTAGGATGAAGCCTATTAGGATAGAAAAAGGCCAAATGGAAGCCATTACAGCTGCCTCTACCTAGAAAAATAGTAAATCAAAAGCAATATCGCATCTCTGGAGGGATTGCAGAGATTAGTACCACCATCAAAGACATAAAAGATGCAGGGATGGTGATTTCCACCACATCCCTGTTCAACTCTTATTTGACCTGTGCAGAAGACAGATAGATCTTGGAGAATGACAGTGGATTAGTGGATTTCCGTAAGCTTAACCTAGTGGTGACTTCAATTGCACCTTCTGTACCAGATGTGGTTTCATTGCTTGAGCAAATTAACACATCTCCTGGTACTTTGTATGCAGCCACTGACTTGGCAAATGCCTTTTTCTCCATTCTTGTCCATAAGGCCCACCAGAAGCAATTTGCCTTCAGCTGGCAGGGCCAGTAATATACCTTTACTGCCCTACCTCAGGGGTATATCAACTCTCTGGCTTTGTGTCATGATGTTATTTGGAGAGAACTTGCTTCCACAAGATATCACTGGTCCATTAAATTGATGACTTTATGTTGCTTGTATCCAGTGGGCAAGAAGTAGCAAACACACTGGACTTATTGGTGAGACATTTGTGTGCCAGAAGATGGGAAATAAATTCGACTAAATGTCAGGGACCTTCTACGTCAGAAAAATTTCTAGGGGTCCAGTCATGTGGGGCCTGTCGAGACATTCCTTCTAAAGTGAAGGACAAGTTGCTGCATCCTCCTACAACCAAGAAAGAGGCACGACACCTAGTGGGCCTATTTGAATTTTGGAGGCAACACATTCCTCATTTGGGTATATTACCCCAGCCCATTTATTGAGTGACCCAAAAGGCTGGCAGTTTTGAGTGAGGTCCGGAACAGGAGAATGTTCTGCAGCAGGTCCAGGCTGCTATGCAAGCTGCTCTGCCACTTGGGCCATATGACACAACAGGTCCAATGATAGGTTTAGTGGCAGACAGCGATGCTTTTTAGAGTCTTTGGCAGGCCCCCATAGGTAAATCACAGAGGAGGCCTCTAGGATTTTGGAGCAAGGCCCTGCCATCTTATGCAGATAACTACCCTCCTTTTGAGAGACAGCAAGCAGCTCTTGGCCTGTTACTGGGCTTTGGTGGAAACTGAATGTTTAACTATGGGTCATCAAGTCACCATGTGACCTGAACTACCTATAATAACTGGGTGCTTCCTGACCCATCTAGCCATAAAGTGGGTCATGCACAGCAGCATTCCATCATCAAATGGAAGTGGTGTATACGTGATCAGGCTCGAGAAGGTCCTGAAGGCACAAGTAAGTTACATGAGGAATTGGCTCAAATACCCATGGTCTCCACCTCTGCCAGCCTGCCTTCTCTCCCCCAACCTGAACCAACGGCCTCATAGGGAGTTCCCTATGATCAGTCGACAGAGGAAGAGAAGACTAGGGCCTGGTTCGCAGATGGTTTTGCACGATATGCAGGCACCACCTGAAAATGGACAGCTGCAGCACTACAGCGACTTTCTAGGACATCCCTGAAGGACAGCAGTGAAAGGAAATCTTCCCAGTGGGCAGAACTTTGAACAGTGCTCCTGGTTGTGCATTTTTGCACGCAATGAGAAATGGCCAGATGTGCAATTATGCACTGATTCATGGCCTGTAGCCAGTGGTTTGGCTGGATAGTCAGGGACTTAGAAGAAATATGATTGGAAAATTGGTGACAAAGAAATTTGGGGAAGAGGTATGTGGATGGGCCTCTCTGAGTGATCAAAAGCTGCAAAGATATTTGTATCCCATGTGAGTGCTCACCAGTGGGTGGCCTCAGCAGAGGAGGATTTTAATATTCAAGTGGTTATGATAACCCATTCTGTGGACGCCACTCAGCCTCTTTCTCCAGCCACCCCTGTCATCGCCCAGTGGGCCCATGAACAAAGTGGACATGGTTGGAGGGATGGAGGTTACGCATGGGCTCACCAACATGGACTTCTGCTTAGCAAGGCTGACCTGACTACGGCCACTGCCAATTGCCATCCGTGGACTCATAGAATGCTTTATCCACTGTCATGATATTCCACACAGCATTGCCTCTGACCCAGGCACTCACTTTACAGCTGAAGAAGTGCAGCAGTGGGCCCATGCTCAAGGAATTCACTGGTCTTACATGTTCCCCACCATCCTGAAGCAGCTGGATTGATAGAACGGTGCAATGGCCTTTTGTAGTCACAATAATGATGCCAACTAGGTGACAATACTTGCAGGGCTGGGGTGAAGTTTTACAGAAGGCCATGAATGCTCTGAATCAGCATCCAATATATGGTACTATTTCTCCCATAGCCAGGATTGAAGGGGCGAGGAATCAAGGGGTTGAAAGTAGAAGTGTAACCACTCACCATCACCCCTATTGATCCACTAGCCAAACTTTTGCTTCCCTTTCCCATGACATTATCTTCTGCTGTCCTAGAGGTCTTAGTTCCAGAAGGAGGAACACTGACATCAGGAGACAAAACAATGGTCCTATTAAACTGGAAGTTCAGATTGCCACCTGGAAACTTTGAGCTCCTCCTACCTTTAAGTCAACAGGCTAAGAAGGGTGTTACAGTGTTGGCTGCTGCGATTGACCCACACTATCAAAATGAAATCAGTCTACTTCTCCACAGTGGAGGTAAGGAAGAGTATGCATGGAATACAGGAGATCCATTAGGATGTCTCTTAGTGCCCTGTGATTAATGTTAATAGGAAACTACAACAGTCAATACAGGCAGGACTAGAGAAGACCCAGACCCTTCAGGAATGAAGGTTTGGGTTACTCCACTAGGAAAAATACCATGACTTGCTGAGGTGCTTGCTGAAGGCAAAGGGAATGCGGAACGGGTAGTAGAAGAAGGTAGTCAACAATACCAGCTACGACCATGTGACCAACTGCAGAAACAAGGACTGTGATTGTCATGAGTATTTCCTCCTTCTTTTGTGTAAAAACATGTTCGTGCATGTATACATGTAAGAAAATATCTTCATCTTATTTCCTTTCTCCTTTATCATGTGACATAAGGTTTACTGACTTCTCATCAGCATTTAAGTATTGTTAACTTTATGTAATAGTATTTATGTAACTTTTTGTAATAGTATTTATATAACTTTATGTAATAGAGTTGGGGATTGGTGCATTTCTGATTGTACAAAGGATAGTTGTATTATGTTAGGTGTAATTATGACTTTATTATTGTCTTTATTTGAAATTATGATCTCAGGAGATGTGTATGGGTTCAAGTTGACAAGGGGTAGACTTGTGATGGTTAATACTGTCAAGTTGATTGGATTGAAGGATACAAAGTAATTGATCCTGGGTGTGTCTGGGAGGGTGTTGCCAAAGGATATTAACATTTGAGTCAGTGGGCTGGGAAAGGGAGACCCATCCTTAATCTGAGTGGGCACAATCTAATTAGCTGCCAGGGTGGCTAGAATATAAGCAGGCAGAAAAATGTGAGAAGAGAGACCCGCCTAGCCTCCCAGCCTGCATCTTTCTTTTGTGCTGGATGCTTCCTGCCCTCAAATATCCAACTCCATGTTCTTCAGTTTTGGAACTTGGACTGGCTCTTCTTTCTCCTCAGCCTACAGATGATCTATTGTGGCCCTTGTGATCGTGTGAGTTAATACTTAATAAATAAATATATATATATATATATATATTCCATTAATTCTGTCCCTCTAGAGAACCCTGACTAATACAACATAGGATAAACCTAACTATTCATCAATGGTGGATTGAAAAAAGAGAATGTGGTAATTATATGCCATAAAATACTATGCAGCCATAGAAAAGAATGAAATCATGTCCTTTGCAGCAACATGGATGGAGCTGGAGGCCATAATCCTAAGCAAACTAAAAAAGGAACAGGAAACCAAATATGGCCTGCTTTCACTTATAAGTCGGAGCTAAATATTGAGCACACATGGAGTAAAACGTGGGCTACTAGAAGAGAAAGGCAGGGAGGGGGCATGGATTTATATATTGGGTACTATGCTCACTACCTGAGTTCAGTATACCCATACAACAAATTTGCACATGTACCCCTGAATGTAAAATAAAAGTTGAGATTTTTAAAAGATAAATTAAAATGAAAAATTTAAAAGAAAGGAATGTAAACTGTGACAAAGAAATCTAAGTGTACTACAAGGCATGAAATAATATCACTGAAAAGATTGAGAGATTAAGGTATTAATCTAAGACTGGAAATGAATGGATTCTGTAATATTAAAGGCAAAAGGCATTGTGCATACGACTATTATTTAGTTAATGAAGTTCTTTGTCATAAGTGTAGGAGTTAACAATTATGACTATATATGTGTATTAGAACTGAACACTTAAGTGAAAGAATAGCAGATGGTAAGAGCCAGTTTTCTCACTGTTGGGGTGGTAACTTACAGATAAGCAAAGAAAGAGGGCAAAAATAACCTATGTGGCAATAGATTAGAGGTAGAGATAGTATGCACTCATGTTTAATGTATATGCAGAAGTTTATATATAACAATATTTATAGATATACATACCTACAGGAGTTAGTACACACACGTATATTTCCTTATTTTGTTAGTTGAAAGAGCCTAGAAACAATGACTCCTCAGTAGCACTGAACAACTTAGGACCAAAATCTTGCTTTTTAATAAAATTTTTCAACAAAAAATCTGCTCCTTGAAGAAATGACTGATTCTATAACTGGGACATGAAATATACAAGATAATCCTGGAATATCTTGTAGTGCCAGGAAGTATAGAAGTGCTCAAAAAAAAGGCAATAATATGAATATATCAAAGGAAATCACTGGGAGAGGACCATGGCCAAAAATACAACAATTTAAGAAGCTAAGCCAAGTATAATGTTAATACCAAACATATTAAATAAATATCCATGAGCCCATGTTGATTAAAAAAATGAATTTAAAAATGAAGAGAATAAATAAATTTCATGTGCAGAAAAATTCCAGAAAACTTATATAGCTTCTCTGCTCTCAAGCGTATGGAGCATAACTCCCCAATCCTTATGTACAATGACGTGTCTGCATCTAAGAGTACAACATGGAAAGCGGGGTGAAAGTGGAATAGTGGGGTCAGTAAATGAACAGTGAAGAAACTTGACAAATACTACCATATCCAGATGCTCAAGGTGACTTCATTCATGGTAACTTGGTGATGGTATGTTGTTTTGAGAATGGAGCTTTTCCTCTGTGGCCTTCTACACCAATAATTCTAGTCTAATCAAGAGGAAAATTCCAATTAATTTTTTTTAGTGAACAGTGAACATCCACTGTTCAGCCCAACTGAACATCCACATGGAAAAGAACAAAGTTGAACCCTAACCTCACACCATATACAAAAATTAACTCAAAATGGATCAGTGATCTAACTGTGGGCACTAAAACTCGAAAACTCTTAGAAAACAACGTCGTTGTAGATCTTTGTGACCTTGGGTTAGGCAGTTTTTTAGATATGACACCTAGCCCAAGCAACCAAAAAAATATATAAATTGGACTGTAGCTAAATTAAAACTTTGTGTACTTAAAAAGACACTATCAAGGAGTAAAAAGACAACCCACACAATGTAAGAAAATATTTGTAAACCATGTATCTGATAAGGGTCTAGTGTCCAGAATATATTAAGAACTCTTACCAAAAATAAAAAGACAAATCAATCCAATATAAAAATGGCCAAAGATTTTGAATAGATATTTGTCCCGAAGAGATATACAAATGGACAATGAACAATAAAAGTTGTTCAACATCATCAGCTATTTGGAAAACCACAATAAGATACTACTTCATACTCACTAGAAGGACCAAGTTTAAAAAGGTAGACTATGTTGCCAAGTGTTGATAAGGATGTGAAAAAATCGGGACCTTTATAACTTGCTGATGGAAATGTTAAGAGGCGCAGCCCTATAGAAGACAATAGGCAGTTCCTCAAAAAGTTAAAAGTAGAGATACATATACTCCAGCAATTCTACTCCAAGGCACATAGCTAAGAGAATAAAAACATGTTCACTTAAAAATTTGTACTCAAATGTTCATAGCATTATTTGTAATAGTCCCCAAATCAACACAATCCAAATGTCCATCAACTGATCAGTGGAAAAATAAAATCTGATATATTTATACAATTGAATATAATTTGGCCATAAAAAAAGAATGAAGTGCAGATGCATGCTAGAAGCCAGAAAAAAAAGATCACATATTGTGTAACTCTACTTTCATGAATTGCTCATAATAGACAAATCTGTAGGGATAGAAAATCTATCAGTGGTTTCCAGGGACTTAATGAATGAAGGAATGTGTATGGAATTTCATTTTGGCATGATAAAAACATTCTGGAATTAGATACAAGTGATAGATGCACAACCTGGTGAATATATTAAAATCTATTGAATTGCATTCTTTAAAATTGTGAATTTTATAGTATGCTAATTATGTCTTGATTTTAAAAAGAAAAAAATTGAGGACTATTCTGGCCTATATTTCTCAGCAGTACCTGACCAATGTTATGTAAAGCTATGACGGTAATGAGAAATAAAGAAAGACTGAGAAACCATCACAGTGGAGAGGTGATAGGTAAGGAAACATGGTAGCTAAACGTAATGTGTGTTCTAATAAGATCCAGGAACAGGACAAAAAATAAAACACAATTAAAAACTAAAGAAATCTGATTTATGGACTTAGGCTAATAATAATGTAGCAACATTAGTTCTTTACCAATATACAAATGTACCATAGTCATGTAAGATGTTAGTAATAGGGGAAACAATATGAGGTAGATGGGATTCTCTGCACTATTTAGATTGGTGCAAAAGTAATCGCAGTTTTCGCCAGCTCAATTTTTCTGTAAGTCTAAAACTGTCCTAAAATAAAAATTTTATTAAAAGAAAATCAGTTAAGAAGTCCTAGTAATACTCTCCATTATAAAGATAAGGGAATGGAAGCTCAAATGACTTGCCTAAGATCATAGCCTGTAAGTGGCAAAGCTGTTATTTGAACCCAGGCAGTCTGGCTCTAGTTTGTGCTTTTGATCATTGTGCAGTGGTTTGCTGATCCATTCTACACCCTCTTCAACCTTTTTTATGTCTCTGAAGGCTGACTTGCCCTGTTTCAAGATTCATTTGATGAATGTGGAGCACTAGCAGAGGATGGGAGTGTGTAAAGAGAGGAATGCAGTTATTCCCTCCTGTCATCTCTCCCTACAGGGTCATCTTAGGCTACCTGCATCCCTGCTCTATCAACCAAAGGTCCCAGCTCCTGTCTGGTGGCTTTTCTATGCAGTTTCTTCAGGTTCCAGTGTTTCTCTCCCTAGCCCTCTGGCTAAGTAGGGTCCAAGTATTGTGATATCCTTTGTGGTTTCCTTACTTTTTATTTGTATCATTGCAAAAGGTAGTGCACACATTACATTTTTATCACAATACTCAATTTGAATAGACCATCTTTTTCTGGCCAGGTTCCTTCCTTATACCACCATTATATCAATCCTGAACTTGTAAAAATATTCCATGAGTTAACATTGTAAAGTAGGAGAATTTCTCTTCAGCGCCCTCTCACTTATACCTCTCCTCTTCCACATATTGTTAATTCTTTTTTGAGGAAAGACAGTATGCACTCAATTCTGTAGCCTCATTGCAGAATGTAGTATATCACATAGCAAATTTTTAATACATACTTGTTTGAATGAATGAATGAATGAATGAATTTTTTCTCCCCCTCTTCAGCTCTGTTTTTCCATAATGAAACAAAGTACCTCTGTTAACAGATGTTTGATGGCTCAAGAATATAACTCAGTTTGGTTCTATCTTTGTGTTTCTACATATACACAGCTGTATCCTGATAAGTAGTGATAGGCAAAGTCATAAACATTATCACTGTATTTAGATTTTATGGATTATTTGTGATTGTAATTGTAATAAATAGTAGCCTAAAAATAAAAATATAAACCAGAAACTTTATGAAGTTATTCTGCAAACAAAAAGAAAGACAGAAGGACAGATAAAATGAAAGGAAAGGTAAAAAACAAAACAAAATCAAAACAAAACAAATAAACAAACCACCGGAAGCCTTAGGCAATAAGACAATCTATGCAAACCATGAGATTGGGTAGCTTTGATGTCTTCCTTGATAATAGGCCTGGTACCCAACAAAACACCAGTAGGGCCATCAATTGAATTCTCATTAATCTGCTTTCTCATTTTCCCTCTGATATTGGAATATCTGTAACAGTTTAAAGATGGAAATGAGTGTACAGATCATTGACTAATCTCGAAGGGGTTGCTGTGAAAACAGAATATTTGTAGAGTATTATAGAAATAGTGCATCAGATCAGACCAATAATAGAAACAAAAAGGATTATGGGCAGATTTTAGGCTGGGGTATATCCAGATTTTGTCCAGTCATTAAAATATTATGAGGTAATGCATATTAGTCCTTAGTCTATATTTGATAAAGGTTCTTGCAATCTTACTTCAGGTAAATATTTCACTTCCCTAAATAAAAAAGAAATCAAATCAAAAGATGTAACTAAGGTACTGTAGGCCAGGTTAAAGTAGGTATCACTAAAAGAATACTTCCTCAAAAATCTTAAATGATTAAAATCTCAAAAAAAAGGAACAGTATGTCTTTCCTCAAGTAGTCATTTTAATTCAGAAAGCCAGTGATGTTTCTAGAGAGAAAAGTTCTAGAAAGATCTCTAATGGAGTTCTCTTTGGAGTACAAGAAGTATTTTCTAAAACCTATGTTTAAGATACAGAATATCTTGAGCCAATATTTAGAGCCACTGCATCTACCTATATCTGTCAAGCTGTCTGTCTGTCTGCCTAACTACCTATCTACCTACCTACCAAATCTATCTATGGGTAGATAGACTGAAGAGTCAATGCATTTTGATCAATTAAAAATGGAATAAAGTTGGAAATAAGAGTAGAAAATTTTGAAGGTGGCTCCCCAGTGATGTAACTCTATAAAGGAGGCTGTATTATATTAATAGAATTAAATTAACTCATTTTATCCTCACTTCCATGACTATTACAGACTTTATCAGTAGCTTCTTATAAAAAGTTAAGTTGTCAATGGAATATATATATATATGCACACATATATATTACATTGACAGTATATATATATATACACACACACACACACACACACAAGAATGAGCTCCCAAAGTGAAAATTATTTCTTATTCAGAATTA
The DNA here is from genome assembly GCF_000001405.40 of Homo sapiens. Lineage (NCBI taxonomy): Eukaryota > Metazoa > Chordata > Mammalia > Primates > Hominidae > Homo > Homo sapiens. The sequence goes on along the minus strand of NC_000014.9, from coordinate 85,922,339 downwards.
AGAAAAATATGTATACATATATATGAGTTAGTTGACTTATTAAATCTCTGTGTAATCCATCAAATCTTTGTGAATTGTAGAGAAAGTCCTGCTAAGTCTTTTGATATTTCTCAGGAGATATAGAAAAATATATTTTAAAAAACAAAATGAAACCAAACAACAGTAATCATATCAAATAAATCACATAAAAGTAGACTTTCTATAGAACAAATTTATTCTTTCTTAGTGTAAAATTATTTTTTTAAATGTTTGTGCTTTCCACATTATCTAAAATATGTCAGAACGATGGCTCAAAAAGGGCACAGAAACAGTTGATTTCAGCCGTATCAATTTCCACAGCAGTTTGAAAAGGGCATTGCACATATTTTGATGTAATCTGTCTTCACCAACATGCTGGATAAGTTTAGACATCACTTGGTATTGTATTGTTTTGTTTTGTTTTTCAAAAACATGTAATTTTTGGTAATATTCACTTTATGTACTTTCTCAAAAATTTGTGAATAGAACACTCAAAAATAAAAGACCCTGTTTTATTCTCATTTCCCTAACTGCTAAAGACCAGATTAGTATTTTACCTATATATAGAAAATTAGGCTGCAAATGAAATGTTAAAATGTCTCCACCTAGCTGAGTTAATTTGAGCCTGCCAATATATACACAGCTCCCTTTGTCCAGTCATAGTATGGGGAAGCCACCGTCAGAACCCCCAGTTTTTATTTCCAATGTTTTCTTTTTCGTTTTTAATCCAACAAAATGAACTGACAATTTAGCCTAACCACTTCCATTACCTTCAGAGAATGGCTAATGTTCTAGGAAAGGAACTTGACAATCTCCCTGACAGCATTTCTTTGTCAATCCATTAATTTCACCCTCAGAATATGCTAGTTATCTGTTAGTATTCCAGGCCAGCAGCAGCTGCATGGGAAAAAGAACTCCAGATAAGCAAGCTATTGTGTATTCTGCTGTGCACTTTCTCTTCCCATCGGAGTCCAGGGGGAACGCTGACCAGAGAGCCACTTTGCTTGGTATGTGGCTTCATTAGGGACATCTAAAGCAAATCAAAATTACCCTCTGCTGATGGTAGCTTCAGACATCCTCTGGCTCATGAAAATTGCTGAAGATTTTCCAAAGCAGGCTGAACAAATTCGTTTTCATGAAAATCGGCCTTGAATACAGGATTGATCCAGGTGACCTTTGAAGTCCTTGTTAAGCCTGAAATTCTGGGGTTCTGGGACCCACTTAAAGTTTTACTATAGAAAATGAGTATAGTATAGTTTCATATCCTGTCTCCTACTCATTAGGAATCTGTGATAGTAGCAATGAGAAGAGAAGAGTACATCCAGAGTTTTGAGGTGAAGTGAAAGAAAGTCATTAAGGCAGACACTTTTGGTTTTCTAATTCGACTGATACCACAGACTTTTTTCACTAGCGAACTAGTGTTGGACAATTCACACGTATCCAACCAAATTGATGTTGTCTTTGGGAACCATATATCTCTCATAATAAAAAGGTAAGGCTTCCCTCTGAGAGAATTAATTCCTTTATTTCCTACCTGAACCACAACCACCATCTTGAAACCATGTGGGGAAAAGCTACCAGATTGAGACAGAAAAATAGAAAGAAGCAGAGTCCATGAGAACATCTCGAAGCAGCCATCCTGCCTATTGAGTGGCTCCCTCCGGATATCTTGGTCTATGAAATAAACAAGCCTGTGTGATTTTAAACCACTATGGTTGTGTTTTCTGCCATTTTTACCCAAAAGCTCTGAAACTAATACATTCATTAAGGTATAATATGTGGATAAAAGTCTCTAGTCAAGGAGATGACAAATCTGCAAAAGGTGAAATTAAGAACTGACTTTTTTTTTTTTTTTTTTTGAGACGGAGTCTCACTCTGTCACCCAGGCTGGAGTGCAGTGGCGCCATCTCGGCTCACTGCAAGCTCCGCCTCCCAGGTTCACGCCATTCTCCTGCCTCAGCCTCCCGAGTAGCTGGGACTACAGGTGCCCGCCGCCACGCCTGGCAAATTTTTTGTATTTTCTTTTTTAGAAGAGACGGGGTTTCACCATCTTAGCCAGGATGGTCTCGATCTCCTGACCTCGTGATCCGCCCGCCTCAGCCTCCCAAAGTGCTGAGATTACAGGCATGAGCCACCACGCCCGGCCATAAACTGACTTTCAAGCAATCATGTGAGAGTCTGATGGCAAAGCCACACAAGAGAAACAAGGAAAGTAAATGATAGGTCTCCATGAAAGTGGTTAGTGTTCTGCTTTTGGGGAGCCCCAAGCCACACCTCTCCATCTGTTTTCTACGGCCAAAATGCTTCTTTAAGACTTAAAGTCAAAGTTTGGGTAACCATCTTCTAACAAAGTAGACTAAGGATTTAGAGACAGAATTTCAAGATTTTATATTCCATCTCAAGGTCATGAATTCATTACATCAAACACAAAAAGCACTCATGTCTTTAGATTGCAAAAGGCATGAAAATTAAAGTTGTGTTACTCCATTTTGAGGAATAAAGGATGAATCCAGCACCAAGAGAAAATTATGAGCTCTGTCATTAAAATTTTAATCTCTTTTTAGAGTAATAAATGTTAGGAAGAGGTAACTGGCAAATTTTCTTTAGAATTAAGGTAATTATCTCAAAAATTTTTAAATTATGTTACATTTTGCCTTTTCTGATTAGAAAAGCTTGTGGTGAGATAAAGCATAATGAGAATTCTAAACTTGAAGAAGGCCAAATCTAAATCATGATCATATCACTTAGTTATGTTACTTTGGGTATAACTCTTTGATCTTCAGTTTGCCCATTGGTAAAAGGAAACAACATTCCCCCCTACCACTGTAAGAATGAAATCCACTAATCTGTTGAATAAATGTTTGTTAATTTCCAACTATGTATCAGACGTTTTGCTACGCTTTGGGATCACGGAGTTATAGAACTGGACATAATCTCATTCTTAGAGAATCTCTCCTGGAATAAATATGTAACCAAACTTGAATACATTGTGATGAAAAATATTTTGGGGAAACAAATTGGGGGTTGAAGGGAGCAACCTAATCCACAGGACAAAGAGATTACAAAAATGAAATGACATTGTAAAGTGTAAAATATTATTTAATCTATATGTAATATTGCTTTGAGCTATCCTTATTGGTTTGACAACTATAATAAAAATCTATTGTGTACATATATGTTCTGTCTGGGTATTGATTACTGTATGTCTGTAACCAGGATGTCAGACCAAGCTCCCAACCAAAATGATCTTCATCTCAAATCCCTCTTCCATACCCAATGGAAAGCCCAATCTGTCCAAGATATTTGTTATTTTTCTGATAGGCTTATATTCTCACTGTCACTTCTGTGACCAGCTTCTATTTCCAGCAGTGATCTTTTTGTATACCATATTGAAACAGACATAAAACTCAGCTAACTCTCCCTTCTCCTCAGGTTCTACCGCTAATACCAACAAAAATAAAAGACTCACATAACCACCTATGTCATTGGTAGATACCACTGAGGATCCAGGATAATGAGACAGGTCACATTTATACCAGACAGCAACTATTTAAAAAATTTCCATTAAATGTACCTCTCCTTTAATGTATTGAAAAATCTTACAAGTCCAGTCCCACCACTGAAGATCTATGAACTCACACAGCTCTTGCCTTCTGCCATGTTAACTCCTCCATCCTTCCGCTTTCTCTTCTCAAATTCATCCTATTCTTTAAGCTACTCTCAGGAGCATAAAGCAATTTCTTCTTATTTGTTCATTCAGAGGACCTTAGCAACCACTCCCCTAACCTAGGATGTGAACTTTGACCCCTGTACTTCTCAAGATATTTCAATAACCAAGTTCACTGCTCACATCAATACTCAGAAGCATACATTCTTCGTGGAAATTTTCAGAGGAAAAAAAAAAATCCAGCCCCACAGATTCAAAGTCCCTGCCCAAGGTCATGGAGTCAGTAAGTGGTAGGGCTGGAATTCAAACCTGTGTCACCTGATGCAAAAATCTCCATTTGATTCTCTTTATCCCTAATATAAATGGACCTTCCTTTATGTATTTCATCCAGGCTTTGTTTTTTGAAAGAAATCTGAATATACCCCAAAGTTTTGAGAAAACACATCCTTCCCCAACATGTAAAATGAGCTTTAATTAAGGCAGAACGGCACCGAAAAAAATATTTTCCAATTATGTTGATATAATTGTTTCCACAGCATGATGTCTCCCGGTATCAGCTTTAGCAGGCAGTGGAGACATGGTGATATTGGGCTATTACCACTGCAGGCCTGCTCTTAAATTAGACATGGCATTTGGAAAGCAAGTTCTACTTCAACATTCTTAAACAAATATAGATGAAAACTTTTGTCTCTATTTAGACTTCCCACTGAGCTTCATTAATTCATGGCTGTCTGGCCCTTTTGGTCCCCGCTGGAAGGCCATAGCTGTAATGATGAGATACAAACTCAACTGAATATTCAACTTCACAACCTGGCAAGATGCCTGGAGCAAGGCAGTGACAGCTCGCTATTCACATTTCTATGTAAATTTTGACACTTACTAACTGAAAGAGTAGATCATCTGATCATTGCCTCCAAGAGCAACTGTAGAGAAAGCGGAGATTCTGATGGAGATAAGACTTTTTCTTAGGGTGCAAGGCAAGGTCAGAGAGCTATATTTAACTTTTGCCAAATCTACTAAAGAGGAAGAATACTATAGTACTCCGTAAAGATTTGTGTTTGAATTATGGTTTGAGGTTGCATTTTAAGCTGCCACATTTTATTTTTCCTTATTATTTGCTATTATTAAGAACTTTGAGAACTCTTGGCTAAAAATCTTCTTTAATAAGTTCCATTAATATGATATATGTGATCCAGCTTACACTTCTATAGTCCTAAATGGGCTAGTTACTATTTTGAACCTTGCATATATATTAACTCCTTTGCTTCTCTATTGAGATAAGTACAGTTATTATTCCTGAGATTCAGAGAGGTTAAAGATCTTGAACAGCATCAAATAGCCAAAAAGCGACATATATAATATAATATAATATAATATAATATAATATAATATAACATAATAACTTAGTAATAACATATTATCTATTATATATATAATGTAGTTATTCATACAATAGATAATATGGAAGAAAAACATAGAAAGACTCAAGGGGAAGACCCTTGGTTCTTACACCCAGAATATAGGAGAAGGAAAACAGAGCCCATAGCAAAAGTGTACACAAAGAAGTATACGTATCTGGTGGCTGAAAGACAAAGAATGCCTTTAAACAATCCAGAAATGGAAAATGTGGATTTGCATCAATTTTTGCCATGTAACATTTAATATTAACCTTCTTGTTCTTTTTAAAGAAATCTCCAGTAAATACACATTTCTCAGTGAAAGCTTGTTGCAGCATTTTGTTTTAATGGCTAACTGAAGTACCAGATTCTGTTAAAACCTCAGAAGGTTGGCACAGGATAAATGTATGACTGCCCATGTAAGAATACAGAAAGGACATGTGCTAGACACATTCCAACATTCTAACTTCATAAAGTCAACTTTGTTGAAGTGGAGAACTTATCAATGAGGTTAGAGAAAGACATTCAACTCCCAAACTAATGTCCTAGACCCTAAAATTCCAGAATGTATTATTCGTACTTACCAATTGCTTAGGCATTAAAAGTAATGACAAAAACTGCAATTACTTTTGCACCAACCTAATAGAATTTTGACACCACTTTTGTCGCCTGTGTCCAGATCCTGGGCTACGAGTTTCACCAGCAGACTTCTTCAAGACCCAGAGCCCCCCCTCCAGCTCTGGAACTTCTAGAGGATAAGGTCTGTCATTACTTATTTTACTGAATCATATTACACCAGACATTGAACTTTCTTCTTCATGGACCAGATTTCATCACTAATCTCTCAGAAACCTACACTATCAAAATGTATGTAGTACATTCAGCAGGTATTACAAATTCCGTTAGGAGAGATGAAAGAATCATGGAGCTGGGCGCAGTGGCTCGCGCCTGTAATCCCAGCACTTTGGGAAACCTAGGTGGGCGGATCATGAGGTCAGGAGATTGAGATCATCCTGGTCAACATGGTGAAACCCCATCTCTACTAAAAATACAAAAGTTAGCCAGGCGTGGTGGCACGTGCCTGTAGCCCCAGCTACTCAGGAGGCTGAGGCAGGAGAATTGCTTGAACCAGGGAGTTGAAGGTTGCAGTGAGCCGAGATTGCACCACTGCATTCCAGCCTGGGTGATAGAGTGAGGCTGTTTCAAAAAAAAAAAAAGAGCATGGCTCTGGTAATAGATCAGAAATGGAGAATGTGAAAAGCAGAGAAGAGAGATAAAGAAAGGAGAACTAGAGTGGTGGAAATCTATGAGGAAGAAAAGAGAAGTGAATGACTCATGCCAAAAAGATGCAAAATTTTTCAATCCTTACTATATGAAAGTGTGCCCTGGCCATGAACTTCTGGAAGCTCATGGTCCGTAGTGGGAATCTTCAGAGTCTTTAAAAAGAAAAAAAATAAATCATCTGGATTTCTTTAAAGACAATTGTCTCAGAGTCCTTCTAATATTTTAGCACTTATTAAGAATCACAGAAAAACTTATTTAAAACTCAAATTAATGACCCCCACATCAGATATTCTGACTCCAGTGACCTGGAATAAGGCCCAAGAATTTGTATGCTCAATAAACTCCTCAGATGATTCATATACAAATTGACAGAGGATGAGACTTTAAGAAACATTAGCCTAAATTCAACAAAAGAAGAAAACAAACAACCCCCACCCACCCAAAATAGGCCAAAGAACTTAATAGAAGCCTCACCAAAACAGATACACCAATGGCAAAGAAGTGTACAAAAAGATACTCCACACCACAGGTCAACAGGGAATTACAAGTTAAAACAACATTGAGATACCACTACACACCTATAAGAATAACAAAAATCTAGGACACCCACAACAACAAATGCTGGCAAGGATGTGGAGCAACAGGAACTCTCATTTATTGCTGGTAGAAATACAAAATGGCAAAGCCACTTTGGAAGATAGTTTGGCAGTTTCTTACAAAGCTAACTGCCAAAGTAACTACTCTTACAGTGTTATCTATCCAGCAATTGTGCTTCTATATACATATGTATATTATGTATATACATAAAGGAGTTGAAAACATATGTCCACATACAAACCTGCACAAGTACATTTATAGAAGCTTTATTCACAAGTGCTGAAATTTGGAAGTAACCAAAAGATTCTTCAGCAGGTGAATGAATAAACTGTGGTATATCCGGACAATGGAATATTATTCAACCCTAAAAAGAAATGAGCTATCAAGCCATGAAAAGACATGGAGGAAACTTGGAGGCATATTACTAATGAAGAAAGCCAATCTGAAAAGCTTACATACTGTGTGATTCTAACTGTATGACATTCTGGAAAAGAAAAAAAGTATGGAGACAGGAAAAAATGAATGGTTGCCAGGGCTTAGGGAGGAAGGAAGGATGAATAGGTGGAGCACAGCAGACCTTTAGAGAAGTGAAAATACTCTGTATGATACAATCATGGCAGATAAAGTCACTATGCATTTGTTCAAACCCATAGAGTGTACACCTACCAAGAGTGAACCCTAGTGTAAACTTTGGAGTTTGGGTAAAAATCATGTGTCAGTTGTACAAATATACAAGTGTACCACTCTGATGGGGGATGTTGATAACGGTTGAGGTTATGCATGTGTGAGTGCAGGGCTTTTATGGGAAATCTCTGTACTATATTCTTAATTTTGCTCTCAATCTAGAAGTGCTCTAAGGAAATACAGTCTTTAAAAACAAAAGAAAGAAAATAAAAAGAAAGAGAGAGAAAGAAAGAAAGAAAGAAAGAAAGGGAAAGAGAAAGAAATAAAGAAAGAAAGAAAAGAAAGAAAGAAAAGAAAGAAAGAAAAGAAAGAAAGAAAGAAAGAAAGAAAGAAAGAAAGAAAGAAAGAAAGAAAGAAAGAAAGAAAGAGAAAGAAAAAAACTATAAGCCTAAAAAGTATCTTCTGAGAGTTTTGGGGCAGTGAAGACAGCAAGATCTGAGACAGATCATATTTTATGTCTGAATACTGAGCTCAGGGATTCAGAAATGTTTGAAAGTTTTGGTCATAGCAGCCTAGTGGTCAAAACTGCGTGAATAAGATAAAGAAATCAGCGAATGGTACAACCAGTACCTAGGCAATCCTTGAGTGAAATGTTCGTGCATTGTGTATTAATAAGATGCTAAACTACACGGGAAATTACCCAGGTGATAGCCTGAAAACAGATGCCATTATATCTGCTATCTGTTCTCAGGATCCTCAAAAAGAATTAAAAGGCAAGTTTACAAATCATGTTTCCATCACCAACCCTCTAAAGACATTATTATTTGTACACACGGTCTATAGATCATCTATAACTGGTTGATCACAATTCAGATTTATTTCTACCTGAACACAGATCATTCAGATGCTCAAGATGAAATGAAATTGAATTTGGTCATGTCCTCTGTCAAGGTGAGCAAACTATTTTCCTCTTTACTCTCTAGGCATTTCTAATAATGTCCTGGTGCTATCAGGCTCCCATTATTCTCTTTCATTGAAAGACAAAGCCATATAGAATAAAATTATATTGTTCTTTGCTGACTATGCCATATCCCCTGGAAATCCTTTATTTATCAACCTCCCTGTGTTTTCATGTGGTACTTATTAAATGTGATATCTAGTCATGAGTGGTTTAATTTTTAAAAACCTTAAATACATATGTATGTATTTGTGTACATATATGTGTTTATGTGTGTATATATGTATGTGTATTTGTATGTGTACACACATACATATATACACACATATATGTGCACATACACAAAATTTATGCACAAACATGCACAGATTTGTGTGTATATTTGTGCATAAATATATTTCTGCCTCTATATATATTAACATATGTATTTAAACAAATACATCCATCCTTATTTATGACACAACCCCTGTTTTTATATATTTTTTGATACAATAAAAACGCAGAGAACATTTTCTATTTTTACATAAAATCATCTTGTGAAATAAAATAATTTTCAAGAAAAACTTACTGGGCATTTATAAAATATATGCAAAAAATAGAATTACAATAGAAGAATTCATTTGGGACTCTTAATTAAAAAAAATTTTTTTTTAAATCCTTGTTTCAGCTGCTATTACCCTAAAAAAGGGAGAGAGAGGCTGTGAAAAGATGTAGTGTTACCATGGAAATGTTATAAGCAAATATAAGAGTAAAGGCCCTATCTTAAAAATATCTTCAAAAGGAAATGTAGGCAAACGAAGTATTGTCAATGAAAATATATTTTTCTCAAGAAAAGATTCATTATTAGTAAAAAAACCAAACTAGTGGTGATTTTAACCAAAGTGTATGTTTTCTTCTTATATTTTCAAGAAAAACAAGTGAACTTAATAATTCTGAATCTGGCCGGGCGTGGTGGCTCACGCCTGTAATCCCAGCACTTTGGGAAGCCAAGGCGGGCACATCACGAGGTCAGGAGATTGAGACCATCCTGGCTAACACGGCCCGACCTCTACTAAAAATACAAAAATTAGCCGGGCGTGGTGATGGGGACCTGTAGTCCCAGTTACTCTGGAGGCTGAAGCAGGAGAATGGCGTGAACCCAGGAGGCGGAGCTTGCAGTGAACCGAGATCGCGCCACTGCACTCCAGCCTGGGCGACAGAGCGAGACTCCATCTCAAAAAAAAAAAAAAAAAAAATCTGACTCTGACTAGAGTATCTGGAAAAAAAATAGTAATATAAACGTTCATTATAAACACCCAGTTATTTCATTGGCATGCACGAGGCAAAGTGGCCTGCTGAATTCCTCAAGCACAACTTTTGGGTGTTTTTCGGTTGTTAGTGTTAGCTGCCAAAGAAGTTTTGCAATAAATAAGGTTATCTACTCACTCCATGACCTCGCTTCAAAGCAATAATTAAAGTGTGTCCCAGGCCAAATTTTGTCACACATAGAGTTATTTATTTATTAAACATGCATTAAACAAGCAAGCTTTAAAAAAAAAAAAAAAAGATCACATGGCCTACCTTGCAGACTCAAGGCCCTCCAAGTCTTTCACAGAGAGTTTATTCAAGCTGGGATTCCAAATGTAGGGACTACTCCGCGTGGCTGGCATCAGCAACCAGAATCCCGCAGTTCACAGCTAGAAGCTCCGGGGATTTATCCTCAAGCAGTATCCCCGTGGATAAAAGAGCAAGACTTCATAGATGTTTATAATGAGGTTTTCATGGAAGTGTGAGAAAACTCTTTGATACATATTTTTAGTCTCCATATCTTGAATACTTTTTACAGTAAAAGCCTATTTCTGACATTCATCGAGTTGATTCACGAGCAATTAAATCCACAAATGAAAACTCTTTTCTGACATACAGCATGCATATAGATAAAGGAAGACTGTATAGTCCTAGGGCATAGTGTGATCTTTCTGATGTCAGGTGTGCTGTCCTAAGATGTGGATTCTGTATTAGGGTATGGGCTCCCAGAGTTCAAATATTTTTAATTGGTATGTGCCCATCTTAAAATCAGTGATCTATGTCTTCTGATACTATTGCTGTGGACTAAATGTTTGGGTTCCCCTCAAAATCCATATGTTGAAACCGTAATCTCCAATGTGATGGTATTTTTAGATAGGGTTTTAGGGAGGTTATTAGGTTATGAAAATGGATCCTTCATTATTGGATTAGTTTCCTTATAAAAAGAAGCAGGACATTTAGGTTGATTCCATGTTTTTGCTATTGTGAAATAGTGCTATGATGAACATACATGTGCATGTGTCTTTATGGTAGAATGATTTATATTCCTTTGCGAATACCCAATAATACCCAATAATGGGATTTCTGGGTTGAATGATAATTCTGTTTTAAGTTCTTTGACAAATCGCCAAACTACTTTCCACAATGGCTTTACTAATTTACCTTTCCCTCAGCAGTGTATAAGTATTCCCCTTTCTCTGCAACCTTGCCAGCATCTGTTATTTTTTAACAGATGCTACTGAGGTTGGTGAGATAGTGTTAGATGGTATTTCATTGTGGTTTTGACTGGTGTGAGATAGTATTTCATTACGGTTTTGATTTACTTTTCTCTAATGATCAGTGATGCTAAGAATTTTTTCATAGGCTTGCTAGCCACATGTATGTCTTCATTTGAAAAGTGTCTATTCCTTTGCCCACTTTTTAATGGGTTTTTTTGTTTTTTGCTTAATTTATTTAAGTTCCTTTAAATTATGGATAGTAGACCTTTGTTGGATACATGATTTGTAAATATCTTCTCGCATTCTGTTGATTGTCTGTTTACTCTGTTGATAGCTTTCTTGCTGTGCAGAGGCTCTTTAGTTTAATGTGGTACATATATACGATGGAATACTATGTAGCCATAAAAAATAATGTGATCATGTCTTTTGCAGCAACATGGATGGAGCTTGAGGCCATTATCCTAAGTGAACAAATGCAGAAACAGAAAACCAAATGTTAATTGTGGTGACCTTCAACAAGTACCTTAAGCTGTACAAGTCATAAGTTTCTCATTTATGAAAGTAGAATGTTAATACCTCTCCTCCCTTCTTCACAGGACTATGTTTCAATGGAGGTGAAATATAATAAGTTTCTGTGAACTATAATTTATGGTATAAACATTATTCTTCTTATCATAATCATTCTTGTTACAAGATTTTTTTTCTTAAAATCATAACTATTTCTAAGGCCAAATATTTAATGGTCTTTTAATCACAATTACATTAATATGCATTATCTGCTATACATAGGTAATTTATTGCTTTAGAAGGCCAGTAAACCAATTGAGATTGTGTGTGTGAGAGAGTGTGTAAACATATATATTCTAGAGTATTTTGAAATTTAAAAATACATTCTGATTTTGGTATTTTGTGATTTTATTGATTAATATACACATAATAGAAGATACTGATTCTAGTATTCCTGATTCAAACAAAAATAAGAAAAATAAATCACTCTATGTAAGGTATATTTTGTTAGTGACACATTAGAGTTTTCCAAGACACCATTTAATAAAACATACTTTTTGTCATTGGTACCAGTGTGCAATCATTAAAAACTAATGTTTTATCTGCCTTCTATTACTGTAAAACCACTATCTACTTCTTTATAGTGGTTCTTTTGTTATTGTTTCTTTTTAAAAAAAACCCACAACAATGATAAAAAAAAGAGTAGAACTTTTTATGTACAGATATAGCAATGCTAACATAAATATTCTCTAAATTGGGTCTAATTCTCACAAATTCCAATCAACAGGTCCAGACTTCCTAGTGTTCCTCTTTCCCTAAACCCTCCAGCTTATTTTCCATGTACCATACTCCCTCATCTGCAGCTAGTTGAAAACAAAGATTAATTTAGAAATGTCAACTTCATATTATTTATCTACCAAAGTAAAACACTGAATGAAACACACTTGTACAAACAATAGTGGCCTTTTCCTTGTGTAGTATAGGATGTGGTCAATCATTTGGCAATTCAGTTTTGGCACACTATGAACTATTTATTTGTTAAGTTCAGTACTCTGGGCTGCAAAAGCTTGAGGAGAATTTTTTTTTCCTTTTACAGGAAACTATTAAATTTACAGGGCCTAATGTTTATTTCACAGTCAAACTTGTAGTATTGTATTGATAAATATTTAATGATACTGAGTTCAGTGGTTATTGCCTTGTACATTTCATTTAAATGATGTTTTATTATGACTCTAAAAGTGAAGTGTGGTCCACTGAGAAAGGGAAAAAAGGGAGAAAAATCTTTCCAACTAGAGATGACATAGAACTCAATTTCAATATGAGGCAAAGAGAGGAAAAGGAAAAACAAGAAACCAAATCTTTTTTGAGGCCTTAACAGATTGTGGTTTAACAAAGTTTCCATTCAGAAAAAAACATCTGGAAAACTCTATGAAAATTTTAGAATTGTTTAAGTTAAAAGACTCTTACAATGCCACAGATTCAAAATTATTTTGAGAGAGAAATACAGACAGATGTTCGTGTAAATTCTAAAATTTTTACGGAAGACATTGCCTTAGTTGATTCAGTGGGAGACAGATGGGGGTCATGGGGAAAGCAACATCAAATAAGAAATGTTTTCTGTAATAGAGAAAGTGGGTATTTGGGTAAATGAATAAAATTAAATAGAAAGCAATCTCTAAATGAAAAAGATACTCGGTTGCATTTACAAACGAGATTGAGCTTCTACATAAAAAAAAATACATGCCATAGTAAAATAAACACAGATTTTCTTTTTGCACCTGGTAGCTTTATAGTTCAATACAGTAGTTTTTATATTTTCATAGTTGAGGACTCCTTTTGAATGCCCAAGAATTTTTCAGAGCTCCACAGTGTAGATAATGTGCTGTCAGTGTTTAAGAAAATGACTACAAGCTATTGTAAATTAACTGACACTTTAAAACATTAACAAAACAAAGCATTATCACAGCAGTATAAGGAAACAAAAGAGGATGGTACATATACAAAAAGGCAGGTTAAAAGTAGACATCCAAACAGCTGGTCAGAATGGAATGACAATCTAAAAATGGCATTGATATCCACTGAAATAAGCAAAACTAGTTTGCCAATCAACTGTTAGGCCTGACTTGCTAAATTCTCATCAAATTGTAAGTTCTACTTCTGCTTGCAGTAGATAGTACCCTCAAGTGGAAATTTTATAACCGTTTTCAACAGCCCTAGGCCCCACGTGTACTAAACAAATACTGACCAATTCAAAAATATAGGCTTGAAGAGGTGCTAGATTCTAAGCTCTTCAAGGATGCCCATTTCTCCGCCCAGCAGAGCATATATGCATTACATATGGTAGATGTGGATAGTTGGCAAGATGGTCAAATAGGAACAGCTCGGGTCTGTGGCTCTCAGCAAGATTAACCCAGAAGGCAGGTGATTTCTGGATTTCCAACTGAGGTAACCAGCTCATCTCACTGGGACTGGTTAGACAGTGGGTGCAGCCCATGGAAGGCAAACCAAAGCAGAGTGGTGTGTCGCCTCACCCGGGAAGTACAAGGGGTCAGGGAACTCCCTCCCGTAACCAAGGGAAGCCATGAAGGACTGTGCCATGAGGAACGGTGCATTTTGGTCCAGATACTATGCTTTTCCCATGGTCTTCGCAACCCACAAACCAGGAGATTCCCTCCAGTGCCTACACTGCCAGGGCCCTTGGTTTCAAGCACAAAACTGGGTGGCCATTTGGGCAGACACCGAGCTAGCTGCAGGAGGTTTTTTTTTTTTTTTTTTTTTTCATATCCCTGTGGCACCTGGAATCCCAGTGAGACAGAACAATTCACTCCCCTGGAAAGGGGGCTGAACCCAGGGAGCCAAGTGGTCTAGCTCAGCAAATAATGACAAATAATCTGATTTTTATGGCAGGGTGATCCCTGTTACACACAGAGCCCAGCAATCTAAGATCCATTGTCTTGAAATTCTCGCTGACAGCATAGCAGTCTGAAGTCAACCTGGGATGCTAGAGCTTGACAGGGGGATGGGCATCACCATTACTGAGGCTTGAATAGGGGTTTTCCCCTCACAGTGTAAACAAAGCCACCAAGAAGTTCGAACTGGGAGGAGCCCACCACAGCTTGCAAAGAAGCTGTAGCCAGACAGCCTCTCTAGATTCCTCCTCTCTGGGCAGGGCATCTCTGAAAGAAAGGCAGTCAGCCCAAGTCAGGGGCTTATAGGTAAAACTTTCATCTCCCTGGAACAGAGCACCTGGGGGAAGGGGTGACGGTGGGTGCAGCTTCAACAGACTTAAATGTTCCTGCCTGCTGGCTCTGAAGAGAGCAACGGATGTCCCAGCACAGCGCTCAAGCTCTGCTAAGGGACAGACTGCCTCCTCAAGTGGGTCTGTGAGCCCCATGCGTCCTGACTGGGAGACACCTCCCAGCAGGGGATGACAGACATCTCATTCAGGAGAACTCCCACTGGCATCTGGTGGGTGCCCCTCTGGGAAGAAGCTTCCAGAGGAAGGAACAGGAAGCAATTTTTGCTATTCTGCAGCCTCTGCTGGTGATACCCAGGTAAACAGGGTCTGGAGTGGACTTCTGGCTAACTCCAGCAGACCTGCAGTAGAGGGGCCTGACTGTTAGAAGGAAAACTAACAAACAGAAAGGAATAGCATCAACATCAACAAAAAGGACATCCACACAAAAACTCCAATCATAGGTCACCAACATCAAAGACAAAGGTAGATAAATCCAAGAAGAAGAGGAAAAACTAGCACAAAAGGCTGAAAATTCCAAAAACAAGAAAGCCTCTTCTCCTCCAAAGGACCACAACTCCTTGCCAGCAAGGGAATAAAACTGGACAAAAAATGACTTTGACAAATTGACAGAAGTAGGCTTCAGAACGTGGGTAATAATACACTCCTCTGAGCTAAAGGAGCATGTTCTAACCCAATGCAAGGAAGCTAAGAACCTTGAAAAAAGGTTAGCAGAATTGCTAACTAGAGTAACCAGTTTAGAGAAGAACAAAAATGACCTGAGGGACCTGAAAAACACAGCACGAGAACTTCGTGAAGCATACACAAGTATCAGTAGCAGAATCGATCAAATGGAAAAAAGGATATTAGAGATTGAAGATCAACATAATTTAATAAAATATGAAGACAAGGTTAGAGAAAAAGAATAAAAAGTAACGAACGAAGCCTCCAAGAAATATGAGAGTATGTGAAAAGACCAAACCTACATTTGATTGGTGTACCTGAAAGTGACGGGGAGAATGGAACCGAGTTGGAAAACGCCCTTCAGGATATTATCCAGGAGAACTGCCCCAACCTAGCAAGACAGGCCAACATTCACATTTGGGAAATAGGGAGAACACCACAAAGATACTCCGCGAGAAGAGCAACCCCAAGACATATAATCGTCAGATTCACCAAGGTTGAAATGAAGGAAAAAAATATTAAGAGCATCCAGAGAGAAAGGTTGGGTTACCCAAAAAGGGAAGCCAATCAGACTAACAGCAGATCTCTCTGCAGAAACCCTACAAGTCAGAAGAGAGTGGGGGCCAATATTTAACATTCTTAAAGAAAAGAATTTTTAACCCAGAATTTCATATTGAGCCAAACTGAGCTTTAAAAGTGAAAGATAAATAAAATCCTTTATAGACAAGCAAATGCTGAGAGATTTTGTCACCATCAGGCCTGCCTTACAAGAGCTCCTGAAGGAAGCACTAAATATGGAAAGAAAAAAACCAGTGCCAGCCACTGCAAAAACATACCAAATTGTAAAGACCATCAACACTATGAAAAAACTGCATCAACTAATGGGCAAAATAACCAGCCAGCATCATGATGACAGGATCAAATTCACACATAACAATATTAACCTTAAATGTAAACAGCTAAATGCCCCAACTAAAAGACACAGACTAGCAAATTGGGTAAAGAGTCAAGACCTGTCAGTGTACTGTATTCAGGAGACCCATCTCACATTCAAAGACACACATAGGCTCAAAATAAAGGGATGGAGGAATATTTACCAAGCAAATGGAAAGCAAAGAAAAGCAGGGGTTACAATCCTAATCTCTGATAAAACAGACTTTAAAAACCAACAAAAATCAAAGAAGACAAAGAAGGGCATTATATAATAGTAAAGGGATCAATGCAATAAGAAGACCTATCTATTCTAAATATCTGTGCACCCAATACAGAAGTACCTATATTCATAAAGCAAGTTCTTAGAGACCTACAAAGAGACTTAGACTCCCACACAGGAATAGTGGGAGGCTTTAACACCCCACTGTCAATATTAGACAGATAACAAGACAGAAAATTAACAAGGATATTCAGGACTTGAACTCAGCTCTGGACCAAGTGGACCTAATAGGCATCTACATAACTCTCCAACTCAAATCAACAGAATATACATTCTTCTCAGCACCACATCACACTTATTCTAAAATAAACCACACAATTGGAAGTAAAGCATTCCTCAGCACATGTGAAAGAATGGAAATCATAACAAACAGTCTCCCAGACCAGAGTGCAATCAAATTAGAACTCAGGATTAAGAAACTCACTCAAAACTGCATGACTACATGGAAACTGAACCCCTGCTCCTGAATGACTACTGGATAAATAACAAAATTAAGGCAGAAATAAAGAAGTTCTTTGAAACCAATGAGAACAAAGACACAACATAGCAGAATCTCTAAGACACAGCTAAAGCAGTGTTTAGAAGAAAATTTATAGCACTAAATGCCCACAGGAGAAAGCAGGAAAGATCTAAAATCGACACCGTAACATCACAATTAAAAGAACTAGAGAAGAAAGAGCAAATAAATTCAAAAGCTAGCAGAAGACAAGATATAACTAAGATCAGAGCAGAACTGAAGGAGATAGAGACAAGAAAAACCCTTCAAAAAATCAATGAATCCAGAAACTGGTTTTTTGAAAAGATTAACAAAACAGATAGAATGCTAGCCAGACTAATAAAGAAGAAAAGGAGAAGAATCAAACAGACACAATAAAAATTGTTAAAGGGGATATCACCACTGATCCCACAGAAATACAAACTACCATCAGAGAATACTGTAAACACCTCTACGCAAATAAACTAGAAAATCTAGAAGAAATGGATAAAATTCTGGACACATACAACCTCCCAAGACTAAACCAGGAAGAAGTCGAATTCCTGAACAGACCAATAACAAATTCTGAAATTGAGGTAATAATTAATAGCCTACCAACCAAAAAAGCCCAGGACCAGACAGATTCACAGCCAAATTCTACCAGAGGAACAAAGAGGAGCTGGTACCATTCCTTCTGAAACTATTCCAAACAATAGATAAAGAAGGACTCCTCCCTAACTCATTTTATGAGGCCAGCATCATCCTGATACCAAAGCCTGGCAGAGACACAACAAAAAAGAAAATTTCATGCCAGTATCTTTGATGAATATCGATGTGAAAATCCTTAATAAAATACTGACAAACCAAATCCAGCAGCACATCAAAAAGCTTATCCACCATGATAAAGTAGGCTTTATCCCTGAGAGGTAAGGCTGGTTCAACATACACAAATCAATAAATGTAATCCATCACATAAACAGAATCAATGACAAAAACCACATGATTATCTCAATAAATGCAGAGAAGGCCTTCAATAAAATTCTCCATCCCTTCATGCTAAAAATTCTCAATAAAGTAGGTAATGATGGAACATATCTCAAAATAATAAGAGCTATTTATGACAAACCCACAGTCAATATCATACTGAATGGGCAAAAGCTGGAAGAATTCCCTTTGAAAACTTGCACAAGACAAGGATGCCCTCTCTCTCCACTCCTATTCAACATAGTATTGGAAGTTCTTGGCCAGGGCAATCAGACAAGAGAAAGAAATAAAGCGTATTCAAATAGGAAGAGAGGAAGTCAAATTGTCTCTGTTTGCAGATGACATGATTGTACATTTAGAAAACCCCATCATCTCAGCCAAAATCTCCTTAAGCTGATAAGCAACTTCAGCAAATTCTCAGGATACAACATCAATGTGCAAAAATCAAAAGCATTCCTATACACCAAGAACAGACAAACAGAGATCCAAATCATGAGTGAACTCTCATTCACAATTGCTACAAAGAGAATAAAATACCTAGGAATACAACTTACAAGGGATGTGAAGAACCTCTTCAAGGAGAACTACAAACCACTGCTCAGGGAAATAAGAGAGGACACAAACAAATGCAAAAACATTCCATGCTCATTTATAGGAATAATCAATGTCATGAAAATGGCCATACCGCCCACAGTAATTCATAGATTCAGTGCTATTCCCATCAAGCTACCACTGACTTTCTTCACAGAATTAGAAAAAAATTACTTTAAATTTCATATGGAAACAAAAAAGAGACCATATTGCCAAGCAATCCTAAGCAAAAAGAACAAAGCTGGAGGCATTATGCTACCTGACTTCAAACTATACTACAATGCTACGGTAACCAAAACAGCATGATACTGGTGCCAAAACAGACATATAGACCAATGGAACAGAATAGAGGCCTCAGAAATAACTCCACACATCTACAACCATCTGATCTTTGACAAAACTGACAAAAACAAGAAATGGGGAAATGATTCCCAATTTAATAAATGGTGTTGGGAAAACTGGCTAGCCAAATGCAGAAATCAGAAACTGGACCCCTTCCTTATACCTTATACAAAAATTAACTCAAGATGGATTAAAGGCTTAAAGTTTGGACCTAAAACCATAAAAACCCTGGAAGAAAACCTAGGCAATACCATTCAGGACATAGGCATGGGCAAAGACTTCATGACTAAAACACCAAAAGCAATGGCAACATAGGCCAAAATTGACAAATGGAATCCAATTAAACTAAAGAGCTTCTACACAGCAAAAGAAACTATCATCAGAGTGAACAGGCAACCTACAGAATGGGAGAAAAATTTTGCAATCTATCCATCTGACAAAAGGCTAATATCCAGAATCTACAAAGAACTTAAACAAATTTACAAGAAAAAAACAAACAACCCCATCAGAAATTGGTCAAAGGATATGAACAGACACTTCTGAAAAGAAGACATTTATGTGGCCAACAAACAAATGGAGAAAAGCTCATCATCACTGGTCGTTAGAGAAATGCAAATCAAAACCACAATGAGATAACTATCTCATGCCAGTTAGAATGGCGATCATTAATAAGTCAGGAAACAGCAGATGCTGGAGAGGATGTGGAGAAATAGGAACGCTTTTACACTGTTGGTGGGAGTGTAAATTGGTTCAACCACTGGGGAAGACAGTGTGGTAATTCCTCAAGGGTCTAGAACCAGAAATACCATTTGACCCAGCAATCCCATTACTGGGTGTATACCCAAAGGATTATAAATCATTGTACTATAAAGACACATGAACATGTATGTTTATTGCAGCACTATTCACAATAGCAAAAACTTGGAACCAACCCTAATGCCCAAAAATGACAGACTGGATAAAGAAAATGTGGCACAAATACACCATGGAATACATAAAAAAGGATGAGCTCATGTCCTTTGCAGGGACATGGATGAAGCTGGAAACCATCATTCTCAGCAAACTAACACAGGAACAGAAAACCAAACACCACATGTTCTCACTCATAAGTGGGAGTTGAACAATGAGAACACATGGACACAGGGAGGGGAACATTACACACTGGGGCCTGTTGAGGGTGGGGGGCTAGGGGAGGGACAGCATTAGGGGAAATACTTAATGTAGATGACAGTTTGATGGGTGCAGCAAACCACAACTGTACGTGTATACCTATGTAACAAACCTACATGATCTGCACATTTATCCCAGAATTTAAAGTGTAATAAAAAAATTAAAAAGGGGGAGGGAAGACCCAAAAAGAGAGACATCTGGATACCCATAGAAAGAGGACATTATATGGACTGAAAGGTGACTTGAAGGAAAAACAAAAGAAGGTCTTGCACCATCTTCTGAACATCAGGTGTGTTATTTTCTATTAAGTAATGGTCTGTACCTATGCACCCTTCCTGGGAGTAACACGAAAATAATAACACCTCCCACACCCCATTCACAGGGTTGAAAGGGTCAAATGCATTATCTTTAGAGAAAAAAAAATACATTCCGTACAAATTACCCATTTAAAAAATGGTAGATGTTTTCAGCAACCAGTACGTTGTATGCATATGGTTTATACACTTTGCAATAACTCTAACCCACTTTTGATGGACCTACAGGTCTACAGGTCAAGAATATTTAGATCAATTAATAAACTCTTGGGGTCGGATTGGCACGCAAGGATTCAACCACCGTTTTTGGTCTCGACGTCAAAATTTCCCTTGGTTTGATTTGTCATACTCTCACTTCTGCCCTAGTATTTAGCCTCAGACTCTCAATAGCTCTGTGCCGATGTGTTGCAACAAATTATCACTCTTATGGCTAGTTCGAGTGGACCTTGATTCTGCTCTCAAGGAGCCTTGTCTAAGTCAATCACTTTGATCCTTCATACATATAGCCATTTACCTAGCAGACAGAAATTTTAGTCCCGTGATAGTGCCCAGTCTACATAATGCACCAAGTTTAGTTCCCAAATTGGATTTCAGCTACTGAATACCTCCAGGGATCACAGATTGCATTGTTTTCCCTCAGTTCCTTGTCTTCAATCCCAATTCAATTTTGATGTAAATTGCACTTTGTTTCTCCTCAAAATCACAGGGATTCACTTTCTTCCTTTATAAGTTTATTTAAAGAAAAGTGAATATTCTAGCATGTCACTTGAGTAGGATATGCTACTTTAAATGCAAGTGACATATACAACAGGACTGTCATCCACATTAGAAAAGACAGGTTCCTGGCTTGGGGGCTTCAGCAGACTGTTAGTCTTTTGGTAAGAACACTCTTCTTTTTGCTATTGCTACAGAGGCATCGATGGTCCAGCTGCTAGACACTAGCATCCGGGCAGAGATATGCAGCCACAATAGTGAATTCAGAGGATGATGTGAAGATAATGAAATGGTATAGAGATCATCAGTCCAAGGCCCTTACAGTTGCATGGCTATGTTTTATAGTCCCTGGGCAACAGGAAGGTTGTCATTCAAAATATTCACTGGCTGTATTTTCATAAGAGAGTTCCAACACATGAAATACTTTTTCCTCCAATCACTAGAAAGCAGATTTAGGAAGACCTAATAATTCTAAATATGTACACGTCAAAATTGGTATAACAAAAACTGACAGTGCAAAAAGGAGATAAAGACAAATGCACAATCATAGTTGGAGATTTTAGCACTTTCTCAGTAATTGAGAAAACACTCAGCCAAAAGCACATATATAGAAGCAAAAATTACACCAAAGATTAGAATAACACTGTCAACCAAATAGAACTACTTGATAGGTCCAAAATATTAAATTCAATAACTGCCAAATGCACATAATTTTCAAATTGGACATAAAACATTGACTAAGATCATATGCTGCTGCATAAAATATTTAATACATATCGAAAGGTTATAATTTAATTAATTTTAACAAAATATTAGTAAATTAAATCTAGCAACTCAAAAGATAATACATTACAACCAAGTAGGGTTTATCTCACCTGATTTAACATTTAAAAATCAATCAACATAGCCCACCAAATTAACACAATAAGAAAACAAAATTACAGATTCCATAATCTCATTTGTCAAAACCCAAAAGCTATTCTACATAAAAATTTTTGGCAAATTAGGAATAGAAAGGAGCTTCCTCAAACAGATAAAGCACATCTACAAAATTATCACATCATATTAATGATGAAAAACTAGATTTGATTCTACTGAGTTCAGGAACAAGCCAAGGCTATTTCACTATCTCTATTCAACATTAGAACGGGGTTCCCAGCCATTGCAATATACAAGAAAAAGAAATAAAGTATAATCAGCTTGGAAAGGACAAAATTAAACTGTCTACTAGAAAACAACAAACTTGTCAAAGATAAAATCCTAAGAAATTTTAAAAAGAGAGAAATTAGCTAAGTAATTAAATTTATTATCATTATTAAAAATTCCAATTTATATCTATATACTAGCTGGAACCTACTGAAAAAATAAATTAAAAACTCCATATTTTTAGAAACATAAAATGCCTAGAAATAAATTCATGAAAATATGGATAACTTCTATTTTGAAAATCAATCAAAATTGCATAGAAAAATAAAAACAAAATATATGGAAAGATATAATATGTTCTTGGATTAGAAGACTTAATTTTTTAAAAAATTAGTTATCTCCAAACTCATTTACATACTCTCAAAAAGCTGACTTTGTAGAAATTGAGAATTAGATTCTCAACATAGGATGTTAAGCCCCCCTGAGGGTGTTTGAGAACATTTGGAGTGGGGTGATTTCATAGCAATGAGGGTGGGACAAAACTGAGTTTAAATGCCAAGGGAGATGTTTATCCGCCAGAAATCAGAAAGATATTTCTACAAAATGAAGACACTCCCTAGCTTTTTGAGAACTACTGTTCTAGGTGATTTAAATCTAGAGTTATAAAATGTTAGCCCTAGAAAAGTTCCAAATTGAGACCAAATTCTCACTTTACAGTTCAATTTCTCATTGAACTTAAAAACTTAAATCTAAAATCTGAATCTTACTTGCTTGAGGTCATCAGATAGCTTTTGACAGGGTAGAAAATAAAACCCAGATCTCTCAATTTCCAGTCTAGGACTCTTTTTACTTTACTACATTTCAGCGGTCAAGCACAATTAGAATTTGAAAAACCACGGAATCTTTGAAGTCACGCATTTCATCTTCTGCATGTTGCTTTTAATTTCTAAAAGGAAAAGTTGGCTTTTAAAAATGTAGTATATTCATACAAGGAAACACTACTCAATATTTTGTGAAATGACATTTCGAAATGTAGTTGATTCAGACAACAAACATTTTATCATCTCTCATGGTTCTGGTTTCAGTGAGCTCAGCTGAATAGTTCTACAGGTCTCTGGGATGCTAAGATAGCTGGATGTCTTTTCTTCTGTATGTGTTTTCAAAACATTTCTTCTCCAGGTGATCCTTCCATGTGGTTTCTCCATGAGAGCAGTCAAACTTTTATGTGATGGCTCAGGCTGTTGAGACAATTTTTTATGGGTCTTTAACATTTATGCTTATTTTGTGAGCAGAGGTACTGTTCCATTTCTTGGTTGATAAAGCAATAAGCAACTGAAACACCAATTTGAGAAAATCACAAGATGTTTAATGCTTCAGTTTTCTTATCTGCAAATGTAAAGTTAATAAT
Organism: Homo sapiens; assembly: GCF_000001405.40. Classification (NCBI taxonomy): domain Eukaryota; kingdom Metazoa; phylum Chordata; class Mammalia; order Primates; family Hominidae; genus Homo; species Homo sapiens. The sequence goes on along the minus strand of NC_000014.9, from coordinate 85,898,507 downwards.
AGTGCTTACTTGCTACAGTAATTGTGAAAATAATTGAGATAATTAATACAGTTTGGGTAAAATACCTAGCACAGTGCTAGGTAATATATTTACACTCTCATTGACAAATATTCTAAAATTTTATTCTATGTTCTCACTGTTACCCCTGTTCAGTTTTTGCCAAATTATATTTTGCCTTTTTTATAACCTCACGCTACTTTACTTTGTGTGAAGCAATCACAAAGCACATTCTACTGTCAATGTTAAATGAGAACTGATTTCTATACAGCCACTAAATTGAAACTTTGAGAATTTTCTAGTTTTCATGAATAAAATGATCTCTTGCATTATAACTTATCAATTGAAAGCTTCCCATGTTGGTTGTGTTGAATTTTCCTCAAGTATTTAGTGGTAAATATTTCTGCTATTTTTTGTATTCTGATTATTACAATTCATTCCTTTCTTAACTGCTAAGCTGGGTTTTATGTAACCTTGGGCTATTTTTACACCATGATATCATAAGCCAAGCTCATAAAATAAATTTCATGTTCAGTTAACAGAATAAATATCAGTTCCAAATCTTTTAATATGAATATTTTACTATTTTTTCTACTTTGAGTTTGCAGATATTGACTGTGTGTAAGATATAAAGGCAGTTTGATGCAAACATGAGTTATACAACTCTTCAGAAATATGTCTGGAACACAGTAGATTTTTCAATAAATATGTGTTGAATCTCTGATCAGACTGCTGGGCAGAACACAAATCTTCCTCCTTCACAGAACCCAGGGTGCATTCCTCTCACTGAAGCTGTAGCATTAAAAGAAAACCACCCTGTTAGACAGAAGGTCCAACATCTAGTGCTTATGTGCTTGGTCTCATGAATGTAATAGGCTTAGTCCTGGGAATGGCACAGTGTCACTTCCATTGCCATCATTTGGTGAACCAATCACTAGAGCAGCATATATTAAACAGGATCGACAATAAAGTCCACCTTTTATGGAGGAGACTGATAATGAATAAATGGCTGTTTTTAATCCACTATAGTCTGGCCCTGGTCACAAATTACTTATATTCCTCCCATGAGCAAAATGTACTCATCCCATTCCAAGACTTCGAAGTTCTCACCTAATTGTACTATCGGGCTTGAAGACAAGGTTCGGGTGACAACAAGACCCCTTAGGAGTGGCTCCTCTCAATCCAAAGACCTATAAACTAGGAAGTAAAGGGACAAATTACCCCCATTGTTTCTTCTAACATAGAGTTACTGCTATAAGCCAGGGACAGAAGAGCCATTGCAGACTCTTTTATTCAAAAAGGGAGAAAATGGAAGACACATTGCAGGTAATGTGCCATAAGGATTCCTAAATCAAGACCAATACATACAGCCAGTTCCTTGATTGGAGCCCACTCTACTTCCCATACATGATTGTTTATTGCTCTTGTACCTGATCTCTGAGTGGTGCTTCCTTTTTCATGAGACTTGGCATGAGTTTGCAATGAATAGTTTTCCTAATAAGAGAGTGACGGTCTAAATGCTTCTTTTCATTTTAGTTGAAGGTAATGATAATTCCACTGACGAAACTCTTTAAAATAAAACCATTTTATTGGTTTTCTATAAAATTTTATTGAGCTTCATTCCATTGTCCCAAAGTCATGCCCAGAATTCTATGCAATAAAGGCTTCCTACCTGAGCTAAGAGTCAGGGAGCTGTGGTAAAACCACACCTTTTTTGTCTTATGAAAAGGGTCTAAAAGGCACTGCTTTGAATCTTTCTGAGGTCTTAACAAAGTGTGTTATAACCACATCCTTGATATCCTGATCTTGATACCATATCATGCTAATAGCAGTCTGGGTTTTATCTTTGCCCTGAGTTCCCAGCCTGACCTATGGGCTTCAGGTTTCACAATCACATAAACCAATCTCTTAAAAAATAAATCCCTTCTGTCTATCTAGCTACCCATCTATCTATCTCCATTCATATATAATATATAGATACATACAGATTATATTATTACATTATAGATAATAACATTATCATATTATATAAATACATATGTGATAGGTATATATGTGTGTATGTACATGCATATATAATATATACTTTGGTTTTTGTTCTCCAGGGAACCCTTGCTGATACAGGGGATCTCTATCTGGACTATAGAGAAATGACATTTAACTTAGGGACTTAAAAGTGGATTAACTCTGTGATCCAAATCGCCCATATTTTATGAATTCTACTCTTGCCAATGATGTTTCTGTATATGTGTGCCAGTATAGCCTTCAAAGTGCTTTCATGCACTGATACCAAGTCTCTTTAAAACTTAGAAAATAAAAGTAGATTATAAACTTCCTACAAAAGACCATTTGAATCTGATGATATTTTTATAAAACCTAGCATCCAAAATTCCATCACGTATCTAGGAAGCTGAACAAATAGAAATGAAATAAAACAAAATCAAAAGCACAATATGTGTAATTTGGCATTAAGAAACACTCACGCGTGCACACACACACACACACACACACACACAGAGAGAGAGAAACTGGATGCAGGGATGCAGCCATGACAGTATCATATCTGCATAAAAGTGCCAGTTAATTCAGGCAGATATAGTCCAAAACTTAACCTAATTAGGATGCAGATTTGTATGGCTTTTTGGTGAAATACACTGAAGGGAATGGAGGGTACAGCTAGAGCTTTGGGGCTTTTGCATTAAGCTCCAGCTGGGCCCGACAGACACTGTCCAAAAGATGACCTCCAAATAATTAAATGATTTCCATATGTTTGCTCATGTATAGTCTTCCAATGTGAGTTTTTCCATCTCCTACCAAGCTCAGTGCTTCTAACTGTTCAATGCTTAGAGGGACTCACAATTGGAAACCATCAAATATTCCACTATTGAATGATTTTTAAAATATAAAACTATAATAGTTGTTCTTCTCATTTTATCTACAAAATGGAACCCTTTCTAAGCATGATACTTTTACATTAGAGAGCTCTCATTGGGTTTTGGAAACAGTTTAAGGAAAAAAAGTTTGAAAAATAACATTTGATTGAAAAATAAAGGAAAATAAAAGATGCTCTGTATTTCTCAAAAAGAAACTGAGGTATTCACTGACTTTTATAGTGAAATACATTTTCTATTCACAGAGAGCATATTCAATGTTAAATTTGAACATCTTATTTTAAATTTCTTCAAATAAGAAAGTATGATTATGTTTTCAATCAGCATTTATTGATTATGTGACCGGATAGATTTTAATAAAATGTAACGGAGTTTTTGGAACATAGAGTTTTAAATGCCATTTTAAAGAGGTTGCAAATCAGAGCTTTTGTATCTCAAAGACAGGGACTTCAACATGATTATCCTAAAATCTAGGCACCCCCTGTCTATTTCACACAGAGACCTCTCTTTCAAAATATATTTACATTTGGGTTTAGAACTGTAAACTGTCTCTTTCCCTTATAATAGTGGCTGGCAAACTAAAGCCCAGGGGCAAATCTAGCCTGTTACCCAATTAATAAATGAAGTTTTCTTGGAGCATAGCAGCACCCATTCATTTTCTTAATCGTCCACGGGTGTTTTTGCTCTTCAATGCAGAGTTGAGAGTGTGACAGAGGTGGTATGGCCTGCAAGCCAAAAGTATTTACTATCTAGTCCTTTACAGAAAAACTTTCCTTTTTCTGTAAAGTTGTCGCCTGCTTTATATTGACACTAAAATAAAAAGAACATCACCTCACTTGATGCATTCATTTATTTATTCTCTGTACAATTATTGATCACTTACTGTGTCTCAAGAATGTGTTATACATGATGTTTATAAAGATGAACAAGACATCATAACTAAGATCAAATATTCTGCGGAGAGAAAGTCACAGGATTAAACAATTACCATGCAGTGCAATGAATGCTAGAAGAAGCAGGTTTAAATTTTCCATGAGAGAAAAAGATGAAGCAACTAAGTGGAAGTATAGGGAAGTGATGATATTTCATCAAGGTCTTAATGTAAGAACACACATTCACAAGTCTGGGTGAGAACGCTACTCAGACAGAAAGTAATGTGTATCTGCCAAGCCCCGGAAAAGTGAAACATTATGTTATGTACAGCGAATGTCAAGCGTAGACTTAGAACTGTGGCCCATGAGGAGGTAACATTAAATGGAACTGGATAGGCAGACCGGGGTTCTATTCAACACCAAAGCAGTCATTGAAAAGTCATGAGGAATCACCGAGGCACTTTAGGAAGGGAAGTTACATAGTCACATCTACATTTCAGAATAACTCAGGCGAACATTTAATGATTGACAGAAGGGCGGAATAGGGAAGAGATATGAAAGCATAAATCAAAGCAGGGTGTTAGTCAAGATTATTTCAGCAAAAAGTTGTAGAACCCCAACATAGATTGACTTAGGCAATTTTATATGTATATACATTATATATTAATATATAATATATATTAAATATACATTATAAATATATATTTTATATATATATATATAATTTTTCTTTTTGACCAGGCTTTTTGATTTGGAACACATCAACAGATCCAGATCTATATTTCCTCAGCTTACTGCCCTTGAGAAAGCAAAAAGTATTACTACCTAGTTCTTTACAGAAAAAGTTTTCTGTAGAACTATCGGGAAGAACTATTCTTCCCGATAGTTCCCAATAGTTCTAGCCAAATTAACCTAGTTCTTTTGCCAGGTTTTGTTCTCATGCCATCCCTAAACCAACCACTATGCACTGACTTATAAGGAGACAGAAATCATTTTCCTGTAGGTAAGTTTGAAGGGACAAGCATTAACATATGTTAACTCTTAAATTTGTCCCCGGGTATTATTTAAGTTCAGCCTTAGTTCTGTGTTTATTCATTTGTTAAACATATCTTTTTATTATTGTTACTCAATGACAGGCACTTTGTGGATGGAAACGTAATGAGGAAGGAGCTGCTCCTTCCCCCAGGATAGCAGTAAGAGGGAAAAATCCAGTAAGCAAATAAAGAGATATGCAAGCTTGGGATTACAAGAGCATGAAGACAGAACCAAATAGGGGAGGCTGGGACTGTCAAGAAGGCCATCCAGAAGTAGAATTTTCCTAGTTCAGACTCCAAGAGGAGTAGGATCCAGACTGGGTAGGGAAAGAAGTATATTGCAAATAGACAAAGGGAAATATACAAGGCCCTGGCAATAAGGCTGACTTAAGCAGGATAGGGATTAGGAGAGATGGAATCCAGATCATAAGCTAGAACCAGACCATGAAGACAGGATACACAACAAAAGTGAACTTTATTTTGAAGGAAACTGGGGTCAACTGAATAATTTTAAGTGGGAGAGTGTCATGATCCAATTTGCACTTTAGAACAAAAACTCTAACTACTATATGGACATTGGCTAATATTTGTTAGTGTCTGTTATTTCAAGTGACTAGTAGCCATGTACTGAATGAGAATGCTTAATTTCAATTCAAAGAATGGATGGATTCATAGCAGGCACAGCGCAGCTGTTCTGCTTAGTTGCTGTATAACCTCTCTGAACCTCAGCTGGTTTCCTCTATACAAGGGGAATAATAATATTTTATACTTTAAAGGACTGTTTGTTAACAATTGAGACAATGCCATGTAAAAACCTTATAATAAAGCCAAGCACATAGGAATTGCTCAATAAATTGCCACTATTCTCATTATCATTATTATGACGAGTAGTTTTTCAAGAGTGCTCATAGGCATTCTATTATGTGAAGTTATACAGACACAGAGACTGCATTTGAGAGGAAGGGGGAAATCGAATGAGAAAGAGCAAAAAGGAAGAGCCAGAGTGAGAGAGAGATGCTTATCTTTCTCAGAGAATGGGTGGGTGGGTTGGGGGTGGGAGGGAATTTTATTTCCATTGATATGAAGAACTCCTTACAAATTGTATCATAAACAAAACATTATTTTTACAGTTAGCAAAATGCAGCAACCTCTGGGGTGAAATGAAGCAGCTGCTTAACGGAGCACAGCTTCTCTGCAGGGGGAAAAGAGTACTTTAGTCAACCAAAACCATAGGTACTGGCGTTAATCAAAACATCTTTCAGGTAAAGATCATAATGTGTGTTTTTACAGCATTAATTAAGAAAGCAAACTATTATCTAGAGGCAAATCAAAGTGAGAAAGCTATTCGATTAAAACTTCTATGGAGCAAGCATTACCCATAACTAGTCTCATAGAATCAAGGAGGAAATAAGGGATAAGAGAAAAGTAAAGCGTATATACCCACAGGGACATAAGTGTGCAGAGTTTTATGATTTTCACTAATGAGAGAATAGCCACTTGGTTTTATAAAGCAAACTGGGAAAGCATATTGATAATTCAAGCCGTTTCTCACTCCTCAAAGAATCTAACAAATATTACCTAAGTATAACACGACTTCTTTAAGAACGAAATGTCTGTAGTCAAAATGTTCTAGAAACCTTTTCCTTTCTGCTGTGGTATGAATGTCATCTCCAAAATTCATGTTGCAACTTCATCCCCAAAGTGCCAGTATTGAGAGGTGGGACCTTAAAGAGGCAATTGAGTCATGAGACCTCTGCGTTTATGAATGGATTACTCTATGTGTGAGTTAATGGATTAATGGGTTATCACAGGAGGGGAAATGGTGGCTTTATAAGAAGAGGAAGAGGGGTCTGAAATAGCATGTTAGCCCACTCAGCCCCATTCTTACAATACCCTGCATCACCCCAGGATTCTTCAGAGACTCCCCACCAGCAAGAAGGTTCTCACCAGACAGAACTCCTCAACCTGGGACTTCTCAGATTCCATACAAATAAGAAATAAAATGTTTTCTTTATAAATTATGCTGTACCAGGTATTTTTTTTTTTTTTTTATCTTGGTATTCTTCAGTTTTTTTTTTTTTGTTTTTTTGTTTTTTGTTTTTTTTTTAATTATACTCTAAGTTTTAGGGTACATGTGCACATTGTGCAGGTTAGTTACATATGTATACATGTGCCATGCTGGTGCGCTGCACCCACTAACTCGTCATCTAGCATTAGGTACATCTCCCAATGCTATCCCTCCCCCCTCCCCCCACCCCACCACAGTCCCCAGAGTGTGATATTCCCCTTCCTGTGTCCATGTGATCTTATTGTTCAATTCCCACCTATGAGTGAGAATATGCGGTGTTTGGTTTTTTGTTCTTGCGATAGTTTGCTGAGAATGATGGTTTCCAATTTCATCCATGTCCCTACAAAGGACATGAACTCATCATTTTTTATGGCTGCATAGTATTCCATGGTGTATATGTGCCACATTTTCTTAATCCAGTCTATCATTGTTGGACATTTGGGTTGGTTCCAAGTCTTTGCTATTGTGAATAGTGCCGCAATAAACATACGTGTGCATGTGTCTTTATAGCAGCATGATTTATAGTCCTTTGGGTATATACCCAGTAATGGGATGGCTGGGTCAAATGGTATTTCTAGTTCTAGAACCATGAGGAATCGCCACACTGACTTCCACAATGGTTGAACTAGTTTACAGTCCCACCAACAGTGTAAAAGTGTTCCTATTTCTCCACATCCTCTCCAGCACCTGTTGTTTCCTGACTTTTTAATGATTGCCATTCTAACTGGTGTGAGATGATATCTCATAGTGGTTTTGATTTGCATTTCTCTGATGGCCAGTGATGATGAGCATTTCTTCATGTGTTTTTTGGCTGCATAAATGTCTTCTTTTGAGAAGTGTCTGTTCATGTCCTTCGCCCACTTTTTGATGGGGTTGTTTGTTTTTTTCTTGTAAATTTGTTTGAGTTCATTGTAGATTCTGGATATTAGCCCTTTGTCAGATGAGTAGGTTGTGAAAATTTTCTCCCATGTTGTAGGTTGCCTGTTCACTCTGATGGTAGTTTCTTTTGCTGTGCAGAAGCTCTTTAGTTTAATTAGGTCCCACTTGTCAATTTTGGCTTTTGTTGCCATTGCTTTTGGTGTTTTGGACATGAAGTCCTTGCCCACGCCTATGTCCTGAATGGTAATGCCTAGGTTTTCTTCTAGGGTTTTTATGGTTTTAGGTCTAACGTTTAAATCTTTAATCCATCTTGAATTGATTTTTGTATAAGGTGTAAGGAAGGGATCCAGTTTCAGCTTTCTACATATGGCTAGCCAGTTTTCCCAGCACCATTTATTAAATAGGGAATCCTTTCCCCATTGCTTGTTTTTCTCAGGTTTGTCAAAGATCAGATAGTTGTAGATATGCGGCATTATTTCTGAGGGCTCTGTTCTGTTCCATTGATCTATATCTCTGTTTTGGTACCAGTACCATGCTCTTTTGGTTACTGTAGCCTTGTAGTATAGTTTGAAGTCAGGTAGTGTGATGCCTCCAGCTTTGTTCTTTTGGCTTAGGATTGACTTGGCGATGCGGGCTCTTTTTTGGTTCCATATGAACTTTAAAGTAGTTTTTTCCAATTCTGTGAAGAAAGTCATTGGTAGCTTGATGGGGATGGCATTGAATCTGTAAATTACCTTGGGCAGTATGGCCATTTTCACGATATTGATTCTTCCTACCCATGAGCATGGAATGTTCTTCCATTTGTTTGTGTCCTCTTTTATTTCCTTGAGCAGTGGTTTGTAGTTCTCCTTGAAGAGGTCCTTCACATCCCTTGTAAGTTGGATTCCTAGGTATTTTATTCTCTTTGAAGCAATTGTGAATGGGAGTTCACCCATGATTTGGCTCTCTGTTTGTCTGTTGTTGGTGTATAAGAATGCTTGTGATTTTTGTACATTGATTTTGTATCCTGAGACTTTGCTGAAGTTGCTTATCAGCTGAAGGAGATTTTGGGCTGAGACGATGGGGTTTTCTAGATAAAATCATGTCGTCTGCAAACAGGGACAATTTGACTTCCTCTTTTCCTAATTGAATACCCTTTATTTCCTTCTCCTGCCTGATTGCCCTGGCCAGAACTTCCAACACTATGTTGAATAGGAGCGGTGAGAGAGGGCATCCCTGTCTTGTGCCAGTTTTCAAAGGGAATGCTTCCAGTTTTTGCCCATTCAGTATGATATTGGCTGTGGGTTTGTCATAGATAGCTCTTATTATTTTGAAATACGTCCCATCAATACCTAATTTATTGAGAGTTTTTAGCATGAAGGGTTGTTGAATTTTGTCAAAGGCTTTTTCTGCATCTATTGAGATAATCATGTGGTTTTTGTCTTTGGCTCTGTTTATATGCTGGATTACATTTATTGATTTGCGTATATTGAACCAGCCTTGCATCCCAGGGATGAAGCCCACTTGATCATGGTGGATAAGCTTTTTGATCTGCTGCCGGATTCGGTTTGCCAGTATTTTATTGAGGATTTTTGCATCAATGTTCATCAAGGATAGTGGTCTAAAATTCTCTTTTTTGGTTGTGTCTCTGCCCGGCTTTGGTATCAGAATGATGCTGGCCTCATAAAATGAGTTAGGGAGGATTCCCTCTTTTTCTATTGATTGGAATAGTTTCAGAAGGAATGGTACCAGTTCCTCCTTGTACCTCTGGTAGAATTCGGCTGTGAATCCATCTGGTCCTGGACTCTTTTTGGTTGGTAAACTATTGATTATTGCCACAATTTCAGAGCCTGTTATTGGTCTATTCAGAGATTCAACTTCTTCCTGGTTTAGTCTTGGGAGGGTGTATGTGTCGAGGAATGTATCCATTTCTTCTAGATTTTCTAGTTTATTTGTGTAGAGGTGTTTGTAGTATTCTCTGATGGTAGTTTGTATTTCTGTGGGATCGGTGGTGATATCCCCTTTATCATTTTTTATTGTGTCTATTTGATTTTCTTTTTTTCTTTATTAGTCTTGCTAGCGGTCTATCAATTTTGTTGATCCTTTCAAAAATCCAGCTCCTGGATTCATTGATTTTTTGAAGGGTTTTTTGTGTCTCTATTTCCTTCAGTTCTGCTCTGATTTTAGTTATTTCTTGCCTTCTGCTAGCTTTTGAATGTGTTTGCTCTTGCTTTTCTAGTTCTTTTAATTGTGATGTTAGGGTGTCAATTTTGGATCTTTCCTGCTTTCTCTTGTAGGCATTTAGTGCTATAAATTTCCCTCTACACACTGCTTTGAATGCGTCCCAGAGATTCTGGTATGTGGTGTCTTTGTTCTCGTTGGTTTCAAAGAACATCTTTATTTCTGCCTTCATTTCGTTATGTACCCAGTAGTCATTCAGGAGCAGGTTGTTCAGTTTCCATGTAGTTGAGTGGCTTTGAGTGAGATTCTTAATCCTGAGTTCTAGTTTGATTGCACTGTGGTCTGAGAGATAGTTTGTTATAATTTCTGTTCTTTTACATTTGCTGAGGAGAGCTTTACTTCCAACTATGTGGTCAATTTTGGAATAGGTGTGGTGTGGTGCTGAAAAAAATGTATATTCTGTTGATTTGGGGTGGAGAGTTCTGTAGATGTCTATTAGGTCTGCTTGGTGCAGAGCTGAGTTCAATTCCTGGGTATCCTTGTTGACTTTCTGTCTCGTTGATCTGTCTACTGTTGACAGTGGGGTGTTAAAGTCTCCCATTATTAATGTGTGGGAGTCTAAGTCTCTTTGTAGGTCACTCAGGACTTGCTTTATGAATCTGGGTGCTCCTGTATTGGGTGCATAAATATTTAGGATAGTTAGCTCCTCTTGTTGAATTGATCCCTTTACCATTATGTAATGGCCTTCTTTGTCTCTTTTGATCTTTGTTGGTTTAAAGTCTGTTTTATCAGAGACTAGGATTGCAACCCCTGCCTTTTTTTGTTTTCCATTGGCTTGGTAGATCTTCCTCCATCCTTTTATTTTGAGCCTATGTGTGTCTCTGCACGTGAGATGGGTTTCCTGAATACAGCACACTGATGGGTCTTGACTCTTTATCCAACTTGCCAGTCTGTGTCTTTTAATTGCAGAATTTAGTCCATTTATATTTAAAGTTAATATTGTTATGTGTGAATTTGATCCTGTCATTATGATGTTAGCTGGTTATTTTGCTCATTAGTTGATGCAGTTTCTTCCTAGTCTCGATGGTCTTTACATTTTGGCATGATTTTGCAGCGGCTGGTACCGGTTGTTCCTTTCCATGTTTAGCGCTTCCTTCAGGAGCTCTTTTAGGGCAGGCCTGGTGGTGACAAAATCTCTCAGCATTTGCTTGTCTATAAAGTATTTTATTTCTCCTTCACTTATGAAGCTTAGTTTGGCTGGATATGAAATTCTGGGTTGAAAATTCTTTTCTTTAAGAATGTTGAATATTGGCCCCCACTCTCTTCTGGCTTGTAGGGTTTCTGCCGAGAGATCCTCTGTTAGTCTGATGGGCTTTCCTTTGAGGGAAACCCGACCTTTCTCTCTGGCTGCCCTTAACATTTTTTCCTTCATTTCAACTTTGGTGAATCTGACAATTATGTGTCTTGGAGTTGCTCTTCTCGAGGAGTATCTTTGTGACGTTCTCTGTATTTCCTGAATCTGAACGTTGGCCTGCCTTGCTAGATTGGGGAAGTTCTCCTGGATAATATCCTGCAGAGTGTTTTCCAACTTGGTTCCATTCTCCCTGTCACTTTCAGGTACACCAATCAGACGTAGATTTGGTCTTTTCACATAGTCCCATATTTCTTGGAGGCTTTGCTCATTTCTTTTTATTCTTTTTTCTCTAAACTTCCCTTCTCGCTTCATTTCATTCATTTCATCTTCCATTGCTGATACCCTTTCTTCCAGTTGATCGCATCGGCTCCTGAGGCTTCTGCATTCTTCACGTAGTTCTCGAGCCTTGGTTTTCAGCTCCATCAGCTCCTTTAAGCACTTCTCTGTATTGGTTATTCTAGTTATACATTCTTCTAAATTTTTTCAAAGTTTTCAACTTCTTTGCCTTTGGTTTGAATGTCCTCCCGTAGCTCAGAGTAATTTGATCGTCTGAAGCCTTCTTCTCTCAGCTCGTCAAAATCATTCTCCATCCAGCTTTGTTCTGTTGCTGGTGAGGAACTGCGTTCCTTTGGAGAAGGAGAGGCACTCTGCTTTTTAGAGTTTCCAGTTTTTCTGTTCTGTTTTTTCCCCATCTTTGTGGTTTTATCTACTTTTGTTCTTTGATGATGGTGATGTACAGATGGGTTTTCGGTGTAGATGTCCTTTCTGGTTGTTAGTTTTCCTTCTAACAGACAGGACCCTCAGCTGCAGGTCTGTTGGAATACCCTGCCGTGTGAGGTGTCAGTGTGCCCCTGCTGGGGGGTGCCTCCCAGTTAGGCTGCTCGGGGGTCAGGGGTCAGGGACACACTTGAGGAGGCAGTCTGCCCGTTCTCAGATCTCCAGCTGCGTGCTGGGAGAACCACTGCTCTCTTCAAAGCTGTCAGACAGGGACACTTAAGTCTGCAGAGGTTACTGCTGTCTTTTTGTTTGTCTGTGCCCTGCCCCCAGAGGTGGAGCCTACAGAGGCAGGCAGGCCTCCTTGAGCTGTGGTGGGCTCCACCCAGTTCGAGCTTCCCGGCTGCTTTGTTTACCTAAGCAAGCCTGGGCAATGGCGGGCGCCCCTCCCCCAGCCTCGTTGCCGCCTTGCAGTTTGATCTCAGACTGCTGTGCTAGCAATCAGCGAGATTCCGTGGGCGTAGGACCCTCTGAGCCAGGTGTGGGATATAGTCTCGTGGTGAGCCGTTTCTTAAGCCGGTCTGAAAAGCGCAATATTCGGGTGGGAGTGACCCGATTTTCCAGGTGCGTCCGTCACCCCTTTCTTTGACTCGGAAAGGGAACTCCCTGACCCCTTGCGCTTCCCAGGTGAGGCAATGCCTCGCCCTGCTTCGGCTCGCGCACGGTGCGCACACACACAGGCCTGCGCCCACTGTCTGGCACTCCCTAGTGAGATGAACCCGGTACCTCAGATGGAAATGCAGAAATCACCCGTCTTCTGTGTCGCTCACGCTGGGAGCTGTAGACCGGAGCTGTTCCTATTCGGCCATCTTGGCTCCTCCTCTGTACCAGGTATTTTCTTATAAGCCACAGAAAATTGACTAAGACAGTTCCTTTTCTAAACCTGCTTTTGCATTCCTGTTTGTCTGTCCCATAACCACGATGTATGCCCTATGAATAGGTAATGAGACATGCCACTTTAAAGGAGATGCCAAGAGACCCATATAGGCACTGGCTAGCCTTATCTTTAAGAGAGTAGAGAGGTGATATGTGGAGTGATTCAAAACATGTCACAAAGCCCCCAGATATGCCCACCAGCACACCTGAAATTTCCTGATTTTGGTAGGGAAATCTCCAAAGTGCTGATTTTGGTAGGAATTTTTTTTTTTTTTTTTTTGTAATTAAAGTGTAATTTTTCCTGGAAGAAAATACAATAATAAACTTTATAGGGCAACTTAATTATATTCTTTTCCTTTATTTCAAAAAGACTGAGCATGTTAGTGAGGGAAAAAAAAAGTAATGGGAGAAATTAAAGGAAAGGCCTAGAAATAGGAAACTCAGTATTTGGTAAAGAGTCACTTTTACCTCCTTGCCTGTAGGTAGACATGCCTAACTGGGCTCTGAAGAAAACACGAATAAGAAACATGAGAGCAGGTGAACATATAGTTTGTTTCTTGCCTGTGCCTGTTAAAGCATTTCATATAAGCAACTGAAACTGAGACTTGGGAGGAAAGTCTTCAATTCCAACATCCCAAAGGAGCTCTCAATCTGCTCATTAATGCCTGGTTTACTCATTCGTTCTGATCTCTTGTCTTGTTAAAGAAATTTGTCTTTGCTCCTTTCAGATTATTCTTGACCCCCATAAAGAAACCCTTAGATTGTTACTAATACCAGTAACATTTTTTTACTAACTCCCACATATTTTATCTGAGGTTCTCCTTGACTTTAATTCTTCTCTATTTTCCATTTTGATTGATGTGTTCTCCAGGGGCCACATCAGAATGGAAGTCAAAGGTGAATGTTATCCTCGCAAGGAATAATCTCATTTTGAATTCCTCTCATCTTTTTAAACAAACACAATTGACCAAGTCCTTTGCAAACCAATTTCTGTCATCCTCCTGTTTCATGAAGCACACTACATTTTATACAAATATAAATGAAGAAATAATCAAAGAATCTAGGAATATTTTCTAACTCTACTTGGTAATGTTCAGCTGGTTAGAAAAAGAACAAAGGCTTCCTGTTTCTAGGGTACTTGTCTTAACTAATACGTGCAACTCCATGAATACATAATGCAGATGAAAACAATAAGAAGAAGGGTCAATGTGTCCACAATTCCTTCTCCGCATTCTGACACTTGGACTGGGCAAGGATCCACCTGTACCACCATGTGTTTGTACAGCAGAGAACTGAAAAGCTCTTCTCCTTGACCTCCTGGGCTTTTTACATTGAATGGGATCGAGCTGAAGGCAACAGCTGCCTTGCAGATGTGCATAATTTACCCACATTTAACCAGCCTGCGCAGTTGTAGAGACATTTTTGAATGTGTGCCCTATTCCACGTGGTCAATCAACAGCCTTTGGTCTGTTGTGATGGCTTGGGCATGTACATCTTCCCTGTGTTACAGGCTGATGAAAACAGACTGAGAAGGATTTTAGCTATGGTGGAGGTAAAGTGAGGGTTTTAGATTGAGTGAGTATGTGACATCAGGTTGGAAGGAAAATGGGAAGTGTCATGGTCCCAGAATATAGGCGTAGAGTGATGTTTTGCAAACATATGCCTATGAAGGAGAATAATAGCATTGAAATAAAATGAGGCAAGACCAGGCTGATGTGTCTGGAAATTGGTATGAAAAAAGACTCATGTTACACATGAGGTGAAGTTGCAAATCTAACAATCACCAGAGGATGAACAGTCTTTTCAATGCATGCACATATCTCATTTCATATTGCACACATCTTATTTCTTATTACCTTATAATATACAAGGCAAAAAAAAAAAAAAAAAACCAGCCCACCAACCCACATAATATTTATCTTTTCTGGAATCCTATTGCCTGACCTAGACATGAAAATGCTCAACAGACTGAAAGCTGTTATTAAAAGCAGGTCACTTTCAATTTGTATGCACTTTAAAATTTGGACTTAAGTTACTAGAAAGTGATAGTTTTTACCTTTTCAAACTAATTAAACTAAAATATATTCAGCAGGGAGTTGCAGCACCAGTAAGAGATAGTGCTGGATAGTGTTTTTATTTCATGTTCTACCATCTATGTTTTATTTCAGTCTCTGATCAGCCATCTGCCAGCCACATCACCCCAATATTGGCAAGGGATTTGTTCAACCCCACAATTACTTAGTGAGACTGGCAGGCTGCTCCCCAGTGCTTAGAAAAGAATGGTTTTGAGCTTCTATCTAATTGTAAAACTGATTAGTTACACAGTCCTCATGGGTGACTTATAATCCCCATTTTAATACTTTGAGTTTGAAAATAGAAACTCTATAATAATATCAAAAGCTATTTTCATTTGTCCACTTAATTTATATTAATGGCTTGCTAAAATTGTTAACTGTTTGTAAGGAATCTTTCCAAATAGCATAGTTTACCATTTAGTTCAGAAAAATTGTAATTGAGGATTGCTTGAAACAGTATACATATATTTGAAAATATAAAAACCAATTATTCAAAAAACCCACCTATTATATAGCATGATATAAAATTGGAGGTAAATACAAACACTTGGGCAAAATAAATACCACCATGGCTAATGCTATAGCTATACTAAATAAACATAAATATATAAAAAGCAAATACATTGCACATATGTGTTTACAATTTAATCTGATAATGGTGCCTACGAGACGTCTTTACATAATCTAATAATTCGTTTTTGTCTAATTAGATACTTGCAGCTCTTTGAAAGATCCACTGAAGTAAATAAGCCTCCTTTAATTTAACCTGCATTTCCCATTTTCCCCCAATGTCCTTGGCCATGCCTCGAGATATCCAAAATATCTTGAAAACAACACAAACAGAAATGGAATCACACAGTATGACGTGACCTTCCTTATGCATGGCTAGCTCCCACTTGAATAAGGGAAGGGAATGCATAGCAATGCCAGCCTTCATGCACAGCTTCTGATTTGGTCCATGAATTATAGATGTACTTCTGAGGGGCCATTTCCCTTACGGTTTCTGATGCAAAAACAGTCGGTAAACATCTAACGCTCTTGACCCAGTATGTTAATCAGGCAGTAAGGTAGACATCAGTGGCCTCTCTATGCTAAGTTTAATTAACGGCATGTAAAACTGTAGAGCCCACATCTCCTCCCCTCAAACACTACATAATGGGGTACATGCTCCCATAAGGGCCCAAAAGTTTGTGTTTTCTAGTCATGAAGTTTTGCTCACTGTTATAAGGTCAGCCCATTCATTTCTCAGCAGTCCCTGTTCCCAACTGCTATTTAAGCTGTTAGTTCATTTAGTTCATCTGTCATGGGCCTGCTTTAACATGCTTGCCAAAGGCTCTGAGAACTGTTCCCACTCTGCTATTTCTTTGTGCTAATGAATCACTCTGAACTAGTGAGATATATCCCCACATTGAATAGAATGCCTTATGTGGATTCAGTATAACAAAACCAGGCCGAATACTTGCACCTGCTAACTCTGCTACATGGCCTGTTCCTTTGTGGGAGCACATGGGTATCCACATTCGGAGGAGAAGTCTTCTTGCTTCTTCAATACGCAGTGAGATATGGCACAAGGCCTGTGTCCAAAAGTGCCAAAGCATACCCACAAAATAAATAGTGAGAAGAACGTACATAATTTAAAGGTATTCCGAGTTCTGAATGCGTACAACAAACTTAACTTTTGAAGTTAAATACTCTCTTCAATATGACTAAAATTCTGATTTTTATGATCATTATTAATTTCACATTAAATTTCTCTAGAGTTCATCATCTAAATGGGGATAACTGGTCCACATGAGATTTGTGACCTCCATTGGCATATCATTTAGAAACTCAAAAACAGTATTTTTGTTTGTTTTTTACAGGAAACACCTTAGTGTCATATTTCTGCATTAATCATGGAATCTATTTTCATTTAAAACCCCAAACAGAAGGTAAGTATTTTCAGAAAAAGTGAATTACATACCTCTCCAAAATCTGTTACATGGAGACCCACAGAAAATACAGATAATATGCTATTTGTAGTCGTAGAATGTTCAGGTTAAGGACAGTACTGAAGCCATAGCCAGAATTTTGCCTAGCTTATAGGCAAATCTCAGTCACTTTGACTTAGAGATAAAAGAAAGATCCTGTTATATATTCTTGTGTCTAGAAGACATGTTCTTTTGACTCTCAGAATAAAGATCTGGAATAAAGTTCCTGTCTGTCAACTTCTATAGTAGCTTACCCTTTTATAGCTTCCTCTATGAATAACCGCCCCCATGGGACAAAGAGGCAGAGGGAGAATGGCCTGGAGTTGTGTACACCCTGTCTTGGTAGGTTTTGACTGTTCTCAATAAAATCCCCTGTTTGAACCTGGTAAAGCTAGATAGCCCTGAGAGGTGCAGGGATGACACACTCATGAGCTCCATGCAGTGTATGAATAGCATTGTGGCCACTTATGATTATTCACTCATTCATTCACCAAACATTTTCAACACTCTCTCTGTGCCAGGTGTTGCAAAAAGACACTGGGAACACAGCAATGAATAAGACAGATCCAATCTTCAGGGGCCTCTAATATCTAGCAGCACTCATCTACTCAATCCTGAGGAAGAAGACATTCACTTCCAGCTTTATCCACTGAACATTATGTAACTTTTCTGTTGTTTACAGAAAGATTGAGAACTGGAAATTCCCACCAACTGGCATTTGCTCTGTACTTATTAAAGCAAAGTGTTACGTTAGGTGCTTTATAGTATGTAAAGATGGTTATGATTCCCTGGGTGCATAATACGGTGAGAGAAAACATAGGGAGACACATGTACAGAGTGTGATGAGGAGAAAGTCCATCCTTTTCAGAGTGCCTCCCAAAGGAACAGGGATTAGATGGAACCCTTGTACAACTGTGTAGAGGGAGTTATGGTGAGACCATATATTAGGTCCTTTGTGAAGAAAGAGTAACTAGAGGAAAATGCACATTAAGGACTAATGGATTAAGGGAAGTTATAGAATATGATAAAATATAGAGCAAATCCAGATAGACTCTTACCATCCTATCCTGTAACTTCTCTGATCTTTCATGAAACTCCTCTTTGAACTCCCTCCTCCAGCCTCAGGAGTTAAATCAACAATCCCTAATATGCATTTTACTCTAGCTACTTTTGAGAATATTCTCTTCAACTTTAAAAATTGTCCTCATCATTCAGGGTTTTTCCAAAGCCTGGCCTACTCCACTGAGCCTTCCCCAACTACTGAACCAATATTACTATCTTTCTTTCTAGAATACATGTGATCCCCTTTGCTTCCTGAAACAATCATATACATACAGTTATATATACCGAATGCTTATTGGCTTGAGTTTTCTCTCTCCAGATGTTAAGTTACTTGAAGGAAGTCTTCCCATTGTTATATCTTCCATGATGCTGAGCAAGGCATGTAACGAGAACTATATTAACACTTATTGCTTTGACCAGACAACATATCTTAGAGCTGTACAATTTCCTTTCAAATCCTCATCAGCAATTCATTGTCTTACACTCTTAAGAGTCTTAATTAAATTTCTTCTTTCCTAGTATTTATTAACTACTCCTATGTACATATGCCAACTAGTCCAAAAGAGAAAGGAAACTACATAACTTTTATTTCTAGGGATGTGACTCAAGATTGTTCCAAGCCTAACCCAAGCCTCAGTTCTCAGTTTCATCAAGAAACATGCTTGGTTTCTTGATCCAATAAATTCACTGCACATTCTCCTATTCTTTGAAATAACTGAAATGGTGCAGTTTATCTGCAGAAGGCTTCTTCATTGAAGAAAATAAATGCATTCACCAGTAATTTTTCATTTCTGCAGTGTAACTATTTGAAATTTCAAGAACAATTCTACTGTTCAGCATCCCTAAATATCCCAACTACAAAATCCATACTTTAAAATACTAGTAAAAAATCACCCAGCTATCAAAGCGGGCACAAATTTTGAAGAAACACTAAGCATTTCCATTCTATGCACACTGCCCATTATATTTCTTTGAAAGCAGAAAAAAATATGATTTTTTCTCTTACCACCAAAATGCATTTGCAAATTGGCTTTAGAAAATGTTTAAATAATTATTCGATAGTGTGAATTTACAGAGACTCCAACACTGTTTTTCCCTGACAGATTGACAGTGCATTATAAATTCCAACAATTTATATTTTAAGGCCCCAGCTTCCTATGTCTGCCAACCATGTCCCAGGCTTGAGAAATTATGGTCGTTTAATCAGGGTTGAGCGTTTCCATGCTCAACCTTCAAGCAGTGATGCTGTGCCATGTTTTCACCAGTGATAGATGAATCCACTTACACTACCGCCTCCTGCGTGACAGTACTTTAGAAGTCCTGCTAAAGTTCACATTTCTCAATATATCAAAGTTTAGCAGCACAATGACCTTCTGATATTTGTTTTCAACAGTTTATAACCAACAGTTCGTTACTTTCCCAAAACGAAGCGGAAGAGAGCCAGTAGATGCTCACTCTAGCAGAGCAGGTGCCACAGCATATTCCAAGTCTGGAAATTGATTGCAGGGAATTCTGTAAAGAAAAGTCTAGGACAGTGTTAACCTCTTAAGCCACTAATGCCAGGAGAGCCAAAGAGTCAGAATTACAACCTTCTTATCTGTCTTTTACTGTATTGCTGAAAGGATGTATGAATCCTTTTCACGGCATTTTCTCGACATATAGTTAGTTATTTCTGTTGGACATTGTCACTCAGCCACCTCCCTTGGTCACAGCCATTTAATCGAAAACCTTCTAGGATAATCCAGAGATCTCAGCAGGGAAAACATATTTTCCTTTTACTTGGATTTGAACTCTAATAATATTTGGGCTTTCTCACTCTGATGAATGGCATGGGATTATATATGAGTCCAATAAGATTCTTTTTGCCACTCAAGCTAGAACTATAAAAATAATACCAAGTGGTTTTTGTTTTGTGTTTGTTTGTTTGTTTGTTTGTTTAACTCAATATCCTAATTTGTCTCCAGGGTCTCAACTTTTTTCTTTTTTTGAGACAGGGTCTCGCTCTGTCAACCAGGCTGGAGTGCAGTGGCACGATCATAGCTTACTGCAGCCTCGAAATCCTAGGCCCCAGTGATCCTCCCTCCTCATCCTCCCCAGTTATGGGGACTGCAGGCATGCACCACCACACCAGCTAATTTAAATTTTTTTCTTTTTAGTAGAGATGAGGCATCACTCTGTTGCTCATGCTAGTCTTGAACTCTTGGGCTCAAGCATTCCTCTTGCCTCAGCCTCCCAAAGCACTGGGATTACAGATGTGAGCCGCCACAACCAGCTTCAACATTCTAATGTAGAAAAGAAGCCCAATTAGGTATATCTACATAAATTAATAGTCACTAGCATTCATGTGGCAGCCACTACGCCCTCTTTCATTTAATTCACTCAATTTATCAAGGAAGTAGCTGGTGTTATCACCTTCATTTCACAGAGGAGGAGGCTGAAAAGGAAGCATCTGAGCTTGCCTGTTCTCCATGCTGTCAGAAAGTCACGGATGTGACTCATCTGCTGGGTAGCAGAACCTGTCTCTTGACCACTACCTTACACTGAGTATTTTTCACCAAGATTTAGCAGGAGAGGCACCTTAACCATCCACAGAATTCTTTCCTACCCCAGAGTTCACTCTGAGCCTGACAGCCTCAGAATGTATGTTTTTATTTTCCGGAAATGTGATCCCAAACAGGACCTAGCCCCACATCTGTCTTATAACACCAAGTATATGAAAGGAAAATGAGGGCAAGCACACCCAGAAATCCCTCCAAAGACATTTTGTGCAGAAGAACTGACTTTTTGCCCATTTATTTCTTTTCAGGAAACAGGGATTAATTGTGTCTGCCCAGTATGGCATGAAGGTTTCATCACCTGTGGTAACTCCAGTTGATTGAAGGTGGTTACATGAAGAGATATGTTGGAACAAATTGTGAGACACTGTTAGGGCTCTGCTGGCAAGTGTGGTTACCTATGAGTAATGACTACTATGGGTGCTGAAGGTGTGAGGGAAGGTGCAAGTGCTTAGGTATTTGCTGTCTATATCTTAAGTCTTCGGCATATAATTACCACGTGTCCTTGGGAAGAAGGGAGGTCTCAAAATCATCCCTGGATAATTTCTTTGGTTTTTCGCCTCTTTCCATCATTTAGTCTTTCTTTATCCCTTTCTGATATCTACTGTACATTTAATTAAGCTTAGCAGTATAGAGATAGAAAACAGGCTGCAAATATTATCCCCATACCTAACCAAGACTCTCATTTAAATCACTGGCAATGTAATTCTTGCTTGCCCCACACCATTGATTTGCATATTTTGGTGGGTAAAACAATCACCTGAGGACATGGTTTCAAATATAAGCTCTGGCTTTTACTCCCAAGAGATTCAGATTAGAAATAGATGCATTTGATCTGTATCTTAACTGAGATACATTTGATCAGTTTCAACTGAGATACATTTTGAAACTGATCTGCATTTAAAAGGCACTCTGAGTATCTGTGAGGCAGAAGACTTTGGACCATAATTTGAGCAACACTACCCTAAACTCAGATAAATTGCTCTTTTTACCCAGGAGCTGGGACAGGATTTAATATGAGCCACAGCGTCAGTCCTTCTGTCTACCTCCAGGGGAACTAGTACTCTTTTTTTTTTTTTTTTTTTTTTTTTTGAGACGGAGTCTCGCTCTGTCGCCCAGGCTGGAGTGCAGTGGCGCGATCTCGGCTCACTGCAAGCTCCGCCTCCCAGGTTCACGCCATTCTCCTGCCTCAGCCTCCCGAGTAGCTGGGACTACAGGCGCCCGCTACCACGCCCGGCTAATTTTTTTGTATTTTTTGTAGAGACGGGGTTTCACCGTGTTAGCCAGGATGGTCTCGATCTCCTGACCTCGTGATCCGCCCGCCTCGGCCTCCCAAAGTGCTGGGATTACAGGCGTGAGCCACCGCGCCCGGCCGGAACTAGTACTCTTGCAAGAAAATCACTGGGAGATGATTTAGGAGGAGGAGCACAACTTTAGGTTTGAATATGAAATTGGAACAAGTGTACTCATAGGCTCAGCATTCACTCTCTTATCCCAGTCCCCTCCTGCTTTTTGGCTTATTCTCTTTATTATTCATGCACAAGATGTTCCCTCTCTTTTCACTCTCACAGAATCATGCATTGTTTTGAGGTTGAAATTGTCTTTCTTATCTTTGTATTCCTTACAGTAAACACACATAATAAGGATTCAACAATATTTTTCAAAGGAAATAAAACATCAAGCCCAGGGGCCACTGATTTAATTGCTCTCTTGAGCAAGTCCATTCATGGCTCTAAATGTCTATTTACTATGGTTATTCATGATGTTGATGAATGTCTCAGCAACTACCATTAACTGAGCACTTCTACTCGATGCAGACTATTGTGTTGTGCTGAGTTTTACCTTCATTCTTCGTTTCACTTAGTCCTCATAACAATCCTTAGAGGGTGTCAACAGAGGCAACAAAAGGAAAGTGGGCAAACCTTTAATATGCAAGGTCTCTTCTCATTATGCAGAGAACAATGGCCACTGAACCTACATCCAATCAAACCAAGTCTGCTCGAGCTGCAGAAGTGCAAATCCTTGGTCCCTAGACATTAATCATTTCCATACATGAATGAGAAGCTTGTGGGGATAGGTAGTTTTATTTATAAGCCAACACATACTCACTCCCGCTCCCTCCATACATACACATAAGCTTCAGCCTTTTTAAGACACAAGGGTGTCTTTCAGTTTACCTACTTTTTTAGACCTGTGTGGATATAAGGATTACAGGTTTCCTGCCTGTCCAGGAAGAGTGATCACTTTGCTCTCTAAGAACTTAACTCCCAGGCTTAATTATTATGCGAGTGTGCAAGTGTATTAAGCATGTAGGCCAAAAGCAATTTAAAGTCTATGCTGCATTGACTTTCAAATTATTTCATTTCTAATTCAGATGCATGCTTTGTTAAGGCATTTATCACTGTTATATCATCAGCCAGATTGTTCCATGACTACAGTCCCTCAAAACCTCTATCCCCACCGGGTCCACATCAGGAGCACTAAATGACATCCCCTACCCTCGTACGTTGAGTCAAGCTTGGAGTCTCCTCCCCAAGTGCCTCACTTCATCTTTCGATGTATCTCCCACTGGTGGAAAATGTATCAAACACTGCATATCTCATCAGCAAGACCATTTGTTTCTCCTTACTAAGGCATTGTGGTGCTCCTAGAAAGGTGGACACAGTTTCACGCCCGCACTCAGAATTCCTTGAAACTAGTCAAATGACTTTCATCAGTAAATCAGATATTACTTCCTTGAATATGTTGGATTCTTAGAAAAATTAATGAATACAAAGATTCTATAGTCTTGGAACGTGAGGAATTAACAGATAACCAAAGCATCTTAAAGCCATACCTAATGTCAGTAATCTATCCCTTGTAAACGTAAATCTAACGATGTCTATACTAACAGCTTCTAAAGGACCAATAGTCCTTCCCCATCCAGACCTCTTAACCTCAATGAAGACTATTCCCACCATACATGCCACATATTAAACCTGTATCTGGGAGGAGGAGAGAGTTTCTGGGATATGGAGAAAGACAATATTTTTGCTGTTCCTTTGTCCTTAACATTTTTATTTTGTCTTGATATTTTTACTTATTCCATGATTTTGCAGCTAAAGAATGGAGTCGGAGATGGAGCAGAGAGAATATTTGGAAAATAACTAAAATTAGCAGGTATCCCGATGGAAAATATCATAGATTTGTGACAAAAGATGTGTGTCAGTGGGACTCAAGAAAACCTACAGACCCCTTACTATTAAAAATGGAACAGTAATCCCTGAATATCAGGGTTTTCTTGAGGATTAACTATAATAATAACATAACGGTGTTTGGTAAAGCTGGAAAGTAGCATATTCATTATTATGGATAACATTTTAAAAGGTTTAATGCTGAAATAAGCAACTCGATCTCCGAAAATTTTAATCTGGTTTTATCAGATCCTTTAAGCAAAAACAATGTTAAAATAAAATGTAATTTTGGCTTAAGGGGAAGATTTCCAACTATGGTGTGTTTGTGTGTGTGTGTGTGTGTGTGTGTGTATACTGGTATAAATCAATGAACATTCATTCTAGATTTCAATAATTTTACTAAAGAGAATAATGTTTGCTTTTGTTATTTGACAAGGGAGGTGGCATCGTAAATACTTCATTATGTTGCATTTTCTCATCAGTCTCTTTCTCATCCCAGCAGATGCAAACTGTGCACTTACAGTCAGTAGCAGAATAAAAAATCTGGGCTTTTGGTACTGATTTGGTATGACCTTCTTCTTTCTCATTTTGAAACCTCTTACTGCTGCCAGAGAAACCAACAACACTCTTTGCACTATGTTACACTCAAGGTAGCTGAAAAACTTCATCAATAAGTATCCTGAGGTTTAAGCCAACCAATAAAATTAAAGAAAAGAAAGTCATTACAGTAGGATGTGTGATTTAGGGCCAACATGAAAAGCAACGAAGAGAACTCTGTATGTCACTAATGGAAACTTGGCCAGTTCCTACCTACTAATAAATAATGTGCTGTTAAGCTGAGAGCTAAATATTTGGGTGAGGATTTGGAGATTCCAGAAATCCTGAAACTAATTAAGACATAAATATGAGGATCCTGAAAAGTTCAAGGATAGATTAGGGGGAATGAATGCACCAGCAAGATGACCTCACTCTCCAGCAAACAGGCTCAGGTGAGGTAGGACATTGAAATGGAACTGGGTCCCTGGAGGACATGAAGGAAGCTGAAACAGAGTGTGTGGGATCTAAGAAGGAAAAATTTGTATTTTTGTGTACTTTTGGTTTTCGATCCTTATACTGATCTACTTGTATCAAGAGGAATAGAATAAGTCAAGTTGATATGAGAAAAAAGAAAAGTGATTTTCAAGGGCTTTGGAGGGGGTGGGGGTACACAATGGTGCAATCGTTTCTGGCCACTCCTGAGCCAGCAAATGAGAAAAGAATCCTCAGGAGTGTTAATAGCGCCTGGAGTGCTGTGTGTGGAGGATGAGTGGGCTCAAGCTCAGAGATTTGCTTTTGTGTTTCATCTGAAACCAATCAGTAAGCGAAAAAGCAGAAAGCTCTTTTGGCATCTATTCCACCATTGACACTGGGAGAAGGAAAGAGGATTTATACATAGAGACCCCCATTAACACTAATGAAAAGTAGGCGGGTAAATCCCATGTGTACGAGGAGCAAACACTGTCCTTTGTGTGGGGGTAATTAAGAGCTAAAGAGAGCTTACAGTTGCTCACCACTGCACACATGCTCCTGGTGAAAGCTCCTTCACAGCAGTGTTGCAGTGGCTTTCTTTAGTTTCAATGGTTGCAGCCTAACAGTTGTTAACCATCTCTCGCCCTCGTTCCCCCATAAAGGAGTGAAAGGGAACGATGTATTGGAAATGACAGTATTTGACACTATTGGCAAAGGGGCTTTCAAGGAAAACGTACAAGCAAAGAAAGGAGACATTCAAAACGAACCTAAATTTAAGCAGAAGAGAATAATAAGTGGCTCAAGGGAAATAACCCTATACTCATAACATCCTTGCCAGCACCCAATCCTTTGGAACTGTGGCAGGAAGAGGAGCCATGTGTAAACCAAGAATATGGAATACTAGCAAGCACCACGTCTAAGGTCCAAAGCCATAAATATGGCAAGAAGATGCTCCAGTGATGGCAGGAATGGAGAAGAAAAGGTGAGAGCTAGGACATCATTCCATTTTTACTCTGCAGACCAACCCTGGAAATGTAGTTCTACATTCATTCTGAGTTCCAGAAGTATCTGAAGGCAGTAAAAAAAAAAATTATCTTTTCCTAGGGCAATGTTCAAGTCTCAAGACCAACTGTTGAACTTAACAGGTTGGACCCATATGAACAAAGAACAAAATGAAATTTTACATGTATGAAATGCCTGTGAAGTCTTTTATTTATTGATTTTTCTGATGAAACATAGGGAACCCTAGTGGATGTACAGGCTAGAAAGACATATTTAATTCAGCACAAGCTCAATAAGTATTCAGAGTATTTTTGTGTTTGATTACTCCAGGTCCTTGCACATATCCTATTGTATGTACGATATGATCTCAGCCTAATGATTGATTGAAGAAATACATGAGATTGAAAGATAAGTTGATTCACAATCGAACTGCCTCCTTATCTTGAGAGGAATCATCTGTTTTGCTTTTCATAGTTTTGATCTAGAGTGTAATTTCCATTCTAAACAACAAAATTTTAGAGAAACATTGATAAACAATGGTCCAGGAAAGTGAGATGTCTATGAAGAGTATTATATAAAAATCCACTTGAATGAATTGAAGAGAATGTTTCTAGAGTAGCTAATACTCAAGACCAAAAAAAAGCAGCTTTTGCATAGTGAAAGGTTATCATGAAGAATGGAAACTTTTTTTGTGGATGAGGCACCTTCATTATTAGCAGTTATTAACAGTTTCAGCTGCTTGAACAGAAAGACTCAATATAACAGAGTATGAACTAAGCAGCTCAGAGCTGATATGGCAGCTGCATGTTATTTGGGATCAAGGACCTTTCTGTTTGTTCTCTAACACTTCTCAAAATGTCTCCATCTCCTGGTCCCAAATGGCTACTCCCATTTCCACTGTCACTTCTACACTCTAGCCAGCAGAAGGGAAGAAAAAAAAGGGAAAGAAAATATACTCCTTATCTTTAAGTGCAGGATCTAAAAGTTTCAAGCGCTTCCTTTCACATCCATTGGTCAAAACTTACTTACATGGCCCTGATTAGCTGCAGGGGATAATATGAAATGTAGATTTTAGCCTCCACTTCTATGGAAAATAGGAGACTCAATAATAGCAAAAAAAAAAAAGTGGCTATTTATTTTACTGTCACATATATAGCACATACATCATTAGCTAGAAGTTTGTGAATGATTTCAGGTAGGTAACTTAACATCTCTATCTCAACTAATTTTAAGAAGGGATTTCTAGCAATTAGATATATAAACTATAATATTGATATATATGTGTTACATGTAAAATGTGTATTATATTCATAATGCTCATAACAGCATTATTCATAATAGCTAAAATGTGGAAACAAATCAAATGCCCAACTGATTATCACACAACTGATGAATGGTAAATAAAATGTGGTATATTTATAAAATAAAGTATTATATGGCAATAAAAAGGAATGAAGTACTGACACATACTAAAACATGATGAAATTTGAAAAACATGCTAAAGAAGCCAGCTACAAAAGATCATATATTTTATGATTTCCTTTATATGTACTGTCCAGAGAGTAGGCAAATCTACAAACACATAAAGTACATTAGTGTTTGCTTTAGGTTGTAGAGGACTTGGTGACAAACTGAATAAGAGTGTTCTCAAATGGATTCTGCTTGTAACAGTTGTGCAACTCTGTGAATATACTAAAAAGTACTGAATTGTCCATTTTTAAATGGATAGATGTAATGATAGTTGAATTAGATTTCAATAAAGCTGTTTTTAAAAAGTTAAAAAATGCTAATATTCTATAGCAAAGATCTCATGTAGGTTACATCTGACTCCAGTATGCAGCCCAAAAAGAAAATATAAAGGTTTTTAATGAATAAACTTACATATGTGAACCACCCGTTTTTAGGAAATATGAGAGATTTGTCCTAAACGTGAAAAATCTGATTTCACTTGTCACATGTTAACACCTGCACTAAAGGTGTGTGTGTGTGCATGTGTGTGTGTGTATGAGTGGGAGGAAGGATATATGCAGAAACATGTACTATGTCCAGCTTCCCTTTTCTCTAGCCACTCAATAACACTTAATATTTTTGAGTGCATATACCAAGAACTATACTAAAAATATCAAATACATTATCTCACTTAATCTTTATAGAAATCTCATGAAACTACAAATCTGAAGACTAAAAAACGTATGCATCTAGCATGAAGTTACTTAGGTAGTAGGTTAGATAGCTGGGGTTTGAACTCAGATTCACCGAGTTCAAACGTTGATCAACTTGCAATATCACATGCAACTTCTATTATGCAAGGTGTGCAGTGAGAGTTCAAGAAAGTCCCTTGGTGCATATTACCAATTTGAAAATATGGAATGATGTTGGAAATGTGTGAAGATGATTGATTCATTGAGCTCTTTCATTGGCCCAAAGACTTTCTTCATTTAATTTTGTGTGTGTGTAAGAGAGAGACAGGGTCTCACTCTTTTGCTCAGACTGGAGTGCAGTGGCATGATCACAGCTCACTGCAGCCTCCATCTCTCCAGTCTCAGGTGATTCTTCCACCTCAAACTCCTGAGTAGCTGAGACTACAGGCTCATGCCATCACACTCAGCTAATTGTGTTTTTGTTGTTGTTTGTTTGATTTTGTAGAGACAGGGTGTTGTTATGTCACCCAGGCTGGTCTGGAACTCCTGGGCTCAAGCCATCTGCCCACTTTGACCCCCCACAGAGCTGGGATAACAGGTGTGAGCACTGTACCTGGCCACTTCATTTAATTTTTAGTTGATAAACTTATTTTTTAGGGCAGTGTTAGGTTCACAGCAAAATTGAACAGTAAGTACAGAAGATTTCCACATACTTCACCTCCCTAAAACACTCAGCCATCCCTATAGTCAACTAGAGTGCTACATTTGTTATAGTTGTTAAACTAATGTGGACACATCATTATCACCCAAACTCCATAGTTGACATTACTGTTCATTCTTTGTGTTACATATTCTGTGTGTATTGAAAAATGTGTAATGACATGAATCTACCATTATATTATCATGCAAAATAGTTTCACTGCCCTGAACAATCGTCTGTGGTCTCCCAATTTATCCTTTCTCTACTCCCCAAATCCTGGCAACCATGGATTCTTTTAGTTTTGCTTTTTCCAGAATGGGATAGTTGAAATTAAACAGTATACAGCCTTTTCAGATTTACTACTTTCCCTTAGTAATATGCATTTAGGGATCCTCTTGTATTTTTGAGGCAGGGTAGATTATTTTTTAGTACTGAATAATACTCCATTATATAGATATACCACGGTTTATCCATTTCCCTGTTGATGGACATCTTCACTGATTCCATATTTTGACATTATAAAGAAAGTTACTATAAACACACAAGTTCATTTTTTTGTGAGGATATTCATTTTTAACTGATTTGGGTAAATACCAAGGAACATGATTGCTGGATTATATGGTAAGAATATGTTTAGTTTTGTAAAAACCTGCCTCTCAAGAGGTGGTACCATCTTGTACTCTCACTAGCAATGAATGAGTATTCTTGTACACCCATCCTCACAAGGATTTAGTGTCACTGTCTTGGATTTTTGCCATTCTAATAGGTGTTTTTGAGTCCTTATTATTGTTTTAATTTGAAATTTCTTGATGATGTATGATATTGGGCATCCTTTCTCATGCGTATTTGCCATCTGTATTCATGAATATGTATTCATTGATGAGCTGTTTGTTCAGATCTTTTGCTCATGTTTTGGTTGAGTTGTTGGTTTTCTCCAAGGATTTTTTTTTTAATGTTTAAACTAGAAGCATGAGCTGTTAGACTCTCCTTTAACCCAGAGATGTTATAGATAAGACACTAGCCTTGAAAATACTAATTATCTATTTTTTAAAGAATTAGAACAATTGAGATAGGGATTGCCTTGCATATATGGATTGACAAGATGGTAACTAGAGGCTATAATTTACTTTTCTTTGGGATGCCATCCCAGACTTAATAGAATAGCAGATTTTAAGGCAGACCTAATTATCATAGACCTACCTATTCAAAATAACTTGGTCATAAGGAATTTACTGAATTTAAGCTGTGACCATCAAGAAAATATAGTATCCTGGAATTTCAATAGTAGTCAGGATCATTTTCTAGACTCAAGATGTTAAGGGATCAGCAAACACCGCTTTTCCTGGGCCACAGAAACTTTATTGAAAAGCCTGTGAAATTATCTTCTCTACTCCAAAGATATCGTCTAGGTCTTGTCTTTCTACTCCTGTCCTGAACATTCAGTTTAAAGCAGTCCATTTTACTCTATTTGGATTTTATTAAAAGGCTTTGGAATACCTCAGCAACGCTGACCTAGAAACTCTTCATAGTGTTCTGCCGTTTGTAATCGTTTCTAGTCTACGCTCTGTGATGCCGTGGAAGTTCAGCTCTGAATCAAGCTCAGCCTAAAGTTCTAGAACATGGTACCACTTTTGGTTCCACCAGCCTCCATTTCCCGATTGAGAATAGGACAATGAGAATCGGAGTCAGGGACAACACTATGTTATTAACTTTTGACAATCAGAGTCAGCTTTTGGAGAATAAGTTACCTTTTTATGAAACTCAAATTAAATTTGAACAACATCAGTAATGCCAACTTGACAGAGTTTAGGTATGGTCTGACGAAAAACACTCACTATTTTTAGAATACTTTTCATATTTAAATACCAGTACTATGATTGAGTTGGTTAAACATGATCAAAGGGTGTGTGTGTGTGTGTGTGTGTGTGTGTGTGTGGTGTATATAAATATTTTATAAATATAAAAAGATAAATGCGTATAACTTTTATTTTTATGAAAATACATTTATTGTTTCCCATAGGTTCGCCTTTCCTACAGAAAACCCAAATTCTTCAATAGCTAAAAAGGTTTACTGTACTCTTGTTACAAACATGATCCATGTTTCTATACCTATATTTAAGTATGAGAACAGCCAACTACGGAAACACTTTGGCCATTCCCGTCAGTGCAATGTGGAGTCCCACATGGGCGCCTTCTGCTAGTTCACCCCCTGGTGGTAACACAAAATTCATTCATGAGCTATGGCACCATTTCTCCTTTGTAGTCCTACCCACTAACATCTGTCAGATACTACTCACTTTTCAAAGCCCAACACCCATAAAGTTATATATCAAAAGCTTGGAGGTCCAAAATTTCAGGAATCTTGGTTCTAATGTAAAGCAAAGTATGTCAAATGGAACATAGTAATACTTGCTCTTACCATCCTTTGATTCAAGTGAATTTAGTACAGGAATGCATAGGCAATCTCTTTAACAATTGTTCTAATTTTCCCTCAATATCATTTTTTGCTAATCTTATCTTTTGCTTTTCTGATTTTAAGTAACCTCTTCTGTTTTTACAAACTGGTTGGGCCTTTAATATATTTATTATTTCCACAGCTACAGTTTTTCAAGCACCGCTGTCATGGATAAAAATGCATAGTACAGATAGCAGTTTATTCAAAATAAAACATTAATGGAAACGAAAAGCTTGAATTGTATGACACAGCTTGTATGAAGAGTTTGATGTGTTATCTTTAGGCCTTTCAGACATTTCATAATCAGATGCTCTTCTAATACTGAACACCCTCCCTTGGCTATCTCCTCATCTGTCCTATGAAACCTGGTTCTCTAAATGCTTCTGTTATCCAACTCTCTTTATATAAACTTCTGTTGTTAATTATTAGAGCAAATATTAAAAACTATTATAGATATTCGTGATCCTGTCATTAGGCAAATCTTTGGCCAGCCTCCCTCATCATGATTTCTTTCACATTTCAACAAAGATTAATTTTGCCTCTGTTACACCAGCTCATTTAAGGTCTATTTCTTGAATCAATATCAATCGTGTAAACGTGGTGTGGTCCTGTGGGATTCAAATGAGTCCAAATGATAATTGAGCTGCTCTATTCCCAGAATTTGGCACCCACGGTTTTGTCTTTCTTCATCAGAGCAGAGACATAAGCAAAATCAGTGATAAAGAGCCATGACTATTCATACAGGCAGTTATAGGCCAATAGTGGTAAAGTAATACTCTATTTTCACAAGCGTTTTCCAATAACTACATGCTGGCTTATCAAGTTAGGTAATAATTGCTGGTAACAGGAAACATGCTTGTACTCAAACCTTTATTAAATAAGAATCTGTTTTTCCTTCTCCTTTTATACTTAAACAAATTATAATATTTTATCTACTTAAACATTTCTTTTGTTCCAGGCTCTCTTATAGAGATACCTGATCATTTATTAATAAACACACAAAAGCAATTTCTTCTTTATACTGAAACTACCTGGAAAATATTTCACATTAAAAAGAGAAATTATTCTTGTTGATAAGAAAACATATCCCCAAAAATCATTTTGTGCATGTAGCTTATTGAATCGTTACCCTATGGCAATTTTCTTTTAATCATATAATCCATGTCTTTGTGCAAATGAAAAAAAGGAATATAAAAACTATTGCTTTATGTTGCTTTAGTAAATATCTCTGTTCCCTCAAGATCAGCAGCGACAGTCACTTAGTGAAGTTACAGTGGTGACAGGAATTGTTAAGTTGTCCTATAACAAAATAATGTGAACATATTTCTAGAAACTAGCATTTTTCCACAATCTGTATTTGCTGAAGTTGTAACATTTAATGGGCTATTGCCCAAGCTTTTGCAGTGAGGTTCTAATTAACTCACATTCCCCCAGTGATTCTGTTATTACAGATAGAAGTAATATTTCATGCAGTAATATCCAACTCTGTAGCCAGAGGTTGAGAAATCTAGACTATGCATCAAAATTTTAGTTCAATAATCATGTGCCATTAAGTTGCTAAGGCAGGTGATGAAAAGGCATCAGATTCTCTGCGTGGTCAGCTACTAACATGTGCTCGTGCACGGTATTTCTTCTCTTGCTCCATGGGGAAATAAACACACTGATTTGAATAAATTGGAATTTTTGGAGCTATAACAGACCTCAGAAATAGCCAAACTAATTTAACTTAACCTTCTCATTAGGAGGCAGTCTTACATAATGGATATTGGGAAGAGTTAATGAGATCGTATACATAAAGTGCTTAGAACAATGTGGGCACAGGGTAAGGCCTCTGGACAAAAGCTGTTTGATAGATGAGGAAGCAGGCAAGAATATGTGGGTGGTTTTCAAAAGTCATATAAATTAGTTAACAAATTCATCAAAGGTAGAACTCATTTTTTCTACCTTCTAATCTAATGTTCTTTTCACCATACCACAGAAAGACACATAGAAGTCCTCCACTTAGTTCCATCTAGAGTAGCGAAATATTTCTTGAAAAAGCTATTGCGATATACTTGTGTGAATTTTATTAGCACATTACATTTAGAAGGAATATAATTAATTTGATAAGTCATTTGATCTTTAGATTATAAATTAAATCTTACAAACTTCAAATTCCATTGTTAGGAATGCTCATGTTTCAGCTGTACCATATATTTTTTAAGAAAATGACTTATCTTTATTTCTAAGGCAAATGGCATTCCATTGATTATAATTGTTTAAAATATTTATTTTTACATATTTAAATTAAATCACCACCGATTATTTCAGAATACCTGAGGCACACTTATTAGTCACTTTGCAAGTATTTACTGAGTGAGTGCTTTTGGCTCTACTGGGCACGCTAGGAATCATAAGAGCCGGGAGGATTTCTCTTGATCAAGAAGAGCAGTTTGATATCTAATGAGTAGATGGTCAGTTGGATAGAAGAGTAAGACACAATACAGTATTATCCTTATCACTGTTTGCTGTTAAAACCAAACTAGTTTTAGCCATCTCCATAATCACTGTTGGATGTCCATCACAATGATTCACCTAGTATCCCTTACTCTATAAAACACATGATATAGGTAGGTTTCTTCCATATTAAGATAACATGGCTTTACTGCTATTTGGAAGAAAACAGCAAATTTTCTATAGTTCTCCTTTTATGATTTATATGGTACCTTTAACACAACCAGGAGAACTCTACAGAAAAAGTGTTGGACATTGCTCCATGCCTGTTTCTGAGCCCCTCAGATAACATCTTAACGAATTCTACTTAACCACAGCTTACCTCTCAGTTTTCTTGTCAGGTGATTAGAATGGGGATGAAACTAGTTCAGACACCACCAAGAAAATATTGCTCAGTAAAAAAAAAAAAAAAAAAAAAAAAAAAAATTACCTCTAAAAATATCTCCAATGTAAGTAGGTCAGTGTGACAACTCCTTAATAGATAAATTGACTCCAACATTCACTGTGGTCTGGCTCCCCATTTCTCTCTATCTCAAAGCCTACTAATCTCTCGTGCTAGGCTCTTCTAGCCACATGAACCTTCTTGCCTCAACATGCCAGGCACAAGGGGCTATGTGCTTTCTGCTTTTTCTTATATTTGGAAACCTGTCCTTCAAATATGCACGTGGCTACTCTTTAGCTCTTTGCTTAAATGTCAGCTTTCTGGTGAAATTTTTCCTGACTATCCTTTTTAAAATTATACCATCATCAACACGCATTACCATGCCTCTTCCCTGCTTTAGCCCTCTTCAGAGCTCTTACCAGAAATTAATGTATTCTATTTTTTCTTATGTATTTGATTGATTGATCTATGTGTATATTTATTACCATTAGAAAGTAAACTCCAAAGGGCAGAGATTTTTCTGCTTATATCACAGGTACTCCCTAAAAGAGTATACGGCACACACTAGGTGTTCAATAAATATCTAAATAAAATGTCTTTTCCTCCAGATTTCACTTGTTTCTGAAACACTCTTCCCTCAGTGGAGACTCAGATCAGCAGGTAATATCCTATTGACTCCAACACATTAGTAAAGCATGCTCAGAACAAGAAGGGCTCAAAAAATATTTTGCTTCATGTATTATATTTTTATTCACCTATATTTGTTGTCAGTTTCCAAACCCTTCCCCAGCCCTGCTCCTAAATACACACATTAGAATGAAAATTCCTTGAGAGAAAGGATCTAACTTGTTCACCAATGAATGTTCAGTAGAGAACAGTGACTGCATGCACTATATTTTAAACAGTATATAATGAATTAATAGGTTGGTGCAAAGGTAATTGCAGTTTTTGGCATTACTTTTAATGGCAAAAAATGCAATAACTTTTGCACCAACCTAGTAAAAACAGACTGATATCCCTAGAATCTAGAAGGAAGTATGAGTAAGTTCCAGGAACTGAGATTCTGGGCCAAGTTTACCATTTTATGCTGTTACTTCTCTACACAAATTCTATGCTCTGAACATGTTGACCTTTTCCAAACGTAATCCATAATTTTTATTGTCATGATTTTGCTTCTGCCATTCCACTTTCCCAGGGAATTAAAACCTGACCTCAGTCTAGCTTATGACAGTATTTCATATGCTTGTTGATCATCCCTCACGTGAATCCTTCTTCCATCGCCTCATCATTCGGCATCACAGTGGTCTTTTCATTAATGAAACAAGTAGCACTTAAGTGACTTGCTTTTAAAAAGGGATATGGGGAGGCATTGGTACCAAAGGATGATAATATGTACAAGAATGGGTGTCTTGTTCATTAACTAACCTCAGGAGTACACAGTTTGTCACTGTTTGTAAATCTTGTGCTAGTATTCATTGGCCATATTTTATTTGCCTGACCAATAACCTCCAAAAAACACTTCTTTCACATGAAAAGACTCAGGAAAGAATCAGGAACAAGGTGTCAGCTCCTTCCCTCAGAAAAGAGCATCAGTTCCAGGACCCTATGCCAGCACCCATCTCTTGACAAACTATACCTTGAATCTACCATTTTAATGTTCTTTCTGCGCTACTTAAACATAGTCAGAATGTCCCAAATGAAAAATTGTAACTTTCCAGTCAACCTCGATGGATTGTCTTTCTCCAGAACTGATTCTCCTCTGAAAGTTGTGGGTTGTTGCTCTTTAGTCTCACAGAAAAATTAAGACCCCAGAATTCCAGAGAAGATTTCAGACTGGCCCATCGTGGGGATATTTATATCACATAATTCCTGCTGACAGAAACTACACTCTTTGATGTGCTTGGCAAGAAAAGATGGAGTGCTCATAAGGCACAATGGATCTATCCATCCTTGTTTCTACCCTGAGCAGTATAACATGTTTCTGTAGAAAAATGAATGAGACTGCTTCAAAACACATTAAATTTATACTTATTCTATTTTGGTAGGGAGGCCAAATAATCTATAGTTTATTATTGTTGACCTTTGTGTGTATGATTTTGAAATGTTAATTTGTTTGTATGAATATATATCAACATCCCTGTGTATGAGGATAAAAAGATTATGCACTAATCATATATTGTGCACACCCCCCCACAGGCACAGTCTCACATGAAGCATAGGTATCACTTATATAACTTTCATGTATTTTGGTTTTGAACTGTGACTAGTTGTCTACATATACTAGCTTATAATTTCTCTATAAACAAGACAGTATTTTACATCCCTTTGATTTCTCCACTGAGATTAGCAGTGTTTGGCAGATAGATGTTGGGTGAGTGATCAAGTTCAGCAGGCAGGTGAATAAAGTAAGGCAACCAGAAAAACAGCCTTTGGAACTTGACACTCATAACTGTGTTTCCAATTATTTGTTGTTCCTTGTAGTTTTGTGGTGTATTCAGGAAGAGTCACTGAATGATTTTCAAACTATGCTTTTCCTTTCCAATTTAATCTCTTACTTTTCATTTAAATTAGAGAAATGTTGCTCTCTGAATGAGCACCATGATAAAAGTAGGAGGATAATGTACATTCAAGAGAAAATAAAATTGGGATCACATACATTCACTGAGTACAGCATTCACTTTGACAAACCAATATTTTTCAAGTTCAATGCAGGAGTCCTCAGGCTGTTGATCATACAATGAAATCCTCTACCCTAGAGGAGTAGCAGTATATTGTACACATATGTAATACCCTCAAAGAGCTTCAGCCAAGTGACATTTCTAATATAAGCCACGGGCAACATCTAGCAATGTGTATGGAATTGCTTTGTAGCCAGAATTTCAGGAAAATCAAATGAGTTAACATTTTGTCACCATAGAAATCTCATTAGTTATGATTTTTTGCTGTTTCTCTACTCTATTTTTCAATAGAATGCAATTCAAGACTGAACTGAAGTGGCCAACAGTTACTAAAGACTTAGAATTTTTTTAGAAACCCTTAGGAAAGACATGGATTTGGAAACATTTGATACAATTTTAGTGTGTTTAGAGGTATCTTCTCTTTCTTTCTCCTTTCAATTTGTTATTGCCATAAAAGAACATTTTGCTCTGAAACAACAATTCTAATCTAAGAAAAGAGAAGAGTTCTAAGAGAATCAAGCTGAATTAACTTCCACGCAAGAGTAGTTCTTCAAAATTTTCATTTGCATGTAGACAGCATTGTGGTGAGTTTGGAGACATCTCTTATTCCAAAACTCAACTATGGGTCGTTGGTGCAGTGGCATCTTCTAAATGACATGATCACATCCAAATTGTATGGGCTAGAGGTCAGTTGCTCTTACAGCATGCTTTTAAAATTAAAAAGACACTGACCACTTAGCTTTGATCTATAATTTCAGTTTCACAGAAGAGTGGAGACTGAAGAGCTAGAAAACCTAATAAGAATAAAATAACATCATGAGTTTATTTTTGGCATTAACTGAATACAGATTTTTGATTTGTTTAAGCCTTTAAATGCCATCCCAGAGACCCACTGAGAATGGTTTTATGTTTATGCGAAGCATTAAAAAGTTAAAATTTAAAAATAATAAAATAAAATACTGATTATACTTTGAAAGACCTGAGTGTTTTTATTGACAAAACTAAATGAAATGCAAAAAGTAAACACCACAAGGGATAAAAAAAAAATGGATTATATGATCTTGTTAGGTTTTTAGGAACCTAGACTTCAGTGGTATCACAGTACAAAGACTAAGCAATATTCCTACAAGAACCAAAGCCCAGTGTTTGTTTTTTAAGTAACAAGACACAAAAATTTGTTTATATTTCTGTAGCCCTAAGAAAGTTACAAACAGGCACAAAAGTGCAGCACAATAATGAACTGTATTTTCAGCTGTTTAGGAATTATTTTCTACACATTCATAAGGGTAAGATTTATAGTCGTTGTACTTGCTTTTTGCATACTTGTAGCTTGCAATCATAAGAACTGTTTAGGGAATATTAACACTTATCTAATAGTAGAAAAAACAAAATATATATATTTAGTTGGTTTCAGTAAGTGTGTGGGATGACTGATCAAAGATATTTTAAGCAAAAACAACTGTTTGAATATATAAAAATAAAATATAGTATTCAAAATGCAGTCATTTTCAGTTACATACATTAAGATAATATACACTTTGTAAAAATCTTAGCTCTCTTTTCCTATTGCTTGTCTAGTCTGTGCTTTTAATGTAAGCCTGAGCAAGATATAATTAAAAAGTTAAATCAAATGAAAAATACTTTTAAAACCAAATTTTTTAAAAAAAATGTAATGTAGATTAACGATTTGAGATTATTGCTGCTGATAGCACAAAAAAATTGGAAGTTGAATTTACAGTGTTGTCTTACATACAGAAAAACTTTGCATGCTATTTCTTCAAATGTTCTGTGCCAACCAGATGTCAGTGGAAGACATCCTGCCTTTGATATTTGTACCAAACTGTCTTCAGTCCTTTGAGCCATATCCTTGGAACAGCCTGATGTCCTCCACAGAACATCACTTTATCCACTGGTTTCTTCCCTTCTCTTTGCTCTGTTCCACACTAAACCACCTGTGCAATCAACTCTACTCTTTGTTTCTCCTCAAAAGCCAGACATCTGTGCATTTCACGTCCTTGTTTAAGATTTATGGCCATGTTAAGGTATATAATCACAAAACCCAAACAAATCCAAATTAAACAATAGCTATTGCTATTCTTAAATGGCTTTGGCCACCTATCCAAATTGCTTAGCCTCTTCTCCTGTTTAAAACTCCCATAAACCCCATCTCCCTTTCTTTATTTTGCCTTGCTTCTTAGCTTTCTATTGATCAGATCTCTGAGCCTATCTTTACCTTTCTAATGTGCTTTAAATTTTTTCTTAGTTTAACAGCATTGAAGAAATAGTGAAAGATTGCAGATTTAACCTTTCCTTTCTACTACCCACCAATCTCTTTGTACAGAGTAATACAAAATTATTTGCCAACAAAATAAATTTGACACCTTTCTTCCTTCCTCAAAAGGCAGAAAATGTCACAGGCAGTGTTAAATAAGAATTAATCGTATTCTATTATACACATATCCAAGGGCAGTTGAGAGGCATTTAGAATTTGCAGGATTAGTTGATAACTATGAAGATGACCAAAATAAATTGACTGACAGTTAAAAGAGCAGAACAAAATATTCTGAAACACACCCTTCCATCCCCTTGATCCATAATTATTTTACTGAAAAAGGTCCTACATGTGCTTAAAATATCCCCCGTGCTAATTATCTTTAGTCCTAACTGTTATTCGGACATTAAATTTCAGTGTGACTGTCACTTCTCATGGATGTTGCAAATAAACCCCAAAATTGGGGCTTAGCCCAAGGAGGTTCTTGGATTCGCTGAGGAAAGAATTGAAGAGCAAGCTGACAATGAAAGAAAGTTTATTAGAGCAACAGAGGATGGCAAAATAGCTGCTCCAAGGACAGTTTAGTGTTAGCCCATATGCAGAATGACCCATAAGCAGAATGACTCTTGGATTACTGGCTAGCTGCATTTATACCCACTCTTAATTATAGGCTAATTAGGGGGTGGATTTTTCACAAACGTTCTGGAAAAGGGTGGGGAGTTCCTGGAACCATATAAAGTGACTTCCAGATTGTTGCCATGGCATTTGTAAACTGTCATAGTGCTGGTGGGAGTGTCTTGAAGCATGCTAATCCATTATAATTCACGTATAATTAGCAATAAAGGCAACTAGAGATTGCTTCCATCACCTTTGGTCCTAGCTGGTTTTAGCCTATTTCTTTGCTACATCCTGTTTTGTTCAGCAGGGTTGTGAATGGGGATTGGAAAACAAGTTCTGCTGATCTCCTACCTCATAGGGAATCATTCTTCATTTTGAAGTCTGGGTTAATTATTTTCCCTCTAGACTTCCATATACAGTGTGCATTTCTCTCTTGGTATTATTTTCAACACATTTTAAATGCCCTGTTTTATTATAGTTAGTTCCCCTCCCTTAAAATGAGATGCTGCCTGGCACATAATGGATATTCAAAATAGTTGCTGTATAAATGAGTAAATAAAGATGTAGAACAAAAATGTCAGAATGATAGAATAAGGCCGACAATATATAAAATAGCCAAGAATAAAACTCATGGCTGGGCATGGTGGCTCAGATCTGTAATCTCAGCACTTTCGGAGGCCAAGGTGGGTGGGCTGCCTGAGGTCAGGAGTTTGAGACCAGCTTGGCCAAGGTGGTGAAACCCCATCTCTACTAAAAATACAAAAATTAGCCAGGCATGGTGGCAGGCACCTGTAATCCCAGCTACTCGGGAGGCTGAGGCAGGAGAATCACTTGAGTCTGGGAGGCGGAGGTTGCAGTGAGCCAAGACTGCGCCATTGCATTCCAGCCTGGGTGACATGGGTGACAAGAGTGAGACTTCGAAAAAAAAAAAAAATCTCACATTAACCATTATTCATTATCTATCATAGGACTTTGTATTAGTCCATTTCACACTGCCGATAAAGACATACTCAAGACTGGGCAATTTACAAAAGAAAGCAGTTTATTGGACTTATAGTTTCACGTGTCTGGGGAGGCCTTACAATCATGGTGGAAGGTGAAAGGAACGTCTTACATGGCAACAGGCAAGAGAGAGAATGAAAGCCAAGCAAAACGGGTTTCCCATTTTCAAACCATCAGATCCTGTGAGACTCATTTACTATCATGAGAACAACGCAGGAAAGACCAGTCCCCATAATTCAATCTCACTGGGTTCCTCCCATGACACATGGGAATTGTGGGAGTTACAACTGAAGATGAGATTTGGGTGGGGACATAGCCTAACCATATCAGACTTTAAGTCAACATTGGCTATTTCCTTAGATAGTCTGTCTTGTCCTGTCTTTCAAAATATATGTCACTCTACTGTTCAAAGCCCTTCAAGAATTAAGTTAAAAAGTAGACAGAGAATGGAAAATTCAATTGTTTGTTTTAACTAGCATATCCATATCAAGTAATTTCAACAAGCTTCATCTCTATATAACATCTTTATACACTAACTAACCAGTAATTTTGTCTATCTTGGTAATAAGGTCTATCATGGGGCTATAAAATTGCTATGCAAGGATATTTAAAAGTAACTTTCTGAAGAATATTCATTTACAGAGAATTAATGGTCAAGACCATCTGAAATATGTCCAAAAAACACACGGAAAAAAGTATATAATTGAGGAAAACAGTGCAGTGATATATTAAGGTCTGCCAAGTTTCCCATTATAGCACCAGGTGAAATGCTCCCTCGAGTATCACTTGGCATGAAAGAAATCAAACCAGAAGGGAAGCTAAACATTCAAATTGGTTCATGGTTTTATGAGTTATAGAAAGACATTAAAGAAAAAAGATATGGAAAGTTGTAATTTTTCTTTTTAAAATCTAACTCCTATTCTTTTAAAGAGTTTATTTTGATATAAGACATGAATCTAGTCTATTCTCTGACATCATTAGACTGTGCGTGGTCCAATGTGTTAGGTAAAAATAAAGCAGGCACTTAAATGGCCTGGATTTTGAGACCACCATGACTTGAGGACTGCAAAGGATGGTGGAAAATCAACAAAAGCTTTTCAAAATATTTGTATGACAGAATTAAGTTTGGGAAAAGCAATATTTATGTATGAAAAGACACTTCTCACTTATAAACACGCACCTTTATGGTATGCAATTTATAGAATATTTCAAGCCAAATGTGGAATTAAACACAAACTAGTGAATTATTTGAAGACTATTTCTCAGTTTGGAACTAAAATCCCTTCTAGCCATTAAAAATAAATGTCATAGACATGCTCTAACAATACTGCCATCTATCTAGTTCCTTGAAAGCTGCAACATTGACATCTATTCTCTTGAGATTACTGACATGCTTTCTATTCTTGAAGGTTTCAACATTTAAATGAAATATTTTCATTTATTTTACCTTTATGGTTTTAGAACACTCTACTGAATTCACAGTCTCCTTCACATATTATGGTATATAATGTTGAACTCACTTTGGCTCAATCATAGGAGTCCCTTTGCTTGTTTCCAACTTATATTAAATAAGACTTTTAATTTCTTTCCTATTTGTTTCTGAAGTAGTTATCAGTGGGAAAATAAGAGTGCTATAAAATATTTAATACATATATTATTCTTTCCAAGCACATTGGTAAAATTTTACAAGTTATAATGAGATATATTGGCAAGTTAAACATGTACATATAAATAATGCATTGGAGACAGTGACTAATTATCAAGTAGTTAGGTAATAAAACCTGAAAATTGTTTCACATGCTACATCCAGCACTGAATCTTTCTTTGAGTTGCATGGAATGCCATCACATTCTGTGCCTTAATTTCCTACCTAAAATCTGGTTTAATTTGAAAGCCTACTCAGCTTCATTCTTGATTACTGGCTCCGTAGGACTTCTTTTGAGCTGCTATAAGCTGCCAGGCACAAGGTGAAAATTGCAATATAAAGACTAACTCTTCTTTCCAAACTTTAATTCCATCTGACTCCTTTCTTCAGAGAAGCAGTTGCAGCATGACACTGATAGCTTCAAAGCAAGGATTTGGGGAATTATCTGTGATGAGACCTCACAAACTTACAACTCATCAAAATAATAACAATATACTTTCTATTTCAAGTTGTAGAGAATGAATAAATTAGGGTTTTTTTTTTCTGTCTTTACTGTGCCCTGCCTCTTAGAACTATCTTTTTTTCTTCCCTCCCCCACCGCCCCCACCCTGGTTTCAGCTACTAGAATGGAGGAGAGGAAGAAAGCAAACTCCAGATGTGGAAAATCAAAGAGATCAATTTTTTTTTTCAGGTTTCTCCTTCACCATCGTGTAGATTGTGAGGGTCTGGAAAAAGCTCATCACAACAAGAATTCTGATCATGGTGCTGCAATTAGTTGTAGATAGAAAGTGATGAGAAAGGCATATGCTTCCTCTTTAGCAGAAACTACCTTTAGACCCTGTACAGAGGTTTACCCTATACTCTGTCAAAACTCATACAAATCATCACCCACAAGGTATGTGTTTTTATTTCCACTTTGAAGTTTAACATGTTTCAACATTTATGCCATGTCACATAGCCAGTGTCAGAGTAGGTTAGGGAGTTAGAAGTCTTTCTGGTTAAAAAGGCCCTTGTTTACTGAAGTACTCCATAGTTCCACATTCCTGTAAGGCTTTCAAGTGTGTTCAGCTTGTATTCGTCCTTAATTTTAAAAGTGTGCATTTAATGTATGTATTGAGAAATATTCTACCTAATGCATGGATAAAAATTAAAGATAGAGCCCCACCCTCAAGGAGCTATATTGCAGTGGGATGAGAAAGAAACTACACATGTTGAAAACTTAATAATATTGTATTTCATTTTCTCTGCTAATTTTAACATCTCTGAAATTGGAATACCTTCTTTTATTTATAGTAGCCCAGGTTGCAGTGGTAATGTGTTATGACCTATGTATATGTTACCTTGGCTGTTATTTTTGATGGCATAAAGAGACAACCTCAG
Source organism: Homo sapiens (assembly GCF_000001405.40). Taxonomy (NCBI): domain Eukaryota; kingdom Metazoa; phylum Chordata; class Mammalia; order Primates; family Hominidae; genus Homo; species Homo sapiens. The sequence goes on along the minus strand of NC_000014.9, from coordinate 85,854,931 downwards.
CCCTTTCACATGTCAGTCCATGAATCATTAAAAAACCATTTAAAGAAAGAATATAAATCCCAGTTTATGTCTTAAAATCTTCTGTTGATGCCTTCTGGCAAGATTTTTAAAAGCACCTTTCTTAACACTTATAGAATGGTATTAGGGCCTTCGAAAGAGTCCCAGAGACAAGGGTGAAACCTTTTATAAAAAGAAATTTTATCTCTTTAATGCTGTAATGGCACAAGATGATGATATTCTGGAAATAAATATATATTTATTTTACTTATGTTTAAAACATAATCAAGTTGGAAAGATTTTTCAAAATAAAATTTAAAAACTTAAATAATAAAAGAATATAATGTAATTGGTGATTTTAAGTGTACTCAAAATAAGGAAATGTCTTATAATTAAAGATGCTGCAAATTCAATGAAATTTTAATACAGTTTCAGTTGGTGGTTAAGTTCAACAGAGATAATGTAAAATAATGTGGGTAGTGGGAGGGAGGCTGTGTGTTGAGGAAGGGAGTTGTTTCAGGTAAAATAGACTGTAGTAGTAGTGTCTGTATTAGGAGACTCAGAGAAGCTTCCCTAAAACTCCATTGACTCACCGTGGATCTAAATAAGGTAAATTACAACCTGGCAGTGATTACACTTGTGTTGCATTTGATACTCCAGTTACTATGCCTTTTCTGCTTCTCATATTTCATATTTGTTGGTGCATTTGCAAGTGTTAAAACCCTAGTATTTGCTCACAAGGCAAAATGATAGGAATGTTTTTACTGCGAAATCTATATTACTCATGTGTAACTACTCAGTAATAGATTAATTCCAGATTTGTTCTCCATAGAAGTTGCACAAACAAGAACTTTGAGAAATACTAAATCAAAACAGCAAAAGATCTCTTACCAAAGCTCTCTGGTGCCTTGTTTTTGCCTTATGGTTTTGCCTTGTTTTCTTCTATATAAAGCTCGAGATGCAACGTCTGCATATTTTATTTGTGCTGTTAACTTCTTGAAGAGGAACCCTATATCGATATCTGTATCTAGGCTCAGTACAGCGTTCTGCATATAAATGCAGCTCTGTAATTATTATTTATAGATTTCAAAGGTTCAGTCATTTTAGGAATGAGACCTCTAAACTAAATCCTATAGTCAAACTAGTTCTTACCCCAATTTTTCTTTCTTTCGACATGGATGCCAGCATTCAAAGTATTATGATGTCAAGAAAAAAATCACAGGCTTCTGCTCAAATCCCAGATCTGACTATCATAAACTAGGAATTGTGGTGAACATTAAAGGCACCAGGTATAACATTAAAGGCACTAGGTATAAAGGTGACTAATGCTGTGCATGGGCCATAATTGATACTCAGATATGGGTGTTATTAGTATTAGCAACAAGAAACCAATAGTGATTTTAAGGAAACAAAGACAAACACAAAGGTCTTTAGACTTTCAAAACTTTGATTTCAGAGTCATGACTTTACTTGATCCTTAGAGAAAATCTTTTGATGGCAGAACACGTGTGATTGTCCTCACTTAGTAGAGAAGAAAACTGAGGTTCAGAGTGTGGAAGTGACACCCAAGGCAAATTTCTGTCAAGTGGCAGAGTATAATCTCCTACTGCAGCATTTTCCTACCAGCAGTTCCCAATGTATGACTTCTGAATTTTCCAGAACCACTTAGGGTGCCCACAATGTCAAAAACAATTGTAAAATAATAGTGTCTGTTATTTTCCTTTTTCATTGTGTTGACAGTTGCACCAGTGGTACAAAAATAATGGTGGATAAAACTGCTGAGGCCTTGACACAAACGAAGGCAATGACACCTAACTGCATTGCTAGTCATTGCATCATTCACCTCTATACCAACAGGGTAAAACTGAAAGCAAGTTTCACAAAATATCTTTCACAAACTAGTAAAAATTGTTAATATTATCCGTTTTGGACCCGTAAGCCATGTCTTTTTGTATTTTGTGTGAAGAAACGAGAAGCGTGATGAAAGCATTTCTAGTGTCTACACCATCTGAAGCAAGAATGCTTATGTAATTTTTCACATTGTCCCCTGAACTAACCTCTGAAAATCCATGGTATGTAATTTTTACTTGAAAAATGATTAACAAATCATACTTATTCAGACTTAGGTATTTGGCAGATATTTTCTCAAAAATGAATGAAGCCTCAACCTGTCATTTAAAGGGAAATAATTGACAGCATTTGTTGTCAATGATAAAATTTGAGCTTAAAAAGTGAAAATTATTATAAGTTTTGAAAACGTATCTGTAACTGTGAGCTTGACAACTGTGAGCTAAGACTGATGGCAATATTCATAAATATTATTTTCGTCTTATTGCACAATAAAATGGGCCAAAATTTGTAAGATCTATGTAATTCAGTGAGCCAGTGTTTTCCAATCAGCAATGCATGTTGTTATAAAATCATGTATGGGTAAAGATTTATTCAAAGTGCAAGATACACTAATGGATTGAAATTCAACAGAATAAAAATGTTTATTAATATGGTATCAGATTGCATATTATAATAACATCTAAGAAACTACCACATTGAGTTTTAGTATAATTTCAAATAAGAATATTCTGATGACTCACGCCTGTAATCCGAGCACTTTGGGAGGCCGAGGTGGGTGGATCCTGAGGTCAGGAGATGGAGAACATCCTGGCCAACATGGTGAAACCTCATCTCTACTAAAAAAAAAAAAAAAAAAAGTACAAAAATTAGCTGGGCGTGGTGGCATGTGCCTGTAGTTCCAGCTACTCAGGAGGCTGAGTCAGGAGAATTGCTTGAATCCAGAAGGCAGAGGTTGCAGTGAGCTGAGATCTTGCCACTGCACTCCAGCCTAGGCCACAAAGCAAGCCTCCGTCTCAAAAAAATAAAATAAAATAAAATAAAAAAGAATATTTACAGTTTTCTAAATAGTAAAATACTTCGACTTTGTCCAACCACATGTCTGTGGGAGGCCAGATATTCTTCAGATAGCTCAACCAAAACAATGTATTCCAACCTATTGAATGCAGAAGTAGACATGAGAGCCCAGCTGTCTTCTATTAAACTAGACAGTAAAGATATTTGCAAAAGTGCAAAACAATGTAACTGTTCTTATACTTTTTAAAAACACAGTTATTCCTTGTGAAAATATTTACAGTAACATGGAATGATTTTGCTATTGCGATTTTCAGGGCTGACTTCCTAGGTGTGCAGCCAGGGAAGTGGCAGAGGGCCCTGTACTCAGAAAGGGTGTGGACCTTGCTTAATGCTCTGCTGTCACCATCTTGAAATTCTTATTTTTGTCTTTGAATTTGTGTTTTATACGTGAAGTCCAATAGGAAAATAAAGCATGTGCCTGAGCAGAGGACATACACGCAGCACACATGTTCACCATTCCTTGTGATTCTATTGCTACAGAGCATTCACAATGCCCCTGAGAACAGAGCTCTGGTAGACCCATAATACATGGAGATTCAATTAGTTTCAAGGCAAGTTCAAGACAAGCAAACTACATCTAAGACTAAGACTAGCGTTGACGGGTGGGAGATCTGTCAGTGACATCCCTGAGAGGACATGCTTTCTCTTTGAACCAGAATTTCCTTTAAATGCAGACAAAAGGCAAAAACATTTTATGAAACACTAATAGCCAAAGAGCCTCACCACATCCTTTGTTACTTCTATGACTTCCCTGTGTTAGCCAAACACTTACACTGAAATGATGACACAAAAAGAATACAAAAGATAGGGTAGTTCTTTTTCCTTTCAATCCTTACTTACAAATCAGTAAGGCCAAGATAGAGAATGTTGGTAAAATATCAAGAGGTAAAATAAAAACAGTTATGAGTTAGTTTTGTGCTGTTTCTGCTGTTCTGGTAAGAATGAAATACATATGTACATATGAGCTATGAAATATACATTGTACAATTACATTTATTATTCTATTTGCATTTAAAACTGACATTGCACAACATAAAGATGAATGGCAATATTATGACAATAAATGGCAAATTTAAAAAACACAAAAGGAGAGAGGCATTCTGATTTTAGTAGCTTTAATATATTTTTCTGCTTTTTGGACAAAGGCCTCTCTCTTCCATTTTCTTCTAGGTTTCTCGGATGAGTATAGAAATAAATATTCTAACATTTGTTAATTTTAACTGATAATATGGGAACAGTTGTATTAATATGTTGGAGCCAGCCCACGCTAGCTGGTGGAGCTGATCGTGTGAATCTCTTCACAATTTCTAGTTCAGTACCCTCAAGTTGGTGGCTTGAAGTCTGTCGTTATGGCCCTAATTTAAGTATAGATAGGCAAATGCTACATATCAGTCCTTTTTCTTTCTTCCTAGAGAGCCCATTGTTAAATATTTAGGGTCCCCAATAACTTTTAAGAATGTGAAAAGTCTTGAGACTGGAAAGTTTGAGAATCACAGTTTTGTCTTTTTTTTTTGAGATGGAGTCTTGCCCTGTCACCCAGGCAGGAGTGCAGTGGCACGATCTTGGCTCACTGCAACCTCCACCTCCCAGGTTCAAGCGATTCTGCTGCCTTGAGTAGCTGGGATTACAGGCTTATGCCACCATGCCCAGCTAATTTTTATATTTTTAGTAGAGATGGGGCTTCATCATGTTGGTCAGACTGGTCTCGAACTCCTGACCTCGTGATCTGCCCGCCTCAGCCTCCCGAAGTGCTGGGATTACAGGCATGAGCCACCACGCCCAGCCTATGCAATATATTTTTTAAAAATTGTGACAGAGGCCCATCAGCTACTTATCCATAGCTTCGGATTCTCAGTGCAGACTTTCAGGATCAAGTAGGAAAATTTTTTTAGGATGTAATCCCCAGTGCATGCCTTTTGCTATTTCCAAACTCATACATGCACACACACATACACACGTGCACACAGACACACACACATGCACAGAGGCATGCACATTTTTCTTTCTAAAAATGCCTTTACCAGCATATGAGTCAACCCACCCTCCCTACAGGAGAGAGGAGGGTGAGATGGGGAAAACAGGCCTTTATTTAGGCAAAAGTTTCTTCGCAAAGTGACGCTCACGTCCATACTTAGTAATCCACCCTTTTCAGGTTTCAACACCTGTGCCATTCATGAAAAATACCTCCAAAGTGAATAGCAGGTTATAAACTGCACGTAACTTGATGCGAGTACCATTTTGTCAAAGCTTTACAATGAGAGTCTCAACATAATCACTTCCTTTGCTATGCACTGTAATAATATTAATTACGCCAATTCTTTTCATATTTATGGCTTTGCTTTGAAATTAATTATCAAAGTCCATTCCATTCCTGAGCAAAAATGGAGGCCCCACTTGCTTCATTAACATGCTTAACCTGCAGGGATGATGTCAGAGACTCACAAAATCCCCTCTACATACACATCTGTAAAATGTAAAAATCTGTATACTTAAAAAAAAATAAATGAAAATTGGGGGAAATGTACCATGGTTTCCAATTGCTTTCAATTACCATTAAACCTTTCGGAGAATGATTTGCATAATGTTTCATAAACATGTAGGCAGATTAACCTTTTTTAGTTAATTTATTCATTAGCAGTAAAAATTCAAAGCACCTCTTATGAGAAAATAATGTTGCGCTGTTAAATTACATGGAAACAAAGCAATTGGGACATACTTGCCTAAGTTCACACTGTGTCAGAGCACAAAAAAAGTGGAAAGAAAAAAAAACTTTGCCTGTTAGCAGAGTGTTGATTAAATTGCCGGTTTGTGAACAATTAGTGGTATTACTAGAAGATTAGGTGAAGTATTAATTAGAGTTAGGCCAAATGACTTCTGAGGAGTAAAGATACCTCCTCCAACTGCATTGAGGTAATGCAGTAAGACTATAGAGCCAGAGCACGTTCCTGTTTGCTCTCACTTATGGGAATTAGAGACTGCAGGACCCCAGTACAGGGCTTCAGTCTGGGTGCATATATACGCATTTTTTAAAGCTTTATTTTTTGTGTCATTATGCCTCAGGATAAATAAAAATATCTTATGCACTCTGACTAATTAGAAGTCAAGACTCAGCTCTGAAATTGGTTAAACTGTGAATCAAGTTATATCCAGCATCTGCTGTATGTTTCAAGGAAGCTGGAGACGACCAATGGGAATTTTAAGGATGACTTACCAAAACAAGGTTAAAAAGGAAAAAAGAAAAAGAAAATCACCCATACACGGTATAGGGAGCCTGTGAGCAATCCATATAAAGGTATTTATATATATAAAGGTATTTTTATATATATATATATATACCTTTATATATATAAATACCTTTATATATATATATATACACACACACATATGTATATATAAATATATGAAGGTATATATATATACACCTTTATATGGATTTATATATCCATATATATGGATATATAAATCCATATATATGGATTTATATATCTATATATGGACTTATATATCCATATATATGGATTGATACGGACATATATATTCATATATATGGATTGATACGGACATATATATCCATATATATGGATTGATACGGACATATATATCCATATATATGGATTGATACGGACATATATATCCATATATATATGGATTGATACGGACATATATATCCATATATATATGGATTGATACGGACATATATATCCATATATATATGGATTGATACGGACATATATATCCATATATATATGGATTGATACGGACATATCAATCCATATATACGGATTTATACGGACATATATGTCCATATATACGGATTTATACGGACATATATGTCCGTATACATGGATTTATACAGATATATATATGGATTTATATGGATATATATATCCATATATATATGGATTTATATGGATATATATATCCATATATATATGGATTTATATGGATATATATATCCATATATATGGATTTATATGGATATATATCCATATATATGGATTTATATGGATATATATATCCATATATATGGATTTATATGGATATATATATCCATATATATGGATTTATATGGATATATATATCCATATATATGGATTTATATGGATATATATATCCATATATATGGATTTATATGGATATATATATCCATATATATGGATTTATATGGATATATATATCCATATATATGGATTTATATGGATATATATATCCATATATATGGATTTATATGGATATATATATCCATATATATGGATTTATATGGATATATATATCCATATATATATGGATTTATATGGATATATATATCCATATATATGGATTTATATGGATATATATATGGATTTATATGGATATATATATCCATACATATATGGATTTATATGGATATATATATCCATACATATATGGATTTATATGGATATATATATCCATACATATATGGATTTATATGGATATATATATCCATACATATATGGATTTATATGGATATATATATCCATACATATATGGATTTATATGGATATATATATCCATACATATATGGATTTATATGGATATATATATCCATACATATATGGATTTATATGGATATATATATCCATACATATATGGATTTATATGGATATATATATCCATACATATATGGATTTATATGGATATATATATCCATACATATATGGATTTATATGGATATATATATCCATACATATATGGATTTATATGGATATATATATCCATACATATATGGATTTATATGGATATATATATCCATACATATATGGATTTATATGGATATATATATCCATACATATATGGATTTATATGGATATATATATCCATACATATATGGATTTATATGGATATATGTATCCATACATATATGGATTTATATGGATATATGTATCCATACATATATGGATTTATATGGATATATGTATCCATACATATATGGATTTATATGGATATATGTATCCATACATATATGGATTTATATGGATATATGTATCCATACATATATGGATTTATATGGATATATGTATCCATACATATATGGATTTATATGGATATATGTATCCATACATATATGGATTTATATGGATATATGTATCCATACATATATGGATTTATATGGATATATGTATCCATACATATATGGATTTATATGGATATATGTATCCATATATATGGATTTATATGGATATATGTATCCATATATATATGGATTTATATGGATATATGTATCCATATATATATGGATTTATATGGATATATGTATCCATATATATATGGATTTATATGGATATATGTATCCATATATATATGGATTTATATGGATATATGTATCCATATATATATGGATTTATATGGATATATATATCCATATAAAGGTAAAATCAGAACGAGGCAAGGGGAATGTGCTTCCAGCATAGGGAATGGAGGACTCCAGTCTCCGGCAGGTGAGAGAGCTTGGTATGGGATCCTGGCTTCAGGGATTTTATGTTCTAAATACATGGGGACCTGCTGATTCCATGAGGAATTTTATTTGAAATAAAAAATCAGCTCTATGCTGATCCCAGGAGGAATTGTATTTGTTAATTTTTTAAATTTTAACAAATTGTATTTGTTAATTTTTTTAATTTTAATTTTTTTTTTTTTTTTTTTTTTTTTGTTTAGAGACAGGGTCTCATTGACACCTAGGCTGGAGTGTAGTGGTGCCATCATAGCTCACTGCAGCCTCGACCTCCTGGGCTCAATTGATCCTCCCACCTTGGTCTCCCAAAGTGCTGGGATGACAAGTGTGAGCCACTGCACCTGGCTGGGAATTTTATTTAGAACAGAAAATCAATCCTATCTCAAACAGCAGACCAAACGATTAATAATACTAATAACAACCACAGCAGCAACCTGAAGCTCAGCTCTCTCTAAGTTCATGACCCCCAACCTTCTACCCTTCTTGCCCTTGTAATGCTATTCTTCTTTCCCTACCTGCCTCTTTCTTTTTCTTTCAAGAGCATTTATTGTCAGCCTATAATGTGAAAGGCTTGCATGGCAAGTAACATTTGTCTGAACCTTCAAACCTTTTATTCTCCTAGGAGCCAGAGTCACTTTTTCATATGTTATTCCCAAAGTCAGAAATCTGCTCAGTCATTATTCAATCTAATGTTTGTATCTCACCGAGAAAATGTCCTACTTCCTTGTATCATACTACAACAAACTCTCTGAAAAGAGTTTAAGTTCTTGGAAGACAGAGTTCATGTTTTATTCAAATTAGTATTTTCATATGTCTATCAGATGTTGTGCACAACTGTGTGTAATATCAGCCTATGTTTAATATATGCTTGTTAAACTAGATTTTGGAAAAATGAATGTGCTCAAATGTATTTATTTTGTACCTATTGAGAGAAGAAATTGACTTCTGCAAAATATCTTGTTTTCAAGAAATCTCTCACTATGTCCAGCTAAAGAAGAGAAATAATAATAGTACTGGGCTGCCCCAGTTGTTCCTGAAGACAATTTATGATGTACTAATTTGGCTAGGGCAGCCCGTCATTTGGTGTCTGTATGAATATATTTCATTGTTGCAAAGATATTAATACTGAAGGTAAATTTGAAGTAAGGCATAGTTCAAGGAAAAATAGTCCATAAATTGAAGTCTCTTAAAAACCAGTTGAGAGTAAAGTTTTTCTGAAATGTGAAGATAAAAAGGTAAGTTATGAAGTTGGGCAATCTTTTTTTTAAGACAGAGTCTTGCTCTGTCATAGTGGCATGATCTTGGCTCACTGCAACCTCCACCTCCCTGGCTCAAGCAATCCTCCTACCTCAGCCTCCTGAGTAGCTGGGACTACAGGTGCATACCACCACACATGGCTACTTTTTGTATTTTTTTAGAGACGAGGTCTCCCTATAATGCCCAGGCTGGTCTAGGACTCCTTGGCTCAAGCAATCCACCCACCTCAGTCTCCCAAAGTGCTGGGATTACAGGTGTGAGCCACCCTGACTGGCCCAAAGTTGAACAATTTTTAAGGTGTGTTTGATGAGGCAATAGCAAACCCATAGAGATATATTATATCTTAAGTTACAAAAGAAGTATACCTTCAGGTATTTTGAATATTAATTTATCTTTTTTTTTTTTTTTTTTTTGAGACGGAGTCTCGCTCTGTCGCCCAGGCTGGAGTGCAGTGGCGGGATCTCGGCTCACTGCAAGCTCCGCCTCCCGGGTTCACGCCATTCTCCTGCCTCAGCCTCCCGAGTAGCTGGGACTACAGGCGCCCGCCACTACGCCCGGCTAATTTTTTGTATTTTTAGTAGAGACGGGGTTTCACCGTTTTAGCCGGGATGGTCTCGATCTCCTGACCTCGTGATCCGCCCGCCTCGGCCTCCCAAAGTGCTGGGATTACAGGCGAATTTATCTTAAAGTTAGGTATAAGATTTAAAATTAAATCCAGGTAGAGTTCTAGAGGTTAGTTTCAGAAAAGGAGGTGAATATAACCCAAACAGTGACAGCTCAAGAATTTTCATATTAGGTATACTTTAAGGACTAGATGGCTTACGTTGCCTGCATAATATCCAACATTCTGCTTTTACTTGAAATATATAAACATACATATATTCATATAAATTCAAACATATTTTATTATATATGTATACATGTGTATATATGGATATATATAATGTGTGTGTGTATATATATACATATAGTCACCTTTGTCTCCTGCCCCAGTAATGAAACAACTTAGTAGCCCCTTCCTCACACACTGACTTTTCCTCCTCTCCCTCCAGACCTGAGGTGTGAATTCTGTTCTTTTCTTCCTCCAACCCAGTCTTAGTTGACAAAGTGTCACCACCTTCTCTAGCTCAGAACCTACATCCACCCAATGGGAAACCTTTACGACCACTACCACCAGCCCCACATTCATCACTTCTGCATCACCTTCAGCATGATTCCCTGTTTGTTGTCTCACCCGCAAGATTTTGTGCAAGTGAGGCCAGATATGTCCTATCTGAAATCTTCACTAGCTCCCCTTTACCTGACTTGAAATAAAGCCTAGACTTTAAATCTGGTGCTATGTACACCTCTGTCCCAGCCCTCCCTTGATTTGAGGGCTTCCATGACACTCCATCGAGAAAGGTCCTGCAAATGGAAAGTTGAGTAAATGCACGAATTCATTCAAAGGATGCGTTAAAGCGCATTATGAATATGCATATATGCTGAAGAGTATGGAAAGCTGACAAGGATCATGAGAGGGCTAGCTAGAAACCTCAAAGGAGATCCACTGACCTTGGGAATGGGATCATTAAATCCCAGAACACAAGAAAACTGCACTTTCATTAGGCTGCAGTTAGACTGAATTCTCAAGGGAGTCTGGCTTTCCACAGGTACTGATGTCACCTGTGAGTTCGCTGTCTAGATATTCTAGATTCATCATTGTCCTGAAGAAAAAAGAAAGAGGCCTTAAAAATTGGCACAGTAGGAGGTATTAGAAAAAGCTAGTTATCTGTATACCCCCTTCTAAAAATCAAGAAATGTGATGTCACTCTCACACAGCTGAATTATAAACTTTTTGACACAATTGTCTCTTATCCATTTATATGTGAAATCAAAACTCAGACTTGAAAATTCAATTATTTAATCATTTATTATTTTTTAACCTAAAGCCAAATATTAGGTAACAAAAACACTGTTCAATAAATACTGCCTACATGTTAATTAATAGTCTATTGTTTTACATATATTAGTATTTATTTTACAGATGAGGAAACTGAAGCACAGGGAGATTTAGTAACTTACATATAATCCCAAGGCTAATAACAGCACATAGGGGATTCGATCCCAGGCTTTTTGGCTCGGAAGCTCACACTATAAAACATACAGCCTCAGCTAGCCATGGGGAGATAGCCCACATGGTGAATATGCACAGGCATTGTGGGGCATCTTTATCTGGATTTGAATCTGAATTGCATCGCTGGTTAGGAGACCTAAGACAAATTAATTGTGAAGGCATCTCTAAAATGGTGATACTAATATTACCAGGATGCTAGAATCACAATGAGGATTAAATGAATTAATCTTCATAAAGTGCTTAGAAGCACTCCTGAAACATAATGAGATTTATCCAGTATTCTTATTAAATAAATATAATACCTGATCCCATGGAAAGCACTCAGCTGTTGAAGTGACTACTTCAATAAAATGGCTGAATTCTTTTTGAAACCCTAGTGCCGTGAATTTGGTGTTGCTATACAGTCACAGCCTAACAGATCATGTCATTCCAGTTTGCTAAACGAATCTGTTAAATGAGTTCTCCAAACGACAGGTCAGTGTATTCAAAATTTTCATTGTCACAAGTTTTCCGCAGGTGTTTCTTAAAAGGTGTTCCAAGTTGTGACAATTCAAGTTGTACTCTTTTGATCATAAGCTTGACTATTTGGGGAGAAATACACTCTATCAATAATGAGATAAATGAAAGTAACTTACGGTTCATATTATCCAAAAGCATCACAAAAGTATTTGTAATTGAGACGCAAAACAACAACCACAACAACAACAGCAACAAAAAGAAACAAATAAAACTTAGGACCCACCTGTCTAAAATAACATTGATTTTCAACCTCTTTACAAACTTATTGTAGCTATCTTCCATTAACATGCAACCTTTAGACCACATTTTTAAAAAATTAGACAAGTTTTAAAGTAATTTGTTTTCTACAAGCATAACATAAAGTGGAGAGATTTAAAGAGAATAAATGCTTTTAGTTCAGAGACAGTTCTATGTCTTAAAGACTACACAGTGAAAGTTGTAATCATTCATATTAAGATGGTTTTAAATGTGGCATTAGAAATAATTATTGAAAAACTCTTAAGTAAGAGATGTTCCGGGCATAATGAAAAAACAGAAGATGCTAGACCCTTGACTTAAGTCATATACAGTATGTTTAATAGATCAATAGATAGATGATCATTATTAATATACATATAAGCAAAATAATTAAGATTTTAAGCAAGAGCAAAGAATAGACACAACACTTATCGGGGGTTCAAACTTGTTTTTGATTAAAAAAAGAAAGCACTTAAACATTTATTTTATTAGCCCCAAATTTAAAATTATGACTCTGAGAACAGTACTTGCGTATTTGACAAGAAAAAGACTTGCTAAGTCTCCAGAACTAGATACTAGAACAAGCACTAGAACTATCTAAAGTTCTAGTATCAGTTCTGAGATTTTCAGGATGATCAAAAGCAAGAAACTGAAAATAGCTTTGCCTTATTTGGTGTATTTTTGCAGATAAGATATATTTAAAGCCATTTCAAGTCCTAAAATGTTGTGTTTCTCAAACTGAAGTACAAAATACGTATGATTTCTTACAACTAAAAATAAATTGTAAATCGTGTTCATTGAAAAAGACTTAATAGAATGAAGTAAAATTTGAACAGAGACCTAAAGTAACTTAATTGTTGCTGCAAAACTCCAGGCCCAGGTGGAGGTAATTTGGGGTTGGTTTGTTACAATTGATCAATTATACCTGCTGCTTTTCCTTCCCCTTCACTTTATAGCAAAACTCCCCCAAATAGTTGTTTTGGCCTCATCTCCAGCTCATCACCTCCTACACCCTCAGTTATATTCAATTATGTTTTTAGCCTCCTTTTTCCCTTAAGTCCATTCTAATCAAAGTCACTAAATGACAACCAAATTGTTAATTCCTGGAGTCAGTTCCTAGCTTTCACCTCAGCAGCATTCCCCACAGTTTAGTCTTCACTCCTTTGAATGCTTTCTCCACTCCTCTTCTAGAGAACTCTTTTTTTTTTTTGAGACGGAGTCTTCCTCTGTCGCCCAGGTTGGAGTGCAGTGGCGCGATCTCGACTCACTGCAAGCTTCGCCTCCCGGGTTCACGCCATTCTCCTGCCTCAGCCTCCCGAGTAGCTGGGACTACAGGCGCCCGCGGCCACACCAGGCTAATTTTTTGTATTTTCAGTAGAGACGGGGTTTCACCATGTTAGGCAGGATGGTCTCGATCTCCTGACCTCGTGATCCGCCTGCCTCGGCCTCCCAAAGTGCTGGGATTACAGGCTTGAGCCACCGCGCCAGACCGAAAACTCTCCACTCCTGGTTTTCCTCTGACTCCACTCCTCTTCACGATCCTTTGCTGAATCCCATAATTTTCTGATGTAGAGATGATGGCATGACTCAGAATCAGAACTCTGTCCTCAGAACTTGGCTCTTTTTCAAAGTCTTACTGGGTGATCTCATATAGTCCTGTGCCCTTAAATATCATCAATATCCCAATGACTCCCAATATCTCTCATCAGCTCAGGCCACTCCTTTAAACACTGGCTCATGTTCTGCTGACTCCATGATGTCTCCATTTGAGTGTCTTGTTGTCATCTCAAACTCAACAAGTCCTGCACATAACATTTGATATCCCCTTCCCAACTTTGCATTTCTATCTGTGTTGCTTATCCCAACGAATGCCACTACTGTTACTGAGCTGCTAAGTCCTCAAACCTTGAGCCATCCTTGACTGCTCTCTTTCATACCCCTATTCAATACATAGGACATTCTGCTGTTTAAAACTCTAAAATATATGTTATATGTGGGTATTTATTATCACCTCCTCTGCTACCATCCTAATACAAACTACAATTGTGTTTCATGTTTGTCTTGCAATAGCTTCCTATTGATTTTCCAGCTTCTATTTTTTCTCCTTTTGTCTGTTCTCCATGCAGTAGAATGAGCCTTTTAAAAAGCAGATCAAACTACACTACTTCCCTAATTTCAACCATCTAATTTTTTCCCATCCTACTCATCATGTCTTATCATCAGAGGAGAAAGTTCGATTTAAGGAACAGGTAACAAGTGTGTTCTTGACCCATCATCTGAATGGAACAGGATCAATTTTCTCCTTGTTAGCACCCAATATTATTTTTCTATTCCATACCGCCTCCATTTGTTCATTCTCTCACTATGCTTTTATTAACTTTGCCTCGTTCTAAGCCAGCTTTCTTCTGGTTTCCATGAAGATTACTTCCATAGACACCGCAAAGTATTTGTTTTATTACCATCTTTATATTCCCAGGATAGCAAACCAGGTTAAGAGGGTGCAATAGAAAGCAATCTCAATTATTGGACAATTCAATGGTGTAAATAGCATTGTTAAACTCCTCGAGTTAAAGGTCGATGCTATGATGTTCCCGAATTAATACAAAATTAGATGATGCTACATTTTTGTGTGGCTGAAAGACTTGCCTGAGGACCTCAGAATTGCTTGTGAGGAAAATAAAGTAAGTTTGAATACTAAGGTTACAGGTTTCACAACCCAGAAGTCATAGATTTTGAATAGAAATTTTACCACTGTAGAAAAAGATGGCAGAAGAAAAGAATCATGTATTATAGAGGGTGAGTAAATAGTGGGCATATTTTAGGATTCAGTGGTCAATATATAATTATATTAAGATTTTTGGTTACTAATATTGTGCTAATATTTATGGAAGCAGAAATAGGTGCCATGAAAAATAGTTCTACTTTGAATAGTATTTTTATAGTTCTACCTTGCAGAACATTTTTCTTTTTTCAAACACTCCTGTCAATACAATAGTTTTCTAATGTGGAGCATTGAGCCACTTTTATGTTCCCACACCTTTTTATTTGACCATTTTTCTCCACCCCCAATTAAAGAGCTCAAATAATCATAAAGTTTTTGCCTATCAGAATCTTCTGCACCCCTTCATGTTAAAGGAGGCAGTGGGGCAGTGAACTAACATTTGCAGTATCTATTGTGTGTCCAGCAATTTGCTAAAAGAAAAAGTGATTTTTATTTAATCCTTACCACAACAACCACAAAAAGAGAGTTATGTCCTCATTTTACAGAGAGAAAACTGAGATCAAGGGAGAATAAGTAACCTACCAAAGTTCACTGGCATTTCTGAAACAGAAAAACAGGCCGTCGAGTCACAGTAACCCAATGTTTGCTCAATTATGCTAAAACAGTCTCCGTAGCAGAGAAAAGCAACGTCATTTAACTTCAAAGGCTCTAGACTTTAGTGGACACCGTCTTACAGCTGGGCTTCACAAAGTTCCTACTCCCTTTCCTGTTAACCTTTGTGACACAGGAAGTGAAAAATGAACATGATTACTTTTTTCACACCAAGCTATTAACCTTGACAAAGAAAATTGGATTCCATAATTAGTATCCAGAAAGGAGAAATAGGTTAATAATGAAGATATACTTTTAGAGACAATTAATTGCAGATACTATTAACTTAGGAGTTATCAAAATGTATCTAAAAAATCTTTTTTTAACTTCTGAATGAAATAAAAGTAATATGATTTTATCGTAGAAAAATCTTCAGGTACATCCTACTTCTCAAAAAATTCTATACCTAGAAATTTAATTTTTAAAAGTGTATTGAACTGCCTTCACTTTTCAGATCAATTTACTGCATTACAGTATTGTGTGTGTGTATGTATGTGTGTGTAATATGTTCCTTTTAAACATTTAAACTATGACTCCATTGAGAAACTTTAATTAACAAAATTTTTAGAACATGTCATTCCTTAAAAGGAAGCATCACATATAATGACAGTTAATTTTTGAAAGCTTTACAGCAAAATCATGTACTAACATTAAAATATTTGAAAGCCAGTTAAATATATCTGTACATTAATTTAATGTATAGTATATATAAAAATATTATACTCATTGACCAGTGAATGCAGTGAAGCATTACTTGGTAGAAATTCCTCTTACTATTACAACTTAACTCATTTTAACTTATAATTATTAGAAGATTTTTAATCTGGTCTTGGGGAAAGGGTTCATTCATTTTCCTTTTAGGTTTGCTCAAGGGCCTGGAAACAGAGGGCTGTCCTAAATGACCTTTAAAGATCCCTTCTAGTCCTAGGACTCTGAAATAAATTAAAGTTTTATGACCACATTATGCATAAGCATTAGTGGATCTGGAAGACAATGAGGATGAAGTCTGTGCTCAGACTCTCCCTCCTAGTATTTATGCTTCCTATTCATTTCATGCATAACTAATTTCATATAGCAATTGGTAATCGCATCTTGGTAATGACACCACAGGCATCACAAAACAATTGCAATCATGGCCGCAATTCATTGTAACTACAGCTAAATGCCAGCGCTGCAACTGAAATACTTCCCTCACCTACCCAAGTAAAGGAGAAGAATAAAATAATAGCTTTAAAATGGTCACCTTCACTAACTAGCTTTGAGTTCTAAATAGTCTGGGTTTCTACTTTTTTTTTTTTTCGAGGACATAATGATTTATTGAGACAGTGAAACTTGGAAGTTAGCCCGCCTTTCCAGAAACAAAAAGACACATATTCCTTATTTATACTACTCTACCAATGCCACCATTGCTTTACAGATCTGTTGATGCTTATGAATAATGTGGTCATAAATAAAAGGATATTTTTTTTCTGCCATGCATCCTATTGAATTAACAACAAATTCAAGCATAAGTAGTGATTATCATGAACATATTAAAATATCAAGGTCTGTTCTCTTCCCTGGAATTCAAAGCTGACATCTACCAACAGTGTCTTGCAAGATTATTTGTAATCTGCTAATACTAATATGATAATTTGTATTAGTCCGTTCTCACATTGCTATAAATAACTGCCAGAGACTGGATAATTTATAAAGAAAAGAGATTTAATTGACTTACAGGTCTGTATGACTGGGGAGGTCTCAGGAAACTTACATTCATGGAGGAAGGGGAAGCAGCTACGTCTTACATGGCAGTAGGTGAGAAAGAGTGTAAAAACCCAGGGGAAACTGCCATTTTAAAACCATTAGATCTCATGATAACTCACTCACTATCACAAGAACAGCATGAGGGAAACTGCCCCCATGATCCTATCACCTCAAACCAGGTCTCTCCCTCAACACCTGGGGATTAAAAGTCAAGATGAGATTGGGCGGGGACATAAAGCCCAACCATATCATAATTAATAGCATGCTTTTTATGGCACTTTTAATTCTCACTACACACATTCAGTTCAATGTTTTAAAATTTTACACTCAAAATTTTGTTAAAAAGATGAAGCCAATAGAAGCCTATATTTATTATTTCAAAATCACAGATGAGAGATTAGAGGCCTAAAGAATCTAGGTAATGTTTCCATTGTCATCCAGATTCATTCTCTGTCACTATGAAATTAAGTAATCTTCTAAACGATTTAAAACAATTCAGAAGCCCATGTCTGCTGGGACACTAAGCCTGGCCCTGTATTGTCCTGGCTGATAGGAGCTATTTATGCCATAGACTCAGTTGTTTTCCAGCTACTCTGGGACTGTACAAAGAAGTATATTGTAAGAGTTAAGAGTGGTCAATCTTTATAATTTTATCTTTCATTTTATTAACTAATGGTAAAGACACTGGCTTTTATGAAGCCAAAATTTCAGTGCCTTGACTAGTTTCAAGAATAAGAAGTCAATGCTGTAGTTCTTCTTCTTTAACCTTGAAGCATGTGGACTCAGTTAGGTGACTAAGGGTTACTTTACCCTAGTCAACGCTTTACCAGTCACCATGAAAGAACACACCTGTAGACTTTACCATATATTAATTATACTACTAATTTTAAAACCATATCAAACCATTCATTTGACTTAACACAGGTACATTTCAGATCACTCATAAATTAGTCTATGAGTGAACTTGGTCAAGGTTAAATCTCCTTAATTATTAAAGGATATGTTTTACTCTTATAATAGCAACCATTTTCATTTGTGAACTCTAAGTATTCTATGTCTGAATAATTATGTTTTAATTTTTTCTCCAGACATACACAAATCCATATTTAAAAACAAATCAGCAATACATAACCTTCACTTACTTCAAATGTTTTAAGGAATGTTGTTTTAGGTATTGGTGACATCGTAAATCAATACGTGAATGTATCTGTTGACAAGTTCATAGGAATGATCCTGGTACACCTGGCAGATTGAAAGGAGCCAGGCCATGTGAAAAACTGTCTATCAGTGACTTGCTACCAATCTTCCTTTGCATGGAGTTGTCAGCAGGAACCATTCCTCACAGGTCCAAAAGAATAAGCCTCAAAAAAAGCAAGAGGGAATTATGCTCTTAGACATGAATATTCTAGAAAATTCAGATCCATCCCACTTCTTTAGAAAAATGGAAGGAGGACTAAAAATAAGAAGAAAGACTATATTGGCTTTTGAATTGCCAAAAGATCACTCTAACCAATGCATTTAAGAGTTACATGCAACAGAAGAATTAATGAGCTCTGAATCTCTCAAGAAAAGTAGATCTTGGAACTCCGGTCTATATTAAAGATATTAAAGCCATAGAAGCATGTTCCACTGACTACAAAAAAAAAAAAAGCAAATCTAACAATAAATAAAAGGTTCAATCTAACAATAAATAAAAGGTTCAAAAATGAGTGAATTAAAGCATATTAAAGGAGGATAGTATCAATATGAATCTATACATGTTAAATTATTAAGAATCATTAAAATCTAATTTCATTATTATGTTTGGTGTAAGATGTGTTATATCTCATGTCTATGTAGTGTCAATAAAATTATTTTACGCATATATTGATGTGTTACTACTACACTTAAAGAAATAGTAAAATAGTAAAATTCTTAGAGAAGGAGACTTGCTTGGTTCTGGTTCTAAATAAGCAATACCTTTTAAATATTACACAGTTTAGGGTTCACTAGTCATTCACTCTAAACCACCTTTCAAGTTTTACAGCAATTCTTCCATATTCAACCTGAAAATTCTATGCTTGTGAAAAATGAATAGAAAAATTTACTTATGTATATCTAGCCTTTGGTATAAGGCATATTTTAGCTGGAGAAGTATTACTTAAATTCTTAAAGCCCCCCTTCATTTTACATGAACCATGAAGTTTCAGCAATAATCCTTGTGAAGTAAGTCTATTGAACATTCCAGCATGAACATTTCAGACTTTTCCTGACACTTTAATAAAGAAGAAAATGAAGTTGCCAATCTCTTAACTAAAAATTAATTCATACATTTCTGATGTATAACTAAATACTCAGCATCTGTTTCTATAAGAGCCTTATGATGTTCTTTTGCTTCTGTTTTTAGGTTTAGTCTTCATAAGTTAACAGGATGCTGTCTTTCTTTTTTGGTCTTTATACCTTTATTATTGCTATTATTATTATTATTATTGTACTTTAAGTTTTGTGATACATGTGCAGAACGTGCAGGTTTGTTACGTAAGTATACACGTGCCATGGTGGTTTGCTGCACCCATCAACCCATCACCTACATTAGGTATTTCTCCTAATGCTATCCCTCCCCTAGCCCCCCACCCCACACAGGCCCCAGTGTGTGGTGTTCTTCTCTCAGTGTCCATGTGTTCTCATTGTTCAACTCCCACTTATGAGTGAGAACATGCGGTGTTTGGTTTCTGTTCTTGTGTTAGTTTGCTGAGAAGGATGGTTTTCAGCTTCATCCATGTCCCCACAAAGGACATGAACTCATCCTTTTTTATGGCTGCATAGTATTCCATGGTATATATGTGCCATATTTTCTTTATTCAGTCCATTATTGATGGGTGTTTGTCTTTCAAGAGATGAATGCCATGTTCTAGGCAAAGTCCACCAAAACAAGCTCTAAAATGTGTATTGCATTGAAGCCACTCATTTTGAATTACTGTTAAGTTTGATGAAGCAAGTTTTCCTCTTATTCTCATTTTGATGCCATAAAGCTTCCTTACACACAGGGGCACAGATTCCTGGTAGAAAGATGCTGCACAGAATGAATTTCTGAAGGAGCATATTTAATCTGCATAATGGTAAAAATGTCTTATTACTAGCTCCTTCCTTTAATTTGAAAATCAGAGGTTCTATAGAGGATTTGGTGCTGCTTCCAAGTAGTCATTTATGGTAAATAGACTTTAATAATGTTTAAGGGTACTGCATTATCACAGGGAAGATCGATGACTAATGAAGTCCTCTATGTAATCCAAACCTTTTTCTAATATGACTTTTCCTTCCTGGGCGAATTTGTTTATTTTTGAGATTGTAGAAAGATAGCCTCTTTCACGTGGAGACAGACACCCTCCTTCTACAGAAATGTCGATATCCTTTATTTGATTTGTTCTGCAGTCCAGCCCCCAATCTGCCATGCTCAAATAACATTATGGCTTGGCTCCATTTTTCATATTAGAAAGTAATCAACATAGAATCAATAGGAAGCCATGTTTACTCAATAATTAATTCAATTTCCTAGAGAAAATGGATGTGCAATAATTTAGTAACCTGTGCTACAAAATGATCCTTTCTTCTTACTTCTGCCAAGGTTTTCATCACCACTTTCAAAAAGATCAGACTAGAAGTATGGAAAACCATGGGGAAAGGACCACAGGAGACAACCAAAGTGCCTATCAGAGATGTCAATACAGTCGCTGGGCCCAGACTGCTTGATTCTCCAGCTAGGACTGCAAAGTAGTCTTCAAATGAGAATAGCATCATCTAGAATCTGAAACAACACACAAGCTACTTCTTGCAAATAGAGAAACTCCTTTCTCTTTACTTTCATGATGGCCTGTAGAGGAATTTCTATCAGAAAAAAATACTCCTAGTTCCTCTCTGCTGCCTCAGTCTCCCGGAAAAGAATTACTTTTCTGGTTAGAGCTGATTATGCTCAATTTAACCATTTTTTTCTCTCCTAATTCCATATCTGCATATGTGTAGGAAGGATCCACTCAGGTATCTCTCTCTACATAGACCAGGTTCACTGGTTGCCCAACCTTGCCAGGGACTGGCTGAATAAGTCTGCCTAATTCTAAGGCATAGTATCAGCATGCCCAGGGAGGCCACAAATCTAAAGCCAGGTTCTCCAATTCAGCTCTTTAGGTAGCAAAGTTGATATTTCCATTCCCTTCTCTCTGTCTCTTATGTCTATATTTTTATTAGTTTTGATAGAAAGTGGAGTATTACTTATCGACCCTCTAAAATCTCAGCATTCTTCTTGGAGATTCTCAGTAAATATCAGTTTGCACTGCACACTGGGTTAGCATTGCTCAACTCCACGTTGCCCAGGGTATTTAATAAAGAAAACCCAGGTGTTTATGTGTATCCAAGTGTATGACTGACTGACTTGTGTGTGTTTCTGTCTATGTATAACATGAGATCTGATATCTCATGGACCCAAGTCTTAGAAGAATATATTTTGGACAACGCTGATGAGGGAAATAACTTGTTGGTATCCCAGTAACAGGCTTTTGAAGATATTATCTTAGGTAATCTGAACCTCAGCTTTCTTGTATTTAAAATGGGGGTGCTCACACCAACATTAGTGGGTTGTGGTAAGGAATAAAGGAAATAGTGAATGGGAAGTGTCAGACACATTGTAGTATCTTCAATAAATTTTTTTCCATCTTGCATACATTTCCCTCAAGCATACAAGGATACTGCAAAACATGTAGCCTCATTTCTCTAAAAATGTGATTCTCCTGAGCTTTGTGTCACATAGCCCAGGAAATTGTCACTGTTACTGTTGACCTGGGTAACTTCCTGCATCAGGTCTTACTCCAAATATCACATTCCTCAAGGAGGTCTTTTTTAACCCCTTCCCTGAGAATACTCACCGGAGGCGCTTGTGGCTGCCACGTTTACCCCGAGGTAACTTTGTCAGGAACTGTCTTGCTTTTACTATTATTTTCGCATCAGTCTAGTATATCGACTTTGGAAACAAAAGGTATCATTCTATTTACAGCTTTCTGTTTTAGTAGTGGTATTTCCATTTACAAAATATAGTAATTCCCGATCAGTGAAAATTTTGAATCCTAGAAAATATGGCAATCTTGCCCTTGACATGAACATATTTCTTGAACAATTGTTGGCCAAAGATTTATTTGATGAACCGATTTTTCCAAAGTAGATGATTCTGATGTTAATTCTGTTTAGGAATAACTCCACAAACAGTTTTTATATTTTATTTTCACACTGAAATTCAGTCAGATTCGCTTCAGCTCAAAGAGCGTGTGTATGTAAAATTAAATCAGCTCTGGCAGCGAGCTGCGATTTTTTTTTTCCTAAACTAGAAATTAGTTAATATAAATTATCTCTCTCCCATTACACCTTCTCCTGGTCTCCTGTTTGTCACTGCACTGATTAAAATTTTAATGTCACTTGTATTGTAATGATTGTTTGTTTAAAGTTTATTCCCAATGAGAATGCCGTATTCACAAGCAAAGGATCTCAATCTATTTGATTCGGCAAGGTATATTAAGGGGCTAACACAGAATAGGCACCAAATATTTGTTAAATGAATAAATTAAAGGAAAAGTAAAACATCCATACAGTCCAAGTATGTGTCAGACAAGGGGAAGAGCAGACAAGCTTTCTTAGTGCATTCTTTCATTTAAAGTATCAAGGCATGATTTAAAATTATGCTTTTATTTTTTAAGGAACAGAATGACCACAGTTGAACAATAATCTCATTAGGCAACATCCATTCTTTTAAAATCAATAAACATGTTCCAAAAGAGAATTGGAAAGGTTGCAGCTGAAATAATCTATCAAACTAGAGTCATAAGGACCATGAATGTTCAACCACACGTGCTTGTCATACCTTGGAGTTGAGCTGTATGTGGAGGGTTGTTATCTGCAGCTCTAGGAGAATGGTCAATATTTATACCTAGCTTGGATCCCCTAAAGAGTATTTTCTTTCTCAGAAAAAGTGCATTTGGCCCCGTGAATTTCCCCAAGAGCATCTTTGGTAAAACATGTCTGTAGCCCTCAAGGGAGGTCCATTCATTGTGGTACGTACAATTTCCCTGTGTCAGAGAGCAATCTCTCTCTAATGACATGATTCATATATACACAGTCCTCCTTTTCCTCTTCCAATTGCCTCCATAAAACAGGCGCAGTGAAATTTAAAAAGTACTTACTTAAAATACAGATTGTTTGCAAAGTATATTAGCGAAAATTCAGCCAAGCCAAACTCCAATAAACTAAAGCCATAAAAGTAATACAATGCTTTATTACATCTTAAGGTTAGTAGCGTCCTTTGTTAGAGAGACACCTCAAATGGCCAATCTTTCTGCCTTTCTCTTTAATAACTAGAAATAAGGAATGCTCACAAAAGACATGCATCAAATACTTTCCTGTGGATGGTTTGAAGAGGCAGAGAAACTGTTCTTTGATTTATGGAAGTTGAATCTGCTTTAGTGCACGAAGGGACAATTAGTGTTATAGATCGCTCACTCTTCACTCTCAGGACATAAAAGCAGATGCATTGCATACAACCAGCTCTGTCTACTTCAACAGCTCAGAGCTCTCCCTCTCCCTCTCCCTCTCCATCTTCCCACGGTCTCCCTCTCCCTCTCCGTCTCCCCACGGTCTCCCTCTCCCTCTCTTTCCACGGTCTCCCTCTGATGCCGAGCAGAAGCTGGACTGTACTGCTGCCATCTCGGCTCACTGCAACCTCCCTGCCTTATTCTCCTGCCTCAGACTGCCGAGTGCCACGCCTGACTGGTTTTCGTATTTTTTTTGGTGGAGACGGGGTTTCGCTGTGTTGGCCGGGCTGGTCTCCAGCTCCTAACCGCGAGTGATCCACCAGCCTCGGCCTCCCGAGGTGCCGGGATTGCAGACGGAGTCTGGTTCACTCAGTGCTCAATGGTGCCCAGGCTGGAGTGCAGTGGCGTGATCTCGGCTCGCTACAACCTACACCTCCCAGCTGCCTGCCTTGGCCTCCCAAAGTGCTGAGATTGCAGCCTCTGCCCGGCCGCCACCCAGTCTGGGAAGTGAGGAGCATCTCTGCCTGGCCGCCCATCGTCTGGGACGTGAGGAGCCCCTCTGCCTGGCTGCCCAGTCTGGAAAGTGAGGAGCGCCTCTTCCCGGCCGCCATCCCATCTAGGAAGTGAGGAGTGTCTCTGCCCGGCCGCCCATCGTCTGAAATGTGGGGAGCGCCTCTGCCCCGCCGCCCCGTCTGGGATGTGAGGAGCGCCTCTACCCGGCCGCGACCCCGTCTGGGAGGTGAGGAGCGTCTCTGCCCGGCCGCCCCGTCTGAGAAGTGAGGAGACCCTCCGCCCGGCAGCCGCCCCATCTGAGAAGTGAGGAGCCCCTCCGCCCGGCAGCCGCCCCATCTGAGAAGTGAGGAGCCCCTCTGCCCAGCAGCCACCCTGTCTGGGAAGTGAGGAGCGTCTCCGCCTGGCAGCCACCCCGTCCGGGAGGGAGGTGGGGGGGTCAGCCCCCCCGCCAGACCAGCCGCCCCGTCCGGGAGGTTAGGGGCGCCTCTGCCCGGCCGCCCCTACTGGGAAGTGAGGAGCCCCTCTGCCCGGCCACCAACCCGTCTGGGAGGTGTACCCAACAGCTCATTGAGAACGGGCCATGATGACAATGGCGGTTTTGTGGAATAGAAAGTGGGGAAAGGTGGGGAAAAGATTGAGAAATCGGATGGT
Organism: Homo sapiens; assembly: GCF_000001405.40. Classification (NCBI taxonomy): domain Eukaryota; kingdom Metazoa; phylum Chordata; class Mammalia; order Primates; family Hominidae; genus Homo; species Homo sapiens. The sequence continues at coordinate 85,829,579 of NC_000014.9, read as the reverse complement.
TGCCATGTCTGTGTAGAAAGAGGTAGACATGGGAGACTTTTCATTTTGTTCTGTACTAAAAAAAATTATTCTGCCTTGGGATCCTGTTGATCTGTGACCTTACCCACAACCCTGTGCTCTCTGAAACATGTGCTGTGTCCACTCAGGGTTAAATGGATTAAGGGCGGTGCAAGATGTGCTTTGTTAAACAGATGCTTGAAGGCAGCATGCTCCTTAAGAGTCATCACCACTCCCTAATCTCAAGTACCCAGGGACACAAACACTGCGGAAGGCTGCAGGGTCCTCTGCCTAGGAAAACCAGAGACCTTTGTTCACTTGTTTATCTGCTGACCTTCCCTCCACTATTGTCCTATGACCCTGCCAAATCCCCCTCTGCGAGAAACATCCAAGAATGATCAATAAAAAAAAAAAAAAAAAAAAAAAAAAAAAGTCAGGAAACGGGTGCTGGAGAGGATGTGGAGAAATAGGAACACTTTTACACTGTTGGTGGGACTGTGAACTAGTTCAACCATTGTAGAAGTCAGTGTGGCGATTCCTCAGGGATCTGGAACTAGAAATACCATTTGACCCAGCCATCCCATTACTGGGTATATACCCAAAGGATTATAAATCATGCTGCTATAAAGTCACATGCACACGTATGTTTATTGCAGCATTATTCACAATAGCTAAGACATGGAACCAACCTAAATGTCCAACAACGATAGACTGGGTTAAGAAAATGTGGCACATATACACCATGGAATACTATGCAGCCATAAAAAAGGATGAGTTCATGTCCTTTGTAGGGACATGGATGCAGCTGGAAACCATCATTCTCAGCAAACTATCGCAAGGACAAAAAACTAAACACCATATGTTCTCACTCATAGGTGGGAATGGAACAATGAGAACACATGGACACAAGAAGGGGAACATCACACACTGGGGACTGTTGTGGGGTGGGGGTAGGGGGGAGGGATAGCATTAGGAGATATACCTAATGCTAAATGACGAGTTAATGGGTGCAGCACATCACCATGGCACATGTATACATATGTAACAAACCTGCACGTTGTGCACATGTACCCTAAAACTTAAAGTAAAATAAAATTTGAAAAAGGAAAAAAAAAAAACAGCTCAGAAAGGGACTGGTCACTCTCAGATCTTTATTTAGATAACATGCAAATTTAAATATAAATATTATGGGAGTCAGCCTGATCTAGTGTAAAGAATATAGACTTGGGGTTCAGACAGAGCTAGGTTTAAATCCTCATACAGCTATTTATTCAGTGTTGCCTAAGACAATTTATTTACACCACTCTGAGCCTCAGTTTCCAGTCTGTAAGTTGGGTAAATCCTTTCTGACTTGAATAGTTGTTTCCCAATTATAGACAATGTAGAAAACATGTACACAGTGGGCCATAGGATGTACTCAATTGATTTTATGTGTTGTCCATATTATTATCATTATGCTTTGTAACATGATTTGGAGAAAAGTAGCAAATTCAAATTCTTACAGGGTCCTAGACAGGTAATGTTCATGAGTGAAGTTGGCCTCATGTAAAAAGAAAATGGTGAGGACCATGATGGAAAGAAAGATCTGGGTACTGATAACAATGACCACAGTCACAGCATTTGATGACTATTTCTTCAGCCTTTCCAATTAACTTTCCTGTAATTTTAGTTTCTCACACAATTCCGATTCATGCCTTCCGTTCATTTTCTGAAACACCCTCATATTCCCTGATGCTAAGTTTAAAATAGAAGGATAAAGAATAATAAAACTTGTAGCTCACACCTGTAATCCAGGCACTTTCGGAGGCCAAGGTGGGAGGATCACTTGAGTCCAGGAGTTTGAGACCAGCCTGGACAACATAGAGAGAACCCATCTCTACAAAAAAAAAAAAAAAAAAAAAAAAAAACAACAACAAAAAACTACATTCCTTATCCCCTTCTAGTTACACCTCTGCATTTATCAATCTTTTTTCTGCAAACTATCTGAAAGACTATTCCATTCTACTTAATCATGTCCTCCCTTTCGACCTTTAATTGGCTTCTGCTCCTAAAACTGCAGCAAAGTACTTGAGTCACTAAAGTCAGCAACAGCATCCAAGCTGTCTAATGCAGTGGCTATTTTTCAGCCATACTCTTACACGGATTTATTCTCTGCTTCATTTATCAGTACGTTTGTTTCTTTAAAGCTCTCAACTTTCTTACCTCCACCCCCACCAGCCCTCTGTGTCTTTGTGTGAAACTCCTCCCCTGCCCACCCTGTAAATGTGGTGGTTCCTTAGATTTCTACACTTAGCCTATGTTTCCTCTCACTCTGCCAACTCTTTTCAAGTCACTTCCGCACCCTCATGGTTTCTGAAACAAATTTACACTGATGATTTGTAAATCTCCCTCTATAGTTCTATAGTTAGACCATAGTCTTTGGTTTCAATTTTTTTTTTTTTTTTTGAGATGGAGTCTCTTTCTGTCGCCCAGGCTGGAGTGCAATAGCGCGATCTCGGCTCACTGCAACCTCTGCCTCCCAGGTTCAAGTGATTCTCCTGCCTCAGCCTCCTGAGTAGTTGGGATTACAGGTGTGCGCCACCACACCCGGCTATCACATTTTTTTTTTTTTTTTTTGTTGAGACAGAATCTCACTCTGTCACCCAGGCTGGAGTGCAGTGGTGTGATCTCAGCTCACTGCAACCTCCGCCTCCCGGGTTCAAGTGATTCTCTTGCCTCAGCCTCCCAAGTAGCTGAGATTACAGGCACATACCACCATGCTCAGCTAACTTTTGTATTTTTAGTAGAGATGGAGATTTCACCATGTTGGCCAGGATGGTCTCAATCTCATGACCTTGTGATCCACCCGCCTCTGCCTCCCAAAGTGCTGGGATTACAGGCATTAACCACCACGCCCAGCCGCTATGAAATTTTTATATCCAAATACCCACTAGACTTCAGCTCATGTTCCAACATGTTGAGTTCAGCATGTCCAACGCTGCAGTCATTAATTCCTCTCTGAAATGATATTTCCTCTTCTACAGTCTGTCTCTGTTTTGAGCCATTGAACCTATGTAGCAGCCCAAGCTAAAGTGCTGGGAATCTTGACCACATTCTCTACTCACCTGCCTCAACATCCATCCATTGCTAAGACTTGTATTTCACCTCCTAAGTTTTTCTCAAAAGTGTTGCCTCCTCCTTGTCTCTATTTCAACTGCTATAGATCGGACTCTTATCTTTTCTTCTCTAGACAACTACAGCTGTGTTTTAACTGGTTGTTTATTTCAAATCTTTCTTCATATCACTTACAGAATGATCCTTCCAACAGTAATCCCGATTATGTCATTTACCTCTTAAAACTTTTCTTTGGGCATTGATTACTATAAATCAGACCAACTTGGCTCCTTAACATGACAGTCACTCTCTCCATCTCTGTTTCCTGCCAACCTGCCCATACTTATTGCTCAGCTTTGGGGCTTCCCGGGCATTTGGTTGACAATGCCAAACCACTAAAATGTATCCATTACTAAAACTGGTTATATACAGACCTATGAACCCAAAATTCTAGGAATATTCTTAGTAAATATATCCCATGGAAATGTGTTCACTAAAACACTGTACATAATATTGTATAGTCTCAATATGAGCAAGAATGTACATAACATTGTATACTCTCAATATGCCCTTAAATCTACTCAAATATTTTTAATTAGTAGAATGGATACAAAAATAATGTCCTATCTATTCAATAGAATACTACATGCTAATGCTAATGAATGAACTACAATGTATGAACTACATGTATATGTATATGAACTACATGTATATTACAGGCAGATTTTAAAGACCTAACATTGAGCACAAGAGGCCAGATCCAAAAGAAAAAAAAAAGCATGTCCCAGGTAATTTAAACATAGGCAAAACTAAACTGTGGTGTTAAAAGTTAGAATAATGGTTTTCCTAAGAGGAAAACTATACACACACCCAAACTTCTGGGGACTTCCAGTCTTCCCCATAGTAGAAACCACAGTCCTATTTATAAAGATGACATGAGCTGCTCTCCCACTGCTATTCCTCTGACATATCTCCTAGTAATCTTTTTCTTACTGACTGCTCCAGCTACGTTGATTTTCTTATGTTTCTGAAAATTCCAGCATACTCTCACCCGAGGGCATTTGCACCTGCTATTGCCACGGCCAGGAATGGTCACTCCTCAGATATCTACATAAATTGTCTCCCAATTTCATTCAGAGTTTCACTACAATACCGTTTTCCTCAGTGAAGACTTACTTAGCTGTCCTCCATCAAATTTCAGGGACATTCCCCCATACACCCACTAATACTTTTTATCTCCTTGCTCTGCTATATTTTTCTCTTTGGCTCATTTCACTATCTTGAATATTATGTGTCATAATAATTCACCTTCATGATTGTCCTTCTCTCCCACCAGAATGTAAGCTCCACAGGGCAGGGGATTTTGGTTTTTTGCTTGTTTTATTTATTACTCTATTCCCAGAGCCTGAAAGAGTTTGTAGCATAATGAGGCTCAGTAAATATTTCTTGAATTAACGAAAGAAGCAGCCATGTGGCCTAAACCCCAAAGCCTTACTGAGCTAACTCAGCAATATGCTGCATTTCTTTTCTCAGAATAGGAATTAGAAAATATGGACAAGACAGGGATGTTAAGAATGAGAAGCAAGTTAATCTCTTCACCTAGAAAGGGACAGCAGGTGGTGGCAAATTGACTTCTGGTCAGAAGTAGATTTGTCTACTTCTGTTTGCTTTTACTATTATTGTTAAATTTTTTAGACTAGAAAATGCCACAGAAAACAAAGCATGGCCCCTTAAGCCAACAGGTGTTGAAAACCATAAGCTAAGCTCCCTTTGAATACAAAGAGGAGCACAGAGCAGGGTTTCACGCATCAGTGAGAATGGCAAACTATTGCTTCAGTGGTGTGAGGATTGCCCTACTGCAGTGAGTACATTTTAAATATATGGCTTTAAGTAATCATTATTCCTAAAATATGGAGGTTGAGGATTTGGGTATTTAGATATAAATATACTTTGTAAAATAATTTGAAACCAAATTCATCAGCAATAATGTTGACACATGGGGCAAGCTTTTATTTCTTTGCCTCATTCTTTTTCTTTTTTTTGGCAAATAAAGACCATAAATATTCAAGGCATACAACATGATGATTTGATATATATGTTTGTATATATATATATATATATATATATATATATATATATATAGCTTAATTATTATCTCAACTAAATTAATTAACATATCCATCACCACCCATGCTGTGCCTTAGATTCTCAAAACTAATTCATCTTATAACTGAAATTGTATATCCTTTATCCTTTCATCACCATCTCCCCATTTCCCCCACTCCCCAGCCCCAGGCAAACATCATTCTTCTAGTCTTTGTTTCTGTGAGTTTGACTTTTTAGAATCCATGTATAAGTGACATCATACAGTATTAGTCTTTCTGTGTCTGGGTTATTTCACTCAGCATAATGTCCTCCAGGTTTATCCATGGTGTCACAAATGGCAGGATTTCCTTTTTTGTGAAGGCTGAATTGTATTCCATTGTATATATGTCTGTCAGATGGCCTAGAGGTCTAAAGTGCCAAGCTCAACATACATCAGTCATTCTTTTGGGTCACATTGACTATGCTTCACTAGTTTTGGTCCAGGCCAGTGGTTAGTCAACATTAGTTGCCTAGAGAAAACACCTAGAAAGATCTAAAATGATGCTGATGCCTAGATCCCACAAGCAAGAGATCCTGATTTAACTGTTCTGGAGCAAAAATTGTCGGGATTTTTTTTTTTTAAGTTCTCAAGTTGATTTAGTTAAGGTGCAGAACTACATGGTTAACCTTTCAAATTTGTGAAATGTGTAAACAGTTAGAGATATGCTATTTATTTATTTTTGCATTCACTCCTTTACTCTTGCATTCCACAAGTATTGACTGAATACCAGCTCATTAAATGGGCCAGGCACTATGGTAGTGGCCAGATGTTTACTGGTAAATATGACTGCTTGGATGCTTCATAGTCACTATTATAGTCACCTACGGTAGATTATGTTACACAAAATGAGACCGAATCATCTCTTCAAATGACTGAAAGTTGTCTCTAGCCATGAAGACAAATAGTTCTGAAGTGAAATTATGAAATGTCAAGATGTTATTAACAGTAACAAGAAATCCTTATCCCAGATTTTTTTCATGCACTTTCTTGCTTACTTTTTTTTCTTTTAGAAAAGTTCATTAATTTTCCAGCTATTCCTTCACTGTTAAATTGTTAGGGTTTGAAATGTAGTGTTTAAACCTGAAACATTGCTGTTCATGGACTAAGTAAAATTAGCTGACCCTGTGAAAAACTGCATGCCATTTTGGTTCTTACTATTCATTTTCTTTAAAAGAGAGGTGGAAAGACAATAGCCAAAGGCAAATCCCACTAATTACATATAAACACTGTTGCGTCTATACCTAGCATTTAATGAAAACATAGTTAATAGCACAGTATATCAAATGCAAATATATACTACTACAACTACTGCTAACAATTATAATAGCTAACGTTAACTGAGCTTTATTTTGATGAAGCAAAAATAAAAATGCTTTACATGCATTAACTCATTTCATTCTCGGGGGAAAAATGAGATGAGTACCATTATTATTTCTGTTTTAAAAGAAAACGAAGCTGAAGCACAGAGAATTGATACACATGCACGACCTTCTTTGTGCTAAACAAATGCACATGGACGTAGATGTTTTTAAAACGTAGGTATGCACTCAAAATGCCTTTATATTTCAGCTGCAAACTCTTCAAAGCCTCATACCGCATATCATTATTCTTTCTTGTTTTATAAAGAATGGCCTTGTTTTCCAGTTAATGTCATGAGTCAGGTAGTTCATGAGTCTCAATTCAGCAGAATTTCCAGTGGAGAATGTTTTTATATGTTTTATATAAAAGTAAGGATGTCAAATTCTAATCCATGGTATCAGAGTTTTGCCAGAACATTGTTCAGACTGAAATAAAAAACATGATCTCCCACGGGATTCTCTTCCATAATGAAATCATTGAGATATGAAGCGCCCCAGGAGAAGAACTTTTCAAGTTCTAGCCATTGGCAAATAAGAAACCAATTGAGATTTGTTTTTAAAAGAAGATGGTGTAATATTCCTATAGTTTGATATCAGGAGGGAAGCCAAAAACCTAAATTGTGGACCATCTGGAGAAGAAATATAATAAAGAAAGCCAACAAAAATATAATTACAACAACTGGCTTAGAAATAACCACTGCATTTATTAAGAACAGCCAAAGCAGGGATGTCAAGATCGAAATCAGAGTTAAATTTCCACTTCAGCTTGACTGTGGGAATAGGAAGAGAACGTGCTCTTATGTGGAGAGTCAATCCTATAAGCAAGAGATATGAGAATAATTTGGTAAAATGTCAGAGATAGAACCCACACTTAAAACCGTCTTATTGTTTTTCAAAAGAAATAAATAACTAAAGAGCTTCAACGGTGTGTGAGATTCTATGATTGGTTCTACCTGAGAGGGCAAAGATGAGGCAATCGTGGTCTTTTCCTCAAGAAGCTTAAGTCTGACGATGTACATAAAAACACAATGGCCACAAAAATAAACAAAGGGAATTGCTAAAAAACAAAATGTATGATTGAGTTTAAGAATAAAATTGTTGAAATAGACTTAGATGTAGTCCTTAAAAGACAACTCACAGGACATCATGAATCAGAACTTCTCTGCTTCCTATAGTATTCTAACAGGAATTCATTGAATTGACCACTACAAGGAACATATTTTTATTATATGCACAGATATGCTTCATTCATTTAGAATATGTGGCAGGCATCATGATAAGCATGGTTACTGAAATAAATACAGAAATACATATTTTTCCTCATGCCATCACAGATTTGCGGAGTGAGAAAATTTTTAAAAAATTATAATACGACCGGGCGCGGTGGCTCCAGCCTCTAATCCCAGCACTTTGGGAGGCCGAGGCGGGCGGATCACAAGGTCAGGAGATCGAGACCATCCTGGCTAACACGGTGAAACCCTGTCTCTAATAAAAATACAAAAAATTAGCCGGGCATGGTGGCGGGCGCCTATAGTCCCAGCTTCTCGGGAGGCTGAGGCAGGAGAATGGCGTGAACCTGGGAGGCGGAGCTTGCAGGGAGCCGAGATCGCGCCACTGCACTCCAGCCTGGGCGACAGAGCAAGACTCCGTCTCAAAAAAAAAAAAAAAAAAATTACAATACAATGTGTAAAGAAAATAAAATAGGAGAATTGATTTGGTGAGTGAGTAAAAGGTGATGCTAGCAAGGTTTCCAAGAGTAGATTTACCTGAGCTGAAGCAGAGCTAAGTATTTCTTTGGAGGTGAAAGGAAGACATGAACAAAAGCTCAGTGCCCTAAAAGGAAAGGCTGGCCCACTAGAAGAGCTTCAGTTAGTTTTGTGGGAGTGTATTAAGTGGGATGGAAGATGATTCAAGAGCAGTAAGGGGGCACTGAACTGAAACAAAATAAAGAAGAGTTTTATCCTTCGATTGCTGGGGAATCAACAATCGATTTTTCTGAGCGGAATTGATGCAAACTGATCTACCTTTGCATAATAAGCTACAACTTAAAACTTGATTATACAGTAAATTGACCACATTTTGACATTTGGATTTTTGACTCAGAGCAAGAGAAGTCTACGATGTGTTATGGAAAATGCATGTAGATCTAACTCCTTCACCTTTTGTGGTCTTTGGAATATAGGTATCTCAAATGGTCACTCAAAACTGACCCTAATTTTTTTACCTGCTAGGAAATGTTGAGATGTTTACTATGTAGACTTTCTGGACATATCATATTGTATCCCTTTCAGCTCTACAATGTGGCCACTACCCACCTCCATAGCACCATATTGCACTTACAGATCCACTCACCCTTCCTACCTGTGCTCTAGAACATCAGCTGACTCTCCAGTGGCCTTCTCCCTGCTCTCTTCCACTGCAGTACTCTATTCCTGATCTGCCAATTGCCTGGCCTGATCTTTCCTCTTCTCTTCCGCTTGTTTACTAGGGAATGTCTTCAAAACTTCAAGTTCCTTAGGTGAAGACTCCCTTGGAGAGAAACTCCGTTGGAAACACTCTGACCCATAGCCCGTCAAAATATAAATTTAAAGAAACCTCCTCCATAGCATATTTGCCATTTGCATTTTAATTGTGTTTGGATGATGATTGACTTGGGCCCCTCTAGGTGACCCTTCTGCCTCTCCAGAATGTCCAGTAGGAACACGGCTGTCCCGGGGGCCTAACTTCTTGACTGAAACGCCCTTCAGAGACTGCAAGTGTGTTGGCTGTCTACGAAGTCTGGTGTAGGGGCGACCATTTTCCTCTATGAGTCCGGCCAGGGAAGTTTTTGGGATTGCCTATGGTAGATCCTGAAATAGCACATGTATTTCAGGTTTGCGGCGAGAAACCAGATTTTTTATTTTTCTAGTAAGTTGTTTGCATTTAAACATACCAAAGTTTCAACAAATAGATGTATTATTATAACTTTCTTTTTCTCTTTTATAGTGTTTGCTTTTTGTGTGATGTTCAACAGGTTAGTTTGAAACCCAAGAGTCCATAACTATTGTATGTATTTCCTTTTCTTTCTTTCCCTTTTTTTTTTTTTTTTTTGAGACAGAGTCTTATTCTGTCACCCAGGCTGGAGTGCAGTGGCGCGATCTTGGCTCACCGCAACCTCCACCTCCCAGGTTCAAGCAATTCTCATGCCTCAGCCTCCAGAGTGGCTGGGATTACAGGTGTGCACCACTACGCCTGGCTCATTTTTGTATTTTTTAGTAGAGACAGGATTTCACCGTGTTGGCCAGGATGGTCTCCAACTCCTGACCTCAGGTGATCCACCTGCCTCGGCCTCCCAAAGTGCTGGGATTAGAGGCGTGAGCCACCGCGCCTGGCCAGTATGTATTTTCTCCCAGGTATTATTGCATATTTTGAAGTTATGATCATAATCACTTTGGAATTGTGATCAATTTGGTATACAATGTGAAGTGTGGATAAGCATATTTTTCTTTCAAAAGACTATTATCTTTTTTTATTTTATTATTATTATTATTATTTTTTGAGATGGAATTTTGCTCGTTGCCGAGGCTGGAGTGCAATGGCGCGATCTCGGCTCACTGCAACCTCCGCCTCTCAGGTTCAAGCAATTCTCTTGCCTCAGCCTCCCGATTAGCTTGGATTACAGGCACGTGCCACCATGCCCAGCTAATTTTTTGTATTTTTAGTAGAGACGGTGTTTCATCATGATGGCCAGGCTGGTCTCAAAATCCTGACCTCAGGTGATCCACCCACCTTGGCCTTCCAAAGTGCAGGGATTACAGGTGTGAGCCACTGCTCCTGGCCTTCAAAAGGGTATTATATATAGTTGTATAATTTGTTAACTTGTGAGTGGCTGGATGAATGGTTTATCATACCTGCTGTACATTTCTTTACAACTTTCTATGAGTCTATAATCATCTAAAAATGAAAAGTGTTTATTAAAAAGGGTGTTAGCCAATTTCCCCACTATAAGCTCTTTCAGTGTTTCAAAAACCTAACTAAATGAGTATATTTCTCCCAAGATAAGTATGTGTAGGCTAATCACTTGAATTTATTGAAAATCTCATTATCTCCTGCACTATCTGTTGGAAGACTAATTATTGACCTTTTGGTTTCCAGCATCTTCTCTGAAGTACAAATCAGATCATGCTATTGGTCTCTCCTTCACACTCAAAACTTAGAAGCCCTCCGTTTGAGGCCCTCTTTAACCAGCCTCATCTGTGACACCACCTTCTTTCCTTTAGGTCGTTTCTTTTTACCCTCTTCAATAATTCGAGAACTACCAAGGGTGTTTTATAGCACGTGCAATCATTCAGGCCTCCTTCTCACCACAGAATTTATTATCACATGCTGATCAGAAATTCTAAATCATAGTAATTCTTATCTTTGATCATAAAATTGAAATACAAATTATTATGACCATTTACTTAATTCATTTTCAAATTTGTATTGAAAAAAAAAAATAATGATTCAGAGTCACATAGCCCTGGGACTATTTGTTAGCTTTTTACACTTAGGCTCCTTTAATACTCAGTTTTCTTTTCCATAAGTGGGGATAAGTGCATCTACCTTATAAGGTTACCATGGTATAAAACAGCTTGTAGACAGGCACTGTGTATGGTATGGCAGATACTCAATAGTTCTTACCCCCTCCTCCCTTACCTCCCATGCAACTTCCTCTTAATTCATTTTATTAGACAAATGCATTCAAACTGTGGAGAAGAAGAAGTAACAGAGATTGTTGATAGTGAAAACTCAGAGAACCAAAGTCAATTTGCAGCTAATTTTATAAATAACACAAGAAAGGCACAGTCAGGATTAGCACTCAGGTCTCTGTGAATCCAACTGAAGGGCTGCTTCACTATGTTTCCCTGATAGTTAAGACCACGTGTGAATTTCGTATATTGAGTGTTTAGAGTTTCAAAATGCAGGCCATAGAAATTAGAGCCAAGAGATATCTTGACCACCACTGTTCTAATATTGACCTCACCAGTGTTTTAGATGGAATGGATAGGGACTACATTTGACTTCCATCAGCAGAAAATAAAAATTCTGACATTCTTGGCAAATGAACCTGTGTAGGTCTCTTAGGTGACTAGGAGTGATGAAAAGTTAGAGGCAGTTGGATTCCCCATAATGATAAGGATAATTGGATTGGGACACAGGTCTAGGCTCTGTCTGGGACACATGCTCAGCTCTGACATGGGAGTGTTCAGCTCAGCACAGGCATTTTATAATATACACTATGGTTACACTGACTTTCTCTCTCCTCTGTGGCATAAATTCAGGCTTCAGAATCCAGAGTAGTCCCTAAACCACATGAGGTCCCTGACAGCTAGAGGTGTCTGTAATCGGATCCTACTATAACTCAGAAAAGTTGTTTCTATTTCAACACAGTAAAAACCACCATAAGAATGTTTACTTTCACTGATACAATAATGGTTTTGCTAAAAAATAGCAATTTTGCTTAATATATTTGGTCTGTGTGAACCAAGCAAGGTAACTGACAATAAAGTAAATATTTGCTTTATGGACAAATGTAAGTAAAATATTATAGTTATTGCGCTATTTGCTTTTGCATAGAGTACAAAATATAGTCATGAATGTATTCGTTGGTAAATAATGCCTAGTGTTAACTTACATTTTTCTGAAGACTAAAATTGAATGAGGAGTGAAGTTGGCAGCACATGTTATTGGCATTCTTGATCTATTCAACTGAAATTATTAATTTTTTTTTTTCATTTGGGTAAAGTGGCCTTGGTATTAGGTGACAGTTAAGATTTTTCTTAAAATTAAGAACAAGAAACTAATGTTTGAGTCACTGCAGTGATAATAGAGGAGACTTTAATCTACTTGAGAAAAGCAAGTAAACTATTTTTCAAAGAGCCTACATGGGAATTTGTCATTCATTAACTTGGTACATTTATCGTAGGCCAGAATCTAGCCTTTAAACTTATAGCCTCTAAATTTTATTTTCTCTGAACAGCAAGAATGCATTCATTAACCAAGACTGATTTATAAGTCAGAAAAAATTACTATTTTATGAGAAACATGACAATCTCAAAGCTGGAATACACCTGTCAGCATGATCTGTGTATCTGTCCTCATCAATCACTCAGGAATCACAATCTTACTTAGGTCCCTTTTTGTTGAGTGTAAGGTCAGATCCCAAGTCATCAGTTAGCCAGGCTAAAAGGACTTGAAGTGAGTCGGCTCTGGGCAGGATGGCACCCACTGGAATCACTGAATACAGTGCCTTCTCCCATACCAGTGCTTTGCTGGAACCTCTACACATTGCCTCTCTCATTCCCTTTTCTATGTTTTCACGGCTGTCCATTTCCGTTTCTGATAAGCGTATTCTTTCTTTAGATATATTAACACATTTAATTGAGTTACACCTAAATCTTAAAGGGTGGAACTATATACACCATCTCTTTAAATTGCTTTTTATAGGTCAACATTGTTTGTGATCTAAAAGCTCAACTTTCAAAGAGCAGTCTTATTGTCCTCCTTCTATATTTTTAGAGATGCCTCAGTAGAATCACTGAAAGCAACCACAGTTCAGAAAACAAACATAAAATAGAAATGTTCTTCCATTGCTATAAGTGATGGCCCGCACTAAGAACAGTAGGTTCTATTTATGAATCGTGGAATGAGCTAATCTTAAGGTCTTTACAATTGACTGTTCAAATGCTGGTGGATCTTTTCTTCCTGTTTATTTTGCTAAAGCCAATCCAGAATGTTCCACTCTAATGTGTTTCTAATCAACCTACGAGATGTGTCCACATTGATCATCTTAGGATGTATGGACATAGAAAATTTTATATATATTCAATTTTTAGTGCAATGTTTCTCTAAATCATTTCTTATCTTTCAATATTTGAATAAAAAATTAAGTTTTTTATTATAATTTTTTAAAAGAAGTGTCAAAGTCTATAAATAGTCAGACCTAAGTTTTCCTGAAAATCAATGCCAGACTTTGAGAATGATTCCCTAGTTTAAATTTATTTCTTCATCTTACGGATATCACTGTGGTTAATTCATCTTTTTTCTTTTTTCTAAAAAAAAAATACCTAGTATAGTATGAATTTATGTCATTAAAAATTGAGTAGGGTTTATTTTTTTATTGATCTTTAGGTCAAAGAGATTATCTATACTGTCTAGGTCAATAAAAATAAAATAAATATAAAAAATCAATTTTGATATTTTATACCCCCAAATTATCATTTATATGTAGTGCAGGAAACAAACTGTTTAAAGATTTATGTTCCTCTTCTATAGAGCAATTCAAAGAGATGGTATAAAGTTCAGCTCTCTAACACTTAGGTGTAACTCAATTATAGGAAGCAGCTACCTAGCAAGGGACTGTATTTCCCAGGAATACTTGAATCTCAGTGTATCTGGTGACTGATTCTTGATGACAGATTTTGAGTGCAAATAATGCAAGCCATATCCACACCTCTACTCTACCTTCCACCTAAACCTAGAGTAGTCAAATAACATAAAGGATGATAGAAACACATGACAAAATAAACCTAGGATCTTCAATCACCATGTGACAGTTCAATTGCTGAACACCCATACTGAACATTTGTGTGAGTGAAAATTAGCTTATATTTCGTTTATCTATATAGCATTTAGTGTTACCTTAAATAATCAGTATGTATAGCACAACCTCAGAATCTAGAAAATTAATGTTAAAATAAATGTTAGAAGTAGTTTAATCCACTCTCCCTTAAGCACTACCCAAGATATGAATTCCTTCGAGGACAAGTTTGAGGTTTGGAGATGAGAGAGCATAGCTAAGACATGCATTTTTCCAAAGCTAGTGTGCCAGCTCCAGTATTCATTGACCTTTTCTTCACTTATCCAGCTGATTTCATAGACCCTCAAAATGCATACTTGGCTCTGAACTAGAAGAAGCAATATGTAATAAATAAAAAGGAAAAACAATGGCTACTTTTCTCATGATTGAATAGAACACAGTCTAATGATTAAAGAAGAATTTTATTCTTAGGGTTCTTAATTACCAACATGGCCTCAAGTCATTCAGAGGTCTATGTTTAAGTGAAGGACAAATAAATGAAGAGTGTAATATCAGTGGAGAATGATCAATACTAAGTGTACAAAAACATCTTAAAATGGAGTAATAAAAGTAGAGGAATGACTGAGGAGAAGGCAAAGAAAATAGGCCAAATCATGTAGATAAATGTGAGCAGAGATCAAATTCTAGGCCTGACGGCCTCAGTTCTATTCCATTTGTATTGGTTTTCTGTCAAGTAAAGCTAATGTAGTTGAATATTCATTGTTTTAAATGCTTTTTTGGATTGTGTACAATATCCGTTGTGAACATTCAAGGTTACATATAAATAGTAAAAACATTTTTTTTGGCCAGACCCTTTACATGCCCTTAATTGTTAAAATACATGGGAAACTGCAAACCAATCTGCTTCCAACTTTGACTTCAGTGGAATTATTTGCATATATGGAAAAATAAGATGCACAGTTGAGCTCTCTGTGGCCAAACAGGAATACATTAGCTTTTGTCCTGTGCCAAGACAATAATGTTTTCTCACTGGGACGGTGACTTTGTTGCAGCCCTTTAGCAAATCGATAAGCATGAGTTTCCTCACTCCTGAAGATCATATCCATCCTGGGACAGCTCAAAGAAATGCCAACCAAACACAAATAAATGGCAACCTTCAGATTTCTACTAAGCCTGTGCCAGTTAAATGGAGATGGAAGTAGAGTATTTATTTCCTGGTGTTTCTGTGAAGATTCAAGGAAAGAATTCATGACATATATTTGTACAGTGCCTGGCACAAGCTAATAAATGGAGTCATGACTAATTGTTGTTATTGGTACCTGAATGTTCCTTAGTTTTCTCACCATCTGGGGTTATTCCCCATAACTCAGTACCGTAATTCCTTATGGAACAGGAGCCCAATGGCCTCCTTCAAATACCACCGACGACCCTTAGCCAGTGTGTACCACTTGCCAGGATTTCCTCTTGACCCCCTTCTCTGCCATCTAATTTTCTATGCATCTAAAATTGCTCCTGTTGGACTTGCTGCTGTTCTTCATGCAGCTACAACGCTCAGTAATCTAATTTGATTGAAAACATGGGGCCACAGCCTCTCCTTTCATTTACTTTTAAATCAATCTGTAGTTGTTAGCAAATATTATTGTAAACAACAGTTTACTCTAGGGAATTACATGAAAAACAACAGCTGTCTATAGCTGTTTCCATTCACAGGGTTCCTGATTTCCTAGCCCAGCTCCCTGTTGCTTGGGCCCACTATTGTTAAGGGGTACTTAGCCTGAAACAACTTAACTGGAGAAGAGAAACTGACCAGGATTTATGAAAACAGAATGTGCAAAAATCATAGAACAGAATACTGATGTTCATCAAGAATTCATAGAAAGTAGGAAGATCCCTTTTTGAAATTGAAATTATTGAAATTATTAATTTTTTTTCATTTGGGTAAAGTGGCCTTGGTATTAAGTGACAGTTAACATTTTTCTTAAAATTAAGAACAAGAAGCTAATGTTGGAGTCACTGCAGTGATAATAGAGGAGACTTTAATGAAATGAAAAAGGAGACTGCAACCCTGACCAACTAGGAAGGTAGCAAGCAGAGAGCAAGGCTCTGTCTTGTGGGAAGCATGGAGGGATGTCTGCCAGTGCTTGTGTAGGAAACAATGATACCACAAAGGAAATACACTGGGGGGTGTGTGGAGACTTCAGGTTCAAGAACATCTTGCCTACCAGAAAGCCACTGAAACTTCTACTGACCTTGGTGGCAGGCGTTGTAAGAAACTGAAACAAATATATCCTGAATGTATAATTTCTTACCTGTCGTTTAAAATCTAGTGCTATAAGGAAGGAAACCCTTACTCCTTCCAGTCCCAAAGACAGTTGAAACCAAGTCTACAGGCTACCCCTAAGAAAGCAAGTGATTACTTACTTTCAAGTAACTTCCAGAGACCCTGCTTATCCCCTATTTAATTTCTTTTCAAAGTAGTTTACAGCTTTTTTGTCCAACTTTTCCCATCCTGACACTTGCTTGTCATTTAGCTCTTCATTCGGCAAATACACAGTTCATATCAGCACTTTTCTGGTGGCTAAGCATATACCAGTATATAAGACTATGCCAAGGAGTAAATATTGTAGAAAGGTAAACAGATAAATACTAATTTATAACAACTCAGATGTTTATAACTACTACTAAGAATAAACATGCAGGGACATAGGATACTAGGGGAACAGGATTGGATATGATTTTATATAAGATGATCAAGAAAGGTCTTCTGGGTAGGTGTCGCTTGTACAGTGACCTGAAAGCAGTGCCTACATCTGGGGAATTGGTGTTCTAAGCACTTAGGAAAACAATTGCCAAGGGCCTGGCATGAAGCATGCCTGGAGCGCTCACCCTTTCATAATCAAAATGTCTATTCCCTAAATAAAAGGTCCTTCTTCCCCAAATTCAAACTTTGTAGGCACTGCTGGGATACAGATTCTGCTATAGTGCTATAACACCCTTTTTGGTCCTGCTATATTGTACTGTTATTATGATAATAATCATTATCATTATCATCGTAACTATGAACTCAGCAGCAAAGACGAACCTCAAACTGGATCTTGTGGGAAAGCAGACAGAAATGAAGCATAAAGGGAAGAAAGCTTCGTAGCTTAAAATACGCATCCACCAAAATTATCCTGAACCACATCACTTCAATTTGCCTTCATTCTTCACCAGAAGGATGCTCTGTCATATTGTATTTCTGTAACTTAAATATATATATAATTCTTTCCAGAGATAAGCAAATTTAAATCAAACAGGCACAAGGATGTACTGACCATAACTAGATGGTTGGCAATATTCTATATATAATTAGAGTTACAAGACTTGATTTGATATGCTGAGGTACTTAATGTCTGGTTGGAGAAACAAAATACATGCTTAATTGTAAGTAGAAATTTATGACTTTAACATGGCACAGTGAACAGCAATCATTTGTTAGATGAAGGGATACATTGGGTCTTCCATCTTGTAAAGGTCACATATAAAACAGTCACTCAGAAATGCAAGAGGACTCAGTAATTAGGAGTAAAAGACAATACATGGCGTGAGAGTCTTTCAGTCTTCTCACTAGGTATCGTGTGTGGGCTGAGGGACATCTTTAAAATTCCAAATCCTAGACATTCATGATAGATATCCCCCCAACCTGCTCATCTGCAGGCTTCCCCAACTCAGTAAATGACAGCACTGTACTTTTTACCTACTCAGGCCTAAAACTTGGAGACATCACTATCTTGTTCTCATAAGCTCCATATCTAACTCATTAGCTTATCTGTGCCTCACCTTCAGCATGTATGCAAACTCTCCCCACAACCTCTGCCACAACCACTCCTCACTGAGCCTCACAATTTCTCACCTGAACTATTGCACAACCCACTTTATTCAAGTCTCTGCTTCCTCCCCTGCCCCCAGGAGTCTATTCTAAACAAAGCAGCCGAAGTGCTCTCTTTAAAAGCTGAATTAGATCTTGTCATTTCTCTGCTCAAAATCCTGGTATAGCTACCCAGTTCTCAGATTAAAATCTGAAAGTCATGTAATCAAATGCAAGACACTCAGGTACTTCATCTCCTGCTACCTCTTTGAAATCAGATTCCAACCCTTTCTTTTCCCTTATTCACTCTGGCCTCTTTGCTGCTCCTCACACACAAAGTATTATCTTGTTTTTTATTTACTATTCTCTGTGTAGCAAATAGTTTTCCCCACGTATCTACAGGGCAATTTTCTGTGCCCTTCACTGCCTCATCTCTGATCAAATATATCGCCTTCTCAGAGAAGACTCACTCCTCAATAACTCCTCTAACCTTCCATTATCTGAACCCTGCATTTACCTTAGGTCATATACATTTTTGTTTATTTTCAACTCCCCATCTCCAATCCCACAGTAGAGTAAACTCTGTAACAGTGGGGAATTTTTGTTCACTGTGGTTTCCACAGCATATAGAACAATGGCTAGCACTGAAAACTGGTGCCACTCCAGCCCTAGAGGTAAGCTCAGTTTGAAACACCAGTCCCAAGTTCACATACTGTTCTCGCCACATGACATGAAAATGACAAACATCATATTCTTTTTTTTTTTTTTTCCTTTTTATCCCAGAAGTGTGAAGTACGTCTGGCTATGATGTTCTGGTGCCTTTTTAACCATAATTTTTTGGGAAGGTATTTGTTCAAATGTCAGAAGTACCTCAAAGGGATGTAAAAGAGCGATGTTTACGTGGGTAGGATTAGGAACTCTCTTCTTCTATGTAAGATTAGCCTTTTAGAATTAAAAATAATCTAACATTTCATACATTTTAACTTTTGTCTTATTTAAAACTTACAGTGCCATATATTTATTTGTAAGCCTCAGTATACATCATTTCCCTTTTTTTAAAAAAAAAAAAAGCTTACTCTTCACTCCTCAATTTTTAAGTGTTTCATCTTTCTAGCTACTTTTTCTTGAGAATTTTTAACATGAAAAATAACACTGATAGGGTTCTAAGGAGTTAACAAATATTTTTACATAGTTATAACCCTTGAGGCTCAAAGCAGAGCAGCACAACAATTTTACTGAGGCTCGGAGAAATTAAGTGTTTTCCTAATTTTACAGAGCTTATATTTGTGAAACTCACACCCTTAACACAATTCTAACTTTCAAACTCTTGGCAAACAAGGCATTGTTCAGGGCATAAGTTCTGAGCCTTCCAAATGTTGTATAATTTGAAGGGTTTTTTTTTTTGAGGTACTGACATTCTGGTTGATATAAAATGAATATTCAAGAAATAAGCTACGGAGAAGGTAAGTGTTTTACATTCATTGAAGAGCTTCCAATTTTGTGTCTGTATTTGATTTCTCATTACAACTATACAAGGATAACAGTGCATGTGTTAGTATCCTTATCAGGCAGGATAGACAGTTATTCTGTAGTGACAAATAACCCTCAAATCCCAGTGGCTTTGCACAACCAACATTGATCTCTAGCTCCCTCTGTGTTTGCATTGCAAGCTAGTGGTGGCTGTGCAGCCTGTATTTGGCATACTGCAGATTTTGGGCAAAGAAAAGGCAGAAATATGGTGAACCACCATATCAGCACTCCTCAATTCTACCCATATTTTATTGGCAAAGTCACGTTATACATCAGCTCAATCAGAGTGAGATGTATTTGGCTTCCATAAGAGGGGGCACAGTAAAGTCCCAAGGCCAAGCCTGATATCAATGGCATTGGTAAGTACAACCTTCCTTTAGGGATTTTATTCAACAGATTGCATTATACGATCTAGTGCACGACCCAGATTGCTCAGATGAGGAAACTGGAACTCAAAGCAAGTAGGTAGTAATTGACGAATGCGGAATTCAGCTCAAGTTCATGATTCAAGTCTCAGTGTTTCCTGTACTGCGCTAAACTACACTGCTTAAGAACTCAGCCACAGCACCATAGATGTCCCTGAATAGAAGTCAGGCTAATTTCCCTTTCACCCCTATTCCCTACCTCTCTACATCTCCACTTCTATCTGTGGTAGAGCGTTGTTGAGGAATCTTATAATCGCAGAGGACCCTAAGCCTCTGAAAAGCAAAGTTAGAAAATAATTTTAAATTTTAGGCTCAATTCGGTGAGCCACAATATTTTGCAACTGTCAAAAGCAATTGGACAAGGATCGATGGGGAGATCATGGCAGACAGGAGGCAGGACTACGTTACAGCTCCAGACAGAGCAGCAGGTGGAAGCTCACATGGTGAATTTAAGCTCCACACTGACTGCAAGAACAAACCACCAATCCTGAGAGGACCCACAGACCCTCTGAAGGAAGTGGGTGGCTCCTGCAGGACCTGGGAGATACCCCAAATACTGCACTGGTGTCCACAGCTGAGAGACCCATAGGTGGTTCACATCACACGACTCTGTGCAGACAACCCCCAGTACCAGCCTGGAGATGGGCAGACTTGCTGGGTGTCTAGACCCAGAAGAGAAACCACAATCACAGCAGTTAGATTCACAGGAAGCCACATCCATAGGAAAAGGGGAAGAGTACTACATCATGGGAGCACTCATGGGACAAAAGGAACTGAACAACAGCCTTCAGCCCTAGACCTTCCCTCTGACAGAGCCTACCCAAATGAGAAGGAACTAGAAAAGCAACCAGGGAAATATGACAAAACAAGGCTTTTTAACACCACCCCACCCCCCCGCCCGCCGCCGCAAAATCACAGTAGTTCACCAGCAATGGACCCAACCCAAGAAGAAATGCCTAATTTACCTGAAAAAGAATTCAGGAGGTTAGTTATTAAGCTAATCAGGGAGGCACCAGAGAAAGGCAAAGCCCAATGCAAGGAAATCCAAAAAAATGATGCAAGAAGTCAATGGAGAAATATTTAAGGAAATAGGTAGTGTAAAGAAAAAAACAATAAAAAATTCGGGAAACTTTGGACACACTTTTAGAAATGTGAAATTCTCTGGAAAGTCTCAGCAATAGAATTGAACAAGTAGAAGAAAGAAATGGAGAGTTTGAAGACAAGGTCTTTGAATAAACTCAATCAAACAAAGACAAAGAAAAAAGAATAAGAAAATAGGAACAAAGCCTCCAAGAAGTCTGGGATTATGTTAAACGACCAAACCTAACACTAATCGGTGTTCCTGAGGAAGAAGAGAATTCTAAAAGCTTGGAAAACATATTTGGGGAATAATCAAGGACAATTTCTCCAGCCTTGCTAGAGACCTAGACATCAAAATACAAGAAGCACAAAAAACACCTAGGAAATTCATTGCAAAAAGATCATCACCTAGGCACATTGTCATCAGGTTATCCAAAGTTAAGATGAAGGAAAGAAACTTAAGAGCTGTGAGACAGAAGCACCAGGTAACTTATAAAAGAAAACCTATCAAATGAACAGCAGATTTCTTAGCAGAAACCCTATAAGCTAGAAAGGATTGGGGCCCTATCTTCAGCCTCCTCAAAGAAAATAATTATCAGTCAAGAATTTTGTATCCAGTGAAACTAAGCATCATATATGAAGGGAAGATACAGTCTCTTTCAGACAAACAAATGCTGAGAGAATCGCCATTACCAAGCCACCACTACAAGAACTGATAAAAGGAGCTCTAAATCTTAAATCCTGGAAACACATCAAAACAGAACCTCTTTAAAGCATAAATCACACAGGACCTATAAAACAAAAGTGCAAGCTAAAAAGCAAAAACAAAAAACAAAAAAAACCAAAGTACACAGGCAACAAAGAGCACAATGAATCTCACATTTCAATACTTAACATTGAATGTAATTTGAAGGCCTTAATGCTCCACTTAAAAGATACAGAACCACAGAACGGAGAACTCACCAACCAACTATCTGCTGCCTTCTGGAGACTTACCTAACACATAAAGACTCACATAAACTTAAAGTAAAGGGGTGGAAAAAGGTATTTCATGCAAATGGATGACCAAAGTGAGCAAGGGTAGCTATTCATATATCAGACAAAACAAACTTTAAAGCAATGGCAGTTAAAAGAGACAAAGAGGGGCATTACATAGTGGTAAAAGGCTTTGTCCAACAGGAAGATATCACAATCCTAAACATATATGAACCTAACACTGGAGCTCCCAAATTTATAAAACAATTATTAATACACCTAAGAAATGAGACAGACACCAACACAATAATAGTGGGGGACTTCAATATTCCACTGACAGCACTAGATAGGTCATCAAGACAGAAAGTCAACAAAGAAACAATGGATTTAAACTATACCTTGGAAAAAATGGACTTAACAGATATTTATAGAACATTTCATCCAACAACTGCAAAATACACATTCCATTCAACAGCACATGGAACTTTCTCCAAGATAGGCCATATGATAGGCCATAAAATGAACCTCAATAAATTTTTAAAAATTGAAATTATATCAAGCACTCTCTCAGACCACAGTGGAATAAAACTGGAAATCAACTCCAAAAGGAACCTTCAAAACCATGCAAATACATGGAAATTAAATAACTGGCTCCTGAAGGAGCACTGGGTCAAAAACAAAATCAAGATGGAAATTAAAAAATTCTTTGAACTGAATGACATTAATGACACAACCAACCAAAACCTCTGGGATACAGCAAAGGCAGTGCTAAGGGGAAAGTGCCCTAAACACCCACAACAAAAAAATCGAAAGAGCAAAAACTGACATTCTAAGGTCACACATCAAGGAACTAGAGAAACAAGAACAAACTAAATCCAAACCCAGCAGAAGAAAGGAAATAACCAAGATCAGAGCAGAACTAAAGGAAATTGAAGCACCGAAAAAATACAAAAGATAAGCAAAACAGAAAGCTGGTTCTTTGAAAATATAAATGAAATTCATATACCATTAGTGAGATTAACCAAGAAAAGAAGAGAGAAAATCCAAATAACTTCAATGAGAAATGAAACAGGAGCTATTACAACTGACATCACTGAAATACAAAAGATCATTCAAGGCTACTATGAACACCTTTACACACATAAACTAGACAACTTAGAAGAGATGGATAAATTCCTGGAAAAACACAACCCTCCTAGCTTAAACCAGGAAGAATTAGATACCTTGAGCAGACCAATAACAAGCAGCGAGATTGAAATGGTAATTTAAAAATTACCAAGAAAAAAAAGTCCAGGCTCAGACAGATTCACAGCAGAATTCTACCAGACATTCAAAGAAGAATCCTTTTGACACTATGCCACAAGATAGAGAAAGAAGGAACCCTCCCTAATTAATTCTATGAAGCCAGCATCACACTAATGCCAAAACCAGGGAAGGACATAACCAAAAAAGAAAACTACAGACCGATATCCTTGATGAGCATAGACGCTAAAATCCTTAACAAAATTCTAGCTAACCAAATCCAAAGACATATCAAAAAGATAATTCACCATGATCAAGTGGGTTTCATATGAGGGATGCAGAATGGTTTAACATATGTAAGTCAATAAATGTGATATACCACATACACAGAATTAAAAACAAAAAATCACATTATCATCTCAACAGATGCAGAAAAAGCATTTGACAAAATCCAGCATCCCTTTGTGATTAAAACTCTCAGCAAAGCAGCATACAAGGGACATAGCTTAATGTAATAAAAGCCATCTATGACAAAACCACAGCCAACATAATACTGAATGAGGAATAGTTGAAAGCATTCCCTCCGAGAACTGGAACAAGACAAGCATGCCCACTCTCACCACTCTTCTTCAACATATTACTGAAGTCCTAGCCAAAGCAATCAGACAAGAGAAAGAAATAAAGGGCACCCAAATCAGCAAAGAGGAAGTCAAACTGTCACTGTTTGCTGATCATTTACCTTGAAACCCCTAAAGACTCCTCCAGAAATCTCCTAGAACTAATAAAAGAATTCAGCAAAGTTTCCAGATACAAGATTAATGTACACAAATCAGTAGCTCTTTATACACCAACAGTGACCAAGCTGAGAATCAAATCAAGAACTCAATCCCTTTTTCAATAGCTGCAAAAAAAAAAAAAAAAAAAAAAAAAAAAAAAAAAAAACCTAGGAATATAACTAACCAAGGAGTTGAAAGACCTCTACAAGGAAAACTACAAAACACTGCTGAAAGAAATCATAGATGACACAAACAAATGGAAACACATCCCATGCTCATGGATGGGTAGAATCAATATTGGGAAAATGACCATACTGCCAAAAGAAATCTACAAATTCAATGCAATCCCCATCAAAACATCATCATCATCATTCTTCACAGAATTAGAAAAAAAAATTCTAAAATTCATATGGAACCAAAAAACAGCCTGCATAGCCAAAGCAAGACAAAGCAAAACATATCTGGAGGCATCACATTACCTGATTTCAAACTATACTATAAGGCCATAGTCACCAAAACAGTGTGGTACTGGTATGAAAATAGGCACACAGCTCAATGGAACAGGATAAACAACCCAGAAATAAACCCAAATACTTACAGCCAGCTGATTTTTGACATAGCAAACAAAAACATAAAGTGGGGAAAGGACATCCTTTTCAACCAATGGTGCTGGGATAATTGGCTAGCCACATGTAGGATAATGAAACTGGATCCTCATCTCTCACCTTATACAAAAATCAACTCTAGATGGATTAAGGACTTAAATCTAAGATCTGAAACTATAAGAATTCTAAAAAATAACATTGGAAAAACCCTTCTATAGCTTGGCTTAGGCAAAGATTTCATGACAAAGAACTCAAAAGCAAATGCAATAAAAACAAAGATAAATAGCTGGGATCTAATTAAACTAAAGAGCTTTTGCATGTCAAAAGGAACAGTCAGCAGAGTAAACAGATAACCCACTGAGTGGGAGAAAATCTTCACAATCTATACTAATATTCAGAATCTACAACCAACTCAAACAAGTCAGTAAGAAAAAAACAAACAATTCCATCAAAAAGTGGTCTAAGGACATGAGTAGACAATTTGCAAAAGAAGATATACAAATGGCCAACAAACATATGAAAATATGCTCAACATCACTAATGATCAGGGAAATGTAAATCAAAACCACAATGCAATACCGCCTTACTCCTGCAACAAATGGCCATAATCAAAAAATCAAAAAACAGTAGATGTGGGCATGGATGCAGCAATCAGGGAACATTTCTACACTGCTGATGGGAATGTAAACTAGTACAGCCACGATGGAAAACACTGTGGAGATTCCTTAAAGAACTAAAAGTAGAACCACCATTTGATCCAGCAATCCCATTACTGGATATCTACCCAGAGGAAAAGAAGTATTATTCGAAAAAGATACTTGCATGTACATTTTTATAGCAGCCCAATTCACAATTGCTAAATCATGGAACCAACCCAAATGCCCATCAATCAACGAGTGGATAAATAAACTGTGCTATATATACAATATGGAATACTACTCAGCCATAAAAAGGAATGAATTTACAGCATTTGCTGTGACCTGGATGAGATTGGATTCTGTTATTCTAAGTGAAGTAATGCAGGAATGGAAAACCAAACATCATACGGTCTCACTGATATGTGGGAGCTAAGCTATGGGGATGCAAAGGCATAAGAATGATTCAATGGACTTTAGGGACTGCGGGGAAGAGTGGGAGGGTGGGGGAGGGATAAAAGACTACAAATATGGTACAGTGTTTACTGCTTGGGTGATGGTTGCACCAAAATCTCACAAATCACCACTAAAGAACTTACTCATGTAACCAAATACCACCTGTACCCAAATAACTTATGGAAAAATAAAATTAAATAAAATTATGTATAAGGATTTAAAAAAAAACAATTCAACAGACTGCTTCCTATGGCCCTTTACAGCTGTAACAATCAGTGAAAACAAGATTTATTTGGCCCCTCGCCATTGATAAATCATCATTCTCTTTTCCATAATGTTCTTTTGTCATAAACACAAACATAAAGAAAAATGTTTTTCAGTGGAGAAAAACAAGACTATACCTAGTGTGGGGTAAAAGTTCTTTGTATTTTTGCTGTTTAAAAGGATGAATCTTATATAAGACAACAGTGTTACCCTTTAGAGTTCTTTTAAAGAAAAAAATGAAATAAAAATAGTGTTAGAGTCATTCTTGGTAAAAATCCAGATTGCTGGAAATTCTACAAATAACCTGATTTCTTCAACAAATATAAAGCACAGAGAAACAATTTATAAAAAGTGCCTTAGAAGACATATCAACCAACTATAATTGTGTCTCATTTGAACAAACCAACTGTAAACACGTTAATGCAAATAATAAAGGATATTTGAAACCTGATTGTATATTTAAAAGTATAGAATTATTGCTATTGTTTCCAGTTTTTGAATACTGTATCTTTTAGAGCTATATATTGCAATATTTACAGATGAAATTATATGATATTTGCGTAACAAATTTCAACACAATGTTATGGGGGAGTAGACAGGAGTATAGCTCTGAATTAATAACTGTTAAAGCTGGATTTTGGTGAGAACAATGGTATTCATTGTACTTTTTTCTTTTGTAGGTTTGAAATCTTCCATATTAAAATATTTAAGACAATTTCTGCCCAATATTTAAGACTACAGCATCAGTTTTGTTGTGCCTTTTAATTTTATAAAGCTTCATTCCTCTACTAAAACCTTTCATCTTAATTATTTATTTATAAGTTGAAACCAGAATACTCAAAAGGGAGGTCAAGTTCCAACCTTCTATGTTGTGACATTTAGATTATTGAAGCCATGGAAAAACATCACAGATATTTGTAGAATGCAGCCAGATTGACCCAAAATGAATATTTTTCTACTTATAATATGTGCTTTTGGTGGCAGAGGGTTAATGACATTTCATTTTGTGCCCACTGGCATTGAGAACAATTCGCCTGGTATTTGAAGCACATACAAAAAATAAATTTTCTTTATCTTAATTCCTTAAGTTTTAGTATTCCACTTTCTATTTGCAATTACACTAGATTTGAATATGAAGAGGAACACCCCAAGCTTAAGACCTTTCATCAATCTCAGTGTAACAAGACTCAAAAGTAAAGTAACTCCATTTTTTTTTTTTACTCTAAGAAACTCACCCACAGCATATATATTTGCAACTTAGCCTTGACCTTGGTTTGTAATGTCAACATGAGGTTCCTTTTAGTCAGCAGTTTTTCCTGCAAATTCCATACAACTATATCTGGATTTTATTTTTAATATGGCACTTACATATCTGGGATGTCAGTTTGCCAGAAAAAATCCAATATGAGATCCTTAAATATACTTAACTTGAATTGCTTGCGGCTGACACAGTAAAGATCCAGTGATGGAGTATTTAATTCATGGTCTTGGACAAGATGCTGTATTGTGCTTTGATGCAGCTCAGTCAGATGCTAGAGGAATCCAGCACAGTGGAAGCCCACATAAATGTGAGCCTTGCTCAACTAACTCTGGTAATATGAGAGGGTTGTGTGTTTTCTGCAAACACATGTTCTTCGTGTGCATGATACTTTGTGTGTGTCTGCTGCTTGTGGTGCCTGTGCCCAAGCCTAACTGCAGGAGAGGTACACACTGGGCATATAAGAAGCCTTGACATGAAGAAGGTCTATGGCAAAACTTCAGGCCACAGAGTACAGTTGTCTGCAGGTTAATAGGGTGAAACAACTCCTAATTCAAGAGTACTTGATTTAAATTTCCTTGGTAACTAGATCAGAGCTAAGATAGATTCAAATTGCTTTCTCAGAATCGCCTTGAATTTCACCATTTTTCCATTCTGTATCATTTTTCCATTTCCTTTGGGGACTTAACCACATGCATTATTCCCTTATCATTTGGTAGAGAAAAATCATTTTAAACAAAATTATTATAATTCTATTCAATCTAACAAAGCACATTTGTTTAAGACTGGTCTGGACAAAGTCGGCTTTGGCTTTTATTGTTTAACTGCTGTGTGACCTTGGGAAAATTACTTCACCTTTCTAGGCCTCCGTTTCCTAACTGGTAAAGTGGAAAAAGATATAAACATACACCCAACGTGAAAGATGGTGATACAAGAAAGAGAACAAAAAGAAACATGTTCATAGGGAATAATGAGCCCTCAAGGTTGAATCTTTTCAATCTAGTCTCATTTTTTGAATGCTTGCAGTATAATGGATAGAGCATATGATAATGGATTTTAATCGTCATAATAATTACAATAATATATTTTAAAAGATGAGACAGTACTTGCATACAAGGGTTCACAGTTCGGTTGGGGGACAAGTGAGAAAACAAGTTGCAACATCAGCCATCAGTAAGCACCATGTCACAGGGAAGAGGGGGCCTACTGGGGATCAAGAGATGGGCAAGTTCTGCCAGAGAGACTCAGGGGTGGTGTTGCCAAGGAGGTGAATTTTACTGGGTTTGTGAAGGAAAATTAAGGTTTTGACTGTTGAAGTAGTTTTGAAAGGTTGGCCCAAACAAGTTTAAAGCCAAGTAGATGTGAAGAAAGGTATTATTAAAAATTCTGGCTGGGCATGGTGGCTCATGCCTGTAGATCCCAGCACTTTGGGAGGCCAAGGCAGGCAGATCACTTGAGGCCAGGGGTTCAAAACCAGCCTGGCCAACATGTTGAAACCCCGTCTCTACTAAAAATACAAAAATTAGCAGGGCGTGGTGGCGTGCGCCTATAATCCCAGCTACTCGGGAGGTTGAGGCAGGAGAATCACTTGAACCTGGGAGGCGGAGGTTGCAGTGAGCTGAGATTATGTCACTGCACTCCAGTCTGGGCAAATAATTATAAAAATAAAAATAAAATAAGATAAAATAAAATTTCAAGGACTTTATATTAGAATAAACCTCACATACAGACTGGTGGTAGTGGGATAGAGATAGAGGAGATCAGAACTATAAAGAGCTTTCCATTTGGACTTGGTCATGAAAGCAATGGCAGGTAGCTTTTCAGAAATACAAAGCAAGGAGACATAATCATATTGACCACAGAAATTAGGGATTTGACATGTAGCATTTCTATGCATGATGTTAACTTCGTTCTCGAATAGTTGTTGACAGAAGATTCATTTGATGAATCCAATTTTTCCGAAATTGACAATTCTGATGATTGAGATGATTCTGATGTTAGTTCTGTTTAGAAATAACTCCAAGAATAGTTTTTAAATTTTATTTTCACATTGAAAAGCATCAGATTTGCTTCAGCCTCAAAGAGCATGCTTATGTAAAATTAAATAAGTGTGGGCTGCGAGCTGCGCTTATTTTTTCTAAACGGGAAAAGGGTTAAACTCTTGAATCACCGTTTTTCCTTTCCTTTTACTTTTCTTTCTGCTCTTCTCTGCACCAATGTGCTTGTGTTTTGTTAATTTCTGGTCATTCAATCTTTTACCCATTATAGACTGACTTGTAGGCATATCCACCTTTATGTATTTAAAATGAATGTACGAGCTAATTTTATCTCACAGAGAGAAGTTATTAAGAGGTGAGACAATCAACATGGAATTGGATATATGTTTATTCATCACAGCCTCCTCGCACTCCATATCCAGGCACCATACAGTGAGATATTAAGAGGTGACAAAATGTCATTACAATACCAGATCTTGTTTCTCAGGCTATATTTAAACTCCAACTCTTCCAGCCACTGAAAACTGTAGCAGAGGGCAGCTCACACAAAACACAATGAGCCAGAGAGAGGCTTTGTAATAATTTACACTTATTTTGTGTTAGCAGATATTTTTAGAGGATTGAAGTGGAAAACTGGCTGCTATACATAGCACTCAATATGAAGCCTTTTTACAGACCACAGGGGGATTCCTATTTATTTTTATAGATGGAGAAATTTTTTTTCAAAAATGAGGAACACACACACTAACAAACAAAGCAAAAACAAACAAAATCATCTCCTAACTTTTTTTTTTTTTTTTTTTTGCCTCAAAGGAAGCACTGTAGGAAAAAAGTCACAGAGTAAAGTCACAGGATTGTAAAGCTGGACAGGACCATAAAGACCATTCCTTCCAAACCCCTCAAATTACAGATGAGGAAACAAGCTAAGGGAATGTGCAACTTTCCCAAGGTCACAGTTAGTTAACTTTTCAGCAGGGACTAGAATTTAAATCTTTTAAATCCCAGTCCAGTCCCCTTAAACAGTAAGAAAAGGTGGAAAACAAGTGCTATTTCCCCAGGAATCACTTATCTATTTGCAAAAGGAGGTTTGGCCTAACAGAAAAGAGACGAGTCTACGTTACCATATGGTTTAAAATATGGAGTAGTTATCCCAATGCCTTCTGGAAAGTTCTTTTAGGCAAGTTCAGCATCTTCCTGTTGGGTTTCCTGGCTGCTCCGAGAAACTTGGAGGGCCCATGGTATAACTTCTACAGACTTGCGTACAAGAGACTGAACCAGCAGCTTCTGAATTATGATCCCTGAGCTATTTGCGGTTTGGCACACCTTGCAGTTTAGCAAAGAAGTAAATTTCAATTTCTAGAAGAGTGAACTTGGGAAAGGGGAGGAAAAGAAATGGTTTTAACTGAAAGGTGAAACACAAACTGTGGATTTTACCATGAATGACAGACAGTTATTTCATTGTGTATGAAATCCATTTGAAAAGGGAGAACACTCTAAAAAGGCCATAATAACAAAAACACAGCATCATGGCTATGTGTGCTAGTTGCAGGGCTGGCCAGACCACTTGCTGTAACTCTCAGGACTTTCAAAGAAGGCCACTGGGATGAAAGAAAAATCCATCTGTATGCAGCAAAATGCAGTCTCTTTTCTGATATGAAGAAATAATTATTCTCAAAGATCTTGCGGTCGTTGCCTCTACCCCTTGCAGTAGAGTGAGGAACAGCATAATAGCATTCACTAGGGAGAAATCCTATATGTCCCTGGCAGTGTGTTGGAACATACCAGGGAAAATTAACAGCTTCAAGTCAAATAGGTTCCTGGATCACAGAAACTTCCTGTTGAGCATTCATCATTTAGTTTCAATTTTTTCAACTGGCCATGTTTTACTCTAATACACAGCCTCGTGTACACTTGCACATGCACATGTGTGCACACACACACAATCACACACTTGGCCCTGAGGTAGACACATGGCTACAATGTTCTTATTGTCCCAAATTGAATTTGACTATACAGTAAGGCAGCTGGATAATGATAGTTTTACAAGGTCTGGAGATAATTTATCAATTGAACTTCAAAGTTCTCTCAGCCTGTCTGCATTGGTCATTATTAAGTAGGAAAATATGTAATCATTTGAGAAGAAAAATATTAGATTTAAACTAAGGTCAACTAGTCCTGAATCAATGTAAGTTTCCAAGATACCATCCACCCCCATCTCCTTGTTTTCTTAATTGGCTATTCCTTCAAACACAGTCCTCACTTCCTTATGTCTTTAGATCAGGGATAGAGAAGTCTATAGAGATAAATAAGAAAGAATGTGTGTATTTCCTATTATTCCAATAAAAGAAATTTAATAAGGTGTCTTCTTAAGCTCAAAAATTAGAAAAGAGTTGGTAGTTTGGAAATTTGCTTCTTGTTGAGATTGCAAGGCAATATGCATCTGAAATTTAGAAATGAACAAGATCGAAAAACAGGGTAAGACAGCAGGAATTTGAACATCCCCACTATCTCCCAAAAGCCTTGGAAGCAACTAATTCTTATGGATAAGTTAGTGTTTACTGGCACTGTGTAAAGCAAGCATTTGTGCATTTCACTTTCAGAACATCCTTGGAAATAGGGACTCTTTCAACTACCATTTTACATATGAGAAGAACTGATGTTAAACTGCTTATATTAATAGTTAACAGCTGGTGAAGTTGGCACACGGGAACAGGATGGTTTGACCCCTAAGTCTATTCTGTTAATAGCACACTGTGAATGAGAAACAATGGGAACCCTAGAGCTGGTCTTTTCAAAGTTAAGAACAAATGCTATGTTTAAAATATGTTTCATTTCTAGCTTGTAACTAAAGTACAAACAGAAAAGAACACAGATATGTGACAGGTTAAGTAACAGTTCAGGATTGCTCTTGTTCTTGTTAACAATTTATGGTTAAGTTGACTCTCAGTTAGCAGATAGTTATTTAATACCTGTATTTTCAAAGGACTGTTCTTTGGCATCATGAAGAGATATTTTTTTAAAGAGATAAGACACGATATTTGCCCCCGGCTTTCACTGTTAACGATTTAATAGCAAACGTAACACATGTGCCAAAATAATTCCAGGAGAAGCCCAACGAATATCATATTCTAATGAAAGCACACACACAAAAAAATCTGTCCAGGAATGGTTGCATTTTAATTGAGAATTAAAGATAGATTATAGAGAGAATTTGAGAGGCTGAGGCGGGGCACAAGATTTTCTTGGTAGGACAAATGCTGACAGCAAAAGCCCAAGGAGTTAAAGTTCAGGCCCAATTCAAGGGTTATCTAGTACATTACCCTCACTAGTGAATATCAGTGACTTGTGTGTAGGAATTGTGGAGGAAAGTAAGATTGAGTCCATGTTTCAGCTCTTTGCTTGTTTTTGTTTTGTTTTGCTTTTTGCTAAACTAGTTGTTTATAGTACTGTCATGTTGGAGTGGCACAAATCACTATGCCAACAATTGCTAGGACTGGAAATCTTCACTAAAACATTCTACTTATGAATTTAATTTGGACACCTTTAGTTATTTGTAGTGGTGTTTAAGACTCAAATACCCCAAAGGAACATCAATATTAAAAATATGTTATAGCACTTCTGCAAATCAATATAGAGTCTTTGAGATTATTTCTTTTATGTAATAAATACTCATTTCTGCATTATCTGATGATATTCCCATAGCCTATCAAGAAAACTCAAGATAATAATCAGTTGGGATGATTAATATAAACATCTCCCAAAAACAACCAAAAGGAGTTTGTTTTTTTTTTCCCTTCTGTTTCCATTTGGCTATACATATGGAATCAGATAACACTAAATTATCTACAACATCTCAAGGGGCCGAAACCGAATAAAGTCTTAAACTCCTGAAACACTTTGTTGTTGTTTGGTTGGTTTAGTTTGGTTTATTTGGGTTTTTATTTTTGCAATGTGCTTGGAATTAGGGGAATAAAAAGAAAGGTAGAAATGTAGTTCGTCCCTGGAGTCCCCGCTAAGTTGATTGTCATCTTTACTCCCACAAACATTATATTTTTTACATCCTTTACAAATCCTGGTTGTTCCTTTGCTCCCATGTGTCACACAGCTAAAATTTAACCAGCAGGGAAGTTAAAACATTGAAATACCAAGTTGTCTCCCATCTTAGAAGGCAGTGCATTCTATGCACAATAAATAAATAAATAAACTTACTGGAAATAAACGAGGTTGAATAGATGCACTAAATCTTTCCTAGATTTAGTTTCCTAGAGAGGTAAAGTGAAAGCCCCCAGGAAGTGCAGTAGTTTGTGGCCCCATAAATGAAAATAAAGAGGATCCCAAAAACCTGTTGTTTGCACCTAGAAACAAATGTCTAGTTCATTATTTAAGAACTAAGATGCAAATGCATGATTTAAATCTAAGCTCTTGGCCTGATGTAGCATCTGACTAAACTCTCAGTATTAGTAGAATCAATGCAGAGAGCTTCATGCTTATGGGTTGGAAAACATGGGGACATCTTCTTTTCCTCAAATATTGCAAACACATCCATGTGAAGGTATTTTTTTCTTTTCAATCACGGCTCTTATTTTAGCATTAAATGGGATTTTTTAAAATAGAAATTTGCTTCATAGAGAGTATTTACTTAAAAATACTTTTTGAGGGTGTTGGTATGAAATTAAACTGCTTAAGAGTAGAGATTTTGATTTCATGCTTAATTTAAATTTAATTTAAATTTGACATCTGACCCAAATCTCCAATAGTTCACAGAGGCACCTCTCAGGAATCTTTAAACTTCCTTCAATATTTTGACCCTCTCTTTTCTTTCTAGTGTATTTTACTTTGCTGCATCTGTGGACAAATACCATTGTCCATTTTGATTGTCCATGTGTTATTCTCTTACTCAAAGGCAAAAATCCTTTTTATTTCAATTATCTTATCAAATCAAAAGTTCAGATTCCTTTAGTAAATTTGAAAGCCTCCTTACATCTAATTCTTTCTTACCTATC
Source organism: Homo sapiens (assembly GCF_000001405.40). NCBI lineage: Eukaryota > Metazoa > Chordata > Mammalia > Primates > Hominidae > Homo > Homo sapiens. Next base: position 85,795,331 of record NC_000014.9, on the reverse strand, counting down.
CAAACTTTTTTTACCTTGTTAACCACTTCCATCTTTTCTTGGTCTTCCTGTGCCTCTTCCCCACACATCCATGCCCCCACACCTACATGCCCACTTTCACCACTTTATCTTTGTATAATTCTCCTTCTTTTTTTCGTGAAAACTATGTGTACTGTTTCTCTGAATTTAACCAACCCTTCAACGCCCAGCTTAAATTTTCTTTTCTCCCGCGGCACATAGTGCACTGTGCCTTTGGTGTATTTCTATTGCATTTGCAAGACAGTATTATAAATTTAACATACTGTAAGCATCATACTTTACGTTTCCCTTGTTTTGTGAAAAGTAGTTGCTACAGTACTGTGAGCACAGTAAGTCCTTTGTAGATATTGATTGATTGATAGCTGCTTACATGGTTAATTTCCTTCCAGCACCTCTGTAAAGATACAGTAAATTTTAAGAAATCACCATGTATTCTATCCTTGTACAACTGTAAAGAAATCACCTGGCATTTGTGTTCGGTTGTTTCAAAGCCTAGATATACTGTTAAATATCTATATACATCAAGAAAAGGCCATAGCTGCAAATTAAAACTAACTCACCATTGCAAAATGTAGCATAATTAGGTGCATTATGGGATTCAGTGACCACACATATCAAGATCCTTCTACTATGGTCTCTTAAAAACTGGAACACAGGCCAAATAGAGTCAATTACTATAAATAAAACATAATTCCAGTGACACACAAGCCCTTCTGAAGCATCACTGATATATATTCAATGGTGTTCTGTGGAGCTGCAGATGAGTGGTAAAATATCACAGTTCACAGGGGTTGCATTGTATTATATGTATGGCAAACTTCTTCTCTGCCTCCTTATTTTTCAGCAAACATATCAGAGAAAAGATGTCCCCATTATATGATGGATTTTTTCCTGAAGTATGTATGTTTTGTGAGTTTGTAAACTTTTGTGTGAGTTAAATTCTACTTTTTGCCCCCATTGTCTAATAAGGGGTTTACATTTCAGATTTATGTTATACTTCTTTTTCTAAAGAAGCCCTATTCCAAATTTCAAATTTTTCTGCCCTGCCTTCAGTACTGTTATTTTAAAAATCTTTATCCATGATTAAATGATAAAATTTATCTGAGAAACTGTTTTTAAAAGTCTGGTAGTAAATATTTTTGCTATAGTCACTGTACTGATTTACCTGCTTCATCATTGATTTATCTGTATTCTCTTGATATGCTCTTGTACTGACAAAATCTTTAGTTGACCATTCTTTCTCCTTTTTTTCTGGACTCAGTTTCCAACATCTCTTTTTCTCTCTTACTCTTTCTTATTTTTCTGCAGTTTGAGAGTCAGAAAGAACAGTAAATGTGCTCAAATCCTTCCAACATTTGTAAAGTTCAGAACCATTTTTATAACTACTGTTGTTTTTGTTTTAAAAAACTCTTAATTTTAAGCAAAAATTTTTGTTTTAATAGTGGGTACCCAAGGAGATTAACAGAGAAGGTACTTATCCACAGTAGCAGATATGCAATTTCCCAGAGCATATGTCTGTCAGTAATAACTTGTCAGATCGGGTGAAATTCTGATAAGATGACAGTTATCAGTATGTAGCTATTTTTGTCACTATGATTGAAGACCTGAACATTTGCCAAAAAATCATTTTCAGCAATGTCTCCTTAGAATATATTTTTCTGAGCATTAAAATAAGCTGAGACCTTTTTTTGTACTTGCACAGTGCAACTGTGGGGACAAAAGCTGACAGCTAGATTAGAACCAAACAAGAAGGGTCAATAGGAGTCCCTTGGTGGAGAATGATATGGTCACAGCGACAGAGAAAATTTCCCTTTGCGCTCTGGAATCATAGATATAAGGATGCTACAAACCTGAGGTGTAGATGACCATTTTTGAAACCACAAAAGAAATCAGATCAAAGAAAAAGAAAGAAAGAGATAAACAGATCAAGCCTCATGAACTTGTTTGAACATTTAGATTGAGACAGGCCTAAAATCAGCTGTACCTCTTCGGATTTCCTAATTCTATCAGTGAATAAATTCACTTCTGTGTTTAAAATGTTGTGAACAGGGTTTCTATCACGTAAAATTTGGTTTCCCTTTCCAATAATCCAGAATAATGGTTTTGAACATGTACACTATTGACGTGGATTTTGCTTACCCTGTTTGCTGGCTTACTGTCCCTCTTTTATATGCTGATGGGCATGCCATATTTATTGACCTAGCATTGGAATTAAATTATAAAGACTTTGCACAGAATAGTCTCCCAGAACTGGTCCAGCCATGATTTACCTTCAATGTGAACTGTGAGCTTTCTACCTATGGTTGTGAAAAAGCAGCCCTGATCTGTATGTGTCAGTTAGAAATCGCACAAATAACCCACACCAGTACGACTACACATTCGACCCAAGGTCTTCCCCTGGGTGCATTGCCAAGCAGCCAAAAATATCTTTTGTGTTTTCCCTGCAGCCTCAGTCTTTACCTCAGCGCGCCCTTTGGAGAACCCCACACCACATGGGTCATATTCTGGAAGGTGCTTGCTCTCCAAAGGCCAGCAAAGCAGCCCATGAAATTTATTCCACTGGAGAATCTCCCTTTCATGATCGGTGGCCAGACACCACGGCAGGACATGCAAGAAAGAATCTGGACAGGTAAGGGCATTGGCTGCCCTGTAAATTGCATTGTAGGAGGATCCACCTATTCAGTCCTCCCTGAGGTCTGCCTGTCCTAGAGGGTTCTCTTCAGAAACAGGATCCAATGTATTTGTTAACCCATGAGGTTTCTCCACTTTAATTTTTTTCTAAATTTCAACTTTCATTTTAGCTACAGGGGGTACATGTGCAGGTTTGTTGCATGAGTATATTACACCCAGGAAGTAAGCATAGTAACCAATAGGTGGTCTTGCAACTCAGGCCCACTTCCCTCCCTCCCCCTTCTTGTAGTCCACAGTATCTGTTGTTCCCCTGTTTATGTCCATGTGTGCTCAGTGTTTCACTCCCACTTATAAGTGATAACATGTGGTATTTGTTTTCTCTTCCTGCATTAATTCACTTCGAATTATGGCCTCCAACTTCATCCATGTTGCTGCAAAGGACATGATTTCATTCTTTTTTGTGGTTGCATACTATTGAGGCCTGCTTTCCTTTTATGCAGCTTCTTAGCATTTCTTTTTCTTTTAATCTGTCACATTAATACTGTAAACCAGATATATATATATATTTCTCTTAAAGACATACAGTGAAAAAGGATTGTACTGTATTGATCACCACAGACCCATATACTTGAGAAACTTTTGAAAATAAATGTCACAGTCCTATAAAACAAATCTGATGATTAGACTATCAGTATATTGTCATTTCTAAGACTATTTGTTGAAATGTTTTACCTCCTGAAAAATAAATGACATTTAATTTTTGGCCTTGCATGACTTTTTTGTGAATGGTATTGATTTGCAAAACATTCCTTATTGCCTGTAATCCCAGCACTTTGGGAGGCCAAGGCAGGTGGATCACGAGGTCAGGAGATCGAGACCATCCTGGCTAACACGGTGAAACCCCGTCTCTACTAAAAATACAAAAAATTAGCTGGGCATGGTGGTGGGAGCCTGTAGTCCCAGCTACTCAGGAGGCTGAGGCAGGAGAATGGCGTGAACCCGGGAGGTGGAGCTTGCAGTGAGCCAAGATTGCACCACTGCACTCCAGCCTGGACGACAGAGCAAGACTCCGTCAAAAAAAAAAAAAAAATCCTCATTTAGAGATCAAATTTAAAGTCCAATTTCATTTGGATAACAACAAGAAATACAGGCATACCTGGGAGAGATTGGGGATTTATTTCCAGACCACTCCAACAAAGCAAATATATCAATAAAACAAGTCACATAATTTTTTGATTTGCCACTGCATATAAAAGCTATGTTTATACTAGACTGTACTCTATTAAATGTGCAATATCATTATGTCTAAAATAACAATGTCCATACGTTCAGTTAAAAATATTTTATTGCTAAAAATGTCAACTGTCATCTGACCCTTCAGCAAGTCAGGATCTTTTTGCTGGTATCTTGCCTTAATGTTCATGGCTGCTGGCTGATCAGGATGGTAGTGGTTGCTGAAGATTTGGGTGGCTGTGACAATTTTCTCAAATAAGACAACAATGACATTTCCTGCATCAATGAACTCTTCCTTTCACAAAAGATTTCTTTGTAGCTGTTATGCTGTTTGATAGCATTTCAGCCACAGTAGAACTTCTTTCAAAATGGTAGTCAATACCTTCAAGCCTTCCTGCTGATAAAGTTCCTTCTTTATCAAAGTTTATATAACATTCTAAATCATTTGTTGACACTTCAGCAATGTTTACAGCACTTTCACCAGGAAGTAGATTCCATATTAAGAAACCAGTTTCTTTGCTCATCCATATGAAGCAACTCTTTACCCATTCAACTTTTATGTTGAGATTGCAGCAATTCAGCCAGATCTTAAGACTCTGCTTCTAATTCTAGTTTCTTTGTTTGTTTGTTTTACTATTTCCACCATATCTGCAGTGACTTCCTGCACTAAAGTCTTGAACTCCTCCAAGTCACCCATGACAGTTGGAATCAACTTCTCCCAAAGTCCTGCTAATGTTTAATGTTGATATTTTGACTTTACTCCCATGAATTATAAATGTTTTCAATGGCATGTAGAATAGTGACTCCTTTCCAGAAAATTGCCAATTAACTTTGCTCAGATCCAGCAGAGGAATCACTATCTATGGCATCTGTAGCCTTAAGAATGTATTTCTTAAATAATAAGATTTGAAAGTTGAAATTTCTCCTTGGTCGATGGGGTGCAGAATGAATGTTGTGTTAGTAGGCATGAAAACAACATTAATCTCCTTGTACATCTTCATCACAGTTCTTAAGTGTCAATTGCAACTCAAGCCCACTTCCCTTCCTACCCCATCTTGTAGCTTGCAGGTATCTATTGTTCCCATGTTTACGTCCATGTGTGCTCAATATTTTACAATATCTTCAAAAAATCATAATACATTGAAAGAAATATTATTCCTGAACTGTTGGTGTCAACATTGGGCTTAACATATTTAGTAAACCATTTTGTAAACAGATGTGCTGTCATCCAGGCTTTGTTATTCCGTTTATAGAACACAGGCAGAGTAGACTTAAAATAATTCTTATGAGCCCTAGAATTTTTTCAGAATGCTAAATGAGCATTGGCTTCAATTTAAAGTCACCAACTGCATTAGCCCCTCATAAGGGAGTCAGCCTGTCCTTTGAAACCAAGCATTAGCTTCTCTTCTCTAGTTATGAAAATCCTAGATGGCATAATCTTCCAATAGAAAGCTATTTCATCTACAGTGAAAATCTTTTGTTGAATGTAGCCACTGTCACCAATGATCATAGATAGATCCTCTGGGTAATTTGCTGCAGCTTCTACATTAGCACGTGCTAGTTAACCTTGCACTTTTATGTTACAGAGACGACTTCTTTCCTAAAACCTTATAAATCAACCTTTGCTAGTCCCAGACTTTTTTTCTGCAGCTTCCTCACTTCTCTCAGCCTTCACAGAATTGAAGAGAGTTAGGGCTTTGTTCTGGATTAGACTTTGGTTTAAGAAGATGTTGTGGCTGCTTTGATCTTCTATGTAGATCACTGAAACTTTCTCCATTTCAGTAATAAGATTGTTTCACTTTTTGTTTAAATCACTCATGTGCTCACTGGAGTAGCACTTTTAATTTCCTTCAAGAACTTTTCCTTTGCTTTCTCAATTTGGCTCATTGTTTGGCACAAGAGACCTACTCTTTGGCATTTCTTGGCTTTCCACATGCCTTCTTCATTAAGCTTAATCATTTTTTAGCTTTTGATTTAAAGCAAGATACGTGAGATTCTTCCCTTCACTCAAATATATAGAAGCCATTGTAGGGTTATTAATTAGCCTAATATTATTATATCTCAGGAAATAGGAAGTCCCATGGAGAGGAAGAGAGACAAAGGAAGGGCCACACAGTGGAGAAGTCAGAAAACACACAACATTTATAGATTCATTGTATTGTCTTATCTAGGAATAGTTTGTGGTGGCCCAAAACAATTACAATAGGAATATCAAAAGTCACTGATGACAGATCACCTAAACAGATTTAATAAGAACAACTTGGAAATATTGTGAGACTTGTCACCATATTGTCACCAAAATGTGACACAGAGACTTGATGTGAGCATATACTGTTGGAAAAATAGCACCAATAGACTGGCTTGATTCAGGATTGCCACAAATCTTCAATTTTTTTTAAAAGCAATGTCAGCAAAAATGCAATAAAGTGAAGTGGAATAAAACAAAACTTGCATGTTTCTCTCTGTTACATGCTTTTCTTTGATTTTGGTATATTGTATTTGTTTTAACTTTAAGAAAGCATTTCAATCCAAAGAAAAAAAACTAAATAATTAAGTTTTTAAAATAAATCTAAAATTTACGACAAAATTCATTTATACACACACACTCTCACACACACACATTCATAGATACTCCTAACCCCTGAATAAATAACAAAGTATGAAAACCTACCAAGGAAATGGAAAAAGACCTCTCTTGGCTTAACCTGTTTTGAGAATATGTCTGTTAACTAAATTTTGCACGTGATCTGAAGTGTGAGCCAAGGAAGTACATATGGTGAAACTTTAGCAAATACTTACTAGGGGAGTAACCCACAAAGGAATTAAAGATCCTAGCCACATATTTAATTTTTTCACCCAAACTGTTAAAAGTTATGTCATTTTTCACTGGAGAATGTAGGTTGGCTAATGGATTTAACACTACCATTTGGTCTAATTTCCTGATGTCTGCTCCAATCATTGTATGTGCCTCTTTATAGAGAGAAAAAAAAAAATAGGGCATTATCTCCTTGTTTTTTGTGTTCTCACACAGGATCTCTGTTATTTTTTATTCATTGAAAGCTGATGTTGGTTGAAAAAGAAACAGTTCAGTATCGAGATGAGTTTTAATGTGGTATATCTATCCCTGAAACCAAAATAACAGAGATAAAAACATTTTCCAACACAAACCACATTTTTTAGGTCAGGGTGGAAAACCTGGAAGAAAGAATAAGTGTTTTACTCTATTTATATAAAATGTGTCTTCTGGTTTTAATAATTTTTATACTTTTCTATCTAATCTAGTTCTATTTTTCATATTTTATGTTGCTTCTTTCTAACAAACCACCATGTCAATGACTATTCTAGTAATTGTACTTATCTTCTGGATGGTTTGGGCTACCACTTTTTACCTTGCCTTTCCCAGATGAAAGAACCCTATGTGTGAAGTAGATCTGCTTGTCCACTAAATATTTTTAATCTGTGCTTTGAAGCTCCATTTTAGAAGGTTTGGTACTCTGATCTTTTGAGGGTTATATAGAAGCCTAGGAATCTGATTAAAATGTTTCACAGCATTTATTACTTATCTAAACAGTCATCGAAAATGAATAAAAGTTTAGAGACAGAGCTGGGTTCTAATCATGGCCGCATCATTTATGAGCTCTGTAACCTTGGATTACTTCTATAACTTTTCTAAATTTACTTACTTATCAAAGACAGATCAATTGTTTCTACTTTCACAAGAATGTTATGAGAAATAAGTAGTCTGATGCACAGACTCAGTAGAATGTTCAACAAATGACCAATGCTCAAAATAAATGAATTATTCAATTATTATTATTATTATTACATTACTAAAATCATCAATTCAGTGTTAATCCCCTCATATCATTAAGTTTTTATATGCAGAAAAATATTTTGTTTGAGCCATGTTAGAACAGTCAGAAAAAGAGGCAAACATCTGTTTTAGAGTTCTGGTTTATAATTATTGTTGTGTTGTTAGTTACCATGATTTATGCCCTCCTGAATGCATACTGCCTATCCACAAGTTCACCTCTAACTTGCAATATACAAATTTAGAAGACAAATGCTAGTCTTCAGTCATCTTGTAGTGAAAGCCAATTCTACTAAAGCCTGAAGAAGTAATTGTAATGTTATCAGTAGTATATTTATTTGCTTATTTTTAAATTTATGGCTTATTTTCTGCTATATTCCAAAATACTTTATTAGGTAGATAGAAACAAAATAGGTAGACAGATGGATAGATACATAGATGGATAGATAGATGATAGATAGATGCACGAAAAATCACACATACAATAAGAATTAGATTATCATATAACAAATTTAGGGTAGTGATTACCAGAAAATAGTCTTTTATTTCATTTAGAAACTAAAGTGAAGGGAAAACAGGGAGCAAGAGAAATCATGGAGCTGCAATAGAATTGGGGGTAAAAATGGGCTCAGTTAAAAGGAATGTCATTTATGAAAATGCACTAGGTGTTCCAAACTGTGTTAGATATTAGTATATCACACTTCATTCAATTCACACAGCAACTTCATTAAGTAGGTGCTACTATGCCTGTTTTAGAGATGTATAATTGGTGGTAACAGCTACACAGAGACTAAAGGACAGACATGATTCACACTCCAAACTGCCTAAACTCACTGCTTACTATTTAAAGAAGAGATGTATAATAATTGCAGGGAAGTTACATAGACCCTGGATTTTCTGTTCAAATGCAAATTACAGAGGGGAAGTAGTTAAGTAATATGTGTGTTTCTCATAATTTTTGAGCTCACTATAATCCATACCCAGAGAAGAATAGTTTATGCTAGTTATTCACTAATTCTGTATTTGCAAATTCGACTATGCACTAAAATTTATTTGTAACCCTCAACTCCATATTCACAGTGATTTTGTGATCATTAAGAGGCATATGTAAGTGGAAAAAAATGTAAGTCACCATTACCCAAGTGCACCTTCCTGAATAAGGTCAAATAAGATAATGGGTGCACTGCCTTCTTGTCTCAGCTCTCATGCTGTAAACAAGCATTCTTTTTGTGGCCTATCTGGTGTCATGATTTCTGTATTTCTGTGCTTTTCATTGGTGATTTCCTGTTCAAAATGGCCTCAAGCATTGCTTTCTAGTGTTCCTAAGTGCAAGAAAGTTGTGATGTGTCTTACAAAGAAATAACGTGTGTTAAATGAGCTTTGTTCAGGCTTGAGTTATAGGGCTGTGAGTTCAATGTTAATGAATCAACAATATATATTAAATAAAAGGACTAAATAGAAACACACTTAAAACATGACTCTGTACTAATTTGTTAATGAAAAGACTGTGACCAGAGGCTTGCAGCAATCTAGCTGTGCTATTTCCTCTGGGAGTAATGATGCAGTATTTGCTAATTCAGTGTTCACAATACTTTGAAGAACAAAAATACTACAAATAATATCAACTTTATCTCATCTAAAAAATATGGTCTGGCTAGGACATTAAAATAGTGCTCCTAACTCTCTCATACACTTACATGAGTGGGTAGAGTTGGTATTTCAAATTTGAGTGGGTAGAGTGGGTAGAGTTGGTATTTCAAATTTGACTTATAAAAACTCTTATTAAAATCCTTATCCTCTGTTGTTTGTTTATAACAGTCCAACTTGAGGATCGCTCTTACACTTTCTCCCCAGCAAATTCATTCATCCACAAGGGGCTTTCCCCACATCATGAATTGCCCATTTCCTTTCAACTCACCTTGGTAAGAGCTGCCTGACATAATGCCATAGTTCTGAATTATACTGAAAAGACATTTCTTCTCCACCCCAGCATATCCTTGTGTGGAATCAGTTGTTCTTTCAGCCTTTGATTTCTCTTGAAAATCAAGCTGCATAAGTTTTGTGGTTCCTATCCTTTTCCTAGAAAATTATACAGGGGGAATATTGCTCAAGAGGCAAGCAGACAAAGGAATTGGAGAAAGTTTGTGAAGGTCAGCTCCACATGTGAACACCAAGGCATGGGGAAAGGTGAGAGCTTATTGTTCTGTGAGCAGACAGTGACTCCTACTTCCCACAGCCAGGTTCCATGGCCAGATGATCTCTCTCTGTCTCTCTCGCTCTCTCTCTCTGTCTCTCTCTCTCTCTCTCTTCCTCTTCTTCCCCCTCCAACCTTTAAATTGAGAGGGAGGGTGAGGCAATAAAATGATTAATTTATTGCATCTGCATAGTAAAAGACACAACACCAATAAATACAATTCCACGTGACACTCAAGGCTGGCGTCCTTTCCTGTATATACTCGTAACACCAGTAGATAGCTCACTTTTTTTATATAAAAAGAATGCATTTTGCTAATGAGAGCTTCTAAGCTTACTTTTGCCCTTTGGGAAATAACTTAATAAAATTGTAGCATTGTAGCATTCCAACTCAGTGCCGTCTCTTAAGAAGTCTACCACCTTGGCCAGTTTTAATTAAGCACTACAGTTACCTCTGTCTTTAGGTAGATACTTTTTAGTACAGGCAGAATCCAACAATTTCTCACTCCTTCCACTGTTACCACCATAGTTCAAGTGACTCACCTCAAAAACTACTGCTGTAGCCTCCCAGTAGAAATTCTTTTCCACAGAGCTGCGAAAAGAATGCTTTCAAAATCTGTCTTCATTCCTTCACTCAAAATTCTCTAAGGACTTTCTTCTCACTAAGAGTTAAGTTCAAAATCTTTATCAAGACCAACAAAGACTTAGATATCCAAGCCCCTCTCCTACCATACTCCTCCCTAACTCCAGACACACTTGTCTGTGCTGTTTATTCAATGTTCCAGACATGGCCCAGCCTCAAGTCCTTCACAATTGCTGTTTCCTTTTCTCCTGATCTCAGCAGAACTCTCATTCTCATCAATGGTCATGGTTCAAAGGTTATCTCTTCAGAGAAACCTCACACAATGGACCTTTCTAATTGTACCCTCCCTCATCACTGGCGAGGCTGTAAAGAAAAAGGAGTGCTTATGCACTGTTGGTGGGAGCATAAATTAGCTCAGCCATCGTGGAAGACAGTGTGGAGATTCCTCAAAAATCTAAAGGACCTAAACACAGAAATACCATTCAACCCAGCAATCCCATTACTGGGTATATACCCAAAGGAATATAAATTATTCTATTATAGAGACACATGCACACATACGGTCACTGCGGCACTATTCACAATAGCAAAGACATGGAATCAATCTAAATGCCCATTAATGATAGACTGGATACAGAAAGTGTGGTACATATACATCATGGCGTACTATGCAATTATAATAAAGAAAGAGATCATGTCTTTTGCAGAGACATGGATGGACCTGGAGGCCATTATCCTTAGCAGACTAACTCAGGAACAGAAAACCAAACCACATGTTCTCTCATTAGTAGGAGCTAAATGATGAGAGCACATGGACACATAGAGGAAACCAACACACACTGGGACCCTTCAGAGGGTAGAGGGTGGGAGGAGGGAGAGGATCAGGAAAAATGACTAATGGATACTAGGCATAATACCTGGGTGATGAAATAATCTGCACAAAAAACCCCCACGACACAAGCTTACCTATGTAACAAACCTGCACCTGTACCCCTGAACGTAAAAATAAAAGTTAAAACAATCACAAAACTCTTTCATAGTAATATTTAAAATTTAAAACTCAGTCTACACAACTATTAATTTCATGTTTTGATGATATTTTCAGAGTTTATTCAAAATACTAGTTTGAAAGTTTCAAGCTGAAATTAACTTGGTTTCTATCCATTTATTGTTTGCGTTTAGAAGAAAAAAGAAAACCATCCAGCATACCGCATGCACTTTAAGGAGAAGAAATCCAATAATACCGTGTGAACTAATCATGAAATGTATTAAAGGCTGGAGATTATTTTGACCAAGTGTTGACAGTCTAAACTCTTGGATTTAAAATTAGTTTAATAGCACTGCCAAATGCATCTTAGGCTTTAATTAACGTGAAGTGTTGAAAAAATGTCTGAGTGCAAAATCTATCTTAATTTCTCAGCCTTAGTTTAGTATTTACTGAAACTGGAAATGCCGTAGAGGCTTCTGGTTTTTATTTATTCATAAGTAAATAATGTAACAGAAAAAAATATTCAGGCACATCAACCTTAAAAAAAAATGCATCCTCATAAAAAAGTGTGGGGTGGGCAGCAGGTGTCAAAGAAAAATTTCATCAGACCCGAGCATGACCTACATGCTTCCTCTGATCCTTTTTACGGCCACAAAATATATTGGAAAAATTAATCTTGTATAAGATTGCAGGACCCAACAATGACCTTAGCCAAGTTTCATAACTGCTCAAAACACAAACTGTGCCATCATCATGTAAAGAATTTGATGGGTCAAAGTGTCATTTCATTCTCTGAATGACAGAGAAGGAATTTTCTGTTTTAAGTACATTCCCTGTATAAACACATTTTATACCAAAGTGTGGTTTACTTGATTATTTTCCTAAAGTATTAGATATTTCATTGTGTTTAATCAGAAAGATAATAGTCACTTGGGGACTCTGCTTCATAAAGTAATACAAGGACCTGCTCTCTCTAATTAGCTGCCCCAGCTTAAAAAAATTTTAATAGTGTTATCAAAATGTATCTGACATTAATTACTACTTTGCTAGGATGGGGTCAAAAGGTTCAGGTTCTGTTACAAATTTTGGAGGCAACAGATAATAGCGCTAATGCTTCAGTCATTAGTTAATCAAAAGGTTGCATTAGCAAAGTCTAAACTAGGTAAGCTAAGCACAAGGAAAACGTGAAAACATTCAGTAACACAATATGGTGAATATTTTAAATCTTGGGGTGAAAAGGTGCTGAAACACATTTAAATTAATTTGATGGCTAAAGAATTTCAACACTGATATAAATATGTCAGTAAATAGATTATGCAAACTGAGTTTGCAGGTATTTGTGATCAAAGATGACCTGTTTTCTCAATGTAGAATGAATCCAAATACACCAAATATGACCATGGCAGATTGTTTTACAGCTAAACCTCAGAAAGTGTAATTTCCCCTGACCCCAGTATCATTAAATGCATGAGTTCTCAAAAACAAACAAACAAACAAACAAAAAACCCTCAGAAATTTCATATTTGGGAAGTCCCTTAATTTACTGTAATTAGATATGACCTGAAGGCATTAATATATTGGGTCAATCCTGATTTTCCGCCCTCCATTCTTCTCTCATTTAGACAGCGCTGAAGATATTGCAAACACAACTTTTTTGGGTGCTTCCTATACTCCTTAGGATTCTATTGGAGATGAAGCTGGAATATGGAGGAAGGATTGTCCTTCTTTACTCCTTCAGACTTCTGGAAAGGAGAAACAACAGGGAAACAAAGGAAGCATCCCCATGGTCATAGTATTTCCTTAAAGGTAAGTTTTTCACTAAGCACTACAACAACCAGTTAGAAAGGGAAAATAACCATCTGCAGGATGGTCTGACACTTAACCCCAGTATGTTGGAACCAGTGATAGCTAAATCAAGATGGGAAACTGTAATTTGTAAGGATCCAACAATTTATCTTTTCCTTTGGGTGAAAGTATGGATTCCTTAGGCTAGATTTCTTCTTATTTTGTGTTATTCAATTTTTTTTTTAAAGGTTTCCAATAATAGCAGGAAGATTCCCTGAATTATAGTTAGGGTTGCCAGAAAACAAAATACAGGCTGCCTAGTTAAATGTGAATTTCAGGTAAGCAAAAAGTATTTTTATATAAGTACAAGCACTTGTATTTGCTAAAATTGAGAACCTTAACTATACTGGGCAAAACTTCTAAGCATAAAAATGCAAAACAGTATCTTCATGAAGAGTTCTGCCATGTCTGTATAAATTATTATTATATTGACTGGGAAATAGGCCTATACTTGGAAGTGAGAGGTTAATAGTTTTTTTTGTTTGTTTGTTTGTTTTGTTTTTTCTAGCTCAGCTTCAGGGAAGATTGAGAAGGCAAGGATGGATTCCAGGGTAGTAAAGATAAGGTCAAAGCCACTCCTATTGGTGGGAAATAAGATGACCCCTTGTACCAATTTGGCTGTTGAAAGACCAGGACATAAGAAGACAGGTAGTTTGTTGGAGTTATTATGGGAATAGCATAGCCCACAGATATAGGAGCTGGGACAAGGGACAACTGGAATGGATTTGGGAAACTTATAAACATTATTCAGGACTTCCCACAAATCCTTGGAGAGGGGAATCTGACAAAAGACTAAAAATCTTGTGGTCAAGCAAGAGGAGATGTAGACAATTGCTAAAGGGGCACTTTAAAGAGAAATGAGATCCTTGATTAAAACACTAGTTCATTGATTAGTCCAACATCCCCAAATTAATACCATCCTCATGTTGTACATGATAGAAATACAAATACACTAACAGTAATTTTGCCCAGGGGTTGGGTTACATGTAGACATGTAGAAACAGTGTTAAAAATTTCAAAAGTTAAATTATGTTTTATCATACCACTGTTTGTCAGAATAAGTTCCAAAAAGGCTTTGATCTTTAACACCGCTGGGTCTAACATGGCTGCCAATGTGTAATGTGTCCACATAAGTGATAAAAATTCTTCTGGAAGTTTAGCACTACAAAGGCCAATAGGAAAAGTTCTTCTAACTTAAACCAGTATTCAGAAATAGCTGTGGATGCTGCATTATAAATATACATACCCCAAAAGCAAATGAAGGTGATGAAAATTAGTTCACCAACCACTTAAAAATAGTGCTTAAGATGTTGCAGATGAATTTCCCCTCTTCTTTTGATATTAACTTAATTGATTAATAAATGATTTCAAAATGTGACAATTTTCAGGTCTGATAATCTGCTCTTGAAAGATGTTGTGTGCATGTAGATTTCATATCAGTTTTTAAGTATGAAATATTACTGAGGATAAATGCTTATATAAGTGGCTACTTTGAAAACATTGTGAAAAATTTAAATAAGCATATAAGAGTAGTATTATTCTCTTTTAAGCTCCTTGAGATTTTCTTCTTCCTTTACCTGTATTTAAAACAATGAATGAATAAATAAATAAATTTGTTAGATGGATGGATGGATGGACAGAGAGACAGATAGACCGATCAATCAATTGATCGATCAATAGATAGATAGATGGATAAAAGTTTATTACATTTCACACTACACTGACATGAATTAAGGCATGTTCTGAAACATGAATAACTGCTTTAAAGAACTGTTTTTCCAGATGGCCGTCATTATATTTTGAAGAGAAAGAAATTAAGTTAAGAATGAATGTATGAGTGTTACCTACATAGGCATTCTTTGTGGAAAAGTCCTGAACTTAATAAAAGTTATACCATTCCCTTTTCTTAAGCCCACAGAGAAAAAAATGTTGGCTGTGGTTACTTCTTTCCATATTTTCCATAGAGGTTAGATGCCAGAGGATGATTTTACTTTAAACAAAATCGTAGAAACAATTCCACGTCTTTACATGTCTGCACAAGTTTGAGAGGTAAAGAGAGAGAGATGGTAGGAAGCATGAGACACTAATGAAATTGTTCTACACGTGCATAAAATTTCCATCCCAGAGTCCCTAATGTTGAGTTATCCGAATGTCCAAAGCCTTGTGGTCTTGAGTTAATGTAGCATTTTCCAGCTGGTTCTTTTACATGTTGACAGCATGCAGTATAAATTCATAAAATGCTGCAACCACAAGGCCTAAAGTCCGATGGTAAAGCTATTGCCTAGTTTATGGTTTAATAACACTAATACTAACTCATTTTACCTCAACATTGACAAAACAAATGTACATTAATAAGGTTAAAGAAAAAGAATTATTGCCATGTGAGGGCTGCTCATAAGCAAAGCTTGGACTTTGTCTCTAAAATGAAAAGGAATTGGTGAAAAACTCAAAATTTTGATCAAGCAACAAGTTGTTTTTCTTACCACAAAGTCAAACATGTTGTTCAAATGACTTTTAAAATAAATCCAGGGGAAATAGATATCAAACAATAATGGACACTAATAATTCAAAATAAAACATGCCTACATTGATCAGAAAGATAATCAGTTGTGTCAAGCAGTCACCAATTAAATTACTAGAATGTATGCCAGAAGGGATAAAGTAGAAATATAAGATACAGTCCTTTTCTTCAAGTCTCTATAATACAATTTAGTAAGTAAAGGGTTTGAGAAAGGTCTAAAGAATTGGATGACTAGGTTCTAATTCAGTCACTCTCAAATATTTTGGGTCATGCCTGTGTTAAAAAACATCATTTATAACATAACCAAACACACATAGAACATTCACACACAGAGACACTTTTATTAAAACATAAACAACTGGTAATGCTTACACATATTACATTTAAAGCACTCTGAATATTCATTTTTGTTTTTTAATTATGAGTCATGATCCACAATTTCAAAGACACTGGCCTAGAGGGCAGGGCTATGACCTCTTCAAGAGCAAGAAGCCTACCTTGTATCTCTATATTTCAAGGAAAGAGTCTAGTGCCTAAGGTTGAATGAACAGATAGTAAATTCTTTGTGAATGATGGAATAAATAAATAAATGGAGTTTACATTCATCACGCTAAAAATAAAAGATTGGAACTTTTGGAAGTGGTTATTATATTTCCCTCTAAGTGTAGTGTATCCCTACTGTTGCTAGAAAAATAAGTAGATTAAGTACATATATAGGTAGGTCAGTGATAAATAGAGAGATGGTAGGTAGATAGATTAGATAGAAAGATATAGATAGATAGATAGATAGATAGATAGATAGATAGATGATAGATAAAGATAACATTTCCCAATAAATTGAAGAGTTATTATAATCCTTTACATCTCTCTCTAGACTAGAGATCTGGAACCAATTAATCACAAAGTGATATTGTATTATGGTCAAGAACATGAATTTGGGAGCCAGACCAGATAGATTCAAATCCTAGCTCTGCCAATTTCTTTGTGACCCTTGTAAGGTCCTCTGAGCTGGCCACACCATGGTCAAGCCATGGTGACATTCCCCTGCCCTTGTGATATGTATTTTGTGATATTCCTTGTGAATGTACTTTGTAACACCCTCCCCACCCTTGTGAATGTACTTTGTGACATCCTCCCAGCCCTTGTGACAATACACCCTCCCTTCCCTTGTGAATGTACTTTGTAACATCCACCCACCTGTCCTTGTGACAAAATACCCTTGTGACAATACACTCTCCCTGCCCTTTTGAATGTACTTTGTAACATTCCCCCACCAGTCCTTGTGACAATACATCCTCCCCGCCCTTGTGAATGTACTTTGTAACATCCTCCACACCCATGAGAATGAGAATGTACTTTGTAACATCCATCCCCTGCCGGCAAAAAATTGCTCCTAACTCCACCGCCTATCCCAAACCTGTAAGAACCAATGACAATCCCACCACCCTTCGCTGACTCCTTTCTCAGACTCAGCCCACTTGCACCCAAGTGAATAAACAGTCTTGTTGCTCGCACTAAGCCTGCTCAGGTGGTCTTATACGGATGCGCATAACAGCCCTTACTTGGCAAAAGTGGTTTAACCATTGTGTCCCAATTAACACATTTGTAAAATAAGAATGGTACTGCTTCATAAGCATAGCTCATAAACTTGTGAAGATTAAATGATTACATAATAAAAAACCCTTAGAACTATGCCTAATATGTAAGAGCACTAAATAAGTGTCCCTCCGTCTTTCTTGGTTATTTCAGAGTGACAGACATCATTTTCTCTAGCTTCCCCTCAAACACAACAGCTGAGGTACAGAGATCAAAATGTGTCAGTGGTGAAAATGTGTCACTTGAATGGGTAGTGGTAAGTCACCCATGATAGAGAAAATTTAAACACACTCTGAAAATTCACAAAGAATGTAGATATTACCCATGATCTTTTTAGAAAACATTGCACTTTTCTCCATTGAACTGCAGACATTGTATTTTTCTCCATTGAACTGCAGCAACGTTGACTAACTCCAGCCTCAACAATGGGACTAACTCCAGCCTCAGCATAATGGTAGAACCTGAAGAACACAAATAAATAAGGACAGCACTGCCATCCTTATTGTGCCATTGGTTGATTTAGCAATGGGCATTTAATCTAGGCCTAAGTCAGTCAGCATAAGTCACTACTTTGACCACAAGGTATGGGCATGTGATTTCAGATGGCTCTGTCTGAGGGAAGTAGAGGGTATTGTTCCATATCTGATGCAACAACATGCTCTCATATTTTAGATCGTGAGCCCAGGAATGACTGCAACAATTTGGCTACTTGAGTGAATCATCTCAAGAATCACCTGAGGATAAAACCAACCTGAGGAGGAAGGGTGGATTATAGAGGACCCCTGAGACATGGAGATTATTAAACCACTGGAGGCCTCCTCTGTCTCTGGACATCTCATTTATGTGATTTTATAAATTTTCTATACTGCTTAAATTAGTTTGAGTCAAATTATCTGCTGAATTGATTTGCAAGCATCTGACGAGGGGTTCACCTAGGTGACTTACAAGGTCTCATCCAAACCTGGATGTTTCTACCTCTAAATGACTTGCAACTTTATTTCACCATCAAACATGGAGAAAAGTTTTTTCCCAATGTGTTAACTTTATTCAAATGTTTATGAAATTTTCTTTAATTAATAAACTAAAGATATTGAAATAGGTCAAGTACTTACAATGTGTCCGTAACAGTGCCAAGAACTTGGCAAACATTTTTTATTTAATTTCACAGCAACTAAGGGAGGTTGGAACTATAACCATCCCTGTTTCAGATGAACAAAATGAAGCTACTAAAAATTAAATTTCCGCTTAAATCATATAATTAGTAAATGAAGAACTAGAATTTAAACATTATTTTATTTATCCCTTTAAAAAGTTCTTAACCACTATATTCTGCTGGTTTAAATTAATCATGGGTCAGGTGATGTGCTAGATAGGAACTAGAAGCAAAACTCCTTACAGGCCAATAAAAGTATTTGAGAGTCTATCATGTGCCAGGTGAGATACACAACTGAGTAACTGAATTGGATAAACTTGGAAAGGCACAATCAGTATTTTCATTTTCCTCACCAGTGCCTTCTAGTGCAGTCTGAAGTATTCCCATTCTCGGATATGGGGTTACAGTGGGTCAGATTGTAGTACATTTCAGCTCTAAGGATAGTCTAACTTTCAGGTATTAAAAAGTCTGCATAAAAGATTTCCAGTTTCAGCCATGTTGGAGTAATTATAAAGAGCTTCCCCTCCCACCATAAACGACAATAAAACTAAGCAAAATGTAAAAGTAAAATTTTTCAGACTTTGGATAAAAGTCTATGCAAGACGTGATATTTCAGAAAAGGGAAATAAATGAAGTAAACCCTACAGTATTCCTGGTGTTCTTCTATGGAGGCAATTATTATTAGAGAAGTGGAAGTCAAACAGGACCCTGTAGTCTTGCTGAGTTCAGGAGACTGGAGTAAGAGTTTGAGGAGGAGGCTAAGGCATGGAAAGTTTTTGTGGCAGAGTTTCATAAAAACTGGAACAACATAGGAAATGAGCTCGAGAAATTTGCATAGAGATCCCTTTAAGTATTTGCTAAGTATTAAACCATGGATATTATGTCAATCAGGGATCAACCAGAGAAACAAAATCAACATAATGGATGTATATATCCATTCTACTGGTATATATATATATATGTGTGTGTGTATATATATATATATATATATGTGTGTGTGTATATATATATATGTGTGTGTGTGTGTATATATATATGTGTGTATATATATATGTGTGTGTGTGTGTATATATATATATATATATACACACACACACATACACACACATACATACACACCAGTATATATATATATACTGGTAATATGTATTACATCATATATATATATGATGGGCATTTAATCCAGGCCTAAGTCAGTCAGCATAAGTCACTACTTTGACCACAAGGTATGGGCATGTGATTTCAGATGGCTCTGTCTGAGGGAAGTAGACATATATATATATATGTACATCACATATATATATATGATGTACATCATATATATGATGTAATACATATTATATATATTATATTATATATAATTATATATATTATATTATATATAATTATATATATTATATATATATTAGATGTAATTATTATAAGGAATTTCCTTATGCAGTTTGGTGGAGTGGGGGTGCAGTGTGGTAAAGTGAGCTGAAGCAAGGTGGACAGAGTTAGGAAGTGAAGATCATGATCAGGCTGGAACTTTGAGTTTGAACTGGTGCTTGAGTTCACAGGCAGGCAAGTAGAAAGGATAGATATAGGGGGAAAAAGTGGGGAGCAATTTCAGGCCTCTGTGCTGCTTGTATTCTGTATCAGGGAAAGCCTAGGACCCTCTTTTAAGGACTTCTATATGACTCAGACCCCTTCAGGATAACTTTGTTTTCATTACCTCAAAGTTAACAGATTTTGATTTTAATTCCATATGCAAAATTCCTTTAAAACAACATCCAGATTAGTGTTTAATTGATAATTCTGGAGAAGGTGTGTATAGCTACAAAATGGTTGATGTCTCCCCTGTAGCCCATTCTAACCTGCAACATATTAAAAAGGGAATTCTAGGGAGTGTTGCTCACATGGAAAATTTGGCACCTCACAAAGTGATCACAGATGTGAAAAGAAAAATTTCAAAAGACAAGCAAAGAAGGAGCAATTCCCTAAACTCACATAAGGAAGAGAAAATGTGAGTTCCAACAAGCCAGGGTAGAGAAACTAGAGGAGTCTATCTCTGGAATAAAAATTACTCTGGCCATGCCCTAGCAAAGTTTCAAAACAGGACAGAAGAGATCAAACTGATCTTCCAGTAACACGACTGTCTGCTAAGACAAACATCAATGCTCCTTAAAGAAAAAAACAAAATCCAGACACTTAACAAGATAATGCCAAAATGTTTAACAAGCAATCAAAAATTAGTAGACATCTCAAGAGAAGGTAGTGTGACTCGCGAGCAGAAGGAATTTCAGTCAATTGAAGCAGACCAAGAAGTGAGACAGATAACATAATTAGCCAATGAGGATGTTATAACTATGTTCAAATATTCAAAGGAAAACATGAACATATTAAAGTTATGTTGTAAATAAAAAATACAAAAAAAGCACCCAGATAGAACTTCTAGATATAAAAAGTAATGTTTCTGGAATTAAAATTTTACTGAATGACATTAATTACATATTAGACAGTACAGAAGAAGATTTTAGTGATATTGAGACATAGCAGCAGAAACTATTTGTAATGTAGCAAAGTGCCAAATAAAAAGACTGAAAGAAAATGAACAGAGCTTAAAATACTGGTGGTAAAATAACAAATACCCTAAAGTATGTGTATTTGGCGTTCCGAAGTATAAGACACAAGAAAAGAATGGCAAAAAACAGTGACGGCAGCAACAACAAAAAACAAACAGAAAAATACCCCAACATATCTGAAGACATAATGAATATTTTCCAAATTTGATTGTAAAACACACCACACACACATGCACACATACACATACACTCACACATATACGTACACTCACATACCCACAGGTCAAAGAGTTCAAAGAACCCAAAACAGGATAAATACAGACACAGATATACACTCTTCAAGACATATCAAAATCAGATTATTACAAACAAATGACAAAGAAAAAAAATCATAAAGGCAACCAGGAAAAATAAATAATTATATATAGAAATGAAAGGTTGAGAATAATCACAGATTTCTCTTATGTTCTCAAAGCATAAGAGAGCTGGAGGTCTTATAATCAGACTAAGGTTCAGAAGAAGGTATATTATCTGAGATAAAGATAGAAGTTTTATAATGATAAGAATATTAATTCATAAAGAAGACATAACAATGCTAAATTAGTATGCATCTTAAATTAGAGCTTCAAAATACATTAAGAAATGGATAGAATGGAAACAAAATAGACTAAATTAAAATTATAAATGGGAATTTCAACACTCCTCTCTCAAGAGTTGGTAAATTATAGTTAGAAAATAAGTAGGTATACTAAAGATTTAAAAACTATCAACCAACATGACTTAATTGACATTTACAGAACACAAGCAGACTGCACATTGTTTATGGGCACGCAGGCAACATTACCAAGATAAGTCATATGTTGGCCCATTAAACAAGTCTTAATAAATAAATACAAAAGTATTACAATGATATAAAATTCTCTAACCATAAAATTAAACTATTAACAGTCCTAGAATGGCAACAGGAAGCTATTTGGAAATTAGACAAAAGAAGAATTAGACAATATGTTTCTAAATAACACATAGGTAAAAGAAAAAATTGCAAACAAAATGAGAAAATATTTTGAATTAAATAAAACAAAAATTACAACATATCAAAGGTATGGGGTGCAACTAAAGCTGTGTTGAGAGGAAAAATCATATATTTAAAATTTATGTTAGAAAAGAAAAAAACAATTAAAACCCATTATCTAAGCTTCCACCTTAAGGAGCTAAAAAAAAAAAAAAGAGTAAATTAAACACAAAGTAAGCATGAAAAAGAAAACGATAAGGACGAGAGCATAAGTCAGTGAAATAGAAAACTGAAAAAGGAATATTTGAAACCAAATGTAAACATCAAAAATGAGAAAACTCCAGCTAGAAAGACTGAGAGAGAGGAAGCAAACAACCTGCTAATATCAAGAATGAAAGAGGAAAAATTACTAGAAATCCTTCAGATGTCAAAAGGATAACAAAGAATATTACAAGTAACATTAAGCCAATAAATTTAAAAAATAGTTTACATAAGCAAATTCCTTGAAAGATACAAATTAACCAAACAAGCTAAAGAAAAAGATAATCTGAATATTCCTGTGTCTACTAAATGAATGGAATTCATAATCAAAAATTTTCCCACAGAGAAAACTCTAGTCCTAATTTTTCTTATCAATTCAAACTTAATAAGAAAGAAAAAATATCATTCCTATGCCAACTCTTTCATAAAGTAGAGGAGTGATTACTTTCCAATTCATTTTATAAGGCTAACATTATCCTGATATTAAAGCCATAATATATTTCAAAATCACACACCAGGGACTGTTGTGGGGTGGGGGGGCGGGGGGAGGGAGAGCATTAGGAGATATACCTAATGCTAAATGACGAGTTAATGGGTGCAGCACACCAACATGGCACATGTATACATATGTAACAAACCTACACGTTATGCACATGTACCCTAAAACTTAAAGTATAATAATAATAAAATTTTAAAAAAAGGTAACTAGAAAGTAATATCTCTTTTGAACGAAATTCTTAACAAAACATCAGCAAATTTAATTCAGCAATAGACAAAAAGAATAATCCATCATGCACAAATGGAACTTATCCCAGGAATGCAAGGCTTGTTTTACATTGTAGAAAATCAATTAATGCAATACACATTAACTGATTAAAAAAGAAAATGCACTATGATTACTCAGTGTGAGCAGAAAAAACACTTGAGGAAACTCAACACCAATTATAGTAAACATTCTCAAGAATTAGCAATAAGAAGGAAGTTCCTCAACTTGTCAAGGGAATCTACAGAACACCTATAATTAATATCATAGATAGGGCGCTATTTAATTTCTGCCTTTACTACTTTTAATCAACATGCTATTAGCCATCCTATCAATAAAAACTAATAAAAGAAATAAAATTGAAGGACTTGCATTAGCTGATTTCAAACTTATGTAATACAACAATAATCAAGAACTTTGGTATCTATATATAGTTCAGAATTAAACCCATTTATACATAGTTAATCCATGTTTGACACAGGTACCCAGATGGTGAAAACATAGCCTTTTCAACAAATGTAGTTGAAGTAATACAAATATTAATTTGGAAAAAAAGCAAAGTCAAGCATTTATCTCTTGACATACACAAAAATTAACTTTAAATGGATCATAGATCTAACTGTAAAATCTAAAACTAGAAAAGTTCTGGAAGAAATCATAAGTGAACGTTTTTACAACTCTGGGATGGATTTCTTAAACAGGGCTCCAAAAGTATGAAACATAAGAGAAAAAATAATAATTTGGACTTTACAAAATGAAAATATTCTCTGTTGGTAAGACATGGTTTAAAAATGAAAAAGATAAGCCACAAATTTGGAGAAAACATTTATAATATGTTTATTGCAAATAAATACTTTGTATTTGCAATAAATATATTGCAAATATTTTATAGATACTGGGTACAAACTCTTTGTATTTGCAATAATCCTCACAAAGTATTATCATACTTTTGTTTTCAGTATTTGTATCCAGTATATACAAAAACTTCTTACAACTCAATAAGAAGACAAATAGCCTAATGCAAAAGTCTTTGAACATTTCTCAAAAGAAAATATATTAATGGCAACAAACACACTAAAAATGCTCAAAATCAGTAGTCAACAGGGAAATGCAAATCAAACCAACAATGAGATGGCACTACTCACTTACTAGATTCGCTAAAGTTAGAAACACTACATCAAGTTTTGGCAAGGATGTGGAGAAACTAAAACTCACATACACTGCTCATGCAAAATAGTGTGACCTGGAAAATAGTTTTATAATTTCTTATAAAGCTAAACATACTTACCAGATCATACATAAATTCCACTCGTAGGTATTTACCTTGAAAAATGAAAACTTATGAGTGCATAAAGACTTTATTGTGTATAACAACTCTATTCATAATAGCCAAAAACTGGAAACAACCCAAATGTCCATCAGTAGGTGAAGGGACAAATTGTGGTATATCCATACAATAGAATACCAGTCAGAATTCAAAAGGCACACAGTACTGATATGTGCAACGACATATATAATGTCAAAAACATGAACTAAGCACTCCGTAATATTTGTTTGAAATTTGAAAAAAAGACCAATCTATAGTGACAGAAAGTGAATCAGTCATTGCTCAGGGCTGGTAATGGGGAGTGTGAGGCAGTATCTTACATAGGTCTCAAGGAAACTTGTAGAGATGATTGTATTTTGGATGGGTGGTAATTACATGGGTGTGTACCTTGTCAAAACTCATCAAAATGTGCACTTAAAACTAGATGCTTTTTAGTAAAATATTTAGCACTGTCTAGTTCTTCCATTGCTCTTCCCCCATTGGTGTGACTTTGTCTTTTAATGCCAGGGCTCCCCTATGTTGGGAGTGGGATTAGAGGAAAGGAATAAAGCCCTGGGTGCTATGATGGGTATCAAAATGCTGTCCCTTGATCTTAAAGTTCAGATGGGGGGTTTTTCCAAGGCACTTTCTTCTCCAACCCTCCTCCAAAGACTGGATTGCACCTTTTCCTGACAAAGTAATGGACCCTGTCTGTCAAGTGATCCCTTTCTGTTTCTGCCCCCAGACAATACATCTACAGCTTTTTTTCTGCGAAGGTCCCTTTGGGCTACTGGAGAATCAAAGGCCAGTTCCCTTTCTGAATAATACTCGTTCACTAGTAACTAGGTCATCTCCCTCTAAGAAATAAAAATAATGGCTTCCCCCATGGCAGATCTTTTTTCCTCTTGTCCAGCTATAAAGGACACCACTAGATATGCCCCCACTCACCCCCGCTCTGCCATTTCCAGATAAAAAAGAAGGCACAATTCTCTCCACATATACACATCAGATTGTCAGAACACTTCCATCCTCTGCCTGCTCCTGTAATAGCACAGCAGCAGCCTACATCTCAGCAACAGTCTGGGTGGGAACAAAGGTGCTAGATGCCATAAAAAGAAAAAAAAAAGAAAAGAAAGAAAGAAAGAAAACTCTCAAGTGCTTATGAGAGGTTCTTCCAGTTTCCTCTTCATTTAGCCTGAGGGACAGGGGAGAAACAGCTGGTTCTTTCCTTCACCTTAATGTGAGAGAAAATACCATTACATTTTCTTCTTTTTTGTTATAGGATCACTTTTTTCAAACTTTTATTTTAGTTTCAGGGTTCACGTGCAGGTTTATTACATAGGTACATTGTGTGTCACAGAGGTTTGGTATACACATATTTTTTTTTAATTTCTAGTCTTATCCTGAAGATCGGTAATGCTGTTGGTACTCAGTTTGCCCAACTCTTACTAAATCTTAAAGAAACGTGTGTAGCAGCCCTCATAACTCAGGATTTCCTGTCACCTACTGTCTCCAGCTTTGGCTCCTTAGACAAACAGAGACATGAAGAGAAGTTCCACTTGGCATTCTGTGACATGGGCTAGATTCCTGGGATAAGGAGCCCAATAGGGGTAAGAGGTATTCTCACCCTCCCAGAAGACCACAGGCAAGTAGAACATACAGTCAGATAAACAAATCATTTCCATACAAGATAGTTAAACCCAGTGGTAGTCACAGAGAGATTCATCTCTTGAGAAACTCACAGTCTGATCAGAAAATAAGCTGAGGATGAAGCTTTGCAATAAGAAATGGGAGGTCCTATATTAGAGAAAACCACAAAACAGAATGAAAGTGCAGAGGGGAAGCACACAGAACAGCCTCAAACTCTTCACCCATTACATTCATCCATACTACTTTTAGTATTTGATGTACATAATGTCCTCTGGTTGCTTTATTTAATTCCATGCCTTTGCAATTAGCTGGCTCTTCTTATTTTTTTTAGGCAATCACCATTTGATATCTCCCTAGAAATTAGACATAAATATAGTTTTTAAAAATTCTTCATGTTTCTCCATCTGTGGGCTGCAGAAATTTACTGGAGGCATGGTTGGCTTAAATAAAACACTTAACATCAGTATTATATGCATTCAATATATGCATTTATGTATATATCCGTATTTATGTAGCTCTACACAATAAGTATAATTTGCCAGTGTAATTACCAGTTCTAAGGATATCTAACTGCCCATAAGTAATTGTAAAAACTAAATGTTCCTACTTCTATATTTACCAAAGTTAAAGAATATAATTAGCAAGTTAAATATAATTGAAGGTCTGTGACTTAGTGTCAGATCTGTATGAAATTGAAATGAGTTAACTTCAACAATACTGGATTTCCAAGAAACATATTATGTCTTGGATATTTCTGTTTCTCTATCTCCCTTCTTACTTCCCTTTCTCCCACCTCTCTCCAGATGTGATGTAAATATTAAGTAATTGAACTAATTCTCAAGGAAAAAGTATACATGTGACTTAGAAGTGTTTTTTGTTTTTGTGGTTTTTTGTTGTTTATTTGTTTGTTTGTTTGTTTTTGAGATAGAGTCTCACTCTGTTGCCCAGGCTGGAGTGCAGTGGTGAGATCTTGGCTCACTGCAACCTCTGCCTCCTGGGTTCAAGCGATTCTCCTACCTCAGCCTCCCGAGTAGCTGGGATTACAGGTGCCTGCCATCATGCCCAGCTAATTTTTGTATTTTTAGTAGAGACAGAGTTTCATCATGTTGGACTTAGAATTTGATCAAATATCACTTAACTGCCATTCAATAGTATTAGATTTGCAAACCAATAATAAATGAGATGATTTAAAAAGAAAAAAGAGAGAGAAAGAGAGAGAATTAAAAATCATTGGGCTAATGCCCATGTGAGTGTCTTTACCATAAGCTAATCCTGAATTAACAGGTGTGCTCTTGGATAAACAAATCACTTGGCTCACTTACATACATTTGGCATGTAGTATGAAACAAAATTATTTTGCAACTCACACATTACTTAAAATTAAAAATATAAAAATGTATAAATCTGCTATTTCCTTTTAAGTGACAAGTGGCTCAAAAGGGCAAAAAAAAAAAATGGCGTGAAAAATAGTATTTTTCATCCTTCCCATTATATACCGGGTTCTATCCTAAAGAGTACATCTTAAAATAATTTCGTTTAACAAATACTTCTACAGTGCTTACTGTGTATAGGGCTCTGTTTTAAGCCACTTTATGTATTAACTCATTTAATTATCATAACCACCCTAGGAGGTGGATATTAGTCCCACTTTACCCATGGGAAACTGACAAACTACAAAGATGCAACTGAGCTGGGATTTAACCCCCAAGCCTTCTGGTTTCAGCAAGTTACTTTTATTCTGAAAGAAAGCAAAAGAAAGTTTGATTCAGTCACATGTCTTATATTTGGCAGAGTCAAAATTTGAACTTTGTTATATTTGCTATCAGCATTTCTGATCGCTACTTTGCAACAGTAGGAGTAGCAATTCAGATCAAACCAGTTAGCTGCAAGCAAAGCCAGCACCTCTACAGTTTGGAGTTAGCAAAAATTGACATGTATCAAACTCCAACTATGCATGTGCTAGGTCTGAGGGGTAAGTACAGCAAAGAAAATGTTTTCACAATTTTTCCATCAGCGAACATCATGATTTATACTTGTAGGTATACAGTAAATGTTTCTTGCATGAATAAATGTTTAATCAATTTAAAAATTACCTACCCTCAGTGAACTGAATTTGAGGGAGGAGGGCTTAAAAGAAAGATCAAGGATCTAATTTGTTCTAGGCAGAGGCGAGGCAGAGGCAGGAGAGTCTTTCAGAGGGAGTAACAATTGATCTGAGATTCAAAGAATAAAAAAAAAAAAAGGCAAAAAAAGACACAAGAACCAGATGACCATTCCAGCATATAAAGTAGTGCACTTCCATTGTTGAATTATGCGAGATTCAGTTATCTGTTCCTTCTTAACAAACATTTCCAAAATTAATGGTTTAAAACAATGATTACTACTGTCATGGTTCCTGAGGTGACAGGTGAGCTGGGAAGTTTTTCCTGCTCCAGGTGTTTTCAACTTGGTGGTATTCAGCAGGTAGACAGGCTGGTCCAGTAGATATAAACCATGTCTGGCATCTTTACAGGGATGCCCACAAATGCTGGACTCAGCTTAGAATGCTGAGCCAGGAACCTATACCTTGATGGTCTTGGTCCAAGGTGGGCACTTGTGAACTTCTTACATGGCAGTGCAAGAAACACTGGGGCAAGAATTCCAAAAGACCGGAGGGGAACCTGCCAGCCTTCTTACAGCCTAAACCTGGAATGTCCGACCATTACTTCCTTCACATCCTATTAGTGGAACAAGTCACCTAGGCCAGCCCCAGGGGAGTGGAGTTAGACTCCATTTCTCGAAGAACTTGTAGCTGTCTTTCATCTATAATCTACCACACTCTGGTAGCACACTGAGCTTCAAATCACAATGCAGATATACATCCAAGAAATAGTAACTATGCTAATACTTCTAATGGATGCAGAATACCTTAATAACCATCGTAACAACACCCATGTGAACTGAAGCCCATCCTTAAACATAAGGGAAACAAATCCTATGGCTTCACTTTGATGGATCAAGCATTTGCTCTAGATTGTAATTAGCATAACAGTGAAAACAGTCCAAATAAAAAGGTAGACGATAGATGTTGTTTCCCAGCAACCTGAAGATAAGGCACCTCTGGATTCAGCCCTTACTACAGGTGGAAATGCAGAGACAGGAATCCGATCTGTGCAAGAAAGATTACTGGATTGGTGTTCCTCTCTTTTTGGTAAAACCAGCTGAAAGCCCATTAGTGGAAACTTGCTGTTCCCTTTACGTGTGAGTGCTCTGAAAGTCCCCCTCTCCCTTTATCCCCCATCCCTCCCCACCAATTCAAAATAAACCTCGCTAAATTAAAGCCATATTTGCGGATCATAAAAGGAACTTTATCTTAGTAGCCAATAAATAGTAGTAGGTTTTGATTCTTGTACATGTGCAGTGTGCTGTCCTGAGTGGTTCACTTTATTTAGCATTGCTGGGAGATTGGTAATGGATTTCCCCGACAGATCCATCTCTGGGTAGATCAGATCAGGGAAACGAGCTCTTTGGGGGCACAGGCTTGTATGGAATTGTAACAGTATGTGTTCACTGACCCCAAGTTGAAGGAATGTTTCATTCCACCACCCTGAAATGGAAACTGATAGTCTCTGTTGTTTTCATTGCTTAAACTGCATATTATTTTGAGGAACTTTATTTTAAACTAACTTGAGTGGTAGCATAGCTTTTCACAAAAAGAAAAAAATAAATCAAATGCTTCATATTTTGCTGGCAGCATATTGGTTAACTGAAAACAATTTCTTTATGCCTTTACAGAAAAGAGAGCAAACTCCTGAATTTAAGGTGAACTAACAGTAATATTTCTCTCTCTCTTTCTTTCTCTCTCCCTCTTTCTCTCTCTCTCTCTCTCTCTCTCGCTCTCACTCTCATTTTTCTGTGTATTTGAATAAAAGTAATAAATTCTCTCACTTGCTTAAAAACTCTGGCCCAATGCCTTTGAAAAAAGTCTCTGAAATCTTAGTTTGAACTGAATCTGAGTTAACTGTCAAAGATTTCTCCCTGAAGTTGTGCTCTCTTCGAAATTTAGTTTCCCTTGGACACAGTATTTGCAACCAAAGCAATCTCTAGAATGGAAGACCAGAAACTGCCCAGCCTGCGTCTGACCTTTCTGGCAGATGTTTTTAAATGGAATGGATTGCCTTTCCCAGCCCGAAATGCGTAATCTTTGGTTAGGGTTGTTTTCCATGCAAATACTTAGACAGACTGTGGTTTGTGCTGCTGGGCGTTGGTAATGGGATATGCACAGAGCTCAGGTCACTGACTAAACCAGCTGGATCAGAAATGACCTTTTTAAATCTTAGGATGAATGTTTGATACATTAGGGAAGTTAGCGGATCTGGTCAGCACATTGTTTTTTTTTGTTTGTTTGTTTGTTTTCTTTTCTTGTGAAAGCCCAAATTATGATCTGGACAACTCATTGGCATGATGAACAGAAGAAATATAGAGATACATCTTAATTCTGATTTGGCCAAAAAGCTAATTGGCCAACACAACTATAAATATGTCTCATCAAGTGATGTAATAAGGTGAGCCTACATATGGTTGTTTAATGGTTGGTGACCAGCAGGTAGAAAGAAGGCATGGGAATGTTTCCCCCTGAATGACTCTATTTGCACAAGAACTTCATACAAGTGAAAAGACTGGGGAAACACAATCTCATAGCAATGTGGGAACCAGTGTTCAGGGACTGAATGTCTTCTGCTTATTTTATGGTAGTGAGGTTCCTGAAGGGTGTATTAACCCTTCTCCTAAAAGTTAAAAATGAGAACTAAGCTTATGAGTGGTGACTTGCAGATAGCATTTTTTTTTTGAGACAGAGTTTCACTCTTGTTGCCCAGGCTGGAGTGCAGTGGCACAATCTCGGCTCACCGCAACCTCCGCCTCCTGGGTTTAAGCGATTCTCCTGCCTCAGCCTCCTGAGTAGCTGGGATTACAGGTGCTCGCCACCACACTCAGCTAATTTTTGTGTTTTTAGTGGAGATGGGGTTTCACCATGCTGGTCAGGCTGGTCTCGAACTCCTGACCTCAAGTGATCTGCCTGCCTTGGCCTCCCAAATTCCTGGGATTACAGGCATAAGCCACCTCGCCCAGCTGTAGATAGCTTCTTAAGAGGACATGTTGGAGCTGTGACTCCCCAAATGATGGACCAGGCAATTCGTATTGCACTGGACTCCTCCAGAGAGGTGAAGGAAATCAATAATGAGTGTGTCTAACAGGCAATAAGGGCCTCTTTTGGGGGCAGAAAGTTTACTGCAATGAAAAGAGCAGAGATTGCATAGGTCAGCTGACCTTGTATTAGACTTCATTTCTGCAACTTTTGTTTGTCTGGCCTTGGGCAAATCATTTAACCTTCCTGAGCCCATCTTGTAGGTAATACCTTCAGTTTTATAGTAAGGGTTAGTAAAAATGTATGTAAAGCATCTAACATTATGCCTGGTACATGGTAATGACTTATAGATTGCATTCTCTATGATCCTTCTTGTCTTACATGATAGTATCATTTAGTGAATGAGACAGAACCAGGTCTGAATATGAGATTTACCCCCTTTGTAGCTGTATGAATGAAAACAAATTTCTTTCCCTCATAAAACTTCAGTTTCTTCATTTTATAATGGGGAAAACAAAAATTACCTTATAGGAATTACTTGATCATGAAATCAAGGCTCCTCTGATACAATAAAGTGCCTAAGAGAGTTTCTGACCTATAATAGTATCCATTTGTGTCATTTCTGTACACACACTTCCACAGCCTGGGGCATAGATGAATAGGAAATCTTGTCAAGGGTCTTTGTTAAATCTAGGGGGACAATAGAGCCAGATTTGAGCTCGGCCTTAAGACAGAACTATCACAGCAGAAAATGTGGCAATAAACTCTGAGGAATTTGTTACATTTGAAGGTGGTAGAACACATCCATGGTGAGGAAGACACAGGGAAATAGTGATGAGATTAAAGTAGTCACAAGAATGACTCCTGACACAAACAGTGGGACTTGTAATTGAAAAAACAAAAGAAAAAAAGAGATTCAAAGAGGCTGAGAGATGTAACTAGTGCTTGATTTGCCATTAATGGGGAAACTTCAGTGGTTTTCATTGGGATGATAACCAATTACAGACTTGAAACTCCAGGCACCCTTCTTCTCTTTCTTTAATGTGCTTCAACTAAGTTTTAAATGATTTATTCTTCCAATTTTATTTGATTTCAGCATTTTCCCATATTTTTCTCTTTTGGAACATTCCAGGTCTTTTTACATATTTCACTTTAAAGCTATAAAGCATGCCAGGAGCTTCAAGGAATGAAAGAACTGATATTTACGCTGCTGTGATACTTAAACTTTTCCCCCTGAACTCACACCCAAAAACTTGTCTATAGGCCAATTTGCATTTTGGCCACATTTTGAGGAGTTGGCAGCAATAACCACGCTGCAAACTCACACCACATGTGGTACTAATTGGCGCAGTTGGCGGTTTAAGAAGAGAGGCTAGGGATTGAGTGGGCATGGAAACCTAACAATACCTTCACACAATGGTTCTCAACAGGAGATAGAAATTAGAACTGTGAGGGAAAGGATAGGCCTCTGTGGCAGGTCAATAAGATGAATTGCTCAGTGCTTTGCAAAAGCAACCAAAACCCAGAAAAACAAAACAGAGAAAAGACTTGAAGTAGACACTGTAATTTTTTTTTCTTTTTTTTTTTTTTTTTTTTTACCAAACTTCCAGAATAGACCAAGAACTTGTTCACTTAACATGTACAGTCAAGGAGCATAAATGCACAGATGAAGGAACGATCTGGGGTCAAACAGGCACCTTGGGCCGTTTGGATATTCACTCATTGATTCCGGCCAGTGAACTTCCCCCAGGTCAGTTTCTCCATCTGCAAAGCAAGCAGGAGTCTTTCATCGCATTTGCCTCCTACCAGCTGAAGGGAACAGGGAGCAGATTTGTAGTTTGTTAAAGTGCTTTGATTTTACAAACTTTAAACCCAAACACAGGAATCTCTCATAACATCTTAGCTGTGGGTCTCTGTAGGCATGAGGAAAGCGGCAGTGGTGTTGGGGATAATTATTCCCCTAGACAGCTGTGTTAGAAACAGAATTTGCAAGAAACAGAATGGAGCCTCAGGGAATTGGGGTTAATTGTAAGGATACATGAGGGAGGATGGAAACACAGGAGCTGCCTCAGTAGCCACATCGAAAGGCTCATGGAACTGGACAGTTTTGCTTTTTTTAACTCAAGCTAAAACAGCAGCTTTGGTTTCCCTATGGCAATTATAATGGTCTTAGCATTCAGCATCTCTCTTTTCTTTCACTGTGCCTGTGTGTGCTCACTTCATATCAGAGCACAATGAAATCAAAGAGAGCTCCCTGATCTGACCCTATCAAGTTCTTTCAGAAGCTTCAGCTTTCCTTTCCCTAAAAAATAAGAATGTAATTACAAGAACCTAAAATTACGAATGCGAGTATTGCATCTCTCTCTCTCTCTCTCTCTCACACACACACACACACACACACACACGCTTCTCTAAAGCTCATCTCTGAAATTTGCAGGGCCTGAGACAAGGATATGACTGTAGACCCCTAGACTTCACCCCTTCTGTTCCCATCCCAGCTCTGTTTTCAATATGAAGGGCCTTACACACTTCTGTGTGAACACAGCCCTTAAATCCAAGCTCCATTCATTCCCACATACCTGCTTCCCCACATACCCCGACAAATGGCCATTCCTCCGAGACTTCAAGAGGTCAACTGAAGAAGAAGCCTGTGCAAGAACAGAAATGGATTCAGAGACATTGGGTCAGGGAATTCCAGTGCCTCAACCAACCTACTGTGGCCTAGAAAAGACCCCTTGTGCTAATGAATGTCTTGTCCTATGGGATAGAGCTAAGTAGGATCACGATACAGAGTCATCTAAAGTGCACAACCCTGGGAAGGACCTTATATTACTTGGGTTTAAAGCAGGAGTATCTAATCTTTTGGGTTCCCTGGGCCACATTGGGAGAATAAGAATTGTATTGGGCCACACATAAAATATGCTAAAACTAATGATAGCTGACGAACTTTAAAAAAAATCATTAAAAAATTTTAAGAAAATTTATGAATCTGTGTTGGGCTGCATTCAAAGCCATCCTGGGCCACATGTGGGCTGTGGGCCACAGGTTGGACAAGTTTGGTCTAAAGCAACTTATTTTAGTTTTCTTCTCTCTTCTCAATTCATATCTGTGTCTTTTAAAACAACTACTTCTAGGACTACACCTACTATCACCATCAGTACTATTACTACTGTATGAAGAACAAATGGGGAATCATATTTAAGGAATCTCCTTTAGAAAACATGAGGCAGATTATTCTTGTAGGCTGCCTTAGCTCAGGTTCCCATAACACATGTCATAGATTGGGTGGCTTAAACAGCAAACATTTATTTCTTACAGTTCTGAAAGCTGGGAGGTTCAAAATCAAGGCTCTAGAAATCCAGTGTCTCGTGAAGGCTGCTCTCTGGCTTGTAGATGGTCTTCTTTCTGTATTTTCTCAATGGTGACGAGAAAGGGAAAGGAAGTAAGATTTCTGTAACTCTTCTCACAAAGGCACTTCTTCCATCAACAGTGCTACACCTTCATGACCTAATTACCTCCCAAATGCCCCATCTCCAACTAACTCATCTAATGCGTTAAAGAATGCCATTTCTCCTCTTGGCCACCCTAATCACCTCACTGATTCCAGTTCTGAAGTTAGAATTGTTCCCAATGTGTCAGAAGGGGTCAAATACAAAGTGTGAACCAGAAAGAAAAGGCTACAACAACAAAAATGGCAATAGTTGTTATTTTTTATCAGCAGAAACCTGGAGGAAATGTGCAGCTAGAGTCAAAGGGAGCTATACTAGGTAGAAATAATCATAAACAGATTGGGGCAAATTAGCCAATATTGGTACATGTACCAGAGCCTACATGCAGTGAGCTTACCCGAGTAGCTCAGAGTGATTATAATTGTTTTGCTTTCTGAATTGGTTGACTGAAATCCAGATTCAACAATGGCTCACACTAAATGAAGTTGAGATGAAAGAAATTCCCTGGTATATTGTGGAATCTGAAACTTATGGTATATATTAGTGGGTTTGAACTGCTGTAACTAAAATACCAAAGACTTGGTGGCTAATAACAGCAATAAACAATTACTTCTCACAGTTACAGAGGCTGTAAAGTTCAAAATCATGGTGCCAGTAGATCTGGTGTCTGGTGAGGCTGTTCTTCCTGGCTTATAAAAACTGCATGCATGTTTACAACAGAACAATTTGCAATTGCAAAAAATATGGAACCTAACCAAATAGCCATCAATCAATGAGTGGATAAAGAAAATGTGAGATAGATATATATGTGTGTGTGTATGTGTGTGTGTGTGTGTGTGTGTGTGTGTGTGTATATATATAATGGAATACTACTCAGCCATAAAAAGGAATGAAATAATGGCATTTGCAGCAACCTGAATGGAATTGGAGACTATTGTCTAAGTGAAGTAACTGAGGAATGGAAAACTAAACATAGTATGTTCTCACTCATATGTAGGAGCTAAGCTATGAGGACACAAAGGCATAAGAACAATACATTGGACTTGGACTTTGGGGACTCAGGGGAAAGGGTAGTGGGTGGTGAGGGTTAAAAAAACTACAGATTGGGTACACCGTACACTGCTTAGGTGACGGGTGCACCAAAATTTCAGAAGTCACCACTGAAGAACTTGTTCATGTAACCAACCACCACCTGTTCCCTAAAAACTATTGAAATTAAAAAAATATATATTAAAATTTATTTTGAAAAATAAATTTGCCTCCAGAAAGTTCTCTCCTGTCTCTTCTTACTAAAGGCACTAATCCCATCACAAGAGCTCCACCTTTATGACCTAATTTCCTCCCAAAAGCCCCATTTCAAAGTACTATCCCATTGAGGGTTAGGATTTCAACTTAGGAGCTTTGTGGAGACAGAAACATTCAGTCCACAGCATAGGCTAAACCTATTCTAAAGAGCAGAAATGGGAAGTGGTCAAGTGGTGATGGTACTCAGTACATTCAGAAGTAGCTTGGGGGTGAATGTAACATCAGGGGGAGCTGTAAAGGCATGAAATGAAATATATGCTAACATTAATGTCTGGGCCATTTCCAGGCCTGGTTGTTGGGTACTCAAACTAGAATTCATTTTTTGAGAATCCTTTTTAGAAACTGAGTTCCCAATTTCTAAGCATTTTCATTCAAGTCAATGCTCATGTTAAAGTTGGCCCTGAGCCAGGCAATGTAGGTGACGCCAGGGCTGTCAACCATGCAGACCTCACTCTTCTTCTTTTTAATATTTTTTAGAGGAAGACAGGGTCTCACTCTGTCACTCAGGCTGGAGTGCATTAGCTCACTGCAGCCTCAGTCTACTGGGCTCAGGCAGTTCTCCTCCCTCAGCCTCCCAAACAGCTAGGACTACAAGCATGGGCAACCACACCTGGCTAATTTTTAAATTTTTTTGTAGAGTTGGAGCCTCACTATGTTGCTCAGGCTGATCTTGAACTTTTCTGGCCTCAAGAGACCTTCCTGCCTTAGCCTCTCAAAGCACTGGGGTTACAGATGTGAGCCACCGTGTCCAGCCTAGTCACTCTTTTTGTCCCTTTTCCTGCATCACACATGAGAGATGACCTTCATTTTTCAGAATTGAAAAGGTTCAGAAAGTGGCTTAGGTCACAAAGTTAAAAAGTAGTAATGCTGTGATCTGAATACAGGTTTTTGACTCTTGAACCAACAAGGAGAGAGTTTCTCTACCAGTTACTTGCTCAGAAACATATTAACGCTAACCCAATACTTGCCTCCACAGCTTTCTCTTAATAAATGATCAAATAAGTAAATAAGTCAGTTAACAAACAAATAAGTAAATAGCGAAAGTGAAGGGAACCTATTTTAATAAATAACATCTTACTTATGACAAAACAGTGGAACCAAAAACCAAGGTTCTCAAAGAACCAAGGTTCCTAAAGCCTAAAGGAGTCAAGGCTTCACTTCTCTGAGACTCGTTTTTAATGCTAATTTCAGAGAAGAACAAAAGAAAGTGGAGAACTTGAGGAGGGCATTTTAAGAGTTAAACTTTTGACTTTCAACCAAGGGTTATTTTAGTGTCATCTATTCAAATGCTTACAGAATAGAAAATGACTTCAAATCTAACAATATAAAACATTTAAGAACATGCATGGTTATAGATAAATAATATTGAATCCTTTTACTGTAGAAGAAAAAACAAACAAAAATTGTACTAGATTGAACTAGAAGGTCAATGGCTTTTGTTGTTTCTCCAGACTGACATGGTGCTAAAAAAGCTCGTTCTTGTATTCTTTTCTGGATACACATTTGTGTGTGTGTATGTGTGTGTTTGTGTGTGTATTTAAAGTGCTTCAAAGTATTTCCAGAATGTTCTGTGCTCTTCTTCTTCAAGGCATACAGTAGGAATGAATATTGCACCACTTTTGTTAAGTGGGACGATGTGACATTTTGGCCAGTGAAATGTGAGCGAAGTCACACGTGATTTCTGTATAGAAACTGCAGGAGCCATGCGCCTGAGTAGCCCTGTTCCCCGACTCCTGTGGTGGTGATCCTGGAGACGCATTTTAATTGAGAGCCTCAGTTATCCTGAGTCCTACAATGAACAGAGCCCATCTAGTAGGTTGGTGCAAAAGTAACTGCGGTTTGGGACGGTGAATTTTAAATTAGTATAACTAGGCTCAAACACATTCTTTAGTCATTTGTATAGAAACCATTACAATCAACACGTTATGTCAATGAGAAATAAATTTGTTTATTCCTATAGCATAAAAATCTGTGCTTGGGGATTTGACAAACTCTTGGAAAGCATTTTCTGCATCCTGCTGGTTGTGGAAGTGTTTTCTCTGCAAAAAGCTGTCAAGATGCTTGAAGAAGTGGTAGTTGGTCAGTGAGGAGTCAGGTGAATATGGTGGATGAGGCAGAACTTCCTAGCCCAATTCGCTCAAATTTTGAAGCGTTGATTGTGCAAGGTGAGGTCAAGCATTGTCGTGGAAAAGAACTGGGCCCCTTCTGTTGACCAACACTGGCTGCAGGTCCTGCAGTTTTCAGTGCGTCTCATCGTTCTGCTGAGCATATTTCTCACATGTAATGGTTTCGCCAGGAATCAGAAAACAGTAGTGGATCAGACCAGCAGCAGACCACCAATCGGTAACCATGACTTTTCTGGTGCAAGTTTGGCTTTGGAAAGTGCTTTGGAGCTTCTTCTCAGTCCAACCACTGAGCTGTTCATCGCTGGTTGTTGTATAAAATCCGCTTTTCATCACACGTCAGAATCCAATCAAGAAATTGTTCGTTTTTCTTGCGTAGAATAAGAGAAGAAGACACTTCAAAACAATTTTTTTTTATTTTCACTCAGCTCAGGAGACACCCACTTAGCGAGCTATTTCACCTTTCCAATTTGCTTCAAATGCCAAATGACCGTAGAATGGTAGATGTTGAGTTCTTCGGCAACTTCTTGTGTAGTTGTAGGAGGATCAACTCTGATGATTGCTCTCAACTGGTTGTTGTCAACTCCCGATGGCTGACCACTGTGCTCCTCATCTTCAAGGCTCTCGTCTCCTTTGCAAATCTTCTTGAACCACCACTGCGCTGTATGTTCGTTAGCAGTTCCTGGGCCAAATGTGTTGATGTTGTGAGTTGTCTTTGCTGCCTTATAACCCATTTTGAATTTGAATAAGAAAATTTCTTTTCTTATTCAAAGAATAAGATGTTAGACAAAAAGAAATTTGCTTTTTGTCTAACGTCATTTCCATAGCCTAAAATAAATATAAAATAAACATTAAGAAATAAATCGTTAGCAAAATAATATAAAATGAGAAATGTCCATTAAAACGAGGTATAACATAACCACAATTATTTAAGAATGTATTCCAATATCAGACGGCAAATTCCAACAATGTAAAAACTGCAATTACTTTTGCACCAACTAGTACCAAGCCAGGCTGCACCTCCAAAGTAAATGAGAAGTGATAGAGGAATTAAACTACTAAAATGTTATACTTGTTACGACAACATAGCCTAGCATTTCTTTAATAATACAGAAGACACTCTTTGTGTTGACAGAGGTAGTGTGTTAAAATGAGAAGAAATTGCATAAGGAGGTGAAAAACCCAGATTCAAATCCTACCTCTGCCATTTCCAAAGTTCATGCACTTTCCTTCCATTTCCTTTTCTCTAGAATGTATGGATCAGAAAACATAATAAAACTGAAGTTTCTGACACATTCACCCTTTGAAAAAATTAGACATAGGAATGCATTTTTACTGCCCATCTTTCATTATAAATTCCTACTGATTATTTAGTAAAAAAAATCTGACAATTAGAGCATGTAGGAGAGTGGTTAAATCATGGGTTTGAATTTTGATAAACTAGCAATGCCTGTTCTATCCCTTATTCTGGGTACATATTAGAAACTTAATAAATACGTGTTCAAGAAATTAAGTTGCAGGTATTCTGAATTTTGCTCTTTATCTAAAATATATTTACTTTAGAGCCACTATAAATGTTAAATAAGATAATTCTTAGCAATGTTTCTGGCAAATAGTATAGACTCAAAAATGGAAACTATCATATTCATTTATTGTTACACAAAGACACAAAGCTTACTTTAATTGAGGGAAATAGGAGTTGTTAGAAGAAGAGAAACATGAAACACAGAGGGAGTTATAGTTAAAAGATGAAACACACCAATATATGTAAAAGGCAAGGCAAGAAGGAATACTCAGATTCCATAAGACAAGTAGGGTCGCTAGAAAATGCAGAGATTCTGGAAATCATGGGATATGTGGGGAAAGAAGGGCTGATACTAAAAACATGCTATGCCAAGCATATCACATAGAATCTTGTGAAATTGTTATTAACTCCCCTATTTTACATGTGAGGAAATCACATCTCAAAGAAGTTAAGAACATTAATCAAAACACCAAGCTTATCATTGGCACAGTAAAAACTCAGGCCATGGACTGTTTGATTTATATCCTGTATTCTTTCAACTGTATTGTGCTGTGTTCTGGAAGGTGTCACCCAACAATTTTGTTCACTTACCCCTTAGACTAATACTGGTCTTGTTGACTTTTCAGGTAACACTAGGACCCATTTGTATGATGTTTTCTCCTACTGTATACCCAAGGAAATATCATAAGCTTGTGTGGCAGAGAGCCAGAGGTAATTTGTCCTCTGTTGTAACACAAAGCATATCTGGCCATTTGTTTGAATGATCAACAATTATTGATTTGTTCAACAACTGTTCAAATGATCTTGGATGTTGTTACCAGTGTGTAAGGAGGAACTCACAACTCCAAGAAATATACAGGGATTATAGTTGCAAGTTAGCAGTTGCAAAGTATTTTACAAAAAATATTTTAATATTGCCCTTCTATTTGAGGTCCATGTAGGAAATATTTTTCTTTGTGGATTTACATATAGAGCTATGAGACTTTTCATACCCTAGAAATTGATGAAAGCAAAGGGTTTCTTTGTTCCTTGGTTATTTTGGTGTAACACATTGCTGTAGGAAGTCATGGTGCAGATCATTCAGCTGCAAACTAGACCTTGTGGATACAAAGATA
The DNA here is from genome assembly GCF_000001405.40 of Homo sapiens. Classification (NCBI taxonomy): domain Eukaryota; kingdom Metazoa; phylum Chordata; class Mammalia; order Primates; family Hominidae; genus Homo; species Homo sapiens. The sequence goes on along the minus strand of NC_000014.9, from coordinate 85,754,561 downwards.
AAGACACAGCTGTAAGCCACAAAAGATCTCAAACTGCACTTGAACTGACGAAAAAATAAAGAAAACAATAGAGTATGAAAAGTCCTGTATACAGGGGTAGGAACCATCAGAGAGATCTTCATCCCAGGTAACTCAGAAAATGTTTTCCGGGGGAGGTAAAGAATAGACAGGATTGGCTAAGTATTAAAGATGACAAAGGAAACATTGAGGGAAAGGATGACAAGAGGAAAGACATTCCATGAAAAGTAAAGAACATGTGCCAAGGAAAGGAGGCATAGAACTTCCAAACCAAAGCATCTTATATATTCACCATGCTCTCTTTTCCCTTCTTCTTGTTAAGCCACCAAGATTTTGGGAGAGTCATTTGTTACTGCAACATAATGCATCCCCAAAGTACACTGTTATACTGAAAGTTGACCGGTCCTTTATAACTTGGGGTGATATGTGAGGTTGCTTAGGCCAGTAACCTAAGCAAGAATATACATGGTTTGGGGTGGGGGAGTGGCAATTCTGGGAAACCCATGGCTCTCTTAAAGAAAGAAGAGAGATGTGGCAGACATGGCTTTTTAAGGCTTCTTCCTCAAGCTTCTTCCTTTTTCCTGCTTTGAACTGAGACATGACTATAAAATGACAAGCACCGGACAAAATAAGACCTATTATGAATGAAGAAAATAAATAAGTAATAAAAATGACAATAAATAATTAAAAGATAGGGAAGCCCTGATAGCATCATCAAAATATGTCTAATAATTGCCTACCACTGAACTTCTTGTGATGTAGAAAAATACTTACTTTGAGTCACTTCAGTTGAGTACTTTTTATTGCATTCTCATCTATACTAATCCTATGTTCAACCCAACCATGTCTATGCAGCTGGAACCCTCATTGTCCCCCAACCACAACTTGCTCCTCCATGTAACTTTGTTCCAGGCACTTCCCTAACATGAGATGGCTAACCCTTCTTTTTGACTTACCTAGATGTATACTATGTAAACACAGCCCATGCTCAACCTCCTCATGGGAGACAAGAAGTTGTTAGTTGCCCAGGTTTCAGATATAAACATTGTAGGTCCAAATCCAGACTCTGTATTGCTAGCTGTATAACTATGAGCAATTCACTTAAATTATATGGCTCTTAATATACTGATGTGTAAATGGGGATAATCAGCTAAATCTCATAGATTTCCTATGTGCACTGATATGGTTTGGCTCTGTCCCCACCCAAATCTCAACTTGAATTGTATCTCCCAGAATTCCCACCTGTTGTGGAGAGGACCCAGGGGCAGGTAATTGAATCATGGGGGCCAGTCTTTACCATATTGTTCTCATGATAGGGAATAAGTCTCATAAGATCTGATGAGTTTATCAAGCTTTCCACTTTTGCTTCTTCCTCATTTTTCTCTTGCTGCTGCCATGTAAGAAGTGGCTTTTACCTCCCACCATGATTCTGAGGCCTTCCAGCCATGTGGAACTATAAGTCCAATTAAACCTCTTTTTGTTCCCAGTTTCAGGTATGTCTTTATCAGGGGCATGAAAACAAACTAATACATGCACTGAATGAGATATTTTGATGATAGCATCATTATAAGGCCATGATTTCACATGTAGAAAATGCTCTTATAAATGTAAAGTTGATAATTAATTTATTGCAAAAGAGGCTATTCATCTTTCTCACCCCTAAAATCCTGTTAGTTTCCTTATTGGTTAATGCAATGCCACCAAATGCTTAGTTCTTTCCTTTATATCATTTTGTATTTCAAATGGATTATCTTGTCTTCATCAAAATACTTCAAATTCCCCATGGTCCAGAAACATTTTTTCCTGCTTGTAGTAAAGTACAAGTAGGAAATGGAATTTGCTCTCCTGAATCCATAGCACCTGTTCATCAGTAATGTCTTAGGCAGTGTTCTAAGTTATTTTTATGTTTTGCCTCTTTAATCTTCACAATCTGATGAAGTAGATATGATTTTTAATGCTGGTGTTTCCATGGAGTTATGCAGCACTGTGAACCTCATTTTTAGCCCAAGTTCACACAGTTAGGAAGTGAGGGGTGGGTTGAGACTCACACTCAGCCCATCTGCAACATCCTGGTCTCTCATCTATAATAATAATGCATGCATAGTCTGCCATATACCAAAGGGTAACCAACCAATACATGATAACTGAATATGATTAATTGCTGGTAGATGAGTCATCCTTTCTCATTTCCACATCAGTGTAAAAAGTAGAACAATGTTTCTTATAAGGCCATTGTGCTTTCTTCATTTAGTCCCTATCAGAGAGCACCGTCTATTTCCTGCATTACCCTGTAAGTACCAAGTGCATCATATTTATCTTTGAATGTCCAGGAAATAAAAAAATTCCTGGAACACAAAATATCTCAAACGACTGCTAAATAAAATAGTATTGGAGATAGGAATTTCATTTTTTAAAAAGACAGCATGAAGACTGGAAGATATCAATTTACTTCCTGAAACAAACTGTTATTTCCAATATTGTAAGCCAGATAGAAAAGTCTAAAATTTATATTTTTGTGTGTTAATATTTTAACATAAATTCAACTTTGTATCTCCTAAGTCATATATTTAATTTAGGATGTTTCACCTATTTTTTAAAATTTAGGTTGCAATAAATCCCCTTTTATTTTCAGGCTGAATAAACTATAAGGTACCAAACCATCTGTTAGATGCCCGTCATTGCACTTTGACTTGAAACATAATGCATTAGTTCATTTTCACACTGCTGATAAAGACATACACGAGACTGGGTAATTTATATAGAAAAAGAGGTTTAATGGACTCACAGTTCCACGTGGTTGGAGAGGCCTCACAATCATGGTAGAAGGCAAAGGCATGTCTTACATGGCGGCAGACAAGAGAGAATGAGAGCCAGGTGAAAGGGGTTTCCTCTTATAACACCATCAGATCTCAGGAGACTTTTTCACTACCATGAGAACAGTATGGGGGGCAACCATGCTTACAATTCAGATATCTCCCACCGGGTCCCTCCCACAGCACATGAGAATTATGGGAGCTACAGTTCAAAATGAGATTTGGATGGGGACACAGCCAAACTATATCACATAAAATAAGCTCTGATTTTCTCTATAGAAATATTATTTTAAGGCAATGCCACAACAAAACCAATATTAAAAACTAAATATGTAAATGTAGCTTCAACAAGGGAGAAATGTACTAAGAGAAAGCCACAGTCAAGAATTAAAGGAAGGATTTTTCCAAACTTGAGTATTTTCCTAGAGCTTTTGCCAAACTTCAGAAATTCCAGTTTAGAAACCCAAACTTGGAAGACCACGGGCAACTTCTTCTTACAAGTGAAGAGCCTTTGCTCTCACAAATCTGTAGACCACCCGCAGGCAGCTGGACCTGCTAAGAACAGGAAACAGTGGGGGAACTGGTGCTTTTTCTCTGCTACAAAAATTCAAGCCAAAAATAAATGAATCTGGATGCACAGGAATGCTTTCCTTTTCAATTGCCCAAGGTGATCTTCAGCAGAAACAAAAACAAAAATGTTTTTCTCCTCCTAAAGGAGATCATTTCTCCTTGAAATAACATATATGTTTAATAACTTAAACATTCAAGTGTTCATTGCATTGCACAGTGTTACTCTTCATAGCGAGACAGTGGTATTTATCTGCAATGAGAAATGCCTGTATGAATAAAATTTTTAGAGATTAAAAGCACCTAATCCTGGAAGTTCTCTGAGCAAAATATTCCTGTTCCACCCCTTTCATATGCCTAAATGCTTTTTCCCATCACTGGATACTTAGAAGCAATTGTCCTAAAATCCCAGAACATACCCAGGTTGTTTATGTAGAAGGCAGTCCCAAGAAAATGCAATTTTCCCACAATACAATTGATCACTTACTCCATTCACCAGATAAAGCATAAATGCACAAACCAAAAATTCAGTTGAGTAGTCAAGAATTTTCAGTTTTAAAATTTGTATGCAAACTCCGGTGCTTAATACAATATTTTTATAAGAAAGTTTACAAAAAAGTTTTCTCTTATGTCAGATACTTAGACACCAAATATTTATAACAAAATAAATCAGAAAATTGGTTGATCACTTATATCTTTTCCCCACCATTAGAAACCCTATCTTCTGCATCTTCCTTTTTCTAAATTACCACAGCCCCTGCATCACTATTTGTTAGATTTTATCACATTCACTTAAATTATTATTTGAGATAATAATTTCACAAATAAATATTACAAGAAATTCTCAAAATTATCTCCTAAATAAATCAGTATGCATTTAAACACATAGTTGTATTTCTGAATACCAAGGACTAGATGCCATTATCTAGCCTGCCAGAGAAGAATCTGGCAAACTAGAACCAACATGGGTGTCTCTGAACTGCCAGATGTAACCCCATCTTCCTTTTTTAATGTGTAATATTATTTTGTTATCATAGATTATTGTCAAAAAGACTGGACATTTAAGAATAAAATACAGAGTTCAGTGAAAGAGACAGAAAGAAATAAGAAGCTCTATTTATGTGAAGCAAACTATAGATGTAATTTTAATTATTAAAAGCTGTAACATTTATAATGCTTTTCAAATACATTAAACCCTGATGTATGGTAATACATAGAAACGTTCTATCAAATATACATAGGCACAAGCTCAGACAGAATCTAAATCATGTTATCATATTACATATTGTTTTCTAAGTAACAATTCTGGCTTCTTAACAGTATCTATAGCTTCAGGTAGTATATCTACATAGTCCCCAAACATCCAAGTTAAAAGAAATTCAAATCAGTCAACCATCCAGAATGTTAGTTAATTCAACACTAAACATCTGTATATTTGAAGCTCTCCAAATCATTAATTTTTTTTGTAGTTTTTATCCAGATGGCAGTGTATTTTACACTTGAGAAATAAATGTAATTGCATGGTCTAGTGGGTAAACAAAAGAAAAGTAACAACTTGGGTTCGGAGGATGAGAACAATGATTGAGATTTATATAATTGATATTATGAGCCAAATAAGGGGGCACATATAAAATACCGTCTAGCTCTTCAGATTATCAGGAATACTATGTTAATAACTTTATTAGGATTCTTCACTGGCTCCTCTCTCATACATCTAATGCTTTGAATCCATGTTTTTGCTCAGCAGGCATGTGTAACCTCCTATACCCTTGTGTATCTGTTTTCTATGCTGTGTAAGAAATTAGCGCAAACTTAGCAGCTTAACACATTTATTATTTTGAAGTTTTTGCATGTTAGAAGTCTGGATGTATCTTACTTGGGCCCTCTATTCAGGATCTCACAAGGTTGACATCAAGATATTGGTTCGATTGTGTTCTCATCTGAAAGCTTGATTAGGGAAGGATCTGCTTTCAAACTCACTCATTTTGTTGGCAAAATTTATTTCCTTCCTTGTAGTTTTAGAATTCATGATAAGTTATTTCTTCAAAGCCAACAATAAACAGAATCTCTAAGGGAAGAGCTTACCTTATGAGGTCAGGCCCACCCAGAATAATCTCTCTTTTGACTAACACAAATTCAAATGATTAGAGACCTTAATCACATATAAATATTCCCTTCACCTTCTTCATTTTCAATTGGTTAGAGGCAAGTTGCAGGTTCCTCCTATCCTCAAGGGGAAGGAATTACACAAGTCATATAAGAGGGACAAATAGAAAACTTGGGATCATTTAAAAATACTGCCTACCACATTTTATCAATTAGGATATTTGCCACCTAATAATCATCACCAGCCACCTCCATATATACAGTACTAACAGTGGTAATAAATCAAAATTTAGATTTTTTAATTTAAATTTTTAAAATTTTCTTTTATCACGGTAAAAACACAACATGAAATCCACCATCTTAACACCTTTTTAAGTGTACAATATGACACTGTTGACAGAAGGTACAATATTGTACAGTGGATCTTTAAAACTTACTCATCTTGCTTAACTGAAACTTTACAGCCATTGATTAATAAATTCCCCTTTTCCCTTCCCCCTAGCCACTAGCAACTGTCATTCCACTTTTTTATTCTGTGAATTTGACTATTTTTGATACCTCAACAAGTGGAATCATGCAGAACTTGTCTTTCAGTGACTGGCTTATATCACTTAGCTTAATGTCTTCAAGGTTTATCCATGTTATCACAGATTGCAGTTTCCCTCTTTTTACAGACCAAATAGTATTCCACTGCAGGCTGAATGTCACTAATCACCAGAGAAATGCAAATCAAAACCACAGTTAGATATCACCTCACATCAACTTTCAAGACAGCTGTTATTAAAAAAAGAAAACAGACAGCAAGCGTCCGTGAGAATGTGGAGAAACTGGGACCCTTGCATACTGCTGACGGGAATATAAAATTGTGCTGTTGCTATGGAAAGCAGTATGGGGGCTGTCTTAGTCCATTTGAGGGGCTAAAACAAAATATCATAAACTTGATGACTTCTAAATGACATAAATTAGTTTCTCATCATATGGAGGCTGGGAAGTCCAACATAAGGGCACTGGTGAATTTAGTGTCTGGTGAGAGCCTGCTTCCTGGTTCAGAGAAGCCATCTTTTCACTGTGTCCACACATGTTGAAAGGTATAATGAAAACCGGGTGCGGTGGCTCACGCCTGTAATCCCAGCACTTTGGGAGGCCGAGGAGGGCAAATCACTTGAAGTCAGGAGTTTGAGACCAGCCTGACCAACAAGGTGAAACCCCGTCTCCACTAAAAACACAAAAATTAGCTGGGCATGGTGGCGAGCACCTGTAACTCCAGCTACTCAGGAGGCTGAGGCAGGAGAATTGCTTGAACCCAGAGGGCTGAGGTTGCAATGAGCCAAGATCGTGCCACTGCACTCCATCCTAGGCAACAGAGTGAAACTCCATTAAAAAGGAAAGGAAAGGCAAGGAAAGGAAAGGAAAAAGTTATGATGAAGTTCTCTGGGGCCTCTTTTATCAGGGCATTAATCCCATTCATGAGGACTCCTAATCGCCTCCCAAAGGCCCCACTTATAAATACCATCGCATTGGGAATTAGATTTCAGCATATGAATTTGGGGGAGATATAAGCATTCAGTCTATAAAAGAGATTCTCCCCAACAATTAAAAATAGAACTACCATATATTCCAGCAATCCCACTTCTGAATATTTCTCCAAAAGAATTAAAATCAGGATCTTAAAGAGATATTAACACTCCCAAGCTTATTACAGTACTATTCATGATGCCAAGAGGTAGAAAATATAGATTTTTTTTTTTAATGGGTCTTTTCTTTGAAGGTCTTGCCACAGATTATGCAGCTGAAGGTGCACACACCCAGGCGGGTTCTTCGACAATAATGCTGTAGTATAAGGTGGCAAACTTCTCACACTCAGTGCGGAGGGAAGGCTACTCACTGGGGAGTACTTAGTGTCAGATGGAAAGTGGGTAGCGAAATGGGACCCACACCCATCACCTTTCCAAGGACTTGATGCAGCTGCTATTAGCCATCTTGTTGCTTCCACCAGTGTAGAAACTGTTAGTTTTATTTTCTATTTCCAAGCAAGAAAGTATAAGAACAAGGTATAATATCATGTAGTACCTTCCCATTATAATCAACAAGAATCCAACTTCACGTAACTTTTTAATATGGTTAATCCTCAAGATGCTTTATTTCTAAGTGTATGTGTGTATGTGTGTGTGCATCTCTTTTATTCTAAAATCAGGATTTTTATCATGGATTCAAAGGAGTATGTTCATATGCTCCAGTTCATCAAGTGTGATGTGTTTCGGCAGTAAAAACAACAAAAATGAATTCAGTTTTTTATTTGAATTTTCTATCATGCTCAATCTACACCTTGGTGCTTTTCTAGCACTTTATAAGCTGTTCAGATTCACTGTGATGCTAGTTAATTTTGTAGCTTGAGGAATTGGTTTGGCTGCCTGCAGCTGATCAAAACTTACTTGAGGAACCACAGAAATGATGGCACAACCAGGGATATTGCAATTATTTTCAAAAGTTCTAAACAAGGCAATCAGCTGAATGTGAACTTGCCTTGTCTTCCTCCTTACACAACTATAAATGTATATGACAGCTTTTCAGGTATACTGAGCCTTTCATTCAAATTGAGAAAAATAGATTATAATTTTCCTCTCTACCTTTTACACAATAAGTCTTTCCCTGGAGACAAGCAGTTGATTGATCTCATACTTCTTTATTCTCTTTCCATTATTATTGTAATGTTATGAACTGCACCCAGCTTCTCTCAGGACAATGTGGAAGCTATACACACTCTCTAAAAAACACTTGTGAATACTTGGATTGTTCACAAACAATGTAAGCAAAGACAATCACTTGAAATCATACCTATATGTAAGGCAACAAATAATAATATTCTATTCAGCTTAATGATGCAATGACTCAGAAAATATTTATTGAGATCCTATAACCACATGCTAAGTAGTGTTTTGAAAAACAGAATCATAGCAAGGACCAGTAAAAAAGTTCATTACTTCCTTTCCTCAGGGAGCTTACATTCTAGTGTATAATATAATGTTAAGTGGTGATAAGGGCAGAGAAGATGGGTAAAAAGGGAAAGAAGGACTATTGCTTAGACTTCTCTTATGGAGGGGACCTCATGGTACACATTCATTTGTTTATTCATTGCCTTTTCCCCCAGTAAACTTCATGAGTGTGAGTACACTGGACTTTTTTTTTCTCTTTTTTTAATTTTTCAAATTATGGAAGATATAGATAACACTAAAATTACCATTCTAACCATTTTAAATATACAGTTCAGTGGCAATGTGTGTTCACATCGTTGAATAACCATAGCCACCATCCCTCTGCAGAGCTTTTTTATTGTTCCATACTGAAACTCCATACCCATCGAACAATATCTTGTCATTCCCTATTCTCCTCAGCCTTTGGTAACTATCATTCTATTTTCTGTCTCTATGAATTTGAGTACTTCAGTAATCTCATATAGGTGGAATCCAATAATATACCACCTTTTGTGAATGGCTTATTTCTCTGATAATAATTTCTTTAAGATTCATCAGTGTTGTAATGTGTCAAATTTCCTTCCTGTTTAAGACAGAATAATATTTCATTGTATGTATATATTGCATTTTGTTTACCATTCATCCATTCATGTACTGCTGGGTTGATTCCACCTTTTAGACATGAATAATGCAGTTGCATAATGAGCATGCTTGTATAAATATCTGCTCTAATTCCTCTTTCCAACTTTTTGGGTAAATATCCAGAAGTGGAATTGCTGGATCACAGGTTAATTCCATGTTCAATCTCTTGAGGACTTGCCATATCATTTTCCAATGTAGTCACCATTCTACATGTCCTCCAAGAGTGTACAAGAGTTCCAATTTCTCCACATCCTTGTGCACACTTGTTATTTTCTTTTTTTTTTTCTTTTTTTCAGACAGGGTCTCATTCTCTTTGCCCAGTCTGGAGTGCAGTGGTGCAGTTATGGCTCACAGCAGCCTCAAACTCATGGGCTCAAGCAATCCTCCTGCTCCAGCCTCCTGTGTAGCTGTGGACACAGGTGTGCCCCACTGTGCCTGGCTAATTTTTTTTAAGATAGGGTCTTGCTATATTGCCCAGGCTTGTCTCAAAGTCTTAGGCTCAAGTAATCTTCCTGCCTCAGCCACCCAATGTGTCGAGATTACAGGCATGAGCCACCACACTGGCCCCCCACCTTTTTTTTTATGGTTGACATCTCTATGGGAGTAAAGTGGTTTTTCACTGTGATTTTGATTTGCATTTCCTTAGTGATTGACATTAAGTGTTTTGTTCACTGCTGCACACTCATTGCCTAGAAGAAGCCTGAATGATTAAATAAATGAGAAAGTGGTATCACAAATGGCAAAGAGAAATAGTTGAAGAAAGAAAGAATGTGTCCAAGAGTGTCAAATAATGCAACAAGCATAAGTGATACACACGCTGAATCATTTCTGTGTGAATTTAGCAATTCGAATACTGACGGCAGCTTCTCTAAAGTGGTTCCAGGTGATAAGAGGTTAATGGGTAAGTGGAGGATGAGGACAGGGATACAGCAGCAGATGCTGTTCACACAGGCCTTGAGTGAAGCCATGAGACCACGTACAGAGATGGAGAAAGAACATTTCAGACAGACAAAAGAGAAGATGCAAAGATGGAGAGGCAGAAGCAAGAGCACTCATAAGGAGGCTGATATGAATGAAGAGTACTAGCACAATAAACAGAGGTGGGGATGAGGGTGGAATTTGGAGCCTCATGCACCATGTAGGTGCTAGCCCATTGGGCTTCACTCTAAGACACGTGAAAAGTGTGAGAAAGTTTTGAGCATTAGAGCGAAATGATCTGATTTATGTTTGTGGAGTACAGATTCTAGACAAATATGAGTGGAAACAGGGAGACCTGCTGGGGGTCTATTGCAACAGGCAATAAAGAGGCAGCTGAAGAGACAGTGAAACATGATCAGGTTTGGAACAGATTTAAGGGTAGAGCCAAGACCATTACTGGTGGATTGGAGTTAATAATAATGTCTTTGTTTAATGATATATGAAAAACCCTGTGAGGAGAAGATTCAGGGTGGGAGATTCATCAAGAATTCTGTCTTGGATGTTTTAAGTTTCAGGTCTGCTAGCCTCTGAGCAGAAGTGGCAGGTGGACAGAAGGGTCTGTAGTCCACAGAGGTCAGAGCTGGAGATAGAAAAACATGAGTCATCTGCAGAGAGATGGTCTTTGTGATGGTTAATACAGTACAGAATCTGGAGGACAGGATGAGATCTCTAAGGATGAGAGAGAAGGGAGAAAGGCCCAGCATGGAGCTCAGGAATCTCCAACATTTAGAGATTGGAGAAAAAAAAAAAAACAAAGAGGGAAAAACTTTGAAAAATGGCTGTTGAGGGAGAAGGAAAAACAAGACATAGACTAGAGGAGAAAAAAAGGAGCAGAGAAGAGACTCCAGAGTAGCCCTCACCACAATCAGGCTGCAGCCTTGAATCCCCCAGCAAACGGACATTGTAAGCTGTAACTATGAGCAGGAATAATTACAAATGTGTACCTTCCTCAGATCAACTCTCAACTAAGTTGAAACCACATCACTTTTATAATAAACCAGTGGAACCACTTCCACAACACTCTGTCATCCTCTGTAATTTAAGCATGTGAAATTAATTCTCCAAACTCCATATATCAAAATTAACTATTAAACAAAGAATGTATTCCAGAGTTATAGGCAAAGTAGTTAACAACTAATCACATTCCTCCAAAATACATGACTGTAGAACCACTGTAATTAGCCCTAGTACATTCCAGCCAAGGAGACAGCTTTTAATTAACTGATTGTTTTTGCTTTTAATTAAATGTCCAGGCAACCTGAAAATTATTATATTTATTTTCTCAGCACAATCTTATTTCTGAACTTTAGATCTATATCCCCAGATTCTGTTGGGTTATCTCATCTAGATGACTGCTGGCCTGGCAGGACTTGGAGTCAATGGTGCTCAGGCAGAGTAAACTACCTTCCCCAACAACTTTGCCCCTCTTTCCTGTTCTCTCTCTCCCTGAGTTATTTTGAGATAATTTGCATATTTCATGCATGTCAGTGTATTTTATGATGTTGCAAAATCCTTTTCTCACCTGTATCCATCCATGACTGTGGACTCTGGAAAAAATGGGGCAAGACGAATGTCACCCCAGAAATGAAGGGGATATAAGGAAATGTGCTCCTCAATTTTCATAGAACATGGAAAACCCCCTTGCCTCCTGAGAGTGTGAGAAGAGAGAAAATGGTGAAAGAAGAGCCCAAGGAGGCCTCTGTTCCCTGACACTCAGAGGTATGAAGACAAAGAGTTAAATATGAAGACATTGAGAATGTTAGAGCTTGGTTTCCTGGGGAAAGCCTGGGGTATGTTATCAACCTCCCAAAGGAGCTCCACGTTTGGCTGGACCCTAGATCCAAGGCAGCATGGGAGCAATTGTACAGCAAGTTTGGGAGAAGATGGCTGGATAGAGAGCTGAGACCGCACTGCTGGTTGTCCATGGTCAAGATGGGATGCAGAGTAGTGGGAGTTGCTTCCTCCCTTGCTAATAGAACCAAGAGACACTGAGAGGTCAACTGGGCTAACAAAAGCCTGCATCAGAAAGAGGAGACAATCAGGAATACAAACATTAATAACCATGGACAATGGTAGATAGCAGGGTGAGACAGAACCTGTCACACCTCACTGGATTCAGCCCATCTTCTCTGGCAATGCCGCTGACATTCAGAGACCTCTAATCATCTCTAATTCACCATACAACCCCCCCTCCCCACTCCTCCTCAAATAGCAAAATGATATCTTTTCAGAAGCAGAGAGAGAGAGGAAAAGCATATGAAATAATGAGCATTAGCCTGAAAAAGGTTGAGCTTCTTGATGTAGACTTCTTTTTTCCCCCCTGTAGCCTCATTACCATTAATTGGCAATTTAAAGTCCCAGCCATCCCTTGCTACTTAGTGGAGTGAAGACTTATGAGGAAAGTTAGAGCAATTATAGAATTGATATGTACTTAGATCAATTATAGAATAAATAACCATAGTTTCTTGCATAGCTGAGTGGTAGCGAGTAAATTTTTCCTGCTACACCATCAAAAACAAACTTAACTCTTCAAGCTAAAATGTTTTAATACATCACTGATGGCCCAAACTTTTCCTAATTTCCAAACTGTCACAAATAATTTCCAATTAGACATCTGGCTTCTTAAATCTGCCCCTTCCATCTATTTTTCTAGGCCACTGAAGTATTCTTTGCACTGGTCTTCTGATTTCTTCCCACTCTGAACAGTCTTCTGATTGAAGTACTATGATTTTCATTACGTTAGTTACTTGCTTTAAAACTTATCTTCGTCCTTTATTGCATGAACAGCAGTTTTCACCTGTGGACACTGAGACAGTTGTTCTCAAAGTGTCTCATCCCTGTATTAGTACTAGCAGCATCAACATTCCCTTGAAACTTCTTAGAAATGGGGGGAAAAAAATTGTAAGAAATGGGGTCTGGTCTTGAAATCCTGGCCTCAATTAATCCTCCTGCCTCAGTCTGCTGAGCAGCTGAGATTACAAGTATGGGCCACCATGTCTGGCTCCCAAAATGAAAATTTCAGGCTCCTACCATAAACTTGCTGAGAATTGGAAACTCTGGGGATAAAGCCCAGCCATTTGTCTTCTAACGAATCTTCCAGGTGATACTGATGAAAGCTCACTTTTGAAAACTACTTTCCTGGAAGAACCATAGAAGAACCTCAGAGGTCACAATGGCTGATAAAGGAGTCCTGGATGGAGTTTCTGAGGAAGAAATGAGCAGGAAATGAAAGACTCCAAGCTTGTCAGCTCTGTTTCAGATACAGACTGTCCATTCCTATTGTTTTGTAAAAACTTCCACCTAATATATCACTTGTGACATCTGTGAGGTTTAGCTTCCACATAATATACCATTTGTAAAAGATGTCAAATTATTTCCTCCTTCCTTCCTTCTTTCCTTCCTTCCTTCCTTCTTTCCTTCCCTTTTTCTTTCTTTTGCCTACAGATGTTCAATTGTCCCATTGCCATTTGCTGAAAGGTCTACCTTTCCCTCACTGAATTGTGATATAGTTTGGATGTTTGTCCCCTCCAAGTTTTACACTGAAATGTGATTCCCAATGTTGGAGTTGGGGCCTGGTAGGTGTTTGGGTCATAGGGGCGGATTCCTCATGAGTACCTTGGAGCTGTCCTTGTGGTTATGAGTGAGTTCTTTCTCTATGAGCTCCCGCAAGATCTGGTTGTTTGGAAGAGTGTGGCACCTCCTCCCTTGCTCTCTCTTGCTCCCTCTCTCACCATGTGATACGCTTGCGCTCCTTTCAACTTCCACCATAATTGGAAACTTCCTGAGGCTTCACCATGAACATATGCTGGTGCCATGCTTGTGCGGCCTGCAGAACCATAAGCCAAATCCACCTCTTTTCTTTATAAATTACCTCACCTTTGGTATTCCTTTATAGCAATGCAAACAGATACAAATTGGTTTTGTATCTATGTCAAAAATTAGTTGGTTTTTCATGTTTGGGTCCATTTCTGGGTTCCTTATTCAGTCTGTTGGTCTAAGTGTGTCTCCCTACTAAGGCCGCACTGTCTTGATTACTGTAGTTATATAGCAGGATGTAAATTTGGGCAGAGTGATTCCTCCCACTTTATTCTTCTTATCAGGATTGTTTTAGGTGGTCTAGGGCCTGTGCCTTTCCAAATAAATTTTAGAAAAACTTTGACAATGTCTACAAAAAACCGTGCTAGACTTTTGTTAGGAAATTCACTAAAGCCATATAAACCAATTTGGAAAAAAATGAACATCTTTATTATGTTGAGTTTTTTGATCCATAAATATCGTATGTTTATCCATCTAATATAGTTCTGCTTTTAGGTCTTTCATCAGTATTTTGTAGTTTTGAGTGTATAAATCTCATAAATGTTAAGCTTATACTTACCTATGTCATTTCTTTGGAGTTGTTGTGTTTTTAATTTTGGTTTTCAAATTTTAAATTTCTCAATTTTGTTATTAAGTTTGTTTTTTAAATTTGGTTTTAAATTTTGGTCTTTAATGTTCATTGTTAGCAAATAGAAATGTGATATTTATTTATTTACTTATTTACTTATTTGATCTGGTACCCTGCAACCTTGCTGAACTTACTTATTAGCTCTTGGAGGTTGTTTTTGTAGATTCCTTGGCCTAATATATTATCAGAAAGAAGAATTTTGCATTCCTCAGCACAAAACACTCAAGTCCTATCAAAACACAACTTCCATTTACCTTTCCAGACTCATTCCCAATCTTTGTTCTCAGTGGAAACCCTTTCCCAGTGTTGTGTGAAATTGTGGTTGAGGATCTCCTGCATCATCACTTGAGGTGGTTTAAAAATGTAGGCTCCCAGGGTCAGCCTAAAGTCTGTAGGGGCAGCCTGAAACCTGACCTTTTAATGTGATATCCTGGATGATTCTTATATACCCTGAGGTTTGAGACAATTTAGGTCTCAGCTTAAGCCAAAAAGACATTCTCATTTTCCCTGAACTTACCACTCACTTCTCAGCTATCAAATCTGCTCCTTGTGGCCTTTGTTTTATGTTTACCACAGACCTCCTTATTTGAGATCATTACTTCCAAGTTGGAAATTCATTACTTACAAACTTATATAGTAACACCTCTCTACCCTTCGCACATAGTCTGCAATTTTATTCAAACTGAAATTCCTTGTGTCTGCATCAAACTACCCCATTTTTTGAAATTTCTTCATCTATGAGAAAAATTATTCAGCCCTTAATAAAAATTATGATATTTGACCTGAGGTGGGCCCTGAACATGGCACAGACATCCTGTTGCATGCACTTGGTCAAGTGCTTCACATTCACAAGTAGTTCTTACAAATATGCATATATTTCTTCTAAGTCTCCTCCCCATCACCACATCACAATAGATTACCTAGTTTCTGAATTTACAGAAGAAAAAAGTTATCTCACTCCTTCATTTAAAAGCTTGCTTTTATTCATAGTTCAAAGTACTCCATCCATAGTTCAATGGTTCAAAGACTATCCTATTAATATCACCTTTATTTCCTAATACCTATAACTCATCTTGATTAAAAATAACTTCGATCACACACTCCTTTCTCAGGGAGGTTTCTTTACTGCCTTCCACTGGATCATTCCCCTAAGAATATACAAGTACTACAAAACAAAAATAAAATATTCAATAATACTTTATTGTATGCATTGTATACTGTGTTGTATCCTCTTTGGCTATTGCCCTATCACATTTTCTTTTATCATTCCTCAGCTTATCAAAACAGAGCTCAATACATGGTATCTCTCTTTTTCACTTCTTAAATTGCTGAAAATTTGCTGTGTCTCCTTGAAAACGACCTGATGAAGTCATCAATCATTCCTAATCCTTAAATCTAATGGGAAATATTCCATTGTTATTGCCAGGCCTTTGAGCCCAAGCTAAGCCATCATATCCCCTGTGACCTGCACGTACACATCCAGACGGCCGGTTCCTGCCTTAACTGATAACATTCCACCACAAAAGAAGTGAAAATGGCCTGTTCCTGCCTTAACTGATGACATTATCTTGTGAAATTCCTTCTCCTGGCTCATCCTGGCTCAAAAGCTCCCCTACTGAGCACCTTGTGACTCCCACTCCTGCCCACCAGAGAACAACCCCCCTTTGACCGTAATTTTCCTTTACCTACCCAAATCTTATAAAATGGCCCCACCTCTATCTCCCTTCGCTGACTCTCTTTTCGGACTCAGCCTGCCTGCACCCAGGTGAAATAAACAGCCTTGTTGCTCACACAAAGCCTGTTTGGTGGTCTCTTCAAATTGACGCGAGTGAAATTTGGTGCCATGACTCGGATCGGGGGACCTCCCTTGGGAGATCAATCCCCTGTCCTCCTGCTCTTTGTTCCGTGAGAAAGATCCACCTACGACCTCTGGTCCTCAGACCAACCAGCCCAGGGAACATCTCGCCAATTTTAAATCAGGTAAGCGGTCTCTTTTTACTCTCTTCTCCAACCTCTCTCACTATCCCTCAACCTCTTTCTCCTTTCAATCTTGGCGCCACACTTCAATCTCTCCCTTCTCTTAATTTCAGTTCCTTTCCTTTTCTGGCAGAGATGAAGGAGACACGTTTTATCCGTGGACCCAAAACTCCGGCACCGGTCACGGACTTGGGAAAACAGTCTTCCCTTGGTGTTTAATCACACGGGGACACCTGCCTGATTATTCACCCACGTTTCAGAGGTGTCTGACCACGCCGGAACGCCTGCCTTGGTCTTTCACCCTTAGCGGCAAGTACCACTTTTCTGGGGGCAAGAACCCCCCAACCCCTTATCTCCGTGTCTCTACCCCTTCTCCACTTTTCTGGGGGCAAGAACCCCCAACCCCTTCTTCACCCTTAGCGGCAAGTACCCCTTTTCTGGGGGCAAGAACCCCCAACCCCTTATCTCCGTGTCTCTACCCCTTCTCCACTTTTCTGGGAGGCAAGAACCCCCAGCCCTTCTCTCCGTGTCTCTATTGTCTCTTTTCTCTGGGCTTCCCTCCTTCACTACGGGCAAGCTTCCACCCTCCATTCTCCCTCCATTCTCCCTTCTTCTCCCTTAGCCTGTGTTGTTAAAAACCTAAAACCTCTTCAACTCACACCTGACCTAAAACCTAAATGCCTTATTTTCTTCTGCAATGCTGCTTGACCCCAATACAAACTTGACAGTGGTTCCAAATAGCCAGAAAACAGCACTTTCAATTTTTCCATCCTAAAAGATCTAAATAATTCTTGTCATAAAATGGGCAAACGGTCTGAGGTGCCTGATGTCCAGGCATTCTTTTACACATCGGTCCCTCCCTAGTCTCTGTTCCCAATGCCACTCCTCCCAAATCTTTCGTTTTTCCCTCCCGCCTGTCCCCTCAGTCCCAACCCCAAGTGTCGCTGAGTCTTTCTAATCCTTCTTTTCTACAGACCCATCTGACCTCTCCCCTCCTCTCCAGGCTGAGCTAGGTCCCAATGCTTCCTCAGCCTCCGCTCCTCCATCCTATAATCCTTTTATCAACTCCCCTCCTCACACTCGGTCTGGCTTACAGTTTCATTCGTGACTAGCCCTCCCCCACCTGCCCAGCAATTTGCTCTTAAAAAGGTGGCTGGAGCTAAAGGCATAGTCAAGGTTAATGCTCCTTTTTCTTTATCCCAAATCAGATAGCATTTAGGCTCTTTTTCATCAAATATAAAAACTCAGCCCAGTTCATGGCTCGTTTGGCAGCAACCCTGCCATGCTTTACAGCCCTAGACCCTAAAAGGTCAAAAGGCCATCTTATTCTCAATATACATTTTATTACCCAATCCACTCCCGACATTAAATAAAACTCCAATAATTAAATTCCGGGCCTCAAACCCCACAACAGGACTTAATTAACCTTGCCTTCAAGGTGTACAATAGTAGAGTAGAGGCAGCCAAGTAGCAACATATTTCTGAGTTGCAATTCCTTGCCTCCACTGTGAGACAAACCCCAGCCATGTCTCCAGCACACAAGAACTTCCAAACACCTAAACCGCAGTGGCCAGGTGGTCCTCCAGGCCCGCCTCCCCCAGGAGCTTGCTACAAGTGCCAGAAATCTGGCCACCAGGCCAAGGAATGCCTGCAGACCAGGATTCCTCCTAAGCCATGTCCCATCTGTGCGGGAGCCCACTGAAAATCGGACTGTTCAACTCACCTGGCAGCCACTCCTGGAGCCCCTGGAACTCTGGCCCAAGGCTCTCTGACTGACTCCTTCCCAGATCTTCTTAGCTTAGCAGCTGAAGACTGACACTGCCTGATTGCTTCGGAAGCCCCCTAGACCATCACAGACGCCGAGCTTCAGGTAACTCTCACAGTGGAAGGTAAGTCCGTCCCCTTCTTAATCAATACGGAGGCTACCCACTCCACATTACCTTCTTTTCAAGGGCCTGTTTCCCTTGCCTCTATAACTGTTGTGGGTATTGATGGCCAGGCTTCTAAACCTCTTGAAACTCCCCAACTCTGGTGCCAACTTAGACAATACTCTTTTAAGCACTCCTTTTAGTTATCCCCACCTGCCCAGTTCCCTTATTAGGCTGAGACCCTTTAACTAAATTATCTGCTTCCCTGACTATTCCTGGGCTACAGCCACACCTCATTGCTGCCTTTTCCCCCAGTTCAAAGCCTCCTTCACATCCTCCCCTGTATCTCCCCACTTTAACCCACAAGTATAAGACACCTCTACTCCCTCCTTAGTGACCGATCATGCACCCCTTACCATCCCATTAAAACCTAATCACTCTTACCCTGCTCAATGCCAATATCCCATCCCACAGCATACTTTAAAAGGATTAAAGCCTGTTATCACTCACCTGTTACAGCATAGCCTTTTAAAGCCTATAAACTCTCCTTACAATTCCCCCATTTTACCTGTCATAAAAAACAGACAAGGCTTACAGGTTAGTTCAGGATCTGCACCTTATCAACCAAATTGTTTTGCCTATCCACCCTGTGGTGCCAAACCCATATACTCTCCTAACCTCAATACCTCCCTCCACAACCCATTATTCTGTTCTAGATCTCAAACATGCTTTCTTTACTATTCCTTTGCACCCTTCATCCCATCCTCTCTTCGCTTTCACTTGGACTGACCCTGACACCCATTAGGTTCAGCAAATCACCTGGGCTGTACTGCCACAAGGCTTCACAGACAGCCCCCATTACTTCAGTCAAGCCCAAATTTCATCCTCATCTGTTACCTATCTCGGCATAATTCTCATAAAAACACACGTGCTCTCCCTGCTGATAGTGTCTGACTAATCTCCCAAACCTCAATCCCTTACAAAACAACAACTTCTTTCCTTCCTAGGCATGGTTAGCGCGGTCAGAATTCTTACACAAGAGCCAGGACCGCACCCTGTAGCCTTTCTGTCCAAACAACTTGACCTTACTGTTTTAGCCTAGCCCTCATATCTGCATGCAGCGGCTGCCACTGCTTTAATACTTTTAGAGGCCCTAAAAATCACAAACTATGCTCAACTCACTCTCTACATTTCTCATAACTTCCAAAATCTATTTTCTTCCTCATACCTGACGCATATACTTTCTGCTCCCCAACTCCTTCAGCTATACTCACTCTTTGTTGAGTCTCCCACAATTACCATCGTTCCTGGCATGGACTTCAATCTGGCCTCCCACATTATTCTGGATACCACACCTGACCCTCATGACTGTATTTCTCTGATCCACCTGACATTCACTCCATTTCCCCATATTTCCTTCTTTCCTGTTCCTCGCCCTTATCACATTTAGATTATTGATGGCAGTTCCGCCAGGCCTAATCGCCACTCAGCAGCAAAGGCAGGCTATGCTACAGTATCTTCCACATCTGTCATTGAGGTAACCGCTCTGCCCCCCTCCACTACCTCTCAGCAAGCCAAACTAGTTGCCTTAACTCAAGCCCTCACTCTTGCAAAAGGACTATGTATCAATATTTATAGTGACTCTAAATATGCCTTTCATATTCTGCACCACCATGCTGTTATACAGGCTGAAAGAGGTTTCCTCACTACGCAAGGGTCCTCCATCATTAATGCCTCTTTAATAAAAGCTCTGCTCAAGGCTACTTTACTTCCAAAGGAAGCTGGAGTCATTCACTGCAAAGGCCATCAAAAGGCGTCAGATCCCATTGCTCTAGACAACGCTTATGCTGATAAGGTGGCTAGACAAGCAGGTAGCTTTCCAACTTCTGTCCCTCACAGCCAGTTTTTCTCCTTCACATCAGTCACTCCCACCTACCCCCCCGCCCCCCCGCTGAAACTTCTACCTATCAATCTCTTCCCACACAAGGCAAATGGTTCTTAGACCAAGGAAAATATCTCCTTCCAGCCTCACAGGCCCATTCTATTCTGTCGTCATTTCATAACCTCTTCCATGTAGGTTACAAGCTGCTAGCCCATCTCTTAGAACCTCTCATTTCCTTTCCATCCTGGAAATCTATCCTCAAGGCAACCACTTCTCAGTGTTCCATTTGCTATTCTACTACCCCTCAGGGATTGTTCAGGCCCCCTCCCTTCCCTACACATCAAGCTCGGGGATTTGCCCCTGCCCAGGACTGGGAAATTGACTTTACTCACATGCCCCAAGTCAGAAAACTAAAATACCTCTTAGTCTGGGTAGACACTTTCACTGGATGGGTAGAGGCCTTTCCTACAGGGTCTAAGAAGGTCATCGCAGTCATTTCTTCCCTTTTGTTAGACATAATTCCTCCGTTTGGCCTTCCCACCTCTATAACAGTCCAATAGCAGACCGGCCTTTATTAGTCAAATCAGCCAAGCATTTCTTCAGGCTCTTGGTATTCAGTGAAACCTTTATATCCCTTACGGTCCTCAGTCTCCAGGAAAGGTATAACGGACTAATGGTCTTTTAAAAACACACCTCACCAAGCTCAGCCACCAACTTAAAAAGGACTGGACAATACTTTTACCACTTTCCTTTCTCAGAATTCAGGCCTGTCCTTGGAATGCTACAGGGTACAGCCCATTTGAGCTCCTGTATGGATGCTCCTTTTTATTAAGCCCCAGTCTTATTCTAGACACCAGACCAACTTGGACTGTGCCCCAAAAATCTTGTCATCCCTACTATCTTCTGTCTAGTCATACTCCTATTCACCATTCTCATCTACTCATACGTGCCCTGCTCTTGTTTACACTGCTGGTTTACACTGTTTCTCCAAGCCATCACAGCTGGTATCTCCTGATGCTATCCCCAAACCGCCACTCTTAACTCTTAAAGTAAATAAATAATCTTTGCTGGCAGGACTATGCTGAATCTCCTTAGGCACTCTGTAATTAGATGTCCTGGGTCCTCCCAATTCTTAGAACTTTAATACCTGTTTTTCTCCTTCTCTTATTCGGTTTAGTTTTTCAATTCACATAAAACCGTATCCAGGCCATCACCAATAATTCTAAATGACAAATGTTTCTTCTAACAACCCCACAATATCACCTCTTACCACAGAATCTTCCTTCAGCTTAATCTCTCCCACTCTATGTTCCCACTCCACCCCTAATCCCGCTAGAAGCAGCCCTGAGAAACATCACCCATTATCTCTCCATACCACCACCAAAATTTTCACCATCCCAACACTTTACCACTATTCCGTTTTATTTTTCTTATTAATATAAAAGACAGGAATGTCAGGCCTCTGAGCCCAAGCTAAGCCATCATATCCCCTGTGACTTGCATGTACACATCCAGATGGCCAGTTCCTGCCTTAACTGATGACATTCCACCACAAAAGAAGTGAAAATGGCCTGTTCCTGCCTTAACTGATGACATTATCTTGTGAAATTCCTTCTCCTGGCTCATCCTGGCTCAAAAGCTCCCCTACTGAGCACCTTGTGACCCCCACTCCTGCCCGCCAGAGAACAACCCCCTTTGACTGTAATTTTCCTTTACCTACCCAAATCTTATAAAATGGCCCCACCCCTATCTCCCTTCGCTGACTCTCTTTTCGGACGCAGCCCGCCTGCACCCAGGTGAAATAAACAGCCTTTTTGCTCATACAAAGCCTGTTTGGTGGTCTCTTCACACCGACGCGAGTGGAAGTTATCTTATTGGCATGTGATACTGTTGACCACTTTCTCCTTTCTGAACTTTCATTACACTACACTCCCCTAAAACCTCCTTCTTAGTGTTTGGGAGGTTTTCTTTTGATTGTTTGTTTATTTTGTTTTGTTTTTGAGACAGGGTTTCACTCCATAGCCCAGGCTGGAGTACAGTGGTGTAATCTTGGCTCATTGTAATCTCCACCTCCCAAGCTCAAGCAATCCTCCCACTTCAGCCTTCTATTAATCTCTAACACCCAGCTATTTTTTTCTAACACCCAGCTATTTTTTTCTCTTTTGCATTTTTTTTTTGTAGAGACAGGGTTTCCCCATGTTGCCCAGGCTGGTCTCGAGCTCCTGAGCTCAAGCAATATGCCCACCTTGGCCTCCCAAAATGCTGGGATTACCGGCGTGAGCCACTGCGCCTGACCCCTTCTTAGTGTGTTTGTTTGTTTGTTTCTTTGTTTTTAACTGGATCATAAACTTCTTTTTGCTTCCTGTGTATTAAAAGTTTTCAGTGTTTGTAGAGTTTTAGAGATCTTTTTCTCTCCATAACCTCCCCCTGGATTCTCCATTTTATGCCACCTTTTCAATTACCTCTATTGTTTCCCTGTTTTGAAACAACACTTTCCTAGTCTCTAGAGTCCTCACTGCTGTCTCTTAAGCTCCTCATCTTTTCTTCCAAATTCCAAGTTGACAACTCAGCATGAAAGTTCTGAGTGTACCTCAAACTCAGCCTCTCCTAAAAAATAAAAAAATAAAAATCTCATTATTCTGTTTCTACCAGCCTTTCCTCCCATTTTCCCTGATTTGGTAAATGAAATTCCCTCTTCTCTAGTTGCCCTAGCCAAAACCAGAGAGAGATTTCAACCTTCCTTCTCTCTCATTCCTGCAGTCAATAAGCCACTAAATTCCAACATTTCTACTGACTGTTCCTCTCCATCCTCAAATCTGCCTACTCCTCTCCAAGTTTGAGGTCACTGTCATAGTTCATTACTTAATCATGCCTCACTGGAACCACAGAAGCAATCATCTACTTTCACTCCCTTTCCCAAGTCTAGTATACTCCAAGCCATCAAGACACTCTCCACACCACAGCCTGGGCAGTGTTTCAGAGATGCAAATCACTGGTCAGCTTAGTGTTTTTCCAGATGTTTCCTATCTCTTACAGCCTTAGTAGGGTATAAAATGCTCTTGTGTGACCTGACTTCTACTGTGTTAACTCTACAAGTACTCTGAACCTAACACTACTGAATTGCTTGCACCCATTCCACAGTCTAATTCTCTTATATTTGATTATCTTCTAAGATAATCTAAAAATTAGATTATCTTCTAATTTTTGCCCAACTGATAAATTTCTCTTCATCCTTTAAGACTTAGTTTTATTAACCTGTCATTAATGAAGCCTTCCTTTACTCTCATAGGCAGACTTAGGTACTTTTTCTTCTCTTTTTATGTAACAGTTCATATATTCTCTTATGAACACTTTTATCAGGTTGTTTTGTGACTCTTTTTGTTTAGCTATTGGTCCACCAAATTCAGTATGAACTGCACTAACACAAAGACCCTGTTATATTCTCTTTCTAAAAGTTTTTATAAAATAGCAATGAAATGTTTGTGAGCGAAATGTTGAGTGTTAGACGAGAGAGATGCATATAAATTATTAAAACACAGGACCAAGAATGACACACACTTTACTGAGATATTGATGAAGACTGAATATATGGAAGAGGAAAAGATTGTGACCACACACATTCAGTTTTGGCCCAAAAGTACATATATTACAACAGCAGGAGAGGGCGAGATGGCATTATAGGGAGCAGTGTTGATTTGAAGTCCTGCTATCAATTGTCCAGTGACATAATCAAAAAAAACCTAGGGATATAGATCTAGAGTTCAGAAATAAGATTGTGCTGCAAAAATAGATATAATCATTCTTCAAGTAATTCTTCAGGTTGCCTGGCCATTTAACTTGCAATACAAACAGCTAATTAAAATCTAACTAAGAACATGGAAGTAAAAATCACAATACATACTGTTTCAGCTGCATAGTCTGATGTGACAAGTCTATGTGGTGAATGAAAAAAAAAGAGTGTTTTGGGAAATAAAAATGTAAAGGAGATGTTAGATTTTATTTTGAAACATTTCTGATACTCTATTAAGGAATTAAAACTGCAAGTATTCCAGAGCCATTTAAGCATTTTTGACAGGGGTGAGTTTTAAGAAATTTTCTTAAAATATAAAACAACACTGTAGTCCTAGTTACTCAGGAGGCTAAGGCAAGAGGATTGCTTGAGCCTGGGAAGCAGTGTGGTTGCAGTGAGCCTAGATCACACCACTGCATTCCAGCCTGGGCAACAGAGTGAGACCCTGTCTCAAAAATAAATAAAAATAAAAATAAAACAATGGATTGTGGGAGATGGAGAGGATGGGAAATCCCTTAAATAATTCAGGATAGGCGGGCCGTGGTGGCTCACGCCTCTAATCCCAGCACTTTGGGAGGCCGAGGTGGGTGGATCACCTGAGGTCGGGAGTTTGAGACCAGCCTGACCAACATGGAGAAACCCTGTCTCTACTAAAAATATAAAATTAGCTGGGCATGGTGGCACGTGCCTGTAATCCCAGCTACTCAGGAGGCTAAGGCAGAGAATCGCTTGAACCTGGGAGGTGGAGTTTGCCGTGAGTTGAGATCGCGCCATTGCACTCCAGCCTGGGCAACAAGAGCGAAACTCTGTCTCAAAATAATAATAATAATAATAATAATAATAATAATTCAGGATAAAGGATAAAGGGTCAGGGCAATGAATACCAATAATAAGCATCTGGAATCTGACTTCTGACTTTGGGGGCACCATTTTTCCCTCAGAGGCCCCAAAGGGCATAAAAATTTATCTGCACGTATGTTCAAAAAGGAAGACTATATTTTACTACATATTATGATATAGACACCATATAAAAATAAGACCTACTCCCATAATGAAGCAGAATGTAATTTTCTATGCATGATTTTAACTTCCTGGATGCTAAAAGATCTTGCCAAACTAAGCAATTCTGACATTGAATTAAATGACCAAGCATGAGGAGAAAAACTGTGATAAGTCCAAGCATAAAAGACATACTATTTTTTATGAGAACTGAATATGAATGGAATTAATAAAACGAAAATTGAAAGTTTCTACTAAAATATTTTAGAATGATTAGATAAAGTTTACTAAGCTTTTAAAACCTACGCAGTGTTTACATGTCAGTACACTTTTCATAATACCACACTCTCTGAACACTGATAGTATCATAAATATATCATATTTAGAGTTATGTGTAGTGTATATATACATACAAATATACAAACAATTTTATTGCGAACATCCTAGACCTACTGTGAACCCCAAATGATAATAGTTTCAGATTTCTTAGACACTATAAGTTATGACACACACCAGATAAATAGGGCCACACTGCAAAAGAATTCATGTACTTATCTTTTGCAGAGACAGCTGGAAATCCATGAGAATTATAGATAGGGAAGATTTTGGAGGTCAGGAATCTTGTTAATCTTGTCAACTCTGCTGCTGTTACAATTCCGTATCTCTCTAGTTTCAGAGTGGTAAAGGAAAATACTTACACTTCCTTTGGAATACCATCTTTTCTTATAATCTTTACTGTCCCATTTCTAAGCTATGGTCTGACCTTCATCTTGTCTAGGCTTTCTTGTTATGTACAGTTCTCTTTCAGCAGTGAATGCCAGCACCACTCGCTGGACACTTAAACAACAATTCAGTGCAGCATGTACTATATCACTTAACAGATTTTCATGTCTTCTTAACCAGCTGAAGAGATGCTTGATGCACAATATTATATTCATTTTTTTCTATATGATACCTAACAATGTGCTGAGTGTATATTTACAGATCACGTCTACACATACTGTTAAATTGAATTTATTTTTTGAAGATTGACAGTATTCTTTGAAAGGGTATATGTTCTTTACATTTCATATAGGCTACATAGTGTCCTGAAAATTGCTTTTTCACAAATTGTTCTATTTATGCTAGGTACTCAACTCACCCATCTCTCCTACAGTTCTTATTAGAAGTCTGTGCAATTGTTTGCATATCTGCCCCACCCTGCAAGTATCAGAGCAACTTACAGGATGTAGGTGGATTAAAAAATCTTTCCAGTAAGAGAGAACAAATACAGCAGGGCTCACTCTGCCACCTGTAATAAACCCACTCCTCTATACAGCTCATACCAGAAGTCTTTGCTAAGTTACACAACCAGAGAGGCAGTGAAAGATGGGACTAAGTTCAAAGACACCACTAGGATCTACACCAACACTGGAGAGAAAAAAATGCAAATAAACTGGTCCTGTGCTATAATTTCAGATACTATTCAACAAATTATTACATAGAGTCATGAGAGGGGAAGTAACTGGCAAGATGGGACAAAGGTCAACCTTTAAGCCTAGGCCAGATTCCATTAAATTCTACTTTAGGGTAGCAACTCCGCTGATACAGACCTGTGCAGTCTGCTTCTAAATCTATAGTTTTCCTTGTTTTACCCCAACTTTTTTTACTCCTTTTACATTGTGTGTGTCTCTATTTCTGATCCCATATCAGAAATAGACCCTATCTTGAATGTTGAGAATTACTACAATAGAATTTCAAAAATATAAACAAAAATTATGAATCATATTATTTGCATTAGACAGGCTTTCCCCAAGACAGATGTAAAGATTGTTTTTAAGTTGTTTTGTTCCACCTTTACATGTTAAATATGATTTTGTCCCTCCAGATTCATGCCTCTCCCTTCTTCACACTCTGTTCTGGACTCTGGAAGGCCATTGCTTTTAGTTTACATAAATGGACCCCTTCTCTGTGTCTTTGTAAGTTGGTTTTGGCCAATGGAAGGTACAGACAGGAGATAAGAGAGTGAGAAGAATGTGAGGTCGACTTCCTCCCTGCCAGGTGACTGCCATCTAACTGAATCCTTTATGGAGCTCTTGAGCTTACAGCTACCTCTTTCCAGAACCCTTGAATTTTAGTCTTTTTCCCTCTAAGGCCTCTTACCAGCCCCTTATTAATTTTCCTAAATTCTCCCCAAACCTGCTTAAATAGTCCCTTTAGTAAGCTTTTTCAAATTACTGGTTTAAATGTGCCATCTGTTTCCTACCAGGACCTTGATTGATATGTCTCATATCTGTTTACTGGAAATCGACTTTTTAAAGAGTGATGAAAAGATGGGAAGGAAAAGAGCATGGAAAACTTGTATTCTTTGGCCTTGTCTTAGTAAAATGAAACATTGTTTTCCATTCTTCTTTCCCATCCACAAGCCAAGGCTGATACACGAAGTCCCCAACAGACGTCCAAGGCTCATAGGTACAGTGGGCAGATCGTGGTGCACCTCATAGAACTTCTAACTCTACATAGTCCAAAAGCATCTCCATCTTGGTGGCTTGGTAGAGATTTTTGTGCCCTCAATTTATAGTCTGAAAAATGAAGCAAACTTAGCTCCTAGACTCTTGTGTAGGTTGGGTCCTGGTGGCACCCATGTGCTTGTGGGGCAGTTCCAACTATATTTTTCTGTACTCTGGTCCTAATTCTTATAACATTATAGTTATTACCTGTTATATATATATATATATACACACATACATATATATATGTATGTGTGTATATATATATATATATACACACACACATATATATGTATGTGTGTATATATATATATATATATATATATATATATATATATACATACACACATACATATATATATCCTGACCCCAACTTACTCAATATTTTTAGCTACAGATGGGTATGGTGGCTCCCACCTTAACACTTTGGGAGCCTGAGGTGGAAGAATTACTTGAGGCCAGGAGTTTAAGACCAGCCTGGGCAACAAAGGAAGAACCTGTCTCTACAATTTTTTTTTTTTTTTTTTTTTTAGACTTCGCCAGGTGTGGTCGTATGCCTATAGTTCCAGCTTCTTGGGAGGCTGAGGTGGGAGGATTGCCTGAGCCCAGGAGTTCAAGGCTGCAGTGAGCTGTGATCACACCACTGCACTCCAGCCCAGGTGACGGAGCAAGAACCTGTCTCTGAAAAGAGAAAAAAACAAAACAAAATATTTTTAGCTACTACCCTTTTTTGTCATCTTATCTAGTTTATTGATATGAATATATGTTACGTATGTCAATGGTTTTGACTAATACATACAACTCCGCTTTCTAATTTTCATACAACTATACATATTCATAAACAATATTTTCACATCATCTTGAAATTTAGCTACGGTCACTACAAAGAGCTGTAGATATGAAAGAGGTGGCTTAACAAACTTTAACAATGTCTTCAAAACTCTCTCTTCTCCACAAACTGTTCTGTAATTCTGATCGTAAGTACATATACTAACAGGTGTTTAAATGAGAGACCAAAATCCAACCCCAACCTTGTGAGTAATTTATTTTGTCTAAAATAAATGACACAAATATAAATTGGCATAAGGTTTTATATTATTTAGGGATAATTTAAACATAGTCTTAAACGTACATCATATATTATGATGCTAAAGTTACGTTGGTATTTCTCTCCCCAAGAATAGTTTTGAAAACATCCCCAGCCATGATCATGCATCATATAAATATGTAAAGTTTGTGTAGATGCCAGGAAAATAAGTGAAAACCAAGAATTATTTTCACCTGTATCAAATAATATGGTTATTAGTGAGAAATCATAATGATGATTATTATTTTCAGAATGTTTATCAAAACTTCTCTGCTTTTGTCCCCAGAAAAGAGAGAAGAGCATCTTCTAGTTTATGTTTATAGGAATATGAGTACCTCTTTAAGATCTCCAGGAACTATGCCAAATTTGATTATCTTATGTTTTAATAATGATATGAAGTCACTTAAATCTGCTTCAAATGGCATCAAAAACAACTAGCAAAAGATAATTCAGCAAAATTGAGATAATATTAGTGAAAGAAATGTAAAAATGTTTTGAGATCTGCAGATTGGATTATGCCAACTATTATTATTATACTCATATACAGAGTTTTAACGCCTCTAGGAAACAGCCTCTTCAGTATTTTGTATTCTATGTCAGCTTAATTTTACTTATTGCACAATTAAATCTCTCTTAAACAATTCAAGGAAAATCTTTATTCTTTCAATAAGGTTTAAAAGTGTAATAAATTGGCAGCTCTTTTTAGAAATTCTTTTCTAATAAAACATTATAAGTGGTTAGATCATTAAGCCTGGTTTGAAAAGCCTACATATACGGGAGAAAACCTACCATAGCTGACACAATGGAAACATCTGCTAAACCTTCTAACACAGACTCGCAGAGAGAAGAATATATTCTTTTTTGGTTTTTTAGACGGAGTTTTACTCTTGTTGCCCAGGCTGGAATGCAATGGTGTGATCTTGGCTCACTGCAGCCTCCACCTCCTGGGTTCAAGCTATTCTCCTGCCTCTGCCTCCCGAGTAGCTGGGATAACAGGGGCCCGCCACCATGCCTATCTAAATTTTTTTGTATTTTTAGTAGAGACGGGATTTTATCATGTTGACCAGGCTGGTCTTCAACTTCTGACCTCAGGTGATCCATCCGCCTTGGCCTCCCAAAGTACTGGGATTATAGGTGTGAGCCAGCACACCCTACCAAGAGGAATATATTTTTTTAAATAGAAACCAAATGGCCAAGACTGAATGCATGGTCCTTAAGGGACAGTGCATATTTCCTATCTGCAAAGGTCACCTGGCCTTTGAGCATGCAGCAAGCAATGAAAATGCCTCAGAGCTAAACCCAGCAGGACTGCTCTGTTAACAAGGACTCACCCTAGTATGAAGTCATCTCTTTTCCTAGGGTAGTAGACGATTCTATCG
Organism: Homo sapiens; assembly: GCF_000001405.40. Taxonomy (NCBI): domain Eukaryota; kingdom Metazoa; phylum Chordata; class Mammalia; order Primates; family Hominidae; genus Homo; species Homo sapiens. Next base: position 85,724,550 of record NC_000014.9, on the reverse strand, counting down.
CTACTAATATTTGAACCATAATTAAATGGAAAAATTCATCACTAGATTTATTAGAGAATTGGACAATAATACAATGAATGGAATTCCACATTGGCAAAATAATCAAATAGATATGTCAATATGTTACTCAGGATAGTAACTTAGAGTCAAGAAAGACTTTCTGCAATGGTTCAGAAGCAATTTGTATACACAGAGTGTAGTCCTGAGACAGAAAAGCCATGAAAGAAGCTCATGAAGTGGCAGATATCCTGTAGGAATGTTCATTTCTTTTTACACACACTTCAGATTTACTTTGCTTGTAGCTCGAACTCCATCTTTTTTAAACCGTTTCAGACCATTGCTGGCTGAGATCTACATGTTCCAGTTTCTTAGTTAATCAATCCTTCCTGATAAGCACTCTCTGAGTACTTTTAAGTTTGCAGAACCTTATATAAAATTCCAATTTTTTTTTTTATGAACATTGAGATAAGCCTAAAAAAATTGTCACGGTCCCCCAAAACTAAGTTCAATTGTGCATATTTAGGTAAAAAGAAAATGCTTACTTCTACCTAGGGTCAAATCGTAGCTTTAGTCCAGAGAAAACATTGTAGAGGAAAGAGCCTTGGAAATACAGACTTACGTTTCAAACTGACATCTTCCACATTTTTTGAAGATGAACAGATTATTAAAGTCACTGACTATCAGTGCTGCATCTGTAAGTTCTGGGTTTACAGTGAAATTTTAATGTAAAAATTTATATAAAACACTCAGCATGGCCTCTGTCATAAAGGAGATGCTTAATGAATTACATTTGTTTCTTTCAAGGATAATATTAATAATTCTACAATTGTGAGGACTAAGTGAATTAATGGAGAAGGCATTTATAATGAGCCCTGGTACATATTAGAGCTCTTTTTAAATTACAAAAGAATATCAAATAAGCTATATCTATTATTACCATTAATGTTCTAGGGCCTCAATATTAATTCAGTAATGGGGAAATTTTAAAAATTAGGGTTAGAGCAATGACAGATCAATGAATGAATCACTTAAACCAGGTATTTGTAGTTATATAGAAAAGAAGAATCTAAATTGATAACTCCTTTGTTTTTCGTTACGGTTTATTGCTTCAGTAAGAAAGTACTTGCTTAATATATGTTAATCACTGTATGTATTAGTCAGTTCTCCAGAGAAAAAGAACCAACAGGATGTGTGTATGTGTATATATATCCTATATACATCATACATCTATATATAGATATATATTTAAGTGTGTGTGTATATTTATCCACATCATATGTGTGTATACATATATATGATGAGTATGACCAATAAGATATAGCTATATACCATATACATATATATGATGTATATGATATGTATGATGTATATATACATCACATGTAGTATCACATATTACATATATTGAGAAATAAAAATGAAATCCTGTGCTTCTCAACTGACTGCACAGATTCCTTCTTAGCTAAGACCCCAGGGAAACTTTGAAAACTCAGTTCCCGGCCATGATGGAATGGGAGGTAAGACGCGCCTTGTTGTACCCCTCCCTCACTAACTGCCATTACTTTTTTTTCCTAAGGGTTAAACAGAATCTAGCCCTTTGGAAAAACTCCCTCCACCCCTGACGCCTACCAACTGCCTGACACTGCCCCTCCCTTTTGCAGTTTTGATAAAACTACCAACCAGTACTCCTTCCTGGTAAGAGACCACCCACCACAAAGTGGTTCTGGCCAGTCTACGGAGGATGCCCATAGAGACTTTTTGCATCCTATGCTTCATCTTTTGACATCAGAGAACCAAATAACTCCACTGTTGGATCTTGCTGACAGCCATTTTATGAGCATGAATCCCATGGGGGCGCATGACACTCAAATGTGCTTGTGCCTGTTTCTGTTTTCAAAAATATTCATGACTCCTCCTATAGCTTATTGAATATGTATATTTGGCTACTCTGTTCAGCAGAAATTCCCGTCTTATTCTTCCCACCTGTAAGTATCTGTTTCTGGCTTCTGACCAGAAACGTCACTTCCCAGCCTGCCAGAATGGCCACCCTGCAGGCTTTAACAGTTACCGGCTGCGAATCTGTATGAGTCTGCAGCAACCTCAGTTCTTGCCTCCTTAGAAGAATTTGACCAAGGGGCATAAGGCAGAGTGAGACACCGAGGCAAGTTTTAGAGCAAGAGTGAAAGCTTATTAAAAAGCTTTAGAGCAGGAATAAAGAGAAGTAAAGTATACTTGGAAAAGGGCCAAGTGGGCAACTTAAAAGATCAAGTGGCCAGTTTGACCTTTGACTTGGGGTTTTATAAATTGGCATTCTTCTGGGGTCTGTGTCTCTTCTCCCCTGATTCTTCCCTTGGAGTGGGCTGTCTTCTTGTGGCAAGAGATTCTTCTCTTGGAAGGGCCACATGCACGGTATGTTTACTAGAGTTGTACTCAAGCTCACGTGAGGCGTTCTTTCCTTACCAGTCATATGTTCCTAGAAGGTCATATACCCGTTAATCTCCAGCATTTTGCCTTAGTGCTTATGCTTTAGCCCATTCACCCGATTTCTGAGATCTTAGCGGGGAGCTGCTGATCATCAGTTTTGTGTATTTCTATGTATTGGGAGATTATCTTTCCCGGGTGCTGGCTGTGGCCAATTATTTTAGAGAGACAGTTAACAACTGCCTGATCATCACCTGAGGGTTAACTGATGTTCCTGGTGGTGGGAGGGGGCGGAGGGGGCTCTCCTGCTCTGCTCATATCTGCCTGACTACCTACTGTAACACAACCCTTTATGAGAAATAAAGTTCTCTTTTCCAAATTTATGAACCTCATCATTCTTCAGGTGACAATATATAAAGAGGTTTCTTATAAGGAATCAGCTCACATGATTATGGAGACAGAAAAGTCCCAAGATCTGCAGGGTGATTCAGTAAGCCGCAGACCCAGGAGGGCCCATGGGAGTTCCACTCTGACTCTAAAACTGTGAGAATCAGGAGAGCTAATGAGGTGGTTTCTGTCCACAGGCTTGCAGACTCAAGACCCAGAAAGCACTGATATTTCAGTTGGGGTCCTAAGGCAGGAAACAAGCCAGTGCCCCAGTTTAAAGCAGTTAGGCAGGAGGAATTCTCTCTTAATCAGGGGAGGGCCAGCCTTTTTAATATATTCAATAGGTTGGATATGGCCTATCTACATTACAAAGGGCCACCTCATCAACTATTTAAATATCCAAAACAGTCATATAGACACACCCAGAATGTTTGAACAAATATCTATGCACCCCATGTGTCCAAATCAACTTGATGCATAAAATTAACCATCACATTCTAATCTAGTTTTGAAGACAAGTAATATTCCTTTAAAAGTTTATATAACCAACATAGCATTAATCCATTCAAGTCTTATAGGTAACTCTGAACAGGAATTTACTAATGGCCCACCATACATCAGACCCTGTGTATTGAATCTGGTTGGTAGATAAAGACATAAAACAAGTGCAGTATATACTTTACGTGACATAATAGGGAGTTTGGACTTTGTCTTATAAAACCTAAGAAGGTAAAGGTAAATTTTAAGTAGAAAAGTAATTTGATCAGACATGTTTCAAAATAATAGTAATATTTGGGATGAAGGAGTTCATATTTATTTTTGGGCTCTTCTCATCTCCTGGACTTCTATTACAGGGCTCAGTCCTCGTACGTCTTATCACTTCTATTTATTCTCATTCTGTAAGTAGTAACATCCAAATGTTTTGGTGTTTATGCAACTAGGAGGGATATTAACAAGGTTTAACAATTAGTATGACAGAAGAATGAGCAATGAGAATAATTACTATCGTGTTCTAACAGGGTCCTGGAAACCTCCATATTACTAAATATTACTCCTTTAGTAGCATGATCATGAAATTGAAGCAAATTTACAAGGAAATGAAGAACTCTTGGTAAAGGTGCTGGAGCAGCATAGTTGTGCAAACCCTCTCAATTACACCAGACAGGCTGTATGGATTACAATTATGAAATCTATAAAAATGTACTCAAACCAATAGCTGACAAATAAAATACCTAGGAACAAAGACTCCCAAGGGTTTTGGACAAAAACAGTCAAAGATCAAAAAGAAGTCTGCCCTTGAAAGTTCCAGCCACTCTTATGCAAATTCTATGAATTTTCTGCCTTTATAAGGGAGCATTCTACAGTCATATATACTTTGGTTAGCATAAAGCTAGAGCGTATTGGCCTGAGGTGTCAGAGAATAGAGGAGAAGGCTGATATAGCAGCTGGAAATAAGGAGCAAACCCCTAGAAGCAAGAAAATCATAGAAAAGCTGAGCTCTTTAATCTGAAAATAATCTATGCCTAAATCTTTGGCTGATGATCAAATTATGCAAACACAGAGGAGACCACTAAGGGACAGGAAAAAAAGGTTTCAACTGGAAGCCACTGGCAGCACAGAAATAGGAGCTGTTGTACACAGTGAAGAAAAACACATTTGCACTATGAATCCAGGCAGGTTAATTGCCTAGTAGAACTAAATAAACAATAATTCTCAAAGAACACAGCAGAATTCAGAACATATTACTTATGATATCTAGTTTTCAAACAAAAATTTACCAGACATTAAAAAACAAAACAGGAAAACGTAACTTTTAGGAAATAGAAAAGTTAAAATAATTTGAATTCCAGCGAGCCTAGATGTGGACTTCAGGAGATAATAATTTCAAAGTGGTTATTTAAGATATGATGAAAAAATTAAAGGAAAACATAGTGCCAACGAATTAACAAATAGGGAATCCCAACAGGCAAATGCCAAATATCAAAAATGGAAATTAGCTAGTTAAAAGTGAAATGGCTGAAATTAAAAATGTATTAGATTAGCACAAACACAGATTAGAAATGACAGAAAAAAAGACTTAGAAAATTTTAATATAAACAAAGAGAAATAACCCAATTCAAAGCATAGAAAAGTCTTTCTACTCTTTTAAAAAACTTTGTTTAAAAACGTTTTTATAAAAAGTTTAAAAAAACATTTTTAAAAAAAGATGAGAAGACTTCAAGATTCATAGGACAATATCAGGCAACCTGATCTGTGGAAAATAAATGCCCTAACAAACATGTAATTTGAGTTCCAGAAAGAGAGGAGAGAAACAGTAAGAAAAACTACTTGAAAATGTAATGATAAAAAGTTGACAAGTTGGCCAGGTGTGGTGGCTCACACCTGTAATCCCAGCACTTTGGGAGGCCGAGGTGGGCAGATCACCTGAGGCTAGGAGTTCAAGACCAGCCTGGCCAGTGTGGTGAAACCCCGTCTCTACTAAAAATACAAAAATTAGCCAGGGGTGCTGGTGCATGCCTGTAATCCCAGCTGCTTGGGAGGCTGAGGTAGAATTACTCGAAGCCAGGAAGCAGAGGTTGCAGTGAGCCAAGATTGTGCCACTGCACTTCAGCCTGGTCGACAAGAGTGAAACTCCATCTCATTAAAAAATAAATAAATAAATAAATAAATAAATAAATAAGTTGCCAAATCTTGTGGGAAACTGAGTTAAAACTTGATTCAAGAATCTCAAAAAACTCCAAGCAGCATAAACAAAAAGAAAACTACTCCTAGGCATAGGATATTAAAACAGCTGAAAGACAAAGATAAAAGGCAATCTTGAAAGTCTTGAAAGCAGCCAGATGTAAACGTCATGTCACCTACAGGGTAACAATGATTATAACAAATGCCTGATTTGTTATCTTTATCATTAGAAACCAGGAAGGCCAGAGGAAACCAGAAAAACATATTCAGGTGCTGAAAGAAAAAATAAAAATAAAAACGCATAACAAAAAAATTCTATATCCAGCAAAACTATCCATTAAAAATGAAGACAAAATAATAACATTTTACATAAACCAGGCATAACAAAGGAGGTATTAAGGCTAAAGACAAATGGCACTCAAATATAATTCAGATCTCAAGGAAAAATGAAGAAGAGCATCAAATTGGTATACAAATGACTATGTATGTATGTATTAATATATATGCATCTGAGTGCATATATATTTGCTTTCTTTTATAATAATTTAAAAAGCATGTGACCACTTAAAATAAAAATCATAACCCTTAAGTTGTTTTTTATTATATACAGATATAAACATGTAATACATTATATATGATGGATAGATAGATAGATAGATAGATAGATAGATAGATAGATAGATAGATAGATAATATTATGTATATAAAAATAGCACTAAGGAGGATGGCCGGGGAATAAATTAAAATAAACTGCTGCAATGTTTCTCTATTTTACTTGGAACTCTTGATACTCTACTATAAGCATTTGCCTGAGGCTCCATACATCTATATCTGTGGCAAATATGTGTGCATTAATGGCAAGGTGGTTTAGAAATAAGAGCAGGCCCCATGAGAATCTGAGCCACCTGCTCATGCTGTTTGTATTCCTCTTCCAGATCTCTCTAGGCTTGGTTTACTATAGCATTTCCATTTTTTTCTTGGTTTTGGTGGTTAGTGACACAACTAGGTTAGTCATGTAACCTCTAGTTATTCTACGATGAGTTGTCAATGTCTACCTGGGCCTAATAGCAAGTCAAACATTGCTTTCAAAATGGGAAGTATTTGTTGGCAATGAAGAGCATTGCCCTTCTCCATAACCATAGGCACCTACACTGTTTTTTCTCCTGTGAGTATTTGCCAGAGGCTCGATATAGCATCTCTATCTGCACAGACATTTCCTTTACCAGGGATTCTGCTGAGTTACAAGCCCCAAGTGGCAGAGAATCTTATATCAATGTCTGTATTTGTTACAGAATTATGCTTTTTGTTCTGAACTCCTTTCAAAACTGGCAGTCTTGAAGGTTAGGCAACATATGGGTCAAACCAACACACATTTGTTTCTTTCTTTGCGGTGTAAGGTGCAGATACAACACTTGTTTCTGCAAGTGAGGTAATATACTGACATGTTCTAGACTACTAGTCCTTAGAAAATGTATCAGTGAAACAACAGGCCTCTGAAATTTCTCAGTTTACTGTTTACCCTCTTGCAATCACAAAATTTAATAAGTCACCTAGAGTGCTTGCTACTTCTTGCCAACCAAGTCCAATGACCTTTGTATCATGAATATAGTGAACCACGTCTGTATGCTATGAAGATTATCAAATTTCCTCCAGATTATATAATGAGAAGTAGAACAGCTCACGTAAGACAAGAGAATGGAGGTATATTGCTGTTCTGCCAGGTGAAGACAATTTCTGGTTATCTTTAATACTAGGGATGTAGAGAAAAGCATTTTCTAGGTAAGTATTAGTAACTGTATACTTGGTGCAAAAGTCCCTATTTTTTTTCAGTAAAGATACCACATTTGAATTTTACAGCTGTGAATTAAAGCATGACCTGGTTTTGTCTAAAAGAATCTAAGTCATTTTCTGTGAACCAAGTTTTGTGCTGACTAAAATGTGTAAGTTAAATAGGAATGTAGTAATCAAGAAGACTTTTGCTTCTATCAAGACTGGTGAAAATGGTAATTTGCCATTCTTCTGGAGATACCATATATCTTTTGGTTTATGACCTTGAGGTGGGGCATTTTTAGAGGCTTCTTACCTTTAAAGGCCATAGTTTAGGTAACATTTGTGCAGGTATTTTCAATTACTTAGTATATCTATTCTTATCATATAGTAAGGACCTGGAAAACAAACAAAACAAAACAATGGATGGCTCCTCAGTCCCATGGAGACACTATGAGAAAGAACTTTGCTGAGATGGGTAGATAGATGGAACAACATATTTATATTGTAGGAATGTAACTTAATATCAGGAAAAGCATAAATTCAAAAGACAAAAAGATACAGGAGAAGGACACATAGATATTTTGGTGGTTGGATTTCCAGTAGATTGTATCTTTCTTGGTCAGCACTACTTTTAAAGAAAAGCCCAGCTTTCCTAGATGAACAATGACTTAAAAAAAAAAAAAAAAAGACTGCTTGGTACCACTGGGAACATATATGACAATATTTCGGGATCAAAGAAATTCCTATCTTTACTCTGAAACCTTTCACTCCAAATCAGTCTGTAGAAATCTGTGATTCTGTTCCTATTATGATAATATTAGGCTCAACAAACCTTTTCCATGTTAAAATAATAGGCTTCTTGGGAAGAGAATGATTACCCACTCCTTGTAGAAAAAATAATGATTATACTTTTCTTGAGAGAATATTTTTATTGAGTAGGAGAAAGAAAGCAGAAACAAAGAAGGAATATATTTCTAATATTGGGTGACCAATAAGTAAGGAAAGACTGAAGACATGATGATAAAATTTACAATCTATGACAAACTGTAACTACATTGACCAAAACTATTTTGAAACTCCACCCATCAAAACATGAAGCCCATTCAAACCCTTGGGTCTGGGCCTCGTCATTGACTTACTTTGAAATAGGAGCAAATATGTTAGAAGCAAAGGTTTGTGAATTTGAGGCTTGCTCTAGTTGCTGGGAACCTTCCTACCTCCATGAGAACGAACCTGGGCTAGACCGGTGAATTCTGAAAGATACATGGCCCTGCCTCAGAAAATACCAAGCCAACTGCTAGACAGGTGAACAAGACCTAGACCAACTACTGCCCACAACCAGACATGTTCATGAGGCAATTCTAAGTCATCCAACTTCAGGTAGTTTGGTTCAGCCCAGAAGAAACACCTAGTCAATCCAAAACCCCATGAAAAGACTGGCCTAGCCTCCCAGCCTACACATTTCTCCCTTGCTGGATGCTTCCTGCCCTTGTACACCAGACTCCAAGTTCCCCAGTTTTGGGACTCGGACTGGCTCTCCTTGCTCCTCAGCTTGCAAATGGCCTATTGTGGAGCCTTGTGATCGTGACAGTACCTAGTTTTAGTGAGAGGAGTCTCAGAGCTGTCATGAAAACATTGGGGAAAGTGACTCACAGTCATCATGGTGGACGGGATGCAGGACTACATTGTAGCTCTGACTCAGACGGACAGAGCAGTGAGCGCAGGCTCACGTCGTGAATTACTGCTCCAGAATGACTGCAGGAATAAATCAGGAAACCTGAGAGGACCCAGAGACCCCCTGAAGGAAGCAGATTGCTCCTGCAGGACCCAGGAGACACCTCAAATACTGTGCTGATATCCATGGCTGAGAGATCCACAGGTGGTTCACATCACAGGGCTCTACACAGACAATGCCCAGTACCAGCTAGGAGCCTGGAAGACTTGCTGGGTGGCCAGATCCAGAAAAGAGATAACAGCCACTACAGCTGGGCTCTCAGGAAACTACATCCAAAACCCCACGAAAAACAATGAATGTTTTAAATTTTAGGTCTTGGAGTGATTTGCTATACACCAAAAGCTAATTGATAAATGAAAGTCACATTTTTATTAGCAATTTTTAAAATGTTTCTCCTTGATAAAAAGAAGTAGTCATTTGCCATGTTTAACTATTAGGAGGGACAAAAAATTGGAGGATGAGAAGATTTACTAAAGATGCAACACCTCTGACTCCTGCCCTTATTTTACTCTGATTTGCCACCTTCTTGCCATTTCTCACTCTTCCCATGAGATTCCAATTTGGTATTAGATCTGTTGTTGGCAGAGTCCATCATACTTGTTATGAATGAAAAGTCTCCTTGCCAGAGACACATCAGGGTCATTTGTCAACTTTTACCACAGGACCTTCATTCTTGTTTAAATTTCAAATTTTTTAGGTTGAGGTCATATTTTAAACTGTTTTCTGTCACTTTTGCTTTTCATGAGAAGGAATTTCAGGTTCATTCTCAAGAAACGATTTTGATAGAGAAAACATGAGACAGAGGAATGCATGAAGGTAGGGAGTGGCAGTCATACTGATGAGAAATAAGAAATGGTGTTGGGGAAGGGAGAGAACTCTAAAATAAAATCCAAGTCTTAATTTCACTAACAGTCGACTGATCATATGTGCATGTCACAACATACTGTCAACATCTTCTATAATTGAGTCATTTATAAAACTTTTATGATATCCAATATCTATCTGTCTCTCCAGTCTAAGACAAAATAGCCTCAGAATAATTTTTCCAGGACCTGAATATAATGGTCCCAGATTTGAATTTTATGTACTAAACACTAAATGCAAAATGTTCAAGTATGCACTCAGCTGACAGAAAAAAAATGGACTTCTCGTAGCTAACTGAGGTGTGTTAAGACAGAAGCAGGCAGCCATGGCTGGGTGAGGGAGTGGTCACATACCCTGTGTTCTCATAAAGATGTTGCAAAAGTATCACAGGACCTCCCTTTGTACAATCAACCAAACCAGTTACTGTTGTCAGTGGGTGGTAAATCCCTGCCCACAATGGCCCTTTGAAAGAAACATCTGACAGAGACTTCTGGTTTTAGGCTTGGAAACCAATCAATCAGAGCTCACCTGCCCCAGCCAACAGGGCCCAGCTGCACTGATCAGAACTAAGCAAGTTTGAATCCTTCATTTGCAAAAACAGATGTGATTGGGAACCTGGGCAAAAACTTTTGCTGTAAAACCCAAACCTTCTCTTGGTTCTCTGTAATTCACCTTCATTTTACACTAGACACTGCATCTCCTCAATTTGCAAACTGTTTCACAAGAATAAAGTCTTTAATCCAAATTCCCTTTCAGAGAATTTTTATTCACAAAACAAGCATTTTATATATATATATATGTGTGTGTGTGTGTGTGTGTGTATATCTGCAAATATATATTTATAATACTTGTGTATATATTTTATATATACGTAAAATATATAACATACCTGTGTTTTATACTCCAGTGCATGCTGTGGGATTATAGCTTTCTCCCCTTTGCTCTCCTCCACACGTTTTTGGTTTTTGTTTTTTTTTTTTTTTTTTTGGAGACAGAGTTTCGCTGTTGTTGCCCAGGCTGGAGTGCAATGATATGATCTCAGCTCACTGCAACCTCTGCCTCCCGGGTTCAAGAGATCCTCCTGCCTCAGCCTCCCAAGTAGCTGGGATTACAGGTGCCTGCCACCATGCCCAGCTAATTTTTCGTATTTTTAGTAGAGACAGGGTTTTACTATGTTGGCCAGGCTGGTCTCAAACTCCTGACCTTAGGTATTCCACCCACCTCAGCCTCCCAAAGTGCTGGGATTACAGGCATGAGCCCACACTTTCATAATTATTAGAATTATACTTTCAGCAGTTAAAAAATAATAAAAATAAAAATGGGGTATTAATGTGATGCACCTTTAACTGATAACATAGGAATAAAAGACAATTATCATCTTCAAATGGTGTTATTTCATTATAGCGATGAGTTCCATATGAGAATGATAGAGCCCTTTTTAAGGTTATATGAAAGGTAGCTACCCAAACAATGCATAATTTACAAAATGCATTTGAGCTTGCCCTTTGTCTTGTCACAATTCAAGAAAATGAAGTACTTTTTGAAATTTAAAGGCAACAATACTGAAGCAGATAAAACAAGGTGATTTAGTATTTTCCAGGCACACAGCACCTTGTATCCCAAAGAGCTTTACGACATAATAATTTGCATTTCCATAGTACTTTTTTTGTGAGATATTTCAAAGCCTATTGCATTAATATGAATTCAACTATGATGCAGTCCCTTGAAGTAGGGATTTATTCTTCATATCCCTGTTTTACAGGCAAGCACCTTAGGTGCCTTGCTGAAAGGTACACTGCAACCCATAATTCAGTTAGGAAATTGATCCTAGAAATTCTAATTTTCTCTCCCTTGTTCCGGTATCTTGACAAAACTGTTTTCCAAATAGGGAAATATATTAGTCTGCAGCTAAATAGCAAAATAAAGACATGCTGTCTCATGTAATCTTATAAATATGCTTTAAAAGCCACCGGTACCCCCTGAGAGGCTTACCATCTGCTTCTCATGGTGGCAAAAAGGAAGTGAGGCTGAGTGTGGAAGAGAGGCTGAATTGCATTCAGCGGGCAGAGGTAGACTTGTGCACAGTCTACAACACCTGAAGTAGAATTTTCAGACTATCTTTGCAATGGAGAAACTAATATCACATGAATTCCAGGTGAAGAGTACCATAAATGGCAAAAAGAGAACAAAGTGTCAATATTCCTAAGCAACATATGGTCAACAGATTTAGTATCAAGTGCTTACAACCTGTAATAGTCAACATCCAAGATGGCCCCCAATAAGACTTGCTTCCTGCCATCTATGCACCTGTGGTAGCTAGTCTATTTCATATTGAATCAGGACTCAATCATAAAAGGTATAGCAGCTTCCACCTTGGTCTCTTGAATTATTCTCTGGGAAGCCGGCCAACATGCCATAGAAACACTCAAGCAGCCCTCTGGAGGGGCTGCATGAAGAGGAATTGAAACTTCCTGCTAACATCCAGCACCAACTTCCAGCTTTCTAGCAATGTGAGTGAGAATTATCTTGAAAGTGGATGCTGCAGCCTCAGCCAAGCCTTCAGATAACTGCAACCCCAGTCAACTACACCCTCACAAGAGAGGCCAAGCCAGAACTTCACAACGAAGCAGCTCCCAAAATCCTGAACCACAGAAACTGTGACAGATAAAAATTGATTATTATTGACTTAGCCACTAAGTTTTGGAGGGATTTGTTATATTGCAGTAGGAAATTAAAATATAATCAAACAATTGTTAGGTCTAAGGAAAGTACGTAAGTAGTTAAATTAGTCAGTTCAGTTCAGTTCAATTCAACAATTACTTAATTGACATCTGCTTTCCATTAGGCATCAAGGAAGAGACACTACTACTAAGTAATGACCACACCCAAGCTAGAACAACAGTAGCCTTATTGCCTTAAAAAGGAAATTAAAGCAAATACTCTTCCAACAACTATGCAGCCTTCAAATGTGAAAAGATCTACATTATGAAATTGTATAAAATCTCTTACTTAACATTTTGCAATGACATTTTACGGCATTTTTGTGTTACAACTAAGTACTGTGCCATATCTGGCCTCTAACTCAACCTTGCTTGCTACCTTTCCAAACACTCAAGCCTTCAGTCTCTTGAGCATACCAAGCTCTTGATGGCCTGGAGCTTTAGCAGGTGTTTTCCTTCAGCCTTGTCTATGTCTGCCCCGACCCCTAACGTTGATCATGTCCTCGACATGATTAACTACTCAGATGTCAGCTTAAATGACACTTTAAGAGTGTTTCTGGGCTGGGTGTGGTGGCTCATGTGTGTATTCTCAGCACTTTGGGAGGCCAAGGCAGGAGGATCACTTGAGCCCAGGAGTACAAGACCAGCCTGGGAAAGATGGCATGACCTTCTCTGTATTCTTTTTAAGTGTTTTGGGGGTACTTTTTGTAAACCTCTTCCCTCCTCGCTGCATCACTGCATACACACACATTTTTATCATCACAGGACTGTTTCCCTCTATCTGTTTCCCTCAAATCATTAATCCAGTTCGTAAGACAGGAACAGTGGCTGGTTTCATCACTCACTGATTTTATACACACGTTCGTTAACACCATGCCTTCATATATTAGGTCCTTAATAAACATTTGTTGAATGAGTACTTTAAGAATTTAAAGTGTAAATAAACAACTACAACAATGAAGGGCGTGTTATATCATTTTAGGAAAGACTTCCTAAGAAAAGTGGCATTTAAGTGAGCCTTGTTGATTAAGCATCAGAATGCTAACATTTGTGGTAGAAAATTCTTCCAAGAAAATCACCTTACATGTGAGTCAGGATAGAGAAAAGGTATGTTTTTCGGTCTGTTGTGCTTGTTTTCTGTAGCCGGTCTTCATTTTTCTCAGGACAAACGCTCGAAGGTATGTAACTATATATACCAGCATTGCCTGGTCGAACTTGTATGGATGAGAGACAACACCACCACAGCTCAGTACCAGCATTATGTGTTGAATCATTGCTATGATTAAAAATGAAATGAGGCAGTAATATTCTATTAGTGGTGATTCTGAGGTGAAGGTGTAGGGATTGTGTGGAAGGTTTAACAGCATCATCTGCAGTACTTTTGTTTGCACTCTCCCTTTCCCATTCTGATATGTTGTCAATATTTGCAACAATTATACAAAGGCTGCAAAATTGAACACTGATGAGAACCTCTGGACATAGGCTGCTCTAAGCAGAACACCCAAGATTGGGATATAAATATGAAATAATGTCCAATTAAAGAACAGCCTACAATAGAAATATATATTATAAAAAACTGAACTCTCAGCTGCTTTTGGAAGACAGATAGAGTCACAGAAACTAAGAGTTTAAATTAGGAGAGTTTTTCACATTGACTTCAATCTAAAAAAGAGTCCTTTTTTGCAAAATATCAGGGAAAGCTCTAGCAGCTCTCTGTGCATGCAAAGTGTCAAGCTTAATTAAATACACACACACACACACACACACACATACACACAATGAAACTACCAACCAAAGGGTACTAGAGAATGGCACACATAACTGGCAGCTTAAGAGGAGAATCTGATCAGTGGAGTTGTCCATATATCATGTGGCTAAACCTACCATTTGAAATAAGAAAGACAATTTGGAGTATCTTTGGCCTGGGTTAAGTAAGAAACTACAAACCAATCATTGTCCAAGTGGAACTACTACTTTCTCCACAAATTCATGCTCTGTGCTAAGCACCGAGGTTACAAAGATTAATAGAATATAGACTTTGCTTTCAAGGTTCTTCCTGGCTGGCAGATAAAACAATCTAGACTTAGCAACAACTCAGATTATTCTGGCTTTTCTTTTCTCATATGAAATGAAGAAGCATTACCAACAACGTATTTTACCTGATTTGACACATACTATGGGCTGTGCCAGTATTGGAAGAGAGTGCTGCCTTATTTTCTCATCACCTGCAAACTAGACAGATCTTTGTAACTGCCTTCGTCAAAAGACTGTGGCAAAAATCACCCTGAGGGATTTCTGAGACAAGGTCATAAGAGGCCACAGCCATACAACCTGGCTCTCTCTTTCTCAGGATATACCTATGTTTTATACTTTATTTTACTTTTTTTTAAGCAAACTTCCATGGAACTAATTTCTAATAATGTTAATATCTTCCTTTTAACTAGTCAATATCGAACTTGAGTTTTTGACGTGCCAGTATGCTACTACCATATTGTCACTAATTTTCTTAACAAATTTTAAGTGACAACTCAAAGAGGGCCAAAATCTTAATTTTCTGTTTTCTCATCCCTGGATTTTGTAAGGAAATGCAGAACATATTATATGTGTTTATGTGCTCGTGGTCTCTAGGCTATCTGGATTTTTGTTGCTGTTCTTGTTTTAATTACTCTCTGGAGGAAACTCTCCTGTCTTTTCAGTGTCCTCAGATCAGACTTGCTAAAAATGTCCTCACCTCTTAGCCTGTATTTACCCTTCCTCTAGCCTGGGAGTATCTTATCCATTTCTCAGTCTACAATCCAAACTAGAAGATCAAAGTCCTTCTCCAATCTGAAATTTCTCAGAATGTTTCATGGTGATCTCTTTTGTCTGAATTTACAGACTCTGTTCTCTCTACGATATTATAAAATAAAAATCATACAATGTCCTTTTTCAGCTCTTTTATAAACTTATATTTTTATGTAACATTTGTTAACGTTCACTGTAACTTGATGTTACTTCTCCTTACTGAGCTGCAATCTCTTAGAGTTTAGCCATCAGAAGACTCAACTTGCTTTGCACCTAATAAAAATTAATTATTATTCATATGGTAGATTGTGTTTTCCGAAGACTACAACAAGAGGATGTATCTTAGCCCACATGCACTTCTTCCAACATAATGTCCATGCTCTTCCCAGCAGAAATATTGTATATGTTTCCTCTCCTTGACCTTGGATAAATCTTTATAAATTTTTCCACCAACAGCTTGTGGTTGAAACAACACTGACTGATCCTAGACTTGGTTATAAAAGCAACAAATTTACAACTTGGTTTTCTCTCTCTTTCTCAGGCCATGTGTCTTTGAAGCAATAAGTTACAGTGAAGCCACAATGCTGAGGAACCTCAAGAATAGACCATATAGAAAACGAGAAAGATGCCCAAGGAGCTGTAGCTCTTATAGCCCCCAGTTGTTTGAGTCTTCCTGGCCTAGTTAACAGACAAGGTAGCACAGAAGTCTTAGAGGTGATTCAAAGCCCAGTCATGGTTTGACTGGGTTTGGAATCCAGTCAAAACAATGAAGAGACCCTAAGCAAGCACTGCCCAGCTGAGCCCATTCAAATCCTCAAATTGCAGAGGATAATAATGATAAGCAATTGCTATCATTTTATACTACTGTATTTGAGGTGAATTTTATATTGATAGATGACTACATTTGACAAATTTTTATTTTAATGTGTGACTATAAGGTTTCACACCAATGGAATTCACATAGCAGTTTCAACACTTTTCAAACTATATAGTTTCTTTATTTTTTTAAATTAGTCTTGTCTTAATGTTCTTTAATTTTTTTAACCTAAATTTTCTTAATGTATTCATTACTATCAAGAGTCCTCACACATTTATGTTCCCCTCCACTAGAATATAAGCTCGATAAGGACAGGATTTTGCCTGTTTTATTTATGGCTGAATTCCCAGTAGATAGAATAACATCTATAGTGCCCTTGGCTTAGAAGTCATAGGACAACAGGATATAATTCTAGTTGCTATTGGAAGTAAGCAGAAAATTTAAGCATTGTATTATGGATGACTGACACATACAAAGATTCCCCTGGCTTTTATTTGTGGTGATTGAACTGTGGAAGAATAAATGAGGATAGCTTCCTTTTGTATAAATGCCCATATTCTTAAATCCATGTAGTAGACACAATACACTAATTTATCTTTAGCTTTTCACCCTTGGGTCATATTGCAAGTTCCATTAATTTTTCTTCCCATTATAAATCTGAGGTATTATTAAGTAGTTCTGATTAACAATATACCCTTTTCATTACATGGTGGTTCTGAGTGTTACCTGTTCTCAAGCTCTGGGGGTCTCCTTTCTCTTATTTCAATCTTTTTTCACCTATTCTAGGTTTTACAGGCCTCTTAATTTTTTTTTTCCCTGATCTCACTTGGGCTTTCAAAGGCTATTGAATTAATATCATCCAAATTTAATGTGCTGTTTGCTCCTTTTTGATCATTAATGAAGAAGTAAAACAAGACCAGCTACCTAGCTTTTTGTCATCTTTCTTGATTTGCCACCCTCAGCCAGCCATCATACCATTTAATAGAGTCATTTCAAGTCCAATTTGGAAAGATGCCGTTTAAAAATAACTAATTTCTGCCTTGTTATTCCCAGTGCATGTATTCTGTGTGCACCAGTGGAAAGCCAAAAGCTCAGAATGTTTTTCTGAGAACTAAGATAGAAACTCAGAAAGATATAAAATAGAATAAAATATTGCTGCACCTGCCGCCTAATGGCATTATTTTCTACGAAATAAAAAAATTTGATCTGACTGGAGTTAGGCAATTCTCTTTTTGACATGTGGCTTCTTGAAAAAAAAAATGAAGATAAAAAATAATCTTGCTAGGCAACTTTGATATGGATAAAGTCAATTTATTGGAAAGATTGAGGTAGTATGGATTTAACTCTTTGTATCCTTGTTAGTATTCTTGGCCTCAGTTCCATAGGAAAGGTGTTGTATGCATACCCTTCACAGATGGGGATCTAGTTTATAGTTCTTTTGTTAAACTTACCCATCCAGCACAAATCAGAGCTTCCTTTTTTCATTTTGATTGAATTTCTTGCTGCAAATAATATTGCAACCCATTTAGAACATAGAGATATTTTAATGTAGTGGCTCTCACCCTCAAGACATTTTGGATTATATAAAGAACATGACCAGATTCTGAAAGCAAAATGGCATTTAACAAGGGATTAACAACATTCTCTTCATCATATAATTATACTCAAAGCTTTGCTTTGCTAGTCTTCAGTACAATCATGACTGACAACCATCTAACACCAGAGGCTCCGAATGATCCTGAAATGTCCTACAGCAATTTGTCATTAACCCAAATAGGCAGAATATGGCATGCTCACAGTCCCACACACCAAAGAGTTAACAATATTTTCCTTATTATTCATTTCATTTTAAAATTTTAAGTCTTTAAAATGTAAGAGATAAGTATACATATATCAAATTTGACTAAGATAGAACATTTTGCTAAACTAAGTAAGAACAGTGAGTTTGGGCGTCAAGTACCTCGCTGACACTTAATAAAGTATTTGACGTCTCATTTCCTCGTCCTCCCATCTCTATAATCTAGGCCAATTTCCATTCAAATGAGTCTTAAATCAATAATCAGAAACTGACCCAGGGAGAATAAATAAAGCCATTAGAGTGAGTGAGTCAATCAAAAGCCTGTCCTCTCAGCTGTCTCCAACCTCCTTTCGTCTGAGTCTAGCCCTCCCAAGGCATATCTATTGTGAGTTGTAGTTCTGTTACACCTCTCCTTGTGAACAGCACACATTCGCATTAATCCCAATGCTTGGCAAAGGGGAGATGTTATTATTTTCCCAAACTACTCACTCCCATGTGGCCCCATGCCCAGAGCCATACTGGCAAAGCAATTGTCCAGATTTTGTTGTATATGTTCCCCTGGCTAATCTGTCTCCTGGCCTCATACATCCCCCACACACAGGCATGCAGGGATCCCAGTGCCTAACGCACAGTTCTGTCCCATGTAGGCTCAATACCAGAGCCCAGACCTGATTGCCTTCCCTAAGTGAAACCTTCCACAGCCCATGCCTACCGCTTACAGCCTTATCATTTCAAAAAGAAATACCAAGATCCCCAAGATGAGATACTCACCTTACCCCTTAACCTTATTTTCAACACTTCTCACATAACACAAAACCCTCAACTACAGAGAACACCTTATACTTCTCTGCGTTTTCTACAGTCTCCTGCCTAGAATCTTTGCTCATGCCGAATCTCCTGCCTCGAGTGCCTTCTTACTCTTTTCCTGTTCCAAGTTAAATTATGCTTATATATTGATGCTCAGCAAATACATTCATTTATTGATAGATACCAATTGAACACTGTTATGGGCTGAGTTGTGTTCCTTCAAAATTTGTTTGTTGAAGTTGTAAACTCTTCATCTCAGAATTTGACTATATTTTGAGACAGTGTCTTTAAAGGGGTAAGTAAATTAAAATGAGGTATACTAGAGTATACCTTAATCTACTACGATTGGTATCATAATAAGAAGAGGGAATTGGAATATAGACATACACAGAAAAAGACCATGTGAAGACAGAGAGAAGGTGGCCTTCCACAAGTCGAAAATAGAGACCCCAGAGGAAAACAACCCTACTGACACCTCGATCTCAGACTCCTAGCCTCCAAAACAGTGAGAAAATATATGTCTGTGATTTAAGTCACTCAGTCTATGACACTTATGGCAGCCCTAGAAAGCTAAGACAAGTATGTACTATATGTGAGCCACTTTGAAAGTCACTGGGATATATTACAGAACAAAATAGATACAGTCTCTTTCTGCATAGAACTCAAGATCTCCAGGTAGAAGAAACATTTCAACATTACTGGGTATTAGGTCACCTTTGTGTACTCTGCTATAACATCATATATGTGTTTCTAAAGTATTTTACATTGTGTGGAATCATGTACCAAAAATAACAGGACTTATGGAGGAAATGGGGCTGGATGCAGACCTTTCAAAACAAGTGAGACTTTGTAATGGGAGCACTTACAAAAATAACAACTAAGTTGCACAATTAAATCTCCACTATCATTTACACCCAATATTACAGCCAGTCTCTCTTTTGCAGCCTAAAACCTTATAATCATGCTTCCTGGTTTAAGATGTAAGGCATTGAAGAGGCTTGCCTCTTATAGTGACTAGCTTGATCATATTTGAAAATCTAATCCAGGATATACATCTCTTCAAATTTTTTGTTAAGATGATGATAATCTTTCCAATTTCCTCTTCCACATTCCCAGATTAATTAACAGGTTAATAATTTCCCAGATTAATAGTATAGATAGTTCAGTGCTTCCTGAAGCCACCGTATCGGTCACTACTTATGCTAAAGATTGCCAAATTTTTGTCTTCTTTTTCCATAAGGCTTTAACAATTGCATAGACTTTCTCTTTAACCTAATCACTTTGAAACATTAATCTTCTGGAGAAAAATCCGCATAAACCAACCAGTTTTCCAATCTCCAAGTGATACTGACATCATTCTCCTATTTGCAAATTGATTATGGGCTAATTAGCATCAAGCACTCCTTGAAACAGAACACACTGTCTGCTATACACATATAAAGAAGGGGTAGAAGGTTGTATGGCCTATAACAGAGGACCCATATTTTACACTCATGGAAGGACTCAAATATAAATTTAAATATTTATAGCCACAAGAGATATATGAATGGGGCTGAGAGAATATATTTATTCAATTTAAACTTGTATCCAAATATTAATCTATAATACCTACAGTATCCCATGAATATTTTAGAAGTCCTCTTAATATTTATTTATAAGTAACAAAATCATATTTCACTGTATTTTTATGGTTAATGTAAAAACATTTAAAATAAGTCATTTCTTTTTGTAGCCCCTGATTTGGAATTTTAAACTTTGATTATACTTTCAGCCTCAGAAATTTAAAGGACTTGAACCTCTCAACCTCCAAGAAACCTGGCCTTGGAATTTCTGTCATTGCTTTCATCAGATTGTGGAGAACTACTTCATTTAAACATAAGATACCTATCAGTGGTCATTGACTTTTGGGAGGCTGGGATTATGCCTGATTCATTTTTGTATTCCCAGCAATTAGTCTTTGTAGCAATATAGAACATCAGTATAAGTTTGAAATGTAAATGGACAATTGACCTAATTGATGAATAAATACAGGAAAGAAAGGAAGGAAAAGAGAATTGCCTAAAACTTCAACTGTGAGGCAGGAGATATAAATATGACCCAGAAAGCCTCTCTGCCTCTCAATTGTAGCCAATGTACAGTTCTTTAAGGAGTACAACGCCTGCTACATATTGGCACTCCATGTTTGAATGAATGAATGATTAAATGTATGAAAATCCAGCAGGCATAATTGCAAATCCCAGCTCTCTAGTTTTTATATGCACAACAAATATCTTATAAATCACAGTTTACAGTAATAATAACAAAAATGAAGATAATGAATTTTAAGATGACATATGTATGACCAAGGGTCAAATGAAAGTATAGGTTAAAGAGTCTTTCATCTAGTTCAGAAAAACGGGTCATCTCTGAAGACTAAAGAAATTTAAGATGTTATAAGATTCTAAAGGTCTTAAAAGATTGATTAAATTTAAATATATGAAAAAGATGCTTCAGAACATTATTAATAAAAAAGTCAATATGAACAAAAGTACAAAAACAGGAGCCAAGAAATCTTCTCCAGTTTCATCATCTGGTCCACACAGGGATAATTTCTACAATCTGACTCACTGCCCCAGCTGGCCTGAAAATATATTCGCACTGTCAGCAAAACTAAAAATGGACCTAAAATGCTTTAGACATGCAATGCTGAGAAAGACTTCGGTCTTCAGATACATTTTTCACTAAAAAGAATCTGGATCCCTCAAGTTTATGAAAATGTGTAAGATTTGCACTGGTATTGTGTTGTATTCTATTGTATTAAGTAAGATCTGAATGTATTGTCTATCTATCCACTGCTACCTCAAAACTGAGTAAGAAAGAACCTCTTCAGGCCGCATACATAAACACCCAAGCAGTTGGGAAGGATGTTATTTGGGTACAATTTATTCTATGGCAGAAATTCACACATTTTTCTGAATTAATTATATCTAGGCCTAACATCTCAAGTCAAAAGCAGGTTGTGCCTTTTTTCAACTTAGCTATCAGCGTTTCCATTGGAGGAGGGGAAGGGCAGATGCAACCAACTGCCTTTAAATAATCCTTTGCTCTAATGTAAAATAGTCCAGCCAGTAAAAATCAACAATTATCAATATGCTATAGTGCATTTTATAGCAAAATCATTTTCTTCTTCAAAGAAGAGCAATTCCATTTAAGGTGTGTTGCCAACAGTCAGTAGCAAAATATAGGTAGATATTAGTGAACTAAAACAGCCCCATGATCCTCTAATTCCTGTTTGGTTCATGTTTTCAATGCTATAACTGTCTTACTCTCTCTCCCTCTCTCTTTTTTCTGTGTGCAAATCCTTGAACATTACATGCATGACTTTGAACAGAGGGACCCTCTAGTGGCTAAGTTTTCCACAAAATCTACAATTACTTTCATAAAATGAAAAGTACTATTCGCCTATGAAGTTGGATGAAGACAGGGCTGCTGTTCCATTTCCTGCCTATTAGCAGAGGAAGTTGAAGTGCATTCTTCTGTTCTCTGACCATTTCATGGTGTCCTTGCCTTATCTTTTACAATACAACATTGACATGCTCTTTAATTTGCTGTTCCTATCCTGGGCTGATGTGACCAAACGCAGCTTTGGGGAAACAGACACACACTTATCACCCAACCCCTTTCTACAAAGTATTTCCTTTCTACTCCACTCTGCCCCCGGTGAACAGCTAGTGTCTGAGTGAAAAAAATAAAGTGAGAGATTTAGTCATCAGACCTGAGAAAAACTCATGGTGTGAAGCCTTACCCTTGAGAGAATTTGCTGAGTAGCATTAGCCAAGCTATTTTCCGACAACTTGTAGCTAAAGATCAAATGATAGCAAAGTGTTTCAAAACCATCCAGACAGCTGACTCATGTGTAAGCACCTTTCTTATGTCAAATATAAGTTTCACTGTAGCTCCTGGTTCTGGTTTGAAAATCTGACTCTTCAAGTGCAGCTCAACAGGTGAGAGCTCTGAGGCATACGGAGGCGGTCTCATTACCCAAGGGTCTGTTGGGAGCTAGAAGCCTAGAGAAAACACGTTTTAGATTTTAATTACTTAGTTAATTCCATGCTTTACTCAGAGTAGCCCTTGAAAGAAAATGCTTGAAAATTATTTGAGCAGCATTATTATCAAAAATCATGGCCCCACTCCACATAAGATACATGGGAATTTGGGTTGGAGGAAGAAAGGTATGCATTAGTTAAGCCTCTTTTTTTTTGAAAAGCAGAAAAAATCTAACTGAAACTAGCTTAAGCAAAAGAAGGAACATACTGATACAATGCATTCAAAAGGGCAGAATAGCTTCAGGCATGGCTGACTTAATGTGCTCAGAAGTAGGTTTCTCTCCATCTCTTAGTTTCTCTCTCAGAACAGGAAGATGAGGACTGTAGCTGCAAATCTTGACACCTCCCAGCCTCAAATATGACAGGTTAGCGTCTCTGTCTTTCAAAGGCTTTCGGAAGTCTCATAGCGTCTCGTTGGTTCTGACAGCCTTGTCTATCCACCAGTGAAGGAGGAATGTAAGACTCTTATTGGCCAAATCTGAGTCACCTTTCACCCGTGGAATTGGTGTGGAACCGGGGGCCACTGGTGTCACATGACTGGAGAATGAGCCCAAAATATAAATTTGAACCAATATTATAAGAAGGTGAAGCAGATGCAGTGAAAGAAGATGAAGCAGAAACCAACTGTTTTGCAATAGCTCAGCCCATACTCCAGACCAATTATGCCAAAATTCTTGGGGTTGGGGTTGCATACAGCCATCAATATTTTCTTCTTTTTATTTTTATTTTTAACTTTTAGTTTACATTCAGAGATACAAGTGCAGGTTTGTTAAATTGGTAAACTTGTGTCATGGGGATTTATTGTACAGATTATTTAATCAACCAGTTATTAAGCTTGGTACCCATTCATTATTTTTCTTGACCCTCTCCCTCCTCCCATCCTCCACCCTCCAATAGTTCCCAGTGGGTGTTATTTCCCTCAATGTGTCCATGTGTTCTCATTATTTAACTCTCATGTATAAGTGAGAACATGTGGTATTTGGTTTTCTGTTCCTGCGTGAGTTTGCTAAGGATAATGGCCTCCAGCTCCACCCATGTCCCTGCAAAGGACATAATCTTGTTCTTTTTTATGGCTGCATAGTATTCCATAGTGTGTGTGTGTGTGTGTGTGTGTGTGTGTGTGTGTGTGTGTATACACACACTACATTTTCTTTATCCAGTATACCATTGATAGACATTTAGGTTGATTCCACATCTTTGCTATTGTCAATGGTGTTGCAATGAACATACACGTGTATGTGTCTTCGTAATAGAATGATCTATATCTGAAGAAATATAAAGCATCAATATTTTCTAAAGCTCCCCGGATGACTCCAGTCTGCAGCCACTATTGAGAACTATTGCTCCATAAGCATCAGGTGTCTGTTCCTTAGAAGGCCTCTATCCCCCCAGGTACCAAAATCCTTGAATTTCTTCCATCACTCACTGCCTTGGGCAGTCTTTGGAGAATAGAGCTTATTTCCCTTTGCTAAGTACTTTATGCACATTGCCTTATTTAATCCTCTCAATAACACTGAGAGGCTTCAACCTTTGTTCTTCTGCCTGTTAGTATCAGGTAACTGAGACTCAGAGCAATACATTGTTTGCATAACATCTCACAGCTATTTGGTAGTGGAGAAGGATATTGATACCAAATATCATTGACTAGGTGGCTATTTTTTTAAATATTTACTGCTATAGTTTCTGTGTATCTGAGGGCAAGACCATGGGGGCTACATCTGAAACCAAAGTGTCACTTCCAATTCTGAGTCTATTCAGTTGCCACTTCTCTTCCTGCATTCTAGCTCTTAACCTTGACCTGTGCTATTTCACCTCTGCAAACTGTACCCGAAATATAGCCCCTTTGAGCTATCTGCTTCCCTCATTGTGGACCCCTGTTAACTCCCCCTTCATCTTTCATGCTCAGTCTCCCTTCCCTTCTAAGCCTTCACTTTCAAACTCTTAAACTCATTTTTGACAAATAAATGCTTCTACATTTTTAAACTTCACTTAAATCACTTACTTAAGCATATGCTACTTTGGATGGAATTTTATCTTTGCTGGACAACTTTTGTGACATTAAGAACAATGCTTCAATTTTCTGAGACCTATTTTCATGGTTAAACATCCACAAAGTTACTTACCTTGTGATTGTGTAGACTTAGAATAATCTAAGTAAAGGGCCTGACACAGTGTCTATATACAGTATGAAGTCAAAAATGGTAGCTATGATTATTAGTCTCTACCTCCAAAACATCTTCAACTCTTATCTATATGCTTATAGAAGATTTGAACACACAAAAGTGAATCTTAAAAATACCAAGAGTAAGCAGCATATTCAATGGTAAAGTGTTGAAAACGTTCCCACTGAGATTGGGAAGCTCCATTTCCATCAAACATTTTACTGAAAGTCCCTGCTAGTAAGAGAACAGAAGGAACAAAATGTATCAGGATTGTAAAAGAAGAAATAAAATTTCTGTTATTTACTTTTACATGATTGTATAGGTAGAGAACCAGAAGCAATCAACAGAAAAAAGAAAGTTAAAATTATAATTTTTACATAAATTTTTTATTTTATTAATTTTAATAAAATTTTACATTTATAAAAAAATGAAAAGAAAGTGCAGTGAGTTTCTATATATTGCATACCCAATTTCCCCATTATTAACATCTTATATTAGTATGATATTTTTCTCACAATTCAAGAACCAAAACTGATACATAGTAATGTATAGTCCATATTTTATCCAGATTTACTGTTTTTCTCTAATATCCTTTCTCTGTTTCATGATACCACCAGGATAACAAAGTACATTGATAGTCATCTCTCCTTTGCCTTCTTTCACTTGTGACAATTTCTAATAATTTTCTTGTTTTTGATGACTTTGACAATGTTGAGTACTGGTCAAGTAATTTGTAGAATGTCCCTTCATTGGACTTTGTCTCATGATTAGACTGGAGTAATGTGATTTTGGAAGGAAGACCATCAGATAAAGTCCATTCTCATCATATCATATCAATAATATGTACTATCAATATGACATACTGTTGATATTAACTGTGATCACCTGTCTGGAGGCAATGTGCATTAGATTTCAACACTCTGAAGTTACTCTTTTCCCTCCTTCTTTTTACAGTACACTCTTTGGAAGAAAGTTACTACACACAGCCCACACTTAAGTAGTAAGGAGGTGTGTTCCACCTCCATGAGGGTAGGTTGCTTCATAAATTATTTAGGATTCTTTGCAAGGGAGGTGTTTCTATTTTCACATATTTATTTAATATTTACTTTTTCAGTATGGAGTAATGATTGTTTACTTTCTTATGTAGATTACAATTAAATAGTACTTTATTTTCTTGCTTAAATTGTTATAGATTGACCACTGGGAGCACTTTGGCTCTTAAATTAGTTTGACATATCCATTATTAAGTTTTGTTTTGTTTTATTTTGTTTCTGCTCTTTGACTTTGGTTTTGTATTGCTGCTTGTTTGTTTGTGGAGAACTTTCTTATTTTCTGGGCACTATAAGCTGCCCCATGTTTATCACGCATATTTCCGGCGCCTGTCGAGAATCTGCCATTTCTCCAAAGACCTCTCCAAAGACCTAACATTTATTAGACAATGGTGTTAGAAAACAAAGTCTGGGCCGGGCGCAGTGGCTCACACCTGTAATCCCAGCACTTTGGGAGGCTGAGGCGGGCGGATCACGAGGTCAGGAGATCGAGACCATCCTGGCTAACACGGTGAAACCTCATCTCTACTAAAAAATACAAAAAAAGTTAGCCGGGCATGGTGGCGGGCGCCTGTAGTCCCAGCTACTTGGGAGGCTGAGGCAGGAGAATGGCGTGAACCCAGGAGGCGGAGCTTGCAGTGAGCCGAGATCGCGCCACTGCACTCCAGCCTGGGCGACAGAGTGAGACTCCGTCTCAAAAAAAAAAAAAAAAAAAGAAACCAAAGTCTGAACCCTAGGTGTGCTCATTGCAATTGGAATGCCATCGCTTCTAGGCCTTAAAAAGTATAGACCTGTGTATCAATAAATATTTCTATATTTAACCATCTGCATCTATCTTATACTAAATATGTGTTAATCTGATATCTCCAACTGTAATACATTTCCATATGGATTATTTTAGTTTATTCCCCTTACCTATCTGTAAGCTCCAACTTCACAGTGAGAAACCTGGATCCCACCACTGTCATCCATTGACTTAATTGTTCAACTGCATTATTCAGGTTTAGTAATTTAAGAATTATTAATACATATCCCCATAGCAAACAACTTATAGTAGTCTTAGAGTACATTATTAATTTATAGCAGTTTATTTTGCTTTAGTTCAATACACCCTACTCATTTCCAAAGTTACTGAGGCCAGCATGTTATTCTCCTACTCTATTCAGTGAGGTTCTTACATGTATTTTTAATACATTTAGATTCTTTTGTCACACTCTACCATTGAATCCTGGGATCATCTAAATTCCTAAATGATTTTTTAAATTTACACATATTAAAAATTACTCTCTGTGCTATAAAGCTCTACAAGTTTCAATAAATGCTTATATGTTATAGTCACTATCACAGTGTCATGGGGAATAGTTTTATTATGGCAAAAATCCCTTCCGCTTCACCTCTTCAACTTCACCTATTCATCTGCGCTGTTCTAACTTTCTCCCAGTCTCTACTCTACTCCAATCCATTGGCATCCATTTATTTTTTCTACAGTTTTGTCTTTTTCAGAATGTCATATAATTTGAGTACATCAGTGTGTAGCTTTTTCAGACTGGCATTTTTCACTTAACATATACGTTTAAGACTTATCTATATCTTTCCATGGCTTGAAAACTCATTTATTGTAATCACTGAATAATAGTCCATTGTATCATTGTTTGACAGACTATTGTTTGTCCATTCACTTATTGAAGAATATCTTGTTTGCATTCAGTTTTTGTTTTTTATGAATAAATCTGCTATAGATACTTGTACGCAGATATTCATATGCATATGTGTTCAAATAAGTTAGGTAAATACTTATAACCACAACTGCTAGATTGCATGCTAATTCTCTGCTGAGTTTTCTAAGAAACTGCCAACTGTTTCCCAAAATGGCTATACCATATTGCATTCCCACTAGCAATAAATGAGTCTCTATTTCTCTGTATCCCAGCCAGGAATTATTATCGGTTTCTTTTTTTAATATTAGCTATTCTATTGGTGTGAACTAGTATCAGATTGTTGTTTTAATTTACAATTCCTTAATGACAAATGATATTGAGCATATTTTTATATGCTTATTTGCCATCTGTATATCTTGTTTAGTGAGGTGTTTGTTTAGTTATCATCCATTTATTAATTTTTTTATTTTTGAATTTTAAGAGTTCTTTGTCTATTTTAGATAAAAGTCCTTTAACAGATAACTATTTTACAAATGCTTTCTGCCAATCTGGAGCTTGATTTTTTATTCTCTTAACCATGTCCCTCCATTTCATCATATCATGGACTGTTTTCTGCATAATTATTTCTGCATTTGAATCTTCTAAATTAATTAGCAAATCAAAAAGGACAATTGTGTTTTACTAACTAAAACAATCCTCTTACGTTTTTGTCAGGTTTCCCCCTGCAGATATTATGAAATGTCTTTACCTATTCAATAATAGCTTTAATAGAACTATTGACTCTAGGTCATTAATTTTCCAGTGTCTTTGTAGTGCCCCTGGCCTCTTGTGGTGCTAGAAGTGACTTGTTCATTGGATTGAGGCAGCTGAGTTTCAAAGGATCCAGAAACTCTTTTATTTTTTTCTAGTGTAAATGCTACAGCTAAATATCACACATGATATATGATAATCATACACCCAACTGTGGAGCAAGTCATTCCTCAGGCTGACATGAAGAACAAATTGTGGAAAAGAACGCAGTTACTGAAAATACTATAAGAAGCACATCATACGAACACAAACTTTCTCACTGAATAAATTACAAGGTTTTAAGGCCTGTCATCAACAAAGATTACCTTTAAAAATTGCACCCAAGTTACATGGGATTTATTTACACCATTATTGGTTTCTAGACAATTCAATTTCCAACCAGCCATTGAATTCAGCTGCCATCAACTCTGGCAGCTGCATCATTATCATTGTCATGTTTCTATTTATTGAGTGTTTTATTAGTCATATTTAATGTTTTCCAAATAAGAGTCCTGTGAGAAGGGTAGCATTGTTCCCTTATTCCATGTGGCTGAGGGTTTAAATGACTCAGAAATGGTCATGTACTTCCAAGTAGTTGGGGCTATCATTCAAGCATTGATTTATCTGATTCTAATGCTTTTGCCGTTTTAACCTTCCTGGCCGATCCCTCCTTGTGCAGCAAGTGGTAGAGAGATGGCTGAGTGGGTATGAATCCCACTAAAAGAATAAGGTTGCCTCTTCCCTGTAGCTGTTCATATGTAGAGTCAAAGTGACAGGTAATTAGAGTATCAGCAAGAAGGGACTATGCTCAACTAAATTAGATAAAATGTGTTCATAAAAATCATTAAAAGCAAAAAATGGAAGCTAGAAGACTGAAAATAAGAAAAGAAAGAGACAAACATGAAGGCAGATCAAGAAACGTTAGAAAGGCTTTTGCTCTATTTCCTGGCTATTAGCAGTGGCTGGATTATATCAAAGACACATCAAGCAGACAAGTGTACACACTTTAGAAGCTTTGCATAAAAATCAGTACTAAAATATGTTTTATAGAGGATATGCACACTTTGGTCTACCTGAGTTTGAATTTCAGTTTTGCACTTACCGGCTGTGTATCCTTGGTAACTTACTAGACCTCCTGGTACATCAGTTAATTTATTTGTAATATAGGAATGACAATAGTCATCACCGCACAGAGTTTAATATTAAATGAGTTAATACATGTAAAGCACAGAAAAGAGTATCTGGTGCATAGTGAATAGTAAATAAATGTTAGAGTATTAGCTTTCTAGGCTTGAGGCAGCATAGCTCCAATCATTTTTTGACATTCTTCCTATGCCTGTTTGTCTGTCCCTGTGTCCAAGATTTCCCCTTTTTATAAGAACACCAGTTATACTGAAGTAAGTTCTACTCTAATGACCTCATTTTAACTTTATCATCTCTATAAAGACCCTATCTTCACATAAGGTCACATTCTAAAGTACTGGGTATTAGAACTCAAACACAATTAATCCCATGAAGGTAAATTATACATTTTTTGTGAGCATTTTAATTGCCTGTCATATTCTGTAAATGTTTTTCCTTTTGTAGAGTAAAAACTTACAAAGTTTACATTTCCTTTGCCAGTGATATGGTACACTTTATATCCTGCATTACCTTCTTACACCTTCTCATTATAAAATCTAACAATGTCAGTTATATGAAAAGCATTGCTTTGATTGCACGATAAGCTGGCCCAAAAAAAGAAATCTTCATATGCCAAAGACAATGTGAAAATAAGTACAGAAAGAGTCTCAGAGAACTGAAGAGCCCTTTATCCACAGCCGCTTACTGAACCATGATGAACATCAGCTTTGCTTCACAGATTACATATTTTTATAAAAGCAAAGAAGAGATAATCTAGTTTTGTCATCCTCTTCTTCTATACCCAGGCCCTGTCTTGAGCCTTAGTGCTAGATATAGAACATAGTGTCTTCTCTGAGGCCTGTTCTCATGTAATTTTTCAGCCTAAACTTACACAACTGGTGGAAGGAGAAGGTCCTTCTCAGGTAAAGTATTTCATTTCAAGGGTCTAACATTGACCACGCCCCACCAGAAACTGTCAGAAGCATATTCACATCCTCTCTGAAGGAACTCACCCAAATATTCCTCACAGTTAAACTTCTAAGCAATATGAGCCACAGATAAAATAAGTCACCAGCTCACAAAGGAAAAAGGTACCATGAGAAGAAGCCAGCGAAAATAACAACAGAATCAGAAGTGCAAAAATGTTAGAGACTGGGATTTATTATAAAGAAAGACACACACACACACACACACACACACAGATTCAGTAGGTTTGAAAAATGTAAGAGAAGACTGAATACATGTCAAAAAGTAAAATATGATTAATTAACAAAAGGACAGCTTTAAAAGGAAATAAATTAACATTTCCAAAATTAAAAATCTAACCATTAAAAGTAAAATTTCATGAACAAATTTAGGTCAGATTAGAATCATTGAAAAGTAATAAACTGTATGTCAGTTATAAAAAAAAATTAGAATAGAATCAAATAGTTGGAAAACCTGAAAGAAAATTACAAAGACGTACAGAACAAATTAAAGTCTAACGTGAATAACTAAGGAAGAAGGCATAATGAGGAAGTAGCAATCTTTGAAGATACAATGTCTTGGACTGTCTCAAAATTGGTGAAAAAAAGAAGATACAAATTCAAGTAGCCCAATATTTGGGGGTGGGGGTGAGAAAAGAAGAAATAAGAAATGAGAAAAAGAAAAGAAAAGGAAAGGAAAAGGAAAAGACGTATGGACTCAATTGGTGGCAAACTGACTTATTTTTGAAATAATTCTGAGATAGAGGTGAGAGATAAGATTTTTTGTAACTTAGAAAAGTTATTAAACAATGAAAAGTTTATTTTATCTTTCAGCTTGAATCACTCCTCTTGTACCACTTAACTCTTTATATACTTTTTATAAATACTGCTCCATTGGTCACTTTTTAAAGCAAATATAAATGCCTATTTTATTACTCCAAGGGAAAAATGCTATTTAGTAGTAACTCTATCTTGTCTATCTTAAAATAGACTCTTTTTGGTAAATGTTGTGCACTTAAAGTTTAGACTTCATATTAAGGCCTTTTCCACTTTTTTTTTTTTTTTTTTTTTTTTTTTTTTTGAGACGGAGTCTCGCTCTGTTGCCCAGGCTGGAGTGCAGTGGCATGATCTCGGCTCACTGCAAGCTCCGCCTCCCAGGTTCACGCCATTCTCCTGCCTCAGCCTCCCGAGCAGCTGGGACTACAGGTGCCCGCCACCACGCCAGCTAATTTTGTTTTTGTATTTTTAGTAGAGACTGCGTTTCACCGTGTTAGCCAGGATGGTCTCGATCTCCTGACCTCGTGATCCGCCCACCTCGGCCTCCCAAAGTGCTGGGATTACAAGCGTGAGCCACGGCGCCCAGCCCTTTTCCACTCTTAAAATGTGTGCCTAGCCCTTCTACACTCCCAATATATGTCTTAGTATGGGGAGCTTAGCTGTCCTTAGTGGAGACAGAGGAAGTGGTCTCCAGTTATGAAACTGCAGTATAGGCTTTGGCTGGGTGTTCTGGTCAGTTCTCCTCTGGATAGAGCCAGGAGGAGCAGCTCATAGATGTCATCCACATTAAAATACATGGTTTCCGTATAGCATAGCCTCTGGTTGGGAGGTGTGTCTACCTTTTCTTAAATCATGGCTTATTCAGGCTCACAGATTTACATGGCATTTTATCAACACACTCCCCCTCCACTCTCCCACCTACCTTAATTTCTGGACCTCCCATATGATACACTTAAGCTATAGGCAACCAGCAATGCCATCTAGAAGATCTCTCTGGACCCTCTTCTGCACGGCTGCACCACGATGGCCACTGTGCCATGCCAAATATGGGTCTTCTCTGGGAGGCTTCCAATTTCAACACATCACAAAATAGGGGAGCAGGGCACTAACCTTGAGCTTCCTGCATCTTCCAAAATCTATCTGAGTGATCCCTACATGCCCCTTTCCTCTTCTATTTCCAAGGAATTCAGCATGAAGGAGGCAGAAGGAATACTCACATCTGACCCCCTGCTATGTTCTGCCTACCCTGTGTCTGAGCTCCATCCCACCCTCCACCACTGGAAGGGCTCTCTATTTCTAATGCCAAATTCCCCTATGCTCTATCAATTTTCTTTCCATTTGCCCTCACTCCTTCCCGGAGCAATAACACAAAGTCTACAGGAAATGAAACAAGATTATCAAAAAAGCAAAAGACATGGTTGAGTGCTCAAAACAATTATTCTTATTTACATTAATTGGGCGATAATATCATTTATTCATTGTCAGTTTTTGTCAGATTCCTACTTTTCTGTATATCTTGCTCTAAGGTCACCTAATCTCATGATGGAAGGTGTTGAAGAACTTTCACAGTAGGAGATATTCAAGGAAATGTTTGAGAGCACTGCCTGAACATGGTATTCCCTAAACAATTTGTTCATTCTGTCCAACAAACACAGAAGCCATGTGGACACTCCAATAAATTCCCGTAGTACTGGTTGCCTTTATTACAGTGCTTATCACATTTTATAAAGGAATGCTTATCACATTTTATTAAAATTTTAAGTTTAAGAATCTTTCTGAGGCCTTTCAGAAATCAGAGAAGTCAGTATGTCTGAACCATAGTGTCCACTGGCAAGAGATGCAAAGTGGCTAGTTCCAAGGAACTTGTCTGTGCAACATGGTGAAAGCATCATTCTCATGGAGGCTTCCAAGACCTTACTGACCCTGAACCTCTTCTTCCATATTCCTTTGTATTCTATATCCTGACTCAATATCATATGTCCCCCAAGTTCAGATCCCGTGATCACCTTGTCTCATTTCTTGATTTTAATGCTTGGATCATCTTCTTAGTTTGAATATTTGCCTTTTGCTTGACAACAGTTTGGATTCTTCTGACTGAGCTCCTGTTTGCCTTGAGTAAACTCACTACCCAATCAGGTCAGTTCCCAGCACCTTCTCCCAGTAATCATGGTGAATGTTCCAACTGGTTCCCTCTACCTGTTAGCAGATCCCAGGTACAAAGCGCTCTACTATTTTCCTCTTTCAACTTTCCCTCTTAGTGTTCTCTTCATATTTCCCTTTCCATTTTCCCATATCACAAACCTCATAGAAAGATATAAAAATTATATGATTGTAATAATCATAAATTGTCATTTGTATTGCACTCAGCCTTCCATTCGTTCTCACTCTCTTTTAAATTTTATCCTTTACTGGGTAAGGAATTTCATATAGCTCATGATGTTTGTTTGGAAAATATGTTCAATGCAAGGATGCATTACTTTTATACTGCATTGTTGCTATTTTACCTCACACCTTCCCAATGTGAATGAAATATATAAAATAAAAAGTAATACATCGAGAGAAAAATGCTTTGAGAAAAATTATATAGCTTGAATGTTATTCTGCTTCTGTATTGAGTAAGATGCTGCTCCCATGCTCAGAAAAAGCAGTGACTCATTTCAGGGCAGGAAGATTTAACAAAAAAATAAGTAGAAACCTTGATTGCCCCAAACACTATTTTCAAGTTGGTGACATGTGAGATGGCTGGTTCAGAATTTTACCACTTCTCAACGTGCTTCTGCCTCAAAGGCCACACTTTTTCTTTCCACTATTTACCCCTTACTGTGGTATTATTCTATGGAGCAGTGGAAAGCTGTTTAGAAATACCCACCCATATATTTTCAACAGGGTCAATAAAAATTTTTGACAATCCGTTCTTTACAGAAAGTTCCTATGTTCTTAAATATGATTCATCGAAGGGTGAAAGAACTAAGAGTAGCAGCAGAATAGAGACATTCCAGAACAAAAAAATTATAAAACATAATCACTTACATATTTTAAAGTTTTCTCTGAATTAAATGAAAACAATGATTATTGAGTCTAAAAACAACATCAAATAATATCTCAAAGTAATGTTATCACCCAATATTCTTTTTTAAATTTTTTTTATTATACTTTAAGTTCCGGGGTACATGTGCTGAACATACAGGTTTGTTACATAGGTATATACATGCCATGGTGGTTTGCTGCACCCATCAACCCATCATCTACACTAGGTATTTCTCTTAATGCTACCCCTCCCCTAGCCCCCCATCCCCCAACAGGCCCCAGTATGTGATGTTCCCCTCCCTGTGTCCATGTGTTCTCTCATTGTTCAACTTCCACTTATGAGGGAGAACATGCAATATCACTCAATATTCTCTTTTTTTTTTTTTTTTTTTTTTTTTGAGACAGAGTCTCGCTCTTTCGCCCAGGCCGGAGTGCAGTGGCGCTGTCTCGGCTCACTGCAAGCTCCGCCTCCCAGGTTCACGCCATTCTCCTGCCTCAGCCTCCCTCAGCCTCCCGAGTAGCTGGGACTACAGGCGCCCGCCACAACGCCCGGCTAATTTTTTGTATTTTTAGTAGAGACGGGGTTTCACCGTGTTAGCCAGGATGGTCTCGATCTCCTGACCTCGTGATCCGCCCGCCTCGGCCTCCCAAAGTGCTGGGATTAGAGGCATGAGCCACCGCGCCCGGCCAATATCACTCAATATTTTAACACATAAATAAGACGGTGCTTTTAGAAAGGTATGGAAAATCTCTTTTCCTCCTTCAGGATGTAAAGATCTTCAGAGCTTACCATGGCTTTCTGACTTTTGACTGATGAGGTCTTTGTTGAAAAATTATTCCACAATTTGAGATCTTATAGGTGACCATAATGTATCCTTCTGTGCTTTGTTTAAATAATTCAGTTTTTTGCAGGGTTATATCCATATATTCTTTATTCTATGACTGGATTG
Organism: Homo sapiens; assembly: GCF_000001405.40. Classification (NCBI taxonomy): domain Eukaryota; kingdom Metazoa; phylum Chordata; class Mammalia; order Primates; family Hominidae; genus Homo; species Homo sapiens. The sequence continues at coordinate 85,689,181 of NC_000014.9, read as the reverse complement.
TCACTTTTTTGTCAATTCTTCCAATTCTGTTCTATTATTAAACATAGCAAAAAGACTCATTCTGAGACATATTTTTCTGCAACTAAGAAGAATCACTGAAGTATCATCAGTAGATCTGTCTCTTCAAAATTATAAATCTGATGTCACTATCGGAGAAATGTGAAATACAGAGTGTCTTATAAATAAAGTTATTTTAAATATTTAATGCTTTTAAATGTACCGACAGTTAAAATTTTCTAAGTCTCATAATTAAAATCTCACTTTATTTGCTTTAAAAAGAAACACTTTGTATTAGTCCGTTCTCACGCTGCTATGAAGAAATACCCGAGACTGGGTAATTTATAGAAGAAAGAGTTTCAACTGACTCACAGTTCTACATTGCTCGGGAGGCATCAGGAAACTTATAATCATGGTGGAAGGCAAAGGAGAAGCAGGCACCTTCTTCACAGGGCAGCAGGGTGAAGTGAGTGCAAGCACGGGAAATGCCACATGCTTATAAAACCATCAGATCTCGTGAGAACTCACTCACCATCACGAGAACAGCGTGGAGGAAACAGCCCCCATGATCCAGACCCTATTACCTCCACCTGATCCTACTCTTGATACATGGGGATTATGGGAATTAAAATTTGAGATGAGATTTGGGTGGGGACACAGAGCCAAAACCATATCATACTTGTCGTGAAAGGCAGTAAATATAATGTTCTATGGGGGCATTCTTTAGAAGCAACTAAAACTAGACATCCATAGGATATAAAGTAATCATGAATCCTTTCTGCTATTATGTCTGCAGCAGGATTTGGACTTCAACCTCATACATCCACAGCCTCCTCTCACAAACACACTATTTATAATGTGCCTATGTGAAATTTCTTCCTGACCTCTGAAGTTATCTACTTCACTAGACTGAGATCATGTAAATACAACCATAGACTATTACTCAACTGCACAAGAATTATGCTTTTTATTGTGCAATAGCAAATATTCACTGCCCCATGGGTATGTGCAAATGTGAAAAGAAAAAAGAGAAGGCCAACACCCATACTACTCTGAATGTTCACTACGCCAAGCATAAATTTTCTTGGCTTTTCCCTTGAGTTTCAAACTAAATTCTTTTCAATAACCATTAGAAAACAAATCTACTTTTGCAACAGGAAAAGGCCCAGTATATAGAAAGAGATTTAACCGTGAAGTAGTTTAATCTTTATAATTCAAAACACTATAGGTAGATGCTCAGTAAAATGCCAAAATGCCTTGGGGAGTGTCCAAGCAGGAGTCTTGCACTGATAAGAGTGATAAATAACAAAAATTAAGAATAAAATGCTAAGATATAGTAAAAGAAATAGGTTTATGGCCTAGTTAGGTATTTCAAAGTACTTGATACTTTTCTCCTTGTATTTTTCTGAATATATTTTTCTAAATAATCTAGACAGCCAAACTTAATTGGATATTTTACTCAAGAGAGACAAGAATGCTATAAGGAAATATTAAACGTGTGGACTACTGCCATTATGAATGATGGAATTAGATAATTGAATCTGGATCTCAATATTTCCAAGAAAATATTCAGCCAATTGTAGTTATTTGTTACTTACAGCATGCTAAATGTTCCATTAATAATATGGGCTTACTTTTTGGCAGGAGAGAAATAAATATCATGGGTGCAATTTATCTGGAATCATTCTAGGCAGATGCTATGTTTTGAATATGTCCCCTGCAAAATTCAGGTGTTATCAATAAGAACTGCTCTCATTGATAGACAGCAGCTCCTTCATTAATGAGATGAAGAAACTTTTAAAAGAGGCACCACACAACATTTTTTTCTGACATGTCTATGCTGTATTTATTTATTTAGTATTTTTTTAACTTTTAAGTTCGGGGTACAAGTGCAGGTTTGTTACATAAGTAAAGTTGTGTCATGGAGCTAGCTTGCCTTTCTGCCTTCCACCATGTGAGGACAAGGTGTTCCTCTCCTCCAGAGGATGCAGACTTCATCAGACAAATGAAACTCCCAGTATCTTGATCTTGGACTTCTCAGCTTCCAACACTGTGAGAAAATAAATTTCTGTTCTTTGTAAATTACACAGTCTGTAATTTCCTGTTACAGCAGCACAAGTAAACTATTACAGCAGATGCAACTAGAAATCTTTGGTATTTCCTAACCACTAGTTTTTGCCAGCCCTAACTATGCAAATCCCCAATTCTTGTAAGAGATGAGAAACATATTATAAGGGCCAATGATTAAAAATAATTGTTGAAATTTTTGTACTTTTAGGATACAAAAATAGGCATCTAGCAGGATAACATTAACAATGTCAAGCACCTAATCAAAGCTTACAGACAAAGAAGCAAGAACAGGCTGAGTGCAGTGGCTCATGCCTGTAATCCCAGCATTTTGGGAGGCCAAGGCTGTTGGATCACCTGAGGTTAGGAGTTCGAGGCCAGCTTGGCCAACATGGCAAAACCCTGTCTCTACTAAAAATGCAAAAGTTAGCCAGGCATGGTGGAGACTGCCTGTAATCACAGCTACTAGGGGGGCTGAGGCAGGAGGATCACTTGAACCTTGGAGGTGGAGGTTGCAGTAAGCCAAGATCGTGCCACTGCACTCCAGCCTGGACAACAGAGACTCTGTCTCCAAAAAAAAAAAAAGAAGCAAGAACACATGACATATATTGAGGAGAAAGATAAATCAATGGAAACTGACCCAGAATTGAAACAGTTATTAAAAATTAGAAGACAAGAACATCACAGTTGTTATTTATAACTGTATTTCATATATTCAACAAATAGTGACTTGAGAAACATAAAAAGAAATTCTGCAGATGAAACCTTCAATAATTGAGATGAAAAATACACTAGGTGGGATTAAAAGCAGATTAGATTTTGCAGAAGGAAAGATTCATAAACTTTAAGACATAGCAATAGAAACTATGCAGAATTAAACACAAATAAACATTTAAAAAAGTAAAAGTAGCATCAGGAGGCTATAGGGCAACATCAAAAAGCCAAATAAATGTGGAATTAGAATCTTCAAATAAGAGGACAGAAAGTATTTGAAGGAATACTTGCTAAAAAGTTTCCAAATACAATGAAACTATAGGTTGATAGATTTAAGAAACTCACCAAACCCAAGAGACAAGAAACATGAAGAAATCCATACCAAGGCACATCATAATCAAATTGCTCAAAACCAGTAATAAAGAGCAAATCTTAAAAGCAACTGAATGGGGGAAAATCAAACCACACTTAGAGGAAGGAAGGAAAGCATGGCAGCATATTTCTTCTTAGAAAAAATGGAAATTAATACAATAATGGAGCACATCTTTTGAATTCAGAAAGAAAAGAAAACTGTCAATCTAGAATTTTATCTCAAGCAAAAATATCTTTTAAAAACAGGGTCAAGAGAGACTTCTCAGACATACAAAAATAGAAATAATTTACCACCATCAGATCTGTACTACAAGATAGAAGAAAAATGCCAGATGGAACTATAGATCAACATGTTAATGAAGGACACTAGCAATGGTAAACAACCGGCTAAGTACAGAAGATTTTCCCCTATTGTTTAAATTCATGTAATATACAGTCTAATGAAATATAAAATAAATAATATATTATCGTCAAGTGGGTTCTGTCCCAGGAATGTCATCACGTTAGTAAGCTAAGAAGAAAACCCTAAGATTATCTTGATAGACATAGATGATGCACTTGACGAACTACAAAGCCACTTCGGTACAATTTCAGCAAACTACAAACAGAATTGAGCTCTCTCAATCTGATAAATGACATCTATTAAGAAACCTAGAGATAACATCATACTTAATAGTAAGACCGAAAGTTTTTCCCCTAATGATTAGGAACAAGGTAAAGATGTCCTTGTTACTACTTCTATTCATCAATATACTGCAGGAGTGGGGAGTTCTCACTGATGTAATAAAGTTAGACAGAAAAATAACAGTCACTCTGATTGGAAAGGAAAATGTAAAATTGTCTTTATTCAAAGACAGGATATTTTAAGTAGAAAATGTATAGAAGTCAGAATCTACAAAAAAACTAGAATAAATCAGTTAGCAAGTTTAAACTGAGGGCCAACATACAAAAAATGAGTAACACTAACAAAGAACATAGAGAAATCAAAGTTAAAATAGTCATTTTAATAGTGAGAAAAAGTATGAAATATTTAAGGATAAACTTGACAAAAATGTATAAGACCTGTGTGCTGAAAACTATAATACTATTGTTGAGATAAATTGAAGAGGACCTAAATATATGGTGAGATATACCATGTGCATGGAATAGAAGATTTGATATAATTGAGATGCCAATTATCTCATAATTTATCTATAGATTCAACATAATCTAAACTGAAATTCAATCAGGTATTTTTTACAGAAAGAAGTAGATTCTAAAATTTATATTGAAATTATAAAAACCTCTAGAATAGCCAAAATAACTTTGAAAGCAAAGTTGAAGTGTCACATTATTTGACTTAAAGACTTATTATAAAGCTATAGAAATTAAGACAGTATGATATTCGCCTCCAAGCAGTCAAAGATCAATGGAATAGAATGAATAGCCTACATACACAGGCAACTGATTTGTAGTAAATGATCAAAGGCAATCCAGTGGAGAAATTATAACTATTATAAAAAATTATGTTGGGGCAATAGGATATGCATATTTTTTAAAAAATAACTTTGATGGATACCTCACCTTGTATAGAAAAATTAAGTCAAACTGGATCAGAGACCTAAATGTGAAACTAGAACTATAAAACTGAAAAACATAGGAGAAAAATATTTGTCACTTAGGGTAAGGGAAAGAATTCTTGGATACGACATCAAAGGCATGATCTATGAGTTACAACTATACACCTATGAGGCTGGCTAAAATTTAAGTCTGGCATTACCAAGTGTTGCTGAAGGTGCGTAGGAGCTGGAACTTAGGTATACCTCTGTTGGAAATGTCAAAGGGGACAATCACCTTGAAACAGTTGCATCAAAGCTTGCTCTTCTGTCTCAGGAAGACCCTGAGGACTTCATTACTCAGAAGTATTGTGATATGAAAAATGTCTATTTTAATTATTTCAATCGGAAGTTTATTTTCTAGAGGTAAAACAAAAACTGTCACTACGGGAATTTTTTTTTTTTTTTTTGTCACCCAGGCTGGAGTGCAGTGGTGCAATCTCCGCTCACTGCAACCTCCACCTCCCAGGTTCAAGCAATTATCCTGTCTCAGCCTCCCAAGTAGCTGAGATTACAGGCACATGTCACCATGTCTGGCTAATTTTTGCATTTTTAGTAGGGATGAGGCTTCACTATATTGGTCAGGCTGGTCTCAAACTCCTGACCTCGGGTGATCTACCCGCTTTGGCCTCCCAGAATTCTGGGATTACAAGCATGAGCCACCATGCCTAGCCTCTTCCATATTTCTAAGCCATTGCAAGCCCCAAAACATGATCTAAATGGAAATTATTCTTTTTGGGGTGCATTGTACACCTGTGTTGACCATGACGGTGCATTTTCAGATCCCTAGCTATGGGGGGATCCAGCTGCTGTACTAAAAAATTCAATACCAGGCACCAAGCCTATGATTCCTCAGGCTGCTCCTAGCCAGTGACTGAACACAGTAGAGACACCAAGATGGGGCCATTCCTACAATACACACTGGGGCCATTCCTGTGAAACACAGTATTCCTCTCAGGAGCAAGCTTGGCTTGAGACCTGCCCGACAATCTTGTTTACTTTTTCTGGGAACTGCACTTCAGACTAAGATGCTTTCATTCTATCTCCTCCTTTACTAATGGTGACACGTCCATCATGGTCTGACAGCCTTCCTTCCCTGCCCTGGCTCCCTCTTTTTATTTACTTACAGGTGATATCCTTAACAAATGTCTTGAGTGTTTATTCTAGTCTTGGCATCTATTTGTTATAAGACCTTGACTAACACATTGGCTAACATCATATACACTGTGTGGCATTCTATTTACGAAGTGTCCAATAGAAGCCTTGGGGCTATTTAAATATATTTCAGAATTATATATTCAACATATCAATCTAATCAACATCTTCAATCAGAAATTGATATCCAAGAAATAGACCGTCCTCCTCCACACTTGCACATCTTTTACCTCTGTTCTTAGGACTATAATAAAATATTGAGAGATTTGGGGGCTTTTGTTTATTTATTATTTTAGCAGAAAAGCAGAATGGAATTTTACTTTAGAGAGTTCATATTAGGAATAAAATGAAAATAGAAGAAGAGAAGACTGTGGTAATTTTCCAGCAGCAACATATAGGGGTTGTCAAGTGGATTAGAAAGTAGATATGAGAGATGCTATAAATATAAATTCAGTGGGGCTGGGCAACTGGATGGCTAAGCAGAACAAGATCTTATGTGAATCATTTCTGTGGAAGTCCTTCAAACAGGAAGTACATTTACTTGTGTTTTTTAAACTAAGTGTAAACTAAGCGTGTTGAACAAAACATACACCTTCTTTCATTGGAAGTGCAATATATTTCAATGATAATCTTAGGGATCCTGATCTTTTATAATTTTTGAGGCTTTGTATTACTTAGTAAAGACTTCTTTTTCTTACACTTATTTCAGCCACATTTTGCTGCTGCTAGATAATTAAGAACTATACATGAAATAAGAGAAAATAATTTATAATGAAGGACTAAATATAACTTCTATGAACAAATATCATGAACCTTAATAGTACATAGAATTACCAACTAATCTGTAATTTTAATGACCTTTTTTTCCCTCTTGGCCAGATTTTTCTATCTATCTATTTTAGTAAAAATAGTTTTGGATAGGGGTTCTTTCGTAAAGATGGATGGGAAAAGGTAATGTTTGGCCATTCTTCTCAATAATAAAATAATATGAATGTGACAAAGACTTATTGGCATTCAATCTCCATTCCAATTCCTTCTAAATGCAAGCTAAAAAATCGATCAATCAACCAATCTTGGATGCTGAAATTCCAATAAGTTATGCCTAGACAATTTAACAGGTTAATTTTTCCTTTTTTTCAACGTCTTCACTGATTGTAGAACTTAATTCACTTTAGACATGACTCCACTATTATGTACTAATAAAGAAAGTTAACACATTGTTAGTTCATACATACTAACACACACACACACAACCACACAGGAAAGCTCTTCATGCTGTTAAATTTGATCAAAGTGTTCAGTGAGAAGATATAAAGAGTATCTCTGACTGATACTATAGCATTTCTAACTTCAAAGAAGATAAAATAATCACTAGCCCATAAATTATAGTTGTCAATTAGTAATAAAACACTTTCTTTTCAATGGTTAGGATTTGCATAGTTAACAGAGGTGGCACATTTGATTTTTTTTTCTTTTTTTTTTTTTTAGACAGAGTCTCACTCTGTCACCCAGGCTGGAGTGCAGTGGCAAGATCTTGGTTCACTGCAACCTCCACCTCCCAGATTCAAGAAATTCTCCTACCTTAGCCTCCCAAGTAGCTGGGATTACAGGCACCCACCACTAGGCCCAGCTGATTTTTGTATTTTTAGTAGAGACAGGGTTTCACCATGTTGGCCAGGCTGGTCTTGAACTCCCGACCTCAAGTGATCTGCCCTCCTCTGCCTCCCAAAGTGCTGGGATTACAGGCTTGAGCCACTGTGCCTGGCCTGAAATTATTTTTCAGGACAGCTAATATAGATATAATAAAATCATCTTCAAAAGATAATCAGTCTTCAGCAAGGGTGTCGATTAAATTTGGAAAGAATAGTCTTTCAACAAATGGTACTGGGACAACTAGATAGCCATATACAACAGAATAAATTGGGATCCCTTCCTCATGCTATAGACAAAAATTAATTCAAAATGAATTATAGACCTAAAATCTAACAGCAAAAATGATAAAAGTCTTACAATAAAACATAGTAAATTTTCTTCACCTTGAGTCAGTAGACTTTTTAGATACGGCACCAAATGTACAAGCAACCGAAGGAAAAGCAGATAAAATGGAACTTTCTCAAAATTTAAGAACCGAATGCTTAAAAGAACCATCAAGAAGGTGAAAAGATCCTTATAATGGGAGAAAATAATTGCAAATCATATATCTCATAGAGAACTTGTATTAAGAATATATAAAGAGCTCTTGCAGCTAAATAATAAAAAGCAAATAAAAACTCCATTTAAACTAGGCAAAGAATTAAATGAACGCTTCTTCAAAGAAGATATACAAATGGCCAATACACATGAAAATGTGCTCACCATCATGAGCCATCAGGGAAACGCAAATCAAAACCACAAAGGGGAACCATTTTATACCCACTAAGGTGATTGCAATCAAAAAAGATAAATAATAAAAAATATTGGTGAGGACGGAGAGACTGAAAGTCTCATACATTGCTGGTGGCACTGCAAAACTGTGCAGCCACTTTGACAGAGTCTGGTGGTTTCTCAGAAGTTATATATAGAATTATTATATGATCTAGAAATTACACTCCTAAATATATATCCAAGAAAAATGAAAACATACATCTATACAACAATGTGTACATAAATGATCATACCAGTATTACTCAGTAAACCTATGAATGGCCCCTTTACAGAAAATTACATAAAAATGCTAATGCATTGTGTGGGTGTGGGTGTGTGTAAAACATATTTACTAGCTTTACTTAAATCTTAATTTTAATCCTAAATCAGATTTTACTTAATACATCTCCTCTTGAAGTTGATCTCCACATTGTGAGAAAAATCCAACCCATGGATTATTTTCTTGTCATCTATAAGACTCTCAATTTCTTTAAATTTAATGCTTCTTATAAAACTCAGTCAAACAGACAAAAAAAAAAGCTTTTGATCTCACACTTTTTAAGGTCTTAACTCTTTTTAGTTTTGAGGAAGAGGATATGTAATAGAACCTTTTTTTGTGCCTGTGAAGGAGATCCCACTTGTAAGAATGGTTAATCCAGAAACTCCCATAGTAAGTAATCTAACTAGGAAAAAAATATACAAGGCTGGGCACGGTGGCTCACGCCTATAATCCCAACACTTTGGGAGACCTAGGCAGGTGGATCACTTGGGGTCAGGAGTTCGAGACTAGCCTGGCCAACGTGGTGAAACTTCATCTCTACTAAAATACAAAAACTAGCCAGGTGTGGTGGTGGGCACCTATAATCCCAACTACTGGGGAGGCTGAGGCAGGAGAATGGCTTGAACCCAGGAAGTAGAGGTTGCAGTGAGCCAAGATCATGCCACTGCACTCCAGCCTGGGCAACAGAGCAAGACTGTCTCTCTCTCTATATATATATATATATAATTTTTATATATAAATAAATATATTACATTTATATATATTATATATATATATATATGGCCACAGGCCCAGTTTCTGTTCCCTAGATAACCTGGCATCAGCACTCTCAGTAGAATGTTGGAAGTCAGGAAATGCTAGTCTGGGGTGGCCTCGATGCAGCCTGAATAGGGTTCTTTACAAAGATGGAGACAATCCGTTACGAGCTATCCCAGGCACCGGCTGTGTCCTGCTCAGATTTGAGAGGCATTTATGCAATGTCAAATGGGAGCTCTGGCAGGAACTATCACAAAATCTTATTGAATCAATCACCAAAAAGCCATGTTTCTAAAAGAGCCAAGTGGGTCTCAGTGAGGAGGAAAAGAAGAGATTTTTCACTTCAGATGACCAAGTCTTTGGATAATGGCAGGTTGCTCATGGTGAATACAGAAACAAGAGTTGTCTAAAATTACCCTAAATCAGCTTTCTCTCATGTTTTTCATCCAATGTAAGTGATCCACCAAGCATGCCTCACTGTGCTTCCAGGATTTTGTTTCCATTCCTCTCCATTTGTTGAAATATTGCTAATCCTTCTACACCCAGTTATAATTGCAACATTTCTTGAAACGATATTCTCCAATTCAGCTTCTAGTGGATGTTTAACAAATGCTTAGGGCAGTACTTTAACTAGTGTTCATTTACACACACACACACACACACACACCACTTATATATATATAAGTAGTGGAAAAATATGTTACAGATAAGCAAAAATATATAGAAACGATTTTTATTTTTTAACCTGTATTTTTTGTAAATGATGAGAATATTTCCACATCAATAAAAATTTATCGATCGTATCTGTCCTGGTGAATTTATAGTATTCACAATAGTCCATTGTTAGATATGTGGATGCACCAAAATTGAATGACAATATTATTAACTACTAAAAAAGCAATACTGAAATAAAGATACTTCTACATGTGTCTGAGTGCATACATTTTTTAAAAACTGTATCCTTATATCAATTTTTAGATATAAAGTATTGGCTCAAATATCCTACAGTAATTATGTAACAAGAGCCTATAGAAAAAAAATGCAATCAATTTTCACATTCACATTTAGAGAGAAGATAATGGACAAACTATTCTTCCTAAGTTTTGATCCAAGCAAGCTCTGCTCTCTTGAAGTCGCCTATTTTTCCTGTTTCAACTACACTGTTTTTCTGATATTCCTGGCTGTTAGACTTAATTTTTAAATATAATTTCTAAGTTACCTGCTATCAAGTTTCTTTCTTTTGATCATCTTAACTCTCAACAGTTGTTCTTTATACATGAAATCTATAACTTTTTGAATGCATGCAAAACTCGTGATTTCACTCTATTTCCGTTCCATTATTTTATATGGTTTCCAAAACTCCATTCATGTTAGTAACTGTTTCCTGAGCATTCAGGTAGGTTTGTTGCAGGCCAGCTCACAGACCAATATCCAAGGTGTAATGAGAAAAAGTGGCCCTGGATCTTGTGAGTGGTGCCCAGATCATGAGTCAGTGCTCATATTGATATGATGAGAAAAGTGTGCATTTTCTACCTTTTTCTGAGGTGACACCTGTCTCACCAAAAGCTAAGTCAAAGCCGGGTCCAAGCTCAGGTAAGTTTTTGTTTGTTTGTTCGTTTTCCTAGTTCCAGTTACCTTAAAATTTCTAAAAAAGTTTTCATGGTTCTGGCATTAGTTTGTCTGTTTATCAGTTTAGTTGAATTAAGATTTTCATCTTATTTCTTGGTCCTCATAATGATAAGCTGGTAGAGGCTATGTTTTAGAATTTAGACTAGCTCCATATAAGCCTAAAGACATTTTGAATGGGAAAATACTAGGTTTTGAATTGATTTTATCTTAAATCACTTAAATACATCAGAATGATAAAAAAATTTTACAAATTCACTATCTGGGGAATCATAATGTTTAAGAGAATATTCCTCGAATTTTAAGGATTTGGATTGAATTGGAGCTCTAAGAATTAATGAATATATGACTTCAGGCAAATTAAGTTTTTTTTAAATTACTTTTTTCACCATCAGCAATGATATCACTTCAGCTATTGACAGTTTTGGGTTTTTAATTTTTGCAAGCACTGAAAAAAAATTAAAATGGAAATTTATATGAATTATTTTAGGAGGTTATTTCCTGTCATCAGAGAGATAAATTAATAATTTGATGAGGAATATGATGTCTGAGATAGGTCTTTCTGAAAGTCTTGACACTATCAATGTGTTAAGTTTACTCTAAAGAAATCAACACTTTTTAGACAAAAGTATTACATCACTATCAAATGACTATAGGGCTCCTATATTGATTTGGTTTCATTTTGCTATCCAGGACCCAGAACCTTGATGGGGAAAAGAAACAGAGATAGAGAGCTGGAAATCTATCAAGAATCCACGTTCTGAACACCAACCCTTATTGCACACACAGTGAAATACCACATCAGAACAAATTCTATAGACTCCTCTTTAAAAAACATCTTTTTGAATCCCAGTCTGGAAGATTGATCAATTTCTTTTTTTTTCCTGAAATGTGCATGAAAGGATACAAGAAGCTGCCTGAAAAATAGTCGTAGGACTGGCTAATGATATTTCTACTTTGTCTCCAGTCTTAAAATTTAAGCACCCCATACAGAAAAAAGGCTGAGAAATTTTATGTATATTCAGAAATATCAAATTCAAAGTTGAAATTTCCTTTGTAACCCACCTCCAGTCTCTTAAAGGGATACTTGAATTCTGCTCAGAGGCAAACAAGTTACTTTGCAAGTTGTTTTAATAATGGTCAATGTTATTTCTCAGTATCTTTAGATTTTTTTTTTTTTTTTTTTTTTTTTTTTTTTTGAGGCAGAGTCTCGCTGTGTCGCCCAGGCTGGAGTGCAGTGGCGGATCTTGGCTCACTGCAACCTCCGCCTCCCGGGTTCAAGCAATTCTCCTGCCTCAGCCTCCCGAGTAGCTGGGATTACAGGCACCCACCACCATGCCCGGCTAATTTTTGTATTTTTAGTAGAGGTGGGGTTTCGCCATGTTGGCCAGGCTGGTCTCGAACTTCTGACCTCAGGTGACCCACCCGCCTTGGCTTCCCAAAGTGCTGGGATTACAGGCGTGAGCCACCGTGCCCGGCCAGTATCTTTAGATTTTCATATGGACTTGATGCTGTCCATCTTCTTAAAATCTCTATAGAAGAGACAGAAATTACCAAACGAGTGCACAGATGAAGCTTGATGTATACCTTCCACTTTTTGGACACAGACCTGTCATCATATCCTTCCAAAACACATTTTCACCTGCATGCCCACACTCGCACATTCATCAGACTCATTTCTTGAAACATTCTTGATGGCATTCATTCTACTTTAAACCACCTGTCAAAACAAGCACTTAATTAGGTTAAGCTGTCTGGCTTTGTGAAAAGGTTTACTGTACTCAGTTGTCCTTGCCATAAAATTAATAGTTTGACGAACTTCTAAGGAGACGGATTTTGCACTCGTGAAAGTCAAATTAAATCCACCTTTGCCAAACAGGTGAAAAAACTGGTGTGTCTGAAACTTTGAAGGCAGCACTTCATTTATTATAATCTTTCGAGTGCCAAAGTACAAATTAGGTAGAACTGCAGCTGCAAGAAAGCCCAAGTTATAGCGCGCTGCTCTTGTGACCCTTTTAATAGGCAATGCAACTACAAGATGATGAACAGAGAGAATGACTGTACCAGAGTTAGCAGTGCCAAATTTCCGACCGAATTTGCAATAAGCAACCAATCCTTCATTAAGTTAATATTCCACAGACTCAAATATTACACACACTAGTCACTGCACATCATTTCTCAACCACAATTCTGAAAAGATTTTCCAGGAACTGGGCTCATTTTATTATTAAGACTCCGGAGAATAAAAGCTGTTTAAAAAATGCTTTAAAATTTCATTTAGGTCTTGCTAAAACTGCTTTTGAATCAACATTCTTTGAGTTGAAGTAGCAAAGGAAATAATACTCAAGGCTGCTTAATCCTAAAGACAGAGTAATTTGGAGTTTTGGTTTGGGATTTTGTTTTTTCCTCAACACATTACAAAGATGGGTCTTTTATTGACTTGGAGATAAAAATGATTCATGATTCCAATTATTGTTTAAGGTGTGTAAAGTCTTAAGGCCTCCAAGGCAGAACTCAAAATGGACTGTAGAATTAACTGAGACAAAGTGCCTTGCTACTTTTGGGATGAAAGGAATCATCAGAAAAGTTGCAAAAGCACTAAGTTTTGTCTTAGAGCTTAAGATAGTAAGAATTAATTTAACACAAAATATTATTGATTACTTTCTCTTAACTCTTCATTTTTAATTCAGTAAGTGAATATAAGATATTAAGTGACTAAACTGAATATGGTCATTGTCTTTAATCACAGTTTTATTGAGTTTACTAGAAGTCATAAAACCTGGTTTCTTGTTTCTTCTTTTAGTATTGTTAGATGGACGGTCATAAAACAGTCACTTAACCCTGAGAAGATTGGCATAATATCTCAAACTGATCCACAAGTGAAATTCTGAAAGGCTAGGCGCTCAGGAAAGAGACATCTTGATGGAGATCATCTTCTCACTAATACTTCTTAAGCTAATAAAAAACCTTTTAATAATGATATTCTAACATTTCATTTGCTATTCTGAAATAAAATTCATGTATAACACTTATACAATAACATTCTTAAAAGTCAATATAAGGCCCTGTTACATAGAATAACAATAAAACAACTTATGATGAAAAAATCCATTTCAATTTGTAACTGTGCAAGCTGACTGTACTAGGAGACATAATAAAGTCATCAGATTATTTTTACTAATTTTAAAGAGTTAAGTCAAGAATAAAAGAAGGAAGATCATCAGAAGCAATTCTGCACAAGTTTTACAGGAAAATGAAAGCAGAGATATAGGAAAATATTGGAATTAAACCCATTATGAAGATAAATAAATAACAGAACAACTTTATCTGTGAGTGATAAGAGAAAGAGGAAAATGGTATTAGTCAATATAGGTATAAAACACCACGAACCATTACAGACAGCCAAAGTAGAGAAAATGAGGAGTTGAAATACTTACATATGAGCGATACCTTATTTATAAGTATAGTTTAAAATTTTCTCTATTTTATTTGTCAAACATTTATATAGTGCTGTCTGTGTGTCTGGCACAGTTCTATGCTTTTTCAATGTTATTAATTCAGTCACTTATCTTATGAATTACCCCATGGGTCTGGAAACGTTATTTTACAGAGGAAACTGAGACAAAAAGGGGTTAAGTTACTTACCCAAAAATATACAGTTAGCAAACAGAAAAGCCAAAATTTGAACCCTGGCATTCTGATTCTAGTGTCTATAGACTTGATTTCCATTCTATAATATAATGACCTGGGGTCAGATTGCATCAAAGAATAACAAAATATATCTCCTGTTTTAAAACCTCACCATATGTTGAGGTATATAAAGTACTCCTGTTACGTAAAAAGACCTTGGAGACTATACTGATCAATACAAGACAGGAGAAATAGGACATATCAGGGAAAAAAAAAACCAGAAATAAAAGACTATTGAGAAATGGTGATTCCAATTTCTGGAACATCACGAAAACAGGTTTTAAATACAGGAAACACAAAAATAGAAATTAACCTCAATATGTTTTCTCAGCATATAGGTTTTTCATTGTGCTACAGAGAAACTCAGAAATAGAAAGTTAAGAACATGAATTATTTTTAGAGAATTCTTACTAATACAATTTAATGCGATGTCTACATTTCACATGTCTCCACTAATTCTGATAACATTTTCATCTCTGGCTGTGAAAAGGAGTATCAGATACACTGTTACAAATGTGAATGCAAAATCTACAACTTGAGAATGATCCAGACTCAAATTTTATGAAAGGTGTGGCCTCATACAATGGAAGATTCAAAGTAGTATATAATTCTTGGTAAAGTGTCAAACACAACAACCCTCTCTTGATTTATACAATATTTGCATTTTTTGCTTACTCAGTTTGCTGTAATAATATGCAAAAACCCGTTCTCTTTGAATATGCATGTAAAAATGGAGTTTTAATTTCTAAATTTAGGTATAAACAATGCATTTGGGTTGCACTAAGGGCATTTAAGAGCTCTCAGGATATAGATAATACGTTTTTGCAGAACAATCCCAATCATTGCAGGATGTCTAAACTTTGTGGCCCTACTCACAAAACTTAGTAGTGGCCACCCCCCCAATGTTGTGATAACTAAAAATAAACCCCATAAATATTCAAAATGCACACTGGAGGGTGGCATCTCCCTTGCTGATAGCCAGCAATTTAAGGCTCTGCATATAGAGGTACCTAAAGCAAATTTCACAGCTTGAATGGTATAATTATGTAAGCCAATAAATTTCTTTTTTGGTTTTTTTTTTTTGACAATATGCATTAGAGTGATGATGTATTTTTTAACAATAAAGATCATTTTTATTAAAATAAAGCAAAATAAGTTTGCATTTTTCCTTCTGTGCCATTTCCCACCATTATTATTCTAAGAAAACATACGAACAATAGCAACTATGCATGAGTAATGTGGAATATTTCTTTCAATTTCACTACAAAATGTATGGATTTTAATAAGACTGTTATATAGCATCTATCTTAGAAGCAAAATCTGAATCAACCATGTGTATCAAGCAATCTGACTATGTATTAGGCAAATACAGTCAGAAACTTGCATTCTGGTTACAAAAAAAATATGAGTCTCAACAGAAATTCTTTTTCCATGTTTCAGCAAAATATTTAAGGAGTTTTTTGTAGTATGCCAAATAGGAGTGCTGAGATAAAGTTAGGTTCGTCCTATAAAATGCTATCTCTAATTTATATGGCCTATGTAGACACAGTGTTCCTTGGCAGAAGGACATAATTTTATTCAGGAAAATATAAGGAACAACTCTGTAACAAACTATACTTTCAGCCCCAAAGAATAGGACTGATTCTGGGTTAGAGTTTTGCTTTGGAAATATTTTGTTATATGTTGGGAATTAAGGTTTATTAAGATAGAGTAGATAGATAGCTGGCTAGATAGATAAATATACATGCATACATATGTATAACTACATATGCTCACTATCTCTTTACATAAATATAACTATATATACACACACACACACACACACACAGATATGTAATAAGAGAGACAGAATGAAAACAAGTAAGTCAATTGTGGGTAACTTCAAAAGCCCAAACGGAGTTTACCAAATTCATAGCTGGCACTTACTAGGTGCCCCATGTGCTATGCACCATTCTAATTATTTACATGTATTAATTAATATAATACAATAACTTTATGAGACAGATACTATTATAACAACATTTCCATTTTACAGCTAGGGGAACTCTCGAGATGAAGACTTTAGTGGCAAGATTTTAATCTAAGCATTTTGACTCCACTATGGCTTCCTTCTAGTATTCTATCAAACATTAGTTCTACAGTAAGAGCTTGATACGGTTTGGCTGTGGCTGTGTCCCCACCCAAATATCATCTTGAATTGTAGTTCCCACAATTCCCACATGTCATGGGAGGGACCTGGTGGGAAGTAATTGGATTATGGGGGGTGGTTTCCCTTATGCTGTTCTAGTGATAATGAGTGAGTCTCACAGAATCTGATGGATTTATAAATGTCTGGCATTTCCCCTGCTTGCACTCACTCCATCCTGCCACCCTGTGAAGAAGGTGCCTGTCTCTCCTTTGCCTTCCACCATGATTGTACGTTTCCTGAGACCTCTCTAGCAATGGAGAACTGTGAGTCAATTAAACCTCTTTTCTTTATAAATTACCCAGTCTCGGGTATTTCTTCATAGCTGTACAAGAATGCACTAATCCATGAAATGTGAATTCAAATTAATGCCAAGTGAAAATGACCCTATTGCCTTGAAATGCTTATCCACGGAGTTGTCCATTTGGCTAATTCCTAAATTTTTAGGGGCAGATAATTAAGAAATGCTGACTTGAAATTCATTCAAACATGCTTATGTGATGCTCTCAGCTCAAATATTCACAAGTATAACATGGTCAGCATATGGCGTCATGATATAAGAAACTGACCCTTAAATTTTTTTTTTCCTAAAAATAACTGGTTTTGTAGGCCTTACCAGAATTCATATTATTTCCAGTTCTCTTCCCATCCAGGAACATAGTAAGGTGACCCTTTAAATTTAGGAATAGCTGTGTGACATTTTTTGCCCAATTAGATGTGAGCAGAAAAGAGTGACATATGTAACTATCAGTAGAAATTTTATAGCTGGTATGTGACTTGATGCTTTTCCATCACTTTGGGGATTATGGCAGCACATGTGGCCACAGAGGCGCTATCAGAGTCAAGCCATTTGGAATGCCACAGAAACATTCAGAAGTCAATTTAAATGAACAGTCATCTCTGAACACCTTACGTAAGTAAGAAATAAACTTTTCCTATGAGAGGTCATGGAACTGTGGGTATTGCTTGTTACTGTGGCATAGCCTAGCCTCTCCTGACTCATGCAACTTGAAAAAAAAAATTACTACAGTCACTTTAGAACTAAAAAAATTAAGTTAAGAGACAAATGAGCTATTCAAAATGCCTTGGCTAATTAATAACAGGAACATTATTAGATCCAGTTCTTCTGATTTTATTTCCCATTAAAATGTCTTATTTCTTATCATTCACCATGTTGATTCTTGCTATGTTACAGAGAAAATTATATTAAATAATAAAGACAGTCTATCATGGATAAGCCACAAGATCTGGCCAAACATCAGCATATGCAAAAATAAGCTATTCGATTCATTAGTTTCTTTGGAGATATAGGTGAGTACCTAACTAGAACCTATCTCTTTTGCCTTCTATGGAGGAAAAAAAGAAATCAAATATTTTGAACTGGGTTTTACGCTTCTCCTCCAGACTTTGAGTGTCACATAAAAACAGTTTTGAAATAGAAAAAAATGAAAATATTCTGCTGTGATAATGCTCTGCTAGCATACCTTTCCTACAGGTTTGACAAATGCAGTTTAACAGGTGGTTGAGTGTGACGTTTGGGGTTTGAGCCTGACAATCGGCAAGAAAACCAGGTGGAGCTGCTGAAAAGATTCAATGTGAAAATCGTATCATTCCCTTTAAGCTATTCTGGCAGAAAGGGAATCTGACATCAGCACTGAAAACAATGAGGTAAAAATTTCTATCACCTCTCATTTCTTGGCTCAAACCCCAGTCCAATTTTTTTTATACCTCTCTTTTATGCACAAGCATATATAAGTACTACATTAGCTCTCTCTTACCACTGTGTTATGGCCCGTTATTCTGTCATTTCTCTCTGTATAAATGGAAACTTAAATGACTAACTTATACCTTTCTTCCTAGGAATGGGTTTATTTTTTTGCTTCTTTATTCCTGAATACATGATACATTCCCCAAATTCAGTCATTTATGAATTGCCTTTACAGTTTCTGCCATATTCACTTACTACTTATTTTTTTTTTACTAAATCTATGTTTTAAATTCTCTGTTTTTTGTTTTTATTTTTCATTTAACACTGCATTAAGATTCTCTCATATTTGATATGCTGGTTACCATGTTTTCTCAATGCATAAAAAAATGCATCTATAACCATGGAAGTAAAATATGTTGGTTCAGATACCACCTGCACTTCTTTTGAATACCATAGGTGGTATCACACACTGGGAACACTGATATATAACACATAACACGGTGCCATTTACACATCAGACATTTAAAAGGCTACTCATGTGTTTTAGAGTCTATAAGCTTTCAAAATTTGCTTCTTTAAAACTTCTATCTACATTGATTTTACTTTTTTTGAGGTAAAATTATTTTACAAAGTTATAAGATTTTTTTATGCCAATGACACTTAAGATCTTTCTGAAATACAAAGTTGGATATTTACCAAGTGAAAACCTTACATTTGCAGACTTTGAACATGGGTGTTCATAGCAGAATTATTCATAATAGCCAAAAGAGGGGAAAAACCCAAATTTCCATCAATGAATGATGAATAAACAAAATATAGTGTCTACAAACAATGGAATATTATTCTGCCTTAAAAAGAAATGAAATTCTGATACATGCTACAACATGGATGAATCTTAGTGACATTACACTAAGTGAAATAAGCCACACAAAAGGACATATATTATTTGATTCAATTTATAGAGGTACCTAGAACAGTCAGATTCACAGAGACAGAAAATATAACAGGGGGGCAATGAGAAGTTATTGTTTAATAGTTACACAGTTTCAGTATGGGTTAATGAAAATGTTCATATATGGTAAATGTTGTAAAACAAAGTTAAAATATTTAATGCCACTGAACTATACATTAAAAATGGCTAAAATGGTAAATTTTATGTTGTATATACTTACTACAATAAAAAATAAAATTAAATATATATAATACATATCACTTAATAACATGCTAATGTGTTGAATGTCAATGACCTTTAACTGACAGCTAATAAATAAACAATGTGTCCATTATCTTCAACAGCAATGTATAACTGCTTTTAACCACAGCTTATGATGATAATTTGTATTCATCCCTACCTCATTGACATATCCTTTGCTAACTTTCCCTGAATACTATATTGAAATTAAATCTAGACTGGACGCAGTGGCTCATGCCCGTAATCCCAACATTTTGGGCTCTTTAAAACTTGCACATCTTTGTGGCCACCCTTGTCTTACTGAATCAGAATTTTGGGAAAATGAGGACTGGGAATAGTTGTGAGTTATCATTCAAATGTCTAATAGTCACTGATCTGGAATCTGTTTGCTGCTCTTCATTTTCTTGAACCACTAGGACCCCAAATTTTACTTCCATGCCTCATTTGAATTAATTTCATGATTCTCTTGCTTTGGTCTTTCCACCATTAAAACAATAACAAGAAATAAACTTGACTTTGGCCTTCCTAATATTAATACCTATAGTAACTGCCGTACTTTTTACATTCAATCAAAGTTCAGATCTTACTGTGGCTTGGTCTAGAAATTTTCCTCAGAAATCTTCCTTAAAGAAAAAGACATTTAACAATATTAACACTTTGTAAAAACAAAACTTTAAAGGGCCCTTTAGCAATTATTTCTAGCTGATATGGAGTCTACAATGCATCTAAAGTGGTATAGTTAGGGATTCAAAAGATTCTTTTTGCCCTAAAGCAAGTAAATCCCAATACCGTTGAAAGAATTCTAGAGTCAGAACAGAAAGAGGCAACAAGCAAATATAAGGCCAAATGGAATTCAAATTGATCATGGATTATTTTAATGGACAGAAAGAGAGAGAGAAAAAGACACATATTAGGGTTTGGGGGCTGTAGCAAGACAGTGGACACAATTAATGTAGAACCAGTTAGGCAATCTAGACAGTCTGGATTCAAACTTGCTGTGAACTATAATTCAACAGTCACATTGTTGGTGTCTAGTGGCTTTTCCCAAGTCATGTGTTGGAGCTGTAGATGTTTCCTCCTGATTGTGCCCTGGTGGTCTGCTTGTTGGAGGTCTTTTTTGTTCAATACACTTTTTGACTTGCTTTCCACTTCCCTGGCTGGTTCATTCACCTTAATTATGATTACCTGATTAAGAGTGGAGGTGACACATCCAAACCCCTAGTCAGGGCAGTCTTATTAGGCAGGAAATTCTGCCATTTGCCTAATTTAAATTAAAAGGTGTGTTTTACACAGAACAAACCAAAGCAGCCAGCCACAGAAATTCCTTTTATCCAATCTATTTACTTCTCTTTGGTATTCAATATGATCCTTTAAGCCAAAGGCAGTTATAATAGGAGTTAAATGCCCCTCTAGTTTTTCAAATGGAAGTCAGATTTAGAAGGTGTTAGGTTTTTGCAGACCTGCTAAATTCCTAGGCTTAAACATTTCAATGGTTAATCATGAAGTAGCTTTAAAATGTACGCCTTTTTGGAAGTATTAAATAACTACAGAGGATGTTTTGTTATTTAAGAACATCTTAGGAAACAAAGCTTGGAAAGCAGCTCATGAATTTAATGCTATGGCATCATTTTTAAAAAGACAGGTTAATAATTGAATGGCATTGTCCAGAAAGATGGAATCTAGAGAAGTTATGAATGTACTTTGTCAAATGAACATTCTCTGTTGATATTGAGATAAAATGCTGAGACTGGCAGATTAAAAGAGAACACTGAAAACAGCTGAGATTCATAGATAGTCCATTTTGGACTCAACTTCTCTCTTTTTGTCACCCAGATATCTGAATGTTGAGGGATCCAAGGACTTCCACTGTTCCTCCACCCTGGCCCAGACCTCGGGAATGAGTGACCAGTTCTTTTCCATATGGTGATGCTGGGATGAAAATTCTCAGCTAAATCATCTGAATCCTAGAGTAACTGAAAAAGGGGTTTCTCCCCTCTGATTTCCCAGGCAGCTCCTCCAAAATAGAGAAACTATAGATATCATACATTCATGATCCAAATACATGCTTACCACTTATCCTCAGGGGTAAATCTTGATTGAATCTGTTAACACACTGAACCACATTTTTTTAAAATACATTCTGACTTAATGATACACAGTACTTGGATTGCAGCATCACAATAGCATTCTCTACTTTTAATGACAAAAAATGGATAGAGTGGTCATTCCGTCTTACTAAAATAATCTCGTCAACTCAACTTAGGATCACCCAAGTAGAATAACAACTTGCCGGTTCCCTAGTATCATGTGATGACGGACCTGGGCAGTTTAATGTCTCCATGTGCTTCCACATCAATCTCTTTCCTAATTGCATGAAGTTGGGGCTTCCTTCTATTTCCAACTGAATTCCTGATTTTGATAGGGGTGAGTTTTGTTTCACTGATCTTCCCCACACATGGACATACGCAATTAAACATTCTTGGAAATTTTTTCTTAAACTCTTTTTGTTTTTAATCTCTCCTGCTTTCCTATTATTAAGAACTAGGCTGTTGGTCTTTCCTTTCTACATAAATCAACCTTATAATATTCCTTAACAATAATAGGAAAGCTAGAGCCAATAAGTCACTCCCTTAGAGAAAGAAAGGGATTTGTTTGGCTATTTTGCTAGGAGACTGAAAATGGGAGAACTGCAATTATACATTGAAGTTTTCTTGGGAAAATATGATCAATGCTGCTTCATTCATAGTACAGGATAGACTAGGGTAGCAGAGTCCTGTTTGCTTTTTCGGTTTTGCCCAAGGGCGGCAAGAGAGGGAAGGAAACTAAAGAGAGAGATAGAACTTGTATGTGCTGAATCCTTGAACTTATACAAAAACTTCAGACTTCTGATTTGGTTTTCATGAAATGCAAACATTAATAACAATCCTGTCTCTTTCAACAGGAATTCAAACACTGTGAGCTCAACAACAACTGTTACCCAAATTAAAATTTGAATGTGAGATTAGTACATGAACTCAGTCTAGTTGCAATAAAGCAGACTAATCTCAAGCTTGGTCTCTTGCAGCCAGACTTCAAGGTGATCAAGGTTAACAAGGCCAGTAATGAGACATAGCAACACCACGTGCTTCCAGATACGATGCATTGAGAAGGAAATAACACCTCTGTGGTCCTCTTGCCAAAAATGCAAACCTGAATTTATTTACGAGGAAGCATCAGACAAACATACAATAAGGTCATTCTACAAAGTAACTGTCTAGCCTCTTCAAAAGGATAAGGTCATGAAAGACAAAGGACCATCCCATCTTAGAGGAGACTAAGGATGATGACTAAATGCAATGGATTATGGATTGAATTCTGGACCAGAAACAAACAACATTTGTGGACAATTGGTGAAATTTTCACAGCTCTGTTGATTACTTAATAGTATTGAATCATTGTTAATTTCCCAGTTTGGATCATCATAACTGTAGTTATGTAAAGATTTCACCATTTTGGAAAGCTGTGGAGAAGGTATATGGGAATTCTTTGTACTGTTTTTGCAAACAAAAATTATTTCAAAATGGGAGTTTAAATTTGTGTTAAGTTTAATGAAGTTAATGGCCACAACTGATTATATAAAACTAGATTCCCCAGCAGAGTTGGAAAATAATTTTTGTGGTTTAATCTGGATAAACAGAAGATTACAGCACTAAATACAATTCAACAAGCATACTTGGAGAAATTACTCAACATAATGCATAAATACAGAGTCAAGTTTGAGAAGACATGGTCTTTGTCTTTTTGAAACACATAAATTCTGTCAAAACCTAGAATCTTTTTAAAGAAAAAACGATGGAAAAGTATTGGAAAATTTACAACAGTAAAGCCACAATGGCGTAATTTAAATTATTCCCTGTACATCAGAAGGCACTTCAGAATTCTATAATTTAATTTATTGACATTGTTATGAACAGATGTTTTCAGTGTATTGTAGCATGCAGAGGAGCCAATTAAAATAAATATATACATATTAGAATGTAATATGAGATATTATCATATGATATTCTAAATGAATAATCACACAATTCTCACAACAGAAAATCTGATTCTTGTGTCATTTATGCACTCAAATAAGTTTAATATGGGAATCTACTTTATATACCTTTAACTATGACAGAACATGAAAACTACCATACATGTTTTAGTGGATTCAGGATGAAATATTCTATCTATGAGAATACTCCGTGTATATGTGCCATTTGTATGATATTTCTTCTCCTAGAAAAAGCTTTCCCTGAATTATGCATATGGAAAACTCCTACTCTGTCAGGAATCAATCTCAGCAACACCTCCTCCAAGAAGCCTTCCATCACTCCCCTAGCATGCATTCTCCTATGACGCCATAGTTTCATCTGTCTTCATTTGTCAACCATAGGCATAATCACATTGTACTGTACTTTTCTATTGATTATATTTTCCCGCTAGACGTTAACTACTCTACCTCAATGCCTATTCCATTGCACCATCTTAATAAATATGTAAATAAATAATTTCTTCTGTAAATCCAGGATTAGAATGGATTATTTTCAGAAACAGTCACAAAAGATAAGTAAAACGATAAAAATTCGATTGTGACCTAAGCTGATTTCATGGGAAATTGTTTATTCCGATGCAGATGGGCTGTGAAAAGGAATTCTGGCATTGAACCCTTGGGGTATAGATTTAGTAACCGGCAGAAAAAAATAATAGGAAATACCATGCTCCCACAAGTTACTCTTATTTGTCATGATCTGAAACAGTGTTGATTTGTTTTAAAAATCAAAATCCCCAAACTCACTGATGACCCATGAACTAAGAGTATTTTCCATGGAGATTTAAGAAATGCTCACCTTTACTCACATAATGAGATCTTTGAGGCAACATCAAGCACATCAGAATCCTTTAAATACTAGTATTAGCAGAGCCATGTGGCACTCCAGTTAGGTCAGTGTGGGAATGTTTGGTCCCATAAGTCGTCCAGAGCATACCTCTTCTATTTGTGTCCCTGTTGTCTGTCTTGGAAACCAGTGCCCGAATAATGAAAGATTAATGAGATCATCTTCAGCCCTGCTTTCGGCAATCACATTTGTCCCTCATCATTCTGCTTCCCCGGCCCCGACATTTAGCCTCTCCTCACACTGCTGTCTGATATTACAAATTGTGCTGGGTAATTTACCCCAGCCAAAATAGGAGATTTAGAAGCATCGGGGAGTTCTGGAAATCTATCCTGCGCGTCACAAAATGCTTCCTGTCCTGGCATAACAGCCCGAAGGGAGAGAAGAAATGAGCCTATGTCGGGGTGGTAGGGCCTCTACAAATAATAAAATTATAAGACCCACAGAAGGAAAAAAGCTTGGTTTTCTTTGTAAGAATTACTATCTTGACACCCTATAACTAATATAAGTTGGGAAATTTTTTAAACATTGCTTTGCCTACCTACCTTAATATGACAAGATTAGTTTCAGCAGTCTGGCTTTACAGAATTATTTCCTGAAAAAAAAAAATTTTAGCTGGTAATTGATACTCTTATGCATAGTACATTCCTTATGCACAGGAACTCCCTGGATCCTGGATCCTCCTCAAATGCCAGAGAAAGTGGATTTATATGAAAGATTGGTTCTGTAGCTGTGGGAACAGCTGACTAAATCTATTTCTCTCTCTTTCTCTTTCTCTCTCTCAATGAATTGCCTAATTTTTCTGGTATCACAGAGATACTGTTTTGGTTAAACTTTGCATGGGTGTTATTTCATAAAATTTGTTATGTGTGTTTAGCAAATAAACACTGTGCTATCCACTAGGATTTGGAGCTAGAAGACATGAGATCTAACCTCTCAGTTCTAACACTTCATTCCTTTTGGAAAAGTCACTTAACCTCTTTAAAACTCAGTGTTCTTACTGGTGAAATAAGGATAATACCCACTACAGAATTTTTGGTGAGGCTCAAGTGAGATCATGTACAGGAAAGCCTTTTGGAAACGAAAATGGCATTACATCATCGTTAGCTGCTATTGTCATTGCAGTTTCACAGTATTTTCAGAGTCCCTGTCTTCAAAATTCAGAATGTTTGGATTTCAGAAAGTGATTTAGTACATATGGCAATTATTAGATTCAGTTGGGTATGGGATAGCAACTCATAATGAAACACATTAATATTTCTGGAGTAAAATAGACAAATATTTCTACTAAGTGTGATAAATAAAGACAATGTGTAGCTTCACGAACATTTAAGACAGGATTTCCTTTCAAATCAATTACAAAAGTGTTTCATTTTAATAGCTTTTCAAATGTTTCAATTGGATATGAGAAATAGTCAATCTGTATTCACAGGACTTCAATATTAAATGCCATTCCTTTTTGGGAAGTCCATGCAGACTCCATTTTTAGAGAATATTTATTAAATATCTTGGTGTCTATGGGAGACCTGCTCATCATGTTGTATAAACATTGGAAGAGCAACGACAACAACAAAAAAAAAAAAAAGAAGAAGAAGAAGGAAAGAAAAAAAAGACAGGACAGCATCAAAATTTTAAAAATATTTGTGCATCAAAGGGCATTATCAAGGGAGTGAAAAGGCAACCTGCAGAATGGGAGAAATCATAATATATCTGATAAGGGTGTAGTATCAAGAATTTATAAACAATGAGAGGTTCTATAGCCAGAGACTTCTGGAAAATATGTATCTTTCAGCTTCCAGACAAATAGTTGCCACTATGAAGTTATGGTTAAAAACAATATAAAAGAACAAGAAATGCTAAATGAGAAATGTCTTTTATAGCTCATTATTCTGAAATACCTTGTGCCCTCTCTTCAGTTTATTTTAATTCAGGAATACAGTAGTTCATTTAACAACAGGGGAAATCTCATTGGAGCTGATAGATAGGCAGCCCTGCTTGTGTTTTCATTGTTCCTCCTCTAAGCATTGTTTTCTACTCTGTTTGTTCGGGCTTTTTGCGTCTATTGTATATACAAAGCATTTCCAAATCGCCTTTGAAGGAAGCAGTTTGACATGCTAAATTAAACGAAGCTCCAGAGACATTTGTTTTAGGCAGGAAAACAAACTCAACTAGACACACACACACAAAAAATGCCGAGCCCATCAGATCTGAAACCGTATTTCTTCTTGTCTGCAAGTTAAATGGCAGTAATGTAAATGAATGTGAATCGCTTGGCGAGGTGTGAGAAAATAAGCTACAAATTACAAAGCTGGCGAGTGAATGTTGAAACTGGTGGAATGTGATAATAATGCAATGGGTGAGGATCTGAGCCTTCATTAGAGATCCTCATTTCTCACTCATTTCATTTCCAGTTATAAAGTCCAGTGAAATGGATCTTGGTAATTGCAAAGTTGATTGCTACATCGGTTTAGGGGAAATGAATACTGCAATTACTTTTTCTCTTTCTCTCTCTCTTCTCCCTCTCCCGCTCTTTTGTTACGTCCACGGGATTTTCAGAGAGCTTTTCCAAACTATCAGAAGGGTCTTACTTTTTGGTAGTTTTTACATTTCTATGGCCTATGGGCTCTGGTACAATTTTGTCTTTTAAAAATGAGACATGATACCATCACCAGATGACAAACCAGAGCTGCAGTCTTGGTATCTTGGATATATAACTCTTCACACTACCAAGAAAATAAAAAGAAAACAAAAAATCTCTAGTTGTTTAAGTAAAGGTTCTATAAGGAAATAACGGAGGAAAGCAGGTTTATTGCATATTAATTGTGACAGGATATAAGCTACAAACCCTTACATCAAGGGTGCTCATTAAATTGCATTCCAAGCTCTTTCTAAATTAAATTTATTATGATTTGGTAACCATTTAAAGTAGATTTGGTGGGACTGATCCAGTAGTCAGTTTTTCAGATTAAACAAAGAGAAACATCTCTGTTAGGTGTTGACATCTGTTCCCTGTCATGCTCAGAAAACATGCTAAGAATTGGCTGGATCACGGAAACAACAGTACTGTGTACTTCTTCATGAGAATAGTCCAGTTTCAAAATGACTGACACAGCCCTTTTAAGGTCAGTTGAAGGCACAGGTGGGGAATGACATATGGGAATCCTGGAAGAATCAGATCAACTTCCAGCCTGAAGTCGATAGGGTTTCACATCCCCCATGCCCAAGTTCTACTCTATGTCTATGAGACTTGATCCCATATCCTTATTCAAGAAAGGCAAAGCAAAATTTTAAGATGAATGTTTACTGTCATAACTCTGATGAGTTGGACAAGGGAATTTGACCTTTTTGACTGCAGTCATCAGGTTTACGACACAAGCAAAGCTCAGTAGGCTATATCTAAATTCACAGTCACAAGTGAGTCTTTCTTCCCTGTTTGGTTGGCTCTGAATTGTATAAATAGCCTCTGCCACTTTGCTCTGTCTCTCCTCGGAGAAGGTTTCTTATCGTGAAAAATAAGTCACACAGAATGCTTAATTCATGCACAGTCAGGCAAATTCTGTCTTTCTCAAATCCTGAGCAGCTACAATTTCATGGTATGATGGTTTACATGTCAACTTTACTGGGCTACCAGATGCCAGGACATTTAGCTAAATATTACTCATATTGTCTTGGATGTGTCTGTGAGGTGTTTCTGGATAAAAGAATAACATTTGAACTGGTAAACTGAGTAAAGCAAATTGCCCCCCTAATGTCAGTGGGAGTCATCCAATCAGTTGAATGCCTACATAGAACAAAAAAAGCTGAGTAAGAGAAAATTGTTCCTGCCTGACTGCTTGAGCTGAGCCATTGGTCTTTACTGACCTTCAGGGTCAAACTAAAACGTCAGTTCTTTTTGAGTCTCAAGACTGCTGGCTTTCAGATGAGGACTTACACCATCAGCTATCCTGGTTCTCAGGCATCCAGCTCAGACTAGAAGCAGACCATTGGTTCATCTGGGTCTCCAGCTTGCTGACTGAACGTCTTGGGGCATCTCAGCCTCCATAATCATATGAGCAAATCCCTTATAATAAATCTCTATAATATTATTTAGCCCATGTAATATAAATAGATATTATAAATACAAATATGTCATAATATAAATATATAATATTGAAACAAATAGTATAAAATACATATAATAATATATTATATATGAAATAATACATTATATATTGTTATACTATATAATATATAAAATAATACATTATATGTTATGTATTAGACTATATAATATATAAAATAATACATTATATGTTATGTATTTATACTATATAATATATAAGATAATACATTATATGTTATGTGTTATACTATATAATATGTAAAATAATACATTATATGTTATGTATTATACTATATAATATATAAAATAATATATTATATGTTATGTATTATACTATATAATATATAAAATAATACATTATATGTTATGTATTATACTATATAATATATATGAAAACAGAAACAGATTCTATATTAATAATATATAACAGATCCTATATTAATAATATATGATAAATAGATATCTAAATAGTATTATATAATACACATATGAAAACAGAAACAGATTCTCCACAGAAACAGCACCAATACTATACATACACATGTGATTTTTAAATAATAGTTGGAACTTAAATACTAGAGTATGTTCACTTTGGCTCTGATGGGGCCAACCATTATCTTGAGCTTCTGATGGCATTAGCAGAAGACACCTAGAAAAACTAATGAAAATGTGTTTCATTAGTTTTTCAAGTTTGAAAATGCGATGCTTATTATGAACTTACATAGTAACCTTGCATGTGTGTGCTTTGAACAAGTACTATATGACTAGCAGAGATTTTTCTAATTTGAATGTTTGGCTACATAATTATAGTAAAAATTATCATTGTGAAATACCTGCTATGTGCTAGGTATACTGAGATCTCTGCAGATTTTTTTTAACCTACCAATAAAGTTGCAAATGATGAGGAAATGGCATTCAGAGTCATTAAACAACGTGCCCGTAGTCAGTCATTCAGTGGTTAGAACAACAAACACATGGGTCTACTTGATACCGCCAACCCCTGCTATGGGTAGAAAAATAGTAACAGGAAGTATCAGGAAAAATAGTAACAGGAAGTATTTGATTCCATTGGGAAGAAATGAGCAGTAGTAAGCTTGTATTTGTCACCCAAGCTATAGTTATCACTCTGTTCATCTCCTCATCTTTCTCCTACTTACAGAGCAAGATTTCACTTAGCCCTCTGTTCTTCTATTATCCCTACAAACTTATAGAGAGAAATTCAAGCCAAAACAGGTTGCAAGACTCTCTTCTTTGGGCCATAATGGTGCTGTGCCCCAACTGAAATTTGAAGGGAATGAAAACTCTCTCTACATATTTTTTTAAAAAGAAATTTATAACATATATGGGGTTCATATGCTGTTATAATTGCCTCTACTCATGATTTTATGTTGGGAGTTGGAGGGCCAAGTGAAAAGTAGAGAGAAATCCATTAAGTAATTTCACAATATCAAAGTCAATTTTCTATTTTTGTAGATAATGTGTCTAATTTATAAAATAAGGACTTTGAATAAGATTGTCTCTAACATTCCCCAGGATTAATGTTGTTTATATAATTCTATTTTTGAATCCCACAAATATCTAAGACATTGTTTCATATTCCTCCTTCTATAATCACTTTTTAACTGACTTTTCTCAAACTTTTAGCAGTTGAAATTTATGAAATCTTTCAAATTCTCAAATTCAAAAGACTTTACTCAGGCCCATTCTTCTTGAGCCCCACGAGGTATTTGGCACTGGATGCCACCCAAGACATATATAGAGATGTGTTTTTATGCATTAGTGTAATGTTCTAAGGAAAGATCCCATAGATTTCATCAGAATCTTCATCACATTTCATGGCACAAGAAATAAATCCTTTAACTGACACAATAGCAAAAATAAATAAATAAAATAGAAAGTCATTGGAGACCATTATTAAGGTAGCTCCGTGAAGTGCTTCAGATAAAAACAATGTACTGTAAAAAGGCATTAAAAGGTAAAAGAAAACTGATGAAGTGGCAACACCAGATGTAGTCAATAATTTTCAGAGGGAGATCTCTCTTTTTGTGATCGCCTTAATCAGATATGTGGCAATAATTCGTTAGTAACATTCAGAACGCTCATCTGCCAGGATGTGTAATGATCATCAATTGATTTCCTTTATTTTCTAGAATGTCTTAATGGGTTTATCTAAGTTGACACACTGAGTTGTCGTAGATCAGCCTACAATATGGGTTTCCAGATCCTTTCACCCAAATCCTTGCCACCATTTTATATCACTTCTTAATGCTTTACGTATGCACTTAGCAAGTCAGAAGCATGATCTTATATCCTCTAACATGATGTGGCTAACAAGCATTTGGGCTTTGACTCACAGGACCTAAGTTCAACCCAGTTTCTTCCTCTGTAAAGTAGAGCTAATATCACATTCACCTCACTGTGCTTTTGATACGAGGATGCATAGAAAGCATTTTACAGTGCTTTGGAAGAGCACAGCCCACAAAAAGAGGTCCATAAATACTGGTGTAATTATGATTATGATACTTGTATTGCTTTGCACGGTACAATATAACATCATGGTAAAAAATGAAGGCTTTGAGATTGCAAAGGGCTGAGTTCAAGTCAGGCATCACTCTTTCCTAGCTGTGGAAATGCAGGCAAATTTTATTATCATTGCAGGAACAAGACCCATAGAACAGATGAGTAAATGAATTGATATTTGTGATTCACCATGCTCACTCTTAGAAAATATTCATCCATGCCTGCAATGACTGTGTCATTCTTTTTTTTTTTTTTTTTGAGACAGAATCTCACTGCATTGCCCAGGCTGGAGTGCAGTGGCACTATCTCGGCTCACTGAAACCTCCACCTCCCCGGTTCAAGCGATTCTCCCACCTCAGCCTCCCAAGTAGATGGGATTACAGGCATGCACCACCAGGACCGGCTAATTTTGTATTTTCAGTAGAGACAGGGTTTCACCATGTTGGCCAGCCTTGTCTCGAACTTCTGACCTCAGGTGATCCGCCTGCCTAGGCATCCCAAAGCGCTGGGATTACAGGCGTGAGCCAGGGTGCCTGGCCATGACTGTGTCATTCTGCATTTAAAGATTATTTTCCCTTTTATCTCAGTAGTCACAGAAGGAGTTAATATGCATGTCACACCTCCCCCTTGGCCTAAATCTCAGCAAGTTACTGTTGCTTTGGCAAAGACACAGCTTCCCAGGTGCAAGCAGTAAATTGCCCCATCCTTTGTGAATAAGCTTTTTGTAAACAAAAGTAACAAGTGTCCAATGCCTTGGAATTCAAGAAAGCCAAACTGGCCAGGCGCGGTGGCTCAAGACTTTAATCCCAACACTTTGGGAGGCCAAGGCAGATGGATCACGAGGTCAGGAGTTTGAGACCAGCCTGGCCAACATGGTGAAACCTCGTCTCTACTAAAAATACAAAAATTAGCTGGGCATGGTGGCATGTGCCTGTAATCCTAGCTACTCAGGAGGCTGAGGCAGGAGAATCACTTGAACCCGGGAGGCGGAGGTTGAGGTGAGCCGAGATTGTGCCACTGCACTCCAGCCTGGGTAACAAGAGCGAAACTCCATCAAAAAAAAAAAAAAAAAAAAAAAAAAAAAGAAAGAAAGAAAGAAAGAAAGCCAAACCAACGAAGATATAAAGAGAAATGAGGATTTGGAAGGATTCTGAGTAACACAGCCTCCTTCTCTATTAATCTCTCCTGGCCAAAATATTTTTTTTATCACCAAAATGATGCTGCAAATTCCACAGTTGTGGCTAGAAGTTCATATGACACTGCCATAAATCCACGTGATAATTTGAATTCTCACAACATACTCTGTTCATGTAGAGGAGAATTTGTCAAAGAGCCATAGAAGTACTTCATAGACCTCTAAGAAAGGAATATTTTGCAACTATATGAAGAATCAGGAGAAAAAAATCAAAGTTCCCATCATCCGAATTTTTTTTTTTTTTTTTTGAGACAGAGTTTTGCTCTTATTGCCCAGGCTGGAGTACAATGGCATGATCTCAGCTCACCGCAACCTCATGCCTCCCGAGTTCAAGCGATTCTCCCGCCTCAGCCTCCCAAGTAGCTGGGATTACAGGCATGCGCCACCCACGCCTGGCTAATTTTGTATTTTTAGTAGAGATAGGGTTTCTCCATGTTGGTCAAGCTGGTCTCTAACTCCCAACCTCAGGTGATCCGCCAGCCTTGGCCTCCCAAGGTGCTGGGATTACAGGCGTAAGCCACCACGCCCAGCCCATCATCTGATTTAACAGCAGTAAGAACTTAGACTTAAAAATGCTCTATTATACACATCTGGCTGTAACTATCTAGTTTAATCCTGATTAACAATTCTGTGAGGCAGATATTATTATTAGTCCATTTTACAGATAAGAAAATTGAGTTGAGGAGAGGTCAAGTAATTTGCTAACACCAGGAAGTGGTAGAGCTAGGCTTTGCTCTCTAATGCAAATCCTAGCCTTCTGAGTCTGGACTGTATTACCTCTTGCTATGCTCTGTGTAGCACAGTATTGTAAAATCCAGGACAGCATTGCCTTCTAAAATCCAGGAGATTGTTTGCAAAACTGGTATCTCTTCATTTGCTGACTTCTGATGGGGCTTCTTAAAAGTATGCTGAATTTCACTATCCAGGTCAAAATCCATCAGGAAATATCTATCTTGATGCTGACACCACCACTACATTAAGTTGTTGGACATTAGAAAGAGACAACTCATCTACTGGAAATGAATCCCAGATTCTCTTTTGCTTTCCTAATTCCTTAACCTTCAGAAAATATGTCCAGATTTTCCAGGCTCTCAAAATTATTCAAATAGAGCAAAAAGGATCGGAGAGCGAAATCAGGAGAAACAATGTTGTTTGGGTATTTTGACTTTAAAACTATAAAGGCTTTCAAATCACTTTCTGGACTTGTGAGCTTGAAATTCTTTCTCAATAACACTACAGGTAATAAAATAAAACCAGCATCACCTTCAGAAGAGTTTGTTATTTCTCCTTCCTTTGTGTGCTAGGAAGGAGCTTGCTTCCCCGATGCCAGCTGTTTCAGAGGCCTGGGGCCTGCTTCACCTCTGGGGACATTAGCTCTAACCTTTCCATCTACTGGATTTAATCATATAACCATGTAATTAAATTCCAATAGTCAAGTTTCAGGGGCAGGGAAGCAAGGGCTGGGCCAGTTCCATTTAGCCCAAACAGATGGCAGACACTGCTCCTAGAACAGCATGCTCAGATCGCATGTTGCTAGCATTTGTGTTGAGTCCCCATTAAACACGAGCAACAAAAGGTAGAGTCAATCTGCTTAAGGAATGAAAGCCTCTTCACCTGCTTCCGTGAGATAAGGTGCAATGTATTTTTAATGTACACTTTTATCTTTTCTTGACAGTCAAGATTATTTCCACGTGATAGCCAAACCATAAGGTAAGCAAAGCTAATGGGTTTGATTTGTAGACAGCATATGGACCCCTAGGTTCCAAAATTAATGCGTTCTTTCTTTTTCTCTTGCCTACAGCTTTTCAAATCTTGAGGAAGAGCTTTCAGGATTGAGTTTAAAGATGCTTCTTCAATTTGTTTAACGGTTGTTAATAGCCAGGTGTTATTTCAACATCTGGTTGAAGTCTGTTTAATGATTTTACCAAGAAGACATCAGCAACATCTCCTACCTTGTTAAATTAACATTGCTATGTTGAGGATACAGTAAAATTGGGGTTTCCATACACTGCAGGTAAATCTGTAAGTTAGTAGTACAAATTTCACTGAAAGAATATGACAGTGTAAAATAAAAGCTTACAAATTCCTTTGCTCAATTTTTCCACCTAATTGAAATGCACAAGCAAAGCAATGTACATATTGCCTTATATATGATACTGAAAAAAGACATCTAATACCCTTCATTGGACCCCCAATTAAATAAATGTTGTTACATTAATAAGATAAAATATTATGTTTCAAAAGCATATTTTATAAAAATAAATTGCTCAAGTAGGATGCAAATCTGCTTAAATGTATTATACCATTTTTTATTAAGAGTATGCACAGAGATATGAAAATGGTAAAATTAGTTAGATCTGGCTGATAAGAATATGGGTAACTTTTATTTTGTACTTTATGTACTTTCTTCAAGTTGTCAATAATAAGTATACACTACAATTACATAGACAAAGTTATTTACAGAATGATACCATGGCATTTTCATAACTGTCTCAAATCCATGCTGTTAGTCATAAACAAATCACAATTAAAAAAAGACAGTCTTTTCATTCCACCAGGAACTCAGCAGAGCAAGTTTGGCATAGACATAAACATCAAGGTATTATCTTTACGAATTTGTATTTTAATATGCCTTGCCTTAAGTGAAATCATTCTGATTTCATCAGACGACCTCAAAAAACAAGACCATACATGACACTAAATCCATTAATACAAAGTGACATTGACTTGAGGTGAGCAATAGCATTTAGGAATCATGTACTGTTAGTGTCAAGAAAGATAATTATAGCTACAGTTTCTTTGTACTTCAATTTAAAAAAATAGGTATAATTTTGCTATGTTTTCTTCATTCATTTCTAGAAAGTTTGTTACTCAGCTCAGTTCTTAATGTCTTTAATAGCAACACACAGAGAAGGAGTCACACACATCAACATATCCTCAAAACATCCCTGCAACACAAGCCAGGAATGGAGCTTAGAAGAGCACAGAGGTTAAGTGACACAACCAAAGTGACTCTGTGGCTGAGTGCTCTTAATAGTCTACATCTCCAGTCTCCGTGTGGGCTCTCTCCAAGGTGGCTTTGGTGAAGGAGACAGTTCGCTTGGACCAGGGTTTCTTTCATGTGCTTCTAGGAAAAGGCAGCAAGTTTCAGTAGCAATGTGGAGAATACTAATAGATCCCCTAGCAGAGGTATTTTTAGCTTTGTCAGTTTTCCTTAAATCTCCAAAGGATACAGTTAAATTGAGATGCTAGAGATCACTTGCTAGGAAGTTTATTTTAAATGACTTAATGGAGCATCCATCCATGTTCAATGACTTGACGTAGAGCCTCCGGATATTGGTCACCCAGGTGTGACTAGCCAAATTGCATCCCATTGATGGCACCAGAAGATTTCTCATCTAGAATGACAAAATTGGTACTTCTCCAAGTTACATCTGTTCCCTAGCAAAGCTATTTTGTGGGCAGGGTTACAACTTTGCTCAAAACATTTCATTTACATATGTGACTCAAAATATCTTGAGCCTATCTATGTACAAGTCCTCAAGCAGATCACAAATTGAAAATGTTTAAAAAGAAAAGGTGTTCTGACTTCAGATGCATAATTATAAATGTCTGGAACCATTTGCTGCCTTCTTTCTTTTAGGTAATGGCCATTATCCCAGCCATTGCATATCAGCTGCCTTGAGTTAAAACCTTAATATTCCCTTATTTGTTCTCATGTGGTTAAAGGCAACTTCCACTCACAGAATGAACTATGACATTCCCCAAGCCGAACAAATCGAAAAGTTCACAGTTCTATAACCTCAGAGTTCAATGAATGTAAAGTAAGGTGTTCTTACATTGATTAATGAGCAAAAAATACTTTAATCTCCTAGAGGGGAAGATTTGCCAAGCAAAAACTTTTTTAAATAATAGAAAAAGAAAACTCATTGATAATTTCTGGATTCTTATAAATCAGTGAAAATATTTCATGCTTATTAGTTCAGCTATATGTTCATTCTAAGCAACTTAATTGATATAACTTACTGTGAACAAAAGCCATGTGTGAAAATCCTATGATTGACTCACTAATAGATGAAGCTCATATTTAACTGTGGCCTAATAAGTCATAATGTCATCTTAAATTTATTTAAAGTTGTATAATATTTTATTCAAAGGCTTTTAGTCTAAAAATAAAGATGGGTTTTTTGTTTGTTTAATCAGATGAAGAACGTTATAAGAAAAAAATTCTCAAAAAAGAATTTTCCTATGGCAACAAACAAAATGGCAAATACAACTTCAAGGTGGAAAATGCAAATTACTTCTGAAAGAAAACTTGGTATCTTGGGTATTCCTCAATGAAAAGGAAGCATGTCATAAGAAATAGAAGTCTTTCCCCAAACAATTAAAAAAGTTGCTTCTCAATATAAATATTACTGCATATCAGAGCACTTAATAGTGCTATTTAGAGATTCTTCAAATAATACATAAACTCAAATCATTAAAACATCATCTGAGCTAATAAGGTCATTAAAAACAGAATTATAATTGACTTTAATATGTTTATGAAAGAATCTTCAGCAACATCAAACATACTTTTAATAATACTTTGTTTTGCCTCCTAAGGAGACTTTGTTGTTCCTTGCTCATTGCTTTTTTTAATAAACAGCTGATTTAATGAGAATTATCTGATCTACGCTATTTTCCTAGTGTTGTTTTGAGTCCCATGTTTTACACAGAAGACTTTTTAAGATGTATTTTCCATTAGCCCCAGCCCTAGTGGGAAAGCATATTTAATAGGCAGGTGATGATGACCAATAATATGTTTGAAATTCCTTTTATTGTTCAGGAAATTAAGAAAGTGTTTATTAATTTTAGAATTTAAGTCAAATATGCATGCTGAGATTTTCAGGAAACCAACAACAGAAATAAAAATAGAACATATATCTTCCAAATCCATTGAGGGAAAAAGTAAAACCTCCTTGTAAGGCACACAATTTAATCATAAAGACATAGAAAGGATAAAAATAAGAAAAAAGTAACGAAAATATCAGCCAAAATAAAAGTCTGTATGATCAGATTAAAAACAATCAAAATAGAGTTTAAAGCAATAAAACAAAATGTACTTCTGAGAAATTAAGTGGGTCACTGCTTAATTAGAAAACATACGTTAAGTATTCTAAAATCTTCCCAATTAATAATATAGAGTCATAGTATAAGATATTATTGAAATAAATGGACACAGGCACATACATTTAACCCATTATCTCAATAATTCACAGCACAAACAAACAAAAACAAAATGTGATGAGAGATAAAATGAAGCGATATTAGCTTAATGTAATGGAGTTGCATAGAATTCTGTAGATAACAATCAGGCAAAATCTCTAATTTAAAGCAACTGACCAAATTGCTAAAACATAAAAACAAATCACAACAAATACACACACACACACACACACACACACACAAACAAACGAATACTTTCCAGGCTATGTCCTTTGACTTAAATGAAAATAATTTAGAAATATGTAATTAAAGATATCTATATACCAAAAAAGTTTTGAGACATTATCCTAAACAATTGATTAATCAAAAAAGATAATTGAATTAGAAAAGTTTAAAGCTGAATATTAACTTAAAATTACATATAAAAGATTGAGGGAGGCAGCTAAATTAGTTCTTAGAGGGAAATGTATAGCCTTATATTAAGAAAAACAAAACAGGCCAGTGGCTCAGGCCTATAATCCCAGCACTTTAGGAAACCAAGGCAGGAGAGTATCTCTTGAGCCCAGGAGTTGGAGTCTACAGTAAGCTAAGATCGTGCTACTGCATCCTAGCCTGGATGACAGGGTAAGACCTTGTCTCTTAAAAAAAGAAAAGAAAAAGAAAATTTTAATAATTATTGCAAAGAATATAGCTAGCTAACACCATTCAGCATGTATAGAGAATATGAACCAGTAAGAGAAAAAATGAAGAAAATCATGAACAGATAATAAATAAATAAAAAACAAACTTAAACACAACAGGAACTGGGGAAGTACAAATTAAAATCAAAATAAGACTCCATTTTTATCACAAACATAAATACTTAAATGTTTTGCAATAGGAAATGGCAAGCATGTGAAAGTGGAAACTCACATTTTACCAGTGGTAAAGAAAATTGGCACACAGAGAACAATTTTACAGTATTTAGTAAAGTTAAAAATGAAAATTGAATGTTCAATTTTAGCAATTCAAATTCTAGATACACTGTGTGTGTTTAGGAACTCTCATACCTGACACCAGATGACATTAAAAGAGTGTTCATTGAAGGATAGTTTATGATACTAAAAAATGTAAAACAGTGGAAATGTTCAACAATATAATACAGTAAAATTAAAATACCTATATATTTTAAATATATATGTATCTATACAATAACATATTATACTGTATTGCCAATGAATGAATTAAAGGAACATGGAAATGTTTCGACAACAGGATATTGAACACAAAATAGCAAAATGTAGAATGATTCATAGAGTTTGAAATTGTTTATGTATAAATTTAAAACACGTAAAATAAGGCTATACTGTACATCAATACATATGAACGTAGTAAGTATTTGACAAAGCAAAGAGGATAGTGTGACAGGTGAGGGGTTCAAGGGCTTCAATTGTATTTGTAATTTTTAATGAATAAAAGCAATGAAGCAAATTTAGGATGATATTAATTTCAGACAAAGCTGGTTGATGTGTACATGAGTGTTCCTTGTATTACTTTCTTTACTTTCTTGTGTTATTAAAATATTTTCTAATAAAAAATAATGAAATACTATAGCAACAAACTTTATAATCACCTAGGACAGAAATGCTTCATTCTTCAGAATATGAGAAAGTATTTTATGTGTATAAGATGTACATTAAAAAATAATTTATTGCCTTTACCAAAAACACTCTCTCTCCTTTGAAACTGTTGATACAACTCAGGTAAAGAAAAAAGAAGAACTCACCATTGACACAAAAATATTAATGATATAAGGTTCATTAAATTTTATAGTGAGGAAAAGTGTGGATAGTATCACAAATTCCAGTATGAAAGAATTTATCTTAAAATCCTTTGCCTAAAACCAGTATGATCAAAACAACATTCTGGTTTTGATTCTGAGCTTTATGTTTGTTAGGATCAATCTGGCATCATCTTTGCACATCATTCAAAAACTTAATCCAATATATTGTGTGCTACTGATAACAAATGTGGTTAAGGAGTTCATCTGACAAAACACTGAACAATTTTGAATTAAGTTCTGCCTCAAGACACACATATCCATCTTGGTTCCTGATTATCTTCTTGTTTTTCAAATTATTAAAGCACATAAACCAAAAGACCAATGGATGCAAATAAGAGTTACAGCATCTGCAACATATTTTATCTGCTTCAGGCTAGTTCTTTCAATGAGCTATTAAATCATCAAAATTTGAGTCAAGTGATTTCTACTCAAGTAAAATTGTTAACCGGAATAAATACATAGGGGCTTTCTGGAGGAAACTGTAGAAAAGAAAATTAATAGTTTGTAAATTTCCAGATTCTAAAATCATTTCTAAAAGGTATATTTTTACATATATGCTTCTGCAATCAGACTGCAGAATACTGATGCTCTCCCTGTCAATCTTAAATTATATTGGGGTAATAGGCATATTGACAGGGAGAGTATCAAAATTGGAGCACTCCCTGTAGCCAAAATATTTTGCATGGGTGCTATGATGCAAAGGAATTGGTAAATTATAATAGATCAGTGAATTCTGTGACTGCTCACACATGGTTTAAAATCTATTCATTCAGAAAAATGTTATTTAATTCCTCTTATGTGCCAAGCATTGTGTTAAGTCCTTATCAAAATAAATTATTAAATTCCTGGATCTTATAACTTAATGGGAGGCAGGCATTAAAAACACAATCACAGAGGTAAATGACCACTTAGAGTTGGCATCCTTGGTGGAGTCCTATGGGCAGTTAGGGTGGCAGACAGTACATCTCATCTGTGTTTGGTAAGAGGTCCAGTTTAGGAAATAAAACCTACCTAGGTATTTAGGGAAAATGGGCAATTATACACTTAGAAAATTATAGGAAGAACTAAAAGAGGAAAGAAAAGGGACTGCCAGTGGAAGTATTAAGTACAAGAGCACATCTGAGTGATTGCTCTCTGGGAATCAGGAAAACAGCTGCACCATATAGCCACCATCTCCACCTCAACTTCCCTTGACACTCATGTCTTAGCAAACTTGCTAATCAAACCAGCAACACAAAGATGGCCTCTGCCTCATTTTTGCCTTTCCAAATGTATAAGTATATTTAATGGTGAAACCTCGTTCGCATTCAGCCCCCTAGCAACAAGGGACTCTGGGAAATGCACATGTGGGCTTACAGCTTCTTTAGTACAAGATGACTCCTAGAAGGATGTGAAAATAGATGTCAAATACTAAATCCAGTACAGTGTACACTTTGTACCTAGAACTTAGACTTGAAAAAAGTAGCAATAACAACATGCACCTGCCTAACATACAGTAACTATTCCTTATGCAATTAGAATGAGGCTTACACTGTCCCCAAATTTTGTTAGTCACTGAATCTATAGCTGGGTTTTCTTTAACCTTCAATTCCAATCATAGTTTCAAGCTGATAGTCTGTAATTTGAGGGACAAATTACAAATGTATCACCATTTTTATAAAATTGTAGGGAAAAAGAAAGAGGTAAAAAGTCAGTACATGCATAACAAGGCAAAGAAGAGAACAGGAGTAGTTATTAATTTCTTACTCTGCAACTGGCCATAAGATCACAGTTGTTTATGACACTGTTTATCCTCTTCCTATTTCATATTACTTTTGACCTCACCTAGCACTGTGACTAATTAGGGCTCTGCCAAGCAGGGTGACCCGAATCCTAATTCCTGAGGGGTTTTTACTCTTAGTGGTTCTGCCTGTATGTGGTTGCGATAGTTGTCCATTTAACTTGACAAAAAAGCATGGAAGTTCTTAGAGATGTTTCTGTAAAATTCCCTGGGTCCCATACATACATCTCTTTGTAGGAAAAACTTACTCTCCTTAATAATCAGGACCAATTGTTCCAGTTAATACACGTAACTTCTTTGCTTATAGGCATGGAAAGACCAAATTATTCAGTGGCAATCATAGAGTTCAAATGAATCATTGTTGTGTCCTCTTGGAAGAGAAACATTCTTCCATTGACTAGTAAGACTTCTAAGCCATCATATCCCAACATCATGTGGAAGGAGAGCTAAATATTGTGAGTGATGCGTAGGTGAAAAATGAGTGTTATCTCTCCCAGTTCCATCCCTTGAGTTTTAAACACATATAATTTGGTATGATTTACATATATTATATTGCTGGGCAACATTCAATTCTGCTACAGATAACAAGAAAACAAAACTCCTCTGTTAAGTAAGTTAGTAAACTATAAGGCATATTAAGCAAAGGTAAAATAAGTATGTCTTGTGCATACTAAACATAGATAGAAAGGAAAGACCAAAATATGCCTAACATTCATAACATGCTATATATACATGGGGTACCTCAGGCACCTTCATACATGACATGTACACGAAGCATATGAGATACTAAAATTGTATGAGGTTGTGGATCAGTTGCACATTAGTGACATCCATCTTGAGCAGATATGCACTTTGTCTAAGAAAAAGAAACAACATTCATAGCTGTTCATCAAGTAATTGGGAAGCTATAGCTTTGGTCAGCTGTGCATGTATGTGTCACTGTGTCTCTTGGACAGAGTATGTTGGTCCCAGGCAACTTCCATATCTTAAGCCCCTTCCTTAAACTTCAGTTCTGGTCCACATAACCATACCATCAGAGAGGAAGGATGATAAAGTCAAGAGGCAGAACCAGCCTGGCCAACATGGTGAAACCCCATCTCTACCAAAAAAAACAAAAATTAGCTGGGTGTAGTGGTGGGCACCTGCAATCTCATCTACTCGAGAGGCTAAGGCAGGAGAATTCCTTGAACCTGGGAGAAGGAGGTTGCATTGAGCCAAGATTGTGCCACTGCACTCCAGCCTGGGTGGTAGAGCAAGACTCCATCTCAAAAAATAAATAAAAGA
Source organism: Homo sapiens (assembly GCF_000001405.40). NCBI lineage: Eukaryota > Metazoa > Chordata > Mammalia > Primates > Hominidae > Homo > Homo sapiens. The sequence goes on along the minus strand of NC_000014.9, from coordinate 85,646,617 downwards.
AAAAAAAATTCGAGAAGCCCTGAAACAGAAGAGGCCAAGGAGGAAGAATATCTGATTCTGAACTCAAGATTCAAGTACTATGGTCCATTCTACCCACTTTTACCTTCTTCTAAGAGGACTGCAAACCTACTTCATCCTTTCCTCCCTTCCTTCTCATGATTTGTTTTAAATTGATTCATAAGTCATCTGACTTCAGCATCTTAATTTGGTCTGTGAGCTTCTCTGTCCAATGACATCTGAGATTACCATGAGCTTTGGTATTTCCTCACATCACATTTAACTACAGACAAAAAGGGCCAGGTATTGGCCACTAATTCAGATCATACATCTTATTCTGAATGACAGTGTCCTCAACTTCCAATTACAGCTTCATCCAAGTGACACTCTAACTGATTTTTCCACAGTCCATTATAGTATTTTAAAGGCTGGTTGCTTCAGGCAACTTGTGGTGAATGATAACAGTGACTCTTACCGGCCTGAGTTCATTTTCTTAACCTCTGTGCCATAAATAAATCCACTGTTTAAAAGTGATGTTGTATGGGTCACCATAATAATGTCCCATTAAGTAAGTAAACAGATGCAAAGGCATGGTTACAAGGCAGGCAAATCTATATACAGAGTAATTGTCTATTTCAATATGGATAGTTGTCCTTTCCATAAGAGAAGAAATCCACTGTCACCACCTGCCACTAAATAGATTGCTGAACCTCCTAGTGAATAGTGCAATATGAGAGTATCAGAATTGGGCTCTTAGGTACTCAGTATTGACTCTACCAAATGAACTATGTTGTTGAATGCATATGTTACCAACATCTTTGCTATCATAAACTTTTCATTCATGAAGTCATTGAGCAAGACGTGAGGAGGGTGGCTGGGGAAAAGGACAGCTTGACATCCATATAATAGATCACCTTATCTACTGAATCTCTGAAAGATTCCTCAACTAGGAAGATCTTCTGAAAAGAAATAACATGTGGCATGAATATTCTCATAGGTTCTGCCACTTATGAACAATCCTTAACACGTATTTCTTCCCTAAGTCTCCTTATTACCAATGATCCAAATTGTATCCATGCTTAGTGAAACCTTTGTTTCCAAGCAGAGTGAACAAATAGATGTACCATTCAAAGACCTGCTCACTTGGAAGTTTCCTCTTCTCTATAGTTTCTCTGAGAAGCAGGTATGGGTTGAAGAAAAAGTGCCAATTAAGTAGGATGAATTTATGTGGGAGGGTGAACACCTGCTCAAGCAACAAATAGAGCACTCAGCCAATCATATATATATACACGCACACATTTATATGTGTATATATACTTCTATATACATATATGTATATACATATATACACATGTATACATATATACACATGTATACATATATGTATATACATATATACACATGTGTACATATATACATATGTATACATATATATAGGTATACATATACATACACACATATGTGTGTATATATATACTTTTTACTTGATGTAGGAGTTCTGCTGCCCAAGCTCAACTTTATGGTTGGTTGATCAAAACTCATGATTACAGTTCAGTTGCATTACTACTCGGGATCCAATAGCCAACAGTTGAGCCTCTTTCGGCATCTATTTCTATTAGCAAGACAAGAACTGTCCCTCACAAGGAGATTAATAATCTAAGAAAGAAAGCATGATTTTGCTTCAGAACCACAGAGCTCTACGCTATTAATCTCCTACGAGATTGGCAAAGTTTTACAAACTGCATGACCATCTGCCTGAAACATTTTATGCACCGTTGAATTTGCTGGATCATTGTAACCAAGTAGCAAAGACAGCAGCCTGGACCACAGCCTGGAAAAGCTAGAGAGTCTACTCTTCCTCAGCAACAAACTCCAAATTCACAGCTTTAGGGATTACTAAGTATTGAATCCAAAGTATCGAAGCAGCGCATCTAAAACTAGTATATGTTGCCTTCAAACATCCAGGGAGCCCATCAAGAACAGGCCCAGTTTCTTTGGAAAGGATTTCCAGACATGCCGGACTAAACTCCCAGAAATTTGCAAAAGGTGGCATGTCCCTGAGTTTTAGTGAGAATTTTCTTCTACCTTCTTGAATGCATGTGAATTACTGAGTTTCTAGGTTATCTTTTCCTTCCAGTTCTTCCACTTCAGTCACATGATGTTATTAAGCTGTAGACCTGTGGGACATCCTCTGGTATGATAAGATAATCAAGGGCCTGAGAGTAATTCATGATATCTCCATGGGGCGTGTTAATGAAAGTGAAAGCAGACTACTTTAGTGTTCTTTGCCTATTGAGATAAAAAGAAAGAAATTTCTAAATTGACAGTTGCATTGGAGATGCCATAGCTCAGTTGAATTTGTTTAAGTAGAGACCATATCTTCCACAACCATAGCAACTGGAATTACCACCTGAGTAAACTTACATTAATTGTATATTCTCCAAAACATAGCCAACTACTTCATAGATTAAAAAAAAAAATCAAGTTAAATGAGGACGTCTTAGAAATATCCACTGCTGCACCTTGAATCTGGGAATTGTGTGAGTGTTAATGATACTACATTGTGATAATTAGTCTGGCTTCAATTTGCCAAACCTGCATCTTTCCTTCATTTGCACAATTCAGGTACAACTTAAGTTGGCTGAACATCTATATTATTCATGAAGCTATAATGAGCAATTATCCATTCTTGAAAACAGGTTAAACACAGTTTCCTACTACTATACTTTTAATGCTTATAATAAAAACCACAACCACTCTGCTGCAACTGGACTAAATGTTGTCGTTTGTTCTCTGTCACTCCAGGATTCCACCAACCCCACTTAAACAGGGAGCACATTTTGTGGGCAGCATCTACACTTTCATCTCTATCTAAAAGAGGAGAGTCCTCATCAATGCATTAATAAATGCCTTAAAGAAACACCCTCTGGCCAGGTGCAATGGCTCACGCCTGTAAACCCAGCGATTTGGGAAGCTGAGGCGGGTGGATCACCTGAGGTCAGGAGTTTGAGAGCAGCCTGGCTAATATGGTGAAACCCCGTCTCTACTAAAAACACAAAAATTAGTCAGGTGTGGTGGTGCACGCCTGTAGTCCCAGCTACTCAGGAGGCTGAGGCAGGAGAATCGCTTGAACCCAGGAGGCGGAGGTTGCAGTGAGCTGAGATCACGCCACTGCATTCCTGCCTGGGTGACAGAGAGAGAACCTGTCTCAAAACAAAAAAAAGAAAAAGGAGAAAGGAAAGAAAGGAAGGAAGGAAGGAAGGAAGAAAGAAAGAAAGAAAGAAAGAAAGAAAGAAAGAAAGAAAGAAAGAAAGAAAGAAAGAAAGAAAAAAAAGAAATACCCTCTGAACTCTCTCATGAGATGTTTTTAGACATTAAAGTGAATCATATGATGGGTTACTCCAATGTTCCTATCTCCCTGTTATGGACTGTATATTTATGTGCCCCTAAATTTCATATGTTGACATCCTAGCCCCGAGTGGAATAGTGTTTGAAGATGAGGCCTTTGGGAGGCAATTAATCCATAAGGGTGGAGCCCTCATGTTGAGAATAATGACCTAATAAAAAGAGACAGGAGAGAGCCTTCTGAGGGCAGTTGTTTACAACTCAAAAAGAGGAGCATCACCAGACACCAGATCTGCAGGCAACTTGATCTTGGGCTTCACAGCCTCAAGAATTGGAAGTAATAAATGTTTATTGTTTAAGCCACTCAGTCTATGGTATTTTTGTTACAGCAGTCCAAACTGACTAATAAATATACAACCTATATTTCAGATTCTACAATATGCCAAGGAATTTCTTCCATCTCAACTTCAATTAGTGTGACTCACCATTGAGTCCAGATTTCAGTCAACCAATCCAGAAAGCAAAACAATTATAATCACTCTGAGCTGGTTGGGTAAGCTCATTGCATGCAGGCTCTAGTATATGTACCCATATTGGCTAATATGGCCCAATCTGGTTATGATTTTTCCTACCTGGTGTACCTCCCTTTGAGTCTGTTGCCATACATAGTCCGCAGATTTCTCCTGATAAAAAATAACAAACTATTGCCGTTTTTTTGTTGTTATTTTAGCCTTTTCTTCCCAGTTTATACTTCATATTTAAGCCCTACTGAGACACTGGGAACGAGCTCTAACTCTAGACTTGGAGGCAGTGAGGTGATCAGAACAAGCTATTTTACATTAGTTACCTCAGGTAAGTTAGTTCTCCCCACAAAGGCAGAATCAACCTTATATAACAGAGATGAAGGAGTTCTACTGGCAAAGAAGGCTCATCGGACTTGGGGGTTCAGTATAGTCAGAATAATTTAAACCTACCTAACATTCCCATTATAATGCTCTGGGTTTCTGATATTTCTCACTCAATGCCCTAATTTTCACAGAGAAGACCTGATGAGGGTGTGATTCAACTGAAATTATATTTCAGCAATAAACAAGATCAGACACTGTGTGCCATTTTTTTCTTTCTTTCTTTTTTTTTTTTTTTGTCAACAGCAACCTTGAAACTGTAAGAAATAAAATAGTGTCGGAGATAATCATAGATGCTCCTTGGACCTCTGACTTGCCTTGAGCCAGTTATTTAAAACTCTGAATTTGTTGTTTTCTTTCTATACATGCTTCAGCCTACCTCACAATTATTATATTTACATTCTCATCATAAAATTCTGAAGCAATCACATTGGTCACCAAAGCCTTGGCTTTAATAGGCTCTTCATTCCAGGTGATCTCAGGTAATAATTTCAGCTGCTGATTTTTTTTTCTCATTGCAAGCCAAAAATTATCAGTGATCCATTATGCATGAATAAGATTGTCTCTACTTTCAAATTCAGACAGTTTAGGTAACCAATATCAAATTTATACCCTTAGGTAAGTAGACCCACAATCAGTTTTATTATCAAATACTTAATCCAACAAGATAAAATGCAGGAAACAGAAATTATTCCATTTATTCAAAGCAGGAGAGGTATTTAATATAAGTATTAGGTGTGCACAAAATCAGGGAATGAATTGGAAAGGGGAGGGGAATAAATCAGGAACTACCTCTTAAACTGTTGCGTCCAAGGACGTACTACTGTAGTCCTTATCCAGAAATCAGGTCTCTCCTGCTGCTATTCACATCACCTGACTCCACTGAAGATAGTGACCAGACACTAAAACACTGATTATGGGCACCGTGCCTGATGGCCTCTTGGGCCCAAGACTGACATTAGTAAGAAGAGAGTTTCCACTTCACTTCTACCTTGAAAATCCTGCACACGTGCCTGTAATTGGTAGAACCTAATTTATACATAGAATCCAAACATAATGGAGTCCAGCAAATGTGATCGATTCTATCCAGAAAGGAAGGCATATAGAAGGAATTGGGAATAATGAATACCAATAAGCCATATCCAGGGAAAAAGCTGACTGTCACAGCTTTCCACCCTGGCATTAAACACCATGCTCTCTTCTTCAGTCTTTGGAGGCTGTTAGGTTTTTAAAAGGCTTCTCTATTGTTAGTTTTCACTTTCGTGGGTTTTCGCAGAAATAAGTCATAGACTAAATACTTTGTGGAAGGGATTAGAATAATTGCCACCCACATTATGGAGAAATGCACTAGATGTAGTACATGCTTTCTATGCATTTTAACTCATACCAAATCTATGAGGAAATTATGGCTACAGTTTAAGCAACTTGCCCAAGGTCACGGGGAAGAAAGGCCAGAAGAAAGCGAGGTCAGGATTTTCACAGAGGCGATTCAGCTGTGCAGCCGAAAAGCCTAAGGTAGGATCTGTATTTTAGAAACGTTTGTGTACAATTCTCTCAAGCTATTAAGAGAGTGAATAGGAGGCAGTTTCTAATGATGTGTTTGCCACACTATGTGGCCTATGTTCTACTCAAGGGGCTCAAATCTCTTTGCAGAGATGCTCGACTCTAATAGCAAAGACTGAACCTGACCAGTGAGAACTTAGCAAATGTATGGAATATTCACAAAGCATATTTATTCAATAGTAAAAAATTTATGGCAGCAAGTAGTTCAATCATGGTACAGACCTTGATGAGAGAACTTAGTCATTATTACCATTATTATTAAATAATTCTGTGTCTCCTAATTTGCTTCTGGCTCCCAGAAGGCTCCCAGTGGCTTTCCTATGAATTAAACAATTAAAGAAAACCTCTCAAGATATTTAATACTTGCTATGTATATTGTGGTGACCAAAGTTTACTTCCCAAGGAAAGCTTGGTCACGATCTTTATTAAAAACTAATAATTGCATGATTCTAGATGTAGTCAGCAGTTTGGAAGGATCATTACTCCACTGATTGCCTTACTGTCCTGATAAAATATACAGTTTTGGAAATAAAGTATTCAGGTTGGCCATTTCCAGATTTCCTTTGCTTTATCTGCAGAAGGAACCACCACAAGCTCACAGCAGAATCTACACTAGTCAAGTAGTTAGATAACAATAACTGTTAAGAATTTCTGCTAGTGGGTGGGGGGCAGTGGCTCACGCCTGTAATCCCAGCACTTTGGGAGGCCGAGGCGGGCGGATCACGAGGTCAGGAAATCGAGACCATCCTGGCTAACACGGTGAAACCTCGTCTCTACTAAAAATACAAAATATTAGCCAGGCGTGGTGGCAGGAGCCTGTAGTCCCAGCTACTCGGGAGACTGAGGCAGGAGAATGGTGTGAACTCGGAAGGCGGAGCTTGCAGTGAGTCGAGATCACGCCGCTGCACTCTGGCCTGGGGGACAGAGCGAGACACTGTCTCAAAAAAAAAAAAAAAGGAAAAAAAAAAAAATAAAGAATTTCTGCTAGTGAAGCACCATGGTGCGGTGAGGGAAAACAGCCTGATTTGAAATCCTAAGCCCTGTGTTTTCAAAGCTCATTCCATCACTTATTGTAAGAGCTTAGCCAGTCCTTTCTGGGGGCTTCAGTGTTTCCATCTTTAAAATGGGTAATGCACATAATAATATCAATAGTCTATAAATATAAATTCTACTAACACACACTCTAATTTTAGCCAAACTCATGAGAGAAAATTCAGCAGCTATACAAGAAGATTGAGATAAATCAATCATTGCTACCATCATTTGGGCTCACTAAAAAGTAGCAGAAAATGGAAACACGTCTCAGAATGACTGGTGGGGCCCCTTCTTCTACTTGCATTGTAGAAAGTAAATGTGGTACCTTGAATGCCTAATGACCTTTAATACTCATCCTCTTTTTGCCCAACCCGGTAAACTACTTTCAAGAAAAGCTGCTTATTTTAAAACCATAAATCACTTCACAAAGAGAATTCGATTATCTTTTACTCCTGTCAAGATTTTGTCAACTTAACGAGAAGGCATGCTCATAAACAACTTGCCATCCGGTTAACTGAATTTGTCAAGGAAAAGGAAACAGGGCAACAGTGAATGAGAGTCATCACTTTCCCAGCTTCCAGCAAATCCCTGAGAAAACCTGTGGGATCCTGCAGGTATCCTTAAAATAACTGGATCATGAGAAAACCTTGTTACAGAATAGAGACTGCCTGCTCTGGAAATTCTTTTGGTTTCAGTTTAGTTTTTATCTATCTACAAGAGACGACACTTATCCTAATGCACTAATCGTTTTGATTGTCATTTTCTTGGACATTTTTATTTTCAGATAGAGTTGATAAACTTGGTTTCACTGGGCTTCGTTCAAAGAATTGATTATTAGCTAACTTTTGTTTGCTTTTTTGCACTGTATGTTTTTTAATCTTTTATTTTTAGCATATAACAAGGTTATTTGACAATCATAAGAGAAGGGGAAAAGTTCAGTACTGGTTGATCAAAATAGGTTTGCGGACATGCAGCAAAATCTAGGCCTCATATATGTTCAGGTGCGTCATTTAAATTCATGGAATTAGAACATTCAGTGGTTATAACACAAATTAATGTTACTTCGCTCTGCTCAATAAGTAAAGAAATCCCTTGGGCCCAGCCTCACACTTTCACATAATAACGGGTCTATTGTTGGAGGAATTCAAGACAGCCTTGAGAAGAAGTGTGAAGTAGGCTGTAGCAGGTTGGGTTCCCAAGGAAATGGACTCTGAGACAGAGTAGCATACAAGAGGCTTACTTGGGAGGGTTTTTGCAGCTGACACCTGTGGAAGGCTATGAAGAACCAGGACTGGTAGAGGGAGAAGTAAAGCCATGATGAAATCTCAAGGGAAGCCTAAACTGAGCCTGCAGCCCATCAGAGCTGATCTGAGCTGGAGTAAGATGTCTAAGACTTCCTACCCCAATATTGATCAGTCATCAGGAAGTGTTGCCTGGAGAAAAAGACAGAACCATGGGAAAGCACTCTGTCTTCAGCCTGGGCGAAAGGCAAGAGGCTAACAGCAAGGATCTCTGCCAATAGAACCAGAGCACTTCCAAGAATGCCAACCACACAGGTAAACCTTGCTCTCTGCGGTGGCGTCTGTCCATCGCAATGGCCCGTGCTCCAAACTCTTCCATTTCTCCTTTCTCTATCCACACTCAGTTGTCCTTTATCCCATTCTCTACCGGTAATTGTTACATTTAGAATAAGTCACCTAGTCCCAGCTTCCATCATAATGGTTACTAAACATTTCACTTCTTGAAAATCTAGGTAATGTGTATACATTTTGTAGTGATGCCTGGTATCAAAAGAATAAGGATAATGATAGGCATTTCAAGCACAGTGGAGGATGGTGGAGCAGAGTAAGGACAAGAGAGAATTTAAATTCCCTTTAAATGACACTACTATATGGGTTCATATAATTAACCCTATTATTACCACTGGTGGGTGATTACAACATGAAAAATTTGCAAGAGTGTGTGCCCTGCCAGCTTTTTCAGAGACATCCACAGAAGCGCAAAGGAAACTATTATGTTTCAAATCTTCCTTTAAGACAAGTGATAGATGAGCCTACCCAAGGAATATGGCAGGAATGGTGGGTCCACCCTCAAAGCTACATCACTCCTGATCACATGAGAAGGCACCCTTCTCTGTCTGAGATATTCATGGAAGAGCAGACTGGGGGAAATTTGCTGTCATTGCAGGAGCATGGAAAATCACTTAGTTCTACCGGGAGTGACAGACGATTGTGGAAAGAAAGAATATTGAATGGAGTTAATGTAACAAAGCAACTGTATATACTAGACACTGTGCTAGTAACTTTAAATGAGTCTTCACACCAACACTGTGGTAGGTGTTTTTGTTATACCTTTTAAAAAATATGAAACCAAACATTAAAGAGGTGAAGTTTTTTGACTGGAGAACACAGCTGGTAAGTGAATGAGTCAATATTTGAACGCCAAAGCTAATGCTTTTCCTACCATGTCTATGCCATGGTGATTCTTATATGACTTTTAATTACTGCAGTTTAACTTTCTAATACTTAGAGGGATAATATTTTCAACTACTTGTTAATGCTTTTAATAACTTCTTTGTCTAGATGAAAATTTTTTATAGTTTATAAATTACACTTGATTAGTTACATTTGTACCCATGCCAGAAAAGATTTGTATGTGTAAAATGTGTTTACATTTATCTCCACAAAACATGTTGCTAGTTTTTCCCTAAAAATGTATGTCACACCAGTATTTACTTGCCCACTTAGATTATTGTTTTGTAAAATGTGTTTTTTTGTTTTTTGTTTTTGTTTTGTCTGTTAGAATGTTAGTCTCTCTCTTTTTTTTTTTTTTTTTTTTTTTTTGGAGACGAAGTATCGCTCTGTCACCCAGGCTAGAATGCAGTGGCACTATCTCAGCTCACTGCAACCTCCGCCTCCCAGGTTCAAGCAATTCTGCTGCCTCAGCCTCCCAAGTAGCTGGGATAACAGGCGCCTGCCACCATACCCTGCTAATTTTTGTATTTTTAGTAAAGGCGGGCTTTCACCATGTTGGCCAAGCTAGTCTCAAACTCCTGACCTCAAATAAATAATTCACCCACCTCAGCCTCCAAAAGTGCTGGGATTACAGGCATGAGCCACCACACCCGGCCCAGAATGTTCGTAATTTCATATAAACATTTTATTTGCCTTTCTTTTTCTTTTCCTGAAGATGTTTTGTTGCTTACTTTTCAGTTTATACTGGCTTTTTAAAACAGATTTCCTTTAGAGTAATTACTTCCATAGTGACAGCTATATTTACTGAAATAAAATGTTTCAAACATGTCTCGAAGTTTGAATTTCTGTCACTAAAGAAAATTAGTTAAGATTAATAAGAATGTTTTTTGTTTTTTTTTTTTTTTTTTCTGCAGGTGACTTCACCTTTGATTTTCCTACATTTAGGCAATGTTAGTGATGTTCTTTAAACTGCCAGGTAGAATTTCAATGTTTGCAATACAAATACCATTAAATACTTTTATTATAGTTACTTTGATAAATTCTTTTAAAAATACTATTTTGGTCCTTTATAGAGGTAGCATAATATTTAAAACTAACTTTAAAACAAATTATTTTACTAATCTGCTTGCATTTTATTAAATTCCCTTTACAGAATTAATGAACTTTTAAAGATTTCATAACAAAGAACTAATTAATGAGAAGCATAAATAACAGCTTATGAAAGAACAGGTAATGATACCTTAATCTGAGTCCCAAGGACCACTTTCCAATTACACAATTACAAGCCATTAATTTAAAATATCAATCATTAGACTATTATCAATTATTGGAAGTGTGTATTATATAAAAATTATATAAACATCTTTAATAAAGCAATGTTGATTACATTCAGGTGTATGATGTGATGAAATAAAGCTAGTGTTCACTGGCAGATATTCTTAGGTAACCGCTTTAAAGACTAAACATTTTGAAATGAACATTTCATTGTTAGCTGCTAAGTAGTGGTTTTATAAAAGTATTGAAGGTCTGGGAAAGAAGAATTTCCTAATTATTCTAAAAAGTTTTCATCTTTCTTTTTTTTAAACCATAATTGTATGTTTGTTCAAGGTTCAGATAAAAGTGGCAGGGATCAGGGTTAAAATCTGTTCTATTCCATCAAAAATAAACCACATTTATTATTTAATATTTTCTAGCTATTCTCATAATTCTTTCTCTGTCAAATATTAGGGTTTAATAGCTGTTATATAATGGCTTGAAAACATAAAATATTTAATATTTTAATAAACAATTTTTTATACAATTTTTATTGTACGACACTCTATCTTTGATAATTTTGACTTAAATAAAGTGTTTTATTAATAGTCTACTTAGTAATATAGTTTGTATTTCCTTGTTTTGAGGGAGAAGTGGTTGAACTAATGAGTTTTGTTTTCACTTGCTTCTCTTTCTATTCATTTGTAATTTTTCAGCCATAATGGGTTTGAATATATGCCAACCACTGAAGTGAAGATGATATAAATTATCTCATCAAATCCTTAAAAGTATTAGTACCTCATTTCATATATGAGGAAACTGAGGCTTAGGGACATTAAATAATATCACACAGATACAAAGTCACAGTTCTTTGTGATTCTGTAGCTCCTGATTTTAATGGTTATGCAGGTTGCTTCCCTAACATATCAAGTTTAAGGTTATTATAACTAATGAGAAACATGTTAGTCTTTATACTTAAGTCAATGAAACTGAGTGTTTATATGTTTGCTTTATCTATCCTAGTCACATCTTCCTGAATTTTAAAAGCACACAGAACACAAATCAGTCCAATGAACCAAATCTAAACTACATAGAAAATGAACAACCATAAAACAGAATTTAAGGTCCAAAGTAACTTGGGAGATCAACTAAATTCCTGCGCTTTTGACTATAAGAAACAAGCCCGAGAGAGAAGTGGTCTTATCCAAGATACAAAGGAGATTTGAGTTATATAGCCCAACTTTTTGCACACTAATTCCATATATTTTCAGAAAGTAGCTGGCATTTATTGAGCACTTTATATGTGTCAGGCACTGTGCAGTATGGTTACTGTTGAGGTGAGTGTTGTTATTAACCCATGTACAGATGAGAAAATTGAAGCATATACATGCCCAAGGACCAAGGTTAGTATGAGCCAGGATTTAAATTTAGATGTAGACAGCATTGGACTCAGAATTTAAAAGATTCATCATGTTTTCATAATATAACTTCCCATCCAATAGGCTACAGTCTTATAGACACAGTTGCTGTTAGATATAATTGGCCTCCATTACAAAACAGCTCACTTCCTGCTTCCTCCTTACTTCAGATACACTAGTAAAGCATGCTATATTCCAACTAATGAGGGCAGTTATGTAAAATACTTAGCAATAGGATAGCTGAGGCCTACCAGTCAAAACAGACACTAGTCCAAACAGAATAGAGATTGGCAGCAGACCACAGGAATGCCAGTACCCATTGATACTACTTGCCAAATAACTGTCCTGAAACCAATTAAATCATGCAGTCAAGGACTGAAAAAGTATATTTCCCCCCTCATCAAATGTCTGAACTTCTGCATTTATTAAGCAAGGAAAGACATAAATAGAAAGGAAAATAATGCTAATACAGACCGTAGTGAGTGAATTGCTTTGAGACTATTAACTACCACAAAGTGTACAGAAAGAAAACAACGTGATCCAGCTGAAGAGGATGCATGCCTGTTAATAACAACCAGCTTCCAAACTTAATAATGATATCGATTGCAAAAAGTAACCACATGACAGGTGGTAGACTATTGCACCTGCATTGTAGAGACATTAAAATGTTCTTCCATTTGACTGCTACCATCCCCACTATCAGCAAACCCAGTGTGGATTTAAATGCCGTAATTGGTGGTGTACTAGCATCAAATAAAACTATGTCTTACTAGAAATTATAGATTTTTGAAACAATATCAGAAATTTATTACTTTTTTTTTTTTTTTGAGACAGGGTCTTGCTCAGTTGCCTAAGCTGGAGTGCAGTGGCACAATCAGAGCTCAATGTAATCTTGATCTCCTGGGCTCAAGTGACCCTCCTGCTTCAACCTCCCAAGTAGCTGGGACTATAGGCACATGCCACCACTCCTGGCTAATTTTTTTTTTTTTTTTTAGAGATAGGGTCTCACTGCATTGCCCAGGCTGGTCTGGAAATCCTGACCTCAAGCAATCCTCCCACCTTGGCCTCCCAAAGTACTGCGATTATAGGCATGAGCCACTGTGCTCAGCTTATCTTGATTTTGTTTTTAGTATTTTGATTTCCAATGCCTTCTGAATGCTCATTCCTGGGGCTCTTTTGACACCCACATATTCTGAATTAATTTTCAGCAATAACTACATCTATGTGTACTCTAGCAACCAGATAGAATATATGCTACATTATAAAGAAGTCTGTTCTCTTTCTGTTCAACCATGTTGTTCAATGATCCCACACACCATGAGAAAAAAGGCCTGCCATGGTTGTGTGTTATCCCATGGCACCTCATCTTCCCAATTTTTTTCCCCCAGAAAGAATACAGAATAATGAAAACCTTTCTGACAGACCCATCTTGATAATAGCTGTGCAAATTATTGAGTGTTTTGAGGAATTTTGAATGCTAATTACCTTTAAATAGATCATCTCTACATGTAATTCTTACCCCAATACACAAGAAATTTGATTTTCATCATAAAAAGCTGGCAATTTGTCACCATGTGCTTGTGAATTACATCTGCATGAAAAATACATGGTGCTTCATGTCATTTATTCAATGTATACTCAGTACCAGATACTCTGTCAACTACTATATATGCCTTTAATTCTGACAACCACCATATGTGTTAGACATCATTGTCCCCATTTTAGGAAAAGTACACTGATAACCCTAAAGTGCAAGTTATTGCCAAGGCAAATTGGCAGGTCAGTGGTTGAAGCAGGATTCCAAAGTAAGTCAGCTTGATTTCAAACTGATTTCTTAATAACTACCACTCTCCACTCCCTTCTTTACAAGCATATCATTTCTAGGAAAGACTATTCTCATGGCAATAACCAAGATAACACAATGTGAACCTTTAAATGATATATGCTGTATTTTTATATGGGATATGACATAGTGAATAATGACTGTCTTTTTTAATTTTGCTGATGAAGATGAAAAAAAAAAAATCTCTGCTTTTCACATGCAAAGAATTCATTTTGACTAGCCGACTGTCGAAATGTTTAACTTTGTGTCTACTTGTGCTTTGTGGACTTTTCATGATGGCGATATTTTGTTGCAAGGTGATTTTTTTTTTTTTTTTTTTGAGTCTCACTCTGTCACCAGGCTGGAGTGCAATGGCATGATCTTGGCTCACTGCAACCTCCACCTCCTAGGTTCAAGCAATTCTCCTGCCTCAGCCTCCTGAGTAGCTGGGACTACAGGCACGCACCACCAAGCCCGGCTAAATTTTTTGTATTTTTAGTAGAGACAGGGTTTCACCATGTTGGCCAGGATGGTCTTGATTTCTTGACCTCGTGATCTGCCCACCTCGGCCTCCCAAAGTGCTGGGATTAAGGTGATTTTTAAAGATACCTCTTTGTATGCTTTTCTGCAAGCTGGTTCAGTTTTGAGTTTGTCTGTAATATATAAAAAGGATGTTCTTGGCTGGGCGCAGTGGCTCACACCTGTAATCCCAGCACTTTGGGAGGCCTAGGTGGGGGGATCACCTGAGGTCAGGAGTTCGAGACTAGCCTGGCCAATGTGGCAAAACCCATCTCTACTAAAAATACAAAAAATTAGCCAGGCATGGTGGTGCACGCCTGTAGTCCCAGCTACGCAGGAGGCTGAGGCAGGAGAATTGCTTGAACCCGGGAGGCGGAGGTTGCAGTGAGCCGAGCTTGTGCCACTGCACTCCAATCTGGTGACAGAGTGAGACTCCAACTCAAAAAAAAATAAATAAATAAAATAAAAAGATGTTCTTCAGGTCTTTTTAATTGTTATCTCAGCACATCCTATGAATGTAGACATACTGATTCCATCTAAAGCTTTCAAATCAGATGCATGGCCACCAAATAATCATAAAAACAAAATTTCTTTTAAAAATGTTGATGAGTAATCAAGAGATTTTAAGGAAAATATATATGTTTGTTTGTTCTTGTAAAACGCATACTGTGGTCTTTGAGCAAGGCTAATTTTGCACAAGTCAGAACTCCACAGCTCTTTCTGGGGCTATTAAAAAAAGAGCCATCTGGCCATAAGCAACTGACAGAGTGGCTCTTCCCCTGTAGCTGGGCACCCACCAGGGCCTGGGCATGGCTCTTAACACTGGATGAGGTACAACAATTTACAGAATATGTTTTCTGTTTCCAGGGGCCCCATTGTATAGGCATGAAGCAGACTCACAAAAAATTACAATATATAGGTGCTAAAAATAAATGTATTTTAAAGTTATATTAACCGCACAAAGCGGTCAGATAATTGGCAGGTGTGATTCCAGCGGCTTTGGAAGAGAGGTCTTTGACTTGTATCTTAAAGGACAAATATGTCATCAGGCAAAGGGGAATGTCACAGGATGAAAGACCTTGAGCACATATATAGTGGTTTGAAGGAACTTGAGATCCCAGGAAGATAAACTGAAAGCATTTTGTTTGCTCATTTCATATATATATATATATAAAATCTAGATTATATATGTAATTATATATATATAATCTAGAGCATGTAATGAAGGAGGAGGCAATATTGGTAAGAAATGTCAGGGAGCAACATGTAGTAGGATACATAAGTCACACAAAGAGTTTGAATTCTATCTTGCAAGCAATAAAAACGCATGTTTTGCAAGCACTGCAGTATCGTACTCAGGCATTCCTTATAGATTATGATTACCCTTTGTCCTTCAATGTGTTGGAAAGGCTAAATTAGAAAAAGACTAAAGGAAGGGTCTTAACCAAGTCAGAGTCAGGGAACCAAGAGGAGAAAACACATTTGAGAGGCCACTCTGGTGCTGGAACTAGCAGAATCCTAGGCTGATTATTTAAATGCAGTGGTGTGGCTCATGCCTGTAATCCCAGCACTTTGGGAGGCCTAGGTGGGTGGATCACCTAAGATCAGGAGTTTGAGACCAGCCTGGCCATATTCTGCTCAAAAAAAGCAAAGAGGCAGAAAGAGCCCAGGCTGACGGTTAAAAACCAGCAGCTTCCAAGAAAGATTTTTGATGAGCAAAATTTAACTCTCCTGGAAAACATTCTTATTCTGCACCAGAACTTACCAGGCCTCGGTAAATATTTGCTGAATGAAATCAAAACTAAACCAACAAAGGCCCATCCTATCCCAACTAGGGAGTTTAGAAGACTTTTTGAGCCAGCATAGTTTTTTATATTAGGAAAAGAGTGACCCAATACTGAGGTTTATTATGTCATTGAAGTAATAAGAATTCCCCTAAGGATATATTGAGGTTTTCGTCTAGTTTAGACTTCATACCAAAAAAAAAAAAAAAAAAAAAAGACAGATATGATCACCCATTGGTATGTGTGTGCTAAAATGACATATAGTTTGGGTTATTACCATTAAAAACTTTTGTATCCTTAACTTTCAGTAGAGCCAGTGAAAATAAAGCTTATATAATATCCCCTAAAGCACACATTTTTATCTATGTTATGGGAAAAAAAAAGAGCATAAATTCAGAAGCCAGTTTACTAATGCCCTAATAGATTGTGACATACGTGCTTTTTCAGCGGAATCTACAAAATACTTAGAGCAACATCTCAAGTACGAAACAAATTCATTCCTAAAAATAACCCAACTGAAGACCTTTTAGTAGCTCTTTCAGCTCACCCTATGGGTACAGACATATCTTGATTCCATCTGAAACCTTCAAATCAGATAAATGTGCAGCCATCAAATAATCACAAAAAGAATTTTTATAAAAAATAGGAATGGATGACCAAGGGCTTTAAAAGACAAGAATTTTGAGGCTTCTAAAATGTTCCCTTTATTTGCCATAAATGATAATATATGTATCCACTGAGAAGTTATGATAGCTCCATCATGAAAAATCTGAAGGCTAGTCAGTCTCAAGGATGGTCAATTTATTAAGAGGCAGGAAAACAATTAAGAGTCCATGGAGTCATGCTCAGTGGTAATTCCTGACTCTGCCATTTACAGGATTTGTAGCTATAGACTAATCACTTAATTTCTCTTGAAGCTAAGTTTTAAAATCTAAAAATTAAAATAACGCACCTTACAGGGTTATTTTAAAGACAGAATGCAAACATACGTTATCACACAGTTTGCACAAGGTCTTATATAAACAAAGGTTGTTAGTAATTATCAGGTGCCATTATTCCTTTAGATTGAGTTCCATCGTGGTGCTTAATAAAAATTTAAATGTCTGCATGTGTAATTACGAAATACAATTTCTAAGTTTTCAAATACTTGGTGGAAACTTGAAAATTTAATTCAAATTAAGTTCTGACTTTAGCAATGTACTCTCTCATTGCTGCATCTATTAAAAACCAAGAACATCTAATTATGACAGTTGCATCAACCTTACCAACAGGTAGAAACATCTCTTTTGTCACCTTAGATGTCCTGTCAATTTAATGAAGTAGTATAAAGTGATTATGCAGGCTCTGAGACACTGGAATGCATTAGAAAAAGTGTTTATTACCTGATCTGTGAGTTTCTTAATGGCTCACAGACACTTTTCTCTGAATCCCCGGAAGACCCTAACATAGTGCTGTAGAAAGTAGATGAATAGTAAATATATCAGATGAAGAGATTTCTTCAGGGACATAGTGAGGGAGAAGATTTGCCTGATTTGGCTAAGAACGCATTTCACTATTCTGTGAGGCCTCTGAACTCAGCCTAGTGTTTGGAACAGAGTAGGAGGACATTAATGAATTATTTTGAATGAATGGTATTTTTTGACTAATGGTTTAGTCTGTATAGAATAAGGTCTGTAACTCTTGGCAAAAGTACCCAAGAATAGCATAGATGTTACTTTACATAAAATCCCCAAAAGTAATATGAATTACTTGTTAGCACTGTCTTTCATAGTCAATGTTCCAACAGAGATTCTACAAACAGGTAATACTAGTTAACTGAAATGTCATGAATTTATTTCCTGATTCAATCTCTG
Source organism: Homo sapiens (assembly GCF_000001405.40). Lineage (NCBI taxonomy): Eukaryota > Metazoa > Chordata > Mammalia > Primates > Hominidae > Homo > Homo sapiens. Next base: position 85,628,648 of record NC_000014.9, on the reverse strand, counting down.
TCAAATACATTATTAATGAAATGGCCAAGAGGGGTTAGCAAAAGGGGTTCTGAAAAATCATATGAGACTAATCAATTGAAGTTGAGCATATGAATAGATACATTTCCTTGAGTGCCTATTGAAAGGATGGACAGATGTGCTATAAATTCTGCGGCAGAAAAGTACTATGAGAATTCTTAAAGAAATCTGACATTTAAAACCAATAGCGTGGCTGGGCATGGTGTCCTCTGCCTGTACTCCCAGCACTTTGGGTGATCGAGGTGGGATGATTGCTTGCATCTAGGAGTTTGAGACCAGCCTGGGCAACATGGTAAGACCGTGTTTAAAAAAAATTTAAAAATAAAAAATAAAGCCAATAGCATCTATTTTGAAATAGGGGAAAAGCCTATTCTGATAGGATAAATACAATGACATTATCTGTATCCTAAACAACATAGATTTCACCAGTATAAAATAAGATGCTCTGTGTATGTGTGCATACCTAAAAGGTATTCGTAGGAACACACAATTTAGTTGGGAAATTTAAAAGAACATGAGGATTTCATATAAACTCCTCACACAAAAAGGATCAAATGGCCTTTAGAAATGCAAGTCATATTCATGATAGGAGAATACGAAAGTCCTATTACCTCTTTTATTCCTGCCCTCCTGCGTCATTTCTTCTACATTAACAGCACAAGTATTGACTGTATCCCAATGAACTTACTCAGATAAACACAATGTGGTTTTCTTTTAAAATAAGACTTTACTGAATATATCAACAAGGTACTGTATAGTGTAGAGTGAAGTTTGTCATTAACAAAGTGTGCGACATGGTAGGTCTCAGAGGATGTGTGATGCAGAATCTTTCAGCCCCTTATCAGAGAGAACACACTAAACAGAAACCAGAAGCAAATCAGCATATGGTTCAAACAATAACAAATCATCAGGTTAACTTTCAGTGAATATACACTAGTCCTATGAGCGACACACACTTGGCAATGCCTTCACCTTGCCTTAAACATTATAAATCTTACATTCCAGGGACACCTTTACAAATGCCCCTGTTTGTGTGTGTGTGTGTGTGTGTGTACAAGCATGTGCATGTTTGATAATAATTTTTAAATGCCTGTTGCAATGGCCTTGCTTTGTGCTCTTCTGGTGGGTGTGCAGGTAGAAAACAAAAAACTATAGTAAAAAAATTTGTTTTGTTATAACAACGGTATCAGACATATACAAAACTCTTTCTCCACAGTGACAAGCATTCCCCATTGCTAGTAACTGTCTTTTGACCCTGCTGAAGAAATCAGAGAAGGATGTAGGTTATGCCTTCTTAGCATTCATATTTTGACTTTAGAAAGAGCATCAGGCAAGGTTTGACAAGACCAAGAACAAGACCAAGAACTGTTTTGTTCTGTGTGAGTATCTTTTTTCCATTTGGGGCACTGTTTTCTGCTTTGCTTTCCCATGCAGCTGGAATGGTAAGTCATGAGCAAAACTGCTATTCTCATGTTCTAAAGTAAAATGTAATGTCTCCTTGTTATAGGTTAGAGAAAAATGCTATAAGCAAAGACACCAATGGGAATTAACCCCTTCACTTTTCAAAAGCTGCGATGGCCTCTGCAGCCAAGGTCCGGAGATCAAGTGAAGCATCCATTCCCTGTGGACTGCAATATTGCCTCGTGTTCTGAATGGATGCTTCAATCACAGCATGAAGATGTTGTCCTCCCTGGTGGGGAAGGAAGTTCTGATTTGTGTGAAATGACTAAGACCATTATGATAGGTGCTAGTAGAAAATGAAGCTGTAATATTAGCTACTTCATTAATACTTCTTACCAGACTGGTCACGTACTTTTTGTTTTTAACCTCAGGGAGAATGTCTAATATATTTTCAACGAACATCCAGATAATTAGAAATTGCATTATTTCTCACAGGGGAGAATGTTTTCCATTTGTTACACAAGGAAAATAGGCAGGGGATACATTCCTCGTATCTGCCTGCGATTGTCCCATGCAGTGGGCTGCTAATGCATCTGACGGTGTTTGAGGGTGGCCCAGAGTCTCTCTATAATCAAACATATCTCCCCAAACAAGCAGGTATTAACAACTACCCTGGCTATAGATAACTGTCAATATATCCTTTTGATCATGACTATGCCTCTTCCTTTTCAATGTCTTCTGTACAGTGACATTTACCAAGCTCTGAATGGGATCAGATTCTATCTGAGTCACCTCATTTGGCCAGGCAGCATCAAGCTCTTTATTGGCCAGTGAGCATGGCTTTTTTTCCCATGGTCTTGGCCTGTACTCGCAACCTTGACTCTTGACTAATCATCTCAAAATACATCATAATGACAGCAAGAGAGGCCCAAACACAGAGCAGATATATCAGCAAATATACATTCCCATGACTAAAAATGCCAATCAAAGCAGAATCCCCAGGGACAGTTGTTTGGCAATTTTCATAAGACACATTAGACATCACAGATTCCATCACGTGCTTTCTATCCTGGTGCAGGTGAGGCTGTAACAAATGGGAGACGGATTTTAATCTTAGCAGTCTTTGCCATGTTGTACACAAGGTGAAAATAAAGCCTGTTACTAGGTTCAATCTCTTCAGGAACACCTCCAGCAAAAGGGACCCTGTCAGACCATCTTAAGCATTGCACATGACTGTCTCCATTGTACCATTTAAGCCCCAAATAATTCTGTGAACCCCATAAGAAATGACAGGAACCTCTTCATCCTTGTTCTTCCTGGCCCAAAGTGGTTTCAGCAGCCAGAAATCCCACTGGGGGTTAAACATACAATATACATAAATGAGAATGAGTATTTTGTGAATAACAGAAATAAAAACCCTCAAAAGTCAAAGTACCATCATTTGAATGCACAATTTTATCTACACAGCCAAGGGGAAGAGGACAGTAGAAGGGAATTATCCAGCTAAGTACACAAAGCCCCCATGTCATTGTCTTGATTTTAGATGTCTTACTGCTACACTGATCACCTTCACAGACTCTTTTCCCTTCACTGTGTGGACCTAACTTTAAAAAAAGCAACAGCCAAAACCCTCTAGCTAATAGACTAAAATGGAAACCAGAGTCACTTTAGAATTAATTTAAATTAATTCATAGCTAAGTTCAGCTCTACTGACTGCACAGTTTCAATTCTTGTGTCTACGACATACAGCTGCAGTTATATTTTCTGCTTATTCTGAGGGACAAGGGAGATTAAAACATATAAGTTGGGCTATATTATTAAAGAAAATAAAGCTCTTACTATAAAGAAAAAGTTGCATAGCATTTTATACCTAAACTTTTACAAAGAAGACACATCACAGTTTTATTTTGCTGAGAGAGAGAGAGCTAGTAAGATGATTGTGACATTTACTTCATGGGTCCCTATAATAATGGTCAATGGTAAAAGAAATATGCAGCACAGAGTGAAATGTTTAAATTTGATTTTCGAAAGATATTTTTTCCAAGGGAGTAGTTTTTGATAACGTATGTGATCTATAGCCCTTCTCTATCTAAGGATGGCAAAGATTAAATTATGTGTTTTCTGAAGGTGTTGTCTCAAAAGTATCTAGAATTAAGCACGGACATCCTCTCTTTTCTACGCCCTGCTCTGCCAGGATTAGGGGAAAAAGCCTTCACTCTCTGACTTGTTTTTCATGGGTTGTCCTGCTAACATAAGATTGATTAGCCCTCCACAATTGCCAAAGTAGAGGAACATCCACGATGGAAAAGGAACAAATAAAATTTCAAAAGTGGAACAGGATCAAAGTCAGTCCAAGGTGGAAACCAGGTATTGCTTTTTAAAAAAAATTCATTATTTTGGCCAGCTTTGATGTGTCCTTACAGAATTATTAGCAGTGAAAATTAGTACTCATTTTAAAATGTATAAGTACGTAATGGATATCTTGTGCAGCCAAGACTGGCATCCATAATTTTCCTTGAAATACTGAACAGAGGGAGAAAAACAAAGGTGTCATAAACAACTAATTATGAAAATATATGGGAGATGATTGGAAGACAAGAATTTGCAAGGGGATAAAAGATATTACTTCAAGCTATTTCAACATGATACTAACAAAGTCAGCTGACATAACAGAACCACTGATCAGTTGTTTTTGTCTAAATAGCAGGAAGGGTAATTTTTAAATAAGTCATTGTTGTATTTTCCAAACATTGATCACCTGTTGGTCTAAATATCATGTTGACATAGCCTCAGTGAATCTACCCAAATAATTCTCATTATCAAAAATAATTCCATTCAATATAATTCTTCCCTTTATTAGCCTCTTCTAAAAAAGTATTCTAGAATATATCTCTGTTGAATGTGATTCAACCTGATATATGATTTGAACAGTAACACTTTTAAAGGGAGTCTTCTTGCTACAACATCAGACTGGTCCCTGAAGATGACTGAAATCAGACTCAAGTCTCTAACTCTGTTATCACATAGGACCAGGGAAGCATGAAGAGTGATTTTTAAGTTCCCAGTCAGAAAGCCAACCCCTGCATTTTCGGGTCCTTTCAAATCTCATCTCAATTTTCTTGATTCTGTCAGGCCGGGTTAACTTATCTCACGGGAACCGGCTTCCTCCTGGTGCTTTCAGCATTTCCCACACAGGGTCAAATCAGGGTAACTACCTCCATTCTTACATTATAGAATTTTTTACCTGTCTTCCGGACCTGGAGGTATAGGAATAGTGTGAAACTATCGGGCCATTTCTTGTTTTACCCATATTATTCCTCTTACCCTGATGAGTCCATTTAATCTGCCCTTTCATCTGACCACCAGGAATTTATTCTGACAGCTTCAACAGCAAAGTGGTTGATGTGTATCCTAAGGAAAAATCACTCGTTCTTTTTGCCTTGGCATTGGGTTCTCATTGTACAACCCTGTACAGTACTTCAGCAACTTTTTTTTTTTTAAGATTTAAAAAGCAAAGAGTTACAAAACTGTTTGTAATTAACTTGAAATAGAAAAGATAGCACTTTTTTTAAATCCCATTATATAGTACACCGTATAAATTACAGAGTATTCAAATGCACAAATGCATCTGTGTAACATTTATCAAATGTAATCTGCGTGTCTTTATGTGCACACACGAGTGTGTTCTCAAGAGTCTAATTGTCCGCCTTGATAACGCTGGGCCTCTGGCTGTCACGTATGGCAGTGCTCCAGGTCTGGCACGCTGCTGTTGCAGTATCGCATGTTGTTGGGGATATGGCAGTCTGTGTAATTAATGCCCCCATTTGGGGTGTAAATGGGCTGCAGTCTGAAATCTCCTTTAAGGAGTTGATCGTTATTTAAGGAGACGATCTGAAAACTGGTTTCTGTCATCTCCAGGATGGAGTTGTCCTTCTTGGTGCCTGCCTCGCAATAATCATCTTTCCGCCGGCCCCGGTTGTATTTCCACTTCTGGGAGGTGTAGCGCCCCTTTTTGTGCATATGCCAGCAAAAGACGCTGAGCAAGACCACCAGCACAAATATCACCGCGCCCCCGATCAAGCCCGCCAGCAGAAAGGGGGAGCCCATGCTGTGGGACGTCGTCTGCTCATGGCTGGACGCTGTGTTGCTGCCGTTGTTCAGATAGGAGGCATGGGTGGTGGCCTCTGAACAAATGGTGTCTTCTACCGCGCGGTAGTTAAAAGCATCCAGTGGCACTAAACAAATCCGATAGGTGGATCGGGGCTCTAAGTTAACCAGGCTCAGGTGTTGCTTCTCACCGCTGACTATGCGCTCCTGAACGATGCCCCCTACTAAACTGTGGCCCATTTTCACCCATGTGAGTTTGTATGCCATCACGGTGAAGAGAGAGAGCCAGCTGACTTGAATGGAAGTATCATTCACAAAATGGATAGAGAGCTGGATCCGTTCAGAAATAGGTGGGGTCACTCTTTCTCTGCCATCCCAGTCAGGAATCGTGGGAAGTTTCGATGTGGTAGGAGTTGGAGGCGTGTAGCTTCTGCTAGGGTTTGGAATAGAGAGGGTGGGAGGCTGAGTGGTCGGAGAAGCTGTACTTGGGGCTGGGGTGAAGAGAGGCAGGCCGGGGGTCGTGGTGGGACAGGACAAAAGATTCATATTTAATTCCCTGACGGCCATCCCCCGGACTTGTTCAGGACCTTGGCACATGAAACCCCGCACGTTGAGAGATGAAGGGATATATTTGAGCCATTCTGTGACCCATTTAATACTGCAGTCACAAAACCAAGGGTTATTCCGAGCAGTGAGCTGCTTCAGGTTGGAGAGATTATCAAAAACCCCTTGAGTCAGCATCCGCAGTTGGTTGTTGGATATATCCAGCCGTTCCAGCTTACGCAGATTTGAGAAGGCTGTCAAAGGAATGTGGTTTATCTGGTTGTCCTGCAAATAGAGCCTGATCAGATGCGTACCTGGGAGATCGGGAGGAGGGTGGGACAGCGAATTACGTACAATTGAAAATTCCTTGAGCTTGGTGAGATGGCTGAAGGTGCCCTCGGCGATACCCTTGTTGGTCAGGAGGTTCCCGTCCACAATAAGACGCTCCAAGCTCGTGAGATTCTGGAAGGCCATGTCGGATATGACAGCAATTCGATTTTCATCCACTCTCAGCTCTTGCAAGTCCACAGGAAGCCCAACAGGCACACTGCTCAGGTGATTCTTAGACAAAAACAACAATTTGAGGCTAATAGCCTCCCGGAAGGCCCCGTCTTCCACCCCCACTGTGGATATGGAGTTGTCATCCAGGTGCAGCTCTTCAAGCTTCAAGAGCTGGGCAAGAGCAGCCCGTGAAATGGTCTGAATATTGTTTTCCTGCAAATGGAGAACTCTGACATTCTTGGGAAGGTTCATGGGGAATTCGTCCAGTTGGTTGCCATACAGGTAGACCGTGTGCACCGACTGTACATTGTGCAGTTCTGCAGGAAATCCAGCATTATTAATTTGGTTGTTGTGGAGGTAGAGTACAGTTACGCCCTCCGGGATCCCAAGAGGCACTGAGGTCAAGCTTCGCTCATTACAGTAGACAAAGTTCCTGTCGCAGCGGCACACACTAGGGCAGGCCAGGAGTTTGGACACCTGTGAGTAGAGCCCCAGGGAAATGATAAGCCAAGACTTCAGGAAAAAAGCCCCATGGCTGGGCCACTTTGTGGTCTGTAGGCCCATTTCTGAAGTACGGAAATAAAATACAATGTGGTGGGAAAAAGAAAAAGAAAAAAAAAATAAACAGCAAAATCAAAATGACTGGATGGGGTTCTGTTGAAGTCCAGAACTCCAGCTAGAGGGAACGTCCTGAGGGCGTATGGTAAAATAATCTCCCTGCTGTCTCTGGTCTTATCAGCCTGTGTTGCCCTCTTTGCTGCTGTCCTCCATGTGCAAAAAATTCAACAGGGAGAATTTTTCCACACTGGCAACAGGTGATGGCAAGTTATCAGCCGTGTCAACACAAGCCCAAGTGGGCAGGCAGAACTCTCTTCTTCTTTTGTAGGTCAAGCCAGCCTTGATTAGCCTACGAACTTCTTGGTTAAGCTCAATCTGCAATCTGTTGCAGGAAAGAAAAGAGGAAATGGTCAGTTAAAGGCAGTAATGAAAGAAGTGCCCAATATGACTCTGAGCCTTTCAAAAACAACGAGATTGGGATGAAATGTTGAGGGGCCAGGGCTGGCATTAAGTGGAATTTCAAATAACAGTAACTTACTTGAAAAGGTATTCAAGAAATAATTAATATAGTATCTTCAAAAGGACATCATGCTATTACCTGTCACTATCAACCATCATATTGTGAATTTAACATCCTAATCAGTACCTTCTCTTTTATCTATTCTTTATCTATTTGCATATCCAAACACTTAATTACAACAGGCACACTGCTGAATCCACTCAATCAGTTAATGATAATTATCTACAAATCCTACTGGTCATAGACTAGTTTCAAGGTAGAGGTGATGACTGACAGCTAGCAAAAGTGAAGGGGAAAATGTGAAGCCCTGCAGAGTTATATATTTAAAAATGCAACATGGAGACTAATAAAGTCACTTAAAAAGATGCATCCTTACAGAAAAGTTATTCCAAATGTATTATATTTCCAAATACATTTACTAGATATGAACTTTCATATACTATGTTATAAAAAAGCTGTAGCTGAATAAGTTGCCATTTCCTTTTAAAATGTATTTTAAAACTCTGATACAAAACCTTATTCATGCTTAATGGAAAATTTTAGAGAATAAAATATAAAGAACACAGTATGAAGGTGATAAAGATTATTCATTATATTATCACTCAAAGATAACTGATCGATTTGCTTACTTTCCTTTTTTCTATACATATACTTAACAAAATTGGAATCATTATTTTTCTTTTTGTTACCTAACATATGTCATGACCACATTACCACATGATTTAAAACAATCATTCAAAGAAAAAAAAGAAATTCAAAGAAAAAATTTTTCAAAGAAAAAAAAGTAGTATAAACGTAGTGAACAGAAGCATGTATGAAGGCAGAGAGACTTTTTTCTTTCCCACTTCTTGTCTCCCTTCCTCTTTATCTTCCTCCAAAATAGCTTGCACCTCAAGTCACCGAGGAGAATGACTAAGCTCCAGCCCACAAAACATTTCCACTTATCTCCTCCTTCGAGACCTCTAGGTCCAGATGAGATACACCATTGTGATCCCTTGAAGAGTTGCCAAGCTCACGACTAGGGGTAAATTATTTTTCAACAGCACCACCTTCCTTCCGTCTGTGCTTTCCTGCTTTTATAGGAGGTCTTTTAGCAAATTTCGAAATGACAGAAGACACAGTTGAGGAAGTCAAGGCAATCCACAGATAGTAATCATGCCTTCTTGCTCCAGAATGTATTCTATCTGTTTTTAGATTAGAGAGGTAAAGAAGTTAATTGAAAGGTGCCAGATTTGATTTCCCTACAAAATAAGCTAACATGACAGGACATGGCGAACTGCAAGTCTCTTAATTCTCACCAATACATGGAGATTGAAACAACTTACATCTAAAAGCATAGAGGAACTATTTGAAATTGTTCTCTTAGCTATCTTTAGAAATATAATTAAAAAAGAAAAAAAGAACACTGGAAATGTTATTTAAGTGTCAAGGATGTTGTAAATGTGTTCTATAATTTAAAAGATTGTTAAGCCATCTCAAAAAATGCCTTCGATGACCAGAAAAGGTAAAACTCATTTTTTATTGTTTCGGAAATATAAGGTGGGTGGGAGGGGATCTTTTTTCAGGTAAAATAGAGAGATACGATGCTTTATTAAAAATCAAGCATGGCCGGGCTTGATTTCATGTGGTGGCTTACACCTGTAATCTCAGCACTTTGGGAGGCTGAGGCAGGCATATAGCTTGAGCCCAGGAGTTCGAGACCAGCTTGGGCAATATAGTGAAACCCCATTTCTATTAAAAATTAGAAAAATTAGCCAGGTGCGGTGGTATGAGCCTGTAGTCTCTGCCACTCTGAAGGCTGAGGTGGGAGGATTGCCAGAGCCTGGGAGGCGGAGGTGAGCCAAGATCATGCTGTTGCAGTCCAGCCTGGGTGACAGAGCAAGAACCTGCCTCAAAAAGAAAAAAAAAAAAAAAAAGTCAAGCATTATTTAATTTTTTACAAAACCTAATATACATTTTGCTGCTGAAAAGGATGCCATTCCTTCCAAAAGAAACCTCTCTATAAACTTAAAGAATAATTTATATAACTGAGGTGGCATAGGAAAAATGAGTTTAATGCTATCAGCCTGATGGCATCCTTAGCTCAGGTTTCAAACCATCTTAATGTTCCCTAACATCTTGGTACTCAAGTGTGGTCCTTGGTCCAGCAGCATGAGCCTAACCTGGCAAGATGGTAGAAAAGCTAAACCTCAGGCCCAGAATGTTAGCGAGAGCCTGGGATGGGCGCATTCAAATTTGTGAAGCACTATGAACATCTTATTTAATCATTCATGTTTTAATTTATTAAATGTAAAATAGATGCAAGAGCATGTTACATGACTCTTTTGAGAAGAGATAAGGCATACTAATCACTTTTGTCCCCGGGAGACAGTCTCAAATAACATCTTATATGTAAATTACATCTTCTGGGTGGAGCAGTGCAATGACTATGTACGACACTTGGCCTTAACAGAAAATGTTTATCTAGATGACAAGTACTAATGCCTAGTAGGACATTAAAGAGTTACTTGTCATCACCGGAGCCCACTTTTGTAAAACATTTAAGAATAAAAAACAGTTTGGTGCTATTAATAATTACTTCCACAAGAGATAGGAAAGTGAGACTAAAGAATAAAATGTAATGTTTTTAAGTATTCTACTGGCATCTTCAAAGTGTGATAGAAGCAACCACTGAAAAGAATGTCCTAGGAGAGAAAAACAGCAGCACCAGGGTCTCTAAGTTCATATGTAAAAAGAATAGATACTTCTACATTGTCTTATAGGCCAAGTATTAGGGGCTAAGAAACAAATCAATACTTGAGGATGATGGTGTTTGCTTAGAGTTCATCAACTAACAGCCTCAAGGACATTAACACTGGGAGCAAACCAAGTACTCAGGGATGGGCCTAGAAACTATTATTATGCATCCAGATCGTAAATTTTCCATTTCCTGAACTGTGTCCTCTGCAAGGAGAGAACAGGCCCCCATCAGCCAACCCTTTGCCCCCAGGCCTTGCTCTCTTGCAGGCATATTTTACTCATGAGTGGCTCTTTTGTAATTATATAAGAAGATGATGTGGTTCTGAAGAAAGCTCCTAATAAGATTACATGGGGCAAACTGTCACTGTTCATATACCTTAATAGGAGAAAAGTCCCATCTAGACCACAATGTGTTGATCGGCTATGACAAGTTCAATTTTGAATGAAAACAAACTCTCAGGGCTTTCTTTGACCTTCTTGGGAATCCCACAAAATAACAGCATGTAGCAGATTTGTTCTGTTCCGTGTATCAACAGCAGCTTACACCTATCAGTGAATGCACTCTATTTTTGTTTCAATCAGTATACATATTGGTAAAATTACAACCACCTAAGCCATAATGATTTTCTACATTTAAATTTTTAAATTTAAATTTTCTTTGCATTTCCAGCTGTGGTTCCTACTGAATAATGAAGGCAGCGATCCTTTTAGACTTTAAGTTGGGGACCATATTTACAGAGAAAGAATGTATAATGGTCACCAAGCATAGATCCTGAGTTCTCATCCTACTTCTATCACCAAGTAGCAGCAGGATCTTGAGTACACATTTCTCTTTTCAAGTCTTAGTCTCCTTATCTGAAAAATGATAATAATAGTTCCTAACTCACAGCACAGTTGACAGGGTTAAACAAAATAATACTTGTGAAAAGCTTATGTCTGTACATGGCAAGAACATAATAATGCTGATTGTTCTCTATGTAATTGTTATTATTAATGATATCCAAAGAGCTGAATTCCACTGTGTAGAACAAAATAAAATCAGCTTTGACCTGCCAAGCTTTATGCACTTCCAACTACCCCAGTTTCTCAGCCTAAGCACTACTGACATTTTGTGCCAGATAATTCTGTGCTTTGGGGCTGTGGTGTACATCCAAAAATGTCTCCAGATGTTGCCATATATATGTCCCCTGGAGTGGGAAAATCGCCAACTGTTGAGAACCGATGATCTACACACACCTTCTTACAAGTGCTTTAGAAAGTTGGCTTTATTGCCACAATTTTCTAGAGAAAATTAAGATAAATTTCTAATAAACATAACCTAAAAATACTTCTCCCATGGACATCAAAAAGCATGAAAATGTAATATACTTTCCATTCATTTATTGAACCAATACTTATTGAGCACTAGAACGAGGATACAGCTGTATGCAGAGCTGATGTAGTTTTTGGCTCATGAGGCTTAAAAGTTAAGTGAGGGGAGAAAAATGAGTAGGCAGGGAATTAGGGTTCTATGTAAAGAGTTCTTAACCCTAGAGCATCAGGTAATCATGGTCCTGTGGAAAGAGTTCTACCCTAGCCCATGAGGTATCAGGAAAAACACTGCAGGCAAAGGATGGCTCTGTGAAAATCGGAAGGATAGAGAGGCCCAAGCCAGGGAAGAAATGTAAGTTCTGCACACAGATCCAAGCTGCTTGTAATGTGAAGCCAGAGATGAATCCCAGCTCAACTGAGAGAAGGAAAAAAATGTTAACTGCACAATACTTTCTCCCAACTCTCTGTCCGCTTCTCACTGAGGTAGTCGTGCTTCTAGAAGATATTAAACGAACTCATGTTTCAAAATCATTGGGCATGTCACCTATAAGTCTAAATGTTGGTGATAAAAATAGTTGCTTTACAAGATGAATTTCAAATATCAAAAGGAAAAGGGTTTTTTTTTTTTTTGTCTTTTAAATATTTCCCTGTTTGTGTGAATACTGTATTGAATATGTTGCTTCCTCTCCAGGAAACTAGAAATTATAAAGAATGGCTTAATGGCAGGTGCTAGGTAAAAACAGAAATTCTCATTTAAAGGAGACCATAGCTTCAAAAGCCTGAGTATAAATCAACATGCAAAAAAAATGCTCTTTGGGGGCAGCAAGAACCCGTCCTTGCCAGTCTCTTAAAGATGACAGTAAAAACCAGCAGCTATTCCAGGCTACTTTATTGTAATTTAACTCTTTTCATAGGAACTGAGACTCAAAGCACGAAAGTCATGCTATAGCTTTCTGCTCAGTGTTTCTCTCCTAGTGCTGCCTAAGAAGGTTTTTTCTTTTTCTAATTAATTCCAGGAGCCTGTATTCCAGGAGCACTTAATAAACTAAAACTATAAAAATCATAGTACAGAAAATAAGAATTGTCAATAAGCATTGCCAATCGCGTAATAGAATGACAAGGACAAACCTAATAAAATCTTAATGGTTTCAGCACTGGCTGAATTGTGACAAGGCAGCACAGTGCATGAAGTGATACAATGAGAAAGCTATACTGAAGAGGAATTCTCTACTGTTTGCACAATAATCAGGAGAGTCCTATAGTTAGCTGACCAAGGTGTGGGGATTAGCAAAGGAATTTAGGGAAACATATATCAATAGCCACCCCGTAGCCTGAAACCATTTTTCTATCTCATTCACTAAACTTCAACCAAGCCCCCGGAAGTTGATCATTAGGCAGATATTTCTCTTTACTGAGATAAAGAGAAAGAAACAAGGGAAAGGAGAAAGAAGGAGAGAGGGAGGGGAGGAGGGAAGAAAAGAAAAGAAACACTTTGTTTAAACAGTTGGCCATTTCCAGGCTCCAGTCAGTCTAAAATTGAAAACATTAAAATCAGACCAAAAAGGAAAAGCTATGCTCTTGGCAAACACAAAATATTCTAATACATTTGAAGCGTTGTTCTCACATGGTTTCCAATTGGTTGGAGTAATGGGGGTAACTTGAGAACAAATAACCAGTGTTATAAATTCAAATGGATGAAATTGAAGACACTTTCACTACTGCTACCTGCCTCTCTCAGCCCACTGGGAGGGAGATCCCACTGATCATCCCTGGCTCCCTTTAAAATCTGGAACTGCAGGACTGGGTGGCCTCTTTCCACGTCAACTACTGCCTGCACGGTGTTTGGATCTAGAAGAATAGCCAACTGTCTTGATGCTCTGAAAGCTATTCCTGATAGCAACTGGTTGGGTAGTTGGTCCCCGGTAGTAAAAGGAAGCTGGTAGAGCAGAATTTCAGGAGGCAAATAAATTGAGAGAGTACTAATAAGATATAAAAGTATATGGTCCATAACAGATGTATCTTCTACAGTGAATGTCTATGTACTTTCAATCCATTTCAAAGGAATATAATTCAGTTCATTCATAACATTCATTCATTTGCTCAAACAGATACCAACCATCTTATGTTTCAGAGAAAATAACTGATTTTTTAGACAGTAACCTTTGGGAAAAATATTTCCCCCTCATCACTTGGTACAGTGGTTCCCCAAACCTGAGGGTCATTAAAAACACTAGGGGAAAGTGATGAGAAATGAAGGTTTCTGGGCCCCACCCCTGCAGATTGTGGTTTCATAGGTCTGCAAAGGAGGTGGGTCAGGTGCAATTTGTCAACTTTCCCAAGTGGGGCTGATGATTAGTCACTAACGTTTGACCACCCAGCCGCTCCCTATCAGGAATTGCTTTCAGGGAATTGAAACAACTGGTCCTTCTCTCTTCCGGGTCTGATCTGATGTTGTGGAAATAGTTGAGGGTTTGGAGTCAGTCAGAATTTAGTTTCTTATCTCAGCACTTCCATTCCCTAACAGCATGACAAAGGGCACCTGACTTAACCTCTCTGAATTTTACCTTTTTTTTTTAATTTCAAAGGGGATAATCAGCTGTGCTTAGGAAATTGTTGGGAGGATTAGATATAAATCATATAAAGTAACTAAGAGGACCAATTAGGCACTCAATAAACTGGTTTAAGAGAGGTAGAAAAGGTGTTATGAGCAAGAGCTGGGCTCTGGAGACAGAGGACCTGAACAGCTTTTCCACTTCCCAGTTGTGTTAACTTGGGCACACTGCGTCACTTCTCTATGTCCCAGTTAATTCATATAAAATGGAGAAAATAATAGTATTAATATTTCACGGTTGTTAGAGGGCTGTAAATCACTTAGAACATTGCCTAACATGTGGAAAACACACACTCTTTATGTTGGTCATTCCTAAGATTAGCTTTAAACAACAACAAAAGCTCCTGTGCCGGGGAGCATTTGTCCCTAATTTGGTAGAGAGTTGGTTGTACTGAATCCATCAACTTTTACTTTCCTTGTTCATTCATTGATCATAGTTCTTTCCTTTGGTAATATACATATACATCTTCCTTCCATCAATCCTGAAAATAAGTGCAGACATTTATGAAGTTGATCAGTGAGTAAGTGACAGGGCTAGGACTTGAACTCAGGAATGGGCTGCAGGGCCTGCTCCTAACCTCTGTCCTGCTTCTCTGTAAGCTCTAGGCAGACAGGCTGGTCTGCTTTCGCTCACCGTTATTTCCCCAGAGCCTACAGCCATACGTGGCAGGCATTCAAGATCTGTTTGTAACACAAATGAACGAGTCAAAGAACGACCTTCAGATGATTACTTTGTTTGAAAAGGTAGTCTGCAAAAACTCTTTGACATCTTCAATCTGAGGTCCCATAAGGAATCAGTGAGATAATATTTCAGAATAGCTTTCAAGAGTTTTAAGCTACCTAAAGCTATCTGGAAAGATTGAGGGATAGATAGAGCGATGGATGAATAGTCCCTGGGCATAAAGAAACTAGATGACCTTTGTAAAAGGCATAGAACATGCAACTAGGAAATAGTTGCAATTACTACAGCACTATATTTGTTTTAACCAAATAACATCAAATTCCATGCTCTTATTGACTTATAGTACTGCAGAAATAGGGTCACTCAGAAACATAACATACTTGGTTTGTTCAGAGGCATGTATGTACCTAACAGTTCAGTTCTATGATGGCTGTGACCTGAAATCAACTAAGTATTCGTGATCTATCACAAAAAATATGAATTTTTACTTATATAATAACAATATATTTTAAATATTTATATAAATTCAATGTGACAGTTCAACCGAACTTTAATTGCATACTACTTTACCATTCCACACAGTTAGAATCAACGTAAAATAGGCCAATATCTTTGAGAGCTATAAAAAAGCTTATGAAAAAAATAAACTCAATCCAAAAATATAAACAAGGCCTACTTCCCTACCCTAATATTGCACATATGTAATATACATAACAAAACAGAAAATCTTATGTCTCCTTCACAAGAGGAATACACATTTCGGTCGAAGATATTGATTAGGCCCATGAAATGAAATTACATAGTGTGTATTTCCAGGTGAGTTATCTGGTTTTGAGTCTAAAAAATGAAAAATTCATTGCTTAAGCCTATTTTGGTATCATAGAGATGGCTCTGAATGTAAATGGTATAAAATTTCCTCACTGAATAAATAGGTTTTTACAATGTGCCTTCTCATCTTCAGAACACCTGTCATGCTGAGGTGTCAGGCTATGTTCAGGAGACTATTTCTGGATTTGAGGAACAAGAGGGGATAAGAAACAGAAGAAAATTAGTATTGCTTATTATCCTTGACCCTCTCCTTCTTTCAAGGACATTTCCCCCCAACCCACCCCAAGAACATGACTAGAAATGGGTTAAGATCAAATCGAGTCATTCTAAAGCTTTAAATAAAACCCAGATAAGCTGCCTCAATATCATATCCACTGTGGTTGCACAATACTCTTAAGGAATAATTTGAAGGAGAATATTGAAAATACACAACAGGTTTTAAAAGCTACCTTTAAAATAATCTATAGTGGTGGCCTTGATTATGTGAATGAATTCTGAGATGTGTTCTCCAAACACAGAAGAATTTAAACATACAGGCAGATCCTTTTACAGGTTTATACACAACCAGAATGCTGCTTTCATTGAAGGCCATGGCAGCTTTCAAACTCTACCCCAAAGGCAAAAAGCTCATATTTTTGTAGTGCTAATCAATTTCAACCACTTAACTGTGTTTTTTTTTTTCTTTTTTTAAAGAGTTCCCACCAATAATAATTTTAAAAACTCAGGTGCACACAATGACTTAGTCTTTTTTTTTTTTTTTTTTTTTTTGAAAAGTAAGTTACATTCTGACTCAGTCCATGTCACCCAGGCCTTGTGCATATAATGGCCACCAGAGGGAGGCAACACAGCTGAAAGGTGGTCCCAATACACACACACACACACACACACACACACACACACACACACACACACGCTTTCGCGCACGCGCGCTCTCTCTCTCTCTCCCCTCACATGAAAAGGTAGTTTTGACTTTTCATCCTTGACTCAACCATGTGATGTTTTTCCAGAAAAAAGTTCCAATCTTCAATGGTCAATAAAAATAACATTCATACATAAGGGAATAATGTAAAATCTGTGATGATAAAGAAGATTTAAAACAGTGAGAGTGATGAGAGAATCCTACGCTTGAAATGACAGTGGGTTATTCATTCCTCCCTTAGCTACACTCCCAAGCTTGACTGGACTGTAGGCCCTGGTCCTTGGGAGGATCATACTTGGTTCATCTTATAAAGTACTACATCTCCAAGACAGGTCAGCTGTCTGAGACAACACATTCTAGAAACAGGTCAAGGAAAAAGACATGTGAGTGGGCAACAACTTCACATGTTGTGCTTTCCTGATGAGCCTCCATTTCCTCAAAAATCTTTCCTTGTTGGTTCTCTGACGCTTTTTAAAATTTCATAATTATAAACCAATTCTTTTGGATTAGCCCGCAACCCTCTCTAGAAAAGCAAAGGTTTTTGGTAAACATTCCAAACCAAGTGAAGTGTATCAGACCTTTCTTTAAAACTAGTATTTCTCATGCATTTATTCATCAGGCAATTGTTGAGTGGCCACTGTGTCTGATGAAGCAGGAGGCCCGTGTGACGCACAGGTGAGCAAGACAGATAAAGTCCCTACAGTCAGGAAGGTGCTATGTTTAGAAAGCAAGAAGGCCCGTAATCCCAGCAATTTGGGAGGCCAAGGCAGGTGGATCATCTGAGGTCAGGAGTTCGAGACCAGCCTGGCCAACATGGTGAAACCCTGTCTCTACTAAAAATACAAAAACTAGCTGGGTGTGGTGCCAGGTGCCTGTAATCCCAGTTACTTTGGAAGCTGAGGCAGGAGATTCACTTGAACCCAGTAGGCAGAAGATGCAGTGAGCCGAGATTGCACCACTGCACTCCAGCCTGGGCAACAAAGTGACACTCTGTCTCAAAAAAAATTCATTAATTAAAACTACAAAACTTGAGATTAGAAAAGATAAAATTGTAAGCAACGTCATGAAGGAAATAAAGAAGTGTCATAGACGATGATAATGGTGTGTGTCAGGTAGATTTAAATATGGCAGTCACAGATGGCAACTTAGAAAATGGGATTCCTAAAGAATGAGGATTTGCTAAGGATGGGGGATTCAGGGTGCAGAATGATGGTGCTCAGGAGAAGAGAGGCCAATAAGTAAGTCCAGGTCTAGGCAAGAGCAGGCACAAGGATACAAGGAAGGGAGAGCCTTAGCTCTGGCAGGAACTGAAAGACTGGTGTGTCTCAGAAATTTTATGAGAAATGAGAAGGCAAAGTGCAGAAATAGGGCCAAGAGTTTTAATGGACTTAAACAGGCAAATCTTTATGGCTTTGGTAATCCATTTAGATTCTATTCTCACGGCAATGAAAAGCCTGCAGGGAAGGTATGGTGAGAAGGTAAAGATCAAAGACGCTACCTGGATCTAGCCAATAAAGAGCTGAAAGAAGTTCTTGAGAAGTAATGATGAAGTAGAACAGGAAATTTTATCAAGAACAAGAGCCTGGAGAAGAAAAGTATGCTCTGAACTTCTGTCAGAATTCTCTCTTCAAATGTCCCATTTCAGAGAGTCTCTTCTCGCGAACATCCCCACACTTTTTTTTTTCCACCTGTCTCAAATTCTCTTTAGAAAGAGAGGAAGTATAAATAATAAATAAATAAAAGAAATACAGCTTTGACTAAACAAGGTCTTTGATGAGAAAGTGAGGAACCCATGCTGGGTAAAGACAGCCATGTAATTAATTAGAAGGGTCTCTTGACTTCTATCATGAGCACTGAAGCCTGCCACCCTGCTTAGCATAATGTCCCTTCCACTGGGGAAGGCACAGGCCACCCACTGTTCCCTAGCAAGTAAATTGGTCCCTACCTATAAATTATTCTATGTGTGGTGAAGAAAACCATTGGCTTTTTTCCTTCTTCTGAAGTTCTGTGCACAGCCTGGCAAACAACCTCCGATAATTTGAAAAAGTGGCTTTTAGTGACCCTAGCAATAAAAAAGTTACTAGTGCAATAGAGTTTGACACGTTTCTAGAAGGCTGCCTGGGCTGTGTGACTCACGAGAGGTGACCCTGTCTCACCTGAGAATAGAGGTGCGGGGCTGCTCCCCCAGCTCATGGCTCACTGCAGAGGGCAGGCCCCATTTAAGGCGTGCAGGTGCCCACTCATGCTCTGGTTCTTCCTGAAATATGCTCATATGTTTCTAGAACCAAGTCTCCTAACGGAGTTACTTTGTCTTTTGGGGGGACTCACAGGTGCAGAAACTAGGTATTCAGGGTCAAGAGGTCAAGACTAAATGAAACAAATTCCCGGTGAAACAGCCACCTCCATTAACTACCTTTGCAGGTGGCTACGCTCTGACTCTAGTGTTTTCTCCAAATGTTCTATCTCCCCAACTCTCTTGACCATTCTGCAGGGAATTCAGAATATGGGAATAATCTCAAAACCAGTGAGAGTTCCTGAAAAAGCTGAAATTGACCACAGTACCAACCTTAGACCTACAACCAACACCCCTCCTATCAGGGTAAGGAACGCACAGGGTCAAAGGGATATGACCATCCAAAGCCTGTATTGCTCCTTCTAGGTTCCATCTTGGGTGCCCAGATTCCAGAATTTCCTGGCTCCAACTTTCTCACAGGGCCCTGGAGGACCTCTCCACTGGGTCTGTCCTCCTGAGGTTATGACACTTCTAAGCTTGTTCGGATTGGGAAGGAGGAGTGCAGAGCTGGGGTGTCTGTGTGCAAAGCCTCTTGGGTTTCAGGACGGAACCTCAGTGGGAAAGGAAGAGACTTTGGACCAGTTATCCCTGCACTGCCACTTTCTGTTCTGTATTTGGTAGAGTTTGAGAATTCTAAGGTCAAATCTGCCTGGCCTTCCAGGATATTCTGGAAGCCAGATGGGTCACAATAGGCAAAGTGCCTACACTTTTTAAACAACTTGCTAATGAGATTTGTAGCTTTTGAACAATTAGATCTAAAGCAGGCCTCTCCCCATGTTCTTGCTCAGGACGCTGGCAAATGTTTGCGTGGGCCTGTTGAGGGCAGTGGCTCTTCACATGACGAGCAGACCTGCCTCCAAGAAGAGAAGGGTCGTGCATACTTCCTGAATAAATAGAAACATTGCTGAAGAATGTCATCTGTTAAGCATATCTTCAGGGTGGAAGAAACACAAAAACTTTAAGAAACATTATGACTTAACTCACGAATATTGCTAGAGTTACTAATTCAACAGATTTACCACAATTAAATAAAAATCCATCCATCCATTCATCTGTTCATTCACTTATTCAATAATCATTTATCAGCTGGGCAAGGTGGCTCATGCCTGTAATCCTAGCACTTTGGGAAGCCGAGGCGGGTGGATCACTAGAGGTCAGGAGTTCAAGACCAGCCTGGTCAAAATGGCGAAACCCAGTCTCTACTAAAAATACAAAATTTAGCCAGGCATGGTGGCAGGCTCGCTCTTGCAATCCCAGCTGCTTGGAAGGCTGAGGCAGAAGAATTGCTTGAACCCGGGAGGTGGAGGCTGCAGTGAGCCGAGATAACACCACTGCACTCCAGCCTGGGCAACAGAGTGAGACTCTGTCTCAAAAAAGAAAAAAAAAAAAATCATTTATCAAGCAAACACATGAGAGGCAGTGGACTGTTAATGGACTAAACTGTTCCCACCCAAAACTCATATGTTGAAGTCCTAACCCCCAGTATCTCAGAATGTGACTATATTTGGAGACAGAGTCTTTAAGGGGAGCATCGAGTTAAAATAAAGTAATTAAGGTGGGGCCTAATCCAATATGACTGGTGTCTGTACAGGAAGAGGAGATTAGGAAACAGACATACACAGAGGGAAGACCATGTGAGGACCCAAGAGAAGAGAAGATGGCTATCTATTAATACAATCTGAGGAGAAAAGCCTAGGAAGAAACCAGCCCTGCCGACAGCTTGAACTCCTAGCCACCAGAATTGTGAGAAAATACATTTCTGTTGTTCAAGTCATCCAGTCTGTGCAGTCTGTGGTACTTTGTTCGGGCAGTATGAGCTGACTCATACAGAGACGCTTGATTTCTTAATACAGTAGAAAGCACATAAAATGCATAATACATAAGACAAGCATGCCACAACTAATTACAACACAAGGTGATTAAGAAACAGCTCACTTACAACCAACTCTCATAGAAGGACTGCAAAGCAAAAACTTGTTTGTAAACTGAAGGCAAGTCCTTCTTCTGGACATTCACACTGAATTCAATCTCAGCTTCCAGGCCTCCCCAAAAACATTTCTTCCTGGAGCCGAAAACTTTCTTTTCCCTGGTGCTGTGATCCCACCCCTAGCTGTTGCAAGAATCCACTGACTCCCTACTTTTCTGTTCAATGAATAATGACTTTGAATCTTCAATGACAATCCATTAACAAAAATGAAAACTGCTGCTAAGTGGTTATTAAGAAAAGTCATATCGCCTAACTCTAATTGCTTTCCCAGACTCTAAAAATCACTGATGTGCATCAATCCCTTACTGTACCCTCTGCACCATTGGCTCCCAAATCTAAGCTTCCATCTCGGCAGGAAAACTTCCAGGAGAGGAGGGAGCATGACTCTTGGGTCAAAACTTGCTCAATCCCCCATTAGAAAGTCAACCCTCTTCTAACATGGTGCTCTGATGGCTTGGGTTGAGCAAAAACGCAATCATCTATAACCCAATAGATCATGCATTCCCAATGAGCATATGGCGTCTTCTCCAGCGGGATAAAAACTGGTTCTTGTGGAAAAGAGATTTAAAAAAACCTTAGCTATTATGAGAATTTGTGTCCCTCCAGGTGGCTACAGTACATCCATAGATATACAGTAGATCTGTAGTATTAAAATGTCATGAGGGAAGGCAATCTTTAGAAAAAAAAAAATCTAGGCAATCTCCTTCGGATGGTGGCAGGGGGTGTGGGGGAAGGGGGTGTAATAATGCAAGAAGTTTGAGAGACACTATCATAGACTACCAAGCATGGAAATAAGAGTAACAGCTAACGGCCGGGTGCGGTGGCTCAAGCTGTAATCCCAGCACTTTGGGAGGCTGAGGCAAGCAGATGACGAGGTCAGGAGATGGAGACCATCCTGACCAACATGGTGAAACCCTGTCTCCACTAAAAATACAAAAATTAGCTGGGCGTGGTGGTGCGTGCCTGTAATCCAAGCTACTCGGCAGGCTGAGGCAGGAGAATCGCTTGAACTAGGGAGTCGGAGGCTGCTGTGAGCTGAGATCGCACCACCGCACTCCAGTCTGGCAACAGAGCAGCACTCCCTCTCAAAAAAAAAAAAAAAAAAAAAAGAGTAACAGCTAACATGTAACATGTAACGTGTAATGCACCAAGCCACGTGCTTGAGATTTGCTACCTAATTCTGATGGCCACACTGTGTAGTAAATATTACATTGCCATTTTAGGGATGCAGAAACTGGGACGTCAAGTGTTTAAGTAACTTTCCCAAGATTACAGGTAGGTGGGATATATGTAGCAGAAAATTTCCTACCAATATTCCATTTAATCATAGAAAACACTGTGTTCTCACACCCTCAACAAAATACACCAGCCCATGACATACTGAGTGTTAGCGGTTGCTACAATATTCTTCTAATACCTCCACACAGTACTCTTAACCATTGAGCTGTGCGCTCACCAAGAGTCCCTAAGTATGTGATGCCACTTATACCTTTTAACTGTAATTATATAATATAAAGAAATATTTGGTTGGGCAATATTAGGAGTACAAAAAGGAGTTACTCATGGTGTGAAAACTTACTTGAATGGTTCAGAAAAAATCATGAATGCTAGCTAAAGTTGCTGGTATATGCGGGGGAGGGGGAAGTAGGGAAAAGAGAATCTTACAAATCTTTCATCTCAATATAATAAAGCAAACTGGAAGTCAGGGTTGACATATTTGGGGGAGAAAATAATATGAATTCAATCGGTGCTATGGAAATATATAGATGAAAACTGAGCTGTACGTCAAAAGATTGGCCAATTAATGTCCAATTTGATGTTTCTGTGTACAAGTTATTTTATTTTATTTATTTATTTTTATTTTTGAGATGGAGTCTTGCTCTGTTGCCCAGGCTGGATGGAGTGCAGTGGTGTGATCCTGGCTCACTGCGAGCTCCAGTTCATGCCATTCTCCTGCTTCAGCCTCCCGAGTAGCTGGGACTACAGGTGCCCGCCACCACGCCCAGCTAATTTTTTGTATTTTTAGTAGAGACGGGGTTTCACCGTGTTAGCCAGGATGGTCTCGATCTCCTGACCTTGTGATCTGTCCGCCTCGGCCTCCCAAAGTGCTGGGATTACAGGCGTGAGCCACCGTGCCCAGCCACAAGTTATTATTAAATATCTTTATGATTTCTTAATTTAACTGAAGTAACTGTCCCAATTATGTCTGATATTAGGTAACATGTACACTATATAAGTTTTCAAATGTATATCATGGTTCTATCAGCCTTAAAATCTGGAAAATCTATGACTTTTTGAGGCAAAACTCAAGCAAAAGTGTTGAGCACCATTCACAGGAGAGAGCTGCCAGTACTGGCTTAATGATGTTCCCAATCTCCAATTATATTTCCAAGTTATCAAAAGCACAATGTAGCTGAGAGAAAACAAAACTCTGGGCTCCCTAAATGGTCTTTCTTGACAATAGGAAGAGGGGGTGTGGGGAAATGTAGGTTTTAATCAAATTAGCTGGAAAGGCCTGAGATGATATTAAAAGAAAAGATGAAAACGCTCAGTTAAAGTCTTCCATACCCAGGCACTTCTGACTGCCTGAATTATTTACCAGGTTCACTGCAGTTAGGCCCCAAAAGGGCTATGAATTCTTACTGGCATCTTCTCTGTGACCTGTGATGATTCTGAACTCTCTGTGTCAAAGAATCATGTCGGCACTAACAGGAGTGACAGCCAGACTAGGCTGGGAGGACCAAATGTCTTCCTATTTTCCTTCCTAACCCCCACCCACTTCACCCCTCTGCCAACACACACAGCAGGAAAGACTAATTTCTTCCCCATTTTCTAAGCACTCTTTGAAGGTATTTCTTTAGCACTGCTCTGAACTACAGCTATTTAGAGCAATTTAGTTTATCTGGATCCTTTTATTCCCTCTACCATTAGTCCAATTTCAAAAACAATAAGAACAACAACAAAAAAAAATCTTCTCAGTTTTAAAAACAGTCCTAGGCTTATTTATTTTAAATGCTTCTGATTTTTTTTTTCTTTCTTGGTGGAGTTTTCCAACTCTCTCTCAATTTCTTCACCCAGAGCAATTTATGAAAACAAATGCAGCCCACAGCAATCATTAATCCTTAAAGTGAACAATACTACTGTGAATTATGATGTTCAAAGACTTGGGCTAGATGGTGGGAGCTCAAAAGAAGTCAAAGATATGATTCGAGTGCTTAGTAAATTGGTAATCTAGTCACGTAAATAAAATGAGCACATTGGCGATTACCAGGCAATATATAAATGTTGAAAACAGAGGAAATAGGCATAAGTAAAGGAAGATCTGGATAAGACTCAGGAAGTCATGATTTTACTCCTGAATGTTCCGCTAAGGCAGACACATCACTTACCTTTCCTAGGCGTCATGCCACCCACCAGCATGAAAGGAGACAAAGCAGATTATAGTTAAGCTCCTTTTCAATCTTAAAATATGTGACAATTTCCAACCCATCCCACCCTCAAGATACTCCACAAAAATGTTTTCACTAACTAGTAAGACAGGTTGGGATAGATTTAGGTAGGATGGCTTCCTGAAGTTCTTCAGTGCATCAAAATGATATTGAAGAAAGCAACAGAAATGGGCTTCCATTTCTGTTAAAGCAGCCATGTTTTAACACAGTAAAAATGGCACTCTCAAGACACAAGGAAAAGTTACCTTATGTTATCCAGAAACATGCATACATTTAATTTCGGATCTGTTCTCCATTCTCAATCCAGGTTTCAAGATTGAGTCTCGCTCTGTCGCCCAGGCTGGAGTGCAGTGGCAAGAGACCTCGGCTCGCTGCAATCTCCACCTCCTGGGTTCAATTGATTCTTGTGCCTCAGCCTCCCAAGTAGCAGGGACTACAGGTGCATACTACTATGCCTGGCAGATTTTTGTATTTTTGGTAGAGTGGGGTTTCGCCATGTTGGCCAGACTGGTCTCAAACTCCTGACCTCAGGTGATCTGCCCGCCCAGCCTCCCAAAATGCTGGGATTACAGGGGTGAGCCACCGTGCCTGGTCTCAATCCAGGTCTTAATTACCTAACAAGATGTGACAGAAAAGAAAGAAAGGTAAGAATGAAAAGGAAATCCCATCATCTATTATCAGAAGTTATTTACCTGACCTTATCTCATCCTTATCAGAAAACCTCACTCAGCAATGAGCAGTCAGACACAGCTATTCTTTATATGCTGGTTTTGAAGCTATCAGTTATTCAGTCAATCCTATTATTCTAGAAAGCATCATGACACATCTTTTTTTTTCTCCTTCATAATCGATGCCCGGAACCTCAACTTTCCTCTTTCCCATAGACACAAAGGGGCCTCTATCTACTGTTCTCTGTAGATAGCTCTACAGGCGTTGTTCTCTGTTGCAGCTTGTACCAAGTACCTTCAGGGAATTCAGAAATAAATCAGTTAAAGTCCTTGCTTGCACATTATTTAGGAGAGAGGACGGCAAGGATGAAAGCCCAATTAATAATTTAAGGCAGATGGTCATAAATGCCAAAGAGGTATCAACAAAATTATACCCAGACACAAAAGAGAAAGATCCTATTTAAATGGAATATTTGAAAGATTTGAAGAGAACAGGGCATTTAAGATAAACTTCATTTATACTTTTCACATTCCCCATCAGATGTAAAGAAGGAAGTTATGCGCTCAAATGCCCCCATTCTCCAAAAGCAAAACAAAACAAAACAAAGCAAAAAAACCCGAAACCCTAAAACAGAGGTAATCATTATTCTGGGGTTATAGTAGATTTCTATGTAATACCTCTTCCAAATGGTTTATTTGTTCCATTTTAAACAGAAATGAAGGGTCCCCTACACAAAGAATTCACATGCATCAAAGAAGACACCATCCGTTTGTGACACTCCAGCAACTTGTTTCCTAATAAGTTGCCAGATCTATTCAGTTAACAGGGCAAAAATCACTGATGTGAAGGTGCAGTTCCTAAAGCAAAATTACGCCCACTCTTTCCATTTCACTCTTCATAATTGGAACATTTGCCAAATCATAGTTCCCTGTGCTGAGCATAGAACTCCATTCAGCTACTCTGGCTTTGAAAGCTCACACTTGGCTTTGAACAAACCCGGAGGAAGACAAAGAGAGCACATAACGTAATCAATCCTGATTTCTCCAATTTGTTCTTTGAGCTCCAGCGTGCTTTAATAAAATCGGAAGTGCCATCTCGCCTTCCAATTGAGAAGCTGGGCAGGGAGCAAAGCCAGTAGTGTACCAGGAATAATTCTGCAGTGACAACTCCAAGTCGGAGCAAAGGGACTATTCTAAGGTTGTGGTAGCAAAATGGTTACTTTGAGAAACTGAATTTGAATAGATTGCTTTGTCAGGAGACAGTAAAGAAAATCAAGTAGGTACATGTGTATTTTTGTGTAATATACATGCATATTTATGCATGCATTTACAGGGTGTACGTATGTATAAGAGTGCATATGTAAATACATATGTGCAAATGCATTTATAAGTCACTATATATCTAAGCAGACACTTTACTACCCTTCATTATAAATAAATAATAACAAATTGTATTCACAGGCTTAGATATGGTTAAAAAGCAATTCTCTATTGTGAAAATGGCTGCTCCTTCATACAGATCAATAATCATTGTTGGTGGTAGACAATGAACACTCCCACCTGACTTCCAGAAGCAACTATTTCTAGAACCTGATATTCAAAACATTCCACGGTGACCTCAAGGGAAAGTTTCCCATTTTTGAGCTGAGTATGTCAGACACAGGGAAATCCTTCTGCTAGTACTCTTTCTTAGCTATCCACATCTCTGTGACTTTACCAGTAATAATTATAATTATTTAAAATCTAATATTTGCATAGAATTTACAAAGTTTTCTCTGATGCATCTTGTTTGATCCTCACATCTCTCTAAGGCAAGTATTATCATTAGTCTCATTTTATAAGCGACCAAACTGAGGCTCAGGGAGTAGCAGGACTTTGCTCAAGCTTGTCCAGTTAGCAAGTAGCAAAGATGGGGTTCAAACCCAAGTATTCTGACTCCAGAGTTGTGCTTTTTCCTATGGGCTGGGAAGGTCTTCAGGGCTTTGCTCCCTAAGCCATTAATCCATTGCAGCTTGCCATTCACCAGCTGCTAGGACAGCCTGCTGTCTTCCATTATCCAGAGGCCTGTGGCCTCCCCAGGGAACTGGTGATGTTGGGCATAATTTTAGTCCTGGAAGTCTGGCTGTGTTCCAGAACCTCTTTATTAGGATCATGCTGTGTCATTTAAAGTTCAAAGAGGCTTGTAAGCAATGCTTAAAAAATGGCTCAACAATGGTCCACTAGTCCATGGTGAGTTCAACCCGGCCCTGATGGCTTGGACTCATAGTTTACCGCCTGCCCAGGGCAACATTATTTCACTTGGTTTCTTCCATGCTGCATCTCCCTTCTATCTCATCCTACACTACCTACAGCACTTCAGCTTCCATCCCTACATCTTCACTGCTTCCTGTACCTTAGTCCCTCCCTGGTCAGCTGAACATTCTCCTTTCTGAGGTTCAGCTTGTGCCCCTCATCCAATCTCCCTCTCACCCTCCTGTTACTGTAGGACACGACTTCCAATGGCTTATTTATTTCTATTTTTTACACAATATGAAATGAAAGTCCTATCTATCTCCTGGCTTGATAAAGACTAAACTTGTCATTCAACGAACATCTATTAAGCAGTTAGAATGGATAACACTCTGTGCAGCATAACACATAAGTCACAGACTCGACCCCCAACCAGGTCTTCTCTGATGAGAAAGAGGATCAGGTCTTCACTATTCCAAAAACTCTTTCCCAGCACTGGAAGTTCCCCAAGCTCCCACTCCACCTTTATTTTTGCTTCCATGTAAATTATATTGTCTCTATTTCTTACTCCCTGGTTCCTTATAATCCAGCTTATACTCTCCTGAAATACTTTTGAAATTGCAAAAAAAGTCCACAATATAATTTCATAATAGAAAATCTAATGGTCTCTTTCAATTTTCCTTTGCCTTGACTTCTCTGCAAGGATTAGATTCTCTTGACCACGTTTATTTTCCCCAAGCTCTAACCTCCATCAGTTTCTCTGATGTCCTGTCAGAGTCTTCCTTT
Source organism: Homo sapiens (assembly GCF_000001405.40). Lineage (NCBI taxonomy): Eukaryota > Metazoa > Chordata > Mammalia > Primates > Hominidae > Homo > Homo sapiens. The sequence continues at coordinate 85,600,498 of NC_000014.9, read as the reverse complement.
TTCTGACCATGCCTGTTTTCTTCCCTGCACATAAACGTGGGCAGTCCTCATAGTTCTATTTCCAAGCACCTCTTCCTCAGTACACAGATTAAATGTACATGATTAAATGCTACCACTTTAATCTTAGAAGTCTGGATACCAAATCTTTAACCCAATTAGAACATTCTGATCAGAAATTTAGCCCTGCATTTCCAAACCCATGGATACCGACAGCCACACACGTCCATCTGGAACTTCAAACCAAATCTTTCAAGCTCTTTTTCTGACTTCTCCATTTTGACCAATGGCATCAACATCTTTTGTTACAGTAAAGAGGCCTATGCTGCCTCCTACTACTTCCTCTTATCGCCCAAATGAATCATTAGTGAGGTCAATTCTTCTTTTACAACATCGCTCACATGCCTCTCCTCCTTTATTTATAGCTACCCCCATAAATGAGCTGAACTGCACTTGCGTCACATCTCTTTGTCTCCAGTCTCTAAACACCATCAATTACTTACAGATGATATTCTGAAGGTATCATTGTGCCCATCATATACTGTCCTATTAACAACTTTTATTTCTACTGCCTGTGACAATAATATTTAACATTTCCATGGCTGTATGCAGCCTTTTTATTCGGATCTTGGATTTAAATCCCAGATCTAACACTTCCTAGCTATGTGACCTTGGGGAAGTTATTTAATCTTCCTGTGGCCTGGTTTCTTCACCTGTAAAATACACGTATAATTTGTTAATCAACTGATAAAGGGAAGAAAGAAAGAAAGAAAAGGAGGAAAGAAGGAAAGACGGGGGGAGGAAAGAAAAGAGAGAGAAGGAGAAAGAGTAATTGAACTGATTAAAGATTAATTAATGGCTAAGGTACAACTTAAGTTTGTTTAGTTGTACATGGCGCTGTCTGACTAACTTAAAACTTCTTTCTTCAATCCAATGTGGTATAGAGGAAAACACATTAGAGAAACCAGTGTTCAATGCCTGAATATTCTGAAATTACTGGAAAGTAATTTAACTTCACTAGGTCACAGTTTTCTCCTGGTACATATGAATAACAATGCCTACTTTACATGGTTGCTTTAAGAATTAGGAAGAGAAATATGTTGTATCTTTGGTAGCGCCCTACTTATAAGATTGTTCTTCACAGTGGTTTACAGAGGCAGCAGCCAAAATATGGCCATTTCTGACCTTGCAAATACTTTTAGCCTATTGAGTTAATAGTGATTCATAGGATCAAAAGCTGTTTGCAATACTTGTCACCTTGAAAAAAAAAAAAAAAAAAAAAGGCCAGGCGCAGCGGCTCACGCCTGTAATCCCAGCACTTTGGGAGGCCGAGGCGGGCAGATCACGAGGTCAGGAGATCAAGATCATCCTGGCTAACACAGTGAAAACCTGTCTCTACTAAAAATACAAAAAGAAATTAGCCGGGCATGATGACGGGAGCCTGTAGTCCCAGCTACTCGGGAGGCTGAGGCAGGACAATGGGTTGAATCCAGGAGGCGGAGCTTGCAGTGAGCCAAGACTGTGCCACTGCACTCCAGCCTGGGCGACAGAGCGAGACTCCGTCTCAAAAAAAAAAAAAAAAAAACCATCCCATTTCTCTTATTTCATCTTAATGTATAGCTATATAAAATAAGTTGCACATCATCAAACCTATCACACAACACAGCTTTTTAAAGAGAGGCTGTCTGAATAGGAGAAGGAGGTAAATTGAATTCCGAAGACCTACATCTTTGTCTTAGTTCTGTCACTAACGGGAAGTGTTGTCACTTCATTTATCTAGGATTGCATATTAAAACCGTAACAGGAAGAAGAGGAATTTTATAACATCTAAGGTTTCCTTCAGCTCGAAAATCCTATGAGGTCCAACTTAGAAGCAGCTCTGTGATCACACAAACTTCTAAAGAACTTCTCAGAGCATCAGAACATCACCATCAGAAGCCAAGCCCTACGATGAATTCAGTGGACATAAAGGGCTGATAAGGATGATAGAGAAGACTTGGTTTTCTGAATCTGCTCCCAGTATCTGGTGTCACTTGTGCACTGCACCCCAAAATCACTTGAAAATCTAAGTTTAGAATTCCCGTATAATGGCTTTATTCAGTTGTGAAATCTGTTTAATTCCAGGATGAATGAAACACAGTTCACCCAATCCCACTCCATCATTCCCTTTTCTCTGAAATGCAGTCAGACAGACTTGTATGTCCCAACACTTCCTCTGTCATTAATGAGTGCTGGACAAACATGCAGCAAATCGTGTAACAACTCCGATCCAAAATCTCCTTGCAACAAGCTTATAAAGATTAAATGAGCCTACTTATGCAAAGTTTTTACTTAGTAAATGGCCTGAATAGAGTAAGTGCTCAATAAATGGCAATGATTATTTTCATCATTAGATGTGGGATGTGTCTATATGAAGTGACTAGATTGACAGTTTTGAGTGAAACAACTGAAGGAAATAGTGACAAGTGTAGGCAAGCCATAAGAAAAAGAGTTTGAAAACTGAGATCAGCTCAGATGAGTTCCCAACTGCAGACAATTATGTTTCTGACTGTAAATAAACCACTTTGTGGGTATAAAGGCATGCCAACAGAATATATCATCTCAGCAGTCCCACTCAGCTGGAACATCTATCAGTATACAATTTGAAGCCACACGTTTCCACATAATTCACTCATGTTTTTAGATTTCCACAGAAGTAGAAGTAATTGTGTCTCTGAACAGACTGGACTCCTCACAAGTTGTTTAAACCAAATAAATGTCTTAAAGTTGGCCGCATCCTTAGCGGGGCAAGGTGGCATATGCCTGTAATCCCAGCTACTCAGGACGCTGAGGCAGGAGAATCCCTTGAACCTGGGAGGCAGACGTTGCAGTGAGTCGAGATCGTGCCATTGCACTCTGGATTGGGCAACAAGAGCAAAACTCCATCTTAAGTAAATATATATATAAAGTTGACCACATCTTGTTACTTCCAGTATCAAGCTTCTAATCAAGAAAATAGAGCAACTTAAGAAAAAAATAAGCTCACAGACTTTGCCATTTAGCTGGTAATGGCAGCCAGCAAAATCAGGTAGAACAAATAAAAAGACAAACTTACCACGTATGTTTGTAATAGGATGTATTTTCTCATAAAGAAATCAACGTTCTCTAAATCGCCCATCTCCTTTTCTCACATACCTGTCTTAGTTAATAAGAGAATATGTATGGAGTATTGTATATATAAATGTAGTTCATGCCCTAACAGCTTATATTTCTCTTCATCTTTCTCTCATGGCCTGATATATATTCTCTCATTTTCCAGCTCCTTGAGCTACATTTTTCCTTATTATATTTTAATTGACTTTTTCATATTAAATTTTGTTTGAAAGGATGATTTGAGTTCAAAAGCGCCAAAGTTGTCATACCTTTTGAGCAAAGCCTTATGTCATATTTAATTTGATCCAAACTTGGATAGCAAATGCTGGTGTTCCTCTCTATTTTTTTCATCTCAACGCAATAAAATATAATAAAGGCACAGCTAAAGATAATAAAGAATAAATCGTTTCTGTCATTCAAACACCCAGCTTTCACCTTGACTTTGACGCTCAGAAAACTCTATCATTTTTAAATGTTTGCTTGTTTTCTGAGAATCAAATCGTTAAGGCCATATGCTCTCTCCCAGCTCAGTATTCTCATTACCATTTCAAGTGTGCTTAAAATCAATTGAAAGTCAACACACCCCATAACAAGGCGCAACTAGCATGTTCTCATCTGTGCCAGATGCACAGTAACTGCTCACCTGTGAAACTCTGAATTCTCCCAGGTACCATCATGATAGGCTAAGAGAGTTTAAATAATGAAAATGTTTTTTTTAAAAAAGTCTTTAGCAAGACGATGGGTTCAATTACTTTAGAATCTCTACCTCTGAAATTATTTTATCTATTTGTACATTGGACAATTCCAGAAAATAAATTCCCACATTAAAATCCTTTTTCCACATTTAAACAACAACAACAACAACAACGACAACAAAGACTGTCTTACATTAGTGTCTAATCTCTGTTTTGGTCCATGATTGTAAAAGGCGTAACATGACAAATAGCTAACAAATGTGCTGGAGCTCCTCAGAAAGGAAAACAGAGCGACATGAAAAGTGTATGTCCAGTTGTTTCAATATTTACAGAAACGCCTGATTCTATTTAAGATTCTTGTGAAGATGAGTATTGGTGGTAATTCAATGGACCGCACCTAAATCCGCGAGGACAGTTTCTATGTCAGTCTCCAGATCTGGAAGAGAAGATAACGTGTGAAAACAAACAACGGCAAAGGTTCAGGGGCGCCTGTTTCCTGGCCCCTGGGTGAGATGCAGCCTCCTTGCCCTATGCAGGGAGTCATTGTTTGTTTTTTGGGCATCACTATTTTAAAAGGCTCTTCCTGGACGGTCAAAAAGTGAACCGTAATTTCCTGAGAGATGCAGCCACAGCCCATCTGAATCGGAATGAAAACCAGTCCAATCCCAATTGCAGAAATCTCAAAGACCTCCAAACCTGCCCCAGGGGACTTGTACAGCTCAACTCCAACCAACAGACAAAGAAACACGATCACTTCTTGCCCGCCAAGTGAACCCTTCCAAATCTTCTTCACAGAACCAAGAAAATATATATGTGAAGTCAAGAAAACATAGCAAACCAGAAATGGCCTAGTTTTCCCACTGGGTCTGTTACTTGATATTGAGAACTTATTCCCCTATAGAAATAGCTATGGGTTTTACTTCCGGGTCCTTCTGTATCAGGGCTTCAAAGAAAATTTTGAATATTAATTCTATCGATGCCCTTTGAACATGGTAGGCAGTTATACCGTGGATAAAAGCAGGACATTAATTCCTAAGCTCTTTTCATATAGACTTCAAAGGGTTCTTTCTTCCACATTTTTGAAAGGAATCCATGATTTCTCATAGCTGTGTGCATATACACATATGTAACAAACAAGCACATATATATACTTGAAATGTATGCAAATCAGTTACTGAGCACCTTCTCAATGCCAAGCACCTTGTCGGGCATTTTTTTTTTTTTTTTTCACATCTTACTGCTAATTGTCACAAAATTCTTGTAGGTCATTATTACTAGCCCATTTGTGAGATTTATCTTAAAACTAAAGTTAAGTAAATTCATTTGCTTAAATTTACACAGACTGTAAACATCAGCACTTGATCCTAGGATTATATGACTCCCAAAGCCAGGGTCTTTCTAACTTATAAAACACATCTCTTATTAATTAATGACTTTGGGCATTATGGAAGTATACTTGGCACTAGAACAACATGGGTTTGAACCATGCAGGTCCACTTATATGTGGATTTCTTTGAATAAAAGTAGCACCAAGTGTACCTGCCTCTCTTGCTTCCCCTTCACCCTTCATCTCTTCCACCTCTGCCACCCTGAGATAGCAAGACCAACCCCTCCTCTTCCTCCTCCCCCTCAGCCTATTAATGTGAAGAAGATGAGGATAAAGAACTTTATCATGATCCATTTCCACTTAATACATTTACTTAAGTAAATGTATTTTCCTTACAATTTCCTTAATAACATTTTCTTTTCTCTAGTTTATTGTAAGAATACTGTCAATAATACATATAAAATACAAAGTATGTGTTAATCGACTGTGTTATTGGTGAGGCTTCCACTCAACAATAGGCTATTAGTAGTTAAATTCTGGGGGAGTCAAAAGGTAACGGCAGATTTTTCAACTGTGCAGAGGGTCCGTGTTCCTAACTCCAGCATTTTTCAAGAGTCAACTCCATTAAGTAAACTTTAGTTTTTATGAGGATTATAGGAAAATTGAATAGGAGACGGGTTTAGATTCAAAAGTACCAAAACATGTGTTTCTCAACTGCAAATGAGTGAGATTAAAACAACTCCAAAGACCCTCATTCTTTCAGAGCTCAGGGAGAAAGTTCTCAACTGTTTATTGAGCACCTACTGGGGTAAGAGAGATTTAGAGTTTGTGGTGGAGGGCCAAGGTTTAAATAGTCACAGTCAAGCTAAGCCGCACCTAGGGTATGTGAGTTGAGACTTACAGGTATGAGGGAGCGGCACACACACATCTCTGGGAGTGGCTATTTGATGAAGTTTTACTCACTCACACAAAACCAAACTCAAAGACGTGTACACACATTCCACACACAACACAAATCCCCAGGCCTTCCCAGCCATACTGATCAAGGCCTACACAATTTTTTCCTCCTGTCCCTTAACTGAGAGTGTTTAATATTTAAGCAATAACAGTTAAATATTATATGCTTAGTGTATGTTTAACATTACTAAACAAAACTTATTTTAATGAATTTAAAAACAAATTATTAACAAATAATTGGACCTGAATATTCTAAATAAGTAGACATATGATGGGATCCACAATATATAAGATGACTAGGAATTTTAAATACATATATATATGTTTTGTTTTGTTTTGTTTTGTTTTTGAGACAGAGTCTTGCTCTGTCACCTAGACTGCAGTGCAGTGGCATGATCTCGGCTCACTGCAACCTCTGCCTCCTGGATTCAAGCAATTCTCCTGCCTCAGCCTCTGGAGTAGCTGGGATTACAGGTATGTACCACCACACCTGGCTAATTTTTATATTTTTAGTAAAGATGGGGTTTCACCATGTTGGCCAGGCTAGTCTCAACCTCCTGACCTCAAGTGATCCGCCTGCCTTGAACTCCCAGAGTTCTGGAATTACACAAAAACATAATTTTTAAATATCAGATGCTAAGTATCTTTAATGCTCAGAGCTAGTTATAAAATTGTTTCAATTAAAGGGGAAAAAAATGCCCAGGTAACTGTCACACGAACAATGCTAAATAGCCAAAAGAAACAGTAGAAGGTTGGCAATGTTGTAAAGAGTGAAGAATTTGTAAAACATTATTCATTGGCTCTGAGATAGACTTTAAATACCCAACAATACCTTGGTTCTTATCCTCAGAAAGTACATGACATTGAAAACCCTACTGGCACTCACAGATTTGGGCTCAACACATTTTCAATCAACAGAGTTTCAATCATATGTAAGGAAGAGCCCTGTGAAAGGTATGACATGCTCTAAATTAACCTTACTGGCCCTGCAGCCAGAAGGTGAGGTCTGAGAAAAAGAGTTTGAACATTATGTGCAAGAGATAGTGGTTAATTTCATGGACTTTCAAAAGTCACACAGAACTGGACACACAGACATTGTAGGAAAATCTGAAAATTTTAGGAAAAGCCTAAAATTAACCATTTGAAAGCAACCCATGCTTCAAAAAAAATTAAAAGTTAATCTAGGAAAATTATATAAACATCTAGCAAAATGTCTGTTTCCTTTTCTCTTTTGTAGTTAACCTAAATGTTCTTAAAAAACAGTATAACCTGGTGGCAATTACTTAGCCTAAGAAGAAAAGGAAATGTTACCCATATCCAAATGTGAATTGAGATTAGTGTACAGTAGATGAAGGTATCTTTTCTACATTTTCAATCCACTGATTTGAAACTATTACTTGAAAATATTGTGTTAAACATGTATGTAATTTGAAAATATTATAGAATGACTACAAAGAAAGCCCTGTGCACATGGAGCCAACAATGTAGAATGTTCTCCAGCTCCAAATATTCCATTATACTCTGCATGGTATCCTGTATGAACAGGTACAGAATTCATGCGGTTCCAGGTTTTCTTTTTTTTCTTTTTTTTTTTTTTTTTTGAGACGGAGTTTCGCTCCTGTCACCCAGGCTGGAGTGCAATGGGACGATCTCGGCTCGCTGCAACCTTCGCCTCCTGGGTTCAGGCGATTCTCCTGCCTCAGCCTCCTGAGTAGCTGGGATTACAGGTGCCCAACCTGATGCTCGACTAATTTTTGTATTTTTAGTAGAGATAGGGTTTCACCATGTTGGCCAGGGTGGTCTCAAACTCCTGACCTCAGGTGATCTGCTCACCTTGGCCTCCCAAAGTGCTGGGATTACAGCCGTTGCGCCACTGCACCCGGCTGATTCCAGATTTTCACCTGGCAAGTAATGGTGATACTTCTTTGCAAATTCCAGACCCCATTTGTTCTTAGAGTTGACGTATATTTACCACCAAACAGGATGGTCTATCAGTTCTATCTACCTGATAAAAAAAAGAAAGGTGAGTGGAGGTTCCCATTTACCACGTGTCCCACAATTTGCAGCCCAATTGCTGCCAGATAAGGAGAGGAACCAGGATGTGGTTTTCGGGATGTAACGAGCAGAAGAAAGGGGAGCTACCACCTTCTTTCTCTGGGGACACTTTCTTATTTTTCTATTTTCTTTTCTACCATCACAAGAAAACCAACTTTATCCTATCACTTAAAAAAAACTTATAAAATATTTTTTTTGTTTTCTTCCTGTCACATCTGTTTTAACGACCCACTGCAGGCAGGGTAAAATCAGCAACTATGGAAAAAAGTATTTAATGTGACACTTTTAAAGTCAATTTGTAATTTACTTTGTTAATTTCAACTTCATGGAGTTATTCATTTCTTGACTGTTTATGTGTTTAAAACAATGACATAAATGCATATTAAAATTATATAGCATTCTATATAAGCATAATGCCTCTTTATTCTCCACATCCATAAGAGTCAGGGCTTAGCTCATGAAATATTTATTAAGCAGTAAAAATGCTATGTATTCACCAGACAAAACACCACCTCACTTCACTCAATAAATCAAGAGCAGTTAAGAAGAAACATTTAGTTGCCTACCGCCCTAGATAAATGGAGATTTGTTATATTTTCAGCTGTTTCATGTACTAATTGGCAAAAGCAATTTGATGGCTATTTTGCAGGGTTGAGGTGATGGGATTCCCAGTCACCTAAGGATTCACCTGTTACATTTCAAGTGCTTAATTACAACCTGCTCTGTAACTTCCTCAAGCAAGAGGCAGGGCTGTGGTGTGTCCCCTGCCTATGCATCTTCAGAACTTCAGAGGCCAAATCTTTTTTTCCATTGCCAAATTTCTAATTGGGAAAAGGCATTCCCACAAGACAATGTACTTCAAACATATCTATACTGGAAAAGGGCAAGATGTGTCCTCAGCTTCTATGAAATGAGTGGATGATACCAACATCCAGTCACTACTGATGCGTGCTTTCATTCAGTTTTTCTACAGTGGTTTTGTATTTACCCAATCCTCAGTGACTCCAAGGCTTGAGAAAGGGCCTATCCCTGAGAAAACGGCCTGGGAAGGGGTTGTGTTACTACCTCCTGGCTTTCTTCTTACCGTATTTTAAATATTGATTGATGGCTGATAAATGAACTAATTCATCTGCAAAATTAATTCCAATGAACAATGCTTTCTTTTTCCAAAAATTATATTTGCTTTTCAATGAATTGGATGTCTTGGAATTCCTTTCAAAGAGTTTTGCAGTTACTATCATGCTACCCTCCAAAGTCAAAAGTAAAAGTATTACAGTAGAAGATGGTGTTTGCTTTCCCAAAAAAGATAAAGAAGAAATACAAATGATTTAGTGACTCACTCAAGGCCACACAGAAATTCAGAGGAAAGAGTGATTAGAAGTCTGACTCAGTGAACATGTATCCCAAGCACACAATTAGGAAAGAGAGGTGAGCAATTTAAAAAATGCTATGGCTCAAGCCTGTAATCCCAGCACTTCAGGAGGCCAAGGTAGGTGGATCACCTGAGGTCAGGAGTTTGAGGCCAGCCTGACCAATATGGTGAAACCCCATCTCTACTAAAAATACAAAAATTAGCCAGGCATGGTGGTGGGCACCTGTAGTCCCAGCTATCGGGAGGCTGAGACAGAGAATTGCTTGAACCGGGGAGGCAGAGGTTGCAGTGAGCCGAGACCGCACCACTGCACTCCAGCCTGGGCGAAAGAGCGAGACTCTGTCTCAAAAAAATGAAATAAAAATAAAAATAAAATAAAATAAATATCCTTACTCTATCCCTTCTCCATATGCATGATACTGTGCAAATACTACTGCCTTCACAATACATGGATCTCTATACAAGATTTAATTTACTATACCCACAAAGAGAAAAGGAAGTATTCATCAATGCACTTCACCTATCATTGAGATGAAAAAGCAGACATTAGTGATTTGCTTTTCAAGTTCTAAACTCTTATGCTCAGATGAAAAAACAGAAGGGACAAGAAGACAGGTATTGTACAGCACATGGGTTAAGAGGAAGGAAATTCGTCTAGGGCATTCCCAGGCTCTGTCACACGGCTAGCAAAGTCATTCTAAAGGGGGCAGTTTTGCCTCACTGCCCCCACCCCAAGGAAATTTGGCAACGTTGGAGACATTTTTGATAGTCTTGACTGGGGATGCTACTGACATTTGGTGGGGAGAGACCATGAATGCTGCAAAATCCCATATGATGCACAGCTCAGCATCCTACAACAAAGAGCTCAAAAGGTCTATAATGTTATGTTTAAAAAAAAAAAAAAATCTGAGCAAAAACAACAAAACTGGAGGAATCACATTACCCTCAAATTATACTACAGAGCTATAGTAACCAAAACAGCGTGGTACTGGCATAAAAACTGACACAGAGACCAATGGAACAGAATAGAGAATCCACTCACCTACAGCGCATCCACTTTTGACAAAAGTGCCAAGAACATATGCTGGGGAAAAGACAGTCTCTTCAATAAATGGTACCAGGAAAACTTGATATCCATAGGCAGAAGAGTGAAAATAGACCTGTATCCCTTGCCATATACAAAAATCAAATCAAAATCTATCAAAGACTTAAATCTAAGACCTCAAAGAATTAAACTACCATAAGAAAACCTAGGGGAAAATCTCCAGGACATTGGTATGGGCAAAAATTTCTTGATCAATACCCCACAAGCACAGGCAGCCAAAGCAAAAATGGACAAATGGGATCACAAGTTAAAAAGCTTCTGCACAGCAAAGGAAACAATCCACAAGGTGAAGAGACATACCCACAGAATGGGAGAAAATATTTACAAACTATCTATTTGACCAGGGCTTAATAACAAGAAGATATAAAGAGATCAAACGACTATAGGAAAAAAGCTAATAATCCAATCAAAACACGGGCAAAAGATTTGGACAGACATTTCTCAAAAGAAGAAACACAAATGGCAATCAGGCATATGAAAAGGTGCTCAACACCACTGACCAATAGAGAAATGCAAATTAAAACTACATTGAGATATCATCACACCCCAGTAAAAATACCTTATATGCAGAAGAGAGGCAATAAAAAATGCTGGCAAGTATGCAGAGAAAAGGGAACTTTTGTACCCTGCTGGTGGGAATGCAGGTTAGCATAACCACTGTGGAGAACAGTTTGGAGGCTCCTCAAAATACTAAAAATTAAGCTACCATATAATCCAGCAATTGCATTACTGGATATATACCCCAAAGAAAGAAAATGTTGGCCATCTGTATATCAAAGAGATATCTGCATCCCCATGTTTGTTGCAGCACTGTTCACAATAGCCAAGATTTGGAAAGAACCTAAGTGTCCATCAACAGATGAATGAATAAAGAAAATGGAGCACTATTCAGCCACAAAAAAGAATGAGATCCTATCACCCATCCAACATGAATGGAACTGGAGATCACTATGTTAAGTGAAATAAAGCAGGCACAGAAAGACAAACATCACATGTTCTCATTTGTTTGTGAAATCTAAAAATCAAAACAATTGAATTCATAGACATATAGAATAGAAAGATGGTTACCAGAGGCTGGAAGGGTACTGAGGGGCTGGGGTGGGGGAAAAGTAAGTATCGTTAATGGGTAGAAAAAAAATAAAAGGAACAAATAAGACCTATTTGACAGCACAACGGGGTGACTATGATGAATAATAACTTAACCGTACATTTTAAAGTAACTCAAAGAGTATAACTGGGTTGTTTGTAACACAAAAGATAAATCCTTAAGAGGATGGATACCCCATTCTCATGATGTGGTTATTTCACATTGCATGCCTGTATCAAAACATCTTATGTACCTCATAAATATATACACCTACTATGTACCCAAAAAAAGTAAAAATTAAAAAAAAAAAAAAACTGAGCTAGTGATAGGAACTGGATCAAGTCATTTAATTTCTAGAAGGCCAAGTCTTATTTGAGTAATACTATCATTAACACAGCATACCTGCCTTGAAGGGTAGATGAGGGTACCACGAGAGACAATTCAAGCAAAGACCTTCATCCAGTTACTGAAATGTTTATTGAATTGGAAGTATTTTTATTATTCTTAGTAATATTAAGGCCCGTCTGTCTTTCACTTAACAAGATGTGAGGAGAAGAAGCTATAAGAGGAGACAAAAATAGGCACTAATTTTAAGTGTATAATAGTATGAAGAAAATAAGATTCGGGACTCAAATAGTGACACTTGTTTCGTTCTGCAATATTTTTGTCTAATCCCATCATCATCATCAATAAGAAAGAAGCTGAAATATCACTCGGGAGGCTGAGGCAGGAGAATGGCATGAACCCGGGAGGCCGAGATTGCGGTGAGCTGAGATTGCGCCACTGCACTCCAGCCTGGGAGACAGAGCAAGACTCCATCTCAAAAAAAAAACAAACAAAAAAGAAGCTGAAATAAAAGCAGTCCCCCAGAACATTTCCTCATCATTCACCATGCCACAGTTCCAGACATCTTACTAACCAGGTGATTAGACAATACAGCATTGTGGGTAATATTTTAATCATGAGAAATTTATGCTAAAAGAGGATGTTAAAAAATATTCTCATATTAATATCATCTTTGAAATACGAGCTCTTCTTCCAACGATGAGTTTTTATGTAAAGTCTTCAGGGTTTTGATTTTGTTCTTTTGAGCTGTCAACGGTGACCACATCTAAAGAGGCCGCTTACATGTGTCTGCTGAACCTGCGGTAGGGTTTGAGGAATGGCAAAGTGTTCACTTAGAAAAAAAAAAAATTCATGGTCAAGTCCTTTAATTTGTTGACATAGTTGGAACTTGAAGATCAAGTTCCAGTTAAAATGACCTAGGAACTGAATATGCTTTTTCTGTTTTAGGTGGTGAGGAGGGCCAAACCACAAGATTATACATCAAATGCACAAACAAAACAAATCAGGAAAATCTCGGACAGCTGAAGTAGCTTTTGCGTAGGAATTCTTTGGCGCTATTGGCACACTGGTGTTTGCTGTCAGTGCCAATTACAATGATCAAGATGAGCTCTGCTTTCTTCTTTTTTTTTTTTTTTTTTCCATTCCTTAGCCAGCTACAAACTGGATGACAAAGCAGTTTCAAGGCTCAAACCTACTCATGCCCACTTCCTGAAATACTAAAAGAATGTAAGTGCTGGTGTGTGTATGTGTGTAGGTTTTCAAGGATCATTTTGAAAGCGAAGTACAACAAAGCTTCCTCGTTTGATGGTAAAATGGGCAATTGCAATACCTTTGTCTTAGATAGAGCCAAGGGCTAAATATCAAGTTAGATACTGGTTGTAGAAAGTAATATATAATTGTGTATAAAATAGCATGTAATTTCCCTATGGCCAAGCAGGAGAATATATACTGGTCTATAAAGGAAAACCAGCTCCACCTAAGCTCAATGAAAACCAGCTTATCTTTCCACGTCAACCTTTTGTATGTGAACTTCTTTCTTCTGACTTTGAGAAATAGCATGACCCCACTGTACAAATGACAGGATCACGACTAAACTGATTCTATATCTACCATGCCCATGAGAATTTGCCTGAATGGCGTTAAAATTTCAGTTGCTAAAACAGAAACCTAAACAAAGACCTTTTTTATTTTTTCCTTTTTACTTTGAGATATGTGTGTGTGTGTGTGTGTGTACATATATATTTACTTCATATATTTACCTATATATATCAAAATACCGTATTTTCAATTCCTAAACTGTGTAAGAATTGGCACATAAATATGAGTGAGTTTTATCACGATTATAAAGCATCAATTGTAAGTATTCTTTTTTTAAGTGTTCATTTTATTATAGTAAGAACATTTAATATGCTGTCTACCATCTTAACAAATTAAGTGTTTAATACAGTACTCTCAACTATAGGCACAATGTTGTACAGCAAATCTCTGGAACTTATTCATTTTCCATAGCTGAAACTGTATGTTATTGATTGAACATTGTTTCTTATATCAGTATTGTCAGTGCAGTAAGCAGAGTACGTAAGAAAACTCAGGCTCCAGAGTGCTCTGGGATTGAAGCCTGACTCCAGTGTTTACTGCTGTGTGACTTATGGACAAGTTACTTCACTAACCTCTCTGTGGCTTCTTTTCCTCTTCTGTAAAATGAAGATAAAATGATAAAGATAAAATCATGGAGTTGTTAGAATTAATCATATTTATATTAATATGTAATATATATACATATGTGTATTATATATATTATATAAACACTGATTATATAAAATATAATAAATATACACTGACTATATAAAAACTGTATATAGCTTATATCACTTAAGTATAATATATATTTTAATTAAATATATATTTCATTAAAATATATGCTTTTAATGAAATATATTTACATATTTAACTAAAAATATATATACTTAATTAAAAGCATGTAGAGCCAATATCAAAGAAGTAAATTATCAAAATATCTTCTATCATTATCATCTGGTGCATCATTACTCCCGCAGAACATCAAGAACAGAAAATTCAGCTGCTCATCTTTGGTTCCCCAGCTCTTCACCTAGACAGACCTCATGGCAGGTGCCGCAAGGGCCCTTGTAGCTTTATATCTCCTTTTACCAAATATCCTGTCATTTAGATTTAGTTAAATATGAGAAAAACAAGGTTCACCCATCTTCATTCTCAAAAAAAATCATTTATTTTACAGTATCAACAACCCTAAATAATAAAGAAATACAATACAAATAGAATGCCCTCTATACACACGCACATGCATATAATACACACACACACATGATTCTTTCTGTGTGCTGAGATTACAATTAGTAGTAATTTTATCCTTTAACTTTGGATTTTCCAAATTATCAACAATATACTTACCTTACATTAATGATCAGAAATAAAAAGGTTTACATTTTTTAAAATGAAGATAATTTTGGTATTATCAGTATAACTGAACACTGCTGGGCCCCATCAAATGGGGAAGGCAGCCTGAACGCAGTGACAATATAAATACTGCCCTGAAAAAGAATAGTCTGGGATGAACCAAACCTGCAAGAGATTTATGAGAGAAATAAAATATTTGAGCAAACCATCTTGACCTTTCAACCCTGAGGGCAGATCCTCACTTCCGTCAAACCTGAAGATGGATGGCCACGAAAGGAAAAGGCTTATTGAGTGTTGATGACAGATGACTGGACATGCATTAGGTCCCTTATTCCCACCTCCAACCTTGTAGGTAGTCATCAGGGCCACCATTTTACAAAGAGGGAAACTGGAGCTCAAGGTCACACAGGAGGTCAGGAGCAGCATTAGAATGCCACCCCATTTCTTGGTGCCAAGTTAAATATCCTTTCCTCATGCCACAAAAGCCCTCGACTGCATCTGGTCTCTCCTTATCCTTCTTACATCTTTATCCATCATTTCTACCTTCCCCCCGCCCTGCCACCCACCTCCCACCCCCACTCTATGCCTTTTGGATACGGCCCCATTTGCAATGAAAACTAAGCAAGAGTACAAAAGCCTCATATAGCTCCCACACAGAAGGCTTGGCTAAGGTAGGGCCAGCGTTGCCTGAACCCACCAGTATTCTCGCAGATGTGCAGCTGCACACATGCACACCGCCTCTGCAAGGCTCATAAAGCAGCTTTCAGTACCACTTAGAACCCTGTGTCAGGGTTCTGCATCTGCAGGGGCGGCCAGCAACTGCACAGGAAGCGATTCTCTGCTCAGCCCGGGCAGGACCTGCCCTGTTTGCAGAGGAGCAGGCATGGAGGCCCAGAGAAGGATGTCTGTCCTCTGTGGCTCTGGGGGGCATACTGTCATGTCCTGAAAGACACCAAGAGGAGAAAGAACTGCAGAATGTCTAAGGAAAAGCCTCAAAATCTGACTGTATTGAGCCACTCCATCTAGGCATTCAATACCTACTGCTTTACAGAAATACAGAATTAAGACACAGCATAAGAAAGGCCGTTCACAGCTTTGATTGGCCATCACATTTTTCTCTTTATACCTTTCAGCATTTTTTAATATGATTTCTTTTGCTAATTATTTAAACAAGGAAATAAGTGCAATGTCCTGAGTCAATACTATGCAGCCATATGTGCCCATCTCATTCAAAAAAGGCATTTTCTAGTCCTGTGCAAATATTAATCAACTTGTTCATTTTGCTAGGCAAGTAGCTAAGGAGCCCTAGTTCACCAGTGCTTAAACAGAGAGGTTAAAACAATAGAGCAATTTAATTGTAGAGCTTTCCTGAGCCTGCAAACTCACTGGTGAGGAAGTGAGGCAGCCCATATTCTCTGAGGGATAAATAAATAAATCCTATTGCAAGAATAAAGACGGTCTACTGCAACCACAGAGGCAGATCCAAACACTAATGCCAATCACTACCTAGTCTTTTTTTTTTTTTTTTAAAGAAACAGTGTCTTGCTACATTGCCCAGGCTGGCTTCAAACTCCTGGGCTCAAGGGATCCTCCCAGCTCAGGCCCCCAAGTAGCTGGGATTACAGGCGCACCTTTGCATTCAGCCACCACCTATTCTTAAAACATCCATATATCCACTTTCAGATTCTGATTAGTTTAAGAAGAGCCCATTTTCTCTTCCTTCTGCCTGATTTTCAGGAGGCTTCTGCCTCTGCTCTTTCTAGGGCATGGCAATCAACATGCAGCACTCCACGTTATGTAAAGTAAATTATATCTCCTTCCGTGCACAATGCCTTGAGGGAATATTCTTTAAGCGGACCAGGAGCTCTGATCCTGACTTTATCCTGTAGGAGTCCAGGGCTGTGCTAGGAGCGTCTCTCCACAGCATCTACTGCTTAATTCTGGAAGTACTTGGGGCTCAAGTAACTGTTGCCAAAATAGGAGCGTTCTGTTCCTAAAATTCATTGCTTTAATCCACATTTGAATTCTGTTCATGGGACAGAGTGCTCATCAGTTGCTCAATGGATTAACTCCTTGACAACTACAACTAGGAAAAATCTGGCCACTTCAGCACACCAGCTGCAAGGCTTCTGAATGGGTTAAGACTGTTTGTTGAATTTCTGATTTAACAAAATGAATGTACTTTACCTATTCTTTTCCATTACCTTTATTTCTCTAAGTATTACAACACAGTATACAAAATGAAGGTGGACATTATAAATAAATAAATCTCCCTTGTATTTCCTGTTAGAGGCACTGGCAGAGACAATTTAACCTTCAGAGTTGATCCCTGCCAGTAATTTTCAGCATCCTATAAAGATTATCTTTCAACGATTTTCTGCACACAGTTCCTAGAGTCCTAACCCTTCACAAGGACAATTTCATTTCTCACATGGGAATTTTCCCTAGGTTCTTTTCTTTCAGATGGCTTTCTATTTTAGATAAGGGCAGGGACAGGAGAGTGGAGAGGTAGCTTAGCTTTAACCTCCAGAGCTGTGAAATCAAACAATGAGGCAGAAAATTATAGAAATATATAGTAAAAACTATATATATATATAGTTGGATATATATGTATATATCTCCAACCTACACAGAATCTTATAAAATGAGGTCCTTTCTGCTAGCCGCTACTTAACAACACTCAAAATTAGGTGCTGTCATCCTAAATTAATAATAAAAACAGCTAGATATGTAATCCATACAAGGACTATATTAGTCCATAAGATAGACTAATTATTATTCCCATTATACATATTATAGTAATGATTATAATGGCAATAGCTATGGTTTACTGAGTGCCTAACTACGTACCAGGCACCTTATTTGAGATGTCTTCATTTAATTCACACAGTAGGATTATAAGGTCGATGCTCCAGTTACTCCCATTACACAGATGAAGAAACTGATCCCAGAGAGGATAAATAATGCACCCAAAATCTATGCTAATAAATGCTAGGATTTAAACTCTGACTGGCCTAATTCTAGACTTCTTGACCACTTTGCCACAATGCCTCAAACAAACACTAAGTACAAATCACAATCAATTAGTAGTATTGAAAAAGACCTCTAAGAGTTATTGAACAAGTAATTTCTACCTCTTCCTTAGGGTCTCCATTCAAGCTTTCCGTCACTTTCACAGAGGTTCCTAAATTGAAACAAACCACAACTACACCCTGCATGCATATACAAACACATATATCATATAATCACAAGGTTGTATTTCATATGTATCAGAATAATGCTCATATGGCTACTCAACAGAATTCTATCAACGCTCCATTTGTTTTTGCTTTACCATCAATCTACAGGATCTAAGAGCAGGATCTACATATGGATTCAACCTCCTATATCACACAGATTGTAGAGTGGTAGTTAACATTATGTAAGCACCTCCCATTGTTAGTGGTACTGTTCCATGCCCCTCACTGTATGGAAAGATAAAAGTTAATACCAAACTGCATTCATGTTTACAGACACAGCTGTCAACCAGAGTCAGGATTTCATCCTTTCAAAGGCTAAGTAAGACCCAAGTTGAAATGAAATGACATAGAATCACATGTGTCACATGTCCTAACTGTGGGTGGAAAGATCTTAAGAAATAACACTACAAAATGATTCCAAACCTTACACCAAGCTTTACTCAAATGAAACGTGGGTCAAGAACTTTGGGGCACCAATCTCATAAGCCCCATAAATAAATACACATTTTCCCTGAATAAAAATAAATAATTTCATTATATACAATCCATTTCTATAAATTTAAAATAATACTGTAAAACAAACTTTGTAAGAATGTATATAATGTTACTACTTTATAGAGATAATTTAATCTTTTATTCCAGAAGAAAATGGAAGTCTCCATTCTGGAGTCAACTTCTAACATTAATATTCTTTTACTTGTGCTATGAAGGCCCACGAAGACTCAGGCTGTGAACCTAGGGGAAGGGAACAACCGCCATATTGCTCCAAGAAGTGGAGATGTGGTAGTTTTCTAAACTGTTTGAACTAGGACTCAATGGTAGCATCCAACAATTCTTTTCCTTTCTTTGACCACTAAATATAGAGGTCAGTCTTCTCTGGGGGTAAGTGGTATCCTGTTATGAGCCACGTGAAGCCAAGGGCTTGTCATTCAGAGCACTGCTTGCTCTGTTCTAAAATCTGGAAGACTCAAGGACTGCTGCTGCCCTCGACCATCTTCAAACAAATGGGAAGCTAATTTGCATAAGCCTCATTTCCATTTTATTCATCCTCTGCCCAAATCTAGATCAGAATGTTTTAATACCATCCCACTGTGGGCGGTCGCGCAAATTTCAAGGGTATCTGTGGTCAACAATTAGAAGGCATGGGTTTCAGAGTTGAGTTTATGTTAGAAATTAAAAGCCGAAATAAGCGAATGCCTGTTGCAAGATAAAGAATAAGAAAAACAAAAAGGCCAGCTAATATATAAAACATGAAAGAAACCTGAATCATCACTATGGACTTCTCATCTAATCTCTTCGGATTAGCCAGAACGCCACTATTTTTGGAATGCCTAGGATGTACACCAGGTACTTTACTTGCATTTCCACATTTATTCTTTAAAAGCACCTAGATAAATGAGGGATTTCTTTTTTTACTCCTTGATATATAAGTAAAACCCCAGAGGAAAAAGAAAATCAAAAGGCAGGCATTTTTCTCAATCCGCTAGAAACACAGGAACGCTTGCTCTACACCCATTTCCTTTCCTCACCAGCCCACATGACCTGGCTTCTGCTGACTGTTTTCTGATGATAGCTCATCATATAGCAGGAATATGTCCTAATAAGTGTACACAAGAAACTTCAGCAATTCACTCCACTTTTGGGTGTTTTCTTCTCTTTGAACATTAAACAGACTAAGACAAACCGTTAACTTTAACGAAACTCTATTAAGGTTTATGAACCAGATTTTTAGGTATGTGTGAATACTATTTTCTAAAAATAAATTGCCTCGATGCCATCATAAAGGTATTATAATAAAGGGGCATGCATGCACTCGCACATATATGAACACAAACTTCTTTTGCAAATGTAATCCCATTAAAAAGGAAAAACAAAATTACTTCTGAAAACTTCTGAAAATCCCATTAAAAAGGAAAAACAAAATTACTTCTGAAAACTGCAAAAATCTTGCAACACCAACAGTACCTTCCCTGGCTCATTAATTCTGGCCTAAATTTGCTACTGTCAGGCAAACCAGGCACACTGTCCAGCAGACACCCACCTGCTATTAGGCTGAATGTGCCTGGCATCTTGACATTCTATTGATTCCAATCCAAAGCTTATGTAAAAAAGGCAGCTCAGAGTCCAAAAGGAATTTCAGCCACAAATACTTTGGGAGAAATCCAAGCAACTAAAAACAGAAAGAAAGACAAGATGCAAATCTGAGTGACAAAACTGAGACAACCCAAGCCAGACTGGAGAATGTTCAAGGACAAATCTCCAAATGACCCAGGCATCAACCCCTTTGGATAACCACTTATTTAAAAAAAAAAAAAAAAAAAAAAATTCTAATACCCTGTGCATGGAATGACCACCCCTGACCCAATCTAGAGTATTGGTGGATATATTCACAAAGAAGTATTCACTAGTATCCCAGTGGCATCGCTTTTAAAGACAGCCCTGTCATTTTTGCCCTGTAAGCCCTTATTACATATTCAGTAGAAACTTGCCATCTCATAAATACAGTCTTGATAATGACAAAGAATTCAAATTATTAATCAGTTAAAATGAACCAGAAACTATGTAAAGTGCTTAAGAATATCAGTGTTTGCATCTTCAAAACAACCCCATGGGCTAAGAATTTTATTTCCATTTTATAGATACGGAAAATTGGGGTTCTGAGAGGCAAATTAATTTGCTCCAAGTGGCTGGAAAACGAGATACTAGAAAAGAGAGGACAACAGGATTCATTTATAAATTTTCCGACACTTTCCAGCCCTTCCCCACCCCTCCCAAATAACCTAAGCATAAATGAAATGGGTTTATGTCCAATTTCCAAATCCTGGTACTTGTGGCTTTGGTGGCGGCTACTTGTCACAGTTAACTCTGTATGAATAAGCTGGCTCCAGAGGGTTCTTTAAAGCCAGACCAATTCCCCCGGTCTTTATTTTAGCCAAGAGAAGACACACATTTCAAAATAAAAATAAATACATAAAAAGGAAGGAGAAGGAGAAACCCATAATCCCAGTAAGCAGCATAGATTGCATCTGGGCCTGGTTCCCCCACTCCAGCCTCCCACTCTCACCAGCCCACTGCACAGCTCCCACTGACTTCAAAGGCAGCTCCCGGGGGAAGGAGAAACAAAAGTCCAACAGGGCTGGCAGAAAGGAGGACCTTATCCAGAAGGGAGGGTGGGAGAGGAACAGAGATTCACTGCAGACACCAGTCGTCTCAAAACAAGAATTCAAAGTGTTTTCCCAAAGCTGATTTCTATCAGGGGTGCTGGGGTGGATCAGAAGGTTGAGACTCCAACTGGGAGAGATGTGTTTCTGCTGCTCAAATATTTCCCAAGTTTGCAAGACATCTCCAGCCTTTGGAGTGCCTTCTGGTTTGAGGAGCAGGGATGGCCATCCAGGTCTCAATGAGACTCAGTTAACTCCTCTCATGACAAGGCAGCCATATTTCACCATCCAGTAGAGCTGCCTGTGATTTTTTTGTGTGTGCATTTATTCAATTTGAAGCAATACTCCTTTGGTGAAAGAATGCCCCCTGGGTTGAGGTACGTAAAGTAAATATGCGGAAAAAATCAGAAAGTTCCTTAAAAGAGGTTTATTATATCACTCAACCCGTATCTCCCCACGATGCTACGATGACTATTTTCTTTGCCTGTGTCAGGGTTGAAAGCTTTGTCCTGAGGTCAGGCCTGTCCTCCTTCCCTGTGCTCTGCCTCTGATTTATAAGCTGACTTCTCCGAGACAGCACTTAGCCATCCGTCCTCGGTTTATCACCCATCAGTTACCATTGTTATTGCTGCCATTAGTATTCAAAATGATTATAGACTTACAAAGTTGTTCTCTTCTGATAATAATGTTTGCAATATGCTTTTACACTGCCTAGTTAATATAGTGAGCCTGTGATTTTTTTTGGTCTGGCACAAGTCACACAAAAACTGTTGCAGGAGAATATTTAGCAAATTTCTAAATGTCTACATGGAGAACTAGGGGCTAAAACACAGGTGCCTATATATATACATAAAAAATATATAAATATATATACGTATATTTATATATAAATATATATAAATATATATAAAGATATTTTTATATATAAAGATATTTTTATATATATAAATATATATATACAGATATTTTTATATATATAAATATATATATACTTTAAACAACAAACTGGGTGTCCTTTTGTGCATAGGTGACAACAAAAAGGTGGCAGTGGATGCAACATTAGAAACATTGGGCCCTTTCCTGCTCAACTCAGTTTGACACAATCTCCAGAGACAGTGATAGCCATTTCCTGAATAAAGGCCAAAGTCTGCTCACGACCTTCTCGCGCAAGTCCTATTGACAGTGAAAAAAAATAAAAAAGTAAATCAGGCCCTAGTGTGGTAGCTCACACCTGTAATCCCAGTGCCTTGGGAGACCAAGGCCAGAGGATCGCTTGAGGACAGGAGTTTGAGGCCAGCCTGGGCAACACTGTGAGACTCCATGTCTACAAAAAACCTTAGCCAGGTGCAGTGTTGCACTCCTGTAGTCTTAGCTACTCGAGAGACTGAGGCAGGAGGACCACTTGTGCCCAGGAGTTCCAGATTACAGCAAGCTATGACGGCACCACTGTACTCTGACCTGGGCAACACGGTGAGACCCTGTCTCAAAAGAAAAAAAAAAAATAAT
Source organism: Homo sapiens (assembly GCF_000001405.40). Taxonomy (NCBI): domain Eukaryota; kingdom Metazoa; phylum Chordata; class Mammalia; order Primates; family Hominidae; genus Homo; species Homo sapiens. The sequence goes on along the minus strand of NC_000014.9, from coordinate 85,577,583 downwards.
CAGGAAAACACACATGGAAGGTAGGGCATAGTCCTCAGAGGCTAATAGCCAGACTAAAAGAGAGGAGACTGCCTAGAAAACAGAGTCTTGAAAGGGAGCATGGCTGCAGGGAATTAACAAAAATCCATGCATCTCCTTTTAGAGACAGCAGCAGTGAGCTTGTGACTAGAATTCTCCTCTTCATGCATGTGCTTAACTTGAATGTCAACAGGAATTTTGTAAGAGCACTGCAGGGGAAAATGGATTCATTTGTCATCTAAAATGAATCATTTCACTTCCTCTCCTCCATTTTTATATATATTGACAAAATATAAAAATACATTTTTGAAAAATCAATCCAGCTTTGTAGTTTTCTACTCAAATGCAAAAGTAGCCACCAGAATTATAAGATTCAAAAGCCTTTTACTACAGTATTTAAATAGGGTTCCCCCAAAATGGGATTCCATGGGCCTCAGATTTACCAACCCCAAGCGAAAACCGCAAGTGGTAATGCATTACAAATCGCTCATCGTTTATTTTGAGGTTTGAATTTCCATTTTATTTTTAACAATAGCTTCACAGTTCACTGACAAATGTCCTGAACTATATTTAGAAGAATAACAGTATTTAAGATCAGGAGCACACATGGGCAGAGCTGGCTTTCCACTTTTTCTAAATAGAAATACAAAACGTGTGCACATTTTGTGAATTTCATGTCAAAGATTTGGGGTCTGCCAGCAGAATTTCTGCTCCCCTCTGATGGCTGAATGTCAATGCTCTTTCAGGTACATTTGGAATACTTTCAAGGTGTGTCTACAATACCTTTTCTCCAATGCAATAGAATATTTCCACCACCAAACAAGCAACTAGTTTTAATATGGAGAGCTGCAAATCTGAAATGGGTTTGAAAACAAATAGGACAAACAGCTTGTTAACTTACCCCTAAAAGGTCCAACCAGTGTGTACTGCCATTGCATTTGGAATTAGATTTTCGGAAATTGAAAAACACTGTCTTTGGCTTTCCTTAAAAGAATGCTGGAGGCAAGCAATATGCTGATTATTTTTCAAAGGAGGAGAAGAAGGTGTTGAAAGCTTTTAATAACATGTAAAGCTCCCAGTTTGCAAGCACCAAACACAAAACAATGGTAATGGTTTAGCACTTCATAAATGTATGCCATTCTGTCTACTGTTTGGAGACAGCAAATACTTTTGGACAAATTACAATGTCTCTGCCTTTATGCCTAAATAAAGGAAAACAGCCAAATACTTTGAGGCATCAGAAGATAACCATGGTAATGGAAATACACAGCTCTTGCCACGAAAGAAAAACAAAAAAAAGTAAATACTTATAATTAAAACAGCACTAGAGCTGAAGGAAACCCGGATAACTGAGGTCATGAGTTTTTGAGGCGGCCACGGTCAGCCAGAATTTCAAATATAGCACACATTTTGAGTAAAGGAAGATCATTTTACCTCATGCTTGGTCGTGGTGAGCTCCAAAGTAGGTTATTAATCAGAGAAAACACAGCATATAAATAAACAAGTCCATGAACAATCTCTTAACGAGTTAGTGCAATAAGTACCCTTTCTAATTCTAGAATATACCCTCACAAATGGAGTTTTAAAGGCAAGAGGGAATTAAGGTTTTCTGAACTCCTTAAAAGCTATACCCCTCCCAGGCATTGTGCTAGGCACTTAACATATATTACTTTCTTTAATCTTCTCCATAGCCCAGCCAAGTAAGTGGCATTATCACTTCTTTACAGATGAATATTTGACACACAGACGTGAAGGCATTTAGCTGTAGACTAGGGCTTCAGGAGCTGGGTGAAGGGCAACAAAGCCAGGCTCATTCTGTCTTCCCTCCTAAACACTTTCACTCTCTGCAGCTCTTCTAGAGGTTTAAATTGCTGCCCATTGTTCTTTATTCATTAGTCCATTTGCCCTATGGAAAAAAAAGTGCAGTTGAGGGAAGGATTTCCAATGCTCCTTTTACAAAACAGTGGTTTGGGGCCTCAGGGAAGGAAACTGTTCATCTCATTTCCCCACTGACTACCCTTTGCCTGGGATCACCACTGTGTCTGACCCAACACAGACAACTGTTTTATTTCCCCAGGTCCAACCTAACATGTGCTTACCAAAAAGGTAAGTAAATTTGGGAACACTTTGTTTTTGAGCTGCAGAACTCCTTAATTCCTTCGACAACAATATTTTAAGGTGGAAAATCAGAAGTATTAGTAGATATTTTTGAGTTTGCAAAAAAAAAAATGTTGTAAGAACTAATCAAACTGTCCTCACCTGCAGACAGAGAGGAATGTGGTTCTCAGTCACAGAAGCCCTTACTCCATCCACCCACATTCCACCCCAAAGCACCCAGAAGCAGCAGATCCTTGACAATCACAACCCCCATTGCAGGCTCTGTGCTAGTATCTGCCATATTCACAAGATAAGTGTGCCTATTAGGGGCCTAGAAAATCACATTTGAAAACTTATTAAATAAAAGCCAAAGCAAAAATATTTGCTTTTCGAATGGCCACAGGCCTTTTTTGCTGAGTCAGTTTGTAATAACTGTGGGTGGTACCCAGAGATCAGTTTCAATAGAAATGAATCCCGACTTTGTTGGTGCTGACCTGGTTTGCTCTTGAACAATGGCCAATGCCTTGGTTTCCTACCTTGTTTGGTATGTCCTGGGTAAATTTTTTCCAAAGGAGCCTAAAGAAGTACAATTTAACTACAGTAAGAAATATTCTATTTGAAAGAATAACTATTTGTGAAGACAACAAATTGGCCAGTGAGGAGGTCTTAGATTTCTTACACACCTCACATCAAGATACTCTGCAGTTTAGGAGAAGGTGGCAGTATCCACATGAGAAAGATTGTAACAAATTTCTGTATGCAATGATGGCTTAATAGGAGCCATGTGGTTAAATTCCTTAACACTCTAAAAAAAAAATCTTCAATTTATTTAAGAAATAAAAGTGAATGCTGCACTGGCAAAATGCAACAGAAAGAGAAGAAAAGGAACCAAAAATTGAAAAGGCGTCTCCAAATTTCCAGTATAATGGTTCTCAAAAGGACTCAATACATTTTAATGGGCAGTACCAAAGCCTCTACAAACCCTCTGTCTCAAGGTCCTTTGTGACCTCTCTGCATTAGTTTTTGTGAAAGAATTGAGATTTTCCTGGCTCTATGGCATGAAGCATTGCCAAACAAGATAAAACAAGATTCGAATATTGCGTGGGACATATGCATGCAAGAATATGCATTATCAGAAATTCAAATATACCTATTTTTATTTATTATTTATCTTCTATTCTTATGTATTAAATATACTATTATACATATATGTTTTTTATTTATATATAAAATATTATCATTTATCCTCTATTTTTATGTATTAAAACTATCAACCCTAATAACAAAATAATGAAATAGTCATGGGGAAATTCTGAATGAACTATTTTTGAGCTGGTTAATGGTGCAGCCCAGATGCCCTTATCACTAGTATGCTTCACGGTTTCCTGGGAAGAACTCTGAAAATCTGAACTACTGGGACCTTCCCCTGTGGATCCGGCCTCTTACGGGCCAAGCACCACTATGTTTACAAGCTCCCAGGTGAGCCTTGATGCACAGCCATTTGAAAATGATCTGGCAACTCAGACTAATCAAAAGAAATGAGGAAGACACAACAAGCCAGATTTCTCTGATGGCTCAACTCACTCCACTGAGCCTTTAGATGTGGTATAAAAGTCTTAAAACTTAAAGCAGGGTTTACTTGAGAATGTCAAAAGGAGATCATGTAAACCCAAATAATGGCTGCAAAAATACTGTCCTGGACTACTTCACTACCCAGATGAGGACGCTGAGGGGAAAATCATTCTCACCCTAAATTAGCAGTCCAGAAACAAAACCAAGAATAGAACCCCTGACACCTGATGTCAGAATTTACTCCATGCTGTCACCGTTAAACAATTCCTCCTCACATCCTGTGTCTTGAACAGCTGAAAGGGTTGGCACACCCAGTAGAAGGAGCTGAGACATTTTTCCAGGCTTAGCTGAAGTGCAAACTCCTTCATTACAAAGCAACTGGCCAATCATGGTGGAGCATAAAGAAACCCACATCTGATTCAGAAATTACCTCAACAGGCGTAAACTGCTTCTTCATTTTATCAGAGAAAGCTAATATAATATTAAAAGCGAGTAAAGAAAAATCTAATTGCACTGACCTAAAAATAAAACTCAATTACTTTTTGCTCCCAAAGATGTGTGTGTATGTGAGAGAGAGAGAGAGAGATGTGTGAGTGTGATGTATGTGATATGTGTGATGTGTGAGTGTGATGTGTGGGGTAGGAGTGAAGGGGTGGGAGAGGGAGGGTCTCCCTCTCTTAGCAGGATTTTTTTCTCTGTGATATATCAGCTTTTTAAAATAACTTGCCACCCATCCCTCTATTTACATTGATAGGAACTTTCCTCTGATGGAGGATATGATAGACAAATCTGGGTTGCTGACTATGAGTTTCAACCCAGTTCTATGCCCAAAATGATGACTCACAAAGAAATGTATGCACACAAAACTGTGACTAATCAGAGATAGGAATGACTAAAAAACTGAAGTGTGGCATGTATGTAGTAAGAATTCAGTAGAGTGGAAAGTAGTGAGTGACAAAAACTCTCTCTTGAGAGAGTTACTCAGACTTGTGTTCAAATCCAGGTTCCACAGGCCATAAGATCTGGACAGGCTACTCAAACTCTCTAAGTCCCTTAGCCATCTGTAAAATATAAATAACAGCAGCTAACTCAAGGGGCTACTATGAAGAGTAAGTCAATTAACATGTTTGAACTATCTTCCACAAGCAGGGCACAAGGCACACACGAAATGTATTGAATGAGAAGCATGAATGTGTGTTTCTGTGGACCCAGTGGGTCAGCCAGTCACCATATACTTACAGGGACTAAAGCACAAAACTTACTCTGTGCCTAGCAACATGCAGGAAAAATGAGCTATAAAAGAATAGCGAGGCCTACTGTCTGCACATAACTGTCTTATAATCAGTTAGCCAACACATGCTTAATAACAACCCCTGCCATGAATACGGGACGTGAATAATTATGCAGACAGTACAAAAAATTACTGGATATACTGTCCTGCTCCCCATGTCTGGGTTGAGGAGATAACGCATACCTGCTTGAGAAGTTAATGAAAATGACAGTTAAATAACAACTACAAAAGAACATAAAAGTACACACGGCAGCTCCTGATGAATAGCCCAAAGTGGTATAACTGATAATGACTATGAGCTCCCAGAAAAAGGGAACCACCGTGAGTTAAAACAGTCTGGGAATTCTTCATGGAAGATAAGCCACTTAAGATTGGCCTTGAAAGAGGAGTAGGACTTAGATAAGCAGAGAAAAGGAAATCCTAGGTTTATGATCTAAGTAAAGACACAGAAATGAGAAAACACAGGGCTGAGTGACAACTTCAAGATATAAAGTACATGATTTGTGTTGTTTGTAGCAGTGAATGCCAGACACAACAGTGAGGCCATAGCTGTCTAGGCTGGGGGTTCTCAACATTTTATGGTTTGTCTCACCCCTATGCAGCTGTCAGATAATAATAGTGATCGTTCTCAAGGCTCTGGACCCCAAAATATTTGGGGTTGCATAGGTAAGACTGGTTGCAGATTACAGGAAATTGCTAGTAAACTGGCACTATCCCATCCTTCCAAAACACATACACACATGTTCACCTTTCTATTTCACTGAATGCAAAACAATGGTATCTCTTGACAAATGGTTTAGGTCACCGTAGTGAGAAACAAGAGCCACTGAGAGCTTTGACACACCACATCATGAGACACTTGATGAGCGAAAAAGGTCCTAACTGTGTTCTTTGGATATCAAATACACAGGAAATCAGAGAAGCTGTGCCTCCCTTTGGCTCTGTCCCCATGCTGACCCACCACAGCCCACCTAAATAAGATTCCTCCCACTCCACCATGGTAAGCACATCGAGGAAATATTCAGTACTGGACTAACAATGATTACATTTAATTCTAATTCTTGGAATCAATCTTTGGTATAGGCAGCCTTTGAGCATGTCAATCGAAGGGAACAGCAGAGATTATACAAACCATTTCTTCTTCCTTATGTCTACATCAATCACCCCATCCACTGGTTACACTCTTCATGCTGCCAATTGTCAACAGTTAAGTGAAAATGTCATATTATACATTATTTGACCACCTAATAATTCAATATTCTCCCCACCCCACAACTTTTTTTTATAGTTTGTTAAAATTTCTGAAACTATTATATAAGGTGATAATTTCTATTCTCAAAGAAATTCCAGAATATAAAAACATGATAGCAGACCCTAAGTTAACATGATGGGATTCTTAAGATGACATCGTTTTCTACAGAAACACATTCACAGATATCATCCAGGGCTGAAGTAAAGTATATCCATTGAAACCATCTCAGTCTTGAGCAAAGCAGATGAAGAAAAGCCCCGAGTCCCAAATCTTCAGAATGTTACCAGGACCCTAGATCTACTGTCACCACCTACCATCATCCAAATGCAACACTACTGAAAACCATAAACTTTAAGTAACAGAAGCTTTAAAATCTAAACTCTTGACTCAGTAAAGTGCAAAGAAAAGGCAAGTATAATGGAATACATTAAGCCACCAGAGTTGTTTTTTTAAAAAATAAGGGGAATTTGGCCGGGCGTGGTGGCTCACGCCTGTAATCCCAGCACCTTGGGAGGCCGAGGCGGGCGGATCATGAGGTCAGGAGTTCGAGAACATCCTGGCTAACAAGGTGAAACCCCGTCTCTACTAAAAAAAAATACAAAAAATTAGCCAGGCATGGTGGCGGGTGCCTGGAGTCCCAGCTACTCGGGAGGCTGAGGCAGGAGAATGGCATGAACCCAGGAGGCAGAGCTTGCAGTGAGCCAAGATCATTCCACTGCACTCCAGCCTGGGCGACAGAGTGAGATTCTGTCTCAATAAATAAATAAATAAATAAATAAATAAATAAATAAAATAAATAAAAATAAGGAGAATTTAAAGGGAAATACAAACCTAAAAAAGTCTGTAAAACTATGCACTTCACTCTTTGCTCTTTCATTAACTGTACAAACTGAAGCACACCTATGCAATGTTTTAAAAAATAATAATTGATAGCTAAATGTAAAGTCATTTGGATACTTCTAATACTGTAATCAGATTAAGGTAAGAAAGTAAGACTATGAATTCTAATTCCTAAAATGAAAAGGAAGTTGAATTGTTACATGTTCAATTTTCATATGTGTTTACTGAGTTATTTACAATATCCTCACATAGAATCTAATTTGGAGTTGGAATGTGATGCCTATAAAAACCAAGGTCTTCTATCTTTAATATTCAATGCAAACTTGACAAGGAACCAGAGAACATTTTCAAAGGAGCCCAGGGTACAATTTATGTGTCAAAATAACAGCTCTACCCTCTTGGGTGATGGCTGTTAATATCAGAAGCTGGAGAACAGAATGGTGGAGATACACAGTCTTATTTGGTGTGAAAGCTTGTCACTTTCTGTTTTTGATTTCTGTAAGGCTGAAAGACGATATGCCCATTTGGAGAAAGGCTGTTTAAAGAACACTGTGGTAGACAAAATGGCCATACCAACATCTTACAAATACCACTAAGACCCACTGTCATGTTAACGTGATCCTACAATTCAATCTGGCCAAAACTTTTAAAAGAAAGTTTGGTCATGACAACACTTGTCATCATTTTTTTGGCTAATGCAAAATCCCTCCAAAAGCACAGAAAAAGAAAATGCTTTAATAACGTGATTTCAGGGTTGGTATTCTGCTATTGTCTCATCACTGTGTAGCAAGATAAATGTATTTTTTATTAGCTCTGCTAAAACCAAAACAAACCGTGATAACCAAAGGGCTAGGGGACAAAATAAACCTCATCTGAAATTCTTACAGCGCATTCCTCACTGTGACTGTCTGCAGACTTTATGAGAACTCTAAAGTACACGTCCAGTGTCCTGGTTCCTAATGGTGCCTTTGTCTCTAACATTTATCTCTAAGGACTGAGTTGAATGCATCCAGTGTGGGTGGTGTTTGCTGCATGAGTTGGTCTTTCCTTCCTGCTGTCCTTGCCCTGTCCTGGTCCCACAGTCCCAGCACAGAGGACTCCACTAGACTCTGCCCTCCCTGCTGCTCCTGGTACGGTTTCCTGGTCAGCTGAGGCAACCAGAGGAGCACAAACTTCCCCTTCACTCCATGCCAGGCTGGCAAAAGGAAACCTGCATTGCCCACGGTGGGCTTGACAATCAGTGTTCAACTGCCAAGGGTGTCGGCGGATGGCAGAGCTGCTTCAGGCAGATTCCTCTTTTCTTTCTAGGAGAAATTAAAGAACAATGCTCAAAGGCAAAAATGGTAATCTGGAGTGGCTAAAATGTCCTCCTTTGTCCCCAAAGAGCCCTCACGAGTTTGTCACAAAGCCTAAAAATCCACCACCTGTGAAGTCTTTGTTTCAGTGAAGAGTTGCAGTCACTAGGAAACTGCTACTATGTATCATGAAAGGGTTTACTGATCCATCAGTACCACCGTTGGGATTTCTAAAATAAAAGATAGATTGGCAGGCAAATCCTTAAGAGAAGGGAGACGAGGGAAAAGAGGAGACAGACGGAATGAGTGAGAGGCAGAGAGAGGCGGCTGATATACACCAGGCACTGTGCTAGATGATTTACATACCACATATGTTAACTTCTGAAGTCCGTAATGGCATCTCCAGGTTACACGTAGTAAAACTGGGTTTCCAAAAGTTAAGTAGGTGAGAGAAGAAAGGTAAAGATCCCAGAAATAGGGAGAGAGAGCAGCCAAGGTTGGGCTCCATAGTGAAGTGGCCTCATTAATTGTGGGGCGAAGAGTGCAGGATCAGGCCATTGAGTCCCTGAAGAAGTTCATGAAAACAAAGAGAAAAAGAACAACAACAACAACAAAAAAGCAGGAACTGGATTTGAAGCCCAAACACCACCTCTTGTGCAATTTGGTCCAGAGCTGGTCCAGGCTTCTTGAATGTGAGCACATTTTTTAACTAAAATCCCCAACTGCAGGTTATACCAGAAAAAAAATTAAATTCATTCAGAAACATACCTAGCAATGACCACTGACTTGGTATTAACGCCTTACACATGGTCCTTGAGCCTGTCCAATCATTTTATGATTTCCATGTTCACTCTCCTTACAATAAGCATTTCAAGTGCAGAAGCAGGAAAGCAAAACTCAGCCCATTCAGCGAGACACTGAATGACTTACCTAGGGCAGAACTGGAGCCAAAACTATGCGCTCTGCCTCCAAGCCCCATGATCTTCCCCCAGCAATCATCCCCCCGCAGATCAGCAAGGTCCCATGAACAAAGGCAATGCCTACCCCTACTTCCCTATCTCATCTTTATTTGTCCCCTTATAAAACAGGGAAAGGGCCAAATTCTCAAGGAACCCTCCACAAGCAGAACAAAAACAGCTAATTTCCAAATAAGTAGTCAGGCCTCTTTCTTGTGGTACTCTACAGGCCTTCTGTAACTCACCTGCTGAGAGGACGGCAAGTCATGCTGTTTCTAGGGGAAGTTAACATTCCCCTGATCTCTATAGAAAAAAATAAAAATCAGGCCTTGCGCGGTGGCTCACGCTTATAATCCCGCACTTTGGGAGGCCGAGGTGGGAGGATCACAAGGTCAGGAGTTCGAGACCAGCCTGGTCAATATGGTGGAACCCCGTCTCTACTAAAAATACAAAAAGTAGCCGGCCATGGTGGCGCGCCCCTGTAATCCCAGCTACTCGGAGGGCTGAGGCGGAAGAATCACTTGAACCCAGAAGGCGGAGGTTGCAGTGAGTAGAGATCGTGCCACTGCACTCCAGCCTGGGTGACAGAGTGAGACTCCGTCTCAAAAAAAAAAAAAAAAAAAAAAATGTAAGTCACTTCCCGTGTGCTAGGCCCTCTTCTAAGCCTTTCACAATACTAACTCTTTCAATCCTCACAAACACCCTAACAGCAGGTACTCTAACTATGTGCATTGTACAGAAAGATACTGAGGCAGGGTGATGCAGAAACTTACGCTCCTGAAGAAGTGGCAGAGCTAAGATATAAGCCAATGCAGTCTGGCTCCAGAATCCATGCTCTTAACCAGCATAATGTGGCAACTGGGCACACACACACATTGCAAACACAGAGTGTATGCTTTTCTAGAAAGCCTCAAGTTGGTCTAATAAAGGAAGATGCCGAAGGAAGCTTCGAGATTCCAGGTATCTTTGGAGCTTCTATTACAAGCAGACACCCACCAGGGATGGGGAAACCACAGCGTTCAGGAAACTGTCCAGTGTCCATGGGATTCTGAGGGGGACATGTCAAATGTGGCAGCTCAAATATGATGCTTTCACCCACTTTCATGAAGCCCAAACTTTATGCACGTGTTTGCAGGTATCTTCCCCCAAACCCAGCCCCTCTGATAAAATTACCTTGAAGTGAAAGCATAAATACATTTTTCATTTAAATATGTTCTAACCGATGTGTCCTTCCCCCAACTTTCAATGACACTGTTTCAATCATGAGAAATTTTGTGTGACCCATGGAAACTATGTTGATTACTTTTTAGGCACAACAGAAATATTAATACTGCCTCAAAGTTCTGTGCTGTATTACTCTTCATCTGGCAGAAACGGAAGGCTTTTTCATCATGACTAATTCACAAATGACCAAACTGAAAAATATTTATGTTTGCTTCATTCCTGGGAAGCTAATACATAGAAGGGATATGTTCTTTTTTTTTTTTTCATGCTGAAGATTTCATAGTATCCAACACTGAGACTATTTTTCAGCCACGAGATGACACTTTCTTCCCCTGCAACCAGGCCAGGAATATAAACCTTGTATATTCCACCGTATGTATTTGGATCAACTACTGAAGAATACGAAATATTGCATTTTCCAAAGTGCTTTCACCTAAATAGCTGCAGAAATTTCTATCTTGCACACACACACACACACACACACACACAACCATGGAAGTTAAGAGGACTGAGTGTTCCTTTAGGATTCAACTTGAGAATTTACCTTTGATTATCTTACAGGCTGAGCATCAAGATAATTTTCTTGATTCCTTTATGAAGTCATTTTATTCTCAGAAAACAGTCCCTGATTTCAGTCTAAAGCAGAATAATACTTTGTTATGTTTGCTTCTTTTTTTCCTCAATAAAATCCTCTCTTGAAAGTCTCTACAATCAGACTCAACAGGCATCCGGTGAAAACCATCTTCCCTGACCCACGCATGTGTGGCTCATCAGGCCCTCAACCAAAATGAATTAGGCCAAGTATCATTGTGATAGTGGGTCTCTAACCAGGTAGAATCTGTTTTGTCTCCTGATCTCCAGTGTATGAATCATCAGATTACTTCATGGAAAAAACTACTGCTGGCATAATAGCACTTGCAAATTTCCCTAATTGTGTCATTTTCCTATACAGGTTTACTTGTTGGCATGGCTTAGATTTGGCAGAGGACAAAGACTCATGTTTCTTATTCTAATGATTGGTGGGAACATCGGGGTGGGAGGGGTGGCAGTTGACAAAAAAATCGGTGTATTTTGCTTATTCATCCTTTCATCCTCTACTGAAATCATTCCCCAAACAATGAAGTTTCTGTCTGGAGGACTAACAAAGCAATGTGTTTTCTCCATTAAGATAAGACCTCATGGTGGGTATTTTATCATAAATTCCATTTCAGGTTCCAAGGCCCCATGGATTCAATTGGTATGAAGTTATCAGTGTCACATCAAGCACATTTTCCCTCTTGACCTAAATTAGCTTTCAATCTAGGATTCTTTTAATGCTACTTCCAAGAGTCTTTCAAGCATGACAACTCGAAATGCCAACTTTTATTTTAAAAGCTAACGATGTGTATTTTAAAACCAATAACCTCACCACAAGAAGCTTATATATCTTAATACATCTCCATGCATATGGTTTCTAAAATCATTCAAAAATTTAAATAAATAAAAAAAATTTTGATCACTAACCATGCATGTAATGGAGAGGTAGTAATATCACTATTAATAATATTGGGAAACTATCGGGGTCCCAGATGCCACATAATATTCTGAATAGCAACATCAAGGTCATTATTTTTACATCCAGCCCAATAAAACAATTGTAGATTCCACCTGTCACATATCCACACTTCAACTTAAAATGAATGTGACAGATTACTTATGAGACAAATAGCAGCACACAAGTGATGTTATGACAAAAGCTATTTTGATGACTGCATACATACTCAGGTTATTAATATCACTCCTATGCAAAAACAATATATGACACTCCAGGCTGCATATGCTATTTGGGTCAGGAAGGCTTTCATTATCTTCGTTCAGAAAATAAAACAAAACAAAACTGTTTTTCAAAGTAAAGTAGTTCATTCCCTTTCCCAAGATCCCTGAAAGGAATGGAGGTGACGAAAATGGAAATCTGGTTTAAAATAACACTTTAGGATTTCTGTGGCTTTGTACCACTGACTGTTATACATACTATCTTACAAATTGCATACCAAGACTGGCAGAGTTCATAACTTTGTTGCTCTTTTCTTGCTATCATAGAAATGGTAAGGCAGAGAGCCAAGATAACTAGTGATCATAGGATGAGTCTCTTATCTCCTTCACTTGATAAAACTAGTGATCACATGATAAATCTTATCTATCTCACATCACAACCAAAAACCCCTTTGAGATCAGTGCTATTACAATTCTCATCGTCCAGATGTAGGAGCTGATTTGCAGAGGATGCGAAGCTGCACAGTTTAAGAACTATTACATTACATTACATACAGTTTGTTTCAATCATGCTAGGTATAGTAGTATTTTTCTGTAATAGAGTTACCCACGTCTTCAAAAGACACAGAAAACGGTGTGCATGACAGAATCTTACTTTCAAATACTGCCTTTTGATGTTATCTGAGAGCCTCATAACCCACCAGAAAACTAGCCCTTTTGCCAATGTCAAAATATCCTTTAATAAATCTTCCACGAATACATTTGGAACAATCTTGGTTGGTCCAGTGGAAATGTAATGACTTAGGCTTTTAATTACCTAAATATATTTTTAACCCGGGTTACTGGTGATTGTATTTACTTGTTTAATTTTTGATTGCTTTCTATTTCTCTAAGACGATTCATTTGTACTAAAATGAGGTAAACCAGTGTTTCTTTTAATACTCCCAAATTTTACTCAACATATGGGTTAAACATTGTTAAAGCTTCTAAACTGATATAGGCAATTGAAGCCAATCCAAGCAATACATATTCGAGTAATACATAGTCACTGGCCAAATCAATTCGTGGGTTATGAGAAAACAATGCCATTTGGCTGAAATATTCCCTATGTACAGGCAGAGAAGAGCAGGTAGCCAAGTGCCACTTTGGTGTTCTGCCATGTCAACATTCAAAACAGGGCCATAGAAAAGCAAAACGCTCTGTCCACCCTCTCCTTCCCTTAATAAGTTCATCTATGTAGGAAGAGGACAAGTGCCCTGACTTCTGGCTGTCCACGTAAGTGTCAAATGTAGGGGCCCTTTCACACTAGGGCTTCTACATGAGTGTCTCCCTTTAAACTCTCATGTCTTCCCTGGAATTTAGATCAATTATCATCCATTGAGTTATGTACAAATAGCAGACATACTCATGGTCTCCACCTAAGAGGAAATAGAACATTTCACTTTTCTTGAGAGAAAAGTCAACTTTATCTATTTTTTTGTTTGTCTGTTTTTCTATTTTAAGATTACATAAAGTACTAGGGTTTGGAGGTAAGAGATCTGAGCCAAGTCATGGTTTTGCTGTGTCCGCACCCAAATCTCATGTTGAATTGTAATCCCCACATTGGAGAAGGGGCCTGGAAGGAGGTGATTGAATCATGTAGGTGGACTTCCCCCTTGCTGTTCTCATGATAGTGAATGAGTTCTTGGGAGATCTGGTTTTTTAAAAGTATGTGGCACTTCCCTCTTCTCTTTCTTCCTCCTGCTCCACCATGTGAAGAAGGTGCCTGCTTCCCCTTCGCCCTTCTTCCACAACTGTAAGTTTCCTGAGGCCTCCCCAGCCATGCTTTCTGTGCAGCCTGAGGAACTGTGAGTCAATTAAACCTCTTTTATTCATAAATTACCCAGTTTCAGGTAGCTTATTACAGCAGTGTGAGAACAAACTAACACAAGGTGTGTGGGACTCAATGTATCTGGCATTTGTTAAACAACATAGACCATGGAGTCAGACACATCCAGTCTCATTCCAATCTCACCATTAGGAAGTGGTTGTAAGGCCCTGGTGACAGGGGTAACTACTGTGATATTACCTGGGAACAACTGTGATAACCCCTACTTCCCTAGGCTTCTGTAATTGCCAGGCAGCAATGCCCAGAGAACCATAATTCTCAAACTTAGTATGTGTTCCTTTTAAGGAGTGGAGGTCCAACAGATGCTTTTTGATGTCTAACTTTACATAAGTAAAAAAAAAAAAAATTAAAAATCACACTGCTTTATTATTTATTTACATATACAACACTGTGAAAAGGGCGCTAGATAAGTAGAACAAGAAGCCCAGTTTCTGGTACATCCTGCTTCTCAGTCACCTCTAGGTCTCTGGAACTTGAAAGCTATGTCTCTTCTTGCAGGGTTCTGTTACAATCCATTGATTTTCCCTCACGGTATAAAGTTCCCTTTGCTTAGTTTCACTGGACTATTTCCCCCAGGTCATTCTGACAAATGATGTTCTTTGTTGTTTATACTGTTCAATAGATTTCATTTTGAAGAACATGATGCAATCATGTGACGACATTCTTTCCCGTTATTGAACCGTGTGGCCTGAATACTGCCCTAAAGGACAGGAAAGAATTGATGTCCATGAGCATAGTCTTTAATATATCTTGAGTCTAGATTCAAAAAAAAAAAAAAGAAAGAAAGAAAGGTGGGTTAGGAGGAGATTTGGGAACCAGCTTCAAGTAACTAACATTATAGACCCACCTACTCTTTCTGATCTATTATCTCATCTGATCCTTAGAATGAGTTCATGAGTTGGTATTACAAACCTCAATTCTCAGAGGAGGAGACTGAGTTTCCCAAAAGTCAAATAACCTGCATTTGGTCTTCACAGCCAAAATGTGGCAGAGATTGCATTGAAACACGGGTCTTCTTGATGCCAAATGCCACACACCCAAGAAACACACAAAACAATGTAAAAATGTTATGTAGCATTTGAGTTACTTTGGATTTAACTGTCAGAAATGTCTATGTCTGTGTGGAAATGAAATATTCTCTTGGAAACATGAGTGAGTCCCATGGACTAAAGAAGGTGACCAGGTGTGTAAACAAGTGATGCCTTTCCTTCCACGGCATTGTTACTTACTTTCTCAGATGCCTGCATTTAGTCCAAGGTTTTACTCATAGCTTTAAAGTGTAAAAACTGTCAGAAAACTAACACTAAGCATTGGTATTAGTCATATTCCCTGTAGCGGGAAAGAGTCTTCAACTTATCTTGAGACCAGTTTCAATTGGTAAGAAAGCTTAAGGACAGAAAAGAAATGAGGGAATGTGTCCATGGAAGTGACAGAAGTGTCACATAGATGTGAGGATGAGAAGCTCTGGAATTTTAGGGGCACTAAAACCAAACAACAGCCACAACAACAACAAAATACAAAGACAATGACAGCAATAGAATTTCATAATTTTACCAAAGACCGGGGCTATCTAAAGAACTAATGATTTTCAAGGTTACTTTATGATACATTTTTAAAAAAGGGCAATTTGACATTCTAGTGGGAAAGGCTTCTGGTACGATTCTATTTTATCTCGTTCCTACTTTATCATTGTATTCTAGGCAGTCATTCTGTAACTTTATTGGCTGTCAACAGTATCATTTGCTGTAATAACGGAGGGAGAATTTCCATGATGGCAGGAGCCGTGCATCAGGATGCCTTGCCATCTACCTGCCAGGGTGCTGTGAGTGTTCTAGAACATTTCCAACATTCGTTCTGTACAATTCATAACCTAGCAGATGGCACCATTAAGCAAGGGTCCCCAGTAGTCAGTCTCTTTGAAAATGAGGGCAAAGAAATGCAGAATAAAATTAAGTTGACTGGAATAATACACATGCTTATTCCTTACAGTATGTTGACAATGGCTGACAAATGTCTAGCGGATATAATCTCAGGGAACGTGCACAATAACATTTTACAACAACATAAACTGAGATTGTAAGATACCTTGATAAATAGCTACTTTCTTACCCCCAGGCTGGTTCTCCTCTCTCCAGATACATGTACAGCTCCCATTACCATCAAACAGCCAGGAGAGAATTACACACTGCTCAGGAGATAGCTTCTGAAACTGCGAGACGTTAAAAAGCCATATTCAAATCACGGGGTTGTGCAACACAAACATGTTGTACAGAATGTATTATCATTTTCTGAGGCAAAGAAATATAGACTGTGCAATAGAAAGGTAATGGGGAAAAAATGTAGTGCTCTACATACTGACAGTGAGCCGTTAACAAGGTAAAATTATCAAATATTGGTGCAATTTGGAGCATGCGTTTTTCTGTTTGGGGAATTATGATAATGTGACAAGGTTATCGTTATAATTAGGAGAGTAATTAAAGTAACGGAGTAATTGCTTGTCTGCATTTTTTCTTAGTCAAGAAGATCTAATTGCACGAAAAGAAGAAAAGAAAATTTTTCACATTTTTTTTTTAGGTTTCCCACCAGCATCACTGAGACCCTAACGCAGGCAGGCTAGCCATACTGGCATATTGTGCCTTCTAATTTTTTTTTTTTTCTTATGAACAACTATGGTTTCTCAGCTGCTACAAATTCCTGGTCACACAGCATACATTCTGTGTGTGAAGACTGCTTTATGAGGAGCCAGCCCTTTTTTGTGATGTCATTTCTTTTTTTTCTTTATTTTTTATTTATTTCTTTTATTTATTTATTTATTTTTGAGATGGAGTCTCGCTCTGCAGCCCAGGCTGGAGTGCAGTGGTGCGATCTCGGCTCACTGCAACCTCCGCCTCCCGAGTCCCAGTTCAAGCAATTCTCCTCCTTCAGCTTCCCAAGTAGCTGAGATTACAGCCACGTGCCACCATGCCCTGATAATTTTTGTATTTTTAGTAGAGACGGGGTTTCACCATGTTGGCCAGGCTGGTCTTGAACTTGACCTCGTGATCCGCCCTCCTCAGCCTCCCAAAGTGCTGGGATTACAGTCATGAGCCACTGCGCCCGGCCTGTGATGTCATTTCTAATTCTAATACATTTCTCCTTCTGGCTTCATGATTCTAGACTTAGTTTCAATTAACTGTATGTTCACATCTTCTCACCTATAGACACAAGGAAAAACAAAACCTCACCCAGTAGGATGTAAATCCACATGGAGTTGGAGACATGTAAGAACCAAAAAATAAACAAGTAAACCTACTCAGCCCCAAAGAGTCAGAGCTGGGACAGACAAGGTATGCCTGGCAGAAACACTTTGAAGTACAGAAATGACAAAATAGCATTAACAGATTTGTTGAAATTCTTGAGGGGAGTGAGATGGAGGACCCGGCAAAGCCTCTGGGAAGTCTGCATTTTTGCTCAAAATCTATGGCTTCCTGAGAGAGATCATCCACATGAAGTGAGAGTGATCCAGGCAGGCCCAGGAAAGTCACTGACTAAACGCTGCTAATGCCATCAGGAGATCCGGATATCAGAGATCTAACTTGTAACCTGTGATCTAACCTCACGGAGGTAATGGGCAGCACAGACCTGAGTAAGAGCAGTGAGTCCCAGAACATCATTGGAGGGAAACTGGGCCATGTATCTCTGTGAGCCTCCCTTTCCTTAGCTGAAAAATAATGATCATATTAAACTGACCTGCTGAGCTGCTATGAGGTTAAAAAAAAGTGTGAAGGGGCTTTATAGACAACGTATAATCATGGGTAGATATATTATATATAGATATACATATATGACATACATACAATCTTTACTACAAGCATGTATGGTTCAGCTCACTCTCTTTCCTCTGGGCAGTAAGAACAGTGCCTTTAAAGAACATCTGAACCATTTGGAACCAAAGGAACTAATACTCATTTTGGTGTAAATTTAGTCCCAAAGTGGTTACTTACTGCATCCAGTATTCCTTCTTCTTTTCTGCTCAGCTAATCCATGTTCTTTCACCAATGACCAGCTCAAAGTTCATCCATCACCTCCTGGAGTCTTCCCAGGGGCCCGAAGGAGAAAGGGCCCCTCTTCTACTCTGTTTTCAGGCTGCAATGTACACAGCCTCCCCCATCATAGCATCTCTGCTCCCAAGTCTGTCCCCATCAGACTGTGAAGAAGTTGAGACTGGGGTCTGAGTCCTCTGTATGCTTGTACCCCTCTGCTGAGCATATTTTCAAAAAGTATGTGTTGATGGGGCTGAATAGCAAAGTATTCTGCATGAAGAGCTATGACAGTGATGTATGTGTACACATGCATGTGCACCTATCTATGTGTACACATGTGCTTCTATGTGCGTGTATTGGTCTGTGTTAATGTATTTAAATACAAGTTTATTTGATTAGAACACTAAACGTTTAGGAAGCCACTAGCCACCTGTACACATTATCCAATCCAGAGAAAACTATGCAAATAACTAGTTCCTTTATTTCAGAATACATTATTTCCCGAAGGTTATTATCTGCTCTGGCAATAGCAGTATCAGAGCAATCACTCTAAAGACAAACCATGTCAAATATGCATGATACAAAAGCATTCCAAAAACAAAATGTTGATCTAGAAAAGAATCATGTAGCAGGAACTCCCTGGTGAGTAAATACCTCAATGCTGCTGTGATGGCTGCCCTTCATCTGAGCAATTACATCTTCCCCTCTCTTTTGTGATGTCATTTTAAACTGAAAGCATTAGGTAGCAAGGAGCACTGTAATTAAAGCTTCAAACAAAAAAATGATTGAAGAAACACCGAAAGAGACTCCTCCTTTGAAACTGCATTTCAATTCTCCTCATGTCTCTGGAAGAAAAATGCTTCTGACAGTCTATATTTTACCACTGTTTCATTTAATAATGCATATCGACATTTATCCAGGAACATGCCTTTACTTCTCCTTTTAAATCACCTGAACACCTGCCCATTCCCATGACTCCAAATTCCTCCTTCTCTCCCACCTACTCGGTTTTTCTTTTATCCTTATTTACTTTTTTTAAAAAATTTATTTTTGATGCAAAGATAAATGTTGAAGGATTAAAAAAAAAATTCCTGAAAAGCCTGACTATATAATTCTACGGGCATATGAGAGCCCTTTGCCTCTTGTTCTGCTTACAAATTAAAAATAGGGCATAAACCCAAATGAAAATAAACACACAAGCACATGCACATGCACATATATTCCAAGGGCAAACAGAATACATGGAGGGCTTCAATCTCCTTATGGTCTGTTTATACAACATCATCAGTGCTTTCTACGGAAGTCTACGGATGCTTTCTGCGGAAGTCTACAGATGCTTTCTACGGAAGTCTATGGATGCTTTCCACATAAGTCTATGGATGCTTTCCACAGAAGTCTACATTACGTGTTTCATTTCCTGAAAAAGATCCCAGTTTGACCATTTCTACAGTCACCATTTTCCTTCTACCATGAACTAGCGACATAAGCAAAGTAGCTCTGAGAAGTGTCTTTTTAGTTTGCTTTTGTTAATTAATTAATTAATTAATTTATTTATTTATTGAAATGGAGTTTTACTCTTGTTGCCCAGGCAGAGTGCAGTGGTGCAATCTCGGCTCACTGCAACCTCTACCTCCTGGCTTCAAGCAATTCTCCTGTCTCAGCCTCCCAAGTAGCTGGGATTACAGGCACATGCCACCACACCCGGCTAATTTTTGTATTTTCAGTAGAGACTAAATTTTAGTTTCATCATATTGGTCAGGCTGGTCTCGAACTCCTGACCTCTGGTGATCCACCTGCCTCAGCCTCCCAAAGTGCTGGGATTACAGGCGTGAGCCACCGCGCCTTGCCGTGCTTTTGTTTTTATACTCTATCTGGGCCTAGTGGAGATGCCATCTATTCTATCTCCTTTTTGAAAATCTAGGTGCCCCATTCATAATACTTCATATTCCTAATGTAACCTGAAGAAACAAGAAATTCCAGAAGATTTATTAATTCAACACTTCAATACTCGGTTAGGTGCGGCAGAGGTATTACAAGATGAATATGATATGAACCTTGCTCTTAAGGCATTTGCAAACTAGTAAGGTAGCTGGCTAATTAAAAAAAGCTTCAGAAAAAAAAAAACACTGGAAATTAGTCATGTTTTTTAAGCTTCTACCTTAGTAAGAGGGTCTCTGTGTTTTGCAGGTTTATTCATAACATCTGATATGGTTTGACTCTGTGTCCCCACCCAAATCTCATCTTGAATCATATTCCCATAATTCCCATGTGTTGTGGGAGGGACCCAGTGGAAGATAATTTGAATCATGGGGGCAGTTTCCCCCATACTGTTCTTGTGGTAGTGAATAAGTTTCATGAGCTCTGATGGTTTTATCAGGGGTTTCTGCTTCTGGGTCTTCCTCATTTTCTCTTGCCGCTGCCATGTAAGAAGTGCCTTTTGCCTCCCGCCATGATTCTGAGGCCTCCCCAGCCATGTGGAACTGTAAGCCCAATTAAACCTCTTTTTCTTCCCAGTCTTGGGTATGTCTTTATTAGCGGCGTGAAAACAGACTAATATCACAAAAGGTACAGAAATTGTGCTAGCAAGGCATTACTGACAACTAATAGCAACAGTTAATACTTATTGTGTATATACCATGTGCCAAGCACTATTCTATGTATTAACTCATTTAATTCCTCAAGAACTTTATAAAGTTGGTCTTATCTCCAGGCTCTACATGAGAAAACTACAGTACAGAGAAATAAGTAACTTGTCTACAGTTAGCCAGTGTGTAGAAAAATGAGACTTTGAACCCAGGGAGTCTGCCTCCACAACCAGCTTAGCCATTTTCTCCAACTGCCTCTTGGCATAGGTGCGCCCTGCAGAGTAGCATATACACAACATTACAGGGTTGAATGTGGCTTCTCTCCCAGAAACATGTGTCCTCCCCAGATCAAGCCCAGGCAAGCTGAAATATTTTTAGCAACAGTATTTTATCACTAACATTTTGAAATTAACACATCACTACTTGTATGGGAAATGGAGGAAAAGAAAAGAAGGTATTTGGGATGTAGGATAGAGCCCATTAAAGGCAAGCTAAAAATCTAAAAGAAATCTCCTACCAATGAAATTACTGTGCCATGCATATACCCCTATAAGCTTATTTTTCAATGACCCAGTGGGCATTTTCTCGCAAAATCTATATAGTTGTCTCTAGGATACCAAACTTTTTAAAAAAGTTTTAAATGTCCAGACAGCACTGCTTATTATTATTGCATTGAAGATATTCCATGTAGTTTTATGCAAGCCTAAAACATCTGTATTCATGGGATAGGATTTCCCAACTTAATGGTAAATTTCTTAATTACATGCCTTCCGTCTGTACTATACTAACATCTCATTGCTAGAAATTAGAAACATGTATACGTCTTAATGCTTATTTCTTCCTCAAGTCCTTAAAAGTGTTTTCTAGTTTTTAATAGTTGGCTTTCTTCCAATTTTCTTCTTTCCTCACCAGATTCATTTTAAGATCTCAGAGAGAGGCCAGGCACAGGGCCTCACACCTGTAATCCCAACTACTTGGGAGGCTGAGGCAAGAGGATCACTTGAGGCCAGGAGTTTGAGATCAGCCTGGGCCACAGGGTGAGACCTCATCTCTAAAAAAATAAAATAAAATAAAATAAAATAAAATAAAATAAAATAAAATAGATTTCAGATAAGAGAGAAATAGTTAAACTGCTTGATACGGTTAGGCTGTGTGCCCACCCAAACCTCATCTTGAATTGTAGCTCCTATAATTACCACCGGTTATGGGAGGGACCTGGTGGGAGATAATTGAATCATGGGGTGGTTTCCCCCATACTGTTCTCATGGTAGTGAATAAGTAAGTCTCATGAGATCTGATGGTTTTATAAGGGGAAACCCCTTTTGCTTAGTTCTCATTCTCTCTTGTCTGCTGCCATGTAGGATGTGCTTTTCGCCTTCCACTATGATTGTGAGGCTTCCCCAGCCACATGGAACTGAGAGTCCATTAAGCCTCTTTTTCTTTATAAATTACCCAGTCTCAGGTAGTCTTTATCAGCAGCATGAAAACAGACTAATACACTGCTGATCTGCTGATGTGTAACATCTTCTAGGAATCTATGCATATTCTCACATACTGACTAGTTCATTTCTAAATGTACAGCAAGGTTATCAGGACTGCTAACCTTTTTGGCCTCATAAGTCAGGATCTGAATCTACTGTGATATTTAAAGTAAGAAACTAAGCTTTAGTATGCTACCACCTTAGATTTTAGCTCTTTCTTTAAAAACAGCTTTTATACACATAGTACAATCAAATTTCTAACTTGCATACCACATCTCTAAGGCCCAAAGTTATACTATCAAAGTGATGCCTATCTCCAATAGATAGGCATTATTAGATGATGTTATAGATCTTTAATCCACATCAGTGCATTCTGCGGAAGTGGCATGTGACAGATGCCACCACTGACTCTGCAGGACGGCAAACTACCACCTTCAGCCACAGGGAAAAGGGACCTTTGAGTCAACTCTTAATGGGCATCCTGTAATGATACAGACAGAATTGTTCTCCCAACCAGGCTGTTTATTGAAATTCATAGCACAACTCTCTATTTTTATAATCAGAAAGGAAAAACTAAAGAGAAGTAACCATTCCTTGGATTAGATTAAAACCTAGACTAATATTCACAACCCTAACTATTTAGATCAAAGTCAGTGAATTCAATTTTACAAATAAGGGATCAAGTAGAAACCACAACTTGAGAAGAAAATATTCTCAACCCTATCAGGTGAGCTGAATTTCTAAGCAATTTTAATTGGAATGTGAGGTTTCGATTCAGGAAAAGACTAGAGGATTCAAAATAGGTACACAAACCACACAGAAGTGATCCAAGGGGATCTGAGAGCCATCTGTAGTCCGCTGGCACTTAAAGACAATGAAAATACTGTACATCCTATACAACCTGGACAATATTTCTCAGATTTACTAATATATCAGAAAATGAAGCACATACGTCCACTCTGTTGTAAGGGCACTTGTGGTCTGTGATGACTCACTGATAAATGTTTATCTTCTACAATGTATTTTGTGACATGACTTTGTTAAATACCTTAGGAAGACCATTTAAACTAGCACTTTGAACTTTCTGGTATATGAGGCTTCAGTAAATACTTGTTGATTGCTGGCTCACTCATGAATCCTTTTTTTTAACTTAAATACGGGTAGTGTCCTGCAGAGTGTAACAAAGCCTTTGAATAAGTTATGCTCTTTAAAAAAGACTAAAATAAGATGTTCTCCCCTTTCTTCCAAATGAGAATGAAAAGAGAAGGGAGGCCTTGCTTCATATTTTTGATGAGATTTTTCTTTCCAGTGTAAACCCTCAAAACCACATTTGACAAGTATCTACCCTACCCTTTAAGTGAATGAGTATAAAACTGAATCTATTGTTTTTTAAAGTAGTTTGGACAACTGTGTCCATCTTATAGGCAGAGTTCAGTTTTAAGACACCTGAAAACTCATCTGTTAATGCTATTTCTTCAACAGCACAAAAACACTCTATCCTTACCCAAAGTGACAATGCAGAATGAAAACTAAAAACAACAACAAAATATTTATAGTCACCTATTGGAGGTAGGCTCTAATCTTTTTCCCTTTCTCTTTCTCCCTCAATTTTTCCTTTCCGTCCTCACCCTTTCCTTCCACAAATATTTGTTAACTCCTGACTTGATAACTAATCAGTGCTTGGATCTGGCGATAAAAGTGTGAATCTAATGTCCGTAGTCCCCACAGGATTCAACAAAAGAAATAACCCTTAGATCAAGCTTGTCCAACCCACAGCCCATGGGCCAACAAAATTCATAAATGTTCTTAAAACATAAGAATTTTTGTGATTTTTTTTCTAGCTCATCAGCTATCATTGTGTTTCATGTGTGGCCCCAGACAATTCTTCTTCTTCCAATATGGCCCCAGGAAGCCAAAAGATTGGACACCCTTACCTTAGATGGTCCCAGCAGCATAGCCTCACTGAGAGAGCACGTGGATTACTGGGCACAGGAATTTAAAAGTTGGCCACTACTAAACTCCCTGTCTGCATTCTAAAATTTTATCATCACAGTCTTTATCTGTGTTTTGTGGCCAATAAACCTTAATGCTGCACAACACTAAATTATTTGCTCTTTCTGAAGGCTACAAAGAAGAGCTGGGTACGCATTTCATAACAATAACTAATGCAGATATTCACAGAATCTTAACCAAATCAAAAGAAAAGGGCCAATGGGTGAAAGGGGGCTGCTCTCTTAGGTATTCCCCACCTTATTCACTGTATCTATTTTACCTGAAAGTCTTTAATTCACAAAAATCCCATAGTTAAAATTCAATGTAGGAGTTGTATGTTGAGCACCACATGAAAAAATACCATTACTCCTGCAGTGTTCTACAACTAGATCCTGGGTGTCAGGCTGGCAAATTTTTCAGAGACAACACAGTGGCAGAAGCATCAGATACATGAGCAACAAAAGTCATTACTTACAGCAGCTTAGGTGTCTCGGAAGGATTGCAGGAATACCTCCTCACATCAAAGGCGCCATAATCAGCCCTCCAAATCTTGCCATCAACCCAAAGGTCTCCGTGTCTTACCTGTCTGCACCAGAAAACCCAATGATGCGACGGAATTATCAACATTATCATCCTGAAACAATTGCTGAGCTCCCAGAGGGGCCATTTTTCTCTTTGAAGAGGCCTGTGGGACATTGTGGGATTAGTTATGATGGCTCTGCCCTTTAGAAAGCTTTAATGATTTGGGCATGATTCAGGCAGTTGGATCAGTCATATAGGAACCTGTTAATATCAACTGCTTTCTAAAAACATCAGTGATACTCACCTTAACTTTTTCTGAATAAGCCACAGTAGAAGATCTGCTAATCTATTGAGCACTTAATTGCATCAGGCACTATGCAAAATGCCTCCTGTGGATTATCTTATTTAATCCTCATGGCAACTCTTCAAGGGGTTTTATTACTGCTATCCCCACTATGCAGATGAGAAAAGTGAGGATTATATAGGTTAAGTACTTTGCCAAGGTAACAAAGCTATGAAGCAGCGAAGGTACCTACAAACCCAAGTAGACTAAACCCAGAGCCAAATTCTAACCACTAAGACAAGCTCCCTAGATTCTGAGAATCAGAGAATTACTAGAACTGCCCGGCCTTGTACAGATGAAGAAACTGTGCCTCCAAGGTTCAGTAAATTGACAGAAGTCACAGATTTTTTTAGGGGCAACATAAAACCTAGAATTTAATGCTCCTGCTCACTATCCTATTGATATTTTGAGTATCCCCCATTGCTTGACAGTCCAATTCATGGCAAGAGTTGTTGATAAGGTGTCCATCTGCTACATGGATGCACAAAACAGAAAGGGACATGACCTTTGGTAGTTCATTTTCCTCTCTGGAAATCTAGAAACAGGGATAAATACATATGCCTTACCTACCACAGGAGATATAGAAGTGAAATGATAATCAAAATGGAAACTTTAAGAAATAAAAAATATGTGAGTTACAAACATGGAAAAGATTATGGAAAATGGTTCTCACCTTCAAGTTTCTCACCACATGGCTACCTTTTCTCACTGGCAAGAAGTGAATTAAGTCATCAGTAATCTCAGTCGGGTCCATTAAAATCTAAAATACAATAAATCTTAAGGTATTTCAGGGCGAAACCCCTATATATATTCATCCTTTCCATGTGTCCATCCTTCCATGTATGCATGCATTCATCCATCCATTTAGTAAAGAATTTAGGATACAATGATAATTAGCCAAAAACATCATAGCCACAACAATAAACAGGACAAATGGAGGTAACACTGGAGCCATTTTACTTTCTTTGTGAATACTCAATACATATCCCTTGGAGAAAGGTAAGAGCTACTGTAAACAGAAAAGGAGATACTAGAAGGTAATTTCCACCAGTGGCATGCCTGTGCCTTTCTTAAATTTCTCTCCCACCCCTCCCATTTCCTAATTTTTCCAGGCAACCCCATTCCTTACATCATATCAGTTATGATCAAATGGTCCCACATACCACCTTGCACAGATACCAATCACTGCTCCTCCATCAACAAGGTGCTTTTAATTTCAAAAAGAAAAGGAAATGGGATTTGAAGTTTAAATTTCTTCATTTTCTCTTTAGGAGTTCTGGTAAACAGGTGGAATCAGAATCACTTCTAAGCTACTAGCTAAATGAAATTAAAGATTTCTCACTAGATTTCATTATTTACAAATCTCTGTCACTTAAGGATGATGAATTATGTGAATAGTAATTTTGTCAGGAACCTATTTGCTATATATTTTCATAGAAATTCCATTCATGATTTCACAAGACAGAATCATGGAGGAGGATAGGGTAATGAAAAGCCAGCTCGTGTGCATGCCTGTCATAAGACCAAATTTAAGCTAAACCAGCAGATTAATTATTCTTGTTATTTTTAAGGGTCGCTAATAAAGGAAATGCTACAATTTTCCAATGAAACCCCCTCCAGATTTTCAACGTGTGTTAGACAAGGAGATCAATCCTTCAGCACAAAGAAAAATATAATCAAATATAAGTTCTAATATCCATGTTTTAAGTTAAAAAAAATGTGTTCTATAGATCCTTCTTTATCTTTTAACATTGCATTTCTAGATTGTGGATAAGCCTTAAACTGAAATGTAGGTAAAGGCTAAAACAACCCTAACTTCTCTCCAAGAATCAGAAAGGAAGTCCACATAATTTTGCATGACTTTAGGGTTTTCATCGGAAAAAAATACCTTCTTAACTTTGGATGATGTTAATATTATGCAGAAAAAGAAACAAAACTCATTAGCTGATTGTAATTACATTAGTTATCCATGCTAAATGAAATGTGTCTCATATCACGTCACATTTTCCACAATGTGGTCTACAGTGAACTCATTTACCTGATCTGCCTTTTTTTGCTTCCCTGTTTGAAAGGGCTCTCATTTCATTGTTTACCTGATTCCTAACAGCCATTCCCTAGGGTTTTCTAAGAGTAAATGCTCATTCTTAGAATCTCGTACTTGAGAATTCCACCAGTAGAAACACTCACAGCACTGTCCCCATAGAATATATTACGAATGTGGCTATTTTCTCGTTTATAGTGACAAGCTGAAATTTAGTAGAAAAAAATCTCCTTTTTTGCCTGTTGATAAGCCAGCCTCCTCTACATGCAGTTGTTTTTAAGAGCACTTTCTCTGGGTAATTCCCTTCCAATAATCCACGATGCCTGCTGTTTTTGAGGTGAAGAGATGGCTGAAAATATTTCTTTTTTTTTTTTCCCAGAAATAAGTGGTTGTAAGAGTTCTTCAACAAGCATATCCAAATTGAGATAGAACAGTGACTACTTCTAAGGTACCTTATCTTCTTCTTGACCACAGAAATAAATATTGTTAAAAAGAAATTAGGCAAGATGTACTGTGGCCCCACAGGGAGGCCCTTTAGGAGAATGGTAACACAGCCTTACGGAATTGCCTTATCTATGCAGGCCAAAAAAAAAAAAAAAAAATAGCTATGTGTAAGCCACAGAATTCATATCATTTTACATTGGAGGGCAAAGGGATAGGGATTTTAATGCATGCTAGTACTTGAAGTGTGGCAGATAACACACAATCTATTCAACAATTCACCAGAGTGGTCCTATGAGTATTATTTTTTCTCTACTGAAAAATTGAGGAAGTAGCCACAAACACAAGCACCAAGAAACATGCTGAAGTCATCCTAGTTGCTTGAGACAGAACCAGGATTCAAATCTAGTCTGTCTGATTCCAAACTCCATGACCTTCTCTCTATGTTCACTCTATATCTTTATGAAATGGGATATTCCCCTCAGACTCTTTGCAAGACTCGTGAAGGGGTTGGCTCATTTACTCAGCCCACAGCTCTCAACCCCTCATGGGCAGGGTAGCACACAGGTGAGCAGGTGCAGAGGCCAGGACAAGAGCTTCTGGGCAACTGGGCAGAAGCAAAACTCCGTGCAGGCCCATGGCAGCATCTAGGAGTTGCCCACAAGCCCCCAGAGTCCCAGAGGCCCTGTGTTACAGTGTACTCTTTTAGTTTTGCCATCCATGGATGGCTTAAGTGTTAGACAGCTCAGTGGAGGGTCAGTGTGACAGTCTCTTGCACCCGTACCTGGGTCACTGTCTGGCATCCAGGGGGAATCAGGTCACACAAATGAATTGAAGATGGTAAACCCAGAGGATTTTATTGCTGATGGAAGTGGATCTCAGTGGAATGAAGAGCTGGAAAGGGGATGGAGTGGGAAGGTGGTCTTCCCCTGGAGTTTGGCCATCCCTGGTCAAACTCTTCTCCAAGGTCCCACTGTCAAGCTGTCCCTCTGAAGTCAAGCTGCTTTTCTCCAACGTCCAGCTACTTCTTCTCTTCTGTCTTTCTCAGCTGCTCTGCTGCTCTGCTGGTGGGGCCTGTGGTTTTTATGGGCACAGGATGGGGGACAGGGCAGGCCAGTATGGTTTTGGAAAAGGCAACATTCGGGTGGGGAAAACAGAAATGCATGTTCTCACTTTGGGCCATGGGTCCAGGCTTGAGGGTGTGGCTCTCGCCAGGGACCACACTTCTTCTACCCAGTATTTCCCTGCTTCCTGTTTGTATCATTTACACAGCTCCTTTTTAAAAAGAATACAATCATGGAGATAATAAAAAGCATGTGATTGTTGTATTTTCCAAAACATCCAGATGTCTTCGAAGATTCCAGCAAGCTAGTCTATGGTTTTGCAATATCACAAGCATCTCTTCAATATAAACTATAGCACAATTAATTTGGCTATCAAGCCTCAGCTTAATAATTCAATTCAACATAATCAAGTTCTAAGGCCTCTGATTATTTCTATTTGTTCTTGCCTAGAGGCTTGGAAAGAGTACAGGTTTTAAAAATATAAACAGAGGACTTATGATGCATTTGGAATATTCTACCTTCCTATTTTCAAAGCAAGAGGCTGCACTGCTTTGGAAAAGATTCCATGGAGAGAACAAAGGAAGCTTCTTCTATGAGATAATTTTAAAATTCATATATATCAGAGTTATTTGTGCAAACTTGGTAAATATTAATTTATCCAATATTTAAATCTAATGGGAAGTAGCATACATGAGGTAGACAGAGTGGTACTCTATGGAAGTTTCACAGAAGTAGGTTGAGGCCACACACCTGAGTTCAATTCAATGCCTCAAACATTTATTCAGCATTATCTTCACCCTTGTGAAAGGAAAATAAATCCTGGGGCCCCAAAATCACTAAGCTAAAGGGAAAAGTCCAGCTAGGAACTGCTTGGGCAAACTTGGCTCTCATTCTATTCAGTCACCACTCTGCTCACTGAGATAAATGCATATCTGATTGCTTCATTTGGAGAAGCTAATCAGAAACTCAAAAGAATGCAACTATTTTCCTCTCATCTACCTATGATCTGAAAGCCCCCTCCCTGCTTCAAGTTGTCCCACCTTTCTGGACTGAACCAATGTACATCTTACACATATTGACTGATGTCTTATGTCTCCCTAAAATGTACACAAACCAAGCTGTGCCCCTATTACCCTGGCACACGTCCTCAGGACCTCCTGAGGCTGTGTCATGGGTGCACATCCTCAACCCTGGCAAAATAAACTTTCTAAATTACTTGAGACCTGTCTCAGACTTGTGGGGTTCATACCCTAGATGAGCTTACCCTCAGAAAATAAAGACAAAGCGGCCGAGCAAGGTGGCTCAAGCCTATAATCCCAGCACTTTGGGAGGTCAAGGCGGGCGGATCACAATGTCAGGAGTTCGAGACCAGCCTGGCCAACGTGGTGAAACCCCATCTCTACTAAAAATAGAAAAGTTAGCCGGGTGTGGTGGCAGGCACCTGTAATCCCAGCTACTCGGGAAGCTGAGGCAGGGGAATCGCTTGAAACTGGAAGGCAGAGGATGTAGTAAGCCCAAGATCACGCTACTGCACTCCAGCCTGGGCGAAAGAGCGAAACTCCATCTCAAAAAAAAAAAAAAAGAAAGAAAGAAAAGAAAGACAAAGTATTTGGTAAAATTTTACATCACATTGGGGCTACTATGCAGATAAAAATGGGGACACATCCTAAATTTAGGTCAGAAGGGAAGAATAACTTTCTTTGGAAAGACTAGGGAAAGTTTGAGAAAGAGGGACCTTGAAAGTCAAACTGGGGAGTTTAGACTTGATCCTCTAAACAATGGAGAGTAATATTGTCAGCACAAGAATGAGGAAGAGTAATGTAATTGGTGTGCAGGTCAGGAAAGGAAAGATGAAAGGGAAGGAGAAATATGGGCTTAATTACAATGACCCCAGGATAATCAAAACAGAAATTTGTTTTAAGTGCCTAAGACTAGTGACAGAACACGTGACGATGAATAAAAGACAGTAATCAAAGAAGACTCAAACTACTGATTCTAGGCAGCATATTTTGTTTAATAAAGAAATGTTAATTCAGCACAAGTAGGACTTTATTGGGAATGTTTAGTTCATTCTAAAACACAGTGACACTGAAGTCCAGTGGAAAACCCAAGTGAGTTCAGCACTTGGAGGGAAGGAAGAGGGACACCATGCCATAGGCTGATTCTTGACGGATGCATGTAGTCCAGACAAACAAGGAAGCCATTTCTAGCAGCAGAGACATTGGTATGTTAAGGTTTCCTTTATAGGGCCTGATCATTTTTCAGGAGCAAATTGCAGAGGGCAAGCGTTTCGGTTCTACCCAATTCAGCTAAATTTGCACTTCCATAGACAGAAGAAACACCACAGAATTCACCAGGAAGCCAAATGCTGCTGGTGCTTTCATGTGGTAATGGAGCTGGCTGCCTGTGGAGCCATTCACCTAACTGCTACCACACCTAAGTAGTACCTACTTCCCTAAACAGCCCCACCAAGGATTCCATTAGACTGGCCCAGGGCAGAAATAATTCACAGTCCCCTCTTGACAGATAATGAGCAGATGGTGACAAAAGAACACAGAAGTGACAGAAGCCACAGTCTAGCTACTTAAAGGGAAGTGAAGGAATTAAGGAATGGATCACATAATTTCGACAGTATTAATAATATTTACAGAGAAATACCATGGACAAATAACTGAAGGGTCTTAATTACAACCCTAGAATTCAAAAAACACAACTTTCATACATGTAGAGATGAGTGCAACCACAGAAAGTGCAAAAAGCGAGGGATGGTCAAAAATCTAATTCAATAGTGTAAAGATTTGCAAGCACATACTGTGCTTATTTTCCATTCATCAATGTGGAACAAGCCTTTCCGAGCCCATCTCTCATCATTTTTTCACCCAATAAAAGCTTACCGCCTGAGCAATTACATAGATTTTGAAAACCAGTGAAGCTGACCTATTAATAACACAGTCAATTCTCCATTTTTCCCAGGCCCTCTCAGAGGCCACACACTTTATGCTATTATCTTCCCTCTGGTCATTCCGTTGTCCATTATCACCTCCACAGGGAAAAAGAGGTGAATCTCAAATCAATCCATTTAGCAGTGCTGGTAAAAGGGTAAGGGGAAAAAATGGAGAGTGTTCTCTACAATAAATATAGCCCCTAATCATTAGGCATGTATCCACAAGCTTTCCTTAGTACTGAAAATGTGCTAGAAGTTGTCATGCTTTGTTTTCAAATTAATGATTCTTCACTATTTCCATGTTACAGAAATACATTGAGAGACTCATGAATCTCTTTCACCCAAAAGTGGCAGACTAACTAATGATTTCTTAGGCAGTTGTCTACTCGAAAAGACAAATATAGAAAGTTGGACCACTGGTTAGCAGCTCATCATTTATACCTACTGGACAGTGAGTAATCACCTCTGAATTTGATTTTTAAGCCATGGACAAACAAATTTTGAGTTGATTTTGGAAATTATCCAGTGTCCATCTACCCTTTTAAGACAATTAATAATAACTCTAAAGTAAAACAAGCAATCTGAGGCAACTCTCTCTACTTCAGTTTCCCTTTGTGTAAAATGGGGCTATTCACAACTTTTATCAACAGAACCTACTGTACAAGGTTTAGATGAGATAATATACATGAACTGCATAAACAGCACTCTAAATAAACCTTACGATCAATATCATTATTAATATTGTTGTTACTGTTGTTATTACTGGACTTCTGGATAAGAAGTTGGCCCTGCCAATACTCTTTGTAATTCAAGAAACCAGGAGAGCACATTGTTTCTAAACAGTCTCATAAATTAACATGAAAAGATCTGGGGTGGTGTTATAAGCCTCCAGTATTAAGGGGTAGTGTCTGATCAAAAATCATCTCATGTGTTTTTTCACGAGTTTCCCACTGGCTTGGGAAGTATTCCCAACATGCAGACAGCCCAGATGAAACCAAAGGCTAGGAAGGGGCATATCAAACTGTGCTCTATCCTCTTCTACTCTTTTCAGCCACTGAAAAGTTTTGCTGAAAAAAGGGGAGGAAGGGATTGAAGTGTGTTTAATGTGTGTTTGCAAATACACCACTTGCATGCAAGTCAACTTTGTCCATCAAATGGCAATCTACCGCGAAACTTAACAAAGTATTGTTTGAATTTTCTTTTGGCCAACAAGAAGAACCTAAAGTCCAACTTCCTGTAACCATCAACACATTAAACCATATAAATTTAGATTTATTGTAACCTTCCCAAGCTTTGTGCTGTACTCAATGTGCAAATCATGAAGACTAAAGATGGATCCTATTTTGTGGAGCCAAATTAAGGCGTTGTGATTTCTAGCCTTCTTTTCCCTTCTCTGGAGAGCCCTGGGTCCTCAGAGGCCTCTATCAGGAAATAATGGGCCTAGGATGAAATAAACAAAATAATAACAAGCAAAAAATAAAGAAGAGAGCAAATGCACAAAATTTCACAAGACCTTTGCTTTGCTCTTGTTAATTATGCCAAGACAGATACACAAAGTTAATGCTGAGTTAAATTTCTCATTCTGTGGAAAACCACATCTGTGTGAACATCTACGTAACCGATAGTTTTACTCAGTGCCAAGAAAGGTGTATCATCAAGCGAAATTATTATTCTTTAAACAGACCTATCCAGTGTGGCATATGAATTGCCTCATGTGTGGTTTGGAAAGCTTGCTGCTGATCAAGGTTGGGTTTACCAGCCAATATTTGTCTGACAAACCTGCTCAGAGTAAGGCAGAAAGGTGGTGGTTGTACTTCCCCCTCCACTGGGTAATCAATCTATGGGAATAAAAAAATACTTCTGAGGAAGCAGTCCTTCTCACTGGATTATGAAGATCTTCTTGTGTTCCAGGTCTGGTCAGTGCTATTCCATTTACTAACTCAATTACATTTTTGCAGAATGCGGTACACTGGGCAACTCTGTTAGCACCACAGAGATGAAATGAATGGGCCAAAGTTCCTAAAGTCTAATGAGCGAGATAGACATGTAAGCAGACACATTTTATAATACAATATAAACAGAGAACCAATCAAAGTTCAAACAAAACTCTGTAGAAGCCCAGAGAAAGGAGTAACCAGGAGGGAAAGTGTCATCCACGTGCCTCTTAAAGGAAGAGTTTGCCAAATGGAGAGTATGCGATAATGTTCTAGGTAAATGGTAAACAGCATGGGAAAGGCAAAGTATCAAGAGGGCCATGCCTCACCATGTTTGGCATGAGGGTACAGGGGATGGGTGCTGAACAATGAGGTCTGAGGAGTGGTTTGAGATCTAGATTGTCACGGATCTTGCGTGGCATGATAACAAGTTTTGATGGGCTTTATCCAAAGATATAGGTTTCTAAAGGAATATGATGTGATTTCTTTATTTTTTTTTTTTAGAAAATTAATTCTGGGGACACCAAAAACAGTACAATGGTTTAGGGGACACTGATGGTGGGGAGAACAGACAGGAGACTGCCGCTACCAAGAGAGAAGCCAGCCCTGATATCTAGCCTCTCTGAAGGTACTTTTCTAGCAGATGGAGTTAAATTGAGCAATATTTTCTATGTGGCAAAATACACAGAAAAACTTTCAGAAAGTCACAAGTGACTACAAGTCAGACAACTATAAAAAGCACTGATTCTCCGGTCAGAAAAAAAATTCTAAAAACTATCTAGCTCAGTGATTTCCAATAATGGGAGCTTTCAAGAACTCACATTCCCAGGTTTCATCACAGACTTAACACATCAGAATCTCCACCAAAACAGGATCCACCTTAGTCTTCATGATTTGCACACTGAGTATAGCAAAGGGCATGAGAAGGTTACAATAAACTCTAAACTTACAGGGTTAAATGTGTTGATGGTTACAGGAAGTTGGACTTTAGGTTCTTCTTCTTGGCCCAGGAATCTGTATTTCTAACCAGCTCCTTCGGTTAATTCAGGTAGATAGGTCAAGTTTAGAAAAGAGTGACTATAGGCCAACCTATCAGATTTCTCTGTGAGCAGGGACAAAGTCTTGTCTGAAAGAGTATCCCAAGTGCCTAGCACAAAATTTAGCATGGTGCCTGGCACACAGTGAGGACTCAATCTTTGTCAAATCCTCAGTTACAAGCTCGTGACTCAAACGGATGTCTGCGTGGCATTCCTTCGGGACTCAGAGATTATTAGAATCAAGTTTTAAATTCCATTGCTGTCAGCACCACTGGACTTGTTCTTTACCTATCTGAGTACAAAACTACTTTTTAAAACCATTTCCCAAAGAATTTTAATCTCTCTTACATTTCCTAAAGTAGCAAAACAAGGTCTTTTTGTTTTATGCTGGGTTGAATGTTGGTTCAGAAGCTACTTACTAAGATGTTAACAGCTTACAAAATACACTCTAGTGCCTGCTTCTCTCAGGTCCAATTTGATTAATTATATGTATATATTACATTATATATTATGTGATCTTAACAGAAAAAGCCTATGTGTTTCCTAGCTTGGAGGTCTGGGGCATGCCTAACATCTTGTTAAATATAGCTTTCCTACATCAATAAATTTACGGATTCACAGTGTTGAAAAAAACAGGGGCAAATCTCAAATGTTGAATGGAACACAGAAATTATACTATACATACATGCAATTATAATGATAAATGAAAAATAACCCCAGTACCATGTATTTTTACCAGGACATCTGAACACTGCTATTTGTTCAGAAGTATCTGCAGTAGAAACAGTAAGAAGTTCCTTTACTTAATTGAAAATTATCTTCTGAAAGAAATAGTTCCACAATGAACTCATAGCCCAAGAGTATCATTCTGATTCCAATGTACACAGCAAGGTATAATCATTCTATAAGGATAGAATAAGCCTTAAGCAAGCATAACGATAATTTACATGCTAATCTTCTACAATAAAATATTTTCATGACTCTGCCAAGAGTCATGTATAAAGTGAATTGTGTGAGGAAAGTTGTTAAAATTCATTTTGATAAAAATCTTTGTACTTTGGCAAGGACATAACCATGGCTCACTGAGCTCAGTGTCATAGTCTAGACATGGAACTCCTTGGAAGCTGCAGGCACTGGTGTCATCGGCAGAAGGACACATGGCTGTGAGGTAGAAGGCATGGGGGTGGGTATAAACCCATTAATTGCCACAAAGGCTATGCTTTCAATGAACAAATAAAGTCCAAGTTAGGACCCAGTTCATTCCCCAAACTGAGACAAGTCAGTAGAAGGTAATGGTAAGACAATGAAATCATTATCATTTTGGAGACAGAAGGACCTACAGTCGGCATTCATTAGGCCTCTCCTATGTGCCAGAACAGGTAGACATTTTAAAGAATTATCTCAATCCTAAAATTAATAGCTCTAGGAGTAGAAAGAGCTACTCCTCCATTTTCCTCCATTTTCTACTTAAGGAGACAAAGAGTAAGACTGTCCATCTCCAAATGAAGAGCTCTTTTCACTAACACTATGAGTTTCTGGCATACTTAGTGTTGACTGCACTCCCTTCAATCTTGTATAAAACTGCAATGCAATTAGGTTTTGTGTCTACCTCTCTGCTCACTAGCCTAGCTGGCCTCAAGTGGAGGGATCATGCCTTACCTACTTTTGGCCTGTCCCATCTTACTCTATGCCCAGTTCATGGATAGTGCTAAAAATCATCTCCTGAATGAATGAGCAAGCTTTCTTCATTTGGTGAAACCTCCATAAGAATATCTCCTTCATGAAGATCAGGCCAGTCAGACTTAAATATATTTTCTGATTGCATTTTGTACTTTTCTTCATTTACAGTTTCCCTAAGACCTATTTGGAAAAAGAAAATCACCAATTAAAAACTATTTGGGTTACATCACTATTTTTATCATATTAAGGACATATGTGCTAAACTGGCACTACCTAGCTTCAGGCTATAACCATACTTCCTCCCCATAGTACATAAGACTTATATTTGTTGGTGCATTTCAGAGATATAAACACGTACTAACTCCCCACATATATACCTACAGATGATTCTCATTTTATTAGTAGACCTCTTTAAAGTAGTAGCAAATATTTTCTCTCTTCAAATATTATATCATTCAACACTGCCAGTACAAAAGGTATTCAGATTAATTTTGCCGAACTATGCAAGTAATTTTCCATGTTAAAATACAGTTCTGTGGCCACATACTTTACAATGTACTGCTAAAGTACTAATCAACTTTAAAAAAAAAACATTAAAAAAGCAAGTGTCAGAACTCCGACAATAGCAAATCATAGATTGAAAAGAATGTTGTTGGATACAGACTTCATACCTCAAATCACCGAAAGAAATACTCATTTTGGCCAAGAATCGGGATCCAACCACGTATTTTATAAATATAGATTTCACCAAGGCATTTGTTTTCTGAAGCCTTCAACTATGCAACAGAAAAACAATTAAGAATTAACCTTTACAAAGGTCTAAATGTAAACAATTTAGCAAAGAGAAATAAACATGCTCACTCTTGGAACCTTTAAAATTAAGAGTCTCAGATTTGACAATAGTAAAAACAGAACTGAACAAAACATGCAGAAATACACTGTAAAGAACTGTTCCACAGGGTTTAATGACACTAACATCAAAATAAAGCCAAGCTTTGGAATACACGTTGGCTTCATAATAAATTGTCTTTCTATTCACTGTTAATGGGTTGAGGAGGTTTGCCAAACTACAAAATGTCCCTTTTGCACTAGCCTGCCTTATTTTGCAAAACAAAATTTTAAAAAATCATTGTATTTCTATTGGTGTGTGTTTGCAAAAGGTAACCTGGATAGTTAAACTGTAAATCCAGTCAAAAAGAGAAACGACCTCATTTCAGAAAACATTGATGATTTATTTTTCCAAAAAAAATCCTCAAAATTCTCTTTCCAAAATCAAAAGAAAAGTTTGACCCTTGAACTCAACTCACCCTAATTATCATTTATCCTTAAAATGGATACTTTCATCAAAATAGCGCAAACTCAGAAAAGGAGATAATCCATTATTAACTGAATGGAAGAAATGATGCAGGGGCTAGCAGCCAGTGTATTGGTTAGATGATATCTCTTGAGGCCGTAAGAGCGAAAGCTCCTGAAAGGCAGGACTCTGTCTTGGTTACCATTTTATTTATATAAAACCTAGTCTATCATAGCACAAGACAGGCATGCAGTGATAAATGTTATCAATTTGAATAATGCCTCTTTATAGGAATATAACACTGTATTGTTATCAAGGTATTTTCACACACATTAATCTTATGTGACCTCTCAACAACTCTGTTGAACTCTGTAGAGAGGAAATTAAGTCTCCAGGAGATTAAGTAATTCATACAAGGCTGAATATAGAAAGAAGCATGCTGACATGAGAATGTAGGTTTTCTTTTCCTTCCCCCAAAGCAATCTCATTTATTTCTCACTCCCCACCACAAAGTGCCAAATACGTACATCATAGGATTATACTCATTCAGAACAGGTAAACTTGTCATCTAATCTAATGCTGAAGAGTGAAATGCTATTATTTTAAATCAAAATATTTCTAGGCTTGTGATTTTTTTTTACTGTTCCAACGAAAACAAACAACTCTCATCATTTTGGGTGGTTTCATAAAGAATGGAACTTCTCAATTCTATCTGCAGAATTCTACATCTGTATGATAAAATGTAAAATGCCCAGCCTTAGTAGCCCTTAACTTCTTTCTGGCTCCAGTTACCCAATCAGAAGTGAGGCAGGTAGGACTTTCCTGTATAAATTCAGAGGCAGTTGTGAGAAATAAATGAAATCCTGGATGTGAGAACTGGAAAATGTAAGGGCCCGGAGTGATGAGGGTGGATACGAATGTGCTCTCAAAATCAATCTTAAAAAGAGATTCCTGGAACCTCTATGGCCCCTATGCACGCAAACAAACCTCTTACCTCCACTTTGTCTATTAGATATGATGAATATTATAATTCCTTGCATTATTTCCTTTGTCTAAGTACTTGAGTCCAATTTTGGGAGCAAAGTGGGAGAGGAAATCATTACAGAGGCTGTTTAGATGCTAGATTCTGATG
Organism: Homo sapiens; assembly: GCF_000001405.40. Taxonomy (NCBI): domain Eukaryota; kingdom Metazoa; phylum Chordata; class Mammalia; order Primates; family Hominidae; genus Homo; species Homo sapiens. Next base: position 85,538,886 of record NC_000014.9, on the reverse strand, counting down.
AACGTGACATGTAGAGGCAGCTGGGGCTAAGAGTGACACCAGCATGTGAACCTATTTCAGGACTGATATGCGTCTAATGTTTTCCATTCAGCCATATGACCTCTGTTGACTTCAATGGACAGTATATTTGTGAACCAATTTTAGGAGCCACTGTTCTTTTGCTCCCTGCTGAAGGTGGTTTCAATTGTTCTGAGGCCTAATATCATCTATAAACTTTGGGACCTGATATTTTTTCAGTGGGTTGAAATCCAAAAGCCCTCAGGTTCTTAAGGGGTTCAGATGGAAGATTCTTTTATCTGTGTCTTGAAAGCTCTAATAAAGAGAACTGAAATATAACAGTATGACATGTGAACTGAAGGGAACAGAAGACCTTTTTCCAAGTTTCTTGCACATTCCCTTAAAAGTAACCTGGGAACAAAGTGGGGGGAAAAACTGCTCAGTTCTAATGAGCATCTAATGGTTAGTAGCTCCAGAGAGTTACTTTGTGAATGCTTCAAAAATGGCTGAGGTCTTTAACCATTAAACTGCCAGAAAAAGTATGTCCTTAGTAAGTATCAGCAGAATAACTGACCAGTGTTTGAGAATCATCAACGTGTCCTTTTGACTTTCCAAATTATATAAGAATATTTTCTTTGACCTTCCCTGATTAACAGATCCGGATGTAACAATGACACTGCTTTGTTTGGGTGACTCAAGGCACATGGCACTGCACACTTTTGCAGGAACACATCCTACATTAAATTAAGTTAGAGGTGGTATTTGAAAAATAAATAAATAACGGAGTTCCAATTCACTGCAAATGGTACAGGAGGCCAGTAAGTGGGAGGCTTGCAAGAGAAGGACTTCTTTTAGAAAGATGTTTTACAGAACTTTTTCTGCATCATTAACTCTTCTGGAATCCTGAACACAACATGATGAATTTCCCTGAAAAAGTAGCTACTGTTTAATTTTGAATCACTTCAAAGAGCCACAGTAGAAGGAATCAAAGAAAACCAAAAACACCAGTAGATGTGAAATTCGCTAAGGAAGAAAAAAAAAAAACAAAACATGAAGGTTCTAACAGATTTTGACCATGTACTCAAAATACCACTGATTATTTTACTAGTACAGTGTTTTACTGTTCCATGAGAATGAAATAAGTCTCTGTATTCATCAGAACACAGGATATTTTTATTACAATATTTGTGTCATAGCCTTTAAAAAAGGAACATAGTTCAAACCTTGAAAAGAATCTCTGTCTTAAAATGGTTCTTGATGTATGTGTGTGTTGTGTGTGTGTGTGTGTGTGTTTTACTATAAACAGATACGTAATTGGAGGTCCTTTATTACTGAAAGGAGTAAAAGTATACTGATACGTCAATTCGCGACATGTAGTTTTAGAAGAAAGATATAATTGCACAAAAGCAATTTGGAGAGTAGAAAAAGTAAGAAAGTTGTCTGAAGTAAGATAATGGTTGTTTAACTTTAATAATAATAATAGCTAGTCTTAAAAAAGTCTTTTGTGTAAAAATTGCCCAAGGGAAAAGAAAGAAAACCTCCTAAAAATTCCATATCCCCAAATACCACTAGATCAAAAACCATCTGGAAAATGTCAGATAATGGTATCCACCCACCTAAGAAATTCAGTAAACTTTGTCTTCAATTAGCATTTGAAATAATCGGCTAAAATTGAAATTTCTATCTGAAAACCCTCACAAGACAAACCTGGATTAGGAATCAGATTTTTAAAGTCTCCTTAAAAGGACCATCTGTTTATAAATACTCTTCTCACACTCTTTGATCTGTACCATAAGTTCACAGTAGAAGCACAGCAGAATTTAAAGACATATACACACAGCTACCATGAAGTCTAGTTACCACATACATATTTTGAGCTCGTCTCAAGTTTCCCTTGTTATGTAAGCACTTAGGAGCAATAAAATTTCACTTACATTCAGCAGCATTGTGAGTCCCAAAACAATAGTCAGCCTGACTGTACAATCCCTTCATTGGCAGTGGATAGCTCTGGTGTTTTATTTATGTTGATCACACTGTCAATGCTATATGGAATAACCATTTAGTTGCCTCTCTATTAGTCCATAACATTTTTATTACTGTAATTAAATGTCATTATCCATATTGAACTCTGTATTAGAAAAATCAAATTAGGTAAACTGAAATATCCAGAAAGAACTACAGAACTGTTGGGATTCACCCCCAGCACCCTGACGTCATCTTCAGACTTTGATGAGAAGGAAAAAAAAAAAAAACCATGAGTATTCACTTCTCACAGATAGAGGTCACTAATGGACTGAATTTGAATCACTGTAGCAGAAATCACAAAGTTATTAAAGTAATCTAGTGAAAAAGGAACTCGAATTGAAATTAAAGATATCAAAAGATGATTATCCAGAAAAGTCTGACCTGAATACAAATATTACATCACCTTGACCTTTTTTGAATCTTCTAAACAGAGAGCAAAACCAAAAGCCGCTCGGCACCCTTGCTGTTTTTTAACTTCAGACGCTTCAGATCCCAGAAGCAGGAATTCTTCCTTGTAAAGTACAAAGCTCAAGAGTCAAACTAGATCAGATGTTCACACTGGGTCTCTACAGAATAAAGCTTCTGGACTTGTACATACTTGAGCCTTTCTTAAAACCACAGCTTCAAACTGGGAAAATATAAAGTTGTCTAAATCCTAAATCAAACTCTCCAGCAGGCCAGAATATAAATGTAACGGGCATCAGAGAAGGTTCAAATTAGATCCAGCCGGTCAAAGTCAAACTCGTATATGATCACATCATCTGAAACCTAACATACAGGAAAAGCCAGGACTGCTTTGGGGACTCCAGGGTAGCCCAGCATGGTGTCATTTGGGAATCTACTTTCTTCTGCTAAAAGCATCCCCTGGAATTTCTAAAACTGCAATGAAACTACTGAAGTGTTAAGACATGGGCTTTAAAACAACAACAACAACAACAACAACAAAAAAAAAAAAAAAAAAAAAAAAAAAAACAGCATTCCTTCCATGCTAGGTTTGTAATAGGTTCTGCTACAGTACAGCTAGCCCAATTCTTTTTACAATTTCTTGTATCTCTACTGGCAGAGACATGGAATAATGTTTGAAATTTCATCTTCCAACCTCCTCCAGTCAAAGATATTTGCAACTCAACATGACAGTATGGTGTTGCACTGTCTTCAGTGATTATTAAAAAATCCCTAAATGGTTTAACCCTATCCTGTTTCGGGCTTTCAAGGAGGGGAGGAAGAGAAGTAGTATTCTCAGACGCAATAACGCTGTGGAGAAAGAAGTAACTTTTCATGGTATGCGTATTACCTACAGATTGATTCTCTGCTAATATGGTGGCTGGTGGCTTGCCCGTCATAAGTAGCTGGCCCATGTTGTTCAGTAATGAAAACAAGTGAGAATCTAGTTCTAACACTTCAAATACGGACCTAAAATTTTACATTCACACTGAACAACCTAATATATCCCTGGACAAATGCCAATCTGCATTCTATTTACCTCAAAATGTTGTTGTTTTTTTTTTTTGGGGGGGGGCTTTTCATTGGATATTTATTAAGGTCATACCGGTTAAGTCTACAGATAATATCGGTCCGATATGGAAGCTAGCCTTCAGATTAGCTTTTGGTTGTGAGAAATTAGACATAATAAATTTAGCAATAAGTCTGTGAGCGAGTGGACATGCTCCAAAGCGCCCTGAAACCCTGTGTGATTAAAGAGCCTCCCAGCTGAGTGGGGAGCAATAGCTCCCATTTAGAAGAGGCTTTGCATAGCAAATGCAGCATGTAAAGAAATCTAATCAGCACCTTGCACTCTTGAGCGAGCGTTTACACGGATTTGTGCCTTACACTTGGTTAGCTAACTGTAAGCTTTACAAGAGATTCTCTTACTAAAATTAATCAAAAGCTCTTGAAGACTGATTCCCATTCACAGGAGAAGACAGGATGAGTTTCCAGGCGAATAAATAATGATCATAATAAAGATAGCAGCAAACGCTGAGCTGCTTTGAAACTAAAAACTCAGTTGGGGGAAAGGGGGCGTCGGGGAGTTGGGGCTGGAATCTTTTTGCTTTTGGAGTGAGCTGCAGCTATTTTCTTAGCCTAAGTAAGGCTGCCGTTCGGGAAACGTGACCGTCTTCTCTCCGCTGCCGCCGCCTCAATGCGCACACGCGGCCACTCACTACCTTAGGACCACTGCGCATCAGGCCACCGAGAAAAATTCCGCCTCTCTGCAACACCACTAACCCCCTCCCCCAAACACACGCACACACACAGACACACATACGGACAGTCGTGGCAAATTCACATCACCAATAGCTAACACGTTTCACCTCACCCCTGAAAATGTAACTTCTAAAGTTCCTATTTTATGATGCCAGAAGGTGAAGGGAGGGAAGGAGGATTCCAGGGATGTCAAAAGGGGAAAGGATATTTTTTCCTCTTTGCTTGCAATATTTCACCCCTGAAATTTGCTGTCCAGCTAAACGAAGCAGGAGAGTAGGGAGTGGGCTCAAATCATTTTTTAAAAATGCTAAACGGGTGAGAGTGTGAAGGGGGGAGCGTGCGGTAAGTGAAATCCATGAACCATTTCTCTGGACTGAAGAATACTAAAAGCCCCTGGATTCACGTTCCAAATTTCCAAAGAGCTACAAGATGAGGCACCAGCTGGGGCTGAGGGTTCTCACCCACTCCTGGGGGAATTTGCCTCTCAGCACAGCTGCCCCTCTAACGTGACTAGTGATCTGCCAGCGCTCGGTGCTCATCCCCGGGATCTTGAACTTCGCCTCCCTCTTACTTTCTGCCAGACCCGCGAGGGCCAGGAAGGGCTCTGGGAGGAAGCGGGAGCGCAGCGGCGGGGCATGGAAGAAGAGGGTTGGGGGCGCGCGTTACCTGCAAAGGTTCTCGAGGTCTCCTTCCAGCCCTGGTGGTAATCCCGCTCAGCGCCGCGCCCTCCCCCAGATCCAAACTTTTGCTGGGTCCTCCGGGTGGCGGCGGCGGCGACGGCGGCGGCTGCTGGAGCCAAGCCCTGTCGCCCGCAGCGTCGGGGCGCGGGGGTGCGGAGGCCGGAGCCTCAGAGCGGCGCGCGCCTCCCCGCAGCGGGCCGGGGCCGGGGCGCCCAGCTCGCCTCGCTTGCTCTCGCCTACGTCCCCTACGGAGCTGCGGCATCGTCTTCCCCCGTCCTCCGCCACCACCGCCTCCAGGGTTCGGGCATGCCACTTTCTCTTGGCTTCGGCCGCCGCGACCCCCGCCTTCTCTCCTCCTCCGCCTCCCCCTCTCCGCTTCGCCAAGCCAACGAACCCCAAAAGAAGTACAGCGAGCGGGGAAGGCGGCAGAAAGCTGCCCCGCGGCGCCGGAGCTCCTCGGATTTGGAGGATCCCGGGACTCGGCGGGAGAGCTAGGCGGGCTCTCCTCCGACGCGTGTGTGCGGACAGCTCGGAGCCGGGCGTGCGGCGCTGCGCGGGGGCGGGCGCAGGGCTCGCTCCAAGTGCTGCGCCCGCCCGGCGTGGGTCTGGAGGCTGCTCAGACCACACTACTGCCTCAATCCGACGCGGCCGGGCTAATGTAGGCGCCGCGGCCCCCACCCCTACCCCTCCTGACACCCCCGGATATGTTTACAGTAATGAATTCGCGGGATCGCCTCCGCAGCTCCCGCGCTCCTCCTCTCCCTCCGTCCCTCGCGCTCTGGCGCGCTCCGCTCCTGGAGCCCTCTTTCTCTCCCTCCCTCATTCCCTCCCTCTCTCCCGGAGTCCCTCCTACTTTTCTGGTTTAAAGAATGCTTGGGAGGCGCGGCTGCTACCCAGTGATTTCCAAGAGGCAAAGTCAGACTTGGCTTTTAACCCTGTCCTCTCTGAAAAGAGTTGAAGAGCGCCTGGCTAACCCGGCAGATGCCACCCTGACCTTCTCTCTATCTACCCGGCACATGCCGTTCCTACCACCAGTCCTTAGGGATAATGTCACCATCTGAACCCTGAAAGGAGAATTCCCCATACCTGCTTAATGGTGTACTGCCAAGAGGGAGGATCTATTACTTAGACACTGAGAAATGATCGAAATGTGAGATTAGAGGGTAAAATACAGCAAACCTCTCAACCAAAATGGCGTTATTTCAAATGCAGGCAACCTTGGTGATGTGCCCCCCACTCCTCACCCCATCACTAGTTCCCTCATCCTGGACCACCTTAAATGACTTTAACTGGGGGAGTAATCCAAAATTTAATAGGATTAATTTAAACACCCCCACTTTCTTCCTTCAACCTGGCTGCTTCTGGCAAGAGCGTTGTTAAATTTCCCCATAGATTGCAGCGGACAAAGAAAGATTCAGCCTAAAGATTAGGAAACAGTCTTGACAGCTAAGAAGCCTGATTTCTGTACAGGCAACGTTTCCACTTCGCAGTCTCTTTCCAAAGGTTAAAGGGTAATGTAAAAAACAAACAAACAAGTAAAAAAAGCTAGGTGCACGTCTCTATTTAGGAAGGAGGAGATGTTTTTGGTTTTCTCATCTTATTTCGTGCTGCTCTTCCTGCCTCCAGTAAGTTGCTGTCATGTTGTAACAAGTCCGGTGAGGCTGAATCTGAACAGAAGAGGGAGAACGAGCCCGCGCCAAGAGCTACGCCGAGACGCGCCGTCGGTGGGGCCACGCGAGATGCAACCGGAGAGTTTAAAACTAGCCCAGGACCAACCCCCCAGGGATCCGCTCAACTCTCCCCGCAGAAGAGTTTAAGTGGGGCAGTGGCCGCCACAGGCTGAGGATGATTTCCGGACGCGCCCCAGGCGCGACCGCACTACTCGTCCTCAGTTCAAAGCCTGAGTGACTTGGCACCACTTCCCCAATTGTTTTTTATTTCCTTCGCATCCCTGTTGTGTCTACCGCTTTCACGTATTTGAGAGCCTAAATCATGTTAAGACGACTTGGAGAAACGCCCGATTTGCCTCCCAAGCCACGCAAGGATCCACCCAGACGCACGCCCGCGCGGAGACGCACGCTGGCACACGCGCTCACACACGCGAGCACACACACGCGCACACTACCCGGTTCGTGCGCGCGGGTCGCTGTTCCTGTTGCATTATGCAAAGGTGGCTGGGAAAGCGCGTTGACTTACATTTACATAGCCCATCTTCTCCCCACAGTATGTGACTAATACGTATCCCGGGGAGGAGGGAGCGCGGCTGGGGGTGCTAATCGGAAGGGAACAGACAGTGAGTGCCATCTTGCTGGGAGGTTCCAGAAGCAAAGCGCCAACGACGACAGTAGCGGTGGCCTCAGCTCCACCAGTAACTGCCGCTGGCAGGAGCACCACACGCTCTAGGAGTTTCCCGGGTATCAAGTATGGGTCCAGCCCGTCCCAGTTATCCTCTTCCCCTATGGCTTCATTCCCGTTGTCAGTACCCCGACCTCAGCTTGCAACCTTGATCTTGGGCTTGATTATAAATGACGAAAGACCGCGGCAGCCTTCAAAGTGCGGGAGCGAGCCCCGTACTGGTCAGCGCGGCGGAGGGATCTTTCCAGGAGGCCCCAAGCCCCCAAGCCTGTGGAGAGACTTGGTAACAGCTGGCAAGGCCTGCTCCAGCCACCCTCGCTGGCTCCTTGCCCCTGCATTCAGCGCCTGAGGGCGTTATTCGCCCTCTCCCTGCGTCCCACGCAAGCGGCTCAAGGAACTCACTCGATCCGGATTCCGCCTCGTATGCTCTCCAAGCCTTCGCCACCTCCGCAGGCGCTCTAGAAAGGCGTGATGGCCCCAGCTCAGTGCCCGCCAGCCCGAAGAGGACAAGCAGGGCTGGAAGGGACTTGGTTTTGGAAAAAGCCCCACCCGCCCCCACCAACTGGAAGGAAAAGGAATTAGTATCCACCGCATCTGTTTAACTGCTAATAGATCCCAGATTACGGGCAGGTAGTAGGTTGGTGTCTTTAGATACAACAGCCTGATAATAACGCTGGTGACATTAACAACAGCTTGTGGAGGGGAGAGGGTTGTTACTGGTGAAAGTTAAGAGATTCAATCTAGGGAAGTAGGAGACTGAACTCTGACAAGGTTAGGGGCACTGAGAACCCCAATTTAGCATCGATGCATCTACCAGGCAAGAAAATTTGCGTTTTGACCCAGAACTCAGTCATGATGCTCCGTAGAGGAGGTGGATTCGACCAGCAGACAGATGTCCCCAAAGTCGAGAGAGAGCTAAGCTGCCTATTTTCTCTCCAGGTGAAAGACAAAGCCTAGAGCACCCCACTTAAGATGACCACCCCCAGCTCTTTCAAAAAAAAAAAATCCCCCGAAGAGACAGCGTGGTGCCAGCGTAGCAGCAGCTCGGCCGGTTACTGGAAACTTCACCTGGCAACGCAGCCCCTTTTACCTGACGGCTGCGTCTTCTCCTTGCAATGGGCTCATCCGAATCCGACAGGGTCAGGGAGGTGGAAAGGGAAGACGCTGGCGCGGCAGCAGCGGGGATCCCGGGGCATGGTATTGTTTTAGGGGTCGCCGCCGAGGTCCCTCCTGCCCATCGTTGAGAACTGCCACCCTGATCCCAGGGCTCGGTGGACACGGCGGCGGGAGCGGAGATGCCGCCTCGCCGCTGCTGGGCACCAGGGACGGAGGACCAGAGGCGCACCTCGGAAAGGAGTAGCTCAGCGCCTTGGCGCGGAGATTTGCGGGCACTGATGATATCTCGAGCGCTCGTTCCTCCGCGGTGACAATGGATAATGCCAAACGCGCAAGTGACGGCGACAGGTTTCGAACGTACAACTAACTACAAGGTACCCAGCCTGAGACAGTATGCTGCTTTTCCCCTCCTCCTCCTCTCCCTCCTACCAGGGAGGGAACTAACTTAACCCTGTGTGCGCCTGACACTCCCTAGAGAAGCTGGGATCGACTAGGAAACCGCAGGCAGCGGCTCCCGGGGGCGAGAGCTTTGTTCACGTGCGTTTCCAGTGGGTGTGTTGCTGTCTAGGGGCACTCGCGTGGCAAGACGCCCGTGGCTGGCTTCCAGCGCCCAAGATTCAAGGAAGGGAAGGAGCCCTAGCGTTTCATCCGGACCAGACCCAGCCCTCGGAGTCTATTTTTTGCCTCCAGTTACCGGATTTATTGAAGTTGCCAGCGAAGTTGGTTTTATTCCTTTACTTCTCTGCTCTCCGCCCCCGTCCACATCCCCCAACCCTGTATTATTTCCTGTCCTAGCTGCGCTTTAAAGATTCGGAACTTTTCACTCGTTCTAGCTACAGATTTTAACTGTGTTCCGTGTGCGAGACGAATTGTGGAGGGCACCCACCCACCCATGCCAAGTGTAAATGAAACCGCAAGAAAAGCTGCCTCCCACTCACCCATCCAGTGTCCGAGTAAGCCTAATGACACACATTCACATAACTAAGAAGACACGGGAAGATAGGGGTGCGGAGGACGGAGTTTGATGTGTGAATGGGAAATGGAGAGAGGGGACAGCGCGCGCGAGAGAAACAGCGCGAGCCTGAGCCTTAGAATGGAATAAACGGGAAACACACACAAGAATGACGATGCAAAAAATGTATCTAAGTCCCAACATTGACAGCAGAGGGTCAGCTTTAAGCGCCTACATTTTGATCCGCGAAATTTCCCAGCTTTTTTGGAGGCGGTTACATAGAGAACACAGGAGCCTCTGCCTTGGCCGCCCAGATGCTTTGCATTTTGTAAACAGCTTTGACTAAGTGCTCTGGACTTCCAAGAAGTTAACTGGAGTGGAAGGCGAGTCATATTGTGGATGCGGAATGGAAGCTTAGACAAGAAAAAACTGTCAGCAGAGCGCCTCTGCTCTCACCGTCACACCCAAATGAGCCAGGACGTCGCTCAGAGCGCAAACTGAGATCCACACAGGGACATCTTCAACCGAATCTTTCTTCTGTCTCCATTCCGGACTAAGGAAAGAAAGAAAGAAATACGGAGCCTTTATAGAGTATTCAGAGGCTACACACATGGATCTTGCTGAAACGGAGTTATTTAAAAACAGAGAAAGTGTGTTTTCCCATGAGATAGATGTTATAGTTTCTCTCTGAAACATACCCAAGTCTATGGGTGTCAATAATAGCCATTTCAAATGCCTCTCTGAGCCTTGCCAGCCCCAGAAGAGGCTGTGGGAATGCTGCTTCCAGCTTCCCCTGTGCAGAACTCCGTTGTAAATCCTTCTGAGTTTCCAAGGTGGCAGCAGAGCATAGGGATAGCTCCTCAAGCTCCAGCATCAACAAGGAAGATCACATTTTAGGACAAATACTCATCTACCTGCATTTAAACATCCATTTTCGTATGTAAGTGTACATAAGTATCCGCAGGAGGTTCTTCCTTTGAAATCTTGATCCAGGAAAGCAGCATAATTATTTCATCTTTAAGAACACATTTTAAAAAGGCAAAGCAGGATCTTTAAAGCAACAAAGGTTTTGCTTTCTGATTTATGCTGCTAGAAAATGAATGAGATTGAAAATGGGGGAGGGGGTGGTTGCAGATTTACAGAATTCATACTTTAAATTATTGGTGTTTCTAAACCATGAGCAAACCATGTTATGAGTATGTGCCACCTATTAAAAGCTATTGGTTGCATCTATTGTAATCACGACAAGGAAAATTAAGTAAGAAAAAATATCACGCCAAAGTACAAGCAGAATCGTTGTAACAAATTTCTTATGCACATGACCTATGAGTCAGCTTTAGAAATGTGTGATGATGGGGCCAGAGGAAGCAAACGAATAGGAAATGTGGCTCAGGGACTCCAAAGAGCAATAATTTTGCAGACTTAGAAAACTATAACAATTAGGTTACTTTATTTTTATTAGGAAACTCACTGATCCATAAGAGAAGTGGGTGAAAGAAAAACAAAAAGCAAATCTGCAAGCTTCAAAAAACAGAGGGTCAGCCCACTATTCTTAAGACTTCAGTCCTCAATAGTTTTCCTTTCAATTGAAATTGATTGTCATCTCAAACACTTTAATCCCCCACCCGCGTGTTTCTTACATCATTCCCCATCTATACACACATAGGTACCTTGGCCTTTCTTTTCTAATACTTTGTGAAAGTAAAAATAACACAGTATAATAAGATCATGATTTGAGCTCAGTTTTGATCTTGGGTAAATTCAACTCTGAGGTGCCTCTTCATTTTTAAAATGGACATTAAAAAAATCCCTGTTCTGCCAGCCTTATAACATTGTCCCACCATGAGTCAGCATATGTGAAAGTGCTTTAGAAATTTGACTTGTTGTTACTACTACTGATATTATCATTACATCACACCGTATCAGCCTTCAAAATATTGACAAATTATATTAGTGTAAACATTGTCAGTCTCCCCTGATGTTATCATCTTATATTACCTTAGAACATTTATCAAAACTAAGAAACCAGCTACATTGCTATTAACTAAACCTTAAACTTTACTCATATTTCATCAGTTTTTCCACTAAGTCTTTTTCCTGTTTCAGGATCTCATCTAGGATACCACAATGACTTTAAATATCCTGTCTCCTGTATTCTGTATAGTTCTTCAGTCTTTTCTTGTTTCGTATGATCCTGTAAGTTTTGAGAAGTGATAGTCAGGTATTTTGTAGACTATCTACCACTTTTGGTTCATCTGAAGTTTTCTCATGATTAGATTCTAGCTATAGTTCTTGGTAAAAAGCATCAGAGGTGGAATGCCTTACTGATCACATCATGTCAGCTGGCACATGATATCAGCATGATGCCACTGATGACATTAACATTCTCCAAGATATTTCATACCAGGGTTCTCTACTGTAAAGTTATTTGCCCTTTCAATACTCTGTTCTTTGAAAGTGAGTCACTAAATCTGGCCTACCCTTAGGAATTTAGAAATTTTAAATGAGCAAAATAAGCATTTATGACTTGTAAACATCTCAAATATCAAATTTACTCAGGAATAATCTCTCACGAAATTTTTCCTGTATGCAGTTTAGAGAAGTCCTCCTGTATTTCCTTAGAAAGTGCTGAACAGGCCGGGCGCAGTGGCTCATGCCTGTAATCCCAGCACTTTGGGAGGCCGGGGCAGGTGGATAACGAAGTCAGGAGTTCAAGACCAGCCTGGCCAAGATGGTGAAACCCTGTCTCTACTAAAGATACAAAAAATTAGCCAGGCATGATTATGCGCACCTGTAGTCCCAGCTACTCTGGAGGCTGAAGCAGGAGAATTGCTTGAACCCGGGAGGCGGAGGTTGCAGTGAGCTGAGATCGTGCCATTGCACTCCCTCCTGGGCAACAGGGTGAGACTCTGTCTCAAAAAAAAAAAAGAAAGAAAAAGAAAAGAAAGAAAAAGAAAAAGGAAAAAGGAAAGTGCTCAAAAATCTCCTCTGGCTATGTATTTTGAAGCAATTTTCAGTTAGTCTGTGTTTTACAATTCCCAAACCCTGTCATTCTCCAAATCTTGGTAAAGTTTTTTTTTTTTTTTTTTTTTTTTTTTTTTTTTTTTAATTCTCCCTTTCTTCCAGTCCCATTGCCACATTTCCGGATGGTTCAAAATTCCAACTTCTCTATGAAAAGATAATATCCATTATGTCCTACACTTCTCTCTTACATTTTTCCACCATTATGGTACTCATTTCATTCTCCCTTAAAGTAATATTAGCAATCTACATGTTTAATCTCATGTCTAGATCTTATTGACTCCAAGAGTTAAGTTGGTTTCACTTTTCTATTCTCTTAGTGTCCAGTATGGAACTTTCACCTGATTGAAGCTCAAAACATGGTTGCTGAATTCACAAATAAGCTCCCCTGTCAGGTAGAGAGCATCTTTTTCTCCAAGGTGTGGACCAGTGTAAGGAAACCCATGCCTACCACACTATGGAGAAGTGGGTTTTCTTTTCTCTCATGAATATAAAGTACTCAATCTATGACATCCTTTAGTGAGTGTGACTTGATTCATGTGAACCTGTGACATTGAAATGCATACCTTCTGATTTTGAAACACTACTCTACAGTAAATGGCTCATCCATTTATCCAACACACATCTGTAGAAAACACAAAACATGTAGCAGGCCCTTGATGAATAGATTCAGTCCCTATCTGTCAAACCTCAAAGTCTAGAGGAGACCCATAGAAAAATAATTATCCTCTCTTTAGGGAAATATAACAATTTAGATATATACAAAGTACTTTTGTGCCCTGAAACAGGTTCTCTCTAGAGAAAAGACCTCATTCAAATGATGATGAGGCTCTTTTCACAATGTACTGATTTTACCAGGGACTTCGTAGCATTATTTTATATCCAGCCTTCTGCATACAGCAGCCCCAGCTACTGGAGTCCCCAGTCTCGAGGAAAGTCCTTTGGGCCAAGAATTGGAAAATCAGCATGGAAGTAATTGCTTGAATATCCATTTCCTCAAGCCGTGGTTTCTTTGCCTTTCTGTGCAGGTTACAAGATGATTATGCGTGAACAAAAACAGAAGGTACATACTGGCAGGAAACAAAAGCACGTTAAACCATGGAGATTTCCTCTTACATAAACCTGCCATTTGTTAAGCAGTTGCTGTCTGTTCCACAGGGAAGCTGGCAAAAACTTGATACAAACATTCTCCAACTGCACTGGGAGGAATAAGTGAAGGTAACACCTTTTTAAGAAGGGCATACAAAGAGATAAAAGATCTACCTAGGGACTTACTCAAACCTAGATGCTACCATTGTACAAAATGTTACCAAGTCTACCTATATCTAACTATAGTTCTGATAAAGAGGGAAGTGATGTTTTAATTTGGGAAAACACACTTAATCAAACATGTAAATGAGATTCTGAATTAAAATTCATATGTATTTTCTCTCACTATCTATCAACGTGCTAGAAAAATAAAATTGCCTTCTTTGGAAGGACAGGGGCAATTTTCAAGAGTGCTTATTCAAAGAAAAAAATGAATATTTGCACTCAAACTTTATGCAGTTAGAAGAAGGTCTGAGCTTGGTCTTGGAAGATCTTACTTCATGTCTCCATCTTACCAGGGAAATCACGTAACTGCTCTGAGCCTCAGCATCCCTTCTATCAAATAAAAAAAGTATAATAAAGATCATCTTTCAGGGTAGGTATGAAAAGATCAAGTAAAGTGAGGTGTTTCAAAACTCAAAATAAAAATAAGCTGTCATTATTTATATAATTAATGTGTTTATATAATATATAAATATATATAATGTATATATGTATATAATTTATATAATTAAATAATATAAATTATATAAACATAATTTATATAATTAATGTGAACACAATTTAGTGTGAGATATATTTTAGTCCATCTAACCTTCAGCCACTTCATGGAGTTTTAATTGCATTGGTACTTCCTGCTTTGCTGGTACCCTTGTTCCATATAACCTCTGAGAGCTTCAAAGGTGTAGAGCTGCTTAATTCCTGCACAGTTAACTCTGCAGTGCTTTCAGGTGTCACCATTTGCTACCCTAGAAATAAACTTGACCTACCCTAGAAATAAACTTCCTCAAACCAGGGAATTCTGAGCTTGCCTTTTCACTACATGTATTATTTTAAAATTCATATAATTGCTTAGCCAATTTTCTTTCACCCTTCTTTTTCTTAGCTAAGAGAGGTAACTGTAAAGTTTTTCAAGTGAGTCTTTTATTTTGCTTTTTAATTTTGTTCTTGAATTATTTTAGTGCTTCAGTTTTCTGGATTTAGTCATCTCATTTACTTACACGGTTGGAACACTTGGATTTTATGTTTCCTTTTTCTCTACATAAAACATCTTTGAAAAATAAAATTAACACTAAAACTTGATAAGAAAGTTAAAGAAACAGTTCCTCACAAATAGTGCCTGTTTCTCTGTCCTCTGTCTTACCTTTGAAAGTTTCCCTTAGTACAATATTTTATAAATAGGCTGGGCAATCACTTACCGTGAATACAAGTGAGTTTATTAGTATTAGATTTTTGCTTTTTATTAATCATATAGGGAAAGGAGTTAAATTCTTCCTAAACACGGAAGAGCTAGTCTGGACCAACTGCCTGTTTTGTAGGTTGACAAAGGCCTAGGGGCTCTTTTCTATGATAAAGAGCTTGATTTTGAAAGTCCTTCTCATTTTCCTTGGTATTTTGAAGAGATGTCTCTGTCTAGTCAATCCCAAGCACAATATCAAACCACAGAAAGGTCAGCATTGTTCCGTTTTTGAATTATTTATTTATTTTTCCCTCTAGTGATTCTGCTGAATTTTCATGTTTATATACTGGAATTCCTTCTTCCTTTTCCTTTAATGCCTTATAAATAATACAGTGTTAGATTATTTTTAAGTTCAGCAGATAAAAGAACATGGATTGTAGATCAAGGTTGATAGAAAGTCAAGCAGTAGGCATTAAAATGCCTCTATTTGTAGAGCCTTTATCCCTTAGAGCATTCCTAAATGAATTATTTTATCTGAAGGCCTGCCACCCACACCCTCCATGACATGCTATTATGAGTTAAGTGTCAACTCCTTATCCAAGGTCACAGTGAGGTAGCTAGTAGTGAATGCTAGGTCTTGAGAAACCTGTCCAGAGTTGAGCCCAGTGACCTACTGTGCATCTTATTCTCTCATCAGCAAGAAAATTTGTTCTTGTCATTATGGATAAAACCAAAAGTACTTTCAAAACTTTTTAAATATCTCTGAACTAAAAGCCAGATCCCATAAAGTGACAATGTCTTCTTCATAGGTCTGTCTTAAGCATGAGGCTTTAAAAATTATAAAAGTAAGCCTATAATAGCTAAAGGGGCCTCAGCATCATTAAAGAAATGCAAACCAAAACCACAATGAGATACCACTCCTACCCATTAGAAAGGATATAATAAGAAAAACAATAACCAAGACTTGGCAAGAAAATAGAGAAATTGGGCCCCTCAATCGCTCCTGATGGGAATGTCAAATAGTGCAGCTATTTTGGAAAAAAGTTTGACATGATGGTTTCTTTAAAAGTTAAAACATAAATTTACCGTATAACCCAGCAATTCCACTCTTAGGTGTCTACTCAAGAGAAATGAAAATATGTTCACACAAATAGTTTCACATGAATGTTCTTAGTAGCATTATTCATAATAGTCAAAAATTGGAAACTACCTAAATGTCCTTCAACTGGTGGATAGATAAACAAAATGTGACATATCCTTTGATGGAATACTATTTGGCAAAAAAAAACAAACAAACTCTGGATACATGCTGTAACATGGAAGGACCTCAAAAACATTATGTTGGATGAAAGAAGATGTACACAAAAGACCACATACTGTATGATTTAATTTATATAAATCTACAGAAAACTCAAAGCTATGGAGACAGGAGGCAGATTATTGATTGCCTGAGGAGTGGGATTTGGGGGAGAGAAGAGAGAATAAGGATTAACAGTAAATACTCATGTGGGATCATAAGACTGTGATGAAAAGGTTCTAAAATTGATTCATGATGATGGATGCATAACGTAGTAAACTTACTAAGAAGAGGCTGGGCACGATGGCTCACTTCTGTAATCCCAGCACTTTGGGAGGCCTAGGTAGGTGGATCACCTGAGGTCAGGAGTTCGAGACCAGCCTGGCCTACATGGTGAAACCCCATCCTACTAAAAATACAAAAATTAGCCGGGCATGGTGGCACGCATCTGTAATCCCAGCTACTCGGCAGGAGAATCACTTGAACCCGCGAGGTGGAAGCTACAGTGAGCCGAGATTGTGCCACTGCACTCCAGCCTAGGTGACAGAGTGAGACTCCATCAAAAAAAAAAAAAATACTAAAAAGATGTATGGAGAGCTATACACACAAAAAGAACAAATTATATGCTATGCAAACTATATCTAAATAAAAGTGTTTTTTAAAAAGCTAGGAAGGAAGAGGTCACTACCTATATCTTGGTCAAATTCTTGTTAGATCCTCATACATCATCAATAAATAGGACTTGAATTATCTTAAGAGGATAAATAAAGAATATGAAATGTATCAGAAATAGTAAACAAATATACAAGTCTAAAGAATTTTTCCTGTAGTTCCCTAACTTTTCAAAACAGCAGGTAATTTCCAATCTAATTAAATACACTTTTTGATCTGTAACATTTAGATATAAAATAAGCAAAATACAAAGTGACATATCTCTTTCACTCTATTTTCTTTTTAAAAAAAGTTAACATTTTTTAAAAGTTTATGAATCACCAAGAGTAAACAAATTTTCTGTATTTGTATTAAGTTCTCTGCTCACTAGGCTCTTCTGCCAGAAGATTCTTCTATTTTTACAACCTGTGGTATGTTTGTTTACTATGGCCCAAGTTAACATGATTGTTTATTAATAAAAAATCTATCTTTCACAATATAGTTAAGAAGTATTTTAACATATTCAATAACAGTTTAATTCCTTCAGATATTCATCAGTCATGTGTTTTTTACTCTGTCCAGTTAGGGCAATATAAATACCATTTTGTGAGGATGTCAAATTTTTCTTTTTTCTGGCAAAACAAGAAAGCATAAGACAGATGGGTTAAGAAGAAAGTCAGACACAGTATCAGTTGCCAAAGGGGGGAAAACAAGTAAAGACAACATCTTGTCCATCAAGGAACTCAGATAAAGGCTCTTTCTTCTCTCAAATGATGACAGCTCCAGAGCTGTGAGCAACGAGAAAATAAATAAGCACAACCACCAAAAGTGTTTCTCCCTGGTTTCCACTGTAATATCTGGAATAGACAAACATGTCATTTTACTGGGAAGATTACCTGAAAAAAAGTAACCAAAATAGAAAAGGAAGAAAGAAGAAAACTGAATAGGGTCTATTACATCTGGGTAGACGGTTATCATGCTTTTCTAGATGCAGCTGATGAAAACATCCAGGAAGAATAATCCACATCCCTTTCAACAATATAAAGGGATCCAAAGCACCGATGTGTGATTCTGACACGAGAAGCTTCAGGACAACTGACATAGTTGCTCTCAGTTGAAAACGGACACTAGTTGGTACTCTGAGTTTATTTTTCTCAAATGGAAGTTTGCTCACAAGATGTGGTAAGATTGAGTTTGTATGCTCTTAAATGGCCTTTTTACAGGCAGGAAGATCTTGTTTGTCAGGCCTCAGGAAACTGTTGATAGAATGAAGGAGGTTAAAATTGTTACTGGATCTACTAAACCTGTGAGCCATCCATCACCCATTTACGACGGTATCCCGAATGGAAGAGAGATGAGGGTGAGCACATTTAATGAGGTGTGAGCTTTGAATGGACAGAAAAACACAATTCTGAAGGTTTTGAGATCAACTTCTTGAATTAACACAATGGAAGATATTTTATTGTGGCTATAAATTATCTTTTAAAAATTCTTTACATTACTTAGACTTTAGGAAAAGAATAGAAAGTAGATTCGAAAATACTAAGAAAATTTGCTAATTGCCCAGGTTCTTTTCCTAATTTTTATAGGGTGTGTTTAAGCATAATAGCATGTTGCAGTCTATTTGGAATAGAATCAGGCTGAGTTTTGGTATCAAATATGTTTCAAACTAGCTGGGTATTTAGGAAAGTCACTTAATCTTCTTATGCCCCAGATGTCTCATCTGTCACAGGTGATAATAATTTCTGGCAAACATGCTTTACATCATTTTGTAAGTATAGCATAAAATGATAAATGTAAAAACATTTAAGGGAAAAGCATTTCCCAAAGCAAAGGTGCCATTCTTATTAAAAAATGAGAACGTCTCCTCTTTAACCCCTAAGTTTACTTGAGAATAAAAGCCAAGGTAACTCCTTTAGGAAATGATTAGGTTCTGGTTTACATTTCTTATGTTATGGGGTGATAAAGGCTGATCTTTAGACATGACAAGTACAAAGTCCTATGCTTGTGCTGGAGTTTGAAGAGTCTCATTAATCATGCTCCATTGTGTTACAGGTTCTGTAAACATTGCAAAAGCATAAAGTACAGCCCTTCTCTTAGTGACATCTTTCCAGCCTAACTCCAGGAAGCCTTTGAGATTTCTTTAAATGACTGGATTTCATTTCAGTCATTAGTTAACCTTGCCTAGTGGGTGACTATGAATCCCACCAGGCAGAAGTAAGGGGATATGTATTCAAACAGTTCAAACATGGTTTGTCCCCTTCACATAACCATTAAGAACAGTAGGAGGGCTTTCCTTTCTTGGGGTAAGTCAAGTTGTTTATGTGAATCAGATAATCCACATGTATTTGCCTTTAGAAACCAATGCTATAAAGTTATAGTTAGAAAAGAATGCTGACAATTCTTTCCATGGATATTTTAAGATTAAAAGGCAAATGTTATTTCTAAGGGATTCATAAATTCTATTGGCAAAGTCTTTTATGTAGGAAGAGGCTACTTTGAGACAAGCAAGAAGCCAGACCACCTTTGGGACTATGGTCAGAGTACACTCTTTATTCACTAGGACTCATTTACATAAGGTTCCTTTTTATATTTTGGTTACACCTAGCTTTCCAAACCCTCTAAAATTCTTTCATTTGTGAAAGTTTTATTATTTATTTTCTGATATTCTATTCATATTTTCCTTCCTAGAAATGTTCTAAAGCACATCTATTAGTTGGAGTGTACTTTCATTTTGCAGTTATACAAGCAAAGATTCCAACAGGATTAATGCTAACAAGACCATTTAAATAATTGTGTGGGTGAAATTTGTACAGAACATATAAAAGTATATTTCAATATAATTAATTTTACAATATTTTTGAAGAAGACTATATTCAGTCCCAATTTCCAAGTTGTTTTGGGAGGGCCAGATACTCTAAGCTGAATTAAAACATTAATTTCCTAGCTGCTTTTCTTGCCTGTGAACCCCCCCCCATTCATTTTACTCCAGGTAAATGTAAATGGTTACAGTGGTTAGGGATTGGTCTAATGAGGCAAATGGAGTTAATGTGATAGGCAAGCTATCTTCCTTCCATTTAGGTAACATAGAAAACTTCAGGCCAGGCATGGTGGGTCATACCTGTAAACCCAGCACTTTGGGAGCCTGAGGTGGGTGGATCACCTGAGGTCAGGAGTTCGAGACCAGCCTGAACAATATGGTGAAACCCTGTCTCTACTAAAAATACAAAAATTAGTGGACGTGGTGGTGCGCACCTGTAATCCCAGCTACTCCAGAGGCTGAGGCAGGAGAATCGCTTGAACCCGGGAGGCAGAGGTTTCAGTGAGCCGAGATCGCACCACTGTACTGCAGCCTGGGCGACAGAGCGAGATGCTGTCTCAAGGAAAAAAAAAAAAGAAAGAAAACTTCATATGTCTTACAGGATGATACTCATACATATGGAAAAGGCATACAGCTGTATCTGAGACAATTCATTACCAACTACGGATAAACTAGTTAAGATATAGGATATGCTGACAACGGGTCACCATCTGTAAAACGTGTTTATGGAAAATAAAACATGTATTTCCTATGCCTATACCTGCAACCTTCTTCTGATTCAGCAGCAACCCTAATGTCTCTTCTTCTACCTTCTAGAAGTTTACCACTTTCATGCTACTACTTTTAACATATTTCAAAACAGTGAGATTCAAACTATGCAATTATAGAAGAAGAAGAATTAATCAAAATGGATATCTAAATAATTGAATGGGTAAGTTAGAATCATTAATAACAAGAAAATGTGGATGTGGAGACATCCACATGCTTATAATGATGGACAAAGCAGTGTGAAATACAGCTATGGAATTGTTTCCTCTTCCTTGTATATCATAATCTATAAATGTCTAGTTATTACATCATTATCTCTCATAGCTATAGCATCACTTTCTCAGATTTCCTTAATGTCCCAACAAAAATTCATGTTCATTCTACCACTCCTGGGCCTTGTGTACTTCTCCTTAACAGTTGTTTTCTTTGCACTTTTCCAGATTAAACTTCATCTTGATATTATAGATTTTTTCTTTTTTTTCTTTAGTATATGAATGGTATCTGCATTTTATTACTTATGTTATTAAATATTTCTGAAACCCTACTATGTGTCAGGTGCTGTATTTGATCCCGTTAAATGTGGCAGCAAGGGTGCTAGCTCTGCAGCAGATTATTGCAGAGTATTCAGACAAATAAGTCAAATTACAGTGCAATTCTAGCAAGGACTAGATTAGCGGAAACATAACGTTCTATATAAGGGCATAGAAGAGGCACCTAACATATTCTTTTGGAGCCAGGAGCTTTTTCTGGTATGGCATGGAATACTGCAGAAACTGATTTAATGTCATTCACACTTTGCATGAAATGTCCACGTGGAGAAAGGGGATAAAAGAAGAGTCAGAGGTAGAAATAGGCTCTGCAGGTTGAATTTAGAAGGGTGAGCTTTATATTGAGGGAAATAAGGAGGATTGAGGGTTTTTAAACCGGAGGGTAAATTTGTAATTTTGTTACTTAACTCTGTCATAGACAATATGTAAACAAATGAGTGTGTTCCAATAAAACTTTATTTACAAAACAAGGTGGGTGGCTGGAACTGACCCACAGGTCAGAGTTTGCAAAACCTGGAAAGCTGCTGATAAGGTAAATTGAAAGGTTTTGGTCACCTGCTAGAAGTAAGGGAGACAGAAGTGGTAAGTTTCTGGCTTAGTCAATGTGAAGCAGATAATTACCAATGAATAATTCTAAGGCATGTGTGTTAATATACCATGTAGAATGTTATAGAAAAAGTCAATGACGCAATCATAGAAGTTATTATAATTTGGAGTATATCTTGAAATGCCCCACACAAACACAAAGTTAGAGTAAGCATTGTAGTATGAGAGTGTGAGCTAGCCATTCTATCATTTAAAAAATTATGATGTAACTTTACACCTATAAAATGTATAGGCATTTTTAACACAGTAGCTAGTATTTGTTTAAACACTAAGTTCTAAAAATAAGAGGTGCTAGATACAAGCAAAGTATTACAACGCAGTAACATGTAATATTTTGAAATGCTTAACAAAGAGTCATACATAAGCTGCAGAGACAGGGGAAATATGGAAACATTTAAAGAAAGGATGTGACTCACAGGAAGAGAGCCAATCTGAAAATTCAGAGAACACAGGGAGGAGACCAAGGAGAAATCCAGAGTGAAATGAAATAACGGTTTGGGGAGCAGATGGTGCAATATCTCATTCTTAAAAGGTAAGATGAGTGAGGAATCTGCCTTTTCTCCTTTGAAAGTCACATACCTTCTAGTTTCTATTCCATTTCTTTCTTCTTCTTTTTTTTTTTTAGCACTGGTTTCATCTGTAATTTATCTTTATCCACAATTGGATTTCTTCCAGTTTCCCAGATAATATCACTGCTTTCGCCTTGATGACCTGGTGTTCTTATGCTATTTTTTCTCATTCGTTCCATCTCCATTTTTGCTTCCATCCTTCATTTTCTGCAGATGAACATGAAGTCAGTGAGGTTGTGCCATAATGTGCCAAATGTGATGTTAAAATGTTTTGGCAACTCCTAATTACTGGGTTCTGCAAGACATTTGGGAGATATTATACTCTTACAAGGAAAGGAAATTTCTTTGCTCCTCCTTTTTGGCACGCCTCTCTTGTGGGCCATCAGAGTCCATCAAATGGAGAAGATGCAGCTTTTAAATTCCTGGCAAATATAACTTGGAACTTCAAGCTTCATTGGATTCAAGCATCCAAAATCTGGAGATTCTGCCCATATCCCCACTCCCTGCCACTCTACCAGTTCCTATTCTCTGAAACTTTGGTGTCAATATCTTCAGTGTCTGCAAACTTTTGGCATGGAAACCACTACCAAACGATGCAACATTTCCTTCTCATGTAGATGGAGTCACATCCATGTGCCTTAGATCTCCAGAACCCCTCCAGGAACTGTCTAAACGCCCCTATTTTAAAGAGAGGACACTGATACAAATGTCATAACCCAATGACAGCAGGGTCATTGCCATCTTGCGTTCTTAATTTCAACATGACAAGCCCTGAGTATGTCCAGATGTGTGAGAATAAGGTTTCATTTCGTGTGCTCAGAAAATAACGTGGAGGCATACAGTTGAAGGCTATTTATTTGGAGTGTGTGTGTATGTGTGTGTGTATGTGTGTGTAGTGATGTGTGCGTGTGTGTGTGTATATATATATATATGTAGTGATTTACATTTTCAGAGGGATCCATTGTCCAGAGAGCAAAATGCATGCTTTCTCTGTGTTCCAAAAGGCAGAACCTAGGGTTCACTACTTTTTAAAAATTGTTTTATCAGCTTTAAAAGATCCTGTTAGTTATACTGTCTGTCATGTAGACACGACTACACAGGTCTAACAACATATCCTTGAGTTTTTTCTTTAATGATGGGGTTCATTTTAATGAAACACGGCATGCATACATACACACACAAAGGAAAGGAAAAGTGCCTGCTTATTACCAAGTATATTGTTAGAATAAAGCTGGGTCTATCCAGGTTCAAGTCCAAATGTCCCTGTAGATGTTTCATCTTATTCAAAGTATAAGGAATAATCCCATCTATTGCATCTGAAATATAACTGTAAAGATTATCAGATGCTTGCTTCAAAAATTATGAAGATTCACATATAACATTGTTTTATTGTCTTAAGTTATACAAATATACACCTACTTTGACTTAGTAATGAGGGTTAATATGGCTTCATTCTTATTTGATTTTCTCATAGCTAAGTGTTTGTATAGAGCAGACAAATTACCATATCTTTTTATTAGGTTCATTAAAACCACCGAAAGGTGATATTTACAATTAGTTGAAAAAACGTATTGCTTTGGCTGAAACAAATCCAGAGTAAGTGATCAAGATTGTACCTCTTCAAAATTTCATAGCCACAGTGCACAGAATACATTTTAGATAATTCGAAACACAAAATCAATGCTTCAAAAAAACCCACTTTAAAAAGTCATATCTCACCAAATAACTACCCAGTTATGTGGAAAATGTTCAGAGATTCACTGCTTAACATATGCTTATTAATCTGTATTATAATAAGATGGAATTTGTAATTTAGCAAAAATTAACCCAACTTCCTTGTTAATCACATCAATCTATGGATAGAAATGCATTGCTAGTAACTTTTCTAGCCCCATTGCTCAAAAATTGTCAGAAGGCAGAGTCTGCATGCTTTCTGGACTTTGTAACTATCTGGGCACAGATTTTATACTTTCGGACATATGTACAAGGCCTCCAAGAAGAGGGCTAGAGTTTTTCATCCCCCTTATTGTTTAAATCTCTCAGAAGTAAGGTAGCTGTTGCACATTGTCCAGATACTCAGAAAACAATAACCTTACATCAGCAAATAATACCTGAGAACCTACTACACGTGTGCTGAGCATGTATGCTAGGTGTTGGAGATGCAAAGTTGAAGAGGAAGCTGTCCTAGCTGTGAGCCTTCAGAATTTGTTTGGTTGCAACTAGTAGAAGAGAACATTAAGTTGCTTTACTTGACAAGAATGTATCAGATAAAACCTGTCAATTATTGTCCTACTCCAAATTATTGGCTTGCTTTTGTTCTAGATCTAATCTTTTTTAAAAAACCAGGTATCTGCTAGTTTCATTAGCTATTCAAAGCTTGTCAAAGTGACAAATTATTCTTGTAGTACTTCTTGGTTGATTCCAAGACAAAATATGATTTTAAAACATGTAACCCGTGCTTTGCACTTCACTGTGAGTTTACAGGACAGACGATTAAGTTAAGAAATCATTCTCTAGTAATTAAATACATCTCAAAACCTCAAAGCTTCAGCAAGGGTAACTGCCAGAGAGAGAGAGATCACTGACTCTGCTTACCACAGATAACGTCTTCCTCTTAGGGTTTTCCTACTTTCAGTGACTGCAGCCAATCTACTCCTCAACATCACCTGCGTCCCTTAGCTGTACATGCCAATCTTTTATGTTGATGTTCACATGTGAAACCCAAATCCCTCCCTTTAATTGCCTATTGGTAAAACTGAATTACTCTGGAAGTTCCCCAAATCTTTACTGAATATTAATAAAGAACAAATGGGAACTAAATGTTAGAAAAGAAAAGAAAAAAAGAAGTATTTCCCCTGATAAGGTAGAGATGTGTGTGTTCATCCTATCTAGCTTTCCTGAGCATCTGCTAACCTTATCTTTCTCAACTAGTTAATTAACTGCAGAATTATCATGAATAGTAATGTCAGTGGGAAGGAAGGTAGAAAGAAGCAATAGAGCAGGTGGAGTATCTAGGCTAGACATTACATAGACAGTTTTACTTTTATCTGTTATGTTTACCTTTCAGGTGAAGTTTCTTTTTAAGAAAGTTTTCATGAGCTAAGAATGTTTAAAACCACAACACAAACTATCTGAGCTGCGTACCTCTGGTCCATATGTGACAAACATATGACAGGAGCACTACTTGTTATTTTCCTTGCTTCCATGGAAGGTTTCTGATATGGTTTGGCTTTGTGTCTCCACCCAAATCTCATCTCGAATTGTAATCTCCAGCGTGTCGAAGGACGGACCTCTAACCCCCACAAGTGGAGAAAAGTAGGCGATTGGATCATGGGGGTGGTTTCCCCCATGCTGTTCTAGTGATTGTGAGTGAGTTCTCACGAGATCTGATGGTTTTATAAGGGGCTCTGCGTGCTTCGCTGGCACTTCTCTCTCTCCTGCTGCCTTGTGAAGAAGGCGTCTGCTTCCCCTTCTGCCATGATTGTAAGTTTCCTGAGGCTTCACTAGCCATGGGGAACTGTGAGTCAATTAAACCTCTGTCCTTTATAAATTACCCAGTCTGGGGTATTTCTTTATAGCAGTGTGAGAACAGACTAATACAGTATAACTAGATTTATGCAAGCTCACATTGATTCCTGGTGAAATCTTAGAATCCTTCTCAACCCATCATTTCAGGCAGCTATAATAATTGGTTAGTATTGGCAAATAGGTTAAGCATCATCCTTCTTCTAACACTTTGTTAGAGTTCCTTACTTCCCACTTCCAGGCCTATCTTGAGGTGACAAGAACATCTTGATCCTTAAGGATTTTCCCTGTGTATCACTGTCTGCTCATTGTCTCAGCTGAAAGTCTAAAAGCTAATTCTGTCATCCCAATAACTCTTAGATTAACCCATTGTCAAATTTTTCCCCCCGAAATCTTACCTTACATTTCTTACGAAGTGTTCTTTGGAACACATTCCTGTAGCAAAAGCCATGAACAATTTCTGTAGGCAAATATACTTGCAACATGCTCCTTGTGAAGGGTCACAATGTGCAAATAGCTAAGCAAAGATTCTGAGAAGTGGTATAGTAGAGAACTCAGTCGGATTTAGTTTAACTAAGCATTGTTCAAACTTACTTGACCACAGAAGACTTTTATCCAATGACACTTCATAACAAGTCTGAGAATTCATTTTGGGAAATACTCCAACAACTTTACTCAAGCTTCTTTTTCTTTCAGTTCATTTTATTTTCTGACACCGGGATTATCTTTCTAAAATTATATGGCTGATAATATTGTTCCTGGCTTCAAAAACCCTAAATGGCTTCACATTAACTATAGAATTAAGTCCAACCTCTTGACCACAGAGTTCAAAGTTGGAGGTTCCCTCTGCAATTCATCTTCACCAGTTGCACATATGATACGGTTTAGCTGTGTCCCTACCCATATCTCATCTTTAATTGTAGCTCCTATAATTCCCATGTGTTGTGGGAGGGACCTGGGAGGAGATAGCGGAATCATGGGGGCAGTTTCCCCCATACTGTTCTTGTAGTAGTGAATAAGTCTCACAAGATCTGATGATTTGATAAGGGGTTTCCTCTTTCTGTTGGCTCACATTCTCTCTTGTCTGCTGCCATGAAAGGACATGCCTTTTGCCTTCCACCATGATTGTGAGGCCTCCCCAGCCATGTGGAACTGTGAGTTCATTAAACATATTTTTCTTTATAAATTATTCAGTCTCAGGTATGTCTTTATCAGCAGCATGAAAACGGACTAATACAATATAGTAGACACTTTATGAATGAATATGTCACATGCTTCTCCCCAGCCTCATGTCTTCCTGATTGTTATTTAACAGACTTTGACATTCAAACTCACTTTTATGTCTCTCTGCTTTCAGTCTTTCTTCACCTCTATCAACCAGGGAGCTCAAAGATCACTTGAGATCTGAAGTATTTCTCTTGTCTACTCCACATCCCTAAATAAACTAATCACCACCTCAGATATATTCCCATTATACTCTGAATTCTTCTCTTTCTATTTTGCTCAAAGAACATAAGCTGATGGCTCCTTAAAGGTCTAGTCTGGGGTTTCTCAGCCTCTGTTCTACTGACATTTTGAGCTCGATGACTCTATTACAGGGAAACTTCCCCAAACATAATAGGATGTTTAGCACCACCCTTGTGTGCATCTATGCACAAGATACCAGTAGCACCCCCACCAGTCATGATAATCAAACATGTGTCTAGATATTGTCAAAGGTCTCCTAGGAAGCAAAATTTTCTGGAGGTCAAGAACCATTATTCTAGATCAAACCTTTGCCTTTTCCTGGCTTTGGTCCTATGACCACCAAATAGTCACTGAATTCAACATAAATATGAATTGCCCTTATTTGCCTCTTGAAGGATTGATTGTAGTTGACAAGGAGAAGGGGAAAAAAAAAGAAAAGAAAGAGGAAATAACATATTCTAAAATGCTGTCATTAGGGAAATCTTGTAAGCATCATTATTTTCCAATTTTAGGCTTATCAAATCTGAGAGAATGCAGGACAAATCCCCACCCCCCCCCCCCCCCCCCCGCATTGAAAGATTCTCCAGTCCTTTGAAGTCTATTACTCATTTCTAGGATTTTGTAATTCCAAAGTCGTCTTTTGTTTTGTGTTCTCTCAAGTTTTCAGATTTGGTGAAGTGAATACACAATTGAGCCATTAACACTTGTTAACTGCATTGATTTATCTTTTTCTTACTGTTTCTCTTTCATTAATGACACGTAGCTATTTGTCTCCGGAGACTTTTTTCATGCCTTCAGAAAAAAATCTCATATTTTATTTCTTACAAAGCATTGTCTTGTGGCATGAAGACTCATCAAAGTCACAATTACATTTCATTTGTCCACATTGAACTGTCTGTCATCTGTAAGCATTTGAGCCTGGCCTTCCTGCGCTTGTACTACCTTTTGCCTGGTTACTTACCACTTTGTGATGATTCGTTAGGGTAAGCTACTTTTGGCATTCTCTGCCTTTAATTTTTCTGGTTACATAACAGGGTTGTTTATAATATTCTAGGGGTTCCCAAGCCAAGATGATGATGCCATTTGTATTTTTAGTTATAAAAATTACTGAAAAGTACTCTTTGCCAGCAACCTTGATGTTTATCTATATAGTCCATCTCTAAAACAATCTCTAGGCTTTATCCACAAACACCCAACTCCCACGTTAGATGGAGGTGTTGAATTAAAGAGGTTCAAAAGAATCCAAACATTAGGATCTTTATCTGAACCTCGTCTAAATGATCCGGGCTTCCTGAATCTCACATCTCAAATACTGAGATTGAAATTGGAGAGCAAGCTCTCTCACTAGGCTTCATGTTTTGAAGAAAAGTAGCTAATTTAGGGGGAATTTGTGTATGCAGGGAACTTCTGCATGTGAGTCTGATATTTAATTAAAATTACAACCTACACTTTGTCACTTATCTTTGTTTAGCATGACATGCTATTTTGGACCAAAAAAGAATCCTAATTTAGGATGCATTGGAGGGCCTTCAATCTACAAAAGCAGAAACCTTGGCTGAGGCACTTTAAGTAGTTTGCAATTTTGTTTTGTTTTTTGGAGACGGAGTCTTGCTCTGTCGTCCAGGCTGGAGTGAACTGGAGTGATCTTGGCTCACTGCAACCTCGGCCTCCCATATTCAAGCAATTCTCCTGCCTCAGCCTCCTGAGTAGCTGGGATTACAGGTGTCCCCAACGATGCTCAGCTAATTTTTGTATTTTTAGTAGAGATGGGTTTTGCCATGTTGGCCAGGCTGGTCTCAAACTCCTGACTTCAGGTGATTCGCCTGCCTTGGCCTCCCAAAGTGCTGGGATTAGAGGCGTGAGTCACTGCACTTTTAAAAGAAAGATAATACTCAAGGTAAAAAAGGAAGGCTTTACAATGTTTTCTAATCCTCTAACTTGACTCTTTAAGTTCAGGCTGAGAGGTGAAGATCAGTGGTTTGCACTTTTCATTTCCTCTGATTTTGCTCCGGCCAATGTACAGGTGTTTAATTTTAATCCCAACACAAAATAATGGTGAAAGAATAGTCATAGAGTCCATCCCCTTCCTCTCATTTCTGCTTTTACCTCAATTTTTATATAGCTCATTAATCCCACATATAAAGGCAATCAAGTATATCTTCACAGGTACACTCAGTCATCTTGACTTTTATAGTCACTGGAAGAAGAAAGCATTAACCATAGTTACACCTACCTCCACACTTATTACATTTTGGGATAAATTTCACTTATTCTGTATATTTTTCCCATCTTAGAATTAAAATGCAATAATTTTCTCAGGATTTTCATTAGCTTTTTCTAGTTTAATTTCATTTCTTTCATGATTGCATATAATTTTGAAAACATCAACCCCTGTGTAGAGATCAGTGTTTCTGTGAGGGTGGTTCTGTAGACCATGTGTGCCAGAATTACCCAACATGCCTGTCAAAAGTGCAGATTCCGGAGACGGCTCATCCTGGAGGTACTGAATGAAAATCTCTGAGCACAGATACCAGCAGTCTGCGTTGTAACAGGGTCCCTCCAGGGAGTTCTGGTATAAACTAATATTTGAGGTGACTGCTTTAGAAGGTGACTTCTGGATTCCAAGTGTCACGCCTGGTGGCTTATGTGCACTTATCCAGGTATCTCTTTTTCTTTCACACTCTGCATGTAAATCTGTCAGCCTATTCAAAACAGACCCAGATTCTCACTCTCTATCTCTGCTCTACAAGTCTGGTCTGGTAAAGCCACTATCATCTCTTGATGAGATCACTGCAAATGCCTCCTAGCGTCTGCTTTTTTTTTTTTTTTTTCTTTTTTTGAGACCGGGTCTCACTTTGTCACCCAGGCTGGAGTGCAGTGGTATGATCATGGCTCAGAGCAACCCCGACTCCTGGGCTCAACCGATCCTCCTGCCTCAGCCTGCTGGGTAGCTGGGACTACAGGCATACATCATTATGTCCAGCTAATTAAAACATTGTGGTTTTTTTTTTTTTTTTTTTTTTTTTTTTTGTAGAGACAAGGTCTCACTTCGTTGCTCAGTCTGGTCTGGAACTCATGAGCTCAAGCGATCCTCCTGCCTTGGCTTCCCTAAATGCTGGGATTATAGGCGTGAGTCTCTGTGCCCAACCTAGCTTGTTTCTTTCTTCTACTTTGCTTTTCTGCAGTCTAGCTCAACACAGTCACCAGCAAGTTCACTTTTCAAGTAAGGTAAGTCCTGTGACCTCCATATTTAGATGCCTTCAAGGGCTTCCTGTCTCAGAGCAGAGGTCAAAAGTCATTACAATGGTCCACAAAACCCTTGTGATGTGGATGCTGAGCTCTTTCCCCTCACCCTTGCTGCCTTTTCCTTTGCCCCTGACCTCCACTTATACTGAGTCCTCATTCCTCTGCAACACAGCTTCTCCCTCATGGTCACCAAAATTGATTGCCCTTCTCCCTGTTATCTGCATGGCCTACTCACTAACTTTTCCAGATCTATGTTTAAACTTCTCAACAAGGTTTTTCCCAAAAATCCTATTTAAAAAAGAATGGCCCTACTTCTGGGCACTTCCCGTCCTCCTTTCTCCTTTCCTTCTTTTCTGTTTCACCTAAATTTATCACCATCTGCCATTCTGGACATTTTACTTACCTTATTTATTGTAGTCCCTCCCCACTGCCAGCTATAATCCCTAAGAGCTAGGCATTTTTTTTTTTAACTTGTTTTGCTCATGCTGTATTCTGGCCCTGAGAATAGTAGAATATGAGAGAGACAATAAATACTTGTAGAATGAAATGAATAAATTATCGCATTGTAACAATGCCACACTGTACGTGCTATTGCCTCTATTGACAGATAAAGAAACCAAGGCTTATAAAACAGGAATTAATAACTCACTCAAAGTCACATGGCCTGTCTAGAGCTGGGCAGAGCTTTACTCTGATACCAAAGCAGCCATTCTTTCAACGATTCCTCCATGTGCCTTATGGATTCTCTTAGTTCCATTTCTTTGTTCTCCAAATAAGAATGTGCTTTTAGCCAAAACCATCACATCGTCAGAGTGAAAGAGAGAAGGTGGGACTCCATATGGTTGCAATGAATAGAAGGCAAAGCTCTTCCCTGTTTCTCTCCTCAGACCTATGAGCTCTCCCAGCACCCTCCCAGGGGTTCCTCATTGCACCAGTCTAGGTGTATTTATCTGAATCTAAAGTATATTTTCTGTTTTTCCTCTTGACCTTCAGGTGCAGAGATTTGAGATAATCATACTTTTCCATTTATGTCAAATTATTATTGCAAGTTCAAGCAAAGTATCTCTCCTACTTACATACCTTTAGTTTTCTCCCTCCATGCTGAACCTCCCTTCCCATTGTTTTATCCTGTAGACATTTACTATGGTGTGTTGGGTATATGTCATTAAATATATATGTAGTTTTGCAAAATAAATTGATGTCGTGCTGTTGTTGATGTGTGTGTTATCCTTACGTGAATGGTATTGTGCTACAAATGTTATCATTATCATTTTAATGTTACCAAATCATTATGTCAAACAATGCTGAGAAAAATGTTTATATACCTGGACCTTTACCGACCCCTAGGAACAAGGTGCTTGAAAGTCATAGGGTACGTGCTGAGTTTATTTCACTAAATATTAAAAAACTGCTTTCCAGATTGAATGCTGGTTTACACAATCAGCAGGTTGTATGGCTAAGTTTATTTCTATATGATCTCAGCAAAAATTAGGTTTTACAATACTTGTGAATATAAAATAGCATCATTATAATATAAATTTATCTGATTACTAATGAGATTGGATGTCTTTTCATAAAATTTGTATTTGAACTTTCCTTTTTGTTAATTGCTTTTCAAGTATTTTTGACCATTGAAAAAATTGGGATTTCTGCCTTTCTTTAAAATTTTGAGGTTTTTTTTGTAATTAAGGAGAGTATTAGTGTGTTTATTTTGGACATTTCAAATATCTTTTTCCAGTCTCTTATCAATTAACTTTGTCTATATTACCCATTATTAGATAAAAACCCATCTTATTTCAATTTTTTTTTCTTCTTCTCTAAGTCACAAATATATTTTGGAACATTTGCTGCGATTAGTTTAATGGTATTACCTCTCAAAATTTTTAAAATAATTTTTATGGAGTATGCTTTTCATTTTGTATATAGTAGAGAACTGTTTAAATTTTTTCTGTAGAAGGATCTTGTTTTACCAACACCATATATAGAACAATCCATCCTGTCCTCTTTGCTTTGAAGTATCACTGATACATATTTCTTTGAATAACATATGTTTCTTCGTCTAAATAGAGCTATACATAACATACATAACCTATGTATTCTGTTCCACTGACATTTTTGTTCCTTCACCTATGTCATACTCTTTGTTTCATTTTAGCCTTGTAATATATCTTTTTTTGTTTGTTTGTTTGTTTGAGATGGAGTCTTGCTCTGTTGCCCAGGCTGGAGTGCAATGATACAATCTTGGCTCACTGCAACCTCCGCCTCCCAGGTTCAGGCAATTCTCCGGCCTCAGCTTCCTGAGTAGCTGGGATTACAGGTGTGTGTCACTATGCCTAGCTAATTTTTGTATTTTAGTAGAGACAGGGTTTCACCATGTTGCCCAGGCTGGCCTCAAACTCCTGACATCAAGTATCTACCCGCCTCGGCCTCCCAAAGTGTTGGGATTACAGGCATGAGCCACAGTGCCCAGCCAACCATGTAATATATCTTAATATGTAGTAAATTAATTCTGCCTAACTCAACCTTAATTCTCCTTTTTCAAAACCAATATAAATACTTGTAGACCATTATTATTTTATATTAATTTTAGATGGAGTTTTATCAATTTTCTAAAAATATCAGCTGGAATTTTTATTGTGATTGCTTTGAATTTGTAGGACAATTTGGGAAGAAAGACATAATTATCGTAATATATTGCCCTATCCATGTAATTGGTTATCTTCCATTTATTCAAAATTTATCCAATTTCTCTGTAAATATCTTCTTCTTCGTTTAGTTGGTTGCTAAAGTTTTGGTGTGATATTGAAGAGTATTTTATTTTTCTATTGGTTGTTATTAGTAATTACTTGTTCTTTTTTGTTGTTGTTAGTAATTACTAGTTCTTAAGGGGTAGGTAGGACTTTGGAAAGGTAAAGATGGGCAAAGAACATTCCAGACAGAAGAACAAACCTAAGTAAAAATCCACAGCCTGCAAAGATTAGAAGATAAATTGGCAATGGAAGAGTTTAATTTGTTTGGAACGAAAGATAGTCGAGGAAAGATGTTGAAGAATAAGGATGAAATACATGGTGGAAAGATATAAATGGAATGTTAGAGAGTTTAGCTTTCAAAGGTAACCCAGATGAAAGTGTGAATTCTGGAGTAAGGCTGTGCATATTACTCGCTCTGTGACTTATTAGCTAGGGGATTCTTCGCTCTCTGGGCTTGTTTCCTAATAGTGAATGGAGATTGTGACAGCGCCTACTGCATTAGAGAAGAGTGAAGATTAAATGAGTTAAGACATGTAGCACCTGGTGTATAATAAAGCATTCAATAAACGTTAACTTTTATTGTTATTGTTGCTATTGTTATTAGGAAATGGGAAATCATTGAAGATTTTGGTGAGACCCAAGTTCAGAACACAGCTTAGCAATATAGCAGAGAGAAAGACTTAAGACTCCTGATTCCCAGCATAGAACTCTGCTTCCAACATTTTGTGGAAACAAATAAATGGATTAAAAAATATTTTGTAGAAATGGCCACTTAGTACAGTGTTTTACAGAGCCCACTAACATCAAAGTATGAATGCTATAGTATTCTCGATAAATAAACTGGCATAATATACCCAAATGCTGTCTGCATACATTTTAGAACACAAATGATGCTTGTGTACCCAAGTGCCAAATTTACATAAAACACTATAAAAATAATTTAAAGCTGCCGCATTCTGACAAGTAAAGATGATATAGATATACTTTAAAAAAATCAATTCAAATATTTCATCATGTATTATACTGTGAAGAAAAGGAAACTCTTAATCAAATATTTACTTTAAACCATAGAAAAGATTTCATTGGCACCTTTGGTAGTGAGTGGCCTCTTGGAAACAGAGAATGGAGCAATAAAGAAGGATTCAAAGGTGGAGTTTAGTCACCCTAAGCAACATAACCAGGTCACGAAAATTAAACTAATTATTAGAGACATTTGCAGAAGGTGGCATATCAAGAAAAACTGGCTAACACTTACTATGAACACTTACTAGCTCTGAAACATAGTTTTCAAATTTAAATAATATAAGTTCTTTTAGCTTTCTCTCTCTCTCTCTTTTTTTTTTTTTTTTTTTTTTTTTTGAGGCAGAGTCTTGCTCTGTCGCTCAGGCTGGAGTGCAGTGGTGTGATCTCGGCTCACTGCAACCTCCACCTCCCAGGTTCAAGCAATTCTCCTGCTTCAGCTTCCCGAGTAGCTGGAACTACAGGCATGCGTCACCACACCAGGGTAATTTTTGTAGTTTTAGTAGGGACAGGGTTTCACCGCTGACCTCAGGTGATCCTCCCACCCCGGACACCCAAAGTACTGGGATTACAGGCGTGAGTCACGGTGCCCGGACTCCTTTAGCTTTTCTAATGAATAGCATAAACATGGACAAAATTAGTTTATCCTTTACTGTCATAATACCTCACATTCGCTTATACATGATTTATTTTAGGATTGAGGGATTGACAATAAGGGATTTTCTTTTGCTTTTTTTTTTTTTTTTTTGAGACAGAGTCGCGCTCTGTCGCCCAGGCTGGAGTGCGTTGGCGCGATCTCTGCTCACTGAAAGCTCAGCCTCCCGGGTTCACGCCATTCTCCTGCCTCAGCCTCCCAAGTAGCTGGGACTACAGGCGCCCGCTACCACGCTGAGCTAATTTTTTGTATTTTTAGTAGAGATGGGGTTTCACCGTGTTAGCCGGGATGGTCTCAATCTCCTGACCTCGTGATCCGCCCGCCTCAGTCTCCCAAAGTGCTGGGATTACAGGCGTGAGCCACCACGCCCGGCTTCTTTTGCTTTTTAAGTCAGACAATTTGTGCCATTCTATGCCTTTCCTCCCTCCAACTTTGTTATTTCTTATGTGTTAGATCTGCTTCCAACACAGACTTGTAGATTGCAGGTCTCTTTGACGGCAGGAAATATGTGTTATAAACATGGAATACCCAGAAGGCACTGTACAAGTTAGTCACATGGTAAGTAGCCAATAAAAATGTAGTGGTTGATGCCAAAAAGGGCTGAATTAATTTGCTTTCAGTGAGAAATTACTAACATTTCTGAGTAAAGAGGTTTTAGTTTCGTATAAGATCTAGAGAGCATGGGGACTTAGTTTTCTACTGGAAATCACAGAAAACGTGTGGGGTAATTATGGGGGTAGTTACTTTTAACCTGCAACTGATTGCTCACTGCGACTGATTTGCAGACCTGCCAGATAATGCTTTGCGTTGTATCACCTAGATACTACAACATCCCACTAGGTTTAACATTTCTCAACACATCACTGAATAGAAATTCCACCAATTCCTTTTCCAGTTTTGTCTTTAGACCACTCAGATACCAAGTAACCCACCCTCACACTCCCTCATGGACACACGATATTCATTCTTTTTTTGTTGCTCCCCCTAAAACATTGATGAAAATAAAGTTATTGAAAGCCTAAATGGCTTTCTTTAAACAGAATAGCACAAATTCATACACAAAAGCTGCTGCCCTTGAATTCCCCCTGAGCCTGATTCTAGGACCTCTATTCTTTGGGTAATAACTCTAATTTGGTTAATAACTAGGATAGGAATAGAAAAAAAAAAAAAGAAAAACAATTCAGATAAAGCAACCACCTCTCTAAAACCTATCTTTTAATGGATTTGAAATCTGAAGGCCAAAGACCACTATTTTTTTTCTTTCTTTTGCATATTTTACTTCCTTTGTTAACTCTCAACAGGAAATGTAAACCATGTGTACACAAAAATATGTACCAGTCTGGCCTTTACATAAAGCTTCTTTCTTCTGGTTTAATGTTTAGTGAAATTTTAACTCAAGGTAACAACAAACGTTTAGAATTTTCCAAGCAGCATATCATGCTGTTTTAAAGATATATGGAATAAATGATACTGTTCACATTTCTAAGATTTTCTACTTGTAGATTCATACTGAAGATGAGGGATTTTAGTTATCAGAGTTTTAAGAATGATTTATTTCGAAACTTAAACCAAAAAAAAATTTTTTTAAAGAAATGAATATGGTTCATTGATAAACGCTTTTTTTGCCAAGGGAGAAAATAGACCCTTTGTCTGTCTTGGCTCCACTATTTAGGAGTTGGCATCTAAGTAATTAGTTATCAGGGTTGGAATCACACAGCGAAGCAATTCCCTTTTCTCCTGATTATGGATTGCATTTTGATGGTAAAATTGTTGGTTGTGTCCCTCCTTAGTGACAGATTTTGTGTGATTAATGTCTCTGGGGTCTATTCCTCTCTGTCACCTTCACACAATAGATGCCACAAAATCAGCATCACCAAATCAAAATGTGCCTTCTATCCCCTTAGAAGTGATCACCCTCCATCTTTTCTTGTTATGGTTGATCTTTAGCTTCATATATTTGAAAATAAAGAATGAAATGAAAGACTGTACCTTTGCTACACCTACCTCTGTCAGGTGAATTTAAATTATGGCTATACAGTTCTAAGCTTCACTAGATTTTCACAGGGACAAAAATTATTTGCAAGCAGCTCATTAAATGTATTTGTTTTAACAAAATGCCATTCAGAGAGACACTGTTGTCTGCAATTGCCCTGAACATTTAGTTGTTTAACTGTGATTCTGTACATTTGTGTTTGTTGATACCCTTAGGCAAACACACCTGACTTCACAAACATTTGCTCAAATGCTTGAGTAAGATACATTTTTTATATCGTTAATATAAATATAACCTCCCAGTGCACTTAGCTGGTGAATTTGTTAGACTAGCTTGTTTGCAAGGAAAAAATAAGAATCTATTCAAGTTACCTTAAAACTGTGGTTTACAGACATATTTGTATGTTTAGGAAGCAAGTCTTCTCTTGAGACTGATTTATTATCACAGCTTTTATGCTCTTTTCTTGCTCCAGTTTTGTTCCTCTATAAACTAACTTCATCTGCATTCATTTTGTTCCCCGCTGCTCCTCCTTCTTATCTTTGCTGTCCACATGGTCCTTCATTGCCATTCCTGGATCATTCTCTGTCCTAAGCCTGTCCAGGGGCTCAATCTCTCAGCATTCCAAAACCAAATGCTGGATAGAGGACTCTTACTGTCTCACCTCGCTTCTTTGGATGAGGTTATAAAGACGATAGATTAGTTTACAGGACTGTGTATTTCAGTGTCCTTCTGTTGTGGCTCATTCCTGGTCCCGTCGGTTAGGCCCAGAACCATCATCATATGGAATAAAACATGGCTTTCTAAGCCAATTCTTTAATGTTGTGTGGCTGGAGATGCCCCTTTAGAAAGGGAGGCTTATATGGATGGTGTCTTAGGTCATTTTGTGCTGTTGTAACAGAATACCTGAAACTGAGTGACTTATAAACAACTGAAATTTATTTCCTCACAGTTCTGGAGGCTTGGAAGTCCAAGATCAAGGTGCTGGCATCCATTGAGGGCCTGCTTGCTGCATCATCCCATGGCAGAAGGGTATAACAGGGTGATAGAAGACAAGAGAGTGAACTCACAGCCTCAAGTCCTTTGGCATTAACCCATTTATGAGGGTGGAGTCCTTATGACATAAACATATCCCATTAGGCCCCACTTCCCAACACTATTGCATTGAGAATTAAGTTTCCAACATATGAACTTTAGGAGACACACTCAAACCATTGCATATGGGTAACCTAAACTGTGTGTGGCGTAATTAATGGGTTGTTTGTTCCTTCCTAACTAAATTTACCTTCATTTTTTGTAAATGAGTTCCATGATATATTTGAAGGCACAGCCAACAGATTTGCTGCTAGACAGGATCTGGATGTGAGTAAAACACAATTGTTTTGCCTGGAGCAAAATTGAGATTTTATTAACTGAGATTTAAAACCTGTAGGAGGCATAGGTGAGTTGGAGGTGATGGCAAATTTTTAGTTTACAATATGTTAATTCTGAGATATCTGATAGACATCCAAGTGACAGTGTTTTGCAGAAAGTTGGATATTTTGGTCTGGAGATCAGAAGACAGTTTCAGGTAGGAGACATAAATTTGATAGTCATCAGCATACAAGTGGTAACTAAAGCCAGGAATCAGATGAGATCACCTAGGGACAAAGCATAATTAGTAAAGAGGATGAGTTCACTGACTGAAGCCTACTAACATTTAGAAGTAGATAATTGAAAAGGAGTGGAAAAAGGAGATGAGAAAGAGTGGGTAGGAGAATAAGAGAAGAACTAATTAGTTGTGGTATCCTGAGTGAATGTTCAACTGTATCAGATACTGCTGATAGGTAAAGTAAAACTGGACGATGAAAAAACCTATCATTGAATTTGGTAATGTGGAGGTTGTATTAGTCTGCTAAGGCTGCCATAACAAAATTAAATGACTGGGTGGCTTAAACAACACAGATTTATTTTCCTACAGTTCTAGAGGCTGAAAGTTCAAGAGGCTGGCAGGGTTGGTTTCTCCTGAAGTCTCTCTCTGTGGTTTGCAGACAATGCCTTCTTACTGTGTTCTCACATGGCCCTTTCTCTGTGCAAGTGTATCCCAGCTTTTTGTCTTTCTTATAAGGACACCAGTCATATTGGATTAGAATCCAACCCTATGATCTCATTTAACCTTAATTACCTCTGAAAAGGTCCTATCTCCAAACAGTCACGTTGAGGGTTAGGGCTTCGACATGTGAATTTGAGAGGGACATAATTCTGTCCATGACAAAGGTCACTGATGAACTTGAAAACAATAATGTTCTTGTCATGGAGTTCTGCTGGAGAGAACCTGACTTTAGTGACTTCAAGCAAGAAGGGAAAGTGATATGGTTTGGCTGTGTCCTCACCTAAGTCTCACCTTGAATTGTAATAATCCCCACATGTCAAGAGTGGGGTCAGGTGGAGATAACTGAATCATGGGGCCAGTTTTCCCCATAGTGTTCTTGTGATAGCAGATAAGTCTCATGAGATGTGATGGTTTTATAAATGGGAGTTTCCCTGCACAAGCTCTCTTGCCTGTTGCCATGTAAGACGTGTCTTGCTTCCCCTTCTCTTTCCACCATGATTGTGAGGCCTCCCCATCCATGTGGAACTTTGAGTTCATTAAATCTCTTTCCTTAATAGATTACCCAGTCCCAGGCATGTCTTTATTAGCAGCCTGAGAACACACTAATACAGAAGGAGAGACATGGAGACAGTGGATGCAGGCCCTAACTAGAAGGAATTTTGCCATTAAGGGAAGGCAAGAAGTGAGGAAGTCCCTGAGCAGAGAAATAGAGAGAAGAAAAGAGTTTTGTAATATATTTTTTTTATTCGGTGAGAAAGATGCTATTAGATGTTTTGTTATTTCAAGATTCAGCTGCCTCTTGTGTTGAATAATTTTCTGCTTTTGTGTATGTTGACATTGGAGTGACCAGCAGGGCTGCAGGAGGCTACAGAGAAGTGGAAATGGAGGTTGAGAGGGAGGTGAGCAGAGGATACTTGAGGGATTTTATAATTCATTTGAGTATTTCAACTTTTAGTTATTTGTAGGATACTTTAACATGTTATTATGGTATAAAATACTGTTTATTTATTTGTACAAACATAACATATTATTTATCTATATAAACGTGTTCCTTTTTTATTATAGTCTCTGAGGGTCCTAAAGAACAAACATTTTAAAAATGTTTGGATAGTTTGTTACCTATAGTCACCTCAACTCAAATGTAAATAATTGCCATTTCTTTAGGTGCTTAAATAGCACTCATTTATGATTGGTAATGAATAAGTCAATGCTTGGTTAATTGTATATCCACTAGCAATTCTGAACTTTCATTGGTGTGTGTTTCTGTACTAGGAAGAGAAAGGAAGTGTCTCTGGCCTTGCATTGGGTACCGACTGTTCTTAAGTACTTGTCTATCCATGGGTGCTTCTCCCTAGAATTAAAGTGCGTTTACAGCATGGTATGTTAAGAAAGGGCACTGAGTGTGCAGTCAGCAATCCCAAATCTGCATTTTAATAGCCTTGTTGGCTAGCTTACTGTATCTGTAGTCCTAGGTTTTGTGTCTGTTCAGTAGAGATAATGGTACATGGTTTTATGAAATTTATTTTAAGTGACACTTAGGCTCACACTCAGACCAACTTTTATCTGAAATGAAACCAGCCTTGACATATATTGGTCTTAGTATTGCAGATCCATTTGTCAATAGTATGGTTTGGGATTTTCTGTCAACTACTGGTCATTCCGGGAATATAAACCAGCGTCCTCAAGGCAAAAATTGCCATTGAAAAGAAAAAAGAAAAGCTGAAAGCTCAATGTTTACTTTAGGAACAAGGATCTAATGGGGTCAGCGATTTTAGCTGTGGAACACCAATAAAGAAATATAGACATAGAAAAGCAAGTCCTGAAATTTATGGTATATCTATAAAGACAAAGCGAACCAGAGACTTCAGCTAATTCTACTACTACAGGCAGCAAATCTGGATGGTTTTGCCCTTGGTTTTTCTATCTTATAAAAACTACAGTAGCAGGTTTAGAAGAAATTGAATGGAATCATTTTTTTTTCTTTGCCTTTATAAACAAAAGGGTGCTTGGCAGGGGAAAAGGTAGCTGGGAAAATATTCCGTAACAGAGAGAACTCCTGTATTGTGATATATCCTTCCTTCAGTTTTTGGACATAGAAAAAGGTAACTATAGAAAAAAGGCAGAACGTAAATTAAAGTTGTTTTAGAAAATGCAAGTATTCAGGTTTTTCTATTATTCCGTCATTATTTTTGGCTAGTTGCAATATATCAAGTTTCTTAATAATTGAGGTAGCTCTAATACATACTTTATTCTCAGAGACAGAATAAATGCCTTCCTACAAATAATAGGCAAAGCTAATTAGCAACTTAGCACTCTTATTTTGGCCAGAAGCCACCT
Source organism: Homo sapiens (assembly GCF_000001405.40). Taxonomy (NCBI): domain Eukaryota; kingdom Metazoa; phylum Chordata; class Mammalia; order Primates; family Hominidae; genus Homo; species Homo sapiens. The sequence goes on along the minus strand of NC_000014.9, from coordinate 85,497,705 downwards.
TGACTGAGTTCTATAATTTGTGAATATAACCTAGCTCTTAGAGTGTTAATTAATCTGTTCTTTCAATAGCCACATTTTCAAAAGGTAAGGTTAGGGTATTGTTAAAGCCCAAAGCTTCTTGTTCCCACTTTCTCAAAAAGGGTTAGCAATATGGCATCGAATTTCTTTATAGGGTTTTTTTTAGAGAAAAACTGTGTCCTTGAAAGCTGAAATTTTTGAATTTTTTTTTAAATTGTGGGAAATGTAGACGTTTCTGGCTCATATGTGAATGACAAGGAAGGAAAATGTCACATTTTAATGAGAGTTAGAATCTTATGATATAATTAGATCTGCAAATCATCTGAATTCAATTTATTGAACATGACTGAACACACGTTGTATCAGCCACGTGGAGATGCAGAGGTGAATATAGTTCATACTGTGACTATAGAGACAGTTAGTACAGCAACAGTTTTCACACTGGGCTACATGTACTTTGCAGATGTGTATAGACTTTCAGGGTAGTAAGAGCAGCCAAAGAATTCTACAGACTTCACTGTCTAGACAGTCGACTCCATCGTTACATGTTCCTAAAGTCAATCTATCTGAGATGGAACTTTCCTACCTCCCTTTCAGGATAGCTCTTCTTCCAGTTACAAGAAAAAATCAGGTCTCTGAGGTTCTACTTAGATGTGTAAGAACTTTTAACTAACAGAGCAATGGTGATAAGAAAACGAATCACTAAGAACTGTGTAACTAATCCCTTTGCGAATCTAAATGATTTCCAATTATTTGCTTAGAAAAAAAAGAATGGGAACCTAATCCAGTGGAAGAGTGAGGAAACATAAAAAATATTTTTAGATGTTAGATTACAAGTTAATTTCTGTGGTGAAACTCCAAGGTGGGCTATGAATTGAGTCTCCCCAAACTCTTCTATTCCAAACTATTTATTTATGATAACACATTTTCTCAGTTCTACATCTAAAAACAAAGACAATAATGAAAAATGGGGAGAAAAAACCTTGATGCTGAGTCCTGTGTTATTCTATCAGTAATTAATATTCATTCAAGTCATATGAACCTAGAAAAATAATAGATTAAAATAACCCAGTTTATCTTATTACGGATGCTTACATAATAACATTTCCCTTTTTATGTTTAATAATTGTAATCAAATCTACAAAATAATTCCATTGTCTTGTCAATTGAACTTTATTAATCATTGTAATGACAACTTATTCTATGAGAAAAATGTAATATTTAAAGATTTATAGTTATAGAAAATTTTAAAATGTCTTAATCTATCGGCATATTTTTGTTGTAGGCTATATGATTGAGCAACAATAATAATTATTGGTGCAGAGGTGGGAGGGGGAAAATGTTCCAAGCAGGTGACAGCATAAACAAAAACTCAAAGTAGAAGGACATCAGGTTTTAAGTTCTAAAAATAATGTCTAACCAGGATTGAAAATATGGGATGTAAAAGGGAAAACAGAGATGTGGGAGTAGAGACCAGAGGGGTTTTCTCGAGCAATCTTTTTATTTAATTTAATTTTTTTTTTTTTTGAGACGGAGTCTCTCTCTGTTGCCCAGGCTGGAGTGCAGTGATGCGATCTTGGCTCACTGCAACCTCCACCTCCTGAGTTCAAGTGATTCTCCTGTCTCAGCCTCCGGAGTAGCTAGGATTACAGGTGCCCGCCACCATGCTGGCTAATTTTTGTATTTTTAGTAGAGATGGGGTTTTGCCATCTTGGCCAGGTTGGCCTCGAACTCCTGACCTCAGGTGATCTGCCTGCTTCGGCCTCCCAAAGTGCTGGGGTTACAGGCATGAGCCACCACGCCCGACTCTCCACCAATCTTATCAATGAAATTTATTCATTTACCACAGGGATCTACCTTTTCAGGAGTTATGAATGATTGGCTTGAACAAGATGCTTTTTCATTTTTCTTTTAGAGCAGAGGTCAGAAAACATTTTGTGTGTGTGTGAAGGGCAAGATAGTAAGACTTTGTGGTCTCTGTTGCAAACACTGCACTCTGCTGTTGTAGCGAGAAAGCAGCCACAGGCTAAATGTCAATGAATAAATGTGGCAGTGTGTTGATAAACTTTAGTTATGGACACCAAATATTGAATTTTATATCATTTTCACATGTCATGAAATATTATATTTTGTATGTGTTTATTTTTCATTCTAACTATTGAAAAATGTAAAAACCATTCTTAGTTTACAGGTTGTTCAAAAACAGGCAGTTGGCAGAATTTGGTCCAAGGCTGCAGTTTGTCCACCCCTGACCTAGAATTTTTCAAGGACGTTGTCATCTTCTATCTCACATCCTGAGCTTAGACCCCCATGAAGCCTTATGAATCTGATTTGTTTCTTCCCTCTTAATACCTGAATTGCACGAAAACCAGGACTCCTTAACACATAGTGTGTTTTGCATTTCGGAAAAGTTGAGGCTTATTTACTTACTGATGATCTGTACGGGAAAACTTTAACAGTTCTGAAGCTGTTCTTCATTTTAGCAAAGATCTATCAAGAGGATTATTCTCCTTAACTACTTGAATTTTGAACTTAACGGCTTTTTATCTATTACCAGCATCAAAAATTTCATCTGAGAGTTTAAAAATGTGTTTTTTGTTTTGTTTTGTTTTGTTTTTTGAGACGGAGTCTCACTCTGTCGCCCAGGCTAGAGTGCAGTGGCACTGTGTCGGCTCACTGCAACCTCCATCTCCTGGGTTCAAGCAATTCTCCTGCCTCAGCCTCCCAAGTAGCTGGGATTACAGGCGCCCACCACCACATCCAGCTAATTTTTATATTTTTAGTAGAGACGGGGTTTCACCATGTTGCCCAGGCTGGTCTAGAACTCCTGACCTCAGGTGATCTGCCTGCCTAGGCCTCCCAATGTGCTGGGATTACAGGCGTGAGCCACTGCGCCCGACCCTTTTTATTTATTTATTTATTTATTTATTTATTTATTTATTTATTTATCTGAGATGGAGTCTTGATCTATCGCCCAGGCTGGAGTGCAATGGTGCAATCTCGGCTCACTGCAAACTCCACCTCCCGGGTTCAAGCAATTCTCTGCCTCAGCCTCCCTACTAGCTGGGATTACAGGCGCCCACCACCACGCCTGGCTAATTTTTTTTGTATTTTTAGTAGAGACAGGGTTTCACCATCTTGGCCAGGCCAGTCTTTAACAGAATAATATAGTGGAAAGACCATAGGTTTCATGGTCAATGACCTGAGTTTGATTCTTGTCTCTATTATCTAGTTCTTGGGCAAATTACATCACATCAGTGAACCTCAGTTTCCTTGTGTATAGCAATAGATACAGTAATAATAGGCTTTCTTCACTGTGTTATCTGGAGAGTTTAGTTAGTAGATGTGAAATATACAGCACAGGGTACATGATAAGCAGACATTATATTTCAGTTATGAATATTAACAGTATTCTTTTTTTTTTTTTGAAACAGGGTCTCCTTCTGTCATTAAGACTGGGGTGCAATGACACAATTACAGCTCGCTACAGTTTCGGCCTCCCAGACTCAAGCCATCCTTCCACCTCAGCCTCCCGAGTAGCTGGGGCCACAGGCATGTGCCATTGTGCCTGGCTAATTTTTGTATTTTTTTTGCAGAGATGGGTTTCGCCATGTTGCCCAGGCTGGATATTAACAGTATTCTCACAAATATTTTTACTTTTTGTTTTTAATCCATAGATCTGGCTAAATCGCAACAGATTTAAAAATTCTTCATGCTTTATTATTATTATTAAACTTTTATTTTAGTTTCAGTGGTACATGTGCAGTTTTGATAAATTGATAAATTGCTTCTCACAGGGTTTGCTTTATTGTTTTTGACCCATAAATTGGAAGGCCAAAAAGTCTAGCTATTTGAAACTATTGGAGATTTCCATCTTCATCACTATTATCTGAAACTGAGTTTTCCTCACAACTGATAACATCAGATAGCCAAGGAATTCCTGAACACTTTTCTTGTTGATTTCAAGTCCTGCCTGACTCTCTAGCCTCTGTAACCTCTTGTTTCTCACAACTTTGGCGTCTTCGTCCCCCTTTTATAAGCTAGTTCTTTCCCCAGTTCCAGAATCAATTTGAACCAGAAGTTGACTAAGTTTGAAGCAGTTCCCAAGCCACTTCCTGGTACATCATACCGTGGAGTCTCCCAAGAATTACTCTATGTCTATCCCCAAAGTTTTTCTCCAAAGGACTCAGTCAATTCTATCATACCTACCTCTTGGCCCTGCTCCTTATTTCTCATTCTAGTGACTTCCCCAAGCACCCTATTCCCTTCTTAGAACTGAGGTCTTGAGTTATTCTTGGAAGTTTCCTTTCCAGAGTCTTTATATCTTGTTTGTTCATGAATTGCCCTGTGTAGCTAGAACTTTGTCATTTGCTAACACAATTTAGTCTCCTCTACAAGCTATTGAACCTCCATTTCTTGGTGCTGACTTTCCAAAATTTTTTTCTGGCTGTGCTTTAATCCTGGGAACCATCAGATCATTCTAATTCCTGTTGTGGACTTGCTACTTTGCTAGGACTTAGGCTTGATGCTCTGTCATACCGATGAAATTTTCTAATCTGTAAAACAAAGTAAATAATAGTACTTACGTCCTGAGATCCACATGAGGTTGATATTAATACACATGTATACTTAGCTGAGCACTTGCACAGTCAGTGTGCTATATAGTGTGCAATAAATAATTGCAGTTGTTGCCATTGCTGTTATTAAAGCTCTTTAGAACAGTGCTCCCAAATTTGTCACTTGAGTCATGTCATTATTTTTCACCACTAGCATACTACCCCTACACTACCATTTTTTTTATTTTTTTGAGATTGAGTCTTACTCTGTTGCCCAAGTTGGAGTGCAATGGCATGATTTCAGCTCACTGCAACCTCTGCCTCCTGGGTTCAAACGATTCTCCTGCCTCAGCCTCCCAAGTAGCTGGGACTACAGGTGCCCACCACCACACCCAGCTCATTTTATTTTTGTATTTTTAGTAGAGATGGGATTTCACCATGTTGGCCAGGCTGGTCTTGAACTCCTGACTTCGTGATCAGCCCATTTGGCCTCCCAAAGTGCTGGGATTACAGGCGTGAGCCACTACGCCCAGCCTGCACTACCATTTTTAAATGCATTTTTTTCATAGACTGCTTCTTTAACTTAAATAAATGTAGCCTTCTCCTTAAGCAATCACTAGATCCAGGCTGCTTTGATGTGCTACATTATTTTATGAATCAAAAATGTCATTGATTATAAGAAACTATTATTTTTCTAATCCTAGGAAAAAAGTACTGTCAACTAAACTATGAACTTCCATTAATTTTAAGAGGCATTTTTATTTAGAGATGTTAAAATGTCATAAAAAAGCTTTGAAATCATTGAATTGTTAAATTTTTCTTAGAATCACTTCCTAGCAATGTTTTAGGGGGAGGACACTAGGCATACTCTCTCTAAGAGTTCTAAATCACTCGTGCGATTTAGTAATCACTTGCATACTGATGACTCCCAGCTCTGTATGTTTGGGCAACATCTGTCTTGAACTTCAGTTTGTCTATTGATCAAGCTGCTTGACATCTCCGTCTGGATACACCAAAGGCACACCAGAAATTTATTCCTTACCTTTCGCCTCATGTCTGCTCGTGAGTCTCTATTCCTTATCTTGATGAGTAGCAGCACTAGCCAATAAATGCCCACATCTGGAAACTGGGGCTCCTCCATGACTGCCTTCATGGCTTATCCCTCCATCTAATTAGTCCCAGGTAGTATTAGTTCTATTTCCCTGATTTGTTTTTAAATCATGCCCTCCACACACCTATGGCAGCTTCAGTCTTGCTCTGTCGCCCAGGCTGGAGTGCAGTCGCGCGATCTCGGCTCACTGCAAGCTCTGCCTGCCGGGTTCACGCCATTCTCCTGCCTCAGCCTCCCGAGCAGCTGGGACTACAGGCGCCCGCCACCACGCCCGGCTAATGTTTTTTTTTTTTTGCATTTTTAGTAGAGACAGGGTTTCACTGTGTTAGCCAGGATGGTCTTGATCTCCTGACCTCGTGATCCACCCGCCTCGGCCTCCCAAAGTGCTGGGATTACAGGCATGAGCCACCGCGCCCGGCCTCCTTTTTTTTTTTTAATATAACTTTTATTTTTGGTTTAGGGGTACATGTGCAGGTTTGTTACATAAGTAAACTTGTATCATAGAGGTTTGTTGTACAGATTATTTTGTCACCCAGGCACTAAGTTTAGTACCCATTAGATATTTTTCCTGATCCTTTCCCTCCTCCCACTCTCCACCCTCCAGCAGGCCACAGTATCTGTTGTTGTCCTCTATGTGTGTATGTGTTCTCATCATTTAACTCCCACTTATAAGTCCCTTATAAGTGAGGCATTTTATTTTCTGTTCCTGCATTGGTTTGCTAAAAATAAAGGCCTCCAGCTCCATCTATGTTCCCACAAAGAACATGATCTCATTCTTTTTTATGGCTGCATAGTATTCCATGGTGTATATGTACCACATTTTCTTCATCCAATCTACCATTGATGGACATTCATGTTGATTCCATGTCTTTGCTATTGTGAATAGTGCTGCAATGAACATATGCATGTATGTGTCTTTATGGTAGAATGGTTTATATTCCTTTGGGTATATATCCAGTAATGGGATTGCTGGGTAAAGTGGTAGTTCTGTTTTTAGGTCTTTGAGGAATTGCCACACTGTTTGAAATAGTCTACACTCCCACCAACAGTGTATAAGTGTTTCTTTGTCTCCACAACCTTGCCAGTACCTGTTACTTTTGACTTTTTAATAATAGCCATTTTGGCTGCTGTGAGATTGCGTCTCTTTGTGGTTTTGATTTACATTTCTCTAGTGATCAGCGGTATTGAGCTTTTTTTTCATTTGCTTGTGGGCCACATGCATATTTTCTTTTGAAAAGTGCCTGTTCATGTCCTTTGCCCACTTTTGAATGGGGTTGTTTGTTGGAACCACCTCCGACAGAATCTCTGGCCTTCCATGTGGCTGCCTTCTCCTATCGTCCATTGCACACTGCTGCCAAATAGACTTACCTCCCCGAGTTGCAAATATGCTCCATTAGTTCTTCCTTTCACAAAATTTTAGGAGTTCTCCATTACCTTCAACATAAAGTCTAACATTCTCAGCCAGTTACCCAACGCTGTGTAGGATCTTACTCAAGCTTACTCTAACCCAGCCTCCTTCTCACTCCACCACGCCTGCCACACTCACACCCACTATATTCCTTTCTTCAGGTAACCCACTGTACTCACCTGGTCCCAAATAAGCCATTACCTCTCAGGTACTCCCCCTTTGCAAGAACTTCTCTCCCCTTCTTTCTCTCCAATTCCCTTTCTCCATTCCCCTCCCTGGCACCTTCTCCCTCTCTCTTCCTCCCTCTCCACATCCTTCCTTTCTCTTTCGCTGTTCTCTGTCTCATCTGTTGCCACCTCTAATGAGCCTTTCCCATCCCCAAGTCTGAGGAAGTTGTTGCTTCTTTGTGCTCTTAGAATTCCTTGTTTATTTTAACTATAACTTTCTTTTTCTATACTGAATTTGGTTACCACTTTACTACCTTGCAATAGAGCTTCTTGTGGGTGGGTGTTTAGTTATATGTGGCTATATAACAAATCATCCCCAATTTAATGGCTTAAAATAACAATTATTATTGCTCTTGGTTTGGTGGGTTAACTGTGGAAAGGCTCTTTCTTGGGGTCTGTTAGAGAAAAAATGATTCAATGATATTGTTAAAGCATCATTAAGGATAGCTTATTCAGGACCCTTGCAATAGGTATAGCAATCACTGCAATGGGGTCTCACAGTGGAGGAGAGAGATTGGGCCAAACTTGACTACAACATGGGCAAATGGAAATTTATAGCGAAGAAGCAGGGTGAGGGGCAGTGGATGAAAAATTACAAAGAGGAAACATCGGGGTAAGGAAGATTCTAGCTAAATAAGAATTCTAAGTAAGAGAATTCTCACTGGAGACAGGCCATGGTGATCAAAAATCACCTGGAGGAGGTGGAGAATGAGGAATCTAACTAGATATTGTGGGTGATCAGAGATATTGAGGGCAGACGGTTCTGACTAAATCGACCTAACAGGGTTCTTTGCTAAAACTGGATTTTACAAAGAAGTGCACAGATGGACCTACAAGAAGGTTCAGGAGCCTGGCTAAAATCTGGCCAAGCAAAGAATTTTTGTCAGGTATCATTTGAATGTGGTCAGATGGCAGCTGAGACTGGAGTCATCTGAAGGCTGGACTAGGCCAGATGCACAAAATGTTCATTCTTGTATGTGCAGTTGATGCTGGCTGTTGCCTGTGGGCCGGACTGGGTCTGTCTACTGAGCACCTATGTGTGTCCTGTCCATGTGGCGGGGCCTTCTCTCAGGATGGCGGCAGGGTTCTTAGACGTAGTACCCCAACAGCGAGCAATCTAAGAAGCCCAGGAAGGAGCTTCTCGTCTTCCTTCAGATGTGAACTCAGAAGTCTCAGAATGTCTGTTGTATTCTCTTGGTCAAAGCAGTCACAGAACCCACCCAGATTTAGGGGAAAACAGTAGATTTCAAACACCCTTGGGAAGATAGGAAGACCATAATGCATCAGAGCTCGTGGGGTGAGAGATGTTCTTGTGATTGTCTTCAGAAACAGCGTCTCCCATGACAGGACACTGACAGCAAACTCTACCTTCCCAGAGTCAAGCGCTGTGCTGGCACAGAATAAATGCTAATTTATGAACACGCTGGTTAAAGGCACAACCTCTGGTGCCAGATCTGCCAAGGTTGCTATTTTGGCTGATGCATTTTCCTGGCCCTGGGATGTCGATGAGGCGTCCCTCAGTGATCACAGTGACGAAATGGAGGTAGAATCTACCTCATAGTGTGCTTGTCTATGTATATGTGCTAATCTATGTAAAGACCTTAGAGCAGTGCCTGGAACATATGCTTTGAAGTTAGCTACGATGACAAGGAAGAGGGAGGGAGAAGGGCTGGCCCTTGCAGTTGATCTCCAATCCCTAGTCCTAGTTTCAAACCTTCCAAATAAATATGTTCTCTCTTATAAACCAGCGGGCAATGCCTGGCTGAGCCCCAAGATACTGTAACAACTAAGTTCCTACATATGACACCACATTTTAGCAATCTGAAATGTACTGTATATTCCTTTAGTGACATATATAATAATGCCAAACATCTCAAGATTTGTTAGGTGCATGCTCTTCATTAGGTATGCCCTTGTTTCAAAAGTTATTCAGAATTCTCAAGCAGTTCTGAATTTCTTCAAATACAGGTAAGAGTGTGCCTTTTGCTGCCTTGCACTGACTGCCATAGAGTCTAGTACAGTGCCAGAGATACACCATGCATGAAGTAAATACTTGTAATTACTTTATCAGATTATTGACATGCTGATAATTAAAAATTAAAAAGCATCTGAAAGGACAATTCCACTTATCACAATTTAATAAGGAGACGATTCTTGGGATTTTCTTTTTTTTATTATTACACTTTAAGTTCTAGGGTACATGTGCACAATGTGCAGGTTTGTTACATATGTATACATGTGCCATGTTGGTTTGCTGCACCCATTAATTCATCATTTACATTAGGTATTTCTCCTAATGCTATCCCTCCCCCATCCCCCCAACCCACAACGGGCCCTGGGGTGTGATGTTCCCCGCCCTGTGTCCATGTGTTCTCATTGTTCAGCTCCCACCTATGAGTGAGAACATACGGTGTTTGGTTTTCTGTCCTTGCGATAGTTTGCTCAGAATGATGATTTCCAGCTTCATCCATGTCCCTACAAAGGACATGAACTCATCCTTTTTTATGGCTGCATAGTATTCCATGGTGTATATGTGCCACATTTTCGTAATCCAGTCTATCATTGATGGACATTTGGGTTGGTTCCAAGTCTTTGATATTGTGAATAGTGCCATAATAAACATACGTGTGCATGTGTCTTCATAGTAGCATGATTTATGATCCCTTGGTATACACCCAATAATGGGATTGCTGGGTCAAATGGTATTTCTAGTTCTAGATCCTTGAGGAATTGCCACACTGTCTTCCACAATGGTTGAGATTCTTGGGATTTTCCAAGAGAAAAGAGTTCATAGGACATCATTCTTAAGAAAAGACTGGAGTCATGCATTCAGCAACATTTCCATAGTTTCTAAGAAAGTAGCGTCCACCCTTGCTGGTACACTTGCTCACATCTGGACTTTACGCTGGCTCTCCTCGAGCTGAGTCACTGAGTGGAAACATGTAGCATTTGGCAAGGAAGGGTCATGGCTCTCAACCTCAGCTGGAAACCTTTTAAATAACTAGTATGTGGGCTTTTTCTTAAACTTAATTTCTCTAGGAGTCACGAACACCCTGAAACTGTATGCCAGATTTTATGTGCATGTGTAAAAGTGCATTTCTTCAGAGAAAACCAATGGTTTTCATGAGGCTCTCAGAGTAATCCCTAAGAAATGAAAGGTTAAGAACCACTGGTCATGAAAGCTTGGGCAGGCTTCCCTAATCCTTTACACATCCTAGAGGTTGTTTTCATCCGACCAAAGCCTTAACAGTGTATTTGCTTACCACTTCCCTCTCTTTTAGCATAAAACTGAAGGACAGCATTTACAAAAATCCCATTAAATCCATTTATGGTACTTCCCTATCCTAGTGGTCTGGACTGTGGGTAAACAATAATTTTTTGCAGTGTAATATCTGTCTAAAATTTGAACCATGGGAATTTATGGACAGAGTGTATGTCACTGACTTATATATTTAGCTTTAAAAAATTTTTGGTACATTTAAAATAAAGACAGATAACTCTAGGCCATATCAATTTTAAAAGTTCTGTTTTTTCTAATATATACACGTGTATACCTACTTGTGAGTCTGCATGTATATACATGTAGTCTTTTTTTCCCTAAAAAACATATAATCTTGTAAAATGCCACAAAATTGTTCATTATGTTTTTTAACTGTTCTCAATATGTGTGATTTATGGGAAGACAGATTTATTTTAAAATGATCATAGGAAGACAGATTTATTTAAAAACGATCAGAGGCTTGTATTCTGCTAACTCAGAGAAAACCCTGTAATTACAACTGAGAATCCTATCCTTATTATCTTCACAGGCAGAGTTCCTGGGGATTTTAATCCTTACTCAGGTTCCATGGCTAAAAAAACCCATATAATTGCAGTTTATTTCCTGAATTAAAAAAAAAAAAACGCCCAATGTTTATAATAATAGCGGCAATAATAGGTCCATTGAGCACCTACTATGTGCCAGATTCAATGCTAGACACTTCACATACATTTCATAGGTAATATTTAGTCCTTTATATGTACCATATCATTCTGAAATTACTTCCTCAGATAAAAAAAAGAATGACATTTCATTTCCTGCTTTTTAACAGAAGTTGGTTGCTGTTATAAAACATACACACCTCAATAGTAATGTCTCCTATGGGTGGTTGAAGCCTCCTGTAATTTTCTCTATGGTCCTTATTTTCCTAACTTTTATTGAATATACACTGTCTTCTAGATGTAGTACTGGGCTCTAAGTTAAAAGAGTGAGCAAGCTAGGCATTGTCCCTGACCTCAAGCCTTTTATGTCCTAATCAGTGTAGAACACAGATGTAACATAAGCATGAGTTTGTGGACAAATTGGGCATTTTAAACTATGTGCCTGGATTAAAGTGAAAAAAAAAAAAAAACAAGCCTATATAGGCCGGGCACGGTGGCTCATGCCTGTAATCCCAGCACTTTGGGAGGCCGAGGCGGATGGATCACCTGAGGTCGGGAGTTGTAGACCAGTCTGACCAATATGGAGAAACTCCATCTCTACTAAAAATACAAAATTAGCCAGGCGTGGTAGCGCATGCCTGTAATTCCAGCTACACAGGAGGCCGAGGTAGGAGAATCACTTGAACCTAGGAGGCGGAGGTTGCGGTGAGCCGAGATCATGCTATTGCACTCCAGCGTGGGCCACAAAAGTGAAACTACGTTTCAAAATAAATAATTAAATAAATAAATAAATAAATAAATAAATATCCACATAGTCAAAGCCATACTAAGCAAAAAGAACAAAGCTGAAGGCAATACATTACCCAACTTCAAATTTTACTACAAGTCTATAATTACCAAAACACCACGGTAATGGTTGAAAAATAGGCACATACACCAATGGAACAAGAGTAGAGAACCCAGAAACAAAGCCAAATACTTATAGCCAAATATACAACAAAATATACGAAAACATAAATTAGGGAAAGGACACCCTATTCAATAGACGGTTCTGGGAAAACCAGCAAACCACATGTAGAAGAATGAAATCGAATCCCCATCTCTCACCTTAATCAAAAATAAGCTCAAAATAGATCAAAGACTTACATCTAAGACCAGAAATCATAAAAATTCTAAAAGATAACATCAAAAATGTCTCTGGACGTTGGTTTAGGTGAACAATTCATGATTAAGACCCCCAAAACAAATGCAACAAAAACAAAAATAAATAAATGCAACCTAATTAAATGAAAAAGCTTCTGCACATCAAAAGAAATAATCAGTAAACAGACAACCCACAGAGTGGAAGAAAATATTTGCAAACTATGCATCCGCCAAAGGACTAATATCCAGAATCTACAAGAAACTCAAACAAATAAGCAAGAAAAAAGAAATAATCCCATCAAAAAGTGGGCAAAGGATATAAATAGAAAACTCTCAAAAGAAGATATACAAACAGCCAATAAACATATGAAAAAATACTCAATATCACTAATCATCAGGGAAATGCAAACTAAAACCACAATGAGATACCACCTTACTCCTGCAAGGGTGGCCATAATTAAAAAGTCAAAACACAATGGATGTTGGGATGGATGTGGTGGAAAGGAACACTTTTATACTGCTGGTGGGAATGTAAATTAGTATAACCACTGTGGAAAACTGTATGGGGATTCCTTAACGAACTAAAAGTAGAGCTACCATTCGATCCAGCAATCCCACTACTGAGTATCTACCGAAAGGAAAATAAGTCATTATGTGAAAAAAGACACAGGCACAGGCATGTTTATAGCAGCACAGTTTGTAATTGCAAAGATATGGAACCAACCTAAGTGCCCATCAACCAATGAGTGGATAAAGAAAATGCGGCATATATACTCCGTGTAATACTACTCAGCCATAAAAAGGAACAAGAGCATGTCTTTCTTGAAAACATGGATGAAGCTGGAGGCCATTTTTCTAAGTGAAGTTACTCAGAAACGGAAAACCAAATATCATATGTTCTCACTTATAAGTGGGAGCTAAGCTAAGAGGATGGCAAAGGCATAAGAATGATGTAATGGACTTTGGGGGCTCGGCGGGGTGAGGGATGCAGACTACAGAGTGAGTACAGTGTACACTGCTCGGGTGACAAGTGCACTAAAATCTCAGAAATCACCACTAAAAGAACTTATCCATGTAACCAAAAACTTATTATACCCCCAAAACTACTTAAATAAAAATAATTTAAAAAATTTATTGTGTCCTCCTCTTGAAGGGACAATAGCAAATGGAATTTTTCTTTGAACTCCACTGCTTTTGGAGAACATGTTGCTGCTATTTCTTTTATTAAGTATGTCAGAAATACATTCAAATTAGTGAATCTAATTGGCTGTCACTGCTGATTAAAAGCTTGTAAAGTAGAGAGGATTGTTATACACTGGATCCTGGGGCTCATTGTGAGTAGGTAGGAGGAAAAGGCCTGTGATTTTGTGTTACTCTTGCAGGCATGTGGCTATGGCTGTGGTGGTAGACCAGAGTCACTTTTGCTGCAATAAAATACTGTCTTGTTGATGACATGACTGTTTCCTGACTATTTCTAAACATTCTTACTCAGCACAATACAAATAAACTGGAGTTAGGACTAGGAAAATAATAATACAGTAAGTAGAAGAAGATAGCAAGAATAATTGATGGTAAGACTAGAGTTGTTTCTCAGGTTGTGGTTTTGAAACTATCTGCTTAAAATCACCTTGGGTGCTTGCTAAAAAGGCAGATTCCTATGCCCCACCTAAAATCAATTCAGTCTCAGTCCTCTATGGCTTCAGGCTCTAATTTTGATAATAGGGACAGCTTCCTGGACGAGAGAAAGTGCCAAAGGAGCTCAGAAAGATTCAGCATGATGACATAGAAACCTCATCTTACTGTCAGAAGAACTAAATTTTGGGTCCCATATCTGTTGTTAACTAACAGGACATCTTTGAGCTGAATCATTTTAATTATCTGGCTTCAATTTCTTAGTTCTCTCCCTCCTCCTCCTCCTCCTATCCCCATTAAGTTGTATCAAAACATGGCACTCTGATAAAGAAGTATGAGTAATTAGGCAGCATTATTCTCAAACATAGTGTCAGACGAGGACAAATTCTTTAGCCAACCAATTAGCATTCAGCAAACACATAATGTAGAAGATTTGCGATATTATAAGCCAAGGTCAGTGCTTTCAAGAAAGTACTAGGGCTTTTTGAAAACAAATTTTGCTTAAGCCAAGACAAATAATATAATGTGGAAATAGTTAATGCAGACAAGTACTATATGAGATCAGAGTCAGTCCTCAGCTAGAGTTCTCAGATAAGATTTCATCAAAGCAGGCTCCAAAAGACACTTACAGGGTGACTGAATTTAAATTGTTGAAAAGGACTAATTGGATAACCCATATAAAAGTTAAGGAAGCTGTGATTTGGTTCTCAAAGAGGAAAAAAAAAATGTTGTGTGGGAAGAACAGCCTTAAGTCACTAGACCACAGTGTTAAGTCAATGCTCATTACAGAAATTTTGAAAGATTATGATTCTAACTTGGCTGGTCATTATGTCTGTTAATGGTAAACCATACCTATGACATTTTAGCTGAAAGAATCTGTCCTTGGGTGCTGGCTGTGAGAGAGTCAATATTTGCTCCTAGGCAACCAGCAGTATAAGAGAATAGAAAGGTATATCTACAGACCTCAAAGGACATAGATGTCAGGGTCGGAGGTGTAGGGAGAAACATCCACTCTGGCAAGACTACGAATGCCAAAATTCATTCCAAAGTGCCCACCTGCTCAAGTGGATTATGCCATGAATTTAGACGCCAAATGCCACCACCACGGACTACCTTGAATGAGTAGCTTTGAGGCTATTATCACAGTCTGAGAAACTCACATGGGAAGTGATACTCACGCAAAGAAAGGGATAGATCACAGTATAAGCCATCCAGTGTCAGAGGACAAGAGTTTTCCAAAAAGTGGGCAACTGATTTTACAACAGAGGTTAGAAAAATCCTAGAAGAAACTGGCATTTTCATAGATCGATATGAAAGCTACAAATACCTAAGCAAAGTTAGAAATTAGAGACTTCCACCTGAGGAGGAACTGCTTAAGTCCAAAGATGCTTATCTTCTGTATTTGGGGGTTCACTTATTCCCCATTTCTCCGGTTTCTAAGGAGAAGAGCATTTTTTTCTCAACATTCCTGGCCTCCTGCCCCACCTACTCACTTACGCTTCTCCCAGAGAAGACGAGGGAGTTGTCAGAATGCTGAGTTTGGGTAAGGAACTCATAAGCACAGGGTACCCCTGCTCCCTTTCTTCCCCTTGAGAAATAGTACTCCCACAGAGAGAATGCATTCTGCCTGGTCCTCGCACTCCATGTGTGACAGGGACAACCTCAACATAGGGAAGCCTGTGGTTATTCAGTGCTGCCTGGGCTTAGGGGCATAAGGTTTTTTCTGGGGTTCACTAGTAGGAAGTCCATTGTGGTCACACACCTAAGCCACATCCTCAAATCTGATTTTTATTAATATAAGGCAGCTAGTTTGATCTCCACTTGCCTAACTTTATTGTTTAAAAATTATTCAGGAAGGATAGTATGTATTGGGACACAGATAATTTGAACTATAGGAAAAATTGTGTTTCACACAGACAGTTTCTAATTTGACATGTTTTGTCATCATTCACTGAGGTCAGATATATGCATAACAAGCCATGTCACCTGTCCACTGGCTCCTATGCAGAAAGCAGCTTCCTACCGAGAGTTAGTAGTAGCACTGGCCAAGCTGAGTGAGATAAGAGAAGCAATAATTCATAGTCAATATTTTATAAAGATTGTGAGATAACGTCCTTCTTTTACCATACATACCAGGAGAAGGGACATTCGAGGAAAAGAGAGGGTAGGAATTTGTGTTTCACTAATGTTTATACCTTTGGAGGTTTTGAATATGTTATGAGAAAAAATAAAATAAACACCTACACTGGAAGTTTATACTATCTCCAGAGTTTCTCCAGAAACTCAAGAATAAACTTAGTCCTGAGTTTTCAGGAATGGCCAACACTGCAGCGCCTTGCCATCTGCCTGCTTTGTTCCCCAGCTCCCAAGACAACTTAGAACTACCTTGCTATCATGTAAGAGGGTTTTGATGAAGATTAGATCTGAGGTAAGAACTGCAAAGGTTGAGATGGCTGGTCTACTTCTCTCCTGAGTGAGGTAGGCCACAGGCCCTCCCAGAGGTTGAAAGGAAAAAAGAGGCCTGAAGATCAAA
This sequence comes from Homo sapiens, assembly GCF_000001405.40. Taxonomy (NCBI): domain Eukaryota; kingdom Metazoa; phylum Chordata; class Mammalia; order Primates; family Hominidae; genus Homo; species Homo sapiens. The sequence goes on along the minus strand of NC_000014.9, from coordinate 85,481,156 downwards.
TCCTTAAGAACATTCATGAGAGAGAGTTAAGGTGGCTTCACCGAGGTAGGTTGAGTCTTGGATTTGAAGTTATTTTATGCCGAGTTAAAATCCCAACTCAGCCTTTCTGGCTAAGACGGGATCTCAAAGCCGATCCCTTAGCTTCTCTCAGCTTTGGAATTAAAAAATCTATAATATGGGGCTAATAATAACTCTTACGGGGAAATAATCCATGTGAAACTAAGTTTTATACCATAAATACCCAACGTATCTGGCTGGATGAGACATCAGAAAGGATGAAATCTCACACTTGGAAAAGCCTCTAGTGACCATCCTGCCCCTCATCTCAAAGGAGAAAGAACGGGTAATAGTGAATAGGTTTGAGGTTACATAGCGTGGCAGAGATTCAGTGCTGGAAAGTACTTGACAATATTTATGACAATGTCCTATTTTGAGAATCCATAGACATGAAGCAACTTCTAGTAGTCACACTATTCAGCAAGTCAGAATTGGGCTGATAATCTAGACTATTCCATCCTCATCGAATGGCATGGCTTTGTGCCTACACCTTTTATTTCATGGTTCAAACAACAGCAGACGCACAGACATGTGACATTCCTGATGAGTGAGGACAAGCCCCAGAATTCTGTCCCCAAATTTCACTACTGCCATAGCCAATGTCAACAGTGTGGAAGCTCTGGGTGTCAGACAGATGAGAAATTTCCCTTAGTATGCTCTTATTTTTAAGGCCAGAACCTTGAAGGAACAGCGTGAGAAAAAAGACAAACTTTTGAATTTATAGATTCATCCTTAGAATACAGATTATTTTCTTTTATAGGATCATACTAGGGAAAACTATATAACTCAAAATCACTGGCCCCTCCTTTATCATTTGGAAAATTAAAACCTAATGCATAGATATAAATCAAAGGAGATCTTGCCACTTTCCCTACTACAGGGGTTGATGTTTTCAACATAGAGTTTTAGATGTGCAGCAGAGCGACTAATATATGACTCTTGATGCAAAACTCCTACTATGCTGGCAGTTAGGCACATTTCTTATATTATCTTATATTTTCTGGGAACTGTCCATAATTGTAAGATGTATGGGAGGAGCATCCTCACTTATCTCTGGGTGCAAATGACTCAACAAAGGGTGCTCTCTATCATTGGAGATGGAAGTAATGATAAATGGGTGACAGTAGCCTAACTCCTACCAGATGCTGCAGGTTGTTAACCCAGTTGTCAGCCACTTCTCTTGTCATCTCTTGGGACTTAAAACCATCAAGTTCTAAATTCCATCTACCCAGTTTGTGCTGTCTTATCCACGAATCCGATAGAAAAGTCCAGAAGCTAGCAGGAAAGGGCAAGAAACTACACACCCAGGCTGAGTACTACAAACAGTTTTCTCATTCTCCTCTTTGGCCAGCTGCAAAGGAATATGATGCCTTTGAATCTGGCAGTTTCTATCATGCAGCCCCTTGCATTTGCTTATACACACGATAACTAGACAAATTCTCTTCCAGGCTTTGGTCATTTTCACATTATTGTGAATTGTGACTGTAACACCAGACAATCAGGTTTTAAGCCTGTCAGTCCATGACATTTTATTTCCAATCTACAACCCTTTTGCCGACTCTTCCCACACTTCTAGGTGTCAGGCTGATGATGCATCTATTGATAGCATGGGTCGCCTGGAGGCACTTTCTAGTTCCTTGTTAAAGCAGGGCTCTCATCTCTTCTGGGTTCTGGGGCCACAGTCTCTCTGTGCTAGGGGTTTTTGTTGTTTGTTTGTTTGTTTGTTTTTGGATTGTATGAATCTGGAAATAATAGTTCTTAGAGAGCCTCTTCATGACAGAGCATCTGCCAAATCATCCTTGGAGAAAAGGTGATCCAAAGAGAAAATGGCCCTTGGATTCAGTGGTTATTGGAAATATCTCAAAATTTCAAAGTTGTGGTAGGTCAGAATGTCATACAGGAATCTACGTTTGTACATATGCAGATAATGATTTCTGCCTCTCAAAACACACAATGGAGAACATATATGAGTGTACTTACTATGTTTTCATCCCAAATGTAGGCAAGATAAAGCTCATTTCCTGGTGAATGAAGCCATTCTAAATGATTATGAGCTCGATGCCTGCAGTATATACTGGAAGGTTTCTGACTTTTAAATTTTGTCAATAAGAAAAAATAGGCTTACAGATTAACATATAGTGGCTCACTTCAAATTTATTCATTAAAGACATTAGGAGTAAAAATAACATTTACCATCATCAATATTTCTTAAAGATAGGAAATACATAATGATGGTTCTTTGGATTAAATAGTTAGCTTTATTTATGAACATTATTTTAATTTTTCTCATTTGGCCATAGGTGGCTTAAAATTTAGCCATGAATCAGAACCAGGCTGTTGACCTATGCTTAAAAAATACTATTATATACTCTCTACTCTCTCCATTCACAGCATAATTAATTTCTGTCCTGTGAATTGAAACAGCAGCAAGTGTTCAGAGAATGGCCATTTTCGTCTTTCCTGATTCAAGTGAAAATATGCAAAGGCATTTGTAATTACTAATTAGCTAGTAAAAAAATTTTCTTCAAAAGGTGTCATTAAACATCCCTTTTGTAAGTCTAATTTTTTCCCAAATCTTAAATTTGCTTTCCTGATTTCCCTTTACATATATATATATATATACACATACATATATATATACACATACACATATATATACACAATACATATATATATATACACATACATATATATATACATATATATATATATATATATGATTTTTTGAAAAATGTACTTGCTTGGCTTAGAAAATAAGAGAACCACCTGGTCACTTCTTACTCTTTCCACTTAAAAGCAAATTTAGTTTCTGGGGAGCAGGAACCCTCATATTCCAAATTTGTTTTGCATTCCTCCTGGGGAATGTAAATCTGGTATCGAAACAACCAGGTCCTGCTAATGGGAAATCTTGCAGCAGAAGCTGGCTGAGTGCTTTGAAAATTTTCTCCTCCATGTTCTCCCAGTGGGTTATCATTTCCTCGGCACCAGCCAGCTTTCTTAGAGACAGAGCGCCTGACCTTTCTGGAATTATATGGCTCAAAGGACTGCAGGTAATTTCTTTTGACTAGCAGAAGTAGAAACTCTTAATAGTCTCTTGACTACAACCTGTTGGTAAATTTTTTTAATCATCTTTTACAGTGTTTCATTTGGCAGAATATAGCCATTCCAGATTTGTTACAAATTGCCCATGAAGACAAATATATTGAGGGCATTGTATTTGAAATGCTATCTTTCAAGTTGCTCAATTTGGGCCAGTGCTTGTAGGATCCAAGGTGGCTAAGAAGTAAGCTTTTGGGAAATAGGTATTGCAGGCTAAGACCATAGGAGGTTGAAACAGTTAAACACAATGTTTTTATTATTATCATGTCCAATGTGTTAAAAGACTGCCATTGGGATCTCAATATTTGTGACAGATTCTCTTAAAATTGCATTAGATAGTGTTAAATTTCAAGTTTTTCATTTGCAATAGAACAAAGCCTAAAATAAGGGTGGGGAGTTAACGTTTATTCACCATGGTTACCTTTTATATACCACATTTGCTCTTTGTTAGAAGGAAACTGTCTTGGCTGATAAAATATTTCATGGTTATCCCTGATATCTGTTTGTTCTTAGCACAATATTTTGAGCAATTTTTGAGACTCTTGAGTGATTTCAGATTTTCACCTTTCTCACAGGCGCACAAATTATCAAGGAACAGAGTCACCCACCAAAGATTCAATAGGACCTCGTGGTCTTATTACAATTTATCATTGTAATTATAACCCGGGGAGAAGGTGGGTGGAGGGATAAAATACAGAATTTCAGTCCTTAGACATCACATCCCAAATTACATAAATGTATATAAATTAATATATCTTCTTTTTATAAGTAAATGCTTCATTCCTGCTCTCCATTCACTCTGTTCATGGTGTAGAAAAAATTGAAGGTAAAATACTACAAATCGTGACATAGGCTGCCCAAGGCATCTCTGTTTTGGGGAATAAACTTCGTAAGTATTATATTGACAGCAAGCAAGTACTGAGTGCTTTTTTGGTGCCAGGCACTGGACTGAATGCTTTGTATACATTAAAGAAATTAATCTTCCCAACTCCATCGTCAATATCCCTATTTCACAGGTAAGGAAACTGAGATTCAGAGAGATTACTATCATGGGGGTAATCCCCACCTATGAGGTAGACCAGAAATAAAGTTATGTGCCATCAGTTATTTAAATATATACTCTTGACTTTTGTGCTCAAGTTGATGGCCTGGAAAGTTGCATGTATAAATGCAAATGTACCCTTGGACCACTTTTTCCCATGCATTTTCCTGAATGCTACCGGAAGCATTGGGGATGGGTGGAAAAATGTAGAGAACTAGGGTAGGAGGAGAGAGTTCTAGCCTTTGTAAACTCAGCATCCATATCCATTGACCCATCCCTGTACCTCCCATTACATCCTGCTTATTGTCCATGCTTCCATTTAGATCTGTCTCAGCCAAACATCTTTCAGGAGATCATCCTGTCTCATAAATCCAACTCTCCCTCTACTCTTTACCTTCTGTGTCTGCAACATAGCCTCAATCTGCACTGACATATGGCTTCAGAAACAGGTTCTTATTTAGTGAACACCACTTCTAGTTTCCCAATCAGAACATGTGCTGTTTATTTTTTATTTTTTATTTTTTTGAGACGGAGTCTTGCTGTCGCCCAGGCTGGAGTGCAGTGGCGCGATCTCGGCTCACTGCAGGCTCTGCTCCCTGGGGTTCACGCCATTCTCTTGCCTCAGCCTCCCGAGTAGCTGGGACTACAGGCGCCCGCCACCTCGCCCGGCTAATTTTTTGTATTTTTAGTAGAGACGGGGTTTCACCGTGTTAGCCAGAATGGTCTCGATCTCCTGATCTCGTGATCCGCCCGCCTCGGCCTCCCAAAGTGCTGGGATTACAGGCGCGAGCCACCGTGCCCGGCCCCCAACATGTGCTGTTTAAAAGCAGAGTCAAGATCTTCTGTTTCCATGGCCTTCCCCTCGACCTTGACCACTATCCTGAGTGTTTAGTCCTAGGCTTAGAGCGGTGATTGTGCAATATGTACTTTTGTACTTGTGATTATTCTAAGACTCAGCCAAAGGGAATAGCCTTGAGTTTGGCAACATGGATATAAGCTATAACTTCTCCATTAGAAGTGCAAGGAAATACAATTTCTTAGAAGAACTTTTAGAAAACGTAGACAATGTTCCAGACTTACGTGGAAAGTCTATAATACCAAAAGGCAGAATATTCCCTTCCCCAACAAAAAATGAGGAAGTACCTGTTTCTTTGAATTAAGTTTTCTGATTAAAAACATATTAGAAAACAGCTGGTACAAAGTCATTAAGTCAGTTGAAATTCAAAGTTCTGAAAACTTCCGTGCCTAGGCCTATATTTCACTTTATGAATTCAGATAATACTGCTTTTAATCTTGCTGTTTCATGTTAAAAATCCAGGCAAGTTTAACAAAGATTCTTCTCTTATCTCTCCCTTATCCAACTACTAAAAACAAAAAATAATTTTTAAAAAAGGAAAAAACAAAAACCTTTGTGATCAGTTTCTGAGACAATAGAAAAATATTCAGACAAGAAATAGCAACAACATGAAATACTGAAATACCAAAAGAGGGATTTTGCATTTTGGGATAAGCGTTAAGGCTTATGCTTTACTTTTAAATAAAGTTGAGCCAGGGCTCATGTGATTAATCTGCTGAGTTTCCTGAAGATATCCCCTAATTCCTGGGGAGAAAAAAAGTATTTCCTGTGCAAAAGCATTTTTAATAGCTCTCCCAGTGAACAAAGAATGGTCACCCTTATTTCTCTGTTCAACGTGCCAAAATTTCTGGGAAAGTTGTTTCTCATTGTTTCAGCATTAAGTCAACATTTGAAAAACGGAGGCTTTTTTTTTTTTTTTTTAATTGTAGGATTAATATCCAGGTCATGGGTAATAGAAATTTCACCAGCTTTGGTGCACTGGGCTTATGAAATTGAAAGAAGTGGCTCTATTCATTATTAATAAGAATATATGGTTGTGTTTAAACTAAATATCAAAGTCCTGGTTGAGTCTTAGGGACCAAGTGACTTCATGATATAAGGTCCCCTTGCTGCCCTTTTATGATTTTCTGCAGAGCTCTTCATACAATTTACAGCCTTGTAATCAGTGGGGTCCTATAGATCAAGGTGTAAGCAGGATAAAATATGTGTTGTTAAACAAAAATTGTGAAACACTCCATTGTGGCATATAAATTACTATTTCTTCCCTACTTTTCTGCTTTCAGATTTATAGCATTTATCTGGAACATTTTTTAATATAGAAGAAAATCCAATTACTTACATTTGTTTAAACAAGGTATGATTTAAAAATATCATTGCTAGGATGTTAAACCTTTGAGCCCAGTGCTGTAGTTGTTCTTGAGCAATACGACTATTGGTTGTTACTACATGAAAAAGTAGTTTTCTTATCATGTCTCTGTACATAATTTGGCAGGAAAATGGGAGTGTCATTTAGTTAGATGTATTACATAGCTAAATAGTTCATTTTATTGCAAATAAAACTGGATACTACATGTCACAAGTCTTTTATTTGCGAACTTATTTAAAAATACTACATCATATATATAGAAAGACAGATAGATACCTAGATAGATAGATAGATAGATAGATAGATAGATAGATAGATAGATAGATAGGTAGATACCAGGTGTAGAAAAATTCTTGGTCCACTTTTCCCCGTATTTGTCAAACTTTGTTTGCATTCATTGAAAATCTGGTAAATTATTTGCCGAATGTTCTGCACTATCAGATACAAATGTTTGGAGACATGATTAATTTTAGGCTTTGAGTATATAAATCATTTTAAAAAAGGAGAATTTTCTTGTTAGCCTAACATTCTGGAGCTCACCCTAACATGGGATGCTATATTGACATTAACTTGAATGGATGCCACTGGTTGGAGAGTTACTAGGAAATGAAGAAAGGTGAAGTTGAGAAAGATATTTCTGTCATCATGAATTAATATTTAAGAGATGATTATGGACACAGATTTAGATCCGTGGGAATGTGAGCACCCCAACACTCTTAAAGCATCGTGGCATTCTCAATAACTTCAGAATCATCTCACACCATAATTAATTAATATTAATACTACTTACACTAAAATAGCATTTATTAAATCTGTCTCCTCTGCTGCGGTAAGTACTTTACTCACCTTATCTCATTTGATCATAGGAAATAATTTTATGAAACAAGTATTATTATCCCATTTTACAAAAGAGAGAACTAAGTCTAAAGTTTCTGCTGAGTGAAGCCCAGGATCGCTCCATCTCAGAGCCCATGTTGTTAATTTCTGTCCTGTAACATCCTTATCCTCAGAGCCTTACCCCATATGATTCTGCTGTTTGGCATCCCCCCAAAAATTTTCTAATAAATGAATTTATTTCTTCTAGAAATTCACCTAAATTTCTTTCTATCTTTTAGTTGAGCCGTACCTGTTAATGTTTAACATTAGTTTTTAAAATTTTTATTTTTAGAAGATAAGCTACCTCCCAATGAATCAAGCTTTCCAAAACTTGTGTGAGTTAGTTTAAATTATTCTCAAAGTAGCTTGAAGGTAAATTGGACTAAGGTGGAATCTTTAGTCAGTTTTACAAGCAAAGGCAAGAAGGGACTTTGAATGGATCTAGCCTTTGCTTTTTAAAAATTTTAGTCACTGTGCTGGGCAGTTTACATCATTTAGACTTCAGAAGATGGTTAGAAAGGTTTCATTAACCCCATTTGAAAGAAAACTGAGATTCGGGCTTGCAGCTATGTAGATGAAGCTAAACCCAGACCATCTTCTGATGTCAAGGACTCCTTCTGTATTACATTCCCTTTAAAGTACTTCCAAAGACACAAAAACTTTGAGTATTTATCTTGTTATTGTTGCTGTTCTCAGTAATCTACAATACCTTGTCAATGCACTCAATATTTTACGATTCTGCTTCCTTAATGGACAGAGGAAAGTATCAAGAATTTATTATGAGAGAAGGATTATGATGATTGATAATAACATTAGCATTCAGGAATTGATTTCACAAAACAAGTTTTTAATATCTGAAAAACTTAAGCAGACATGAAATATTATAGGCTATAATGCTGGGGAGAATAGTCCATTCAGATATACATTGCATTTTAGTTTTTAGACCAGATTAAACAAAGTGTTAGAAAGATAGAAGCAATTTTATAATTTAGCCACAGTGTTTTGATTCTATGTTAAATGGTTTGGTGAAAACTAAAATGCAATGTATATCTGAATGGACTATTCTCCCCAGCATTATAGCCTATAATATTTCATGTCTGCTTAAGTTTTTCAGATATTAAAAAAAGAACAGACTTTCAAATATACTCCATAAAGATTACACCTTTCTGTTTCTCCATTTATTTTCTGCCTTTTCATACAGACAATGTAATTTCATTAATTAACCCAAATGGTCATAAGAACTGTTGCTTACTATTGTGCTATTACTGCTTAATGTTTCTGCAATGTGGTATAATGTAAAATTTTTGCACAGCAAAACTTACCCAGGATGATCAGAAGCTGAATTTCCATGTGTTGGCAGTATGTGTTAAAATTTGACCAGTGTTAAGTCCTGTGAATAAGACTTATGAAACATGCTATAAGAGAAAGATGAACTATCTTAGATAAAATACACTTACTTCTCACTTCTGCTGTTACTAATAGTATTTAGCCTGTCTTATAGTAATTATAAATCAGTGCCCTAAGGCACAGAATAATTAGGTATTTCCCTACATGGTAATAAATGGCCCTGGAATATTTGCCTTTTATTTATTCTGTGTCTTTTGCTATTTTATCATTTTTATTGAATAAAAAGTTACCTTAAAAAAGGATAGAATGAGATGGATTGTTTCATACGAAGCTTATAGAGGCCATTTAACACATCTCAGATTTATGAAATTACTGTTCCCAGAGTTAGCATGAATCCCATTTAACTCAAAAATCACTATCCTTTTGGCCAGGAACTCTGACAAGCTGAATAAATACATAAAGGGGAATCTTGGAAGTGGGTAGACAGACTGGTGACTCATGACGGGGTCAGAGCCTTTGCTATTTGCTTAGAAACAGATCTCTCTCTCTCTGTCTGCCATGAGGAGGAAGTGATGATGGAGAATAGTTAGTTCCAGAGCGGCATGGTCCAGGCAGCTGGAGGGTCAGGGGTTAAACATGTGCTATCTCAGCTATGCTGGGTGCAATAACAACATTAGGCATCAGGAGAAGGATCTATCAGGGCAATTAGTCAAACAGGCCTTGTGGTAGCCCAGATAGTCCCGGCTCTGTTTGCATCTGTTTATCGGTTTGAGATAAGAATCTTTGTGAACCTTTTTGTTACCTTGAGAAAGTAGACACCTGGACGGTAAACATATGACAACAATGTCTTTAAAAATTGATTTTGAAAAATGACTATGGCTCCCAGATGGGATTAAGTAATGTTTAATTCTGGTTGTTAAAAAACACAAAGAAGGGGATGGTGGGAGAGAAAGAACAGAGGGAAGAGGAGAAGTAAGAAGAACAAGACTTTGCTTTTCTCTTTTTTTCTTTTCTTTTCTTTTCTTTTTTTTTTTTTTACATGCTTCTCAGCCTATTCTCCCAAAAGCAGAAGTTACAGAATTGGACTTATTTTCATCAAATACAAAACTTGGCCCAGATGCCTTGGGAAATGGAGAAGATAATTTAGATTGTTGTGGTTTTTCTTTTTTTTCCCCCAAAGATTTTCCTGCAAATGCCACATTTTGCTGTAATGTGTAAACTGACTCAGACATTCAAAACATTTGTCTTTCTTGGTTCACATTGACATAATATTTCTTTCTTCTCTTCTGATTGTAAACTCCTAGAGGATACCATTCTTTTCTCCTGATGTTATCAAACTAAGTTACACTAAACTCAGAAACTCATGAAATGAACTTTTATAAGAACTATCTGTGAATAATTGTAACTGCAGTAAAAACTCCAAATCAGAAGCTTTCAAGATGATAGTTAAACATTTATTTATTTTTATTATATTTATATATGTTTGAGAAAGAGCGTTACTCTGTCGCCCAGGCTGGAGTGCAGTGGTGCAGTGGTACAATCTTGGCTCACTGGAAACTCTGCCTCCTGGGTTCAAGTGATTCTCCTGCCTCAGCCTCCTGAGTAGCTGGGATTACAGGCACCGCCACCACACCAAGCTAATATTTGTATTTTTAGTAGAGACAGGGTTTCGCCATGTTAGCCAGGCTGGTCTGGAACTCCTGACCTCAGGTGATCCACCCGCCTTACCCTCCGAAAGTGCTGGGATGACAGGCGTGAGCTACCGCGCCCAGCCTAAAAATTTATTTTGAACAATAATTTGCAGTGCCCTGAATACACAGGCTCATGCATCTGTACTTTGTTTAGATGTTTCTCCGTGCTTAGAATATTCTTCTGCTTCTACCCACTTTGGCATGAAATTGGATAAGCCCTAAAACTTACCCAGAAGAAGAGAGTGCTTAGGTCTTCACCAGCAGCAAGAAAACTGACGGGTGCATTCTTGTACATCTCTCCTAACCCCGTTAGAGTTTACTTCATAGTCTAATTATCTCATCTGGCATTACAATTTTTAGTTACTTTCAAAACTAGCTTCAAAGGCTGTATTTACATTTCACTTTTTTTCAGGAGAGTAAAGAGTAAAGCATATTTGGGTAGAAAGGTATTCTTTCTTACAACCTTATTTATCCACTCCAAAAAAAAAAAAAAACCAAGCAGAAGAATTAGCTACTCAGACATGTGCAAAGTCTATTTTTATCCCTCTGACAACAACTATCTGTGTGACTTCTGAGTATTTAATGAACCTCTCTGAACCTCACTGTTTTCCTATTTATAAGTTGATAATAAATGCAGGACCTATTTCCTGAGGTTCTTGTGAGGAATCAATGAAAAAGTGGGCAGGAGGTCCTCATGCAGTGTTTAGAATACAGAAAGCATTGTGGAAATGGCCCACCTATAGAATCACTTAGTACCTGCTGAGCAGATACATTGACCTTGAGGTGGATGAATTGCCTTATGTTCCTGATATTCTAAATGTAAACTTACATTATTTTTAAAATTATGGTTTCCATAACAATTAAGATTATTTCATCAGATCGCTTTTTAATTTTTTTTAAATAAACTTTATTTTTAGGGTAGTTTTAAGTTCACAATAAAATTGAGTGGAAGGTGCAGAGATTTCCCATAGAACCTCCTGTCCCCGCATATGGGTAGCCTCCTCCATTATCAAATCCCCCACCAGAGTGATACATTTATTACAATTGAGGAACGTACATTGACACATCATAATCACCCAAAACTCAAAATCTGCATTGGGGTTCACATCCTAAAATTAAAATTTTAGGATATTGAGTACACTCTCAATGGTATCTAGTCATTAATTCAACTATTAATTACTATTTTTATTTAGCAAATTTACTTTTATGAAACTGTGACATTTTCTTTGCTAATAAGATGTGATCTAGTGTTTATCATTTTTATCCAAAATCTATTCTAATTCATTTTTTAAAGGGCATATTATTCTACCACCCACGTGGAGCACACTTGTACCAGGCCCATGTCCTATAATTACATACTTTAAAAGATTAAAACATGTAGGTTTCTGTCAAAATATTAAAAAATGCATTCCTGAACCTTACGATTCATTCCTGCAGGAAGGAAGAAGAAAACTTAAATTACAACTCTGTTAATTTGCCATTGCAAAGCATTTTAAATACAACCCTTTAAAAGTTTTTCTAGACAGATGCTTGTCTTCATTTTTAAGTTATTATTAGACTCTGAGAACACATCAAAGGCCAGCTACAATGCAATCTGCTTTAGCACAGAATTTGGAATAATGAAGATCTGTTTTGGCCCTCAGATTCTCATTTAGAGTTATCTTTCCAGAACAGGCCTCATTATGAAATACTGTTCTGTCAACTCCACTGTGGGTGACATAAGGACCCTGCAGACACTAAGGAAGTGAGTCTACGCTAGGACAGGGCATCTGCATGGAGGAATGTCAGTTTTCATGTCTGAACCTGAACCAGCCAGGCCAACCTGCCAGTCACACGGGGTAAGCCTTAAACCAACAGGAGATCTGGTATCTGTCTTTTCAGAATCAGCTGCTTTTTGAGCTTTGGGATAGAAGTGAAGCAGATGGAACAGAGAATTGGGCAATACAGGTGATATGGTTTGGCTGTGTCCTCACCCAAATCTCCTCTTGAATTATAATCCCCATAATCCCCAAGTGTCATGGGAGGGACCAGGTAGAGGGAACTGAATCATGGGGGCAGATTCCCCCATGCTGTTCTCTTGATAGTGAGTGAGTCTCACGAGATCTGATGGTTGTATTAAGCATCTGGCAGTTCCTCTGCTTGCACTCACTTCTCTCTCCTGCCACCCTGTGAAGAGGTACCTTCTGCCGTGGTTGTAAGTTTCCTGCGGGCCCCCCAAGCCGTGTGTACCTGTGAGTCAATTAAACCTCTTTCCTTTATAAATTACCCAGTCTCAAGTATTTCTTCACAGCAGCATGAGCCTGGACTAATACAACAGGATCAACACATTGAGAGCACAGCCTCCCTCACCTTCTTTGCTCCAGTCACTCTGTCCTCCTCAGTGATCCTCAATGTGATACATTTCCTCCTATCCTGAGGTCTTGGACGTATCACTTTTTTTTTTTTTTTTTGTCTGAACAGCAAGTTTTCCCCTTAACTTGATTAAATAGTTCTCCTTTTCAGTTCTTATTCAAAGTCCGCTTAATTAAGGAATCCTGATCTCCAGACTACACCTGGTGTTTAAATCTAAATCTGATAAATCTAAATCTAAAGTTAAATCTGGTAGATCTAAATCTAAATCTAAAAACTAAGTCAAAATTTATAAATAAATCTAGTATTTAAACTATTATTGCATGGTTTGTCATAAAATATGAATGGGATTATTGTGGTTGTTCAATTAATTCTTGTTTTATCTGGTAAACTCTACTGAGTAGAGTATAAGTTCACGTGGCACAGGTCTTGAGTCTCCTTGGCATTGTATCACTAATACCTGACATGTAGAAGATGCTCAAGTGCTTGTTGAATGAACTAAAGAATATATGTTCTAGGAGCATTAAAGGTAAAAAGGAATTAAAAGTTATTTAATACTTAGATAGACTTTTCTCTGTATAGAAAATGTTATATTAGCCTGACGTTAGAAATTTCAAGAATTCTGATTACAGCATGAAGTAAAATGAAAATGAATAAATGTCACCATGGAAAAGTGACTTTAATTGTGATTCCAAAACTATATTTAAATTTTTGTAATTTTCATAAGGTTAAAGTCAATGTAGACAGTGTCATTTACTCTTGCTTTGTAAGAACTTAGTTATCTGGCTTTCAAGATGAATGAGGGTATCACAGCAAATTCCCCCGTTGCCCCCTACTTATCTTCTTAAAGAAGCCAAAGTGAAATACAAATAAGTGGTGGGAGTTGATGGGATTTGCAAGAATAACAAGGAAAAAGTCAGCAAATATTCAAATTCTTTAGCATTTACCTACAAACTGGGCAAAGTACAGATAATATTAATTTTTGATAATAGTTTACATTGTTACAGCTATTGAGTAAAGAATCTATATATCAAACATAGTATGCCTCTTGAAAATACTCACTGTTTCCTTGTATGACAGTGATGTGCAAAGACAAATAAAAGTTTAAAAATTCATGAGTATTTGTTACTTTAAGTTTTTTTTTTGTTCGTTTTTGGTTCAGGTTATTGAACTGGTTCATTGAAATGATATAGAAAAACTGCTGAAAATCAGATTCTAATGCTGCTTGGTAAAAAATGTGTCACTCAGAGATTTGGGATTAATCAAATTATTCTGGGTAGACAAGATAAGTTAAACAAATTCTTATCAAAAAATCCTGAGCTCTGAAATAATTTAACAGGCAGAAGAATCTAAAAATATCTTGTGCTCTTTATAACTGCTGTAGAGTATACCATAGTTTGAGATGAGTTATTAAGATTTAATATTTGCTAAGCATTGCCATGCTTTGGATGAATACTACCAGAAAGTGTTGGCTCAAAGGAGCATGAACTATTGGTATAGTAGGAGAGGAGGACAGCATCAGATGGTAGATAAAGTCTAGGGAGGTAGAGTGTAATCGAAGAAAAAACCCATGATAACATGGCGAGTCAGCTAGTAACCAGAGAGCCAGTCACAATAGGAAAAACATGGCAGATAACACGGGTCAGTCCACAGATGCCAGGAGATAATCCAGCAAGGGAACTGTCAACACTGCCACAAGCTTCCAGGACAATAGATCAAGAGGCATTGGAAAATTAGTTGCTGCCAAACTAACTCATTTCCATCTTTCTGCATCTGTGTGCCTTTTCAGAAGATTATCAACCAAAGCGAATTTAAATTTTTTTATGATTACTATATTTATATATAAATATATATTCTATATATGTTTATATATTAGGTTAAGTAACACAAGTATAGTAAAGAGCATGTTTTTCTTTTTATTTATTTTTTATTTTAAAATTATGCTTTTTAAATTGACAAACCACAATTATATTCATTTATGGGGTACAGTGTGATGCTTTGGTATATGTATACAATATACAATGATTAAATCAAGCCAATTAATATATTTTTTGTCTTGTTTACTTATCTTTTTTCTGTGATGAGACATTTGGAATTTACTCTCAGTTATTTTAAAATTTACAACACATTTTATTGACTACAGTCACCCTGCTGTAAAACAGATCTCAAAATGTATTCCTTGTGTATAAGTGAAACTTTGTATCCTTTGACCAGCAACTCCTCATTCACTCCCTCCCCCTGCCCCAGCCTCTGGTAACCATTTTTCTACTCTTTACTTGTATGAATTTAACCTTAGATGCCACATGTAAGTGATATCAAGGAGCATGTCTATTGATTTTGCTCTAATTAGCCCATGTTGTGTTGATATAAAGAAATACTTGAGACAGAGTAATTTATAAAGAAAAAAGTTTTGTCTTGCTTCTGGAGGCTATACAAGCATGGCACCAGCATCTGTTCAGCTTCTGGCTAGGCCTCAGGAAGCTTTTACTCATGGCAGAAGGCAAAGGGGGAGCAGATGTGTCACATGGTGAGAGAGGAGGCAAGACGGATGCCAGGCTGTTTTAAACAACCAGCTCTCACGTGAGCTAATAGAATTGGAACTTAAGCATTCCCATGGGGTTGGCACCAAACCCTTCATGAGAGATCTGCTCCCATGACCCAAACACCTTTCACTAGGTCCCACCTCCAACACTGGGGATCACATTTCATGACATTTGCAAAAGACAAATATTCAAAGCATATCATTCTGCCCCTAGATGCCCCCAAATTTTATCTCTTTCTTACATTGCAAAATACAATCATACCTTCCCAATAGGCCTCCAAAAGTCTCAACTCATTCTGTATCAGCTCAAATGTCTTAAGTCTCATCTGAGACTCAAGGCAATTTCCTTTGACCTATGAGCCTGTAAGATCAAAAACTAGTTATTTACTCCCAAGTTACAATGGTAGTACAGTCATTGGGTAAACATTTCCATTCTAAAGGGGAGAAATCGGTAGTCAAAAGAAAGGGGCAACAAGCCCCCGCAAGTCTGAAACCCAGCAGAGCAGATGTTAACCCTTTAATCTCCAAAACAACCCTTGACTCCATTTCTTGCATACAAAGCACACTGGTGCAAGGGGTGGATCCCCGAAGCCTTGGACAGCTCCACTCCCATGGCTTTTCTGGGTGCAGCCCATGTAGCTACTACCATCAAGGGCTAGAGTCAAATGCCTGCAACCTTTTCAAAGCTGAGGATGCTCTACCATCCTCATGTATGTAGGGCAGTGACTTGATTTCCACAGCTCCACTAGGCAGTGCCCCAACGGAGACTCTGTGTGGGGGCTTAAACCCCACATTCCCTTTTGGCGTTGGCCTAGTAGAGGCTCTATGTGGGTGCTCCAGTCCTGTGGCAGGCTTCTCCCCGGGTACCCAGACTTTCAGCATTTATCCTCTGAGATCTAGGTGGAAGCTGCCAAATCTCCTTCGCCCTTGCATTTTTATGCCTGCAGACTTAAACTAGCACATGAAAACCACCAAGTCCTAAAGCTTGCACCTTCTGGAGCAGTGGCCTGAGATGTACTTGGGCCCTTTTGATAGCTGGTCAGAGCCATAGAGGTCCGGATGTGACAAGCAGCATCTGAGGCTAAGCAGGGAAGTGGGGTCCTGGGCTAGGACTGTTTCCAAGGCCCCTGAAACTATTCCTTCCTCCTAGGCTTTAGGGCCTGTAGTGGGAGGCACTGTCTCTAAGATTTCTGAAATGCCTTTGTGACCTTCTGCTTGCAGTCTTGAGTTTCAGCACCTGGCTCTCATTCAGTCATGCTAATCTCTCTAGCAAAGTGGTTGCTCTGCAGGCCTCTTGGATTCCTCTTCTGAAAATGTTCTTTTCTTCTGTATCACATTTCCAGGCGTCAAATTTTTTTATACTCTGCTTCTGTTTTAATTACAAGTTCCAACTTTAAGTATTTCCTTTGCTCCCATATCTGATTGTAGGTTGTTAGAAGAAGCCACATCACCTCTTGAATGCTTTGCTGCTTAGAATTTTTTTTCCCAGATAACCTAGGTCATCATCCTTAAATTCAGCCTTCCACAAAGTCTTAGGGCATGGACACAATGCAGCCAAGTTCTTTGATTTGGCATAAACAGGGTAACCTTTGTTCCCTTTCCCAATAAGTTCCTCATTGCCATTTGAGATCTCATCAGCCTGGCCTTCACTGTCCATATTTCTGTCAGCATCTTGATCACAACCATTAAACCAGTCTCTAAGAAGTTCCAAACATTCCCTCATCTTCCTGTCTTTCCCTAAGCACTCCAAAGTCTTCTAACCCCTGCCCATTACCCAGTTCCAAAGCCATTTTCACATTTTCAGGTATCTTTATAGAATTTCCCGACTCCTTGATATCAATTTTCTGTATTAGTCTGTAGTGCATTGCTATAAAGGAATATCTGAGACTGCACAATTTATAAGGAAAAGAGGTTTGTTAGGCTCACAGTTCTGCAGGTGGTACTAGTAAGAGACAGCATCTACTTGGCTTTTGGTAGGCCAAGTACCAACTACAGGTTCAAATAATCCAACAAGACATTCCAGGACAGAGTACCTGGATTATTTTTATTCACAGTCCTAGTAGCAGGAGAATGCATGACAATATGTATGGGAATATCAGGAAGCTTTTACTGACGGCAAAAGGCAAAGGGATAGCAGGCGTGTCACATGGTGAAAGTGGAAGTGGGAGAGATGCCAGGCTCTTTTACACAACCAGCTCTCAACATGAACTAACAGAGCAAAACTCACTGTTACCATGGGGATGGCACCAAGCACTTCATGAGGGATCCACTCCTCTGATCGAAATACCTCCCCCTAGGCCCCACCTCCAACATGTAGGATCACATTTCAACAAGAGATTTGGATAGGGCAAATATCCAAACTGTGTCAAACGGGTTGCCTAGATCTTCTTGTAATAGATAATTTCCACTCTAATCTATTTCCATGATTTTCTTTCTAGATTTGATTGTCATTATAGCTGTAATCTTCCAACTCTCGCAATACTGTTCATGCGTTATATAACCAATATTCTGTAATGCAATTGGCCTTGATAATCCAATATTTATTATGAGGGTGAGTTCCCAAAGGAGTACTTTTAAATGACCAGTACTTTTAAGTGACTAATATAATTTTTTTTCGCATGATAATTTGGTTTCACAAGTTTCAAAGGGCACATGCTCCTTATGAAACACAGTTAGCTATACATTTGTACAAAGTATCTAGGTTAGGATAAGAGGCTTATGGTCTCAAAAAGTTTCTAGGGTTAGAAATTTACATAAGTTCATATTTAGATGATCTCATGAGTTTCAAAGAAATCTCTAAGGATTGAAACTTGAATTTCATGTACTTTTTATTCTAGGCCAGTTGAGAAATGAAAACGTTCTTAATTATTTCAAGCCTATATAGTGGTGTACAGTGTAATTAACTCTGATGTGTGTTTCACACCCAATTAGAGGATATTTTAGCACCAGGGTAATTGGACCCAGCAACACCTGGGAAGTGTAATCAAACAAGTTTAGCACCATATATTGTCCTATGATCTTCTGCACTTTTAAAAAAATGCTGTGCATAAAGAGAATGGTCAAGATATCTGATAAAATGATGCCGATTATTGAAACTTTACTAATGTCTGAATCCAGTTCAAAGTATTCCTGTTTATTTAAAAATCCCTAACTTTTTTCTACGGCTTCATAATCCTTTTGCTACTTCTACAAATGATTTCTTCTTTGCTTATTACGATGATGACACCCATCCACTTGCCTTGGTAGGCAGTGTTTTGTGATATTTTCTTAGCAAAAGGGGGTGGTAATCTGCTAATTTTTTTTTTTTAGGTTACCTGGGGATCAAGTGCAAAACTGTAGTTGAGGATGTAGTCCATGTCCTGTAATTTTCAGACACCACCAATACAGGTTCAAATAATCCAACAAGAGGTTTGTATCTAAGAGTGTGGTCTGTGGACGTGCAGACTGGGAGACTGTTAGAAATGCAGATTCTCAGACTCAGCCCAGGGCTGTTGACTCTTCACTTTAATGAGATCCCCAGATCATGCCTATAGATGTTAAAATTTGAAACACGTGGATCTAGCTAGCATAAGAAACCCTTTAGGACAGAGTACCTGGCTTATTTTTCTTCATAGTCCTAGTAGCAGCAGAATGCATGACAATATATATGGGAAGAAAGTAAGAAGGAAGAAAGAAAGGAAAGAGGGAAGCAATGAAGGAAAGAAGAAAAGAAGGAAGAGGACGAGGGAGGAAAAAAGGAAGAGAGGCAGGCAGGCAGGCAGGCAGGCAGGCGGGCGGGCGGACTATGTCCTGGTAGTCATGGGTCAGATGCGGACTATGTCCTGGTAGTCATGGGTCAGATGCTTCAAAATAGATGGAGGAGACTTCAAGTAAATCTGAAGACAATTGGTCTCAAAGTTCACCACTCTTAACCTTGATCCTTGTTCTTTCCAGTCCTGGTGTTTTCATCTTGCTGCTGACTCAATGCTGCCCAAATCCAATATTTAGATCCTTAGCTCATGCCTGAACTGTACCTTGTGAGTCCAGGCCCTCCATTATCGATATGTAGTGATATGACTTTCTGACTTCAGAAAATGTAAACAAAGACAAGGCCATAGTCATCCTTTTTCTCTATAAATATTCCAAAAAGCAGGAACAATACTCTTAGCCAAGCTTGTCAAGATGAAGACTTTTTTCTCTCCTTGGGTCTTTTTTGCTCCTGGTTTTTGTTCCATGTCATGAGAAAGTCCTGGCAACTAACACTCACCTTAAGGAAAAAATACAGCTCCCTACCCTGCCTCATGTGGAAAATCCAATTTCCTCATAGCCAATGGCTTTCATACAAGGCAAACACGCCAGATTCCTGTAATCCTGGCTTTGTTCCTGTAGGCAAGGAAGATCTATTTTTCTTCTCCAACATGTTTTTTTTTTTTGACTGTACAATCACTTATAATTACTTTAGAATATTTGCCAATAAGGTGACTTTTAATAATACATTTTGGCCCAACTTTGAAACATTCACTGAGTCAAAAAATAGTAATACCAAAATGAAAGTGGAAGTAGAAGAACCAATTACTGAGAATTTAATGCCTTGGATTGTTCATTTGTAATTTTAAGTATTTTTGTTTTATGAGAATCTAATATGTGCTAGTAATCTTTAGCACCCAATAGATTTTCCAATTCTACCATATATACATATATATATGGGAAAGAGAGAGAGGGGGTGGGGGAGAGAAGGACATTGACTTCGGGAAAATAACAATGTATTTAAGAAAAAACTGGGGACATAAATTGGACATGTAGTAAATAAGTGTCATGAGAGGCTTTTAGACATCTGAAGAAAGGACCACTGGCAGCTGGGTTGATATATGAAGGTTTCATAAAGGGAGGATAGTGGAGCCCGAAGATATTAAAGGCAAATACCAAGTAATTGCCTGGAAATTAGATAAAGGACTTGCCGTGGCCATTTTATACTGGAAAAGTGATTAAGACAGGTAAGAACAGTCACTTCTGAGTAGCTAAACCAAGCTACTGCTTTAACCATATTCCATCCCTGGGCACTTAAGATGGACTTATTTCTGGGAGATAGAAAACAAAAGAAAAGAAAAGGAAAGAAAAGAAAAGAAAAGAAAAGAAAACAAAACAAAACAAAACAAAATCTGCAATATGTTTCAACAGACTCACATAGCTTTATGGTCATGGTGACCAGAAAACAAAGCAGCAAGAAATAGATTTAAATCTATGTTTATTTCAACAAAATTTCAGAATCTACTTGGAAGAAAATAAAGTTTTGTTTCACATGACAATCAGGTGTTCTGTGTGTGCACCTGGGTACACGTTTGTATCTATATTTTATATAAAGCCCAAATATCTTTTCTAATTAAAATTTTTACTTTTCAATGGGCCCAGACTCTCATAGATGTATTTTTAATACATTTATTGTCTTTACTCTTTACTCAGTAGCTACCTGGTTAGTGTTTTGCAAATTCTCATAGGTGAGCCCAGTTGAAAGAAGGTTCATAAAGAAGTTCACCATTATTTGCCCCCCTGTTACTCACTGTACTGGAAGCCAAGATGGTGGTTTCTAAGCCCTGAAGTTTTGTTTTCAAAAGCATATTCCATTTCTCCAAAGAAGAAGAAAGAGAGGAAGAGGAAGAGGAGGAGGAAAAGAAGTAGAAGAAGAAGGAGAAGGAGGAGGAGGAGGAGGAGGAGGAGAATCAGCTGAGGTCAAGAGTTCTAGAGCAGCCTGACCAACATGGTGAAACCCTGTCTCTACTAAAAATACAAAAATTAGCTGGGCATGGTGGTGTGTGCCTGTAATCCCAGCTACTCAGGAAGCTGAGGCATGAGAATTGCTTGAACCCAGAAGGCGGAGGTTGTAGTGAGCTGAGATCATGCCACTGCACTATGGCCTGGGTGACAGAGATACCCAGGCCTCTGTCTCAGAAATAAAAAAAAAAAAATTGATCTTTAATGTAAAATGTTTAACTGTTCATCTCAGTATCCCTATTGGGAGCTTGTATTAATGCCATCCTTTGCACATCTTGGGCAGAATGATTTTATATTTAATAAGCTCTTGAATTTAGCGAAGTGTTTAAATGTTAAAAGCTTCTTGAGAATTTCCCCATTTCCACCACCACTGTGGGTGTACTTCCTCCCACAACTGTAGACTCTCACGGTTGAATTTGCAAAGCCTTTTTCCTTTGACTCTTTGCCTTCCATGTTCTAGCTCTTCATCTCTTGACTTCCCAGATTTGTGAACAGCTGGAGCAGATTTTAAAAACCCAACAGTAGTTGACTAACATAAACTAATTTTTAAGAAATATCAACACACTTGTTATGATCTACAATTTTTCCAGCTCTGACATCTCTGCTCCCCTTCTGTGAATGACTCAGGGCATAGACTTAATGCTCTGAGGCTCCCCGGATGCCATTCTTGGAAGCAGATGGGCTAATAAATGTACATGATATCTCAGAATCCAAACAGAGAAACAGGTTTACATTTAGAACCCACTCCCCATGAAAATATAAGGTTTAAAAGTATGACTCAGGGAAAGGGTTTTTAGAACTTTAGTCCTTGAAATATTTCAGTGGTTATATGTACATGAGTGTGTTGGAGGTGGCATTACCAGTAATAGAGTATTCTAGAATAAAACATTTATAGCAGGAAAAGTGCTGGGAGCTCAGGCATTTATCTGAATGATTACGGTTGTTGAACACAAATAGGGAAACATTTTAAACCACTGCAACACAGATAACTTCCTAGGGATTTTCTTTTGCTGGTGTGCAGTAGTAAGTATGAAGCGTAATGGCATTTGGGGACTTGCTCATCATAAGGCTTACAGCTAACAAGGCAAGAGACTTGGTGCTTCTATCATTTGAAATACAGCTGTTTAAATAGAGTAGGCTTAGACAAGTGACCTGAAGGAACATTTGCACTTGAGCTTGCTTCCTCAGAGGATAAAATAAAAGCTTTATTTTAACATGGTGGAAAAGGGCACCAGGAATGTTTCTTCAACAAAGGGAAATGAGGAGAAAAAATAATTATATTGAACAGATTTGAGCACAGCCTTCCAAAAGATAATGCATTTCTTCTCTGCAGTGATCCTCTAATATGCCCACCTGATTTCAGCAGGTGCTCTGCTTGCAAAGGTGGAAAACATTTTATCAAGGTACTTTGAAAATAACCTCTCCCTCTCATAGTAGCATTGATTCCCTTAGATTTTTACCTCCAAGGAAAACATTGACACTTTACTCTGGGTCCATGAAGTTAGTCTAAATCTGTGCTTTTATACAGGTATTTTGCTTTAAAGAGTTTTTGTGTCAAAATCTTTGGAACTGATGGCTCAACAAATAAAGTAAAATGCAAATGGAAGAGACAGCATTGTACTGAGGTTTCTATTTTTGTATTTTTTCATTACCTATATGTTTGACAGTGAGCAAGCCAGCTCTCTCTTCTGTGTGCCCACAGATCGTAAGATCACACATAGACCTTCAAGTTTATTCTTTTCCAGTTTTAGGGGCCCAATAAACCATAGGAACATATCTGAAGGAGGTAAATTTCTGTTGTGCTTCTGGCTATCTTGTACTTAAATCTTTAAGTAATTGCTTGTTGCTAAAGTCTTCAATTAATTCCTTCTGTGTCAGTGCTCTTTCCTCTGCCTAGAAATGTTTACAGTTCTCTATGCCACCACAAACAATGTGGCTGTCTATGTTGTATTCCCAGTGATTAGCTGTGTATTAGCTGATTTGTTAACTCCTCTATTCCAATGTACTAGGGAGCATATGAACACTGACATCGTATCCCTTCAAATGAAATATTTGTCCTCAGAAGATAGAAGCTTTAATGCCTCTAATGGTGGGATTTGGAAAATCACAGGAGGCTGGCACCTAGTGAAGGTGCTTGAAATCCCAAAGAAGGTGTTGGGGACATAGTGTGATGGGTCATCTCATGCACTGTTGGCGGGAATGTACATTGGTATGGCTATTCCTAAAAGCAAATAAAACTCAAGATCTCAAAAGGTTCACTAACTTTGGTCTAGTTATTCCACTTCCAGCAGCCCAACCTCAGGAAATGATACAAAGTTCAAAGAATTATTTATTTAATAGGGATGAAGAAGTGAAAACAAATGTGTTTAATAATATTAACCACTAATTTTATTAAGTACCTACTATAAACTGTGAAAAACACCCGGCATGCCTTGTCTCATTTAGTCTTCCCAGCAAGCCTCTGAACTAAGTTAAATAAACGCAGCTAGGGAGCGAAGAAGGTAGGTTGTCTGACTCAGGTCTGAAGCCCTTGTGCAGTGCACAAAATACAAAATTGCACATGAAAGCCCTAGTTTGACTCTAGGGGTCACACTCTTATCCTCTACCTACTTTTATCACACTGTCTTTTCCAGAATGTGCATCTCACATTTATTAAAGACCCCTCTAAATTGCCCTGGTTAGATGCTACTTTAGATCCCATAAAAATAATTGAGAGGCGGTTCTGAAAAGAACAGAGGACTGGGAAATAGAATTCCAGTGTGTTATTCTCTTGGGCACATGGTAGATTTATATTTCCTGGTCACATTGCGGTTGGTAGAGCTCCATGTCTATCTAGTCCTGCGTAATGGATTGGGAGTGGACAGGATGTATTTCTTCTCTGGGCTAGAGCATCTAATTTCCATGGGAGGTTCCTCAAAGAGCTCTTTCCTGCAACAGCACACTGCAATTTTCTAGGTTGTGGCTACTCTTTTAGTCTTGGTGCCAATGTGAAGAAGACAATGATGTTAGACAGAACCCCAGTCAATCCACATAAAGAAGAAGTAAACCTTGCTCATTCAAACCACTAGGATTTGGGATTGGTTTTTCCACAGCTTTGCCTAGTGTATTAGGCCATTCTTGCGTTGCTATAAAGAAATACTTGAGATGAGATAATTTATAAAGAGGCTTAATTGGCTCACAGTTCTGCAGGCTGTGCAAGCATGGCTCTGGCATTTTCTCAGCTTCTGGGGAAACCTCAGAGAGTTTTCCGTCATGATGGAGTGGGCGCAGGCACATCACATAGCCAGGGCAGGAGCAGGAGAGGTGGGGTTGGGGATAACTCACTCACTATTGTGAGGACAGCACCAAGCCATGAGGGACCCAACCCCTGAACCAAACACCTACCACCAGATCTGACCTCCAACTTTGGGGATTACATTTCAACATGAAATTGGGGGAACAAATATCTAAACTGTATCATCTAGCTTATTCCAATGGAAGAAACCAACATTCTATTTCACTGTCTACTACTAATATTCTGATCAAAATATTTATGAGCCTGTCATTTTTTGTCTATAAAATGAGGCCATTAATACCTTCTTATAGGATAGTTGTTGAGATCAAATGAGATGAATTGGTACACAGATAGAAAATATTACTCTATGAGATGCTTTGTAGTTTCTGGAATTGTATCCTATAGTAATAATCAAAGTTAGAGAATAACTCAGGGAAGTTTTGCAGTTATTAAGTTTAAAGCCTACATTGAACATAATTTTCTAACATTGAACACAATGGAATGCTATTTTCTTTTTATAAAATGATACTTGCTTGAGCCATGGTAAATAGAAAGGTGGGATCTAGTATCTAGATAAGAATCTCAGAAAGTGGTGAGGTACTGTAAACCATGAATGCCTTCATGAACATTTGACAAATATCTGAAATAACAGCTTAATATCAATAAAATCATAGTTAAAATTATTATACTCTGAAAATAACACATTTTAAAAAGATAAGCTTTTTTTTTTACTATTTTATTCAGAAAATTAATCAGTTATCTGAGGGTACGTTTTGCATCTTAACCCCATTGGTGGCCGCATCAAGAAGTTATCCTGTTCAGCTTTGTGTCTAAGATGATTTTTCTATTCTTTGGTACTGTGGATGATTAAGAAGTTAAAAGGTGTTTTTAAATAAAAAATTAGTTAAATTTAATTCAACAAATGTCTTTTAAATGCCTAATATAGGCCACATCCTTTGCTAGGTACCAGGGATTTTACAGTAGAAAAAATAGTCAAAATCTCTGCCTTCAGGAAGATTACCTGAAGTTTATGGATACTTATTTAAGTAGTAATTGAAACATATATAATTAGACTGTATGTTACAAAACACTCTGACATCAGAAATTGTATCTATTATAGATAATCTTGGGGTTATTCTACTTACTTAGTCTTGTAAATATCCTAATTTTACCTTGAATAAAATTAAATCAATAGAAAATCATACATAGGGACAATGTTAGTGATGCCCCTGATTCTCTTGTTTGTGCTTCAGTATAATAGCCTTGGCCATTATCAACAATTGATCCTGAGACAACCGAATGAGACTCACTTTTGTATTTCCTATAAAACTAGCGTTAGTAATAAACCTATGTTGTTAACGCTGCCTTCTGTTTATAATTCCATATAATAAAATTATTTCCAACAATTTTTTTAAATACAAGGTGTGTGTTCCAGGACATTTGTAGTCAGTAGTTGGTGGGTTATTTACATGCATATTTTGAATATACATTAATTTGTGTGTGCATTGGAATTATGTGCTTTAGGTTGAGCCCCTGTTTTAGAATATGACAGTCAAAAACATTTCTTTTAAACAAATGCTGTATTAATTTTTATTAGGTAAAAATTAGTACAATCTATTTTTTTCTCCAGCTGCCAGGAAGCTCAAATTCAAAAGTCAGGTGGTTGATAATATTACTTCCTTTATCCTCAATAGCTGAAATATTTACATTATTCTTTAATTTATGAATTTAATTTCCTGTTCTTATTCTAATGAGACTTGTCTTATTGAATAAGCCTTTTATTGCATACCATCTCTAAACTATTTTGTAGTGAGAAGAGTTATAAAGAAATAAAGATACAATGACCCAAATTTACATTATTTGGCCATTCAGTGGTTTTTATTTTGGTTGTTAACATCTGAAGGAGCTTTTGAAATATTTTAACTCACTGTGTGGTTTAACATCCCTGTACCTCAAGGCATCTTAACATCCAGTAAACTATTTAATACTCAATCATTTGTGAAATAAATAAGGGAAGTCACAGCCAATCAGCTTAGATAAAGGTAAGCCAGAAACAAAAATAATTCCTACAATACTACCTTTCTTTCAATGAGAGAAAGAAAAAGCACCACAGATTTATTAGAAATTGATTTAAAATGACCTGGGGTTGGTGCTATTGAAGAGGTATATTTCACAAGTAGAAAAGATGAAAGAAAGCCTTTCAGCTTTGGATTTATAGCTCTTCTCTTGTAACCCAAAGAAAAAGCATCACCGAGTCGCCAGCTGTTTTGTATCTCATGTGGCAATCAATAATTCAGGTAAACATTAACTTGGAGTAAATCTGGTATCTTGGTACCTTCACTTTTGCAGGTCAAAAGAGGCCAATCTTTTCCTAAGAAAGACATACCCGCTTTATTAGAGCTCTTCATAGAGCAAAACTGTTAATCTGAACAGCCTTGCACACTTCTACTGAAAGGTCACCTGTATCCCCTCCCTTCTTGAGCAGAGCCTGGATTTACTCTGCCCCCTCTCCAAGACCCACAGACAGTGCAGATCAACTTTCAACTCTTTGGAAACACAAATTACCAACCCTGGAGCATGTGAAGTAGCATATTTCTGGATTAGATGTCACTAGTAAGGCAACTTACAGGGAGTTACATAGATTGGCATTTTATTTTTTAAATAAAATAAAGCCTTAAAATGGAGAGTAAAAACATGAACGAAATCATTGGTTCATCCAAATAAATTCTAAATCTCTGTCTTTTCATATTTCCAAAACCAAAATGACATCTGCCAAGGATTTCTGTAGTTACTGCCCAAACAGAGTGAGATACACTGCTGTTATTGTCTTAATTCAACTCTCATAGTTTCTGCCAGGGCTTCCCATTCGTGTGAACAGGCAGCCACCCACCCTGCTAGCACAAGTTTCAGGGGAGAGAATTCACTGTCTTTTGAATATATCAAGAATTTGTCAAAATGCAAATAGAAATGCCAAATACAAAGGGAATTGGCTGAAATATTTCCTTGTTATTGGTGTTTGAAGTGAAGCTTTTAGCACAGTTG
Organism: Homo sapiens; assembly: GCF_000001405.40. Taxonomy (NCBI): domain Eukaryota; kingdom Metazoa; phylum Chordata; class Mammalia; order Primates; family Hominidae; genus Homo; species Homo sapiens. The sequence goes on along the minus strand of NC_000014.9, from coordinate 85,453,867 downwards.
AAATCAGAAGCTTATTATTGCTCTGATTAGTCATTGGTTAAGTGACACAACTTATATTTCCTCCTGCTTATCTATTTCTTCCTCTTTCTTTTTCTTTCATAGTGTATAGATTATCACCATCTGGCTTAAAATAAATTCCACCATTCAAATATAAAGGTTGTGCTAAAATCAACTTTGAATGAGCCTCAAAGCAGATTACATAAGACCCCATTCTGTCTTGTCATTAGAAAGCAAGCCTTTCTAGCTCTTTTGACATACCTATAGCTTTTTCCTTGGCTCTTCTGCTCAGCTAAATGAGGGCAGGTTCCAGATTTCTCAAATCTGCTCCCAGGCACCCTCTTCATTCTTGTTGCTATCAATCCAGAAATATCCTAGTATACATGTCAGAAATACTGCCTTGTTTCTCCCCTTTCCTTCCTTCCTTCCTTCCTTCCTTCCTTCCTTCCTTCCTTCCTTCCTTCCTTCCTTCCTTCCTTCGTTACTTCCTTCCTCTCTCTCTCTCTCTCTTTCTTTCTTTCTTTCTTTCTTTCTCTTTCTTTCTTTCAGATGGAGCCTCACTCTGTCACCAGGCTGGAGTGCAGTGGTGCGATCTTGGCTCACTGCAACCTCTGCCTCCCGGGTTCAAGTGATACTCCTGCCTCAACCTCCCGAGTAGCTGGGATACAGGCATGAGCCACTGTGCCCGGCCAATACTGCCTGGTTTCTTAAGCCTTAGAGGCTTTGTAGCCAAGGAATGGTGTTATTATTTCTAAAGTAAATAATTGAGCCATCCAAAAAAAAAAGAAGGAAAGAAAAAAGAAAAAAACCCAAAACCCCAGAGAGAAATTGAACAATGTTGTACTTGCTTCCCACTCTATTTCCGTAGCGGCTGTTTATAGTTCTATGCCTCCTAAAGGATATAATAAGAACATTGTAAAACAATCATTATCTTTTTTAAAACATTTTTATTGAAGTGTAGTTTACATACCATAAAATTCACAGATTGTAAGTGCACAATTCAACAATTTTTAGTAAATTTATAGAGTGTGCAACCATTGCCACTGTCTAGCTTTAGAACATTTCCATCAACCTCCAAAATTCAATCAAGCCCATTTGTAATCAATTCCCTTGGGCGGCACAAGGCTGAGAGAAAAAGAAGTTGTTCCCGGGCAGTAGGTCAGTGCCATTTTGTGGAGTGTCTGATGAGCAGAATGGATGCTTGGACAGTTAACTTACCATAAACTTGCAGCAATTGAAGGTACTGAGGTGGAGAATTACTTCTAGTGCCCAATAAGTGACCATTCAAGGGAAGATGGGAGAGGCTGAAACTTCATGGGACACACCGATGATAGTAATGTAAGCAAATATTTACATAGTGCAAATGCTCTAACATGTCGTATTCTAAGCACTTTAATGTACGTTCACTTATTTAACATAGAAAATAACCCTGTGAGATACTACTACTGCCACCCCCATTCTGCAGATAAGGGAACTGAGGCCCAGACAGGTATAGTAAATAAGCAGAAAAGGGATGAAACATAGATTCAAACCCAGGAAATCTGACTCTAAAATCCACAGTTTCACTGACTACCCTCTGCTTCTTCCCCTCAGTGTTGCTTGGGTTAGCAAACCCCAATAAATCAATGGCTGACATTGTCTCAGTTGGAGCCAATTGACTAGCAACAGTCAGTTTGGGGACCCAGAATACACAGACCAGGGAAGAGGCATCCTTGTGCCATGGTAAGGCTATTTCAGCTTGGCTGTTACACTGTAACACAAGCAGAGGTGTTGGTATAAAGGAAAAGTTTTTTGTGAAGGCGGGAGGGAACTGGCTTAATGGGTAGCAACCAGGCTAATACACGTGCAGCAATTTTGTGTCTTGGAATGAGTCTTCTCTGGCCAAAGATCATGGTCTCCATTTTTGTGAACAAAGCAATATCCACTAATGACTTTGCATCCATGTTAGCTTGATATTTTTTCTATGCTCTCCTTTTTATGATCCACTCCATTAATATTTCCCTTTTCCTAGGCTCTCCCTCCCTACCTGCCCCTCACTAGACGCTTTTTCCAGATGTGGGTCAACCACTTCATAGTCTCTAAACACATTTTAGGCTAATTTGTTTAATGGCTATATGTTCTTTTTGCTGATACTGGAGGATTTCAAAAGTCTAAGGAGACTTCCATGGATGCTGTTCCATGGTAACTTGAGTCCCAAGTTTGTGACTATATATTTTGGCAGCATTGTGAATTCAAGTACTTCCTGGAGTTCAGGGCCAAAATGGGAAATACAGCTGGGGCAGATGTTCTGGGATTAAAGTTGCTTTCTTGGTTTTAAAAGTTGAGAAATTCAGATATCTTGAGGGGACTCAGCAAAGCTAAGCCCAGTGAAACAATGAGAGCAGCACCAATGCATACATTTCCATGTACTTACTGCCATGGACTGTTAGAATTATTTTGGCAATACTTTGTAAAGTAGCTAGCATATTTGATGCCTAATAAGTAAACGAGGAAGAGGAAATGAAGATGCAGTATTATACACAATAATAAATGGTACATAAAAGCTATCCCTCTGGAATAATAAGCAGTCTTGGAAGACCTAGTTACAGAAAATTGATTCACCTTTAAGAAATTATCTAAAAACATCATAATAATGCTGTGTTTTTAGGAACACATGGAAAATAATATCCATTCTAGTAGTGTTTCTTTTTAAATATGTAAGTTCCAAGTTCGTGTTAACTTTTATCAATCAAACCACATTATCGTAAAATGTTGTGTTTCTGAGATGACTAAATTCCTCCACAGAAAATAGACTCCTACCCATTGAACATCTATACAATTATCTATTCAGCTCAGTGCTTAATTTTTAGCTGTTATTTTCTAAGACAAAATATATCTTTTCTGAAAGACAAAGACGATAAAAACTGTTTCCTCGGTTTTTGTTCATTCATAGCTTTAAACCTTTTCCTAATTGAATGATTACAATATATCATGTAAAAAAACCCTTCATCAATCATCAGTTTAAAACTGTGGCTCTGTATAAAGTATGTTTTTTTGTTTGTTTGTTTGTTTATTTTTTTATTTTTTTTTTACTTTTTTTTTTATTATACTTTGAGTTCTGGGATACATGTGCAGAATGTGCAGGTTCGTTACCTAGGTACACACGTGCCATGGTGGTTTGCTGCACCCATCAACCTATCATCTACATCATGTATTTCTCCTAATGCTATCCCTCCCCTAGCCCTCCACCCCCCGAGAGGCCCCAGTGTGTGATGTTCCCCTCCCTGTGTCCATGTGTTCTCATTGTTCAATACCCACTTATGAGTGAGAACATGTAGGTTTGGTTTTCTGTTCCTGTGTTTGTTTGCTGAGAATGATGTTTTCCAGCTTCACCCACGTCCCTGCAAAGGACATGAACTCATCCTTTTTTATGGCTGCATAGTCTTCCATGGTGTATGTGTGCCACATTTTCTTTATCCAGTCTATCACTGATGGGCTTTTGGGTTGGTACCAAGTCTTTGCTATTGTGAATAGTGCTGCAATAAACATACGTGTGCATGTGTCTTCATAGTAGAATGATTTATAATCCTTTGAGTATATACCCAGTAATGGGATTGCTGGGTCAAATGGTATTTCTGGTTCTAGATCCTTGAGGAATCGCCATACTGTATTCCATAATGGTTGAACTAATTTACACTCCCACAAACAGTGTTAAAGCATTCCTATTTTTCCACATCCTCTCCAGCATCTGTTGTTTCCTGACTTTTTAATGATCGCCATTCTTACTGGAGTGAGACGGTATCTCATTGTGGTTTTGATTTGCATTTCTCTAATGACCAGTGATGATGAGCTTTTTTTCATGTTTGTTGGCTGCATAAATGTCTTCTTTTGAGAAGTGTCTGTTCATATCCTTTGCCCACTTTTTGATGGGGTTGTTTGTTTTTTTTTCTTGTAAATATGTTTAAGTTCCTTGTAGATTCTGGATATCAGCCCTTTGTCAGACGAATAGATTGCAAAAATTTTCTCCCATTCTATAGGTTGCCTGTTCACTCTGATGATAGTCTCTTGCTGTGCAAAACTCTTTAGTTTAACTAGATCCCATTTGTCAATTTCGACTTTTGTTGTCATAAGCATGCTTTGGCATGCACACCCAAAATAGTAAATTAAATGAATACCTATTGGGTATTTTCAGTGTGCTGAGTAGACTGTCAAGTATGAAACTCTCTAGACCAGGAGCAGTGGACCTCGTCTCTAGTCTTGAATTTCTAGCTATGTGACTGTAAGCAAGTTATGTACGTTTCAGTTCCTTGGTCGCTTCATCTGTTAAATTACTTTTCTTTTATTACGATGCTTCTAAATCAGAGTTGTATGCAACAGAAACCAACTCTGGCTAATTTAAGCAGAAAATAAATTCATTAATGGTTACTATAGGATAGTTCACAGATCCTTGGGGACAGTCAGAGACATATTCTTAGAAGTCAAGGAAGGATACATGATGTGAAAATGAAGCCGCTAGTTGGCTCCTGGAGGACAGAGTTTTCTCATCTTTGTGTATGGACTTTCCCATTTGAACCATTTAACCAATCAAGGCTTATTGCTAAAGCCACCATCATTTCTGCCTGGGGAAACTGAGTGTAGTTACTATAGTTACCACCACAAATGTATGCAAGGATATGGAGCAGCCTCTGCTTCTGTGTGTCCCTAGTTTGCCCAAAGAATGTCTGATTGGAATGGTCAATGACCTATGCCTATGCCTCAGCTGCAGAGGGGCAGCACAACACAAAGGTCTTGCATTGCTCCCTCCAAAAGGTGAGACATGCTCTAAATATAAAAAAAGAAAGTTCCTATGCGGCACAGTCCAAAATCGTGATGAAACATTTCAAATTCTGGCATCTTCTAGAATACTGAATACAATTTGGGCAATGATTTGCCTGAAAAAGTCTTGACAATTGCCTGTTGTATTTCTAAATAGCACCTCATTCCTCTCATTTACATCCTGGTTTAAAAGATAAATTATAAAGTCAACCTATTTATGATGAATGCTATCGTATCACAAACTAGGAGTATAGGTTTGCAATCCATTACCATATTTATATAGGTCTCAATATCTATATAAATATTTAAGATAAAACCTTTATCTTGAATTGTGTTTACCTGTAGCATATGTTGCTATCTTGACAATGGTTCCATGGGGTAGCCAGGGGAAGCATTATTTATCCCTTTTGTAAGTAAGAAATCTGTTACTTGACAAGGGTGTGCCAATGCTATTTTGTGAGTGGCAGAGAGGGTATTAGACCCTGTGTCTTCTGATTGCTCTAACCTTTGGATCAAGCACACCAGCTTCAGTTATTAAAGGTAATCAATCTCACCTTTAATTCATTAGATTGCCCCAGGAAGACAGTAAAGATGGCTGAACAAGTAAGAGATTTCAACTGTCATATTCTGTGCTCTAAACTAGAGCTTCTTAGCTCAGAAGGGGGACCCTGCATTCATGGGTGTGATGAATGGGTGCTCCTCCAGTTCTCCAGGCTGTCAGGGCCTGTGGCATTAGCCTCAGGTGGACAAGCTCCCTCCCCGTCCTTTTCCCTATTGTACTCTGATTTGCCCTGATTGGAAAATGCTTGGAAAGGATGGCTCTAAGCAATCTAGTACAGATGTTCCAATCCACTTGAAAGATATTTCTCATGCATTTATTCATTCAACACTGATTTACCAAAGGCTCTGATGTTCCAGATATGGTGCCAGATGTGACAAATAAAAAGGTAAAAGACTCAGCTCCTGCCTGTGTGTGGGTAGTTTGTTGTCCAGCAGGGGAGGCATCAGACACAGCGGCAGACTCAGAGCAGGTAACAAAGGTGGTCACAGGAGTAGGTACAAGGGCTATAGGAATACTTAGATGGGACTCTGAGAAAGGTTTGGTTGCAACGGAGTGCATGGGAATCTTCTCAGAGAGGATGATCTTTTACTTGAACCCTAAAGTAGTGGGAGGAATTTTCCAAGCAAAAGAATGACAAGTGAAGGGAGACTGTGTCCTATGCAGAATGAGCCACTGTACAAAGGGTGGAGACCCTAGAAATCTCCCTTTTAGGGCATGTGGACATTTTAATATAGCTGAAGAGCAGGTGCAAGGTGGGTAGGGCTCAGAGACCAGGTAAAAAAGTGCCAGTTCTTGCAGGGCCTTTTAGATCACAAAGGGTCTTCTATGCTAAAGTCACAGTCTCTAATCTTATAATAATAAAATGCAGAAAAATAAAATGTTTCTTCTCAAAGAGATAATGGCTTAAAAGTCAACTCAAATGTTTCCAACGAGGATGCCAATAATAGCTACTATCTATTAAACATTGTCTATGTGCAACCATTGTTCTAAGCACTTTCTAGCTATTCAATTATTTGATCCTTCCAACAAGCATATGAGGTAAGTAATATTATCCTAGTGTTACAAACAAGAACAATTGAGTCATAGAGATCTTGTTATAGGTAGCGTAGAACTGGGATTTGAATTCACATAGTCTATTTTCCAATTTTTTCTCTTAGATACAATAGTACACACTAGCACAAAATTCCACTTTAGATCTTTCCATCATGAGAATATGTTTGCTGTAGCAGTTCATGTGAATAATGTTATTTTGAATAATTTGAAATTACAAGCACTAGAGCAATATTACTCAGGCTTCAGAATCCTCAGACTTACTAATATTATAATAAATGCACCCAATAAGAAAGCATACTTTCTTGCCTCCCAAAAAATTGTTTCTCTTATGGCACATAAAAACTCTGAGCTTTAGTTTTTCATATGGAAAGCAAAGATGGTAAGTTGGCACAAAAGTAATTGTGGTTTTTGCCATTAAAAGTAATGATTTGAATACATTTGTATTCACTTAATGGTTTTGCCACTAAAAGTAATGGCAAACACTGTGATTACTTTTGCACCAATCTAATAATATCCTGCTATTAAATGAGATGAACAGGGGGCAAGTGACATGTACATAGCTCAAAATATAATATCTGAAACTGAATCTGATACTACTAAGCTGGACATTTGCAACAATCTCACGCTGCAAAGTGATGGGTCATCTACTGACATATGTTTGTAAAACAATGGAGGTTGTGTTACCTTCTCAACAGATGTCTCATTTAGCTTCAAATAATTTATTTATTCTTTCATTCTTTTTATTTAAAAAACTTGCTTCGAGATACTTTGTGTCTGCCTCTGTCTTGGGTGCTGGGGACATAAATAGTGAACATTAAGTGATCTCTGTCCTCAGAAGTCTCAGTCTTGTGGAAGAGTCCAACTCAGGCGTAAGCAGAAATTACAAAGCAATATGCCAAACACACTGACAGTACAATGTATAGGGTTTAATAGCAGCCCCAGTCAAGGGGACTCAACTCATCCTAGAGCTACAGGGGAAGATTTCACTGTAAAAGGGGTACCTTCAGCTTTTGCCAGAATAAGAATCAGCTTCACTGTAGTTAGAGCAAGATAGAACTGGTTACAAGAAGAGCAAGAGTCTAATCCTTCCCCTCTGCTAACACGCAGCATTCACCAGGCAAGTTGGTGAAGCCATTTCTATTTTTAATTGTTTCCCTCTCTGGCCACATTTGCCGTATTCATTTTCATACTGTCTAAAAACTGGATCAGGGCCGGGCGCGGTGGCTCAGGACGGGTGCGGTGGCTCACGCCTGTAATCCCAGAACTTTGGGAGGCCGAGGTGGGTGGATCACGAGGTCAGGAGATCAAGACCATCCTGGCTAACAAGGTGAAACCCCGTCTCTACTAAAAATACAAAAAATTAGCCTTGCGTGGTGGCGGGTGCCTGTAGTCCCAGCTACTCGGGAGGCTGAGGCAGGAGAATGGCGTGAACCCGGGAGGTGGAGCTTGCCGTAAGCCAAGATCGCGCCACTGCACTCCAGCCTGGGCAACAGAGTGAGACTCCGTCTCCAACAAACAAACAAACAAACAAACAAACACCAAAAAACAACAGCAAAAAATACTGGATCAGGTTCAGTCTGGAATTGCAAAGGTCCCTTTGTACCCTCAACAAAGCAGCCTTACCAGTGGTTTGGTCATCAATTCCAGGCATATGCCTCTTCATTTGTTCCCAGCAGCCAGTGCAAAGACATTCAGGCCCCTGAACGGGTGTGGAAAGTTTAACACAAATGCTGTGAGGGTTCCACTTTGAGACCTTTTGTTGGATACATGTTAGAATGAGATTCTTTTTTTGTTTTTTTTTAAGCTAGTGTTATCCCATCCAAATAATCCTTCAGAGGGTTTGTAGTCCAATGAGGGCTCCTAATACAGCACATATATTTGGTTTATTTTCAAAAATGGTATTTCAGAAACACATGTAAATAATTAGATAAGAGATTGTAACAATATCTTCTCATCCTGGGCTTTGGGGAGTTACTAGAATTATATAACATTTCCAATAATTTTATTATGGTTATAAAAATACACAGTTATCTGCAAGCGGCCCCTTTTGTATAGAGAAGAGATATTTCAACTAAGTTCTCATTTCCCTGTTTCCACACCATAGATCATTATTTCCTAAGTTCCAGTTACTTCCTGATGCTTCCCTTGAACTCTTAAGACAGTTTCTTCTTGATCCTCCCAAAATATCAAGTGCATTTAGTTTCTACACTTGGTTTATGTGTAGAATTTCAAATCGCTCTTCTCTAGTCCCAATTATCCCATTCTTGAAGGCCCATATCTTGTCTCAGCTCTCTTATAAAGTTGTATCTGTGCTCCACTGTGGGGTGGAGTAGACTTTGTGGTTCTCATTTCTCAGAGTAGGTGAGGCTGTGCTGTGGAAGCCAACAAGCCCCCAGTCCCAGATGCTATAAACAACAAAGGTTTTTCCAGTGTTCTAATGGTGCATCACGGCCTGGCTAGAGACTGTTCTGCTTCATTTCACTCTGGCACTCTGGCTTTCAGAGAAGCCACAAGCTGGAAACTTGCCAATTGCAGGGGCAGAAGGAAAGAGCTCTGGAGAGTCTTGCAGTAGCACTTACATGCTTTATCCAGAAAGGTGCACATGTCACTGTGCTTGGAACTGATTGGCTACTGCTAGACCCACGGTCCCTCCCAATCACAGGGGAGAGAGGAAGTGCAACCATACCATGTGCCTGGAAGCAGAGATCCATAAATATTTGGTAAACTGCACTAATGACAATTCTTGGGGATTGAATGGGGGATTTGGCACTTACTAATGACTTTGACTCTGAGCAAGTGGTGTAACCGCTGAACTGCTTTCTGCCTCAGCTTCCTCTTTTGTAAAAGAGGAGAATCCTTTATTCTTCGATGATATCTAGAAAACAATTATTGACTATATAACTCATCTGACAGATCTAATCTGCTGTAACTCTTTGTTCTTGAATAGTGTGATGAATGTGTTCGATATCCTTCATAAGAATGCAAGCTTGTTCTGTTCAATTGAGCTCCTCTAACATTTAAGGAGCATTAGATGGAAACCAATTTAGTGTACAGCACTGGGCAAATGAAATTTGACTCTATCATCTTGTTCATTAAGGAAAGAAAGAAAAATTAGAAGGGGCATGAGTTGAATCCTCAGGGTTGTTAGAAACTTATCTTTTTGTCTCAGAAAAAAATAGTCTCACAAATATCTCATAAAATGTCCCTTACAATTCAATTTTTGAAAGAGTTTTTCATTGAGTTCATTCTTCTCAATGAAGTAATTATGTGTAAGTCAATGAAAGGTGTTGGGCTCTATGGATTTGGTAATCATGTTCCAATTTCTGCTTGGTCATTTTTAATCGACACCTTTGTTGCATCTGTTGCTAAAGAACAGATTTATGCATCGTTTGTCGTCAGATCAATGAGCATTACAAGCAACCAGGCTAAAGAGTTACAAAGGCCCAAGTTATTTTTCCTTAGGCATAAAACAGTCAGCCGGCTTCAAGTCAGAGCTGAGTAAATTACTCATTTTAGTGTTGTTGATTTAGGCCCACCTGAAGAGATGGCCTTGATGACCTACAATAAAACTGGCATGATTAAATATTTCTCATCTCAAATCTTCCTGCAGTTTTTAGGCTTTTGTGTACCATGAGCTCAATAACCTGTATGCATCAAAAGAATACCCTGGGTCATAAATAGCAGTCATTAATTGCAGCTGCTTTTACACCTAGTATGCAATTTCTCATCTCCATAATTTAGAAAATATGTATGTTTAAATCAGATGTGATGTTTTATTGCAATTTATAGGACTATTTAATATTGAGCTTTAAAATTTTAAATATATTGTAATACTTTCTGGACTAACACTTGTCTTGCCATCTTTGAGCCGCATATTAACATATTTTCACCTGCAGGTAAAATTAGCCAATATTAGTGTATTTTGGATGACGTCTAATTAATCATAGCCCTTAGACCAAGATGGCTGTGACCGGGTTATTTATTGAAATGTTGACCCAATGCGGACAACTGGGCGAAAGTCTTATGGTTTTTTCTTGCCTTCAGTCGGAATTAAATCATTGATCCCAGAAGAAAGGGACCACCACAGTGCTACGGAAAACAGGAATTGTGAGAAGTTATGGGATCCATTTTAGCTTGATTTACTCACAGACTCCTTAAGCACACTTCATAAGGTAATCACAGCTATATTTTGTTTCCCAAACTCCTCAGGCTATTATGTCTTCTCTATGCTGTGTCCTCTGCTAGACATGACTGCCTCTGTTTCCTCTTCTAACTCTGAGTCATCAAAGTTGCAAAACTCAGCTCCAGCAATATGCCTTCCAAAATGTTTTCCCCAAATTTATTTCAACTTCCCAGTTCTGTGTTTCCATTAGATGGCTCAATAGTCAGCACCTATCAACCATTTATATGTCTGTTTGCTCTACTAGAATGCTAGCTTCTGGACCACAGATCTTATGAATTATTTAAATATTGGCTGGGCGTGGTAGCTCACGCCTGTAATCCCAGCATTTTGGGAGGCCTAGGTGGGCGGATCCCTTGAGACAAGGAGTTCGAGACCAGCCTGGCTAACAGGGCGAAACCCTGTCCTACTAAAAATACAAAAATTAGCCAGGTGTGGTGGCACATGCCTGTAATCCCAGCTACTTGGGAGGCTGAGGCAGGAGGATTGCTTGAACCCAGGAGGTGGAGGTTGCAGTGAGCTGAGATGGTGCCACTGCACTCCAGCTTGGGCTACAGAGAAATTCTCTGTCCCCCTCCCCCACATAAAAAAACCTAAAAACCAAAAAATAAATCTTTATGACCAGTTCCTTGGCATGGCATAAACTTAATAAATGTCTGTTGAATGAATGAATATTTGTTGAGTGAATGGGTGAATATTATAGAACCATGACTTTATTTAACTACTATATTTATTGGGAATATTAATTGCTAGCATGTATGGAACACTGTGTGCCAGGCACTGTTCTTTGCATTATATGTTGTAACTCATTGATGGTGTCTAAAAACTCCTGAGAAATACTGTTATTATCCCATTTCACAGATGAGGAAACTGAGACACTGGAAGAGGAAGTAACTTGCCCAATGTCACTCAGCCAGGAAGAGGTGGAACCCAGCATTGAAATCCAGACAGTCTAACTCCAAAACAAATAAACAATACCACCACACTTTTATCTTCTAGGCTATACATTTCTAATGGCCAATGAAGAAAACAAACTGAAAACAAAATTCCTCCTTCCTGCTCTTGCTTATTCCTAATGGCTGTTCTTTTTAGCTCATGTAGAAAATAAAGTAGTAACATGTTTCAGTACTTATTGTAGCTCTAGTAATTTCAGCTTGTAAATTTGCTTTGGAAACCTTAGTGTTTAAATATTAATCAAACAGATGCAACTTTCCAAGCAACTGTTGTCAGAGAAAGATCAACATTCGTTAGATTTTTACTTACTGACAAGTTAAAAATAAGATTATGGTAGCTTTCCTACCTCCTGAAAATCTGTTGCTCTTTAAGCCCCTCGTCAGATTCAAAAGAAATATTTTGCACTCAACTTTAAAGCAGAGATATATAAAAATCAGCAAATAAATGAAAAAGTGATTAAATTCTTTATTAAAGATTTACCAAAAAATAATCCTTTAACTATGTAATCCTACAATTGTTTTCAAATACAAATGATTTTCCCCATGTTTAGATGTATGTATTTAATGAATACAACTCAGTATAATGATCTTCCTAAAAATGCCCCTTTTGTTTCCTTTTCTGAGACTTCTAATGTATTAAAAAATATATAATGCCAAAAAGCTTTTATTAAATTGTGAAAAATTTAAAATTTCCACACTTGTTAAAGAAATACTTTTAAGCACACACATGTGCAGTGATTTGCTTGTATTTTTCCCTTGATGGTAACGGGATTTAGAAAGATGTTATTTTGTAGCTCACTTTGCTAGTTATAACACTTTGGGCATTTGGGATCAGTTACTTAAACTGTCCCTGATTCCTTTTCTTACATGTAAAATAGAGGTAATAATATGACTTACTTTAAGAAATTAAAATACCTAGAACAGTGCTCATCAAAACTTCAATAAATTGCGATTATTGTTATTATTGGCATTGAGCAATGTGGTTTCATAAAAGAACAAGCATTTAAAAAATGATAAACATTGGCCAGGCACGGTGGCTCATGCCTGTAATCCCAGCACTTTGGGAGGCCGAGGCAGACGGATCACGAGGTCAGGAGATAGAGACCATTCTGGCTAACAGGGTGAAACCCTGTCTCTACTAAAAATACAAAAAAATTAGCCAGGCGTGGTGGCCGTGGTGGAGGGTGCCTGTAGTCCCAGCTACTCGGGAGGCTGAGACAGGAGAATGGCGTGAACCTCGGAGGCGGAGCTTGCAGTGAGCCAAGATTGTGCCACTGCACTCCAGCCTGGGCAACAGAGCGAGACTCTGTCTCAAAAAAAAAAAAAAAAAAAAAGACAAACATCATTTAGTATGTCAAGTCATCTTCTGTGACCCCAGCTATGTGTTAGTGTGCTCTGGTTACCACAAGAGAATACCACAGACTGTATGGCTTAAGCAACAGAAATTTATTTTCTCACAGTTCTGGAGTCTGGAAGTCCAAGATCAAGGTGGCAGCAGCATTGGTTTCTAGTGAGGCCACTCTTCCGGGTTTGCAAATGACCACCTTCCCACTGTCTTTACACAAGCTTTCCTCTGTGTGAGTGCATTCCTAGTGTCTCCTCCTCTTCTTATGTTAATATTAACATAAGTTCTATTGGATTAAGGCCCTATCTTTATGACCTCATTTGACCTAAATTATCTTCTTTTAGACCTTATCTCCAAATATAGTCACATTGGGCCTTAGGGGTTCAACATATGAATATTGGGGGGCACCATAGAGTCCATAACAAGGTAGAACATCATTTGGGGATATCTTCATGTCTGAATTTGAAGTTCTTTGTATAAAGCCTAAGTCAAATTCCACTCCCTGCCCTCCCTCCCCATTGGAAGGTTTAAAGAGGTCATCTGATTCCCACTTTAAATGAATGACTTTGGCTCCTGTTTGGAGTTCCACTCATTAATATGCTTTCTTTCTCCAGTCCTGTATTAACAGATATTTCTGTGGAGTTTTCCATTGGTTTTATTTTATTTCTCACAGGGCTGGTGGGGAGCTTGATTACTACTTGACGCCAGGAAATAAGAGTTTCAGAAATGGAATAAATAGGGAACAGTGGAACATTTGTCTGGGCATGCCATCAGCCTCAAGCATGTCAAGAATGTTGCTGGAATGGCTTTGCCATCAGAGGAATGGTTCTAGCACCACACATCAGTCCTTCACTTGGGGAAGTGTGAAATTCCTAAGGTTTTAAAAATAACAGAACGATGTAATAGGCTCTCATTGCAACAAACTGAATCTCACCCACAATTATAATAAATAAGATTTGGATAATGATGACATTTTAAATTGACACCAAAGTGTCTCCAACCAGAAAGCAGTAATGACTAATTTCACATTGTGCAGAATAACTCACTTGTCAGGGAAAACCTAACTTGTATACTTAGATTCTCATTGTTCTTTTTATGATAACTGCCCAGCGTCTCTGTTTAGTTATGATGTCAGTTTGATATAATATGTAATATTAACAACTCATCACATAAAACAAACAGTGAGCTAATTTTCTGCAAGTGCGCAAGTAAATACTGAATTATGGTTAACCCTTAGAGCAATGCACTTGAGAAAACTTCCACTTTCCTTTTACAGTCTGCCAATCTTTAAAACAATTTCCACCATCCCACATGTTTTTTATAAAACCTCAGATGGAACTATCATTTTATTTTATTTAATATGGATAGTGATTCTATTTTTAAGTACTATTATGATCTGGATAAACTAAATAATCTACAGGCCTTAATGGTACCTTACAGCCACTAGATCTTCAGGTAGATTAGATAAAACATTAATTGTTACCTATAGGAAGTCCTTGGCCGACTATATTTTCATAAGTCCTAAAGAGGCGGATCATCCGAGGCTAGGAGTTCGAGACTAGCTTGGCTAACAGAGTGAAACCCCATCTCTACTAAAAAAAGAAAAAAAAAATACAAAAATTAGCCAGGTGTGGTGGCATGCACCTGTAATCCCAGCTACTCGGGAGGCTGAGGCAGAAGAATCGCTTGAACCTGGGAGGTGGAGGTTGCAGTGAGCTGAGATTGCGCCATTGCACTCCAGCCTGGATGACAAGAGTGAAACTCCATCACAAAAAAAAAAAAAAAAAAAAAAGGAAGAAACGCTCTATTAAAACAATACCTTTTGGCCCACATCATAAAAACAAAGTAGAGATATCCAAGATGGAGATGGTAGTAACAGATAAAGTATCCCTGCATAGAAATCTAACTCATACAAATCCGTGGCTTGACCAGTATTATTGGTTGCTGGTTTTTAACAATTCTCACAGCCCGGATCTTCAAAATATGGGTCCTCTATTTTTCTTTCTTATTCCAGATCTGACAGACCCAAGTAAGTAGCAGACAAGTAATGCTAGAAAAAAATCAGCCAGCACATTTCTAGCAGCTGGGTTTTATGGTCAGGCCCTGGGGAAAGTGAACCTACATTTGTCTCCAAGAAAAGATGAGTAGGCCATAGGGAGAGAAACTGTGTGTGAGAAAATCAGGGCAAATGCTAGTGTGATTCTGGCTATGCATGGCTTGGTCTCTCACGGTGGAGTCTGTTTTTCTCTTTGGCTCACAGTTAAATGACAACTGTTTCAGGGAAAAACTGTCTCACACTATGTTTTTCCTCTGCTCTCACACCACCAAAACAATCATCAACACAGAAGCCTTCTGTGACCAAATGTGTGGGGGTTTCTCCCCACACACCAAGCAGCGGGTCCTCCAATTCAGTTCCGATACTATCTACCCAGAGATGGTGCCAGATCCCACAGATTGAGGACTCAGTCCCACAAGACCGCCCTCCTCCTTCTTCTCAGACACCAGTCCCGGTCTCCAGAAATCCTGACCAACTGGCTTCCAGTTGGGGTTCCCACGACCCCTTCTTTGAGTTCAGTTAATTGGCTAGAGCAGCTCTCAGAATTCAGGGAAACACTTCCTTACGTTTACCCATTATTACAAAGGTTATTTTAAAGGATACAAATAAACAGCTAGATGAAGAGATACACATGGCGAGGACTGGAAGGGTCCCAAGCGCAGGAGCTTCTTTCCCCGTGGACTTGGGGCGTGCCACCCTCCGGGCACGCGGATGAGTTCTTCACCTTCCTGATGGCCGCCATGTGTTCAGCTCTCCAGAAGCTCCCCGAACCCTGTTCTTTGGGCCGGCCGCCATGTGTTCAGCTCTCCAGAAGCTCCCTGAACCCTGTTCTTTGGACCTTTTATGGAGACTTCGCTGGTTGTGTATCACTGAAGCATGAATGATCATGTGGAAATGTAACTGGACACAAAGGATAGGATCTAAATCCAGCAAGACCTGTCTGTTCAGATTCTTCTTGGCCTCTCTGTGCAGTGTTCCCTCCCCCAGAATATGCGGCAGGACCCTCTCTGGGATGAGGGTCTTATGATCCACAGTCAGATGAGAATCATGCCTTGGGCAGATGAAAGGAGGACAAGAGAACGTCAGAGAGAAACATTGTGCTTCTAAAACCTAAAGTGCCCCCAATTTTGTAACAAGACCGTAAGAATGGAAAATGATAAATGGGAGTTATGAGCTAGGAACTGTGAATAAAAACCTATATGTACATATATGATCATAATTTCACACAAGAAACCCAGCATTGACTGTAAACTTTCGTGGTTGTTGTTGAGTTTTTTGGTCTCCTGTACTTTCCATCTCCTCTATCGAATAACTGGGTCTTTGTTCCAGCCTCAACCTTAAAGTTACCTTCTCCAAGAAATCATTCACCTTCCCAGCATTTGGAATCAGTGTTTTATGACACAATACATGGAAAATAATACATATACTATATGATAATCTTTGGAAAAAAAAGAAGGCTGACCAAGCAGGGAGATTGTCTGGCTTTGGAAAGCTATCACAAGTTGGCAATTGTTAGAGAGTGACTCAGCTGTCTGGCTCTATCTACCTTTCAGACAGATTTAGGTGAGCTGGAGACAGATTCAACAGTAAGGCTTATTCACACATAGGCATGCCTGAATCAGCCAAGTCTCATCAGCATACAGGAAGGCCAAATATCCATGATTGCATTAGGCAAATCCTACCTTTTCTCTGTTGAAATGCCATCAATTTAAACTTTCTAAGCTAAGAGCTGTCTAATTATATTTAAGCGTATATTTCTACATATTTCTTCACACATTCATTATGCTTTTAGTTTATTCGTTTACTAAATGTTTGCAATGTAACGGTGTCAAATGCATTTAATGATTATTTAAGAACATTTATACTCATTTTACAGAGGAGATAGAGGCTTAGAAGGGTTAAATGACTTTCTCCAAGTCACATTGCTGATTTATGCTAGAGAAGAGACCAGACTTAATACTTGTTTGTACATTTCCCACTAAATTCTTACTTAGTTGTCTTTTTTCATTCAGATTTTATATAATTCCAAAATACTTAAGTGTATTGACTGCCTTGTGTATACTAGGTTCCATTCATACTTGTCCAGTTTCTGAGATTGAGAAGAACACACACAGAGAATAGCAAGGTAGATGAACATAAGCTGATGGGGTCTTCGATGACTTCCCTGTATCCTGAGCCCATCCTGGGGACATGTACCTCCACTTTCTTGTCATGCAAGACAGTTACATGCCCTTATTGTTTATTTAAATCAATAGTTTGTCATTCTCTTATTTGCAACAAAAAGTTTTTAACTAATAGACTAAAATAATAAAGATAGTGCAATGACAAAATAAAATAAAAGGTTTTTTTAAAGCCTTCAACTTAAACAAATTTGCAAAAACACAACCCCATTAAAAAGTGGGCAAAGGACATCAACAGACACTTCTCAAAAGAAGACATACATGTGGCCAACAAACATATGAAAAAAAGCTCAACATCACTGACCATTACAGAAATGCAAATCAAAACCACAATGAAATGCCATCTCATGCCACCCAGAATAGCTATTATTAAAAAGTTAAAAAACAACAGATACTGATGAGGTTGTGAAGAAAAAAGAAAACTTTTACATTGTTGGTAGGAGTGTAGATTAGTTCAATCATTGTAGGAGACAGTGGGTGATTTCTCAAATACCTAAAGGCAGAAATACCATTTGACCCAGCAATCCCATTACTGGATATATACCCAAAAGAATATAAATCATTCTATTATAAAGATACATGCACTTATATATTCATTGCAGCACTATTCACAAATAAGATTTGGATAATGATGACATTTTAAGTTGACACCAAAGTGTCTCCAACCAGAAAGCATTAATGACTAATTTCACATTGTGCAGAATAACTCATTTGTCAGGGAAAACCTAACTCCTATGCTTAGATTCCACCATTTTTCTGGCTAAGTCTTCGTTTCCCTACGTTCAAAACTATGAGCCTAATGCCTACCTGGTAATGTCATTGAGGAGAGTTGTATATGTTTGTAATTGTCTGTGCATTTATCAAACAAAATGCTTGGCACAGAGGTGAAACCACAAACAATAGTTATAGCTATTTTATATATATGATTATATAATAGTTATAAAAATTCAATTGTTTTCTATTATTATTACCTTGCTAACTACTAGTTTATTTTCTCATTTTGCCTTTCTAATCTCACCTGGCTGCTCTGGCTCTTAATGAGCTCTCTAGGAGTTGCATTATTTTTCTTTTCTTCATTTTCAGCTGAGACGATTTATTAACTGTATCATTATGGTTTGAATTAAAAAATATTTTAATCAAAGTGCTTCTAAAGTCAACCAATTCATATTTCTAGCATGCTCCTATTCACTCTTTAATATTACCACCTTTTCTTAAAATGTGGCTAAGAGAAAAGGCTATGATGTTCATATAAGCTGAGGCACATAGTCCCTATCAAGGAAAACCTCCTCTGACTTTTCTGCTTGTTACAGGTGATTTAGAGAACTATTAAGTAAGATAGTGTGATTTTAAAATAATGTACTTGGCCAGGCGTGGTGGCTCATGCCTGTAATCTCAACACTTTGGGAGGCCGAGTTAGGCAGATCATGAGGTCAGGAGTTCAAGACCAGCCTGACCAATATGGTGAAACCCTGTCTCTACTAAAAATACAAAAATTAGCTGGGCGTGGTGGCGCGTGCCTATAATCCCAGCTACTCAGGAGGCAGAGGCAGGAGAATCACTTGAGCCTGGGAGGCAGAGGTTGCAGCGAGCCGAGATTGCGTCACTACACTCCAGCCTGGGTGACGGAGAGAGACTCCATCTCAAAAAAAAGAAAAAAAAAAATGTTCTTGTAGACAAAGGACTAGACCAAAGAATGGCTTAGGGAAACACTTCTATCTTAAAATTCATGATTATATTCAGTTTGGATAACTCTATTCATGGTTCACGATGGCTTCCATCTCATTAAATACGTTTTGACAATTAAATAAGATAACACATATGTAACACCCAGCATATAGTAAATATGTATAGCAAAAACCTAGCATATAGTAAATGCTATTAAATGCTAGCAATTACCAGTATTGTTTACTCTATTGTGGAACTACAAGTATAGCTTTGCAAACAGTAATGGTAAGTGACAGGCAAATTAATACAGGTTGTTTTCCTTTTGCACCAGTTATTAAGCTATTGCCTTTATCAGCTTTAAACCCTCCCTACTATGTTTTGCTTTGTATTCTGGAGAAAACCACACTTCTTTGCCAGCTATCTTCTGTTAGGCTTTGACAATAGTCAGACTTAAAAGGAGATTGGAAGGCAGGAGGAGGCACGGACCTTCTTCAGGGGACTCTCAAAGCTCTTCAAGTAGAGGGCACCTTCCCCAGTAACAGAGAGTGAGTGTTTTCTGCTCTTATCTGCTGTCCTTATTGGGGTCATCCTTGAAATAGCTCTTCTCACTTATGTCAAAAGTAGATTCCAAAAGCTGCAATTGGTCCCAATTTATAGTTTATCCACATGCTACAAATAGCCTCTTAGAGCCTCCTCAACTTTATTAAAGCCAGCTAATCTACGTCCTAACTTCATGGGGGTCCCTTTTTTGAACCCAACCAGCTGGGACCCCTTCACCAGAATTCTAGGTCCAGGCTCTGCAAGACTCTTCTCTAAACTTCTAAATTTTAATACCACCCTCGTCCCATTAGTTCCTGAACCCTAAGGGAGATAGTTGCTCCCTCCAGTAATTACCTGTGTGAATCCACAGTGTCCCTCTTTTGTCTTTCACTTCTGTAATACTTGTTTATCCATGCTTTATAACAACTTTTTCCATTAAAATAACTAGTAGACTTTTTTTCCCCTGACAGGACCCAGACTAATAGGTGATCCCACTTTCTGCTCAGGGCATCATGCCCTGATAGCAAATATTGCATGCCTAGGAAAGCCTTTTTTTTTTTTTTTTTTTTTTTTTGAGAAGGAGTCTTGCTCTGTCTCCCAGGCTGGAGTGCAATGGCATGATCTCCGCTCACTGCAACCTCCACCTCCCTGGTTCAAGCAATTCTCCTGCCTTAGCCTCTCAAGTAGCTGGGATTACAGGTGTGTGCCACCACGCCTGGCTAACTTTTTGTATTTTTGGTAGAGACGGGGTTTCACCGTTTAGCCAAGATGGTTTCGATCTTGATCTCCAGACCTCGTGATTTGAAAGGCTTTTATTATGTGTAAACTAATCTCAAATGGTGGATTTAAGATTATAGCATATTAGAGTATTTAAAAGTTAGATCTATCTTTCTAATAATTGTGGTTGTGCACATTCTTTTCTTAAGATCTATATTGACGCACGTGTGTGTGTGTGTGTGTGTGTGTGTATACATATATCTTAAGATTACATATTATCTATCACTTAGAACCCTGCGATTTGAAGGAAAATTCTCTCAGGTTACAGTGCCCAAGAATATTCTTGGATCGGAGGAAGGTTTATGCTCTTTAACTTAAAATGTCAAGAAAATTAAAATGAAGGAATTTTTTTCCTACAAAATATTTGACTTAAACTTTATCATGTAACTTTAAATGAACATGTGGATTGTTAGTGACTTGGGGGCCTTCCTCTTTTTAACTTTTATTTGCACATTTTAATTATACTTTAAGTTTTAGGGCACATGTGCATAACGTGCAAGTTTGTTACATACGTATACATGTGCCACGTTGGTGTGCTGCACCCATGAACTCGTCATTTACATTAGGTATATCTCCTAATGCTTTCCCTCCTCTGTCCCCCCATTCCACAACAGGCCCCAGTGTGTGATGTTCCCCTTCCTGTGTCCATGTGTTCTCATTGTTCAGTTCCCACCTATGAGTGAGAACATGCGGTGTTTGGTTTTTTGGCCTTGCGATAGTTTGCTGAGAATGATGGTTTCCAGCTTCATCCATGTCCCTGCAAAGGACATGAACTCATCATTTTTTATGGCTGCATAGTATTCCATGGTGTATATGTATTTGCACATTTTTTTTTTTTTTTTTTTTGAGACGGAGTCCCGCTCTTTAGCCTAGGCCGGATTGCAGTGGCTCAATCTCGGCTCACTGCAAGCTCCGCCTCTCAGGTTCACGCCATTCTCCTGCCTCAGCCTCCCGAGCAGCTGGGACTACAGGCGCCCGCCACTGCGCCCGGCTAATTTTTTGTATTTTTAGTAGAGATGGGGTTTCACCGTGTTAGCCAGGATGGTCTCGATCTCCTGACCTTGTGATCCGCCCGCCTCGGCCTCCCAAAGTGCTGGGATTACAGGCGTGAGCCACCGCGCCCAGCCTGCACATTTTTTAAAGCTTATCTTTCTCCTCCAACCGTCTGCCCCCACCCACATTTAATCTATAGTCAAACTTTTTTTTTCTTTTTAAACACATTCCTTTTATAGGTTCTTGCATTGTTAGAAACTAAAATACTTAATACTAATCTGGCAACTGTAACCAAAGTAATGATTTCAGCATTACAGATAAAAGCATAGCGAATGTTGGAAAACATTAGAGAGGAGAAGGGGAGCCAGAAGTTAACCATGTTGCGAATGACTGATCTCAACACAATCAAACTGGCTGCTCTTCTTGTAAAGTTCAAATAAAATCTAATACTACACGAGTTTAAGACTACCATACCTACTTCATTCACTCTCTCTCTCTATATATATATCTCCACATATATATATACCATATGATATATATACACACATATTTATACACTCACACACACGTGTGTGTGTGTATTCAAAGAAATTGAAGAAATTGTATAGATACAGAAGCAGTGCTTTCCCAAACTAAATCACATCAAAGTACGATATGCAGATATATATATATATATACATGTATATGTATATACATATATACAACTGTGTGTATATATTAATATATATGCACACATATACATCTATGTATATATATACACACATATATACACATATGTATATCTGTATAGTACGTATGTGTGTGTATATATGTCTATATATATCTGTATATATATAGTCATGCTTGAATAGCTTACTTACAGAAGTATTCAGAAAACTACAAATGAATCTCTCAAGATGAGCCAACTATAAGACAGATATTGACTTGTCCTGTGTCATGGGTAAAAATAACTTAGGGATAGGCTGGATCTTTCCACTTCACTTGATCTGTTGAGATGTGAATTGAATCTGATAGTATTTGAAAAATGTTTAAAACTAAATTTAGTGGAAATTATCAAGGTTTATTAAAGGAAATGAAAGCTATAATATTAATCACTTCAGTTAAGAAAACATGTGTGCGCTCAAGTGGGCACTAACTGAGTTATAATTGTAATGGGAAACAGAAATTTCTTCTTATGTGATATATCTCAGTTTTAATTTAGAGCAGAGCCGAACAAAATTAATTACAATTACTTGGCAGTATATGCAAAGCCACATTCTATGCTTTCTATAGATACTATAAAGAATTACTGTTACTTGGCTCCTTCCTGAGTACTTTGTTAAAATGTTTGAATTTACCAGCTAAATTCATGGTATAGCTTCCAAAATCATTTATCAATTTACTAAACTTATTAGTGTACTTGCTTGTCCTAGTATAGAGAATTCACTGAGGTTCATTGCCTTATTCTTTTTGTATTGGTTAGATGTTTCTAAAAGAAGCAGCATGTTCAAGTAGAAAGTTGGGTTTAAGTCATTAATATGGTTTAACTCTGTGTCACCACCCAAATCTCATCTTGAACTGTGATATGAATTTTAATCCCCAGGTGTTGAGAGAGGGACCTGGTGGGAGGTGACTGGATCTCCATAGTGTTCTTGTGACAGCTAGTGAATTCCCATGACATTTGATGGTTTTATAAATGGCAGTTTCCCCTGCCCTCTCTCCTGCAGCCTTGTGAAGAAGGTATATATTTCTCCTTTGCCTTCTGTCATGATTATAAGTTTCCTGAGGCCTCCCCAGCCATGCAGAACTGTGAGTCAATTAAACCTCTTTTCTTTATAAATTACCCAGTCTCGAATATTTCTTTTAACAGTGGGAAAACAGGCTAATACAGTCACATTTCCCCCAAAAGAAAGTATATAACAGAATTATTATGGGTTTTAAATGACAGGATTCTCTAGAATATAATCTCCATGAGGACAGAAATTTTTGCCTGCACTCTATTCCAACAGCCTAGAACAGTGCCTGGAACATAATACGTGCTCAATAAATAGTTATGGGCTGGGCACAGTGGCTCACGCCTGTAATCCCAGCACTTTGGAAGGTCAAAGCAGGCAGATTACTTGAGGCCAGGAGTTCAAGATTAGCCTGGCCAACATGGCAAAACCCTGTCTCTACTAAAAATGCAAAAATCTGCCAGGCATATTGGTGCATGCTTGTAATCCCAGCTATTCGGGAGGCTGAGGCATGAGAATTGCTTGAACCCAGGAGGCAGAGGTTGCAGTGAGCTGAGATGGTGCCACTGCACTCCAGCCTGGGCAACAGAGTGAGACTCTGTCTCGAAAAAATTTAAAAAAATAAATAATACATAATAAACAAATATGGAGTGAATGAATAATAGTTTTAAAACCACACGGTAAACTGCAAAGCTCTGTGAAAATATTATTGTTCACTGGTTCGGTTTGGCTCTGTGTCCTCATCCAAATCTCATCTTGTAGCTCCCATAATTCCCACATGTGGGAGGGACCCAGGGGAAGATGATTGAATCATGGGGGTGGGTCTTTCCTGTGTTGTCCTCATAAGTGAATGGGTCTCGTGAGGTCTGATGGTTTTAAAAACGGGAGCTTCTCTGAACAAGCTCTCTCTTTGCTTGCTGCCATCCATGTAAGATGTGACTTGCTCCTCCTCACCTTCTGCCATGACTGTGAGGTCTCCCTAGCCACGTGGAACTGTAAGTCCAATAAACCTCTTTCTTTTGTAAATTGCCCAGTCTTGGGTACGTTTTTATCAGCAGTGTGAAAACAGACTAAAAGTTCACTAATATACTTTGATGTCAAACCTGTTATCAAATGTTATTGAAACTCAATAGATAATTCCTGCCCTTTATTATAAAATAAATCCTACCTTGCATTTATTTGGTTTTGTGTCCTGCTCAGATATATAAGCATTTTGCTACAAAGAAGAATTTGTTTAGGTACAGAAGCAGTGCTTTCCCAAACTAAATCACATTAAAGTACAAAAGGGTAGTAGTGTGTATGCATGTTTGTATCTCTGTGTATGTAAGTCTCTCATTTGCGAGTGTATGTGTGAGTATATGTTACTGCTACTTTGATCTTCAGTCTCTCACACATATGTGAGATGCCAGTTTGTGAGACTCTTAGAACTGAAGGACCAGCCAAATACATAGGACTTTACCGTGCCAAGTCTTAATTCAGCACTTTCCAAGACCACCTATCAAAGAAAGTTTAAAACAGAGAAGGGAAAAAAGGAAAGAGAACAAAACTAATATAGATTTGTGCATTAGGTAGAACTGCTTCTATAAATCTTGAGATAATACAACAAATTACAAGATGAATGCACTTAGTCTTCTGTTTTTATGGTTTGCCATGAACTGAGTCTTCCATCTTCTCAAGTTCCTATATGAGACACACGGTATTTGTGGGAACACCAAACTACTCCAGAGTCTATGAATCCTCCTTTGCACTTTTTGCAAAGGCTATATATTTTCTAACTCTATGAGTGGGAGGCACTTCTTTCCTTATTCAACCTCATTCGATATAACTCTATCTAGAAGCTGAATATACTACTTTGCAGGCAGCTATGAGTAACATCCCTGTGATCTCTGTGGATATAATGGTTGTATTTTTTCATTCTTTTTATTATTATTATTTTTAAAAACATCTTCCCTTGTGAATCAGCACTCTTGGTCATGCTCTTCCAACAAGCTTATGACTACCATGTGGTCAGCTTTAATAATGAGGTTTAAAGATAATTTAAAGATGATAATGTTTGCTACTCTGCCTGAAATAAAGAAAAGGGTTGGCAAAACAACTAGGATTGCTCACTACACCTGTTGTTGTGAAGGTTCGTTTCACTCTACAAAAGAGAAACACATTTAAACTAATTCAAGTCAAGAAAAGCAAGCAAGTGAAAAGAAAATGGGGAACAACATAGAACCCACAAGCAAGAAGTACAGACAGTAGTACTCTTGAGTCTGGAGAATTAGCAATCAAGCAATTTTCATTCATTGTCTTGCTCTCTTTCTTCCCTTCCACCTCATTCTTTTCTTCCTTTCTTTTCTCTTTCTTTTTTCCTTCAACAAGCATTTATTGAAATTTCTATCACCTCTTTAAGGAGCAAGGGAAACACCAGTGAACAAAACAAACTAAAAAATTCCTTCTCTATGGATTCTATAATCTTTGCGTGTGTGTGTGTGTGTGTGTGTGTGTGTGTGTGTGTGTGTGTGTGTGTATGCATGTATGAAAATGGTAAAACAAACACATACAATATATGATATACTATGTCATAATATATCATATGTTGGTTACTAATAGAATCTATGGAGAAAAAGAAGAAAAGAATGGGGACTCAGAGAGCAAATGCAATTGCCATTAAGGAGCCAGTAATTCAGTCTCTCACCTCTATTTTTCAGCCATGATTTCCACAGCTCTTAGCATTTGCTTTCTTTTGATCCATGCCACTCTTCCTACTTCCTCTCCTCAACTCCAGCTGTGTCCATGTGTTCTATGGGACTCATCTTGTGTCCACTTGGTCGAATCTCACATGGTCTTTTAACTGAAGTGCCCACCATTAACTACAGTATAACTTTGGATTCTCTTAGTACCAATCCCTAAGAGGCTCTTAGGGCTTCAACTGGACTCTGTTTGGACAAAACCCTTCCTAGAATGGCATCGGTCCATAGGGTACTGTTGAGCCAATGGATGAAATCTCTTGGTTACATATTTTGACTCTATTGTGTGGATTTACCTACTGAGTCTTTAGGACCTCAGTATAGAGTATAGTTAGCTTTCTGTATTCATGGGTTCTTCATCCATGGACACAACCAACTGCAGATAGAAAATATTTCTTAAAAATTGTGTCTGTACTAAACATGTACAGACCTTTTTTCTTGTTATAATTCCCTGTACAATAGAGTATAACAACTACTTATATAGCATTTACATTTATTATGTATTATAAGTAATTGAGAGATAATTTAAAGTATATGGGAGGATGTGCTTGGGTTATATGCAAATATTATGCCACCTTATATCAGTGACTTGAGCATCTGTAGATTTTACTATCTGTGGGGGGTCCTGGAGCCAGTCTTCCATGGCTACTGAGGGACGACTATATTCTACTGTGGATATATACTCTACTTTGCCCTATGTAGAATTTACTATTCTAGAGAAATAGATTAAAGACAAGTATCCAATTTTCTCTTTCTTAGAAGAGGGCAAGATAAAAAGGCAAGACTCACTTTTTTTTTTTTTTTTGGTAGGCAAAGAATTATAGATGGAAAAAATAGTATTTTGGAACATTAGTATATAATACTTCCTGAAATTATCTGCTACTGTTTTGAGTATATATATATATACACACACACACATATATATACACACATATATATACACATATATATAGCAGAAATATCAAAAGAAATAAAAGATCAAAGCTCAGTTTTTAAAACTTTTAAAATATAATCTCAAAATACTATAGAGACAATTTTTATGGAAGAAGAATTTAATTTTTGTTTGAAAGTCTGAAGTTTTGAATATTAAAAATCATGGGCTTGATGACATGAGTTTTAAGTAACAGACTGGAGGTAAACTTTCTCCCTCTGTTTTCCCAATTACAGAAGAGGCACTATGCATCTGGGTTGGGAGAAAAGAGGGGCATCATCAAGGAGAGCAGTTGAGTGAAATGGTTATGGGGATACCTGAGAAAGGGCTGCAAGCTCTGCTACAACTGCCCTCTCTGGACCACATCCCAGATTGATGGTTGGGACCTAGAGCTAACCAATCATCTATGGGTCATTGCCTTACTTTCCTGGATGGAAAGTGGGAAACAAAAGCCTGTTAAGACTCCACTGCCTTCATCTCCTGTCCTGCCTGAGTGATGTGGCAGCCACAAGTAGAAAATGTGGTCTGTTCAATCTAGGCAGACTGAATAGTCCTCTAATGGCCTTCAAGTTTCTATTCACCAGACTTGGAACCAGAAAGTGGAAGAGAAGAGCATCCAGAAGTTTCTTGTGGTTTCCACCATGCTGAGGGACGTGAAAGTGGCTGAGAAATGGCCACAGGAGCTAAAAATAATTCATGGTAGTGATGCCAGTCACTCAGGGTTACCTCTGAAATGTCAACCAGTGATACCACAGGAAATTGGATGCTTGGCTGGGGCGAGATGAGAGGTGCTAAGACAGGAAATCTGACAGGGTGGTACATACCTTAGTAGATGAAGGATTATACAGGTGGGACTGGGCCAGGACCTGGACACTGTGAAAAATTCATGGAATTTGAATCAACACAGGGAAATAGGAGCAAGAGCAAAATCTGGAGCTGAATGAGTTTACCAAGAATTGACTTCAGGTTGGGATTTTTGATAAGAGAAACAGTGACGATTCCAGGACAGAAATCAAGTAACAGAAAAATAAAGCTACATTCTTGGCACATCTTAGCCTGTGACGTGGGAGGTTCATGCCCAACACACATTTCTAATGCTACACCAGCTTCATTTTAGAAATAAAGCTTTTGCTATCATTTTATCTAGGGTGATTCATCACATTTCTCTTACAAATGGTACATATTTGATAATCTCCAGCACATGGCCCCCAAGTAAATGGAGAGAACCCACATTTCTCTTCAGCTTGATTAATTTGGAGAATTATGTTTTTTATAAAATCATTCTGATTATATATCCCAAGTTATTGTAAACAGCTGTTTTAATGCCTTAGCCTCTGAGCCTTCAGAGCTGATTTCCACATTACGTTTGATACGTATGTCTATAATTTAGTCTGATGGGATCTTCAGCTCTTTAAAGCAATATGCTTGCTCCTTCTTTCTTCCACCATCATAACTCTGCATTCTTATTTCAGCTTTAATTTGTACACAGCTAGAATACACCTGTCTGACCGGATGCGTGAGTTAGCTACTTCACAAGAAAATGTTGAAATGCTGCCTCCATGTCAAAACTCTGTAATAAGCATTTAAGGATTCTACCCTCAGCCCATCCCACCAAACTCACAAAAGCAGAGAGAGAGAATGCCATGCTCCTTTTCCAGTAATTATTCTGGACAAGACCATAAATGGCCAGCAGGGTACGATGAGAATGGAAAACAAATGGTTTCCAAATTTCTAAAGCTCAGTGTACAAAGCATGGAGAAGCAAAGAAAGCCTGCTCTCCATCCCCAACTTTTCCCCCTTTTACTCCTGCCAGGCATTTCCTTTGTTCTATTTTCTATCTCACTGAGATTAAAGTGCTGATCTCCCCCTTTTTGAAAATGATGTCACTTTTTTATTTTTTGCCTTGGCAGAGAGCAAGTTCATTACAAATCTGCTGTGTGACTGATGGCTTTGAAGAGATAAGGCAGAGGGGGAAAACACATTTGGGAAGGGTATGAAACTCAAGAGACAGGTTGACAATTAAACAGGCAGTCAGAGAGATGATGAAGGATAAGAAGAAATAGATGCGGGGTAAATATCTTTTCCATATTCTCTTTTACAGCCACTGAAAAACTATTTTTTTTTCATGATAGTTTTATCTGGAAGCAATGCCATAGATGAAAATTCGTTTCATGTGTTTTCTGGTGTGATCCGTGCACTTTTGATGACATTATTACAGGCAGGTCATCGTGGATGTTTTTGATGTTCAGGGTG
Organism: Homo sapiens; assembly: GCF_000001405.40. NCBI lineage: Eukaryota > Metazoa > Chordata > Mammalia > Primates > Hominidae > Homo > Homo sapiens. The sequence continues at coordinate 85,425,141 of NC_000014.9, read as the reverse complement.
AGGAAGACATTTCCTTCTGCCATTAGGAAAGGTAAAAGAGTTTGGTACTGAATTTGATTTACTATAATTGCTGATCACTGGACGATGTGGCAGTTTATATAAGAAACATTTCAGATGTAAAACCAGATTGAAAGCATAATGCACATTCTAGCATCATGTATATTATTTACAATTATTAGTGACAGATGCAGAGCCTGGGAATCTCGGAATCTTTTATCCCCCAGGTTTAATCATACTGGAGGCAGTGGACATATACATGGTTTGCATAGGCCAATTTACTGAAGTGTTTGACATCTAGAAATTAAACACACACACACACACACACACTCTCTCTCTCTCTCCTAAAGCTGTATTTTCACCATACAGCATCTTATGTAAATAACTTTGTCATATGTATACATCTAAATGGATGTTAAAAAGCCCTTGTCTTGCTGGGCATGGTGGCTCAAACCAGTAATCCCAGCACTTTGGGAGGCCCAGGTGGGCAGAACACTTGAGGCCAGGAGCTCCAGACCAGCCTGGCCAACATGGCAAAACCCAGCATCTACAAAAAATACAAAAATTAGCTGGGCATGTCAGCACATGCTTGTAACCCTAACCACTTGGGAGGCTGAGGCAGGAGAATCGCTTGTACCTGGGAGGCGGAGGTTGCAGTGAGCCGAGATCGTGCCACTGCACTCCAGCCTGGGCAACAGAGAGAGACTCTGTCTCAGAAAAAGAAAAAAGAATAAAAGAAGCCATTATCTTTCCTATGGATGGATATTTCTGCAGATGAAAGGGTTTTTTTAAAAATATGCTTCTGGGTTAAGGATGGAAGTAGGATGTTTCAGAGAAGTAAGTAGTGGATAATAAAATAGAGGAGGGGCCCAGAGACAAATGTTTGCCAGGCTGCGGCATATCTGACAAGAACACCAGCCATTCCTTTTCATCTTCTGTGGCTCTTCTTCTCCTTCTCATCACCGTCACTCACCTCCCACCATCACTTGTATGTAATAACAGAAATATTTATGATTGCATCCTGCGTGTCTGAAAGGAGGGTGTGTATGTGGAAGGTGTGCTTGTCACTCCCAGCCCTGAGGCCTGAAACATACTGCATGAATTTTACTTTTAGTTTCCCATTGGCCTTGAGGAAACCCTTCTAAATAACATATGCTATGCTGTTATTCCTCTGTTCACCCCTCCCCAGTATCTTCCTGGGCTCCCATTGCCTCCAGAATAAAATCCCAGCTATTCAGGTCTCCACCTTCTGGTTCCTGCCAATCTCTCCACTCTTGCTTCTGGCCGTTTTCATTACACATTTACTTGAGTCCTAATGAAGTGCCTGGTTCTTGAATGCACTTGGCTGTTTCATTCCTCTGAGCACACTCTTTCCTCTGACGGAGATGCCCTGTTGGCTCTTCACCATCTAACAAACATCTATCTCCATTTCCTTCTAGTCTTGAGTAAAAGTATGACCTCCTCTGTGAAATTTTCCATGTACTCAGAAAGAATTGATCACTCTTTTCTTCTGGCCACACCTTACCTTCTACTTCTACTTTGAGTTTAGTATCTTTATTGAATTTTTCAAAATTTATGTGTCATGATCTAGGTGATTGGGTATACCCAACATCTATAAACCTGCTCAGCTAAAAGCTAGTGCTCACTTTATAAACGTTTGGTGAATAAATGGATATATACATCCTGGTATTTGAATTCAGGTTAAAGGATTTCAGGACTGCATATCCGCTTTCTAAGTTAAGGATGCACCCTTTTCCTTAGAAAATAAAACCCTAAAGAGACTATGAGTTAATACAGATTCATACAATATTTAAAATAAAAACAAACCAGACAGAAAGGTGTTGTGGAATGGTCTGCCGTATGTAAGAGCAATACATTTTCTTGCCCATACATTATCATTTCTTTCACAGTTCATTGTTCATGAACATTATCGTTCATGAGATATAAGCAACTGGTCCCTCCAAACTCTCTACCCTACCATCCTGATTGTTTGTAAGCACAAATGAAACACTTTCAGGCAAAGCAAAAGTGGCAATTCAAATGTCTTTAATACATGCAAATGCATCATTCCAGAATTGGAAATTATTACCTTCTTGATAATCTAGAAGGGCCCTTATGACGTGGGTCTTTCTTTTTGTGTGTTTGTTTTTATTTTATTTTGTTTTGTTTTTCCAGTAATTGCTGGAGTGGCTGAGTTAGGTTTGAGTCTAAAGCAGATGGTGGTTGAAACTGATCGAGGCACAGGGCTGTGGCCTCCCACTTGGGCAGGTGTGTTACAGTGTTGAACCAGGGATGAGGTGAATATCAGGAGTATGGATAGTATACAGTTATCATCCATCTATTTTTTTAAAATTTCACATATTTCTTATTGATTCAAACAGCTTATCAAAATGTTTAAAATTTTCTGATTTTCTCAGCTTATCTTATGTTAGTATCAGAATCAGCACATCAATGAGAAGTATCACATGTGAAATTACAGAAGCCAACGGCTTTCTACGATTTTGAAAAATTAGAGGGGTAATAGAAATCTCAATGCTGCTGGAGCAATGATAATTATTTGATGATCCATGCATCAGAATGATTTAGGCATTTAGTGAGTGCCATATCTTTTTATAACTAGCATTTCTTTTAACATGAGCCATTTTGAGGGGTAGTAGGTAGTCAAATTCTCATTTGAGGTATAGGAAATAATTTCAAAATGTAGCATTAAGATGAAGAAGGGTTCAGAGTTTAATTCAAACCATGGTCCTGATACCATGCTACTTTACTTCATCAAATAGACTTCATAAATATCGGGTGGAACGTTTAGGCCACATAAATATCGAAGAAAACCCTTTTTCGATAAAGAATAATAAAGTGTTGGCTAACAGCAAGATGGCTGACTGGATTAGGGCACTTCATAAATGCTTTATCAGAACTCACTCTAGCTTTCCCAATTTCTTAATTTTTATCATTATCCCAGATGTGTGCATATCTGATTTAAGGAAACTGGTTAGATATGAAAGCACTTATTTTATTTTATTTTCTTAGAGAAAAAAAATAATTTCAAGCTCTTTTTAAAAAGCTTTTTTTTTTTCTTACATACCAATAATATGTAAAAGAAGAATGCCACCCACTCTTACTCTCAGAAGATATTTTAAGAAATCTGCTTAGTGGGTTCATTGTGAGGTATGGCAGACCCAGAGACAAGGATTCAAGTGCAAGTTATTTATTTGGTGTGTGGTTCCTGGAAATGCTGATAATGAAGAAGTAGAATGGGGAGGAGGGGAAGGCCTCAGAAAGTCAAGAAAACTTTCTTTCCAAGCAAGTTTCCAATGAGAGATTGCAATTCCACCCAGATGGGTTCTCTGGGAGCCAAAGCATCATAAGTGGATCTGCAACACCCCACCTCAAGGGTGAGGCAACTGGTGCATTTTGCACCAACTCCCAGTGAGTCACTGGCTGAGGGCTGCTCCTAGGGGCCCTTTTTTCCCCAGTACTACAGCAGGCAGAGTGAGATCTTATGACTAGAGAAGGGCCTCAGGCAAAGTGAAACAGACTCGCAAGTTGAAAATTAGCCCTGCAGGCACTGACATGGTTAAGGCCCAAGGGCATCTGGCCCTTGCAGCCTCAGCTCCATCTGCTGCTACCATTCACTCAGTCAGGAATGGCTTGAGTTCCTTAAATACTAACTTCTACTGTGATAATGGTGAAATATCCTCTGTGGAGAAGAAACCTCCCTGTAGGGCTTCCCGCAACATCATAGCAATGCCATCATCATGGCCTCTTGAGCCATTCACAGATGGTTCAAGAGTGTTAATCACAAACCCTTGGACAAAGACTCTGGAAAGCACCTTATTCTTGGGCAATACCCCACAGGCATTCATACAACAGTCTTAAAAATTCATCCGCCAGGTCAGTGGCTCACACCTGTAATCCCTGTACTTTGGGAGGCCAAGGCAGGTGGATCACCTGAGGTCAGGAGTTTGAGACCAGCCTGGCCAACATGATGAAACCCCATTTCAACTAAAAATACAGAAAACTAGCTGGGCATGTTGGTGAGTGCCTGTAACCCCAGCTACTCGGGAGGCTGAGGCGGAAGAATCCCTTGAATCTGGGAGGCAGAGGTTGCAGTGAGTCAAAGGTTGCAGTGAGCCAAATGTTGCAGTGAGCCGAGATCACTCCACTGCACTCCACCTGGGCAACAAGAGTGAAACTCCGTCTCAATTAAAAAAAAAAATCATCAATGGCAATATAATTGTTGCAAGGTCTTGTGATTCATGTTGATGAATATCTAATAGGTGTTTCATGCATATTTGTGGAATGAATTATTATCATTATCGTTATTACTAGTATTTTGACTCTTTTTGCAGAATCTTTTTGCACACCATGCAACTCTTATTCTAGAGAGCATGAATCCACTCCCCAGGCCAAGTTGTGATTGCTTTATCTGAATTTACCTGCAGACTTGCTAGGAAGTTTGTATCTTGGACTCTGCTGACTATGCTAAGGAGATTTATAGGAGCCTGATAAATAGTACTTATATCACAACAGACTCTTTACATTTCTGCCATGCTGGAATGAAATTTCCCAGCCAGAGCCTTTTCTAAGGCCATTTTTTATGTCAAACTGCAGTCAGTCTGGAGGTGGTGTTGAAGATGGTTATGAATGTTACAGAGCGAGCTAGGCAATGAATTAGCAAAGAATTTCTGTGAAAATGAGTATAAAGGGAGGGGTATTGGCTCATCAGTACAAGCAGGAAATCCCCAAGAAGAGGCTGATTTCAGTGGCAAATTTAAATCTAAACTACAACAGACAAAATGTCTGTTAGATGCTTACTACCTTCAATAATTACACAAGTTTAGTTTCCCTTGGTCTTGTTGTATTATCCCATTCATACTGATGTTGTTATATATATACATCTTCATAAGCCATGCCAGATTTTTTTTGGAAGTAAACAATAGTTAATTGATCTGAGAACTTGTGATGGCAAACATACAGATTCAAAGATACTTACAAGAAAGCAAGACTTGTCATCTACGATCTTTGCTTTCTTCTCTTCTAAAGATGGATTAATATCTAGCTTATGAATTCAAAGAAACAGATAACACTTTTTAATGTGAATCAAAGTGGTTGTTTTGTATACAGTGTTTTACAGTAGCTCTTGAGTAGATTTCCACTTCTTTTCTTCTATAGATTTGCTACAAAATTTTAGCTTCGTCATCCAATGAGACAATGTAGTTTTTGTTGTTTGTTTTGGTAGCAGGAGAAAGCAAGGAAAGGGGAAAGAGTACCACCGTCTTTTTTTGTGTTCTTTTTCTGTTGTTTATTGTTCAGTTGTTGTTTTGTTTTAGAGGGAGTCTGAAACTCCTCTATTACCCTTGTCCCTGAAAGGCACAGAAAGGTCAGGATATCCATGGTTGTAGCAGAACAGGTACATTCCAGAAAGGAGCTGTATATTTCATTGACCCATTCTTAATTCCTAGTGGCAAAGAACGAAATGAGAGAAACACTTTGAATGTAGGTTCTAGTGCTCCGTTCTCAAGTCTAAGTCTTTAACAGAAATGCATGAACCCCTTCATCAAAAACAAACAAAGATTAGTAATATTTTGAATATCGAGATTGGATAGGAAGCAACATTTATAGCACACTCTTGAAAGAACCACATGACAAATCCAACTGATGATTAGGAATTGTAATTGAACGGAAGAGGGAACTATTTCCATTGTCTACACCCTATCAGTGACCTGGATGCTAAATGAAATCTTAAAAAACAAAATAAACAAAAAAACCCACTTGCTTATGTATCCATTCATTCTTTTGCATAAGTCGATAGAGTTGGGCATTCAAAATTTTCAGCATTAGTTTAAGAAGTTTCATCTGTAAAAATCTGTATTTAAGAGAGAATGCTACATTTCTCTTTTATTCTTATTTCCAAAATTTGTCACATATGGAAAGCTTCAGTTTTTCAGTAGAATTCTTATTTATTATCAAAGACAGCTTTTGTGAGGAAAGCAACACCTTTTTTTGACAAACCCAATTTGTTTGCATATAAAATTTAATGTGAAAATTAATATTGTACTGTGTTTGCAATACTGTGAAAATACTGGGATCTTATTTTGACTAATTATACATCTTAACTTATCCTATAATGAAACATTTAGCTGAGATGTAGTCTTGCTTTGCACTTTCTTTTAAGTAGAGGTGTGAGTTTTTCTGTTTTGGCTGTGTTCCATTTTGTGCAATAAGATTGCATTTTCTTTTACAAAGTCCTCTGCTTCAAAACCAACTTTCACTTTCTTGTATAGAGTTCATATTTACTCTGGAGAGGTTTGCAAATCATAATGAGTTGACAGCTTTACAAAGAGCCATGGGATTCTTTGAGATTAAAAATAACAATTGAATATTATATATATTATGGGTTGCAAATTATGGCCCATGCCGAATCTGCCCTGCGGCCTCTTTCTGTATGGAACTCAAGCTGAGAATAGTTTTTATATTTTGAAATTATTTAAGAAAATAATATTTTATGATACATAAAAATTATATGAAATGAATTTTCAGTGTCCACAAATGACATTTTATTTGAATACAGCTGCACTGATTCATTTACATATTGTTTAAGACTTTTGTGCTACAACACAAAAATACTTGAGTAGTTATGACTGAGACCATATCGCCAGTAAAGCCTTAAATATTAATTATCTGGCCCTTTACAGAGATATTTGCTGACCTTGGTCTCTCTCTTTCTCTCTTTCCTTTTCATATATAGCTATAGATAGGTCGGTAGATTTATGATCTATTCATCTATATATGTGTATTATCTACCTATGATCTAGCTATATCTACATCTCTATATCTATGACCTATCTGCATCTATTTATATAATATCTATCAAAGAGAAGGAGAAAATGACATTCAATGAAGAAATATAACTGCCATTTAATCTCAAATGTGTTTGGACATATTTATACTAAAATGAACAAAATTTATAGTAATCAATATCTTGTTCTCATTTATTCTTCATGTGAAAATAGCACACGAATTAAGACAGAAGATCCATCCCATTTCATATTCACATTATTAGCCCATCTTCATTTACATAGATATACCACCTCCAGGCAAAGATGAGGTTTGCACTATTAGGCAGACACTGAAGTAAAAATAAACTTCTTTTCAACATGTGATTTTTCCAGCTATCGTGTCTTTGGCTCACACAGACTCATAAAAAGCTTTAAATTTACTACATTTCTAAAAGGATACAGTTTGTGCAGTCGGTAACTGTCACATTCTGTATAGACACTGGTGAAATATATTCGCAAAGCAAATCAGCTATTCCTCTCCTTTGCCCAGAGATGGAAAATCATTCGATCTCATAAAACCTTCTTATTTGATTTTATATTTTTATAGCTAAAAATATGAAGCCAAATAGTGACTTGGGTGGTAATTGTTGCTTTTAAAATGTCCTTTCTCTAATTTTAATGTCAGCATAGCAAATGGAGAACCACTATTGTTTGTTGCTTGATCATAATCACTTTCCTGAACTAGGAAAACCACAGAGAATGTGTGTGTGTGTGAGTCTGTGTGTGTGTGTGTGTGTTTGGGTGGGTGGGTGAGTCGGTCTGTACAAAATAAAAATACAGCATTTAATTTACACGAGGTTTGGGCTATAAATGGTGAAGAGGCAAAAATTTTTGTTATTTTTTCTAAATTAATGTCACTGAAGAACTGTGATTATTAATACTTTAAGTGGATGGTGCTTTCCAATTATAATTAATAATAAAACCTACCTGGATTTTAAAAATAATTGTTTTACTTGCTAATTCAGGCTAATGTCAAGATAATCCAATCAGTGTAGACATTTAACCATATTCAATTATTTTAACTACAACGATGTTACAGAGTTTGAAAGGCAAGTGCACATTCAATTTCTGATAAAATAAACACTTCACATTTCTTATTCTGAAATCACCTTGTAGGCAGGCTTATAAAATAACAAGGACTCTTTGAAATCATTATTTGCTCAGTGTGCTATTAATAATAATCTTTTCATGTTGAATGAATTGAAGATGAAGATCTACTCTTTAGCTCTGACAGTTAAGAGTAATCTTTTAGGAATGTGGGCAAGAGGCAAGAAAGGAAACGTGGGGATTTACATTTCTCAACAGTGCTGATCCCGAGAAGACATACTCATAAGGCACCATGAGCAGAGCCTCCATGTGAAGTCAGAATTGTCCTTCCTGTCTACACAGTTAGTTCAACTAATTTTACTGGGGTGACCACACATTGTCCTTATTTCATCACCTGTTTCCTCTGCTCACTAGACTCTTCCTCTCTACCCACAAATGCTACAGGACATTCTTTATTTCAGTACAGTGAAACTGACTCTGTAAGCTGCCCCTTCCTTACTGGTGAACAACTTCATCCAATTTTAGGTCCTTTCCATTTGTTTCAATATAGGATTTTGAAATAATTTGAATGCTGTTGGAAATGATACTTTTTGTTACACAAAACAATCCACTGGAACATTATTCTTGAATGAAAAAAAGTTTATACATTTCCTCTTAAAATAAGATGAATTCCTCTAAAAAGTAATTTTGTAGGAGAAATATTAAGAAACACTATCATTTGAATTTTCAAAGCATCTCATATTTCCAGTGTCCTGCTAAATCTAAAACATATTCTTTTATTTAAAAAAAAAAATTTAAAAAGAGAAAGTGTCTTTGCAAAACAGGAAAAAGTATTGACTTAAACATACAAAAAGTTACTGCCTTTTTTAACCACTTGGATACATGTGTTTTAATAGTAGATTTGTTTACATCATCAAATTCTTTCTATCTTTGCTATAGTAGACCCTAAATATTATTCCTACTAAGTTTCAGAAATATACAAATTATATCTATATTTTCTGTCCTGAACTATTAGAATAAATAACCTCTCATGTGACCATATAAACACCAGCCACATTCTAGTACAAAATGCTTTGGAATTGAAAAGCAGTTTTCAATTCCTACTTGTAGTGGGGTAACAAAGTCTTTAGGCTGGTTAGGGCTAAAAGCGCCACACACTTTGAAGATAAATTAGTTTCATTTTTTATTACTGTATTGCCAGCTTCTCTTCCAAATTACATTTTTAATAAATTTGATCTATAGCCATTTTGAAGGGTGAAAGCCCATAAACACATCTTTCTGCTTTAATTGCCTTTATAAAGCACTTACTCAAAAGGGTAGTTTTTCTTCCCAGTTGTACCACCAGTTTTTATAAGTGAATCTGCCTGCCTCTCAGGATAAACTGAAACTCACTGCTAAAAATGAATCCTGTACTGTGGGGCGTTAATATATTCACACAAATTTTTATTGCAACAAAAAGAAAAATAATTGCCTTTTCAAGGAGGTTGTATGACATTAACAGGTAACATTTATATTCCAATTTATTTACAATAACATACATATTATATTCTACATATCATGGTCCTATTGTCAGATCAACGCTGTTTGTGACTTGCAGGCAGTTAAAAACCCACACCCGTTGTCACAGAACAACAGGCTCGAGCAAGTTTTCTACTGGGCACTGAGCCACATGAATCCATGTATCTTTCTCTTCTCTATTTGTGTGTACACTCCTCCCTGGGTGATCTCATCCAGAGTCATGAACTTGCATTCCATCTACACGCCCATGCCTCTGTCTTTTGGATCTCTACTCCCATCTCCCCCTGAGTTCAGACTTGCACCACCTACTGGCTCTTCACTGACCGGCTAACTGATGCTCAAATTCGACGTATCGAAAGCAGAACTCGTAAGTCTTCCTGCAACCTGCCTTCCCCATCTCAGTCCCTAGCGTCAACATTTCATACATGGGACCAAAACCTTGTAGAAATCTGTGACTCCTCTTTATCTCCCACATTCCTCATCTGTTAGCAACTCCAGTGGTCTCTAACTGCATAATACAAACGTGTACACACAGAATCTGACCACGTCTTAACATCTATTCTGTGAATACTCCAACTAAGCCACAGTCTTCTCTCACCTGGACTGTAACATACTACTGACAGGTTTTTGTGGCTCTGATAATTCTCTACACACTGGCTATAGCGATATTTTAAAATGTGAATTAGATAATTTCTCACCCTTGCTCAAGACTGGCCAATGGTCTCTATTACACTCAGAATGAAATCCAAGCACCATGGGCTACAATGGCACACGTGAATCAATCCTTACCTTATTGCTCATGTCACCCCACTCTCCTCCTCACGCATATTGCTCGAACCATGTTCACTGACCTTCATGCTTTCTGTGAGCAAGCCAAGCCCACTCCTGCCTCAGGCCTTTCTACTTTCTCTTCTCTCTGTCTGGAACACTCTTCCCCAGGTTTTTGGATGGCTCACTTTCTTACTTCATTCATATTTCAGCTCAAATGCCAATTCCTCCGGAAGGCCTTTCCTTTCTAATCTAGCATCTTCTACTCCATCTGTCACTCAGTAATTGTGCCCTTATAACATTTTTTCTACATAGGTCTTATCGCTCTCTGAACTTTTATTATACTTATTTATTTTTCTATTCATTTGTGGATTTTTTCTTGCCTCTCCCAGCAGAATGTTGGCTCCGTGAAGGATAGCAGCTAGTCTCTTTTCTTCCCCACTGGATCCCTTTTGGTTCCTGTATCCTTTGAGGAAACAAATAAATCTTCCCACATGGGGATATTTGATTCCACTACCGTGTAGATGGCCACTAGGTATGGGATGTGGAAGGTATAAAGTAAACTCACACACTGAAATACTAGGCCCAAGTGAGCAGATGCACTTCCTGTCTCAGTCACGATTTCCTCAGCAATTGCAAGAATGTAGGAGGGGAGAAATGGGGAAGTACAGAAAGAAGTGTTGAGGCGTTGGCATTCTGGGATGAATACTAAGAATATGTGGGGCAAAAAAAAATTGCTGTGAACATCTCACTTCCAATAACACATAAGAAAGCAATTGAGTCAAACTGGAAAGTGAAAATCAGAAATTCATGATTTTTTTTAAAAAAGTTTCTGATTTCCCACATAAACTCAGAAGTCATTACATTTTAGCAGTTGTAAATATTGCTAGGAAGCATTTTAACAATGCAGACTTTTGAGCCTCTGGGATTTGGGTCTGTTCTCTAGAGGATTCCAACGCAGGTGGTCCGTGCACATGTTTTGAAGAATGGGGACTGGGAGCAGTGAGTGCTCTAAACTATTTTATTTCAATAAAGAAAGGAGAAATATTTTCTAGCTTCCTTTAGATGCACAATAAAAATATATTTTTTCACATATTTATTTATTTATTATTTTACTTTAAGTTCTGGGATACATGTGCAGAAGGTTCAGGTTTGTTACATAGGCATGCATGTGCCATGGTGGTTTTCTGCACCCATCAACCCATCATCTAGGTTTTAAGCCCTGCATGGATGTCCTAAAGCTCTCCCTCCCCCTCCCCTCCACCTACTGACAGGCCTCATTGTGTGATGTTCCCCTCCCTGTGTCCATGTGTTCTCATTGTTTAACTCCCACTTATGAGTGAGCACATGCGGTGTCTGGTTTTCTGTTCCTGTGTTAGTTTACTGAGAACGATGGCTTCCAGGTTCATCCATGAGCCTGCAAAGGACATGAACTCTTTCATTTTATGGCTGCATAGTATTCCATGGTGTATATGTGCCACATTTTCTTTACTGAGTCTGTCATTGGTGGGCATTTGTGTTGGTTCCAAGTCTGCTATTGTAAGTAGTGCTGCAATAAATGTACGTGTAGATGCATAATAAAAATATTTTTAAGATCATCTATGGAAACATCAGTCTTGGCTGATTTATTTCAACATTCACAAGGCATTATTTTTGTGAACTTATAATTAATTTTCAAGAATGTCATTAAAACAGTTTTAGCATTGCCTCAGCCCCTCCACTGGTGAAAACTAGGATGATTACAGCGTCTATATCACGTGATTATTCAAACATGTTAAGTGATGGAAACACTTAGAAAAGTGCCTGGCCTATAGTAATCTCAGTAAATATAGCAATTGTTATTATTATTACTAATTGAAATCATGATCTACAAACCTTTTAAAGTTTCATTCATTTGACTATAATTTTAATTGGTTTACAACAGTTTTTGCTTAGGGTGTAAACAGACATCTAAATTTTTATACATTCTGGTTAGGCGCATAAATATTCTGTATTAGAAAAATCACAACATTTACCTGAGTCAGCATGATAATTAACCCAATTTTAATCTCTGAGAGTGAATTGAAATGGGTATTTCTTTTGAATCCACACTATTAAACTTTAAAAAGTCATGTATTTTTACTGTAAAAAATCAGGAAATGCAGAAAAATATTACCTATAATATTACCTGTAATCCATTAATATATTCCATGCAAAATGTCATCTTATGGTGTGTATAAATTTTTCTTTTTTTGAAACAAAGTCTCACTCTGTCGCCCACTCTGGAGAGCAGTGGCACAATCTCTGCTCACTGCAACCCCTGCCTCCTGGGTTCAAGCAGTTCTCATGCCTCAGCCTCCCGAGTAGATAGGATTACAGGTGCCTGCCACAATGCCAAGCTAATTTTTGTATTTTCAGTAGAGACAAGGTTTTACCATGTTGGTCAGGCTGGTCTCAAACTCCTGACCTAAGGTGATCCACCCACCTTGGCCTCCCAAAATGCTGGGATTATAGGCGTGAGCCACCGTGCCCGGCCGCATAAAAGTGTTTATAAAAATAATGCCAAAACTTTACATATTTCTTAATTTTTTCAATAAAATATGCCTACAAATTTATTCTATGTTAATTTTCATTTTATTAATCTCATTGTTCAATTACATGACTCCTGGAAATTAAAAAGACAGTGTGCCCTTACAGACAAAGTATGGGCACTATTTCATCAGCGGGAAGAAAGAGAAGTATGGTGCCCTAATATAAATCCATCAGTGTGCCCTTCCAGGATTCCTCAAGGAATGAACATTTTCCAGGTATGCAATCCCCAGAGTGATCTTTGAGTGAGGACAGCAGGTCTGTCCTACCTAGAGCTTCCTAATGGAACACTTTAATGACAACTGCTAGTTTAATAATGTACAATGCAATAACATTTGAATAGCAACAAAAAATGCAATAAAATTTGAATAACAGCAAAAGAGAAGTCAAGTAATACTTAATCTGCTTTAATGATGTATTATTTTAGAAAGGGATATTTTCTTAACAGGAACTCTCACTCAAAATTACAGCTTTATGCTTTTAGCATGGATATTTAACACACAGGTCAGTTCCTGAGTATTCATGTGGTCAGATGTACCTTTGCATAATATTGTAGAGAATTCTCTTTTAACTGACAAGTAAGTGGAAATCCTGCCAACATTTCCTTCTTCTTTTTAAAAAATTTGTTGCAGGCTTATGCTCTACAGACAATACACCCATCCTTCAACTCTACAGCTTCAATATAATTGTATTTCCCTTTATTTCTCACTTTTATGTCTTTGTTTTGAAAGGCAATGGTGTGTAGATAAAAGCTTACGAGTAAGATAGACAGCAAATTGAATTTCACCTCTCTATTTGTTTACTGTGTGACCTTGGACAAGTTGCTTAACCTGCCTAATTCTCAATTCTCTAATGTGTAAAATGGAGATGATGACATATTTTATAATTCCGTTGTGAAATTTGAATAATAAGAGGCATAGAGATCATCTGTCACCTTATGCTGTCTCAATGTAAGTCTCTTTCCTTTCCTTTTATTGTATTGTACTTTTCTGCATATTTTGTTGTGTACTTGTCACATATGTTAAATTACCTCATCTCTTTTGCTTTCATTATTTCCAGGATGATCTCAGCTGCATAAGATATGTCTGGGACCATCCGGCTTATCAGTCTCTCTCTCTCACTCTTTTGTTTGTTTGTTTGTTTGTTTGTTTTTTCATCTTTACATTTACTTTCTTTCAAATCGAACATGTTTTTTCTTTGGAAAAAATCTGAAGGTGTCATATGCAAGTACATAACAAACAGCTTCACCTCAGTCCCTTATCATTTTAATTTATTTTTCATATTCCTATGGTGATGGCTCTAGACCTGACATATAACACATTCGTATGTGTTCCCAACTTATCTAACAAACCATCTCCTTGCAAGTTTTTCTTGACCTAAATGGTATAAAATAGCCTTAGCTATGTTCTTTGTCATGATACCAGAATACGATCCACTAAATAGCTTAGTGGCCGAGGACTGCATGGGCCACATCCTGCCCCTTGTCAGACTAGCATCTTTTCCTGGAAAACCAGTTTTATCAGGATAGTGATGTTTGTCACTTCTAGTTCTTCATACCTTCTCAAACATCCTTTAAAAATACGATCACAAGATTCTTTTATTGTGTTAGTTATTTCATTTTTACTTATGATTTTTTAGCTAAAATAAGATATACAGTTTAGGGTCAGACCACTGGGACTGAGGACACCTCTCTTTTTCAACTCACTGATTATCCGGTCTCCAGGTAGTGGAGTGAGGTCTCACATTGAATCACTGGATTTTTCATCTTCGGCTTCTTTTCTGTTGGGAAACCGTATAATTTTCTTCAAAGGCCTTTTCTTAAAATTGAAACAGTTAAGTTATCCAATTTCTTTTTCCATATCTTTTTTTTTTTTTGCCCTCCATATGCACTCTGAACCCATCAACCTCTCGTCTCTTCATGAACACAGTAAGATGTTTGTAGCATGCGCCTTCATTTTTGCCTTACCCTCCTCTTTTTCTTTTTTTCAGTTTGACTGTGTCAATACAAATGGCCCTCATTTTGCTCTCTGATTTATGCGGTAATTTCTCATCCTTGTTTTCCCCCTACTGCTCTCATTAAATGTATCTGAAAGTAAAAATATCTTCAGCCTATGAATTGTTTGAGCTTCACTTCTTCTTCTCAGAGTGCTTCCTCTAGAACTTTCTCGATGGACTCTGATGTCCTGACAAAGGAAGAAAATTTTTCACACCTTGGATATTTCTTCTAGAAGTTGAATCATCTTCCTGTTCTGTAGGAATAAGGTTATCTTCCAAGTATATTTTCCAATATATGCAGCTTTTAGGGAAGATATTAATGATTTGAAAAGTTGAACTTTTCTTTTTCTCTTACACATAAACCCTCACAGTCCTGTGACTCATCTTTTAGAAGTAATTTTTCAGCCTTTCTGCATGTATATACATGTCAACACTTTAAATTCTGTATTTGTTTTAGATTGGTTCTATATATTTGCATCCTTTGTTTAGTTTTATTTATTTTTAGTCCTCTCGACTTTTTTTTCTAAGTAAATCTTATATTCTCTTTAAATGCAGCCATTTTTCTTCTTTAAGGAAGGGAGACATATCCTTAAGTAACCTATCCATTTGTATTTCTTGGTGCCATTGTCTGAGAGGAAGAGGGGGCTGCAGCATTTGCTATAAAATCAAATCTCTCGCTTTCCACAATTGACATCCATAATCATCCATCTCAGGGTTAGTTCATTTACCTCTGAAATGTTTACATGCCCTGTCAGCTAATGTGATGGTTGCAGATATACTCACTCTCAGTACAGCTATTTCCCAATTTCCAGACTGACAATAAAACAAGTTTATTTAGTTTGAGTTCCAAAGGCTGTAACTCTAGCTTCTGCATTTTAATTATCTGTTTTCATTATCTTCTTTTCAATTGTGATGTGCTCGTATTTATCCTTCAAGGTTTTGTGCCAAACCTCTTTTTTCCTTTTCATGATTCCTCATAATCCACAGACTTATGGAAACACAATATTTCTTCCTGTTTTTCTCTTTTGCATTTGAGTTTCATTTATTTTGGACTTTTGGAGGAGTTTCCTTTTATTTATTTAGTGATAATTTTGTCCTTTCCCTTATTTATTTTCTTCTTCCTCTATAAACATCCCCCCAATTTCTGTTCCAATGTACACATTCTCTTTCCTTCTGCAAAAACCTTGCTTTTTCTTCTTTTTATTTCTACAGATCTTGATCATACTAGATATTTCGTTTACTTGTATTTTATTCTTCTTTCACCATTATGACTTAAACTGCTAATTTTTAATCATCTCCTCATCTCTACCTAAAGCTACTTTGAATAATTTTCCATATCAATTTATTCTAGGACTCAATATTTTCGTTGTGTACAATTTTATTATCATGTGCTTTTAGGAATTTTCATAAACACTTCCCTTTCATCACAAAAATTACAAAAGGTACAATAACACCTTAGCAGCTAATATTAAGCAGTGCTTAATAATGTTTAGGAAGTGCTTAATATTATTTATGAAAAGCCTTCTATATACCAGGCCCTCTGCTATGTGTTTTACCTAGCAGAATTCTCTGACTCAGCTACTGTTAGCCTTTCATTTTATAAGGGACAAAACTGAATTTTGCAGAAGCTATCCAAGTTAGGGTTTAGTTTGCTGAGAGTCACACAAGGAGTAAGAGGCAGATCTAGTTTTCAACCAGCTAGTCTGACTCCAAAGTCTGCCCCGCCAACCCACCACCCACCCCTGCCAGGAATAAATCTTCCTCCGAGAATAAGCTTTATTTAGGCATCATTTTAGTGTGGGGCAAGACATGAAATTAAAGCCCTAGAGAAATCATTTGGATACTATGATACAGGCCTGGTAGCACACATTGATGAACACATTCATCCAAGTGGTGCTGCTGCCCTTCTTCTCCAGCTGAGAGCTGCCACGTGCTCATGAGGAGGGGTCAGGATTTGCCAGAGTTCTTAATCAGTCAAGGCAATTAGAAATCCAAGTATTTTGCGTGTGATGTTTCCCATTAGAAAGGTTGTATCTCCTTAAAAAAATTATACGTCATGCTGGCAAACCAAAGACATCTGTATGTGTAATACAATCTGTGGAATTAGATACCTCCATTTAACTGACTCCTAAACCTGTTATATCCCATGGATACCATTTTTCCTCTAGAATAACATGATTAGGAATATGGTGCCTACTACATCTCCATTCTCACCCTGAGGTTGTGCTCTAGAACCAACCAACTAGGTTCGAATCTCAGCTTTTCCACATGACCTTATGCAATTTACTTAACCATTCTATGCCTCAGTTCTTTGCTTATTAATATAAAATAGAAATAAAATTATCTGCATCAGAGATTTTAAATACTTGCCTTTAAAAATACTTTTCACCAGTTTCACTGGAGAGTGGGGGAGTAAAACTTCTCATCTGCCAGGCCAACAGTCAGTTCACCACTGAGTTTTTATGAGGATTGAGTAGGTTAATATTTGCATATTTAATAAAACACTGAAAGAACAAGAATAAGAAAAGATCACTAGGCTTTAACTCAGGATCCCTGAAATTTGAATTGAAGTTTTTAATCCACTCACTATGTGACCTTGAGAGAGTCACCTAAATGCCATTTGTGTCCTCATCTGTAAAAATATATTTTGTTTTGAAAAATATGTGTGTTATTATCTCAAGGTATTTGAGGATCCCTCATGTCTATTCTTTACAGAAGCAAAACATCGCATCTTTCCATTTTATAGGACAATGCCAACTCCTGAAGATCTTGCTCTAAGTGGTCAAAGGGTGAGCATACTGCAGGCAACAAAAGATCGAGCATACTACAGGCAACCAAGGGTCAAGACAAATTTACAGGATCCCTCCCTACCGTGGCCACTACCCAGCTTCCCAGTAGTGCCTTCCTAGTAAGTGTCTATCTGGTCTCAGTAAAAGAATACAGAGTCACACAAAGGACATGAGCTTTTGGAGCAGCCTTATGCACACTGAGCTCTATTAATGATGTGGTTATAAAAGGAGGCTGAAGTAGTCATGGCTGAATGTTAATTTAACTACAGCCATATACAGTGCAGTTTAGAGCGTAGGAAGGAAAGGTATCCCATTAATATCTATGAGTGTGTTAGGACTCCCATGTACCAGTCAGGGTGAGTGACATAGCAGTCCTAAAGAACAAACTTTATGAGACACAAACTGTTCTTGGAATTCAAGATCTGCGAAAATAATGAATATTTCCCCAACACTCTTACCTTTGAGAATAGAAATACTGTTCCATAGCATAGTGTTTGATATTATTTAAGAATTAATTTTAGAATGGCTTCTTCTAGTTTTATTGATCAGAGGCTGGAGCTGCTTCTTTAAAAGGAATTGTGCTAAAGTGTAAAAGTTTAAGGATTCAGAAAAGTCTTATGTTTTTATGTTGGCTAGGTCAACGAGAAATAGCTCAACAAGGTAGAAAGATAATAGAAGACCACACTTTGTTAACAAGACTTTCTTTGGTCGCTCATCAACTTTAAAATTATTGGAGTCCTCTAATAACATTTACCTTCTGCTTCTCTTTTGGCAGTTTTTGCTTCATATTAAACTTAATTATTTATGTGTCCTCAGATTGTGTGTTGCTTATAGTCATAAACTGTCTTTTCCCTAGAGTTTCTCTGCACCAGCTAGCACAATGTCTTTCAAGTGGGATGAGTATAAGTGTTTGCTGAATGAACTAAAATACACATGTCTTCATAGGTATACATATATACTCATCCTAAGACATTACTTACTTATTTTCCACTGATCTCAACATATGTTTCGGTTCATATGACTCTAATACTCTAATTTCTTTTAGAATAGGTTGAGCCTTGTTTACAAGAAGAGGGGGTGGTTTACACACACACACACCCTCAACACACCCTTGGCAGAAATCTTGATTAGTCAAGGCAATTAGAAATCCAAGTATTTTGCATGTGAAGTTTCCCATTAGAGAAGTTGTATCTCCTTTAAAAAATCATACATCATGCTGGCAAACCAAAGACATATGCATGTGTAATACAATCTGTGGGATTAGACACCTCCATTTAACTGACTCCTAAACCTCTTATAACCCATGTATACCATTTTTCCTTACCCCAAAGAATTCATCAAATCAAAATCCACAGAAATCAGAAGGAACTAAAAATTAGTTAATTCAGTCTCTAATTAATATTCATAGATCTATGGTTATACAATATTTGATTACAAAGTCATTTAAAATGGATTAATGGAACAAAAGCTTTATGGTTACTAATAAGGACTAAATGTACATTATGATTATTAAATAATAGAAACTCCTAGAAACCTGATTGTATACATATAGGAAAACTAATGCAAAACTACAAGTAGTTTCAAAGATGATTTTTTGAAAAAAAAAATTCTAAACCAAACACTATTTCCCTTGACAGATTTGCTGCCCATGGTAATGGAGACAAATACCTGCAGAAGAACATAATCAAAACTCAAAGGAAAGTAAGGAGGAGCAAGTTTTTTAAAAGGAATACAGTTTGCAATCCTCTTGTTACTAATTCTTGTTGATAATTGATTTTGTGCTTAAATCTCACAAGAATAAACAGTTTTTAGCAATGCTTTAAATTCTTAGCGTTTTCGAGGAAGCAGTTGTGATCAGTGAATCAGATCTGACTTAATCTGATGATTGAGTATTCTTTTCAATAGAAAAGCCAAGAAGAGCTGGATACTATTCGAATGCTTCCTAAACCCTATTTCAACACTTTTCAAATTGAACGTACTCTTTTCCTCCAGATATGTGCTCTTCCTTTTATGTCTTGTGTCTCCATCAATACATTACCTTCCTTCTAATCACCAGAGCTAGACAGTCCTGGTTATTGTTGATACATTCTTTCTCATCCACAGCCACATTTAACAGATCAATTATCCTCTGAAAACCCTTTCCTGCCTTGATTTTCCCACTGCCACTAGTTCAAGCCTTTGTCATCTTTTTCCTACTGCAATAATCTCTCACTGGCCCTTCCCTCTCAATTCAACTTTCTATAATACCACTGGATTTATCTTCCTACAATACTAATAAGCTTACATTGCTTCCCAGGTTAAAAAAAATAGAAGAAATGATTTCTAAAAGCACAGATGTCTCTCCTTTCAATCTGGGTGCCAGCAGGCATATTTTGTTTAGTCCACGGTCTAAAATTTTTTTGATTGGTCAACATTTAATAATTTGTAGAATCAACTTATGATATTTACTGTTTTTCTTGAGAAAGAGCAACCAGCAATGAATGGTAGGTTGACATTTCTCCCTTTGGACTGATTTGCTGTCCCCACATACTCCTGCAAATGTAAGGCTTCTCTATGTCACTACAGTCCCCATCACTTCCTGTTGTCCCCATGTCTCCTTAGCAATGACAACTTCTGTTGCTTTCACTTGTCATATCTTTTTTCACTGTAGTTTTTCTTATTTCCAACCCACTTCCTCCTACTGTATGATAATGTCCATGTTTCTTAGCACAGCATTCAAGGCCCTTACAGGCTGGCTTCACTATCCTCTCCTTATTTTATCCTCCTCTATATCCCACTTTATATTTTAGCCATATTAGACTGCCCCCTGTTCCTAGACATGTATGAGCTGGGGGTTTCAAGTACAGATGGACTCAGACTGTTTGGTGTCAAATTTCCATCTTTGTTAGCTCTGTTATCTTGGATAAACTACCTGACCTCTCTGTGGCTTGGGTATTTCATTTCTATACTGGAGATGTTGGTTCCTACCTTCTACAGTTATGATAATGATTTAAGAGAGTTAATACATAGGAAACTTTTAGCACTTAATAAATGCTCAGTAAGTTTTAGGTATTGTTAATTTCCCGCCAAATATTTTACTCATGAAGTTCCATCAGTTGAGCATAACTTTTTTGTTTTGTTTTTTTGCCTGGTGCACTTCTACCTCTTTAATATTCAACTTAAGTGTTACATTTGGGAAATGTTTTCCATTTCCCCCATCAGAATTAATTACTCCTTTTGTTTATGTAAGTACTCATAGCCTAATTTGGTTATACCTCTTTTATGGATTTGCCATATCTCCCACTGGATTTTCAGCAACTTCAGGGAAAGGAGCATGTCTTACATGTGACTTTATGTTCTGAATATCTAGATGAGTGCAGTACAAATAGTAAATGTTCAGAAAAAGTATTGCTTGAAGAAAAGTGAATTTATGAGCTTGTCTTTGATGAATCAAGTAATTATAAGCTGAGTGAATCTTAAAGAGAATCATATACAATTCACTTACTGGAAAAGTGAAAAAAAAAAACCAAACAGATGTGGAAATTACTATGGACAATTAATGAAGTAGAACAAGGACTAGGCCACCAACACCATTACCCTGAACTTGCACTTCTGTTATTTATTTATTTATTTTTAAAAGGTATTCATGAGAAGCCCCTACATTAAAATAATAGTGGGGTCATGCAGGCAGGTCTCCTGCAACGTAATTGTCTGCCAATGTTATGCCACCAAACCACATGTCAGGATGAAGATGATGGCAACAATATTGTTGAGGGACTATAATTTATGAGGTACAAACTTGCCATTGCCAGCATCTCTTTTGTGCAGGGGACTTGTATCATCTTCCCACTCTTCTCAAATCACTCATTCATACGCTGCCCTTATCTCCACTCAGAGGACATGAGCTGGGGAGGGAACTTGAGGGTAGGGAACCAGTTTCAATCTATTTTGTAGCTCCAGTATCTAGAAGAGTTCTCAGCAAATTATAAACACTCAGTGGATTTTTTTTTTCAATAAGTCTGTGGAACAAAAGTCTCAAGAAGTAGAACATGGAGCTATGGAGATAGATCACAAGATAGAGTCAACAATTTGCTAGGCTCATGTAACAACTTATTGCTGAGGACTCACTGCTGTCTGTTCATAACACTTATCTTCCTTTCTTTATACTCCATACTGGACCCAATGGATAGAAATGATTAATTCCCAGTAGAACTTTTCTATGTGTGCTCTAGGCTATTTTTTTCCACTTTCTGTTACAAATTTAGTTTGCCACTACACCCAATTTTTTTCTTTTCCTGCTGTGGGCACTATTTCAATACCTAAAAACTCTCAATTTAAGTAGAGGTTTGTAGTTTCTCCCAAAACTAAGAGCCAGCATATGACAGCAAGAGGAGATATTTCAACAGTAGCTGATCACAAAATCTTGAAGTGTTCTTGTGCACATAGGTTAAGAAAATGCATCCATGTAGGGTGGTTAGATTCGAAAGCCTAGAAGGTATAAGTTTAGAGAAACTGTGAGTACTAAAAAATTTAAAAGAAATTGGAACCTCAAGGTTTGAGTGTAAAGCCAATATTTTTTTTTTTTTTTTTTTTTTTTTTTTGCGGAAGGCAGGGGAAGGTGGCAGGGGTTTGGGAATGCTTTTTATTTTCAGCCTCAGATGCTCTCATAAGAAAGTAAACCCAAGACTAGGTGAGAATTGTGTGGTTTCATTTTGTCAAAACATATTGCTACTTATAAGATTAGGGACGCTGCCAATAAAATATTTCTTCAACCCTCGAGGTTCTACAAGAATAGACTCTTGGATAAGATTATTGTTAACTGCGCAAGTGTTGATATAGCCGCGAGTTAATAGCTACTGGCAAACAGCAGCCTTTTTTGTTCTGTGTGAATAGTTCCTCCTCTACTACTCTGCCAAACTAAGCACATTTGGTGTGTTTTCAAAGTGGCACACAGGAGGTCAATTCATTAATCATTCTCAAATAGTGGGAAACATAGACTCCTGTCTAGGAAGCCACTGGAAATGCAGTCTTTCTGTTTTCCATTTTTAGTTAGAAGGTGATATTCTGTCCCCTAAAAATTTCTTCCTTCTTTGTCTTACCTCCTCAATATCCTATACATTTCTCATCTCTTTATGTGAGAATTCCAATGAATGGATTATTTTAAGTAGAGACTTGAGTGGGATTTGGTAAAAAGAGGATATTTTGTTTTTAATCATGTTTTACTCTATTTACATATAGTGTATAAAATACTTGGCCAAAATCGGTTTTTCCGAATTTTACCCCACTAAGAAAGTCACTTCTTTGGGCACGATGCATGCTCAATGTTTGGTAACCACACATCTATCTCAGGTAGATGGGACATAGATGAAGCTAATTTGAATATCACCCCCTCTCCATCCTAGGCTGACCTCGCAAGCATGGGATTTGGTGGCAGATAGACTTGGGTGGATGTCTGGCTCCAATTCTTGCTAAATATGAGACACTGGGCTTACAGAACTTCTCAAAGCTTTGCTTTCCTCTCTCTAATCTGGGTCTAATTGTACAATCTATCTCACAGAAGAGTTGTGAGGCTACATTTGATAATGTATGTCAAATATCTCAGCAGAAAGAGGAAACTGCCTCCCAGTTTTCTCCTTTCTTTCCCTTCTTTTCCCTCCCTCTTTATTCTTTTTCCTCCTCTCTTTCTTTCTTTTCTTCCCTTTCTACTCTTCATCCCCCTTTCCTTTGTTCTCATCTCCCATACCTGAAATGCATCCCTTTGCTCCACTTTCTCATATGAATTCCACTAGAAAATGATTCATACATATTTTAATTGATTAGGAGTCTATAAACAAATGAAAAACAAGGAACTTTTTCCTCTAACCTGAATTCTATTTACATAGAAAATAAACTAATTTTTTAGTATAGAATTTCTTTTTTTCCCCTGAGGCTTCTAGCTGGAAAGGCCTTCAGATTTTGGATGACACTGACACAGCTGGCTGTTTTGTTTGGTGGAGAGAATTACAGAGCTGAAAACTGAGTGTAATATCAGATGGAATTCAAGAGCCTTTCCTCTCTGCTCTCTGGATCTCAGTGAAATATCCTGTTTGTTTTGAGGGTCAAAATGAGTTCTACTCAGTAATTGAATGCAGAGCATAAAATCCTTGCCCATTTTCGATTTGAAGCTTCCAAAGCTGATCAGGCAACAGACCTCTGACATTTTGTTTGTTTTCATGTGAATATAAAACTCAAATATTTAATTGATTGTGAGCCTCTATAATATGTGGTTTTGCCTTCATTTACAAGCATCTCCCTCCCTCTCCCCTTACCTCTGCTCTGAGTGCCCGGCTTTCCTGTAGTCCTCAGCCTTCTTTGCCTTCACCAAAGCCCACAGTACACTTGTCTAATCTTTTGCATGCTCATTATTCAGAATGGGCAAACAAACAAATCCACTTGAGAAAACACTTTCTAAATTTAATTTTATCTTATTTCCAGTGCTCCTTCCTGCAATTATCTTTGCTTTCTCAAAATGTCTTGACTTCTTTCAGGTTGTAGATTTGATGCATGGTCACATTTCTCAAAGTATAACGCCTGATTCTCTTAATGGTCTTCTGAGAAAGAATCCGAAAGTTATTTCTAGTTAAGTTACATCCAATTACTCGACTAAATATCCCAGGTGTTCCCTGGCTTAGGTGCTAAAGACATCACCCTTTCACATTCCTCCAGAGATATGATACATACCAGTTTTGGCTTGATCATCCAAGTAGGAATTGGACATCACTGTAAACAGTTGTCTCCAAAGAAACCTGGCTGGCCCATGTATGACCCCAATATACTCTCTTCTTCTTCAACTGCCTTTAGGTTTCTCCAGACACTTCCTATATTTGCAGTTGATGTTCTTTCTTTTCTTCACCATTAGTTTCTTATGCCTATATCTGCTCAACTCTTTATCACTTTCTTTTCCATTTTTTTAGGAGTATTTATGGCTTGTGCTTCTTACAAAGATAAGGTGAAGAAAAATAATCTTACTATTTAAGAAGCACACAAAAATGACAATCAATGGAAAATATAGCTCAGTCTAGGAACACAAACAGATTCTTTCATGACACCAAACACACTTGACAGCAGGGCTGCAGTGCTATTCCCATCTCTCTGTCTTGGCCCTAACACAGTACCAGCTACAGAGTACGAGCTTTGTAACTGGTTAATGGATGGCAGTGTGGATTCCCCTTCTTTTCTTAAAATCAGAGCCTAACACAGGCACAGTGAGATGTTTGCTATTTATGTGATGATTTCGTATTAGGACAAGATTGCCTTTTTTGGGGGCAGCTTAAGGGATATTCTATACTTGTGAATTAAATTATATATAATTATATATAGAATGGTAGTCATGCACACCTATGCAATGAACACATTAGTGGATAGGTAAAAAAACTGTGGTCATATAAGGCTTCAGAATTTGGGATTCAGTCTCTATGAGGAGAGTCCTCAAAGGTAGAACAGCATTTTCAATACTGAAAACCTCACGCCGTGGAGTTCTTTTGACTCCCCAGATGCTGGTCATAGGCCAGGATTTTTGGCTTTTACACTGACTAGCTGTAGAAACTTGAGGAATCAACCACTCTGGGCCTTACTTTTGCCATTCATAAAATAATTAACCTTAAAAACTGCCAAAATTAGATGATTTCCTTGGAAAGGTCTTTATATATTGTTCGATTTATTGAGTTATGGGTTAAGCATTTAGTTATGTGAAGCATTTTAAACAATGACTGGCAAATAGTAAGCACATAATATTAGCTCTTGTTGTAGTTATTATTAGTA
Organism: Homo sapiens; assembly: GCF_000001405.40. Classification (NCBI taxonomy): domain Eukaryota; kingdom Metazoa; phylum Chordata; class Mammalia; order Primates; family Hominidae; genus Homo; species Homo sapiens. Next base: position 85,399,838 of record NC_000014.9, on the reverse strand, counting down.
GTAGCATTACTGAGTTGGTGTCATTAGGTATGTGGCCCACACAAGGAGAGGTATGCCTTGGCAATAGTTGCTACTCAATAATTAGGAAGAGCATCAATCCGTGAGATAACTACATCACTTTACTCTCCTTGTTCATAGGAGCTACACAATACTTTTGCAATATAATGTGCCTTAAAAAATTTTTTTTGCATTACTTGTGGGGGATCAACACAGCCCCCACCTTTTCCCTACCACATTCTTCCCAAGAACAGAAAATAGCTTCTAAACTCTCACTGTACTTTAGAAAATGCAAAGAGACTGTATTTTTCGGGCAAAATTATACATTTTCTGGGGCTTCCACGTCTCCAAACCTACTGCCAGACTTAAGGACATTCTTGAAGTGGGTGCAGTAATGGAGGATAAAGCAGGAATGAAAATCTCTGAGTGTTGCTGCTTGTGTGTGGTCCCTCCTCTCCCCAGAGCCCCACCCTGCTGCTCTAGGAGACTTGCCAACAGCATTTTACCCAAGGGAAAGAATCTCCAGAGTGGCATTTCCCTCCTCAAAATGTGAGAAAAACCATGCCTAGAGAGGAGAGTTTCAGGGCTGATAGAAGGGGTGGAATGGAGGAAATATTCCAAATTTCTTGTTGTCAGTTTCCAAGAGACTCCTCTCCATTCTCATATATAGCCAAAGTGCTCATGGAAGAAGGGGAAATGACATTCATTCAGCCATTCATTCATTCATTCAAACATTCACTGAGGATCCAAGCAATAAAATGCAGTGTCAAGAGGAAAAAAAAATGCTACACAGTCCCACTTCTTAAAGTAGTGAGGAAAAGAGGAACTGCATAACTGAAACATAATAGTTAAGTCTTTAAAATATAAGGCATGAGGGGAACACAGAAGACAAAGTCTTAGTAGGTCCTGAGTGAGGCAAAGTGTGCGTGAAAGAGGCAAGGTGCTTCTAGGCAGAGGAACAACAAATATGAAGATGGAAGAGACGGAAGCAGCATAGTTTTTAGAGAGCTGAAAGTGGAAGCTAAAGAAGCCACAGCCAGGTATGAGTCGAGAGACAAGGCTGGATGGGTAGGCAAGGAAGGTATGTGTGAAGTTCACTTGCCATGCTAAAGCATTTGAGAGTTTTTAAAATTGTCCAATGGGAAGCTATTAAATAATTTTAAATAAGATAAAAGTTAATTCTATTTTGCATTTTAGAAACATGAAGCTAGCAAGAGTTTTAAGGGCAGATTGTTTATATGAGTGAGTGTTTTGGGGGGCTTGGGTGCACTTAGGACATGTTGGCCAAATAGTAGTGTATGCGAGTTATTCTACCAAGAAATGATACAGCCCTGAACTATGCCAAGAAACGGGGGATGCAAAAGATAAGATGGTGTGAAATGTGGAAAGAAAGTCCAGAATGAACACCTGGATCCTCACCTGGCCTCTCAGGTAGCTGGTGATGCTTATAACCTAATACAGAAGGGTGGGTTGGGCTGGGAGAGAATAGCTCCGTTTTGTTCTTGTTCAGGTTGAGCAAGCACTGGAACATTCACAAAGGCAGACAGCAGACGTGCTCATCAAAAGCATTTTTGCTGCATATTGGGTTATCAGGATGGACATGCATGGACTAATCAATGTGCTTCAATGAGAGCTGTAGAAAAATGGAATGAGCAACAAATGGAGTCATCATACAGCCAGCATCATATAGAAGGTGAGAACATGGACCCTAGAGCTACAGTGCTTAAATTCAATCTCCATCCTCATAACTTAGCAACTGTTCAGCCTTGAGCAAATTGTTTAGCTTCTCTGAGTCTCAGTGTTACCTTTAAAATGAAGACAATAGCAGTATCTGGTATAACCCTGTTATCAACAGTGAATAAATTAATGCCTATAAAATGCCTGGACCAGTGGGTGATACAAACTTAATAGTATCTTTTTTTTCTTTTTTTTTTTTTTTGAGATGGAGTCTCGCTCTGTCACCCAGGCTGGAGTGCAGTGGTGCGATCTTGGTTCACTGCAAGCTCCGCCTCCCCGAGTAGCTGAGACTACATGGTATGTGGCACCACGCCCGGCTAATTTTTTGTATTTTTAGTAGAGATGGGGTTTCACTGTGTTAGCCAGGATGGTCTTGATCTCCTGACCTTGTGATTCGCCTGCCTCGGCCTCCTGAGAGATTTTTCTAATGTATGAGAAGGACCAGGAAATATTTTTGGTGGGAGAAAACCAAAGCTTTAAGAAAAGCCTTATGGAGCCTCATCATTTAAAAGTAGATAAATAAATTGGCAAAGAAAAAAGGATGAAATATGGAGACCAAAAGAATGGACAAAAAGGCCTAGAGAGAATTATGTTATTGAAGCCAATGGAGAAAAGATTTTCTGAGACTGTTTAACATGGGCAAATGCACACACATGATTCAACTAAGGTTAAAAATTAGGAGTGTCTTTGGATTTGTCAACGTTAATATTTTCAGTGAAGTGAGCCTATTTTCAGCAAGAGGATCATGACCAGTAGGCTGAGAATGAATGAAGGACAAAGATGTGAAAATCCTTTCTATGTGGTGCTATTTCAGGAAGCTTGGCAATGTGAGGGAGGAGGGAGGGACAAGTGTGTCTGGAGGGATAAGGAAGGCTGAGGAAGTATTTCCGTTATTATTATTATTGGTAATTTTTGTTGTTTTTAGTGTGGGAGAGACATAACCATGCTTGCAAGGGAAGAGGAAAATGAGCTTGAACATACATGAAAGAGAATATATGAAGCCAGATTCCTGATAAGAAAGAAAGAAGAATTTTCTTTGCTTTCAGTGAGAGCAGAAAAAAGGCCTGGAATGGCTGCTTTTAGGCAAAGCACTATCCAGCTCTCACCCGAGTTCCTGACAAGGTGCTAAAAGGCCTAACAGTCTCTGTTTTGATATCAATGCTGTCTTACTATCTGATGTCAGTTATAGGTCAATCTATATTTTGCCTCTCCCCGTAATCCTACAGCTCTCGTCTCTGCTGCCCAACACGGTAGCCACGAGCTCCATGTGGCTATTTATATTTCAATTTAATTAAGAAGTCAGGTTCTCAATTGCAGTAGCCACACTTCGAGTACGTATGTGGCTAGTGGTTTCTGCATTAGGAAGCATAAATACAGAACATTTTCCTTAAAACTAAAGTTCCTCGGACAGTGTTTTTCTAGGTGATGAAATAAACACCATTTCTCTTACTGGGGTTTGTCACATGTGAGGACCCCCTGATGCTGCTCATATCATTACTCTATTGACCTTGAACCCTGAGCAGGGTCCTTGCTACCTGGCCTTCCCACTGTGCTTGTGGTCTTTCATTAATTCTCTCTGTGGGACTCCTCTGTCTTTTAATCTTTCACAGCACCCTAGGTTCCCATGATTCTCTCTGAAATTCCCTTTTTATTGGCCACAGCTGCCTCCCTTGAAGACCTTTGTAAACACCCTCTTGCCTACTGACCTTGGAGATACTATGTCAACCTGTTCTCTTTGTCCAACCCTGCAGTCCACCATCCGTTTAGTCCCACACTTCATGTTCAGAACTTCTCCTTACGCTCCTCCAATTTTAAGTCAAAGGCTGCCAGCGAAGTTCAGCACGTGGGCTTTGGATTCCAACAGACCAGCTGGTACAGCATTTTATGTGTGTAACATGGACATGGTTCTTAACCTGTTAGAACCTCACTGACTTCATCAGTGAATTCGTAACAAAAACATTATCTGCTTCCATGGGTATCATGAACATTATGTGACACAAATTTGTCTGCTTTGTAGCGTGATTCATGCTAAACTGCGCACTGTATTCTTTCTTGCTCCCTTCCTCCCTCCCTCCCTCTCCCTTCCTCTCTCTTTTTTTTTTTTTAAGTAATTTCAACTTTTATTTTAGATTCAGTGGGTCCTTGCGCAGGTTTGTTATATGGATATATATATATATATATGATGCCGAGGTTTGGATATGAATGTTCCTGTCATTCCGCTGGCGAGCATAGTACCCAACAGTTAGTTTTACAATCCTTATCCCCCTCCCACCAGTTCTCTCTTTTTGCTCCCTTCTCCTCTGTCTTGAGTGTGTTCCCAGAGACTCAAGGAGTCAGAGGTTATATTTGATTGTGAGTACGGAGGCCTTGTAAAAACACATGCACGCATATGTTTGTTGAAGCAGTATTCACAAGAGCAAAGACATGGAATCAACCTAAATGCTCATCAACGATAGACTAGATAAAGAAATTGTGGTTCATATACACCATGGAATACTACGCCACAAAGAAAGAACAAGATCATGTCCTCTGCAGGGACTTAGTTGGAGCTAGAGGTCAACCTTAGCAAACTAATGCAGGAACAGAAAACCAAACACGGGAAGTTCTCCCTTATAAGTGAGAGCCAAGTGATGAGAACACATGGACAAGTGGAGGGGAACAACACACACTGGGGCCTTTTGGAAGGTAGAGGGTGGGAGCAGGGAGAAGAACAGGAAGAATAACTAACAGGTAGTAGGCTTAATACCTGGGTGATGAAATAATCTGTACAAGAAACCCCCGTGACTCGAGTTTACCTATGTAACAAACCTGGACATGTACCCTTTAAGTTAAAATAAAAGTTAAAAGGAAAAAGAAATTCTTATTAGTCATCCAGAAGTGCCTAAACAACCATACTAGAAATCAAGTAGCCCTTATCCTTGCTTCCAGTTGCATGTACTCACTCCTATCCCTGCTGCTTCCAGTTGCATGTACTTACTCCAGTCTTGCAATTTAAGCTGCTGTTTGATACATTCACTGTGTAGGCGCATCCCTAGATAACCGATTGCTTGATTTAAACTGTGTTTCTGTCTCAATATAATCTTTACTAAAGCCTCTGGAATCAACAATTATTCAAGTAATTTTCAAAAAAAAAAATACAACCAATAGCCCTGTAGTTAGTTCCTTTCCACAGTTTTGACTTTGCATATGTTCAAGTCAGAATATTCTTTTTCTCACTGAGCATAATACAATTGCATAAAAAACATATTTCGGGCCAGGTGCGGTGGCTCATGCCTGTAATCCCAGCACTTTGGGAGGCCAAGACAGGCAGACCATTTGAGGTCAGGAGTTCAAGACCAGCCTGGCCAACATAGTGAAACCCCGTCTCCACTAAAAATACAAAAATTAGTTGGGCGTGGTGGCGCAAGCCTGTAATCCCAGCTATTCGGGAGGCTGAGGCAGGAGAATTGCTTGAACCCGGGAGACGGAGGTTGCAGTGAGCCAAGACTGCGCCACTGCACTCCATCCTGGGCGACAGAGTGAGACTCCGTCTCAAAACAAACAAACAAACAAACAAACAAACAAACATTTCACAGAGGATCAATGGATACCATTTTGTAATCATTTGTCTTCTTAAATGTCTTCTCCTTTTTCATATTCCTGGTTTCCATTTTTAAGCTAAGTAAATCTACACATGACTTTTAAAATATTTATTCGAACATACACCTAGACATTTGTTGATATATTTGTATATCATAACATGGAAATGGTGACTATTTCTGCTCATTTTTAACCTTTTCACATTTTAAGGTTTTATTTGGTCTCTTAATTGCTTTGCATGCTATTTAAAAGGAGGAAAATATTAAGAAAAAAGTGTGTAGCTCAAAGACAGCTTGAAATATTAATCACTCTCTGACTTGAGGACCCCGTGAGTAACGTCAAAACTCATAGTATCATAAATAGTCTTATTGTAATGTGACCATAAATGTTGCACACAAAGTCATGAGTCTTGAATAAGGCACCCTGTGAAGAACGTTCAAAGACCTACCATACTCTAAGGGTAAGCAACACCAGCGCTAGAGTTATGAACATCTGTTTGGAACAGTTTTCCAGTAAGAACTGTTCCTTTTGAGAGGAAAAATCTGAAGAAAACATCAAGTGCTTACCATTACATCATGCTACAGATTTTCTACACCTCCGTAAGGAACAAGGTTATATGAGCTTACCTCCCCCTGCCTGCATAAACTGTCAGTGAAACTGCCCTCATGTCATGCACAACGGACATTCCTGGAGGTTCTACATTGAAAGAAGGACAACTCAGCCAGACCCGTGCTGGCAACTGTATTTAAATTATATCTTTAAATACACTTTTAAAATTAAATCTGTACCCTGTAGGCCCCCACTAAGCAATCTGTGTTGGAGGAAGGAGGAAGCAAAACAAGTCAAACAAAAATAAAAATAAATAATTCTAAAGCATATATGATCCACAAAGCAGTTTAAAAGGAAAACGGTTTTCAGAACCATTAATCACGTTATGTAGGGCTTGCTTTTATCCCTTGCAAAATTCCAAAGGGAGAATTTCTCCAGGGCAAAGTGTAACTAACAAAAGAAGCATTCGACAAGAAAGCAATCTCCCTTTCAGTGGCATATTGATACTAGGAGAGAAAAGCCACCTAATCAGCACTATAAGTAGGGTAGAGAGTGGGAGAGGTTAGCAGCAAAGACACAGGATTTGAAGTTCTGATTCTAACACTCAATTATGAGCCCACCGGAGTCACTCAAATTGGCTTAAGCTCACTTTCATTATCTTAGAAACAAACAAACAAACAGACAAAAAGCCAGGACCACTATGACACCTGAGCAGTAGGACTATTTTATTTTGAGAGCCAAATGACATATGCTCATAGAAGTGCTTGGTGAAATGTGAAACACTGTGAAATGATTGCTTTGTAGTTTTTAAAAACAATTGCAGGATAAATGAATGAAAGTTTTTGAACAAAAACAAAACCTGCATTTTGTATTCAGGTTTCACTTAAATAAACTGTTAAATATTAGGTATTTTAAATAGATAAAAATATTAAATAAAATATTGAGATATTTTATAGGATTTCCCAAATTACTAAAAAGCCATCTGCTTTTCCAGTATTCCCTTAAATGACCTATTATAACCCAAAATAATTTTTTTTTTTATTTTACACAGTGTCAAAAACCGGGGCAGCACATGATACAAATTTCTAAATTCTGTTCTACAAAATTGCCATCCTTCTCCTTCACTCAGCACTGTTTGATAACCCAAAATCAGAAAGGACTCAAGATGAGATAGGGTGGGAATCCAACCCACACTGCCTTCTAAGCACGAGATTTTAATCAGCAACACTCATTTTTAATACAATAGAGAAATACTTAGAAGAAACTAAGAATAATTATTGCATAACAGGGTGACTACAGTTAATGACAATATGCTACATTCTTGACATTTGCTAAAGGAGTAGATTTTAATTGTTCTCACCACAAAAAAACAGTAAGAGTGTAAGATAATGTATATGTTAATTACCTTGATTTAGCCATTTTACAATGTATACATATTTCAAAAAATGTACATGATAATATATTTAAGTTTTATTTGTCAATTAAAAATTAAGTACAGGATATTACCACTTCCTATGTCAAGGCTCTGTCACATGTAAGCAGATTCCTTTCGAAGTATGTTTGCTCTCATGAGCTCATGTATATTGCTATTCTAAAAACAGATGAGCTCTTTTAATAATCTGTCAAATTTATTTTAACACAATAACTAGGCCTTCAGGGTGCATCTGACTTGACCCTTTTCTGTACAGTAAGTCCTCAATTAACATCACCCAGAGAATCTTAGAAATTGTGACTTTAAGCAAAAGATGTACAGCAAGTCCTCAAATAACATCATTTTCTTCAACATCATTTCTTTATAAGGTTGATGAAAAAAATGGTATTGTTATGTGTCATTTCACTTAAAATGTGGCAGTTTCCAAGAACCCATCGGGGACGTTAGCTGAGGACTTCCTGTAGTTTTGTCTGATCTGTCCCACGTTCTAGCCACCAGCCACAAGTAGCTCTTTATATTTAAATTTAAATTAATTAAAATCCAATTAAAAATTCAGTATCTGAGTCACATTATCAATATTTTCAGTGCTAAATAGCCAGCCACATGGCTATTGCTACCATATTAATTACTGATTCATAAGATACCATACCATCTAATGCTACCATAGCAATTTCTGATAAGAACATTTTCCTCATTACAGAAAGTTCTATTGGACTGTGCTGGTCTAGCTTCTTTCTACTTAGTCCATGACAACTTCATGTTAAAAAAAGTGTAACATAAATACGTATGAAAAAGCCATTCATAGGAATATAGAGTTCTGATCTGCAAATGACTGGAAAAACCAAGGGTTTGGCCCAGATTTCTGCCTTCCTGTGAGTGAGATCATGTAATTCTTTATAAGGTGAAGTAACTCAGGCCCAAAACCACCAGGGAACAGGTTCAAGTTTATACAAAAAGGGTGTCAGACCAAAGTTTTGAAACTCGGTTCACGTTTTTCCTATTGCAATGCTTCTTTTATAATGTCACACTATTTCTTCTCATTCACTACATGCCTGTAAAAGACAAAATGCAACAGGCTGCAATTTTATTGACTTTGACAATAATTCTTTGTGAAATTTAAAGTCGGTTAGAGCATGTCTATAAAAACACATTCACGATAAAGCCATAAGCAAAAATACCACCTCATTTTCATATATGATTCAGGAAAAAATAATTGCTAAAATTATTGAGCAGCCATGTTCTATATACAGCAACACATACCTTAAGTACATCATTTTGTTATCATACTAAACAACCCTGATTAATTAGTATTATTTTGCCAATTTTATCAATGAAGAAACTGAAACTTAAGTAACAAATGTCTCAAGACTGAAATCCAGGTGTGTTTGGCTCTATAATCCATATCCCCAATCAGAGCCTTCTATCCATAATCCCCTGTGAAGAGTAAATCACAGAAAATGTTCTCTAACTTTTCATTCGGCTCTAACATTGCATGAAGGTTTTGTTTGTGAGTGAGAGAGAGAGAGTGAGAGAGTGTGTGTATGTGTATGAGTGTATTTGTGAAAGAGATAGAACACATTTTTCATAGTGCTCATATATTTTGGCTCAAATTTCCATTTTGATAGACTTATTTCAGGGGAATTAATTCATGTAATAAAGATAACAGAAGAGGAGAAAAGAGTGAAGAAGAAAAACAACAAGAACTTACTAGTTTATTAAGGATAGATTTATCACATATCTAGAGCACACAATTTCTTACTAGTACCTCTGCTCCTACTCTCTGTCTCTCTTTACATATTCATTCTAAGAAAAAAGAGTTCAATTTTTAAATTGCGGGGTAATATTTATGTACAGCAAGAGAGATCTGTGCTTATGATTAGAAACATAAACATAATATTCATTTTTTCCTTCCTAAGCAAAACCATGGAAACATATTTATTGAGTGTTTCTTATGTTATAGAAATTGTGCCAAGTTTTAGGAAATTAAAAATAAATTCAATGGCATCCATGGACTAAAAGGCGTATCTAGCATGTAAGATAAATAATGAATCTAAACAATCCCAAAACAAATGACAACAACGCAGTAAAAACCTTTGAAATAAAAGACTTTCTGGGACAAGTATCTGACGAAAGATTACAACCGGAATATGGACCACCATGCTGTTTATCTAAATAAATATTCATTATACTGAAAGGGTCGCTGGTAGAAAGAGGAATTAAGAGACTATTCATTTCTAATGAGTGCCTCATTCTATCCTGGATCTTCCTGGGCAAATGGAGAAGAATCTACATGAAATGGCAAAGCTCTTTTTGCCAGATGTTTCTTACATGTGCTACCTAATGAACAGTCTCCTTTTAGTACAGCAATGATCTAACCCCTATCTCATCCTATCTTGAAACATATAATAAAATAGATACAGATGTTAGCAGGTATCCAAACACATTGGGTAGGACTATCGTTATTCTCAGTATAAAAATGTTAACACAGCACTATGAAAATAAAAATAACTTTGCATTTTAATGAAATTCTTTTATTTTAAATGTTCACAGGCTGAAAAGTTGTCTGTAACTTGATTCAAGCAACAAATGGGACGTATGAATGGGAGAAATGTGCCCGTCAACATTCTTATTTCTAGACCAACTGAAAACTGACTATGTTTATATTGCTTTCCAGATGACCACTAAAGTAACTTATTCCTTTAGAATGTTTTTTTTATACTGATGTATCATTAAGTTGATAAGTGCTGAAAGACTTGATACTTTCAAACCATGTGTGATCCATACATTGGTATGTAGGCAATAGAGAGCTCACTTTAGCACTTGATTAGCATGTGCTATGGCTTGAATGTGTTCCCCAAAGTTCAGGTGTTGGAAACTTAATCCCCAATGTGACAGTGTTGACAGGTGGAATCTTTAAGAGGTGATTAGAATGGATTAATGTTATTATCACAGAGGTAGGTTTATTGAGAAAATGGGATTGTTATAAAAGCTAGTTCATCCCCCCTCTTTCTCTTGTGCTCTCTTGTCCTTCCACCTTCCACCATGGGAGGACATAGCAAGAAGACCCTCACCAGATGCCACCCCTTGATCTTGTACGTCTCAGCCATCAGAACTGTAAGAAATAAGCCACTGTTCCTTATAAATTACCCAGTGTATAGTATCATGTTACAAAACACAAAATAGACTTAGCAGGCTTGTGGCCTCAGCACAGCTCACACTCAGAGAAAAAGGTAAGAGGAAAGACAGCTGCCAAACATTTTATATCTGTTTTTCCTATTATCTTTTCATAAGCCCATATTACAACCAAATTTTTACACCAAGTACAGAATATTAAATATTAATTTAAAAGAACTTGAGGGAAATCATATTACAACTTCATGGTAAATTTAATTTAAAATGCTAAAAGCAAATTCTTTCCCTGTACGTTGTATTTGTGTTTTTAGAAACAGGAGCATGCAAACTGATTCTCATTTTTATTAAATGACTATCTGTAATTGCAAGATTCTCAGAGAGTCAGAAAGTGAAGCCCACGCTCCATGAGAAATGGACAAGTTCTTATTATTTGACAATTTATTTCCCAAGGCTTTCTAATCATTTCACCCAACAACCAATTGAATCTATTTAAATATAATCTTCCCTTGCAATACTACATGGCTAAAAAACATATTAGCTCTAAAAATATTTTCTTTAAGAAAGACAAAGATGCATTAAAAATCAGTTAAAGTCATAGTTGTATTTTTTTAAAAGGGAGGGGAATACCTACAGACAAACAATGTAAATCCATTTAATTATTTGTTTATTTATTTTCTTTTACCTCAGCACATTCATTTGACAAAATGCTTTATTGTAGTCTTCCAATAATCCTTAGGAGATGCAATTATGTAGATTTCATTTTATGAATTTTCTTTTTTGTTGAAGAAGAGGAATACTGTTGAAGAAGGGACAATGATCACTTACAGTTCATAGGAATTAACAGAGTAAGAGGCTAGGCAAAAATATACATAGAAGGCAGAACTGAGGGGGGCTTTAATTTAATCATTTTAGTTATTTAATTCAGAAAATTTAGACCTTTGGCACACACACCTAGCTTCTCAGTGAAGACTGTGTGTGACCGACCAGTCAAAACCTCCTTCATTTTCTTTCAACTCTCCAGTCAGCTAGTAATGCAGGGACCACTAGAATGTTCAAACATGATGACTTGATGAACTTAGAGAGGATCTTTAGAATCATGCAGAATAATTATGCCATTAGGTTAATAATCCTTGGAAGTTTATCCTCAATCTTTGAAATAACTTTGGTTTTCAGTGAAGATTGCTCTCTTTCAGTTAATGCATTTGGCCATAGAGTGGACTTGTCCCCTCAGTTCTGTAACAGTGAAGCAAAAACAGAATGGATGTCAGCCTAAAATGTTGGCATAGTAATCTCTTTAACTAATAACCAAGATAATTTATTCATGTTGCTTAACTTCTTTAACCTCAACAAATATTTTTTGATCATCTTCATCAGAAAATGAAGTTTTGAATAATGAACTAACAGATGATAAATGAATAGTTAAATGGCCAATTCATAAACCATAAGACAATATAGTTTTTTGAAAGAGAGGGTATTCAGATTCATGTGCATGAATTAAAATTAAGTCTTAAATGCTTTATGAAATTTTAGATTATACAAGAATACTTACAACTGTATACATTCCCATTTTCCTATTATATTAATGGTTGCCTTGGTTCAGGCCCTTGTGTTTGAAAAGTCTCCTACTCATACCTGTATTTTCAGCATTTCTCCTATTAATCCCTCTTTCACATTGCAACAAAGCAAGCTACATAAGTGCAATTTGATTTTCATCCCTCTACTTGAAACTCTCTTTTGCCTGTAACAAAGTCACCCACAATCTGACCCCTTCTCTCCCTCATTCTTTAATACTTGTCAAGTCACAAATTAAAACTTTTACAGTTTTCTACATACACAGACAAATGCATGCACACTTATGTACACACACATGTGCACATGCACATATGCACACCAGGTAGACGGAGCAACACTTCAACAACTATTACATGAGTTAATGGAACTTCCTATTTCAACAGCAAGCTGAGCCAGCCGAAGCCAGCATAGTAGCAGATGGTCTTCAGGCAGTCAGAACAAGTTTTCTGATTGATTCCCTGTGAATTTATAGTGACCAGGACTGACCTTTTGGCTGATTAAGCTTCCTGGAGTTTTTGGTATGCATCACAGAGATTAGGCAAGTGGAATCCAATGTGTGAAAAGGGCCAGTAGATAATTCAAAATCATATCATAGGAATATTAGAAATGTGTGACCATAATTTGCACCTCGACTTGGTGAACTGTAAGAAGAGATGGTTTTCATTCTGTGTTATTCTGAGGCTGCTTTCTCAGCTCAATACAACACGCTAGCACATGATAGCTTTCCTGGAGCTTCCCAAGAGGATGGGGATACCTTTATTATCTTACTTAACTCTTCAGCCTTTCTTAGCGACTTGATAATTGCATGATTAAACAGGGGTGAATTTGATCATTATTAATTTACTTATATAGTTAGAGAGCTATTTTCATCTTATATAGGGATCGGCATGTCCATTAGTTGATGTATACAAAAATATGTGGGGAAATTACAATTGCTTTGCAGAATATATTCCAAAAAGTCAAATATTACCAATATATTAATATTTTCTAATGTTAGCCAGGAAAGAAGACAATTGAAATAAAACAAGTACCATACGTTAGGTCTTAGGCTTAAATTACTCTTATCTGTATGAAATAGTCAATTTATATATATTTTTTGGTTTTGAACAGGCAACTGATTTCCTTTCAGTGCTGGGAAATCTAATGTAATGAAAACGAGACTTGTAGCATTTTAAGCAATATTGATAAAAAGAGCAAGGAAAGTCTTAGAACCTTAAATTTTCTCTTTTAGGATGTCTTTAATTCAGCATTCCAATTCAGCAAGTGAATTTCTTTGGATTTAACTTAAACAATTATTTTATAGGTATTCTCTGGAATACATCTCAGCCTATGCTTATTTGAGGATAGTGGCTGCATTTTTGTTGTTATTAGTTCTACATTTACTTATCTTAAACTCTAGCTGTTTTCATGCCTCCTATTTCATATCCTGAATGGTCCTAGCCATGAAGCAGCAAAATCAGGGCTTTTCTTGAAACACATGTGTAATTTCCAAGCTGTTTGTTTTTCGATGAAGTAAATGCAGAGGATGAAAATCATCCATGGGAATCAGGATACACGTGCAGAACAATTTCAAAATTAATGAATCTTGTGAATCTATAATTTCAATACAAGTGACAAATTTATACAGGAGAAAGAGATCTTCTTAAAAGGATAAAACTTCTATTTAAAATTGAGTAACTAACATGTGGGGCATTTGTACAGGTACAAAGTCATATCTCAAAAAATTCAATGAAACTCTCCTCTCCGTAGTACAAGAGGCAACACAGCAGGCCTGAAAATGTCCACTGTGCTATTCCACAAAGCCCAGTTCCAGGATTCAAACTTTACCCAGGCTAAGAGAAAGGGTGCAAAAGTGCTGGTTATTCCATAGGGCCTTGCAACCCTCTGATTTTGACTGTGCTTAAGCCAGAACTCTTTGAAAGGATTGTGGTTGTAGTTTCCGTGGCAATGCAAATTCCGAGAAGCAAGAAGGTCATTCACCAAAAATTGTATACTACCTTCCACCCTCTTGAAGTCACTTTTTTTTTTCCTCCGAAAGAGAAAGAAGACTGGTTCCAGAAAAAATAGTTGTTAGTTTTAAGTTGAAGATGAGTATTTAATATCAATTTAGACATCCGCATAGATGGAATGCAAAGTTGGAGGGTGGATAGTTTGGTCTAGGAAAGGAAAAGAGAATTGCAGACACAAATGGACCACTTCCTACCCATTCTCATCCCCCAACTTCTGATTCCAAGGATTTTCTGGGTCAGAAACACCATATTTCCTTTTTTCTTGTGGAAATTATGATCTGAATTCCAGAAGGAAGCTTGGGAATAAAAATGTTTGTATGTAAGATGACTCATATAGCAAGCACCCCTACCGCTTTTGTTGGTGGTATAGAGACCTTGCTGCTTAAAATCTCTTTTCAAAGAGTCCAATGAAGTTATACCCCCAAACATAATTTTATCAATTCTACTAACACCAACAGATACCATTAGCAGTTGCTTGTGAAATATTACTTTAGATTTTTTTTAAAGGCTTAGAAACATCTTTACTTAGAAGAAATTTAACTGCCTAATAAGCTTTGAGATTAATGTCTCTTATGTAATTTGCTTCTCATAAGTATTTCTTTTTTCTTTTGGAAATCCAGGCTCATAGTCTTTTATTATTACAAAGTAGCTTACAACTGGGTAAGTAAAGATTTATTTCCGTAAGAAAATTTAAATTGTATTCAACCCTGTAAAACACCTTTATATACTTATTTGGTGAAAGAGAGAAGGTGTGATAAAATGAGGAGTATATGGGCTCTTCAATGGAATAAATACTTTTTCTGCAACATTTTTTCTTGTGAATATTAAATATTATTTTTCACATATAAAAATATGAAGAAAAATTTCATGGAACTATTATTAAAATATCAAACATTCTAACAAAGTAGTGTGAAAATGAGTACTTTCCAAGTTAATCCACAAATAGATAAAGAGTAGAAGAAGATTGGTTGGGCGTGATGGCTCACACCTGTAATCCCAGCACTTTGAGAGGCCAAGGCAGGAGGATCACTTGAATCCAAAAGATTAAGACAAGACAGTGCAATATCAAGAGACCTCATCTCTACAAAAATATTTTTAAAAAATTAGCCAGCTGTTTTGTCTGGTACCTGTAGTCCTAGCTACTCAGGAGCTTGACGCAGAAAGATCTCTTAAGCCTAAGAGTTTGAGGCTGCAGTGAGCTATGATTGCACAGCACAATTGCATTCCAGCCTGGGCAACAGAGCAAGATCACATCTCAAAAAAGAGAGAAAAAAAAAGAGTAGAAGAAAGAAAATTATCCAAAAAGAAAATATTATAAAAACATTGCTAAACGGAAAGAAGTGGTAGTAGCAATCAAAATACTATCTTTTTATTATCAAACATTCAACAGTTTTTTACAAAGTTAATAGTCCATAATGGCAAGGAAATGATGAGATAGCTATTTTGACCTACCTTAGAAAGGGATATGCATTCTATGAGCCTATGTAGAAAGCAACTTTAGCTGTCACTAAAATCTTAAAAAGAGATTTATACTCCTTAGTAATGGTATTTCTAGGATTCTGTATTGAAGAAAAGGCTGGGAATGTGAACAAATATGTATATAAAAATATACTCTTAATAGAATTTTAGTTGTAATAAATATCCAATAATAGGAAAATAATGTAATAAATTATGATGCAGCTATATGATGTATTGTTGATAGTAAAAAGTAGTTTTAAAAATAATTTAATAATTAAGCTCATCACTTGTATCTTCACAGTTGGAGATAGTCTCATAAGAAAAAATGGGCACATGTGTAGTCCTTTTAAAGTTGATAAATAGATAAATAGACACGGATAGATGGCTCCAGAGTATAATACTTTCCATGAGGAAGAGTGTAAAAGAATACGTGTGATTTGACGTAAGAATGCTATTCCTCCTGGAGAACTCTTGAAGAGGGGAAACTAATTTGTACAAGAAGCCCAGGTGGGTTTCTTGAATGAAAGGAATAGAAATTTCAGCATTTTCTTCCCAGGATTCCAAGCTCGTTTATAAGCCATCTATTGTTGTGCAACAAAGGCACCCAAAAACTTAGCAGCATAAAACCACCACCATTTTAATTGCTCCTAATTCTCTTAGAAATCTGAGCTGGGATCAGCTGGATGGTTCTACTTGTTGGTTTCACTTGGGATCACTCATGTGGCTGTAGTCAGCTGTTGACATGACTTTGACTGGATGGTCCGTATAGCCTTATACATGTGTTTGAGTTTAGGGCTGTCAGTTGGGCCTTTCTCTCCACATGTTATTTCATCATCAAGGTTGCAAGCTCAGGCTTCTTCATGTAGTAGAAACAAACAGTAAGTGTCTCAAAATAGAATATATAAGGCCTCCTGAGGCCTTGTTCAGAAGGCACCAAGCATTGCTTCCACAATATTCAGTTGGCCAAAGCAAGCCACAGGGCTTGCAAATTCTAAGGATGGAGAAGTAGATTCCACCTCTTGACAGAAGAGTGACAAAGGGCATATATACAGGAAGGAACTACTGCATTTATCTTGACAATCTGCAATAGATAGCAGTACCTGTGGGGACTGCAATAGTACTGATCAAAGACCATTGGCTGTAAAGGACCTGAGAGAAAATTCCTCATTAGGAATTCCTCATAGGAGAGAAGACCAAAACAGTAATCAAGCCACATTACCTAAACAGTTAATTTTTTAGCAGGGATAGTTTGCCATAGAATGTGAGCCAGGTTTGAAGGTCCTCTGGATTCAGCAACGTGTCTAGCTCTGGGGAAAAAAAAATGAGCATCCTTAATGTGCACTAACATTTCTATAATCTTGGAGCATGAAGTGTCAGGTAATACTAAGTGCTATACAGGAATATGGACAAACAAGACTCCTATCACCATGCCAGTAAAGCAATATTCACTGTGTAGTACACATATTCAGAAGTGTTGTCATTTGGCAGAGATAGAATAGTAAGATACAGCAAACTAATTAGACTATCAAGCTCTTTTTATCTTCACCTGGCCTGACTGAGTGACTCTCCCTTGCCACTAATCCTGGTTCATGAAAAATCAAGGAGGAGAAAGGTCTTGTGTGAAAGATTTTGGGCTTCCATGAATAGGTAATAAATAAGAAAGAAAATAAATTGCTAACATTTATTAAGTGTTTACTTTTTTAGAGGTATTAATGTTATCTCATTCAGTCTTCTGAAAATTCAAGTAAGTTAGAAATAATGCATCCACTCTTACTTATTCAAATATGCATATGAGTTAAATATATGCATATTTAAATATGCATTCCTTCCCACCACATTCTCCGTTCTACTGTTTTACTGTATTGTACATGAAAACAGGACTGGGTCTCAGTTCAAGGGAAGTTCACTACCTACAGTCTTCCTTGCCCTATGAACTGCACACAGGGAATGCTGAACCTGCCACTGAATACCTGACCAGCCTGCTTCCTCATGTTACCTACAGGCAAAGCATCCATTGTAAGTACTACAAAAATGCGTTCCTTGCTCCATTACTCAGGCTAATACCTTTGCCAACTAACACAGTGCTGAGGAGAGCACTGAGATGGAGAAAATACAGGGGGTTCGATGTGACTAGGACTCTGTGTATTCATGCCTTTGTGCTACCTTTCGTTGCCCCACGAATCCCACAGTGCAAGTACCTGCTTCTTGACTTGATTTTATAGTTCATAGTGTTACTGTTTTATTGAGCTGGCTCTTTAAATCCAAACCAACTTGTGCATTTAAGGGCTGGAGTATAATACATTCTGTAACAATATGTGTATTTATTAATAATTATATATAATATATTCTGTAATATAGAAGAACATTGGCTATGCTAATACTCAAGACAAAGGGGCTGCTGTGAATCTGTTTGAGAGACGACACTGATGTCACAGAAAATATACAACATCAAATATTTTGTTGTTGATTTAAAGAATTTAAAAAGTGATTCTTACTTATGTATCTCCTTTGGGGTGGATCCTTGCTATGAAATATGAAGCTCTCACTGTACTTTTATTATCTATGGGGAAATTGAGGCAATGAGAAGTCAACTCACTTTGCTGAGAGCACATAGCTCTTGAGGGTAGTGGGGGATTTAAACACAGGTAGAGTCTGACTCCAGAGCCTGCTGTACGTGAAACATGACATGTTTTGCAGTAAACTTCAGGAATGATGAGGGGACCAGTATTGGCCAGCACATGAGGGACAGTGACCTGTAAAGTAAATATGGCATAAATTCTCCAAGATGGAAGTGGACCAGGTTGAGAGGATGATGGGTTACTTTAGTCATGCTGAGTTTGAGATGCCTTTATGATGTTCAAGTAGGCATCAGGAACCAATAATTTGACACTAGTAGTTTTCTTACAGAATCACAATTGTTAACAGATTTGGATGCCAAAGAAAAAACTGAAATGATGTAATAAAATCCTTGAATTAACCAGAGTCCAATATGCACTTTTGGTTAAGTGCTTAACATATTTAACCTTTGAGTTGATCAATGCATGGATTTAAATATATTTCCTAGTGTTGTTTCGTACTTCCTTCAGCAATGTTTAAAGTATATTCAGTTAGGGAAGAGGATAAAACTGCTATTTCAATCCTATTAGTGTGAGGTCTGTATAGTAATCTGAATGTTTTCATTTTAGTGGAATTTCACTGTAACTAGCGTATCATATTCCCAACACACACAGCCTTTTCCTCCTAACTTCGTCACGACCTCTTTATTTCTGCTCTAAGCTGTCCTGTGTCCGGTGTTCAATTAGTAAGCGACGGGAAATCCCTTTAAAGGCTAGCTACTCTGTGGGTGCTATTGCCTGACAAGAAGCTGTCTAAAAAAGAACTGCAAGCTTTTAATCCTACTGGTTTTGTAGACAGTGTTAGAGAACGAGGAATTGGCTGCCACTCTCCAAACTGTGATTTACAATTTTTCTGTCTTCACCCTTCACACGTTTCAGGGTTGAATTCTGTTTTTAGTCATTATGAGTGCCTTGTGTATGAATACTTTTATATCCTCTATACTGAAATATTGGAGATACTGGGGTCTAACTTTGGGCTTATGTGGAGAAAGCTAATAGAGAAACATCTGGAGTTTTAAGATTGTTTGGGAGGGCCAAGAAAGTATTGTATTAATCAGTTTGTCTTCCTAAACCTTGTAACTCCTTTCATCAGGCTCCTTTCAATCTTGATTTGAGTGAAACAACTGGATGAAGCATAGGAAAGATTTCATTGCAAACAAAACAAAATTCAAGTAAAAAATGAAAACAACCTCTTCACATGCAAAAACCTGCAAAACTGTAAAGAATACAAACAAAAACAAATATAAAACCACCCACACTTTAATCTTTCTATTACCTTCTCTTCACAGGTGGTGATTTCTGATAAACCCTTTTGCCCCAATCTCCATCTCAGTGTCTCTTGAAAGGGGCCTACCTGTGACAATATCGTTAACTGAAGCTCAATTGATGAATCCCATTAAAGGAAAGCTGCTATTGCTAAATCAAAGCATGGAGTCTCTGCCCTCCCCAGTAGGCTATGCCATCCAGGTGCAATGTTTGGGAATTCTTTCTCTACTCCAATCTCCTCATTGATAAGTGAGGAAACAGAGGCCCAGAGGGCTGTAGTGACCCACCGTCATGCTGAGCATATGGGGAGGGGCAGGGCTCATGAATTTTCTTTCATGCTGGTGCTTCAGGACTGCTCTAGGGTCAATCACAAAGTGTCTAAAATTCACAAAAATACTAAATGAAAGTAATATAAAATGAATGCTATAAATATTTTAAGATTTGCAATAATTTTGAATATATTTTGATTCATTTTCTAATTTTCTCAAAGTCATGTCCACTTCAGTGTTCAATGTAGCCCTTCTTGGATTTGTGAAAAAGAGTTTCGTATATTAGATGAAAGCAGACTAGCTTTGGCAAACAACAAAGCTTAATCTGGTTAAGTAATCTCTCTTGCAACTTAATAAAATCCGTTATGATAGGACTTCGGGTCTCAATGAAAATGAAATTCTTTCTACATTTGTGACTGACCAGCAGGTCTTTCAGGTGAGCACATATCCTTGATTAAAGGATTTAAGTCTTGCTATGAGCTAAGTCCAGGGCTGCTGAGGTTTGCAGCTCAAGTGCTCTGGCTCAGGGCAACTTCAGATTTTAAGTATTCTGGTTCACAGCAAGTTATGCGTAGTTTGCCTAATGCAGTGATTCTCACCTGGTAGTAATTTTGCCTCCCAGAGTACCTCCAGTTATGTCTGGAGATATTTCAGTTGTCAAACTGGTGGGTGCTACTGGCCAGGGGTGCTGTTAAAATCGTACCGTACACACGACAGTCACCCCAACAGAGGATCACCTAACCCAAAATGTCAGTAGTATGGCTGTTGAGAAAAGACTGGCCTAATATTGTTGCCCTACTGACTTCATACAAATAGCAAATGACGCTAGAAGGGGTCCTGAACCAGGAATCCCAAAAGTGGGTATTGCTATCTGGAGTGAGTTCCTCTGGCAGAGGTTCTAAAGAATATTTTGACTTGCTAACTGTGCTTAAGTGGTTAGATCTTAATTCCTCTTAAGAGCTGATCTCACCTAGGCCAATTGGCTGGAGCTCCAGCTCATATAAATGGGTGTTCCATAAGCGCAGGCAAGAGAGGATAACTTCATGTTGAAATGAAGCTTGTCAAATTAGATGAAATTAGAAACGGCTCAGATGGCTGTCCCCTGTTGAGATTTAAATGCTATTGGAGGTGGAAATGTTACTCAAAAGAAGTATCTAATAAATAAAAATGGCTGCAAATTAGCTACTTTCTGCTTTTCAGAAAGATTAAAACTGAGCATTCATTTTTTCAAATGGCCCTTTAGTTTCTTTAAGCCTGGTAGGTTTCAATGGATTCCTTACATATGGTGCTCACATCTTATTTCCTGGAAAGAACGTTCCACTTTGGCAACATGAGGAATGACACTTTGGCCCCATTTCTATTTTCTTTCTCAAATCTGACATCCTCAACAAGACACCAAGATATTGTTAGGAAACCATTCACACCCCGTCCTGCTAATTGTGTATCCTCAAAGAGGCCTCTGGCCACTTGGTTTGCCTCTTTAGGATACAGAGTGAATACGTGCAGTGAGGTTAGAGGTGAGAAGAGAGGTATGAAATCACAACCATTATCGAGCTCAGGAAGTTTTTTTTTTTTTTTTAGAAAGCTGAGTTAATAAGGTAGAAAATGATGGGGTTGGTGTGCTGTGGGCGAGGAGGAATGGATACAACTGAGCATGTTGGGAAATCCTATAAAATAGACACTTTTAGGGCCAAGTGTGCCCTAAAATTCCAGTAATCCCAGCACTTTGGGAGGCCTAGACGGGCAGATCACCTGACGTCAGGAGTTCGAGACCAACCTGGCCAACATGGTGAAACTCCATCTCTACTAAAAATACACACACAAAAATATTAGCCGGGTATGGTAGCAGGTACCTGTAATCCCAGCTACAAGGGAGACAGGATTATCGCTTAAACCCAGGAGATGGAGGTTGCAGTGAGCCGAGATCACACCGCTGCACCCCAGCTTGGACGACAGAGCAAGACTCTGTCTCAGAAAAAGAGACACTTTAAAAAAATTCTGAATATGTTTTTATATGAGCTAATTTTCAAACTTGGATTCAGATAGTGGATCATACAGCCTTATTGCTCTTGACTTCAATTAAAAACACCCATGTGTCTCTCAGCCTTTTAATTATCCCAAGGAAATGTTATGTTAATATCCAAATATCCTTTGCTTGATCTCTTGACTTTTTTTGTAACAGGGTAAAGTTAGTTTCAAAACTTTCAGAAAGCTATGAATGAATAGAAACCAAGATCCATTTCTGAATTAAAGCTAAATGTTCTTATCTGCAACAAATTTTTAAAAATATTCAACTTTAATCTTCTGACATAAACTCAGAGAAAAATACCTCTTTCATTGAGCTAAGGAAGCAGTCACCACAGCACATTCGAACAGGAGACCTACTCCTTAATATTAAGGAGCCACCTAGGAGCTGTTTGTTTGCGTCCCTCATAGCCACCCAGCTGTTACTCCCATTTGTGGTCTTAGTGCTAATTGCATAATGTCCCTAATTTATATCCGCTGGTTGATCTGATCACCACATTACCTGGAGGGCAAGCTTTAATTAGGGAAATTTCTGAACAAATTGTCTAAAGAGCTTGTTTAGTGTGATTAAATGCAAGAACATTTCCCCTTCTCTTTTTAAAAATGAGCATTTACTTTATCCTGAAACTTTGCGGATAAAAAACAACATGGGTTCTAATTAAGGCCTACAAAATGAACAGCAACATTACCCACGAAAACGAATTGAATTTTGTTGTCTGTAGTTGAGATATATATGACTCAATGCTACATTTATTCAACAGCTTTCGGCATTTCTACTTTGCCTCTGTCAGAACTAACAAGGTGAAACGGCAAACTGATTGAAAAAGGATAAACTGTGAAAAGACAATACACTAATGCGAGATACTAATTCAACTGTGGCTTATGAAAAGAGATTAGAATCATATGCATTCTCACCTGAGCATCTCCAGGCTCTTGAACAAGCTAACATTAAATTAAACCTTCCATATTGTTAATAGGTAGTCAGATACCATATGAATTAATATGCAATTGTACATTTAACTGAAGTGCAAAGATAAATGTCATAATAGGATCAACAAACTTTGATAACTCAAAAACAATTAAAGTCAGCTCCAGTGTTTAGATGGAATATTCTGGCTAAATGTCAGTGTCATAATAAAGTGCAAGAAATAAGTGTGGCTAGGAGAATTTGGAAATTGCACTCATTTTGTTATCGGCCTCGGTGAAAAGTGTTTGCATTATTCTTAATCATCAGACATTTTATAGATGCCTCCTTCTGCTGGATCTCTGTTAGAAAATACATTAAGTTTAGAAATTGTATTCCCTGTGTGAATACACAAGCAGGACATAGTAAAGTGTGATTGATTATTTGATTCTTTTGAGTAAATCTTTGAAAAGGACTGTTTTTTTCATCCTTGTCACCAGCTTTCTTAGTGAATATTAGCACTGGCTAAACATTAAAATGACTTTTTAAAAACACCAATGCTTTACCCCAGACCAAGTAAATATGATTATCTGAAGTTTTCATGTAGATATAGGAATTTTTAAAAGGCATTTCCCCTGCTTCTGATGTACAAGGAGGGTTGAAAAATCCCTGAAATATATAATCATCGACTGACTGCACTTTAAATAGCAATCTAAATTACAACTCTGGATTGACAGCCAAAGAACCAAGGCTGTCATTCCACCTTGGCCACTATTTTATCAGGTGAACCCCAAGCAAATGGCTGAATTTCTCCAGGACCCATTGATAGGTGATCTCTTTTTTTTTTTTTTTTTGAGACGGAGTCTCACTCTGTCACCCAAGCTGGAGTGCAGTGGCACGATCTCGGCTCACTGCAAGCTCCGCCTCCCGGGTTCACGCCATTCTCCTGCCTCAGCCTCCCGAGTAGCTGGGACTACAGGCGCCCGCCACCACGCCCCGCTAATTTTTTTTGTATTTTTAGTAGAGACGGAGTTTCACCGTGTTAGCCAGGATGGTCTCGATCTCCTGACCTCCTGATCCGCCGGCCTAGGCCTCCCAAAGTGCTGGGATTACAAGCGTGAGCCACCGCGCCCGGCGATAGGTGATCTCTTACGTTTTGATTTAAGCCAAGGAATTAAATTAGTTTTATTTTCATCATATGTCCATTACCTCTAGTGTATAGTGCCAAAAAGAGTAGAATATTTCGTTTTCCTATGCTTTGATGTCTCTTGTCATCAGGATATTATCTATTTATAAATGATTTCAGTCAGTGGAGAGTAAAAGAGAATTTTGTCGCCTGCGGGAATACCAGGGAAGTTACCGTGTCTGATAATAAGCTCAGGAGTCCTTAATGTAGCCTATTTTACCAATTAATGACATTTCCTTGTTCATCATGGATAACAGTCAGGTTGCAGTTTGTTCTGTGAACTCAGGGTTGTTAAAGGGCAATTGAATTTTTTTTTTTTTTTTGAGACGGAGTCTCGCTCTTGCCCAGGCTAGAGTGCAATGGCACGATCTTGGCTCACTGCAACCTCTGCCTTCTGGGTTCAAACAATTCTCCTGCCTCAGCCTCCCGAGTAGCTGGGATTACAGGTGCCTGCCACTATGCCCAGCTAATTTTTTTTTTTTTTTTTTTTTTGTATTTTTAGTAGAGATGGGGTTTTACCATATTGGCCAGGCTGGTCTTGAACTCCTGACTTCAGGTGATCTACCCACCTCAGCCTCCCAAAGTGCTGGGATTACAGGCGTGAGCCACCACGACTGGGCAATTGAATTTTGAATAAACCAAACACGTGTGAAAATTATGGTTGTACATAAATTCCTACACTTAAGTCAGGGCTCACACATTGACTGACTTATTCACGATTTGATGAGTTCAACGATTGATTGGTTGACTCATTGATTCATTGATTTATTCAATCCTTCACTAACTTATTCATTCAACAGGTATATATTTTCCAGGCAACAGATTAAATAAACACTAGTCCTACAGAGTCAGAGGGCCCCATTGGGATTGAGCCCTGGTTGCCCCTAATAGTAATCTACTCATTAATTTCACACATCTTTTACTGGTTTTGTTTCTTTGCTTCTCAAATTTCCCTAGGCCAATGGATATCAACTATAGGCCCGTTGGGGGAAATTTTGCAAAAAAGAAGCTATCCTTCCTCTGGGGTTCCTCAGAAAATAGGATATTCTTGCTAAGCAGCAGGTAGCCATCATGTCACCAGGAGGAAAGAGCCTCTGGAAATGAAGTCAGTAAACAAGAGGGCCTAGTGTTAGAAAAAATAAGTCTGACTCTATATCAGATTGCTTGAACCCCTGGATCTAGCTGTATCTGTAGCTACAACTTGTACTTTTCACTTACATGAGCCAGTATGTTACCTTGTTTGGCTTAAGTAAGTTGATTTATCATTTGTAAATAAGTGTTGAGACTGATTCTTTACCATCTTGTCTCTAAAAAAGTTACATCTTCACCACTCGTTGCTTAAATTCATTCATTAACTCTGACAAGATATAGGCTTAATAAAAAGGTAGTCTTTCTTATCTTGTCACCTGTACAATACAGCAAGAGATTTTTAAGATATTATATTAGTGGGTTTGGCCTGCCATAACAAAATACCACAGACTGGGTGGCTTAAACAACAGAAATTTATTTCCCACAGTTCTGGAGGCTGGGAGGTCCAAGATCAAGGTGCTGGCCCATTTGGTTTCTGGTGAGGACTCTCGTCCTGGCTTGCAGACAGTGGCATTCTGCAGGTGTGAGCACATGTGAGCACATGACCTTTCCTCAGATGCATTCTTTCTCTTCTTCTTAGAAAGCTACTAATCCTATCACGAGGTCCTCACCTTCATGACCCCATCTAATTCAAATCGCTTCCCAAGTGCCCTGTCTCCAAGTGCTGTCACATTAGTGGTTAGGGTTTCAAATACAAATTTTAGAGGGACACAAATATTTCACTCATAACAGATATCTACATAATATTAAACATATGATCAACCTTTTGAGCTCAATTTTCAAATTTCTATATGTTTGTGCACCATGTAATTTTTGCTTTCTGTTTAAAGTATAAATTTTTTTAAAGTATAAACATTCTGCCCTCCCTCCCTCCCATATGAATCATTTTGAGAAACAGTCTTACTTGAAAGAAATTTAGGAAATTGAAAATCTTTTGATACATCTAAAAAAGGCTTATCTAATAAATCAGAGGAGATTTGCTCATTAACTTTACATTTCGCTTGGTCTTTATTTTTTTCTTTTTTGGTAGTTATTTTTGTTGTTGTTAAAGCAAAATTTTGTTGTTGTTGTTGTTAAAGCAAAATAGGCTTTTGGATTTTTCATCATCTTTAGATTAATTACATAGATGTAATTGCAAAAGATATGTAATTTGTACTTTTTTCATCTATATACTAGAGGTTATGCCCTTTGGTTACTTTCAATTTTTTCATAGTAACAAATAATTATTTTGTAAAGAACATACCTTTGGTGCCTATATTTAGCAATTTTCAGGATTATTTGCTTCATTTTACTAATGAAAATATTATGGGCTTGTTTGAAGGAGTTATCTATTCTAAAATGATAAATTAATTTGTTGTACCACCAATATTGTAAGTTGTTTCCATATCAGCATACCTTTGACTGTTCTAGGTGTTATTTCTAAGATTTTTTTCTGATTATTAAATAACACCTCTTCATAGGCAATCATACGAAGAGCATAGACAAGTATAAATAACTAAATAAAAATTGTCCATAACTTCGCTACCCTATGTTCTCTCTTCTAATTGCTTTTTATAAATTTTGTTCTATAAAATTAATATCATAATGCATACATATTACATACTTTTTTTTTAAGTTAGCAGTATACCAGGAGTTCTTTCCATGGAATTTACTACTTTAAAATTTACTTTTAAATCATTGCAAACATTAAATTTTGTAATTACGGTTGATACTAAAATTAAAGCACTTTTTTATTAACAGAGGCTATTTCTAATTTTCTCACAAATGTTGCAATGAGAATACTTTTATGTATATTTTTAGCAGCAGAGCTTTATTACTTATTGAAAAGAAATGTTTAGGATTGAATTGTTAAATAGATGAGTCCTGAATAAGGTTATTGACACATTATATCAAATAAAAAAGATCATTTAGAAAATCTTTACTCAACAATTATCATGTTAGTTTTTACAATCATAGCCCACAAAAAGACCAGTAGAAGAAAAAAAAAACACTTCAGTCTCAGTTAAACAAAACATACATACACCCACACATTAAAATTACTTTCTGGAAAGTCTTACATTAATACTTTTAAAATTTCTGTTTTTCAGCATCAAAAGTACATGAACATATGGATATAGCAAAATAATAAAAAAAAACAGTAGTTATCAAAACAAAGCATGTCATATGTGTATTTATCCAATAATCAGTTTTAGTGGTCATATTAGAATAAGCCATAAAATTTTAGAAAGAGCATTGGGTAGAATTTTATGCACAAGTTTACATGAAAGTATTTCAAATTGCAATATGGCAAGACAAATTGTGTTGCAATAGTTTCCCATTAGTAAAAGAGAACCACTTTCCTAAGTAGCCAAGCAACTAACTAGATGTTTCAGTATATAATGACTATTTCCTTTTATTATCTCAAATTTATTCTTTGCTAACAGAAACTGTATACAAACAATTCCAAGTCTTACTTCAAAGGTCCTAAAAAGACATCCAGGATTAACAGGAAAATCAGTTGAGATTTTAAAACATGCAAGTAACAGATAGTCCATTTACATTTCACCCAAATGAGAACTCTAGGAATGCTGCCAACTCTGGCACTCCTGCATCCAAAGAAAGGTGTGTATGATATTAGAACCTCTCCCTCTCTCTGCTCTAATTTTGTTGGTACGAGCCTCATTCTTAAGCAGTTTCTTTTCTCGGTGGTGGTAGAATAGACAGCCCTTGGTTCTTTTCAGTTTACTTGGTCCTTGCTATTTACTGTCTCAGTGAGAAAGGAAATAGAACCTCTTTAGCAATAGTTTCAGCAAGCAATGACTCTAATTGGCCAATTAGGGTGCCATCAAGTCCTATGCCAATATCTGTGTGTTCTTATTGGACATATCTGAGTCATCTACTCTTAGTATACCACAAAAGATGGAGTAAACATTCAAAGGTCACCAACATCAAGGACCAAAGGTATATAAATCCATGAAGATGAGGAAAAACCAGCACAAAAAGGCTGAAAATTCCAAAAACCAGAATGCCTCTTCTCCTCCAAAGGATCACAACTCCTCACCAGCAAGGAAACAAAATTGCATGGAGAATGAGTTTGATGAGTTGACAGAAGTAGGGTTCAGAAGGTGGGTAATAACAAACTCCTCTGAGCTAAAGGAGCATGTTCTAACCCAATGCAAAGAAGCTGAGAACTTTGAAAAAAGGTTACATGAATTGCTAACTAGAATAACCAGTTTAGAGAAGAACATAAATGACCTGATGGAGCTGAAAAACACAGCACGAGAACTTCGTGAAGCATACACAAGTATCAATAGCCAAACTGATTAAGTGGAAGAAAGGATATCAGAGTTTGAAGATCAACTTAATGAAATAAAGCATGAAGACAAGATTAGAGAAAAAGGAATGAAAAGGAATGAACAAGTCCTCCAAGAAATATAGGACCATGTGAAAAGACCAAACCTACCTTTGATTAGTGTACCTGAAAGTGATGGGGAGAATGGAAGCAAGCTGGAAAACACTCTTCAGGATATTATCCAGGAGAACTTCCCCAACCTAGCAAGACAGGTCAACATTCAAATTCAAGAAACACAGAGAACACCACAAAGATACTCCTTGAGAAGAGCAACCCCAAGACACATAATCATCAGATTCATCAAGGTTAAAATGAAGGAAAAGATGTTAAGGGCAGCCAGAGAGAAAGGTTGAGTTACCCACAAAGGGAAGCCCATCAGACCTACAGTGGATCTCTCTGCAGAAACCATACAAGCCAGAAGAGAGTGGGGGCCAAGATTCAACATTCTTAAAGAAAATAATTTTCAACCCAGAATTTCATATCCAGCCAAACTAAGCTTCATAAGTGAAAGAGAAATAAGATCCTTTATAGATAAGCAAATGCTGAGAGATTTTGTCACCACCAGGCCTGCCTTACAAGAGCTCCTGAAGGAAGCACTAAATATGGAAAGGAAAAACTGGTACCAGACACTGGAAAAACATACCATATTGTAAAGATCATCAACACTATGAAGAAATTGCATGAACTAATGGGCAAAATAACCAGCTGGCATTATGAAGACAGGATCAGATTCAAACATGACAATATTCACCCTAAACGTAAATGGGCTAAATGCCCCAACTAAAATACACAGACTGGCAAATTGGATAAAGGGTCAAGACCCATTTGTGTGCTGTATTCAGGAGACCCATCTCACATGCAAAAACACATACAGGCTCAAAATAAAAGGATGGAGGAATATTTACCAAGCAAATGGAAAGAAAAAAAAAGCAGGGGATGCAATCCTACTTTCTGATAAAACAGACTTTAAAGCAACAATTATCAAAAAAGACAAAGAAGGGCATTACATAATGGTAAAGGGATCAATGCAACAAGAAGAGCTACCTATCCTAAATATGTATGCTCTCAAAACAGAAGCACCCAGATTCATAAAGCAAGTTCTTAGAGATCTATAAAAAAAAACTTAGATTCCCACACAATAATAGTGGGAGACTTTAACAACCCACAGTCAATATTAGACAGATCAACAAGAGAGAAAATTAACAAGGATATTCAGGACTTGAATTCAGCTCTGGACCCAGCAGACCTAGCAGACATCTAGAGAACTCTCCACCCCAAATCAACAGAACATACACTCTTCTCAGCATCACATCACAGTTATTCTAAAATTGACCACATAATTGGAAGTAAAACACTGCTATGCAAATGCAAATGAATGGAAATCATAACAAACAGTCTTTCAGACCACGGTTCAATCAAATTAGAACTCAGGATTAAGAAACTCACTCAAAACTGCACAACTACATGGAAACTGAACAACATGCCCCTGAATGACTATTGGGTAAATAACAAAATTAAGGCAGAAATAAATAAGTTCTTTGAAATCAGTGAGAACAAAGACACAACATACCAGAATCTCTTGGACACAGCTAAAGCATGTTTAGAGGGAAATTTATAGCACTAAATGCCCACAGGAGGAAGTGGGAAAGATCTAAAATTGATGTCCTAGCATCACAATTAAAAGAACTAGAGAAGCAAAAGCAAACAAACTCAAAAGCTTTCAAAAGATAAGAAATAACTAAGATCAGAGCAGAACTGAAGGAGATAGAGACATGAAATGCCCTTCAAAAAAATCAATGAATCCAGGAGCTGGATTTTTGAAAAGATTAACAAAATCGGTAAACAACTAGCTGGACTAATAAAGAAGAAAAGAGAGAAGAATCAAATAGATACAATAAGAAATGATAAAGGGGATATCACCACTGATCCCACAGAAATGCAAACTACCATCAGAGAATACTAGAAACACCTCTATGCAAATAAACTAGAAAATCTAGAAGAAATGGATAAATTCCTGGACACATACACCCTCCCAAGACTAAACCAGAAAGAAGCCAAATCCCTGAATAGACCAATACCAAGCTCTAAAATTAAGGCAGTAATTAATAGTCTACCAACCAAGAAAAGCCCAGACCAGATTGATTCACAGCCGAATTATACTAGAGGTACAAAGAGGAGCTGGAACCAGTCTTCTGAAACTATTCCAAACAATAGAAAAAGAAGGACTCCTCCCTAACACATTTTATGAGGCCAGCATCATCCTGATAACAAAACATGGCCAAGACACAACAAAAAAAGAAAATTTTAGGCCAATATCCCTGATGAACATCAATGTGAAAATCCTCAATAAAATACTGGCAAACTGAATCAGCAGCACATCAAAAAGCTTATCCACCACAATCAAGTCAGTTTCATCCCTGGGATGCAAGGCTGGTTCAACATATGCAAATCAATAAACACATCACATAAACAGAACTAATGACAAAAACCACATGATTATCTCAATAGATGCAGAAAATGCCTTCGATAAAAATCAACACCCCTTCATGTTAAAAACTCTCAATAAACTAGGTATTGATGGAACATATCTCAAAATAATAAGGGCTATTTATGACAAACTCACAGCCAATATCATACTGAATGGGCAAAAGCTGGAAGCATTCCCTTTGAAAACTGGTACAAGACAAGGAAGCCCTCTCTCACCTCTCCTATTCAACATAGTATTTGAAGTTCTGGCCAGGGCAATCAGACAAGAGAAAGAAATAAAGCGTATTCAAATAGAAAGAGAGGAAGTTAAATAGTCTCTGTTTGAAGATGACATGATTGTATATTTAGAAAACCCCATCATCTCAGCCCAAAATCTCCTTAAGCTGATAAGCAACTTCAGCAAAGTCTCAGGATACAAAATAAATGTACAAAAATCACAAGCATTCCTATACACCAATAATAGACAAACAGGAGAGCCAAATCATGAGGGAATTCTCATTCACAATTGCTACAAAAAGAATTAAATACCTAGGAATACAGCTTACAAAGTATGTGAAGGACCTCTTCAAGGAGAACTACAAACCACTGCTCAATGAAATAAGAGAGGACACAAACAAATGGAAAAACATTCCATGCTCATGGATAGGAAGAATCAATATTGTGAAAATGGCCATACTGCCCAAAGTAATTTATAGATTCAATGCTATCCCCATCAAGCTACATTGACTTTCTTCACAAAATTAGAAAAGACTACTTTAAATTTCATATGGGACCAAAAAAAGAGCCCGCATAGCCGAGACAATCCTAAGCAAAAAGAACAAAGCTGGAGGCATCATGCTACCTGACTTCAAACTATACTACAAGGCCACAGTAACCAAAACAGCATGGTACTGGTATCAAAACAGATATATAGACCAAAGGAACAGAGGCCTCAGAAATAATGCTACTCATCTACAACCATCTGATCTTTGACAAACCTGATAAAAACAAGCAATGGGGAAAGGATTCCCTATTTAATAAATGGTGTTGGGAAAACTGGCTAGCCATATGTAGAAAACCGAAACTAGACCTATTTCTTACACCTTATACAAAACTTAACTCAAGATGGATTAAATAATTAAACATAAGACCTAAAGCCATAAAATCTCTAGAAGAAAACCTAGGCAATGTCATTCAGGACATAGGTATGGGCAAAGACTTCATGACTAAAACACCAAAAGCAATGGCAACATAAGCCAAAATTGACAAATGGGATATAATTAAACTAAAGAGCTTCTGCACAGCAAAAGAAACTGTCGTCAGAGTGAACAGGGAACCTGCAGAATGGGAGAAAATTTTTGCAGTATCCATCTGACAAAGGGCTAATATCCAGAATCTACAAAGAATTTAAACAAATTTACAAGAAAAAACAAACAACCCCATCAAAAACTGGGCAAAGGATATGAATAGACACTTCTCAAAAGAAGACATTTATGCAGCCAACAAACATGAAAAAAAGCTCATCATCACTGGTTATTAGAGAAATGCAAATCAAAACCACAGTGACATACCATCTCATGTCAGTTAGAATGGTGATCATTAAAAAGTCAGGAAACAACATATGCTGGAGAGGATGTGGAAAAACGGGAATGCTTTTACACTGTTGGTGGGAGTGTAAATTAGTTCAACCATTGTGGAAGACAGTGTGGCAATTCCTCAAGGATCTAGAACCAGAAATACCATCCCATTACTAGGTATATACCCAAAGGATTATAAATCATTCCACTATAAAGACACATGCACATGTATGTTTACTGCAGCACTATTCGCAATATCAAAGACTTGGAACCAACCCAAATATCCATCAATGGTAAACTGGATAAAGAAAATGTGGCACATATACAGCATGGAATACCATGCAGCCATAAAAAAGGATGAGTTCATGTCCTTTGCAGGGACATGGATGAAGCGGGAAACCATCATTCTCAGCAAACTAACACAGGAACAGAGAACAAAACACTGCATGTTCTCACTCATAAGTGTGAGTTGAACAATGAGAACACATGGACACAGGAAGGGGAACATCACACCTTGGGGCTTGTCAGGGGGTGTGGGGGCTAGCAGAAGGAAAGCATTAGGAGAAATACCTAATGTAGATAATGGGTTGATAGGTGCAGCAAACCACCATGGCATGTGTATACCTATGTAACAAACCTGCACGTTCTGCACGTGTATCCCAGAACTTAAAGTATCATTTAAAAAAAGAAAAACATTTCAAAAAAAAAATGGGGTAAGGAGGGGGATAAAAGTCACAAGCCTCTCCTTTAGCACATAGATGAAGATGGTAGTTTCTAAAAGCAAATAAATGTTTATTTTTCCAGAAGAAATGGGAAAATATGCATGAAGGGCAAAAAGCACACATCCCTACAAAGGTGATTGTATAAGAGCAGAAAGGGTGTTTTTCTAGTACGTTTTGGCAGGATCCTCCCGCTAAAGTGTGAGTCAGTATCTGTATTTTTTTAATGTATGTTTTTCAAAGTATGTGCTTTTACTCCTACATTATATAATTAGCCATCCATGAAGATGAAATTGTAGTCAGAGACTGGAGGGTATGCACCTGTTTAAGAAACACTTAAGAGACTGACGAATGTTTCAGGCCCCAAGTCCTAGTTAGCAGAACACCACGTAATTGGCAGACTCTTCTGGGAGTGAACTGCAGGCGCAGTGGCCCCTAAAGAGGTATAAAGGAGTCCAAAGCAGTCAGGCTCAAGAGGCTCAAGAGATAAACATTAAGTAGATCATCACTGCCTGACTGCTGATGTTAGTTGACAGTCACTTTTGGGGAAACAAAAGGCTTCAAAAAATAAAAGTGAGAATAGCTCAATGTGTCTTATTGGTTCTGTTTCTCCAGAGAACCCTGGCTAACACATTTAACTAGTGGTAAGGGGTGTTCGAAGGAATGAACTGCATGCCATGTAAAAAAACAAACACAAAAGAAAGAAAAGGAACTCATTTTACTACCTTCCTGGGAGTGAAAACCCAAATTCAGCTAATGCTAATCACTCAGTAATTCATGGAAAATTACCTAAACAATGAAAGAGAATATAGCAGAAATTTAAGAACATGTAAAATTGATAATACAAAAATAAATAAATACAGAAACAGCCTGTTTGAAGAATATCTCGTTAGGCTAATATTTAGAGATAGGCAATATAAGAAAGGGAGGATGGAAGAGAAAGAAGGAATAGTAGTGAGGGTAAGAGAGGCCTTTGGGACTTGGGCAGGTAGAAAAGAAAGACAATAATCCCAAAAGGAGCATTGAGATGGGGAGAGAATGGATGTGAAAGGGAGCTGTGGATGAGAGGACTGGAGCAAGGTAGGACATCAAAGTTAGAAAGCTGGTCTTCGGAATCTGATCCAGAATGCTTTTCTCTTGTTTTCAAAGGCCTTGACCTTTTGGAGGCATTCCATGCTCCAGATGTTTTTTGACTTCTCCTTCCCTCTCATAATTTATTTGCTTTTTGTCCCGTTCATTCAGGGACTTACTTCCTACTAAAATAATAAAATTGCAAATAGGTTCTAAGAAACCATCCATGCCTTTCTTTTGGGACCTGTATGAATTGCTTGAGATAATTTTTCAGTTGGCTTCAACATTTATCGAGTATCTACTAAATGCTAGACACCTTACTCAGCACCAGGAGAGATAAGACAGATTTTCTGTCTCCCAGGAGTTCATGCATAGCAATCAAGGCAGAGTCACAATACAATGTGATAAGGGCTAATGTAGCGTTGCAACAGTGGTTCAGTAGTGATCATAAGGCAGAGATTAATCCTTCCTGGGAGAATCAGAGAAGACCTTTGTTAAATGGGAAAAGGAGAAAGGTTGCATTAACTGGAATGGAAAACATAAGCAAAGGCAGACAGAGTCAAAAATGCTTGGTGTTCAAGAGAGATATTACCTGCAGGTAGGACAGGTCAGGGGAGCTGGGAGAGGAGCAATTGGGGCGGTCTGTCAATGACCCCATCCATCTCAGAATCTAAAGTGCTGACTCTTTAAAGTACTTTGGTTAGTTTCTTCCTGCAAAGACTATCCTTATAAATGGAGTCAGCACACTTTCTGCAGTTTCCATTCTTGCATGCCCGTGAGTCCCTGTCATGACTCTGCTATTAGAATGTGAGGACAGTCATAGACAAAATTTAAATGAATTGGTATGACTGTGTTCCAATTAAACTTTATTTATGAAAACAAGCAGTCATCTCACAGGACATTAGTTTGCTCCCTCTGAGCGATGTTCAAGTGGTACAGTTGACACTTAAGTTACATGGGTTTGGACTGCACGGGTCCACCTCTGTCACCCTTGAGACAGCAAGGCCAATCCCTCTTCTTCCATCCCTCCGTAGTCTAGTCATCATGAAGATGACAAAGATGAAAAACGTTTTGATGATCCCCTTGCACTTAATGAGTAGTAAATATATTCTCTCTTTCTTAATAACATTTTCTTTTCTCTAGCTTACTTTATTGTAAGAATACAGTATTTGATACATATAACATACAAAATATGTGTTAATTGACTGTTTATGTTACCAGTGAGGCTTCTGGTCAACAGTAAGCTATTAATAAAGTTTTGAGGGAGTCAAAAGATACAGGTAGATTTTCAACTATGTGGAGGAGGGTTGGCGCCCCTAACCCCCAAGTTGTTCAAGAGTCAATTATAGATTAGAACCTTCTGCACAGGGAAGCAAAGAAATGATCTAACATTGCAGGGCCAGAATTCAGGCCAAAAAGACCCAATTGTACCCGACTGTTTTGTCTGCCCCTGTGTTCAAGTCTTTAAATGTCTTTTAAGGTAATTTTAGAATTAATATTTAAAGGGAGATTGATGGCTCAACTTACTAATTTTTAAAACACAACTTTCCATACATTTTTAGTTAGAAGGAAATAGCTAGGCTTGGACAGAAATAAGAAATTTCAAGCCCCTCTATAAATGTTTTTCTTTTCTGTCTCATCATCCCCTGCAACAAATCAAGAAAATGCTTTCTAATAAAAACTCATTTTGCCTGTGTTAAACATGCTCTGAATTCATTTGATTTGGCTACTAATTTCACAAATTTTCTTTTTTAAAAAAAATTTATTCAGAATGACAAAGAGAGAAAAAATAAAACTTTCTGGGAAAGAAGGAATAAGAAGCTGGATTGGCAGAAAGATCAATGTGGTTTTCCCTAGAGCTTCCTGGGCAGAGCACAGAAAAGGCTGGTAAGTGGCTTTGTTTGCCAGGGAGAGATTCTGTTGTGTCTTCACAATGCTATCACAACTGCGAACTCTGGAGATTTCTTTTCCACATACTCAAATAACTAGTTTGACAAAATTTCCCACCCAATTGTCTTTTGTTAAAGCATTGTAAAGATACAACTTGAAGCACCTTTGAGACCATTAGTTTTTGATCTATTGCTTTTGTCCAAACAATTGCAAACAATTTAACTAAAGGCCTAATGTATTCCTTTTGTCCCTTGAGACTTTCCAGTTTCCATTTCGATGCCACAGTCTTCTACAGGCTTCTTTCTTCCCCTTCCAACTGCCACCTTCCCCCACAAAAAAAGCCTCTCTTGAGATTCAGACACGGCTCTGTGTCAGCCACATGAATTCTTTTATATCCCACTTCATATTGTTGTTGATTTCCTCAGTTTTCCAAGTGCAAAAGATCTGAGTGGTGAAATCTAACTTCCATGACTGCTATATCCAAACCAACTGTCTTAATAGTTTGGAAAGTATTGTCAGATTAGTATGTGTAAGCAAATTTGAGACAATTATGGTCATGCTAAACTTTATAGTTTTAAGGAGTCTGCCAGTATATTTTAGCTACATAGGAAAGACCATAATTTTAACTTTCTAAATCATGCTTGACATATTATTTAAATTTGCCATAAAGGGATTAAATCTTATCCATGCCCAGCATTACTTTTTTCAAATGTTAAGTTATCAGAAATTAATATGCTGCACATATGTATGTGTTGTCAAGCAGAGTAGCATTTTTCCTAGCTACTGAACCTGGAAAAGGAGTTTTCCTAAAACACACATTTGCCTTTCCCACTAGTCCCCTTATTAGCAGGCAAATAATCAATGTCTGTCATTGTAATACTATTTTGACAGTTAATAAAAGAACTGGTAGCCTCATTCAAGGTTTTTATTTTAGTGTGCCTTCTAGATTTCTCTATTTATCCCTCTTTCCTTTGTGCTCCCTTTGTGCTTTGGACATAATCCATCCTGGCATTTCTACTTTAATGATATGTTTATGGGTCTCTATACTCCTTAAATGGTGAACTTTTCTAAAGCTTGGGTCATGTTTATTAATCTTTCGACTTTCAATGCCTAGGGCTATACCTGGCAACCAGCAGGTAATTAATTCCCAAATGTACGCATGTCTGGCAAAATGCGTTGGTCAAAGTATTGTATGACATTTTCCAATCCTTGGAGCCAGGTGTTAGAATTTGGTCTTTTATTTGGTTACTTCATATCTTTGCCTTTGGGATCAGAGAGGTAAATAGGAGAAGAGAGTGTATTTCTGTAATAGAAAAGGGGCTCAGCAGTTGCCATGTTGCCATTGAAGAGGCTGGGATCACCCTAGCTTTATTAACTGTCTGTGCAGATGGGAAGTCCTTCAAATCTTGATTCTCTCCACTGCAGGTTGCCTATGGAGAACTACAAATTGAAGAGTTTCTTAATCAGTCCACTGTTCACTTGATTCCCAGACACAGACAACATGAGTTTAATTATCCGGAGACATTTCAAAGGATGTTGATGTTTCATGATGGGAAAACGGCTACTTCTACAAAGAATTGATCTTTCTGAATAGAAAGAAGGTCATTCCTGTGAGCACTGTATATTTTGCCAACAGAATTAGACTGGTCAGTTAAGAAGTATGCCTTAATTATTAAGAGCATAGGATCAGGCAGTCTGAGCTCTGAGTTCAAAATCCTAACCTTACCCTTACCAACCAAGTGCCTATTGGGTACAGAATCATAACACTTCGGTAAAATGATTCCCGTGAACACAAAATATACGGTACTCTCATGAGCACCATATATTTTTCCAACAGAATTAGACTGGTCAGTTAGGAATTAGACTGTTTTAATTGTTAAGAGTACAGGATCAGGAAGTCTGAGTTCTGAGTTCAAAATCCTAACCTTGCTTTTACCAACCAAGTGCCCATTGAGTACAGAATCATAACAATTGGATGAAATGATTAGCATGACAGTGCCTAGATGATATGGTGTTGTATATATTCAATATGATGTAATTTTCCAATATCCATTGAATGTGTACCATGTGGATACAAGGAGAACAAGAAGATGAAGTCTTTCTCATTGGGAAGCTCACATCTTAGTGACCCTCCAGAATTAATATATCTAAAGACTAAGGACAGTACCAAACACAAAGTAATTGCTATCTATGCTGTTATTCATGCAAATGATTAAATCAGTGCACCCCCTCCCAATCATGGATTGCTCTAATATTACATATCACTCTTATATTATACCTTCCTCCAGACAGTAAATGGAAATCTGCACTCCTAGAGTTTTGTGTTGTTATTCTTAATGATGATATGGCAAGAGACTGCAAACATCCTGATTTGCAAGGCTAGGGAGCTTGGAAATGCCAGGAAATATGGGAAAAATCAAACCCCATTCTTTCAACTCACTGGCGATTTTTTCCTGGCTACACTGTCTTCATTTAATCTACATTTCCCTACCAGCAGGTGCTCACCAACTACCATTGGTGAAGGCACCAGTGAGTTTCTGGTAAGGATCTGAGTTGTTCCTGACCACAGATTGGAGGAACCATGTGGGAAAAGGTGTAGCATTGCATTCTCTTGGAACACAGACTTTCGTCATTTGGCAAAGAGATTCATCTTGCATTTTTTAGTATGATGGCAAGCAATACATGATGGCAAGCAATACTTAACTTCATAACCTTGATTCATATCCTTCCCCCTAATGCTCCTAACAGGACAACTGAAATTTATATTGCCTGATTGAAAAGAGGCTTTATTTGACCCAGACACAAAGTTAGCTTTCCAATACTTCCCTAGCTTCCAAGCCATAAAAAATTAAATGCCTGGAATGTGTACCTTACAAGATAAAATAAATGAGATAACTTTTTACTGGTAAACAATCAATAGCCTATTAAAATAAAACTAGCATACAATTCTCTGATTTTTGTAGAGGGACATTTTATTTTGGTCCTGTAAGTTTCCCTAGTAGAGCTGGAATAATTGTAGAATAGATTTTGGAAGTAGTATGTTCAGGCATAAAATAATGCAATATGCAATAACTCAAGTTGATAAACAGGTTAATT
Source organism: Homo sapiens (assembly GCF_000001405.40). NCBI lineage: Eukaryota > Metazoa > Chordata > Mammalia > Primates > Hominidae > Homo > Homo sapiens. The sequence continues at coordinate 85,360,869 of NC_000014.9, read as the reverse complement.
GCAATGATGCTTGGCACGTAGATCTTTTTCTGCTAAGACTTTGAAAGTTAGAAAAACTCATAATATTTATGTTTGTCATTTGAAGAATTTAAGGGGTTATTAATATTCAGAAACATGTACTAATTTCCTTTGAAGGGAGATAACTTACTGGCTGTAAAATAAATATTGGCCTTGGAACTGGACAAACTGAGCTTAAATCCTGGCTCCTTCACTTATTTGCTATGTGACTTTAGATAAATGATTTAATCTTGATTTTTTAAATCTGAAAAATAGGGTTAATGATACCTGATGCTTTAGTAGTACAATGAGGTATTCCACAAAGATAGTGGAAAACAGGGAAATTAGGTTGCATGTAACTACTATCTTAGGAGCTTTAACAAAATAATAAAATACCTGGGTTCTCAACCCCAGAATTCTGATATAATTAGACTTGAATGAGGTTGAGGCACAGTATTTTTGTCAAAATCCAGACAGACATGGTCCCTATCTCTCATGAATTGCACAATACAGTAGAAGTTACTGACGTTATAGGTGAAGAACTAAATTGAATATGAGTTTTAGAGCCAGGAAGATCTGTGATATTTTGCTAGCTGTGTGGCCTTGGGCAATAACTTAATTTTCCTGAGTCTCAGTTTCCCCATGTATAAACACTAACGTTAATGCATTTGTATCTCTTAGTATAGTGATTTAGGACTGCCACATAGTAGGTGCGTCCTAAATATCATTATTCATTATAATTTCACAAGTATTATTGGTAATATTTTACCTCAAAAAGATACTATGACTGATCGTTTAGGTCTACAAGTATCTAATTGCTCAGTTGTAATATTTCACTTTAAAGTGAATAAGGTCTCCAAAAGGTTAAAAAAAAAATCACAGTTCTATCTTATTAGTGTTGAAATGGGGGCAGTTACAGCCTCTTTTCCATGCCACTTCACTAGTACTAGTACTGTCAATACATTTCTTCATAAAATATATCCATCAGACATGGAATATTAGGTATTCAGAGTTGATCTGTACTTTCATATACATATTGATTTAAACAACATAATTTTGTGATTTTGTTTTCAATTTCCATCTTGCATGTTTTAGAATTTCATCTTCTATCTTGGTATATGGAACAATGTGTCAATAAACATCAGTGAGCATAAAGGAAGGATGACTCAACAAATTCTTGCATCCAGTTCAATTTCAATTCAGGTTCTATTTCATTTCAACCTAATACATATAAACCTAGATTTCCCTTATAGACTCCTAGCTCTTAATTAAAATCACTATCACATTGCCTAGAGGAAAAGTCTGCTTTTCTATGTTTTTCTCCTTTTACATAGAGTTTCAGAACATTTAGATTACAGTTTTTGACCTAATAATTTAACCTTATATAAGCAGAGGGTGATTTTCACAATATCAAATCTGGTACCTATCATTTTGGCAGTCTTCAATTGCAAATGAAGTTTCCCAGAATATTATGAAAGAAAGACGTTGGCCTGTAGAACACTCCTGATTTATAGTACAAGACCTTGGTTTTAAAATAATCTTGTGAGACAATTTGGCATAATCCTTATTTTTTTCTCTTGATTTCAGGACTTAATGTAGCTAAAATAAACACTTTAATTTGAGCAATTAATTATAAATTAGGGACCTGTCCATTCTGTATGAAGGCATAATTAAGGGTATAATTCCTGAGTTCTTTTCTTCATTTTGGCTTCTTTGATTTTGGCCCAAATTGGAACACAAGTACAAATGCTAAAAGAAGTTCTTTCACCATGAAAATACAGGATATCATTATAAAATATGAAACCTGTTCCCAAAGTTATACACAAAACTCAGAATTGTGATTCACAGTCAAGGGAGCTACAAAACAGATCCCTATCCCTTTTACAAAAGAAGTCAGATTCAGCTGACCTTAATTTCATGACAGTAAAAGCTGAGATTCACCAGGTAACAGTTGCTCTATCATTTTAACAAAAAGTCTCTGAAACTCTTTCTATCATCCCAGAGTCCTACTTTTCATTTTCTTCCTAGATGAAAATTTCTCCTAAATAGTCTGGATTCCTCATGGATGCTTCCTTGAATACTGGGTGCATCTTGCAATTCCACTATCCTGCCCAATCCCATCAAATATAGAATGAACTCAGCACTCTCTACCATCTGGTCCTAACTCATTAATTCAGTCTAAGCTTTTCACCCATGCAATTTTTCCACTTGAGACAGGCTGAGCTATTCATAATGTCCTAAATGTAGTTCATGCATTCATATCCTGTGCCTTCAGGTACACTATGAAATAACAAGAAATATACACATTAGTCTTTGTCCCAATTTCCTGGCACAGAGTTCCTAAAACTCTGGTAATTTCCTGAGCAATAGGGTACTAGAGAACCTTTTGTCTTGGTCTCTGTTTTGGTCTCTGTTTTAGTTTCTGAGATAGAGCTCCTAATACCATTGTACATAAAGGTGCATTTGGTCTTTGACCCTGTTCCTGACACAAAGCCCGTAAATCCCTTGGAATTTCCAGAGTGATAGGAGCATCTTTTGTCCCAGTGAAGCAACTCTTGATGGGCTCCTGGATTGCCTCAGGATGGGGGCTGGGTCAGGAGAATCAACCATATGATTAGAGGGTTTAAAATTTTAGTTCCACTCCTGACCTCCTGGTAGGGTAGAGCTGAAGGTTCACTTGTTCAACCAATGGCCAATGGTGTAATAAATCATTTATGTAATAAAGCTTTCATAAAACTCCAAAAAGTCTGGGTTCAGAGAACCACTAGATTACTGACCATGTGGAGGTTTCTGGAGAGTGATCTGCCTGGAGAAGGCATGGAAGCTTTGCCCTCATTCTCCCATACCTCACCCTATACATCTCTTCCATATTGCTGCTCATCTGTATCCTTGAAATATTCTTTTAGTAAGCCAGTAAATGTAAGTAAAATGTTGCCCTGAGTTCTGTGAGCCACTCTAGCCAATTAATTGAACCCAAGAAGGGGGTCATGGGAACCCCTATTTATTGCCAGTCAGTCAGAAGCATAGGCCACAACCTGTGCTTACAACTGGCATCTGAATGGGGGCAGTCTTATGGGACTGAGCCCTCAACCTGTGGTATCTGATTCTATCTCTAGGTAGATAGTGTCAGAACTGAATTTTGTTAGAGGACTACCAGTTGGTGTTACTGGAGAATCTGCATCATTGGGAGAAACCTCACACATTTTGGTGACCTGAGGTGAAGTATTCAGTATTGTGTTGAGTGTGAAAGCAAAATGACCTTTCCTTTTCCTATCTCAACATATGCTCTCCTCTCAGTTTGGAAAGACCTTCCTTCTTTTCTCTTCCTAAGAAGTCTCATGTGAACATTAGATCTTCCACGCAGACTTTTCTGACCACGAACTACTGTAACTTTACTTGTCCTTTTTAATTAGTCTTTACTATTTTGGTTCCCATCAGTTACATCAAAAAGTACGTGAGAGCAGATCTAGTAATACTTTTTCTTCTCACTAAAACACAAACACTTCGTTTTTTAAACAAATATTTAATGAGCACTTATGAAGTACAAAGTACTCCTGTAGACATTTGGAACATATCATAGAACAAAGTGTGCCTGTTTACAAAGACAAACTTTTTAAATAGTTTTCTGAATCTTAGAAGCATGATAGGTTTAGCTAAGATCTAATAGGCAAGTAATTACGATGGAACCCAATGAACTCAATTCATTATTGATGAGCCTTGCTGATTTGGCTTATTATCAGAAAGTTCTGGAAGGAAAGGGAAAATAAAACTTAACAGTTATTGAGCAATAGAACAACATTTACATTGCTATTTTCATTTGCTATTCACAAGAAATCTTGAAAGATATGTAGTCCCTTACAGGGGATGTTTCAGTAAAGTGAAAAAGATAAATGTATCAGAGGATAGTTGGCCTAAAAGGAGTCTTTGTCTCTATTAGAGTACTTTCTCATAAATAAATAAATAATATCCATGTCTTCTGAAGCCAGCTCTAGCCATCTGGAATACCTGGTAAGAGGAATGGGTTTTAATCCAAATGATACTCTAAAATCATCCCTTTTATCAGTCGAACATTTATATCCTGTTTTCCAACAACAGTTCTCCAATACCAACTGGAAGTCTTACAATTCAATTCTAACACTAACTACCCAGAATTAGAATGCATCCCACAGGTTAAGGGCTCAGTCCCACAACATTGCCCTCACTTCAGATGCCAGCCACAAATAGTGTCCTCAAGCTATGCATACTTCTGTCTGCTTGACTATAAATTGATGGGTTCCCATAACTCTTCCTTAGGTTTGATAATTTACTAGAATGACTCACAGAATTCAGGAAAGTAGAAAAGCATGATGCTTACAAGTACGTTTTTATTATAAAGAAAACAACTCAGGAACTGCCAAATGGAAGAAATACACAGAACAAGGTATGAGATGGAGAGGTGAGGAGCCTCCATACCCGTCTCTTGGCAGATCACCTTCTCAGCACATTGATGTGTTCACCAACCTTGAAGCTTCCCATATCGCTTTGTTTAAATGTGCTTGTCGAAATTTTATTTTGTAGGCATGATTGATTAAATCATTGGCCATTGGTGATTGAATTCAATCTCTAACCTCTTTCCTCCTCTGTCTCAGTCCATTTATGTTGTTATAAAGGAATACCTGGAGCTGGGTAATTTATAAAGGAAAGAGGTTTATTTTTCTCATGGGTGTTTAGGCTGTACAAGAAGCATGATACCAGCATCTGTTTCTTGTGAGGACCTCAGGCTTCTTCTACTCGTGGCAAAAAGCAATTGAGAGCCTGTGTGTGCAGAGATCACATGGTGAGAGAGGAAGAAAGAGAGAGATGGGGGAGGTGCCAGGCTCTTTTCAACAACTAGCTCTCATGGGAATGAATAGAGTGAGACTCATTCATTCCAGTGAGAATGGCACCAAGCCTTTCATGAGGGATCCCACCTCCATGACGCAGTACTTCCCATTAGGTCCCACCTCTAACACTGGAGATCAAATTTCAACATGATGTTCGGTAGGTCAAATATCCAAACTATTGAATCCTCTCAAGTTCAGGGGTGGATCTGAAAGTTCCAATCCTTTAACCAGGTTGTTGCTTTCTCTGGCAACCAGACCCCATCCCAAAGCTGCCTAGGGGGTTGCCAGGAGTCATCTCAATAGTATAAACCCAGGTATGGTCAAAGGTGTTCGTTATGAATAAAAATAAACACTCCTGTCAATCAGAATATCCCAAGGTTTTAGGAGCTCTTTGCCAGAAGCCAAGGACAAAGACCAAATATACATATTTTTATTACGCTACAATTGGAAATGCCCAAGGAGCTTATAAACCAATGCCTAGGCCCCTCTGCCTAAGGTTCTAATTTCAGTGGTCTGAAGTAGAGCCCCATCATGGGCACTTTATAAAGGATCTTCAGTTGATTCTAACGTACAGCCAGGGTTGACAGCAATTCTTTAAATAAGAGAATGGTGTGAGTCAGGTGAGGCGTGTTCAATATTTGAAAGCAAATTTACAATTTCTTTGAACTATAGTTCTTGCACTATGCTAGCTGCTGAGGAGCCAACAGTGAGCAAGCCAGGCATGTTCCTTTCCTTATGCAGCTTATAGTCCAGTAGGAAAGATGGAAATTACATACATATGTCAGGCATAATGAAGCTGAGAAGGTCAGGTAGAGATTACTATGATAGCATATAGCAATGAACCCTTTGTTGGAAATTGCTCTTCAGTAAGAGGACCATGACACAGTGGCATCAGTATTACCTAGGAGTTGCTAAAGTTACAGAATAAGAGGCCCCACCCCAGACCCACTAAATTGAATAGCATTTTACCAACATCCTCAGGAGAATCCTGCGCATAATCAAGTTTGAGAAGTGCAGCTCTTGGCAACTCCCCAGAAAGAACCGCTTATGAACTCCTCAATGATATCCCAGAGGCAGCTCTTCTTCTTGTCCTTCAGGGAAATAATTGTACAAATATTCCTATATCCCATAAAGTACCCCAAGAACTTCTCAGTAAAATGATTTTTTGCTTAAACTAGTAAGATTCACATTCTATTGCCTCCAAGAAAGTTACCATATCTAATAAAGTTTCTATTTCCAAAATGCTAGAAAAAAAGATAAAACCCAAATTATATCTCATGTTTTCAATTCAGCATTTGATATTTCCAGCATTTTATACATAATCTGACATATTGTTCCTTCTCTTCATAATTTAACACATATGTAGTTTCAAGCCAATTAGTTTTGAATGATGTCAAGAATTTGGTGCTTTTGGTTGGCTTAATGATTTCCGTCCTTTTCTCAATTGTATATATTTAGTTTGTGAGAACTGTGTTCATTATCTATTATTGCATAATAAAATGCCGTAAATGTAACAGTTTAAGACAACAATAAGCACTTACCATCTCACAGTTTTTGTGGGCTAAGAATTAGGAGTGGCTTAGCTGGGTTATTTTTACTCAGTGTATTTTATGACGCCATGATCAAGATGGTGGCTGGGAAGCTGCTGTCATTTGAAGGCTTGCCTGGGGATGGAGGGTCTAATTCCAATAAGGCTCACACCAGTGACTGACATGTTGATGCTGGCTGTTGGCAGAAATTCTTAATTACTCACCACATGGACTTCTTCATAGGTATACTTGAATTTCCCCATGCCATGAGAACTGACTTCCCTTAGAGAAACTGCTTTCTGTGTGAGTCCATTTGCATTGCTATAAAGGAATACCAAAGGCTGGTAATCTATTTTTAAAAAGAGGTTTATTTGGCTTACAGTTCTGCAGGCTTTATACAAAGCATAGTGTCAGCATCTGCTTCTGGTGAGGCCTTAGGAAGCTTACAGTCATGGTAGAAGATGAAGGGGAACCAGTATGTCACATGGCAAGAGTGGGAGAGACAGGGAGAAGGTGCTGGGCTCTTTTCAACAACTAGATCTCACATTCACTCAGAGTGAGAAATCATTCATTACTGCAAGGACAGCACCAAGCCATTCATGAAGGATCCAGCCCTGTGACCCAAACACCTCCCAACTAGGGCCACCTCCACCATTGGAGGTTACATTTCAACATGAGATTTGAAGGGCATGAAGCATCCAAAACATACAACATTGAGAACAAGGCAGAAACCACGATATCTATCATGAGCTAGCCTCAGAAGCCATATTTCACCATTTCTGCAATATCCTATTGGTTACAGGTCAATCCTATTCAATGAGAGGGGAGGAGAGTCATAGCAGTGTGAATGAGGGAAGAATCATTGGAGATAACCTGGGAGACTGGCTAACACAAGGTCCATATTTCATATCATTTCACTTTTCTGCTTCCAAGTATTTAAAGAAAAATAGGACCCCTCTCCCTCTCCCTCTCCCTCTCCCCATGGTCTCCCTCTCCCCACGGTCTCCCTCTCCCTCTCTTTCCACGGTCTCCCTCTGATGCCGAGCAGAAGCTGGACTGTGCTGCCGCCATCTTGGCTCACTGCAACCTCCCTGCCTGATTCTCCTGCTTCAGCCTGCCGAGTGCCTGTGATTGCAGGTGCGCGCTGCCACGCCTGACTGGTTTTCGTACTTTTTTGGTGGAGACGGGGTTTCGCTGTGTTGGCCGGGCTGGTCTCCAGCTCCTAACCGCGAGTGATCCGCCAGCCTCGGCCTCCCGAGGAGCCGGGATTGCAGACGGAGTCGCGTTCACTCAGTGCTCAATGGTGCCCAGGCTGGAGTGCAGTGGCGTGATCTCGGCTCGCTACAACCTCCACCTCCCAGCAGCCTGCCTTGGCCTCCCAAAGTGCCGAGATTGCAGCCTCTGCCCGGCTGCCACCCCCTCTGGGAAGTGAGGAGCGTCTCTGCCTGGCCACCCATCGTCTGGGATGTGAGGAGCCCCTCTGCCTGGCTGTCCAGTCTGGGAAGTGAGGAGCGCCTCTTCCCGGCCGCCATCCCATCTAGGAAGTGAGGAGGGTCTCTGCCCAGCCGCCCATCGTCTGAGATGTGGGGAGCGCCTCTGCCCCGCCGCCCCGTCTGGGATCCGCCCCGTCTGAGAAGTGAGGAGCCCCTCCGCCAGGCAGCCGCCCCGTCTGAGAAGTGAGGAGCACCTCTGCCCGGCAGCCACCCTGTCTGGGAAGTGAGGAGCATCTCCACCCCCGGCAGCCACCCCGTCGGGAGGGAGGTGGGGGTCAGCCCCCACCCGGCCAGCTGCCCCGTCAGGGAGGGAGGTGGGGGGCGCCTCCGCCCGGCCAGCTGCCCCATCTGGGAGGTGGGGGGCGCCTCTGCCCGGCCGCCCCTTCTGGGAAGTGAGGAGCCCCTCTGCCCGGCCACCAACCCGTCTGGGAGGTGTACCCAACAGCTCATTGAGAACGGGCCATGATGACAAAGGCGGTTTTGTGGAATAGAAAAGGGGGAAAGGTGGGGAAAAGATTGAGAAATCGGATGGTTGCTGTGTCTGTGTAGAAAGAAGTAGACATGGGAGACTTTTCATTTTGTTCTGTACTAAGAAAAATTCTTCTGCCTTGGGATCCTGTTGATCTATGACCTTACCCCCAACCCTGTGCTCTGAAACATGTGCTGTGTCCACTCAGGGTTAAATGGATTAAGGGCGGTGCAAGATGTGCTTTGTTAAACAGATGCTTGAAGGCAGCATGCTCTTTAAGAGTCATCACCACTCCCTAATCTCAAGTACCCAGGGACACAAACACTGCAGAAGGCCGCAGGGTCCTCTGCCTAGGAAAACCAGAGACCTTTGTCCACTTGTTTATCTGCTGACCTTCCCTCCACTATTGTCCTATGACCCTGCCAAATCCCCCTCTGCGAGAAACACCCAAGAATGATCAATAAAAAATAAAAAAATAAAAAAATTAAAAAATAAAAAAAAAAGAAAAATAGGACCAAAGGTAATAATGTATCAAGCATTTTCTAGGTAGACAAAGATGGTGACTTAACTGTATGATGGATATTTTCACGTGTATAATAACAATAATGCTAAAAATATAATATCTAACATTTATGTAACCCTTAATAAAATGTCATGGACTGTTCTAATGTCCTTTTATATATTAATCATTTAATCCTTACAACCTGACTTTTATAAAGTTAGCTCTCTCCTACCACTTCTCACGGCTCCCTGCTACCATCCTGGAGCAAGCATAATCACAATTTACCTGGTTTGCTGCAAAAGCCTCCAACCAGGCTATACCCACAATCCTTTGAGGTAGGTACTATTTCTGTCTGCATTTTACATTCCAGGCACAGGGATCTGCAAAGTCCAAAGGTAGGCATTTGTATAGCAGTTTTGAGAAACAACCAAAAGGGCAGTAGGATTAGAGCAGAGTAAGTAAGGAGAGAGAACTAGGAAATGGGCTTATAGAGGTAACACATGGAGGAGTAAGCACAGACCATGCAAAGCCCTGGGGGTTATAGTAATCACTTGCTGGGGTGGGGCTGAGAACAGCTTGAAAGAATAGAAGGCAGATGTGGGATGCCTAGTTGCAGGCTATTGTAGCAGTCCAGGTAAGATGTGGTTGTGCCTGGTCCAGGATGGCAGCAGTGGAATGGTGAGAAATGGTGGAAAGAGTGGAGCATCCATTTATTCATAGTTAACTTGTTTAGAAAAACCCATTTCCCATTTAGAAAAAGAAAATGCAGCTTTCTGCCAGTGCTCATTTCTTAGGACGAATGGTAAATGGGTTAGAAATCATGATAGTGACGTTGAAGGCATAGGTGATTAAAGGAAACAGCTATGATGGAGTAGAATGATGGCATCCTGACAGCAGAACCAATGTTCATCTTAGGCTGCTGTTTGATAGTTTTGCCAAGTACACAAGCCCTGCTACCTACCAAAAGAAGCCGATTTAAAACAAAAGAGATTTTGATGACCATCTGAGTTATTGGAAAGCAGTTCAAAAATATAGATTTTTTTAAAAGAAAGGATACTAGGAAGTTTTAGAAGAGTGTGCTTTAAAAATATTGTGACTGACTGATGATCAAAGGAAAGCTTGGCAAATTCTCCTGGCAGTCAAACAAAAAGGCACACGCACACAAACCAGAGCAAATAAAAGATTTGTTAAATAAAGTAAACTAGCTATTCATAGACACATATTCAAATGTCAAGCCAAAATTAAAATGGATATCAATATTTTTTCTCTTGAACACAAACATGAGAGCCAATCGAATGTATGTCAACAGCATACAATATCAGGGTAATGAGAAATTCAGTGCAATACTCTGCCATCCCCAGTATGTTCAAAACAAACTACCCTACTAATGGAGGAAATTAGATTCTTCCAAAATGATCGTTCATTCTACAAACATTTGAGTACCTACAAATGCTAATCAACTATTCCAGAAACATTTTCAGCACTTTTTCAACATACGAAATCAATAAGTCTCAAATGGGATAACATTATAAAATTTAGTATTCTAGACCTGGAAAGAATGATGGAGATAATTTAATCCATCCTTCTTGACCCATCACCTATTTGATAGCTAGAAATAAATGGAGGCGCATGGTAGTGAAGCAATTTGCTTAAAGTCACATGGCTTGTTAGCTTTAATGTTGGGATTGAAAAGCAGAGAACTCTTTCACTATGTCTTTATCTCATTCTAATAGAGCCACAGTCATTTTCAAAAATTAATTTGTAGTGACCTTTTTTTTTTTAACACTAAACCAATGAATACGCAGGTCTTTCACGTTTCAATTGACATTGGCATCTCTCCACAGTTATGTGAGGACAGATATGAGAATATAATTTCCCTGTTCTACTATGAAAATGGAAACCCAGAGCCAAACCATCCTTGCAGTGCAAGGGAGAAATTCACAGAGCCACATACAGACAAGTTTGCTTCATTCACACCCACATCCCTGTGCCACACAGTGCCTGTTACATCAAGACACTCAATACATTTTTATTAAATGAATGAGCAGATTTATGCTCCCTTAATGTCAATTCAACCCAGAAACCCAGCAAAGGGTAAATCACAAGCATTAAAGTGAAACTGGAGCTTACAGTGCCTCCTGGATGCCATGTCTGTCTTTGCCAGGGTAGACATGGAGACTTTAAAAAATATCATATGTACATTTAATAATTTTTAAAAATCCCAGTGGAGGCTCTTAAAGACAGAAGAGAACGTAAAGAGAGACATTCTACTCAGCCTAGGCCAAGGTGCAGGTAAAGGAAGAAATAAAGAATGTGTAGAAAATTCCCATCCAGACATAGCAGGAGATGAAAGTGATGTCAGTGCTAATGAGACTAATAAATAAAATCTTGTAAAAAATCAAGCATAAGTTGCTATTTCTTCTAACACTGCCTACAGTGTGCCTTTCTTCTATAGTAAGTAAGCTAAACATATCTTTTTAGGCCAGTGTCTCGTATTTTGAAATTCTGTTTCTTATGAAATTTTACCTACTCAATAATACTCCTAGTCCTTAAGTTAATTATCAGACTCTGAACCTTTGATTTCAAGGGGAAAAGGATGTGTTATAAATGTGGCCCCCTAATGAAGTAGCAAAACATGTATAGACTGTTTATTTTCTATCATCAGTGTACAACAGCAATTTCGTCTTTTACTAAAACTTTTGTTTTTCAAAATAAAATTTGGCCACTCATAGGTTGTGAATCTTTACAACCTGTCCACTATGCAAGAGCGTTCACTTGAAGGTTTGATACAAAGGGACTTAATTAACCCCATAGCTGCTCAGCTATCTTTAAGTATATTGCCAGAATGCAGCTGCCCAATAGAGTGGTTAGGAATATCTACTGCCTTCTTTCCAGTCATGGACAGGTAACGATTTACTGCCAAAAAAGTGACCATAATAGAGTCCTTTTTAAAGATGAAAATTTTAAAGTCAAAGTCATATTTTATGAGCTGTACAACCTCAGCTCATTCGTAGAAGAAAAATGGCTGGAATCATGAAGAAAATGTTACTAACTTCTTGAGTCTCTTACTTGAACACACACAAAAATGTGTGCACAAATATATGCACAAATGTGTATTCACAGAGCTCAACTGCTTACTCTCTGTTTTTCTCTCTTTTTTTTTTTTTTTTTGGCCTGGATTCATCACTATCAGGAGTCGAGTGATGCACTTGCTTTGGGTGTGATATGTAAGGGGAGACCAAAAACTCCTCAATCAAGATAAGGACCAATAATATTGTGGTACTGGGCTACATAGGAGTCTAAGATAAAAAGAAAAGCAGTAACACAGATCCTATTTTTATTAAAAATGCTGATGTTTTGGTCAGAAATTTTTGGCATGATTTTTGATTTGTAAAATATTGTATTGAAGTATTGGTTACTGAGGGTTTTTGTTTGTTTGTTTGTTTGTTTATTTGTGAGACATAGTCTTGCTCTGTCACCCAGGCGGGAGTGCAGTGGTGCGATCTGGGCTCACTGCAAGCTCTGCCTCCCAGGTTCACGCCATTCTCCTGCCTCAGCCTCCCGAGTAGCTGGGACTACAGGCACCCGCCAACACGCCCGGCTAATTTTTTGTATTTTTAGTAGAGACAGCGTTTCACCGTGTCAGCCAGGATGGTCTCGATCTCCTGGCCTCGTGATCCACCCGTCTCGGCCTCCCAAAGTGCTGGGATAACCGGCGTTCGTTACTGAGTTTTTGTTGTCCCACAGATTTTGCTCCAAAGGCGAGTGTCCCGCTACTCTCACCCACATCCTCATAGTGTTGGCCCAGCCTGGATGATTCTACTTCTATCAAAGGGGAATGCAAGACAGATTCAAGGCTTTAAGGGCTCCATTCTATGACTTCAGTTCCTAAATGACCATTAGGAATGTTCCATTTCTGTGCAACTCCTCCAAAAATATGGCCTTACAGGATTTTGAAAGGGTAATGGATGTTATGAGCAAAATGAACAAGCTTTGAAATATATAACTGATATAGTTTGGATCTGTGTCCCCACCCAAATCTCAAGTCAAATCACAATCCCCAATGTTGGAGGTGGAGCCTAGTGGGAGTAGATTGGATTATGGGGGAAGTTTTCTTATAAATGATTTAGCGCCATTCTCTTGGTGCTGTTCTCATGAGAGTGAGTGAGTTCTCATGAGATCTGGTTGTTTAAAAGTGTGTAGTGGCCAGGTGCATTGGCTCACACCTGTAATCCCAACACTTTGGGAGGCCAAGGTGTGTGGATCACGAGGTCAGGAGTTCAAGACCATCCTGGCCAATATGGTGAAACTCCCTTTCTACTAAAAATACAAAAAATTAGCCGAGTGTGGTGGCGGGTGCCTGTAATCCCAGCTACTCGGGAGGCTGAGGCAGAGAATTGCTTGAATCCGGGAGGCAGAATTTGCAGTAAGCCCAGATCGCTCCATGGCAGTCCAACCTGGGCAACAGAGCGAGACTCCATCTCAAAAAAAAAATAAAGAAGTGTAGTACCTTCCCCCTTCCCCCTTGCTATTGCTGCTCTGGCCATGTGACTGTGCCTGCTCCCGTTTTGTCTTCCGCCATGATTATAAATTTCTGGAGATCTCTCCAGAAGCTGAGCAGATGCCAGCATCATGCGTCCTGTACAGCCTGCAGAAGGGTGAGCCAGTTAATCCTCTTCTCTTTATAAATGATCCAGTCTCTGGTATTTCTTGATAACAATGTGAGAACAGACTAATAGAATCACTATGGAAATCTAAGGCTTAATAAAGACTCCGAGGATTAGAAAATACATCCATGTTCTAAACTTGAACCTTCTTGACAACATCCACCCATGAATACATCCAAAAAATTGCAGTGATGGAGAACATGCTATTTCTCAACATAGTCAATTCTAACTGAGATCTCTTACAATGTTCTTGCTTACAGGGAGTCAGATGTGAGTCTTTCTTCTTGAGGTTTCATATACTGGCTCACTTTGAATCTCTTGAGCTATTATTTAATAAGACTAATCTTTTTCTCCCTCTTCTGGGATTGGTGCAAAAATAATTGCTGTTTTTGCCACTAAAAGTAATTGCAAAAACAACAATTACTTTGCACCAACCTAATAAAATTTGAAGGCAGATAAAAACTGGCATTTTCTTGAAGCCAGTTATTTTCCTTTCGGACATTTATCCTAAGAAGATAATAATTAATTGACTATTAAATGTCATTTCAGAATTTGAATTACATTGAAATAAGAATGAAGATTCTGGTAGCCATAACCATCATAATTCAGCGCTCAAGTTGTTTTCTCAGGGTTGAAACTGTGGTAATCTTAACCTGTCTGGTCATTAGAATCTTCTGACGGAGTTTATTTATTTATTTTTTATTTTTTGAGGCAGAATCTTGTTCTGTGGCCCAGGATGGAGTGCAGTAGCAGGATCTCAGCTCGCTGCAACCTCCACCTCCCGGGCTCAAGCAATTCTCCTGCCTCAGACTCCCGAGTAGCTGGGACTACAGTCACGCACCACCAAGCCTGGTTAATTTTGTTGTTGTTGTTGTTGTATTTTTAGTAGAGATGGGGTTTCACCATATTGGCCAAGCTGGTCTCGAACTCCTGACCTCAAGTGATCCACCTGCCTTGGCCTCCCAAAGTGCTGGGATTACAGATGCAAGCCACCACACCCAGCCTGATAGAGTTTAAATTATATAAATGTTTGGAATCTATACTTCAGGTGTTCTTAGATCTGGGGTGGGGCCCAGCATTCTTGCTCTTTAAACCTCCTCAAGAGACTGGAAGATTCAGGTGGGTTGAAAACCACTTCTTTCCTGCTAGTCAGCTGAACGGGAGCATCCACTAGTCTCTCACTTCCTCCAGGTCAGTCAAAAAAACCCTACAAGTTAAAATACCTTATTTACTTTCATAAAGTAAGCTCCTTTTCTGTACTTAAGCTTCTCCTGAAAGTACAATAATTATTTTATTGTGGAAAAGAGATTATGTGGGTATTGACTACTTTTCTTGGATTGCCCATGGGGTAGAAAAATTAGGGAAGTATGGTGGTACCCTGAAGCAATATGTGACAGGTGTTACAGAAATCAGAGAAATCTCTGTGAATTTTCTGGATTTTAACTCAGGGAAAATACTTATTTGTCTTGTAAATCACTATAATTAAAGATAATGATAATAATACCTTACATCAAAAATGTTGTGCCTGCGTTGTTATCTCTTCAGGGACTTCTGAAAACCACATGATGAAGCAAAGAAACATATCCATGTGCCCGCTTGAACTTCCATGACTTGTTCATGCAAAATATAGAATACAGACATTCTAATGCTAACATTATTAATTTACCTTAGTAAGACCTACCATAGTCATAACATCAGTCTTTATAAAATGTGCTATAAAGTATTTATCATTTTAAAAAAATGTTAATTAAAAACAGGAGAATTAAAAAAACTATAGATTAACCAATATTACACAATCTAATATTTTTATTGAGACTTCAGTTTCATTAAAAGATAAGAAATCTTTATAATTATTATTTTAGGATGAACATTCATTGGCTTAATAAAATTTTACTGTACCCTATTAACAGTCGATTTTAGACACTAAAGCCAAGTTCTACAACAAGGGACAAAAGCGTGTGTGGTCTTGCTGGCTGTTTATTTGGGCAGAATCAGAAGCACTTTTAAGTCTGGCTGGATTCCCTATTTTTAAACTATTTTCCACTTATAAGCACATAATAGCCACAAGGAAATAAATACCCTCAGGTTTTCTATGATACTCGGAATTGGCTCTTTCAGGAGAGAATAATTTGGATTTAAAATGCATGCCTTTAATTGAGAATAATTTTAATTCTAGGATCCATTATACTTTTAAGCAAGAATTTTGTGCCAAACATTGTGCTAGGAACTCTAGATTCAGAAATTAATAAGACATAATACTTAACTTTTGTGTGTCTTTTACTAAGTTGAAAAGAGCTGACAGTGCGAAAACAGGGCTAATCTATCGCAGATCCAGGGTGGCTCCTGCCTATAGCTTGGATTCTTGCACCATAAACCACAGCTCCTCTTATCATATGTGATGAGATTGAATTGGTCCATGATGTCCAAAACAGAGAATCAGAATTCTTGAGCACTGATCACTTTAAAGAATTCAGAGCTATCTATATTAACCTATCTTGCGGTGGTGGATTTGTTTTGAGCTCATAAAAGTTAATAACCATTAAAGAGAAATCTAGATTTTAGAACAAGGAGTATTACTGTCATGGTTTCTAAGTATGTTGATTTAATTAACCCCATGTGACACCTGCCAAATATCTTCAAGAGTGACATGCACAGAGATTATTTATATATTTGGAACTGATTTTTTGGAAACACAAAACAAAAACTTCTCTCTGAATTTGTTAGATTCTGTTAAGCAAATTCCTGCCAATTTGAGTCCTTTGAATTATAATCAAATTTCATTGTTAATGCGAGTTATCCTTGACCATTCCCCCTTGAGCTAGAAAAATATGCATTGTCTACTCAATCTACAAAATTATCAGTTAAGAGGGCAAAAAGGAGACATAAATGTGAGAAGTTTTCACAGAAACTCTCCATGCTGCAGTTGTCCTACACGTCACGTTGGAGTCATTTTGACAGAAACAGCTTTCACAGAATGCCCACCAGACATGTTTCCACAGGCTGTTTTGCCATCTGTAGTATTAAAGAATATCCACTATGGGTGCCTTCGGGCTGATCGTTTAGAATTGATTACAAAGTTTTCATGATGCACTGTCTAAAGTGGAATTATTGACTTTAATACCAGCCCCCCCCACCAAAAAATCCAACCAGTGGCCTTATTAAACCAGAAACAAAGAATAAACAATGTTTTAGACACTTTTTATCTGGAGTGAACACACACACACACACACACACACACTTGCTTGTGATGTATCTCTGCTGAAATAATTGTTTTTGACCAAGTGATGGTCATAGAAAATTTATGCATAATGTATTCTACTCTAGATACCACTTTCTCCTTGATTTATTTATGCAAAATGCACATCTCAAAATCCACAAGCACCCAGCGAATAGAAAGAAATGATGAAGCCTTGCTTTCCTTAAGTATGGCATGCAGATGCAGTTGAAATTATATGGAAAGCAGTAAACATGTTCTGTAAACCTGTTCTATGAGATATGTGGACTTCTCCCATTTTAGGAAACAGAAACATCATATGGATATTTTAAGTCATTTCCTTAAAGTTGGAACACCTCTTGCTTAGATATTCTGATCAGGCTATTTAAGCAAGTTTTTATTTTTATAAATTAAGTTTTTCCTTTTTAAAAAATATCCTTTAAAAAGTTGGAATATCAACGTGATTGCATAGCTAGTGCTGGAAATCAGAGGTTTAGATACAAGCACAAAGAAATCTTTTAAGTCGACTCTAAAGTGATTATTCCAGTTTTTTTCTGTTTCATTATGCAACATCTTTGGAGTCCTCATACAGCACAATTGTGAAAACATCATCTCAGGCTCAAAGGAGAAATTATTTTCCAATATGTTATCCAGAAAAAATAGTGTAACTATTACGCAAGTTAGATGTTTCATTGCTGTCCTCTATTAATCATGAAAGCTTGATTTGGTACTAATTCCAGAGGTCATTCAGTCATAGAGTCCCCCTCTCACTCCAGGAAGCCTTGACATATACCATGTAAGTGTGATCACAGCATATACATGCAACCTACTCTGTGTTCAATTGAACTAAATGTCTTTGACAGAAGACTGATGACTCATTTGAGTAAAATTTTGGCAAGTTCATCTATATGTTGGAAATGTCTTCTTTTTTAGGTGGACATTTGCTGTTTCTCTGACCTTCTGATGTCCATTACCCTTTTCTAATACAGAATGATTTTTCTCTTCAGTTGTTCTCTGCAGTCTTGGTGCAATGGTGTGCCAAGGCTCTTCGCTCCCACGTCAGAGGTTACAGTAGGTCTTGTTTACCAGGTGCTTCCTCTCCCTGCTCAAGAGACAGGCATGTGTCATGACCATAGGACTCTCTCTCCCAGGACATTAAATCTTGTGAGGAGTAAAACAAAAATAAAATAATAAAATGTACCATTTTGGAGGGATTTAGAGTCACATTAGTGCTGGTGTGCTAATCAGATTGGTGTGTGCTCACCAGATTTTTCCTGCAGTCTCTACTGCTGGACCCCAGGTTCCCTAGAATCCAGCCCTTTGCTAAATCAAAGTCACCAGCCTTCACTTCAAATTTTGTGGCTCTTGATACCTTTCCAATCTATGCTGTTTTCTTAAGTCAACCAGCATCTGTCTATACTGCCTGCAAGCAAATAACTCTTTCATTAAAGTTCCCAGTAGTTTCCTCCTTTGTTCCTAAGTTCCCTTTCCAGAATTTCTTCATATTCACAGACCCAGCTTTGCAATATAAAATCCTACCTACAATTTAACTCTCTTCTTTTGGCCAAACAATTAAACTTCCTACAACTGTTACTTAAATTATTTGAATTCTAGATCTTAGACAATTCTGATCATGTTTCTTCTTTGTGGAGAAGACCCACATGGAACTGGTACTTAAAGAAAACACAGAATTCCCCAAGTCCCCAATACCCCCCCATTTTTTTTTTTTTTTTTTTTTTTTTTGTGGAGGAGGAGGAACTGATTTCAGTTCCATTACTTTCATTACCATGTGACAATGTTTAGTTAATTTTGAAACTGGATTCCAGCCTAAATTTTACTGTTACATTTTGTCTAATGAATTATAGCATAGCCATTAATTTGGTGCCTGCCTGTTATAATTTAAATAAAATATGATATTTTTCCTTCTGAATTTTCATTAAATTCACTGATAAAAATGGTGAGTAGACCAGATCCCTGTACCAGACTATAAACAACCTGCTTGTGGTTGACAGTGATTTAATAATCAACAGCTTTTGATGAGACTTTTTTTAAAACTCCAAATTGCTTAATATGTTTAATCACTTAAACATATCTAAGTATCTATATATAAATCTGCTACATTTTAGTTCAGCCCTTATTTTTCTGTAATTTCTCAATATGATAAAAAATGTCTCTATTAAACTGGTAAGTAGGCAACATCATCATTAATGGGGGGAGTGTGGCATAGTATCTTAATCGCAGATACAACACACACATATAACTGAATCAAATTTCAGAAGTAAGTTTTTTTTGAGACAGGATCTCACTGTCTCATCCAGGTTGCAGTGCAGTGGCAATCTTGGCCCACTGCAGCCTTGACTTCTCAGACTCAAGGGATCCTCCTACCTCAGTCTCCCTAGTAGCTGAGACTACATGTGCATGCCACCATGCCCAGCTAATTTTTGTATTTTTTTGTGAAGACAGGTTTTTGCAAGGTTGCCCAGGCTGGTCTTGAGCTCCTAGACTCAAGTGATCCACCCGCATCGGCCTCCCAAAGTGCTGACATTGCAGGCATGAGCCACTGTGCCTGGTGCAGAAATATTTATTCTGGTTATATGCAATGCATCTTTATTAGTTTCTATTCTGTTACATTGTATAGTGTTCCCTTTTTAAACGAATCATATAAAGTTGGTGGATGGTATCAATGTATTAGTTGTGATATTGTGCTATAGTTATGCAACATGTTATCCCTGGGGAAACTTGGTGAAGGGTATGAGAAATCTCTGTATTGTTTTTAACAACTGCATTTGAATCTACAATTATCTAAAAATTAAAAAAAATCATAAACTACAAATTTGTGATTCACTAATGCTTCATCACCAGAAATTTATAAGATGCTGTGACTGAGATATTAACTAAATTGTAATGAGTAAAACAAGGGTGACTGATATCATTATCATTTTTCTATATTATTGTAAAAGTTCTAGCCACTACAATATGATAAGAAAAAGGAAATATTATTGGAAAAAATAAAACTGGAATAATTTTCAGGTTATAGCATGATTTACGTGAAAAAGTGCAAAAAGTATAATTGGAAAATTGACAAAAGACAAGGCAAGATGATTCACAAAAGAAAATATTTGAGTAATTTTAAAAAGTAAAACTGTTTGCTCTTACTATTAAAAAATAAAATGCTGTTTTTTGGCCAGGCGCGGTGACTCAAGCCTGTAATCCCAGCACTTTGGGAGGCTGAGGTGGGCAGATCATGAGGACAAGAGTTCGAGACTAGCTTGACCAACATGGTGAAAACCCATCTCTACTAAAAATGCAAAAATTAGCCAGACGTGGTGGTGCGCACCTGTAATATCAGCTACTCAGGAGGCTGAGGCAGGAGAATCACATGAACCTGGGAGGTGGAGGTTGCAGTGAGCCGAGATTGCACCACGGCACTCCAGCCTGGGTGACAGAGTGAGACTCCATAAAAAAAAAAAAAAAATGCTGTTTTTTAACTCATAAATAGATATATTTTAAGAAAATGCATACAATTTTATTTTTTTATGATTGTGGCAAGTATCATCTTCAACTGCCTATGTAAGCAGAAATTGCTACAAATCTCTTGGAAAACAATCATAAAACTGCTAACTTCTATAACCTTAGTTCATATAGCTTGTCCCAGTAAATATTTGCTTTAGAATCCATTCTAAATACATAAAAAAAAACTTGGGTATGAATTTATATGACAAATTGTTTGTTACAGCTAAAGTTATACTAGTAACATAATAAATAAATAAAGGTTTAGTCAGAATGTTTAATATCAGGTATCTACTTGAAAACCCATGAAGGGATTATTTACAGCTTTAGCAATGCTTTTTACTAAGAGTATTTAATAACAGGAAAAATACTAAAATATAATATTAAAGTATTAATAGTTATTTCTGAGAGAAGGCATATAGTTCATTTTCCTGCTATTTTTTGCACAGAAACAATTTACATGATCTGAAGTGGCTGGTTCAAACTCTGTTCAATAAAAGTGCTTAAATTAGTCAATAAAGGCTGCCATAAAAAGTATCACAGATTGGTTGTTTTAAACAACAGAAATTTATTTTCTCACAATTCAAGAGGCTGGAAGTGATCAAGGTGTCAGCAGGGTTGATGTCATTTCGAGGCCCCTGTCCTTGGCTTATAGATGACTGCCTTCTCTCTGTGTCTTCACATGGTCTTCCCTCCATGCCTGTCTGTGTCCTCTTCTTATAAGGATGCCAGTCAGATTGGATTAGGGTCCACTCTAACAAACTCATTTAACATTTACTACCTCTTGAAAAACCCTATGTCTAAATACATTTACATTTTACGGTACTGGGAGTTAGGGATTCGATATATAAATTTTAGGAGACATAAGTCAGTTCATAATAGTGCTCTAGGCAGATCAAATGCTGCTACATACACCCAAGCCATTCTGCTCCAGTGGAAATAGATTGTCATGGTCAATAATGACAGAAGGTAGATTATTAGACACTGCTTAATGTAAAAGCACCAAAACTCCTGTGGCCTATCAAGGTGGAAGATACGCTGTCTAGGGTCATTGTACAGATGCTGGACTGGGCTATCCGTCAGAGTACAAGAATCTCATGGGATGAACTGGCTGGATTGAAGGTTGACACACAGAGTTCTATGTGTCCTCCAGGAAAAGACCCAACAGTGTGTATCATCTGTGTACATATCTCCTTGTGGTCTTGAGAAACCTCTTAGCTGGACAAGTTCAGTACATTCTCCTTTCATAACAAGAAAAACAATGACCACAACAAATAGTTGTGACTGTTAAGGGCAAGTCACTGTCACACAAAAACTATTGTGTTGTTTTGTGTTTGCCATTAAAAGTAATGGCAAAAACCGCAATTATCTTTGCACCAACCTAATATTACTATGTTTATAAGATAAAGACATATATTTAGATGACAGAGAGTTCCACTAACAAATTACATTTCTATATACGAATGGTTAGCCTGACTATAAAGCTTTTCTGTCCACAAGGACTCCTTCCTGAGGGTTCTGGAAAACAGCTGTTGTATAGAACACTTGAGTATTTTGACTTAAGACAACAGAGGGAATTTATGTAAAGATTTGTTAAAAGGAGATAAGAGCCTTATTCTAAAACTATGTTAAGTGGAGAAGAAGATGAAATGCTTTTGTTGGTTTGTAGCATGTGAATACTAGCCAAAATATAAAATGTAGCATGTGAATACTAGCCAAAATATAAAATAAATATCTTGTTTTCTGCAGTAGAAAACTGAGGAATCTAAAGAAATCTCACTTCGAGGATGGTACAACATTGTCTAAATAAAATATCTGCTTCTTTCTGAAGCCATGGACAGAAACGAAAAGACTTCCAGGCTCTCAATAGGCCTGCAGTTGAGGAGAAGTTCGGTTCACACATTTGAATGTTTGAAAACAAACAAAACACCCACCTCACTCTGCAAAGACACATTTCTCCTTAAGTGTTGTCGAATTTCTTCTAAATTAAATGGCTAGGCAGTTACAAAGAAATAAAGGCTATTAAGCCTCAAAAAACAAAGACAAAATATTTCAGTGTTTCCCAATATAATTTTTATCACTTCCTTTTCAGTAAAACTCTGCTAATGTATATTTTATACACACACAGCAATGTGGAAATACATCCTGAGAATCATATCATGAAGCTATTTTATCATTGTGTGAACATCAGAGTGTACTTACACAAATGCAGATGGTGTCACCTACTACATACCTGGGCAATATTGTATAGCCTATTGCTCCTAGGCTACAATCTCTACAGCATGTTACTGTACTGGATGCTATAGGCAATGGTAACACAATGGTGAGTATTTGTGTATGTAAACATAGAAAATGTACACTAAAAATATGATATTATATGCATCATGTGGTTCATGACTGCATAGTTAAATCCTATACAAATATTAGTGTCAATATATTATACATATTACAATGTATTATAAGGTATACAAAAACAAAAATTAAAAATGTTAAAAGAATATGATCAGGTAAATACAAGTAGAAATCTCAATACTGAATTCTTCAATCTCTGTGATCAGCTAGGAAGTTCCCTGGGATGTGTATAATCCACTTTAGGGAACTCTGATCCATATTGTAGGTTTAGTGCTTAAGGACATTTTCTTTTTTTTTTTTTCTTTTGAGACAGAGTCTCACTCTGTCACCCAGGCTGGAGTGCAGTGTCATGATCTCGGCTCAC
Organism: Homo sapiens; assembly: GCF_000001405.40. Classification (NCBI taxonomy): domain Eukaryota; kingdom Metazoa; phylum Chordata; class Mammalia; order Primates; family Hominidae; genus Homo; species Homo sapiens. The sequence continues at coordinate 85,337,910 of NC_000014.9, read as the reverse complement.
TGCAGCATCATCTCCCAGGTTCAAGTGATTCTCCTGCCTCAGCCTCCAGAATAGCTGGGATTACAGGCGAGTGCCACCACACCCAGCTAATTTTTGTATTTTTAGTAGAGATGGGGTTTCACCATTTTGGCCAGACTGGTCTCAAACTCCTGACTTAGTGATCTACCCCTCCTCGGCCTCCCAAAGATTACAGGCGTAAGCCACCATGCCCAGCCTTAAGGACATTTTCTTCCCTCCTATGGCAGTCTACATAGAAGTACCAAGAAAGGACTTATAAATGGTAGCTGTGATTCTTTTTATCTCTGTTCATTTTTTCATCAATCAAAGCAGTATTCCACAGTATCATTAAAAAATAACATAGTATATTACCTTATTGTCATATTAGGCCTCTCTCTTAATAATATTTATTGTCAGCTTAAACGGGCAGACAAATTTTAAGGGAAGTATCATCAGAGGATATTTTCTCAACTCTCTCCTAACAATTCTTAATAGGGGAGTGATTTACACAGTTCTCATTATAAAAGGCATTGATTATTCCTATATTAAGGTACATGCCACAAAAGAAATTCCAAATCATATCAATATGCCTATTTGTCCTGATTAATTAATATCTTTAAATTAAAGAAAATAGACTGATGGTCACCTTTAAGCCTGTGAACACACTGGGTTCCTCTTTTGATTATTTTATTTTATTTCTGGCATGCACAGCTTTATATTTTTTTCCCATTGTAGTTTTTTTTGGTTGTTTTTCAAATATGAAACACTGGCAATAATATGACCACATTTATTTTTCAGAAGGACTATCTGTATTGTCCCAGCCGGTGAGTCACCTCTGGATGCGGCACTGCAATCCTGATAAATCAATCTGCAATAGCAGCATGTTTTCCCTTCAGAGAGGAAAGGGAACCCGTTGGCATTTGCAAAGACCTTCCTTAAACCCAGCCTTTCCCAGGACTAGAGAACGTTTCCAATCTGAGCCCCCACCTGAGGAATACATCACACCATTCACACACTCATGTAAAAGGATATTTTTAAATTCCAGCTCATTAAACAGTTCAGGGAAACCAGTATGGAAAAGACAGTGACGTATTTGGCATAACAAACAAGGTGGCCACCAATGTATCACTTAGGCACCGGCTTTTGGTATTGACAATCCTATAAAATGCAGTTTCTACCTCACATTGCTATGCCTAATTTAATTTGTTAAGTCATGGTGGAAGACTATTTCAAGTGAAATAAAAGCAATACTTGGCAATAACTTTTCACTGCAGTGTACTTACATAATCTAGCATTTATTTCAAACTCAATTTACTAAGGCAACACAAATACAAAAATTAATGCTATACTTATGCTTTACAGTCACCACTAAATAAGTGCCTTTGACAAATATATGTCATAGTTGTCTTTTTACCATCAACACTGACAGTTTGTAAAGTAATGGAAGTAATAGAACAGTGAGTAACACCTTTACGCTCATACTGACATCAGTGACAATATAAAAGAAACAAGTTTTGTTTGTGAGCTTTCCTTCCCAATATCTTACTCATATTTTCCATGAAGTTGATAAAACTCTAGTGTTTCAAATAGGCACATTTTTCTACAAAGAACAGACACACTCAATTTAATGCAAGTAACAGAGATTATTGTAAGGCTACCAGCAGATATAACAGGAGAGGCCAGACAACTTGGCTTTGGAAAGTCAGAAAGGACAGGACATTTACTAGATCAGTCCATAGAATTTTTCATTTTGGGAATTTACCATTAGGTTGACTCAACTATTATACTTGTTTGCTCCACACTGTCAATTTCTAGCTACCAAATTCAGTTTATCCTTATAATTTATACTCAACACAGAGGAAATCTGATAGACTCAACTCATATTTTACAGTCTGCTGGCAACTACCCACTGCCCAATGGGCCATTAAGCAAATGGACCTGCACAAACCAGAGACCTTTAGGTAAAGTGTTAGATGGAAGGCAAAGTTGGGATTCACTGAAGCAGAGATTGTGCATCTATTACACGTAATTTTCTGAATCAACCATCTAGTTGGTTGGATCCAACCAAGGATTCAGTTTCACTTGTATCCAAAAAGCTTGGGTTCTAACTTCATTGGGAAAGAACATGCTAATATGGCCCACTCTCACCCTTTTGCTAGTGACCCAATTAATCCATTTCCAATACTAAACTGTACCTAGGCACATATCCTTCTTGTCACCATCTTGAACATACCTGATGCGTATCATTAATGGCACATGCTGTAATTGTCATCTTCTCCCCTAAACACCCTCCTGAAGAAACCGATTTTGGCTTAACCACTTTCACTTGGTCACTGAAATGTAAATGCGCAAAGCTCATCAACCCAGAGAAGTGGTTCGGGAGCATTGAGGATGCGGAGGCTGTATTGTGTCCTAGAGAACATTTGGCAACGTCTAAAGACATTTTTGGCTGTCACAACTAAGCGAGTTTTACTGGTATCTAGTGAGTAGAGACCAGGATGCTGCCAAACATCCTACAGTGCACAGGACAGCTTCCACAACAAAGAATTATCTGGCCCAAAATGTCAATAGCATCAAAGTTAAAAAAAAAAAAAAACAAAAAAAAACATTGCTTAGAGGCATTCTGAAACTCACATCCCAGAAGAACACAGATGCAGGCTAATTTTGAACAGACCAGTCTTCGAGTTAGAGCAAATCTTAGTAACTGAAAGAGACCCCTTTTGTAAACATCCAATCTGGAAGAATTGGCCATCCAAGCAACTGTCACCCTGTATTGCATTCCTTGCCAGTATGTGCATGTTCTGACCTATATACACGCACAGATTCTGGTGGGGAAGTATGTCTCTTGCCCTTTCTTCTTGCAAAAGTCAGTGTGAAACGTAGAATATCCAGTTATACATTTCCCCAAATATCCTTCCTGTTGCACTCATAGAAACTTAGAAGCCTGATTGCAAATAGAACTCCTCATGCTCAGTTAGGAGCTTACAGATCTAGCCCACCATAATTCTCCACTACTTTAGTGAATTTAGGGAAGCCTACTCAACTTGATCTTCATGAATGCTTGGAATTCAAATGAAGGGGTTGAATCCAGGGAAGGAGCTAATAAATTTTTTTCTGGATGATTGCTATATGGCAGACCCAGTGCTGGCTTGAAGGGAATTATAAAATTGGAATACAACCTTTCACTGATTAGATAATTATGTCTCTCAAATAAAATTGTGTTTTCCTATGTATGTATTTTTCCTTTATGCCAACAATAGCACACAGTACCAGAACTATCCTTTGTGCTTACTGAGTATTTTCCGAACATGGGATTTTTTTCTCAACTCTTTATTCTTCCCCAGTGCATATGAGGAATACATTAACAGTTCCACGCGTCCATCAATTACAACAAAGTGGCTATTTTTAAGTAAATGTGTGTTTCAAATATGTGTTGAGTTTGGAGGAGAGATAAGAGAGGAATGTAGGAATCTGACAAACTTTTCCAAGTATATCTGGCTCTCCCAATCCCAGGAAAAGTGATTGTTTTATACTTTTTTATCAACATCTCAATTCCAGTGAAACTATTCTTGGTTTCCAAAATATTTTGAATCTTGTTTCTGCCTCAATACCTAGTGTATCCTTCACTCATAAGTTTTCCTAAAACCTGAATTACAATAACAAAATGTATTTATTTGTATCAAGCACCATTGGCATTTCTGTGTGTCTACTGACTCCTTAAATCCTTTGAGGTAGCCACTATTATATTCCCCAAAATTCAGATGAAACAACTGAGGCGCAGTAAGGTCATGGAAGGTTGGATCCTAGCCGACTCTCTGCAGTGCCTAAGCTACTCCAACATCTCTACTTATCCAAAGCTTTTAAGCTCTATTTTGATCCTCTTGTAAGAATCCCACAAGCCTTAAGGCTCAGGCATCTGCTCCTCAACTCACAGCATTATTTCAGACACTTCTTTGGAAATTCATTGTGCACTTCCTTGTTATTTCTCTGCTATGGTTGTACTGCGTATTCAAATACGTGCATGGCTATTGGATAGTGCAATTGTTGAGGTGCAATTGATAGTGCAATTGAAGGTCTTCTTGTGCTCGCTTTATCTTTTTTATCTTTCTAGTCTGCCTGCCATTATCATGACTACCAGCAGAAAAGTCAAAATCTATTTGCTTTTGATTGTGATTTCTATATAATCAAATGAAATCCAGAAAGACTTAAAACTTCAACCTTATTCCAGATGATATTGAAAAAAAAAAAGCTCTATTTTTCTAACATGAAAGACTTGAAGATAGACCAATGTCGTTACCCAGATTCTACCCACAAGAACAATGGACCCAGCCAGCCCAGGTGACATGGGGAGGGAGAGAGATAGACTCATTGGTTGGTGGCCAAGCAAGTATACAAGAAACCACTCCTCCAGCTGGCTCCAATTTGGGTGACTCATTCTTCCCTTTCACTCTGCTTCCCCTGATTTTTTCTTCTCTATCATAGTCATAACCACATTGATAGGGGACAATTTTTTTCTCAGAAAATTCAGCAGAGCCGATTTCCTTGTCACCTCGTTTACCCTACATCTGAGCTCCTATAACATTTGTGTTACATTTTTTATTATCACATTTTTTGATTCCAAATGAATTATTGATATTCCTTCCCGGGTCCCATTTCTGAAGGTTGTGTGTGTGTTTCACTGATTTTTGCAAAACATCTAATATGCTTGTTCAAATCTGGAAGGGTTCAAAAATTACCCTTCAGATGAATATGTTTGTTAGGTGCATGTTCGTGTGTTTGTTGATATAGTAAATATATATTTGGTTATAAATACATATAAACATGATTCACAAATACCAGTGATAATAAGGAACCAACATCTGCATCTTTGTGAATTACATGTGTGATGTCTTTCTGCACAAACCCTATATGGTCTTGTCCCCTTAATATTTGTATATAGTTTCTTCTGGAAGCTAAGTTTGCAGTGTTAAGCATTACGAGTTCATACTTGTCATGTTGCACAGTGAGAAGTCCTCTGTACAACTTAACGACAAGGTCGACTTGAACAAGATGGGATGTTGATATAATCTATAATTTACTTATTCAATAACAGAGAACGATGATCATCCAACTAATGTGCTATTTGGTAACAAGATATAATCAAATGGCTAGGGGATGAAACAACTGTATAAGCAAGATTTTAGAAGGCCAAATATGGGACTCTGGGTCTAAACGTTGGACACCATATGCAAATTTTACAGCTCACTCTTCCTGAATAAGAAATCTTGTGCATGACTTAAATGTCATAAACATTTTACAAGTCTTTGCTAGCAGCAGATTTCCTGTACTGGGAGTTAAAGGGCAAGTGTAAACTTGAGAACATGCTCTACATATGTATGACAGATATTAAAACACACCACATGACCTTTACAAACATATCAGGCTGGCCACTTTTATCCTGAAGATAAACTGCCAGACTGAATCCATATTTTGATCAAGTCACTGATGTGTAAAATCTGTAGCTTTAAAAATATAAGGGTCTCCGTCTGTATAATAATATTGACAAGTGCCACATATTCTGTGAGGTTTTGTATCCTTCAGAAATTTTTATCTTTCTAAAATTCCTAACCCAGAAATACAATCTGAAATGCAGTTTATCCAGATAAAGTAAATTATTCTTTAATTGGGTTCTAATGAATTACATTAATGTAATTAATTTTACGACTTGATTATGGCCTACAGGGCATAATTGCAGAAGCCAAGAGCTTAAAAGTTCTCTGTCTTCAAAATATATCTTGAATGACTAAGTCAAGTTTATATTACTTGACTCTAGGTGTAAAGAGGAAAGAGAGAGGAGACAAGTGAGAAGGGCTGTTTCACCTTGGGAGACACGGTAAGAAAAAGAGACTGAGTGATGTCTGGTGGATGAGTGATAGATGGAGACCAGATAGTGTTTGCCTCTTGGTTTTGTGCAGGGCCAGATAAAGGTATAAATATCAAATAATGCATTCTCCTTTTCACCTGCACTTTTGTCTGCCTCTCTAACAGAAACTTCCCAAGTGGTCTATTTATCAGCAAATTAAAAGAGAGACTGTATAAGCCATAAACATAGAAACCAAAGTTTAAGCCCTGAGAAAGAAATCTGAATCTATTTTCTTTACAATTCAGATTACAGTCTAGACCAGTTTAATAACAGCATTAGTTTTATCCACTCAGGAAAATTAAGAGTTGGAGTGAACAAATCTTGATATGCCAGAACAAACTTCAATCCACCTGAAATGGCATTTTTGTGTTTTTGTGCTTTTTCTGATGCCATGGAAACACCACTCTCAAGTTAGAATGGAGAAAGTAGCAGAAAACACATAACCTGAAAATATGAACTGTGGCCTCATATATGTGCCATTTTAAATACCTGGAAATTATGTTTAATTTGAATGGCTGATATTTCAAGTGGTCTTGAGGCCTTGCACTAGTTCTAAAGCAAGTGCTTACCAGGCAAAGAGATGTCTTAAGGCACTGCTCATTGGTTATGTATCCAGAAATCTCAACCATAAAGAGTGTTTTCTTCTCTGTTTCAAACTGAAAGCCCAAAGAATGTGAATCTTAAACATGCCATATCTTGAGAATTAAGCTCTTACATATATGGATACTCAATTTATTTATTTTTGTAAGAAACATTTTACAAGGCTCCTTTTTAATGTGAGCCTGTAGTGCAGTCTTTTGTACATTGAGAAGACAGACATAAGCCTGAGAGAAAGATTGCTCCTGCACACTAAATGAATTAAGATCTTCAGACATGCCCTGAGACCACTGTGGAATCTAATATATAACATCAGGAGAGTTTATTTTTCCATGTACCCTTCTTCCAATTACTGTATATTCTAGCACTGACACTTCATGTAACATTATGTAAAGAATTCTCTATTGAAGTCATAGCAATAAACTCCAGTGCTTCTGTCCACTTTGCATGAGATAAACATCCCACACGTGTTACTCATTTTAAGTGTATTTCATCTGTGCTTGCTGTCATTCAAGCTAGATAACCAATATAACATCATGGAAAGTAATGTGATACAGAAGATATTATTAGTGTTATTATTTTATCTGGATTTTTAATCCAGCTTGCAAGAATGTTTTTCATGTCTGGAAAATAAGGAGACTGTGATCCTATCACTGCACAATCTGTTGATAGCAAACATGGAGGAAATGTAATTTGTCTGGTTTGATAACTTTGTCAGGGGGTTTTAGAAACTACTCTGAAAATTACCTGTGATCCATTTGGGAGGAAAAAAAAAGATGTGATTTTACAAGAGAAAGGAATTTTCCCACTGGATATGGTTACTTGTATAAAGGCAATCATATAACTTTTTGAAATTATATTCCCCTAAATGTTTAAGTGAAATATTAAGTATGTGGCTTTATTAAAAATCTTAGAGTTTATTATTTCTATGCTGGGCCAAATTTTTACTTCATTTTCTGCATTTAACCATGAACTTATTAGTATGACATTCATTTTGCATATACTGTCTTGCCCTGTTGGCTGATTTTTTTTAACAATATGTCTTATTTTATCCACTAGATTAGAAAACTGCAATAAAACTATTATCTTATTATATGTTTCTATAAGATTTAAAATGTTTCTGGGAACCCAGAATATTTGAAACTAAGTATATTTTCCCATGCTAATTTTCACCTTGGGCTATATAGCTCTCTTTCTGTTTCCTTCTTGGATGTGCAGTATGTACTGATTCATTAGTGTATTCCTTGGAACTGGTACATAGTGCATCATCAATTAATGTTTACTGAATTAAATTAGTGCTCAACGTGTACTTATCTTGTGGAATACCCAACAGTATAAAAAGAATTACAGTACTCCCATGCATTTTAAATGTATGTTTTGGTAGTAAAATATTTAACTGGTTGATATAGTTTGGATGTGTGTCCCCAAGCAAATCTCATATTGAATGTAATCTCCAATGTTGGAAGTGGGGATTGGTGAGAGGTCATGTCATTGGATCATAAGGGAAGATTTATCATAAATGGTTTAGCACCATCACACCTGGTACTGTCCTCACAATAATGAGTGAGTTTTCATGAGAACTGCTCATTTAAAAGTGTATAGCACTTCCCTCCTCACACTCTTGTTCCTGCTTTCCCCATATGATATGCCTGCTCCTCCTTCACCTTCCACTATAATTGGAAGCTTCCTGAGGCCTTCCCAGAAGCAGATGCCATTATGCTTCCCATACAGCCTACAGGACTGTGAGCCAATGAAACCTCTTTTCTTATAAATTACCCAGTTGTAGGTATTTCTTTATAACAATGTGAGAAATGGACTAATATATTGGTCAAAGATGTTATATACAATTTCTGAGTTACCAGGGCATTTATTTCAAAATACAGCTGAGGATTCATTACTTTATTTAAATGTTAGTTTTCACCAACTTTCACATAATTATTCTTTAACATAAGTGTTACTTATATGAAAAGAGAGATTGAAATAGTATTAATGTTGAGATATTGAAATACAAATCTTGGACAGAGTAGGACACTTTTCTACATCATGTAAGGCCTCAACTGAAGGCATTTTAGTCTGAATTAAATGGCTATATGAAGAAAAGTATGTATATACTAAGTTTCTTGTTATTTGCATAATTGACTATTCCTCATTTCTGCTTAATTGTGTTTATATTTCCTTCTTTAGCCCCTGGAAATGACATATATGTGTGCTGACACAGCAGGTGATAAAACAGAAAATATTGGCATACTATGCCTGAGTTTATAATGTGAAAAAAAATGTAGTCTTTTTTTATATAAATTTTTATTTTATTGTTATTATTTTTCATTTTTGTAGAGACAGAATGTCCTCATATTGCCCAGGTTGGTCTTGAACTCCTGGCCTTAAGTTATTCTCCTGCTTCAGCCTCCCACAGTGCTGGGATTATAGGCATGAGCCAACATGTCTGGAAAATATAGTCTATTGAGAGCCTTAATTCAATTTGATATTATACATTATTATTTGATGAGACCTCAGGCTTCTATATCAGAAAGAGAGAACATCTTTCTCTGGACATATAAATAGGGAATCAATAACAAGTTATCATTCATGATAATATTAATAGAAGTAATTGTTTACTAAGAAGGTAAAACTCCCAATTTTAAATATACATATCGAAAATGTGATTTACAAAGCAAATGCCATTGAATTTTTATGTCTTCACCGTCATATTGAATTGAGTTCCTCTTAAGCACTCATACCTCTCACCCAGATTCTAGGAGCTATTATAGTTATGCCATAAATATGATACTTTATGAGTTAACATAATGCATGCAGTAAGCCTTAGGTGAACTGGGGCTGAACTAAGTTCATTATTTTTTCACTACTGTACTATAAAATGCATTTTAGGTCCTGTCCAGGTTATTTATGCCTCAAAATTAGATGTAATCTTTTCAAAGAAGTAAAGTGAGATATTGGGGGAAAAGGAGCAGAGGTAACATTTCCAGCTTTCCATTTGTGAACCGTGTTCTTGGAGCCCAGGGAACGCGGCAACACAATTAAGATTTATCGATCTGTTCCCATCATTACACTGTAGACAGACAGACTGGGGGTTTGCAGTTTACATATTTATGTGAATTCTCTTGGTTTTTGATTGTTTTTAAATGAAGCTAGAGTTTCAAAAAGATGTAAAATTGATGCTCTCTGAGGTCCTCCAGGCTTTAGTGATACTAGCAGAAAAGAGTGGTGATTGAAGCTCCCGCATACAATTCCAAGCACCAAAGTAAAATCAAAGCAGGACAGTGGGGAGGCAAGAAACAGAGCTGAAGGGTAGATGATGGCTGCAGCCCCTTCCAGAACGCCGCATGCGTGTCTGTTCATGTTATGCTAGCTACAGCTTCCTTAGTTTTTGTGCTAAAGTGTCTTATATCCACTCTTCCTTTTATTCTCCTTCCAATAAACACAAAGGATGTGTCCTATAATTCTGAAATCTTGCAGATGAAGAAATTGAGACCCAAATAAGTTAAACAACTTGCTTCATGCCACAAAGCTCTCATGGAGCAAAGATGACATTCAAACCTAGCTATGACCCTGAAACTAGTATTTTCATTGATTAGAGTTCAGGGTCACTGTTCCCCAAATATAGTGTTTGATTCAGCCTGTACATCTGGGATCTTAAGCTGTTGTATTCTTTTATAAAATAAAGCAACATAGGGAGAACCCACCTCTACAAAAAATAATGAAAAATAATTAACCAGGTGTGGTGGAACACACCTGTAGTCTTAGCTATTCAGGAAGCCGAGGGGGGATTGCTTGAGCCTAGGAGTCTAAGGTTACAGTGAGCTATGATCATGCCATTGCACTCCAGCCTGAGTGATAGGGAAAGTCTCCCTCTCTAAAAACAAAATTAAACTAAAGGCACATCTAAAGACAAGATTGGTCCTTACAGTGAAGTAACTTTCTTAGGGGATGCTTTTGGGGTACTGCTTTCAATTTAGTTAAGCACCCTGCCAACCAGGCACATGCCAGATGCCTTGGTAGAGGGGTGGTTGGAACCCGGCTATCAAATACCTGCAAATTACAACTTGCTTGTAAACAGATTCTGTGACATGCTGAATGAAGTTTTCTTTTCTCTTAAAATTGCCTTTATCATTCACAGCAAATCTTCTTCCCAGAGGCTTCTCCTGTCAACCCAACCTCTGGAGAACTGCCCAAACATCAACACCCACCCTTATCCTAAAACCCCTTTGTTCTAAAGATGAACACTACCTTTGAAGACTATAAAGACTTAAATCCAGATATCATCATAAGTTGTTAAAGAAGTAAATCCATATGAATATAAACAGCTATCTAAGAGGCAAGATACAACAATGCATATTACTCTCCAGGCCAAAGACAGTGATTAAAATCCAAAGATTTTCCTAAGAAGCTCTAATTTTAGTGAGCAGGGCCAGAAGATGCATGAGAGGACTAACATTACCCAGAGATAGTTGAGTTAAATAGTCTTAACTCCTTTTTATCTCTACATGATGTCTAAAATCTAATTGTATTCGATTCCTATTGCTGCTGTAACAAATTACCACAAACTTCATGGCTTAAAAACTGCATAGATTAATTATCTTACAATCCTGGAAGTCAGAAATTAAAATATCAAGATGTTGGCAAGACCGCATTCCTTCTAAAGGCTCTGGGGGAAAATTTGTTTCCTGGCCTTTTCCAGCTTCCAGAGGTTGCCATATTTTTTGGTTCCTGGACCCTTCTTCCATCCCCAAAGCTCATCAATCCAACCTCTGCTTCTGTGACCACGTCTCTCTGTGACTGCAATCCTCTTGCCTCCCTCTTAAAAGGACCCTTGGGAACACTGGGTCCACCCAGATAATCTAATACAAGCTTGTCCAACCTGCAGCCCATGGGCACCATGTGGCCTAGGATGGCTTTGAATGTAGCCCAACATAAAGCTGTACATTTTCTTAAAACATTACGAGATTTTTTTTCAGCTCATCAGCCATCATTAGTGTTAGTGTATTTTATGTGTGGCCCAAGACGATCCTTCCAACGTGGCCTAGGAAAGCCAAAAGAGTGGATCCCCCTGATCTAAAATTCTCTTCATCACAAAATTCTTAACATAAGCACAGAAGTCTCTTTTGCTATGTAAGGTAACATATTCACAGGTTTCAGGTATTAGGATATGGATGTCTTTGGAGGGCCTTTATTCAGCCTACCATACCAATCAATTAATATCTATTAAGTATTTACAAGTCACTCCTTTCTTCCATTTTAAATACTGAGTATCTCTTATGTAGTAAGGAATCTGTTAGGTTTCAGTGATGCAAAAATGAATAACACTTTGTCCCCACCCATAATAATAAGAAAATTAGCCAGTACTTAGTGACCTTTTGATATGTGCTAGACACTCTGGCTATTCAACTCAACTCACAAGAAGCCTATGAGGTAGGCCCTATTTCTTATTCCATTTGTGTAGATGAGGAAATTGAGTCACTGAGAAGTTAAGTAATTTTACAATTGAAACAGCTGGTAGGAGGTAAAATCAGGATCTAAACCTAGGCAGCATGTCCCTGGGCCTGCTACTTACCTACGCTGCTGACAGATGGTCCCCTTGACAGTTCAATATTCACTTCTTGTCGGAAGTGAATAAATCATTCAGACTTCAGCTAACTCTCAGAACAGTTTCTGGCACATAGTAAGTACTCTGTAAATCCTGATGATGGCAATAGTTATGATAATGATAGCTTGAAAAATAAATTGGCTCCCTTTACTGGGGAATAGCTTGGGTAAGGAAAGGCTGAGCTCTTGTGTTCCTTACTCATCAGCACTGCTGGGGTATGACATCAATATATAGAGGGATAAAATATAGAGTTTGAGAAGAGCTGTCTTGTAAATGAAAGAGAGTAGCCAGTTCTTGGTTGCCATTTTTATCTGAAGTCTCTGCTATCTGCTACCGGAATGAGAAAATGTGTTTGTCCTATGCCTTCCCTAATTATCCACTAATTAAGCAAATGATGGATAACCACTGTCTCTTCCCAGTAGTATAACAAGGTAGGTGGGCCAGTGCCCTAAGCAAAGGGGTGTGATGAATACACAGCATGGCATCTGCCATTAGCAACATCATCTCAGCTCCCAGCACAGCAAACCCAGCCAATCTTTTAAAACATCCTATGATTAGATTTACTCTAAATTATGGCCCCTCTCATGTGTCCAAATCCAGGAAATTCTACATCATCTCACACTTAAGCTAAATATATTGAAGTATACAAATTAACATCTGAGTTTATTAGCAGCAGCAGCACAAGGAAATGTCTACAAATTCAAACTCAATCATGATAATTGAATTTCTGTTAACCACCCTGGGAGGTATAGTTTTGCTAACAGGGAAGGAAGGAAAGTCATTTTTGTTGCTGCCATAACAAATGGCTCTCCACAGAGATTAATCCCAACATTCTGAGTACTTTAATTATTTACTTTATTTTCTTGAGCACCTCCACCCACACTAATGTCCCTCCAATGGTTCTGGATTTGAATCTTGTGTTTTATTTCAAAAATATCATTGTACTTCTTTCTCTTTACTGTATTAGTCTTTACTTGTGATTCTATGATAATGAATGGTATTTAACCTTTTGAATGAAGACACTAAATAAAGCAAAAATCTCACAATTTATAGATGAGATGATGCTGAAAATTACCTTATTTGATAAGATCATCAGTTCAAATATAAGCTGGAAAAGCACATGCGTAATCATTGTGATAGTTACTCAGAGATCAGAAACCCTTGAAGCCCATAACACTGAATGAATTTGAAGGTGCAACTCTAAAAACATTCCCAAGCAAATTTGGCATTTATTCATTTGACACTTACTCTGTGAGTGATTACTATATTAATGGCAGTATGCTATGGGAGGGGATTTACCTATTAATATGTAAGGAGTAAGGATGAGAATGGTAAATATCTCAAAAGATTTGATGGGAGAATTGGGTTTTGGCAAGTAATTTTAAAGAGTGGAATTCTGAGTGAGGAAGACATGGAGAAAAATAGTCCAGACTGATGAAACATCAGGAGTAAAAGAGGGAAAAAAGCAGGTTGGGGCAAGAATCTTGAGAACTGTGAATGCCAGATGATATGGTTTAGCTGTGTCCCCACCAAAATCTCATCTTGAATTGTAGCTCCCACAATTCCCACGTGTTGGGAGGGGTCCCAAGGGGATGTAAGTGAATCATGGGGGCAGGTCTTTGCCATGCTTTCCTTGTGATAGTGCATAAGTCTCATGAGATCTGATGGTTTTATGAAGGGTAATTTCGCTGCACAAACTCTCTTCTCTTGTCTGCCTCCATGTGAGACGTGCCTTTTACCTTCTGCCAGAATTGTGAGGTCTCCCCAGCCACATGGAACTGTGAGTCCATTAAACCTCTTTCTTTTGTAAATTGCCCAGTCTCGGGTATGTCATTATCAGCAGCCTGAAAATGGACTAGCACACCAGCCTAGAAATTCTGGAGCTTTGGTGGGTAATGGAATGCTCTACCCAGGAAACTCATTATGTTTGAAAGTAACAAGAGGAGATGAGAGGGCCCCCTCCTTGTCAATTGTTCCTTGCATTCTGGACATATAGTGAACATCAATAGGAACATGGGTGTATTCCTTTCCTATATCTGCTGTTAACAAATTACCACAAACTTGGTGGGCTAAAACAACACAAATTTTTCTTACAGTTCTGCAGGCAGAAGTTTGGCCTGGTCTAAGTGGGCTAAAATAACGTGTCTGTGGGGCTTTTCTCCTTCTGGAGGGCCTCAGAAAGAATCCTTCCTCTTGCCTTTGAACATCAGGAGACTGATTGCTTCCCTTGGCTCATGGCTGTCCTCCTCTACCTTCAAAACCAGCAACATATGCCTGGGGCCTTCTCACACTGCTGTCTCTCAAATTCCTGTTTTCTGCCTCTCTCTTCCACTTTTAAGGATCTGTCTGATTACACTGGGCCTACCCAGATGATCCAAGATAATCTTCTTATTTTAAGGTCAGCTAATCAGCAACTTGCATTTCATCTGCCATTTCAATTCCCCTTTTGCCACGTACTATATCACACTCACAGATGCCAGGCATTAGGATATGGGTGTCTCGAGGGGTGGGGGGGTGGCATTATTCTTTTTATCATCCAGGAAAGAAACTGATTTGAGGAAATGATAGTGAGGTAGACTTTGAACATTCTGACATGGTGTTTTTTAAGTGGGAGAAGTTTATAACAATTCATGATAAAATGCCTGTGGCTTTTAGTTGGCCACTGACAAAATGAGCCAATAGTTTGTACAAGAAACACCATGGACTTGGGGGTGACTTTGGCCACATTCTGTCATTATACCCACTGTGAGTATTAGACATTGGACTAGACCATTTTTATAAATTATCTCATTAAAAATTCACAACGACTGAAGTGCACATCATTCTCTTCCACAAAGCCAGTTTCTGGTGCGAAAAAGGGTTGGAGACCACTGGTCTAAACCTTGCCCTAAACTCCATACAAGTATATTCAACCACCTTACATGTATCTCCACTTTCCACTTGGATTCATGAGGAATCCCAGCAGAACAAGTCCAACGCTGAACTTATGATCTTCTCTGTGACACCTCCCTGTCGAACTCTCTCATCTTCTTCAGTGAGTCCTTCTCTCACTTTCCTGTTTAAAATAGCCTACTCCCTTTCCTTTCTTTACTTGCTCTATGTTTCTTAGCTGTGCTTATCACTATCTAACATACTATCTCTTATACTAGCTTATTTATTGGTAGCCAGTAATTCTCCCCTAAGGTAAGTTACTTGAAGGCACAAATTTTCTTTTCTTTTTTTCCTTTCTGTTTTTACAATTTATTACTGTGTTCTCAGTCTCTAAAACAGTGTGCTTGGTGCATTTTACATAAATACATATCCCAGATCCAAATATATAAAATGAATAAAAGAGGAGCTACTCTAGTTAAAGAGAATAAAAATGACTGGCGACAATGGCATGCAGCCACCCACCTGTCCCAGAAGGATCTTTGCAGAAGTACTGTCATTTTAGGATCTTCTAATCTGTAGGCACATTGGAAGCCCCACCACTTATTATATAAAACATATTAAAATGTATCAACATCCCACAGTAAACGTACATCTCTGCTGTAAAATTTTCACTTTGGAATTAATCGGCTAAGCCTAAGTGCTTAAAGTTAATTTTGGCTTCTTACTAATCATTGTCCATTTTCTGAAAAACATTAAAGAAGGAGGGTATCTAACCTTTAAACTATTTTCAATTATAATGATATATTCAGAGATACTAAATTTAACACTTAATATAGTTGAAAAATGTAATCTAAAATAGACATTTAATTCAATATTTGTTAATGTCAAACCAACATTATAATTTTTATATTTTGGAGGCAATAAGTTTCTTTATCAGAATTTTTAGTTGGCCTCTGGAAGCTATGGACAAAGGGACCTGTCTAGAACTAAAGGAACATGGAGCATTCTTAAAATCATGTGCATAGGGAGAGACTGGTGTGTTGGGTGTTTGGGAAATTAACTTGGAGACAATGTGCAGAGGCTCTTTAATTAGACATGCTTACAAAGGCAGTTAAGGGTGATGATGTCTATGGAGTGCACTACTGAGATTGACCTGTCTGAGAGAAACTGCCTTTGGGAGGGGCATTATCCCAGCTGAGAGCCTGCAGTTGCAGGTATCTTCAGGATTTGCCCTAGCTATTGAGGCTGAGGCTATGCCCTTCCTCGGCCGCTCTCAGACATCGACTGTGCATAGTGACAGCATTAGCCTGGCCATTTCTGTGTAAGGTGGACCCCTTCACCAGCAATCTTTGTGCTGGAGCTCCCCCACACTACCTGGGATTTTCTCAGAGGTGCACTGCATCAGAGACTCTTTCTAACCAGCCCTCCTTCCTTCCCCCTCTTTTTTCACAGGTGTCGGGCCGATAATGGTTGAAAGGTCTTCTTTGCTACTCCTGCTCTCTCTTCCTCTTTATCTTTCTGAAGCATTGGTCTCAATAAATTTCTTATATTTTTCTGTCTTGACATCTGCTTCCTACAAGACCAAACTGTCAGAAAGGCATTGAGCTAAAATATTTTGACTGGCTTTTAAAGTCACCATCAACTATACCAACAATGCCTATTCAAACTGATTTCTTAATCTTCCCCACTATAACCTTCCTTTGCAGGCAAGCAGACTTTTACATAGGACGGTGGTGCTGTCTCTAATGTACACTTTATTTAGTTAGGCCTTGGCTCATATCCTGTTTTCTGTCCTCTATAATTTCATGCACTCAATTCCTAGTATCTCATAATTCAGCTTAATCCCATAGCCTTTGTGAATCCATGTTTTATTACCCCAGCCAGAAAGGATTTATAAAGTCTCAAGATCCTGTTATATTTAGAGGAAATCCTCATTGTCCACCCATTCAATATCTCAATAGCTTTATCTATTTAATTTAATATTCTCAAGGTCAATTAATAAACCTTTTATATTCTTTTCCTCTCATCAGCTAACACATTTCTAGGTGCATAGTAGATTCTTAAAATGTTTTTGGTAGATGGTTTCAGACTTAGGGGCCAACAATTGAAATACTTGGGAAATAATTCAAAGAGGCTAAACTCTAATAGCAGCTGCTATCAGATACAAAAGAAAAGAGCTGGACCCCAGAGCTCATAAAGAAACAGTCGTGTTTCTAATTAAATTTCAGACTTGTTAGGAGTTTGTACTGTGATTCAATGATAATGAGAAGTCTGGACACTGGGAGGAAGTGTAATACAGAAGTGGCTTTATAATATAAATCACATTAGACTTAAAAAATCACATACAACCTTGACCAAAGCAGTTTTATTAACTGTTCTGCTAATGCAAACCACTTTCTGGAGGAAGGAAGAAACAAAAATAATCTTTGTCTTCTATTTTGTCAAAGTCACGATTTATTTAATGAGTCCGAAATGGATCTTTCTTCAGGAAGTAATCTTGACAAACATATGCTTATCTCCTTTTGACAGCAACAATAAACTGAGAGTCAAAAAGCAAGGGTTAGGAAGAAAAGACATTTGTGAGCTAAGTGTGTGTGTGGCTATGCAAGCCTGGCTCTAAGAGTTTCTGCTCATGGACTAGACCTGACTTAGCTGGGGAAGGTAGGATGTATCATCACTAAAGAAAACGAGAGATCTTTTGTAAGTCCTGTTTGCCTTCTGGAGGGCATATGACTCAATGAGCCAGTAGTTATTCAACTTGTGGGAAAGAAAATAGTGTTTTAAAACCTGGCACCGACATTACAAAAGCCAGCTCCCCTTCCGGAGGCTGACCAGGCAGGGGTCGAGAAACTTGGAGCCCTGAGCTCCCTCAAGTAAAGAGAGATCACAACACAGGAAGAACACAAATAAATTTCAGGGTAATAGTGTAGTAGCTTTACTTCCTGATGGTTTCTTTCCTCTTCTCTTTTTGAATTGGAACAATGCATCAATGAAAAACTGTTTATAAAAAAGAAAGTTCTGCCCACTCATAATTATAAGACCAAGCTGATTCATAGAAATTTAGTATGTAATTTCTTTTGAGAGTCTTTTTTCTTTTTTTCCCCTGTGGCACCACAATCTTTCTGCATGGTGAAGCCGATTTAGTGGCTATAAGAATAAATTGCATTTCCTATCATTCTCATTTTATATGTAGTTCATCTTTCTTCATATTTTCAAAACTTGTTAATGACAAGGATCTGCTTTTCCAGGAGAATGCTTTAACTTTAACAGGGAATTTCTGTCAAAATAAAATGATCATTAGGACCAAATTATTTTTAAGATGATCTTATTTTCATAAATATATATAAAATCTCATCATCCAAATACCTTATTTTTATGTTCTCAGAAAGAGATGGAACTCTTTGATTCTTGATGATAATCTCTTGGTGAGCTTAATTCATGACAATCACGTGACAATACTGGTTCAAGTCTCTCTCCTTTACCCATGTAGCATTCCCTAATTTAGGCTGAAGTTGAGATTAGAGAACTCACAGGTACCTCTACGATCTCTGTGATGACAGATGTTGTTTATTTAGTAGTCATAGTCATGGTTTATATGAAACATATTGGTGAGGATTAGAGTCTTTTCAGTTATTGCCAAGAAGGAGTTCCAAAGTCAACTTCACCAAACAGGAGTCCACACCCTTCTGTTTGTAGAAAGCAGAAACAAAAGCATCCTTATCTTTCGTAAAAGGTTTTCTTTTAGTAACTGTTCTACAAAAGTAATTAAAGAAACATTAAATAGAACTTCTTACCCTATGTTCTAAAAGAAACCGGTTACGCCCTTTATTCTTTTGCTTTATTAGACCTTACACAAATAGAAATTGGTTCCTTCAATGAGGTTCTTTGTCTACCTCATAAGTCATGGATTTTTTAATGTTTTATGCATATCCTAAAAATTACACTGTCATATTACATTTCTAGGCATTTAAAACTTAAATTTCAACCAATATCAGCAACTCTACCAGTTGAGCTAATATTCCTAAATAAATGAGCAATTTATTTATATCTGAAAATACTTCAGAAAATCAAAAGAGGCCGGGCGCGGTGGCTCACGCCTGTAATCCCAGCACTTTGGGAAGCTGAGGCTGGTGAATCACATGAGGTCAGGAGTTCTAGATCATCCTGGCCAACATGGTGAAACCCCATCTCTACTAAAAATACAAAAATTATCCGGGAGTGGTGTCAGGTGCCTGTAATCCCAGCTACTTGGGGGACCGATGCAGGAGAATCGCTTGAACCCAGGAGGCGGGGGTTGCAGTGAGCCGAGATCGTGCCATTGCACTCCAGCCTGGGGGACAAGAGAGACACTTCATCTCAAAAGAAAAAAAAAAAGAAAGAAAGAAAATCAAAAGAGAGTATTGTTCAAAATCACAAAAACTTCTAATAAAATGTCCTTCTAGGTAATAAATATCATGCAAGATAATGCAAGCAATGTGTAATCTTTAAGAAACGCACCATAGGTGATAATTGGGAAATAATTCCGCCGCTGTCATAATTCAAGAATATATTGCATTTGTTTCACATGCTTTGACTTTAAAATAAAACAAAAACTATTGTCGTCATTTAAACAACATCTCTTAAAACATGTGCTTTTTGGAGAATTTAACACACAAACTAAGCAAGTTGTATTGAGCTAGTCATGCCTGTAATAATAAAGATGCAACACAAATTTAAATTTGGGCCAAAATGAAGAGGAATTGAGTTTTTTAGAATTTTTAGATCCTAAAGGTAGTGATGCTTAGCTCCTGGTGTACAGCTTCTAAAGATGAAAACCAATAGCTAGTGTGTAGCATACTTCCTGACAGTCATGGAATTCTTCTCTTCTGGGCTCCCAAGGCCTGGACAAGAAGTTGAACCATGCCACAGACTGACTCAAATAATGCTTTTAGAATTCTGATATATTCTTCCAAAGCAAGTTGTAATCACACAAGTATTACTATTCTTGTATCCAACATCCCCCAAAGATGTTAATCACTCAAACTACTGGGTAGGGCAATATGACTACTCTCCAATAAGTGAGGTTAATCTTTACATTCTTTCTAAATGATTTACCAACTTGGCTTTGATAACTCTATGGCTTAACGGACATAACTGGCTTAACCATCATTTCTTTTAGAGGTAATTGCTGTGGTTTGAATGTGTCCCCCAAAGTTCATATGTTAGCAACTTAATCCACAGTGCAACAGTGTTGAGATGTGGGAACTTTGAAGTGATTAGGTCATGAGGACTCTGCCCTCATGAATGGGTTAATGTCATTATTATTGGAGTGGGTTTGTCATAAAAGTGAGTTTGACGCCCTCTTGCCCTCTCTTTTCCTTCCACCTTTAGCCATGGAATGATGAATACAATATGAATAATCCACCAGACGCTGGGGCACCATGCTGTTGGATTTCCCAACATTCAGAACTGTGAGTCAAATAAATTTATGTTCATTATTAATTATCCAGTCTGTAGCATTATATTATAGTGGCATAAAATGGACAAAGACAATACATATGTCTTAAATGTGACCATACAGATTTTACTTTGTTCCAGGGACAAGTCTAGACAGTGAAGTATAACCAAGAGGAGTGCATCTAGGAAGAATGCAGTGAGAAAGAGAAATCTCCCAGTGATTTTAAAGCTTAGTGTGAAGCAGAATTTCCCAGGGGTGCTTAATAACTCAGAATCTGGGTTCTGACATCAAGTAATTCTGATTCAGAAGGCTGAGACTAGGATTACATTTAGGAATCTGAAAATCTAACAAGGACCTAGTCTTATAAGTCTAATGGATTTGAGGTCCATCCCTCAAAGATCTCAGCTTTAAGTAAATGAAGGCTTTGATCTCGTATCTAACCCTAACTTCCTTTTAAAAATAACCTTTGAGCTGCATGTTCTTTAAGACAGTAGGTAGTTGACTCGTCTTTTCTCCCAGGAGCACTAATTGACATTTATCTTCAGCACAGTCACTTCCACAGCCCACTCATTTAATGATGGCACAACCCTGTGGTTAGAAGCTTCACAAATGAAAATATACACAGCAGTGGTGGCCTTTTATTTATATACTCATTTCAAAGAGAAGTCAGAGCAGTTAGCTGTGAGCAGTCTGTTTACTAAACAGAGTTTAAGCAATGGGCATAGACAGAGATCCTTTCAGCTTAATGTCTACCAGATGATTAAAAAAGTTTGCAGTTAGCTTCCTGCTCACAACCTAGCCAGCGAAGCGGTAATACCTGTAAAATAATTAGGGTACAACATGTGCTTAATTTATTCCAAACATTGCAAGATTTTCACATTAGCATTAATGGCTTGCTTATAGTGGAACCCTAGAGGCAACATAACATAATAGGAGGCTAAAATATTGTAGCTAAAATGGGTGTGTGAAAAAAAAATACCGTTTGTGGTGTGCTCTACCAAAAGGTTGTGGTTCAATGTTCATATTGTTCTCTCCAGACAGTACTAATTTGTTTCCAATTAAAAGAAAATAGATTGCAAACGACTTCACAGAGCAGCCTGGTCAAAGGAATAAGGTCTGGTTTATAATGTTGCCTCAGGAGCAGCTATTTTGCTGCAGGGTGAAAATCTAGCCCTTGGTTTTGCAGAGTAGCTGGGTCTAAAGAGAGGAGTTAGAGTTACTCTGGTGATAGAATTTATTGTGTTGCTAAAACTGCTTATTATCCTCTATTTAGGTAGTTTGCAGAAGCTTATAGGTCTTTGTGGTGGATAGAAATTAATAAACGGGCATCTCAATTCATACTGAGTAATTGTTAATACCCTCATTTTTAATAGCGTAAAGCTTTCCAACTACCCCCTTGTCATGAGAGGATAATTGTTTCCTTATGATCCTCATCTCTTTGATATCTGGACAATGAGCTATGAGGCAGGCATCTGATGAAGTAAAAGGAGACAGGGAGAAAGGAAGTGTTCTCAGTGATATGATAAAAGACACTGAAGACTCCGGACCCTTTCTGACCTCCGACAAGTAAAAGTTGAGAAGTGCTTCTCATGCCTCATGTTTGCATTCAAGTCCAGGAAACAACAGAAATGCGGATGTTACCATCTGGAAAGGGAAGTGTTCTTACATCTTGAGAATTAAGACATATACAAAAGCTTAGCTCACTTACATTCTGTTTACCTAATTTACACAAATTCCTATACACATTCTTTAGTGAGAAACTGGATCTCCATGGTTTGAATGGATCTATCTGGAATTAATCAGCTCTATGCATTAAGAGCTACTGGTCAAAGTAATGACTTTGGAATAAGAAGTGAATTGTTTCTAATAAGAACAGTCAGTTGAAGTGGGTCAAATACTGGAACATAATGAACTCAAATAGCTGTTCCCCTGAGCTCTGATTGGCTACCAGTGAGGACTGTGCTTATAGCAAAAGAAACAATCCCGACTCAAACTTGTTTAAGCAAAACAAAAGGGATTATTGTAACAGAAGGATTATTTTGGAAGAAAGAGAACTCGACTGGTCTATGTTTCATGAATATGGATATTCAACTTCCTGGATCTGTATAGATGACAGAAACTAACACGTACTAAGCAAGCACACATACCTCATTGTTCTTTTAAAAGCATTTATGTAAAAGGTAAATTGTGTTAAGAAAAAATATTCAAAACTTTAAAGTAAAGCAAAAAGTGGGTGGCATATTGTTTCAGTGCTTTGTGGGAGAATGGATCTACCCAAGGTCTTGTTTACTATTGATTAAAGATCTCAGTTTAGTGAGGTTACATGTTGGCATGCAGATTTTTGTCTAGCAGAGGTGCAAAAAATTTTTGTCTGGTAGGAAAAATAATCCCAGAGTTATGGCTTACTGTCCTATACAATATAGGACAATTAGGATAATAATCAATTCTGCATCTAATCCAGCAATCTTATTCTAATTTCGACTCATTAAATTGACTATAAATACTTGGATCCACAAATATTCTTTAAACCGATCTTAACATCTTACTCGTTCTGTCACTAATTAAATAGTTGAATAACATCTTTAATAAGGGTTTATTTTGCATTTGCATGGGAGCCATGATTTTACCTTTTGGCAAATTATACTTTAGCAATAACTAAAAAGTATTTATTATACAGTTACTGGTGAGGTACACACTAATCTTAGTATACAAATGCTTTTGAGAAATTAGTTTCACACTACAATTTCCCTAAATAGATCTTGTTTTCTTTGGGAAAATAGACTCCTTGCTCTTGTCCAACAATCTCAGTTTTTTTTTCATGTCTATGAGGTCTTTCAATTTACTGTTCCCTTTTCTAAGTCTTCTGTGCTCCCAAATGCACATGGGACTAACTCCTTCATTTCTTTCAGGTCTCTTAAGTTCCTTCTTCTTGGAGAGGTCTTCTTGATTAATCAGTCTGAAGTAAGACCTTCTATGTGGTGTACCCTAATTTATTTTTCCTTACAACACTATTACTTGCCGTGTATCTATTTGTTTATTATCTGTGGTCCGCCATTAGAATATTAACTTTATGAGAGCAGGAACGTTGTATATTCACACAGTTTTACATTTTTGTCTTTACTGATTTCCAAGCAAAGTTTATAATATTTGACACAATATGTATACACAGCTGGTAGAAAGGCAGATAGAAGACCTTATAGGCAATACAAGGAAATCAGATGTATGATAAGCTCAAAATAAAAAAATAACAATAGTAATGGAAACTTCCGAGCTCTCAGTATGTGGCAGGCTGTACTCTCCATGCTATTATTTTATGTGAGTTATGTGTGTATTTACTCATTTAATCCTACCACAGGCAATGAGTTAAAAACTATTATTAGCTCTATTTTACAGACACAGGATGGTTGAGTAACTTGCCTAAGTTGACAAGGAAGAGCTGGAAATCTGGAGGTCAAGCAGAATGCCTCCAATTAAGCAAAAGAAGCTTTTGATATCTCCCCCACACTCCTGCTAACTGGAATGTAAGCCGCACACAGGCAGGGATAAAGATTCTGGTCTTTTTGTTTATTTATTTTACTTTTTGTTTGACTGTTGTATCCCAGGGCCTAGGAATGTCTTTGTTGCATGGTACATAGTCAATGAATAAGTAATAAATGAATGAAATTTTTTTATGGCCTTCTATGTTTCAGACACTTTTCTTGGTACTGGAAATGTTACAGGCAACCAGAGGCCACTGCTAAGAAGAAATATTGCATAAGAAAAGTCAGTAATTCACCATAGAAAATTTAAGACATTTAAAGTATGACACAAAAATCCCACCTTAATACTAGCTTTTCTATTTCCTATACACTCAACTCAGGAATGCACATGTCTTTCCTGACTCTGGAAATATTTTGTCAGCCATGTGAAAATGAACAGCGATCATCTTAAATAAGCACACTTGGGCTGGTCCAAGGGCCACAGCTGCCTCTCCAGAGTGGGAGGCAGGCCTCTTGGGGTGTTTGAACTACAGTTTAAGGGCTCAGCTACCCCTGCCCAGATCTCCTCTGGCAGCCCAAGGAGAAAATCTGCCAGTCCTAGTTGGCCAAGTAAAATAACAATTTAAAATAAATGTTATCCCTTCTACATTTTCCTGACCTGAGTAGATCCATAACTGAATCGATTTATTAATAACTTTATGTGTGAAAGAGGTGGATATAATCATTGCAGTTTTAAAAGAGGAATGCAGGGAAGAAATAACTTCCCTAGGGCTGCTACTTCTGCAGCAAAAGTCAAATCAAGATTAGACCTCAGAATTTCTCAGTTTAAAACCTGTTTTCTGTAGAGAAATTGCCGTGACAGTGCCTTCAACCCAGAAGGCTACCAGCAGTCTGACTAAAGGTTTAACACTTAGTAGAAATGCTATTTTTAAAAATTACACGAGGAACACAATTTTCTGGGTACTGAAGAAGTAACAGTCAGTTCTTGCAACAGGTGGCACTGGGAACAGATGAACCAATAAAACTGAAATAAGAAAGTTGAAAATATATTCAAAAGCATTTGTAGAAAATGATGCCGTATTAGAAAGATTTAAAAACATTCAATGAGGAGCTGAGACTGAATTCATGAAAAGATTTTCAAATGGATAACTTTTTTTTTTTTTTAAAGAACTCACAGTATTAAGCTTTTCTTACCCAGTATCCTGTGCAACCAGTAGGAAGGTTGCAGAGTAATTAGCACCTAGATTTTCAGGTTAAAGGAAAAACAAAACAAAACAAAACAACCAAACACTTCAGTAATCTGATTGATCATCTGGCTTATTTTCTCTTCCTTTTTGTGGTGCCTCTTTACACCTGCCTTGCACAGTAGGGTATCTAAATGAAGCCAAATGAGAGGAAACCAACCTTCTTAGCCTCTTTTGAATTCTTAAAAAAGAGCTAAAGTAATTTACAAATGCTAACCTGAAGATAGTAGTGCTTTTTAATAATATCAATATCAGTACAATTTAATATTTTGAGCTTTTATAAAAGCATTTTTATCAAGAAAAGCACCATTTGTCAGTTTGAGAAAAAGCATTCAAATTGAGGTCAGAATGGAATAAAAGCTTTTTATTTGAGAGAAGGATAGATAGATTCTACTCTCTTTATCATTTAATTGAACAGAGAACTGAGGACCAGAAAAGTTCATAGCTAAACTGCTTCCCTTATTTTCAGGAGAAATGCTAAAAAACAGATTTTACTCTTTTCACCCTACCATAGCACCTGGGTTTCTCAGTGTATGGCTGAAAATAAATGAGGACTATTAGATAGGTACTTCAAATAGAAGTACAGACATTGAGGATAATTCTTTCTTCATGATGATGAAATATGTGACACTTCATTATGATGAAATTTATGTTCTAATAAATAAATCTCCAGGACATTACATGAATATGGCCCACACCAAAGATCAAGATTAAATATTGTTAAGGTGAGTTGAACATATGTTGCTTTTCATAGGTAACAACGTAAACTTATGTCACAGAGTCCCTCCACCTCCATGTGTTTAACTCTTCAGGAGATAAATTGAACCAATTTTCCTCCGGGCTCTTTTTTTCCCCCAGAAACTTCTGCAAATGGCTTGAGTAACTTTTATATTGCTGGTCAAAACTAATTTGGACAAAGCAAAAGTGTTCTTCTTTGGGTTACGTGGAGGGGCTGCTCAGCTTCGAAGAAATTGAAGAAGAAATGGACAAAGGCATTCTACCACCTTGATTCATATGGGAAAAAAAAGGATTAAAATGTAAGGAAAGATACAAAGGCCAAAGTTAGAAAATGAGAGACAGGTTGTGCAATATTAGAGCCATCAAAAATAGGACAACAAAGCATGCATGTGTAGTGGGTTACATGGTGAAGCCTTGGACCAACAAGTCTGTATGCTAGTCCTTGGAACCTGAGAATATCACCTTATATGAGATGTGATTAAGTTAAGGATTTCCAGAGGAAAAAAAAATAATCTTGGATTATCCTGGTGGGTCCTAACTGAAGTCATGGGTATACTTGTAAGAAAGACAGACAGATCTGTTGTACAATGTGGTACAGTTCCTAACAACTATTTCATGCTTGAAAATCACTGAGAGTAGACTTTAAGTGTTCTCATTACAAAAATATATGTAAGGTAACACATACGTTAGAATTTTTGCCAAATTGTTCAAATTAAGAAACTTTAATGACAGTACCACCTACAGAGGTGTGGTCAGAGGGATGGTGCTGCACCCACAGACAAGCAACTGCGGAAAGCAATTTCCCTCAATAAAGTTGAATGACCGGGGAAGAAAACAGCATCCAAAGACCCCAGGAGAACTGTATCTAGGAAGTACCTCTTGTAGGAGGCTGTATTCTTGGGAAAATGTAGCTGCTGCCAGAAATACGACACCAATGCAGGAAGGAAGTGGAAAGGAAGTGGGAAGGAAATACCCCAACCTCTCTGTTCCCAGCCTCTGATCAGCCCTGCAGGGGAGCCTGGAAGGGGTAACTCATTGTGGTCAGGTTCCCAGGGCATAAAGCTGGGCACAGAAGCTTGGAGAGAAAGGGGTGAACATGGAGAATAACAAGCTCACCAATTTCGATCCAGGCATGTTGATATGGTTTGGCTCTGTGTCTCTACCTGGATCTCATGTGGCGTTGTAATCCTGACACGTTGAAGGTGGGGCCTGGTGGGAGGTGATGGATCATGGGGGTGGTTTCTAATGGTTTAGCACCATTCCCCTAGTGCTGTCTCATGATAGAGTTCTCATAAGATCTGATGGTTTAAAAATGTATGTCATTTCCTGCCTCACTCTCCTCTCTCTCCTGCTCTGCCATGGAAAGATACGCTTGCTTCCCCTTCAACTTCTGTCATGATTATAGGTTTCCTGAGGCCTCCCAACATTCTTCCTGTTAGCCTATGGAACTGTGAGTCAATGAGACCTCTTTTTTTTCTCTTTTTTCTTTGTTTTTTGTTTGTTTGTTTGTTTTGAGACAGAGTCTTGCTCTCTCACCCGGGCTGAAGTATAGTAGCATGATCTTGGGTCACTGCAACCTCTGCTTCCCAGGTTCAAGCGATTCTGCTATCTCAGGCTCCCAAGTAGCTGGGACTACAGACACGCACCACCACGCCTGGCTAATTTTTGTACTTTTAGTAGAGACAGGGTTTTGCCATATTGGTCAGGCTGGACTTGAACTCCTTACTTCAGGTGATCCACCCACCTATGCCTCCCAAAGTGCTGGGATTACAGGCAAGAGCCACTGCGCCCTGCCCTTAACCTCTTTTCTTCATAAATTACCCAGTATCAAGTAGTTCTTTATATTACCACGTTCAATGTGAGAATGGATTAATACACATGTAATAAGCTTCTTGGAAAGTTTTTCTCTAGCCTTTACACTAGCACCCCCTCACCCTGAAATTATACACTATTGTTTTTTCTTTATTTAGTTGAAAACTAAAGCTCCAGGGAGGTGACTTACTTAGGTGACCTAATCTCCTGTGCACCCTTCTTGCTCTGTCTACTCATCCATACAGACCTCTTTCCTCCTGTCCAGCAGGAACTTCCATTTCTGTACCTTAACCTTAACATTTGCTCTGCCCAGCACAGCCTTTCCTCAGAGCTCTGTGTTTCCTCAGAGCTCTTTCTTCTCTTCCAGTCTCTGCTTAAGTATCATCTTCTCAGCCAGCCTTCTCGGGTCACCCTTTGCTCTAGTTTACTTTTCTCCATCGCACTTGACTCCGCCTCCCACCTCAGGTTTCTTACTTAGGTGTTGTCTGTTTTCCCCATCACAACAGAAGTGGGTGAGGCTTGCACAGCCACGTCTTTTCGGTGCCCAACACGTGGTAGGCTCAGTAAGTGTCGTTGAATGATTGAGAACAAGTAGGGCCAAGGATTTGAACCCTCGTGTGTGATTCTGAAAGCCATTTTTCGTTTTATTTCATAATCTTGGGATCCGATTTCATGGAAGTGGAATTTACGTGCAATATGTGCTCCACTTGGCCATTATTGAAATCATACAAGCAACAGCACAGCACCATATTAAAGAAGTGATAGGTTCGTCATCAGAATAACATGATAAGAAAAAGGAAGACAGTTCGGATGCAATTGAAAAAAGTCAGAAAAATTGACTAGGATTTTGTTTCATCAGTTCCTACAAACATACACACACAGTCACACTACACACACACACACACACAAACACACACACACACACACACACACACACATACACACTTACTTTCTCTCTCTATCTCTCCCCATGGGCTCTCTTTCCTCTCAGAGAGGAAAAGCTGACACGTGTGTACCGAATTCTACACATTCACATCCGGACTGGGCAGATAAGCAGATGATGTATCCACGCTGTGTACCCAGATGGGGGCTTTGACACCAGTTGGAGCTGTTTGTGCAGATCTCCCAGCCAGAGCTGAAGTGCTTGGGAGCCTCTTTATAAAGCACTTCTCACTACCGGCTTCACAGAAAGAGAAGCAGCCCGGGGGGATTTCAACCAAATGCTGCTATAAATAACAGCATTGAGACAGAGTGGGTCAATGTAGGATTAGAATCATTCTCAACTGATTGCTTGCCTATAGAGGGTACATTTTCCCTTTTCTTCAGCCCCTTTCTGAGGTTCTTGTCATGTAAAATGTCACATAGCATATGATAGAACTAAAAACATTTTCGAGGAAGGAATCTTACCTTAAAGGGGAAGGGACCTATTTTCCCTTGTTTTCTTTAAGCATGCTAAGGGGTATTATTAATAGCATTCAAAATGATAGCTATGACCACACTGGAAATGTGGACAACGATAGTTCCAGTTGCCAGCTGTCTTCCTCTGTTTGGGTTATTATAACTGAATACCATAAACTGTGTGGCTTAAACAACAATCTAGTTTCACAGTTCTGGAGGCTATGAGGTCCAAAAGCAAAGTGCTGGCAGCTCCTGTGTCTGGTGAGGGTCTGCTTCCTGGTGGGCAGACAACTGTCTTCTTTTTGTGTCCTCATATGGTGGAGAACAAAGAGAGGAAGCAAACCCTCTCCTGTCCCTTCTTATAAGGGCACTAATCCAAGCTTGAGGGTTCCACTCTCATGACCTATATACCTCCCAAAAGCCCCACCTCCAAGTACCATCACACTAGGGCTTAGGGTTTTAAAATATGAATTTTAGGAAAGATTCAAACATTTAGTCCAAAGCACCAGCTGACTACATTTCGTTTGTGGAAGAAAAAGGTTTTGTAAATTAAGTGGCAACAACTTCAACTTTCTGCAATCATTTTTCAGGGATTCAGAACAGTCTTACAATTATATTTAATATGTATTGAATAGGATGCACCTGTATCACATGAGCTAGGGTGGGAATGAAGAGGGTTCATAAGGTTTTTTCAGCCTCTGTCACACATAGTCATCACCTGGACCATAATGGCCAGCCCTGGAGGCGATGCTCACAGATGCTTGCCCTTGCCAGAAGTGCTTCTCCAGAAGGCATTTTTTTTTCTTTTTACCTTTCATACATTTCTTCTGAGATTTCTTTGATTACTTTCTGATTAAAATCTCTTCCTTCTTGGAAGGCAGCTTGGCCCCGTCCTCGTGGTCAGGGACAGTGCAGAGTGGGACTCATCTCACCGCCATCATGGTGTACAGTCAATGAATGCCCGAAAGTTCACACCAGCTCCTCACCGGAGGCACCGCTGACCATATAGAAGATCCTAATTTTGCATGTAGTGGGAGAAGGTATCCATGCCCAGCTTCAGGACATGGGACTTTTTTTTTTGCATTTTTGAACATTACTATGTGTATGCCAGGGCCAATCCTAGTGTTGGCAGGCAGGCATTCTTGTTCACACTTCCTCTCTTTTTGTGGGGCTTCCTCACATCATGAGCTTTGCCTCATGAGATACCCATTGTTCTATATGGCCCCAAGGGCTATTTTGTCCTGTCCTCTACGTGTAATATTTGCAATATGGACACAGCATTTTTAGGCCTCACCAAATTACGCAGACCAGCCAATGTAATCTGCATGCCTTTGTCTCTTTTTGTGCCATACATCTCTGAAGCTTCTTCCAATTGCAACACAAATTTTCTTCTGTCTCTTTCCCCCTTTGCAACAGAAACATTTACTTTTTGTTTAAATACTATAAAATAAAAACTTCTTTATTAAGGGAAGTCAAATAACCAGAAAAAAGACAATGTAAAAATGTGTCTTTTGTAGGAAATAAAAAAGCTCTATTCAAGTAGTGAGAACAATTTTGTTTATTATTTTAGAGCCAAAGAAATTCTTGGGTTGTAATTTAATTATTGAACCAAGAAGGACCATTATTGCAAGGGGAAGATTATAAGTGTGGACTCTGGGCTCAAACTGCCCTAGTTTGAATTACAGGTCCACTTACTAGTTGTTTAACATTAGGTTATTTACTTTACCTCACTAAGACACCAAATAACTAATGGACATGCTAATAATGGCCTTTACAGCATAATATTATTGGTGAAAGTCACCTGAGTCCTTCGCACCGTGCCCCTCATGGAATAAGTACTCAGTGAGGTTAGCACTTGCTATTAAGAATTTTAGGTTTACATTATAATCTTTTCAAAGTAAGCAGTCATATTTCTGGAAGTTTACAAACTTGTGATACCTAGAATGGGTTTCATTTTTTTTCTTTGAATATAAAAAGCACATTCAGTGTTCAAAAATTCTCAACCTCACTCTGAACATTATCCTTGTATTATTGCCCATCTAAAATGCAAGCATACTGAGAAGACTCACATGATTTTGAGATGTAGGCCCTGACACAAGCATTCCTCATATTTCCTGATGCCTGAATGTCCACATTAAAGGCTCTGCATCATGTAACTGCATTTAAACTGGGCAGATTCTGCTAAGGATAGGGCATAGATGGAAATAAAGTACATTTTTCATTCCCTATTCATTCTTAAACCCTACTAATGTCAGAGAGAATTATGTGTTATATAAAGGAAAGAAAAATAGATCATTATTTCAGTCTACCACTCTGTACGTTTTTGTATTCAGCAATATTAGATTTCTTTCCTTTTAATATCAGCCTCTAAATACACGGTAGGTGTTTAATGCATGCATGAATACCTAATGCTGCTGATGCGTCCTTCAGATTCTGACCGTCACTATCTGTACATAGTTAGTTATAAGAAGGTAGTAATGAAACAAAACCATTTTTCACATTTCTGGCCTAATCTCTAGCACATTGCCCACCCCTTGCTGTACACACACACACACATAAACACACACACACCCTTTTTAACGTAGCAGAGCTCTCTCAGGAAGGGAGAAATGTAACCTGGGCACATAGAAATGATCACAAACTCTTATCTTGAAAAGTAATTCTAAATTGGTATTACTAGCTCTGACCTGTATCTATAGTATTAATTTCAGCATGAATCATATGTGGCTAGGATATAATGCATAATATTGATTTTGATTTTTTTCCCTCCAGGCTGTGTCTTAGTTCCTGGCCTTGATCTTAAAAGTAAGATAGATGTTAGGCATTATTATCTAGCAGAAGGAGTAAAAATCAATTTTATCTCCTGACACTTCATTCCCTTTTTCTGCAATGGCAAAGTAGTAACATTGGAACAACTGTAAACTCACATTTACTTATTTAAAACTGGGATGCTGGTCTGGGAATCCACTACTCTAGGCTCTTCTTTGTACCTTGTGCATATTTTCAGATGAAAAATATGTAGTGAGTATGAGAACCTGTTAACCTGCTTTTTCACAGTAATAATAATTTCATAAAGGCATCTCTTTAAGAATAAGGTAACATTGAAATTTTTTTGAGATAATTTTAGATTGGCAGAAGAGTTGCAAGGATAGTACAGAGAGATCCCATATACACCTCATCAAGCTTTTGCTAATGTTAACTGTTTACGTAACCGTTTATCAAAGCTAAAAATTTAACATTGGTATAATACTACTATCCGACCTGCAGGCTTTGGTCAGATTTCCTTAGATTTTTCACTGGTATCTTTTCTGTTGTTGTTCCAGAATCCAATCCAAAACACCACACTGCATTAAGTGAATTTTTTTTGAGAAATACACTTTTGAGAAATATCTATTTGTCAATGGCAAGAATATAAATGTAACTGAGCACCTAATCATAGAGATTATTTTGATGATGTTTTCAAAATTTGCCAGTGAAGGAATGAGGTTTGGTGAATCAGTCAATAGTCTAGTGAAACGGTTTCCAACTTTACTGTTAAGACACATAGTTATATATCCATTTTAATCGGTGGAAAGATATATCACAAGCAAAACAATACTAATAGTAAAGTATTAAAATTTGTGAATGGTTTATGCATTTATAAATTTGACTGAATGAAAGATTAACCTCACTCTCACTTGTATTTTGAAATGCTTTTTGGAGTGAGAGGGAAAGAAGTAGAGTTACAATTATGAGCTCTAAATTTCTCATAAACCTAACTGCATTCATTAATTGTTTTATTCTTCACTTCTTCATCTTTGAAATGGAGCGGTAATCCTCATTTCCTTTTTAATGTAATAGAAAGCAAGATCTTTATTGTAAGCATAGTAACTGTATCAGTGCTCAATATCTTGAGGAAACAATTTGAAAATTATTTACTCAGCTTTTAATCATCTTGTTCCTAAAAGATTGATTGCACCAACTCAGATTATATCTAGACTTTGGGGACTATGGTAACATAAGGACATGCTCTATAGAAAATCTGTTATAAAATCCTACTTTCTCTTCAGTTTCTTTCTGTGTTAGAGACCATGTTGGTTGCTGACATTATTTGTGGAACAAGCAAATGAGTTCATATATGCTACAGTACTGCCTCCAAATTATTTTCTTCTAGTTTTTTCTTCCTTCCTTTATTCAAGACAATGTGAGTGTCTAATATGGTCCAGGCACTGGGTTATGCATTGGGAAGAGAAGATTAATAAGACATGACTTCTCTCCTTTTGTTCACAGCTTTGTAGAGGCAACAAATATAAAATCGATGAGAGGTCCATAAGAGTCATGTATAAAAATTATTTTTTACACCTTAAGTACCTAATTCTAGCAAAAAGGTAACGTTTTAAGTGAGCCTAGAAGAAAAAAATATGTCATTCTCCAAGGACCAAGTAGTTAGTATAAAGGGAAGGTGATTCCAGGCAGAGAGAGCCACGAGTTAATGTACAGGGGAAAAGGCTTATGAGAACTTGAAATTCAAGTAATTCAAAAGGACTCCTGTGCAGGATATTGTGTGACAGAATAACAATAATGAGACCAGAAATTACACCTATCAGAACTGGGGCCCTAATGTCTGTCTAATCGAAGCAAAAGATGATGAGGCTTGAATTAAAGCAATACCAGAAGTGGTTAAAAAGATGAGATACATTTTAGAAACAAGCAGGGGGAGAGCTGATTGGGAATGGA
Organism: Homo sapiens; assembly: GCF_000001405.40. Lineage (NCBI taxonomy): Eukaryota > Metazoa > Chordata > Mammalia > Primates > Hominidae > Homo > Homo sapiens. The sequence goes on along the minus strand of NC_000014.9, from coordinate 85,304,117 downwards.
AGCAGAGGCAAAGAAATGAAAGAGATGCTTTGATTTCTAATGTGCCTTCCCTTGCTTATGGGTAAGATAGGAAGACATGAGGTGGAAGGACAATTTAGAAACATGGTGTATGTATTGGAATGAGAAGGAAGATAATACATTCCATTTAGGATGTGTTGACCTTGAGGTTTCTGTATGATATCCACTTTAAGGTAAGCTGTGAGAAGCCCAAGAGAAAGGTATGAATGGGAAAAACTTATTTGGAACCTCTCAGTATTAGGTAAGAGTTGAAGCCATGGGCTTAAGTGGGATCATGGACTTAAGGGAAGAGAAAACAGGAGCAAACGGGGTGTAACAACATTTAATAAGTGAGGAAGAGGAGCTCAGCCAAGAGAATGAGAAGGAGAGATGAGAGTGGTAGTATACAAGCCAAAGAGGCTAATATGAGCATGTCAGCTAACAAGGTGGGAGGGGATCTTGGGTGAACTAGGGTGGTTAATAGTATCCTATGTAGCAGACAAGTTAAGAAAAATGAGGACTGAAAGGGGGACAGAAGTTGGATATCGGGAATTTGTGGGTTACATCAATGAGAGTAATTTGAGTGGAATAGCAGGGAACATGGGGCAGGAGTTAGTTTACAGTAGGCTGCTGAACAGCAAGGTGCTCTAAGGTTTTATTTCTTCTCATGTTTGCTTTGTTTTTGTTTCCTTGATTGTTTTTCATTTTGTCTTGTATTTGCTTTTGTTCGCTAATAAAGGAGAGACTCGTTTTGCTTATGGGCTAAGGGAAAACTTCCCATGGAGAGAAAGGGATTGAAGATACAGAAAAAAGAGAATCATTAATGGAGGAAGTTTCCAGAAAAGCCTGAAGATCTTGTAAATCTATACCCTAAGTGAAAGGATTCGCTTTGGAGGGAAGCAACGTCATTTTCATCCTTGGATATCTAATGGGTGGAGGTAAAGAAGATAAATTCTTAAAAAGGCCAAGACAGGGATATGAAAGGAGTTCTTGATTAATGATTCTCATCATCTCGATGACTTAGAAGGCATGTTTAAATGCTGAGTATAACATGGGGAAGTATAGCATAGTGGGTGTGATGAACATGATGAAAGTTCAGAATATGTGCTGGGGAGAATGGGAAAAGGAATGTCTTCCAAGAGACCCTGAAGTTTCAGCAAAACTTAGAGCTCAAATATGTGTAGAAGTCATATTCTAGATTGTTCTATATCTGTGTCTATCTCCATATCTATATATCCATATGCAATTTCACTATTCAGAAAAGAGCAAGAAGGAAGGTGTTCAAATTCAGGATTAAATCAAAATTGAGAAATTTCTAAGATATGGGTGGTGGGAAGAGAGTGGCAAAATTCCATGCATTGTGCTATTAAGGTTTAAATAGGGTGATGAACCAAGGAATCTAGGAGGGATAGAAAAGATAATAAATCTAAGAGAAGGCAAATAGATTGGAAGAAAGAAAAGGGTCAATAGGGAGGACAATCAAGTCTGAATTAAATGATGAGATTGACTGTGTACTTGAGTTAGCTGGGGCTGATTACTTTAATCTCATACATGTTTTCTCCAGTTATTTTGCAAAGTTGTCAAGCTTTAAACTACAGTACAGAATTGTGGGTGAGACTGTACACAGGAAAATGTGCTTTCCTCTCTTATGAGAGAAAAAGTAAGATTAATAAAAAATATTCCTATTATTACTCCCTAGAAATAGTGTGTAGTAATGAGGTCAATAGAGGGACTTGCTGAGAATGAACATGCTACTATTTATTGCCTCTTAGGATGAAAACCCAATTTCATCTTCTATAAAGATCAAGCTACTGCTATTTTATGGTAAACATAGAAACTGCCGTACAGAAAATTACTGTTTTAACAGGTGCAGTCTTACATTCAACAGTGATTTTAAAATTGGCTTCATGGCTAGCACTGTACTCACATCACCCATTTAAATAATCTCCTTGGATATATTCTCACACATAAACATCATTAAGGGGTATGCTTACATTATGCTTAATCACCGGGTATTCATGGAAATATCTCTGCCCAGATACACTTTTAGAACTTAATATATTTTATCTCATTTGTTTTTACCGCTGATCAAGGCATCCCCCCAAAATTATTTGAATTATTCCACTTAGGGAGAGAAAAAAGAGCCTCAACAATGCTTTCTGAAATTTTAATATTATTACTACTATGGTAGAAAAAGCAGCTCTTCGTTCATGCAAGAAATACATATCCAGCATCTGCCAGATGCACCAAGCTTTGTGCTAGGTAATGTGCAAGGCGTCTGTTTACAATACAAAAAAATAACTTTGCTGTAACTGATCTTGAAATAGATATAACAGCAGGAGCAATTCATCTATTCATTATAAGATAACATTAGCTAAAATGTGTGCTGTGCAAGAGCAAGGGCTTTGCCTCTATCCGCACATGTTTGGATATAAGATAAGCAGAGCTTGACACATCATGAACGTCCAAACAATATGTTGACTGTAGGAATGAACGGTTTGAGTAAAGATCTTGCACATGCAAGAGTTAGGCATACTCAGATTATATTTATTAGTGTAGGTACCCAGAGTGTCACACACACATATGAGCAGGCTACTTCTCCTGGGTCCTTAGACATCAGGAGACCATGCACTAAAAGAAAGAAAACTTATATGTCTATTTTCTCTAGTCTCAACTAAAAATGTGCATTTACTTCAATTAAGAATTGAAGGAAACAAATTGCAATAGTGTTAGCACTATCTGTGAGCTTGTCACCAATGTAAAAAAACCAACATTAATTTGAAATTACAGTAGTGATAAGGATCTCTGCTAGATATTGCTTCCTTAATGGTTAAAATAAAGAGCTTGTATCACTACATCAAAAGTTTTGTTTTTGGAAATATTTTGATAACTAATTTTTAATTACTCTATAAAATTGGTTGCCTTTGTAATTCTGTGCATTTTATTTCATGCTTTTAAAAAGATTACTCAAAAAAATGGCTCTGAAATAGATCGTTTTCAACAATGGCCACAACAATTTCTATCATCATCGTTGGTGCATTCCTTTGCAATGTGACTCTATTGCCTTTGCCATTCAGAAGCAGAGTTGTTTTCTTTTTTTCCCCCTCTTCAATTTGGTCTGAACTTGTAACTTGTTTTGATGAATAGAACTCTACAGATATGGTATGACTTCTTTTGATTTTTTATTTTTTTTGAGATGGAGTCTCACTCTGGTCCAGACTGGAGTGCAGTGGCACGATCTCGGCTCACTGCAATCTCTGCCTCCCAGGTTCAAGTGATTCTTCTGCCTCAGCCTGTAGCTGGGACTACAGGCACGCACCACCACGCCCGGATAATTTTTGTATTTTCAGTAGAGACGGGGTTTCACCATGTTGGTCAGGCTGGTCTCGAACTCCTGACCTCATGATCCACCCACCTCGGCCTCCCAAAGTGCTGGGATTACAAGTGTGAGCCACCATGCCTGGCCAGATATGGTGTGACTTCTGAGCCTCAGCCTCATGAAGCCTTGTAGCTTCTGCTCTCACTGCCTTGCTGCCCTGGTCCTGCTATGTGTAGAAGCCAAGCCTAGTCTTGAGGATGGGAAATGATGTGGGGTGAGAGGCCCCACCCATGGCCAGCACCAACATCACACATGTGAGCAAGGCCATCTTGGATCATCTCATACCAGTCAAGCTTCTTGATGGCTGCCAGTACATGAAGAATCCCAGGTAAGACCAGCAGATCTACCTGGCTGAACACAGCCCAGATCACCAATGTACACTGTCTTGAGCAAATAAATTTGTGCTGGGATTGTTTATTAAGCTGCACAACTGAAACAGATTGGCATCCACTTGGCTGTCAAGTATGTACATGGTCCTTGAAATTCAGAACCTGTGCCATAAACAGCTGCTATTTACCCGGTCTTTTGGCTTTGTGCTTAGTGCATTGTAATCTGGATGGTTTGACAGTTGGCTACTTCTGATTCTGTAATTTTTCTTCAAAAAAATCTGTGATGTTTTTAAAGGAATTTACAAAACAAGAAAACTATTGAAATGTTACTTTTATGTTGGGGAACAAAGTCTTGAGGGCAGTTAGTGGAAGAGGTTTTTATTTGTAAACTTTTGTCTATATGGTTTAAAAGTTTTTGTCAATAATTTAAGAATATACCACTTTAAAGTTATTCTTCTAGATAAGGTATAGAAAACTTTATATCTCAAGAGAAGAAAATGATATGCTATGATTTTAGGCCTATAATAACAATTATTTTATAGAATTATTAAGTTATTAGCAAGGAAATAAGATAAAAAATCATATTTTAAATAACATCTCCATGCATGCTGAGGCACTAAGAAGAACCAGTGGCTTTCTTGTGAGGCAGGAACCACGTGTACACTCTTTTACAGATGAAAAAACTGGGAATCAGAGAAGTTAAGAAATAAGCTCAAGATCACCTATATAGTAAACGGCAAAATCAGGATCTGAACCTGCTGATTCCAGAGCTCATGGAGAGTTCCAGTGGGCAACTTGGGAAAAGGAGGAAGCATGAGAGAGGAGGTGAGTATCTGAGAGGCCAAGGTATTGACATAATGCTCAGGTTGATGCTACAGATGGAGTTGAGGCAGAGAGGAATACAGTAAGCCAGGAACAAAGATGTCAGTGAATGAGGTGTAGTTTACAAGGGCTAGAAGATGAGAACAGTGAGGGGGGGTATAGAGGACACATACCAAAGCCTGAGAGTTTCTCTATCAGGTGTAGGGGTGAGAGTCTAGATCAGAAAGAAAGGACCTTGTCCAACTTACACATTTCAATCCAGAATCCATAAGATGTGGGAGAAAGGCCAAATTCCACTGGATAAAATGCAGGAGTAGCAGTGTAGACTCACAGAGAGTCAGTCTTAGTTGAAGTATAGAGGCTGGAGCTATGGATGAGTTTCCAGTTATGTGTGGATGTTCCAAAGTCTTGATGAAAAGATTTGGAAAACGAAAGAGGCATGGGAGGGTGCACTGGGGATGAGGATGCTCAGTGCATCACAGGGCCAAGAGGTGAGTATGGATGATGGGATGGTCTTACAGTTTTGGCAATAACTGTGAGGAGGAGTTTAGTCTCAGTAATTTCAAGCAACATTGGTTAGTCTCACAGAATTTAGCTGTGATCTGAAGACAGAAACCTGATGGCTTTATTGTGGGGCTAAGTGTTTCCTTTTCTCTCGCACTGGAGGAGATGGTGGCAGTTGTGGTATAGAATGTACAGTGGTCATGGTGACAGTGGACAGGAAGCAGGCAAGCTCTGATCACCTGCCAGGCAAGGCTTCAGTGCCAGTGACTGATGGATCCTAGGTGCTATAGGTCAGGCTCTGCCTTGAGTTGGGGGTTTCTGTCCTGCCCGCACTCAGAGGGGTCTCTATGGCCAATAAATATCTGCATAAGAATGTACTACCACGGCCGGGCGCGGTGGCTCACGCCTGTAATCCCAGCACTTTGGGATGCCAAGGCGGGTGGATCATGAGGTCAGGAGATCGAGACCATCCTGGCTAACAAGGTGAAACCCCGTCTCTACTAAAAATACAAAAAATTAGCCGGGCGCGGTGGCGGGCGCCTGTAGTCCCAGCTACTCGGGAGGCTGAGGCAGGAGAATGGCGTGAACCCGGGAAGCGGAGCTTGCAGTGAGCCGAGATCGCGCCACTGCAGTCCGCAGTCCGGCCTGGGCGACAGAGCGAGACTCCGTCTCAAAAAAAAAAAAAAAAAAAAAAAAAAAAAAAAAAAAGAATGTACTACCACAAACATCGTTCCAATTTCCTATTTGCGTACATTTAGAATTAATCTATTTAGGATACATTCCCAGAGATGAAATTTTGATATTAAAGAAAATAGACAACTTTAGAGTTTTTGGAATATATTACAAGTTTCCAAGTGCAGAGATTCTACTATCTTTCATTCCCACTTGTAACAAAAGAGAAAGCTCTTTTTTACACTCTCTTCTTTCCATGAAGTTTTTAAACTCTAATTGATTATTTTAATTAATAATTAGCTCATTGATTATTTTAGTTAATAATTGTCAAAACAGTATGGCGATTTCTGAAATAATTGAAAATGGAACTACCATTTGATCCTGCAATTATATTACTGGATATCTACCCAAAGGCAAAGAAATCATTATGTTGAAAAGATATCTGCAGTTTTATGTTTATGACAGCACTGTGTACAATAGCAGTGATATGGAGTCAACCTAAGTGTCCATCAATGAATGATTAGATAAAGAAAATGTTCTACACACACACAAACACACACATACACACACACACACACACACACCATGAAATACTACTCAGCTATAAAAAATAATAAAATCATGTCTTCTGCAGCAACCTGAATGAAACTGGAGGCCCTTATCCTAAGAAAAATAACTTAGAAACAGAAAGTCGTACACTACATGAAGTTTTTAAATGTTTGAAATCACTGCCAATGTAATATGTTAATCTTGGCATCCTACGGTTATTTTATCTTCCACTTTTAAATTTGTGAAGCTGAACAAGTACCATTTGTATTTCTTTTGGGTGATCATTGTTCAGTTGGATTTTTTGTTTATCCTCCCATTGAGATTTGGAGTCCTTTTCCTAAGACCTCTTTATATAAACATTAACACTCTGCCTTCTATATTACAAATATATATCCAACTTGTTGCTTACCTATGTCTTTATTTTCTATGGTTTTTGACTAAACAGGTTGATATAGTCTGGATATCTGTCCCCACCCAAATCTCACATTGAATGGTGATCCCCTGTGTTAGAGGTGGGGACAGATGGGAGGTGATTGGATTGTGGGAGCAGGTCCCTCATGAATGACTTGCACCGTCCATTTGGTGGAAAGTGAGCTCCGGTTCTGAGTTCACGTGAGATCTGGTCATTTAAAAGCCTGTGACCCCTCCCGCTCCCACTATCTCTTTCTTCTGCTTTTTCTATGTGACATGCCTGCTCCTCTTCGCTTTCTGCCATGACTGTAAGCTTCCTGGGGCCTCTCTAGAGGCTGAGTGGATACTGGCACTATGCTTTCTCTAAAGCCTGCAGAACCATGAGCCACTTAAACCTCTTCTCTTTATAAATTACCCAATCTCAGATATTTCTTCATAGCAAGGCAAGAATTGCCTAATACACCAGTATCTTAAAGTTTTAACATAAAACATCATTACATACTTTCTTCCTTAACTTCATCCTCAGTCTCTGTTTGGCCTATAGAGGCAGAGGTCTTGCTTTAGATTCAAAATGTGTAATATCAATGCTTCTACCATCTGTAAAGTTATAGCATCTAAAAGAGAGTAGGAGGCCCTTTTCTCAGCAACCCACTTTAAGTACATCTTTTGACATTCTGGTCTGAGATAATGGTTATCTGCCTTAAATGTAGCAGATATCTGGCAAAATGTAAACAGCTGCTGACCTTGGTTGAAGCCTTTTCAGTGGAGTGGCAACAAACGCTTTTATGAGTGTGTTGAGGAGATAGTGGGAAGTAGGCAGGTCTGAGTCACTGGCCTTCTATGCAGGGCAAGGCTTCAATGTCAGTGACTACAGAGGAAGGAAGAAAACACAGTTCTTGAGGAGCTTTCCTGTGAAGAGGAGCTAAGAAATAGCCTATAGTGAGAGAAGGAAGTGCAAACAAAGGAAAGTCTGGCAATAACGTGTTATAGACTGAAACCAGCACTATGCCATGCCAGTCACTCCCAACCTCCTGTTCTTTTCAGAAACATAGATGAATGAAATCAGTCCTAAGTAAAGTATATAATATTATTCCACACTTCAGTTTTGCTTAACTTAATGATTTTAAGCATATGTCCTACTGTTTTCTTTTTGGTTGGTTTTTGTTTTGAGATGGAGTCTCGCTCTGTTGACCAGGCTGGAGTACAGTGGCCCGATCTCGGCTCACTGCAACCTCTGTCTCCCGGGTTCAAGCGATTCTCCTGCCTCAGCCTCCCAAGTAGCTGGGACTACAGGTGCATGCCACCACACCCAGCTATTTTTTTGTATTTTTAGTAGAGACAGGGTTTCACCGTGTTGGCCAGGATAGTCTCGATCTCTTGACCTCGTGATCCACCTGCCTCAGCCTCCCAAAGTGCTGGGATTACAGGACTGAGCCAATGCGCCTGGCCATGTCCTGCTGTATTTGAAATATCTTAATACTAAGCATTTTTAAGTTCTGCCATAATCTATTATTTCACTGTATTCCCAACAATCAGCTGAAAATAATGTTAATGATTCACTTCAACGTTTTGTGTATTTGTTCTTTTTTTTTTTTTTTTTTTGCCACAAACCACTGTCTTAAAAATTCTAATGAAACGTAGAAGGTGTGATACTCATCATAAAGGATTCCCCAGAGTGCCAAGTTAAGTTGGGTCCCTGGCTTCAGCAACTCACAGTAAAAGAGGAAGATTGTGTCAACTACTGACAATGAGACAACACAAGTAATGCTATCTCCTCATCTATGTGAAAATAATATTTGATGTACAGAAAATATTTGCTGAATGAATGCAACTGGATTTTGTGAAATGGTGCATTCAGGCCCCTTCACCCCTTTGCAATTTCATTCCCCCAACTTGGGCCTACACTATCCAGGTCACTTAGCTTTATTATTGGCTCAGGATTTGTAAATCTCTTCCAGATGATCAGCTTGCTACACTAAAAGCCGCTTCAGCAAACTGCTGTGTACTCTACTGGATATTAACAGATAGAGAGGTAAGAGTTTTTTTTCCCCTGGAACTCATATTCTGACTGTGAGTGTCAGATGAATGAGAAAAAAAAATATATATATATATAAAGATACTTCAATAATTACTACAGTAGAGGAATATTTAAAGTTCTGTAGGATACTGTGAGAGAGTTCATGTAATGTATTGATATTGAACTGTAGGATATGATTTCTGTTTGTGCATTTTGACTGTAGGGAAGCTACTCTGCTTTTCTGACAGACAGATTTCACAAAACTCCATACAGGTGACACCTGTAGGGGAGAAAAGACTTCTTTTCCTTACCCATCTCTGGGTTCATGGCCAAGGCCCTTATAGCAAAAAAACCAGACTATAATGAAAAAAGCACACACATTGGTTTAATATAAGTTTTACGTGACAAAGAAACCTTCAAAAATGAAAATTCAAAGAAACAGGAAAGCCTGTGTATTTTTATCCTTAGGTTTAATGAAGTGTGGACAGTCAGGGGGTAATATGAGTGAACAAAGGGATTTTGACCTAATGATAACATACTATAAGAAACATAGCAAGGCTTGTTTGTTAAAAATCTGCTTTGTATCCTTGTGTCGTCAGAGATAAATGTGTTCCTCTCTTCCAGGTATATGGAGACAACCTTTTGAATGAGGGTTTTATGATCTGCTTGGAAGTGAAGGATGAGGGGAAGGTAAGAGAGATATTCCTGCTTCTGCAGTTTCTCAAACGTTAAGGTGCCATATTTTTGGATAGCGCACCCTAAACCTCATCACACCCAACACAAAGAATCTCAGTTCTAGTCATGTCAAAAGTCCTATGTACATTTATATCATTCCTACATAAGCACCTCATCTCCATTTCTCCATCTTCCCTCATTTTTTTCTTTTCCTGGATGTATACTTCCTTTATATTTCTTAAAGATTCTTTAGCATCTTTGATCTTTGCTTTAGCATCTTTGATCTTTGGTGGGCCATTAAGTATAGAACAGTTTTGGCCATCAATTTCCCTCTGCTTCTGACTATAACATGTTCTCACTGCAAAGATCATCTTTGACCCCCAAGCACAAACCTGGATTTAGCCCATTTGATTAGTTCTCCTAATGTTCTCTTTTGTAGTGTATTTTTTGTAATCCCCAATTTTTTCAATCCCCAAAATAGAAGCAAGATTGAAGAGTTACTTGGTATTACCTTGACAATATTAATGAGACACAGTCAGACAAGGTTTAATGAGTAGATGCAAGTGAAAGGCGTATTCCAAAACTGTCTTATGATGTGTGTTTGTGTGTGTGTGTGTGTGTGTGTGTGTTTGGTGTGATAGGAATGGGTAGAAGAGGAAGGAGATGGGGGTTTCCTAGGATCTATGAATCAGCCATCTGCTCAGTCTGAGAGGCTACAACTCAGACAGGGTCAGTGACCAGGATCATTGATTGCTTGAGCACAGAGATTACACATTTGAAACAAGCTCCGCAGCTTGAACTCTCTTTAACTACCAGTAACAAATTCTCTTGCCTCATCTTCACTGGAACAGAATGAGGGATTGATAAGTTCAATCAAATACACCGCGTTCCTTTGGTGTGAAAAATATTGCAGAAACAAGATGTTGATAAGGCAACATGTAAAATAGAGAAGTGCTTCAGCAACACTGCTTTGGAGTGGAATTGAAAGGATATAATGAAAGTGGAAATGATTTTTCATTTTCAAAAAGTAGAAGCTTGCTTTCAGTGAAAGAGTAAATAACATTTGTGAATGAAATTTTACTCATGTTTGACTTCTCCAAATCTAAAATAAAATATATGCTTCTTCGGGAAATCATATGCAACGACTCTTTAGTAGCCCTATTCTTCCCTAATAAATGTTCATTCTCAAAGTGTGGCATACAAAAATGAGACAAATCTATATTCTTTCCAACATGTGCAGTCACATACACACTTTTTTTGTGTGCCTGTGGGCTAAGACTCCCTCTACTTGAGGGAGGCTTGAGGAATCAACAAAGAGAGAACCTGAGTTCCCACAGTTGTGTGATAAATCCAGCAGACACTTGTATACATGAAAAATAAATGGTGTTTTCTCCATATTGGCACCACGTGGCATTCTTAAAGGAACTGTGACTTTTCAAGGAACCCTTGTGACAGGGTAACAACCTATAATTTAATAGACTAAAACATATATTAATCTCTTTATACTTAACTATTTGTCTTTTTTTTTTTTAAGACAGACTCTCTCTCTGTCGCCCAGACTGGAGTGCAGTGATAGCATTTTAGAGATGAGGAGGGTAAGCTCACTGCAACCTCCACCTCCTGAGTTTGAGCAATTCCCCTGCCTCAGCATCCTGAGTAGCTGGGATTACAGGCATGCACCACCACACTCGGCTAATTTTTATATTTTTAGTAGACAGGGGGTTTCGCCATGTTGGCCAGGCTGGTCTCAAATCCCTGACCTCAAGTGACCCACCCACTTTGGCACCCCAAAGTGCTGGGATTACAGGAATGAGCCACTGTACCAGCCTACTATTTGTCTTTTTAAGGAAAAAGAAAAAGAAGTAACTGCTAATTTAACTTTCACCATGGTAAATTCATGAAATATGAATTTTTCAAATAACTAAGGCTAATCCTGTTAAAGAAGAAATTAACCAATTAAAAGTAGAAATTAATGAGTTAGCATCTTATATGCAAGACCAGACACAATGTATGTTTATAATTATTATCTCATTTAGAACCAATGACAACTGCCCTAGTTAGATATTATCATGCATATGTTATAAATAAGGAAATTTGGCTCAGAAAAGTTAAGCAACCTATAATTATGCAACTGTTCAACACTAAGTCTTTGCAAGAAATGTTAATTATTTTAGTGGTATCATTCAACAATACATTTTATGCTGTAATTTCATTAAAAGAGATTGTAAACATAATTTAACTTGTTTTTGATGACTTAACCCATCATTTCAAGGAGCAGTTAGTAAGTTGTTTATAATATGCAGATGCATGAAGAGGAATGGGGTATGTTATGAATAACTTCTCTTCCACAAAATTGCTCCAGCTCCTTTAATTATGGAATTCTAGCCCTTGATTTTAATGGATTCCCTTTTTTCTTCTCTATCAAACTATTAGCTGCAATTTTACTTTTCTCCCAAAACATTGCCCACTAGCAATACAACTTATCCTGCATGAAAATTCTACTTCTAATCTTTCATATACTAGAACACTAAATAAATAAATGTGTTAAATTTTATATCAGAACCAAGGGTAAGTAGATGCTGAGAGAAAGTCAAAGGACATATTTCTCCTTGGCTTCAAGTACATGAAGGTGTTGCATTGCTTTGCATACCTCCAGAGATCTTTTACATCCTAGTTAAGTTTTGCCAAATGTGACCTCTGAGTAAGTGAGGTTTTATAGTCTAGCTCAAATCATAGCGTTTGAATTTGGTGTTCCTCTCTCCCTTTCTTGCTCTCTGTCTGCTTTCTTTTCCCCCTCTCCCTCTTTGGTTTACCCTGTGTATTCTGTCCATGTGTTTCATAACGTATCGCAGCTTGCATTGTCTGAGAACACAAGTGGGATTTGGTCACTGTTTATCTTTTTGTTTGCCATATAAACTAAAACTCAATAAATGTGAATTCTATTATATTTTTATTGCCTATCCTTTCACCTCTGAACTTCAGTTCAGAAGACATCTTTGAAGTCAAAAAAGGTAATTCTATCTCCCATAACAAAATGACAATGGCTACTCTACTGAATTTCTTTGTAAGCCAGCAATTTATATGCCACCATCTCACTTAATTCACATGATAAGATGGCAAAGCGGGCATTATTATTGCCATTTCAGAGATGAGGAGGGTAGGCTCAAATAAATTAATTAAGTTGTCAGATTTTTTTATAGCTCGTAGGAGCTAGAATTGGGATTCAGATATAGGCCTGTTTTACTCCAGATGTATGATTGTTGTACGATCCATACGCACACACACACACACACATGTTGAGTACATAAACACGCACACATATATTGAAACTTTATATATGTGTATACATGTTTATATACACATATTTTGCATTTATAGTGTATATATGTCTATGTATAGGTGTATATATAGATGTATACACAATTTTATAGATACACAGATGATACAGATAGATAGATAGATAGATAGAACTAATAAATAGATGATAGGTAGATAATGATTATAGCCCTGCCTATAATATTGAAGACAGGCTAGAGACCAAACTTCTCTGATAGTAGATTTAGTTTCTGGATGACAGAGTGTAGACTGTTTCTATATGTCATGAAAGGATAATGAATCCCTCTGATGCCTGTCTGCTCTGAAAAGAACAAGTCAGCCCAGCTCAGAAAGTTGTTCTGGGCTTCATCCTTGAAGATCAAATGGCTGAGATGAGAGGAAATGAGGGAGACAATGACATTTCAAATTGAACTTTGACTTTTTATTAATAGATACTCTTTCTTTAGAATACAGTCTTCTTCTTCCTCCTCCTCCTCTTTCTTTGTATTATGACATTTTTCTCTATGCATACAAACACAGTGACCATTGTGGATATATAGGGAAATAATATGTAGAAAATCGTCTAGGTTGTCTCTAACCATGCAGAGAAGTATGATTTTCCAACCCAAGTCCCCAGAATCAGACAAAGCTTAAATAACACAAAATCATCCAAGGTTTTTCTGAGCACTTAGAATCAGCTCTGCTATGTGCAGGTGTGATTGTTAATTTTGTGTCAGTTTACTAGGGTAAAACATTATTTCTGTGTGTGCATTTAAGGGTGTATTATAAAGAGATTAGCATTTGAATCGGTAGACCCAGTAAAGAAGGTCCACCCTTCCCAGTGTGGATGGGCGTCATCTAATCTTTTGAGGGCATGAAGAGAGCAAAAAGCAAAGGAAGAACACATTTTCTCTCCCTTCTGGAGCTGGGATTTCTGTCTTCTTCTACTCTCAGTGTTCCTTATCTTGGGCTTTTTTCTCAGACTAGACTTGCACCATTGAGTCTCCTGGTTTTTCAACCTTTTGGCTTGGACTGGAACTATACTACCAGCTTTCCTAGACTTCCAGCTTGAAGACCGCAGATAGTGAGATTGCTAGGCCTCCATAATTGCATGTGTCAATCCCTCATAATAAATATCACTCTACATATTTCTGTATATCCTCTTGGTTCTGTTTCTTGGGAGAACCCTGACTAATACAGATTTTGATGCCAAGAAGCGGGGGTGATGCCACAACAAATACCTAAAAATATGGAAGCAGCTTTGGAACTGCATAATGGGTAGAGGCTGGAATAATTTTGAAGTACATTACAGTAAAAGACTACATTGTGGTGAAAATATGTTAAGGGCAATTCTGGTGAGGGCTCAGAAAGAAGAGGAGAGCTGTAGAGACAGCCTGAATCTTCTTAGAGAATATCTAAGTATTCCTGAACAGGATTTTGCTAGCAATATGGATGGTAAAGGTCATTCTGATGCAGTCTCAGATTAAAACTAGGGACATGTTATTAGATAACAGAAGAAAGTCCATCCTTGTTATAAAGTGGCAAAGAGCTTGACTGGATTCTATTTGTATTCTAGTGCTTTGGGAAAGTTAGAACTTATGAGTGATTACGTTGGATATTTGGCTGAGAAAATTTCTATGCAAAATGTTAAAGTTGTGTCATGGTTTCTCTTAATTGCATACAGTAACATGCAAAAGAAAGAAATTACTTCAAGATGAAATTGATCAACAGAAGGGAAGCAGAACATAAAGTTTTAGAACATGCTCAGGCTAGAATCATGCAATGGTGACTTCACTGGCCTGAAGTCTCAGGAGGCCCTGTCCTCATGGCAGTTCTCTGCTGGGATTGCAATCCAATGGCTCCCAGAAGCTTCATCTTTTGAAATGTAGGTGAACAACATTATTTTGTTCTCCCAAAATTAATATGTTGAAATCCTAACCCGCAAGGTGATGGTATTAAAAGGCAGAGCCCTCATGAATGGGATTAGAGCCCTTACAAAAGAGACCACAGAGAAATCCCTGGCCCTTTCTGCCATGTGAAATTACAGTGAGAAGATGGCTACCTATGAGAAAGCAGGTCATTATCACACTTCAAATCTTCTGCTCCCTTGATCTTGAACTGTCCAGCCATCAGAACTGTGAGAAATAAATTTGTTGTTTATGAGCCACCCACCCTATGGTATTTTGTTGTAGCAGCTCGAACAAACTAACAAACTAAAACAGCAGATAACATAGGATGCTTGTGCAGGTTAGTTACATATGTATACATGTGCCATGCTGGTGTGCTGCACCCATTAACTCGTCATTTAGCATTAGGTATATCTCCTAATGCTATCCCTCCCCCCTCCCCCCACCCCACAACAGTCCCCAGAGTGTGATGTTCCCCTTCCTGTGTCCATGTGTTCTCATTTTTCAATTCCCATCTACGAGTGAGAACATGCGGTGTTTGGTTTTTTTTGTCCTTGAGATAGTTTACTGAGAATGATGATTTCCAATTTCATCCATGTCCCTACAAAGGACATGAACTCATCATTTTTTATAGCTGCATAGTATTCCATGGTGTATATGTGCCACATTTCCTTAATCTAGTCTATCATTGTTGGACATTTGGGTTGGTTCCAAGTCTTTGCTATTGTGAATAGTGCCACAATAAACATATGTGTGCATGTGTCTTTATAGCAGCATGATTTATAGTCCTTTGGGTATATACCCAGTAATGAGATGGCTGGGTCAAATGGTATTTCTAGTTCTAAATACCTGAGGAATCGCCACACTGACTTCCACAATGGTTGAACTAGTTTACAGTCCCACCAACAGTGTAAAAGTGTTCCTATTTCTCCACATCCTCTCCAGCACCTGTTGTTTCCTGACTTTTTAATGATTGCCATTCTACCTGGTGTGAGATGGTATCTCATTGTGGTTTTGATTTGCATTTCTCTGATGGCCAGTGATGATGAGCATTTTTTAATGTGTCTTTTGGCTGCATAAATGTCTTCTTTTGAGAAGTGTCTGTTCATATCCTTTGCCCATCTTTTGATGGGGTTGTTTGTTTTTTTCTTGTGAATTTGTTTGAGTTCATTGTAGATTCTGGATATTAGCCCTTTGTCAGATGAGTAGGTTGCGAAAATTGTCTCCCATTTTGTAACTTCATGATTAGGCTAAGAATAAGTGAACACAGATTCCACTGTCTCCACGGTGGAATGGCACCCAAGACTATGTGGTCACTGGCTGGCCACAGGGAGGAGCTTCATAGGTCGGAAGAATCTGGCCATGGCTTACTAAGATTTCCACCAAATGTTAGATTTCCAGGAATTAATAATTACCTTATTTTAGTTTTCATTTGATTAATTTCCTATATATCTGCTTTTTTTTATATGCTCCACTAATTGTATGAATTCTATCTAATATTTTTCAATAATCGAATATTTCAGATACTCTATCAATAGTATTTCCTTTCTCTGGAGACTGTCTTCTCTCCAAGTTGTACTGAAGCTCTTTGGGCTCCTGCGTGGCTTTCCTCCTGGTACTGCATTTACTGATATCTCAAATATCCCTCTTTTGTGGTCTCCAAATCTCCTTTTGTTCTTGCTTTCATCCTCATTTTGCTGGAACCCTTACTCTTAATGCTTCCTAAAAGAAGATGCATTGAAAATTTAATATTTTTACTTTTTCCTTGCCTGAATATGCCATGAGATTTAATTAGTGCACTTGTTTAATCATTTGGTTAGATTGGGAATTTTGGGTTGAAAGTCACTCGTCTTCAGACTTTTGAAGGCATTATCCATTGTCTTCTTGATCTCATAGTTCCTGCTGTCCAAAGCTGTTATGATTCTGACATTGAGAGGAACATCTGTATGTAAATATCTCACCAGCTCTTATACTTGAAAACATTGGACATACAAATTGTGTAGTCATCCATTTGGAGAAGACAATGGAAACCATGGAAGTATGGAGTGATAAAGTGTAAAACAGAGAACTAATTTTAATAGGATTCCCAAAGATATGATCAAGGGTGTCTGATGACCGAAAGAGAAAGAGAAGAACAGCAGAAGAACCAGGTTATTCAGTGTCAAAAAGACGAAAAGGGAAAAGTTTCAAAAAAATGTGGTTAGCAGAGTTATTAAATGGACATTTAATGTATTTAATCAGTAATATATTAACAAAAATCTTGGTGCTAATTGTGATAATAGTGTGAACTGAGAATTTGTTGTAAAGAGTCTGAAACATCTCTGTACCAGGTCTCAAAAGAACTGGATTCCAGCCACTAAATTTCTGGCTGTTCTTGGGTGAATCATAAATCTCTGCTGCTTATCTACAACCTGAGAAGATGGGACTTAATAACTTTAAATGCCTTTTTGACTTTTAATGTTATATGGCTTGCACTTTACACACTTTGGTGTACATTCAAATGCAGGATCACATTCGAACCTTAAAAGAGTCCTATGAGGAAAGTAGGACAGGGATTTTCTCATATTCTCTGTCTTTTCTCTCTTAATAATTTTGTAGGTTACAAAACAGATAAAGACAGTCAGATTGAAAAACGGAGGCAGATTTAGAACCTAGGGGTCTAATCCAGGTGGGTCATAGTTCATATGAAGTATCTGATAACATATTAGTACTCACTGGGGGCAAATGCATCAATGTTTCTGCCAAAGTCTAAATATATATCCATTGATTCTTGTGATTTCCCCAGACCAGGAAGAACTTCTTAATGGAACATAAACTGATGTGAATTTTTAAGCTCCATCTTCTGGTTTTACAGTCAAATGATGGATATGATTGATAGAGTACTTAAGTGAAAGACAGAATCAGTTTGTTTCAAGCTGCTCAGTTTTCAATTGTTGTTGCTCCTTCTCTTTCATTATGAGTTATTAGTTTAGCCTTATCATTATCAATTTAGTTTGCTGTGGTTTTGGTTAATCCTAGAGAACACAATGATGCATGATACTTGCATCCAAAGTACTTTTGCCTATAATTTTCTGATAAGTAAATGTTAAAAAGGATTTACAGTATAGTTCAAATGTGAATCATATATAGGCTTATCGTAAAAGCTGATTACATAGAATGTTGCCTCATTTATTTTTAATAATAATATTACTGTTTTCTTAGATAATAGAGTGACCGATCATTTTCATCACTGACTTACATTCCATCCCAGTTTACCTTGAATATTTTCTTTGCAAAGTAGAACACAAAACAAATTGTTACATTCTTTAAGGTCCAGAAAACTTCCAGGAACCCCAGTTGGCCTTGTATTTTGCTTACAACTCAGTGCAGAAATGTGTTGGAAAATACAATATCATACAAAATTGAGTTGTTACAGGACTTTAGATAGAAGATCATCTATTCTGTTATGTTAGATTAAACCATTTATACTGAAAACAATAAAAATCTAATAAATGACCAATAGTCTTTTATAGGCAACTCTTTCAAATATTTTATTTTTTTTTTTTGTTTAGAGATTTGATCTACTAGTGTCTAATGTGAGCTTATAGGATAAGCAGCACATGATAGTAACAGACAATGTAGTGGAATAAATTGCTCGGGCAGCTCTCTTGATTGTTATATTCCAAGTCTCATTACATCCAAATGTGAAATGTCAGCAAACCATTGCTACATTTGCCCTAATAATAAAATCCTTCTCTGGCCCAAGGCAGACAACTCCGTTTGTTTATAGGTTCAATTAACCTATTATAATTTGTCATATTCTTTCTAAAACTACCTTATTGGGAAATGACAAAAATATACAGAATTATGGAGAGATACACTCGAAAACCAACTTTCTGTCTAGCCCCAAAATATCTAGGAATGCCTCTGTCCTATATTCAGAATGAATTTTTACTATAATTAAAAGTTTATTCTTCTTACTCCCTTCCTACTACCAAAATGAAAAGAAAACATAGTGACCTCGTAGGCTTAATATAATCTTACTTTCTAGGCTGGCATGTTATACCATAAAAGTTCATGGAAGAATGAGTGTGTTTTCATTTTTCTGTAACAAGAGATGTGGGTTGCTCTATTTTAGTAACCAGTTTGTGGGTTAGATATTTCTGCCATTTTTTTTTTTTTGGTCCCGTCAGTTATAGAAGATGGAGGAGTCACATATCTTGAGACTGTTTATATAACAAAGTGTTCATGTTTATTGACTCTTATCCATGACATGGATTTCTAGATCAAAGAGAAGTTCAGTCTGCAGATAAGCACCAAATTTTACATACATCATCTTACATACTAAGCAAATAATTTATTCATCATTTCAGAAATTGGTTACAAGTTTTTCATGTCTTTCACACAGTCCACCTGAAATAGGTCTCTGTATTTAATATTTTTCAGTTTAGTTTTGTTTTAATTTATCAAGATCTTTGTTTGAAGTTCAAGAATCACAGTCTTTCATCTCTCTAGTTTAGTTCAGAGAAAGGTAATGGGTGCATTTATTTCCAAGATCTTTGACTTCCTGAGAAAGTCCACCTCTTACACATATAAAAAGTTGTCATTGTGTAAATTTTGTTTGTCACTGCATAAATTGTGGGATTATATCTTTTGATCATTTTCCAGGCTCCATTTAGATGTAAGCCCCAATTTTGTTTAGAATAATTAGTATGATTACATTAGATATCTGTTATAATAAATTAGTATTAGTATTGATGTTTCATCATATAAAACATTTCTACCAAAGATATTTATCATAAACTGCCATTCAGTCTGCAGACTCTAAAATAACTCACTTTCATGCTTTTATTGATTCAAGGAGGTAGATGTAACATATTTCAGCCTCAGTAATACCTTATATTTTTGAGAGTTTTACAGTTTATAAGGTGTTTTTATGTGAATTAACTTACCAGATTGATGCTGACATTCCTCACACATTTAGTGAATGTGGAATTCCTTTTAATGGAAAGGTTGAAAATAGGGTATGAAGTTGAATTCAGAAACTAAGAAGAAAAAAGCTAGCAGGAGCTCTCCTAGAATTCATGCAGAGTCAGCTACACATGAAGACACAAACAAATCAAGAAGGACCAGATCTAAGTAGGAACTAACAGGAGAACCAGAATTTAAGCTGTGCTCTGAGGGCCAAGCTTAAAACATTCAAAGAGGCAAGGCTGGCTGTCCTACTCATTATCCACACATTAACCACTCATTAGCCTGGGGACTGTTGACTTTATCTGTTGGAGCCTCAGTTTCGTCATTTACAAAATGTCAATGAACACAGTTGTGCCCATCTCCACAGAATTGCTGTCAGTGTGCTTTGGGGGTATGTAATTTAAAAATATATATATATATTTCAACCACTGGTATCCCATGTTCTGTCTTGGAAAGACCTATATTTAGAGAAAGTCCTTAATAGACTGCTTTCATGGTAGCTGATGGAATCCCCAGGGAATGGTCTGGAATCAGATGGTCAAACAAGAGAGTTATGTGACTTTGAAAATGACTTTAACATGTATTGAGGACGAAGATCAGAGATAAGAAAGAGGAGCAGGGGTTAGAGAAGAAAGAGAGGATGAAGACCACAGCAGAGGCTAAGCCTGCAGAAAAAGGCAGTCCCTGAGATATTCCCGGTGGCAGTAGGGATAAAAACTCTTTTTCAAAAAAATGAATATATATTAAACTGTTTGTGATTTCACAATTTAAAGCCCTTACGTTACCCTGATTTGGGAAGCCTGAAATACACATTTCTGTTTATGAAGGTGTTTTATTTAGAATATAAAGACATCAGATGGGTTTTTTTATGAGTTTAGACAGGAAGACACTGACATAATATATTAGGAAAGTAAATTTTTAGCTAGACATGAGTTTGAAGAGAAAAAAAAATTCCTCTAAGAATTCCACAGTTATCATATTACCAGGGATACTGTTTTTCCTACTGGAAGTGGGGCAAATTATAAGATAATTTTTGACTTTGACTTTCAATGTCAGGGTGACTTTAGTTAGCACCTTGATTAAATAATATAAAGTGTTTTTCACCACCTTTGGCATACAATAAGCACATGATAAATGATAGTGATCATCATGATAATTTTATTATTAAGAAGTGGTTTCTCTATATCCAAAGCAGCTTTATTTTGCAGAAAATTGGCTTTTGAAACATTATGAGATGTCAAGTCCCAAAAACTAGCATTTGATACTCACAACACCTTTGTAGCATAAGAGGTATCAGATATGTTTTATAAAGCAAAGTGATCTCCAGGATCACAGATCTTGAGTTGCAGAATTGGAACTAGAATTAAGGTTTCCTGATTTTTGGTTCTTCTTGTCATTAAAAATATTTTATAATGAACAGGGAGTTGTGTCCTTCTGTAAAAGTTAAAGAGCCATGAAAGTATAGGAATTTGGTTATATAAATGATATACAGGCAAGCGTGCTACAGTTTTGTTTGTGCCTGTACAAAAATATAAGGTAGGACCAATGTTTAACAATCAGGGAGTAGTTTTCACAGTACTAGTTAACCATAGGTTACTCAAAATGGTGAATTCAGTTAGGTGGCAGCTATGATTCAGACTACCAGTGATGTCTGTATTGGTGATAGATTTCGAGAATATATTCTTGTGTGATCCCATATTTTAAGGAAAAAGATTAGATTCTTTTTAGTTTTCACTGGACATTCCCCTAAAAAAAATTAAATTCCCTCAAATAAGGTGAGTTTGCCATCAAAATAACAGAATCTCAGACTTTATAAGGGCTGTTCAGTCATAACTACGTACCTTTATTTTATTAAAGAAATACCCCAGAGAATGTTGGATAGCTTTTCAGTTACTCATTTTGTGAAGGGAAACATTAAAGAATTGAAATTTTATTTTCAAAGAAATTAACTTTTAAAAATTGCATACTGTTTGAGGACAAATGAAAGCAAAATTATTTTAAAGAGCAGCATAAAAGGCTAAGTGGCTTTCATTTATGTACTTTTAGAACATAAAATTGCCTTTTACTTCAGCTATTGTCTTGTTTGCTTAAGTTTATTTTGTTTTGTTTGTAGAATTCATGAATTTGATCTTTCTCCCAATTGTGAGTTAGAGCCTATCTGTTAAACTCATTTTCTCAGTTTTCTCAGCACAAAACTGGAATAATATTCCCATGTTGTTTTGCATTCAAGTTTGTTGTAGGAGTTAAAGTGCATTAAAAAGTGCATAGTGGTATAAAAATCAGAAGTAAGAATTATACTGATAATGGCACATGCAATAATACTATTAATGGTATACGCATGTAACCTTCGTAAACATAACTCCAGATGTGCAAAAGCAGATAGCATGACTCTTTAACCTTGCTAATGATTAGGAAGTTATGGGACAAGATCCTCACAAGATGTGTCCAGTTCTGATCTTGAAAATGGAGACACATTTACGTGGCATTGATAAGCAATGTTTGTGGTTTTCCCTTTCTGCTGGGAAGGAGGAAAAAGCTGTGCTTGGTTTGTTCAAGTTGCTGTTGATTAAGTTAACAAAGAAACCTGACTCTTGTAATTCAAAACACTCACACAAGCAATCACCCTTCCCTAAAGACCTAAAATGACTTCTTCATAGAGGAAAAATATATCTAAATACACACACACACACAAAGATATGCACACATATATTTAAATATAAACGATTAAATGAAAGAGGAAAGCATGATTTTGACAAAGAAGAGACCAGATGCTTAATTTTGACACTTCTTGCAATAAGCCATATTCACATTGTAATTGTTCTTTCCACATTCTCTGTTTAGGGATGTATTCTAGCATGTTTAAATGAGGCTGATGTAGATTAATTTCTCTGTAGGAGTTTGTAGCTTTGACTAAATTTCCAATGGGACACACTTTAGTTGATAACATGTATCTCTCTTGCATTTAAAGGAAACATGGAATATTTCACTTCCTGTTTCATTTTACTGTAATGCTCTGAACAGCAATAACAGATCTACTTAGAGATGGCTGCTTTCAATGCATGTGAATTAATATCCATAATCATAGGTATTCTGAGGCTTTTTAGCATAAGACACAATTACTGAGGTTGGTCTTAAATGAAAATCATGAAAAATATTCTAATACACTGCATAATTTCTTGGAATTCAAACTCAGGCTAGTTCATAAGTTTCAAAGCCTAATGGAAAAAAGAAATAAGGGAGAATATACCTTTTAAATTTTCCTCTAAAATAATTATAATGCTAATTGCAAAATTGTAAAACCTGGACTTTCTGGACCACTTTGTATATAAAATACAGAGAAGCCAAATTTCTGTGTGGGTTAGGGTTTACCTACTCATGAACTTAAACAAAAAATTACACATTTTGAGATTTTCTAAAATGTATACATACTATTTTCCTTTTTCAAACTGAATGCTGATTGTTATGGATAGAATTTAAAATTCTATATACAACTTACGCTTGTTAACATTGTATTTTGTTGTAATAGAATGGTGCCCTAAAGACATCATTAAGCATTAAAGCTTTTATGCTATTTTCATCTATGCCCTCAGTTATTCAAAAATTGTACATTAGTTCCATGGTGGGATTATAATCATGAACCAGGTAATGTGGTTGCAGCCCTCATTATCATACATTCTAGTAAAGGATCAAATATTAATCCTACATATATAGTAGTCATGTTTATTTAGTAATCATGTATGTAATTAATACAAAAAAGAAAAAAGTACAGGTGTTTCAGCATTTAAAATAACTTGTTCATTATCCATATTTTTTTTTCCTGTTTTTGCTTCTCCTGGTGTAGTGGGTTTTTTCTTGACTTTTAAGATCTTCTTCTTCCATGTTTAGAGATTGGAAAGCAGACAAAGGTACTGTATTGATTTTGGTATGCAATAAGATTAAGACACAAACCTCATCATGTTACTCTTCTGTTCAATACCACTCAGTGGGTTTACATTATCCTCAGTATAACATTCAAAATTCTTATTGTTGCTTATAAGGGCATTCATGATGTGGGCCCAGCTTCTTTTTCCATATTTTGCTTTCAATAGTTCTCACATTCTGTGCTTCCATTTTACTGAAGATCTTTTGTCCACTAGTGCGTTTTTCTCATTTATCACTTAATAATCTTTGAACGTGACTTTCCCTTGCTGGATTTCACCATTACTCTGCCTCTGTGCCCTCCCCTAACCTTACAGTTCCTTCTCTACTTTCCTGCCTTTCTCATTCCTCTATCAATCTAAGATCACAATCTTGATGTCATTTTTTCATATAACCTTTTGACTGATGAGTCATGTGTAGTTCATTGGTCTTCCTGTGTGTTCCCTTGAAACTTATTACTGAGCTCTCATACACTGTATTTAGTAGACTTTTAACTTATCTGGCACTGCTTTTACAGCAAGATTGAAAGTTAGCTGGGAACATGTACCAAGTCTTGTTCAAAGATCTGTCTTCAACTTTTGGCTACATGCTTAGCATAGAATGGAAATGCCAACAAATCTAGGAGGACATTATTTTACTTATAATTGTATTCTTTATCGCCAAGCAGAGAAGGAGTAGTCAATCAATATTTGTGGGGTGTATGGATTTGCAAGTTGATTGGGAGTAAGATTTTTTCAGAGTTGTCTTTGAACGATGTATATGAACTTCCTTGCCTGTCATTTTGTGGTGGTCGGTGACTTGAATACTTGTTTGCGGGTGTATTCTTGGCTCTGTTATAGTATAGGTCACAACAAAAGGGGCTGTACAAAGAAAACTTAATTTTTGTGCATACTTACTAATGGTATTCATAAATTTGATGAATATGTGTGCAAATGTTAGCCCTTATAATCTTCAGAATATTCTTGTGATGTAAGAATGTGGTCTTACAGAAGAAGAAATTAGGGCCCAATAGGATTAAATGGCATAGCTGAGATTCTTACTCATCCTCTAACCAAAAGTGCAGAGCCTCCTTTTACTGTAGCAGACTTCTGACTACCTGTCAAATCATATTATTTTAGTGTAATGTGGTCATTTGAAAGGCTTTGATGAACATTCCTTTATGATACAGGGATATCACAGGTCCAGCGTATTATCCCAACCTATTCC
The DNA here is from genome assembly GCF_000001405.40 of Homo sapiens. Lineage (NCBI taxonomy): Eukaryota > Metazoa > Chordata > Mammalia > Primates > Hominidae > Homo > Homo sapiens. Next base: position 85,279,463 of record NC_000014.9, on the reverse strand, counting down.
AATATAAAAAAGCATTAGGTTTAGCATTGGAAGACCTACACACCAGTCTCACCTGCACATGCTATGTTAGTTCTCATTTCTTTTTCATAGTTACTCCAACAATAGGAGTTGTGTGTTTTTACTTTTCCTTGTGTACCTCACAGGATTGTTTATGAATCTGAATTGATATTTGAAAAAAAATCCCTAAGTACGCTAAAACGTTTTACATATTATCATCAGTTTCAGAGGCACAAAAGGATTAAATAAGCTAGGGTCTTACCAGTCATGTCCTGTATGCATGTCACAAGTCTTAAAGGGAACAAAGCCAGAAAATGTCAATTAAGATGTACACATGTATCAGCGTTACCTGAAGATGCACGCACTGCTAATGGTGAGTGAAGACCAGCACCTTGATAACCAAGAAGAAATGCATACTCTTTTTTAAAACGTTTTATTTTGAAATAATGATAAATTTATAGGAAGTTGCCAAAAAAGGCATGTGGAGGTCCTATGCACCCTTCATCCAGTCCCCTCAATGTTAATAGTTAACATAACTGGAGTGTAATATAAAAAACACGAATTGCCTTAGTGTTTTCTATAGTTCTGATTGCACCAGTTGTACCTGTACTCATTTGTGTGTGTGTGTGTGTGTGTAGGTTTGTGTACTCCATGCAGTTTTATCATATGCATACTTCCGTGCAACCACTCCAAAATCAAGACCCTTAAGTGCCTAGTCACTTCAGAATTCCTTGCTCTACTCCTTTTGTAGACTTCCACTCCTCCCGCAGCACCTGCCAACCATTGATTTTTCTTCATCTCTATTATTATGTTATTTCTGGAATGTTGTATAAATGGAGTTGCATAGTGTATATATTTTTCAGGTTAACTTTTTTGCTCAGGATGATTTCCTAGAGGTGTATCTATGTTGTCACCTATATCAATTATTTTTCCTGTTTAATGCTGAGTATTGTTCTATGGTATGGTTGTGCCCTAGTTTGTCTAGTCATTCACCTTTGGAAGAGCAGAAGTGTGTGTTTTTAATTACAGCAATTAGGAAATGCTGTATTATATTACACTCCAGTTATGTTATGTTAACTATTAACATTGAGGGGACTGGATGAAGGGTGCATAGGACCTCCAGTTTGAAATGACCTTATGTGAAGAATCATAAGACAAATTATTAGTTAGCCCAAAAATTTTATTGAAGGATCTTTTAAGCATATTTATCACATGTTTTTTCTCTGTATACATGGGGAAGATATAAAACCTCATGCTCTAAACTATAGCTTTAATAAATTTATTTTTATAAATTGTAACTCAACAAGAGTTACAATTGATTTGGTAAAGTGTGCCTTTAAAATGCTTGATCCTGAGCTGTTAGTCTTTCATTATTAATGTACTAATGATCCTGGTGGGTGTGTGTGTGCCCGTGTGTGTTTCCAAAGTGAAATCCTTGAAGGCAGGGCTGAAGGGTACTCATCATCATATCTGCAAGGCCTAGCACGTTGCCAAGCCCCTAAATCAAGCCCAATAACTTTTGTTGAACAAAGTACAATTCCAGAAGTCAAATGCTCTTGACAGAAGCTATTTTCTATGCCCCTATTATGTAGGTCACTTTAAGTTTCTGTTGAAGAAGCAGACACTGTCAGTGAAGTGATTTTGTTAAGAGCCAGAGTGGTAGAGCTGGTGGTATGAAGACCCAATCTTCCTTCCACTAGGTCAGGCTGCATTTCCCAATAAAATTTTGCATCCTTTTTGCAAGTTTTTCCCCGCTGTATTTTAAAAAATGGTTTTTAAGCTGATAAACTAAGAAAATAATCCTTTTCTTTTAGAAAAAAATAAGAAAAATACAGCTGGTCTATATTACTTATTACTTCACTTGGGGGTATGGATGTCTTAAAGACTTCACCAGCTTTCTTACAAAAAGAAAAAAAAGAAGCTATCGCATTTAGAGAAGGAACTGTTTGCCTCCCACAAAGGCCACTTTAGTGGTAGACTTATATTTCACTGGCATCTTGAATATAGCTAGCCCCTCAGTCTAACAAGTACTTCCAGTACATTCAGAGTCTTCTCTGAGCATGGACAGAGCATTAGATATCAATAACAGCGACATATTCAAATGGGATTTTTATCCAAAGCCCTTTCATAATCTGGAGCAAAGAAAGTGACCTTTCTAGGTAAAATGCCCTCATAATTCTCTACTCTAATGTTTTAAACCCAAAGCCTAGTGAAGGAAAGTAATTTAATAATACAGCATCTTAAAATAACTAAGAAATTCCAGCATTCTTGTGTGGCTGGTGAATATGAAGGATAAAATAAAAAGGACCACTAACGTGAAGACACAGAAGTCCTTTCCTACTAGATTTTGTAAAAGACTAAAATAGATCGACAATGCTAGGCTTGAGTATATGCAGAGCAAAAAGTGTTGCTACCTACATTTAACATTCTTAGGATTTTTCCCCCCTCTAGTGTAGAAGATGAAATGACAGAAAGTAGAGCATTATAAGAGTCCCAGTTTCTTGCTTCATCTGAGAGGAGTATTTTTTGTAAGCCAAAAAAGAACATTGAATACTTTGCATGCTAGAAATTCTGTGGCTCAAGGCTGGTGCATTAGACACTGAAGCCCCAGAATTTGCAGGCTAGAGACAAGTGGAAAGAGCAAAGTGTCCTCAAAGCAGTGCAATAGAAAGACGGGACTCTTTTATTTGTGGCCTGTTTATTCCTTGTCTTCTTTTACTGCTATTCCCAAATACAGATTTTAAAACTTTTAAAGTTACTAGAACATATATGCTTAGGCTTCTCTGCTGTACTCAAGATCTTTCTGCGTCTAAGCTTGCAAAATATGGCAAAAGGAATTTGGAAGCTCTCCTTTCCTCCCTTCTGCTATCCTCTCACGAAGGTTTTCAGACTTATCCAAGCTGAGCTGTTATTTTTGATATCAACCCTCTCTAAAATAACCTTTCAAAGATTTTAAGTGTAAATGAATCACATGAGTTCACATACTCATATAAATGGCATTTTTTCTGCAAAATAAATAACACAAATAAGATGAAAGGATAAAAGTGTTTGGTTTACATTTACTGTGAATGAGATCTGGTCCAAAATGCTTAAAACTAATTCCAGCCACCAGCCATCTGACAAGCTCTCACAACTTCTTCTCTTCTAATTCAAAATTTCCGTTCATTGGCACAAACTTTGGAATCAACTCTTCGGAATGAATTTCTATGAATGGTTTGGCATATTTTTGAATGGTATCTACTGAATGAAGCAACTATATGAGTAAAATACACTGCACCTGTTATGAACTGGCTTAAAAAAATACCACCAAGTGCTATAAAAAAGCAATTCTACTGAGTAGGTATGAACGTTGATAAGAGATATTAATATTTACAGTCAGGAAACCTGAATTGAGCAGGTGTTACTAAACTAAATGGAGTGAATTCATAAACTTCCAGCAATAGATCATCTTGCAGTACATCACTTCAGATAAAAAGAAAACTTTCTCTAGGGCAAGAAACCAATTAATGTTCTATAGTTGGATTTTAGATCTAATATCACCAGGTGATACTGATAAGTTACACTGGAGAATGTGTATGAATACGTGGGCATAGTTAACTTTTTTTCAATTAAGAACAAGTGGATTGATGTCACTCTACAGGAAAGGAATATGTTACTAGGATTCTACCCCATAGCTATGCCACATGGTGTCTTCTACGTTGCCCTAAATGAAAAATGTGATGAAGATGCATTTTATTAAAAGCTTAAAGTCTTCTATGCAATACAGCATTTATCTCTTTCAGATATGGAAATGCCAATTCAAAAGGAAAATAATTACTTGTAGAGAATTCATGGTGTCCTAGTTGATCCTACCTTCTACACATTCTTCTGATCATTGCTCTTCTCTCCATTTTTACTTCTGCTACATTAATTCAACTTTTAATATTTTCAAAAGTATTAAATCAATAATTTGGCTCTTTGGAGCTGCCAAAATACTCTTTTCTAAAATCAAATTGTATCCCTCCCTGTATTATATCCTTTAGTAGCTCCTCTAATGTCTCAAGGGTAATATCTGCACTTTTTATCTTTTGGTTTTTGGACCATCCCTATGATAGACACACTAATATTCCCCCAAAGAAGTCTCTACTCTGATCCCCAGAGCCCATAAATATGTCACCTTATATGGCAAAAGGGTCTTGACTTTGTTATCCTGAATGATCCAGGTGAGTCCAATGTAATCACAAGGCTCCTGGTAAGCGAGAAGCAAAAAGCTCAAAATGAAAAAGGAGATTTACCATTTGACCCAGCCATCCCATTACTGGGTATATACCCAAAGGATTGTAAATCATGCTGCTATAAAGACACATGCACACGTATGTTTATTGCGGCACTATTCACAATAGCAAAGACTTGGAACCAACCCAAAAGTCCATCAATGATAGACTGGATTAAGAAAATGTGGCACATATACACCATGGAATACTATGCAGCCATAAAAAAAGAATGAGTTCATGTCCTTTGCAGGGACATGGATGAAGCTGGAAACCATCATTCTCTTCAAACTATCGCAAGGACAAAAAACCAAACACCGCATGTTCTCACTCATAGGTGGGAATTGAACAATGAGAACACTTGGACACAGGAAGGAGAACATCACACACCAGGGCCTGTTGTGGGGTGGGGGTAGAGGGGAGAGATATCATTAGGAGATATACCTAATGTAAATGAGAAGTTAATGGGTGCAGAACACCAACATGGCACATGTATACATATGTAACAAACCTGCACGTTGTGCACATGTACCCTAGAACTTAAAGTATAAGTAAAAAAAAAAAGAAAAAGAAAAAGGAGATTTGACAATAGAACCAGTTTGGAGTAATGCGCCTTGAAGATGCAGAAAAGAGCCCAAAGCCAAGGAATGACGAAGGTCTCTAGAAGCTGGAAAAGACAAAAATATAATTCCTTCCTGAAGCCTCCAGAGGCATGAAGCTTTGCTAACACCTTGATTTTGGACTTCTGACCTTCCAGAACTGTGAGAGAATACAAATTTGTGTTGTTTTGAGCCACTAACTTTGTAGTAATTAATTATAACATCAGGAGGAAGCTAATACAATGTCTAGGAGCTGGGACACCATGGGAGCTCAGTACATATTAGATAAATGAATGAAAAAATTAATGAAGCACATCAGTATCCATAAAACCTTGTTTCTTTATGGTTTTCTCTTACGTGTTGTTGTATTGGATGGCAACTCTGTGAGTAAGATTACAATGAAATAGAGGTTTCCATCCCTGGAGAAATATGTGCTTTCAAGCTGCAATTTGAATATTTGACATGGAAAGTCTAGGTATTTTATTCATCACAGAGATGTATGAGGCATATAAATACACATTGTGGCTGAGAGTGCATTCTCTAGAGTCAGCCTGCCTGGATTCAAATTCTAGTTCTACTGCTAACTGGCTACATAGCCCTGTGCAAGGTTTTCAACCAAGTTATGCCTTAGTTTTCTCTCTACTTAATTCCTACATAAGAAGAATTTTATGAGAATTAAATAAAATAAAACATAAGGAATATAAAACTGTGTCTGGCTTATAGTAAGCACTCAATACATTTTAAGCCTTATTATTATTATCCCTGTTATTATTATTATTTTTAGGTTTTGTTCTATAGGACTCTAATCACATTTTGGTTTTCAAAAGTGTTAAGAACTCAATTGTACTTATTCAACAAACACTCCCTCTGGATATATTTTCATCTAATGGCTTGACAGTTGCTTGTATATAGGCCATATTCTGAAATTATGTTTTTCAATAATAAAAGTGATATCATTTTGATGTTACAATTTACCACTTGGGTGCAGTAAAATGGAAATATTTTCCCAGTAAATTATTTATAGTGTTTGTCATTTGAATTATTCAAAGGAGAGGAAGTTCAGTAAATAATAAGACTAGTGTTCATATCTAGTCTTACTATCCCTGACCGAACGTACTGACTTGAGCAGGATTGTTAAATGAAACACTGTTTAAATGGAAAGTGAAACCCTTGATAGCTACAAAGATCTCAAACAAAAAATTTTCTATAGACAGCTTTCTTTTCATGAATACAATGAGACAATATTTGTATTATTGTTTTAACCTAGTGTTTATGAGTTTGGGGCTTGGCAGTTTTCCTAACTATTGTTCTGTTCCTGATTGAAAACCTGGAATTCATCTACTTTACATGAATTGTTCCATTCAGATATAACAGTCTCTGCAGTGTTTGATTTTACTGGCTTAGGTCATTCACGCTGCTGCTGGTGGGGCTGCGTATGGCAACATAAAATGAACACACGATTAACTTTTACTAAATTACAGACATTGACAGTGAAATGTAAACCATCATATATACTACTCAGATTCAGTTAGTTAAAGAAGACCCCATAAAAACAGCTTAAGTCTGTCTGTTCGTTTTTGTTTTGTTTTTCTTTTATAAAATAAATACTTTTAAGAAATACATTTTAAGCCTTAATGTACACTGATATGTTTACATATGCATATTGCTGTTCTTGTAAGGAACTACTATTCTCTTGACCACATTGTCAAATAAGAAATAGCTATATCTAAACTTTCCAGATTTTTCTTTGATAGAATTATTTTTTCAACCTCATGTATGCAGGACTTAACTAGGTCTGATATTTGATACAATCCCATCTTTCCAGTGGAAACTATATTTTTATGTAAATCTGTTAATTAAAATTTATTATTACTCTTCTTTTTGAACACATTATTTTATCCATTGTTCATTTATTTATTCAATCGTCACTCTTATCTTTTCCAACTTTACACTAAATATTAGACATACACTGACAGTGTCACAAAACCCTGAAGTCAAAAGTTCTGACTGTATTATACCGTTCTCTTTATACTGCATTACCAAAAAAATTATCTTTGCCAAGTAAATTTTACTTTTGCTATACCGAATCAATGTGGGTTGTAGAGAAGCCATTTGGAAAAACACTTGGATTAGAATAATTTTAGGTTTTCTGGTCTGTTGCATACCAAGCAAAGGAAGGTAATTAGCTCTGTGCACCCTGTACATCGTGGGAACATATTTACATAAGAAAATAAACCAAGATGCTTAAAGAAGCAAATACTGTTTCAGTTACCATATTAATCAGCTTGAAATATAGTTTGTTCATATTCTTCTTAGCATAAAAGTATTCAATGTCTCATTACTTGTGATTAAATCAACTACGTTCAATAAACATTTATTAACATCTACTGTGTTCAAGGCATTTTGCTGAGTGTTACATGCCATAGCCACCAGGTCTTAGTAAAACTTGCAATCGGAATATGGGGTTTTGAGGAATGATAGAATAAGAAAAGTAGAGAAAAATAAGTTTAGAAGATAGGTTTAAGTAATATGCTTTGTGTTTTCAATGTAGTATTGGCTGGGAGAATGGGGAAAAGCATCTCAGTGACATGGGTCTCTTTGGATAATTAGCATTTTAGTGCTCTACACGTTCAGAGAAACTTCTCTAGTAACAAACTATAGAAATGATCCCTGAAAGTATAGTCTTGGATAATTAGCATTTTAATGACTGAGATAGAAAGGTGAAGTAGATGGTATTTGATACGGTTTGGCTGTGTCCCCACCCACATCTCACCTTGAACTGTAATAATCCCCACATGTTAAGGGTAAGGCCAGGTGGAGATAATTGAAGCATAAGGGCAGTTTCCCCCATACTGTTCTCATGGTAGTGAATAAGTCTCAGGAGATCTGACGGTTACATAAATGGGAATTCCCCTGCACAAGCTCTCTCCTGTCTGCCGCCATGTAAGACGTGACTTTGTTCCTTAATCGCTTTCCGTCATGATTGTGAGGCCTCCCCAGCTATGCGGAACTGTGAGTTTATGAAACCTTTTTCCTTTATAAATTACCAAGTCCCAAATGTGTCTTTATTAGCAGCGTGAGAACAGACTGATACAGTATTGCAGTGAAAATATTCACCACTTCTCCATACTGGGCCAGTACATGGAGAGGTATTATACTCCTTACTCCATTAAGGTTAGATTTTGTCAAATAACTGCCTTTCGTTAATAAAATGTTCACCATTTCCAAGAAAAAGCTTTCAGAGTCCCACCATCTCTCTGTTCCTTCTGCCAAGTGACTGTTGTGTTCTAGAGAGGAGTTGCTCTATTAGCTTATTCTGAGAATGGAGGGGCAAGGAAAAAAGCCACAGGCAAACATGATAAGCAGGAAATGTGAGTGGGAAATACACCTCTGTGGTTTTAACCCACTGAGGTTTGGAATCTATTCATTACTAGAGAAAAATGTAGTTTAAACTGACTGATACAGGGACAGGACATTCTGGAAGATGCTACAAACACACACAGAAGGCATAGAGACAGAAAACTAAACAGCATTTGATTTAGAGACAAAGAGAGTAAGGGAATTGTGCATAGAAGTGTAGTTTGTATTCACATTGCAGAGGACCCTATGAGTCTGAATGCTAGAACTAGTAGTAGTTAATAACTAACTTAATAGGCAATAGGTAAATAATAGATGATTAAACTAGAAAAATGGCTTCTTAGAGCTACACTTCAAGAAACATTTCTCTGACAGCTGAATGCAGGAGGTATTGCGAACAGAAATGGGAAGTAGATTTTTGGAAAGACTATTCACTTGGCTATATTTACTAAGCACATCTCCTGTGTGTCAGACGTTGAGAGGGGCATAGGTGGTAGAATGAAGAAGCGATCCTTGCTTTCACAAAAGTTACACTTTAGTAGACAAGACAGCTATTAAATAATAAAACAAGTAAATAATATAATTTCCAACTGTTAAAAGTGCTAGGAAAAAAACAGAATGTTATGAGAGTGAATGATAGAGAAAATTTACTCAGGACCATAAGGACAGCTACTCAATGGCTTCTTAAGCAAATAATATCAGAGGAATGCTTAAAACAGGAGGTGATAATTGGAACCAATGGGAATTGCAAGGTTGCAATGACTGTGAAAGGCATTGTGAGGATAAATTCTGCAGACTGATTTGTTAATTTATTTAGTCCAAAGGATAAAAGAAAAAGAAGATGCCAATATGACTGATTTTTTGGGCCTGGATGACTAGGGACTTAGTAGACCCTTCAGCAGAAATAACTATGTTGGGAAAGAGTTTTTAAGAGGAAAAGAGACTACTGGGTGCCAATTATTATGAACCTAAAATACAAATATGAAGGAAAGATAGGAGTGTCCAATGGACAATGGGCAACGTAGGTTTGGAACTGGAGAGAGAGCCTGTGGCTAGGAATATTGACTTGAAAATTGAAACTTTAGTTAAATATGAAATATCTAAGGTAGACCGAAGCTTGAAGTTGAATATTTGGTAGGCTGGGGAATAAATGTGTTTGAAAAGTTGTTAGAGAGGCTAAAGGTAAAACCTGTATAGTATAAAATAGAGTTCATTTGTGTTAGCCTGTCATTTGAAAGGTCAGGAGGTGCAGCCAAAAGAAGTTGGCTTACTACAATCTGGGCTCTGACTATCTCCATCGTTGTGCTCCTGAACAAGATATCTTATTTCTCAGTCAGTCTTATCATCTATAAAATGGAGATAATAAGTTGCATCTTGGTTGGTGCTGGCTCTGAATGTTCATGTCCCCCTCAAATTTGTATGTTAAAATAACCCCCAAGGTGATGGTATTAGGAGGTGGGGATTTGGGGGAAGGGATTAGGTCATGAGGGTAGAGTCCTTATGAATGGAATTCATGCCCTTACAAAAGAGGCCCCAGAGAGCTACCTGGCCCCTTCCACCATGTGAAGACACAGCAAGAAATTGGCAGTCTGTATCTGGAAGAGGGCCCTCACCAGAACCTGACCATGCTGGCACCCTGATCTTGGACTTCCTAGCCTTTAGAACTGTGATAAATATGTTTCTGTTGTTACAGGCTACCCAGCCTATGGTGTTTTCTTACACCAGCCTGAATAGACTAAGGCAGTTGGAAATTTGGGGGAGAATTAAATGACATGACTTATTGAATTATCTCTCATGGTGCTTGGCACATAGAGTAGGCTAAGTGTTACTTTCTATTTCCAACATTGTTATCCAGGACTTCCTCATGTCCATCCAATATATCAACAGTTATCTAGGAATCTTACATTATCTGAATCTTGTCAGAATCCCTTTCATAAGACTCAATTTTAGTCCTATCATTTTTTCTATAAAGTATTTTCTGACTATCCCAGCCTCTTCTGAATTGCTGTATCATATATTGTCTATCTTAGTCATTGGCTCACAATTTATCTTTCATGTCCTGATTCCTTTCCAGATTACAAGTCACTTGCATACAAATGTTGTCTCATATATTTTGAATTCCAGTGAATTTCATGTTATCCCATCTAGAGTGGGAACTTTTAAAAAATAAATATCTCTATTGATATTTTTAATATAGTAGAAGTTCTTTCATCTAACCGAAACAGGACCTGTAGTTAGAGAAATAATAAAAAAATACTATTATAGGTGAAACTTATATAAAATGTAACACATATACCACAACAAGTTTATGTCAGCTTTAAACAAGACCTGCAAAGTGTGTCAGGAAGGCAGTCTTCAATAGGTAAACCCTAGCACGGGTGCTGTTTATTTCCCCAGTGTGGTGTCTGTGAATGCTGGCTGAGTTTGAACATCAAGGAATGAGTGTGTAATAATACATTCCATGTCACTTGAGCTGAAAACTTCAGCATGACTATTGACTCTTCACTTTTTAAAAATTCTGTCCCCATGTCTGATAATCACATACTTCTTAATTTTCCATTTCAACATACATTACCCTCATATAAACACTTGTTACCTAACTCTAAGATCATCCCCACTGCATTGTGACTGGTCTCCTCACATCCAGTATCTCCCTTTTATTCATTGTCCACATTGAGGCTTTTCAAATCATTGAGTATTAAAGTTGATGCATCTTCCCAGCTTTTATCATCTTCTTTGCTTTGAGAACGAACCCGGATACACTGACACGGCAGTTCTGTGTGTCTTTGGACTTCAAGCCAGATATGATTATGGGTCCGAGTATGGACTCTAAGCTCAAACTGAGGCCAAAAAGTAACCTCTTTCAGGGACTTAAAATTGGACAAAGACATCAAAACTGTGAGCCGCTAGTGGCTGTCATTGTTAATGTCTCCCTTCCAGGTGAGACGTTGTGCCAGGAAGATCTTTCAGTGTAGATGGCCAAAACTGTCTAGTTCCTCCCCTTTCCTAGCCTTCATTTCTCAATTCTTCACTTCTTTTCCTCTTAAGTTAGCTAGAGCCAGTTTCCTTATTTGCAACCCCATGAATACTATGCATTTGTTTATACTGTGTAATGTAAGCATAGTTATAATTGTGCTGTTCTCACCATAGATGTTAAATAACTTGTCTTCCATTTAAAAAATTTCAACAATTCTTAGCCAGAATATTAAGACTTTCCATCCTCTTCTTTAAAGCCTTTAGTGTGACCTTATTCCCTTCACTCTCATTCACACATTTTATTTAATTATTACCATATGTGAGTCTAATATGACCCTCCAGAGATGTTGTTCAGAGTGTGAGTCCTGGTGTCATGTAGCCTAAACCAAAACCCTTCTTTTCCAACTTACTAGCTGAATGACCTTGACAAGCTTTATAAATTCCCTGTGCATGAAGTTCTTAATCCCTCAAATGGGGATAACAATGATGGCACCTACTCATAGTGTCATTATAAAGATCAAGTAGTTAATATTCACAAGGATTAGTTCCTGGTACATATTCTGAGTTTAATAAATGTTTCTATGATGATTATTTGTTGTTCCTGAACTAGGTATCTTTCACCCTCTGAATTTCTTCTCATTGTCCTTCTCTATTTCTAAACAGATTAGTAATATCTATTGCTCAAACACAGCCCAAATGGCACCTCCTCCAAAGAATCTCCCTGAGCTGCCAAATCTAACTGATCTCTCCTACGAAACTTTCATTGTACTTCATCACACTGTATTAGTCTGTTCTCATGCTGCTAATAAAGACATGCCCAAGATTGGGTAATTTATAAAGGAAAGAGGTTTAATGGGCTCACAGTTCCACATGGCTGGGGAGACCTTACAATCATCTTACAATCACGGCAGAAGGCAAAGGAAAAGCAAAGGCACGTTTTACATGGCGGCAGGCAAGAGAACTTGTGCAGGGGAACTCCCATTTATGAAACGTCAGGTCTCCTGAGACTTGTTCACTACCATGAGAACAGTTTGGTCAGAAACCACCCCCATAATTCAGTTATCTCCACCTGGCCCCACCCTTGACATATGGAGATTGTTACAATTCAAGATGAGATTTGTGGGGGGCACAGAGCCAAACCATATCACATATCTAATATTTCCTCTGTTCCTGCTGCAGAACGATTTCTGCATTCTATCCTGCTTTATCGTTGTTATATGAGCATATTCCTTTTTTTTTATTCATAGTCTTTAAACTCAGAGGGGTCCATGTCTCTGCCTTGTGTTCTCCACACATAGCACAATGAAGTGAATTTCACAGGTTCAAAAGAAATGTTTGCTAAAAGAATAGCAAGAGAGTAATACTTCACATTTTACCCTCATTCCACCAAGTGAGAAAGAAAGTGTATAAATAGCATCTCTTTTTGATAAAGGAGGGAAGTGACTTACTCAAGTATATTTAATTATTTGGTTACGCATCAGGGACTGAAGACCTGATGCTGATGACTTCTCCCCGTCTACAAGGTTCTAATCCATTCCATTTCTGAGCATAGCCTTTTGTCTAGCTAACACACACTTAGGTATGGTGAGGAATTGGGGGAGTAGTGTTATTGTGATTGGTATTCAGGCTTGAACATAAATTTTCAATTTTAAATGTACATTTGAACAGACTCTTTAGAAGACTGTGGAGAAAGATTGTACTAAAGAGAGAAAGTGAAAATAGGTTTGCTGTATGTCATGGAGAAAGTTCACAAAGTTGTTCTTCTTTAACCTTTCCTTCTAGGATTACCAGGGTTGGACATGTAGGAAAAGGCATTGTCAACTCAGTGTGAGATTAGAAGAAAGTTGTGCCAATTAGGGCCTATGAGTACAGTTTCTAATTAACCCAGGTGTAAAGAGATTTACAGGTCAAAACTAAAACTCATGAATAGGGTGACATGAAGTTTAGCCTGCCCACTATACATACATTCATATTACTGAAATCTTTTTCTTTCTTAGCACTACAGTGTGTCTAATTTGATGAGAAAATAAAATCACAAAATTTACGATCTTTTTGGCTCCTCAGCTGACCTTTTCCCTTATCAACGTTTTTCAGTGGGAGTTTTGGGCAAAACAAAAGTCAGAAAGAAATATTCCATTATCTTTCATTGCATTTTATTGAAATATTATTGGAGACATATGTCAAAATAAGAGGAAACAGGATGTATAAATATCTCACTCCTCTCAGAATGTAGGCACAGTTCAGAAAAGATGAAATCAAAACTAATAAGCTAACTAGCTTATTATTGAATCAAAAACTTACACTCTAATTAAATATAAATAAACATATGGACTGTAATGTTGAACTTTGTCCTTGATTGACCTACTTTAACAGGAAGATGTCTCATATCTTCAATGCCTGCTAACATCTTTTTATTATTGGGTTGCTAGAAATTTCCTTTTTAGAGTTCCACTAACTTTAATTAAAAATAGAACTTCAAAATCTTTCTTATTTTCTTCTTTATTTTTCATTATCCCCAATTTGCCCACAGATCTGTACTCGTGATATCACTATTTTACATTACCCTGACTAAAACTTCATCATGCATGGGTATTTCCGTGCTGATGATATTTTATAGGTCTCATATTCTGTTATGAATCTAGTAATCTTAGCTGCGCAATTGTCTAAGCAACCAGAAGTTTGAAATCATTATGTTGTGACAAAGCCTTGACTTGCTCCTTAAATTATGATTGAACACTGATTTATTCCTCAGGTATCATTGCTATGGCACAGCAGTCTCTAATTGATACAGATAAAAGTAGAGCTCACTTAAATCTTGGGGGAGAGGGATGGGTTCCTGGTGACAAGCAAGAGGGGATGTCCTACAAAAGCAGATTCAGAGGAGTGAGAATATTAATGACATTAAGGTTCTACCTCTGCTTACCCCATTGCTATGTCACCTCAGTTTTCTTTTCCCTGAGTAACCATGAATTAAAATCAGTCACCTGTATTTATATAGCATGAAAATGAAAAGGACCTCATTTTCTCTTCTTATCTTTAACAGCTGCTTAATGGAGATAATCAGTATTATAAAAAGTATTGCTACTGTTTGCCAAATAAACAATTTCATGATCATCAGCCTTAACTATAAACCTAAAGTCTAGGTACAACATAGACATAAGAAAAAAAAAAACCCTATATGAATCTTTGAAATTTGTAGCAAAAATAAATTAAATAAAAATAAATCATAAAAGCCCTACGGAAGGTCAACAGAAAAGCAGAAGCAATGGGTTGTTTTGGTTCACTTAAAAATAAGAAATCATGGGGCTGGGCGCGGTGGCTCACGCCTGTAATCCCAGCACTTTGGGAGGCCGAGGTGGGTGGATCACAAGGTCAGGAGTTTGAGACCAGCCTGGCCAACATGGTGAAAGCCTGTCTCCACTAAAGATACAAAAATTAGCTGGGCATGGTGGCGCACACCTGTAATCCCAGCTACTCGGGAGGCAGAGGCAGGAGAATTACTTGAACCAGGAGGTGGAGGTTGCAGTGAGCCAAGATCGTGCCACTGCACTCCAGCCCAGGTGACAGAGCAAGACTTCATCTCAAAAATAAATAAATAAATAAGAAATCACTAGTTGAACCAAAAAAAATTTACCAGATATAAATGATGGGAATAAGACAAAAGAAAATTCAATACATTTTACTTAAGTATGTATTTAATTTAGTAAATTCCATCAAAAGATGTGTATGTCATGTCATGATCATATTTATTTTCATTTTCCCTGGTAAGTTATTTGTTGCATAACTACAGTCACAGATTTGCATGTGGTTTACGACAAAATGAAGAAGTAGAGTGACACTGGTAAATGTGTACAGAGCAAAAGCAGATTTCTCAGGCCAAATGAAATATTTATCGGCCAAATGAGTTTAGATAACTATGTGCAAGGCCAGATCCATAAGGCTTCAAAATTTTGGATCTCAATGCTGAGAGATCATTTCAGAAGACTCTGTGAAATCAGCAGCATATGCCTTTTTAAGCCTTTCTTGAAAAAAAGACCACTCTATCTGTTGCTTCTCAGAAACACACACCCAAATACTCAACAAATCGGTCTTGGATTTATTCAGCTAATACTGTAGAAGAATGGTATTGCATAAATAAACCATAGCACCATGATCTCAAGCAGCCTAAGCTAATCATGGGTCCTGCCAAATTCAATATATAAATAAATAAAAGCTAACAGAATACCAAACAAATATTCAGTGAGATACAATTCAACCCTGGAATTAAGGTTTTTTAAAAAAGTACATTGTCCTCAGGCAAACTTACAAAAAAATTCGATTTCCTTCTGGCAAATTTATAAGGGAGGGAAGAAAGAATCTTTTAAGACTTCATGGTGGGAGTCACCACATTTAGGAATTTGCTGAAGCCATGATTCCAAAACAATGAGAGCTTTTAGCAAAATCCAGATTTTTAGCACACATCTAAGACTAATAGTAGTCAATTCTGAACTTCAGTTTCCTCTATAAATCGTCCATTTGACAGCTTCATTTGTAAATCTGATATCCCACTCAGCCTCAGCAGGTGATTTTCGAACCCTCTCTGGGATGGTTAATACTGAATGTTAACTTGATTGGATTGAGGGATACAGAGTATTAATCCTGGGTGTGTCTGTGTGGACGTTGCCCAAAAGAGATTAATATTTGAGTCAGTGGGCTGGGGAAGGCAGAGCCACCCTTAACCTGATGGGCACAATCTAATCAGCTTCCAGCAAGTACAAAGCAGGCAGAAAAATGTGAAAAGGCGAGATGACAGGCCTAGCCACCCAGCCTACATCTTTCTCCTGTGCTAGATGCTTCCTGTCCTCAAACATCGGACTCCAGGTTATTCAGTTTTGGGACTCCGACTGGCCCTCTTTGCTCCTCAGCTTGCAGACAGCCTATTGTGGGACCTTGTGATCATGTAAGTTAATACTTAATAAACTCCTATATATATAATATATATATGGATATATATAAAAATATATGATATATATAAATATATATGGAGATATATATTTATATATATCACCTATTAGTTCTGTGTCTCTAAGAGAACCCTGACTGCAGCACTGCAACCCCTTTCTAGGACATCCCTGAAGGACAGTGGTGAAGTGAAGGGAAATCTTCTCTGTGGGCAGAACTTTGAGCAGTGCACCTAGTTGTGCACTTTCCATGGAAGGAGAAATGGCCAGATGTGTGATTATATACTGATTCATGGGCTGTAGCCAATGGTTAGGCTGGATGGTCAGGGATTTGGAAGAAGCATGATTGGAAAATTGGTGACAAAGAAATCTGGGGAAGAGGTATGTGGATGGACCTCTCTGAATGGTGAAAAACTGTGAAGATATTTGTATCCCATGTGAGTGCTCACCAATGGGTGACCCCACCAGAGGAGGATTTTAATATTCAAGTGGATATGATGACCCATTCTGTGGATACCACTCTGCCTCTTTCCCCAGCCACCCCTGTCATCGCCCAATGGGCCCATGAACAAAGTGGCCGTGGTGGCAGGGATGGAGGTTACGCATGGGCTCAGCAACATGGACTTCTGCTCATCAAGACTGACCTGGCTACAGCCACTGCTGAGTGCCCAATTTGCCCGCAGAAGAGACCAACACTGAGCCCTCGATATGGTACCATTTCTTGGGGTGATCAGCCAGCTACCTGCTGACAGGTTGATTATATTGGACCTCTTCCATCATGGAAAGGACACTGTAACTGACACTTACTCTGGATATGGATTTGCCTGTCCTGCACACAGTGCTTCTGCCAAGACTACCATCCATGGACTCACAGAATGCCTTATCCACCCTCATGGTATTCCACACAACATTGCCTCTGACCAAGGCACTCACCTTACAGCTAAAAAAGTGCAGCAGTGGGCTCATGCTCATGGAATTCACTGGTCCTACCCTGTTCCCCATCATCCTGAAGTAGCTGGATTAATAGAACGGTGGAATGGCCTTTTAAAGTCACAATTACAATGCCAATTAGGTGACAATACTTGGCAGGGCTGAGGCAAAGTTCTCCAGAAGGCTGTGTATGCTCTGAATCAGCATTCAGTACATGGTACTGTTTCTCTCATAGCCAGGATTCACGGGTCCAGGAATCAAGGGGTGGAAGTGGAAGTGACACCACTCACCATCACCCCTAGTGATCCTCTAGCAAAATTTTTGCTTCTTGTTCCCATGACATTACATTCTGCTGGCCTAGAGGTCTTAGTTCCAGAGGGAGGAATGCTGCCACGAGGAGACTCAACAACAATCCCATCAAACTGGATGTTAAGATTGCCACCTGGACACTTCGTGCTCTTCCTACATTTAAGTCAACAGGCTAAAAAGGGAGTTACAGTGTTGGCTAAGGTGATTGACCCAGACTATCATGATGAAATCAGCCTACTACTCCACAATGAAGGTAAGGAAGAGTACGCATGGAATACAGGAGATCCATTAGGGCATCTCTTAGTATTACCATGCCCTGTGATTAAGGTCAATGGGAAGCTACAACAGCCCAACCCAGACGGGACTACAAATGACCCATACCCTTCAGGAATAAAGGTTTAGGTCACTCCACCAGGAAAAAGCAATTACCTGCTGAGATGATTGCTGAAGGCAAAGGGAATACAGAATAGGTAGTAGAAGAAAGTAGTCATCAATACCAGCGACGATCACATGACCAGCTGCAGAAACAAGGACTGTAATTGTCACGAGCATTTCTTCCTTCTTTTGTTAAAAACATGTTTGTGCATGTATACACTTGTACTAAGGAAATATCTTCATCTTATTTTCTTTTCCTTTATCATGTGACATAAGATTTATTACATCATATCAGCATTTAAGTAGTGTTAACTTTATGTAATAGTATTTGGGTTGGGGATTGGTGTGTTTCCAGTTTTATGAAGGACAGCTATATTATGTTAGGCATAATTATGACTTCATTACTGTCTCTATTTGAAGATTATGTATTAATTCAGGAGCTGTGTATGGGTTCAAGTTGACAAGGATTGGACTAGGGATGGTTAATAGTGAATGTCAACTTGATTGGATTGAGGGATACAGAGTATTAATCCTGGGTGTGTCTGTGTGGGTATTGCCTAAAAGAGATTAACATTTGAGTCAGTGGGCTGGAGAAGGCAGATCCACCCTTAATCTGGTGGACACAATCTAATCAGCTGCCATCGAATATAAAGCAGGCGGAAAAACATGAAAAGGTGAGACAATGGGCCTAGCCTTCCAGCCTACATTTTTCTCCAGTGCTGGATGCTTCCTGCCCTCAAACATTGAACTCAAAGTTCTTCAGTTTTGGGACTCAGGCTTGCTCTTCTTGCTCCTCAGCTTGCAGACAGCCTATTGTGGGACCTCGTGATCATGTAAGTTAATACTTAATAAATTCCCTTATATGTGCGTGCGTGTGTGTGTGTGTGTGTGTGTGTTCTATTAGTTCTGTCCTTCTAAGATAACCCTGCCTAATACAAACCCTACCACCAAATAAACCATCCAACCCTGTTTCTTACTCTGAGCGCCCATCTGGGTTAAAAATCACAAACATTCACTAAGTTGCTTATTCTAATGAATGTGAGTTACCTCCTCTCCTTTTCTCAACCCTCTCATCCAATGCATCATCTAATTCTGTTACCTCTACCTTCAAAATACATCTAAACATGGCCACTTCTCACTATCTCCACTTCTCCACTACCACCATCCTCCTCAAAGCCAACATTTTCTCTTTCCTGGAATACCAAACTCCTCATTGATCCTCTTTCCACAATCCAGCATGGAAGGCTCCAGATGATCTGTTCATGTCACCGAACTTATTTCCCACTAACCCCCTCTTCTCCCTCAGGATTCCAGTAACAAGAACCAGTTTGCCCATCCCAACCAAGCCAAGCAAAGATCATTGCAGTGTCCGCTGTCATCCTGGAATATCTCTCCCAAAATGTCCAGTTATTTCCTTCATTTACTGCATTCAGCTAGTTGGTCAATATCATTCAAAGGTTCTTCTATCATCTCTGAAGATGTGACCTTTACCACTCTCTATCTTCTTGTCCTGACATTTGCTGTATTAGGCCCTTCTTGCCTTGTTATAAAGAAATACCTGAGACTGGGTGATTTATGAAGAAAAGAGGTTTAATTGACTCGTGGTTCTTCAGACTTTACAGGAAGCGTGGTGCTGGCATCTGCTTGTCTTCTGGTGAAGCCCCAGGAGCTTTCAATAATGGCAGAAGGCAAAGAGGTAGGAGGCACATCATCTAGTGAAAGCAGGAGCAAGGGAGAGAGAGAGTAGGAATGGGGAGGTGTCACAAGCTTTTCTTTTTTTTTTGTTTTTGAAACAGAGTCTTGCTCTGTCATCCAGGCTGGAATGCAGTGGTGCGATCTCAGCTCACTGCAACCTCCGCCTCCTGGGTTCAAGCGATTCTCCTAAGCCTCCCAAGCAGCTAGGATTACAGGCACATGCCACCATGCCCAGCTAATTTTTGTATTTTTAGTAGGGATGGGGTTTCCCCATGTTGGCCAGGCTGGTCTCGAACTTCTGACATCAGGTGATCCACCCGCCTCACCCTCCCAAAGTGCTGGGATTACAGGCGTGAGGCACCGCACCCGGCCACACAAGCTTTTAAGTGACCGAATATCATGATAACTCAAGCACTATTGCAAAGACATCACCAAGCCGTGAGGGATCTTCTCCTGTGATCCAATTACCTCCCACCAGGCCCTGACTCCAGCATTGGGGATTACGATTCAGCATGAGATTGGGTTGGGGACAAATATCCAAACTATATCATTTACTTTATACCAATTATCACTACTTGTAATTAGGTTATATTTCTCTTTTTCTCTATCTCCTTCTTTAGACTCTAAGTACCATGAGATCTGGTAGTCTTGTTCACTTTCGTATCCACAGAACCTGGAATAACGTTTCACCCACAGTAGGAGGAGCATAATGACTTGTACTTTATAAAAATCCCCTCAGTGATACCATATTGCTACAGCACTGATCTATATATGTCATTATGTAATTATTTTTCATTTTCAAGAGCTACTTGAAAGCATAGGCTGCTATTTTGCATGAATTAGTTCATACAATTATTGCTTAAGACTATCTAACAAGAGGATATTGGTTTTTGCTTTATTGATTATAACCCAAAAGTATCTACGCATCGTGAAGAACATAAGAATTTTATTTTCTATCTGATTGGGAAGTTAATTGGAGGGAAGCAGAAACATAGACACCAAGTTTGGCAAACATTTTCCTTCTCAGATAATTGACCGTATAACTCATTTGACTGCTTTGGAGGTGTAGAGAGCATTGAAAGTTTCTTTCTTTTGATCTCTGCCTCACTGTCTTGTTTCTCTGATCCTCAGTTTATTCATCTATAAAGTGGAGCTGCTACACTGAGTTCTCAAGGTCACTTTGATTATTTTAAAAATATACATAAATATGTGTTTATTTAAGTGAAGGATCCCTGGGCCCCATCCCTGAGCCCACTTTTACCCACAAACACATGGATACGTATATACAACTTCAACTGATACCTGCAAAGAATGCTACATGCCAGATTCTTCTAACCCTTTGCTCTATTTCTCTTCTAAAAACACCATTTTGAAAGTAATTCAAAACCAGGTTCAGTGGTCTGTGCCTGTTGTCCCAGATATTCAGGAGTAGATAGAGAGACCCAGTCTCAAAAAAACAAACAAAAAAAAGAGAAAGTAATTCAATGTTGATCAAGGGAGAAATAAATGTAAAGGACCACCTTTGTCTCTTCCCTCTTGCTTCCAACTTTCATCTTCTTTTTTCTGCACAGATCTCTGTTTTCCCAGGGCTTTTCAGAGCCCTTGATTTGTAGAGCAATGGTTATTTTTCAGAAGTGGACATATTTAAATATGAAAGTTAACTTGGAGAGACACATTATAGATTTCTTGGCAAGGCAAGTCTGTAATATTGCGTTTCTTTGGGAAATGTTATTGGCTTTTTCTTCGGATTTGTCTGGTACCATTTTATAAAGTGAAACCTCTGATGGGCAGCTGGAATGCAGATTGAGATCTGGCATTGCGCTACTTTTCACAAGTCGCTGGTGCCGGGGTGTTTCCCTCTGGATGCTGAGTAAAGGAGAGAGAATCACATATGTCACCTTCAGAGTGAAGGATGGCATTCGATTTTGTTGTTAACAGGAGTCCTATTGTAATAGTTTCATACCTCAGTTAGAGAGGTGAGACCATGCACAATTATGGAATATTTTTGCTAGGCAGATGTGCCTTTTCAGTATAGAGATCACTCAATTCTTTGAAAGCTCAAGAGCAGAAATAACTTTCTCATAACGTGAGACTTGGGAATCAAGGCAGTACATCAGCATTTTTGCCCTGAAAACTTTACATCAGCTTGTTAGTCTGCATGGGGAGAAATATTCAGAACTCATAACAGCACTATTACTCAGAGAGAAGAAAATGGTCTGGAAAATGGGCAAGGGTGACAGCGGAGGGTCTGCTCCATCTGGACTATACCTCCAGGAAGATAGCATACCAAGTGTCCATGGATGAGGGGGGCCATAGCCTGTGGTCCCAAAACATGGGACTTTGGAGAAAGCCATTTCTACAAATACAACAAAAGCACAGGGAGAATGCTGTTTCTATAAAAGCTGTACTAGAGGCCAATTCCATTTCTGAAATGGAAGCTTTGGGATTGAGTTGGGTACTAAGACTTTGCTAAGAGATTTTAGAGATACCCTAGAATACACCCTTTTGTGTGTGTGTGTATGACAAAGGAACTGATTGTGGCTTTCACAGCATTTAACAATTAGCACCCACTATCAGTGCTTCCTGTTTCTCTCCATATACAAAAGAAACATATTTCTCTCCCAGAGTTGGTGGGTTGCAGACTAGTGGGCCTTATTGGTGAGCTTTTGTTTTAAAATAAGAACACACATCTTTCAACTTAATCTGTGCTTAGATACACAGTGATCTTCCATGCATTTTGCTTAGGTATGTTTCAAGCACTGAATGAATAATTATTATGGAACTGTAGTTAGCTGCTTAGAAATTAATGGTTTTCTCCTGAGGAGGGGGATAAATGTTTTCAAACTAATTTCTTTCCTTCATTATCAATGTTTAGCGGAAATGCTTCTTGAGCACTTAGCCTACTAGTTGAGAATACATTAAGAGGATGTTTACTCTGAAACTTGACAAAAAGGTTATTACTAAGGCAGGATTATTTGAGATAAGGGAACAAATTCCTAGAAATTACTCTCTACTTTTATCTTCAGTTAATACTTCTCTTTAACCTTATGTATAAGAACTTTACCAACTACTGTGACTGTCAAATTTGGGAGTCACTGAATCAATAGTTACGATAAAGAGAATTGTTTAAACAAAGATTTATTTATTCATTGGTATATTTATCCATTCAAAAATAAATATATGGCCCAGGCACAGTGACTCATGCTTGTAATCCCAGCTCTTTGGGAGGCTGAGGCAGGAGGATTGCCTGGCCCGTAGTTCAAGACCAGGCAGGGCAACATAGAGACTCTGTCTCTACAAAAATAAAATTTAAAAATTAGCTGGGCATAGTAGTGTGTACCTGTGGTCCCAGGCTGAGGCAGGAGAATCACTTGAGCCTGAGAAGCTGAGGCTGCAGCGAGCCCTGATTGCAACACTGCACTCCAGCCTGGGTGACAGAGACCCCGTCTTAACAAAAATTAATTAATTTAAAAAGATAAAATAAATACATGTTCTAGGCACTAAGGAAATAATGAATGAAGTAGTCCAATTTTCTATCCTGATAGAATTTATGTCACCAGGGATTGTTCTTATTTTTCTTGTGTTGAAATTATAGACCCCAAGAAATTTACAACTAAAAGGGATGCTATGGACATCCATTCAAAGCCCTTCAGTCACTGTACAGGTAAGTACAGTGAGACTCCAGAAGGTGACATATTACCCAGGGTCCTGCTGCTGTTTAGTAGCAGGTATTGTAGTGGAATAGCATCCAGGGCTTTAGCGCTTAGTTTTAATTTCCTAGGGCTGCCATAACAAAATACAATCGAGTGGCTTAAAACAACAGAAATTTATTCTCTCACTGTTACAGAGACTACAAGCGCAAAATCAAGGAGTCAGCCAGGTTGGTTCCTTATGGGGGCTCTCAGGGAGAATCTGTTCCATGCCTCTCCTGGCTTCTGGTGGTTGCTGCTGTCCTTGGTGTTTCTTGGCTTGCAGCTGCGTCGCTACTTTACCTCTGTTGTCATTCCCGCAGTGTGCCTCCATGTCCCTGTGTCTACACATGGCCTTTTCATAAGAACACCAGGCATTGGATTTAGGCCCCACCTTAATTTAGTGTGACTTCGTTTTAGCCTGATTACACCTGCAAAGACATCACTAACCCTCCCAGGCGGGCCCTCCACAGCCCCTTAACATGTTTTTTTGGAGGACACACTTCATCCCACAACATGTTGTACTTAGTCTTGTGCTCTTTATATACCAGGCTGCTTCTAGCCTTGAAGGAGTACCTGCTATTGTGAATTTTTGTTGTTGTTGTTGTTGTTTGTTTTTATTGAGACAGAGTCTCACTCTGTTGCCAAGGCTGGAGTGCAGTGGCACAATCTTAGCTCACTGTAACTTCCACCTCCCGAGTACAAGCGATTCTCCCGCCTAACCCTCCAAGTAGCTGGGATTACAGGCGTGTGCCACCATGTCCGGCTAATTTTTATATTTTTAGTAGAAACGAAGTTTCACCATGTTGGCCAGAGTGGTCTCGAACTCCTGATCTCAGACGATCCACCTGCCTTGGCCTCCCAATATTTTGAAATTTTTATTGTTCACATTAGAAAGAAACTTTGGAGTTCAAGAAAACAATATGGATTTCAAAAATCACTTTTAGTCTCACTTTAAAAACACATAAAGTTGCATATGACTTTGAGCAGTTTATGTACCATGTTTGGAAAGAAGACAAGTAAAATAATAGTGTATTTCTACCATATTGCATTTTTCTTAATTACATACCTAACCCCAATCTGCCCAGTTTTTCAAAGAAATACAATTTTCAAACAAAAAAGAAAAAAGTCATAATGCTAATTAAGATGAGTGCTTTTCACTTCTAGTACCCCAGGGGAAACCAGTCTTGATTGCCACTTTCCTGGGGCTTCCTCACAACTATAAATTCTAGGTAGGCTTACTTCCTGTCCTGGAAAGATAGAACTCACTCTTGAGATCCTAGCTCATTTGTAAGGTATTTCCAGAACAGAGAAAAAGTTGTGCCAAGTGTTGCAAATCATATATGATCTGTGACAAGAGACCCTCAAATGATTTCATTTACAAGGACATAAAACATACTGTAATTTGAGCCATAGTCCTTCCAGAAAGGGATCAGTGCACTGTTCATTCTGTTATGCAATGTAGCCTATGCACAACCTTCTAAAGTTTTTTTCTGGTTGCATTTGCCAAGTCTTTTAATGGTTTTTTCTCTTTCTTTTTGGCTTTAAAAAATGTTTAATCAGGATGACACAACTGAATATAATATTATCTTCCAAATGCCATGGAAAATAAGCATTAAATGTTTCTATCATAATTTAATTTACCATAAATTAAGCAAAAAAATCAAAAAGAGTTCATGTCAATTAAAGAAAGGCCTAAAGGAATTATCAAGACACTGTGGATTAAAAATCTGATTTTCCTAGGGGGAATAAAACAAGATTTTAATAAAACAAGATGGATGTGTTAAAATAAGACTATTTTATTGAATGGTTGAATCAATTTTCTGGAAAAAATTCAAATACCATATCAGATTATGCCTTGCTTTGTATTTTCTCAGACTCCAAGCCATTGTTCTAGCTGCTGGAGAGATTGCCATATCTGTGTGATCTCTGATCACCTTCACAAAAGCACACTCTAATAGTACAGTTACCTCTTGCCTCCCATCTAGGAGTCCTTGTGAAAAGGTAACCAACTAGTCTTAGCTTTCCCAGGAATTTCCTGCTTTTAGCATTGGGAAGTCTCTTAACCCAGGGTTAAGACTGATGATGTCAGCATCTCATGATGCTAATAAAGACACACGTAACCCCTCAGTCGCAGGCACACCAGAACATTTGGTCATTTTTCTGTGGACCTTTAGGCATGAGCCCCCATGGGATCGAGTTTAATGCCCATGCATATGCAACTTGTAATCGCGCGCGCGTGTGTGTGTGGGTGTGTGTGTGTGTGCGCGCGTTGTGGGGGACGGTGGTGTTAAACTTCTATGGGGTATATTTTTGTCCAGTGAATGTTAGGAGCTAATGAATACATTCTTCCTCCTATCTTCCCCGGTGCTGACTGCTCTGATACGCAGTTCTTGTGATTTCTCACAGGATGGTTTCATAGAATCAAGCAATTAATTGCATTTAGGAGAAGCCACCTGATATTGGCTTTTCTTCCTTACTTACTATTGTGGACTGAAAGTTTATGTCTCCCCAAAATGCATATAACCCCCTATGTAATAGTACTGGACATGGACCTTTGGGAAGTGATTAGGTCATGAGGGTAAAGCCCTTGTGAATAAGATTGATGCCATTATAAAAGAGGCCAGAGAGAGCTCTCACGCCCTCTCTGTCATGTGACAAGATGGCCCTCTGTGAACGAGGAAGTGGGTCCTCATTAGACACTGAATCTGCCAATGTCTTGATCATGGACTTCCCAGCTTCCAGAACTGTGGGAAATAAATGTTTGTTGTTTAATCCACCCAATTATGCTACTTTTGTTACAGCAACTTGAATGGACTGACACCTCCTTTGCAGTCTTTCCCATCCCCCCTATTCCCTTGGCTTTTATTCCAGAATGAAGCCCTTGCTTCAGGGTTCACTTTTTGTGAACACAGACTACAGAAGTTGACACGCGGAAGTGAACCTGGAAATAAACCTTCAGGATCAGATGTTGGGATGGGATTACTCATGGCAATAATGATCTCACTGCTGGCATAAATGGGATTTCTATGACCCCTAGCATGCAATTAGCATCACAATTTCCCAGGCATTTATTCATGGTTAGTTGGGGTATACTGCAGGAGGAAGGTAAGACATTGGACTATGCAGCAGCAGTAGTACTTGGAATATATGGGATATTAATAATTATAAGAATTGTGGAGCAAGTTAATCATTATTAACTACACTGAAAGTCTTGGTAAAAGCATCAGGTTCGGAACGGTCAGTTGTCAAGTCATGATATGCTTTGAAAGCCAATATTCCCCTGTATTGCCTGTTCTCATGATGCTAATAAAGACATACCGGAGACTAAGTAACTTATAAAAGAAAGAGGTTTAATGGAATCACAGTTCCACATGACTGGGGAGGCCTCACAATCATGGAAGCAGGCAAAGGAGAATCAAAGGCACAACTTACACAGTGGCAGACAAGAGAGCTTGTGCAGGAGAACTCCCATTTATAAAGCCATCAGATCTTGTAAGACTTATTCACTACCATGAGAACAGTATGGGGGAAACTGCCCCCATGATTCAATTATCTCCACCTGGCCCTGCCCTTGACATGTGGGGATTATTACAATTCAAGGCGAGATTTGGGTGGGGAAACAGCCAAATCACGTTATCCCCCATGCTTTGTAGAACATTTTTTATTCCCTGCAATTACTGAGCATATTATGCTAAAAATCAAGACCAGGTTCTAATTATAAGAGTGGCAGAGTTGCAAAAGAACAAATGCCCATTCTGAACAGATCTCCTTTGCCAAAGTCAGGAATTATGAAAAGAGTGAATCTCTGAGCCCCAGGATAGGGTATTTGAGTGGTTGATGCTGAGAATCTTGAATCCTAAATTTCCTCCAATCCTCTGGGCTGGTAGAATCAGCTCCTTCTTCTTGAGAAACCTCCCCTTGTTTTGAGACTTCCCTTGAAGCAGGTGACTTGTAGGATTAGTGGAGGACAACTCCACTAATGGAGGATAGAATTTGGTAGAGAAATTACCCAGCCTCCACAGCCTCTGATAAAATTATTCTGAGGCATGTCCTATATTATTTCTCAGAGCATGCCCAATGGGATTCAGCCCCAGCTGCCCACAGTGATAACTCATTCATAACTCATTCATAAAGGAAGAATTTATTGGCACTTCTCCCTTCTCTGACTCACACCAGTTCATTACTTGGTGTTTACTATTGGAGCAATCCAAACTAAGACACATCAAGGTAGAAAATCTATCATCCCTTCTTTGGGACAATGCAAATGAATTAATGGGGGTGGGGGGCGGTTAGGAGGAAATTTCCTTGACCTGATTTGGTACCCAGAAAAGCAGGGGGAAATAAATTTGCCAAAGAGTCATAAGACACTATGGTTTCAGGAAGCATCTCTTGATGAGGCAAAGTAGAAGAAAGAGACTCTATTGTAAGTAGTTCTCCAGCTATCTGATTAGCTGAGATAAACCTTCTATAGCAATCCCTATAGATGTATGGTTTGCCTAACTTCTGATCCATAATAGTAGGTCCTCTGACAATGATAATGGTCATTAATATTTACTTAGCAATTTGATTTGTGCCAAAAACTATGGATTGCTCTCTGTGCATTATTTTGTATAGTCACCGCAAAAACCCCGTGAGCTGGATTCAATTAAAATCCTGGTTTCAGAAATGAGGAAGCTCAACCTTAAAGAATTTAATTAAGTCTTGAAGACTCCCCTGGAAAAAGTTAGGTGAGAGTAAAATAGTGTGAGAAGATTCACTTTCAATAATTAGCCATTTAATTTATCTTCAGGGTCCAAAGGAAATAGGTATTTTTTAACCCTATGCTTGTTGTAGATGAGGAAACAAGCCTGGAAAGTCTTAGTAAATTGCCAAGAATCATGCACTGGAGAGTACATTGAAGAAACCAGAACTATGGCATTCATGACCATCATCTACCCATTGCCCCATGCTACTGATCTGCAAAAGCAGTCTCTGCTATTCTACCTGATCAGGAGGCCAATCTTAGTATTAAATTTTTACTGTCTCTGTCAATATATGCACATGACAAACAATGCAAACTACAAAATGGTATAGAATGTAATTCCCACCTCATGCTTTTCTTAGAGGCCAAAACAGTTTACTTATGTTGGATCCTTCCAGAAAATTTCCATATACATATCTATCTGTCTATCTATCTATCTATCTATCTATCTATCTATCTATCTATCTACGTACCTACCTACCTTTCTGTCTCTCTCTTGACTCGTGCCTTATTTGCACATCTTTTTCCTTTGAAACTAACAATGTTAGAGATCATCTGTTACCAGCAGCTGTGGAGCCCTTGTCTGTCTACTTAATGACCTCATCATTCTTCACTCTATGGACGTGTTATAATTTAATTAACCAGTCTCCTACTGATGGTCATTTCAGCTTTCCTAGTCATTTGCTACTACAAATAATGCTGCAGTTAACAGCCCAACATATATTTTTGAGCACGTGCATGAGCATATCAGTAGGATAATTTCCTGGGAAGTAATGTCAGAGGATCAAAGGGTATTTCCATTTTTTTCTATTAATTAATCAGTAGATCTATTAAGCATACTAATTCCCAGGGAACATTTCTGTGACTAATAGGTTGTGACAGCATTTCCTTCTTCAAAGAGGACAGAGGGCATTTTCAGGTGACAGCGGTCTTGGGAGTGTTTGCAGATAAGCACTGCTGCTGCTGGGGATGATTACTCTGTGGCCTGGTTCAGTTCCTGTTCTTCCCCTGCTCATTGTTTCTTTGCAAGCTCCCCCTGTGCTGTCCCAGGTGCAGGAGGCCATCATGTAAACAGACATTCCAAATACCAGAGCGTCGCCATGGGGTGTAGGGGACCACTGCCAAAGATGAGATTAGTTCAGGAACTGGACACATTCTTGCTGAAGAGAAACGCATGAGCTTAAATCCATAACTTAGTATGAGGTTAAAAATTCAAGTATCTGATTTGTACAGAAAGACGGAATCTGTTAAGCAGGCTAGGAGAATGTGATCAGCCTAGACATCTTTTAATTTAAAAAAATAAAACATTTTGGAAAATCTCAATTGATTTCTTAATTTCTTGTATTGTTTAAAATGAATTATAAGGAACAAATGAATATATTTAAGGAGTTTTGACACCAAGAAATAATACAGGGCTTTGACTTTATTTACAGGGCAAGAATCAGTGAACTTGGCACGCTTTATTTCTTTATCTCTCTGTTTTTTTTTCTTTTTTTTTTTTTTTAATAAATGTCCACTTATTTGGTTCTCACGTAACTTTACAAGGTACTTACTGTGATTAATCTCATTATACAGTCTAGGAATGTGGCTCTTATTATACGAATATACGAATAGTAAGTAAAAGAGCCCAATTAGAGAGCTGCACTCTTTTTTTTTTTTTTTTTTTTTTTTTTTTTTTTTGAGATGGAGTCTCCCTCTTGTCGCCCAGGCTGCAGTGCCGTGGCACAATCTCGGCTCACTGCAACATCTGTCTCCTGGGTTTCAAGCAATTCTCCTGCCTCAGCCTCCTGAGTAGTTGTGATTACAGGCACGCATCGCCACACCCAGCTAATTTTTGTATTTTTAGTAGAGACGGGGTTTCACCATGATGGTCGGGCTGGTCTCAAACTCCTGACCTCGTGATCCACCCACCTCAGCCTCCCAAAGTGCTGGAATTACAGACATGAGCCATCGCGCCCAGCCAATTTCTTTTCCTCTCTGAAACCCAGTGCCCTAATGTGTGTCAAATGCCCAGACTCCTTTACTAGCCCATCTCTTTCAGTTTTGACCCTTGCCATGGCTGCAGGTGAAACCATTTCCAGGAATGTGCCACTCCACCTTTCCTCCCCTGGGGCCGCCTTTGTAAGCTCTCCAAAAATGCAAAGTGAAGACTTCTTTCAAGACTTGTAAAACCCTCCTGTGACCTTCTCTTTTTCAATTACTAGCTATGAGTATCTCAGGCTATTGCACAACCGTCCCAGAGGCTGTCAGATGGTCCGCTTCCAAGTCCAATAATGAGCTGTCCATTTAGTAAGCTTAATTGTTCTTTTAAAATAAAGTTTTCTTAATTTCTTGTATTGGGTTTGAGTCTTTTTTGTTGCTATTGCTGCTGCTTTCTCTTCTTTAAATGCAGGCTCATTTGACTTCTCAGCTGCTCATGAATACATCTCTGCAAGGATCACAGGTTTGCTGGGCAGCAGGGCAGGTGCTATGCAAGTTTCTCCCACACTGTGCTTCCAGTGTACCTCCAACATTCCTGCCTCTTCAACTGTCCGCACAATTCTGCCAAAGTGTCTACAGGCTGATATGTAGCCCCAGGCAGGTACTGCCAGTTTTAAAGCAGCTTAGGAATTCACAGGAACCTCTCTGACATAGATAAAGCTGTATTTCCTTCTAGGGGTCTGGATGATTTGAACTTGGCAGAAACATCTGCACCCTGACATGTCTCTGTTAGAATTCCAACCCTCAGTAGACAGGCAGTTATAAAAAGATTTAAATTGAATACCAGAGAAGGGCTATTATAATACCAAAGCATGCCCGTATAGAGCTTACCATTTAGATACGTTCATTTATGCATCAACTTAGTCATTCGATAAATATTTCCTATATATTCCCCAAGCTATATGTCAGGCAGTCAAGATACAGAAGGACTTCTACTCTTCATCACTTAGTGGACCTAACCCGGAACTTAAAAATAAATCTACTCCTTAAACTTCATTGCAGGAAATTTGTCTATAAACTCTGAAAACAGACTAACAACAACAATAAAGGTGAGTATAAATATTAAATTACATTTGGCATATGTCATCTTAGTCTCAAAATAGTTTTGCAAACTTGTAATTTGGAAGACATGAGTCATGCATGCATTAACATAGCTTGTATTGTCTTAAAATTATTCCAGATTGGTTCCACATTATGGCAGTAAACAAGTCACCTCAAATGTCTGTAGTTATTGCTGTAATTGATCAACTTGTCAAAGCAGAAAGTGAAAGAACTCAGACTTATTGAGCTACTCTTAAGTTACTTCTGCAGTTGGTGACTGAGCTACCTGCTGAGTGGATAGGGACCTGACAGGTGGAATTGTGCAGACAGTAGCTATGGGACATTGGGTTTCCTTCTTTGAAAACTATCAGGTCCAGAAGTCACATATAACTCCAACTTCCAAGTTTTTCAATGATACTTCTTCACAAGTGAGATCACTGTTTCTAAATAAAATAAAAGAATGGACTGGATAAAGAAAATGTGGCACCTATACACCATGGAATACTACGCAGCCATAAAAAAGGATCAGTTCATGTCCTTTGTGGGGACATGGATGATGCTAGAAACCATCATTCTCAGCAAACTAACACAAAAACAGAAAACGAAACACTGCATGTTCTCACTTATAAGTGGGAGTTGAACAATGAGAACACATGGACAACAGGAAGGGGAACATCACATACTGGGCCTGTTGTGGGGTGAGGGACTAGGGGAGGGATAGCATTAGGAGAAATACCTAATGTAGATGATGGGTTGATGGGTGCAGCAAACCACTATGGCATGTGTATACCTATGTAACAAACCTGCACATTCTGCACATGTATCCCAGAACTTAAAGTATTAAAAAAAAAAAGAATGGTAAAACAAAATGGAAACAAACAAACAAAACCCAATTATTTTGCCTGTGCCCTCAAGGGAAAAGAAAACAGAAAAAGAAAAGAGAAATGCATCCCTGTAACAGTCATTTTCTTGAAATCCCTTTTTCACCCCTTATTTTCAATGTACCGTCTGGCACTCCAGCCTACCCTGGATGTGAAAGGGAGAGTGAATGCAGCTTCTAATAAAACAAATTACCAGAAGTAGTTGAGAAAAACACGGAGCTTCAAGACATAAATGAACAAAAACTAGATACTTGTCTTGCCCTTACCCTTAAAATTTACAACCTGTTGGATAATACTCCGATGATTTGGGGCCTGCTAATTATTTTTTCTAGAATCAAGCAGGCATTTTTCATGGGAGACCTGCTGTTAGCCAATCAGGGTGAGCGATCCAGGCTGCTTTGATGTAACATAAGTTGGAGAGTAGCAGGTGGCCTTCCCTGCTGTTTATAGTGCAGTTTGGGGAGTTCTGTCAGATGTAGCAGCTCCTCTTTCTGCATGGAATTTGTGTAAATCACAAAAGAACAGATGGAAAAATAGTCACAGACCCTGTTCACCTCTTAGAAGCAGCTCAGAAACCTCCATACTCCACCTACCCTGTTTCAAAAAACCAACTTTAGTGGGTTGATCACGCAACTCCCACAAGGTAATCATTTTGTATACAAAACATCATGATTCAGACAAAACAAAAGCAGCAAATCGTTTAAATGATCACAGCTGTTACTTATGTGCATTTTGTCATTACATTCCAGATTTAGGTTAAGTAAACAGAAGAATTAGAAATTATCTCTCAGCTACCAGATCTAAATATCTTGTAGAAATTATTGCTGATGTCAGATGATGCCAGTGGTGTAGTATGTCTATTTGTCATTGTTTTTTTAAATACAACTATAAAATTCCCTGTCAATATTTTTTCCTGAAAACACTAAATCAGTTTCTAAGGATTGATCTATGTAATTTCATATTGGAAATCACCAAAGAAAACTCCCCCCCAAAATTAATTGATGGAAAAATAATAAAGAACGTATTTCTAAACAAGGCATGATAAAATCAAAGGCACCAAGTTATAAGACAGAGTAAGGTATGATGTGAACTCTATCTCCACATTTTTAGCATGTGATTTGTAAGACGAGGTGTTGAAAGAGGTGAAGCTATAAGTTAGTAAGGTCTTGACATGGAGCATCTTAAAGGTCTCATGAAAAAACATGATCTTTGACCTGGATATGATCAAAGTTGACTACTGAAGGTTGGCTTTATTTATAACGTTAAAATATGTTCAATTAATATGTTAAAAATATATAAATCTGTCTAAAGACTTAGAGGAAACAGAAGTTGCCCATTAGACAGAAACTGTGATTCAGAAATGACACGATTTCTATTTTCTTAGGGATTTATTCAGTGTGTAAAAATGTTCTTATGGGAAATCCTTGTTGTTTAATAATGAATTTATAAAACGGAGACAACAAAGTATTGAGCACAACAGAATGGTGAAGCTTAGTTTGAGCAGAAGTCAATATCCTTGCAAAACTGTTCTAGGAATCCCATTTTACATGAGTTACAAGAAAGCAGCAAGCACATAGGAATTGTCTACAGAGCTCCATAAATAAATTCTCTATCAATCATGCCCAGGAAAGCAGTGTATTAGACCAGCAGTTCCAAAGGAGGGACAACTTATCCCTCCATGGGACACCTGGCAATGTCTGGAGACATTTGTGTTGTCACAACTGGTTGACTGGATGGGAGGAGTGCTATTGATGTCTGGTGAGTAAAGGTCAAGGATGCTGCTAAACACGGGATAGCCCTCAACAACAAATAATTATCTGGCCCTAAATGTCAATACTTTGGAGGATAAGAACCCTGTTTAAGACATTTCAGGCATTTAATCGTATGTTCCATTTTCAACAGAAAGAAACTGCAAAGTTTTGTCGTGTCTACTCATGGAAATTTGGACACAGGAGGGAGCAGGACCTTGACATTGTTATTAACGTCATCAAATACATTACCTTGTCAAATAATGCATTTTTCTTCCTCAGATAGACTCACACAAAGTCCTTTTGGTTTGCTTAATATATATCCTTTTGGAAATTTGCTAATAAAAAACAATTGCTTTATTAAATGAAATTATGCTTGAAATAAAATTATATTTAACAAAGCTCCAATGAAGAACTCTTCAATTTTAAATCTTTGTTTTGAGTTCAAGAACGGTCAAATAATTGTATCAGAACTAGTCTGAAGCAATTAAAAGTATTTCCAGACATCCATATTAAAACATTATGCATCAGAAAATCAATGGAGATGGAACCAGAGTCTCCTTATATGAGATTAAGATTCCCTAAATAGTCTCTTCTTTTTTTTTTTTTCTTGGTAGTCAGATGTGTTTTCCTGGAGTATTTTGGACTATGAGGAATACTTACTCTGTTAGTTTTCTATGATGCAAAGAAGGAAAATTTCATAGTGATTTTCTTCCCTTTAGACATTTGATTTACATTTGATCATCTCTGTTAATTAAAGCTCTCTTTTGCCACAACAAAGATTAATTCAAAGAAACCTAGTAAATCTTGCTTTCTATTAGGTTTTGCTTAAGATTGCTTTTACTTTTTCTTTATCATGCCAGAACATTACAAAACAAAAAAGTGAGGAATATGTGTATTTTCTGTTCATATGAAATGGTGTTAAGTAATTAAAACATGAGGAAAGTCCAACATTAATTATCAAAGGTAATTACCAAAGATCACTTATGGTGAACTAATATAGCAATGACATTTTGAATTATCTTATTTACTTTTATTATAGTTAAATAGGATAGATAAATTGTTGATGTCCATTCTGTACTCTTGCACACAGATTTCTGTCAGAGAATATGAGGTAACTCTCTCAGATTTAATTTTGAATTTTGATTTTTTTATAAGCAGTCTAATGGAAGCAACATGTATATTTTATAAGTAAAGAATTGTTTTAATACTTCTTTGCTAAGGTTTTACAAATATGGCTGTCTTTTAAATATATAGCTGTGTGGAAATAGGCTAGTAGTAGCCTCAAAATGCTCAAAAGTTGGTTACCTTTAAAACTTTGTTATCTTTTTGATCCTTGAAACTTCGTTAATTATTTCTGGCAAGTTGCTCCCTTGGAAAAAAGATTTTATGGACAAACAGTATTTGGAAAACCTACCTAGTTTGTCATTCTCTAGAAGAGTTTCAACATATTGTGAAAAGAAATCAAAAGCTTACTTGATTTTGTTTATCCCAGCAAGTCCCCTAGCAAATCTAAAGTTCTAAGGAACAAGTTTTAGGAAAAAGTCGTTTAGAATATCCAGTCTCCCTCTTCTATTTGATTTTTGTTTTGATCTAATTACATCTTAATCCTTGCTTCTTAACCACTAGCTACTTTGTTTCATTTTAGCATTTTCATCAGAGGTACCAACAAGATAAAAGGTTAAATTTAGATATTTCTCTATTAATTATGTTTTATAAATGGTTTAGTGAGGATTGGTGACTGGTGAATTTTTCATACTTCCCCAGATTCCATTTCCTGAGACAAAATAATAAGGAATATACACAAACAAAGAAGCAAAACTTCACACCAACATCCAGTGCAACAATTCAACTTCCCTTGGGGAAAAATAACACATCACCTTTAAGACCTGAGTTCTATCTTGAGAATTTAGCATATATTACACCAAACACAGGGCGCATTTATTGGGCACATTTGTGATCATATTTAATGTTTGTCTGCAGTTACATCATTGTTGTTGGCCTTGGGGGTTAAGATGATGATTCTTCCTTCTGTTTAAACTTGATAGTCAAAATTAGTACTTTATCTGTAAGCTCTCCCACACTTTCTTCTGAAGACCACATTTTAAGGCTTTGCCTTTTTGTCTAAAAAAAAATGCTGGGGATTAATTCTCATCAGGCAAAATCAAGAATAGGAATTGTTCTAAATCCAAACCAACCTACATCCTGCCATTCAGTTTCCCTCCATTGGAAATGGATGAACATGTTCAGATCAGAGTGTAAATTGGCATGAACCTTCATCTGAAATGCAATAAAGTTAGAGAAGACTGGATGATTTTTAAAAATGTATCATTATTCATATCCAATGCTTCCTCTGCACTTCTGTGTACCATCTGGTCCTGATGGTCGAAGTGCCAAAATACCATAAGGAAAGTTGTTTTTGTGGTATTTCCAGTCCAACCAGAATCAAAAAGTACCAGAAATTTCTTGAGAAAAGCTGTTGTCATAGGACACAAAGCCCAGCTTGTCAAACCAAAGACTTTAAGAAAAGTAGCTGAAATCAAGCTACTGTCCAAATTTAAATGCTGAACAAAGAGAGGATGTTCTGGGTTTTGGGTTTACCAGATGTCTTGAGTGCACACACACACACACACACACACACACACACACACACACACACAATTTTTAAAAAAACACTCTACCAATTCATCATAAATGTATCCCATTCCTTTATAAGCTACAGTTCTCTTTCTACCCCTTTATTTCTTTATCCCTATTCTGTTTATGTATTGATTTTTAAAAAGAGTATGCATGGGTAAATGAAGTCATACAATTTCCAAAGACATCTGATTGGGGAAAAGAAGCATTATACAGACCCAGAGAATGGAATGCACCCAATTTAAAATACTTAATGGAATACGTGTAATAGGTACAAGAACTATCTGATATCACCCAGTTTATGAGCCCTTTGATATCCAAATAATTCATTTACACGTCTTTCTACTTCTATACAGGACATCACAGCTTGTCAAATACAAGAAATCTTGAATCTTAAAAGTCTCAATCTGTGCTCTAAACTTACTGCCCAGAAGGTTTAGAGTGGGCTGTTAAACTTGGCAACATTTTCGCTTCCATTCAAGCCCCAAACCTTCTGAGATATATTTGACACTGAGTTTCATGCAGCTTAATTTAGTTCAACTTAAAAAAAAAAATCTCTAAGTAGGGCAAGAGTTTAAGTGATGAATACTATCGTGTGACAATTAGTATGTTAAGGGTGAAAACTTACCATACATATTTTCTGCTAAAGGAAGTGTCTTATTATGCAAAGAACATAAGCTTTCATGTCAGACAGACATAGATTCAAATTCTGGTTCTCTGCCTGCCAGTTGTGTGACCTCGGGCTGGTTACTAACTGATCTTAAATTTCCTCATCTAAAAATAGCCAATTATTTTACCAGATTGTGGGGACCAAAGAGCTATTGAATATAAAGTTTTGGGGTATAGCAGGTGCTCCATCTTCTCATCAAATCTAGCTGTATATGAGGATGATAAAATAACAGACAGCTGAAGGGCAGATACTTAAGATGCTGCTTATTACAAAAGCACATTGTAATTCTTGCTTGAGTTCTTTTTCATCTATGGAAAGAAGAAAGAATGTCTCTGGGATATAACTCATATGAGTTTGGGAGATAATGATGATATTCTCCATTAGGAATATTACCTACTCAGTTCCCACAGGGAATGTTTTAAAATCTTTTATTGCATAAAATTGTAATGCCTTATGAGAGGCATGAGCTGACCCGAGATGCTACTGAATCCATGTAAAATACATCTTATGAGGGCATTATTGAATCACTTGCTATGCCCTTGGCCCAGTTTCAAAGAAGATCTTTTCCCAAGGACACCTAAAGAAGTCAAAACAGTTCAGGTCAATGTTTTAACTGAAAATAAAATTTATTTCTTCAAATTTGAGGGTAGTATTATCTGCATCTGGTATGTGCACTATAACCGTTGCTAGAATATGAAATCTGTTCCTAAACAAATAGTCCAACTTGTTACCTTGTCTTGGAACATTCACTTTCTGTTTTCAAATCACAGGCCCAACAAAAAACATCATAAAAACATGGACTTTATTGTTTTTCAGGGAATCATGACCTTGACACACCCAGGCTCAGTCCTTAAACTGAAAGCCTTAAATCCCAAAGCAGCGGCATCTAATCTTAAAGTTGTTATTGTCCTGTTTCTAACTCCTTTAGTTTGCATAACTTAACTTTTCTGCTCTCATAGTCTCTAGAATCCTTTCAATTGAATTGAATCACGGAAATCTCTCATTCCCCTGAAACTGTTTTTTCTTTATGTCAGTCCCGCATAACCCCGTTAAGAAAGCAATTAAAGTGTCATTCTATGAAGCACCAAAGGAGTGCAAAAAACTGCCTTTTGAAGAACTTTGCCTGAACCTTATTTCTTCAACATTGTGCAGACTGAGGGAGGATATGCAGCTGCTGGAAGTTGCTTTCTTAACTCCCTTCACCCAGCACTGGGGTTCATTGCTCAAGCAAAACTAATACGAAGACTTTTTATTATTTGGAATCAAAAAATACATATGTACTGTTCTTCTGCCTCGAGCTTTGAGACACTGTCTTATTAAGAATGCAATCTGTCAGGAATATCCAAGTACCTCCAAAGAGAACTCCGTTGTCTCTGTGTTATGTTACAATACTTTTATTACATGGTGACATTCCTGAGACAGCACCTGCTGCGTGGCTTTGGGCTCTGGCCAGAAATGAAAGGGAAAAGCAATGTGCGGTTTAAATCAGAGCGGCACAGCAATGCACGGCTGTAACAAATACCAGGGACTGAACAGTTGGGAGGGCCGAAGGAATCTCATTGTGTAGACGCTTGATTTCAGTGTGTAGGTGACTACCCCGGTCATTGTCAGAAACCTATAGACAGGCAGATAGTAGAGAAATACTTGCTTTCCTTTTTGCTAGATACATATACTTGGCATAATTTTTTACTTTTCCTCCCCTATACTTCTAGGGAGGTGGCTTTGGAAATTTGAAAAGGCTTTGTAGCTTGTAGCTTCAAGTATAGATTCTTAATAGTACAAAATGAAAAGTGAACATGAAAATATTGGTATTTGTGAAGCTTAATTTTGAATAAAAATGGTTATTAGAAAATATATATATTACAATACATAATATATGTATACAGGATAATATATCTTATATATAAATATATATTTTGTGTATATATACATATGTGTATATAATGTATACAATGTACATTATATTATATATAATATATACAATATACTGTATACTGTATATAATGTATACAATATATAATGTACACATAGTTTATACACTATATATACAAATAATATATGTATATATGTACATATATACATATATTAGATATTATATACAAATACTATGTAATATGTAATATGTGTATATTATTAACATGTGTACATATTACTATGTAATGTGTATATTATATACATATATATTTAATCTAATATACACAACATACATGTAGTATATTATATACACATATTACACATAATATATTAATATATAATATATACATATGACATACTATATTATATATACTTATATATGTTATATAAATTTATTCACATATATAATTTCCGTTGATGAGCTAGTAGATTTTGCCCTCTGGAGAAATATTTTGATGTTTCTAATCTTCTTCTTTATCAGTTTTTGTTGTAAATTATGTAGAATTTACAGAAACTAAAAGCTCTCGAATTTGTAGTTGTTTTTGAGATGATCAGATCATCAAATTTCATAATTTTCACTGACTGTTCCTTTTGGACCCTTCAGCAGCCATGGTTGGGCAGGGGTGGGGAGATGAACCAGGAAACCACACCCATGATGATGGCAGAGGTTAAAACTGTGAATTCCTATTTCTTATTTTTATTTATTCTATTTTAGAGATAGAATCTAGCTTTGTCACTCAGGAGTGCCGGGGCATGGTGATAGCTCACTGCTGCCTCAAATTCCCAGGCTCAAGCCATCCTCTTGCCTCAGCCTCCTGAATAGCTGGGACTACAGGCAAAAACCACCACACCCTGTCATTTCTTGATAATTAAGTATACTTCAAAGAAATAGTACTTGTTTGGAGAAATCAACTGCATCTGTTAAAAGAGAAGACTACAACTCCAATCTGGCAGTGTTTGCTCATTTGTTTGCTTGTTTTAAATAAAAACGAGGCTTAATTCAGAAGAAATCTTTGCTCAGAAATGGGACACTAAGTCATTCTTGTTTTCTAACTAAATTGATGGTGCACTGTTGTTGACTCTGGGGTTAAAGACTTCAGTAAGAAGCCTGCTTGGCCTTTTCTCCATACATCTGGTGACCTTAGAAAGTGATGACTTTATAGGATGTGACCACATGGCTCATACCACTGTGAGGTAAATGCAAAGCTCCCAGAAATCCCAGTGGGGGAGCAGAAAGAGTTATTATTCAGAAAGAGTTACTGGGTCACCACTGAACATGGTCCATAATATTTCTCCTCAAACTCAAATGAAAATTCAACTTGTTTTATGTAAGTTATAGAATATGTTCTAGCACCTATATGATTATTTCTCTCTCTCTCTCTCTCTCTCCGTGTGTGTGTGTGTGTGTGTGTGTGTGTGTGTGTGTAGTTTTATGGAAGAATGGAGACTTCATGTAATTTGAACACAAGAACCTCATTATGTTCTGTTTTGCATAACTTACCCTGTCTCCTCAGTAGGTCAGGAATGAAGTTAAGAAAAGAAGCAGGATTTCATGTCATGCATGTAGAATTCCAAGCTCAGTAACTGCTGTCTTTCTGTTTCTTCTGGGAATTCTTATCAATCTGATGGGCTTGTTTATAGTGCTAAATCAGAGTCTTAAAAGCCTCTATATGCTTTACTGAAACATGGAGTGCTTCTGAACTTTAAAATCAATTGCATCGATTCAATTCTAGAACATAAGTGAAGACTAATGGTTTTTATGTTCATTAACTTCTAATTTACATAAGATAGAAGATGTTAATATGGTCCCAGAGTCTTTGTGGGAAACCATTTTAGTCAAGCTAGAGAAAATGGGACTTCCACTTTCATTTGCAATGGATCAATATTCCCAAAATTAAAATATATAATCTTCAGATCAAATTCCACACTTCTTTTACCTTTTCTGTTACCAAAGAACATTTGTGAACTCTTGGTTGAGTCAATGTAGACTCTATCAGCTGCTCAGTTGCTTTTATAAATGGTTTTTCTCTTACGTTTTTCCAGAAGTTAAAATAAATTGACAAGTATTTGGAATGTTCTGAAATGTAGAAAAGTCTAACAGTCAAAATCAGAACTTAAGATAAAGGCAAAACTTGAAATATTTCCAATATGAATTACATTTAACTGAATTCTAAATATTTTAGAGGTTTTTCCCCTTGCAAATTAACAGTTGCTTTGTTTCTGACTTTTTAAAAAATTTTTGTTGGATACCAGAAATAATATTAGTGCAATGTGTAATTAGAAATAATACTAGTTGGGGCACATCTAAACCTAAACACAGATTGATATGGGAGTTAGAAGAATCTTAAATCATTTCTTAATCAAGTCCTGGATGTGATTTTCTTCTAGCCTTTGAATATTCTGCTTGTTTTCTTTGGAAAACAAGATAGGAATTACTTTCATTCTCCAAGTTAGCCTTCATTTGGAAAGTGCTGGATGTTTTCCTTGGGGTCATATTCCTTTTGTTTTTTTCATTCAACATTTCCATTTTTTTTATTGTTGAGGGGACAGGGTAGTGTTTGATCTGAGCAATATTTTATTTGTTCATGAAATAGTTTTAAACATACTTAGAATGGTTTCTAACTAATTTGGACTCCAAGTGAAACTCTACCACAGTTTTTGTGACTTTGGCCTATCTAATCGTTCCAAGATTCAATTTTCATACTTATAAAATGGGAACAATATTTCTACATCTTATTTTGGTTTGGAGAGGGTTATGTAAGATATTACTTGTAAATCAGCTGGTTCAATGACTGATATACATATATGTATATATACACACACACATATGTATATCTCCACAAACACACATGCGTATGTATGTATATATGTATGTATATATGTATGTATGTGTATATATGTATATATAGACATATATATGTGTGTGTATATATACACAGAGAGAGAGAGAGAGAGAGAGAAGGTGCTCAATAAATAATGGGATCTCATATCTTGGTCTGCTTATATTTTTGTCCTGAAGTCTACTTTTCTTGCCCCAAGTATTTTTCCTTACATGGGAATACAAGTGCATTCATGCTTTTATTTTCTATTTTGGTTGAACTCTGTGTATTCTCTGTAATTGCTTAGGGTCAGGTATGGCTGTATAAGACTGGGTACTCTACAATGGAACGACAACATGTAATGAAACCCAAATTAGGGTGTTAGAAATGACCCTATCTATAAAGAGGACACTGGGAGTGGAATACACATTTTCTAAAATGCTTCAGTTAAAAACAAAAGCAACAATACAAACAGAACAAAACAAATTCAGTTGCTTTAAGCCCCATTTATTATATTTGACTTTAAAAGTACAGCAGAAATTAAAATTATAAATATCTCATGACAAATAAAGTAACCCAGTTACTTACTTTTCCAAAACCATCTCATCCATTACCATGTTAATATATAGAAAGCTGTATACTTTCATATTTTTGAATGTTTATTTTATTCTTCATTGCCAACTTTCACACAGCTGCTTTGATAGATTATAACCAGGTTGCTTAAAAGCATTTGAGCTCATTACTTACAGTCACAAAGTTTCTACATGAAATTAAACGTTAATGTCAAATAATAAAAATCATCAGTTTTTTTTCACTGTTTCTAATATGCGTGATCAGAGTCCAAGCTGAGAAAGGTCACATTTTCAAGTCTTCAATCCATTTTGCATGTAAGAATATTCTGATTGGAAACGATTCTGAGGGGCTAAGAGATGTCTACAGGATCCAGGAAATCAAGGAAAAGATTTAATAAAGGATTATGGGGTTGGCCACATAGGATGATACTGGATACTTCCCAAATTGAAGAAGAGGCAGAAAAAACAGTGTATATGTGGCAGATATTAATTACAAATATGATGAGGGAAGGGGATCAGAAAGATCGTTGAATTATATGACAGTCAGTGACAATAGCCTTTGAAAAGAGAAGGGTTCCTATTGTTATTTCTACTCCCATGATCCTTATCATTAATGTGGTCGCTGCTGCTGCTGCTACTTCAACTAACCACAACTGTCAGCAAGACAGTTCAGGCGAAACAAGTAGTACATTCAGGTAAAACAGAAATTTGTATAATAGAGGAAACAAAATTAAAGTACATTACTTGGTTCAGGAGTGAACAATATTTACATAGTTATAATATGACAGATGCTGATTTAGTTCAAAATTGCAATTTAAATACTGGGAAGCTGGAGAGAAGATGTGCATATGTGCATGAGTGTATGTTTGGATGGTGTTTTAAAAATAGATATATCATCAAATAATAGAGAGAGATAAAGGAATAGCATCAGTATAGCAGTGTAAGTCTAATATTCAGAAATATGAAAGTAAATACCAGATGAAACAGATGTAAAGGTTGAAAGTACATGACCCTGTGTAGCAGGAGTGTACTAAGAGTTGAAATGAAAAGCAAACCAGAATTTTGCAACAAGTTTTTTTTGCTTTTTGCAAACTATAAAGGTAATAATTGTTTTAACAGACGTATGCTCATTAATCAAGTTGTAAAAATATTTTGAAAGCAAATAGTCGTAATCTCTCCATCCAGGAA
This sequence comes from Homo sapiens, assembly GCF_000001405.40. Classification (NCBI taxonomy): domain Eukaryota; kingdom Metazoa; phylum Chordata; class Mammalia; order Primates; family Hominidae; genus Homo; species Homo sapiens. Next base: position 85,236,152 of record NC_000014.9, on the reverse strand, counting down.
TGAGCACTATGTACTTTTGAGGTATGTTTTTTCCCAACTTTAAGGTTATCACAGTCTATGCAGGAGTCAGACACCAAAGTAGATCACACAACGAGGGAACAAGTGCAGTGAAAAAGACAGACAGGAAGAGAGTAGAGCAAACCCTAACCATGTGCATTTCTACTCACAAAAAGGAGAGTGTTGGACAATGGTGTCCTGGTAAATGTTTCACAAGTGGCTAGCTAAGAAAAATTTTACATGTGTATATGCTTGTATACATTTATTATAATTCAGATATAAAAGATAGATACATAGCTTGAGATTTAAAAAAATGAAATATATAACATATTCCTTCCTGTATTATTTTTTTTTTTTTTGAGACAGAATCTCACTTGGTTGCCCAGGCTGGAGTGCAGCGACACAATCTCGGCTCATTGAAACCTCTGCCTCCTGGGTTCAAGTGACTCTCCTGTCTTAGCCTCCTGAGTAGCTGGGATTACAGGCATGCGCCACCACGCCCAGATAATTTTTGTATTTTTAGTAGAAACCGGGTTTTGCCATGTTGGCCAGCCTGGTCTCGAACCCCTGACCTCAGGTGATTCGCCTGCCTTGGCCTCCCAAAGTGCTGGGATTACAGGCATGAGCCACTGCACCTGGCTTCTTTTTGTAAATTCTATGCAGTTGATGAATGAAAAATTCTGACACAAATGTTGGTTAATATTTTTATTAAGATGAAAGAGAAACGATGAAGATGTATGCTGGAACTTCCCTCACTTGTCAATGGCATGAGAAACTTCTTGGCTGAATCTGATGGTGGTTTTTAAATACTGGCATATTTCCTAATTTTTTTTGTGTTATTGATAATGTAAAAGCTATAGATATATTATAGTTTTAAAGTTTAATTTGCATTATTATAATTTTATTCATCATTTTCTTAAGCCTAATCAACAAAACAAAAAATTAAACCTTCATTTGTAATATTTTCTGATTTCTATGGTATAAATTCTTTCATTCCAGCCAGTGTAATGCTAGCGAATGTGGAATTAGGAAGAGATGTGTTCATTTTTACATACATTTCTGTCATAAAAATACAATAAGTGTAAGTAACCTGAAGAGAATAAATACAAAACAAAATGGCATAAATAATTAGAAAGTGATGGGTTTAAGTATATTTCGCTTTTGTTTTTCATATAATTTATTTAATCACAAATTCACACAAATTAATTTTTATTACTGCCTGTGTTTAGTTACCAGCTCATAAAGTTCCTGAAGATGGATAATTTTTTCTCATGAGCTTCCAGGAGCTGGTGTCAGCACACCACTGTTTGTCTGATGAGTGAGTAACACTTCCTGGAGAAGGTGAAACCTCAAGTGAGTCTTAACAGGTAAGTAGGAATCAGCTGCTCGATGGTCTTGTGGATGGAAAAGAAGATAAACGCTAAAGCAAAGTGGCTAGATAACGGCGAGGGAAAGGCAATGTGTGGATGGAAATATAAGCAGGTTTGTATTTGCTGAGATGAAATTCTCAGAAAGCAAAGGCGTGATAAAAAAAAGATCCTGCAAACTGCATCAAGGAACTTAGAATTTATCCTATAGGCCATGAGGAGCTGTTGGAGGATTTAAAGCAGGAGAGTGAATTATTTAGATTTATGGCTGAAGCATGATCTTCTGGCCAAGCCTTGTAGAATGAACATGAGAAGGAGCAAGACTTAAGACACAAAAACCAGTTGGGAAGCTGTTGCAGTGCTTTAGAGAAGTGATGATATGTGCTGATTCAGGACAGTTGTATTTAAGAAAGAGGAGGTGATACATGCCAGAAATATTTAAGAGGTAAAGTCAGCAGGGCCAGTGATTAATTAGAAGAACGCAGGGGTGAGGGAGAGGGAAAAGTCAATGATGGCTTCCCAGTTTTCAGCTCAGTTTATAAATTATGGATCGACGGCCAATAAATGGAGTCAAGGAAGAGGATTAGATTTCTGGGCTATGCTGATTAATTCAGCGTCCTTATGTACAGTTTCAGTCATTATGGAATATCCATGTGGAAATACCTCGCAGTTCTGGCTGAAGATAAAATTTAGTGCATGACTAATATACAGGTGTTAGTAGATGAGCTCCGGAGGGAAAAGCGGGCGAAGTAAAAGGTAGGAAACAAAGCATAACTTGAAGATGCATCTGCACGTAGAGAATCAGCAGAAGAAAAAAGGCCAGTAATGCAGACAGAAGGACTGACCGGAGAGGTGAGAAGTGAATAGGAGAACGTGAATCATGTAGTACAGGAAGAAACACTGTTTAAAAAGCCAGCATGACTCACGCCTGTAATCCCAGCACTTTGGGAGGCCAAGACGGGCAGATCACGAGGTCAGGGGCTCGAGACCAGCCTGTCCAACGTGGTGAAACCCTGTCTCTACTAAAAATATAAAAAATAGCTGGGCGTGGTTGTGGGCGCCTGTAATCCCAGCTACTCAGGAGGCTGAGGCAGGATAATTGCTTGGACCTGGGAGGCAGAGATTGCAGTGAGCAGATTGTGCCACTGCACTCCAGCCTGGGGGACAGAGCGAGACGCCATCTCAAAAAAATAAATACATATAAAAGCCAGCATGGAGAAATAACGTCAACAGTGCCAAATGAATTGTGTATGCCATTTGTATATTTATACCTCAAATTAAAATATATTTCACATGTCATAAATATGATCTTGATTGATGTTCTTGCTTTTAGAAAATTTTAGTGCACAAATAGTATGGATTTATTGTGAAATAATGATAAAATATACACATATAAAAGAAGAAACACTTTTTATCCCACTTCTGAGTTAATAGCTGTTAAGATTTCGAATTTAAGTGATTCTTGAACTTTTCTGTATATGTGTGCATGCACATACATATCCAAATTAATGTATTGTGTTTAATTGATAGGAAAATGCACTTATTCAATATTTTAATGACTACATATAATACTCATTATGTGGCTGTATTATACTTTATATAACCTATACCCATTGTTAAACACTTTAAATTATTATTATTACTTTCACCTACTATAAGAAGCATAATAAACATCTTTGTGCTTAAAGCATTTATATGTAATTTTTTTTTCCTTGAAGAACAATCTCTAAATGTAGAATTAACTAAGAATATAAAAAACTTTTATGGATTTTGACACATTTTGCCAACATGCTTCTTAGAAATATAGGTCTGACGAGATTTTCACCAGCACTTGTAAATGGTGCTCATTTCTCCAAGACCTCATCAGTGCGGAATATTCCCAGATTTTATCTATATTTAAAAATATTAATAGTATCCATAGATCTTTCACCTACAACCAAAAAAAAAATCTTGAAGCCAAATATTTTTATGGCATTTTATAAACTAGTTGTAAAACCAGGATGAACTAAGAGTAGCAGATGATACCATATTTCGGTCAGGTAGATTTTCACAGCCTTCAGTGTGCAGCCTCTGTTGCTGAGTACTTCCCCTGAGTGTGCCTTGTTTCCACTTCTGCACTTTTATTCAAACTACTGTATGCACTGCTTGTTCAGACAGCCTTCTCGCTCTTCTCCTTGTCCAAGTTGTACATTTGTTCAACTCATTTTTGAAAAATTCTCTTATAAATGCCTATAGAGCTTTGAATTTTTAAGCCATAATTAATATTCAGTTACATATTTTCTTGAGTAGTGTGTTCACTTACTTTTCTTACATGGGTTACAAGATCATAAGGGAAAGGACCATAGCACGTAGTGAGTCCTAGTCTGTCATCTGTGAATCACATTCTTGCATGACAATGGATAAGCAATAAGGAAACACAGGGAAGAATAACGCAAAATCATGAGCATGTTACTAACTTTGGCTTTGTACTAATGAATTGTCTATTCTAATACAATTATTTGAAAAGAAAATGAGCATTTTATAGACTTAAAAAAAATTGAGCAGCTTTCCCAATGATTTTGGAAAAGTTTTGACCTATCGTGTGTGTGTGTGTTTGTGTATGTGTGAAAGAGAGAGATGTTGTAGGTTATAGAGGGTATGTGGATAGGAGAAGGGACAGATTTAGATGATTTATTTTACAGATATAAAGGCTAAGGTAAAGAAATGCTAGGTGAGTTTCTTCAAACACAAAGTTGGTAGGAGAGATGTTGATCCTGAACTTAGATCTGCTGACTTTCTGGTTAATGTTAGTTTTATACCATCAGACTCCATCCTTAACATGTATATTTTTAATTCATGTATAGTGTATTTAGAAAAGATTGATAAAATTGACAATTTAGATTCAAACCTGAAATATAAATATTCCAGTAATCTTAAGTGATTGGAACCACAGAGTAACTTAAGGGACTTCACGAGTTTTCCATTTTTTATTATCTCTGCTAAAGCAAATATCTTCTCTATCTAAATATCCATTTTGCATTTTCTTGGTATTTTTTTCTCTTTTTATAATCACTTTCAATTGAAAACATGGTAATCTCCCAACAACAACAACAAAAAAGCCCAAGACCAGATGAATTCACAGCCAAATTCTACCAGATGTACAAAGAACTGGTACCAATCTTACAAAACTGTTTCAAAAATCAAGGAGGAAAGAATCCTCCCTAACTCATGCTATGAAGCCAGTATCACCCTGAAACAAAAGTCAGGCAAAGACACAATAAAAAAGAAAAGCTAACATCTCTGATGAACATAAATGCAAAAATCTCCAACAAAATACTATTAAACCAAATCTAATAGCAAATTGGAAAGATAATATACTGTGACTAAGTAGCTTTTATTTCAGGGATGCAAGGATGTTTTAATATATGGTTTATAATGGTGAATCAATAAATGTGATTCACCAAATAAATGGAATTAAAAACAAACACCATGTGATCATTTCAGGAGACCCAGAAAAAGTATTTGATAAAATTTAGCACTCCTTCATGATTAAAAACCCTCAATAAACTAGGCATAGAAGGAACATACCTCAAAATAATAAAAGCTGTATATGACAAACCCACAACCAACATTACTGAATGGGAAAAAGTTGATAGCATTTCCCCTAAGTACTGGAATAAGACAAGTATGCCCATTTTCACCACTACTATTCAACATACTATTAGAAGCTCTAGCCAGAGCAATCAGGAAAGAAAAAGAAATAACAAGCATTCAAACTGGAAATGAGGAAGTCAAATTATCTGTGTTTGCTGCTGCTGATGTAATCTGATTCCTAGAAAATCCTAAAGACTCTTCCAAAAGACTCCTAGATTTAACACATAAATTTATTAAGGATTCAGGGTACAAAACCAATGTAGAAAAATCAGTAGTCATTGTATATACTGATAGTAACCAAGCTGAGATCCAAATCAATAACTCAATCTCATTTACAATAGCTAGAAAACCAAACCAAACCAAACAAAAACCTAGGAATAGATTTAGCCAAAGAGGTAAAGGATCTCTACAAAGAAAACTACAAAACACTGATGAAAGAAATTGTAGATAATAAAAGCAAATAGGAAAACATTCCATGCCCATGGGTTGGAAGAATCAATATTGTTAAAATGATTATACTGGCCAGGCGCGATGGCTCACACCTGTAATCCCAGCACTTTGGGAGGCCGAGGCAGGTGGATCACGAGGTCAGGAGGTCTAGAATATCCTGGCTGACACGGTGAAAACCCGTCTCTACTAAAAATACAAAAAATTAGCCGGGTGTGATGGGGGGTGCCTGCAGTCCCACCTACTCAGAAGGCTGAGGCAGGAGAATGGCGTGAACCCGGGAGGCGGAGCTTGCAGTGAGCTGAGATCGCGCCACAGCACTCCAGCCTGTGTGACAGAGTGAGACTCCTTCTCAAAAACAAAAACAAAAACAAGAAAAAAAGTTTATACTACCCAAAGCAATCTACAGATTCAGTTAATTCTTATCAAAATACCAACATCATTTTTTCACAGAACTAGAGAAGCAATCCTAGGGCCGGGGGTGGTGGCTCACTCCTGTAATCCCAGTACTTTGAGAAGATGAGGCAGGGGGATCACCTGAGGTCAGGAGTTCCAGATCTGCCCGATAAACATGACAAAACTCCATCTCTACTAAAAATACAAAATTAGCCAGGTGTGGTGGTGGGAGCCTGTAATCCCAGCTACTTGGGAGGCTGAGGCAGGAGAATCGCTTGAACCTAGGAGGTGGAGGTTGCAGTGAGCCGAGATTGGGCCATTGCACTCCAGCCTGGGCAACAAGAGCAAAACTCTGTCTCAAAAAAAAAAAAAAAAAGAAAAGAAAAACAATCCTAAAATTCATATGGAACAACAGCAACAAAAAGCCAGCCAAAGCAATCCTAAACAAAAAGAACAAAGCTGGAGGCATCATATTACCTGACTTCCAATTACACTACTATAACACGGTAACCAAAAAAAGCATGGTACTAGCATAAATATACACAAAAAGATCAATGGAACAGAATAGAGAACTCAGAAATAAAGTCACATACCTACAACAAGCTGATCTTCAACAAAGTCAACAAAAACATACACTGGAGAAAGGATACCCTAATCAATAAACGGTGCCAGAAAAATGGAGTTGCCATATTTAGAATAATGAAACTGGACCCATATGCTTCACCATATACAAAAATTAACTCAAGATGGATTAAACACTAAAATGTAAGACCTGAAGCTTTAAAAATCCTAGAAGCAAACCAAAACAAAACTCTTCTGGACGTTGGCTAAGGCAAAAGATTTATGACTGAGACCTCGAAAGCAAATGCAAGAAAAACAAAAACAGACAAATGGGACTTCATTAAACTGAAAAGCTTATGCACAGCAAAAGAAATAATCAACAGAGTAAACAGCTGACAGAATGGGTAAAAAATATTGGCAAATTATGCATCTGACAAAGGACTACTATGCAGAATCTAAAAGGAACTCAAACAAGTTAACAACCAAAAAAACAAATAAATCCATTAAAAGGTGGGCAAAGGATATGAACAGACATTTTTCAAAAGAAGACATACAAATAGCCAAAAAACATATGAAAAATGTTCAACATCACTAATCATCAGGGAAATGTAAATTAAAACCACAATGAGCTATCATCTTGTATCAGTCATAATGGTTATGACTAAAAAGTCAAAAAACAACAGATATTGGCAAGGATGCAGAGAAAAGGAAATGCTTATACACTACTGGTGGGACTGTAATTTAGTACAACTTCTATGGGAAATAATATGATGATTTCTCAAGAAATGAACAATAGAACTTCCATTTAATCTAGCAATCTCACTAGTGTGTATCTACCCAAAGAAAAAGGATTTGTTATAAAACGATGCCTGCACTCATATGTTTATCACAGCACTATTTACAATAGCAAAGACATGTATTCAACCTGAGTGTACATCAGTGGATGATTCTAAAAAGAAATGTAGTGTGTGTGTGTGTGTGTGTGTGTGTGTGTGTATATATACATTTATATTTGTGTATACACACATGTGAGCGTGCGCACACACACAACGTCAAATACTAAGTAATAAAATAGAATAAAATCATATCTCTTAGAGCAAAATGGATGGAACTGGAGACCATTATTTTAAGTGAAATAACTCAGAAACAGAAAATCAAAAACCGCTTGTTCTCCCTTATACGTTGGAGCCAAACAATGTATACACATGAACATAGAGAGTAGAATAATTGGAGAAATTGGAGACTCACAAAAATGGGGAGTGAGGGATGAGAAATTGCCTACAGGTTACGACTCTGTTTGGGTGATGGTTATATTGAAAGCCCAGGCTTCACTACTACACCGTACATACATGTAACACAATTGCACTTGTACCACTTACATTTATAAAAAATATGGATATAATTTAATAAAAATAAACAAATAAATATATAGGTAATGTGGCTTTGAGTTATCATTATACCTCGAAGGCAATACATTGCATTTGCTATGGCAAACCCTATAATGCATCCTTATACAAATAAAACCACATGTATCAAAAAACCTGTTTAGAAAGGAATGCCCCACATCTTCCCTGAACAGAGTTTAATAGTTCTGTGTGTGTATATATTTTTGCACATAAACTCTTGTGTAGCAAGTTATAAAATTAAAGATATTTTAATGATGCTAATGATGATAGATAAGCTTCCTCTTTAGTGATTGATAACAATTTTACAAGCCTGCATATCTTGGTAAATGTTGGCTCTTCTGTATCTTCATTCTTACATATGCCTGTATATATGGATATCTGTTTGTAGAAGCATGTATTCACATATACACTCAACATGTATCTGTGGATGTATATACAGTGTTATTGAGATAAACACTTAGAGAAAAATATTTCCCTTCTTGGTTACCATCAAGTGATATGATCTGATAGTTTTCAAAACCACATTAAGAAACCTTTGATTTATAAGTTTGCCATGCAGAGATATCTCTTTGCATGTTTAATTTTATCAGCAATTAGACCTCCAGGGGAGTTGTAACAAATGCATTCAGCTCAGTGGTTGGCTCTTCCCATCCTCCTGGTGCACCTTCCCAGTCCTTTCCAGTCCACATGTCCTGTGGACACCCTGGTACCGATTAGTGGAGTCTACATAATTGTCAAATCTGGATGTCAAGGATTTTTCACTTTGACCTCTAACCTCAACTCTCCTGGTGGAGAAACACATATCTTTCATCTCCTCCACCTGCCTACTTGGATACCCTTTCTGTAATGAAGGAGACCTTGTAATAGCAAGGACTCCTGTTTCAAGCTGGGCTCTGTTTCTTTCTTCATATCCCTGAGATGTAATTATCTCATGATAAGCACCTTTGTGTCTAATGACTTAATTAGTTAATCACATAAGTGCTGTAAGTGATGTTTTGTGTGATGAAAGTTTGCAATATGTAGTAAATCATCAATGTTCCTCTATGCTGGACAGGAAAGCAGACCACTCAGTCTGGGAGTTTAATTTCTGTCTCCTCCAGACAGGTCATTTTTGTGTGTGGGTTAGTAGAGGTGGGAGAAAAAATACTGCTTTATGTTGAACAGATGGGGGAGGGTGTAATAGTGTTTTCCTGAGCCCTGACACTGTTTAGTCTGCCCTACACATGTACACACAGATTTTAACATGTAATTGCTGCTTTTTCCCAAAATAAGGCCCATTAGCTGGAAAGCAGCAACAGCTGTTAGAATGCTGTGGTTTCACTTTTTTTTTCTTTTTTCTTTACTGTATTTATGTGTATTGTGGATGTGTTTAGCAGGTAAAAATTAGCATTTTGGGGACCAAAGCATTTCTGTTTTATTCCCACAACCAGAGGCACACACTTAAGTAAAAATGACTTAATACGTTATTTTGTGTAGGTCATTAAGCAATTTGGAGTGACCTTCTCTACAAATGTAACCTGACTTCCAGTGAATCAGTAGACCTGTAGGGTTGGAAAGGTCTAATACCTTTCCTCACCCATCATAATTGTTACGGCCGATACTCCTATAGCAAAAGTTAGGTTAACAAGAGAAAAACACAACACATTTATTTAATCAAAGTTTTATGTGACACAGGAGCCTTCAGAAAATGAAGGCTAAGATCCCAGGAAAACTATCTGTTTTTATGCTTAGATTTGATGAAAGATAGGCAGTCATGTAGAAATGGGATTGGACAAAATGGTATGAACTACTGGTTAGAGAGTGAGTAGGGAAAAACCCAGCAAGGCCTGTCCAGATTCTCCTTAGCCTCTCTGTGCCTCATTCCTTCCTCTAGGTTATGCGGTAGGACTCCTCTGGAATGAGGATCATCAACGGAGAAGACAGAAGGGAGACAGTGAGCTTTCGAGGTTTTATGGCTTGCTTTGGAGGAGAGAACCTCTAGTTTCTATGACCAACTTGGAGAAGAGGAATTTTGGTTTCTATCACAAGCATTGGTGGAAAAGGCGGGTGGGAGATAAGAGGATGACAGAAGGTCAGAGAGACCTTGCTTATGAGGTCTTGCCTTCCAATGTCCTTTAGATCAAAGTAGTCAGCATGCGGAGGTGCCATACTTCAGGATATCAGGTTCTGGGCCTCAACAGACCCATTACTATCTTGCTTCCTGCAATCGGTTTATGAAGAAGGGTTTTGCTGTGAATTTTGACAAATGATTTTTTTTGTTTTTGTTTTTGTTTTTAGACAGAGTCTTTCTCTGTCACCCATGCTGGAATGCAGTAGCGTGATCTCAGCCCACTGCAGCCTCCGCCTGCCGGGTGCAATCGATTCTCCTGCTTCAGCCTCCCAAGTAGCTGGGACTACAGATGCCCGCCACGAGGCCCAGCTATTTTTTTTTTTTTTTTTTTTTGCATTTTTATCAGAGACGGGGTTTCACCGTGTTAGCCAGGATGGTCTCGATCTCCTGACCTTGTGATCTGCCTGCCTCGGCATCCCAAAGTGCTAGGATTACAGGCGTAAGCCACTGCGCCCAGAAGACAAATGCTGTTTTTAAAATATGCACTCTGCCACAGTGTGTTAGCTCAAAAATAAAATTAAGAAAAGAAACTATTGCAGATTGGCGTAAAACTGTATCTTTACAGTTTTCTTTTTTCTTTTCTTTCTTTTTTTTTTTTTTTGAGACGATGTCTTGCTCTGTCACCCAGGCTGGAGTGCAGTGGTGCGATCTCCGCTTACTGCAAGCTCCATCTTCCGGGTCCACGCCATTCTGCTGCCTCAGCCTCCCTAGCAGCTGGGACTACAGGCGCCCGCCACCACGCCTGGCTAATTTTTTTTTGTATCTTTAGTAGAGACGGGGTTTCACCATGTTAGCCAGGATGGTCTCCATCTCCTGACCTCATGATCTGCCCGCCTCGGCCTCCCAAAGTGCTGGGATTACAGGCGTGAGCCACCGCGCCCAGCCTCTTTGCAGTTTTCTAACTCTCTGCTCAGATATTCTTATATTCAAATATTAAATAGTTATTTTCTATTAATTAAATAGTTGTAAAATATAAGAAACTGGCCAACTTTTAACTAGTCCTACTGTTAGCTTGAATAATTATAGAATATTTTAACCTGTCTCCTCTCAATTATTTTGGACTTTTTTTTTTAACTTAATTTTTAACTTTTCCAGAAAGGTTTCTGGAATCACACTAGCCTAAAGTAACATTTCTTTTATCCTAAAATTTGATAGCATTCTCTATACCACTTATTTGTCAGTTATATTCATTCATTCATGCACTTATTTATTCTCATTTAACAGACATAAAATATCTACATTTCCAGTGCCAGATCTTTTGTTGTATTGAATGATTATTTTTTTGATGAGGATAAAAGTGCCATTTACCTTTTTGTTTCCTGACTTATTGTATCATACAACAAGGTTACAAACTTAAGTGTCAAGGCCTCACACACTGTAGACATGCAATACTTACTGAATTCTTTTTTTTAACTGATTTTAGATGGATGCAGTGGCTCTCACCTGTAATCCTAACACTCTGAGAGGCCGAGGCAGGAGAATTGCTTCAGCTCAGGAGTTCAAGACCACCCTGGGCAACAGTGCAAGACCCTATCACAAAAAATAAAAAGAAAGAAAAGAAAAGAAAAAGATAACTTGATTTTTCCAGAGACTAAATATCCAATAAAAAACTTCCTTTTTATTGTTGAAGTTACTACAAATAAATTTTACATTGAATGTTTGTACATTCTTTATATTTTGCTGTTGGAAGAAGTCTAACAGCTGACCCAAATTAAATGCTGCAAAGCATGCTGTTTAAGAAGAATGCTGTGTGGCTCAAGCCCAAAAGGTCACAGAGAAGCATATAGTTTCTCATAGCATGCAGAGATGAATGCAAGGCGTAGGCAAGGATTTATGCATTTGAGTAGAGAAGCGACGGAAATGTTTGCAAGCCCAACTGAACCAGAAGAGCAGCAATTTCTGACAGATGATGGTAATACATCTTAAAGCACTATAATAAAACTTTCCAAGTAAATTTGTATTAATTTAAGTTGTTTTTAAGAGGACTCATGATCAATGGTGTATAGACAGAAAGGGGGTAATCACTTTTCTCCCCATCATAAAGAGTCATAGCTGATACCCCTGTAACAAGAGATAGTTTAATAATAGAAAAAAACATAATGAATTTATTAGTATGCAGAATGCATGGCAGCCACAAAATAATATAAAAAAGTAAAAAAGAAAGAAAAAAGAGCCAGATGGTTGATGCTTAAATATCCTCTTCACTGGGGAGAGGGGTGGGGAGCCCATAAATGAATGGGCTCAAAGACCAGCATGGATTTGTAAATGATTCTCTTTGGATGCCAAACGGGACTGAAAGACAAACAATAGTATTTGGACAAGTTACAGAAAGGTGAGGGACAGAACAGCCTTCCCAGCAAAGGTTTTCTTCTTATGCAGATACAGTCCCTCAAGTAATCTCTTAAAGCTGCCCTCAGCAGAACAGATGAAAAGTCAGTCCGGCCATGGTGACAACCCTCAGTCTCTTCTCTCTGGTGGTTAAGTTCTCCCGGGCATTTAATAGGATTCCCAGGGAGGAGGCTTAAAGACAATTGCATTTGTTTTAGTAGAAATTTTCTCACTCAGATAAGAGAATTTCCAGAGAGATCCTCTCTGGTGCTTTGGGAAAAAAGGGATCAGAGAGACAGGGAGGTGAAGGAAGTTCAGAAAAGGATTTTAAGGCTGCTTTTTTTATTTCAGCATATTAATGTGCTATATTCTGAGACAAAATGATGACAACTTCCTTAGCCTCATTTTCTTAAACTGTGGTGATCACCAGAATTACCTAGGAAACTTGTTACACATTTGGGTACACCACTTTTGTTTAACTATAGCAGCAATTGTTGGTTTGCTTTAATGAATTATCAGACTTGGGAAAGACTTTCAAGACAATACAATTCAGTGACTTTTTTTTTTTTTTTTCTTGAGGTGGAGTCTCTGTCACTGAGGCTGGAGTTCAGTGGCGTGATCTTGGCTCACCGCAACTTCCGCCTCCCGAGTTCAAGCAATTCTCCTGCCTCAGCCTCCCGAGTAGCTGAGATTACAGGTACCAGCCACCATGCCTGGCTAATTTTTAGTAGAGACAAGGTTTCACCATGTTGACCAGGCTGGTCTTGAACTCCTGACCTCAGGTGATCCATCTGCCTCAGCTTCTCAAAGTGCTGGGATTACAGGCGTAAGCCACTGCACCCAGCCAATTCAGTGATTTTTAAAAGTTGCAGTTCTTGCCTTAAAACTAAAAATTCCAAATATTTGAAACCATTCTATAGATTTGGACTTGATCCTTAGGAGTGAAAGGTTGGAGTTAAGACTCAAAAGAGAGGTATTCTGTAGATACGGAAGCAAAAGAGAAAAAAGGAAAACTGACCCTGAATACAACAATGTGAGGAGGGAGTTAGTGTCTCCAGAAGTGTAAACAAAGAAGTCCCACCGTAAGTCTCCAATGAGTCAGATTTCTGGCAAATGTTAGGTGGTCACACGTTGTCAGATAATCCCCAGTCCATCAAGTTGTGGACTATTGGAAGAAAGAAATCCATCCTTTCATCCATAAATATGTATACAGCAGAAATAAAAGAAACAGAGGGAAAGCTTTTTGATAATGATAGATTTAATCAGAATCTTGTAAAAAAAAGCAAGGCTTCTGATAGGGTTAGGCAACAGAAGCAAAGCCTCTTTATAAGGTAATGAGCTATTCACCAGTTTGACTTGCCTCAGTGAGAGGGACCATTATCTGCCTTAGGAATACTAGAAAGAACATTAGCATAACAGAGCAGTTTACCTCACGGGTGATGCTCCTTCAGGTTATTCATGGAAATAAGTTTTACTGATTTCTGGAAGATGGCTCTGTGCAATCTGCATGGGTAATTTTGAAGAAGAAAATGGATATATAACCAGCCAAGTTCTCAGATGCTATAGGTGACATATTAGATTACCATAAATCCTCCAAAAGAAGGCTTTCTGAAATCACATAGATGGAAGAAAAATCCTCAAAAGCAACCAGCAAAACAGGGAGCTTATAGAATGTTCTTGTACAGGGGCTGGGCATCTACTAAACTAAAAGCTGATGGGTTTCAGAACACACTACTAAAAGTATGGTGTCTTGGCACATTGAATACTTTCATTATTTATTTACTTATGTATTTATGTATTTATTTATTTAAGATAGAGTCTTGCTCTGTTACCCAGGCTGGAGTGTAGTGACGTCATTTTGGCTCACTGCCACCTCTGCCTCCTGGGTTCCAGTGATTCTCCTGCTTCAGCCTCCTGAATAGCTAGGATTACAGGTGTGTGCTACCACACCTAGCTAATTTTTGTAATTTTATTAGAGATGGGGTTTCACCGTATTGGCCAGGCTGGTCTCAAACTCCTGACCTCTGCCCATCTCATCTTCCCAAGGTGCTGGGATTACAGGCATGAGTCACCGCACCCAGCCTGAGTATTTTAAGTGGAAGGAATTGAGAAGTAACAGGTGCTGGAAGAATTCTCCAGCTTTCCCCTTCTCTCCTAAAGAAAGACTCTCATGTGAGAGGTACCTTCCCTATGCCCAGGGGAAAGGAGCATCCTAATTCCTAAAGATGAAGGGATGCCAAGGAATCAAAACAGGTCCTGCTGAGTTTCCCCCATTTACTGCCCTTAGATCATTTCCTTTTCTATCATAGTTTCCCGTGACTTTTCACTCTTGATCAAACATAGTATAAAAATGCTTATGCTTAAAGAAATTGTGAAGATCTTCATTTCCTTATGAAAGAAATGAGTCATGTAAAACTTAAATAAATCTGCACGTTTTTCTCTTGCTAATCTGTCTTTCATCAGTCTCACTTGGCCTAAGCTAATGAAATTAAGGTGTAGAAGATAAATATTTCTCCCCCTTTACAGCGCTAAGCTCCTAATAAATGTTTATATTTTTATATTTATAAAACATATTAAAATATATTTCTATTTATAAATTCATTTAAGGACAAAAGAAAAGATAGAATAATATTTCAATTAAGGTAATTACATAATGATACCGCAACTTAATATAGTTTTTAAAATTAGCACAGTACCTAGCACAACAAACTTTGTTGGAGAAAATCATTGAAACAAATGAAGAAAAGATAAAGAAAACTGATAGCACAACTCTTTCTTTTTAAATTATTATTTTGTGTGATATGATACACTACAAAATAATCCCTATGTTAATTGTTGCCAGTAATAGGTACCTTGTCATAGCCAGCTCTTATATCCTTAGCACAAAATCAGTACTTGAAGCAGAAAAGTAGAATAGTATGAGGAGTGAGATGTACTATCATCTGTACTGTCATCTCCCTACTGATGGCGGAGAAATTAGAGGAGCTGATGGTGAAAGTTCAGAATGTCCATGTCAGCTTCAGTCTTTATTCTCATCACTTGGAAAGCAGATGACCTTGAACATTGTTGAGCCAGTTGAAAACCTGAGTCACTCAAAGTTCTATATTCCAATTTTCCCAAAGAAAGTCTAGGATATTGGATTAAATTGTGTTTTGTTTTTTTTTTATATTTTCTCTTTGCATTGAAACTGCTATAAGCAATCCCTATCAGGAAATTCTTCTTCATGCCTAACCCTAAACCATTATGCTATAACTGATGCTCATGTTCATTATTTCTGTCCTCAGTAGTGATTAAAATCAGCTGATAGTTGCAGCAAACCACTATGGCACATGTATACTTATGTAACAAACCTGCACATTCTGCACAGGTATCCCAGAACTTAAAGTAAAATCAAAAAAAAAAAATAGATAAAAATGGCAGGGCGTGGTGGCTCACACCTGTAATCCTAGCACTTTGGGAGGCCAAGATGGGCTGATCCCCTGAGGTCAGGAGTTCGAGACCAGCCTGACCAATATGGTGAAACCCCGTCTCTACTAAAAATACAAAAATTAGCCGGGCATGGTGGCACAGGCTAGTAGTCCCAGCTACTCAAGAGGCTGAAACAGGAGAATTGCTTGAACCCGGGAGGCGGAAGTTGCAGTGAGTTGAGATTGTGCCATTGCACTCCAGCCTGGGCAACAGAGTGAGACTCCGTCTCAAAAAAAAAAAAAAAAAAAAAAAATAGAACTATATGTATAAAAATAAAATTAAAAAAAAAATAACCAGCTGGCTGCAATGTGCAGTTTTAAGATGCTCACAGAACCTTCCCCATAATTGGAGGGTGTTATTAAGTTGTCCCTCAGACTTCACATTCCCAGGCTAAATAATCTCTGTTCTTTAACTTTCCTTATTACCTTGATTCTTTTTATCTGTGAACCATTAGTGTGGCTCTATGAAGGTGCTTGCTCTAGGTGCAATACTTAGTACTATTTTCCTATGAGTTCCACATGCCGAGCTCCCATTAAAGCCAGGAAAGAAAGCAAAACAAAGCCAACTACAGGCCAAGGAGACTTTGGAAAGGAGAGCTGGCTAGGAACAGAGGGAACAAATTAGAGTGGTACAAGGTCAAAGGGGGACGATCAGAGTGGTTGTAGGTCAGAATCATGCATTCTTAGAAGACCTGTCAGTTGAGGATGGTAAAGTCTAGACAGCAAACTGTGGTATTCCAAAAGGTAGGCAGATATTAAATAGTCTACGTCACATATTCAGGGTTCAGGAGCACAGGCAAGAAGCCTGAACATCAGAGGATCTGGACGTCTGGACCAGGAGTACTGGCCAAACATGATTAACAAAAAGGCAGAAGACATGAGAAACACTCTCAATACAGGGAGCATCAAGAGAAGAAGGAAATGTATATACTGAGACAAAGCTTTTCTTCCTAGGGGGAGCATTTCCTTCCTTCCCTTACAGGAGCAAGTCTTAAGACTTACTACGCAGCCCCGCTCTATCCACTCTTATAAGCTAAGTAACTGTGCACAGTGGCTGGAGAAAGAAGTGTGAAAAGCTTTTTAAAAGTCCACAATTTCATTAGCCATTATTATTAAGTATTCATTTAACAAATATTTATTGCATACTGTTAACAAAATGTAATTGGGAAGCCATTAGGCTGAGATGGCTCCAGCACTGTGGGTTCCCACATGGGCAAACTGAAACCCAAGGTAAACAGTAAAATGAAACTTAAGCTTAACCAATCAGAAACTACCAACTAATCTCCAAGCAGGGACTTTCCATAAGATTATACCCAAATAAGGCAAATGCCTAGCTGTAGCAAATCAAGTAATTTTTTTACTTTGCTCCCACATTTACCTATAAGAAGCCTACTGCTAATGCTGCAAAGTGGACTCTCTGAACCTCTTCTGATTCTGAGTGCTGTCTGATTCATGAATTGTTCTTTGTTCAAATAAATTTTGTTAGATTTAATTTGCTTAAAGTTTTGCTTTTAACAGTACTTACCACTCACCAAATGCTAAGTCTATATTTTAATTCTGGACTATTCCCCCAAATTACGTTCTTATTTTCATTTATATGATGAAAGCAACATACAACAATAAGAAGTATGGTTATCCTTAAAGAGGGTACCCTTACATAAGTACTTTCATGGAAGAACATAAAAGAAATTAGAGGTAGATATAGATAAGTCTTGATTAACAAGATAATTTTTTTTATTCATTCAACAAATATTGTTCATTGCTCTCTATAATCTATTACTAAATAAAACTTGGATTTTAAACTCAAGGACCTTACAATCCAAGCAGAAGCTTGAAATTATAATAAAATAATACAATTCTGCAATGTGCAGAGAAATAAAATATAGTTCTTTAAAAAAGTTAATTCCTCAACCAAGCTTTTATAGGAAAAATATACACATGGATATTTTACATGACCTGAACTAGGGGAACTTTTAAAAACGTTTTATGCTTTATGTAAGATTTTTTTTCTTAAAAATTTCTTTTATATTACTTCTTCCAAAACTTTCTGAGGCCTAGGCTTAGATTAAAAAAAAAATTAATTTTATGAATGAGACAAGAGGCAAATCTGGGTATGCATGTTCCTGGATAGCCTTCTTTCTACTTGCCTTTTCTGTAAACATATCTTTTGTAAGGTATTTCTCAGATTAGCTTTTGTTTCACATGTTGTCTTTTATAGCTGTAACAACAAAAGTGGGCAGTGTTTGAACCTAATTTTTGAAATTTTAAAAGCAGTTAAAAAGTACTTAACCAAAGTTACAACAGGATAAAATATGTTTGTTTATTTGCATCTTTTATTCTCTTCTATAATGTACATCATACCACTGTAACAAAAGTGACATTCTTTTAAAATAAAAGCGCTTAAAATTCCACAGATGAAGAAGAAGATTAGAAGCAGTAAGAATGGGAAAAGAACCACCATAAAAGCAAAAAATGTGAATAACAGGCAAAATAGTTTGAAATTTTAAAAGGTTAATTAGAAGACCAGATTGTGAAGCTTTTGGTTTAATTCCATCTGGTTTTGGAGTCTCTTCAAATAAATAATCAAAGATATGTTAATAATATATAAATTTTAAGTCATCAAAGGTAACCGTTCTTCCTAGGAAAAAATGGAATTCAGAATAGTGTCTGTGTCTTACCCAATCTGGGAAAAATAGAATTATTGATGCCAAAAGAAAGTTTTGTATTTTCTTTTGAGTGACAGAATCAGATATCAACATTGTCATATAAACAGGCAGGTCTGGGATTAATTCCTTGGCCAAAATGAGCAAACACAAAAGACTTTTCAGAAAAGCTGTGCTTTGCTCCTTTCCCTGTGGTGCTGGTCTTTAAAACAAACAAACCAACCACAAAGAATGGGGGAAGCATTCTCAAACAGATGAAAACTAAACCAATAAAAACCTACAATCATTCATTTTGAAAAGGAAATGGCAAGCTAGTCAGTAATATCTATCTTCTCTAGGGCTTATTAAATTTTTTTAGGCCACAATTATTTGGTGATTCTTCCCTTGCTTAAAAGTAAGCACTCCAAGGCTACTAAAGAGCATTTTTTTAATATAGTATAAAAGGTATTAAGTTTAGCTTTAATACCCCAGTCTCTTCGATGAGTTGTTGATGTAATAGTTGATGCATATCAACTTATTTACCCAGCATAAGCTGTTCCCAATATTAAAATGCAAACTTACAAGTTACTTGAAAAAATGTGATACATCACTGAGAAGCTCCACTTCACCATATGCTCCCACTCTCTGCCCTCAACTCCTACCCCAATTTGGCACAAGGTATTTACTGCTTCTAAAGATTTCATTCCTCTTTATTTAATTATTTTATTTTTTCTGTGTGTGTGTGAATCCAGCTGGTCAACTCTTTATTTCCTATTTTTCTTTAAGAAGTGTATAAATACATACACCCACATACACACACACAGCCACATACTCTCTCACACACACACAAGTCACTTTACCATACAGTTATGTAACCAGAGGATGCCTGTCCTGACTAATATCCTTTTAGATAAAGCATTTGAACCATCACAATTGCTGGTTTAATCTAATAATTTAATGTGGAAATCTACTTTCAAGTAAGACACCCCCTTAAAAAACAAACATTAAATAACCAATTGGACCAAGGCATATTTGATATTTTAAATCTTGTCACAAATCTTATAGACTTAAATAAAGTGCAGAGTTGAGGAGGAAAAAAATTAACATATTCCGATGAATAAATTATGACCTAAGTATGGGTTACATGTAATCATTCAGATAGATGCTGTGTCTCAAATGTAAAAGGTATAGATATTTTTTGGAAAAGCCAACTGTTTAATAATTAGAATCTTTGATGTAGAATGATTAAATACAGATTTTTACGACAATTCTTTGTGAGAATGTCACTAATGTTTTACTAGAATCTCAAAGATGCCAAATTCTGTAACTAGAAGCAATGATTCTGCCATCAAAGTTATCTAGACTTAAATCCTGCTTGTATCAGCTTAGTTTTGCTGTGTGACTTGGACCAATTACTTAACCTCTCTGTGACTCAGTTTCTTCACATGTTAAATGCAGATAATTTTAGTACCCATTATTATAAGATTCTTGTGAAGATTTAACAAATCAGTATGTGTAAAGTGCTTAGAAATATGCATCTTACATAGTGTTAATTAGTGTTGTATAAATGTTTGCTATTATTATTACTATGTTATTGAAATACATAGTTATAAATATAAAGATGTAAATATTTAAAGACATTTATAAATATTGCTTTGGAGTTTTAACTTATGATGGAGAGAGTTAGAGGAAGAGCACTTAAAGTGGAAAAACAAAGGTAAAGGGCACAGAAGGAAATTTAATCGTAGTGTTAATGATACCAAATAAACATTTTAATTAATTACTTTATTGATACATACTAGAGGCACACAATTTTGGTGTAAATGTGATAATTTGGGCCCAGCACGGTGGCTCACGCCTGTAATGCTAGCACTTTGGGAGGCCAAGGTGGGTGGATCACAAGGTCAGGATATCGAGACAATCCTGGCTAACACAGTGAAACCCCATCCCTACTAAAAATACAAAAAAATTAGCCGGCTGTGGTGGGTGGCATCTGCAGTCCCAGCTACTCGGGAGGCTGAGGCAGGAGAATGATGTGAACCCGGGAGGCAGAGATTGCAATGAGCCGAGATTGTGCCACTGCACTACAGCCTGGGTGACAGAGTGAGACTCCGTCACACACACACAAAAGTGATAATTTGATATAATTTGATACATTCATATAACCAAATCATAATAATTGATATATCCATCACCTTAAATATTTATATTTTCTTATCCTAAGCACTTCCTAATTATTCTAGCTATTTTGGAATGCACAAGTGATGAATGTTAACTATAGGTACCTTACTGATCTATCAAACACCAGGTCTTATTTCTTCTATCTAAGTGCATATTTGTACCCATTAATCAACCTCTCTTTATTTCCTCCCTACTTCCTGGCCTCTGGTAACCCCCAATTTGCTCTCTATCCTCATGAAATCTGCTTAAAAATACTCCTACATATGAGTGAGAACATGTAATATTTGTTTTTCTGTACTTGACTTATTTCACTTAATGTAATAATCTTCAGTTCCACTCATGTTGTTGCAAATGACAAGATTTCATTCTTTTGTATTGGCTGAATTATATTCTACTGTGTCTATCTACCACATTTTCTTTATTGATTCATCCAGTGATGGATACTTATGTGGATTCCATATTTTGGTTATTGTGAATCATGCTGCATTAAACATGAGAGCACAGATATGTTGTTCTCCACATATTGATATATTTTATTTGGTTATATAACCAGTAGTGGAATTACTGAATCATATGATAGTTCTATTTTGAGTGTTTTGAGGAACCTCCATTTATTTTATTTATTTATTTATTCATTTATTTTTAGACAGAGTCTCACTGCCAGGTTGGAGTGCAGTGGTGCAATCTTGGCTCACTGCAATCTCCGCCTTCTGGGTTCAAGCGATTCCCCTGCCTCAAGCCTCCCGAGTAGCTGGGACTACAGGCATGCACCATCACACCTGGCTAATTTTTTGTATTTCAGTAGAGACGGGGTTTCACCATGTTGGCCAGGATTGTCTCAATCTCCTAATCTCGTGATCAGCCCACCTTGGCAATTTACATTTCCACCAATAGTGTAGGAGAGCTCTTTTTTTCCCACAGCCTCACCAGCATCTGTTAGTTCCTGACTTTTTAATAAGAGTCATTCTGAGGTAAGATAATATCTCATTGTGGTTTTGACTTGCGTTTCTCTGATTATTAGTCATGTTTAACATTTTTCATATACCTATTAACCATTTGTGTGTCTTCTTCTGAGAAATGTCTATTCAAATCTTTTGCTCATTTTTTAATCAAAAAAAATTTTTCTTTGCTATTTCGTGGTTTGAGCTCCTTATATTTTCTGGTTATTATATCTTTGTCAGATAGATAGCTTGAAAATTGTTTTCTCCCATTCTGTAGATTGTCTCTTCACTTTGTTGATTGTTGCCTTTGCTGTGCAGAAGATTTTTAACTTGATGTAATCCCATTCAAATAATTAATTGTTTTTACAATTACACAACAAGTGTACTGTTTTAATAAGCCATAAAGATCTTGGAAATACTTTAATAGCAATAAGGCAATTGTAACCATATGTGATTTGAAATAAAGAATATTAATAATAATAATATTTGTAACATTGACCTATGTCTCATTTGCCAGATGTTGGTAAGATTTCATCCCTAGGTCTTTGTATCTCCTTGGCCTTTGAAAATACCCATGTTTCTTCCAGATTTCAATGGTCATATTGACAAATTATAGAATATTTATGTCTATGTATTATAGTTTTATACAATAAATATAATGACATTATGTAACAGATACTATACAGAACACACTTGAAGATGCATGATAAGAAGTTTATGAGCATTCTCCATGGGTTGTCAACTTGTACAGACACCTTGCCCTGACATTCTCATTCTCATTCATCATCTCTTCCTGTAATCACAAATCTCAGCAAATACCAGGAAGCTTATTTCAGTTACCATCTTAATGTTCATCAAGAAGGGTGATAAGTCAAGAAGAGTCATGAATATACATAACTTTTATATTACATATAAGGTCTTGGACTTTTATATTATCTGAATTTCTCAAATCACGAAAACTTTCTCATTCATTGGCACCATTTCATTTATATTATCCTTGCCCTCACTCAACAGTATTGCAACATCTTGTAGGGATAAAGTGAACAGCACATATTGTTGGCTAGTTGTTTCTATTTCAATTCAAGTTAAATTTACTGAAGTGAGCTTACATTTATTTGGAGAAAAAAACAATTTTCCAAAACCATATCACAATATCACATTATCCTCCTACCTACAATTTTGGGCTAGGATGTTCTTCAGTAACAAATAAATTCTTACATCTCAGTGACTTAACCAGCAAGATACAGATCTATTTATCACTAATGTTACAGTCCAATGTAGGTTAGATAGCTCTCCTCTGCAGCTCTACTGCTCCACATAGTGACTCAGGGACCCAGGTTGTTTTCATTTTGCAATTCTACCTTTAAAATCTTTTGCTTTGGATACAAAATCAATGTACAAAAATCACAAGCATCCTTATACAACAATAACAGACAAACAGAGAGCCAAATCATGAGTGAACTACCATTCACAATTGCTTCAAAGAGAATAAAATACCTAGGAATCCAACTTACAAGGGATGTGAAGGACCTCTTCAAGGAGAACTACAAACCACTGCTCAATGAAATGAAAGAGGATACAAACAAATGGAAGAACATTCCATGCTCATGGGTAGGAAGAATCAATATTGTGAAAATGGCCATACTGCCCAAGGTAATTTATAGATTCAATGCCATCCCCATCAAGCTACCAATGACTTTCTTCACAGAATTGGAAAAAACTACTTTAAAGTTCACATGGAACCAAAAAAGAGCCTGCATCACCAAGTCAATCCTAAGCCAAAAGAACAAACCTGGAGGCATCACACTACCTGACTTCAAACTATATTACAAGGCTACAGTAACCAAAACAGCATGGTACTGGTACCAAAACAGAGATATAGATCAATGGAACAGAACAGAGCCCTCAGAAATAATGCCGCATATCTACAACCATCTGATCTTTGACAAACCTGGGAAAAACAAGCAATGGGGAAAGGATTCCCTATTTAATAAATGGTGCTGGGAAAACTGGCTAGCCATATGTAGAAAGCTGAAACTGGATCTCTTCCTTACACCTTATACAAAAATTAAGTCAAGATGGATTAAAGACTTACATGTTAGACCTAAAATCATAAAAACCCTAGAAGAAAACCTAGGCAATATCATTCAGGACATAGGCATGGGCAAGGACTTCATGTCTAAAACACCAAAAGCAATGGCAACAAAAGACAAAATTGACAAATGGGATCTAATTAAACTAAAGAGCTTCTGCACAGCAAAAGAAACTACCATCAGAGTGAACAGGCAACCTACAAAATGGGAGAAAATTTTCGCAACCTACTCATCTGACCAAGGGCTAATATCCAGAATCTACAATGAACTCAAACAAATTCACAAGAAAAAAACAAACAACTGCATCAAAAAGTGGGCGAACGGTATGAACAGACACTTCTCAAAAGAAGACATTTATGCAGCCAAAAAACACATGAAAAAATGCTCATCATCACTGGCCATCAGAGAAATGCAAATCAAAACCACAATGAGATACCATCTCACACCAGGTAGAATGGCAATCATTAAAAAGTCAGGAAACAACAGGTGCTGGAGAGGATGTGGAGAAATAGGAACACTTTTACACTGTTGGTGGGACTGTAAACTAGTTCAACCATTGTGGAAGTCAGTGTGGCGATTCCTCAGGGATCTAGAACTAGAAATACCATTTGACCCAGCCATCCCATTACTGGGTATATACCCAAAGGATTATAAATCATGCTGCTATAAAGACACATGCACATGTATGTTTATTGTGGCACTATTCACAATAGTAAAGACTTGGAACCAACCCAAAAGTCCAACAACAAGAGACTGGATTAAGAAAATGTGGCACATATACACCATGGAATACTATGCAGCCATAAAAAATGATGAGTTCATGTCCTTTGTAGGGACATGGATGAAACTGGAAACCATCATTCTCAGCAAATTATTGCAAGGACAAAAAACCAAACACTGCATGTTCTCACTTACAGGTGGGAATTGAACAATGAGAACACATGGACACAGGAATGGGAACATCACACTCCGGGGACCGTTGTGGGGTGAGCGGAGCAGGGAGGGTTAGCATTAGGAGATATACCTAATGCTAAATGATGAGTTAATGGGTGCAGCACACCAACATGGCACATGTATACATATGTAACAAACCTGCACATTGTGCACATGTACCCTAAAACTTAAAGTATAATAATAAAATTAAAAAAAAATAAATAAAAAATATAATCTTTTGCTTCAAGCTATGGGGTTGCAGAACACACACAAGCTCTTAATTGCCACAACCTAGAATGACATTACTTAAAATTCTATTTGTAAAAATTAGTCACATTATCCCATCTAGCTAGATGCAATACAGATAATAAGCTACAAGTATAGTTGATGATCTCAAACAGTATCTACCCTATTTTTTATGGTAGTTAAAGTTAAATTGACGTTCCTTTGTAGGACAAATAAAACGGTTTGTAATCTGATTCCTAAAAGTTTCTTTCTGATTCAACTTTTGATGGTCCTGAATTCATCCTGTGCCGCAGACACATAGAATGTCATATGTTCTTAATACTGCCACCCGGGTTGTTTTGTCTTTTCTTATTTTCTGTAATAAGGCATATATTTTAAAATCCACTCAAACGATAAATGTCAGGAAGCACTGTCAGTGCCCATAGATTACACATGTGCTAACTGAGCAATGCACATTAGGTATCTTTGTAGTTGATTTCCACTGCAGTTGAGCAATTTGAAGGTAGCTGTCCTAGTTATTCATGATTGTCTCTCAGCTCAAAATTCATTCATTCATTACCTGCTTTATGATAATGGATGCATTACGCGTATATCCATTGCAAATAGCACAGTGTTTAACTTTCATTAGTAAGAAATGAAAAGACATACCAGGTTCTCTTCTTGGTTCTGATGTGGTACTATTTTCAATTATATATATATATATACACATATATACATATATATACACACACATATATACATATATATACATATATACACATATATACATATATACATATATACACATACATATATACATATATATACACATACATATATACATATATATACATATATATACATACATATATACATATATGTGTGTATATATATATATATATTTTTTTTTTTTTTTGCTTCTGCTGTACCCCTTCCAGAGGTGCTCTGTTCTAGGGCAAGCAGTACCTCAACTAGCTGGCAGCCCAGGCCCCAATCTACTGATCTCCTTTCCATGGTCCTCTCAAAACAGACTCTGTGCACAACAAGATTTGAAACAACCTGCTGATGAACAGACCTCCAACACCTGAATGAGCCTGTGTGCACCTGTGGGCCTCAGCCTGCCTGTCCTCCTAAAGGACGTTTTCTAATTTCCTGATGATTGAAACATTTCTGGTTTGGGCAACCCAGAGAACTTCTTCACTATAGAAGGTGAGGTGAATTGCAACCTCACCTTCTATAACAGTATCTCAATCTCAGCTTTGGGGATCCTTCCCACACCCCACTCTGCCTTCTAAGTTGTTCCTCCCTTGAGTACGCTCTCTCAGCCATCCAATATTCTTTAGTGTTCTCTTTTTCTTTCTTATAGTTACTCCACTGTTGTAGTTAATAATTCTTTATATTCAACTTTCCCTTTTCAAATTACTCTGTGGTTTCTCACTCTCAGTTGGATCTGGACTGATAAAATAACTCCACCCATTTGAATTGTACCTTAAATTTGGATCCCTCCCCATTGAATAAAACTCTTCAAAAAGATTCAACAGCATTGACACAAAAAGTTATTTTGCATATAAATGAGGGTCTCTATAGGCTAAGCCATGAAATTAAATGAAGTAATATCTCAAATTAATCAGAATTTTCACAGCTTGGAAACATTGGTATAATCAGTTTATATGCTGCATATGCTGTGATGGGTTATTATTCAGGCCTTGAGTAGTTATCTGTCTAAAGCTTCTACCTGAATTTCAAGAGAAGACATTCAAGTTCTATAGGCTAATAATTTAATTAAATCAAAAAATGCAATGAAAATACAGTCATGCATCAATTAACAATAGAGATATGTTCTGAGAAATGCATTGTTAGGAAATTTTTTCAATGTGTGAACACGACAGAATGTGCTCATACAAACCTAGATGGCATAGGGTACTATACATCTAGTCTAAATGGGATAGACTAATGCTCCTAGGGTACAAACCTGCACAGCATGTTACCATACTGAATAATGTGGGCAATTGGAGACCAATAGTATTTGTGTATGTGTATCTAAACATTAAAAAATACAGTATAATATGGCATAAAATATTAAAAAAGGTTCACATTTATAGGGCCATTGCCAAGAATAGGACTTTCAGGGCTGGAAGTTACTCTGACTGAGTCAGTTAGTGAGTGGTGAGTGAATGTGAAGGCCTAGGACATTACCGTACACTACTATAAGGTTTATAAACACTGTACACTTAGGCTACACTGAATTTATTTTTAAAATGTTCTTTAATAATAATTTACCTTTACTTACTGTGACATCTTTACTTGATACACTTTTTAATTTTTTACATTTTTTTAACTTTTAACTTTTATAGTACCACTTAGCTTAAAACACAAACACATTACACGGCTGTACAAAAACATTTTCTTCTTTATATCCTTAATTTATAAGCTTTTGTTCCTACATTAGCCTACAACTAGGATCAAAATATCACTATTTTCCACCTCCATATCTGGTCCCACCGGAAGGTCTTCAGAGGCAGTAACAGGCACAGAGCTGTCATCTCCTGTGAGAACAATGCCTTCTTCTGGAATACCTCCTTAAGGGCCTGTCTGAGGCTGCTTTACAGTTAACTCTTTTTTAATAAGCAGAAAGATTACACTCAAAAATAATGATAAAATATATAGTATAGTAAATACATAAACCAGCAACATAGTCGTTTGTTATTATCATCAAGCATATGTACTGTGCATAATTTTACATGCTACACTTTCATATAACTGGCAGCACAGTAGATTTGTTTCCAACACAATCACTACAAAAAGTGAGCAATGCCTTATGCTATGTTACGACAATGGACAGCTACAACGTCACTAGATGATAGGAGTTTTTCAGCTCCATTGTAATCTTACGGGATCACTTTTCTATATGCAGTCCATCATTGACCAAAACATCATGACACAGTGCATGACTATACATATTTTAACAAATAGGAAATAAAAAAGCACCAGTATTCTTCCGCGTGCCTCACAATTATGTACGCAATCTTAAAAGTGTGTAAGATACGATCATAAGCAAGAGTGGTAAAAAAAAAAAAAAAATGTGTGATCATTAGGATATATATAGCTAGAAATGTCCAAAGTGATTTTTGGTCTATCAATATGTTGAAAGGGTAAACTCAAGTGTGGATTGTAACACTAGGTAAGAAAGTGGAAAGTTATTGAAAGGATAAATGTATGCTCTTGTCCAACATTTTAAAAATAAAAAACAAAAACTGAAAACATACATTTAATGATCTTTACTCCCAGAAAATTGTTACCAAATCTGCTGTATCTTTTTATCATTAATGGTAACTTAAAGTTGAGGAATTGGGTTTTGAAATGGGTCATGCTCTGTTTTCAAATCTGGATATTAACATATGCTGTTAGCTCCACCTGGAGAAGCATCTCCTCCACAAAGCTTCCACTTCCAAAAATACCTCCCAAAACAAAAAACCTCCATTAATCATTTTCTCATCTCCTGCTAATCCTTAATGATTTAATCTAGTGGCCACCCCTTTGGCAAAAGCTGTGCCTAACCAGCCTCCTCCCACCCCTCCACCCTTGTCGCTATTCTTAACCCTCACCCCAACCATCCCACAGGTATGGCTACAAACACACACCAACAAAGTAGACTAGCTTCTTAGCTTGCAGGTAGCATATTCATTTTCATTTTACACTTCGTATGGACTGGATGTTTGTGACCCCCTGATTCTTATGTTGAAACCTAATTCTCAAGGTGATGGTATTCAGAGGTGGGGTCTTTGAGAGGTAATTAAGTCTTAAGGTTGGAGCCCTTATAAGAAGAGACACAAGCCAGACACGGTGGCTCATGCCTGTAATCCCAGCACTTTGGGAGGCCAAGGCGGGTGGATCACGAGGTCAGGAGTTCAAGACCAGCCTGGCCAACATGGTGAAACCCCTTCTCTACTAAAAAAAATACAAAACTTAGCTGGGCGTGGTGGTGGACACCTGTAATCCCAGCTACTCAGGAGGCTGAGGCAGCAGAATTGTTTGAATCCAGGAGGCGGAGGTTGCAGTGAGCCAAGATCGCACCATTGCACTCCAGCCTGGGTGACAGGGCAAGACTCAGCCTCAAAAAAAAAAAAAAAAAAAAAAAAAGAAGAGACACAAAAATGTTTGCTTTCTCTCCCTCTCTGCTCTTCATCGTGTGAGGACACAGCAAGAAGGCAGCCATCTGCAAACCAGGAAGAGAGCTCTCCCCAGAACCCGATTGTGCTGGCACCCTGATCTCGGACTTCCCAGCCTCCACAAGTGGAAGAAATAAATTTCTGTTATTTAAGCCACTCAGTCTATGACATATTCTACAGTAGCCTGAACTCACCAAGACAAGACTTTTCATTTACATTTGTTGCATCTATTATTTTGGTCTGTTTATTTTCTGTCCTCTCCATTTATTGTGAACTTCACAAGAACACATATTTTAGCACCAACTTTCTTTGGATTCTCAGCACCTAGGATCGTAACTGGCACATAAGAGTTCAATGACTGTTTGTTGCATTGAATGGATGTGTGATATTTCAGACACTGAGCAAGAAGCAGAGGGAATAAAGGTAGGATAATTCTTAATTAAATAATCCTCATGGGGTTACAATCTAAATGTGGGAACTGCCTCATAATTACCTACTTATATATCTGTGGGAACATTGTCTGAAATGCTTTCAGAATTAGTTTACCCATTTAGAATTTATTTTGTGCTATGTATTATTCTATGCTTTAGCTATATTGACTCCTTCTTTAATATTTATATGTAAATTGCATGTCATAGGTATACACATTATTTCCACTTGATGATAAAAAACTTACCCACAAAGGAAGTTACACATTTTATGTGATGGCAACAGCTTTTAAGGGGCAGATATGGGACTTAAGCCAAGGCAGCCTGACTCCAGGCTCAACATGCTGAATGATACTGCTCCACATTTAATATGATGAAGGTAGGGTCTAGGAAGCAGGCAGTGGTGACATTCTATAGGTGATGTTTTAACTCAGACACCATATAACATTTTTGCAACAAACAAAAAAAGTAATAAATCTATTATTGTTTAATGTTTTTAACTTTTCAAACAAACAAGGTCTTATATAGGAGAACAGAGGCTCAGAAGAATTACGTTTTTTTCCAAGTGTGATAATTTATTTGAGAAACTATTTAAGTGTACTCCAAATATTTGTGGAACATTTTGCTTGGCACTAAAGATGCACAAAGTAACAAATATTACTCTTGTCCTCTAAGGGCCCAACATCAAATAGGACATTCAGATTTACTCCTTTAACAAGTCATTTCTTGAGTGCTGTTACGTGTTTGGCACCGGAGTTAGAATAGTGCACCAGGGATGTAAGGCCTAAGGATCTTGAAGAGGCAGGTAAACAGTGTAATATCCTTAGAGAAAGTTGGCAGGAATGTGAGTTTGCTTCAGACACAGCAGTGAGGAAAGGTCTCTCTGGAGTCATGAATGAAAGCTGAGATAAGTAATAAAATAAATGTTAACAACTTTATCAAATAAAGCAACACACGATATATATGGGATACTGACGTCACATAGTTTATAGGCAAATGACCCTTGATGCATTTCATAAAAATACATCTTCATTTTGCTGACCAGTTCTAACACTGAATGTTTATTTGGAGTTGTAAATCTTGGATGCATTTGACGATTATCAAACTTTTTTTTTTTTTTTTTGAGATGGAATCTCGCTCTCCAGGCTGGAGTGCAGTGGTGCGATCTCGGCTCACTGCAAGCTCCGCTTCCTAGGTTCACACCATTCTCCTGCCTCAGCCTCCCGAGTAGCTGGGACTACAGGTGCTCGCCACCATGCCCAGCTAATTTTTTTTTTTTTTTTTTTTTTTTGCATCTTTAATAGAGACGGAGTTTCACTGTGTTAGCCAGGATGGTCTTGATCTACTGACCTCGTGATCTGCCCACCTCGGCCTCCTAAAGTGCTGGGATTACAGACGTGAGCCACCGCGCCTGGCCCAATAATTAGCAAACTTTTGAAACATAATGACATTCATTTAGGAGAAAGCATTTAATCCTTGTTAGAGATAAAACACCACTAGGGACACATATTTTTATGTTATGTTTGGATTATCAATAGGTAGCTATTATTCTATATGTCTCTTCTCTGTGTTTGCCAGGCCTAAGATTTTTGGGTTAAGGTACACAATATCAATGCCGTGCGTATCATGGTGAAGCAGGATATTTCCTAGGCCCTTGGCAAGACTCGTGACAGGGGAGCCTTGTTTATTCAGCCCGCCACTCTCAACTCCTTGCGGGAAGGAGTGCACAAACTAACGAGTATGGAAACGGGAGTAAACGAGTGCTGGAACTGACTGGCCACTTTGGTGCCACTGGGATCAAACTCCACTAACTTGGACCCACTGCATTCTACCCTTCATGGGAGGGAGCGCACAGGGGAGCAGGTGCAGGAACCAGCCAGATACGTTAGCACCAGCAGGAGCGAACTCCATGCAGGCCCTGTGGCAGCATCCAGGTGTGGGTGCCTGCAACTCCCGAAGCCCCAGAGGGAGTGTTACAGTGCTCTTTTAGCTCTGCCATCCACCGACGGCTTAAGTGTTAACAGCTCAGTGGACCCTTTGCCTTTTTCACTGAGATGGCTGCCCTCTGCCAGTGAGGGCAAAAGGCCAGTGCAACAGGTTTTTGTATCTGCATTCATGGCCCCTGAGCTCTTGTCCAGCATCCAGGAAAAATGAGGTTGCACAAACAAATTGAAGGATGGTAAATGTGGGGGATTTTATTGCCTATGAAAGTGGCTCTCAGAGGAAGGGGAGCTAAAACAGGGATGGGGTGTGTAGGTAATCTTCCCCTGAAGTCTGGCCATCTCTGGTCTGATTCTTCTTTGAAGGTATTCTGTCTAGCTGTCCCTCTGAAGTCAAGGCACTTCTCTCTGACGTCCAGCCATAGTCCCATCTACAGGCTGAGTCTGGGGTTTTTATAGGTACAGCATGTGGTAGGTGGTTTAGGAAAAGACAACATTTGAGTGGGAAAACAGGGATATAATTTCACACTTGGGGCCATGGTTTTAGGCTTTTCAGCTTGAGGGTAGAGTTTCACCAAGGACCTGCTGTTTTCTGTCTAGAATTTCTCTGACCCCAGTCCCTATCAATGGGATTATTGTAATCAAAAACATTTTTAGTTCATTATGCATTGGGGCAGAAGTAGATTAGTTAAATTATACAGAGCCTTTCAAAAAGAAAGTGTTTTAGAAAATTTGAAAACTATGCAAATGCCACGTTTCCAAAATTAAATAATAATACCTTCTGCAGAAAACTAATTATAAATAATTAGGGACAGCTAGTTTATTGGGAAAGAGATAAATCAGTACACTTACTAGGGATATGTGTTTTAGGTGAATGATCGATGCTTTTGTTTAAAAGCTAAAATAAGGCTAAAATGGGGGCCAATTATAATCTTTTAAGAAGGAAGACTAAGGCTGGGCACGTTGGCTCATGCTTGTAATCCTAGTACTTTGGGAGGCTGAGGCAGACGGATCACCTGAAGTCAGGAGTTTGAGACTAGCCTGGCCAACGTGGCGAAAACAATTCTCTACAAAAATTACAAAAATTAGCTCAGCGTGGTGGCGTGCACCTGTAATCCCAGCTACTGGGGAGGCTGAGGCAGGAGAATTGCTTGAACCCGGGAGGCAGAGGCTGTAGTGGGCTGAGATTGCACCATTATACTCCAGCCTGGGTGACAGCAAGACTCTGTCTCAAAAAAAAAAAAAAAAAAAAGAAGGAAGACTAGATAATATTCAGGAGTCACTCTCAGGGAAAAACAAAACAGAAGACAAATTATTCTCTTTCTAATTTAACAAGTTGATACCTGGAAGAACCTTGGACCATGAGGCACCAGGGAATGTGTGAATTTGCTTAAATGTGTTAAATCTTTACAGGAGGGAATGCCTTTAGACCTATATGATTTTAATATAACCGGAAGTATAAGGTCACCCAAATCCAGGAAATTTAGATCGGAGATCTAGTTTTTTGAAACCTCTAATAGTATAATTTTGTTGAGATTCAGTCTTCTTTAAACAACTAATAATTTACACAGTTTTGGGGCCACATGCCAACCAAGGAAAAGTGGTTATTCAAGTTCCAACGATAAAAAGAGTTGTATATTTATCTTCCCCACACAGAAAGCCAAAAAGAAGCGATAGGAAGGAAGCGACACTGTGCCTTATGAAAGTTTGGTTATGAAAAACCTTCTAGAGAATTAACTTTGAGTCAACATTCCCTACTCCTGTTGTTTTGAGAAGGTAAGATTTTTTTTTCTCTCTCTCTCAAGGCACTTTTCTTAAGTTTGAGAAAAGTTCACTCTATATTTTGGGCTTATATAATTTTCTCCAGGCCCCCAAATTAGCCCATGATTGCTTCAGTATTCATGTTCACTTGATGCTCGTAAGAACCTACCAAGGCCACGGTGTATAACATAATCCCCTTAATATTCCTTACATGTTTTTAAAAAGAAGGGCAATGAATCATTTTTCAGGGATGCTTAACCAACTGAGAGAACAGACTGGATGGAGTTCATTCCTCTTAAAAATGTTGAGAATTCTAAATAGAAAATCTGAACCAGTCCAAAGAATTAACAAAGCATATGGTACTTCCACTCGCTACATAAAAGAGCACTACAAAGAGAGTCACGACACAGGTATTCAGGATTGGGCTCTATATCATGAGATATGACTTCACCTCACTGAGCAACCCTATACTTGTTTATAAAATAAAATCATTCAGAAGAGTTTCTCAGCCTAGACACTCCTGACAATTGGCGGCTAATTCTTTGTTGTAAAGGGCTGTCCTGTGCATTACATTGTAGGATGTTTAGTAGATTCCTGGCCTCTCACACTAGATGCTGTACCACTCCCACTCAATTGTGACACCCAAAAATGCCTCCAGGTTTGGCCAAATGTTTCCTGGGGAAATGGGGGAAAAGTCATTCCTGCTTGAGACCTACTAGGCTAATAATCTCTAAGCCACCTTCTGGCTCAAAGTTTTTGTAAATCTAAATAACTGGACCCCAGCATTAAGGCAACTAACAATATTTATTCAGAGCCTATTCTCTTCTTGAAAAATATGACAAGAAAATCACGAATACGTTCCAGTGCAGAATATTACTGGGGTCAAAAAGGACTTAAAAAATTGACTTTCTGCAAGAATCTGCAAAGGGAAAAACATAAGGCCTCTCCAATGGAGATATTTTCAATCTTTGAAGGAGAATTGGAAAAGTAAGTATAAAATGACAAACACCTTTGTATCTACTGACCTTTTCTGATACTCATCAGCCCTTACAAATGCCTGAGCAGGAAGAACAACTTTCCTCTTAGTCCTGTAGATGAGGAGTTCATTGAGACCCCAACCACCAGCTTCTCAGATTGTCTTGGGTCCTTTGCATTCAGCACTCAATCACATTTGCATACTTTTGACATCCTCTTAGATAATTTCCCTGCTGTGCCTGAGAAGCAAATCATACTATTCTAGTCTTTCTTGTATTTACATGCAGTGCTACCTTTGCATTTTCTCTAGCTGTGAACGCTGTTTTCTTCTCCCTGGTGCTCTGATTACTTGATATATTCATGACATTGGTACTCGGATCTTTTCCCCACTCTGGTGTAAGGTGGAGAGGAGAGAAAGCACCGAATAGGGTCTTCGTAGATGATTGCTGCTTTCAACTTAGTTCATAAGCAGCTACTTCATTCACCTCAGTTTCCTCCTTTAAAATAAAATGATGTGTTTGGATTGAAAGATCTCAGTTTGAGATCACCGTATGTCTGAGATTTTCTTGCACAATCCCTCATATTTGTATTCTAATTGTGAATGTATCTATGACAAACTGTATTCTAATTTTGAGATAGTAAAGCATGGTCAATATATTACTAATTTATCCATCTTCTTTTCCAGATCTAAAGAAATGTGACCCTTGTGAGGCCAGAAAGGTTTGGATATTATTCGTGTTTTATTTTAAAACAAAGAGAAACCGTGACCTTCTTTGGAGGGAGAGCTGGGATTTTTTGTTTTGTTTGTTTGATCATTTCTTTGTATGCATTGGCAGCTATGATATTCGTGAAAATGTTTTAGGATCTCAGAAGAATTGGGATAGTGTTGCTCTTGTGCCATAAAGCTAACGGGATTGTGGTTATGGCTAGCCAATACTTGTCTGCAAATCCTACTAGATTCAAATGTGGAGGATTGAGGTCTGGAATGTTTCCATGTAGAGTCCATGTTTACGAAACTCCCTTCTTTTGGACAAAGACTTATTTTGTTGTTTTTAATGGTAAAATCTACATATAGTTAATCTATCTGTCTCCCACTCCAGGTAAGGGGATTAATCTGTTTAGTAGTAAATGGATGCCTTCTGAGAGCCAAGAAGTTTAGCCAATGGGTTCATTTTCCAGTTTTAATGATGAAATACAGATACAGTGATTGAAGCCACCTTGTGACATTTTGGGAGCCAACATCATTTTTCTTTTTAGAAAGAAAGAAATACCTATGCTACTGCTACTCTGCCACTCCTGCCCCCCACCCTGGTGAATGTTTTATTCATTTATCATGCTAGTAAACATATCTGTACAGCCTTTAGATAAAAGTGGAAACATCAGTCTGTGTAGCTAATCTTTGCTTTCTTCCTAGTGGGAAAAATATATTTTTTCTCAGTTTTATCAGCAACAGAACAACTCTGCTTCTCAATAACTTCCCAGCACTTCTTTCTCTCTATCCTCCTCCTTAATAAATAGACTCAGTGTTGAACACAAGGCTTTTACACCTCTATTAATCTTGGCAGACAGTGGGGATGCTGAAACATGCTGGCTAAAAGGAAAGAAGATGCCTTTTCATGTGGCCTTGCAATGCAAACATCTTGGCAGTGTTCAGTTCCTCTGTCACTTTGAACTTACAGACATTCTTACTAGAGTTCCAATAGCTTTCTTTCCACACGGACATTGATGCTTTAGTGCAGGATCTTGTAAATGGTAAAAAACACATTTTAAGAGGTCCCGCAAGTGAAGACAGAGATTTGTTTTTTTTCTAATTGGAGGTGAGGGGACCTCTGCTTTACAAGTAAATTAAAAATTACTTGCTAATTCATTCCATAGAAGGCTATTGTTTACAAAATTTGATCAAATATAATCACTGATATGGTTTGGCTGTATCCTCACCCAAATCTCATCTTGAATTTCCACATGTTGTCAGAGGGACCCGGTGGGAGGTGATTGAATCATGGAGGTGGGTCTTTCCCACCCTGTTCTCGTGATAGTGAATGAGTCTCATGAGATCAGATGGTTTAAAAAATGGGAGTTTCCCTGAACAAGCTCTCTGTCCTTGTCTGCTGCCATGTGAGGTGTGCCTTTCACCTTCCTCCATGATTGTGAGGCCTCCCCAGCCATGTGGAACTGTAAGTCCATTAAGCCTCTTTCTTTTGTAAATTGCCCAGTCTCAGGTATGTCTTTATCAGCAGCATGAGATGTCCTTAAACCAGAAATGTCCAACATGTGACAGAACACTAAGGTTAAGAGAAGACATATATTCGCTGGAAAAACAATGAGATTTTTAGAAAAAAAATTATGATAATTTTTATTAATTCAGGTAGTTATATAATTTTGATCCAAACTAATTTTTTTTTTAAATAAGAGGGAGCACTGTGAATTAATATGTTGACAAAAGAGGTATAATCCAAAATAGCCCCAGAATAATTCATTTGGTCAACAGGCCAGAGGGGAGGTCTCTCTTTGCAAGTGGTTGGCTGAAAAGCAAGTTTAAGGCATAAGATACTTCTTCAAGTTGAAGAAAACATATGTAAGTTTTACCAGAATCCTTTTGTGTTCTAGTCATTTTCCTTCTCTGAATAATATCAAACATACAATAAGACAAATCTTAAAAGCATAACACCCCTTTAATTGTACAGAATATTCTTCAACTGAGAGAATTACAAAGGATGTGACAAACTTCATAAACCAAAAGACCTATTTCTTATGAGTAAACACTGGCAAATCTCTTCACAACCAGTTGTTTTTGTAGAAGAATAGCTTGCACTTTTAATCATGTCTTTTTCTACATACTGTGCTTCGTTGGGTGAAAATGTAACCTGTCTTTAACGGCTACATTAAGGAAAAAGGTTAGGAAAGTAACCAGAGAGAGGGGCAAATTGAGGATATTCCGCGTCTAATATGAAACTTGAGTATGAGCGAGTACGCTGATCCCAAATGCTATATGCAGTAGTAGCCTAGGAAAAATAATCATTTCACCTGGGACAACTTTCCCCTTTAAGTCTGCTTGTATATATGGACATCCTATTAAATAATAAAATATTTTATTCTCTTAATTTTTTACTTTACAAGAGACAGACCATTCATTCACTATTCATTTAACCAGCCATTATTTCCATAACTATTTTGTGAACACCTACAGTGTACTTGAAACTTACTGAATATAGGTATACAATCCCTTACTTGTAATTTTAAAATCTAAAACACTCTAAACATAAAAGCTGTTATAGCCTATGTGGGGACAAAACCTGACCTGTCCTCTTCTGGTTTTGTGGTGAACTTGACAAAAGTTGGATATAAGAGTATTTTTAATCTTTGTCTGGCCTCCTTGGTATAGTTATATGTATAGTTATATATATACACACACATATGTACATACACACATACACATATATAATGTGTATGTATATATAACTATATGTATACCTCTGTATATGTGTATATATATGCAGAATATATATAATCACATATTTAATAATGCAGAATTATTAATATGTTTTACTATCGTCCAGCCCAGATCTTTCTGGGATCTTATGTAACATGTAGTATATGCAATCTGAGAAATTCTGAATTCCAAAATACCTCTGACTTCAGGAGTTTTAGATAAGGGTATGGATCTATAGCTTTCGTAATATTAGGAGGATAAACCCCTAGAACTCACATTTCACTCTTAACAAGAGAAAATATCTGGAAAGCATGCCTCATTCAAAAGTTCTCACCCAGACATGTATCCCTGTGAGGTGTTGTCTGCATGTGTGTGGCTGACAATTTTTTGAGTCAAAAGAATCCAATTCTCTTTCTTTGAAGAGCAGTGGACCCCCACTAAGAAGACACAGCAACATCCTGTCAAACAGTGGTGAGCAGTCTCTGCCCATGTGGTCTAAAATAAAAATAATTGAAACATGGTGTTACTGAAGTTTCCGGCTTCCCTTCATAGTCAAAGAAAGGAAAAGGACAGAGTGAACCGGGTAGGGTTTCAGATTTCAGGCTTCCTGGATCTCAGACATGAACCAGATAAAGAGTCTAAAATTCAGACGAGCGAAACAAAAGGACTCAAGTGTTATCAAATGGAGAAGAATGTGGTAGTTGATGGTTCATAAATATATCATGAAGTGGTGCTTCATTCATACTTTGTTCTCTCTCTAGGATTCACCAACTTCTCACAGCTGCTGGAGGGTCTCAGGTTGCTGAATTAATACACCAAAAGTCACAATTTGAATCGAAAATGAACTGCTCTATTGAATACATCCATCATGGCTGAAAATATCTTTGGAGTTCACAAGTTACAAAAACACCCCTGTCTCAAACCATTGAACTACACATGAATCATCTTGTGTAATCTTGTCATTTTGGCTTGGATATTTTCTAACTCAATTGGCAGAACAAGGAAAGACAGTGCATTTGAAGAATTGCATACATAGAACCATACGAAAGCCCCAAATGACATATGCAATAGTGCTATTCTAAATAAAAGACCAAAGCTGATTGTCTGGGACAAATTTTGGGTTCCAAAGGTAGTAGCTATGCGTGGATTTACAGAACCACATCAGGGTAAGATGAGTGAGTCTGGAATTCTTTTTACTACAAACACTTTAGTGAAACCACAGAAGCAGTTTAAGTGACTTCGGAAAACAAAAAACAAAAAAACAAAAAAAAACACCTTTCTTATAAATGGACTAACATAATTTTTTTTTTTTTTTTTTTTTTTTTTTTTTTTTTTTTTTACTTTAAGTTCTGAGATACATTTGCAGAACATGCAGGTTTGTTACATAGGTATACAAGTGCCACGGTAGTTTGCTGCACCTATCAACCCATCATCTAGGGTATAAGCCCACATGTCTTAGATATTTGTCCTAATGCTCTCCTTCCCCTTGCCCCCACCCAACCCTCCAACAGGCCCTGGTATATGATGGTCCCCTTCCTGAGTCCAAGTTTTCTCATTGTTCAATTCTCACTTATGAGTGAGAAATTTTTTTTAGATTTAGATTTAGATTGAAGTAGCTTCAAATTAGAGAGCCTTCTAATCCACGAAATAAAATGACAAGTAAGTCATTCCAACATATGGATTACAATAAAAGATAAGCAAAGATGAAATAAAACAAGAAAGTGCTTTTCATGTTTTCTAATTTGATCATTCTCTTAAGTAATATGAAAAAAAGAATTAACTGCAATAAAGAAATCAGTTGAGATGGAAGAGAAGCCAAAGAGTGACAAAGATTGACAAGACAACCCTTCATTGTAAGTAATTCGCTAGGATAGCTTGGATATTTGGTCTACCTGTGGAAAGCAATAGAAAATAATATGAACCAAACATAGTTGAATTTGTCCTTGGTGTTCATGTGGATTTCAGTGTTAATGCAAGACTTCACACCTACAATATTATGTAACACTCCTAAAAGATAGTGCTCATGGTGTCACAATAGAGATTTCACATGTAATATTGTAGGCATAGAATTGAATCCATAGCAGCCATGTGTGTGTTAGGGCTTTCTGAATACTGTTGATTAGATAGAAGTGGACATAAACCTTAAATTATGCCTCTCTTGTTCCATCTTCTGGGAAACTGAGATTGACACCTAAAGGCAGCCCATCTCTTGAGCTGAGGAGATGGAAACCCAGCAGCTGTGAGAAAGAAAATAAGTCTGAATCAGGGCAGAAGAAGTGGAATGAGACAGAGAGAAGGCCAGGACACAGGAGGTGTTATCTAGATTCCTGTTCCATCTCCAAGTTTGGCTAATTACCTGCCTTCGTGTTTCGTAAAACATTCCTGTATCCTTATATTTCTTTTTTAGAAAAGTAACTGTCAATCAAGAGGCTATCATGGACCATCTCTGGGCCCAGATGAAAAGCCCTTTCCCATTCTTGATACTCCTGGCAGCCTCCGTCCATCCACCTTGCCCACAGCCTATGCCCAAGTATTCTTTCCAAGGCAGTTATGAGAAACATTTGGTGCTTTTACTTTAGTGCTCAGTCTCCCAGTTTTTTGAAGGTTCCACTGAGTTCACCTTCACTGGTGGTAAATGGCATTGCACTGCCTCTAGAGGTCATCTTGGAAATAGGTACAAAATATTTTAACCCAACAAAATATTCTCACATTACAGCAGAACTGTTCTTTTTGCCTTATTCCAGGAATCCCTGGGGCTTGAGATTGGGATTGTTGTAGCTCTGTTTCTGTGTTTCTCAGGAGTTTTAACAATTCCTCCAGGAACAAGCAGTGAGAAAATGGTTGAGGCGGCAGACATAGGGGAAGGGAAGTCAATTAGTTTCACTGGTTACTTTCATACCCTATTAGTTTCTTCTCCCAACTGACTGCCTCAGGTATCCTCAACTCTCTTTCCCTCTCCTGCACAAAACTCCTCTGG
Organism: Homo sapiens; assembly: GCF_000001405.40. Taxonomy (NCBI): domain Eukaryota; kingdom Metazoa; phylum Chordata; class Mammalia; order Primates; family Hominidae; genus Homo; species Homo sapiens. Next base: position 85,195,745 of record NC_000014.9, on the reverse strand, counting down.
GGCACTCATCCCATGGTCATTTGAATGCCATTATTTTTAAGAAAATGTTAATATTTACTGACAATTTACTGTGTATTAGGTACTGGCTAAAAGCTTTTATTATTAATGTATTTAATTTTTTTGAGGCAGGAGTAAGGGGATATTTTGTAGATGAGGAAACTAAGGCTTAGATTAATTAATGAAGGCATGTATTTATAAAGTGAAGGAGGCCTGTCTGACAGAAGAACCCTAGTAAATCCTTTGTCACTGAGTGATTTAAATAAAACGAAGTCATTACCTCGTTGCCAAGTATTAGGCTGTTTTTGCACTGCTATAAAGAAATACCTGAGACTGGGTAATTTATAAGTAAAAAGATTTAATTGGCTCATGATTCTGCAGGCTATACAGGAAGCATAATGGCATCTGCTTGTGGGGAGGTTTCAGGAAGCTTCCAATCATGACAGAAGGCAAAGGGCGAGCAGGGCATATCACGTAGTGAGAACAGGAGCGAGAGAGAGTGGTGAGGAGGTGCCACACACTTTTTAAAATGATCAGGTCTTCTATGAACTGAAGGCAAGAGCTCATTTATCACTAAGGGGATGGCCCAAGACATTTGTGAGGAATCTGCCCCCATGATTCAAACACCTCCCACAAGCCCCCACCTCCAACACTGGAGATTACAATTCAACATGAGATTTGAGAGGGGACAAATATCCAAATTACATCACCAAGATTAACTTAAATCTTACTAATGTAAACTTTACCTTTACAATTAATTTGCTGATACATTCCATCTACATCTCTCTTTCTCTCTTTTGGAGGCAGGGTCTTGCTCTGTTGGTCAGGCTAGAGTGCAGTAGCACAAACATGGATCATTCCAATCTCCACCTCTCAGGCTCAAGAGATCCTCTCACTTCAGCCACCCAAGTAGTTGGAACTACAGGTGTGTGAAAACATGCCTGGTTAATTTCTGTTTTTCTTGTTTGTTTGTTTTGTTTTGTTTGTAGAGACAGGGTATCACCACTTTGCCCAGGCTTGTCTCAAACTCCTGGGCTCAAGTGATCTGCCCAACTCGGCCTCCCAAAGTGTTGGGATTACAGGTGTGAGCCACCTCACCCAGCTTCGTTCCATCTCTTATACTTAAACAGTTGCCTCTTATTTCCTGCCTCAGCCCTTTTGGGGTTTCTACAGCTGATTCTACTAATGGCTTCCATCGACCAGTGCAGGCTTTTCTCATTTCTTCACTCATATCTTGTAGAATTTCCTTTCTGGGGTCTGTGGTCTTGTCATTATCATATTCTCAGATACTGGATTCTTATGTTGGGTTCTTGTGTTTCTTTTATGTACTTATTTATATATGCTTTCCTTGGTGGGCTCTGGTGCCTTTTAGGCTAACTAACTGAAAAACAATGTATCCACAAAATTAAAATGCACTTTTCCAGTCCAATTGACCCAAACAGAATTATACCACCAAATTAGTTTTACTAGTTTTCTGTTTTTTTCAGTGATATCCAGGGTCCTGTCTTAAGCCTTAGCTCTTGGTGGTTCACTTACCCCATGTTACAGTTTTGTTACTGCATTATAAGTATCCCCAAATCTCAGTGGCTTAAAACAACAACCATTTTATTATATTTCATGAGTTTCTGGGTTAGGAGATTAGGTAGGGCTTGGCTGGGCAATTCTTCTTCTCCACGTGGTCTTGACTTGGTATTTAGCTGGCAGCTGAGCTAGCCTGGTGGGTCTAAGGTAGCATGATTTAGTTGCCAGGCACATTGCCAGAGATGGCTGCCTGGCTGAATGGCTGGGCTGGGCCCCTTCCTTCTCCATGTCATCTATAACCTTCCCACATGATATCTTTAGAGGAGTAGATAGATTTCCTACATGGCAGCTTGGGGCTCCAAGAATAAAAGTCTTCTCAGAGTCAGGAAGTAAAAGCTACCAGTCTCTTAAGGCTAAGACCTGGAACTGAGACATCATTTGTGCTGCATCCTATCAGTTAAAGTAGTCAAAGAGCCTGCCCACATTCAAGAGGAAAAAACATAGGCCCCTCTCCGTAAAGGGAGGTATCTCAAATAATTTGTGGCCATCTTTAATCCACCATATCCCAGCAAAGTTCTATTCTTTGACAGCAGGCTTTTTAGGTAGCGTCACATTTTCAGCAACTATTGCTACTGCGTGCCTGTCTTCTGCATATTTCCTGGTTGCCTAGATTACGATGTCATGAGGAACTGATTAGGCCCTTTGCAACTGTGTCTTACATGAGCCACTGTAGCTCAGTCCCATCCCTTAGCTTGTTCCTCTCCTGCCCAATCAGAAAGTTATGTTTTACACCCAAGCCAGCTTCCGTTGTGACATCACACATAAAATGTGCGTAAAATGCTTACATCAATTGCATTGGCTCCTAGAATTCAGAAATTGCAGTGACTTAAACAAGAGAGTCATTTGTTTCTCTCTCACATAAAAGGAATTTGAAAGAACAGAGTCAAGATCAGGTATGGTGACTTCATGTTCAGGCAACTTCTTGTCTTTTCTATCATTCTTCAAGCATGGCTTCAATCCTTACTGTTACTTTGTGGCTGTTGACCCTCCAACTCTCACAACAAAGTTCCAGGCAGAGAGGCAGGAACAGGATAATAAGAGGGGGCAAAAATGCCCAAATCATCTGTCCATTCACTTGAGGAGCCTTCCTGCCTAGTTTCACCCAACAGCTTCTGCTTACTACTTCTTGTCCAGCTGTTACTACAAGAGAGGCTGGGAAATGTAGATCTTCATTTGGGCGTAAAATAACTAGTGAAAAATCAGGGTTCTTTTACTAAGGACAAAAAGTGGAATGAATTTTAAGTTTTTTTTTTTACAAAGCTCTAAATTGGGATAAGTCTTACCTAGAGTTTAAGAAAGGAATTACTATCCCAATAACTTCAGGTTTTAGGAAGATCCATTACTGTATTGCTTCCTGGAATTGGTTTATGAAGAAGGGTTTTGCTGTGAATTTTGACAAATGATTTTTTTTTTTTTTTAGACAGACTCTCACTCTCTCACGCAGACTGGAGTGCAGTGGCGCGATCTCGGCTCACTGCAACTTCTGCCTCCTGGGTTCAAGCGATTCTCCTGCCTCAGCCTCCCAAGTAGCTGGGATTAACAGGCACCCACCATCACACCCGGCTTATTTTTTTGTATTTTTAGTAGAGACAGGGCTTCACCACGTTGGCCAGGATGGTCTTGAACTCCTGACATCGTGATCCACCCGCCTTGGCCTCCCAATGTGCTGAGATTACAGGTGTGAGCCACTGCACCCGGCCGATATATTTTCTTAACCACTAGACATAGTACAAAGAGCAAATATAGTACCACTATAGTATATTGTTAAAATAATGATTGAATTTTAAGTAATGATTAGAACTAGTGATTACTGAGTCCTAGCACTTAACTCTGTTACCCAATTAATTTCTTACAAAACCCTATGTGATTTGTAACAGTATGATTATCTCTGTTTACTGTTGTAGATAATAAAGCTCAGAGAGGATAGCCACTTCCTCAAGGACACAGAGTAAGTGAAGCAAGCCTGGACCTGAGCCCAGGCAGTCTGCATCCAGAACCCAAGCTCTTAGTCATTATACCAAACCACCTGTCTTGAGACCTGTCTTGTTATGCCTAACATCTGAAAAAGGAATTTAAAACTATTTCTTGTTAAATTTTTTTCTGGCTATTAAATCTATGATAAGTGAGACCAACAAGCACTTCCAAATGATTGCTGGTACTTATATAGTTAACATTGTTCCCCTGTGTATCATTTTTTTTTCTTAAGATGGAGTCTATCTCTGTCACCTAGGCTGGAGTGCAGTGGCGCAATCTTGGCTGACTGCAACCTCTGCCTCCCAGGTTCATGCTATTCTCCTGCCTCAGCCTCCTGAGTAGCTGGGATTACAGGTGCATGCCACCACGCCCAGCTCATTTTTGTATTTTTAGTAGAGATGGGGTTTCACCATGTTTGTCAGGCTGGTCTCGAACTCCTGACCTCATGATCTGCCCACCTCGGCCTCCGAAACTGCTGGGATTTCAGGCATGAGCCAGTGTATCATCTTTTAGCTCTGCATCTAGTGGCATGTTTTGGCACAATTCCTAGTGCAAAAGGATGCCAAGTGTAACGTTTCTTATTGTCTCTGAAAAACAAAACAAGAAATGCCAAGTATTCACCCATTCCAAAGCGAGGTGTTAGCTCATGTAGGCATGGAAGGGAGCTTTTCATTCTATTATTAAAATTAAGGTTGGACAAAACCAGGATATATGGTCACCCTACATTATTAAAAACTAATTTTGCAGCCTTTGCTTATCTTCAGTGTTGCAGATGTTGTAAAGGGTGAACACTGTACCATTTAAAGGCTGAGAGATTAGAGAGAGAAGACCACTCGGAGTCAGAATTACTAATGTGCTTTCAGTCTCCTGCCACTTAGTAGATGAAGGTAAGACATGTGCTACTCCTTTACGTTAAGCCAAGAGAAATAGAAAGAGGTAAACAGCATAATTTAAAGCATAATTTAAAGACTCACAGTTCTGTGAGGAGACCGAGGCCCTGCTGGTCTATGTCAATCTTCCTTGTATTAATAGATTTAGAACCAAATAACCATGCTGGCCCAGGCCCTGGCCCTGGCCCTGCCAACATTTCCTTTGGCCCCGTTTCCTCCCTCAGGTAATACATTTAAATATTGTCTTAGCTAAGATACTTTGAGGGGTGGAATTGAGCTGGGAAAAGAAACACAGAGGATGAAGGAGAGAAGTTTCAGGTCATAGTTCATCATCAGGTTAAGTTGCTTAACTTTGTTATCAGGTTAAGTTGCAACAGAATCAGGGCCACCACTGTTCCTACCTGCCCATAAGCATCCTTGCTCAGCACCTCACCTCTGACAAGCTGTTTGCCAGGGAGCGATAGCCTAATTATATAGGATCTACAGGCACCTTCATTCCTTGATCCTTCCATCCCAACTCACAGTTCTTTGATTCAGTGCTTCTCATTGAAACTTGGCCTTCTCATGACATTTCAGGCTTTTGTGGTATTTCATCCAGTTTTAGATAGTCAGAGAGGCAGACAATGATGTTCTAAGAAGACTCAATAATTTTACTGGCATTATTCCCTCTTTTCAAATAAAAAAGGATGAGGATAACAAAAATAACATTAACGATGAAAAATCATATAGAGGCAAAGCATCCAACAAAGACAAAACGGATGAAGAATGAAAGAAGAATGTATTCAGTTAACATTGATGGAATGTCTTCTATGTGCCAAGCACTGGGCTAAGCCAACTTAATCCTTGGAATTTGCTCTACGAGAGGATGCATGGTTGGCTTCTTCTGTCTCCCCTCATTTAATCTTCTCTTCCGTTCACTAACTGCCATAGGTTTCCACAGGGTTGGGAAGCAGGGGTTCAGAGATGAGAGAAAAAGCAGAAAAGGTCATACATGACCAGTACCATTTTCATCGCTGTCAGTGGGTGGTGGATGCTTTTATGGATTACTGGTGTATCCCCATAGGAATCCTCCTGTTGGTTCTTTTGACATAAGCCAGAAATTGTCTGGCTAGCCAATTTTAAGTGTCCCCACAGTGCTGGCCCTGGGGTTTTAGGGGCCTATCTTCTGTTAGGATGGGGTTTCATTTGCCTTCGCTGGCACTTATACCTGGTTTATTGGAAACATGGCCCTTGTTCTGCTGTCTTTGGATGACAACTTGCTCTAGCGTACCTTTTGCTCTTGGATCTTCAAGTTATAACCAACTTCTTCTTTTAGGTTTCTTCCAGCGATGATCAGACACCAGTTTCCTCAGGGGACACCAGCAAGACATTCAAATCAGTTACCTTGACACCTGTTTACCTCTTTCTATTTCTCTTGGCTTAACGTAAAGGAGTAGCACATGTCTTACCTTCATCTACTAAGTGGCAGGAGACTGAAAGCACATTAGTAATTCTGTCTCCGAGTGGTCTTCTCTCTCTAATCTCTCAGCCTTTAAATGGTACAGTGTTCACCCTTTATAACATCTGCAACACTGAAGATAAGCAAAGGCTGCAAAATTAGTTTTTAATAATGTAGGGTGACCATATATACTGGTTTTGTCCAACCTTAATTTTAATAATAGAATGAAAAGCTCCCTTCCATGCCTACATGAGCTAACACCTCGCTTTGGAATGGGTGAATACTTGGCATTTCTTGTTTTGTTTTTCAGAGACAATAAGAAACGTTACACTTGGCATCCTTTTGCACTAGGAATTGTGCCAAAACATGCCACTAAGGCATTATTCCATTTTCAAGTACGTGCACGCCATATTCAGTCATGAAGATCATAGTAACTCATGAGTAACTCCTAGTAATTCTTCATCACTAACGATGTAAAGAGGAGACAACTAGAGAAATGGGCATGTTACGAGAAAATAAAGATGAAAGAAAAAGAGTACTTCTCTCTCTATTGCCTCCAAATCTCAGGGATTCACCAAGACAAAACTTGTTAAAATTAAACAAGCTAAACATAAACAACTACTTTCAAATGTTTATTTATATTCCATAAGACAAATTGGCTTACTTTGATGACCCACTCCAGGAAGCTTCACTTGATAACCTGGCAATATCAGTAACATTCTTAGATTCTAATTATGAGAGCTTGTTTGAAAGTTCTAGCAGGGAAGCGGAGCTACTTGTATACCCTTGAGTGAACACCAGCCCTCCTCTGTCAGGGATGGTCATCCTCTTCAACCAAACATGCAGCTTTGAGAGGCATGCACATGGAGAGGTGAGGAAGGAAGGGAACACTTGCCTAACCAGCCAGATCAGCTGAATCAACCCTGGAGATCAATGAGGTGACATGTCACTGCAACTCTCCCTCATATCCTTACATTCTAATTAAAGGATGTTCCAAAGTCTTCTACTTAAGAATATTATTGAGTATACTAAAAAACAACATAATTGTAATTTATTAAAATATTTAATAATTTAACATTTTTACTAGTTTATACTGCTGATCTTCATTTCAAAATGGTAGCCACTGTTAGGTGATTGAGTTTTTACCTTAATTATTTTGTTGTTTTATTTCTAAAACTTTCCCTTTTGAAACACTTATGGACTTAGAAATTGCAAAAAATGAAGTATATAAAGTCCCATAGACACATTTTAGTGTGAACATGATCACTGGAATAATAATATAGTAAAGATTTAATTTGGTGGAGTAAGTAGATTCAATATTATATTTTCAAAGTCATCAAGATGTTAAAAATATTTAGAGCACTAAGATTTATATAGTTTATGCAATAAAGTCAATTTCAAATTATTGAGTTATCATTGAAGATCAAACCCTACTGCCTGTTTACCACAAACTCATCAAGAGCATCAGGGATACTCACTGTTAAGTAGGGAAAATCTTTAGGAAAAGAAATTATTGTATTAGTCCGTTTTCACATTGCTATAAAGAAATACTCAAGACTGGGAAATTCATAAAAGAAAGAGGTTTAATTGACTCACAGTTCTGCATGGCTGGGGAGACCTCAGGAAAGTTGGAATTATGGCAGAAGGTGAAGACAAGCAAGTACCTTCTTCCCAAGGTGGCAGCAGAGAGAGTATGCAGGGGAAAATGCCATTTATAAAACTCATTCACTATCATGAGAACAGCATGGGGGAAACCGCCCCTATGATCCAATCACCTCCCACCAGGTCCCTCCCTTGACACAGGGGATTACAGTTTGAGATAAGATTTGGGTGTCTACACAGAACAAAATCATACCAAGTATGATTGTAAGGAAATACGTGTGCAAAAAATGTCTAAAAGTAAAACTTTATAAAATGTGTATTTTTGTAGATGATAAAATTCCCTGGTTTGAAAACTATAAAATTGGTAGATTGGCAGAGACTTATATTAGTATAAATTCATACATCTGGTTCCAATATTTGAAATGCTTTATTATATTAATTCCCCAAAATAAGTCAACAAACTTGCAGTAGCTATTATTATACCCAATTCTGAAATGAAATAGAGCCTTAGAGAGTGTGGGTGATTCATTTTTGTTTATAGAGCTGTTTCCTGGCTCAGCTCAGATTACACTCTACTGTACTACCTGTACTTTTTTTTTAATGTCGTACACTATAAGAATTTGCTAAATAAGGTGGATTAGATTGGTGGCTTTTATAACTTAATGTCACTAGATTTTGGGGTTACCTTTGATTGATAGACAACTTAATTGATAGAAATCTTGTCAAATATGACAAGGTTTCAAAATTAGCCTTGATGAATACTTCTATCTACATATGTTAATTCCTTCCTAAAAGATTAATTCAACAAGCATTGAAAAATATCAGGGCAGAAAAAGAGTTGATTCTCAAATAAATTATTATTAAATCCAAATGGAGTTAGGTAGGCTCTTTGAGTATTTGCATATTGGCTGATTATTTCTGCAATATTGCCTGGATTCAATTAGTACAAATGGTATATAAAGACCAGTATACTGTTTTCCTGGTACAATAAGAGAATAATTGCTGTACTTATGCCTTCTTTTTTTCAATGTTAACTTAGACTACAAGATATTAATTTGTAGCTACTGGTTACAAATGTTAATACATAGCCATTTTAGAAATGATTTAATATTTGCCTTCCCTTGGCATTTCATAATCCTTTTTCTAAATAAGTGTTACAAAGAAAGCAATCTGGAGAAAAAGAGCTAAGCTTCCTTCATTCTAGAATAAGTTTATCATACTTATTGAAACTGACATAAGGGTTACCTACTTTTTCCCCAAAAGTCGAACTTCAAGATTCAATTGGCCATTTGTAGAGTCATACTGTGGATTGCTATTAGGTTGCATTCAACAGGTTGATGTGAGTACTTGGATGAAATATATAAATGCATACTGATTCCACTAGAACAGCAAAGACAATTAAGTGGCCCAATTTGGTGTCTCTCACAGCGTTCTATCCTATGGCCAATACCATGCTAAAGAATCTGTTCCTTTGAAGGAGAAATGCAGTAATAATTCTCAAATACTAAACATTCGCCTAGGGTACATGCCTTCATTGTAATGCTACAACCCAACTCAGGGCGAAGTGCTAAAGGGCTCTTAGCAAAGTGCTAAAGGATTGGACACATAGTGGTCAAATTTGCGTGGCAAAAGGGAAAAAGTCGAATTTCTGTTCCCTATATCATCAGTGATTACATGTTTCCTGTGATCTTGCTTACAACTGACCTCTTTTGCTCCCTAAACCACCCTGTACAATGTGTTCAAAGATACTTCCCTCAACTAGTCATATCATTCAACGAGTACACATGGACCCCCAGTTATGGAAAAACACAGTGGGGAATACAAAGAAACACAGTACAAGCTCTCCAGTGTCCAAACATTTAGGTCGGCGATTATGCAAAATCGGTGGCCCTCTTTAACCCTGTTCCGACGTAGCATAACAAACAACTAGGACTGCCTCACAGGAGAGAGGCAATGCCACATGGACGTAATTTATAAGTTAATTAGCACAGTCTACTGGGCCAAGTCGTGACAGATGTGACACCTGCTTTCAGGGAAAAAATGAAAAAGAGGAAAGAACAGCAGAGGTAAACTCCCTCTCTAGGGAGGTTTGTGGTCACACACAGGTCACGTTGGCAAGCATATAAAACAGAATTTTAATAGACCAAAGTAACTTTGAAAGGCAAGCTATAAATATGAATGCAATTAAAAAACACACACTAAGTTCTCCAGCTGAATGAATAGTTAAGTGTATGTACTAGGGGGAGGCATTTACATACCAAGGGTTGTTCAGAACAGTAAAATGTTTTATGTATATTTATATATATAGATATATATATGCTTTATGTGTATATATATTTTATGTATATATATAGATATAAATATGCTTTATGTGTGTATATATATATATTCTTAAAATTATCTATTTGCCTAATATATAATGTAACAGTTTGCCACCAAATTTGTTTTTTTTTAAACCAGAAAGAACTATTAAACTGGCCAAATCTTTATACAGTATGAAGTCAAGTAGTGGAGGGGAGTAGTTTAGTGATATGCTAAATCTATTTACTTTTGTCAGGAGATATAATATGAGCAAAAATAATGCTATCATCTATTAGGTTGGTGCAAAAGTAATTGCTGTTTTTGCCACTAATTTTAATGGCAAAACCGCAATTACTTTTGCACCAGCCTAATAGAATTTTGACTTCGACTGTTTCAACTCAAACTGGGATTTTCTACGAACATGAGTTTATATAGTATTTTACTAAAACCAATTGCCACATCTCAGAGCTGCAAGAATTTAGACTCTGTGCAACTTTTAAAACTAACCAATGGACGCATACAAAACTGACACCATCAATTCAAGTGTTGAGCAGTTTTTATTCCCCAGTTAAGAAGCTGAGGTAGATATGTGCATGCAGGGATTTTACTGAGGTGTACTCTTAAGAGTCATTCCTTTGGAGAAATGAAGGGGAGCAGGGTTGAGTAGAGGAAGAAGTTGAAAAGCAAAGCAATTTCAGCATAGGCCCCATCTACCCCCATGGTTAACTCAGATTCTGGGTCAACCTTAAGAGTTGTACAGATTTGATGCTGGGCTACTGGGCTTTTACTACACACAGACTCCAGTATAATCCAGCCACACATATCTCTTTTTTTCAAACTATAACCTATGAAAACTTAAACTCATAAAAAACACCAATATCGGAGTCTTCATTTTTTTTTGTTTTTTTTTTGTTTTTGTTTTTTTGGGACGGAGTCTCGCTCTGTCACCAGGCTGGAGTGCAGTGGCACAATCTCGGCTCCTTGCAACCTCCGCCTCCTGGTTTCAAGAGATTCTCCTGCCTCAGCCTCTCGAGTAGCTGGGACTACAGGCATGTGCCACCACACCCAGCTAATTTTTGTATTTTTAGTAGAGATGGGTTTTCACCATGTTGGCCAGGATGGTCTCGATCTCTTGACCTCGTGATCCACCTTCCTCAGCCTCCCAAAGTGCTGGGATTACAGGCATGAGCCACCACACCCGGCCAGAGTCTTTGTTTTTTAAATTAAAAGACTTAGAACCAAATGATTCATCTAGGACAATGGTTATTAAAGAGTAGTTCTTGTACTAGCAGTATCAATATCACCTGGAAACTTGGTAGAAATGCAACTTCTTGGGTCCTACCCCAAAACTGCTGAATCAGAAGCTCTAAGGTGGGGCCAGACAACCTGCTTTAACATACCTTTCAGTGGATTCCAATACACTCTAAAGTTTGAGAACTACTGACCTAGTACTTTGAAAACATAATTCAATAGTTGAGGGGAAAAAAGCTATCCAAAATATTTCAGAATTGTAGGACTGGCCTGGGAGTAAAAAAGAACAAATGGAATCACACTCATGATTAGAGTTTGGTTTATGTGGATTTTGCTCCATTCTTCTTTGTCTGTCCTGGTTTCTGCTATGCATGCAGGTGATGTCTGGTGGCATTGCACCTGTGACAACAACCATATCTGTGGTTTATCCAACTGTGTCCTAAGTATATGCTTAGCCGGTGGAATGTATGATTTCACTTGGATTGATAGGAAGAAATAAGCCTTAAGAATGACAAGGATTTCTACTTTAGCAAGCCTCAACTGGATTAGGAAATAGCTTGTCTGGGGTTCAGTAATGATAATTCAGTCAATATCTTCCCTGAATTTAAGATTATCCAAAGAGCATTTCAGGATGGAAATTTTGTCCTATAGGTTTCCACCCAACCCTTTTCTTCTTAAACTATCCTTGCCTGTTTGTCATTTGAATGAGGCATCTTCTGGAATAATACGGCTGGAAGAAAGTGAGCAGGGCTTAGTCAGTCATTGCTACAAGAATATAGATGTGGGAAAACAGTCACTTTGCAATGTGGATACCTGGCAAATATACCTTATCCAAGTGATGAAGTTTACCATCCTTAATGTTAAGCCATGTTTATTACACTTACCAAAGTCCACATAGCTACCTCCTTTTTATCATTGGAGATCTGCTCAAATGTGACCTCCTTACAAAATGCTTGGGGCTACCTTATCCAAAGTTATCTTTTACCTAACTTTTGTATCTTCTATCCAAATATTTGCTTTATTTGCCTCATAGACTTCATATCTGAAACTATTCCATTATGTGCGTTTGTGTGTTTTGCAATTTGCTTATTTCTTCAGTAGGTGAGGAATACCATGACAGTAAGCAAATTATTTATGTCATTCTTCATTATCTATCAAGGATTTAGAATATTACCTGTCACATATTAGGCACAAAATCAATACATTAAAAAAAAAAAAAAACTAAACTAAAACAAAACTTGTCCCGGTATCTTTAAGCATACTTATCAAAGATCAAAGCTGAACTCTGGTTTTCTCCAATGTCCATCATTTTTTCACCCAGCTGCTATGCACATAAAGAAAATGATCTTATCACAGTAAATAACAATAACTAACACTTACTGACTTACTATGTGCTTGAGTGGTTTATATACAGTTGAAAGCCAAGCATTTTAGTAGGAATTCAGGTATTTTCATCCCAGTTTTATAGATAAGAAAATTAAGTTTCTAAAGGAGTAATTTTTCCAAATTCATGAAAAAAAGCAAGCTGTAAAATTGTCTGAATTGGACACTTAGGTTCTTAATCATTTTGTCAGCAGTAGTTAGAATGTAGTTGCATCAGAATCTCCTGGGGTGTCTTTTCAAATTCTAGATTATCTGGCCCTATTACCAGAAATTCAGATATAGTGGGCAGAGAGTGGGGCTCAATTATTTGCTGTTCACCTCACCTAGATTTCTAAAGCAGACAGTTCATATACAGCATTTTGCTACAGATTTTGTTAGATCAGACTACACTAATGCCATATGATAACAGTCATAGGGAGAAGGATATAGCATTTTGGGAAAATTCCTGCTGCTAAAGTCCTGCACAAGAAAAGTGCAGTTCAGGTAATGAGTCATAAGCAACAATTACTCTTCTCCACAGTTTTTCGGTCAAGTTCAGATTAAGTCTGGTTCTGATAACCCTGTAGGGACAGATGAGATCAGAGTCCTCCTGTGTCTGGCTTCGAGGATATTACCATACCTCCCTGATGGAATGAATGGCTCTTCACTGAGAAAGGTGGTAAGAGATCTCACCTTTCCTGATGGGTGACTCTGGGCTGCAGGAATAGAGGCCAAGTTTTAATCTTAGTAGAAGAAGACTTGCCATTGACGCGCCTGACTTTTGACAGGAATACTGCAGCTGCTTGTACTCAGGCCTTAAATTGGAGTGAGGGAAAGGCAGGGTCTGTCGTTGGCTGATGATGTATTTTCATCAGCTCATAACAAAACAGAGTAGCTCAGACAGCCTGTTGAAATAAATTTAATGTTATTTTGAAAGAAAGAAAGAAAGAAATAGTAGATTCATTCTTGGCAGCTAAATTCAATCTTGTGTGAAAGGAAAGCTAACATAATTTGAAGTGCCACAAGAACCTTAAATCTCCCCCAGGATTTCGTTGCTTGGCTTTTCCTTTCTCTCTCCCATGCCTCTCTCTCTTCCTTCAGGGAGCTTGGTTTCCTATTTCCTATGGCTTTAGCCTCTTCCTTGAGTGTTTCCACTTTCTCTGGGCATTAATGTAAGCTCCTCATGGCTAACATGCATTTGTGATTGTAAGGTCTTCCCTTGGGATTTCATTCTGCTGCTTGGATGAATGGTCAATTAAACACAAAGAGGGGTGTTCCTTATTGGCTCAGGTCTTTCTGCATCAGAATCCCTAAAATGGCAGAAAAAGAACTAATGAGTTCTATTCATTAGAATAGAACTAGTTCTATGTCCTGATGAGCTAGTACTTTTGATGTAAGATGCTTGTCTTTTGCTTACCTCCCTTCCAAAAGAAGCTAATAATCCAAAGCCATCCCCTGCATAAATATTAAAACATATCTTTGTTAACCCCAAATGTGTTATATTTATTGACATGCTAGGAAAATATATATGAAGTCTAAAGAAAATAATGAATATAACTCATAATCCCACCACACGGGAGATGGCTACTATTAACATGTTGAGATACATCTTTCTGGTTCTTTGTTCTAGTTATGTGTCTATATTTGTACATATATGTAAACAGAAACAGGTTTTTACTTCAAAGAGCTCATAGATTCTATCCTATTTTGTAAACTATCCTATTTTGTCCTTTATTTAAATATTATAATACTTTATGATTACATGTTATTAAATCTTAGCTACCTTATTCTCTTAATAAATCCTCTATTTTTGAATGTTTATATTTCATTATTTTATTCTACTAAAAAATTATGAAGACCATTCTTCTAAAACATCGCTATATTTTGTTAAAGTATATGACTTTTGAAAAAATATATAGTTTCCCATTTTCCATGTTTTGCTTATTAGTGGCTCTCAAAGTGTGATCGCTAGAGTAGCATCAGCGTCACCTGGGTATTTTTTAATAAGACAAGTTTTCAGGTTCCACCCAGAGCTACTGAATCAGAAATTCTGGTGGTGAGGTCCAGAAACTTGAGTTGTAACAACAACTCCAGGTGATTCTGATATATCCTAATGAGTGAGAACTATGGATCTGGGATATTTGGTGGTTAGAGAGAACTGCCAGTCTAGCAGCCTCACTGTACAATATTTGTAAGTCCTGCAGCAATGCTGGGATATATTTCCTAGGAAAATTCAACTATTTGTCTCATATTTCAGATTTTTTTGGCTGACTCTGAGAATAACAGTTCTGGCAAGTCTTCTGGGGTCTTTATGTTAGCAGCAGCAAATCCTTATGGGTCTGCAGCAACTTGATTCTTGCCTACTCAGAGGAAAGAATTCATCTGTGGGGCATAATGCACAGTGAAAGATAAAGGCAAGTTTTAGAGAAGCAGTGAAAGTTTATTAAAAAAGTTTTAGAGCAGGAACGAAAGAAAAGAACAGGGCCAAGCAGGCGACTTGAGCAATCCAAGTGCCCTGTTTGACCTTAGACTTGGGGTTTTATACATTGGCATGCTTCGGGAGTTTTGCATCTCTCCTCCCTTGATTTTTCCTTGGGGCAGGCTGTCCGCATGTGCAGTAGCCTGCCAACACTTAAGAGGGGAGTGCATGCATGGTGTGTTTACTGAAGTAGTGCACATGCTCACTTGAGGGATTTTTCCCCTTACCAATCGAGTGTTCCTAGAGAAAGGTCATATACCAGTTAAACTCTGCCATTTTGCTTATTAGTGCACATGCTTTGGACCCACTTGCCCAAATCCTGCGATCTTACTGGGAAGCTGCTGATCACCAGCTTCAGGTGTTTTCTGTCTATTGGGAGACTGATTTTCCTTGATGCCAGATGTGACCAATTATTATTTTAGAGAGATAGCTTAACAACTGCATGACCATTACCTAATGGTTGACTTGAGATGGTATGTGTTCCCTTGACCTTGACCCCCTCCGTGGGCAGGAACTAGAGTGGCTCATTTAACTCAGCTTGCAGTCTATGGACAGCTAAGTGTTAACAGCTCAGTGAAGGGTCAGGCTGATTGCCTCTTGCAACTGCCATTTATGACGCCTGAGTTCTTGTTCAGTGTCCAGGAAGAGTCAGGTCATAGGAACTGTTTAAAAGATGATGAATGCAGAAGACTTTATTGAGCAGTGGAAGCGGCTCTTGGTGAAAGGGGAGCTAGAAAGGGGATGGTGCAGGAAGAAGGTGATCTTTCCCTGAAGCCCAGCTGTCTCTGGCTAGGCTCCCTTGTGAAACTGCGCCATCTGAAGTGAGCCATGTTATGTGTAGTCACTGACCCTCAATTCCTTCTCTACTTACCACTCATCTGCTTGTATCCCCAGCACTCAGCAGCTTGAATCCCTGAGATTCAGCAGCTTGCATCCCTGACCACTTGCATCAGCTGCCTGTGTTTTTATGGGCACAGGATAGGGAGTGGGGCAGGCCAAAAAGCCAATCATTTGGGTAGGAAAAATAGGGTCAGATGCTTTCATTTAGGGCTGAGAGTCCAGGCTTGAGGTAGAGTTTAGCTGGGAGCCCAGCCCTTCAGTATATGGGTCAGCAGTTCCCATAGAGCTGAGGTTCCAGGGCCAAAGTTCCAGGCTTGAGGGTGAAGTTTAGCCAAGAGCCCAACACTTCTGTATTTGCCTGACATTCTTTCGGTGGGACCTCTCCTGCCCTGCTCACATTTGCCTACTCTAACATTTGTACTTTTACATTTGGAATAACTGTCCTTCATTATCTCTCATGTGAAGGACCACACTCACCACCTGACTTTTCTTTCCGCTTTCTTTCTCCTTCCCACAAGCACCCCACCAACACACTTTTTAAAATTAAAGCTAAAGTTTTATTTTAGCATTTAAAGATTATATGAAACATGGTTGATTACCCATACTTAAAAAATTCATCAGTTATTTCTCCTGGTCTATTGAATAAAATTTAAACTCATTTACATGGCATTTAAGACGTTTCACAGCCTTTCATCTAATTACTGTTTGGATTTGTAAGGGAGAAAGCAAATAATTCTTTCCCCAACACTCATATTTATTAGTTGGGATGAAACCCTTTAACAAAAGACAGGTTAACCACAGAAAAACAAACAAGTTTAATGACATGTATACCTCATGTATACATTGGTGATACCCAGAGAAGTCAGTGCATTTCAGAGAAGCAGCTTTGAACTCAACCTTGTATTACCATTGTTCCCCGAAACAAAGAAAGAAGGGTGTTGTGGGAGCCAGTGATGGGGAGGTGACCAGGAAAAGCAGGGCAAACAAGGGTAAGGTTTGTTATGCAGATTTAAGAGCTTTCTCTATTGGTAAGAGTCTCTAGTGATTTAGTCATTCTTCTTTCCTGGTACAGAGAGGGAGACATCGTTACAAATGGAGATTTTCTTTCTAAATGTAAATTTCTTTTACCAAAGAGTAACTTCTACTCTATATTCAGAGCTTCTCCTGTCTGTAGTTTCTCAAAATAATCAATTCAAAATAATCCTTATGCCAAAGAGATATATTTTGGGGTGGCAGATTCTGATTTCTTACAAATCTCATCTGCCACTCCCTACTCATTCAAGTTCCTCTGTAAGCCATTATATTCACTTTGGGTGTATTATTCTCTTTCAGGAATTCATGCCTTAATACCACCAATTTTAAATATTCTTCCAAACCTTTATAGCATAGTGAAATCTTATTCTTCCTCTACACTCAGCTCAAATATCACCTCATCTGTGAAGACTTCTCTGTTATTTCAATCCATTATAGTAATTTAAATGTTACTTTGTTTATACCTAAATATGAATTTCTTTTGCTGTCTTGTAAATGATTTAGTACTTTTTTTTTTTTAATGGCTTGTCATGCATGTAGGGATAAGATATTACCTGTGAATATCCCAATACAATACAAGGGACTTAATAGGCATTCAGTAAGTGTTAAATGCTTAAAAGAATCATAAAAATATAAAATTCACAGTATGTATACTATCAAACATTTAAATTCCATACAAATTTAGTATTATTAAAAATCTAGGGGAGAACAGACTAGTATTCCAAAGAGAAAGAGAATTGATAAATTAATCACTCTAGATAACAGGATAACATATTTAAAATATTTTATTAAAATTCTAAAAATGGTAGAAAATAATTTGACAACTCAAGATAGATGAAATACTTTTATCTTGTTTCATTGTTCTTATTTCCTCGAGGAAAAACAACAATTTAACATTATTTTGGCCTTGCTTTATTGGCTGGAAAGCAAAGTTGTGATAAATAACCTTGTCATGAAATAAAGATGATTACAATGGAACAATATTGTACTGCTGAGAATGGGTGTTTGTAAGTGTTGTTGTTTTTTACAACCTTCTATTTTCTAAAGAAGGTCTTATTAGTTGCAAAATGCTTTAAATAAAGAGATGATTTCAGCATCCTACCTAAGCCAACAGTCCTACTCCCTTCCCTTTATTATTGTTGATCAATAGCCTCAGTAAGCAATTTCAGGGAAATCAATTATGCCATTCCACCCAGAAATGTCTATTTCATCACTTTCCTCCACGACATGGTTGAAATGACTAATTTTCTGGGGCTCGTTAAATCTCCATCTTTCATAGAAGACCACAAATTCTACCTCCCATATTACCCAGTGATTTGGGGCAATAGGCAGACATGCAGGAGTACTTGAAGCAGATTAATACTGAAAGAGCTTCTAACACATCAAACAATCCTTCAAATGTCTCTTAGACAAGATTTTTCACATGAAATGCCTGTACTTAGCTCAAGAAGGAAGGATTTTATCACAACTGGAATGCCTGACAGATTGCAATAGTATGCCTTCGACTATGGAATAAATTGTGTTCTATCCAAATGTTTATATTGAACCCTAAACCCTAAATATGGCTATATTTAGAGACAGGATCCATAAGGAGGTAATTAAGGTGAAATGAGGTCAACAGGGTGGGGCCTGCTTCAATTAGATTAGCCACCTTAAAGAAGAGACACCAGAGAGCTCCTTTGCTTTCTTTCCATGCATATGGGAAGGTCATGTGGGGACAAAGTGATCAGGGGATTGTCTGCAAGCCAGAAAGAAAGCTCTGGCCAGGAACCAACCTTGCTGGACCTCTTTCGAGGACTTGTGGCCTCCAGAACTATAAGTAAGTAAAATTCTGTTGTTTAAGGCACCCAGTTGTATCTTATTGTGGCAGCCCGAGCAGACTAATACATGTTTCCACTGAGCATTATTCAAGGATAATTACATTAATAATTAATATTTTAATGTCAAGAAAGACACTCATATCTCAGACTCACAAAAATAAGCATTCAGTATGGCCTCTGGACAGCATGGGGACTACCGCCCTTTTCTTTTTAGAAAAGGTAAACAACCATGTAAATCCCATCCCTTCAATGATTTATTTGCATGAGGATGAAATCTAGGGCCCTCGTAAAGAGTACAAATATAAATGTGCATAGTGTGTTTACCCATTAAATATATTAGTGCCCATTATTTATTCATTTTAATTATTCTCTGGGGTCTGCCATGTGCCCAGCACATCTGTGAGTGCTGGGGAAACAGTGGTGTGCAGGCCAGCAAAATCCCCAGTCAGTGAGGAGCCTGCATAACAGATAATAAACAAGTAAACATGCCATTGATATAATTTTCAGAGAGTAAAGAGCATAGAAAAAGCAAAACCACAAGATGAGATGATGAATGGCAGCTATTTGAGATTTCTGTCAAGAAGGCAGAGCCTACCCTCATGCAGCTTAAAATGAAATGATGGTAACACTTTAAGCAAGGAAGTGAATGTATTAAGATTATGTGCACAGGTGGCTATTGGAACACAAAGAAAAAATGTCTTATACAATTTTGGGAGGCCAGAGAAGTCTTTACCAGGGACAGTAAGAGTAATGGAGAAGAATGGCTAAATAATTCAGCATGGAAAGAGAGAGATGTGGGTTGGAACTTGGCTCTCCTGTGTGATGCTTGCTAGTGACTTATTCTCTCTGATTCTTTTCTGTCTTGTAAAATAGGGCTTGTAATACCCTCTCACAGGAAGGGGAGAAGGTTGGTGTTCAATACCCAGAATGAGAAATAGCCTGAAATAGTCCTAGAAATAGAAGTGGTTCACAGAGAATGAGGCCATAAATGAAAAACATTAAGGCAGAGGTCATATCATAAAGGTCCATGCTAAGGAACCAGAAGTATAGTTTGAGGCAAGGGATATATCCCTTGGCCATTTAAGGGCTTCAAGATGATTAAAGTTTTAATTTATAAATTCACAGAAGATTTTTAACGTTCATTTCATTTTATCTATATTTTCTAAATTTCTGACACTGAATAGTACTTATATAAATTTTGAATTCTTAAAGCAGTTAGAAAAAAATAACCCTATTGAATTAGTCAAAAAATGCAAAGGACCACAAATTGGCGATATTCCTGCATAAACATATGATATCAGTTTAACAACCTCCAAATAAGTGCATTGGCCTGTGGGCTTTGGTATCTGAGGTCTTTATGACATAAAAATTGATAATCCAGGGAGATGAGCATCTGTTCTGTAATCTTTGGCATTATCCTCATGCACATATTTTCTTGGTAAGAGGATTGAGCAACAGAAACTTAGACATCCTGGAAATTCTGCTACATCATCCAATATGGAAGTTTTCCTGGACTGAATGGTCTGTTTACAGAAGATATACTAATGCTGATCATAATCAACTGTCATAGCCCAGCAATTCCATCCCTAAGTATATGCCTATAGAAATTTCCATAGATGGTCAACCAAAAAAAAAAAAAAGTATGAGCAGCACAAATTGCAAACTCCCCAAATGCTCATTAATAGTAAAATGAGATAAGTATATTTTGGTATATTTCCCCAAAATGAAATAGGGTACAGAACTAATAATAAAATGACTGCAACAACTCACAAGTATACTGTTGAGTGAAAAAGATCAAACAAAAAAATGTAGATACTGTAAGGTAGGGGTGTGTGTGGGGGGTGGGGTGTGTGTGTGTGTGTGTATGTGTGTGTTTATGCATTTACGCTGAGGGGGTGTAATAGATAATTTCATGTGTCAACTTGACTGGGACATGGGGTGCCCATATAAATGGCCCAACATTATATGGGGTATTTCTATAAGGGTGGTTATGGATGAGATTAACATTTAAATCAGTAAGCTGAGTAAAGCAGATTGCCCACCCTGAAGTGGGTGAGCCTCATCCAATCAGTTGAAAGCCTAAATTAAACAAACAAACAAACAAACAAAAAGTCTGACCCTCCTCTGAGAAATAGTGAATTGCTCCTGCCTGACTTCATTTGAACTGGGACACCAGCTTTGTCCTACTTTGGGAATTGAAGTGAAACATCAGTTAGTCCTGGATCTGGAGCCTGCTGGCCTTTGGCCTGCAACCACACCATTAGCTCTCCTTGGTCTAGAAGACTCAGCCTGAAGATCTTAGGACTTGTCAGCCTACATAACTGCATGAACCAGTTCCTTCAATAAATCTCTTTATAAATGTAAAGAATGTACCCACATCCTATTGTTTCTGTTTCTCTGGAGAACCCTAACTAAAACAGAGGATTTCCAGGGTGCTAGTAATGCTTTGTTTATTAATCTGAATTCAGGGAGCTATACACTCAACTATGGCAAAATATTAAGGTAAATTTAGATATAAATATTTGGAATCACTTTTTTCAACCTTTCAGTAGTTTCCAGTTAAAGTTAACTTTATGACTCCTCATTGATGTTAGAGGGTATCAAAATCTTAATATCATTTTAAAAAAATACAAAGAGTATGGAACATCTCATGATCATTGTCCATTTGCAAATGTTATAGTCTGTTTGCCTAAACGAGGTCCAGCTGTAGGTCAGAGGGTCTGGCATAAGCCACTCTGTTCCCTGGGAGCCCTCCACATTTCTGAGACTGTAAATCAAGGTTTTCTTTACCCGCATTCTAGTAGAATGAAACCCTAGGATCAGAGAAACTATATTTGGCAGTTTTGATATATAGCATATCCTGATCTGTACAAAAGCCACATCTCCAGAGATTTCCAAGTTACCCTACAATGCAAGGGTGAAGCCCTGGGTAACCTGGGTCAGATCAGTGCAAAATACTAAGAGACAGACCATTTATAGGGTTCTGTATATGACTCACTCTTAAATGTGTTTAAAGCCATTTTTTAAAGGCTTACCCTAACGAAAAAGTGGAGCACTGAAGCTCCTGTGGGAATTTCATAGTACCTGAATAATATTGAATTAGTATTTAAAAAAATAGAATTGTTCAAAAATTTTGCCTGTATAGAGTCCTAGACCATTATCATGTGCCTTCTAAAACAACAATCCAAAACCTTCCCACCAAAACCACAAATTTTGCCATAAAATGTCAGCTTTTTTGAAAAGATAAAATACTAATTATTGAATATTTTTAGTCAATAAACAAATAATAATGCTTACTTTGCATGGACATCATACTTACTTCACCTCGCCCCCATCTAACCTGCATTTACCACAAACTCAGAAATATAAAACTATTAGTGAATAGCAAGAAAAAGAACCTAAGAAGGTTTATGTATTTATCTATTGCCAAGTGTAAAAGATAATATTTTAATGGATTAACAGTTTCTTCTATTAGGAGCTGAATCCAAAGGCAGTAAACAAATTATGTTTCTTGGATAACTGGATTTTTACATTCACAAAGCTTCCTGTATTTTTCTGACACCATTATCAACCATAAAAATAAAGTAATCCACCGCTATTCCATATTGCTAATATTTTCTTGATACCTTTGAAACTGTTAACACATTTGGTAGCTCTTGTATATCTTAAATACAAACTTTGGCACTTTTCACTGAAAGCTAATTTGGAACTTTGCTCTAAAACGTCCCCTTTAGCAAATCTGTCAAGAAACTACTCAATCAAAAACTGAGCTCCTGAATACTCAACAGTCTTTATTTTTTTTCTAGTTTTCTCATCTACTCTGTCCTTCACTCAACCTGGCCACTTACCAGAAATCCTGGGACATTGAAGTCAAGCTTTCTAGTACTGGGTCATTTCCAATTCTTAGTCTACTCAGTGTCAGCCAAAACCCTAAACTCTCACAAATAGTGCTATGTCTTGATTAATCATTTGTTAATTTGAAGGCAAAGTGCTATATTTCCTGGTGGAGAAAACCAAAATAATCAGATGGCTTGCTTTTTTTTTTTTCCCCCCCCCCTCTCTATGTTGGCCCAGGGTCAGCAGGTTTGAGCAAAGCAGGAGTTGACAGTTTTAGAGAGAGGCTTTCAGTCTTAAGCCTGCCTCCAGCACACCTGTGACACACAGAGAAGTAAAAGCTTTAAAGCAGTTTTTAAAGGAGTTTAGATAAAAGAAAGATGGGAATTCTTTCTCAGACTAAAATGTTGTAGACAAATATTATTAAATACTGGCAGCAACTGGCATTGGGTATATAATAAGAGGGCTCAGTCTGTTCTGTGTTTGCTCAAACTTGAGTAATTTGAAATCAAATTCTAGTAGTGTGTCTGAATTCTTGTGGCTGTTTGGAAAGAGCAATTTTTTATTTACTAGTTCTTAAGGAAAAAATATTTTTAATTTTAATTTTTCAAATCTATGTGGAAATAATATTAGTCTGATCTCTCTGTGTTGGTTTATGTTGTTTTTATCTGCCTAGCACCTGCTTTCCATGAGCCATGTTGTCAGTAGTCTCCCAATCACAGCCTCACCTCTTCCTTCTAAGCCACAGGTATGGACCAATGTTAGCCAATCATCCACCTGACAATAGCAACTGATTCAAGACGGGAGCTCAAGAACCAAGTAGGGCCTGAGGGCTTTACCTGAAGTGAAATATGAACATCCAATGGCAAAAAGAAATACTCTCTCCACTGGATTGTTATGCCTGGGCCTGCAGCAACCAAGTTCTCTACCACATGGAGAGATATGAGATATGGTTAGACAAAATGAGAAGAGCACAGACAAGCAGAAACAAGAGCTGGGCAGGATCCCTGTTCAGACTAACTTACAGTCTGAACGTACATGCAAAGATCTCTGAAAAGCAGTCTATCCAAGTGGGCTTAAAACTTTAGTCATGACAAATTGTATTTTCAGAGGCAGCACAGTGCATTTCTTAAAGCTCTTGTTGTTCTTCTTTACTATCAAATAAAAATTGGCTCCCTGTAACTTGTATTTTGACCAGCTCTCCACTATCATGGAATGAACATATTCTATCTATTGTATGAGAGTCTTTTACATATTAAAAGATATCCTGTATTCCCTAAGCCTCATTTTTTTTTTTTTTTCTCAAGATAAAGTATCATTTAGCTCTAGTAAGAGAAACAATGTGGACTGGGATGAAACATGAATCTGATCCAACATGACAAATCTTTTGTTCCTATGAGGATTTTCTGCCAGGTCAATGGTAAAAACTAAATAGACAGCAGGATGTTAGATACAGTTTGAGTGCAGAAGAGAAGTATAAGAAAGGTGGCTCATGTAAAGCAGAACAGTATATATTAGAAATAAAATGATCTGTTTTCCAGAGTAGTATTCTGCTCTGTCTCTCTCTCTTTTTTCTTTTTTTTAGAAGTAGATAGAATAAAACAATTGACCAAAGATTTAAAATGTCAACAAAGTTTGTCAGTGCCTAGGAACTGTTAGAAGTCAGTGGGAAAAAATTATTCAATAGTAAATTAGAAATGAAAACATGAAACACAAATTTGAAAAACAGTGGTATTTCAGGATTTTTAAGTTAATCAACCAGTTGGCAGAAAATCCAACTTGTTCTAAACAGAGTTAGGATACAGAAAAGACAATGACTACATTGAGAATATCAAGATATGAAGATCAGTTGAAATTTTTAAAAATGCTATTTCTACTGGTAATTTAAACCAAAATGAGAAAAGTGATTGATTGCAGGTGGTAGCTGGGGACAAGCTTCTTTTCCATGACACAGTCCCAAACTTCAGTGATGCGTGTCAATTCTGAATGGTACCGGGATAATTCTGCGATCGCTCACAGTTGAAATGGTGGTTTTAAATGATCTAAGAATTTCTAGTTTCGGTTTTAGAAAGACAATAAAGTTTATTTCAAGAAGCCAGTACCTGTTTAAATTTAAAAGAGAAGAAATTTAAAGGTAGAAATTCTTCTCAATTATCTGGGCCAGTAGTTTAGCCTCCTAAATAGAAGTCTATGTAGTGAATCTCTAAATTAACTTGATTAAATATTACTACAGCTTTTTTTTCTTGGAGCTCAGTAGATCATTTCAATACAATTCCAAACAATCTCTTCAACATGAATATTCTTGGCCCCTGACTTGTGCACTCTCACATTCCAAGAACTTAAGAGGTTTTCTCTAGACTTCAGTCTGGGAGTGTCATCTCTGGTCTACTTTATATTGATACAATGAACTCCAAGTAGTCATTATCTTGGGAGTAAAATTTTTTTTTTTACTACAGTGGAAGAGTGTACAAACAGAGGAGTCACAGGTCTCAGCTTTGAAGTCAGAAAAATCTTGGGTTCAACTCTGAGCTCTCCAACTCACCAAGACTTTCTGAGCCATTTCCACATTTATAAAATCAAAATCATAACATCTACTTTATAGGTTTGTTATGAGGGCTTGGTTATTTTTCCAAAATCCTTAGTATGTTGTAATTACTAAACTAGTAAACTGGTAGAAACTTCTTTTATAAATGTAAGAACTGGGGATAAAAGCTATCCACAGGAGGATGAATTGTAATTAGAAAACTCAAGTGGAGACACATGACAAATAGAACATAATATCTATGACTTGCCTTTAGAATTGTACCTTTCCAGTATTAGGATAACTTTTTGCTTTAGAATAGTTTAAAAACATTTTGTCAGGCACTGTGGTTGTCCCTGCCAGTAGGCAGTTGAATAATATGAAGTCCCTATCCCTTGAAGAGGTGATGTTTAGGGACAGGTGGGCAAATAATTTCAGAGTTGTGTGTTGCATGGTTAGCTCTATTTATAAGATATTTCAGACCATGCAGAAAGAGTTTTAGTCTTGTGCTGGGTAAGGGAAACAGCATATCTCTAACGGCTTTCTGGAGGGTGTCATACAGAGTTTAACTCTGTAGGAAGTGCAAGAACCAAGCAAACAAAGCCATTCTAGGTAGACTAAAAGGGCTCAATAACGGTATCGAGACCGGTAAAAATGTGTCAAAGGAACTATAAGCCCTTTAATAATACAAGATTAAAAGACAGTTTCAGAGATATGTTCTTTCAGACTTTAGTGTTACAAGGGATTCCCATGCTTGACCATTTTTTCCAGGGCAGAGAAAAAGAGAGAAAGCATTTTAATACAATTATCAAAGTCAACATACGAGGTTATTTATTACTTCGAATACATAATAGCAATCCCATTAAAATCAGACAAAAAATGCTTATTGCTTTAAAATATGTTTTGGCCTGTCTAGCAGTGTAATAGACCAGGAAACTAAAATCCTATCTGTGGTTAACATTAAGAAAAATGCAAAATTATCATTACTTGTATATGAAAAGAATTTCTTTCTGGAAAATAGAAAAGAATCAAACTATTGGAACTAAGAGGTAAATTCAATTTATTTATATAAATAGTAAAGGTGCAAAACTTGACAGGTGTCTTATATCACCAACAGTTAGTGAATATAATGTTGAAAAAGAGTCCATTCATAACAGGAGCAAAAATTTAAATACTTGGAAGTAATCTTAACAAGAATGCTTCTAAACTGAACTCATCTGAATATTTTTGCTGAGAGATTCAAAAGAAGACTTAAAAATGGAGAGACATATCAAGTCCACAGATGGGAAAATTGAATATGATAAACCAATTCTTCTTTTTTTAGATCTTATGCAAATCTAGTAAAAATCATAGTTTTTTTTTGAATTCACCAATATGAATTTGTGACTGACTCCATTATTGAGAACTGTAAAGAAAAATTTGTAAGTATAAAAACTACTCTGTACTCTACTATTTATCACCAGTTACATACATGTATAATGAAACTATAAAAATTAAAGGATTTCAGTATTGAAACAAAAATCTACAGATCTATCAAATAAAGCAGTCACAAAATAGACAATGTTGTGAACAAACCAGGAGGCAGATTCTGTAGGAAAATAAGCATTATTTATACTTAACACTCGCAAAGTTGCTAATTTCTTTAATTAAAGGCTCCACAAACCACATACAAATAGAAACAATTATAAATAAAATATAATGAATAAAATAAAAATCAGAACAAAATAGATGGAAATTTACTTAAATTAAGGATGAAGCACGGTTGTGTAAAGATATCAGAATTCACAAAGAAAAAATGCTATAAATTAGCCTATATAGAAATTTAAGTCTGTTGTGCTTCAGAAAGGACCATAACTGCAATTGGAAATTAAAGAAAATGTTTTGAAACAAATGAAGGAAGAATAGCCTTAATATGTTTGGAGAGTTTTTTTTTTTTTAAATGCAAACTTAAGAAGTAGAGGAGAAACAATACTTTATACCTTATGAAATACAAACATCAGGGGGAGCAATGCACACTGGGCACCTGTGGGGTTGGCGGGTGCAGGGAGAATATCAGGAAAAATAGCTGATGAATGCTGGGTTTAATTCCTGGGTGATGAGATGATCTTGTACAGTAAACGACCATGGCACACGTTTACCTGTACAACAAACCTGTACATCCTGCACACGTACCCCTGAACTTAAAAGCCGAAAAAAAGGAAAAAAAAATTAAAACATACTTATATTGGTGACCAAAAAAATATTAAAAAAGAAATACAAATGTCTATGAAGTATTTCAATAAATTGCTACCCTGACTGACATCTTTACCATTGAAAAAGAGCAATTTGTTTGTTGTCATTCCAAAGAAAACACGCACTGTACATGTGATGATAAAGGTGTCCACATAATTGTATGAAAGCACAAGTCTAGAAAGTACTAACTTTTGAAAAATAATTTGTTAACATGTTTCCAGAGAAGTACAATGTTCAAAGTTACAGACCAAATGGTATTCTTTCGAGCAACTTTCATTAGAAAAATTGCTAGAAAACTTTTTTTTATTAAAGTCTTCACATTATATTTAAACAGGCTTTTTATTTAGGCTGGGAGAATGATTGCAAAGATAGTTCCCATATATCCTGCATTCAGTTTCCATATTATTAACATCTTAAATTAGTATTGTACATTTGTCACAATGAATGGACCAATATTGACATATTATTATAAACTAAAGTACATACTTTATTTATTTTTCCTTAGTTTTACCTAATGTCCCTTTTTCTGTTCCAGGATTCCACATGACATTTAGTTGTCATATTTTCTTGGGTTCTCGTTAGCTCTGGTGACTTCTCAGACTCACCTTGCTTTTGAATGACCTTGAATAGTTTGAGAAGTACTGGTTGGGAACTTTGCAGAATGAACCTCAACTGGGATTTGTGTGATGTTTTTGTAATGATTAGACCGGGTTTATTGGTTTTGTGAGGAAGACCACAAAGACAGAGTATCGTTTTCACCACATCATATCAAATGTGAACTCTATCAAGATGAGTTACCATTCTTGCTGTCAATCTTATTACCTGGCTGAGGTAGTTTTTTTCTTCAGGTTTTTCTATTTTTTACACATTTCTCCCTCCCTTTGCATACTGTATTATTTGGAAGGAAGTCACTATGTACAGCTCATACTTAAGGAATGAGGAACATTACTTTTGAAAACAGAAATTTAGTAGCCTTAACTCAAGAAATATAAGACTGGTTAATTTTGATATTTCTGTCATAGGGTTCATTATATAACCATTACAAATAACATTAAAAAAATCAATTTCATGTCAGGGAAAAATATTCAAACAGAATAAGTGAAAGAGGTACTGCATACAACATAAAACTCATTGCAAAAATATACATATCTAAAACAAAATAGTATGAAAATAGTGTTTATAAGGTCAATTTAAACATCCTTTTATGTTTCTGATTTTCCAAATTTACTACTACTTCTTACTTTATAATCAGAAATGTAGTTTTCAAAAACTAAATTAAGGCACTTTTTCCACTAAAGGGATATGTTTACCAGATGGACTGGACATATTTATGTTGGCTGGACAGTGTACTCACTCCTTGTAATAGGGCTGGAAGTCCACAGACAAATTTTTCTCTGTTCCCTTTGTTTACTGTAATAAGTGATGCCCTAACACACACATTCCCAGACTCACACCTAAGTAAACACATTCTTTCTTCAAGATTCTTTAATAGCATAGAAGTACAACTTTAGAAATACTAATGTTAATATATTACTTAAATCCTAATTGAATTTTACGCTTTTGTTGATTATGCATTAATAGACTTAGATTAAATGAGGGATCTCATCAATTTAAAACTGAAAAAACATTTTTTTGGTTGCTAAGAATATTAGTATATTATCAAACTCTTGCTGCCACAAAATTTGATTAATCTTTCCATTTAGAGAAAATTATCAATCCACATGTTGTTGTAAGAAATTACACAAAGAGATCCCTTATACTTTTTATGCAGTTTCCCCCAATAGTAACATCTGGCAAGATTATAGTGTAATATCACAACCAGAACATGGACTTTGGTACAATCCACTGATCTTACAAAAAATGTTCTCAGTTTTACTTGTATTCATTTGTGTGTGTGTGTGTGTAGTTCTACGCATTCTATCAGAGGTGTAGATCTGTGTATCTACCACCATAGTCAATACAGGAACAGTTCCATCACCACAAGGATATCTCATGTTTATCTTTTATTACTGTACCCACTCCCTTCTGACCACCAGTTTCCATGTCTAATCCCTAGAAACCACTAATCTGTTGATTTCTGTAATTTTGTTACTTCACAAATGCTATATAAATAGATTAATATAGTCTGTGAGCTTTTGAGATTAGTTTTTTCCCCTCACTCAGCCTACAGCCTTTGAGATTTATCCAAATTGTTGCATGTAACGAATCTCCGAAGACTGCTTAGACCCCTGCTCGTACTCCCCATAACGTAGACCTCTAGGATAGTCACATTCCTGATTTTTGACACCATAGAGCATTTTTGTCTACTTTTGAACTTTACATAAATAGATTTCCATAGTCTGTACTTTTGCATCTGGCTTCTTTTGTTTAACATTGTGTTTGTGAGATTAATTCAAAATCTAGCCTTTCATGGCATGTAGTAGGGTTTATTCATTCTCACGTTGTGCAGTATTCCATTTATTAATCTATCAAGTCACCCATTCTACTGTTAACTACATATGTTTCTTGTTTTTAGATATTATGAATAATATTGCTATAAAAATTCTTGTATGTATTGCCCTGCGAACCCATTGAATCATTTCTTTCGAGTGTACCCTTATGAGAAGAATTGCTGGCTCAGGTAGTATGCATATATTCAGCTTTAGTAGATGTGACCAAATAGTTTTCCAATGTGATTGTGCTAATTTCTGCTCCCACTAGCAGTGTATGAGAGCTACCTATCCAAATATGTGTTGTAAATTTCCTTTCTTTTTACACTGGAGAAACTGAGATTGAATATACTTAAGAGTTTCTTAATGTCACACAACTGAAAGGAAAACTTCCTGGTTTTAACCTAGGTTTCCTAAATCTAGTCATATTCATTTTCTAATTTACTATCATGTCAAATACTTAACTTTTATCACTGTACCTACCTTCTACTTTTTCCATAAGTGAATTTCCATACATTTTGTGCCTCTAATGTTCTTCTACTCAAAGACTAATCCAAGACGATCACAGTTGCTCCCTAACTCTGCCAACTCAGCTGTCTCCTTTTACTTTTTTTTTTTTAATTAAAACAACACACATTTATTGTCTCACACATTTCTTGTCTTAGTTATCATTCTCAGTATCAAAAGTCTCGGAACGGTGGCTCAATGGGGCCCTCTGATTAGGATCTCATGAAGCCTAAAACAAGGCCTGTGTTCCTTTCTAGAGACTTGGGATGAATCCATTTCCAAGTTAATTCAGGTTGTCAGCCAAGTTCAGTGTCTTGCAGCTGTAGGACAGAGGTCTCTATTTCCTTGCTGGCTGTTAGCCAGGAGCCAGTCTTTGTTCCTAGAGCCTGCCTACATCCTTCCTATACTTAATGTGGTGCACCTCCGGCAATGGCAGATAGGGTATCTCTCATGCTTGGGATCCCTCTGACTTCTGCTGCATCTCTCCCTGACTATAGCCACAGAAAATTCTTTGCTTTCAAGAGTTTCTGTGATTAGATTGAATCAACCTGAAAAATCCAGAATAACCTGCAAAGACTCTTTGCCATGTAATGGGGATTAGAGAGTATACATCTTTTTGGGGGAGGTGGGAGCATTATTCTGTCTACTACATTGCATGTATCCATAGTTTGTTTCTTTTTAAAATTTTTTTATTTTTCTATATGTTATTGGGGTACAGGTGGTGTTTGGTTACATGAGTAAGTTCTTTAGTGGTGATTCGTGAGATTTTGGTGCACCCACTACCCGAGCAGTATACACTGCACCCTATTTGTAGTCTTCTATCCCTTGCCCCTCTCCCATCCTTCCCCCCAAGTCCCCAAAGTCCATCGTATCATTCTTATGCCTTTGCATGCTCATAGCTTAGCTCCCACATACCAGTGAGGACATACAATGTTTGGTTTTCCATTCTTGAGTTACTTCGTTTAGAATTATAGTCTCCAGTCTCATCCAGGTCACTGCAAATGCTGTTAATTCATTCCTCTTTATGGCTGAGTAGTATTCCATCATTCACCACAGTTTCTTTATCCACTCGTTGATGGATGGGCATTTGAGTTAGTTAGTTCCACAAAGTTTTCTATAGTGGCTGTACTAGTTTACATTCCCACCAGCAGTGTAGAAGTGTTCCCTGATCACTGCATCCACGCCAACATCTACTGTTTTTTGATTTTTCGATTGTAGCCTTTCTTGCAGGAGTTAGGTGGTATTGTATTGTGGTTTTAATTTGCATTTCTCTGATCATTAGTGATGTCGAGTATTTTTTTCATATATTTATTGGCCATTTGTATATCTTTCTTTGAGAATTTTCTATTCATGTCCTTAGCATACTTTATGATCCGATTGTTTGAGTTTCTTGTAGATTCTGGATATTAGTCCTTTGTCAGATGTACAGATTGTGAAGATTTTCTCCCACTCTGAGTTGTCTGTTTATTCTGCTCACTTGGTATTAGGGTGAGACTGGCTTCATACAATGAATTAGGGAGGGTTCCCTCTTTCTCTATCTTGTGGAATAGTGTCAATAGGATTGGTACCAACTCTTCTTTGAAGGTCTGGTAGAATTATGCTGTGAACACATCTGGTCCTGAACTTTTTTTGTTGGTAATTTTTAAATTACAGTTTCAATCTCACTGTTGTTACTGGTCTGTTTAGGGTATCTAATTCTTCCTGATTTAAGCTAGGAAGGTTGTATTTTTCCAGGGATTTCTCTACCTCTTCTAGGTTTTCCAGTTTATGTGTGTAAAGGTGTTCATAGTAGCCCTGAATGATCTTTTGTATTTCTGTGGTGTCAGTTGTAATATCTCCAATTTCATTTCTTATTGAGGTTATTTGTTTTCTCCCTCTTCTTTTCTTGGTTAATCTTGCTAATGGTCTGTCATCTATATTTATCTTTTCAAAGAACTGGCTTTTTGTTTCACTTATCTTTTGTATTTTTTTGGTTTCAATTTAATTTAGTTCTGCTCTGATCTTGTTTATTTTCTTTCTTCTGCTGAGTTTGGTTTGTTCTTGTTCCTCTAGTCCCTTGAGCTGTGACTTTAGAATATCCATTTGTGCTTTTTTAGTCTTTTTGATGTAGGCATTTAGGGCTATGGACTTTCCTCTCAGCACTGCCTTTGCTGTAGCCTAGAGGTTTTGATAGGTTGTGTCACTATGTTGTTCAGTTCGAAGAATTTTTTAATTTCCATCTTGATTTCACTTTTGACCCAATGATCATTCATGAGCAGGTTATTTAATTTCCACGTATTTGCATGGTTTTGATGGTTCCTTTTGGAGCTGATTTCCAGTTTTATTCCACTGTGGTCTGTGCTTGATATAATTTCAATTTTCTTATATTTACTGAGGCTCATTTCGTGGCCTATCATATGGTCTATCTTGGAAAGCTCCAGGTGCTGTTGAATAGAATGTGTATTCTGCGGTTGTTGGGTGGAATGTTCCGTATATATCTCTTAAGTCCATTTGTTCCAAGGTATAGTTTAAATTCATTGTTTCTTTGCTGAATTTCTGTCTGGATGACCTGTCTAGTGCTGTCAGTGGAGTATTGAAGTCCCCCACTCTTATTGTGTTGCTGTCTATCTCATTTCTTAGGTCTAGTAGTAATTTTTTTATAAATTGGGAGCTTGAGTATTAGGTGCATATATGCTTAGGATTGTGATATTTTCCTGCTGGACAAGGCCTTTTACCATTATGTAATGTTCCTCTTTGTCTTTTTTAACTGCTGTTGCTTTAAAAGTTTATTTTGTCTGATATAAGAATAGCTACCCCACCTCCCTTTTGTTGTCCATTTGCATGGAATGCCTTTTTCCATTCCTTTGCTTTCAGTTTATGTGAGTCCTTACGTATTAGGTGAGTCTCTTGACGGCAGCAGATAGTTCGTTGGTGAATTTTTTTTTCCATTCTGCAGTTCTGTCTCTTTTAGGTGGAGCATTTGGGCCATTTACATTCAATGTTAGTATTGAGATGTGAGGTACCACTCCATTCATCATTCTATTTGTTGTCTGTATACCTTGGTTTCTTATTTCTTGTTTTTGCTTTTTATTGTATTTTTGTTTTATAGGTCCTGTGAGATTTATGCTTTAAAGAGGTTCTGTTTTGATGTGTTTCCAGGATTTGTTTCAAGATTTAGAGCTCCTTCTAGCAATTCTTGAAGTGGTGGCTTGGCAATGGCAAATTCTCTGAGCATTTGTTTGTCTGAAAAAGACTGTATCTTGCCTTTATATGTGATGTTTAGTTTCACTGGATACAATATTCTTGGTTGATAATTGTTTTGTTTGAGGAGGCTGAAGATAGGGCCCCAATCCCTTCTAGCTTGTATGATTTCTGCTGAGAAACCTGCTGTTAATCTGATAGCCTTGCATTTTTAGGTTACCTGGTGCTTTTGTCTCACAGCTCTGAAGATTCTTTCCTTTGTCTTAATTATAGATAACCTGATGATAATGTGCCTAGGTGATGGTCCTTTTGTGATGAATTTTCCAGGTGTTCTTTGTGCTTCTTGTATTTGGATGTCTAGGTCTCTAGCAAGGCTGGGCAAGTTTTCCTCAATTATTTCCCCAAATATAGTTTCCAAACCTTCCTCAGGAACACAGATTATTCTTAGGCTTGGTAGTTTAACATAATCCTAGACTTCTTGGATGCTTTGTTCATATTTTCTTATTCTTTCTTCTTTGTCTTTGTTGGACTGGGTAAATTCTAAAATCTTGTTTTCAAGCTCTGAACTTCTTTCTTCTACTTGTTCAATTCTATTGCTGAAACTTTCCAGAGCATTTTGCATTTCTGTAAGTGTATCTAGTGTTTCCTGAAGTTTTGATTGTTTTTTCTTTAAACTATCTATTTCCTTGAATATTTCACCCTTCACTTCTTGTATCGTTTTTTGGATTTTCTTGCATTGGGCTTCACCTTTCTCTGGTGCCTCCCTGATTAGCTTACTAACTAACTTCCTGAATTCTTTTTCAGGTACATCAGGATTTCTTCTTGGTTTGGATCCATTGCTGGTGAGCTAGTGTGATTTTTGTGTGTGTATTAAAGAGCCTTGTTTTGTCGTATTACTAGAGTTGTTTTCTGGTTCCTTCTCATTTGGGTAGGCTCTGTCAGAGAGAAGGTGTAAGGCTGAAGGCTGTTGTTCAGATTCTTTTGTCCCATGGGCTGTTCTCTCTATGTCATACTATCTCTCTTTCCCTATGGATGTGGTTTCCTGATAGCTGAGCTGTGGAGATTGTTATCTCTCTTCTGGGTCTAGACACTCGGCAAGTCTACCAAGCTCTGGACTGGCACTGGGGGTTGTCTGCACAGAGTCCCGTGATGTGAACCATCTATGGTTCTCTCAGCCTTGGATACCAGCACCTGTTCCGGTGGAGGTGGCAGGGGGTTGAAATGGACTCTGTGAGGGTTCTTAGCTTTGGTGATTTAATGCCCTATTTTTGTGCTGGTGGTGCTTTCCAGGGAGCATCAGCTGTGGTAGTATGGAGAGGAACCAGCTGTGAGTGGGACCCTAGAACTCCCAAGAGTATATGCCCTTTGTCTTAAGCTACCAGGTTGGGTAGGGAAGGACCACTGGGTGGAGGCCGGGCTAGGTGCATCTGAGCTCAGATTCTCCTTGGGCAGGTCTCCTCTTAATTTTGATCAACTGCAATAATGTGCCACATACATCACTTCAGTGAATACCTGGGTTTCAGTATTTAACTTTTAACTATTCTTAGTTTAATATTTTGTCATCTACAATCTAGGATCTTTGAGAACTAATATTTCTTTCATATCTATCCTTCTTCTCAATGCAGTTAAAGATCATTTAGAGTTTGTTAAATTTAATTAACCTCTAACTATCTTAAGGTTAAAAGGATCATCTAACATTTAAATGAGATAGTAGACCAATGTAAAGTAAAGTAAAAAAACACAGAAAGTTTTGAAGAAAATCCAGCATACTCACAGTCTGAGATGGGAGACACATTGCATCCCAAAATATTGAGCAGAGCTAAATTTTATTTTGTAACATTTTAAAATTTGCCAATTTTAATAAATGTGGGCCAAATAAAAAAAAACTCAGATAATAAATTAAGTGAAATATATTACTTGAAAAGAATGTAAATTAAGAGTAATAAGTTGTATTTTAAAAGTTGATTTTAGATGAGATTTGAAAAATAGAATAAGAATAATAAAATAAAAAAAATCTGACAATAGTTATTCTCAATTATAAGTGTCAAATAATGGAAATAGTTTTTTACCTCTGGAAAGGAGAAGATTTTGTTTAGTTTATATCTCTTTAGAGGGTATCTACTACATATATTAGAGTGTTTTAGATACTTTGATATGAATTAACAAATGGAAGAAGGAAGACATAATCTAAAGCCATAAGAAACACAAAGAAAAGCATGGCCAATAGTTGTATTGAAAGTTTAAAGACAATTTGTATAAGATGGCCTTGGCTTGAGATGAGATCTTTAGGGCTTCTATTAGGTTTATAGGATGATATTCTATAAAACTGTATACAAATAGAATTTACAATTAAATTAAAATAATTACAATATTTCACCACCAAAGCAATTCACATTTCTAATCTTATTTTATCCTATGATTATCTGTTGTATAAAAGCAATTTGTATCAAGTCCACTTTGCAATGGAGAAACTGAATTTGCACCATGAATAAGTGGTAAGATTAAACATAAAACATGTTGATCTTGGCATGGGTTATAAACAATAAACTTCTCCTTGGACTGTGACCACTGAAAGAAAAATCACTTAAGCAGGATTTTACTATTTGACCTGAGGTCATCTTACTTGAACATTTACATTTCTTTGTAAGTAATAATGAGGCTACTTGAATTATTTCTTTGAAACTTAATTTTCTTTAGTGAAATATTAAAGGCAAGTGGCTGAAGAAAACAAGCAGATAATTGTATAATAAGCATGAAAAGATGCTAAGCTTTTTGTGATCAGGTCAATCCAAATTATAATAATAAAATACAAATTACACCCATCAGATTGCCAAAAATTAAAGGATTTATAAAATCCAATTTTTGCGAACATGTCTTTCCATCATTTTTAGGGGAAACATAATGGCTACAAAACTTTTCAGGAGTAATCAAAACTTAAATACGCCTCTTTTCACTTAGTAATTTCTTTCTAAAAATTTATAACTTAAAAATACTTACTGAAGTGTTTAAGGATATGTACGTGTGTTTGTATTGTATATGTGTATATATATATGTGTGTATATATGTATGTGTATATATATATGAATGATTTAGTGTACATATCAGTATGATTTTAAATAGAAATCAATTGGAGAAAATGTGGAAAACAGTTTTAATTTACTCTTGAATATTAAATAGCCATTAATAATAACTACAGGGATTTATGTACTACCTTAGTGAATTCAGATTGTTAAATATAAAAAGTAAGTTACACTAAATATATATAATATGACCTAATTTCCTATTTTGTAAATTAATAATATAGAAAGAGTATACTTTGTATATACAAAGTGTAAAAACATATATGTGTATGTGTATATATATCACAAGAGTAAAACTATATCTACATATTATAAATACATTTTATATAAAGATTTTTAATCGTGATATATATACACATACACACATATTTTTTAATACTTTGTATATATAAGGCATACTCTATATTATTAATTTACAAAATAGGAAATTAGGTCATATTATACATATTTTGTGCAACTTTTTATATTTAGCAATCTGAATTCACTAAGGTGTACAAAAAGGCCTCTGGTTATTATTAATGACCATTAAATATTTATATTTAATATTTATATACTCTTGTGATATATATATTACAAGAATAAAAATCTGGGACTGAGGAGAGAGAGTGGTAAAAATCCACTTGGATGAAACAGAGAAAAGCAGCCCTGCTGTTACATCAGGCTGGCTGGAAGGACAGGTGCATATAGAATCTGCTGCCAAGTTGCCAGGAAGCATTGTTTCTCCTAAGATCATGCAGCCTTGGCATTCATGTGGAAAATGCCACAATGACTCCTCTTTGAGTGTCCATTGATTCCTTCTCGTGATGCCCTCAGACCTGCCTGATGACCTTCTAGTGAGGAGTCCCAGTGGCAAACTCATCTGGCCTCTCGATAGCTTCTAGTATCTGGTAAATCCCACTTCTAACCTTGTCTCAGAGACAGCAATCAGTCTAGAACCGATAGCAGCGTCCTTTAGAGCCTTCTGAGTATTGGTCAGTGGGAGCCCAGGTTGATGGCTAGAGGCTTCCCTCTCCCCCTCTGGTCACATGGCAAATCATGGCTCCTCCAGAGTGTCTGCCCTCGATGCTTTCAGTCAAGAAATTTGATTTTCTCAGAACGCTAGTTTATTGCTGGTGGTTTTTGGCCAATTCCGTTTTAACAACATGTGCATATACGTGTACGGATTAGTGTATGTAGGTATGTATCTACCTATATACCTACTTATCTATTATCCTGTTGGGTAAAGCAGAAAAAATTCTAAGGCACAAATCACATTTAAGCAGTTGTTACTCTGCCATATGTGAGTAGAAATGGAGTGAGGAGAACTTTTAGTGATAAATTAAAGTTTCAAATTATAGTGCTTACAAGGACTATGTATTATTGGGGTTTTTGGGTTTTTTTTTTTGCTTTTTTAGGGAGGAAATAAATGAATTTTAAAAATTAATGTATCTCAGCAACATCTCTCTCTTTCTACACACACACACACACACACACACACCCCCCCCACACACTTACATACCTCTTTCTGGAAAGCTGAGCATATTGAGTTCAGATCCTTGAAATTAGACGTAGGAAGTTATTCCTTTAATTGTTTTCAATAATTAAAATAAATTTTAATTTAATTTAAATTTGAAATGTATTTTTTCTCAAAGGAAAACTATTAAAATGAGCAATAAAAGATTATATATTTGTAACATATAAGTAATTTTCATTGCTTTTGCATATACATATTTTGTCTATATATAACACTGTATTATATACTTTCAATGCTTGATATCTATATTTGCATCTATCTATACCCTTACCTATATCTACATTTAACAGTTGGCTGCTTAAAGTGAACTGGAACTGAGAATCAGAGTGAAAGTTTACTTCACAAGGATTCATTTAAACTACTTGCAAGGTGTGGTTCTCCCACACATATCTGGCAAGAAAGAGCATGTGGATTAAAAGGAGAATGAAGCAGTGGATAGGTAATGGGCCAGCTTTAGTCTTAATTAGCTTCCATTGCTGTTGCTGTTTCTCTAAAAGGAACACAGATGGAAATGTAATTAATGCATAAACTAATTAGTGATCTCATTTGCCAATTGTACATGATGAATAAACAGATTACAGAAAATACTCAGCAGGTTGAAGCAAGGTGAGGCCAGGAGGGTGAGAGGAAGAGATACTTATGGTTGGATTGGCAATAAACCATAAAACAAATTATGCATTTTCTTGCATATAATTTTACCAGGGAGGAAAAAGAAAGAAAGGAATCACACTTGTTGTTTTATTTTTTAAAAATAAACATGTAACCAAGGGCACTATACTACCTCAGAAGTTTGATTTAGTACAAATAATTGTTATGCCAAAATGCAATTTTTAAAGGAATTCATAAATATATCAAAATAAAAACATCTACTGACTTTTTGTAGAATGGCAAATTTTCAACACTAATAGTTATTGTAAAATTCCCAGCACTTTGGGAGGCCAAGGCGGGCAGATCATCTGAGGTCAGGATAGTTTGAGACTAGCCTGGCCAACATGATGAAACCCTGTCTCTACTAAAAATAAAAAAATTATCTGGGCATAGTGGCCTGGCTACTTGGGAGGCTGAGGCAGGAGAATCCCTTGAACCCAGGAGGTGGAGGTTTCAATGAGCCGAGGTCACACCACTACACTCCAGCCTGGGTGGCAGAGCAAAAATCCTTCCAAAAAAAAGTATAATTTTTAAAGTTATGTCTTGTCTTTGGAATCTTTTAGTCTGAATTCATTTTCATCAAAATAATATGTACTGCATAATTATTGCATACAAGTCAGTGTTCAATGCTGTGAATGGGATTTCCCTGAACTTCACTAACAAAGTTGCAGAAAATGAAAGATGAAAGTCATGGTGTGGAGTAAATGTCCATCATCTGCTGAAAACCACCTTCCCCTGAATATCTACTGCAGAGAGCTTAGCTCAGCAGCTAATGAGAACAGTTTAGAAACATGGTGGGGAAAAGTCAAGATAATGAATAACTGAAAGATAGTGCTTCCAATAAGGTGCAC
Source organism: Homo sapiens (assembly GCF_000001405.40). NCBI lineage: Eukaryota > Metazoa > Chordata > Mammalia > Primates > Hominidae > Homo > Homo sapiens. The sequence goes on along the minus strand of NC_000014.9, from coordinate 85,156,383 downwards.
ACCAGTAAATAAGGATATTAGTGAATGAGATGATTTCAGACATTTTGCTGTCAGTCCTCCATCTTATTTCTCATTTTAGGGATTCCTAGCAACATGAAGCCGGTAACCTGGATATTGAATACTATTAATACTAGATAGAAGTTGGGGCCAAACCACATTGATTTCCAGGCCCATGACTTTTCCACTGACAGAAAGTATCAGAGTGAGTTCACCTTTATAATCTGGTCCAATCGTAATCTTAAACTACCCTATTTGGTTTGTAGAGTAAATGTTACTGTACTCATTTACAAATGAGGAAACTGAGACCACAAATAAAGATTGCTGTGGCGGATCTGGAACCATAACTCGGATGTTTAAACTTCTTCTTTGGGTATCTAACGACATATCAGAATAAGAGGTCATTTTGTCAGATTGAGGAAGGATTACAAACTGTAAATTAAAAATTTTAAAGTTCCACATCTGGGTCCAAGTTAATTAATGTCAGCCGTTCTATTTCATAACAGCAGAAACAATGGCAAACATATGTACATGCACACCATGTATAGAATGCACAGTTCAAAAGTATACCTCATTTAAACTTTAATAATAGCAATGCAATTAGTTAACATTTGTTAGGCTCCTAAAATGGGACAATAAATACATGAACCATTTAATATGCATTATATGTTTTAATCCTGACAACAACTACATGGCTGTTATCTTTTGTACTTCACAGGTGAGGAAACTGAAGCTCAGAGAGTTTAAATTTGTCCAAATTTATGTAATTAATAAAGAACTGCCTGTCTAATTCTGAACTAATAAAATTAACCACTATTGGCTGAGTGTAGTGGCTCACGCCTATAATCCCAGCATTTTGGGAGGCCAAGGAGGGTGGATCACCTGAGGTCAGGAGTTCGAGACCAGCCTGACCAACATGGCAAAACCCCATCTCTACTAAAAATACAAAAATTAGCCAGGCGTGGTGGCGCATGCCTGCAATACCAGCTACTCGGGAGGCTGAGGCAGGAGAATCACTTGAACCTGGGAGGCAGACATTGCAGTGAGCTGCTGAGATAATGCCATTGTACTCCAGCCTGGGCAACAAGAGAGAAACTCCATCTCAAAAAAAAAAAAAAAAATTAACCACTATTCTATGATTCTATGGTACTTCTCCACAGGAAAGCACTGAACATTATTGATATATTTAAATCTATAATAGAGACCTTCATATGGACCCTGAGGGAAACTTTAGAATGAGGTTCTAGTACGATAGTTGGCTACTTTCCTTGGGGCAACAAGGAGATCAACAAACAAAAATACTCAACAATGAAACAATACTCAGCAATGAAAACAAATGGATATTCTATCAATTTAGCCGTGAAATTCTATTCTACTTTGCTCAAAGCACTTTGGAGATGCAAATATTGCTCCGGATGAGAATTCTGTGGTCAATGAGTTTCTGTTTTGTTCATGGGGTTGAAGATGTAACAGGTGTGGTCACAAGCCACCTATATTGTCTTTATGTGGGTATGTTCCAGTTTACCACACTTGCAAATTTGGAGATTGGTGTTTATAGCTTAGGGCTCGTGGAGATTTTTGTCAAGGTGATGCTGTTTCAGAAAACAGTAATTGTAAATGCACTGAAATAAATGCATTGTTTCATTTTTAATATCTTTAATAACAAACATTTCTCTTCAGACCAGTCTTTGGTTTTCGTTTTTATATCTTTAAACCCCACTACACTTCCCTCATTTCCTTCCACATTCTTCTATGCATTTTACCGTGAGAAAGTTGAATCAGAGACAGGCAAGTTTAGCCTTACGTGAAACTTCTCACTTAATAGAGGTCAGAACAAAACAAGACATTTTTCTCTAGATTTTCATGAGAGGACTGCAGGACTTTCTGGGGAATATCTCTTGAAAGGCCAAACCAGATGTAGTAAAATGTCTTCTATCCAGAGCTAAAACCTTTTCTCCTAAAGCCTCTTAAAATTTAATAGCAGAAATATATCATATTAACATGCAAACTACTACATTAAAGTAACATTACGGTTCTTGACTTAACATCCACCATGATTTAGTAAGTTCTGGGAAGGAGTTTCTATTCTTGGTTTGAGCATCAGCTTGCAGTATGTAGGGTTTACCAAAGTGGACATTCCGCATGGGAAATAATTTATATCCACCAATAGGCACTGACAGGTTAGGTCCAACAAGGTTATGTATTATATGTTTCAACAATTGTCAAAAATATTTATTGAGACCCCATTGTGTGCAGATCTGTGAACGTCATGCTCTGTGGGGGCACACAAAACAAAATAAATGATGGGGACCTTTACCCTCAACAAACTTAAGAGTTTTTAGAAGGGACTCATAAATCAAGTTGAAGATTATATTAGATGACTTTTAACATTTTTTCCAACCCTAAATCTCTAATAATCTTCTATAGTTTCCTCCATTTATGTATTCTAATTTAATTTCACCTAGCCAAAAAAAAGATGATTTGATATGGTTTGTCCTAAGGACTTATTTAGTCTAGCAGACTAAAAAGTAAGTAGGTGATTGTAACAGGAAGTTGAAACAAGATAGTTACCTCAGTTGGGCATTAAATTAGATGTACTTTTATTTATGGCAGTAATATCTGAAAGTCTTAACATTCTCTACACTGAGGGCAGGAGGAAGAAAAAAAAAGGAGCTTTCTGAGACTTTCTCACTAAAGCCCAACTTGGTTATTGTTTTGAGAAATATAGTTGAGAAACTTATGCCATTCTGTGCAATTTGATTGTGACTTAAATCAGGAAAGAAAAATGTTTTCTACAAGTAAAAAAGTTTTGTAAGCATGTTAATACTGGAGGGAAGAATAGAAACATGTTTATAACGACTTGTGACTCTAGATTTTTGTCATTTGTGTGACAAGATGCAGAACGACAGTTGGGCTAAACAGCAAAGGTTAGAATGGAGAATATTTCTTCTTAAAAGTTTTAAAATTTGTATTATTTTTAATTATTATGGCTACATAATAGTTGTATATACTCATGGTGTACATGTGATATTTTGATACAAGCACACAATGTGTAAGGATCAAATTAGGGTAATTGGAGTATCCATAACCTCAAGCATTTATCACGTCTTTGTGTTAGGAACATTTCAATTTCACTGTTTGAGTTATTTTGAAATATACAATAAACTATATTATTATAGATCTATAGATAGATAGATAGATGGATTGATTGATTGATTGATTAACTATACAGTCACTCTATTTTGCTACGAAACACTAGATCTTTTTTTTGAGACAGAGTCTCACTCTTGTCACCCAGGCTGGAGTGCAGTGCACGATCTCAGCTCACTGCAACCTCCGCCTCCGGGGTTCAAGCGATTCTCCTGTCTCAGCCTCCTGAGTAGCTGGGATTACAGGCACCCACCACCACACCCGGCTAATATTTTTTTGTGCTTTTAGTAGAGACGGGGTTTCGCCATGTTGGCCAGGCTGGTCTCAAACACCTGACCTCAGGTGATCCACTTGCCTCGGCCTCCCAAAGTGCTGGGATTACAGGTGTGAGCCACTGTGCCTGGTCAAGATTTCACTCTTTTTTTTTGTGGCTGAATAATGTTCCATTGTATATATGTAACATGTTTTATTTATCCATCTATCTAGGTGTTGCAATCAACATGGAAGTGTATGTGTCTCTTTGACATCCTGATTTTCTTTCTTTTTTATATATACCCAGATGTAGAATTGCTGGGTCATTTGGTGGTTCTATTTTTAGTTATTTTAAGGAACCTCTATATTGTTCTCCATAGTGGCTTTACTAATTCATATTCTCAAAAACAGGGTAGGAGGGTTCCCCTTTCTCCACATCTTTGCCAACATCCATTATTACATTTCTTGGATAAAATTCATTTTAACTGGGGTGAGATTATATCTCATTATGGCTTTTATTTGCATTTCTTTGATGATTAGTGATGTTAAACATTTTTTTTCATATACCTGTTGGACATTTGTGTGTCATCTTTTGAGGAACAGTTCTGGATATACCAAACCAGAAGTAGTAAAATGTCTTTTACCCAGTTAAAAACCTTTCCTTAGAAATTGTATTTGCCTGGGAAATACACTGTTTTACCTCAATTGTTTGCTACACATCAATATGCTAAGCAAGATTTATAAAGAGACTTTTTTTAGTCTTTGAATAATGTTGAGAAAACAAACATTTTCCATATTAAGAACTATCATCATAATTTTTTTTATGGAGTTGGTTTTCTTTTTTCTTTCTTTTTTTTTTGGCTGCGGGGAGGATGGAGTTTCGCTCTTGTTGCCCAGGCTGGAGTGCAATGGCACGATCTGGGCTCACTGCAACCTCCACCTCCTGGGTTCTAGCGATTCTCCTGCCTCAGCATCCCGAGTAGCTGGGATTACAGGCATGCACCACCACGCTCAGCTAATTTTTGTGTTTTTAGTAGAGACAGGGTTTCATCATGTTGGTCAGGCTGGTCTCAAACTCCCGACCTTAGATGACCCGCCCGCCTCGGCCTCCCAAAGTGCTGGGATCACAGGTGTGAGCCACCATGCCCGGCCATGGAGTTGGTTTTCTAAGGGGAAGATAGAGGTTCTTGCAGGGGGAGAAGGAAGTAAAGATACTCCCTGTCCACCCATTGTGGCATCATCTCTTTCAGATCATTCTCTTGATAGACAAAGAGAAGTATTTCAATCCTTCAGAGTAGACACTTTCTTGGCATTGAATTCTACACACAATTTATAGATGGACATTAACTAAAGGTACTTTGAGGGACATAATAGAAAATGTCTTCAACAGAGATTTTGCAGAAGATATAAATGTATTTTTCATATGGCTGCTTTTGTGTTTTGGTGAGCCTCAAAAAGTGCTAAAGCTGAGAGAGCAAATTGCAGTTCAGCTAAAGAATATCTGTGCATTGCTTTTAGGTCTGGAAGAAAGTTCAGAAAGCCCAGATAAATGATTCCTATTAAGTCCAATAATCTGCAAGAATATATTGGGTCAATATTTTTTAATTGTAAAAGAAAGAAAAAAACTGATTTTGTGAGCAGAGTACTGCTAGGTGTCCGGTATAATGGGTAAGATATTTTCTAATCCACCTTATTAGATCTCATTTCATCAACAGATCAATCTGAGGAAAGTTCCACACTTTTCCTCTTTCAGACACGGTTACAGGTTCAGAGAAAATAAGTGACTCAGCCAAGATCATATCACGTATAATACCTATGTCAGAGTTTGAACTCAAACCCACATGGCTTTAAAATCCAGACACTTCCTGCTACAGAGTGTTGATTTCATGATGACAAAGTGTTTTTTTTTTTTTAATTTCAGCTCTCCTATAACAAATGCCTTTACATGTAATTCAGGTTATATTTATTTTACTCCCTCATCATAAATTGTAATCCTTTTGGAGAATAGATTGTATGTTATTCTCGTGTTTCCTTCCTTTACAATTTCTGCCCCAGTAATGTGCGTATATAATAAAGCCCCTCTTCGTTTGAAGAATTTGCCCTCTTTGCCAACTTAAGAAAATCTAGATGTGATTTTTCTAAGATAGACTTGTTAACATCTATTTGTTGAAAACAATTTTACACAGATAAATTGTACCGGAGCAATTATAAATCAATATGTCAACCAGTTTAAATTTAAAGCAGTTGAATTAGTTACTTTAGTGCTGAAGGAAGAACTTCATGAAATAAATACAGTACATGGCAGGTTTTGGAAAAGTAGATGAGAATGGATTGCTGGGGAATGTGGGAATTCAATGTGTTTACTTCAGATTCAGCTCTGAAATTATGGGAGGACTGATTTATGTTTTTTAAAAAAGCAGGAACCGTCTACCGAGCTCACTTTGACAATTAGGAGAGATGTACCACCATTAAAGATGGTAACAACAGTTACTACTTACTGAATACCTCCTGTGTTTCAGAGGCTATGGTGCGCCCTTTGAAAATCCATTTTCACTTATCCCTCAAGACAACACAAGAAGTTGATACTTTGTCCTCATTTACAGAAAAAAATTAGGGTTAAAGGCTACATTTTTTCTGTCAAGAGTGTACTCGTTAATAAATGGCAGAACATACTTTAGAACTAGGTCTGTGTGACTTCAAGCTTTTATCTTAGAAGGCAATGAACACTGTGAATGAGAATCCTGGTTCTGTAGCAGAGTGCCTGGATTTGAATTTTAGCACCATTTGTACAAGAAATGTGACCTTGTCCAAGTTACTCCAACTGTCCAAGTTTTAGCTTTCTTATTTTGGGAAGATAAAACGTGATTTAATATATGTTACATGCTACTTAACACAAATTAAATGATCAATAAATACTACCTGTTTTAACAATGATGTCGACAATAAAATTGATGATGATTGTGATGAATTTATAAGCTATATATTTGTATTTATTTTCCTAGCATAAAGTTCCCTTTGCATAGAACAAGGCTGAGTACACAGTGTATGCTCAATAGATGTTTGCTAAATGAGTACTGAGAAGGTTTAAGAAAGTTAAGAATCTCATTCGTATTTTATTCTCACCTCTCTAGACAATCATGCCTGTAATCTGGAAATATGCCTATAAACTAATTTGGGGTAGAAGTCCCATAAATGCTATTGTCTACGTTTTGAAGGAAACTTTTCAAGATGGTGTAGAATTTGGATAATTTCACATCTTGAATATGGTGCCTCACCTTGGCTGGCAGCACAGAATTTTCTTTAATTTATATAAGAAAAAAATAGAAAAGTAGTTTATTTGGTTTTATGGATAAACTTTCCTTCAGAAATTTAGTTGGAAAGAAGAGAAGGGTACTGGGGAGGTGAGATACAGAGAAAAGTGAAATCATTTATAGAATTTTTTCAGAAAGTTCATTTCAGAAAGAATTGTTGTCTTTTTTATTCATTCTTGAGCATTGGTAATAACTTTTCTTAATTTATGTAACTTCATTAAAAACACAAGCTTCATAGTTCTTTTAGGTAGACTTTGAATTTTGTTTTGACAATGAAAGCAATGAAGAAGTTCAAGGTAAAGTCAGAGCATTTTTGCCAGGTATACTTACATGTTTAAGATTAAACATTCTGCTTCTAATGCTGAAGGGATTTTAAAACGACCTCACAGACTGACCCTTGACTAATTGCAGTGCTAACAGGGAACTCTTATAAAGTAGATAACAAATGGCTGTCTGCTGGGAATAAGGACAGTTTTTTAAATATGTGGGTTGCTCTTGGTATCATTCCTTGTTTCCCTGAAGAGTTCTCCAGATGTCTAAATGCTGTGTAAATTTGCTTAATGACAATTTTAGTAGACAAATCTATGTTTTTCTTATTTCCTTTTTTTCTTCCCCTATTATCTCCCCCCCGCTTTCTCATCTTACCCCTCCCCTCTATCTCCCTTCTTCCCTCTTTCTAAAAATAATAAAAACTAATGAGCCCTTACTTTTTCCAAGACACCACAGGTTTTGAGTAAATGAAGATCAGGATCACATAGTGCTGTTCTCATTGGCTTTATTCCCTGGACAAGAAGGCAGACAGTTAAGCAAGAGGAAGAAAGGAAATACCCTTCTCTGCCTAAAAGAGGGGGAAAAAAAAGGCGATTCTAGAGGAAAACAGCATTCCAGGGAGAGACAGGAGACAAGAAAAATCAGCTTACCTGTTGACAGAAATGCAAGACACTTTGCCATAAGTAATTGCAGAAACCCGAAAAGTCGAACAAAATTACTATTTCTTTACATTGTGTTTTATAGTTTTACTTTGTTTCTGTGATCATGTAGTGACTCAAGTGGTACATAATACAATCGCAGTATGTTCTCTTTTTTAACCTCTGTCCTCATATTATTTAAACTCTCCATGTTTTTTGACATAGTGATCACTACCTCCTTTAAATACTTTCAAAATTGACTTACAGGGCAACACACTCTCCTGTTTTCATGCTACCTGACTGTGTTCATCAAGGTTCTCCAGAGAAACAAAACTAAAATAGATTTATTCTAGGAATTGTTTCTGACAACTATGGAAGCTGAGAAGCTGTGTGATCTGCCATCCGCAAGCTGGAGAACCAGAAAAAATTCAGTGGTGTCATTCAATCCAAGTTAGAAAACTTGAGATACTGGGGTGAGGTGTGATATAAGTCCTGGTTCATGTCCAGAGTCCAAATGCCTGAGAATCTCAGGCATTGAGGTGTGAGGGCAGGAAAAGATGGATGTCCCACTCAAATAGAGATAGGAAATTCACTCTTTCTTCATCATTTTGTTATAATAGGGTCCTCAACAGATACAATGATGATCACCCACCTTGGCGAGGGTTGATCTTCTTTACTCAGCCTACTGATACAAATACTAATCTCTTCCAAAGACACCCTCACAAAGGCATCTGGAGTGTTTCACCAGCTATCTGGGCACCCCTTAGCCCAGTCAAGTTGACACAAAAATTCAACCATCACTCTTACTCTTTTCCAATCTCTTTTGCTGGATCCTCCTTATGAATTTTACATCTTGAATTTTTAAAACCCTACAGATCATTTTTCAGGCCTTTTTTTCTATCTACCTTCCATAGCTTCTACACCTTCTTGGTGGTCTTATCCAGATTCAAGTTTAAAGAGACTCTGATTGGTGTACCCAGTACAGACTTCTTTTCTAAAAAGCTCTCATACCTGTTTCATTTTTTCCATTAAACTTAATACTTTATAACACACTATAGAACAATTATTTTATTTCAATCTTCTCTTATTAAATGTAAACTTTATAGAAGTAATTATTTATGTCAATTACTCACTGCTTATCCTAAGGCTTGGAATAGTGCTTGTTCAGGGCAGACACTCAATAAAATTTGGTTTTATTTTCAGCAGCATGGGAAGAATCAGGACTCCATAAAACACAAAAAGACAATTTCATCATAGTCTCAGAAGTCCAAGAATTATTCAAACACATTTCAAGGGCAATCAGTGTAATTCATATTCACAATGGTCACTAAGTCCATGATAAACTTGAAAGTCAACAACTTCCTTTCTTAGATTTTTTTAAATGACTGTATTGTCTAATTCAAAGTTACTTTTGGGGAGGGCTCCCTGTGCTTTTACGAGCATCTGCTAGAATTGAGAAACTGGTCCTCCATTTCCTTTTTGCACGTTCATTTATTTCACATTTAGGAGTCACCATATGTTTAATCCACGATAACATTCTAGAATGTGAACTAAGACAGCAGATGTGTAGGCACCTCGGAGTGGCAAAGCTTTATTTTTTTATCCTTTATGTTGCTCGGCTACTGTCAATGTATATGATGTAAAAGGTGGCAATTTATATACAGACTCAGGATGGTATGTGTGAACATGAGTAATGCCCTCTCTAATTGGTCCAGAATCGTTTCACTTGCTTTTGCTTTAAGGAGTGTTGTTAACTAGGAGGGGGTCCATTGTGTCCACAGTGAGTAGAGCAGACCTGCCTCTAGCAGTTCAGAGGTTAGCCAGTGGGATTCCAGACTGGTTCTCAACCAGCAGCCAAACAAGGCAGCGTAGCTCCATAGATCCAGATGTGTGAGCTGTGCTTATTTTCCTGCTTATTTTTCTTTTTTCTTTCTCTTCCTTTTTACATGTATTGCTATCATGAGTCATTCACCTAAAGTCTAGAGAGAATTAGCAGCTAGTTCTTATACTCAATAATAATAATAAAAATAATAATAATAATAAAATAAGACTGGTAAAGTGGTTCAAATAATCATACCCAGAATGCTTGGGCTTAAACTGTCACCTGAGTACCCACCCCTCCCCATCACTACCAAAAGCAAAAGCAGAAGAAACAAGAAAATAAATGGAAAACTTAAATGAATAAAGAGGTACATTACTCTTGTGGTGTTTTACTTTCTTGCTTTTAATGGCCAGTCTGTAACCCTTCATAGCATTTTCTATACCCTTAGAAAAAAATTACTTTTAATGTTCCATATTAAAAATGGTTGTAAAGGTACTCCACTGTTGATAAGTTTTAAAACCACATTTCATACTAACTACCACAGAGTTATCTATTTATAAGCGATGGTTAAAAAAGCAAAACCTTAAATAATACTCCTTGGAAAACTAGAAATTAATTGCCACACTATTACTAGTTAAGTGGAAATGAAGTAAATAAGAATAGAGAAATAATTGCTGCCTTTGGGTGATTTCATGCCAGCAACCCACCCTGAGACTAAACATTTTCTCTCAAATTGCCTTTTAAAGTTGTATCATATTGTGAAGTGTGTCTTTTAAAACAGTTAATAACATAACTTAATATGCAAAATATTTGATCATATTCTCTCGTGTATATTTCAATGGATTCCTAGATTCTGTTTTACCAAGCATAATTACTCATCAAATTGTAATTTCTTTTTTATTGCTATTGAATACTTTTTTGGATACTCAAAATTTTGAGACAAGTGTTTCACTCTTAAAAAGAGAGTTTGAATGTCTTTGGTTTACTGTTGAAGTGCTTTTTGGGGGTTATTCCATTCAATCCTTGCTCAGCATTCTGTGTGTTACTTTGAGGATCTGACTTCAATTCCCTCATAACAAAACCACCACCAACTGGGAATCATAATTGGAGCTATCGCTGTCATGAGGCAAGGGAGCAAAAAGCTTTCAAGAATAAAATATATCCATCCTCCTACTCAGGGAGACATTTCCTCAGCAGAGTTATACCACTTTTTGTTGTTGTTGTTTGAGACACAGTCTCACTGTCGCCCAGGCTAGAGTGCAGTGATGTGAACCCGGCTCAGTGCAATCTCTGCCTCCCAGGTTCAAGTGATTCCTATGCCTCAGCCGCCCAAGTAGCTGGGGTTACAGGTATGCACCACCATACCCAGCTAATTTTAGTATTTCTAGTAGAGACGGGATTTCACCATGTTGGCCAGGCTGGTCTCAAACCCCTGACCTCAGGTGATCTGCCTGCCTCGGTCCCCAAAGTGCTGGGATTACAAGCATGAGCCACCATACCAGCCTACACCTCTTTTTGGTATTAGTTCCAGCTAGAAGTTCTTTCTCTATCCTCCATCCCCCAGACTGGGATTTATCACATTTACTTATTTGTTCCATGTTTCCTTCCTAGCTTATAAGGTTCCTAGTTTAATGCCATGAACTATTATAAATATTGAATTTGGCTTTCCAGGCTTATAAGACAAGCATTAATATTCTACCTTTGCATTTGGTGGCCAAGTCTAGGGAAAAAAATAGAACTTATACACATCATTTTTTCTATATTAAGACATTGTCTATTAGTTATCTTCCTCTCAATAAGAAAAAATAAAATATTGACTCATTTAAAGTACACATTGATTTAAGATATATTCTGATTTCATAAATGTAAAGATAAAAAATGTTTTCAATAATAAAAAATATGGTAATTGTTGATAAACCTTGATTCTTCATGTAACTTGGGGAGAGTTGATGAGATACAGTTTTTCTTGCTTTCTCCTTTTTTCCTCACTATATGAATCATTCCTTCTTTCACTATAATTGAAACCCTGTCTCTGGATGTGGGGTGGGGGAAACCTAAAGGTATTTAGAAAGTAAAGCTTGGATAGAGCTCACTCTCCACAACTTTTCTATTTTAGAGAAAAATTAAAAATTTCAAGATTTGTTGCTCTCCATCAAATACAACTCTCAGGAACTAAGAAATCATTTATGAAAAATAAAAGAAGAAAGATAAAATGAACTTTGAGAATTTGAGGTGAAGGCTATCCACCTTAGAATTTACAGACTGGAACATACCTTAAGAAGAAACACTTTTATGGCCTCTAAGATTTATGATCTACTGGTATACTGAAAATAATCGGCCGTGGGAATTCAAAGGAAGCTACTTGTAGAGCACCCATTGGGTGAGCTAATTTTATTCAAGCCATAAATTTCACTGAAAAAAATGAATGAAGGCTGATGAAAAACTTCATGCTCTCAAAGAAAAGCAAAATCAAATAAAACAAAATTTGCCCAGAGAACCCAATCATCCCAGAGAAAGGTAATGTTTCAGGATCACACAGACAAATGCCCTCATGCAGATATCAAGAAAGAGACACTGAAGGCACATACTGGTTTTTCAAAGTCAAATCTTCAAGCCCAGGAAATTGAAACAGAAGAAATACAAAGGAGTCCCAAGAGATATAGGTTTATACAGAGTTTCTTCGAGTGGATTTTGAAGTTCTTTGAAAAAAATGGCATAACTGCCAGGAAAAATACTTGTCTATCTGTGCAGATTATACTTGCAATAACTCACTTTAAAGTATTCTATTACCAAATGATTGATTATTACTTGACTTTATTTCATGATAGGTATAGGTCAAAGTGCAGATGTACATATAGATGAGCGTGTAATGCTATAGAAACTGTTCTGTAAGACTTTCTTTGTTCTTCTGCTTCACAACATATCCAAATTTCTCACATTGTAAGAGAACATAATGCCCAGGGATACTCTGACTATGAATTAAATATCAATCTTTTTAAACCTTGAAGATGAATGGCAATGTATATGTTTAGCACCATACACGTTTCTAGTCATTGAGAGCAGCTCTCATAGGTGAATAAAAAGAAAAAAAAAAACTAGTTTTACCTTATCTTAGTCAAAATTTAAACCTGGTGTTTATGAAGATTCAGTTTGTGAAGGTTGCTGACTCTTAAGCTTGGGTATTCTGCTTTAACTATATTTGTTTGTTTTAGGTCGCTCAGCCTGGAAAAGGAATCTCCAGGAACATGTTTATTTCTTCATTTCTCTCTGCACTTCAGAAAACTTATCATTTGTGCTCTTTCAGAGAGAGGGAAGAGAGTCAGACTCCTTATCTAATGAACCTTACACTAGTTACATGCAATGAATAGGATTAGGTGATGTGTTCATCAGCAGGGTGTAAGCTAATAGAAAATTTTGTATTATACCTACTGTGTTTTGTCTTCTCAAATTTAGTCACCATTAGGATAGAAATAAGCTATACTGAATATTTAAAAAGAAAATAGTGTGACATTAGGTTTTTGAATGTTTAGGTAGCCATTAAGCATCTTCTACAATACAGATCCAGATCTATTCTAATTAAGAAGTTTTAATAACTTTTCTTAAAGAGAGAAAGGGGTGGGGGAAGCATAGTTGCATGGGTTTTTAATGACTCTCCCTGCAAAGCAATCTCTAAGTCTACCAAATGGCATGTCCTTGGGAAAGAGAAAGGAAATACTTAAAAAGAGAATGTGGTTAAAGAGCAATAGAAGTAAGCATCACATCAAAGGAAAAATGAACTGATGAAACCTTCAGGCAGGAACACTGAATGAGAACATGAACTGTTTATGCAGATGTGCTTTCCTTTATGGAAGTCTCATGTGCCTCAGATGTGAATCCTCTTCCTTAGAAATAGCTTCTGGAGTTCAAAGATCATAAAGCACAGAACTGGTGTTTATAATCGGCATCTCTCTCCATTTTTTCCATTTTTCTATGTAGACTAGCTAACAGATTGACACTGTGCTGATCAAACAGATAAAGTGTTAACTGGAGTTAAAAACATAGAGCAATAAAACTTTTTTAGAAAGCAAAATAATTCAAACAGGAGCTTTGCTTCAAAGTAGTTGACTTGCGATATTCCAACTTACTCTAGTGACCAAAATATCTTTCCAAATTTTCATATGTATGAACACTGTTTGCTGACTATTATCCTTAATACTGAATTATGCTAAAATTAAAGGGATGGAGACACAGTGTTTTACTTGGAGTTAATTGTCAATGTATTTAAGATGCTTAAATAATTACACATGTGCCAGGCACGGTGGCTCACTCCTGTAATCCCAGCACTTTGGGAGGCAGAGGTGAGTGGATCACCTGAGGTCAGGAGTTCGAGACCAGCCTGGCCAACATGGTGAAAACCCATCTCTATGAAAAACACAAAAATTAGTGGGGTGTGGTGACAGGTGCCTGTAATCCCAGATATTTGGGAGGCTGAGACAGGAGAATCGCTTAAACCCAGGAGGCAGAGGTTGCAGTGAGCCGAGATTGTGCCACTGGACTCCAGCTTGGGCGACAGAGCAAGACTTCATCTAAATAAATAAATAAACAAAATAAAAATAATTACACATGTAAAAACATACGTTTAAATAAATGTTATGTTTTAATGAAAAAAGGATCAGGGTTTAGAGTTAGAAGGTCAGGATGGGAGAAATATTGTCGTCACAATAAGACCAAAGACATAGAGATGTCGCAGATAAGTTGTCTTGAACTATTTATTGACATGGTTTGTATTAGGATATGAGGTTGGAGAAGCATATTGTCAACACGTTGTGAAAGGACTTTTTATGTAATATTTTCTCATCTATAAAATGAAAGTACCACTTTTCTGTCTGTACTTTATTAGAAAACCCTGAGACGTTAAAGAAAAAAATATATGGGTAAATGCTTTACAAAATTAGAGTTATACCAACAGATCTAATACATGAAAAAATGTAAAAACAATATGCAATCGATTGTAAAAAGAAATAGTCCACAGAAATTCAATGTAGTGTTAAGTTAAAGGCTTCATGAATGTGGGGAAGCTTGGACTGGGAATTGGAAACGTGGAGGAGGATGATTGCAGAAGTTGAACGAAGAGGATGTATTGGCTAGGATAGTTGTATGTGAGGAGCCTCCCAGGACCATGGCACTTGTTCATTTACTTGAATATCAGTCAGCAGCTTGTGCGGCATGGTGCAGGTATGTTCTAGTAATTTTCCTCCTAGACACATGTAAGCATTGAAATGCTAACTTCCTCTCTACTTTATACTGTAGAATGTAATTTCCTGTAACCTTGTAACCATTTGACTCTCAGTAGGGAATTATAAACCCTATGTACTCACTAATGGATCAACTTTGCTCATAATTGTCCATTAAAAACACCATTCCTTTTTTATTGACAACTATATTTTGGTCTATCATCATTTACATATATACCATCTATTTCAGATTCTAAAATAGGTACGTAAGTTGCTTTGTCCAATGTATATTTGATTCTGACTGTGCTATTTACCAGCTATTGAACCATAGACAAAATGAACTCCCTATGCCTTATATTTTCTGTGAAAAATGGAGATAATGATAACTCTTTCCTTTTTGATTACTGTAAGGATTGAGATTGAGACAATTCTTTTAAATTTCTTAGTATAGTGCCTGGATCATAGCAATCACTCAGAAAATGGTATCCGTCAGTACATATGATGGTAATTCTAATGGCATTTGCTCTAGATCTACTGTAGGTAGTAATATTTTATACAAACTCTCTCATATATAACTGGTACACGTGAATGCGATACTAATAAACCAAGTCTTCCTAAAGCAACATCTCATCAAAGATATTCTCAATAGTCTTTCATATTGAAGGTGGATTCTTGCCAGAATGAACAACTGGAAAACTGTGAAAGTGGCTAAAAATATTGTACTGAATAGGATCTCACAGTGTCTTTTGTGAGTTTGTTGGACTAGCAAGTTTCTATACTTACTGACCTTTAAATTTGTGCTGGCTCCTGTCTACTCACTATCTGTGATAAAATGAATTCTGATAAAACGATTCTGTGGATGTGAAAAGTAAACCAGAGGCACTAAAGAACTTTGCGTGGTTTAACGTAACTTTTCTTACCTTATTAATTGTGACTTCAAAGTAAAGATATTTAGGAAGAGAATATAAACAAATACTATTCATAATGTTGGAAAGGGAGAAAATTTTTATAAGCAGGACAGGAAAAACAGAAATCTAATAGAAAATATTGACAGGTTAATATACCTGAAGATGAAACTTTAAATTATATATATAATTATTCTATGTAATATATGAATAGTTCCTATAAATACATATATTTATCATATATAATTATATATAAAATATATAATATATAGTAAAGATGAATTTTATATATATATAATTATATATATATTATTAAAGGAACAAAAGACTAGATTTACCTTACCTTGGTCAAAATCTAAACCTAGTGTTTATGAAGATTCAGTTTGTGAAGGTTGCTGACTCTTATGCACGGGTATTCTGCTTTAACTATATTGATTATTTTTAGGTCACTCAGCCTGGAAAAGGAATCTCCAGGAATATGTTTATTATATGATATGTAATTATATAATTATAAATTATATAATTTAAATGTAAATCATATATTATACAACAAATATAATATAAATATATAAATATATTTATAGGAACTATTTATTTATTACATGAAATAACCCTGGCTTTGAGATATATATATATATCTCTCTCTATATATGTATCTCAATATAGATATATGTAGATCTCAATATAGATATATATATAGATATATATACATATAGATATATATACATAGATACATGTACATATAGATATATATACATATATCTATGTTACATAAAAGAATCCTGGTTTTCAGATACATATATTTTATATGTCAAGATTATTTTATCTATATTGAGATATAGATATATATATCTCAATATAGATATATATAGATATATATACATATATCTATGTTACATAAAAGAATCCTGGTTTTGAGATACATATATTTTATATGTCAGGATTATTTTATGTAAGTATAGTTTATAGTTTCTGTAAATGGGTAAAAAATACAAAAATGAACTATAGGTAATTCATAGAAAAAATTCAAAATGATTAATCAGCATAAGAAAAGATATTTAATGTTACTAATAACAAAAACTCAAAATATTATGAGATACATTGCTTTTTAAATTTGTAAGACTTAAAAAGAATAACACAATCCAGTACTATAGAAAATGGCCTTTGACAATCTTGTCTGTTTTCCTCTATTCTTTCCTGGGCTAAAGGTCTTGCATTTGCTACAGTGTAAAGGTAGGAATGGCACAATATAAAATAAACAAATTGTGTTATTTTTTAAAAGTAATATCTTACTGAGGATTTTTTTAAGCCTGATAAAGATGTTACCTCACAATGCTCTGAAGTCATAGACTGAGTAAAGGGATAATGGAAGTTACTAAAAAAACTTTCTAATAAAAATTCTAAAAAAGCCTTCTTTTTTGTTTTGCAAATTGAACATTATTTTTTTCTCATTAAAAGTTTTTTTTTTTTTTAGATAGAGTCTTCCTCTGTCACCCAGGCTATTGTTTAACAAACAAAAATCAAACACTACAGAAAAATTTGGAGAAAAAAATCATCGTCACTCCCAACATCTAGAGATAAACTTCAATCTTTCTCACATTTTATCTTTTCAAATATAATGTACTTATATCTCTAAATAAATAAAACTAAGTTGGCCGGGTGCAGTGGTTCCCACCTGTAATCCCAGCGCTTTGGGAGGCCGAGGTGGGAGGATCAAGAGGTTAGGAGATCGAGACCATCTTGGCCAACATGGTGAAACCCAGTCACTACTAAAATACAAAAAATTAGCTGGGCATGGTGGCGCATGCCTGTAATCCCAGCTACCTGGGAGGCTGAGGCAAGGGAATCACTTGAACCCAGGAGGCAGAGGTTGTGGTGAGCTGAGATCGCGCCACTGCACTCCAGCCTGGCGACAGAGCAGGACTCTGTCTCAAAAAAATAAATAAATAAAAATAAAAAATAAAATTAACTTGTTTCATATTATTTTATTACCAGTCTCTTATTTAACAATTCATTGTGATAGTTTTATATGTCAATATCTATGGGTCTTCATAATTTTTGATAGTTGAATATTATCCCATTATATGATCATAGCTCAAATTATTTACCTAATCTCCTATTGATGGATATTTGAGTTTATTCTCTAAAAATTGGACCTGACACCCTTTCAAGGAAGTGAGCACTCCTTTAATGAAAGATATTCAAGAGAGAACAAATGAAAGTAATCGTAAGATAGCAGTGTGACTTGTTCAACTCTGAGATTATTTTTGACCACAAGATTCTATATTCTAAGTGTACCGGGTTAAAATAGTGTCCCACCCACCACCACCACCACCACAAAAAAAAAGAAAAAAAGAAAAAAAGAAAAAAAATCATGCCCTAGAATCTGAGAATGTAACTATATTTGGAAATAGGAGCTTTGCAAAAGTAAATAGTTAAGATTTGATCATACTGGCATAGGGGGAGTTCTTAATGCATTATGACAGGTGTCCCTACAAGAAGAAGATAATACACTCCCACACAGAGACACATGAGGGCAGAACACCACGTAAGGACAGAGGCAAACGGTAGAGAAATTCATCTGCAATCCACGGAAAATCGTATTACCAGGAACACCAGAAATCAGGAGAAAGGCTTGGAAGTGATTCTACCCCAGAGCCTTTGGAGAGAGCGTGGCCTTGCCAAAACCTGGATTCAGATGTCTATCCTCCAGAACTGAGTGAACAGATTCCTGTTGTCTTAAGTCATCTGGTTTGTGGTAAGCTATTACAGCAGCCTTAAGAACCAGAACACTAGGTAAATTTTTTGTAGATTGACTATGAAATGTGTGTGTACAGATATATCCCAGAATGATAAGCTTGAGAAATTCATGTCCAGGTGGCAATTGAATTCTAAACAGAAAGGAATAAAATAAGGTTTTAGCTATACAATTCTTTTTTTTTTTTTAGACGGAGTCTCACTCTGTCGCCACCCAGGCTGGATGGAGTGCAGTGGCGCTATCTCAGCTCACCACAACCTCCGCCTCCTGGGTTCAAGCGATTCTCCTACTTCAGCCTCCCAAGTAGCTGAGACTACAGGCACCTGCCACCACGCCCGGCTAATTTTTTGTATTTTTAGTAGAGATGGGGTTTCACCGTGTTAGGCAGGATGGTCTCGATCTCCTGACCTCGTGATCTGCCCACCTAGGCCTCCTAAAGTGCTGCGATTACAGGCGTGAGCCACCGTGCCTGGCCTTAGCTATGAAATTCTATTTGTTTGTGGACATTGAAAATCTGGAGAAGAGTGGGTGATGGAAAAGAGGAGTGCAAAACCGGGATAAGAAATACAGCATAGTCAATTCATGGGCATCCTTGACTTGAAGCATCTTGGGAGGTATTTCATAAACGTTTCCTTCAGGTGGAACACTGAACCAGGTAAACACAATGTGGGATTACTTTTGTTTAAACTCTTAAAAAGTTATATTTTTCTCTTCTTTAAGTTAATTAGGTTGGACCTCAGTTAGGTTATCATTCTAGTCGCTAGTTTCTTGGAACTGCTTGCTGTAGAGGGGTGGAACTCTAAAAGCCAATAAGCCATGCCATTAGATGAAGTAGGGTCAAGTAAAACACTTTAATCACACTAACCCTTAAAAAGATATACTTTATTGAAATATGATTGTCATGTAAAAAGTTGTACATATTTAATGTATACAGCTCGAATTTGGGGATAAGTATGCACCTGTGAAACCATCACCATCATTAAGGCCATAGACCTATCCATCACCTCCCAAAGTTTTCCTTTACTCCGTTAATTACAATTATTATTATTATCATTGGTAAGAACGCTTAACATAAGATCTACCTTCTTGGCAAATTTTAAGTATACAATACATTATTGCCTTCCATAACTGAAACTTTGTACTCCTTGACCACCATCTCTCCATTTCCTCATGTCCCTGGAGCCTGGTTACCGCCATTCTACTCTCTGCTTCTAAGAGTTAGAATATTTTAGATTTCATATATAAGTGAGATTATACAGTATTTGTCTTTCTGTATCTGATTTATTTCATTTAGAGTAATATCCTTCAACTCCATTTATGTGGTTGCAAATGGAAAGACTTCCTTCTTTTAGAGACAGAATAGCATTTCATTGTGTGTATATACTACATTTCCTTTACCCATTCATCCACTGATAAACATTTAGGTTTTTTTCATATCTTGACTATTTGTATCGTGCTGCAATGAACATGGGAGTACAGGTATCTCTTTGAGATTCTGACTTCAATTCCTTTGGATAAATACCTAGAAGTGGGGTCACTGGATCGTAGTTCTGATGGTAGTTCTATTTTTTACTTTTTTTCTTTTAAAAAAAAAACTTAAAAAAAATTTTTCCACACTTCCACACTATTTTTAATTTTTTGAGAAGCCTTTGTACTGCTTTTCATAAAGACTATGCCAATTAAAATTATCACTAACGGTGTGCCAGGGTTTCCTTTTCTCCACATTGTCACCAACACTTGTTATCTTTTGTTTTTTCAATCTTAGCCATCCCAACAGATGTTAGGTGATAGGTCATAGTGGCTTTGATTTGCATTTTACTGATGATTAATGTTGTTGAGCACCTGTTTATAAACGTATTGTCCATTTGTATGTCTTCTATGCATTGACATCTATTCTGGTACTTTCTCCATTTTTTATTTATTTATTTATTTTTTTGCTATTGAGATATAGGATTTCTTCATATATTTTTGGATATATTAAAATTTTATCAGATATATAATTTGGAAATATTTTCTCTCAGTATGTAGGTTGCCTTTTGATTTTGTTGATTGTTTCATTTTATGTTTAGAAGATTTTTATTTTAATATAATCCCACTTATTTATTTTTGTTTTTATTGCATGTGCTTTTGACATCATGTCCAAAAAACTCACTGGCAAAATCAAAGTCAAGGAGCTTTTTCTCTATGTTTTCTCCTAGGAGTTTTGTGGTTTCAGGTTTTACATTTAAGTCTTTAATCCATTTTAGGTTAATTTCTGTATTTGATGTAAGATAAGGGTCCATTTTCATTTTTTTACATGTAGATATCCAGTTCTCCCAGCATCATTTATTGTGGACTATATGTATCCATTTAGTATTTTTGGTGCTCTTGTTGAAGACTAATTGACTGTTTATGTGTAGGTTTATTTCTGGATAGGCATTTCTATTCCATTGGTCTATGTGTCTGTTTTTATGTCAATACCACACAATTTTGATTATTACAGCTTTGTAATAAAATTTGAAATATAGAAGTGTGATGTCTCTAGCTAGCTTTGTTCCTTTTTCTCAAGATTGCTTTGACTATTTTGGTGCTTTTGTGGTCTCACACAAATTTTTTGTTTTCGTTTTCTATTTCTGTGGAAAATGCCATTGGACTTTATATTTATAGAGATTGTACTGACTGTGTAGATTACTTTGGTTAGTATGGCTATTTTAACAATATTAATCCTTTTAATTCATTATTGTAGGATATCTTTTAATATATTTATATTTTCAACTTCTTTAGTCAATGTTTTATAATTTTCAGTGAACAGATCTTAAATCTCATTGGTTAAATTTATTCCTAAGTATTTTATTCTTCTGGATGCATTATCAATGGAATTGCTTTCTTCATTTTTTTTTAGATACTTTGTTGTTAGTGTATAGAAAGGCAGCTGATTCTTCTGTGTTGATTTTGTATCTTACAACTTCCCTGAATTCATTTTTTAGTTCTAACGAGTTTTGTTCATGTGGAGTTTTTAGGGTTTTCTATATATAAGATGATGCCACCTGCAAACAGATATAATTTTACTTATTTTTTATTTTAATTTTGATGTTTTAATTTAAAAATTTTTTTTCCTGACTAATTGACCTGACTAGGTCTTTCAGTACTATGTTGAATAGAAGTGGCAAGAATCGACATTCTTATCTTCTTCTTCTTCGTTTTTTTTTTTGTTGTTGTTGTTAGATGAAGTCTCCCTCTATCACCCTGGCTGGAGTGCAATGACAAAACCTCGGCTCACTGCAACCTCTGCCTCCTGGATTCAAGAGATTTTCCTGCCTCAGCCTCTCAAATAGCTGGAATTACAGGCACCTGCCACCTTGCCCGGCTAATTTTTTGTACTTTTAGTAGAGACTGGGTTTCTCTATGTTGGCCAGGCTGGTCTCAAACTCCTGACCTCAGGTGATCTGCCTGCCTCGGCCTCCGAAAGTGCTGGGTTTACAGGGGTGACCCACTGTGTCTGGCCTTATTCCTCATGTTAGAGGAAGAGCTTTCAGCTTTTTACCATTGAGTAAGATGTTAGCTGTAGGCCTTTGATATATGGTTTTTACTATATTGAGGTACATTTTCTCTATAAATACTTTGGTGAAAATTTTCATTAAGAACGTATGTTGACTTTTCCCACCTATTGGGATGATTATATAATTTTTATCCTTCATTCTGTTAATGGGGTACATCATAATGATTAATTTATGTATGTTGAACCATCCTTGAATTACAGGGATATGTCTCATTGATTATGTTGTGAGATCCTTTTATTGTGCTATTGAGTTCAGTTTGCTAGAACAGTTGGCCATCCATATCCATGGGTTCATCATCCATGGATTCAACCAACCACAGATGAAGAAAATTGGAAAAAAATTGCATTTGTACTAAACATGTTCAGACTTTCATTTCTTGTCATTATTACCTAAACAATATAGTATAACAACTACTTACATGACATTTACATTGTATTAGATATTATAAACAAGCTTCAGAGGACAAAACATACAGGCAGGTATATATATGCTTATATGCAAATGCTATGCAATTTTATATCAGGGACTTTAGCATCTGTGGATTATGATATTTGTGGAAGATCCTGGGAACAGTACCCTATGGATATAGATGAATGGCTGCATTTTGTTGAGGATTTTTGCATCTATGTTCATCAGGGACATTGGCCTGCAATGTTCTTTTCTTATGGTGTCCTGGCCTGGCTTGTTATTAGGATAATGCTGGCTTCATGAAATTAGTTTGGAAGTATCCCGTCATCTTCAATTTTTTGGAATAGATTAAGAAGAATTGACATTTATTCTTTTTAAAATGGTAGAACTCACCAGTGAAGCCATCTGACCTTGAGCTTTTCTTTGTTGGGAAATTTTTGGTGATTGATTAAATCTCCTTATTCATTATTAATTTGTTCATGTATTTTATTATTTCATGGTTCAGTCTTGGTAGCTTGTAGTTTCTAGGACTGCATCCATTTCTTCTAGGTTATCCACGTTTGTGGCATACGATTGTTATAGTAGTTTCTGATGGTCCTTTGATCTACGTGGTGTCACTTGTAATGTCCCCCTCTTTCATTTACAATTTTATTCATTTGAGTCTTCACTCATTTTTTTCTTAATTAGTCTAACTAAGGTATTATTAATTTTATCTTTACAAAAAACAATTCTCAGTTTTTTGGATCTTGTCTGTTTTTTTTTAAGTTTTTATTTCATTTATTTCTGTTTTAATTTTTATTATTTTTTTCTTCTAGTAACTTTGGGCTTACTTTGCCCTATTTCTCATTCTTTGTGATGTAATGTTAGGTTGTTTATTTGAGATCTTTCTTCTTTTTTAATGTACGCTTTTATTGCTTTAAACTTTCCTCTTAAAACTGCTTTTGCTATATATTCCAAAAGTTTTGGTATGATGTGTTTCCATTTTCATTTGTTTCAAAATTTTAAAAAACTATTTTTAAAATTTTTTCATTGACCCATAGGTTGTTTAGGACTATTTTATTTAATTTTCATATATTTGTAAATTATCTAAAATTCCTTCTGTTATTTATTTCTACATTGATATTATTTTTGGAGGAAAAATACTTGATATAATTTTAATCTTAAATTTGTTAAGGCTTGTTTTGTGCCCTAACACATGATCTATTCTATAGGATGTTTTGCACACACTAGAAAATAATGTGTATTCTATTGAGATTGTATGGAATGTTTCATATTTGTCCATTAGATCCATTTGGTCTAAAGTGTCCAAGTCCAATGTTTTCTTAATTTTCTGTATGAAATGATCTATTCATTTTTAAAAGTGAAGGACCGAATTCCTCTATTATTATTTGATTGCAATCTATCTCTCCTTGCAGATCTTTTAACATTTATTTTATATATGTAGATGCTCCAATATTGGGCACACATATATTTACAATTGTTATATCCTTTGATGAATTGGCCCCTTTATCATTACGTAATGTTCCTCTTAGTCTTTTTTATGGTTTTTGACTCAAAGTCTATTTTGTCTAATGTAAGTCTAGCCACTTCTGCTCCCTTTTGATCTCCATTTGCATAAAATATCTTTTTTCATCCCTTCATATTTCGTGTATATGTGTATATGTATACACTTTTAGTGTAAAACTGAGGTTAGTCTCTTTTAGGCGCTTATAGTTGGGTCTTTTTTTATCTGTTTAATTACTTTACTTCTTTTTTTATTGGACAATTTAATCCATTTATGTTCAAGGTAACTGTTGATATGTTATAACTTATTGCCATTTTGTTAGTTTTTTGCTAGTAGTTATGTAGAAACTTTGTTTCCTTCCTTTGCTCTTGCTGTCTTCTTTTGTGCTTTGATGGTTTTCTGCAGTTGTATGCTTTGAATCCTTTCTATTTTCATTTTGGTGATTCTACTAAAGATTTTTGCTTTGTGGTTATCATGAGGCTTACATAGACCATCTTGTAACAGCATATTTCAAGCTGATAACAATTTAACTTTGATTTCATTCAACAACTCTACACTTTCATTTCCCCCAACACACACTTTATGTTTTCGATGGCAGAATTACATCATTTTAAAAATATGATCCCTTAACAATTTATTTCAGCTATAGATGTTATTAATAGTTTTGTCTTTTAACCCTTATACACCATCATTACAGTCCTAGAATGTTCTAAATATGGCTGTGTTTTACTTATACCACTGAGTTTTGTGCATTTGTATGTTTCATATTATTAATTAGGGACACATTTGAAGAAGTAGTCACCTCTTCCCAGTCTTCTCAAACTGGTTTTGCAGAGAAAGTCCTTTACCAATCAGCCCATCTGGAGATTCTGTATGGGCCAGCAGGTGGCAACCATGACCAAGTCTGCGGCCAGGTTTCCCAGGTAGGCTAGCCAGGTGCGTGGGTTCATAGTGTCTTTCTTGTCACTGGAGTCCCATGGGGCAAGACTGGACTTGGCTCACAGATTCTGGCCTAACCTGGGTCTGCAAGGACAGCCTTGTACTCTTGACTACTGGTGGCAGCTTGAAACCCCAATATGTGGGGCCTGGCATTATAACTGAGTCCACTGGATGGGCCTGAAACCTGCATATATAGTGAAACCAGATGCTGACTTTATTATCTTTTCCCCATGGGAGAGCACTGAGGCAGAAGGAATTTTTCTTGACACTGTGCTGAAGACTTGGGGGAGGGGTGACTTGGGTAAATTGTCAGGGTTCTTCCTATTCTCTTCAATGCATATTTTTTCATTATTTGCTTTACCTAATGTGCTATAATCTCCTACAATGATTCTGGAATTGTAGTGAAGGTATTTTTGTGTGTGTATGGTTGTAAAATTAGTGTGCCTGTGAGAAGACCTGGACTGGAAGCTCCTATTTTGCTATTTGCTGTCATCACTCTTGGATGAACCCTTCTGAGAAGCTGTGACTGACAGAGACAGGGAGTTGGGAGCTGAGACATATTAGTGTCCTTATAGAGAAAGCGCATTGATTTATCTGATCTAGTTAAGGTTGTGGCCTTGATACTTCCCTAGGTTCATTAATTCTCAGATTCTGTGACCCACTTTCTTATTCTTCCAATAAACATTCATTTTTGCTGAAGCTACCTTGAATTGACCTCTTATCTATTATTATATCATAACTACAATGTCTCAGGAGTGAATCAGCATTTAATTACCTCGGAGTATGCAAGTTAGCCAAAGGTGAGATAATCTAAGTTGGATTTGACTATGGGGAGTTCATGTGTTTTCTTGTTTCTTGGTCTCCTCCTGGGCTGAGCAAGCTAGCCGGGGCATACTCTTCTCATGAAAAGTGCAGAGGAACAAGAGAACAAATGGAATAAGCAAGGCTTCCCGAAGCTTAGGCTGTGAGCCTGCATGCTGGCACTTCCTAGTTTTATCAGCCAATGGAAGTCTCCGTGAGCAATGCAGAGGTAGGAAAGTACACCCCGTACATAGTAAGAGGGTGCTACATTATTATATGGCAGAGAACAGAGATACTGTGAAGAATGAAGAATTGTGGTCAATAGCACAACTAAAACAGTTAACTTCCTTTTACTCCAATTAAAGGGTTTCTTAATTAATACAGACACAGGTCACATTCCATTGTAACTTTGGCCTATTTTATAGCTCTAGCTATGTGATATCTAAATAAATCTTGAAAAATTTGAGAAAAACTATGGTTTTTTTTTACACCAGTATATCTGGGTTGAGTGATGATTTGCCTTTCTCTCTTCTCCACTGAAATGAGGAGCTGAATCTTGTTTTTCTACAAAATGTTTATTTTTAATAAAAGAAAAAAGATTCTATTGCCAGTTAATCTTAGTTCTTCCCATAATTTCTTTTGAAACATTTGGAATTGGTTTGGCTAAAAGGAAAAATGAAGTTTTAAAATGTTAGCTGGCAGTGTTCTAACATATTGTAAAACAAACAAAACCAAAGTCCATGGCCACCCATGCTGGGAGTTACTGCTTTGGCCTACGTGATTAGTCAAAAGCCTCTTCCAGGCATTCTGTATATTTCATTGGAAAATCTGAGCAGGGGACAGTAAAGAAGCTGCATGTTGATATTTGGGCTTTGGACACGATCTGTATGGTCACTTCTTCTATCCACACAAGCTTTAACTTTAGGATACTTATTATTATTATTATTTATTATCATTATTATTTTGAGATGGAGGCTTGCTCTGTTGACCAGGCTGGAGTGCAGCAGCATGATCTTAGCTCACTGCAAACCTTCACCTCCTAGGTTCAAGCCTCCCAAGTAGCTGGGACAACAGGCATGTGCCACCTTGCCTGGCTGAGTTTTTCGTATTTTTTAGCAGAGACGGGGTTTCACCATGTTGTCCAGGCTGCTCTTGAACTCCTGACCTCAGGTGATCTGCCCTCCTAGGCCTCCCAAAGTGCTGGTATTACAGGCATGAGCCACTGTACCCAGCCAAGATACTTATTATTTTTTTAAAAATTAACATTAAATGTTAGGGGAAAAGACTAAGTGCTTATGTCTGAGAGTCAGATAACATTTGGATCAAATTTTGGTTCTGCAATTTTCTGGCTGTGTAGCTTTAGAAAACTTGACCTCCCTGAACTGAAGTTTCCTGGGAAATATAATTTATCATATCTACTTTATAGAGTTGTTGTGAAAACCAAGAAAATATTGTGAGCCAAACTCCTGGCACATAGGAAGCACTCAAGAAATTAACTTATTAGTAGGAAGTTTTATGCAGTCTATTAGTCAACTTTTGCTGACAACTATAAAGGTTTATTTCTTATTCACATTTCATGTTGTTCAAAGGCTAACATGGGCTGTGTTCCATACCTTTTTCATGCTGGCATCTAGGGACAAAGGAGAAGTACGCATATTTTTGCACATTGGCATTACTGTAGCCAGGGAAAAATGAGAGATGGTGAAACCACATCATAACCTTTAAAACTTGTGCTTGGAAATGACAAAAGGGACTTTCATCACTTCCATTCACATTACATTGTCCAAAGCTAGTCATGTGCCTGAACCTACCTCCAGTTAAATAGGAAGTACAAGAATCTACCATAGGGACAGACTCAGTAGGGAGAAACTGGATGTGAATATTTTATAAACATGCAACATGCATTTGTGGGCTTGTCTATTGGTGAGATATCCAACATTTATCTGTGAGTGGGAAACTGCACAAGAAATGGAGATTGGAAATCTGCCTTATGATTGTGCCACTGAACTAACATTGTGTTCTTTGGAAATTAGTGTCTTCATCTCAAACATCAAGTTGTTTACTGCTCTCAAATGCAAATGTTAATGTGAATTTATTTATTTTTGTGGATGGAGGATAGAATTAAGTTTAATATATGAATATAGGGCATAAATTTCATTTAAAACTACGTGTTATGGCAAGGCATTATCACTGAACGAGTTTGTGCATAAGGAGCAAACATAAAGAGTGTCTGCAATTGTTTACTTACTGAGCATACGCTGGGTATTACTCTCTGCTCCCTTGATGCATCAAATAATAAAACTGGCCCAAATCCCTACCCTTCTAGAACTAACATTCTTGTTGGAAACATAGACAATAAACTCTAATAAGTAAATAGAGAGAATAACAAGCTTAGTGGTCTGGAGAAAAGAATTAGGGGCTCAGGAGTATAAGAATGGAGAGGCGAAGACAAAGCGCTTTCTATTTAACTAGAATGATCAGTCAGAGTGAAATTGTATTGTAAAAATAACTTTTGAGCAAAGATTTTAAGGAGATGAGGAGGGAGTATATTCCACATAACAGGAATAGACAGAGAAAACACTGTGTGCCTGTTGTATCTGAAGAACACCAAGAAGGCCAATATGGATTAAAGTAAATGCCCAACAGGACAAATATAGCCATGAACTACATAATACTATTTGATCAATGACAAACCAGTCTACCATGGTGGTCCCATAAGATAAAATGAAGCTGAAAAATCCCTATCTCCTGGTGACCTAGTAGCTGTTGTAACATCGTGGTGTAATTATGATTTTGTAAAACAAATTTAGTGTAGCTTACATATACAGTGTTTATAAAGTCTACAGTAGTGTACAATAATTTCCTAGGCATGCAAATTTACTCACTACTCTACTGACTGACTCACCCGGAGCAACTTCTTGTCTAGCAAACTCCATTCATGGAAAGGGCCCTATACAGGTGTACCATATACAATATTTTTACCGTATCTTTTCTATACTTAGACACAAAAATACTTACCATTGTGTTACAATTGCCTACAGTATTCAGTACAATAACATGGTGTACAGGTTTTTACAGGTCTGTAGCCTTGGAGCAATAGGATATAGCATATGGCCTGGGTGCGTAGCAGGCTATGACATCTAGGATTGTGTAAGTACAGTGGCTCCTCAGTATTTGTGGGGGATTAGTTCCAGGACTTCCCATGTGTACCAAAATCCACAGAAGTTCAAGTTCCTGATATAAAATGGCGTAATATTTGCATATAATTGCATGTAACCTATGCACATTGTCCTGTACACTTTAAATCATCTCTAGATTACTTATAATGCCTAATACAATGTCAATGCTATGCAAATAGTTATACTGTATTGCTTAGAGAATAATTACAAGAAAAAAGTTAGTACATGTTCAGTACAGAGACAACACTCTTTAAAAAAAATTATGATACATGGTTTTTTGAATCCATGGGTGTGGAATCCATGGATACAGAGGGCTGACTGTATACACTGTGATGTTCGCACAAAGAGAAAAATGCCTAAAGACACATTTCTCAGAATTATCACCCCTTTGTTAAGCAATGCATGACTGTAGGAGGAGATGAGTTTTGATAGATAAGGGGACGAGGTGGTGTAGGCAAAAGGCCCAAAGGACCATTAAAGGCTTTTACTCTCAGTGAAGTAGTACCTCAGTCTATGGAAGATTTTTGAAAAGACCAGTGATGTGATTTCACTTGCTGTTTAGATGGTCAGTTTAACTACTGTGATGGGAATATACTATAGGCGTGACAAGTGGGAGTAGAAATACCATTTATGACACTATTGTGTGTTCCATACAGTGGATAATGGGGGCTTGGACCAGGGTGCTAGCAGGGAAGGTGGTAAGAAATGGATGGAATCTGGAGGCATTTTCATGGTAAAGCCAACAGTATTTGCTTCCCAATTACTCTAGTAGGGTTGCTAGAAGACCAAAATTGGGGAGAAAGATGAAGAGTGAAATTATGGTCACCTAACATTTGAACTATTTATTGCACATGCAACTAGAAATTCTGAGTAGGCAGCTGGATTTCCGAAGAGAGTTCTGCCCTAAAGATACACATTTGGGAGTCACTGAAACAGCTTAAAATGATGAGACTGGTTACGTAACCAAGGGAGTGACTGATAGAAAAGAAGAACAGAGTCTGAGTCCTGGAGCCTGTACAGATGGTTTCCAACTTACGGTAGTTCAACTCATAATTTCTTGACTATATGAGGGCGTGAAAGCAATATACATTCAATAAAAACCACACATCGAGTACCTATACAATCATTCTTCATTCTTTACCTTCAGTACAGTATTCAATAAATTACATGAGATATTCAACATTTTAGTATAAAATAGGCTTTGTGTTAGATGATGTCGCTCAACCCTAGGCCAATATAAGTGCTCTGAGCGCATTTAAGATAGGCTAGGCTAAGCTATGTTGTTTTGTAGGTTAGGTGGATAAAACGCATTTTTTGTCTTAAGATACTTTCAACTTATAAGAGTTGTAGTGAGAGGTAATCCCATTGTCAGTCAAGACACATCTGCATTGATTTTTCAGGCTGCCATAACAATGTGCCACAAACTGGGTGACTTAAAACAACAGAAATTTGTTGCCACAGTTGTGGAAGCTGGAAATCTAAAATCAAGGTGTTGGCAGGGCCACACTCCCTCTAAAACCTGTAGTGGTCCTCATGGCATTCCTCCCTCTTGTGTCCCTTCTGTGTTTTTTCTTTGCTTTAAGAGCACCAGTCATATTGGATTAAGGGACCTCCCTACCCCAGTATGACCTTATCTTAACTAATTACCTCTGCAGTGACCCTGTTTGCAAACGAGGTCACTTCACCATATCTTTTTAAAGGACATAATTTAACCTATAACAGGACTTTACATTTTAAGACAAATAAGGTGTGCACTATTTTAAAATTATAAAGATACAGACATCTTTACATAGTTCTTTATCAACATTTATTTTCTTTATTATTTTGACCAATACTAGAGTTTCATTGTGCTATACCTGGTATCATATGCATAGTCGGCACTCAGTACATATTTGTCATTTGACCTTTTAATATTTGTTTCATCTTCCAAAGGACTCCATAAATAGACCTTTGAATAGGAAGGGGAAAACAAAGTCCAAGTTTGTAATACTTGCAAGAAAAAAAAAGAGAGACAGAAAAGCCACATTTGAAGAACTGTTAGCCTGTGATTAGAAAACCACTGAACTCTCAAATAAGCCTTTAAACTGAAGAGATAAAGAAATGTCATCTTAACAATGGATGAGCAGCTTAAGGATATTACACATGGCCTCCATGCTCCTCCAGGAAGATAAAAGAAGCAATTGCTCAAGTTGCCTCAGATAACTTTTCTGCATCTAATGAGCATCCCTCCTCCTCTTGAGTCAGTCTAGACAGCTGATGTGGAGTAATAAGGTCAGTGCCGGGCTTTAGGGGGCACATGTTGTAGTAGACGCTACTTGCAGACCTGGCATGATCTGCCCCTTGACTGGGAGCCCAACACATGGCTGTTCTCACATTTACATATCCACTAGTCCCTACTGTCACTTCACCCTGTCAGGATGAAGAAAAAAAGGCATTATGCTTTTTTTTTTTTTTCTGTTGCCTATGCTTGAATCAGGATTTTTCTTTTTAATAGAGAAAAAGAAAATTCTTAGAACATGAATATTTCTAGGTAGAGGTCACTTTTATTAACAGGCTTTATCTGTGATCTGTACTTTTCTTTTTCCCTCCTCCTCTGCCTAGCTGGCCACATTGCTCTTTGTAAGAAAGGAGAATAGCTGTGGTTTGGGCTCTGGTGTCATGGCTCTAGTCTACATGTTCAGCAATATAGGCATGAACCGGCCTCTTTCTGTCTGAATTGGGATTTGTTGCCTTCTTTTTATTCCTCTTCCTCTGTGTGTGTGTGTGTGTGTGTGTGTGTGTGAATGTGTGTGGGCTTGTGTGTGTGTGTGCATGTTTGTATGTGTGCTTGTATGTGTGTGTGCACTGTTTAATGAGGTTTTGTCACCAAGGGAGGCATGTGATGTTTCCGTTCTGCAACACTGGCAGTTCTAATATCTGGAGCTTCTCATTTAGAAGCCTTAATAAGTGATTTCAATTACCTTGTAAGGTTTAAGTCCGCAGCAAAGAGGGGAATTTTTTTTTTCTTCTAAGGTGAGATTACATTTAAATGATAATAGTAAGTGCCAAAGTAATGTGAATGCACATGCCAAAAGGGGTGATGCCCTTCTTGGCTCACTGGGTTTCCAGTGGGTGCTTGTCATAATTTATCAGCTGTAATCCCCTTTGTGGATTAGAGCAAAAGGACTCCCAAGTTGATAAGAGAACTCAGGAGGCCTTCCTGAAGTAGGCCCTGGGTAATGAGCTGAACCACATGTGTAGTTTGGGGGGTTTCGTTCTGTTAGTTACTACTGAGGTCCAGCTCAGGCCCATCAGGTTTTTTTGTAAATGGCATTAACTTCTGTCTATTTTTACCTTTCTTCTCTCTATGAGCTCCCTTGTTTTCATTGTTTAAAGACTATTACCTCTTCAGGGCGGCTCCAAAGATGCTGAGATTCCTTTCCCTAAAAACAGGACGTCTGTTTTATATGAAATCCCTTTCCACGTAGCCTCACCCACATTTGCTTGTTTTCTTTAGCAAAGGCCAGATCTTAAAATAATTAGCCTTGGATGAGAAAAAAGGGATGGCCAGGAATGTCAGGGAGACATTGTAGAAAAAAAAAATCTTACCACTTAATGTTAACATTTCTTATGCTTTTAAATTATAAAATAAGCTAAGAGGCAAGGGTACTATACACACGATTCACTCCAATCTTAACTGCCTGCTATCTGCACATGCAGATACATTTTTGAAATTCTTAGGTTATTTCATGTATGTACACATACTGAGATATATATCTGGATGTTTAAAATGATTGAGGTGGAACGTCAGTTGTGAACACATTTTCTCCATTTCTGCATATTGAAAAGGAACAGTGGAGATGTGTCTTGTGTATGCTAGCTTTTAAAGAAGGTCAAAGGGTATTTATTATTTTACATGGCCAATGTGTTTACATTTTATTTTTAAAAACACTTTCCACTTACATCTTTATGAGCTTTAAAATTTTATTTTTTAATTGATCATTCTTAGTGAGTTCTAAAATTTCTCTCTTACATGAGGGTTCATCTTGATATATGATATTAGATACACCTCTTTGAATTGGACATCGAGGCAGCCTACAAACGGCAACATAGGGCTTCTCAAAAAAGGATGGGGCTGGGTGTGGTGGCTCATGCCTGTTTTTCCAACACTTTGGGAGGTTGAGGCAAGAGGGTTGCTTGATCCCAAGAGTTCAAGGCTGCAGTGAGCTATGATCATGGCATTGTATTCCAGCCTTGGCAGCACAGCCAGACGCTGTCTCTAAAAAGAAAAAAAAGCAACTGGCAATAGGTAAGGGTAATGAAATGTGGGTACTTCATCTTCTTTGTTTTTGAATTTAAAAGTATCTTACTTTTAGAAAGGTTGTATGTCTATATGATTCCAGTAATGTCAGAGGAGTCAAATTTCTATTGGTCTAATTTGCAAGAGAAAATACAAAAATTAGTATTTTAGGTCATCTTTAAAATCCGATTTGAAACAAGACTGTCTATCATACAAAGTGATACAATGACTGCAAACTTCTTTGCAGTACAATTGTTTACATTTTGTATATTGAAGCGAAAAAAAAAAAGCCTGTACAAAATTAGTTGAAACCTCGTGATGAAAGCAATCAAAGTTCAATATATATCTTTGGGAGTAATTTAAGACTATGGTATTTGAGTTCAGCAAACAAGATGAATCAGTCCACACTAGGAGTGTTTGCTTCCACCTTACTGATAAATAAACTCAGTCATAGAGCAAATAGATTCAATACTGGTTTTATGGAAATTGGATTAGTGATGAGCAAGCATTAAAATTGTTTATACTTCAAACTTGCTTCAGATCATCTGGCTTGTTTCCAGACCACATTTGAAACAAATGAGCAGGGTTATCCTATAAAATCACATAACTTCTGGAGGTTTTTCTTTTCAAAAGCAAATGATACTTCTCATTCAGACCACCATTTTTTTTTTTTTTTTGTGGCATTTGATCTCTGTGGTTTTTGCCTTCAGAACCACATGAAAACCAGAAACTTTAGAGATAGTTCCAAATCCTCAAAGTTTCTGATCTGGTTGGCCAGGGAACAGGCTCAGAGCAAGAAATTTGTGTGTGGAAGATTTACTGGATACTGCTCTTAGGAAAAGCATCTGTGAAAGGAAGAGAGGAGAGGAGGATTGGACAGCAGACCTGAGGTGATCCTTCAAAATTGTCTAGAATTGAGGTAAGGAGTTTGGGTGTTTGTATTCCGACAAAGGGGATCCCCAGTCATTAGAAGCTGGTTGGTCCCCAAGGAAGAGTTCCCTTGGAATGAGACAAGTCCCAGGGAAGAAGGAAGGGTTCACCAGGTGAGCCATTAACAGCTTAAGGAATAAGTGACTCAGTCGTAATGGGTGATGTAAGGCATGTGGCATCATCCATTTCAGCCCTCTTTTCCAAAAAGAGTAAGGTTTCCTGAGATGTGAGATATTTAATTTAGAAAAGCCTAATATTAGAAATTGAGGTGAGGAGCAGTCAGGCAAAAAGGAAAACTTTAGGAGAAATTAAATTCTATTTTCACATTTTAGAAATAATATCTTCTTGCAAAAGCAAGAATCTTGGCTTGATAGAACTGGTATTCATAGGTAAGATAAGGCCTAGCCTAAAGAATATAGACCAAGGAATCCTAATGGCCAAACTGGAATTAAATTAGCCATCCTCTTCCCAAAATGCATCCATTCAAGTTGGCATCAATACAGGAAAAGTAAAATAGGTTTAAGGAAAAAGAAAAATAGTAGACACCAAGCCAAAGTAAGAGGAAGGAAATGAAGCGGAAAATTTTATTTGGAGAGATCTCCAAAGTCAAAAGAGATAATCATAATAATGATACTGACCTCTTATCTTATTTCCTTTCTTTTTCCTAAGGGCTTTTGTTTGTTGGTTAGTTTGGTTTTTAACTTTCTCCCTTCTCTACTCAAATTCAGAAATAAGATAAAGTAGGGAGCACAGAGAGTTTTTGGATGATTAATGATATTGTGGACGCTGTATACACTGGGATTGAATCAAGAGACACAGGAATGTATTTTTTTAATGATCCTAATTTATAATCTTACAATCAGTTCACAAATGATAAAAAATTTTAGCTGAATAGGAAGTAAGAGGTGATCTAATTTAATTCTATCATTTTCAGATGAAGAAACACATTCTAGAGGGTTCACATAAATCAACCAATATTGAGGTGATAATTAGTAATGGGCTAGATTGAGCTAACACAGCTATAGTGCATTGTCTACTCTGTCAGCTGCTACACAAGGGCTTATGCCAGTTACAAGCCTTGCGACTTTAAGCAGCTTTCATAAGTTAAGTTTCCCTCCCTGAGAAGTGAAGATTATAACAATATCTAACTCATAGGGTTGTTGTGAAGATTAGCTGAGTCCAGTGCAATTAATATGCCGGAAAAAGCACATAGTGAGCACACAATAAATATCTTTTACCCTCATCCAGTGTCTACCTTTTAATTAACAGATACCTAGACTTTCCTTCCAAGAACAACTCTAAGTATTCTATGACATTTTCTGATCACTTATATAAAGTGAAAGCAACAAATTGACCATCTCATTCTCCCAGAGCTTTTTGGGTAACTAACTTTCTCCATCACATAAAAATTGTAGGTTGGTGGCTACCACCTTTCTTCTCTCTTCACATTTTACACATTGTTCTCAGATGAATTTCTCTAACTTAAAGTGCTAATTATGAAATTTCCCTGCTAAGAAAAGTTTCAGGGACACCTGTACTATCTATAGATAAAATCAGTACTCTGTAGTCTGGCATTCAGAGCTTTTTACAACTTGGTCCAATCTATTTTTCCCGTCTTATTATTCATTTATTCTTCCTTCCTTCATTAAATGAATTATTCATAAGATACTAGATGGCCAGGCACAAAGATACAATGAAAACCAGGGTCTACTTTTCTAAAACTTTTCAAACTAGTGAAAGACCTAATCCTTCCCCAGAAACATATAATAATTGCTTACCTACCTTCTTTAAATGATGTGACTTTCTCTGTCTAGACTGCCCTGCCTTCTATATACACATGACTGAATCTTGTAATCTTGTCTACATTATCTCTTTCAATTAGGATTCTGTGATTCCTTGCAGCTAGTGGGCTACCTTTTTACTTTTTTGTATAGCACGTAAAAATTATTTTTTAAAATTATAGTTAACCATGTGCATTTATTAGTCTTTGCTAAACCTTTGCTAAAGGTGTGTGTTTGAATGATCTGTATGTATTCCATGCCTGCCATCATTGCTCTGCAAATAGAAGAACAAAAAAAGAGAAAAAGAAAGAAAAGACTGTCGAATTAGTATTTGCATGAATTGCCTCCATCACTGGTACTACCATTCAAAGATATCTTACCAGAGAATTAACTTAATGGCATAAAGATAAAACAGGCCTGGGAAGTATTGGTGAGTGGGGAATGAAGTGGGAATTTTGAGAGTTTATGTAGGAGTACTTTGTATTGACAAAAATTCTCTCCTTGACCAAACTCTAGTCAGTCTTTCCTGATCTCTCTTCTCAAATAAACCCTGACTTGGACTTCCGTGTTCATCACTACATTATTCTGTTTTTGCAAGAATCCTGCAGAGACAGTTTAGTGAAAATCCCCCCCACCTTTGGTCAGACCACTCTTGATATCTGATCGCTCAGGCCTGCCTTCAGCAGAAGTTTTACTAAGTCAGTTTAACAAAGAATTAATCTACCTTTTAGTAATTTTCCATCTACTAACTCCTTGCCTTGCTCCTTGGCTATAAACTCTCTTTTCCTTACTGTACTTGGTGTTGAGCTCAATTTCTCTCCCTTACTATAAGACTCCATTGCAGCAGCTCTCTTTGAATAAACTCTTCCTTACCATTTTTGACAAGTGCGGTGAACAATTTTTCCTTTAACAGTAAATTAAACTTTGTATTTGATCTGATAAATGTTCTATTTCAGGAATCTGCATAAAATTTGATATCACCATTGACATACTAAATGTACTATTTATACATTTTACAAATATTACTTAATATTATCTGTTCTCTCATTCATTAACATCTCAAAAAATGACTTCCAATGCCTTTGCATTAGGGTAATATCTAGGAAGAATGACATGATTATGAGGTCAGAAAAAGAAAGTCTACATCATAAATATAGTGTAGCCACCACATCTTGGAGATTAAAGCTAAATCATAAATCCAAAAGCACAAGTGATAAAAACATAAGGGCAGCTGAAAATTCAACCTTGCCAACTCCTTATGAGATTATTTATGTCACCACATACAATAGCCAAAGCCCTTAGTTGGCAAATAATTAGTGAGAAAATCTTTTAGTTCAATAACAATCATGACCATAGACTTAAAAAGAATCAAGAGAAAAACCATGTTTATCTGATTTAACTGTAAACTCAATACCGTAAAATGGAATTTAGATAAAAACGTACGACTGAATGTGTAACCATAACTTTAGGTGCTGTATATGTAGGTTTAAGATTGGAAGGAGTTGTTTTGGTTTTTAATAGATCTTAATTATTTTGAAGTTATTTTCTTTAAGTCATTTCAAATAATTTTATTTTTAAATTCTGTACCTATTCTACCTTGTGTAGTTCCTGGGAACCATGTGAGACGCTCTTATAAGTTAATGGGAAAAACATTTGAGTTGCTTGAGTCTTTACTGTTTTTTTTTTTTCTTATCACTATTTAAGAATTCTGTAGTAAGTGCTTTTGCTTATCTTTAAAGCAAGAGACTTGGTACTACTACACAGCTGCAAAGGCAAACACTATCCGATACTTGTCAAAGCATCTCAGTCTTAAACACAGTAAGAAAATTGTAAAGACAAGCCATTCCAAACACTAAAAAATCAAACCTTTCCTGTAAAGGGCTTCTTAAGGGTGGGGAAAAAAGAAGCTCTATAGTGTTTATAATTAATTAGCTGATTGCTTAAAAGACAATTGGATTTTTTAACTCTAGGAAATAGTTGGGTTACATTTTAAATTCCTCCAATGTGCAACTTCACTAAAGGTAACTAGAAAAAAAAAAGATGAGTTCGCCTAAATTCCAAGAACTATCTGAATTTGTGCAAAGAGAAGACTTGGCCATTTTTTTTTTTTTTTTTTTTTTTTTGGTAAGGCCATGTGGTAATAACATTACAGCTTGCGAAGGCAGAGGTTGGGATGCTTGCAGAAAAAGAAAACATTTGCTGTATCATGACAGGAAACCATGCAATCTGCTGAGGACAGGAATGAGGCTAAGGGTCAAAAGGCTTCTCCAGAATTGTTTGACCTTTAGAACGTCAATAAACTCCTCGGGATAAAAGGTGTACATAAACATAAGACTTAGTATCGTGACTTTCAATTCCCAGTCTTCTATAGCTCAGAAGATTATTTGTGAAAAGTGAAAGAACCAAGTGAAGGACAAAGCCTCTCCAAATTTCAAGACTCTGGAAAGGGGTGAATTTATTGTCAGAGATTTCAACATAACAAAGATTGTGTCTAGCTACATTGAGGAAATT
Source organism: Homo sapiens (assembly GCF_000001405.40). Classification (NCBI taxonomy): domain Eukaryota; kingdom Metazoa; phylum Chordata; class Mammalia; order Primates; family Hominidae; genus Homo; species Homo sapiens. The sequence goes on along the minus strand of NC_000014.9, from coordinate 85,118,196 downwards.
ACACGAGAAAACAGTAAGGTGAACACAGAAGGGTCTCCTTTAGTAGACTTTTGTGTTAAGTGAGTCTGTTGGATGTGCATTTTTTGACCCTCTAAACTTGGAGAAGTATGGTTTAGTTCCACACTGTGCAAGTTCCTTTCTTTTCAATCCATTAATGTAGAAATTGAACTAAGAGAATCAAGTGACGTTATTTGAACACTGACTGTTTTTCCCCAACACCATAAGAGAGCTTAGTTCAATTTAGAGAAGATGAAATTGAAGAGCACTTAAAGAAACCGCTAATAAATGGAGGTAGCAGAATTCAAACCAAGTTCACTTTACTTCAGACAGGGTACTTTTCAAAGAGCATGCTGGAGAGTGGATCTAGAAAAATACACTTCACTATAGATAAACAACTGGCTGTGACAGAATATTTGTTGAAGTGTCAGAAACTCGACACAAACAAAGAAAAAATGGGAATGTGTAAGAATTTCAGGGGTAAATTTGGCTTTAGGTAAGTCTGGATCCAGGGGCTTCTATGATATTATTAAGGCGTTGCTTCTGTCTTTCTCACAGGGTCTGTAATTGTGCTGTTATTTTTTCAAGGAAGCTTTTACTGTATGGCAAGGAATATGTCATCTGGCAGCCTAGATTCACATCCCCTAGTTACAGTACCATAAAGAAAAAAGAAATTTCTCTCCCCCAGTGTCTATACATCAATACAATACATGATGCTTCAATTCCACCAGCTCACTCCTTTGGCTCTGGAAGGAATGTATAAGAAAATATCATGGACGACCAGGCCAGTTATAAATTTATCCAAATCCAACATATTTCGTTACCTGCTCTTTGAAAATGGAGGTGGGCCCTTTCAATACATTTCCTTTGCCAGCTGGCTTTGTCAGTAGAGAGCATGGAATAAACAGTGCAGGTGAAGGAGGCTACCCTTTCTTGTTCTGTTTGCTAGCTCAGCAGGCTTCTGCAGCGTGCAGCTTTTCTAGCACCCAGATCTTGCAACACATGCAGTTCCACCAGTCCTCAGCTCTTTCAGCACAGATAACTTTTCCAGCACCCAGCTCTGCAGTGCTCAGTGGCTGGGCATTTCCATGAGTATTTTTCTTGGTAAATTTCACTTTATTTCTTTAGGCTTCAGATTCACTGTTTGTAAAATGGTATAATGATATGACTTATCTTTTAGCTTTGAGAGGATCAACTTAATTTACACAGGCAAAGGGCTTAGGACACATGGAAACCCTATTTGTGTTTGCTACTTTTCTAATAGAAAAGAAAGGCTTGAACTAAAATAAGGATCAAAGTCATATTAATTTGATTATTAGAAGAGGTTACATTTTTCTTGTCGTTCCTCAAAGTGGTAAAATGAAATATATCAGTTACCACTTTATCCAAGTAAAACATACTTCATTACCTGCTTATGTGTAAAAGAATTTAGCCACATGCTGACCCACACTGAGAGCCTCCATTTGACTAAGGAAACACAGCTAAGAATTCAAAATAAAAGCTAGAGGCAGTGGGAAATAAGTGAGAAAGGTGTCATTTCGCTCTTCTTCTGCCTATTGTGTCTAAGGTGATATTTGCTTGCTTTTTCTTTTGGGTGAAAAATGAATTCCAATATTTAAAACGAAAAGTCAATCAATATTTTATCATGTGTTTTACCAGAGAATATCTCTGTCTAAGTGTGTTTTAAATTTTGTCAGTGTTTGGTGTTTAGTTCAACTTCGAAGTAAATTTGTCATTCAACTTGTCATCTTGGAAAGAAGTAGCTCATTTATTTTCTGTAACTTAAGTCTTTTTTTATTTTAATATGAGAAATTACTGCTGCCTAAAGACAAAAATGACAGGCTAGAACGATGAAAACTTAACGCTATTCGAAAGAAATAACTTCTGTTTTCTGAAGGCAGAATAAGTTTTCTTCCACAGCTTTGGCTGGAGAAAGTATAAGAAGATTAAATCACCCTTTATGGACAGAAGGAAGCCTTGCTAGATACATAGTTGTACAGTAATGTAACTTCATACCTCATAAATCATAATCTAAAACATCCACTATTTTAAATTGCCCCATTAAATAATTAAGTTTGACTTAAGGAGCAAGTCACACCTCATTCTGGAGGAACTCCAGCACAGACGGGCTAAATGTTTGTTTAGTGAATATCTATCTTTACTGAGCTAATAGCTTTCAACAGTTAAGACTGTGTGCTAGTGAGTATTTTTATTCACTTGAAGTAGTTCAGACAACTATGACTTAAATAAAATTAATAAGGGGCTTATAATTTCCCTTCATTAATTATGACTTAAGAAGAAAGCATTTTTCCATAGAATTGAAAATTTACAGAAAGATTGGTCGAATGTTTTTCTGCCTCTGTTTGCAGGTTCATCATCAAAATAACAGACTTAGATGACGATGAAAACTTAGAATCATCTAGGTTTGCAGACTTCATTTTTTTAAACTATAGAGATGTTTGTTTTTGCAAATGAAATCTTATTCACAGAAGATATTTGTATATGACATAAAACTGTGGCCCTGTTGCAGACTGCTGAGAAGTCCACTGTGGAAACCATTGACATACCACTACCTTATTCATTTTTAGTTCTGGACATCAGGGCTTGATGAGTTCCAGAGTTTTTCCCATTAATTTTCTTAAATATTTCATTTCATTTCATTTCATTTCATCCATCTTGACTGCTGATGTTGAAGCAAGGTAACTGCTTATCCACTGAGCTCTCTAAGAGCTAACAAAAGCGTGTTGAGAACAGGCTCTTCTTGCAATTGAGGTTCATTGTTGATGTTCATGACAAACATATATGTTACTCACTGAATCCTAAAATGTGCAAAAGCTCTTGACCTTTCTTAGTCAACCTTTGCATTATTCTTCAAGAGAGGGCCTGGATTTACCTTGGATGCACTTCTGTGGGAATCACCACACCAATATTGATATCACCAAGTGAAGCAACCACTTCAAATAATGGAGAGCTTAATGCCTCCCTCTCTATTCCATTATTAGGAGGAGGACATTCCAGAGGGAGTGATTAAAATGACATAACTGTTTCAGTCTTTCAGTACTTTAATTAGTATTTGTTTCACCACTTATTTTTCATTGATCCAGCAGGCATTTATAATATATCTTATTTGGTAGAGAATATTAAGCCAGCAGTTCTATGGATAAACTTTTATGCAAACTCCACAAGAAAGAGAACAGATCTATTTCTAACAACACTATTTTCTCAGGCACAGAGTCTGAAATGTGCTAAGCACTTAATAACTATTTATTGAACAAAGAAATGCATGTTTGAAGGAGGTAGAGCCTAGGGGAGCAGTAGCAGACACACACAAAAATTTATGTATTTTTTTTTGTTCCAAAGGAAAGTTTGTGCATTCAAATCTTATGTAATCACCCAGGAACCCTGAGAATTTGGAATTATTACCACTTTACCCATGAAGGAACTAAAGTTCTTTATGTTTATGTGACTTATCCACATTCACATATGAGGACAAGAACCCAAGTGGGTCTGAACAGCGAGATATGGTCCATCTTGCTTTAGCACAGTTGTTCCTCAAATACTTTGAGGGAAATATACCATTTATAATTGAAACAAACCAATATGTAATAGGACACAAATTAACTTACCATTTTTAGCATACAACAGAAGACTTTAAATATATTTGGTATGTGTTAGTTTCCTCCAGGCTATATTCATAGATCTCCACCACTTAGTTTCTTTCTGTGGAACAATCTGAGGAGCACTGACTATACTTCATTGTCTCTTGCTAAGGTAAAATGTGAAAATGTACCCTCTCAGGATTAAATCCAAGATATTCGGATCCTGGAGCCAAAGTGCTGCATAAATGCACAATTTGCACTTCCATCAATAGCTAGTCCTTCAGAGTCTGTTTAGGGAACACTTGGGGAAGACTAGCCAGAGATTGTGCTTTCTACTCTCCAGGATCTCACATATTCAGGTCAGGGCATGAAGAAAGACACTGAAATTAGGTTATCCCAATTCCTTCCTTCTCAACCTACTTTGGATCCGGTAGTTCGGGTTATGTTGATGGCTTCTGCAACATTTTGTTTAACAGAGTTCCCAGGGACTAGAGGATGAGATATGTAAACAGAAACAAAAGGCCATTGATAAAAATTATGCATAATGGTATGCAACACATACCTAGATGTTCCTATAACTACAATGATAGATTGAAGCAATTTCCAAACAGTGTTCCATGAGTCATTTTTCTGTGAGAAAATCAACAACACAATGAGAATGATATGGTTTGGCTGTGTCCGCGCCCAAATCTCATCTTGAATTGCACCTCTCATAATTCCCACATATGGTGGGAGGGACCCAGTGGGAGATAATTGAATCACGGGGGCAGTTTCCCTCATACTATTCTCATGGTAGTGAATAAGTCTCATGAGATCTGATGGTTTCATAAGGGGAATCCCCTTTCATTTTGTTCTCATTCTCTCTCTTGCTTGCTGCCAATGTAAGACATGCCTTTCAACTTCTGCCATGATCATGAGGCCTCCCCAGCCATGTAGAACTGTGGGTCCATTAACCCTCTTTTTCTTTATAAATTCAGTTTCAGGTATGTCTTTATCAGCAGTGTGAAAACAAACTAATACAGTAAATTGGTACCAGTAGAGTGGGGTGCTGCTGTAAAGATACCCAAAAATGTGGAAGTCACTTTGGAACTGGGTAACAGGCAGAGGTTGGAACAGTTTGGAGGGCTCAGAGGACAGGAAGGTGTGGGCAAGTTTAGAACTTCCTAGAGACGTGTTGAATGGCTTTGACAAAAATGGTGATAGTGATATGAACAATAAGGTCCAGTATGAGGTGGTCTCAGATGGAGATAAGGAACTTTTTGGGAACTAGAGTAAAGGTCACCCTTGCTTTGCAAAGAGACTGGCAACATTTTGCCCCTGTCCTAAAGATCTGTGGAAGTTTGAACTTGAGAGAGATGCTTTTAAGAGAAAGCAAAGCATAAAAGTTTGAAAAATTTGCAGCTTGATGATTCAGTAAAAAAGAAAAGCCCATTTTCTGGGGAGAAATTCAGGCCAGCTGCAGAAATTTGCCTAAGTAAAAAGGAGTTAAATGTTAATCGCCAAGACAATAAGAAAAATGTCTCCAGAGCATGTTAGAGGCCTTTATGGCAGCCGCTCCCATCACAGGCCCAGAGGGCTAGGAGGAAAAAATAGTTTCATGGGCTAGGTCCAGGACCCTCCCTGCTGTGTGCAGCCTAGGGACTATGCTGCATCCCAGCTGCTCCAGCCATGACTAAAAGGGGCCAAGGTACAGCTCAGGCTGTTGCTTCAGATGGTGCAAGCCCCAAGCCTTGGCAGCTTCCATGTGGTGTCAAACCTGTGAGTGCAGAGAAGTCAAGAATGGAGGATTGGGAACCTCTGCCTAGAATTAAGATGTAGGGAAACACCTGGATGTCCAGGCAGAAGTTCGTTGCAGTGATGGGGCCTTCATGGAGAACCTCTGCTAGGAGAGTGCAGAAGGGAAATGTGGGGTGCAAGTCCCCACACTGAGTCCCCACTGGAGCACTGCGTAGTGCAGCTATGAGTAGAGGGCCACCATCCTCCAGATCTCAGAACAGTAGATCCACTGACTGCCTGCACTGTGCACCTAGGAAAGCTACAGACACTTAACACCAGCCCGTGAAAGCAGCTAGGAGGGAGGGTGTACCCTGCAAAGCCACAGAGGCAGAGCTGGCCAAGACCATGAGAACCCACCTCTTGCATCAGCGTGACCTGGATGTGAGACACGGAGTCGAAGGAGATCATTTTGGAGCTTTAAGTTTTGACAGCCCTGCTGGATTTCACACTTGCATGGGGCCTTTAGCCCCTTTGTTTTGGCCAATTTCTCCCATTTGGAATGGGTATATTTATCCAATACCTGTACCACCATTGTACCTAGGAAGTAATTAGGTGCTTTTGATTTTACAGGCAGATAGGTAGAAGGAACTTGCCTTGTCTCAGATGAGACTTTGGACTGTGGACTTTTGGGTTAATGCTGAAATGAGTTAAGACTTTGGGGGACTGTTGGGAAGGCATGATTGATTTTGAAATGTGAGACATGAGATTTGGGAGAGACCAGGGGCGAAATGATATGGCTTGTCTGTGTCTCCACCCAAATCTCTTCTTGAATTGTAGCTCCAATAATTCCCATGTGGGTGGGAGAAACCCAATGGGAGATAGGTGAATCATGGGGGCAGGTCCTACATACTGTTCTCATAGTAGTGAGCAAGTCTCATGAGATCTGATGGTTTTATAAGGGGAAAGCCCTTTCACTTGGCTCTCATTCTCTCTCTTGCTTGCCACCAATGTTAAGGTCTGCCTTTCACCTTCCGCCATGATTGTGAGGCCTCCCCAGCCACGTGGAACTATGAGTCCATTAAGCCTCTTTTTCCTGATGAATTACCCAGCCTCAGGTATGTATTTATCAGCAGCATGAAAAAAGACTAATACAGAGAAGATCCATGACCACTACTCTCAGTTTGTGAACCTCCATCAACTCAGCAGACCATCAAAGCCTCATCTACTTCAATGGCAAACAATGTGTATCTCATGTTGAACAGGATGGAAGCCTGCTTCATTAAGGAAAGCACTACATTAGGATCTGGTTTGTGCTGTAGGAGCTTATGTAGAGCCTCAAAATGGAAACACACTGAACTCAGCCATGGAAAGCCTTGTGGAACAGGCTTTGTATCAGTTGAAGACAAGTGATAAGAGAAGACTAATGTTTCTACTCATGTACAAAGGTACTTTGATGTTGATACTGCTTATGTACAGGTTGATGCCATGGCAGGAAAGCAAAGATTTTGACCTTTGCTGCCCAATATGGCAACCACTAGCCACATATGTCCACTGAACACCTGAAATGTGATTAGTACAACATATTAAAAAGGTAAGTACATCAGATATACTGGGTTAAATACAATACATGATTGCAATTTATTTTACCTATTTCTTTTCACTTTTTAAACTGTGGTTTCTAGTGAATTTAAAATTGCACTTGTGATTCACAGTATATCTCTAGGGAACAGGGATGCTCTAAATTATAAAGTATGTGTATGCAACTGTGGCATTTGCTAAGTTAGAAGTTTAAGCCATCACTGGAGAATTGAGCCTGCCACATAAAATATTTTCCAAATTTTGAGTGTAAAAAGGGGACTATTAGAAACTATGCCAGAACAATAGGCATAAATTAGGATCTGGGGTTCCATTCTGTTCCACATAAGATAAAAATTTTGACATTCTAATTTTTCAGACAGTCCCTAGCAATCTGGGGCATTTGCTTCCTGTCCATAAGTCAGGCTTACAATAAATGTTAACTTTCCAAACCAAGAGAACTAATTAACAACAGTGTATGATCAATTCTATTTTTTTCACCATTGTAAACTTAGCACACTGCTGAATGAATATTTGTTAACTGAATGAGTGATTGAATGGACACAATTACTTCATTTTCCAGGCATTTGATGATGTGAGTTTGTATTGTTATGTTCTCATTATTTTTGCATTTAAAACATGTTACTCAAGGGTTTACTTCATTTTTAAAATTATTATGTGACTTAATATAGTGTTTTTTTTAAACAACAGGTCTTTCTAAAATGTTTATCTTCAGTTTAATTTTTTGTTTTGCATTTTATTTCTAAGCCTAACAAGTAATAGCAATTACTTGGAAAAAATCGAAACCTTACTAATTAGTAAATATGGTGATTCTTATGTGCTTTTAAATGTTTTAATATTGGGTATGAAATTAACATGATAATGTCAAGGCTGAATTAATTTTTTAACTAAAATCACAAGGCTGTGTTTGAACTCTCACAGGTGAAATTCTCTTGAATATTATACATACTTAAATTATCCAGTATGCAAGTTCCTTTACTTTTTCATCATCTTAGCAATTTCTATACTTGTTTCTAAATCTTCCCAGGCCTGAAAGTTACTTACTGTTAGGGAAATTATTATGTCATTTTAAAGGATTTTGAGGAATACCTTTTCAAACTGATTTTGTAATGATGGAGATATCAGCTGGGTTGCTGACGGACTTCTTTCAACCAGCATTGATAGGACACATTGGCCTTATGAAGAGTCAATGCAGTGGATCCTTTTGTGCCAAAGGGTGTTGATATCATTGTCCTCATAGTTGTGTAGTTCACTCTTAGGATTGGTTACAAAATTGCGAAACCCAGTCCAAAATAAAAATATAGGACCTCTTTTCAAAACTTCTTAAAAATGTCAAGACCATGACAGCAGGACGTTATGTTATTTTATGTATGTATGTATGTATGTAGTATGTATGTATGTACGTATGTATGTATGTATGTATGTATGTATGTATTTTGAGATGGGGTCTTACACCCAGGCCTGAGTGTAGTGGCACTATATCAACTCCCTGCAACCTCCACCTCCCAGGCTCAAGCGATCCTCCCTCCTCACCCTCCCAAGTAGCTGAGACCACAAGCACATGCCACCACGCCTGGCTAAACTTTTGTATTTTTGGTAGAGATGGAGTTTTGCCATGTTCCCCAGGCTGGTCTTGAGCTCCTGAGCTCAAGCAGTCAACCTGCCTCGTCATCCCAAAGTTTTGGGATTACAGGTGTGAGCCATGGTGCCTAGCCAACAGCAGAACTTTAAATCAACGCAATGCCCTACCAAGTATGGGGCACTGCCCTACTAAACAAGGGATCTTGTGTACGTGCATAGGTTGCAGGCCCTGTTCGTGTTCTTGTCCAGATTAAAATTCTGCAGCCAACATGTTAGCGCTTGATTAAGTTTCATATGTAATTGGCTCCTAAGTGACTCAAGTGTATTTTCACTGATCTCTAAAATCCTTTGATTATGAGAGAATATTGATTTTGTTTTGTTTGCTTGGGTAACATTTTCTCTGGTCAACCACACATAATTTCCAACTATAAAGCTATCTAACTGTTATGTGTTTTTCATATTTTTTTCCTCACTATATGGTCACAGTTTTAATGCCATTCTTTTCAGGGGACTGACATTTCTCATTGTTTCAGGCTGTCATTGTGGCAAAAGCTCTGAAGAGTCTGAGAAATGGTTGACCTAGTCCTAGCTTTAATGGCCTCTTTTCTTCACCTCCTTCCCTTATTGTCTCTGTTCTTTTCTTGTTTTCCTTGATGCCTTTCTGCAAATGTGCATTGAATATACCCTACCTTACAAGTACCATGCAAGGTACTAAAGGGAAATTCTTACTTTTGAGAGCTGATTCAAATATTTAGTACAAGAAATTTTAAGGCTATTCCTTTACATTTTAACTATAACATTTATAAAAGTTCTCATAAAAAAAACACCTTTTCAATCCCCCAAAGTGGAATTTAGAATACATTCTATTCTCTCTTGATGAGTCAAACTTAATACAAAAACTTAGGCATGAAAAATATTTAAAAACTTAAGTAAATATTTTAATGCTACCTCCTATATTTGCAAAACTAGTTTTGGGAGAAATGGGCTATCCTTTTTTAAAGAATGGAGTTGGATACTGTGGTATCTCTCAAGTCCAGGGAAAGAATAGAATCTCATGGTTGGAAAGAAGAAATGATAGAAGAGAATCATGAGTGTCTTACTGATAGTCTGCAGCAATTTGTGGAACTTTGCAACAGTCACATCAGCTAAGGAGACAGACAGTCACTTTACAAATCCCAAGACAGTAAACTAGGGTCAAATCAAATTCTCCAGAGCAGGAGTCTTCAAGCAATCTTACAGGGCTGATAGGTGGTATCTGACCTAACTGGAGATTGTCTGCTTAAATACTTTGATGTGCATCAGGAAAAGGACTATCTTCCCAGGCAAAAATAATGCAAAGCTGTAAGCCAGACACATTCTTCCATTCCAAATACAGCACTGGGACCTACAGTATCATCAGATATTAGAATCACCTAGCTTTCACTGAAAAGCTTTAATTTCAAGTGGCCAAAGAAAGAAATTCTCATTTCAATGTGATATTTGTTAGGAGAGACCTAAGCCCTATCCTAAGTTGATTTTACAGGGATTTTTCCAGAGAACTTTTATTTTCTAAACACATTTTGTGTACACATGTTATGTGATTTGGACATTGAACTTAAAACCAAGTAATGGAATTAGATCTGTTTGCCTGTCATTGTTATGTTTATTATTATTTATATGAAGATGAACTATTGGCATTAATTTTTTTTTTCTTTGAAACAGAGTCTCACTCTGTCACCTAGGCTGTAGTGCAGTGGCACAATCTCGGCTCACTGCAACCTCTCTCTCCTGGATTCATGCGATTCTCCTGCCTCAGCCTCCCTAGTAGCTGCGATTACAGATATGTGCCACCAAACCCTACTAATTTTTGTATTTTTAGTGGAGACAGAGTTTTGCCATGTTGATCAGGCTGGTCTCGAACTCCTGACCTCATGTGATCCGCTGCCTTGGCCTCTCAAAGTGCTGGGATTACAGGCTTGAGTCACCGCACCTGGCCAGTATTGATTTTTTTAACTTTCAAATCCTACTACAATAGGATAACATCAGGCAAGTTTATGCAGCCTATCTAGCTTAATTCCTAATTCTTCTTAGTAATTAGTGAATAACTATTGTCACATGCATAATTATACAGAGATAAAGGGCTTGTTATACTACACGAGGAGGTGAAGTAAATTGACAATCTCTATTCTTTATGTATAATCTTAATCCTCACTGGATTTTTTTATTTTGCTATTAAACTGAGAATACACCTATAATTACTTAAAGAACAGTTAATTAAATTAAAAACAAAACTAACATAATGATTACTTTTTAAAAGTCAATTTTAAAAATTGGACTCAAGCATCTCCAATGCTTTACCATTCTCACATTTAACTTGTGACAGAATTACTACCAGATGACTTATGGTATCAGGTGTTTTCTTCAGTAGAATCTCATCCTAGCACTGCTGTGATTTAAGGGATGGGATCAGATTTGATCTACAAGATCATTTTAGTAACTCAGTAACCTAGAATAATGCACAAATTCATATGCAAAGTGTTGGTGGGAAATGGCGATGAGAGTTGTTGTAGTTATATGTGTTTACCAATATTTTGTCCCATATAGTCCCATTGATCTGCTCTCACATTGTTTTTAAAACATGAAATAATTTGGATTATTAGCTAAATAATGTAATTAATCATACTGTTCTGTATCATCCTGTAAGGTTGGAAGTATAATTTATCGTCTCTTTCACTAATTTGAAATTAAATATTTTTTTCTAACTCATATTTATGTTAAAAACCAATTTAGGGAAGACATGGTGCTTTTCAAATATGTCATCAGGCTGTATCATGGTAAGTTGAGTCCACCTGTCACAGCTTGTCTGGAATACAATTGGGTGAGATCTTGTAGCAAGAATGAAATTCATCTTGTCGCCATTGGAGAAGTCTATCAAAGTCTCCATTTGTTTCACTATATCCTCGTCTGTTCAAATCCACTTAAATCTAAAATTTTCTAATTCCAAGGAATGACATGATGACAGGAAACAGCTGGTAAAAGGCCCCAAGATGCCTTATGCTCTTTCATGTAATTACAGGCAGTTTTCTAAGAATATTCAAAGGGATTACTTACAATTATAGTTCATTATGATATCATAGATTTTCCTCCCAGAGTGGATAGTCAAAATTTATAACATTCTTATTGTAGAGACATTAATACCAAGTTTTTCTGCAGAAACAAATTACAAAAAATGTCTAAAGCAGCATAAATGTAACTCTTAGACTCATTTTTTCATGTATTCAGTAAAAAATTACTATAAAGCTGAGATTGCATGTATGAAAATTGAAAAACTCAGAGCCAACCACCATAACACACACCCAATCAGTCAAAAGTATTTTTCTTTTCTACAAATGGCCTTGCATGTTATATATTACCTCCTGTGATTTTTACATCATCCATATAAGGTGGCACTGATTGATACTTTATTTGATAAAACTCAAACACAGACTTTTAAAGTTAGTTTCCCATGGTAACAGATATAGTCAGTAGAAATGAAGCCAGATTTTCTCAAATGAAATTCAATTTCTTATTTTCTTGTCTTTAATAAGGAATAGAAAAATAACATTTTTAAAAAAGTCATCTTTGTGGTAATAGAATGCCCTTTAGTGCTCTGCATGGAGTGGCTTAGTAGGTGTTTCTACTGATTGGATTTTGTAAGTAATTTTATTAAAATGTAGTCTTATTGTTATCTTTAGAAACCATGACAACCTTATATAAAATTCAATGAAGAAGAAAAGACATATCATCTTATCTTAATTCAATTTTACCTAAGACTAGATGTAGATGGACCAAATAGAATATACCTTTGCCTAATTGTTGTTAAGTATTTCATACTCTAATAAGATTCAGTGTTGCTTTTTGAAGGCAACACTATATCTTCTATTGATATACAAGTTGCATTTTGTAGTATCATAAACTCATTGAGCATTGACTGTCATTAAATTGATATATGTAGCATCTTGAGAAAAGATAGAAATGTATTATGCTTCAGTACAATGTTCAATATTTGGGTGACAAGTATTCTAGAAGCTTAGTCCCCATTATCATGTAATACACCCGTGTAACAAATATGCATATGTACCCCTGAATCTAATAGTTAAAAAAATTAAATTTTGAGCTACCAAAAGGAATGAATTATGTATACCTGAATTAAGAAAAAAAATCACATAAAAAACAAATGGTGAGATTGTTTAATGCTTAAATTTTATCAATCACATTAGAAGAGAACATTGTGGTAATATGAGAAATAGCTCTCAATCAAAGGCATTTGGTTCAAAGTGACAAAGTGACTCCAAGTAGGTTATGCTAAAAAGGGAGAAACTATTAGAATGCACGGAGCTTGTCTTATACAATCATAGGTCAGGAAATATATACTGTCATTTTCGAAAAGGCAAAATTCCTGACTATCATCATCTTTTTATATTTGCTGGCTTTCCCTTATTGATGGCCAATTTTTCTCTGCTTCTCTGTAGCCATGACTACAAAAGAGCCACTGATATTAAGCAACCAGAAAAGCACAACTGGCATTTCTGATTCTCATTTTAAAAGTACTTGAAGAAATAATATTATTGGACAAATTTAGTAGTGTTTTCTTTTCCCCATTATCTAACAGGAAATTTCAGAATTGCATGTAAAGAACATGATGAATGACCAGGTGGTGTTCCCATGGTACAGGGCAAAGGGAAGATTTCCAAAGGTATGGAATAGGCAGACATCTTCCAAAGTATCTATCATTACATAGTATTCTCCAAATTGCAAAATTACTCTGGGTCAATTGTTTCTCCTATTTTCAAGGAAAGTTTTTTTTTTCTCAAACTCAAATTTAATGCCACCCTAAAGAGAAAGTGTTTCATTTCTGATTTTTTGTTTCATTTATTTGTTTATTTAGTACCTTTCACTTGAGAATACTAATCCGTACTACATTTTTAAAAGTCAGTCAGCTTTTGGCTCATTTAGTAAAAAATAATATTTTAGTGCACATGCAAGGAATTATAGAGATTTTTTTGAAAGATTCAGGCAAGGATTTTTGGTCCTCCAAATATTTGTTCATTCTAAGTGATGTTCTCTTATAAGTATACTAGACATGATTGATTCAGTGCTCGCTATCGTCATTTACACCCTGTGGATGGTAGGTCAATTGCACTGCAGACAGCTAGTTAGCTCTCCAATATTCAATCTTCCCTTCATCTTGAGGAACAGGATTTGATATTGTTGGAGGTGCCAATGAGTCTGCCTGAAATATTGCTTTCTGTGCCTTCTTTGCAGATAGGGATGGCCAATGATATAGGAGCACAAGTTGGGGGTGGTATTTCTGGGAAGACTCTTTTATAAGAGGCCTCGCTGAGGCTGCCATTCTGGCCACGCCTAACTAACTTGATTCTGAACTTGCCCTCTCACTACCCAAGACTATGAAACTCACTACCCCAAACAGCATTAAAAAATGTGTCCGGCAGGCAGCTCTTATAAAATATTGGACAATAGGGCAAGGAGGCCTGTAATTTTTGAGAGAGAAGACAAAGGAAGTGATTGCTGCATTTTCCCAAGATCTCTGAATGGGGACACCTATTTTTTTTTTTTATTTTTTTATTTTTTGATGGAGTTTTGCTCTGCTGCCCAGCCTGGAGTGCAGCGGCATGATCTCGGCCCACTGCAACCTCTGCCTCGTGGGTTCGAGCAATTATCTGCCTCAGCCTCACAAGTAGCTGGGATTACAGGCGCCTGCCACCATGCCTGGCTAATTTTTGTATTTTTCAGTAGAGACGGGGTTTTACTGTTTTGGCCAGGCTGGTCTTGAACTCCTGACCTCGTGATCCACCAGCCTTGGCCTCTCAAAATGCTGGGATTACAGGTGTGAGCAACTGCGCCCAGCCATGGGGACACTTTTTTACTGTGGTGCAGAGAGTTGGAGCTCAAGTAGCAATGTAGTGTCCCTGACTTGAGGAGGCAGAGACGGAAATTTCAGCCTCATGTAGTGCTCAATGTGGGGGGCCAGGATATTAGAAAGGAGAGAGATACAGAGAGGAGAGGGCCTCCATGTCTTTATGGAAGTTCAATGAAGGTCCATGCCCCAGGTCTTGGTCTTACATCTACAAAGCCTAACAGAGAATAGGATCTATGGAATTGTGAGCAGATAAGAGATATTAGAGATAGCATAGGACTGAGAGGTTTTAGAATTCTGGCCCACCAGGGTCCAGAGGGCTTGCTGAGACCTTGGACATTCAAAGAGGACATGCATTTGAATTAAGAAACATTGTCTAGAGCCATGCCCTGGAATTAAGAACAAAACCAAGATGGGACAGACCAGCTTTACAGAATAAACCAGGCTTGACAGGACTAAAGGTGCCCTATAGTAATTTAACTGCCTGTGAAGAATAAACGAACAAACAAAAACAAAAACAAAGCCTTTCAAAGACTATCACCACAATCCCAACTCCCTACAAACATATTATCCATAATGTTCAGTACAAAATAAAAAAGTTCTAAACCTATGAAGAAGCAGGAAAATGTGCCCCATAATGACAAAATAAAAAAAAATTGAGGATACAGAAAATAATTAAGACAAAATTTATTTTTTAAATGGTTAGTATAATTACTAAACCCCAGCAAGACAGATAAATGAGAAAGAGAGAACAAATTACCAGCACTCTGAATGAAAGATGTTGTTACAGATTCTACAGACATTAAAATGGCAATAAGGAACTATGAACAACTTTATGGCAATCAACTCAACAACATAGGTGAAATGAATACAATTCTTGAAGATTAAAACCTACTCAAATTGATAAAGACAAAAATAAACAGTCTAAATATGCTTATAATTAATATACATAATTATATATTAAATAATATATAATTATACTTATATATTAATTATATAATATAATTAATAATTAAATATACTTGTAATTATTAAATACATTTAATTTGTAATTAAAAGCCTTCCAGCAAAATCCTCCAGGCTAATGGCTTCAGTGATAAATTTTAGCAAACATTTAAGGAAAAATAATACCAATCTTAAACACACTTGATATGGTTTGGCTCTGTGTCCCCACCCAAATCTCATGTTGAATTGTAATCCCATAATTTCCACGTGTTGTGGGAGGGACCTGGTGGGAGATAACTTGAATCATGGGAATGGTTTCCCCCATACTGTTCTTGTGGTAGTGAATAAGTTTCACGAGATCTGATGATTTTATCAGGCGTTTCTGCTTTTGCATCTTCCTCATTTTCTCTTGCCACTACTATGTAAGAAGTGCCTTTTGCCTCCCACCATGATTCTGATGCCTCCCCAGCCATGTGGAACTGTAAGTCCAATTAAACCTCTTTTCCTTCCCAGTCTCAGGTATGCCTTTATCACCAGCATGAAAACGGACTAATACAACACTCTTTAAGGAAATTAAGGCAGAAAAATATATTTCCAGCATTTCAACAAAACTACAAAACCAATATCCTTCATGAATATCCACACATTTGACAAAATATATACACAATTTCCCTACATGGAAAAACTACACATACTGCTGAGAGAAATTGTAAAAGCTTTAAAAAAACTGAGATATGTGCTATATTAGTAGAGTGGAAAATTTAATATTGTTAAGAGGTCAGCACCTCCCAAAATGATATCCAGATTCAGCTAAATCTCAATAAAATTCCAGCAGGCTTTTTTTAAAAAATAGAACTTGACAAATTAATTTCAAAATAGAGAAATGCAAAGAGCCTAAAATTTTGATAGAAATCCTAGAATAATTTTATGACTTCGTGATGAGCAAAGATTGCTTAAGAGAAACATACTAGCCTTAAAAAATTAACTTGAGGCTGGGCGCGGTAGCTCATGCCTGTAATCCCAGCACTTTTGGAGGCCGAGGCGGGTGGATCACGAGGTTAGGAGATTGAGACCAGCCTGGCTAACACGGTGAAACCCTGTCTCTACTAAAAATACAAAAACAAAATTAGCCAGGCATAGTGGCAGGTGCCTGTAGTCCCAGCTACTCAGGAGGCTGAGGCGGAAGAATGGCATGAACCCAGGAGGCAGAGGTTTCAGTGAGCCGAGACCGCGCCACTGCACTCAAGCCTGGGTGACAGAGCGAGACTCCGATTCAAAAAAAAAAAAAATTATTAAGTTGAACATTATCAAATTAAAAGTGAACAAATGAAACAAATTAAAAAATGAACAAATGAAACAAGGACTTGTGAAAATATTGGAAACACTCATATCTAAGACTTCTCTCTAGACTATGTAAATAGCTAAGACAAATCCATACATAAATATACAATTGCCCAATTAGTAAAAAATGGGGAAAAAACTAAAAAGCACCTCACAAAAAGTATATGGCTGTTTAATTTCACTCATCATTAGAGAAAGACAAATTTAAATCACAATGTGATACACCAGAATAAATAAAATTTTAAAGTTGCCAAACCGAAGGTTAGCAAGGATGTGGCACAACTGGAATATTGTGGTTGGGAACACAAAATAATGCTGCCACTTTGGAAAACTGGCAGTTTTTATAAAGTTAAACATGCTGTACTTAGCAATTTCACTCTTAGATATTTACCCAAATGTCCAGAAAAAGATGCGTTGATGAATGCTTGTAACACCTTTATTCATAATATCCCCAAATAGGAAATAACCCAAATATCTATTATTATAATAGATTAATAGATTAAGATTGTAATATGTTTATATAATGTAAAACTACTCAGTGACTTAAAAGCAATGTATTGATAATAAATGAGACCACATAAACAAATATCGAACACATTCGATATTGTATGATTTAATTTATATGAAGTTCAAAAAACAGATGAAATAAATTATAGCCTAAGAAGAAGAGTGTGGTCTATCTCATGTAAGGATTGATAGAGATCATGAGGGAACTTTCTGGAGTGAGAAAATAGTCTTTTTTTAATTGGAGATCATGGTTTCACACGTGTATGCATGTTTCAAAATTCATAAAATTGTACACTTGAAATCTATGCATTTCATTTCAAGTAATTTTTATGTCTAATTAAAAAGAAATTAAGTGGTAGGAACTTTATTTTCTATTTTGTCTCCACTTTCTCCTTCTTTCTTCTTGGAATGCACACTTTCCTGGGTTGCTGGAGGTCCAGCAGCTATCTTGGATCTTAAGGTAATGTTGGATATGTAAGCACTAAGGATAATTTAGTAGAAAAAGACGTAGAGTTTAGGCCTCTATTAGGCATGCCTTAATATTTTTATGAGAGTGGTTATTTCAAACATTTTTTAAATAAAAAAGTCTTGTTTATTATTTGGGTGTTTTCTTACAAGCAGCTGGACATATTCTTAACACTAGACAAAGAGAGAGGAAATAATATATACAGTTGACCTTTGAACAACACAGGTTTCAACAGTGTGGGTCCACTTCTGCATTAATATTCTTCCACCTCTGCTACTCTTGAGACAGCAAGACCAACTTCCCTCTTCCTCCTCCTTAGCCTCCTTCAATGTAAAGACAATGAGGATGAAGACCTTTATGGTGATCCACTCCACTTAATGAACAGTAAATATATTTTCTCTTTCTTATCATTTTTCTTAACAAAATTTTCCTTTCTCTAGCTTATTTTATTGTAAGAATACAGTATATATTACATATAGCACCCAAAATATGTGTTAACGGACTGTTTATGTTACCAGTAAGGCTTCAGGTCAATAGCTGGTTATTCGTAGTTAAGTTTAGGGAGAGTCAAAAGTTATATGCAAATTTTTGGCTGCTTGGGGAATCAATGCCCCGAAACTTTGTGTTGTTTGAGGACCAACATATATATATATATATACACACACACCCCCCACACACATATACATATATATGTATATATATATATATCAGGATCAACATATATATATCTGAGATAGGATATATACATGTATATATATAGAGAGAGAGATATATATACATCTCAAACATCAATCACACTATATCTATTTATAGACTGGACAAAAATATGCATGAGTTAATCTCATCTGTCCACCTCTATTTGGGCAAGAGTACATATCAAATGTTGCAGAATGGCAATCTTCTTAAACCATCAATAAACATAAAAATCCACACTCAGTTATGGGTTTTAATATCTTCCATTAGAATCGTTGAGATCTCACCTGCTGTAATTTAAGGTCATATTGGGAGGTGGGACATAGAGTTCTTGGTGGAAATACAGAACTCATATGAGTCCATATTTAGTATGAAAATTTTAAGTGGTATATCCATTCCATAGGAAAAGCACCAAGAAATATTCAAAGTATGTTTAATAAACATTTTTCCCTTCCATTCTCTTCTTTCTCTTTCCTTTCTTTCCCTTCCCCTCTATTTTCCTTTTTCATTCTCCTTTTCACTCCCTTTCCATTCTCTTGTCCTCCATCTTTCTCCTCTCTTCTCTTCTCCCTTCTCTTCTTCCTTAAGTTTCCTTTTTTATTCCTGTTTTGCCATAATGTCTATTTTACTGTAATACTAAATATTCTATTTTAAGTAGGTGATTTAACATAAATATTGAGAGCACATATAATTTAGCTATTCTGTGGGCTTGTATCCTGGTCCTCAAACAGTACAAGCCAGCGACCCCTGTATGTGGGGTTAGATTGCTGCAGAGGCCACCACTTGAATGTCCCTTAGCCTGCATAAGCAGCACAAGTTTAGGAAATATTATTTGATGTTTGGTCCAACATGCTGCTGCCTGCAATTATTTATATTGAACTCCATTTAAATAAAAGGAATAACCACTGTGAAGATGTCACTGTTTGCATTCAGGATCCATGGTGAATTGTATGAAGAATTGGCTGTTTGTGATTACAGATCAGTATTTAATACTTGATTACAAAGAAAAAGTTGCCCATAAATACTTCAGCCTTCATATTTTGTCACTCTTTTGTGTACATTTACTCATTGATTATTCTATCTATTTCTATTAAACACCCCCAAGGCCTTGGCTTGTGGCACAGAAGGTTCTTGAACTGTTTGAAATCCCTCACTGTGACTGGGTCTGACAGAGTAAAAGAAATGGAGGCAATAAATGCATGGCCTTCCCCTGGGGGTGATGGAAAGCCTGTTATAATAAATGGATACCATCTTTTTTTTCTCCCTCTCATGTTCACCTATAGTGTAAAAATAAAGCAAAAGTATTGTAGTGTGCTCCATGACAAATATGTAAAAAATTGAAGAATTAAACCTTATAAATAAATAATCTATTTGATCCACTGAGTAACTTCTTCTTAATGAGTCCTTAATTTTATTAGGACATTTCATTTAGAGATTTTAAATTAAATTGAGCTTGCTAGTCAAGTAGAACTTAGTTTAAAAAGATTTATTATTTTTTTCTTGTGCTAAAATTATCTTCATCACTTAATATCAGTAGCTATAAGAGATTACAAAAATAGAGAAAAATTCTTAAACATGTGAATAAGCAATAGAAATGTTTCAAATGGTGGCATGGAAGTTTCCATGAATACTTCAGAATTTCCCCATCAATTTAACCACAAATTTCACATCCATTTTTGAGGGATTTTTTAAAGGAGATTTAAATCAGTTAATGCAATGAATTTATGTATTCATTCACTAAGTATATTTGGAGTGCATACTATTATGCTAAAGTAACTATTAGAAAGAATATATTAAAACAAAAACGTGTGTGGGGAAATTATTAAAGCCATCTAAATGCTCTGAATGAATTCAACTCACTGAGTACATTCAAACGATAATCTATAGTGTGGGGAAAATTTGCAGATATAACTTTGTATCCTTACTGATTCTTTAGACATCATGGAAAACTAGAGGGGCATTAGTAAGCTAAAAAGATGCAAATATATTAGTGGTATTTGTGATACAGAAACTAGGTAGATGTAAAAATATGTGCCAGAGACCCTCATATTGATCTCTTGAGAGATATATAAAAGATATATATGTATATTCTTAAAAGACTAATTGTAAACACATAGTGAAGACAGTTATGGACATTAAGGACCAGCAGGAATTTACTGGGAGTAAAACAGTCCAAAATAAATTCATTTTTAAAAAATGTGTTGGAACAGTACAGCAAAGGAATTCTGTAGTTATAAGGTACCTCCTTTTATAAAGTCATTTACTAATTTTTACAAAATACTCCCATGGATGTGTAAAAGAAGACAGGTCTGCAGAAAAACAACTAGAGAAATGTATAGGTTTGCCTAGACATGCCAAATAGTGTAACTAGTCAATATCAATTGGAAGGGAAAGTTAATTATATCATAAGTCTCTTTCATCACCGAGTCCGAGCCCTACTTACAATTTTGTCGTTTACTTTGATGACGTTCATAAAACTGTATTGATGTCCTGAACATCAAAGTGAAAGGTAACATTGTGTGAAGATACTTACAATAATTTAAAGAAGATATTGCAGGCTATAAATCAGAATCACATATAATAAAAAGCCCTGCCGGAATCCTTCACAATAGCTCACAAAGTACAGAAGAGCCTGAAGAAGAACCTGAAGAAGGTGTGTGAAGTTGTTATTTGATGGCAAGCTCAACTTGAACCTTTGACATCATGCATACTAATGTTTAACATGGAACTAGAGTAAACTGATGTAATGCAGCTCATATGACAACGTGGCTAATAATCCCCATATTCTTTCTGTTAGTCAATGTATGCTGTAAATATTCAGTTCAATTTGATATCTAAACTTAATTGTATATTTTAAAAATTCAAGCACTATCATCTGACAAGATATGACAGGAATAGATGAAAGACAAAAGCCTACGTAATATAAAGAAAATTGAAAAAATTGGTATATTTGCCATAGAAAATGAGGGGGTTTAGAAGCGATACAAATGACAGTCTTTACTAATTCAAGTGCTGTAATATAAAATAAATTAGAATGTGTTTTATATATAGCATCAGTGGGGAGAAAAAAGTGAATGGGTATAAGAAATGCAGAATTATTGAATTAAATAATAATCACAACAAAAACAAGGACTTAAAGATGAATAGAGCTATGTAATAATTAGGTATATTGCTTCACATGCAAGAAAATTCTTGATATGTAATGGACTTATGCAAATTTATTTGTTTTATTATTCATTATTTAACTCCATATATTTCTAGCTCTTTTTCTACTAGGCACTGTGCTACATTGTGGAGATCCACATATTCACCTAATATTAATATCTATGTCTTCCCTTAAATATAGAAGCATTCATTTATTACTGTTTAACATTTATCCTAACCTTAGTGACTTAAAACAATGATAATAATTTATTATCTCTCATGGTTTGTGTGCGTCAGGAACTCAGCCAGAACACTGTAGGGATGCTTTTCTATATTCAACATTGTCTGGGGTTTCAGCTCGAGGATTGAAAGGCCAGGGGCTGGGCTCATATGAAGCCTTACTTAATTTACATGTTTGGCTGTTAGCTGAGACTTAAGTTGGCGCTATCTGGATTATCCACACATATTCTGTCTGTATGCCCTGGGCTTTCTTACAACAAGTAACTGTTGTGTAAGGAAAGCATCATAAGAAGGAGAGAGAATCTTGAAGTTCTACTTTTTAAATTACTTAGAATTGGATGAAATTACATAGCTTCATTTATTCCTTTTTTCATTGGTTGGAGCAGTTACAAACACTAGCTGAAATATTCCAGAGGAGGTTAGTTAAATTGTAATAAGAGTATGTGGAATGATATAAGTACTGTATACTATATCACAGTAGACCTTGAAAATTAATTTTTCAATATCTATTTTTCATTTTATAAAAATTACTCACTCATTAAAGATATATTTACCATGACTAACAATTATGTGTCAGTCTCTAAGTTGTGAAAATACAAAAATAAGTGAAAGCTAATTCTAATGAAGTTCCTCATTATGTAAAAGAATAAAAATATAGGTGAAAAATTAACTATAGTTTGATGTAATCACTGACATTTAAATGTGTTAATAAGGTAAAATAAAAATATAATGACAAAATAAAGATAGACATATAATAAGGTTTTACTAATGAGAACTTTCAGAACTAGTTTTACCAAATCATAACTTGTTCTCTGAAAACTATCTGCATCACCAAAAGGAATTCTGAGTGTGGTGGTAAAATATATTATGTGGGTTGAGCACTTGACACCCTGTTAATATTATGAGATTCTGCTCCTTTAGCCAACACTGATTGGAGCAGAGATAAACCTTGACTAAGAAAGAAGAATCAATGGGTTGGTCAGTTGTGGATAAGATCGTCTCTGGCTTATGAGAATTTGCACAAAGAGACAGAAGGAATTGCAAGGTGGGGCAAGATCCTAAAGAGAAATTTCACAAATTTTTGCTGAGAATGTACTCAGAGTTTCCCTGATTCCCATCTTTTCTGAAACCAAGGTATTTACATTTTCTTCGAGATACCCCAATTGTGTGTGTGTGTGTGTGTGTGTGTGTGTGTGAGAGAGATATGGCTGAATGGGTGTGTATGTATGTGTTCGAATGTGTGTATTTGCCTCTGTCAGTTTTGTGTTTTCTTGAATGAAAACAAATTGCCTTCGATCATCACTAACAAAAGTTCTTTTAGCCCATTAAAAAAAAAAACTGTCTTTAGTCCTTCAGCTCTTACATTTAAGCTAATTAATATTTAAATTTTAAAATATATGAACTATATTTTTCATTTATTATTATTGTAATGTTAAAAATACTTGCTTTAATATGTTTAAATGGCTGTTTACCAAATTCATTTTTTAAAATAAAAAGAGTTGTTTTATATGTAGAATTGTAGGATCATGGTTATTCCAGAAAGTGAAGTAGAGTTGTCTTTGACATTTACAGGAATAGCTCAGTGTTTGTATATTAAGATATATAACTCAATTTCTTTGGATAGAATATTATGCAAGTATTTACTTTGTTTAGAATGAAATTTCATTCATCAGTTTGTTAAACTGAGGATAGGAAGAGACAAGGAGGAAAAAAGATGATTCTTTTAATGTTTCCAATCTGCTACTTATGGTTTAAACTTTTATGCCTTCATCCCTTTAAAACTTAGAATTTTGAATGTCAAATACTGTCTCTTGAAAATCACAAGTTTTTCCTTATGAATAATATCTCTGCTTTGAGTATTTTGGAATGTAGACCTAAAAATATTATGGTTTTTTTTTTTTTTTTGGTCTTCTTAAAAGAAATTCCAAAGATGAAGTTCACATGAGTATAAATAGAGCAGGCAATAAGAAAGTGTTAAGGGAAAACCTGGTTAATTCTAAATTTTGATTCACTGCAATAATATGTACCTCCACATAGACTATTTTTAAAAATATATTTCTTTTTTTTCCCGTGTCCATGAGATTAATTAACAATGACCTACTCCAAGTGATGAATTCACTCAGATTTTGCTTATAAGATGGAGGACAAGACTCATTAACACACATGATACTATGCTTCTTTGGCCTTATAACTATAGCACATATTAACTAAGACCAATTAAATTTGTTGAATTATTTGTAGTTTCTGCTAATAAAGTATGATTTCAGAGGTCCATGACCTGTAGCAATTTATAACTGAACTATGGCACACATTTAAACCAAGTATTTTGAAAGGCTGGTGAGTAATACAGCTAATGAATGAGCCTGGCCGACTACATTGCAACCACAACTCAAGGAGGTATTGCTATTCCCTATTTTACTTTATGTAATACCTTGTACAAAGTAAGAAAACAAAGCCTTATTTTTCTGAAAATGTCTTTTAAAAGAAAGCCAATGTTCGTGCTTGTTAAAGAAATGATGAGTAAGAAATGAAAGAAAATGATGGTTCTTAGCAAAAAAGGAGACATTTTGCATTAGGAATATTCCTCTGCCTTTGGGATTTCCTGTAAATTGGTTGATGAGTCTCGAGGCATGATCATACTGAGGTTTGATTTTTTTGGCAAGACTGTTTCATAGATGGCGTTGTGTCTTTCATCAAGTGGCACGTAATGTCTGGTTGTCTCTCCTGTGGAATGTTAGACCCACTGATATTCAAAACAAGGGATTGCAAATGGTATTATTTCTTCTTCCCATTTGTGACCAATTAGTAAATTTAGAACTAATTAGTACATGTGAGGAAGTTTCTATTTATAACTGACAGAAACTTCTTCACATTCACGAATTGGTCATGAATTGTGTAATTTGTATAGAAAAGATATGAAAAATGTTAGCTTCTTTTCCTTCACTTATCACTTTCAACATAAAGAGTGGGTTCCATAGTATCATCCAAAGGGATCCACTAGATTTTGTCAGGCAGGGGTGGGTATTATTATGAATAAATGGAATTTAAACAGAATTGATGAGTTCAAATATATTAAAATTATTGTCTCTACTGATACTCATTTAATTCCATCTTGGACCAGAGGGAGCTCCTTTAAGATGACTCCAAAGTCATTTTGACATGACTTTAATAGTATCTGATAGCTTCCTTGTAATCTTGTAATGAAAGATGACCCAAGATCATCTTGCATATTTCATGACCCAGATCTAACGTTACTCATTATTCTATAAAATCCTGGCTTGTTTTAGTTTAAAATGATTTTCCAAGATAATCACTTGATTGCTGGTAAGGTTATCTATTGCTACTGGCTTGATCATTATTTCTAGGTCTTTTCTGGGACTGTGCTATAGTTCATTTTGGGAACACAATAAGCAAAATCCAAATCATGAAAACTCTACAGGATAAACAATATGATTTCTTTTCAACAAATAAATTGCAAGGTAAAAGAATACCATATGTAGTAAAAGAGATTTAAATTATACATTTAAAGAATAGGCAAAACCAAAACATAAACATTCATAATTGGTGACAAAACTGTGAAAAGAAGCAAAAAATTGATTGCTATAAAAGTCAGAAAAGTCATTTCTATTAGGAGAAAAGAATTTTTTGTTTGCAAGGCGTCATGAGGAAAGCATGCAGAATGGCTGCCGAGGTTCTATCTCCTGACATGTAATGGTAGAAAGAAGATTTCTTCTATTTAAATTATTCATAAAGCTAAAAATTTATATCATGTGTGCATTAGTTAGGATTTTCCAACACAACCAATAGGAGATATATATATATATATATATATATGCATGTATGTATGTGTATATATATATGCATGCATGTATATATATATGCATGTATGTATATATATGTGCATGTATGTATATATGCACATATATATGCACACACATATGTCTATATATATATGATTTATTATAAGTTATTGGCTCATGTGATTATGGAGACCAAGGAATCCCACCATCTGCCATCTGCAAGCTGAAGACCCAGGAAAACTGGTGGTGTAATTACAAGGCCTGAGAGCCAAAAAGGCACTATGTAGATAACAGTTCTTGTCAGAAGCCCTGAGAACCAGGAACGTAGAAGCAAGAGATCAATGCCTCAGCTCAAGCAGTCAGGCAGAGAGGAAATTCAACCTCTCTCCAACTTTTTTTCCATTCAGACCCTCAACAAATAGAATGATGACAACTCACATTGGGAAGACCAATGTGCCTTACTCAGTCTACCAATTCAAATGCCAATCTCTTTCTGAATCACCATCATAGACACACCCATAAACAATGTTTAGCCAGGTATCAGCATCCCATGGCCCAGTCAAATTGAGACATAAGATTAACTATCACAATGTAGTTTTTCTGTTTTGTGAAATATTTAACAAAATACCCAGATAATTTTAAAAGTGAAGAATGAGTCAGATTAAACAAGACTGGAAAAATATTGATATCTGTTAGAGCTAGATATACAAAGGGAAGTTATAGTATGCCAAACTACACTTTTATATATGATTTTAAAATTCCAAAACAAAAAGTTTAAAAATAATGGAAATTGTGACAGGGCTTAAAGCAAATATATGCCAGCTATTCAGAAATTTAAAATCTTGAAATTGGTTGAAACGTGGGTCTACGAACTGCTCAATATTCCTACATAGCACGTAGAAAACTAGGGAAAAAACACTTAGGAAATTGTTTCAGTGATGTTTCTACTAGTGGAAAAATTATAATTACAGGTAAATAACGTAATTAATAACATAGTTAATTTAGTTTTCTTATCTTGTTTTTCTCCATTTGTCATGACTGCTTCAAATTCCCATTTATAATTATAATTCTGAAAAAATATATACCTTTTCAGAGAACCTCAAGAGTGCACCATGCAACATGTTATACGGAAGATTTAATTATGTGATGTTATTATTTCTTTTAAAATTTCGACTCCACTTTTATCCCTATGTATGAAGAAGGAAATATTTGAGGGGGATCTTTTTATATTCTTGTGCTAATTCTCCCTCTGGTTGACTCTTCCACAGGATATTTCATATCTTAATGATATAGTCAAGTTTTTTTAGTGTTAATGGGAGTTCTGCAATGGAGGATTCCCTCAATGAAGGTAATTATGATTACACACAAGCTTTAGACCAATCTTTAGAATCATATGAAATTAAGAATTTTTCAGATTTGCCTGTTTATTATTTGATTCCATTTATTACTAAGACTTATTCTTTAACTTTTGTCTTTGCATTGACAAAATATCAGCCCACTTTTCTGACATATGACCTTTTATTTCATAGATTCTATTTGTAAAATGCTTGCAAAATATACTTTTTTGTTTTTAACCATGTCTTTATGTCAAAATCCTCATTGTTGAACTGAGGGTTAGTCATTTGAGAATCAGCCTTTCTTCCCCTAACTTTCAAGACTTCGTTTGATTCAGTATTTGCTTTTCCCTCTTAAGCATAATCTGAGACTGATTTTCAAATTTTATATCTCAGCTGTCCAGAGCAACCTGGGAAATATTTATGTAGTACATCTATAATGGAATGTCTGTGCAATGTGATTACTCAAGGTTTTCTGTCCATGGTATTCCACTGACATTATCTCACAGAGCAACTATGCGAAATTTCCATGTAATTAATCCAGAGCAAAACTGTATTCAATCAACAATACCAATAATTATAACCAGTGCACTTCTATGTTTTTCAACTATTAGCACTTTTTAGTCCTGCTTTTTACTTTAGATTTTAATGTTCTTTTTCAAGATTAAAATAAAAAGGATTAGTAAAATTATTCTGCCTCATTTTTGATGCTTCTGTTTGGAATATTTTTCTCATTTTCCCTCTTGTTTCTAAAAAATAATTTTCCAGATTTCTTTTCAATGTAGCAAAATAAAATTCACTCACATGTGGAATGGCAAGTTAGTGTTTCTACTGTGGACTAACCTCTAGACATATACTTGACAAGCATGGTAAACTAATGTTTAGGATCTGTTCAAACTTAGTCCTCTCGATAGATGAAGCATTAGAATATACAGCCTGGAAGTGTGTTTTGCCATACTTAACGCTTTAGAAAGCATACAGTAAAAGGTATCATTAGCTAAAACTGAGATGTTATTATCCCTCCATTCCACAATTTTTGTGATCACTACAAAATAATTTCTCACCCTGAATTGGTACAATTTATTTTTACAAATTAGGCACTGAAGAGGAAATATAAAATGTAAGTATATAATTAAAAACTAAGTTGTTTTTACTCTTCTAGAATCATCTTTTAATACTATAGCAAATGCTATGGGTGCCCAGTCTAATTTGGACATAAAATGGGGAGAGTTACCATACATATCTGTGGATTCTGTATCTCTGTACCTCAGAATGTCTTCTTGTCTCCTTAGCCTGCAAGAGCAGGAAGAGAGACAGTCAATTTCCAGGAAGCTAATACCCTAGAAGCTGTCCTTCACCAATAAGAGATAGGAGCAGATACAAGTTTCTTTGCCTCTGGGTGGATAACCTATGCATTAAACTACTTTTTTTTCTTAACTATAGAGTGTGTTTATTTTGCAAGTGAATTTTTAACTCTTTAGCCACAATTTCCTCACATTTTTACATTATCAAATTGTTTTTAAATGCTTTTTAAACATTAGATATGGAAATTGTTAGAAGTTAAAAGAGAAAAACATGTTCTTTCTGTTGTATAATATTGTATGATATTTAACTTAAGGATTATTACCCTTCTGAATATCAAGAATTGAAACTACTAAGGGTCACATTTCTTTATAGGTCCCAAAATAGCCTTGAGGTTGGAATAGGAAAATATCTTTTGTAAACTGTAACAAAACTTTCACCTCAAAGTAAAACACTATGAAATTTACACAAGTATACATGTATTCAATATCCTTACAATATCCAGAAATCTACTGGAGTTTTAGAAATGGCAGTGAAAATAGGTTTACATTCAGAAAACTGAACTTATACCAAGACGACACAACTTGAAACCCAGTACCCTGTGCAGATGTCTGATGTCTGCTCAATCTTAGAGCATCATAAAATTGACACTGCGAAAAGCACACATCCTCGGACACTCAGTAAACGTAAGGCAGAAAAAAAATTCCAGTGAAATTAGCTTTCACTGTTCATGTAAATGGAGTGCAATATTCAAATTCCTTAGGGTACCCTAAGGCTCTCAGGATTTCTGGTAACATTTCTGCATGTGTAGTATCCTTTTCTGTTTTCCATCAATTGTATCCATAGCTGTGCAGTTCTAAACCAGCTTCTAGAAATTCTGCTCAAAAACTGGTTTTAAGGTGCTCTATGATTGCTTCCCAAAACTTTATATAGTGTCAGATCAACAAGCCACTCCTCTACGTGACATGGTCAGCTTTATTTTTTTTCTTTTTAAATTTTAAAATGATACATTATGACAAAACTATTTCTCTCAAAGCCAAATTGGGTTAGCATGGATTAGTATATCTAATACTTAGGCAGACATGGAGAAATCTCAGAGCTTCCTAAGAGCAAGACATCGATTCTATGGTTAACTGGTGGCAGATTTCAGGGGATTCAGCTCCCTCCCTGTGGCCATGTTGGAACACCTGGTGGAGCTCTCTAAAGGGAGGATCCTCTTGAGTCTGATCCCTTCCACGCAGCCCCTGCATGTCAGAGGCAGAGAGATGGCCCACATCAGACAAAAGAGGTTCTGTATGAGCGTCCTGTGTAAGCACCTCCTTTCAGTGAAAAGACCTGAGTTATTACAACTCTAGCCATGTTACGTGCTACATTGAATACAATGCTCTCGATAGGTCCTCAGGCTGTGCGACCCTACTGAATACACATCATTGAAGCAGGTCACATCTGACATTCCCTAAAAGCCACAGCAAAGCCACAGCAGCAGTCACCTTTGTGAGCACAAAGCCTCATCTCCTTTCTGTCCATTTGTGCGGCTTTCCTTCTTTCTGTGGGAGAACCAAAACAACCACTCCCATTGGTTATGCAATTCTGGGAATTTAAAAATCACTCTTATGAGTTATGCAATTATCACAAAAGGTCTTGTGACTTGATTACACATTCTTCTTTGCTCAGATCCTTGCTAGATTGCACTAGACTGTTCTGAAAAATTGATCAATATAAAATCTTATCTCCTTCTGATGTCACACACAAAAATCCTTCGAGTTCAACCCATAAAGTCATAAATATTGTACACTCATTTCCCTAATGATACCCCACTTCAAAGTTGTCTATGTAATGTTTTCTCTTGGTGCTGTAAGTAAATACAACTCTGTTTGTTTATGTTATATAGCTGGTTTCTTTTATTTCAGGAGGTATTTTACATGCCAACCTAAATTCTTCACCAAATCTTTGTTCCAAAATTCTTGCCTCGGTATCTGCTTTTGGGGAAACTAAAAGTAAGAAAAGTACATTGAAAAATATATCAATTAAATATTACATGTCAGTGACTCCTATACATTATTTTTTTTAGTTCTTGTGGAATATATTCTTATTTGACCATACCTGTGATAACATACATTTTTACAGGAGCTCGCTGAAGGAAGTTATAAAATCCATGACTTAATAATGGAGATACTATTTTTCTTGAACGTAAACAATCTTCATGTTTGCCACTTGCAATGGACTGAATTATGTCTCTCCCAAATTGATGTATTGAAGCTCTAACTCTCAAAGTGATTCTATCTAAGGATAGGATATTTAAAAGGTAATTAAGATTAAATGAGATCATAAGGATGGGCCCTAATCTGATAGAACTATGGCCTTATAAGAAAAGAAAGATATTTATTTTTTTTTTCTCTCTCTCTCTCTCTGTCTCTTTCCACTAAGCGAGAACACAGTGAGTGAGAAGGTGGCCATCTGCAAACAAGGGAAAGAGCTCTCATCAGACCTCAACACACCGGCATTCTGATTTCGGACTTCCAGCCACCCAAACCATGAGAAAATAAATTTCTGTTATTTAAGACATCCAGGGTATGGTATTTTGTTATAGCTGACTAATACCAAGCTGAGTAATCCTGAGCTGAATAATACTCAACTTCTAGGCTAGTTCATAAAAGCATGAATAAATACTCAACTTCTAGGCCAACTTCTAGGCCTAGTTCATAAAAGCATGAATAAATACTCAACTTCTAGGCCTAGTTCATAAAAGCATGCCATGCCTAATTGACTGTGTTCTTTCCTTGGAATGTGTGTGTGGAAGCTAATAGAATCCTGGAATCACTATCTGAAGGAGACATATTGTTCATAGTCACCTGTTTTGGAATTTACGAGATGCATTGACTTATACTTATTAATCCACTTAGATTTTGGGGTGTATCTATTATAGTACCTAGGGTACTTCACAGAGAAATTAGTACCTAGAAGTAGTGGAATATTGCCATAACTAAAAACTTGAAATTGTATCCCTGACTTAGTGGTTAGGTGACAGAAAGCAAGGGCATTGGTTTTGGAGCCTGAAAAGATGAACAGCCATGGTATGTGGTGTCAAAACACAAGAAATTAACATCTATAAGAAAAATTACTTATCTATGAGTTTATGTTCTTAGACATGGGGTTGTAAGGTGTCTGTGTCATATTGTTTTTATTTTATTTTTGCTTATAACAAGGTATTATTAGAAATGCTAATCCAAAAAAGAATTGACCATCTGGTAAGCAGAGTTAAAGAGCATAGAATGAGTCTAGAAGTTTAGGGCCTCGACATCAGAAATACAAATCACTTCTAGATCCTAAACTGTAGGATATAAAGACAATGACAAATGCCTTCAATAACTTCTCATATTTTTTCCTTAGAAAAACTAAAATTAAATGCATAGGCCTCTTACCTATTATTTCAGGTAGTCTCCAGCTACCTATATTATACCAAAGAAGATGTTCATAAAGATAAAAGAAAGAAAGAAAGGAAAGAAGGAGGGAAAGAAGAGAGGAAATAAGGAGGGAAGGAAAAAGGGAAGAAAGAAAGGGAGGGAAGAAATGAAGGAAGGAGGGAAGGAAGGAAGGAAGAAGGGAGGGAGAGAGGGAGAGAGGGAGGAAGGAAATGAGGGAGGGAAGGAGGGAACTTTCAGAAAAATGTATAGAAAAAATGTGGGTTTAGTCACTGGCATAAGGTACCAAGTAGAAACAAATAGATACAAAGTCTGTTAAAGGTATTTCCAAAAGCTCCATGAACCTGAGTTAAAGAATTACAGAAACTACTGACTGATTCATCATTAACACAACTTTTACATTCCCAGACTTACAGTATCAAGAAGTCAACTGTGAAAGCTACAGATCACCAAAAGGAAAGACACTTATAAACCACCACCTCAGGTATGGGCATATAGAAGAATGGAGGAAAAAAACTTTCTGGAGAGTGAGATCATGGGTCACAAAGAACAATAGACAAGAGAGTTATTTCCAGAGAGCAGGATCAGGATCTAATCAGGACCTTCCTCCACCATTAGGGCACAGGCACCTCATGATGCCAGCCTGGAACAGGTTCATCTTGCTGTGGGCTAATGACCACTATGTGTCTCCCATAATTCTGTTTTTCAGATGCGCGTATCAATCATAGTTACCCTGTCTTTTTTCTACCATTTGCCATCATAGAGTGGGAAGGTACAGATCATTTGCCTTCTTGTATACTGTGTCAGGAGGAGTCACATTTGAGCTTGATGAAGCAGTGTGTGGTTACTCAGAGGTTGTGGACTTTGAGTAGAAGGTAGTGACTGGATAGGAATTTGATTTATCTCATTTGGGAAAAAGGTGTGCATTCTATGCATGTGAGAAGGGTAAAGATATATGGTGCCTAAAAGGGCAGACTATGCCAGTGATTGGGTTGATATTTACCAAATCCATTTCCTCATTCACCTGGGAACTCAGGCATACTACATTTTCAAGACATGCCTCTCAGACAGGATTCTGCATCATTTAATTTCATTTTCTGAACATCACTTTAACCCCTAACTAAAACCTGCTACAAGAATAATACAAGATTAAGCTATAACAAGCACTCAAAGTTCTATTTTTGCACATTTGAATTGTGGTATATGAATTTAATCCCACAGTATCTAAATGTTATGAGATATCTTGCATTAGAAAGATCTGTTTAACCCATCAACTCATTTTCCTGACCATCAAATTCTGTTTTCATGCAATACTTACTAGCATCCCACAGAATTAGTCTGCTGTGTGAGTATAGTTCAGAAACTGCTCTGTGGGTTAAGAATACTTATGATTCCATTTGGAGAGGGTAACACCTCCTTCATTAGAAGACTCTCTTAGTAAGCATGAGTATACCAAGTCTTCCCTGCATCATGCTATTCTTCTCCGAATTTGCATTTAGCTCAGGTCCAAATGTTCCAAAGCATTCTTCTAATATGGAACCAAATTCTCAACTCTTAAAAATAGGAAGGATCGGCCGGGTGCAGTGGCTCTTACCTGTAATCCCAGCACTTTGGGAGGCCGAGGTGGGCGGGTCACGAGGTCAGGAGTTCGAGAACAGCCTGAATAACATAGTGTAACCCTGTCTCTACTAAAAATACAAAAATTAGCCAGGCGTGGTGGCACCTGCCTGCAATCCCAGCTACTCAGGAGGCTGAGGCAGGAGAATTGCTTGAACCCAGGAAGCGGAGGTTGCAGTGAGCTGAGATCATACCACTGCACTCTAGCCTGGGTGACAGAGCGAGACTTCCATCTCAAAAAAAAAAAAAAAAAATAGGAAGGATCTTATTTTCTCACTGCTATTAACTGAATGTTTGCATAGCCCCAAAATTCATATGTTGAAACCTAATCCCCAATGTGATGGTATTTGGAAATCAGTCCTTTGGGAAACAATTGTGCCATGAGGGTGGAGGCCTGTTGATGAGATTAGTGCCTTTATAAGAGACAGGAAAGAGCTTGCTTGCTCTCTCTCTCTCGGCTGTCTGCCATGGGAGGAGGCAAAGAAAGAGATGACCATTTGCAAACTATGATGAAAGCCCTCACCAGACATCAGTCTGCTGACACCTTGATCTTGGATTTCCCCACCCCTAGAACTGAGAAATAGATGTTTGTTGCTTAAGCTGCCCAGTCTATTGTACTTTTTTTATTGCAGCCCAAACAGACTAAGACAGTTACCTACATCCCTTAAGCCCCTCCCCTCCTCAGTGTTCCACTTAACTTTCATGTCCCTTGCATTAACTCTGATAAAATCCAAATTGCTTGTCACAGGCAGACTATTTAATGCTGTTATCACATGAGTGTCTTCTCTTTGGGTATTTGAGAAAAACTCTAAGTGGCAAATGAGGAAATGTCTAGCTTGATTCTCAAGGAATCTGGAGGCTTCTTTGGGACAGGATTATGCTGGAGAGATTCAGAAGCGGTATCAAGAGTAGTGTCAAGTATGTATATATATATAGGTATGGACACAAGACATAGGCAGGATAATGGTTTCTTCCACTTAAATGTGCAGCCTTCTCAGGGGAGTCATCCCTAGTACTTGCTCAAGATGATTTTGTTTATCACACTTCCTGGTGACACAAAGAGTGTCCCACAAAAGCAGCCCCTTTTTTTATTCACTTCTCTGGGAATTTGTGGTTACAAGTTGACAGTAGGCTCACTCTGGGGCCCAGACATCTGAATCCTGACCCACCCCTTCAATTCTCCTCCCCATCTCTATTTCAATTAATTCCCTCTATACCTTCATTAACAAAAAGTTTAATGTTCTCTTTTTCTCATACAAAAATACTTATAAAGAGGTTCAGAATCTCCCAGAAAGAAATTCTAGTATTTGTAACATGAACACTTACTCACACTGCCTCTGGGAAATAATATTTTACTCTTAAGAGTACCAAGAAAGTACTGTCTTTGGAAACTGTTTTAGTCAGGGCTCTCTAGAGTGACAGAGCTAATAAGATATACACACACACACACACACACACACACACACACATATAATAGCAGTTATATATGTATAAATATATATACATATAAAGTAGTTTATTAAGCAGTTTATTAAGTAGTATTAACTCACACAATCACAAGGTGCCACAACAGGCCATCTGCAAGCTGAGGAGCAAGGAAGCCAGTCCAAGTCTCAAAGCTGAAGAACTTGGAGTCTGATGTTTGAGGGCAGGAAGCAACCAGCATGGGAGAAAGATGTAGGCTGGGAGGCTAAGCCAGTCTAACCTTTTCAGGTTTTTCTGCCTGCTTTTATATTCTGGCTGCACTGGCAGCTGATTAGATGGTGCCTACCCAGATTAAGATTGGATCTGCCTTTCCAGGCCCACTGACTCAAATGTTAATCTCCTTTGGCAACACTCTCACAGACACACCCAGGATCAATACTTTGCATCTGTCAATCTAATCAATTTGACACTCAGTATTAATCATCACAGAAACGAAGAGAAGAAAGAGCTCTTCTATTTGGAAACCAAGAGAAGCAAGTAGAAGAAACACTTTCATTCCCACTTGCTGGCTCATTCTGTTTTGGGTTGAATTGCACCCCCTCCTCCTACCACCAATTCCTGTGTTGAAGTCTTAGCTCCCAGCCCTCCAGAAGGTGACTGTATTTGGAGATAGAGTCTTTATGGGGTAGTCAAATTAAAATGTCATTAGGGTGGGCCTTCATTCATTCAATATGACTGGTGTGCTTGTAAAAAGGGGAAAACTACAGATAGAAAAGCACACAGAGAGAACATCATGTGATGATAAAGGCAGAACTTGGGGTAATGTTTCTACAAGGCAAGGACCACCAATGACTGCCAGCAACCACCAGAAGCTAGAGGAGAGGCATGACACAGATTCTTTCTCACAGCTCTCGGGAGACATCTTGATCTGACACTTCCAGCCTTCAGAAATGTGAGACAATACATGTTTGTTGTTCAGACCACTCAGTTTGTGTTTGTTATGACAGTCCTAGGAAACAAATAAATGCTCCTTCAAGGACAGACTAAAGAACTTCTTGTTGACCTGAAATCATCAATACCCACACGGCACACACTGAGTTGTCATGTTCTGCTGCCCAAGCTCCTGCTCTTGCATCCTACCAACCCTTCTTTCTGGGTTTATTAGTTCTCTCTCACCTTTTCTTTTGATCAACATGGCTTCTTGCTCCATAACTGTGATGGTGGGGAGCTACAGGTGGTGGGGAGGGTGGGTGGTGGGGGAGGTCAGGGAAAGGTGGAAAATTTGGGGTAGAGGGATCATTGTCCCAGGCCTGCAGGGAGACTTCCTTTCCCTGTCTGCACATTAGCTCATACTGAACACTTACCAAGGCCACAGTATTTCGGAGACAAAGAAAATGAGTTTCACTTAGAGATGTCAGTTTGCAGCTTTAGTGCAGGTCTGGAAACAGAAGACAGGATGTAAGATAGAGCTATTGACCTGAGAATCAGTGAAATCCTGAAAGGGGGTGAGAATTTATAGGTATTCTCTGTATTCAATAAAGAAGACAGCTGAGGGAAGAACTCAATAAACAAAGAGAGAACAAGAAGGAGAATAAAATGCAAATATAAGCTGACATTTATTACCCTCTTATTAAGTGGCAGGCACTATA
Source organism: Homo sapiens (assembly GCF_000001405.40). Classification (NCBI taxonomy): domain Eukaryota; kingdom Metazoa; phylum Chordata; class Mammalia; order Primates; family Hominidae; genus Homo; species Homo sapiens. Next base: position 85,081,926 of record NC_000014.9, on the reverse strand, counting down.
ACAATAATAAGATCTAACACATTCAGTGCTTACTAGATATCGGGCACCGTTTAAATACTTTTGAAATATTATCTAACCATCTAGCAAAAACTATAATTGTACAAGTGCTATTATTATCCCCATTTCTCCAATGAAGATACTGAGGGTCTTAGAGTTTACCAATTAGGCAGCAGAGAGCTCATATGCTCTTCCTGACCACAGAACACTACTGGTAAGTCAATAGCTATAGGCTACAACCAACAATAGGTTAAGTATACATGAATTTATGTTTGGAGCCTCCTATAATCTTCAGGGATACAATATGAGTTGGGTGCTGATAAACGATTTCTATTTTGAAGACTGAGGCTCAGACAGGTTAAATATATTGTTTATAGGTACCAAAGCAGTTAATGGCAGTGTTTGGAATGCATGTAAAAACTGGTGGAATACCAATGAGGTGTGTAGTTGTGTTGATGTCAATTTCCTGGTTTTGAGTATTGTATTATGGTTTTTAAAGATATCGTCTTCGGAGAAAGTTGGATAAAGAGTAGATGGGACTCCTTTGTATTCTTTTTGCAACTTCTTGGGAGTCTTCAATTATTTCAAAAAGGATGTTAAAATAATCTTCAAAAAGTAGTGCTTTATTGGAACCCAGTTGTTTCTGGTTCTGAAGTGCACACACTTGTCCTGGATGACACACTTATTTTTCAAGATACTCAGGAATAAGCAAAAAAGCAGGACAATAAAAAGTGAAGAGAGAGAGAGAAACAGAGAGCGAAAGAGAGACAGAGAGACAGAGGATAAATAATAAATAAAACATATGCAAACCTATAAACAATGTCACTATGCAATTAGTCATTTTAAATGCATTCTCAGTGCATTCACAGTGACTCTCCAAAGGCGGTGTCAAAAATGTTTTCATACTTTGTGAAAATTCAGGCTTAGCGAAGTTAAGTTACACCACAGGTCATTAGTGTCTGTACCAAGAATAACCTTCAGGGCTCTTAAAACTCTAACTCTGCAGCTTCTGCCATTCCTATTACACAAAGGTGCCTGGCAGAATCTAAAGACAGAACTAGCATGATTGCTGTTCAATTTCCCTTTGCATGGAGAGCCTAACCCAGTACCAGGCACATAGACATACCAGGGACAAATACATGAAGTTGGGTTGGCTCTTTTAACTGCTCTAAATGTCATCACCCAAACCCAATTAATACACCCTCACCATAACCTTAAATCTTGCACAAAAAGAACTCTGCCTTGAGGAAGCCTGTAGAAATTCAGCAGGGAGGGCTTCAATTTGAGTGCTGATCAGACTCAGCTTTGCGAGCTCTGGCAGGACCTGAAGAGAGAGCTGCACACAGCCGTTGACGCTTTAGGTTGCCTGCTGTTTCTTCTAGACGGCTGTCAAGGCTGATAAAACCTGTCATGCTTTCCCTGGCTGTGCAGCCATTTAATAGCAAAAAGACATCACCATAGGAAGCACAGTCAAGAGGCATAACGTTTTTGGAGATGGATGGATGGATGCTTTGTTTTGTGTCTCCTTACAACAACTTAAATGTTGATCCATTCCTTGGAGGCGTCCTCATCTACCACCCAGGAGTTACCTTGGAGCTTACTTCCTACAACAAGTCCAGAGTGTTTGATGGGCATTGTGCCCTTAGCACACAGAGAGATAAAAAAACCAGGAGGTCAGGTGTGGAAATGTAAGGCAGTGTATTAGGTAAGATTTAACAGCAGGGCAGTTCAGAATGCTCAAATGTACTTAAGTTTCTGGACTTGTCACAAAAAGTGTTTTATTTCCTTTCAGATGTCAAAAAGAATAATAATTTTAAAAACAGCTTGAACTACAGAGCCAATGGCTGGTTTGATTAAGGTGCCTGGAACAGGATGGAGTAATATCAGACAATGTTGTGTTACCAATTAGTTCATATAGCTTTGGAATGAGAAAAATCTTGTTTATCAAAAAAATTGTGCAATTGTATGTTCTTCAAGTTTTTATTTTTCAAAGAGGACAAGGCATAAGAAATAAAATTTAATGAGCTCTCATGGAAAACATCTAATATGAAAGAAGACATCTAACTAACCTTTAATTATCTTTAAACTTACTCCACTTATGAAACATCTAATACGTTTCAGAAATGGGATAAGCTAATTAAAGTTTTCAAAGTTATAAAAATAGATGTTTGGAGAAATAGTTTTGTAGCCAGACACCTATTGCCACACTGCTCTTCTACTATTTAACATGTTCATACAGTCTTTCTCTCTCAGTTGATCTGTGTATATACATTTATGCTTCCCCAACTCTTTAACTCTTCCTCAGTTTTACCATTATATAAATAGATGTAGAATCATTGCCTTTTATTTATATTGCTTAGGATTTATTGTGCTTCTTGAATCTAAGGATTCATGATTTTTGTCAATTCTGAGAAATCATCAGCCATTATCTTATGAAATGTTATGTTGTCTATGTTCCTGCTCTTCTCTCCATGTGGAATTCTGATTAGATATGCATAGTTTTTCCTATCTCTTCACTTTCATCTTTTTTATTTCTTTAACCCCTTCTAAAGCATACCACATTATTTTTTCCAAGCTTGATCTTACAGTTTACTAACTTTTTCTTTAACTGTTGAATCTCAACTCCGCAAAATTTATTTTCCTATTTGTATTGTAATTTAGCAATATGAACTCATGTTTGGTGGGGCTTAACATGGGAATCTTGTGAGATAAACACTGAAATTTCTTCCTCTAGGTAGAATTTGCCTTTGCTTTTCCAAGAGTGCCTTAAATTTTGTTATTCTGAGATTTTGAATATTCAGGAAGTTTTTTTTTCTGTCATCCAGATCACAGGTTGTGGCAGAAACACTCATTTTCTTCAGTGGCTCATTTTGCATATAGAAGAATGTTTTTTTAGTCTACTCTTTTACTCATGGTTTAGTATTTCAAGGACCCTGGCTTTTTGTGTGTGTTTTGTGGAGAATTGGGATATACTAACTCTAATTATATATTTCGTTTAGATCCAAGGCTGCTATTATATCCTTTATACGAACATTAAAACCCAATCCCAATTTGCCAAAATTGACAGGTACCCTCAGAAAACTCATAACTTCAGCCTTTGCTTGTTGTGTGTGTGTGTATTCTTAACTTTTGACAACCTGAGGGTTTTCTTTTTTTCATCAGAGCTCCTGTATGATTTAATGAAAAAACATGTTTACTTGTGAACCAAAAAGTGCTTTAAAAGTAAAGTCTATTAAAAAATGTTTGTCCACTGTGGTACTGGTACAAAAATAGACACATAGACTAATGGAACAGAATATAATATTTAATAAATATTTAACAGAATATTTAATAAATGGTCCTGGGAGAACTGGCTAGCCACATGCAGAAAATTGAAACTGGATCCCTTCCTTACACTTTATACAAAAATTAACTCAGGATGGATTGAAGACTTAATTGTAAAACTGAAAACTGTTAGAAAAAAACCCTATAAGAAAATTTAGGCAATAGCATGCAGGACATACTCATAGGCAAAGACTTCATGATGCAAATGTCAAAAACAATTGCAACAAAAGCAAAAATTGACAAATGGGATCAAATTAAACTAAACAGCTTCTACACAGCAAAAGAAACTATCATCAGAGTGAACAGACAACCTACAGAATGGGAGAAAATTTGTGCAATCCATCCATCTGACAAAGGTCTAATATCCAGGATCTAAAAGGAACTTAAACATACTTACAAGAAAAAAAACAAACAAACAACTCCATTAAAAAGTGGGCAAAGGACATGAACAGACCCTTCTCAAAATAAAACATTCATGAGGCCAAAAACATGTGAAAAAAAGCTCAAGATCACTTAACATTACAAAAATGCAAATCAAAACCACAACAAGATACCAACTCATGCCAGTCAGAATGGTGATTATTAAAAAGTCAAGAAACAGTTGCTGGTGAGGTTGTGGAGAAAAAGGAACACATTTACACTGTTGGTGGGAGTGTAAGTTAGTTCAACCACTGTGGAAGCCAGTGTGGTGATTTCTCTGAGACCTAGAAGCAGACATACCATTTGACTGAGCAATCCCATTACTGGGTATATATCCAAAGAAATATAAATCATTCTAATATAAAGATACATGCATGTGTATGTTCATTGCAGCACTATTCACAATAGCAAAGACATGGAATCAACCCAAATCCCCATCAACTGGATAAAGAAAATGTGGTACATATATACCATGGAATACTGTGCCCCCATAAAAAGAAACAAGATCATGCCCTTTGCAGGGACATGGATGGAGCTGGAAGCTATTATCCTCAGCAAACTAACACGGGAACAGAAAACCAAACATCGCATGTTCTCATTTATAAATAGGAGCTGAACGATGAGAACACGTGTACACATGGAGGGAAACAACACACACTGGGGCCTGTTGGGGGGATGGGGAGAGGGAGAGGATCAGAAAGAATAGCTAATGCATTTGGAGCTTAATACCTAGGTGATGGGTTGATCTGTGCGGCAAACCACCATGGCACACGTTTACCTACGAAACAAACCTGCATATCCTGCACATGTACCCTTGTACTTAAAAGTTGAAGAAAAAATGTTTGTCTACATTTTATCCAGAATATTTGAATTATGTGTATATGTGTGAAATAGAATTTGTTGTAGAATGCTATTTCTCACAATAATAAGTTAGAGATATTACTGGAAATAGAATTCCTTCAAATGTTTTGAAGGAAAAACAAATAGAAATTTCCAAACAAGATATAAAAGGGAAACTAGAATGGCTGGGCAAGGTAACTCATGCCTGTAATCTCAGCATTTTGGGAGGCCAAGGCAGGCAGATCACCTGAGGTCAGGAGTTCAAGACCAGCCTGGCCAACATGGTGAAACCCTGTCTCTGCAAAAATACAAAAATTAGCCAGGTGTGTTAGTGCACACCTGTAATCTCAGCTACTTGGGAGGCTGAGGCAGGAGAGTCACTTGAACCCAGGAGGCAGAGGTTACAGTGGGCCGAGACTGAGCCACTGCACTCCAGCCTGGGCGGCAAGGGTGAAACTCTGCCTCAAAAAAAAAAAAAAAAAAAAAACCTAGAATGAATAAGAAGTCCATTAATTTTTGTTTATCAAGAATTGACAATTGCTGGAGTAGATTTTAAACCAAAAGAATGCATGGATATTTTAATTATTGGATGATTTGTTGACATCAGAATGATGATCACAAATTTATCTAAATTATCGACATTTTGACATTTAACTTGCTGTTTTAATTTAAAGGTTAAAATGGCCTGTGAGATACGTGAACTACTTTTGACCATCTTAGTGTTTATAGTAGAAAGCTGTCCTAGTTTTTATCTTTCCTTAGTATAAAACATCCCATTTTGAGTTCAGGAAAGTGTTGGTTTTTTTTTCCCCCCTCGAATAAGATTTCAGGGGGAAAAAAACATAAAAATAAGCCTAAAGCCTTGTTAGGTTCTACATATATCTTTCCTTCAAATATCTTCTTTGTTAAAAAATAAAACAATTAAACCAGAAATAATAATTATCTATCCAAAATCCATTTTGTAAACTGTGACTAATCTTGGATAAACTGTGTTGTAACAGATAAAGTATGAGAGAAATTTCCCTTGAGGCATTGAGTTAATTGCCATAATTCATTGGTTGGGTGTGACTTCTACCACTTCAAAAAAGACTTTTGAACCAAGGCCATGTTGAGGAATTACCTTATTTTAATTTCTTTTCACCATATTGTAACATCTGTGTTTAGTATGTTTAATGGTGGAACAGCAGCTCTTTTGTAAATCATTCTCCGCCAAATCCAGGAGTGTATGGTATTCTAGAGATTATTTGATTCTAATAATAATGAGTGAAAATTTTAGGATAGACTACATTACCCTTAACATTCCCCTTTTATCTAACTACTAATTTATGTATTCATCTAAAAACTTTGTAATACTTTCTATAGATCTGCAACTGTTCAAAAACAGAAGAAACAGTGTAAGAATTTCACTCATGGGAGTGAATGAATTTTGAATTCACAGTGGAATGTTTCATACAACATATGGGAGCATTTATATATGCCTGGGTGTTGCACTGGCACTTTACATAATTAGCCTATGATTTTGAGTTCAGAATAGGTTTTTTCCCCCCCTTATAAGAAGATGTTATTTTCTGTGTATTAATTAAATTGGGGTAGGCTAAGTCACATGGAAAATCACCCAACTAGCATAAACTTTGCATGATCATTAATATAACTTACTGTGTTAAGGCAGTGAGTTTGGGGGGCTGTTTAGAAAGGGCTTGTGCTTGTTCTTCAGTAGCCACAGTGCCTACCTCACTTTCCTACTTCACAGTGTTATGTACTCTAGTGATTAAGCATGCAGATCCTGGAGGAGTCCTCTCTGGGTTCAAATCCTGCCTCTTTCACTTCAGCAAATTACTGAACCTCTCTGTGCTTCAGTTTATTTTTAAATGGCATAAAAATATTCTCCAGCACATAGAATTGGGGTGAGGCTAAAAGAGTTAATCAATTCCAGTATCTGGAATGCACTAAAAGTTAAACAAATGTTAACTATTATAACACCACCCTGTTCCATTTTATTTTCATGATTTTCTGACCCATTTGGCATTCAAATATGGGATACATATCTTCAGAATTATGAAATTTAAAAAGACACAAAATAGTGGGAACAGGGAATATGGTAAATACAGAAGTGACAATAAAATTTGTAAACAGAATATTATCAGCACACAAGAGAGGCCCTTTCACTTCCTGCTGAGAAATCATGGTGTGTTTGACACAAGAAGTGACAAGAAGACACACTTTAAAGTCTGGAGGGAATATTCCAGATCTGGGAAACATTTAAAATAAAAAGAACATGGCCTAATAATATAATTCATCGTTTCTTTTCTCTGGAAAACAATTCTTAAATACCTTTAAGATGCTGCACATTTGGGAATATAAAGTTGAATTAGAAAGTCTCTCCACCATTTTGCAGTTCACAGCACAGGGGTCGGGGGAGAGATGGATTATACATTATACATAAATGAAGAATTACAAGTAATATGGTAAAGGAGAACCAGGAAAAGACCACTCAAGTCGGGCTAAGAGAAGAGAAGTCCAGTCTTAGAGGTTTCTCAAATGGAGTTAGTTAACAGGAGACCTGGGTCTTTGGAGGTAAGTAAGAATTACATAGGTAAAAAACATGGAGAAAGGTTGAGTAAGAATAATCCAAACAGAGAAATGAGCATTCAAAACAGTTTTAGATTTATGACAACAGTGGTAAATTCTGCAAAGAAAGAAGTTATGTAAATTATGTGAATCAGAGATAATTCCTTACATTTCTATGTGGTAAATTTAGACTTTATACATTATTTTACTGTTTATTGTTTTTTATTTTTTTAAGTCTTTATAGCAGCCTAATGTGGTAGTAGAAATATTATCCTATTGTTCAGATGAGGACAATGAGGTTCAGAGAGTTACAAATAATGGTTTACATTATTCATAAATAATAGAAAGATTCAGATTTATTGTAAAAAATACAGGAAGTATACACAATATGAAGAGGCTGATTTGGTCTAGATTAAATGTCATGTTAACAAAGTTGGATAAGAATACGAAAGAAATTTCCCCTGGGTGAGATCAATGTGAATGAAATAGGAAGAGAGGCCATTTGCTTAAGGTACCAGAGATGCTTTGAACAGCTGATCAATTTCACTGCCTCAGGTATCTTTTGAACCTATGTTCTCAATATTTTCCAAAAGTCTGTGAACCTTGGTAGAATACTCATTCTGACCAAGGCTCAATGTTAAAGTGAAAGAGGTAGAATTCACTACAAATGCATATTGTTTTATAAATTCCTTCTAATGAAAACTAATGAAAGTGCAGAATATCTTCAGAAGGCTAACTAGATCCTTTCCTTTCAATCTTCTCTCCCCTATATATCTTAATACAAATATTTATTTTAATTTTTCCTTAAAGTTAAAAATATACTTAAAAGTTAAAACAGTTCCATTGCAGAAAAATTATCCACTCTGACTTTAACTTATTTGAGGATGGTTTTCAAAGCAGATTAAATATGCTTTATAAAATTTAGTTACAATATATTAAAAACATTTTGAAACATTTGGAAAGATAGTTGGATTTGGATAAGCATTTGTCGCCCCCCCATATCTAGTAAAACAGAACTCCGTCTTAATTCTTTTCCTCACGTATCATTTTATGTACTTAGAAGAAATCTCTGTTAACTTACATGAATTTGACAAATGGATTTAGCAGATGAACAGATGCATTTAAAATATAACAGATGGGCCTCCATTTTCTTAGGTGAGGTGATCTATATCCATTTTATCAAATTACAAGGATGCAAGAATATGAGGCTCAAATGATACACAAATAATTAGAAAATATTGATGGCATCATGCCATATATTAAACAGACCTTAACATTTTATTAAATTTGAAATATACATTGGGGGTATCTGAAAAACTTTTTTGTTAATAAGAATCATATTAAATAGGAAAGAATAAGCAAGCTCCAACACACTTGGCACTTTCCAAAAATTTCTTAAATTATGAGCAGAAAAATGTAGATTCTATAGCCTTTTTTAAGGATGTGTGACCTTTGCAGGGTTAGGAGAGAATTATTTTAGAAACATAAGATTATGAAGTTCTTATTAGAAAATTGAGGTCAAAATGATGAAGTAATTTGCTGAAAAGAAAACAATGGCAGAGCTAGGACTATAACCAACACCTTGTGAATTACTTTTGAATGTTAACCCTTTCTTTATTTCATTCTTTCTACAGAATTACTTCCAGTAAAAAGGACTACTGATGGCTTAAGTAGGAATGAACAGCAGATATGGGACTTTACTTATGGTACCTATGGTACTGGAAATCCAGTTCTCCATACCCCTTCCTTCTTTCAAGATTCTTGTCAAATCATGAAATTAATACTTTTTTACGCTTTATTTTTATTTTTATATTATTTTGAGAATTAAGTATCTTTCAGTAATAATGTCAGTATCTAAAATATAATATTAATTTGAGTTCTTGAAACTCAGTTCCAAAAGCATGCCAAGCACTGATCAATATGTGAGACTCGAAGATTTGCCACAGTAACATTTTTTCTGTTTAATTTAAAATTAAGATATTTGAAGTATCTTGGGATTATAGTGTAGTTTTTGTTTCTTTGTTTTCTCTTTTTTTGTCCAACACAGAGTCTCACTCTGTTGCCCAGGCTGGATTGCAATGGTGCAATCTCAGGTCACTGCAACCTCTGCCTCCGGGGTTCAAGCGATTCTCTGGCCTCAGCCTCCCAAGTAGTTGGGATTACAGGTGCCTGCCACCACGCCCAGCTAATATTTGTATTTTTAGTAGAAATGGGGTTTCACCATGTTGGTCAGGCTAGTCTCAAACTAGCCTGATCTCAGGTGATCCACCCGCCTCTGCCTCCCAAAGTACTGGGATTACAGGCATGAGCCACCACACTCAGCCCTGAAAGTGTAGTTTTTACCATCACCGTAAATAAAATGAAAATGTTCCTTGGATTATAATGGGACTATATGCTAATAAACCCATCATAAGTCAAAAATACCATAAGTCAAAAATGCATTAGCACCCCCAATAAACCCATCAAAAAGTCAAAAAATATAAGTTGAATCATGGTGAGTTGGGAACCATTTGTATTTAAAATTTGTAAAATATATCTGCTGGGCACAGTGTCTCATCCCTGTAATCTCAGCACTCTATGAGGTTGAGACAGGTGGATCACGTGAGGTCAGGAGTTCAAGACCAGCTTGGCCAACGTGGTGAAACCCTGTCTCTACTAAAAATACAAAAATTAGCTGGCTGTGGTGGTGCATCCCTGTAATCCTAGCTACTCGGGGGGCTGAGGCAGGAGCATTGCTTGAACCCAGGAGGCTAATGTTGCAGTGAGCCGAGATCATGCCACCGCACTCCAGCCTGAGCAACAGAGTGAGACTCTGTCTCAAAAAATAAAAAATAAAATGAATAAAATATATGAATATTACTATCTATATTACATAATTATCTTATCTATTAAAAAAACCTTCACTTTGGAGGATTTCTTGACTGACCTTTCCACGAGTTAGGAAAATGTTCGACACTAAGAAACAAACCACAAATCTCAGTAGTTTAACAAGTAAAAATGTTCTGGTTAGCTATTACTGAGTAAAAAACAACTCAGTGACTTTGTGGCTTAAGATAACAACCATTGAATTGCTCACTATCGTTTGGGTCAAGAATTCTGGCAGGTTCCAGATGGCAAGCCTCGCTTCTGCTCTACATGGTGTTGCCTGGGATAGCTTGGCTGCAGCTCGAGGATCTAAATTGTTGACTTAGTCCATTTGGGTTGCCATGACAAATGCCGTAAACTAAGAATAAACAACAAGCATTTATTTCTCACAATTTCAGGGTCTAGGAAGTCCAAGATCAAGTGCTGACAAGTTTGGTATCTGGTGAGCTTCAGCTTCCTAGTTCAGAAACAACTATCTTTGTGCTATGTCCTCACATGACAGAAAGGGCAAGAGAGATGTCTGGGATTTCTTTTACAAGGGCGCTAATCCCATTCATAAGGCCTCTGCCCTCATGATATAATTAACTCTCAAAGCCTCACCTCCTAAGATAGGTTTTAATATATAAATTTTGGGGTGACACAAACAGATGGCTGACTCATATTTTGGGTTCCTGGTTTTAGCTACCACTTGGGGTACCCCATTTCTCCCCCAGTGGCTTTTCTCTCCAACTGGTCTCTCATTATTCTGTGGTCTGGCTCACATTTCTTTGTATGGTGCCTGGCTTCTACGACAGTAAAAACAAAGCTGATAGTCTTTATAATAAGGCTTAGTGCCAAAAGGCACGGAACGTCACCTCTGCTGCTTTCCATTGGCCCAAGAAAGTCACAGAATCAGTTGAGAGTTGAGGCTCATGTGGAGAGAAACTAGACTCCTATTCTTGATGGCAGAAATGATAAAACTACATTACAAAAGGACATAAAGGGGCATTAGAAATGAAGAAATGTCTCAATTCAACTTTTTATGTTCCTATGAGAAACTAGAGAAAAGAAGAGCACAACACAAGCAGAAGGAAGGAAATGGTAAAGATCAGAGAAGAGAGAATGAAATGGAATTTTAAAAAGCAATAGAGAATTTCAGTAAAACAAAAAGGGCATTATTTGAAAACATCAGTAAAATTAACAAACATCTAGTAAGACTGAATAAAAAAAGAAACAAATAATCAATATTATGAAAAGAAAGGGGAAAGCACTACATTCCATAGCCATTAAAAAGGTAAAAAGGTAATATAGTAAATAATTTTACAATTATAAATTTGACAACTTAGAGTAAAATAAACCAATTCACTGAAATCCACAAAGTACTAGTACTTAATCAAGTTGAATTAGATAATTAGAATAGCCCTAGAATTAGTAAAACATTGAAAATAATTTAAAAGCTCATAAAAATTAATCTCTAGGACCAGATTTTTTTTCATGGCAATTCTACCAAATATTTTTACAGAATTATCACAAATTTTACACAGTCTCTTTCAGAAAATATAAGAGTAGGGAACACTCCCCAACTTGTTTTATGAGGGCATTATTACTCTAAAAAAAAAATAAAAAATAAACAGAGAAAATACAGAAAAAAATGAAAAATACGGATCAATATCTCCCATAAGTTTAGAGACAAAAATCCTTTAAAAAATTAACAAACCAAATCTAACAATGTATAAGAATTATACATTATGACCAAGTGGGATTTATTCTAGGTATACAAAGCCAGTTGGACCTCTAAAACCTAATCAATGCAATTGATCATATCAATGAGCTGAAGGAGAAAACTCATGAAGTCTTAACCATCAACAATTTCCAACACCCAAACACACACACAAAAAACACTTAGCAAGTTAGTAATGGAAGGGTATTTCTTCAGCTTGATGAAGAACATGTACAAAAAATCTAAAGCTAACATAATGGTGAGATAGACGCTGAATGTTTTTTTCTAAGATAAGGCACGAATGTTTTTTTCTAAGATAAGGCACAAATTTTTTTTTCCTAAGATAAGGCACCACTCTTATCCAACATAGTACTGAAAGTTCCAACCACTTTCATAATGTAGAGTAAATAAATAAATAAATAAATGGTGAATATATTGAAAAGAAAGAAAACTGTCTCTATTTGCACATGAAATTATTATCTCTGTAGAAATTCCTAAGGAATCAACAAAAATACTTCCAAGAACAAATACATGAGCTCAGCAAGGTTGTCAGATACAAGATCCATGTGCAAATATCAATCACATTTATGTATATCAGCAATGTACATATAAGAACCAAAATTGAAAACATAATGCCATATTCAAGCTCTCCAAAGAAAATAAAATATTTAGGTATTCACTTAATGAAAAAGCATATAGGATCTATATGCTTAAAATTACAAAACTACTGTTGAAAGAAATCAAAGACCTAAATAAATGGAGAAGCATATTGTGTTTATGAAGTGGAAGCCTCAACAGATTTATAATGTCAATTCTTACCTTGTTTATGCATAGGTTTAACACAATTGTTACCAAAATTCTAGCAAGAATTTTTGTAGACATAGACAAACTGACTCTAAAATACATATGGAAAAGCACAGGCTGTATACTAGCAAAAGCAATCTTGGCAAAGAAGAATAAAGTTGGAAGAATCACACTACCTAATATTAGGGCTTACTATACAGCTACAGTAATTGAAGCAATGTATTATTGTCAGAGGGATAGACACATAGACAAGTGGAAAAGAATAAAGAACTCAGAAATAGCCACTCACAAATATGCTCAACTGATTTTTGACAATGGTAAAAAAGTAATTCAATGTAGGAAGGACAGCTTTTTCAACAAATGATGCTGAAATAACTGGACATTCATAAGACAAAAAATAAACCTTGATCTAAATCTCATGCCTTTATAAAAATCAGCTCAAAGTGAATCACACACTTAAATATAAAGCACAAAGCTATAAAATATTTAGGAAAAAAAGGAGAACATCTTTAAAACCAAAAGTTAGGAGAAAAGTTTTTAGACTTGATACCAAAAGTATGATTTATAAAAGAAAAATGTTATAAATTGGATCTCATTAAAATTAAAAACATTTGGTTTGCAAAAGCCTGAAGAGGAAGAAAAGACAATCTAGATACTGAGAGAAAACATTTGCAAATCATATATCTAACAAAGGTCTAGTGTCTAGAATATATAAAGAACTATCCAAACAGACATTTTTCTGAAGAGGATGTACAGATGGCAAAGAAGCACTTGAAAAGTGTTCAATATCGTTAGCCATCGGGGAAATGCAAATTGAAACCACAAAGAGATATCACTACATATCTATCACAATCATTAAAATAAAAAAAATAGTGACAACATCAAATCCTGGCAAAAATGCAGAGAATCTGCCTCACTCATAAATCGCTGATGGGAAGGTAAAATGGTGCAGCCATTCTAAAAAAGTATTGCATATTCTTTACAAAATGAAACATGAATTTACTGTATTCCTCAGCTATTGCACACCAGGGTATACATTTCAGAGAAATGAAAACTTACATTCACACAAAAATCTGTACAAGAATGTTCATAGCAGCTTTATTAGAATGACTAAAAAATTGAAAACAAACCAGACGTCCTTCAGCAGGTGACTGGCCAAACTGTACCCACACCATACAGTACTAGCCAGCAATAAAAGGAAGGATTTATGGATGTATACACCAACTTAGATCTATCTTTAGGGAATTATACTGGTGAAAAAGCCACTGCCAATATGTGACTTCCTGTACAATTCCATTGACAAAACAGCCTTAAAATGACAAAATAGAGAAATAGAGAACAGATTAATGGTTTCCAGAGGCTAGGGATAAAGTTGAGAGAGGGGAGGTGGTTGTGTCATAAAAGGGCAACACGAGGCAATGCCTGTGACGATGAAACTGTTCTGAATGTCAACTATGGTGGTGGACACATGAGTCTATAATGTGATAAGATGGCATACAACTAAACACACACACACACACACACACACACACGAATAGATGTAAAACTGATGAAATCTGAATAATAATTTTTGTTTATATTGATGTGAATGTCCTGCTTGTGATATACCATAATCTTATAAAATGTTGCCATTGGGAGAAATGGTAAAATCTACAAGGAATTTTTTTGTATAGTTTCTTAAAACTGCATGTGTATCTACACATGGGAAGACTTGGGAAGGGATTACGAAGCAATCTAGGACCGAAAGTTTCTTTCCTATTTTTGTGCAGTTCACAATTCTCATGGACACGTGTAATGGGGAGAATCTCTTCCAATGGTAACTTATGCTTTTTCCTTCTTGAAATTCCATCATTTTCCTATATCACTTCAGCATGAGCCAACAGAAATCCTGCACCTTTAGGAGTATAATGTGTATGATAGTGCTTTGGATGTTTTCATGGGCCAGTCCAACAAGTGCTCAAAATTGCTTTCCATTTTTTCCTATTATTTACAGAAAGTTTCATTTTGTTTTAAGATTATAATAACACTGTCTAATGAATAATAATTTTAACATCCAAAACTCAATTCCCAATGTGTGCCAAGATTTGTCAAAATGTAAAGCTCAAATATTTGGCACAGTAAGATTTCTGAGCATCGATGTTTAATTTAGGATTAAAACATTTGATTTCATAAAGTATAGTTTTCACTATTCTAGTGAATAAAATTCCCCTTCCATTGAAGAGAACATCATCTTGCCACTTCTTAACTGAAAAAGAGGCATGGTAATGTAATCTTGCTGTGCCCAAAAAACTGCATATATCGGAAGTTGTTGTAGCAATCAGGGAATAGTCTCTCCCACTACAGTTTTGGATATAGATCATGCAGAAGTTTGGGTCTAGGGTCATTCTGTGTCTTCTTCATCTTCTGTTTTGTTTTGTTTTGTTTTGTTTTGTTTTTTAGGTTTTTTTTTTTTGGTAATTAGAGTATAGAACCTTGAGTGGGCCAGCAGCCTAGTTGCCCCTAGGAATACCTATCATTTGAAAGGCACAAGGTGCACCTCAGTAATTTTGAATGCCCACAAGAGTGTCCCAAATTACTGCTATTTCCCAGAGCCACATATCAAATAAGAAAGCCCATTGAAAACTCATCTTCATATATTTAAATAAAAACTATAAACCTAGAATAAGAATTATAAAATTTGAATATGCTATTGCTTTAGAGCATTGAAAAAAATAGACTGTAAACTTCCTAATAAGTAAGACAAGCTTGATTTTCTAAAGCAAAGAGAACAGTTAACTATAGTTTCACAAACTCGTAATCATTACCTGCTGTGCTGGAAAGTAATACAACAGAAATATTCTATTTATAAAATACATGGTCAAATTTGCATTTACATTTTGGGTCCAATTTACATATTGAAATAATATCTATATTTTGAGTGCTTAGATATAATTACATGAGTGAGTGCTTTAATAATCCTTCATCATTATAAACAAATATGAAATGTTTACATCACTTGAAACTAAAATAAATCTCAACCAAAATGCTATTTGGTAAAAGCTGTAATAATTTTATGAAGTTTTAATAAATATTATTCATGTAGAATGGCTTTGCATTTCTGAAAGCTGTACTTATTATGTCAAAAATTCAGAAAATATTTCAAGACCCCAAATACAGACTCCTAGTTAAACACATAAGCCAACAGTTCAAGAAAAAAATCAATATATATCTAATATATACATGATAACTTACAGTAAAACAGATCTAAAGAGAAAATTTCACCAAAAAAATTAACTCGGTAGTACTAAATTTTTAATTTTAAGATAGCTCCATTACTAATTTATAATGCCACAATGAAATATGCACAAAGCAAAAATAGGTAGACATGTGAAAAAACAAACAATACTCTGTTAATGCCCACATTTTCAATATGTACTTAATAGAACTGAATTTTATATTTTATCTAGTAAATGAATTTCTGCTTCCAAAATGTCCCATTTCACATATGTCTCCAGATTTCATAATTAGGACTGCCCCAAAAGATAAGCTAAGTAGTCATATATTTAATATAATTTGAAATCTGATATTGAAAGGCTCTACCCTTAAAATAAATCTTCAATCTGCCTCCCAGAGTCTCTAAAATTGCATTATTTTAGGTCTATTCTTGACTTATAGTCATAATGCTTCAAAAATCACTGTTAAATTGCAATTAATAATAAAGGGAATTTTGTATAATATTACTATATCTCTCTAGGTTAGTGTCTACAACTTACACAATTAAGATTGGCCAAAATCTTTGAAATACCTCTAAGAGATTACATTTGGACATAAAAATTCATAAAGCAAAACTTTTAGAAATGTGAGGTGCATATGAAATAATCTTAAACATGTTAAAGAGTTTTATATAGCTTTCTTAGCCCTTATAGATAAAATATATAAAGTTAATTTAGAGAATTTAAATATCATATTAGTACATTTTATTTAATATATGGGCATACCTTGGAGATATTGAGGGTTTGGTTCCAGACTGCTGCAATAAAGCAAGTCATACACAGTTTTTTCGGTTTCCTAGTGCATATAAAAGTTATGTTTACACTATACTGTAGTATATTTGGTGTGCAGTAACATTATCTATAAAAACAATGGACATACTTTAATTAAAATGCTACCAATCATCTGAGCTTTCAGCAAGGAGTTGTGATTTTTTTTGCTGGTGGAGAGTCTTTCCTTGATGTTGATGGCTGCTGACTGATTAGAGTGATTAGGGCTTCGTCCTTACCAGATTCAAAGCATGGACTCTATTTTTTCTCAAATTAAGAATTAAAATACTGAAAATGTATCAGTAACTTTTATTGGACAGAAAGAGGCACTATGTCATTTAAAAGGAAACAAATCATATAAAACTAAAATAATTTCAAAAACTTCAGTCTGATGTTCATGGTTTCTTCCATAAGGCACATACATTGAAACCAGATTCACCCTGAATCTGTTTTATTCTAAGCAATGGAAGTGTCTTTTGCTTAAGACCGTGGGTGTTTCCACCTAAAACATTGGGAAGATCGCATTATCAATGAATCAAGCCTAGAGGGAATTTTCAGCCCAGACAAATCTAGAAGGAGGTCCTCACAGTGGCACTATCATAACGCCCTGCTAAGTAGAGGGGACTACAGGCATGTGCCACCACACCCAGCTAATTAAAAAAAAAATAGAGATTATGGTGTCTCACTTTGTTGTCCAGGCTGGTCTCAAATTACTGGTCTCAAGTGGTCCTTCTGTCTCAGCCTCTCAAAACACTGGGATTACAAGCATGTGCCACTGCACCTAGATGGCAGTTTCTCAATATAAGACAACAGTGAAGTTTGCCACATCGATCAACTTTTCCTTTGAGTAAGATTTTCCCACTGGGTGCAATATGCTGTTGGATAGCATTTTACCCATGGTAGAACTCTTTCAAAATTGGAGTCAATCCTCTTAAACTCTGCTACTACCTTATCAACTAAGTTTATGTAATATTCTAAATCCTTTTTTGTAATTTTGGCAATGTGCACATTATCTTCACCAGTAGATTCCATCTCAAGAAAACACTTTCTTTGCCATACATAAGAATCAACTCAACCATCCAAGTTTTACCATGAGATAACAATTCAATTCCATCTTCAGGCTCAACTTTTAATTCTACTTCTCTCTCTATTTCTACCACATCTGAAGTGACTTCCTCCACTGGAGTGCTGAACCCCTCAAAGTCATCCATGAGGGTTGAAATCAATTTCTTTCAAACTCCTGCTAATGTTCATTTTTTTACCTTCTTCCATTGAAATTGGCTGAACTCTCCAATAGAACTGACGCTTATGGATTTTTTGGATAAATAGAGAAATTGACTATCCTAGTCTTAAAAGCTCAAAGCTTACATTTTTCTTATCTGGGTTCCTTTCTCAGGAAACCAACCATCATGTCTCTCTTCAAGGAACTGAAACTTACCAGGTCACTGCATTTAGACAGTAACACCAGAACTTTCGCCTGTCATGATTGCTTAACTGCTCACCTGCTGCCTGTGACCAACTTCTCTTTCATACCCACCACTAATTTCTGTTTTCCCATACTTATTTACAACTTTTTCCCTGCTATAAAAAGCCCTCCTTTTGATTGGTTGGGGAGACATATTTGAGACTGATCTCCTATGCTCAGCAACCTGTTATCTCAGTGATTGGCATTCTGTGTGGTGAGCTGTGAGACCCAGATTGAATCTCTGCCATTTCAGTAACTTTATGTATGATGAATGTTCTTAATGGTATCTAGAATGATGAATCTTTTCCAGAAGATTTTCCATTTACTTTGCCCAGAGCCCTTGGAGGAGTCACTCTCTATGGCAGTATAGCCTTTTGAAATTTAATTCTTGATCTTATAGCCATATGAAATTACTCTTTGATCCATGTGCTATAGAATAGATGTTGTGTTAGCAATCATAAAAACAACACTGATATCCTTTGACATCCCCAGCAGACCTCCCCAGTGACCAGGTGCATTGCCAATGAACAGTAATATTTTAGAAGGAATCTTTTTTGGAGCAGTAGATCTCAACAGTGAACTTAAAATATTCAGTAAACCATGCCATAAACAGATGTGCTGTCATCCAGGATTTGTTGTTCCATACACAGAGCACAGGCAAAGTAGATTTATTATAATTTTATGGGCTCTGGGATTTTCAGAATGGTAAATGAGTATGAGCTTCAACTTAAAGTCACCAGCAGCATTAGCTCCTAATAAGAGAGTCAGCCTGTTTTTTAAAGTTTTTAAGCCAAGCATTGACTTTTCTTCTTTAATTATGAAAGCTTTAGATGGCATCTTCTGACAATAAAATGCTGTCTTATTTACATTGAAAATCTGTTGTTTTGTGTAGCCACCTTTGTCAATGATCTTAGCTAGATCTTCTGGATAATTTGGTGCAGCTTCAACATCAGCACTGGCTGCTTCACCTAGCACTTTTATGTTATGAATATAGCTTCTTTATTTAAGCTTCATAAACCAACCTCTGCTAGCTTTAAACTTTTTTTACTGCAGCTTCCTCACCTCTAGACTTTATAGAATTCAAGAGAGTTAGAGCCTTGCTAAGGATTAGGCTTTAAGGGAATAATTAGGCTTCAAGGTTTAAGGGAATATTGTAGCTGGCTTGATCTTCAACCCAGACCACCAAAACTTTATATTAGCAATATGTCTGTTTTGCTTTCTTATCATTCATGTATTCACTGGAGTAGCATCTTTAATTTCCTGCAATAACTTTTGCTTTGCATTCACAACTTGGCTAACTGTTTTGTGCAAGAGGCCTAGGTTTCTTTCAGGTATCTCAGCTTTCAACATGCCTTCCTCATGGAGCTTAATTATTTCTAACTTTTGAATTAAAATGAGAGACATGTGACTCTTGCTTCCACTTGAACACATAAAAGCCACTGTAGGGTTATTAACTGGCCTAATTTCAATATTGCTATGTCTTAGGGAATAGAGGGACCTGAGGAAAGGGAGAGAGATGAGGAAAGAACTGATGAGTGGAACAGTGAGAACATTTACATTTATCAGTTCAGTTCAATAGTAACATCAAAGATCCCTGATCACAGATCATAACAGATATAATAATAATTAAAAAGTTTGAAATATTACAATAATTACCAAAATGTGACACAGAGACATGAAGTAAGCAAGCACATACTGTTAGAAAAGTGACACTAATAGACTTGCTCAATTCAGGGTTGCCAGAAACCTCAATTTGTAGAAAATGCTGTATCTGTGAAATGCAATAAAGTACAATAAAACAAGACACGCTGTATGTAAAAAAACTCTCTACCCCACAAATAGAGCATTGCAGCATTCTATCAGTAAGCTATTGCTGCCTAACAACCAGGACAAAATTTCAGTGTTATATTAAAATATGCTGTTATTTCTCAGGTTTCTTTAGACCACTTGGGGCCATGGTGCTAATCTCAGCTGTATGGATTTCATACATCTGTTAGGTTGGCAAATTTAGACTGAGCTTGACTGAGCTTGGCAACTTGAAACAGTTAGGTTTCAAACAGTGAGGTCTGTTTCATAAATCTTTCCTTCTCCTTGGACCCACAAACCAGCCAGCACATCTTCTTCTCATGGCAATGGTAGTAGCACAAGCAGCAAATGGGAACACATGATGGAATTATCTTGCTGCCATTTCCATTTGATTTCCACTAGCCAAGTCAGACAAGAGTGATTCCAAATGCAAGAGGACTGGCAAGCATACACTACCCACTTTGCCCAAAGCAAGTCACACGACCAAGCTCAAGACCGATGAAGCAGGAAAGTAAACTCCTCCAAAGGAAGTGAGTTAGAGGAAAGAGGAGTGGATATTTTTGAACATTACTATATTACAAACACTGTTTTAAGCAGATAGAGTGTTCATACACACAGACACACACACAGACACACACAAATAATCATGCACTTGGCATTCAAATGAACCTCAAAAAATGCGTCAAGGGAAAATTTTTACAGATGAACTTTTCTGACCACAAAGAAATATTACTGGATATGATTCACAAAATTTATTAAAAATGTAAGTTCTAACAGACTGTATAACTGATTGCCTGTAGTAAGACAGGAAAAGGGACAATCTCGGAGGATCACTAGGTTTCCAGCAAGTTCTTAGGTGGCCAATAATATAATTTGTTGAGATTGAAAAGCTCTTCACCTACAGTTAAACTATACAGATTACTATACAGAATAACTATCAGATAACTATGCAGAAAAACATAAGTGAATTGTCTAAAAATATAGTGTACTTCTGGGAAGATTGTGTTGTACTTGTCATAGGAGAACCTCTACAAGGTTGGTTCAAATGGCAAATTCTGGAGCTGTAATTTTCCAATTTAGGACTGGACACCAGGGGATGTCTACAGTAAAGTGTCACTGGCCCACAAGAAACTAAACAAAGTGGCTTTTTCATAAAGTTAAATTTACTCAATTTCAAGGACCACATCTTATTATGCAGCTCTGTTTTTCAAGTACGCAATTGTTAAAATGCCCCCTTTATTTTATAAAATATTTGCTAGTCCAGGGAGCACTATTCCTTTGAACTTGTCAAATTTTATATTTTACTTGTTCCTGAAATCCAAACGTCTGAGAGAATTTGTGAAGGATTTTTATATTTTTTGTTGTTACTGAGCTCTCTGGCGAGAAAAGAACTGGCTGGTTTTTCTCAGTATTGGATCTTTGGCATCAGCAGCCTGTACTAGATACCCGGTGATTATTTTTAATAAAAGAAATGATAGAACACCATGCTGGCAGAGACTGAATGGAAGCTCACCGAATCGGTTTTCCCATCTCCTAACAAACAGCCATCCTACCTATTCCAGTCTCCCTAGCAAATAGGTGTGGCCTTAGAAAGTGCGAGCAGTAGAATGTGGTCGAAAGTGACGTCTGACACTTTCAAAACTAGTCCTTTAAGTTCTCCCATGCAAGATTCTTTATCTGTCTTTCTCCTGTGTCTGTTGGCCAGATCTGGTCAATTTATTGTTACACTTTTATTTCTTCATTATAAAGTGGGCAGAGCCATATGAGTCAGTCCCTGAACATCCTTGTTCCAGAGAATATTAAGACGTTGACTCTGGTACTGATTGAGAAACTCGCTGGTTGCTAGAACAATGAAATAAGATTTTAGTTTAGATTGAGAGAGACTTACTTGAGGATATACTGAGTATTTCTCAGAACTGAGACACGATTACTCTTTCTTCCTCTCCTCAGAACAATAGAGCCTCCTAAGAACATCACTTTGAAATTCTTCTTAAGGAAGAAAATCTTATGTAGCTTTAAAAATTATGGCGTTACTTGTTAACTTATTTATTGCCTAATAATTGAGGCAAAGATTAATTTCTTGTTTGTCAATGTGCTAGAGGTAGTAGTAAAAATAATTTTACACACTATTTTAAATTAATTATTACTAGTGATATGTCTGCATAACTGAAAATTCTAAGTACAAATGACAGCCTAATGATTTCTTATTTCTAGCAGAAGAATTAGACTCAACAAATTGTCCATTCCACCGAGATGGTGCTGAACAAAGGCATAGTGTTCCTTCAGCAACTTCCTTCTGAGTTTATATAATAGTCATAAGCTTCAAGCATGAATTATTAATAAATTCCATAGTCATATGGATTTTACCCAATGTTAGCTATCTTTTTCTCTCTCTCCCTTTCTTTTTCTTCTGCACATTGAAGACAGTTCCCCATTTTTATGTACCATCAAGTCAATGCAAAGGAAGCATTCATGACAACTCCAACCTGTGAAAATACTGAATATAATTTACCATGTAATATCTCTTCTTCCTCTTTCACTCTTTTGTTTCTATTGTTGGATAGCCATAATGGTACAGAAATTTGGTTAAATCGTTGCATTCACTTTTCTCTCAAATAACTTACCAACCTGATTTCCATTATCCTTAGGTTGAAAGATTATCTTTGCATTTATCAGACTAAAAATTCTCTCTTACACATTAAGTAAAATGAAACGTTGAAAACAATAAAAAATAAATCGCACCAGGAAATTACTGGATGATTTTTATAGTCCATTATTCTGAAGTCAAAGACACAAAAAATAATTTCTGATGTACCAGATGATCACTTAATAACGCTGAAAAGAATCGCCTGACATGCCAGGAACTTTTGGATAACTCTTTTGTGGGCATGAAGAATAAAACTGTGCCATGGTCCATAATTGAGTAAATGGACTTCAAACAGCATTTTTCTAGCCATATCAGAGACTTAGAGTGACAATAATAGCTATCATTTATTGAGGGTTTGCTATTTCAAAGTCATCTTTAACTATACGTGCTGTAATAATTCCTGATATATAGATGAAAATATATGAGAATAAGTAACATCCTCAAGGTCACAGAGATGGTAAATTGTTCAGCCAGGATTCAAACTCAATTTCTGCTTTTTCCCATACTACCCTGTAGAATAACTGACAAAACCATGCCATGGTAAGTTGGCCGAAGTGCTTCGTTGGAGTAGGGCTGATGTTTATTTGACTGAACATAGACCTCTTTCATAGCAGCATGTGCAAAGTATATTTTTCTTTTAAAAAGCTTCAATTACCCTTTATTGTAGGTTTAAGTCTAACTGGCATATAAAGTAACCTGCATTTTCATTTTCTATAAACATTTAAGTTTTGATTGAATGTGTAGATTTACTCATTCAGCCGCTACTCTAAGCAGTGGCAGCCCTGAAGCAGAGATCATGAGGCCTCAGCAATCTCCTGGTAAGTTGCTCATTAGCTGTTAACAGGAACCAGAAAGATGGGCAGAGGATTGGGTTGGAGGTATACATAGCTGTAAGTTAGTATCACAGAATACAGTACTTAGAAAAAAATTGAAGATCCCTTTAATCAATTTTCTTATTTGGGGGAGAAAACTCAGTCACTGAAAGGTAAGGCACATTTTCAAGACCACATCATAAGCTAGTGGTACAGTTCAGAGCACTTGACTCCTAGTGAATTTCCATTCTCTATGGAAATATGTACTATACTGATGCTGAGAAAAAGTCTGACTAATTTTTCAACTTGAATTTCATGCTCAGTGTGAGTCATGTGTGCTAGAGAAAAGAGATACCACAACTGTATGTACAATGAGCACACATAGTATGTGTGTTTTAGTTATTATTTTTATCACAAGTTTTGGCATTTTTTTCATCAATAAATCATGAATGTCTTTGCTGATCATATTTTAGTGCCCAAATCTTAGGAAGTCTTGATATAACATCACTTGGAGACTTGCACAAGAGTTTCTTCTTACAGGATGTTCTGCTTTGTGATGTGGCAATGACGAAGGTGATTTTAATACAGGGATTGGCAGATTGAACCTTCAGTGTGTCAGTGTAATTCTTAATAACACTGTATTCTGTGACATCTGCATGAGTTCATTTCGCTGAACTGATTAAACGAACCAAAACATTTACTTCATATTGTTTTTTATCCCTCAGATAATCCAGATAGAGTTGTGTTAACATGAATATATTGCCTTCTTATCTTTTTTTCTTCAAAGACATACACACAAACTCACACTCACATGTAGCTTTTGAGGATTAATTACAAGGTATGTCAGGTCAAGCAATTGCAAAGGTACACTGTGGGGTGATGAAACATACCTTGCATATTATTTTCTGTGCTTTTTCCCACATTCAAATCCTTCTTCTGTCAAACCCCATATCCTTAAAAAGGAAGAACATTTATTTTACCTTTGCATACATTCATTAATAACAGCTCTCATAATGATAATTTTTAAATCACCACTTTGTATTCATAAGAAGCATAAAATCTGAAAAACAAAAAGAAAGAAAAGCAGAGGAGCCAGTGCCATGTATTAAACAGAGTTTAGTAGAATTCACTAACAGTACTGATCATTTTTCTCTTCCTGTGAGACATAAGAGGGGAAATGTTGAACGGATGAACTGCAGCCGGCAGCAGCCTCTCACGAAATTGTTAGTCAGTGTCAGCGCATGTAACTGACAAAAGCGTCTGGATGAAAGATTGAGTAATTATTTTTCCGTGTTAATGGTCCTTTATTTGTGTTTTATGCCTATGTTTGTTAACAGTAATTGCTTCTTCTCTAGCGTTCATTTTTAATGAGTCCCTTGAAAAATGGAGCACTAACTACTCTAGGATTTATTCTCATTTTGTTTGCCATAGTAAGAACAGTGGACAAAATAGGACTTCATTTCCTTAAAAGGAAAGCTAAAACTATGCATCAGTGAGTGTAAGAAAAGAAAAAAGAACAAACTAATACTTTTGGAAGGATGTACATGGGATTTCAAAAATAGAAAATCAATTAATGCTCTAGCCTATTTGTGTGTGGAGTAGCATTAATTCAAGGCGATTCAGCCTGATAAATCTATTTTTTTTTTGGTTGTGTCATTGTTAAAATCTTGTTGTTAGGGTATCCACGGAAGAGTACAAAATAAGTTGCTTATAGTGCTAAATAGATTGCATTTCTTTATAGAACGCAATATTCAGAATTTTTCCCCTTCCACTCTGTTATATTAACACACAATGTTTTAGTCATCTTCGCATCATCAGTACTTTATATATATCTTTGTAGGAAATACATACTCAGTATGTATTTATAGAATAAATAACTAACTACTATTAGCTTTTGGACTGAGCAAGGAGAATGATTCCAGCTCCCAAATCAACAAAGCATATTTGACAAAACATGTCTAAAATATAAGCAATCAAATTTATCCTGGGTATTTTTATAACACAGAAAATGCTTATTTGTTTTCTGTACACACATGCTTTAATTTCCTGGGGCTGTTGTAACAAATCCCACAAACCAGTTGGCTTAAAATAACAGGAACGTATTCTTTCAAAATTTTAAACCCAGAAATCTGAAATCAAAATGTTGGCAGGGCCTCTCTGAAGGCTCTAGGGCAGTATCCTTCCTGGCCCTTTCCTAGTTTCTGGTGTTGCTGGCAATCCTGGGTGTTTTTTGACTTGCAGCTGTAGCACTCCAATTCCTGCCTCTGTCTTCACACAGCTGTCTTCCCTCTGTATGTTTCTCCCTGTCTCTGTTTTCTCTTATATGGATACCAGTCAATGGATTAGGAACAACCCAGTATGACATCATGTTAGCTAATTATATCTTCAAAGATCCTCTTTCCAAATAATATATCACATTCTGAGGTTCCTAGTGGACATTAATTTTGAAGGGACAAGCATTATTCAACCTAGTACACCCTGGATGAATTTATATCCTGGCCATATCACTTATTGTGAGATGCTGGGCAAGATACTTGATACCTCTAAACATCAGTTCCCTTATATGTAAAAGAAGGACAATGATGTTACTCTGTAACTTACGGACCTGTAGTGAGGACTACTAGAACTAATATAAGTAAAGCTTTTAGCACAGCTTCTGACATATCAAGTGTGCTCTGATAAACAACACCTCTGAAATGGATAAAGTAGGGAGTTTAATAGGATGTTTAATAATAATGTCCCTCAGTTCAGGACAGTGACAAAATGCTAAAGCAAAAATTCCTAAACATGGTTTTATGAAAACCTCCCAAACTGCAGAGCAGTTACACAGATCTCTGAAAAGATTTCAAAATACCACAAACTATGTAAAATAATTTTTCATAAAGTTTCCCTCGAGGTAATACATTGTTCTAATAGAATCATACCAAAAGCCTTGTTATATAAATTAACAACAACAACAACAGCAACACCTGAGAAAACGAGAGTATTGGTATTGGGGACTGGGGTGAGGAGACGATGTGGTGAACACTGACTTACAACATTCCAAAGGCTGCAATTTAAAAAGAATGAAACCTGGAAAAAGATTGACTGTACCTTCTTCAAGAAGCACCTTCTAGATACGGTCCTATAATCTGATTTGTGATAAGAATTGGGAGATATAGAATTGGAGGCTAAGAGCATCTAGTAGATGAGAGAGCAGAATGCACTTTAAATTCCTCAGAGAGCAAAGTAACCACAGCAGCAGCAACAACAATAATGATATGGTTTGGCTATGTCTCCACCTAAATCTCATCTTGAATTGTAGCTCCCACAATCCCCACGTGTTGTGGGAGGGACCCAGTGGGAGGTAATTGAATCATGGGGGCATTTACCCCCATGCTGCCATTCTTGTGATAGTGAATTCTCACGAGATACGATGGTTTTATAAGTGACTTTTTTCCCTTTTGCTTGGAATTTTCTCCTTACTACCACCATAAAAAGAAGGATGTGTTTGCTTCCCCTTCCATCACGATTGTAAGTTTCCTAAGGCCTCCCAAGGCATGCTGAAATGTAGGTCAATTAAACCTCTTTCCTTTGTAAACTACCCAGTCTCGAGTATGTCTTTATTAGCAGCACAGCAACAGACTAATACAGTAGATTGGTACCAGTAGAGTGGGGTGCTACTATAAGGATACCCCAAAATGTGGAAACAACTTTGGAACTGGGTGACAGGCAAAGGCTGGAACAGTTTGGAGGACTCAGAAGAAGACAGGAAAATAAGGGAAAGTTTGGAATTTCCTAGAGACTTGGAGGACTCAGAAGACAGGAAGATGTGGAAAGGTTTGGAATCTCCTAGATACTGGTTGAATGGCTTTGACCAAAATGCTAACAGTGGTATGGACAATAAAGTCCCGGCTGAGGTGCTCTCAGATGGAGATAAGAAACTTGTTGGGAACTAGAGCAAAGATGACTCTTGTTATGCTTTAGTAAAGAGACTGGTGGCATTGTGCCCCTGCCCTAGAAGTTTGTGGAACTTTGAACTTGAGAGGGATGATTTAGGGTATCTGGCAAAAGAAATGTCTAAGTGGCAAAGCATTCAAAATGAAGCAGAGCACAAAAGTTTGGAAAATTTGTAGCCTGATGATGCAATAGAAAAGAAAAACTCATTTCTTAAGAGAAAGCCAAGCCTGCTGCAGAAATTTGTGTAAATAACAAGAAGCTGAATGTTAATTACCAAGACAATGAGGAAATGTCCATGTCAGAGACCTTCATGGAAGCCCCCTCCCTTAACAGGCCTGGATGCCTAGGAGGAAAAAATGGTTTCTGGGCTGGGCCCAAGGCTCTTCTGCTATGTGCAGCCTAGGGACTTGGTGCTTTGAGTCCAGGCTGCTCCAGCTATGCCTAAAAACTGCCAAAATACAGCTCAGGCCAAAGCTTCAGAGGGTGCAAAGCTTAAGCCTTGGTAGCTTCCACATGGTGTTGGTCCTGCAGGTGCACAGAAGTCAAAAATTGAGGTTTGAGAACCTCTGCCTAGATTTCAGAGGATGTATGGAAACGTCTAGATATACAGGCAGAAGCCTGCTGCAGGGGTAGAAGTCTCATGGAGAACCTCTGCTAGAGCAGTGCAGAAGGAAAATATGGGGTTGGTGGCCCCACACAGTGTCCCCACTGGGGCACTGCCTACTGGAGTTGTGAGAAGAGGGTCATGGTCCTCCAGACCCTAGAGTGGTAGATCTAATTACAGCTTGCACCCATTCACCTGAAAAAGTCACTGGCACTTAACACCAGCCTGTGAAATCATCCTGGAGCAGGGCTGTAGCCTGCAAAGCCATAGGATCAGAGCTGTCCAAGGCTGTGGGAGCCTACCTCTTGCATCAGCGTGATCTGGATGTGAGACACAGAGTCAAAGGAGATCATTTTGGAAATTTAAGGTTTAATGACTGCCTCATTGAATTTCTGATTTGCATGGGGCCTGTAGCCCCTTCATTTTGGCCAATTTCTCCCATTTGGAACAGGTGTATTTACCAAATACCTGTACCTCCATAGTATCTAGGAAGTAACTAACTTACTTTTGATTTTACAGGCTCATAGGTGAAAGGGACATGCCTTGTCTGAGATGAGACTTTGGACTTGGACTTTTGGGTTAATGTTGGAATGAGCTAAGTCGTTGGGGCACTGTTGAAAAGGCATGATTGTGTTTTGAAATGTGAGGACATGAGATTGTGGAGGGGCCAAAATCCCGTGGGAGGGACCCCATGGTGGATACTTAAATCATGGGGCCAGTTACTTCCATGCTGCTATTCTCATGATAGTGAGTAAGTTCTCACAAGATCTGATGGTTTTATAAGGGAATTTCCCCCCTTTTGCTCAGTTCTTCTCCTTGCTGCTTCCATGTGAAGAAGGGTGTGTTTGTTTTCCCCTTCCACCATCATTGTAAGTTTCCTGAGGCCTAAGGAGCCATGCTGAACTGTGAGTCAATTAAAACTCTTGCCTTAATAAATTACCCCATCTTGTGTATGTCTTTATTAGCAGCATGAGAATGAACTAATTCAGATAATCTCAACAATTTTGTAAGAGATTACTCTGTACATGATTCTAAACATGTTCCAAACATTTCACTTAATCATTATAACCCTCTTAGGGACATACTATTAATTTCCCCATGTTTCCTAAAGATAAAATGGAGGCAAAGGGAAGTGAAATCAGTTGATGATCTGCCAATTAGTGGGTGGTAGAAAAACACGTTGGCATTAAGCTGTCTGACACTCTTGCCCATGATTTTACCCTGCGATATTCTTAATTTGTTAGTAAAATAACAATATTTTTGTACTTTCTGGATTGTGGGGGTATCCAGTCACTCCCCTCATTAGTGAGTGTTATAACTAAGGAACAGATGGCATTCAGTCAGAAGTGAACAAGAGGGCCAGATAACTGGCTTATATTCTTCTGTCAACACCATTTCTGGAATGCTTATTTTGTGTCTATTTTGCATCAGGCATTCAGTAAACACAGTTTTTCTGAGCCTGGTTTTTCAAGATGGCTAAGTGGTTTAGGAGACCACCATGTCTTCCATACCTACCCCATGACTGAAAACTAGATGGCATTCTCTGCATAAAGACATGCTAAAAGCTAGAAAGCAAGCAAAGTCCTTGAAGTGATGCAAATAACAACAAATCTTTAAAATTATATGTAGGAATTAAAAATTGAACTGGATATCAAATAATCAAGTAATCTGGTTGTTTTGAAGATATGAATTGAACATTTGATTGCATATTCTACTTTTATGGGCTGGGTTAAAAAAAAATGGTCATGACTGTCAGGATTTTTTTTTCCTGTAGAAATTTTTATGCTCCTTTGTCTCCCTACTCACCTTTAAACATATTGATTGATAAAATCTAGATGAAACTAATAGTCAGTGTTCAAATAGTTAATATGTTTTGACTCAGGCTATATTATGAATCAAAAAATAATTTTTAACTGATGAAAATGACTCATTCGGAATAGTGTGATTTAATAAATGTGCCTCCCTATTTAAGTTAAAATATTTCAGCTAAAATTAGCAGCACATCTTGTTCTTTTACTATGTCTTAGAATGAAATAAACCAGAGGAGAGATAAGTTTTCTTTGTCTGATTTAATTGCTTTTGGGGAGATGGACCAGTATTAAGCTACCTAACTCCAATGGACAAGCTGTAGAGATAGGAGTGAATGTATCATGAAAGGAAGAAATTAATACTGATGCTGTAAACAACTTGCAGTCCCAAGAATAGCCCAAAAAACATTTTTACCCCTTGCAAGTTTCCCCTAGGAATAAACCAAGCAACTAAAAATGGATATCCACCCATCATGTTCTTAAGTTCATTAACATCACCATTTTTGCCTGTACCAACCTTTTCTTAGAAAACTATGCTTAGAATAGAAGGATATTATTCTGTGTTATCAAGACAGAGAGGGAAAATTTGTGATATTTTAATTTGTTTTTTTATTTACATCTAATAAGTGGGATTGTATGTGTGTATGTTTAATTGCTTTAATAATTTGAAGAAAAAAGATACGTTAGAAGAGGTTCTCTGAAAATTCAGTTATCCCAGAAGCAATTGTCTAACCACTTCAATGAGGAAGAGAAAATAAGGAAAATCTTTAATTGAAAAATAGTCACTGAATGCCTTCTATGAGCTACTCCCCGTTCAGTGTTCTGGGTAGACAAGGATAAAGAAGACTTAGTCTTTGTCCTCAAGAATTCATTCAGAATAAGGAATTGAAGACATAAGCAAGACATTTATAACAAGCTTGTGCGGTATTAAGTAGCCAGGATGCGATGGTACATGAGATATGGAAGATGAGAGGTTGGAAAAATATATTGGAGCCAACTTCTAGAATGACTTATTATAAAACTAAGATGTTAATGCTTTTTTTGTTTCTTTTCTATAACCAAAAAAGTAACAAAGTCATAAATCTATATGAAAAGATTTACTTTTCTTACATTTCATATATATATGAAATACATGTATATAATTCATATATAAATATATTTCTATACATATATTTATATAATATTCATATACAAATAAAGATAAATACATATTTAGAAAAAGAGGATAGAAGAAAGAAATTTTATAAGATTGTGAAATGTAAATTCATTACCCTTGCACATTGATTTACATTTTTTTCACTTTAATGAAAATGATGCATTTTAAATTGTATTTTTGCTTTTATGCCTTTGGAAGTGTTTTTAGACTTGCCATTTTCTACCGTCTTTAATTTATTTTAGGGTTTAAGCAGGAGAATTCTAAGCTGTGAGTGATAATGAGAAATTAGGCCTATGCAGGAGCACTTTGTGGGAATTCTGGGTCTCTGTAACTTACATATGTTTAATCTGTGGTGGAATGAGTCAACAGAGGATGGATTGAAGGCTGTGATACCGTCCTGAAACTAGGGCACATATTGGTAGTGTCTTCCTTTAGTAAGCAGCCAGCTCCGGGGATTTTCTTTCCACAGTGCTATTTTAATGTGTAAAACCACCACACAAAACCTGTGCAACAATCACAACCCTGCTAATCTGAATTTTTCCATTCCCCTTGTAATTTTCAGAGTAAGTCCCAAGTTAAGCAAGGTTTCCCAGCCACTGAGCACATTCCCAGGAATAGAGATAGGACAAGGTTACTCTTCTTTCAGTGTGCAACTCAAGAGTGTTGTGCAGAGATTGTTTTATGTTTTTTAACATTTGTGAAACAGCAATTGCCTTTCGATTGTGGTTGTGGTCACAACTGAAACTTTGCTGGAAAAAGTTTCATAGCATTTGCATTATATAGCAAAAATGAAAGGTGAGAAGAGGGCCTTAGATCTGTGCTTCTGACAATTTGAGGTGAATAACTAGTTGTTTTCTTTTTTAAAAGAATTCAATATATCTAGGACCACTACTTTTATAAAATATAATAAAAGTTACTGGAAAAATTAACAAGACATGCAAACCATAAGAATCCAATTTTTATTATCAGTTCCACAGGCATATTTGTTGTCTGTCAAGCTGCTATAAAGGTTCCTAAATGCTTACTCACAATTTCTTTACTTCTTTCTCTACATTTCAGAGGAAGGCTCTAGTCATTGGACCACATTTGGAGTAGCACTGGCTTAGAGGATTCTGAAAGCAGTCAGGAAATCCCAGAGCAAATGACACAGTTTTAAAGAAATCTATATATAACACCTTGCTTAGTCAGGGCTACCACTATTTCTCTGCACTAACACAAGTTGCTTTCTGATTTATCTAAAATAAGAGAATTGTCCCCTAGGCAGTAAGGTAATAGCTGTTGATGGAACTCAGAGGTGAAAAAGTGCTTTATATTTATATGTGAGTGTCTGTGTGTGTGTGTGTGTGTGTCTGTCTGTCTGTCTGTGTGCATGCAGAACTATATTGAACAATAGCCCATAGGCTGGGGGATACTGGGATCTGCATGAAATTTTCAAAAGTAACATCAAAATATACATATACCCTGAAATGCTGGCAATTACATCTACTTGTTTCCAAATTCATCTTTGTGAACCCTACAAATATAAAATGGAAGCCATCTTAGGGAATTTCACTGAGTGATACTATTTCATCTTTGGAACGTTTCCTTTCTCCTTCAGCAGTCAGCCTTTCCCGTGAAATGCTCTTTCTCTACCTTTTTTAAGTTTATATTTCCTTTTATTAAGTGATGAAGAACAGGCAGATGATCACTTCAACCTCCATCTCCCCTTCCTTCCATAGCAATAAAATCCCTAATTTTATTTTTTTCTGAACAAATGACTGCACATTCCCAATTTTCCTTTGCAGTCACATGTAATCTTGAGACTAATTGTAGACAACATAATGTGAGCAGGTGTCAAGATCAGGTTCTGAGAACCAGGGAATGAGATTTAAAAGACTGATGGAAATAACAATTTGCCTTATTTTCTTCCTTTTTAAAATCGCTACCTAATTTCTAGCTGGTACAAGGAATTCCATACATCTTGGGTTATAATATAGTCCTAGGAGTAGGAATCACATATGGGTGGAACCAAATGTTAGATGGAGTAAGGATGTCTAACATCTCTGAAATATCATTTCATATTCCTTTCAGAGAGATTTCCACTAAAAATTTTTGATCTTGAAAGAAAGTAAACTCCTACCTTGTTTAATCAATTATTCCACAGAACCAAACGTTATCTTAACTTATAAGAGTGATAATAATGCAAGCATGTTACAAGTACATGTCTGTGCTTTCCAGCATGACAGCCACTAGCCACATGTGGCTCTTCAAATTTAAGTGAACTAAAGATAAATATAATGTAAAATGTAGTTTCTGAGATACTCTAGCCACATGTTCTGTGCTCCATAATCCCTATGGCTACTTTGTTGGACACTGAAGAAACTGTAGAACAATTCATTGCAGAAATTTCTATCGAACAGCACTGATCTAGAGGGCAAGGCCTAGGTTAGCCTTCATTGTAACCAAATAGATATACACTAAAAGTTTTTCATTTCTTTATCTTAAAATACCCTGCATGTTGAGTTAACTGTATAAATCAAATACATACATGAAAAGATAAAATATGTATAATAAATTTGGAAACAATTAAATGTTTGAAAGATATCACAAGAAATAATATAACTGTTCCTGGCATGGATAGGAACTTATTTCAGGGGATAATCCAGGACCTGGAATAAACAATTCTGAACCCTTCCATCCTCCACAATTTTCACACTGATGAGTTCAGGTGAAAGGGGATTTAAAGGATGCCCACAGGGAAAAGGTAAAGAAGTGGAGATGAAGCATAAAATATATCTTGCTCAACTCTTGGATAGTAAAATAAAGTTGTGAAGGACAAATGCATTCAGTTATCTTTGGTATAATAAGAGACATAAGAACTTACCATATTTATGGTAATGTTTTTTCCTTATCTTTCTTTTTAATTTTCCTTTTATTTCTAGCCATATACCTTATTTCCCACCATAAGAGCTTAGAGCACCTGAACGTTACAACATGGTGGAACTTCCAGAAGTTTTGACTACCACATACGTTCCATTTGCAGGAGTGTAGTATATTTTCACAAAGAGCAAATGTAACATAACAACAAAACACTAAGAAATTATTTAATTTTAAGTCAAAATATAACATGCTGTTGAGGTGGTGGAGTAAAGGGAACACTTATACACTGTTGTTAAGAATGAAAATTAGTTCAACCATTGTGGAAAGCAGTGTAGCTATTCCTCAATGATCTAAAACAGAACTAGCATTCAACCCAGCCATCTCATTACTGGCTATATACCCAAAGGAATATGTATTAGTCCATTTTCCCGCTGCTCATAAAGACATACACAAGACTGGGCAATTGACAAAAGAAAAAAGTTCAATGAACTTACAGTATCACATGGCTGGGGAGGCCTCATAATCATGGTGGAAGGTGAAAGGCACCTCTCACATGGTGGCAGACAAGAGAAGAGAGCTTGTGCGGAGAGGCTCCTGTTTTTAAAACCATCAAATCTCATGAGACTTATTCACTATTGTGAGAACAGCATGGGAAAGATCTGCCCCTATGATTCAATTGATTCAATTACCTCCCACCAAGTCCCTCCCATAACACATGGGAATTCAAGATGAGATTTGGGTGGGTACACAGACAAACCATATCATTCCACCCCTTGTCCCTCCCAAATCTTATGTCCTCACATTTCAAAACCATTCATGCCTTCCCAATAGTCTCCCAATGTCAACTCATTTCAGCATTAACTCAAAAGTCCACAGTCCAATATCTCATCTGAGACAAAGCAAGTCCCTTCCACCTATGAGCCTGCAAAATCAAAAGCAAGTTAGTTACTTCCTGGACACAATGGGGGCACAGGTGTTGGGTAAATACAGCCATTCCAAATGGGAGAAATTGGCCAAAACAAAGGGGCTGCAGGCCCCATGCAAGTCCAAAATCCAGCAGGCAGTCAAATCTTAAAACTCCAAAATGATCTCCTTTGACTCCATGTCTCACATCCAAGTCATGCTGATGCAAGAGGTAGGCTCCCACAGCCTTGGGCAGAATATAAATCATTCTACCATAAAGACGCATGTAGACATGTTTGTTGCAGCACTGTTCACAGTAGCAAAGACATGGAATGAACCTAAATGCCCATCAATGACAAATTGGATTAAAAAAATGTGATATATATCCACCATGGAATACTATGCAGCCATAAAAAAGAAAGAGATCATGTCCTTTGCAGGGACATAGAGGGAGCTGAAGGCCATCATGTTTAGAAAACTAATGTCGGAAGTGAAGATCAAATGTTCTCACTTATAAGTGGGAATGAAATAATGAGAACACATTGCCGAGACCTGCTTGGTCATGGAGACACTAACCCAGCCACCCTAGAGGAATTAAAGACACACACACTGAAATACAGCATGTGGAGTGGGAAATCAGGGGTCTCACAGCCTTCAGAGCTGAGAGCCTCCAACACAGATTTACCCACATATATATTGACAGCAAGCCAGTGATGAGCATTGTTTCTATAGATTATAGATTAAGTAAAAGTATTCCTTACGGGAAATAAAGGGATTGGCCGAAACAAAAGGAAGTTATCTGCATCAGGAACATGTCCTTAAGTCACAGATCGCTCATGCTATTGTCTGTGGTTCAGGAACGCCTTTAAGTGGTTTTCCACCCTGGGTGGGCCAGGTGTTCCTTGCCCTCATTCTGGTAAACCCACAACCTTCCAGAGTAGGCGTCATGGCCATCACGAGCATGTCACAGTGCTGCAGAGATTTTGTTTATGGCCAGTTTTGGGGTCAGTTTATGGCCAGATTTGGGGGCCTGTTCCCAACAACACATAGTCACAAAGAGGGGAACAAGAGACACTAAGGCTTACTTGAAGGTAAAGGGTGGAGGAAGGGAGAGCATCAGAAAAAAATAACTCTTGGGTACTAGGCTAAGTACCTGCGTGACAAAATAATCGGTATAAACACTTGTGACATTAATTTACCTATATAACAAATCTGCACTTGTACCCCAAACCTCAAATAAAAATTTTTTTAAAAAGAGAAATTATTTAATTTTTAAAAAGCGATCAGCATGCTATTTTTGTTTGGTTTTTGTTTTTTTTCTCAGAGAAGACATCTTGAATACTGCTCTTTTCTTTGTGTCGAGTAACAGACTTTCTATTCTTAAATATATAAGCATATTCCTTCCCATGAGGCCTAAGTTAGAAAAAATTAAAAACATTATAGGTTATTTTATTATACAATGAAATTTTGAAAATTGAAGACTTGTATTTAGTGAACTAATTTTTCCCACTCTTTCCTTCTTATTACAAGGGCAATCATGCCAAACCTCATTCATATGGAAATGTGTTTAAAATGCATTAAAATATTATTAGCTATATAGTGGAATTTAGTATGCAGAAAATTCTTACCAAGGTATGTATTTGTGATTCAAGAGTTCAAATTTTTTTATGCTTCTTCCCTAGTAAAGATTAATGATTAAATTAGCTGTGCATGCTCTTTGTTGCTATATCTGAGCATTAGCCCACACTAACTTTTAGCCTAGAAAACTATCAGTAGTGGAATGGAAATCACACAGAGTTGGGAAGACTTGAGTTCGACAACTGGCTTCTAGTAAGGGTGGGACATGGTTAAGTGAATTAACCTTCATGAGACTCCATAAAATGAAGCCTGGATTATTTATCTCCTAGTGGCATTGTGAAAATGAAGTGAAATATCTTATGGATTAAATCTGGTACACAAGAGTGCAAACACAAAAAGAAACATGAATTGTCACGCAGAGATGGATAGGAGCTGAAGAGGGAAAACATTTATGATCAAAGGCATGTGTTTGAGATTTTTTCCTCCTGGTGTGAACTTCTAGCTCAGAATTAACCTGGAGGGTCTTTTGACAAATAGGAGACCTAGAAGAACTTACAAGGGAAAAAAGAGATTCCATGTTCCACAACACTTTAAAAATTTTGAAATAAACTTTAAAATATTACTTAAAACAAAATATTGTGGATTTATTTGACTAAGCGATCCTTTCAAGACCTAATACATCCAGTAAAATAAAAGTTTATTATTAATAAGGGTTTTATAAAACATGATTTGGAAACACTAATTTTACCAGATTCTTATAAATGAAGTTCTAACACTTATTTGAAAGACTATGCAATTAGAAATTAAAGAGGTGGTAATTTGTTATTCAAGATTCACTTCTCTCTATAATTATTCTTGAAGCAGGACCTGAGAATGTATGTTTTAAAGGTTTGTTGAGACTACCTCATATACATGTGAGGGATATATGAATTATTCACACCTACACACACATAAAAAATATGTGTATATATACATAAACACATACACACACACTCTATTAATTCACTATACATACCCTTCTTATTTTAAAAATAATTCAAGGTGGCTCAAACTTGTTTTACAATGGTTCATTTATCTTCTGCACAATATACTCATTGAAAAATAATAGCTAACACATTCTAAGAATGTGTTGTAATTGTGCTAAGTGCTCTACATGTAAGCTTTTATTTAATCCTCAAAGCAATCCTAGGAGGCAGGTTCATCTGTTCTCTTTTACAGATTTGAAAAGGGGAGCTTCAGAGAGGTTCAATAGCTTGTACAAAATTGAGTGTCTTAGAGGTGATTGATGCAGACACACTCTAAAGTTACCCCTAATGAGTCATACCTTTGTACAACTTTATCTCCTAGAGTATGGGTGGAACCTGTGGTTTGCTTCTAACCAATGGCATATGGCAATAGTGAAGGGGTTTTGCCAATTTAATGCAGGTCTTTAGTAAGTTTATTTTGAGTTAATTAAAAAGGCAGGTTCTCTTGGGTGGGCCCAGTCTAATCAAGTGAAAGCTTTTAAACAAGGTACTGGGAACTTTCCTTTAGCAAGCAGTTTGCCTGCTGAACTTGAAGAAGCAAGCTATGAACTCTGTAGCCACAAAGATTGAACCTGCCAACAACCTAAATGACCTTGGAAGAGGACACCAAGCTTCAGGTGACAATGCAGCTATCTTATGCTTGATTGCAGCCTTGTGAAACCATGAGCAGAGAATTCAGCTACATTGTGCCTGGACTCCTGAAACACAGAAGCTGGGAGACAATAATCGTATGGTATTTTCCACCACTAAGCCAGTGGTATTTTATTACATAGCAGCAGAAGACCAATACAGGGATGAAGATGAGTTTTGAACTCAGGAAGTCTGGCTTTCAAGTTTGCATTTATAGTGACATCCAGCCTCTCAGAGATGCAGCTTGGTATCTGGTATCCTATAGATACACAGCTGTACAGCTGTGTACTCTGTGGTCCAGGTGTGATATGGTTTGGGTCTTCGTTCCCACCCAAATCTTATGTTGAATTCATCATGTTGAAATCTCATGTTGAATCTCACATTTCCCGAGTGTTGGAGATGGAGCCTGGTGGGAGGTGACTGGATCAGTGGGTGGGGCTTCTAATGGTTTAGGACCATCTCTCAAGGGCTGTTTCATGACAGAGTTCTCACGAGATCTGGTTGTTTGAAAGTGTGTACCACCCCTCCCTTTGCTCTCTCCTCCTCCTGCTCCAGCCATATAGGACATGCCAGCTTCCCCTACATCTTCCACCATGACTGTAAGTTTCCTGAGGCCTCCCCAACCATGCTTCCTGTGCAGCCTGTGGGACAATGAGCCAATTAAACCTCTTTACAAATTACCCAGTCTCAGGGAGTTCTTTATAGCGATGTGAGAACAGACTAACACAAGGTGCCTATGAGGTTAGGAATGACAAAAAGGCTAGTTGTTTTCCTCTACTTCGTATTTAGAAATATTTAGTGTAATTGGTGGATAGGATCAGATATAGATTGGAAGTAGCAACATTTATTTTTTGAAAGTGGTACTATCCTTATTTGAATGACCTTAGAAAGTTCACATGTTGCCCTGTGCCTCAGTTTTCTTTGTGACATTGGGAAAAATTTATTCAATTTCCAACTTGAAAAGAAATCTATTGATTGTACCACACAATGATGACTGTAAAAAATATTATTTTCTCAAAAGATAAGCATTTATAAAATATTAGCTCACGCATCTAAAATACATTTCAAAACTCATTTAATGAGGGTCTACTCAGTACCGAGTGTTATTAATCTTCACAGATTCCTTAAAAATTGATTTCTCCTCTCTCCTTTAACAAGCTGGACTAAAAGTTAGTGAGTTGTATGACTTGCCTCTCTGACCATAAGACAAAAACAAAGAGGTCCTGATTTATTGGACTGTTAGATAAAATCTGGTTTCTTCTGCATCTTTAAATCTGTATTCATAAGCTGCACATATTCAATATGTTAAGGAACAAAGAAAAATGTCAGATGATTTCAATTTGTGTTTTTGTATTCTACTAGATGATTCCGTTTCAAGTGCAACTATCAGAAAAAACAAGGCAGTGGGTATTTGTGTTTATTCTTGGTTCTCATTTAGGGAGCTGTGTTTTTAAATGAAACATAATTTTAAATTTATCTCTTCAATCCTCCACTCCTTATAAATGTATTGCTGCATCTACTAAGAATTTAGGAACATGAATCCTCTTTTGTCAGCCTTCCTTTCTAAGCATACATTGCAAAGAACTGCTAACTTCATTTTCTTTCTGTTTAGTTTCATTTCTTCCTTCTTAGGATTTCTGTTTAAAAAAGCTTTTAGCAGTCTTTGCTCGCATATGGTGCATATGCTTGTGAAATAGGCAAACCAGCTTGAGTAAAACATGAATAAAAATAAACCACACAGAACCAAACTACAAACTTTTTGGGAGGTCCTCAGTTGTGTTGCCTTTTTTTTTTTTTTTTTTTTTGCATATGTCAATAATTCCTGTTTGGAACCAGGAATGGAATCCTCTGAAATACCCAAATACAGTAAAAAGGATGCCATTGTTCTCTAGATCAAAGAATTAAATGAGATCTATGAGTTCTGAAAAGTTCTTCATCTTATGAGATTTGCAGGCTCTTTTCCTGAACAAAACCTTCAGCAAAAGATGAAAATTACTGGATGTGCTTACTTTAGGATGAACTTGACAACTTCTTTTT
Organism: Homo sapiens; assembly: GCF_000001405.40. NCBI lineage: Eukaryota > Metazoa > Chordata > Mammalia > Primates > Hominidae > Homo > Homo sapiens. The sequence goes on along the minus strand of NC_000014.9, from coordinate 85,042,121 downwards.
GACATTATTTTATAAAAAGACAGACACTAAACATAGCAGGCCACAGAGTTAAGAGTAAAGCCTCCAAACCCAGATATTTAAAACCTAGCTACTCAAGAAGCCACAGAAATAAAGTGTAGTTTTCTAGTGAAATCCCTTTGGCATTATCTTCCTGATGAATGTTTTCAAAACACACTGAGCAGTCTATATCCCTAAGGATTGCTTTTCTCTAGTTGATTTATATGTTTACACATGTTTAACTACTCATTGTATTGTCTGGTAAAGAGAAAATTCATACCATGCACATGGGTCTGGGTCCAGGTGGCTTACCAGACTGGTTCAAGATGTGGGTGTGGGGCTTTAGTGTCTGGATGGTATTTCAGCCTGTGTTCAAAGAGGGAGGGAAATGAACAAAAGAAAGGAGAGAATTTATGCTGAGTGACTTCCCTGCTATAAACTTGCCAATGCAGTTCTGGAGGTCTGACAACATCTTTGCTCTTTGCTGCTTGGATAAAAATCAATCAGGAAGCCAATGGAAGAATATTAGGTATGTACAAAGCAGGTAGGAAACACAGAGCAACTGGAGCTTGTTGTCTGTTTACAATTTTGATGGTGTGATAAGACAAGAATTTAATAACACAAAAGTTATCCACATGAGTGTAAGAACACCTAAAGCTGAGTAGTTTATAAAGAAAATACAATTATGTCATACTGTTTTGGAGGCTGGGAAGTTCAAAGTTGAGAGGTGCATCTTGTGACAGCCTTCTTGCTGGTGGAAGCTCTCTGCAAAGTCCCAAGGTAATGCCAGGCAGCACATGGTGAGGAAACTGAGCATACTAATGTGACAATTCAGGTCACTGCTCCTCTTCCTATAAAGCCACTATTTTCTCTCTTGTGCTAACCTATTAATTGATTAGCCCGTTAATTTATGAAAGGATTAGCTCATTCATGAGGACAGAAACCTCACCACCTAACTGCCTCTTAAAGGCTCTACCTCTCAACACTGCCACATTGGGGATGAAATTTCAACATGAGTTTTTGAGGGGATATTTAAAGCATAGCAATAAGAGATGTCACCTTGTTAACTATTGCTTTACAATTATGGGCATGATAGAGTCTTCAAAGAGGAAATGGGATATTACCTGTCAGTGAAGGGGCTTTCAATTTAAGAGGATGAGGGGCAAGGAAGTCATGCCAAGGCCCAAGAACAGTGTAAATAATTGGTGGAAAATACAAGTTGCATGCTGAGGATGGCAGGATGACAACTATCACTTGAATTCTGGTTGATCTAGTACAGAAAATGCAATCTCGGATTCCTCGTGGGTTGAACAGGTAATGGAACTGAGAAGAGCAAGCTGCGGAGTATACTTTATCATTTTTTAAAAATTTTGCTTATTTTTAAAGAAGGTGAACTATTCTTCACTTCCACAAGAAAAACACCTCTTTCATTTTCCATCTTTCCTTCCTCTCCTCTCTGTGACACAGGGTCACAGTATTATTTCTCCCTTAAAACAAACAAAGAAACAAAGCCAAAAGCAGCAGGGCAGACATGTAGATAAACTATAATTGATCCTCGACCTCCCATCATGAGGCAATACTAAGCACAAGGAACCAGCCTGCCTGGGCTGTTTCTCTGTCTACGGGAGCAGCTGCTAGTGTTTTTGAAACACTGCGAGCCAAACAATGCACATCTATAGGCAAGAATGCCCTCATCAGCCACCAGAGCACAATTTCTCATGGAGAAGAGAAGTGTGCCTTATGATTGCAAAGATAAGAACTTTTAGGAAGTTAAAGGAATTCGACTTCAGGTTCAGTATGTGGTTCAAGATCCAGGCTCCTACACAGAGCCCAGATTTGATTCATTTGGTAAATGCTAAATCCATTCCATTTGCATAGCATGTTCTCTAAAGCATTTTCAATTGGAACTGATTCTGTATTTGAGAGTGAAAGAAGAATGTAATCTGGCAAGCTGATGTTTCCGTCTGCGTGGAGCTGCCCTTCCAAGGGGTTGACAAACACCCATCTTGGCCCTTCAGCATTTTTCTATGTGCTGAATGGGCTTCAGGAGCACAGATCACTTTTATTGCAGCATACAATATGTTTGATAATAAACTTTTAAGCTCTATTTATTGGGCTACACATACAAAACTATTACTTTCTTGGCTAACACCCATACCTTATCTAATGGGAAAGATAAAGAGTGATTTCAGTAAGAAACTTTAAAGAGCATTTGATACTTGGAAGAAAAGAGTAATCAAATCACCTAATATTTATTTTCTCCTGTGTGCCTGGCATTATAATATTGATTGATACTACCTTCTACCCATCTCATACATAAGCATGTTGTCTCTTAGTGTGTGTGGTGAGCTTTAAATAATTGTTGCCTTGGTGTTAGAGAAACAGATTTTACTGCCTGAGTAGAAAATATCTGATAATTGCAGGAGATTTCAGAAGGACGGTGAAAGGAGAAAAAAAAAAAAACCTTTTGATATTGCAACATTTGAAGCTGACTGATGATTACTAGATAATTTATGAGCAATTGGCCTCATTTAAATATAGATCTGGCAAATGGGGAGTATATTTTAATGCTAGATGGGAGGTGAAATGCATATAATGCCTCATCATTTTCAATATATTTTTACCTTCACTAGATTATTTGATATATGAAACAGCACTGAGCACTCTGGTGAGAAAGTGATGTATGTGTGTGTGTGTGTGTGTGTCTGTGTGTGTGTACAAAGAGGGATTCAGGAATTATTATCTCCATCTCACAAATGGGGTCATTTAGCTGAGTTTGAATGATGAATGTCCAATTCAACAGCTAGTTAGTAGCAGAAACTGAGCCTCCTGACTTCCCAGTGATTTCTATCACATTAATACATATTTGTGCTTCTCCAGTATTCATTAGCTGCATGTTGCATTGTGTCATTATGTATCTGCCAATGGTTTACATGGAATTATACACATTCCCTTGCCAATCTAAAATGATCTTTGCAAATGACCCTTGTCAAAGTGATGGGTTCAAGATGTACAGAGACAATGAAGTGAAGCCTAAGGTTTTTGTTTTTTGATTGTAGTGGGAGACATACTCTCTCCCATTCAGAAAATGAGAAATGAGAGAGCATCTGTTCCTGGTAGCTATTTGCAGCCATCTTGAAGCCACACATGGTCTGCTTTGCAATGAAACCGTACCCTTGCAGGCTGAAAAAAATACTGCCATTGAGAACAACAGGCTAAGTACATGTGTAAACCGGATCAAGCTTTGCATGGCCTTTTTTCTTTTTAATTCAATCTGTTAAGAAGGGAAATTAATTCTTTTTTAACATAAGCCAATTTGGGTTGTGGTTTCTATTATTCATGACCAAAATAACCCTAAGTGTTGCACAAAACCTACATCTGCAGAAACCAAATTTCACACCCTTGCTTTGTTTAGAGAAAACCTTTAGACTGAGTAAGAGATATCTGCAACCATTACGGGTAACTTTAGTTAGGAAATTCCCAAATGTTTTTGAAACCTAGATGCAGAAAGAAGAACCACATGCACGTGAAAGTGTTTTTGGGCCCAGCGTGGTGGCTCATGCTTGGAATCCCAGCACTTTGGGAGGTCGAGGCCGGTGGATCACCTGAGGTCAGGAGTTCGAGACCAGCCTGGCCAACATAGTGAAACCCCGTCTCTACTAAAAATACAAAAAATTAGCCGGGCGTGGTTGTGGGTGCCTGTAATCCCAGCTACTCAGGAGGCTGAGGCAAGAGAATCACTTGAACCTGGGAGGCAGAGGTTGCAGTGAGTCGAGATTGTACCACCGCATTCCAGCCTGGTGACAGAGCAAGACTCTCTAAAAAAAATAGGGTTTCTCGATTCTAGGTTAAAGAAGTACTTTGGATTCATGTATCAGATTGTGTGGAACATCAAATTGGAGGGGGAGATATTTTCTTTGCTGCTTCTCATAGCCAGCACTAGTCTCACTCCAGGAGTCTGAGCTTTGTGAGCAATGAGACTCAGTGCCTTTGGCACAGACACTGGCTTACTATGTGGCTTCATATGCCAGGGCAAAGGTGAGACTCTTACAAGTGACTTTGAGTGCAGGTGCCATCAGTGCAAGGAGGTGGGTGGGGGACGCTGGCAGTTGAATGTAAATTACATTAAAACTTTGACATGGGAGAGTGGTAGACATATTTGTTTGTGAGCATTAATTTTTTTTTTTTTGGTGAGTTTTTTATGCGGGGTTGTCAAGAACTCTGAAGGACCTGAGATGTTACCTTGCTTGCAAGCTAAGAAGTTAGTACAGCACAACTTTTTGAATGCTTGTCATTAAAAAAGTCATTAGACTGCAGGGTAAAAGACAAAGGAGTTTATCACTAAGAGCAAAACAATCATGAGCACCAATTCACCTTGCTCCCGAATCCCATAAGGACAATGTAGAGGAGTCTACAGAGACACCACCCACACAATGGGTTAGCATCATACATGAGTAATTCTGACCTTAGGGGACCCAAGTATTTTATATAGAGCAGTAAAAACAACTGCCTTCTGCCCTGGAGGTACATAGTACTTCTATCATGTAAGGCTGTTTGGTACCCAAACATTCCTGACATTTTAGTCTAAAGCAAAAAGGGAGTTAGTGTCTTTGATGGTTAATTTCAACTGCCAACTTGACTGGATTAAAAGATACCTGATAACTGGTAAAGCGTTGTTCCTGGGTGTGTCTGTGAGGGCATTTCTGGAAGATATTGGCCTATGAGTTGGTGGACTTAGTATGAAAGATCAGCCCTCAATGTTGGGGGGCACGATCCAATCAGCGGGGGCCCTGGAGAGAATAAAAAGCAGAGGAAAGGCAAATTTGCTCTTTCTTCTGAAGCTGGTTCACCCTTCTTCTCCTGCCCATGGACATTAGGACTCCAGATTCTCTAGTCTTTGGACTACGGGACTTGCACCAGCAATTGCCCAGAGGTCTTGGGCCTTTGGCCTCAGACTGAGAGTTACACCATTGGCTTCCTTGGTTGTGAGGCTTTTGGAGTTGGACTGAACCATGTCACTGGATTCCCTGGGTCCCCAGCTTACAGACAGCTTTTGATGGGACTCTTTAACCTCCATAATCACACGAGCCAATTCCTCTAATAAATCTCCTTTATCCCCTATCTATCTATCTATCTATCTATCTATCCATCCATTCATCCTATTGGTTCTGTGTCTTTGAAGAATCTTGACTAATACAGTGTCTCTGCCTGACATATATGTAGAATTTCATGGAGAGACTCACAGAGCACTGTCTCCCAGAAGGACATCAGAGTATTGTTTGGGAATCCCACATTGAGTTGGTGGATATTAAATTCTTACAGTATGCACATTAATAAATAACATGCTCATTATAACTCAAAGTATAAAATAAATATTTATGAGTCCATACTGATATAAATGAATGAGTAAATTTATACATGGAGGAAAGGAAACAAATCTCCCATATAGAAGAATTCCAAATAATTTATGTAAATACTCTGCCTTCAAAGAGGGGGAGATTAATTCTGTTCTCTGTAAGTGTGGGCTAAACACAGTGACTTCCTTCCAAAGCATATAAAAATTAGGGTGGGGTAGGAGAAGAAGAGAAAATTTACAGTGGAGAAAAAGGACAAACCCTACATACTTCAGGTGATAAAGCCCAACAACAGTCATATCATGTTGATAGTATGTATTCTGAATATGATATGATGGCAATAGCACTTTACCTCTGAGATCTTTCTCCAGATAACCCATAACCTCAGCCTTATCATGAGAAAAACATGAGAAAAATTCCAGTGTGGAGTATTGTACAAAATACTTGCTACTACTCCTCAAAATACTCAAAGCCCTTAATGTGGTTTGGCTCTGTGTCCTCAACCAAATCTCATGTCAAATTGTAATTCCCATGTGTCAGAGGAGGGGCCTGGTGGGAGGTGATTGAATCACGGGGCGGACATCCCCCCTTGCTGTTCTCTTGATAGTGAGTGAGTTCTCATGAGAACTGGTTGTTTGAAAAGTGTGTAGCATATCCCCCTTCACTCTCTCTCTCTCCTGCTGTCAGGAGAAGGTTCTTGCTTCCCCTTCGCCCTTCTACCACGATAGTAAGTTTCCTGAGGCCTCCCCAGCCATACCTCCTGTACAGCCTACAGAACTGTGAGTCAAACCTCTTTTCTTTATAAACTACTCAATCTCAGGTAGTTCTTTATAACAATGTGAGAACAGACTAATATAGTCCTCAAAAACACAACCAAAAAAAGTATATGAAATTGCCATAGCCAAGAAGAACATAAATAGACATGACTACTATATATAATCTGATATTTTGGCTGAGAACCTGGAACAGAAAAAATACATTAGGTTAGAGTTAAGAAAATATTAAGAAAAAAAGATGCTCCTTGATTTTCAATGGGTTATATTCTGATAAACCCATTTTTGTTGAAAATGTTGTAAGTCTAAAATGTATTTAATACATCTAATCTACCAAACAACTTAGCTTAGCTTAGCCTACCTTAAACATGTTCACAACACCTACATTAGCTTACTATTGGGCAAAATCATCTTGCACAAAGCCTATTTCATAATGGATTTTTGAATATCTCATGTAATTTTTAAAATACTCTACTGAAAGTGAAAAATAGAATGGCTATGTAGGTACTCAAAGTATGATTTGTCCTGAATGTGAACCACTTTTGCACCATGATAAAGTGAAAAACATCTAAGTCAAACCACAGCAAGTCAACAACCATCCACATGAAAGTTTGGTAATGCATTAATATTATTTATTAATTGTAACAAATGTATTATAATAAAATGTTAATCATGTGGGAAAATGGATGCAGAGTATATGGAAACTCTCTGTAGTAGTTTCTCAATTTTTCTAAAAATCTAAAACTGTTCTGAAAAATGAAATATATTGAAAAATAATGAGCCCTCCTATGTCTCAGCAATAATATTTCTAGGTATATAATAAATAGAAATATGTACATATATTCATATAATAAATGAACAGCAATGTTTATAGCATTACTGTTCTTAAAAGCTTCAAACTGGAAATAATCCTAAAATCTTTAAATTGTGTAATGAATATATATGTACTGTAGTATAGTTACAGTGAAACTCTATGTACTAATAAGAATGAATAGACTACAGCTACACACAACATAAATAAACCTAACAAAGTATGCAAAGAAAACTTCTTTTAAAAGTGTATACTATGATTTTATTTATATAAAATCAAAACTCCTACAACTAACCTGTAGCATTATAAGACAGGAGAGCGTGCTTACCCTTGGGGGGAGGTGACTGGGTCAGGACACAGGGGTCTTGTGTCTTCAGGTGCTGGTAATGTTCCCTTCTTTGATCTGGGTGCTGGTTACAAGAGTGTTCACTTTATGAATTTCAATACGAGTTTGTTTTAAAAAATGTTTGTGCCTGTAATCCCAACACTTTGGGAGGCCGAGGCGGACAGACCACAAGGTCAGGAGATCGAGACCATCCTGGCTAACATGGTGAAACCCCATCTCTACTAAAAATACAAAAAATTAGCTGGGCGTGGTGGCAGGCGCCTGTAGTCCCAGCTACTCAGGAGGCTGAGGCAGGAGAATGGTGTGAACCTGGGAGGCGGAGCTTGTAGTGAGCAGAGCTCGCACCCGCCTGGGCAACAGAGCAAGACTCCGTCTCAAAAAAAAAAAAAAAAAAGTTTGTATAACATTCACAGGATGTTGAAGCATTGTTACACCCAGTACATGATAAATACTGAAGTATTCATAAATGCCCTGGCATGAAATGCTTTTAGACCAGGTGTCCCTAATCCTCAGGCCACAGACCTATTAGGAACTGTTAGCAACCAGGCCCCATAGCATAAGATGAGTTGTGCGCAAGCGAAAGAAGTTTTATCTGTATTTACGGCAGCTCCCCATCACTTGCATTACCACCTGAACTCCACCTCCTGTCAGATCAGCAATGGCATTAGATCTCATAGGAGTGCAAGCCCTATTGTTAACTGTGCATATGAGGGATCTAGGTTGTGTGCTCCTTGTGAGACTTAATGCTCCTGTCACTGTCTCTCATCACCCTTAGATGAGACTGTATTAGTCTGTTCTCATGCTGCTAATATAGGCATACCCAAGACTGGGTAATTTATAAAGGAAAGAGATTTATTTAATTTACTCACAGTTCGGCATGGATGGGGAGGCCTCAGGAAACTTACAGTCATGGTGGAAGGGGGAAAAAATACATCCTTCTTCACATGGCAGCAGCAAAAAGCAGTGCAGAGCAAAGGTGGGGAAAAAGCCCCTTATAATGCCATCAGATTTTGTGAGAACTCACTCACTATCACAAGAACGGCATGGAGGTAGTTGCCCCCATGATTCAGTTACCTCCCACCAGGCCCCTCCCATGACACATTTGGATTATGGGAACTACAATTCAGGAAAAGATTTGGGTGGGGACACAGCCAAACAATATCAGGGGCCATCTAGTTGCAGGTAAACAAGCTCAGGGCTCCCACCGATTCCACATTGTGTTGAGTTGTATAATTATTTCACTATATATTACAATGTAATAATAATAGAAATTAAGTGCACAATAAATGTAATGTGCTTGAATCATCCTGAAACATTCCCCTTGCCCCTCTGGTCTGTGGAAAAATTGTCTTCCATGAAACTGGTCCCTGGTGCCAAGAAGGTTGGGTACCACTGTTTTAGACAACTAAGTTCTCCAATGACATTTTATAAAGTAAAATGTCACACATCAAGAAAATAAAACACGAACAAAAGAAGGTAAGCCTTGGCAATAACATGGTGAGTGTTACTGTGTGTTTGGAATTGAAATCCTATTTTTAGCTTTAATTCTCTAAAATAAGGGGGGGGTATGAAAGCAAATAGAATAACAGAAAGAAGTGACAAATAATTATAGTTATTGATACAGGGTTGAATAAGCTTAGAGAGTGAATGAATATGTTATGTCTTCCTTACAAGAGAAAAATAACAGCATAGGACTACCTCCTCTCAAAAATGTAAGAAGATCCCCTTGTAACAACGACCAACTGGTATATTGCCATCAATCAATCCATGTGCCTTTATTTTTAGCATACTTGTAATAAGAGAACAAGTGTTTATTCAGAGAGGCAGTATGAAACATAAACTTTAAGGCAAGATTGCCTGAAAGATTGCCTTAAATCCTGGCCTCATTACTTAGCAGCTGTGTGGCCTTGGGCATGTGTCTTACTTCTTCCTAAAAAACTAATACTACCTTTTCAATAATATGTTTATGAGGATTAAATGTAAGTTCTTTTTATATTAGCTATGATCATATATCAAGCCCTGCAACAAACATACAAGGAAGTCATTTTTACCTCTATCTTATAATAGAAGAAACTGAGACTTAGAGTCCTTAAGTGATTTGCCTAAGGTCACTCAACATTTAAATAGTGGAACAAAATTTCAAAATCAAATGCATATCCTTCCCCTTCCCAGGCTCCCCAACCCACCCAAAATGCTTTCATCCACTAAATTACGTTCTTTCATTCAGGATATAAATCAGTCTGTCATTTTAAAGATCTCTGAAACCATCATTAGGTTGTTCTTTTGAGAACATATCTCCTATTATTTCTGAGAGGTCGTACATGTTAGCTCATTTAATTCCTTATTCAGGTAAATGAAATCTATTATTTTTCATCTTCTCCTCATTGTAGTGATGAGAATCAATGATCATTATCTACAATATAAAAGGCTTTTGTTATGTGAAAAGCAGTTATTAATTTTAGAGAAGATAACAAATTAAGTCTAAAATTTCACATATACAAGAGCAATTAAAGGGCCTTTGGCCATACAATCTCATTCTCCATGAATGGTCTCTTGACATCTCTGCATCTCATTTTATAAATCTTCCAAATAATTAGTCACCTTATTATATTTACCCAAGGATAATCTCGAAGAGACACAAATTACATATTTATAAAATACATTCTGACTATTGGATGAATTAGCTTTGACAGCGCAGTGCCTTTTTTCCTGCATCTTTTTATTCTAGTCGCGACAGACATATGAAACTTTAAGAAGTACGCTGAAATTTGGATTTTAGTTTTACTTGCTGGTTTTGACAAAAAAAAAAAAAAACAAAAACACAAGGCAAGCAAACAAATAAACAAAAATGAAACAAACAAGAAACCTCTTGTGCCTTTCATTTAAGGAAAAAAGATGTTGAAATTACAAAATGCCATGATCAAAGTCAATTTTTAAATTTCTACAAGCTCAGATTTTGATACAATAATTTTACAGAAAAATCACTCAAATGCATGAATTTGCATTGTTATATGTTTAGAGCTAATCAAGAAAAATTTAATCTTTTTTATTTTGCACTTAAATAAGTAAATTCCATAGATTGGTATCAATATACCAGAGTTTTTTGTTGTTGTTGTTAATTTACCTTATACGATGACTCACATTTCTATCATTATGTTGATAGTAAAATATGAAACTGACCTTAACTACTGACCCCTTGTTTCAAAATGTTTATACTGCTATTGTTATTTAAATATTAGAGGTCTGGATGTTTGTAATAAATCCTTAATAGCTCCAGTCAGGAGGGGTGCTTGGTACTGCTACATGGAAAGTAGTTCAAGACCCAGCCTATTAACAATACTAGATGACGAGTTAGTGGGTGCAGCGCACCAGCATGGCACATGTATACATATGTAACTAACCTGCACAATGTGCACATGTACCCTAAAACTTAAAGTATAATTAAAAAAAAAAAAAAAAAAGCTCAAAAAAAAAAAAAAAAAAAACAATGCAGGCTCTTAGTTGGAACCCTTATACTTAGGAGTAGTGGAGAATCAGAGGCAGATCTAGTCTTAACAAAAACTACAAAACGGCTTAGAGTCAGTTCTGACCTTGAGCAAATTAAGGTTATCTGCCCTTACTCCAACTGATCTACAAGAAATAAGATGAATCCTCACAGAAAAAGGTAACAACATTCTGAGATTCTACAAGTTACCATATGTAATATTTGACATTCAATAAAAAATTGCTAGGAATATAAAACATAAGGCCAAGAGGAAAATAAAAATACAGATGACCTGGTTATTGGAGTTATCAAATACAGACTTTAAAATAACTTAATGTTTTCAAGAAAATGAATACACAATGGATAGGTTTTCCCTAGAGAATTAAAACCAGTGAAAGAGAATCATATTGAATGTCTAAATCTAAAAGAATTATATTGATTAACATTCAAAATTTAATACATGAGTTGAATGATAACTTTCAGATGTTATTAGACAAACAGAAGATGAGGCAGTTGAATATTTACAGCCTGAAGCATAGAGAGCAGAAAAGGTAATAGCTATGTAAAAGGACACAATAGATAATATGGGGTCAGTAAAGATATATGTAATATATTTGTACTTACTGTCCCAGATGTGTAGGAGAGAAAAAATGAGAGGCAGAAGCAATATTTGAAAAAAAAAAAACTTTTCCAAAACTAAAGACATTAACTTGCAAATTTATTAATTTATAAATTTTGTTTTAAAATCCAAGCAGATTAAACATGAAAATATTCACACCCAAAGGCATTAGAGAAATACTGCTGACTTCCAATATCAAATAACCATTGGAAGAAAAGATTGATTTATTGCCTCAAATCAGTACCAATCTGACATCTAACATTTCAATAGAAACAGTAAAGAGTATAAGAAAGTAGAATTAATCTTATTAAACAAGTCAGTGGGATTATCATTATTATTAATCTCTAAGATGATACAATAAAATAATTTTAAAGCGGCAACAAAGTAAATACATTTTTAGATGTAAAAAAAAGAATTTGTCATCTGTGTACTTACACTAATGCAAATACTAAAATTTTTTTTAATCGGGCAAATAAAAATGATCTGAGATGGAAAAATAGTAAGGCGTGAGGGAATAAAAAGCAATGATAAAGGTAAATGTGTGAGCATATACAAATATCCCTATACAGGACAGCAATAGCAGAATAATAACATTAGTAATAATTATAATAATTATGAGGTGGTTAAGGAGGATATCTTATAAACTATATATTGTGTGCATTTGTGTGTGGAAATTAATAAACTGATTTTAACGTACACATGGAAATGAACAGGGCCAAAATGACCAATATAATCTTAAAGAATAACAACATTGAAAGACTTTTCAGATATTGAGACTTACTATAGTGCCATGGAAATGAAGAACATGTGGTATTGGAGCAAAGAGATATATAGATCAATGGAAAAAGAATAGGGTCAAGAAACAGATTCAGATGCATATAATCACCTGATTTATGAAAAATACTCTACTGAAGTGCTCCAGGGAAGGGATTTTTTTTTTCTTTTAAATAAACAGGACTGAATCAATCAGAAAATTAGAAGTGCATGTGGGAAAAAGTGAATGCTGACCTTTAATTTACGCTAAAGGAAGAAAACTCTTGACTGCTACTTTGTACTTAAGAAGAAAACATAAGAGAACATCCTCATGACTCTGGATAGCAAACATTTCTTAAATAGGACATTGAGAAGTACCAACCATAAAGAAATAGTGATAAACCATAAAGAAATAGTGATAAACATGGACTACATTATGATGAAGAACTCCTGCTTATCAAAAGATACTGTCATGACAATAAAAATCAGGCATGGGGGAAGCTGTTACACATGTATCCTACAAGGACTTCTATCTAAAATATATAAAGAACTTCTACTTATTAATAAACAGCCAACCGCCTCCCCTCACCATAAAAATACGTTAAATATCTTAAAGACAGTTTACAAAAGATGATACATAAATGCCAACAGCCATATGAAAAAATACTCAATATCATTATCATCAAAGAAATGCAAATTAAATTCACAATTAAATATCGCCACACAACACACAGAACAGCTTAAAAGAGAAAAGATTGACCAGACCAAGTCTTCACAGAAGGTGGATAACTAGAACTTTCATAAAACTGTTGTTGGCCTGTCATTTAGTAAAAACACTTTGGAAAATTGGCAGAATCTTCTAAAGCTAAAAATACATATGTTCACTTTTCTACTATTTCCATTCCTAATTATATACTCAACAAAACTGCACACATATGATTAACCAAAGTCATGCATAAGAAGGTTCATGGTAGCATTATTTGTAATAGCCTCCAACTGAAAGCTACTCAAAATGACCACTAACAGTCAAATGGATAAATACATTCTGGTATATTCCTGTAATGGAATGTTGGTATATTCCCCACAATATTTAACAGTAAGAGCGAACACCCTAACTGCTACACAAGAGAAATCAATGAATTTCACAAATACAATATTGAACAAAGGCAACAATATACAAAAGAGGACATACAGTATTATTTTGTTTGTATAAAGGTAAAAATAGCTAAAATGATCTACGAATTTAGAAGTAAGGATAGTGATTACCATAAATGTAGTCACTGGGAGGAAACATCAAGAATGCTTCCAGCATGCAGGTAATGTTTCCTTTCTTGACCCTGGTGGTGGTTACATAGTGTCTGTTAATTTGGTGATAGGAAGAATTGTGTAATGTTCTAAATGTATGTTAAATTTCAATCAAAAGCTTGTTTAAAAAATCATATTCAATTATTTGCCATTGAATTCCTTGCAGTAGACTTCATATTTCTGCCAATTTCAGTAATCAAAGAGGGGAAAGTGTGTGTCTTAAGATCAAATAATGACAAACAAGTTTAGAAACGAGGACTCTGTGAGTGAGAATCCGTTTGAGGCAGTGAACAGTGCTAATTGCTCCTTGGAGCCTTAGGAAACATAAAGGCCACTGAAAAGGCTGTAATTAATGTGACAGGAGCCCCACTGGTAGAAGGATTAGGGCACCAGCCAGGAGAGCTCAGAGATACCACTCAAGCTTTCTTCCAGATGCCAGTTTCCCTAGACATTTACAGGAAGCAGAGGACAGCGGGAAGGGAGTCACTTTCTTTACCAAGGAGACTATCTCTGTGGAAATCTTAGCACAGGGCCTTCCATGCCCTTGATTGCTGACAATAAATGAGCTTGTCCTGACACACACGCTTTGCCACCTGCAAGTGTGCCTCAAGCACTCTTATAAGTAACAAACTCAGACAGATAGAAAGCTGAGGGTCATTTCATCACCCTCACTAGATGGACTGCCACCCTGGTTGAGAACATGGCAGCAATTTAATGGATGTGCAGAAACAAAAATGTAATTACTACTGTTGGAATTTGTCCTGACATATGGTTAACACTCCCATTCTTGTGCAAAGTGACAGAGGAGAATGTTTCTTGCTCCAGACAAGAGAGGGAAACTGGCCAATGTTTTAGAAAACCTAGAATAGATAAGCCTTTACCACCAACATAGGCAGGCTCAAATCTGGATGAATCCATTCACTATATTTATCATAATTATTTGTTTTCTCATCCTCACAAGCAGATCTTGTCTTTCTTTTCTTTGAGGTGAAGCAGCATGCTGAATTAGGATAAATTAATAGACTAAAACAAAATATAACAAAAGCCTGGTTTCAACCCCTTACTGACTCCCTAATTTGAGTCATGATTTTTTCATCTACAAAATGACAAAAATAATTTCATCTACAAAAGATGATATATAAATGAATTCATCTTATAATGCTTGTGAGTACAAATGAGACAGTAAATACGGAAACATCTTTAAACTGTTAACAACTATTGAAACACTAGTAATTAATAACGTATAAAAGCTGACTTCTTAATTCATATGTACTTAAGGTCTGATTGCTCTTTTCATCTTGTATACTAGATATCTGTGAAATGTCCTATAATCTAAAGGAAAAAATAATTCTGATAGATTTCTCATATTACTTCAGGACACTCTTTCTTGAATTTGTCACACAGCACTTTTTATGGTTATCTAGTACATAAGTAATTCTCAGTAGATTTTAGATGTATTTGTTGAATGAAGGTCTAAATTAAATATTAAACTTTTTTATTAGACAGTGGTTTGTTGGGCTGTAATATTAAAAAAGAAAACTGAAATTAAATATCAACTTTGGAAATAAGTGCTATGGGAAATTAGGTTCATGGAATACATTTTACCTGTTCATAGGCTTGAATTTATTGATTGAGTTATTGCAGAGACTCTATATTTTTTGAAGGTTCTGTATTTTATCAAATAGAAAAATTTTTTTTCTGATGAACGTTATTACATGATTATAAAGCAATTACTTTTGTATTCGACTATTATGGGGAATTGGATGAATTTTAAAATTACGGTATTAAATTAAAATTACTTTAAAATTATAGTATTGTTTTATTGTGCTTTAACATGATTGTGACAATGAATCTATCTTACTACTATTTTCCTATTTTGCTTTTCTTAAGTATGAAATAATGATCCTACTCACCACCCATTACTGAAAGACAAATTCTGGCAATCTAGCTAAGTGATAAAATTTGAAGCCCAGGAACAGAAAAGTTCTGTGTCAGTTGAAAAAAAGTTAAAAAATAACAATTTCTAGAGTTTTTAGCGCCATAAATCTCATGAGTTCAGAGAAGTTGGCTGACATCTGACCTTGGCTTATGATTAAATGCTGTCCAAGTCACAAGAACCCTTTCTTCCTTCCTTCCTCCCTTCCTTCCTTCCATCTTTTTCTAATAATCCAGTATATGTGTATTGATTATATTGGATATTATTAATTTGCCTATCCAGTCTCACTCCCTACCCTTCTCCATCCTGTACTGTGTTCCTGGAAGTAGTATTTTTTTTTTCATTTATTCGCTCATTTAATCATTATGGATGTTGTCACCTGGATTTCCTGTCTTCTAGTTTGCAGTTGGGAATGGTCAATGGAAAGCCCTGGTAGTAAACTGAAAAGTGGGAGGGAGTGAAGTAATAAAGTTGGGGATATTGTCCCATGTCCACAACTTGCTGTGTCATAGGTTGGCATGGACTGTGTTTCCAGTCAATGAAGACTGTTACCTATCCTATAGTGCCATCATTCTGTCGGGGTTTCAATGATCACTCCTCTTTTCTCATTCGGACTTGGATTTGGTAACAGTTCCCAGCTCTTGTTAATTCTGGAATGCTGCACAACTATTTTTAAGAAATTATTTTATTATACATATTTTCCTCTATAATACCAAATGAGCATACCATCTCATTCCTCTTGAAACTCTAACCTATCAGATGATACATCAAGCATTATGGGAGGTGAAGAATATGGAAAAGAATAGGAATTAAGAGACTTCCCTAAGTAACTTGCAACTCATACACAAAATGTCGAGGAAAAGTGCTGTGAGTATTATTGAACTCAAATAGATTAGGAGTTCAGAGAAAGGGGAGTTAATGAGTCCAGGAATTTAAAAAAAAAAAAACTTTATCCTTCAGTTCTCGGAATAATAATCTTTTCTCAAGAAAATCTTTCCTGACCTTTAAATGGGAAATCCACATATTCTCATGACACAGATCATTTGTAATTTGTAGCAGCAGTTGAGATTTTACATGTGCCTATTTGATTATTCAATTGGCATTGGTTTTACCATTGGATAATAAGCTCTTTGAAGGTAGAGACCATGTTTGCTTTTTTTTTGTAAAATTCTAACTTTAGCACCTAGCACTACACATAGGACATAGCAGGCACACAATATTTTACTTGTTGATTAAATGAGTGAATGGATGTAAAAAATAAAATAGACATGGCGAACAATTTTAGCACCTGTAAACTGTGTTTAATGACTGTTTATCACATATCCTGAATGCATGTGCACAATGTAACATTAAATATCTCTTTGGGAATCTTTCTCCAAAGAAACAGAAAGATATATCTTTTCTATGAAGTTCTTCTAAGGAGTAGACTGATCAACATTTAGTGACTTTTGGTCCTTATCCAAAACATAATTACAGAATCATTAAATGATAAGACTTTCAGGTCAAATGTTGAGTCACATGATTGATTTCACTGTGGAGTCCTAAAGCCAACCATAGATCTCTGCTTTAGCTGATGACAAGTGACATTCTCTAGGGATGATTCAGTTTCACACACTTGCTGCCAGAAGCTGGAGCTCCCTGGGGATGTTGTTGTTTATGGCCTAAATAGGCAATGATTCTCAAATGTTTGTGCATCAGAATCACTTGTTGGGTTGTTAAACGCAAATTGCTTGTCCTCCCCTCTGGAGTGCCTGATTCAGTAGATCCAGTGTCGGAGGGTGCAGTAAGAATTGGTGTTCCTAATATGCTCCCATGTTATGCTACTGGTGCCACTGGTCTGGGGACTAAAATATGAGAAACACTGCATTTAAGGATGCCTTTATTCCCAGACCTCCAAAGTTTACATTTCTGTACAAATCCTGTCACTACTAATAATTTTACTTTTTCACATTTTCTATATTTTTACCTTAATCTGCTATTTCTACCTTGAATATTCAAGTTCAGCAAACATTTATGGCAAGGCTACTATATGGTGGCACCATTCTAGGAGCTAGAGATTCATTAACTAATGAAGCAAGCAAACACAAGAAAAAATTTCCTGCCCTCACAGAGATTATACGTAGTGTTTATAGTCAGTTAAATGTATGTTTCATGCTTAATTTGAAAAGTGTTCCCAAGAAAGATACTGTAGTCACAGCAATCTTATTCCACACAATTAATTTAATTTCAACTAATGTTTATTAGAAAAAAGATGCAGATCCCAGGTTCCAAGATGGCCAAATAGGAACAGCTCGTCTACAGCTCCCAGAGTGAGTGATGGAGAAGATGGGTGATTTCTGCATTTCCAACTGAGGTACGGGGTTCATCTCACTGAGGCTTGTTGGACAGTGGCTGCAGCCCACGCAGTGTGAGCCGAAGCAGGGCGGGGCATCACCTCACCTGGGAAGCACAAGGAGTCGGGGAATTCCCTTTCCCAGCTAAGGGACGCCATGACAGATGGTACCTGGAAAATTGGGACCCTCCCACCCTAACACTGCACTTTTCCAATGGTCTTAGCAAACAGCACACCAGGAGATGATATCCCACACCTGGCTGGGAGGATCCCACGCCCATGGAGCCTCGCTCACTGCTAGCACAGCAGTCTGAGATTGAACTGCAAGGCGGCAGTGAGGCTGGGGGTGGGGTGTCAACCATTGCTACGGCTTGACTAGGTAAACAAAGCGGCCAGGAAGCTTGAACTGGGTGGAGCCCACCGCAGCTCAAGGAGGCCTGGCTGCCTCTGTAGACTGCACCTCTGGAGGCAGGGCATAGCTGAACAAAAGGCAGCAGAAACTTCTGCAGGCTCAAAAGTCCCTGTCTGACAGCATTGAAGAGAGTAGTGGTTCTCCCAGCACGGAGTTTGAGATCTGAGAATGGACAGACTGCCTCCTCAAGTGGGTCCCTGACCCCCGAGTAGCCTAACTGGGAGACATCTCCCAGTAGGGGCCGACTGACACCTCATACAGCCGGGTGCCCCTCTGAGATGAAGATTCCAGAGGGAGGATCAGCAGCAACATTTGCCCATCTGCAATATTTGCTGTTCTGCAGCCTCTGCCGGTCAAACTCCAACAGACTTGTAGCTGAGGGTCCTGACTGTTAGAAGGAAAACTAACAAACAGAAAGGACATCCACACAAAAACCCCATCTGTATGTCACCATCATCAAAGACCAAAGGTAGATAAAACCATGAAGATTGGGAGAAACTGAGTAGAAAAGCCGACAATTCTAAAAATCAGAGAGCCTCTTCTCCTCCAAGCGAACACGGCTCCTCACCAGCAACGGAACAAAGCTGGATAGAGAATGACTTTGAGGAGTTGAGAGAAGGCTTCGGACGACCGGTAATAACAAAATTCTCCGAGCTAAATGAGTATGTTCGAACCCATTGCAAAGAAGCTAAAAACCTTGAAAAAAGATTAGATGAATGGATAACTAGAATAAACAGTGTAGAGAAGACCTTAAATGACCTGATGGAGCTGAAAACCATGGCACTAGAACTATGTGACACATGCACAAGCTTCAGTAGTAGATTCGATCAAGTGGAAGAAAGGGTATCAGTGATTGAAGATCAACTGAATGAAATGAAGTGAGAAGAGAAGTTTAGAGAAAAAAGAGTAAAAAGAAATGAACAAAGCCTCCAAGAAATATGGGACTATGTGAAAAGACCAAATCTACATCTGACTGGTGTACCTGAAAGTGATGGGGAGAATGGAACCAAGTTGGAAAACACTCTGCAGGATATTTGACAGGAGAACTTCCCCAACCTAGCAAGGCAGGCCAACATTCAAATTCGGGAAATACAGAGAATGCCACAAAGATATTCTTTGAGAAGAGCAACTCCAAGACACATAATTGTCAGATTCACCAAAGTTGAAATGAAAGAAAAAATGTTAAGGGCAGCCAGAGAGAAAGGTCGGGTTACCCACAAAGGGAAGCCCATCAGACTAACAGCTGATCTCTCGGCAGAAACTCTACAAGCCAGAAGAGAGTGGGGGCCAATATTCAACATTCTTAAAGAAACGAATTTTCAACCCAGAATTTCATATCCAGCCAAACTAAGTTTCATAAGTGAAAGAGAATAAAATCCTTTACAGACAAACAAATGCTGAGAGATTTTGTCACCACCAGGCCTGCCTTACAAGAGCTCCTGAAGGAAGCACTAAACATGGAAGGGAATAACTGGTACCAGCTACTGAAAAAACATGCCAAATTGTAAGGACCATCGATGCTAGGAAGAAATTGCATTAACTATTGAGTAAAATAATGAGCTAACATCATAATGACAGGATCAAATTCACACATAACAATATTAACCCTAAATGTAAATGGGCTAAATACTCCAATTAAAAGACACAGACTGGCAAATTGGATAAAGAGTCAAGCCTCATCAGTGTGCTGTATTCAGGAAACCCATCTCACATGCAGAGACACACAAAGGCTCAAAATAAAGGGATGGAGGAAGATCTGCCAAGCAAATGGAAAACAACAACAACAACAAAAAAGCAGGGGTTGCAATCCTAGTCTCTGATAAAACAGACTTTAAACCAACAAAGATCAAAAGAGACAAAGAAGGCCACTACATAATGGTAAAGGGATCAATTCAACAAGAAGAGCTAACTATCCTAAATATATATATGCACCCAATACAGGAGCACCCAGATTCATAAAGCAAGTCCTTAGAGACCTATAAAAAGACTTAGACTCCCACACAATAATAATGGGAGACTTTTAACACCCCACTGTCAACATTAGACAGATCAACAAGACAGAAAGTTAACAAGGATATCCAGGAATTGAGCTCAGCTCTGCACCAAGCGGACCTAATAGACATCTACAGAACTCTCCACACCAAATAAACAGAATATACATTCTTCTCAGCACCACATGGCACTTACTCCAAAATTGACCACACAGTTGGAAGTAAAGCACTCCTCAGCAAATGTAAAAGAACAGAAATTATAACAAACTGTCTCTCAGACCACAGTGCAATCAAACTAGAACTCAGGATTAAGAAACTCACTCAAAACTGCTCAACTACATGGAAACTGAATAACCTGCTCCTGAATGACTACTGGGTACATAAAGAAATGAAGGCAGAGATAAAGATGTTCTTTGAAACCAATGAGAACAAAGACACAACATACCAGAATCTCTGGGACACATTTAAAGCAGTGTGTAGAGGGAAATTTATAGCACTAAATGCCCAGAAGAGAAAGCAGGAAAGATCTAAAATTGACACCCTAACATCACAATTAAAAGAACTAGAGAAGCAAGAGCAAACACATCAAAAGCTAGCAGAAGGCAAGAAATAACTAAGATCAGAGGAGAACTGAAGGAGATAGAGACATAAAAAACCCTTCAAAAAATCAATGAATCCAGGAGATGGTTTTTGAAAAGATCAACAAAATTGATAGACCGCTAGCAAGACTAATAAAGAAGAAAAGAGAGAAGACTCAAATAGACGCCATAAAAAATGATAAAGGGGATATCACCACTGATCTCACAGAAATACAAACTACCATCAGAGAATACTACAAACACCTATATGCAAATAAACTAGAAAATCTAGAAGAAATGGAAAAACCCGTGGACTCATACGACCTCCCAAGACTAAACCAAGAAGAAGTTGAATCCCTGAGTAGACCAATAACAGGCTCTGAAATTGAGGCAATAATTAAGAGCCTACCAACCAAAAAAAGTCCAGTACCAGACGGATTCACAGCCAAATTCTACCTGAGGTACAAAGAGGAGATGGTACAATTCCTTCTGAAAATATTCCAATCAACAGAAAAGGAGGTAATCCTCCCTAACTCTTTTTATGAGGCCAGCATCATCCTGATACCAAAGCCTGGCAGAGACACAACAAAAAAAGAGAATTTTAGACCAATATCCCTGATGAACATCAGTGCAAAAATCCTCAATAAAATACTGGCAAACCGAATCCAGCAGCACATCAAAAAGCTTATCCACCACAATCAAGTTGGCTTCATCCCTGGGATGCAAGACTAGTTCAACATATGCAAATCAATAAATGTAATCCAGCATATAAACAGAACCAAAGAAAAAAACCACGATTATCTCAATAGATGAAGAAAAGGCCTTTGACAAAATTCAACAGCACTTCATGCTAAAAACTATCAATAAACTAGGTATTGATGGGTCATATCTCAAAATAATAAGAACTATTTATGAGAAAACCACAGCCAATATCATACTGAATGGGCAAAAACTGGAAGCATTCCCTTTGAAAACTGGCATAAGACAGGGATGCCCTCTCTCACCACTCCTATTCAACACAGTGTTGGAATTTCTGGCCAGGGCAATCAGGCAGGAGAAAGAAATAAAGGGTATTCAAGGAAAAGAGAAAGTCAAATTGTCCCTGTTTGCAGATGACATCATTGTATATTTAGAAAACCCCATCGTCTCAGCTCAAAATCTCCTTAAGCTGATGAGCAACTTCAGCAAAGTCTCAGGATACAAAATCAATGTGCAAAAACCACAAGCATTCCTATACAACAATAACAAACAAACAGAGAGCCAAATCATGAGTGAACTCCCATTCACAATTGCTTCAAAGAGAATAAAATACCTAGGAATCCAACTTACAAGGGATGAGAAGGACCTCTTCAAGGAGAACTACAAACCACTGCTCAATGAAATAAAAGAGGACACAAAGAAATGGAAGAAAATCCCATGCTCATGGATAGGAAGAATCAATATCATGAAAATGGCCATACTGCCCAAGGTAATTTATAGATTCAATGCCATCCCCATCAAGCTACCAATGACTTTCTTCACAGAATTGGAAAATCTACTTTAAAGTTCATATGGAACAAAAAAAGAGCCCGCATTGCCAGGACAATCCTAAGCCAAAAGAATGAAGCTGGAGGCATCATGCGAACTGACTTCAAACTACACTACAAGGCTACAGTAACCAAAACAGCATGGTACTGGTACCAAAACAGATATATAGACCAATGGAACAGGACAGAGTCCTCAGAAATAATACCACACATCTACAACCATGTGATTTTTGACAAACCTGACAAAAACAAGAAATGGGGAAAGGATTACCTATTTAATAAATGGTGTTGGGAAAACTGGCTAGCTATATGTAGAAATCCCTTCCTTACACCTTATACAAAAACTAATTCAAGATGGATTAAGGACTTAAATGTTAGACCTAAAACCATAAAAACCCTAGAAGAAAACCTAGGCAATACCATTCAGGACATAGGCATGGGCAAGGACTTCATGACTAAAACACCAAAAGCAATGGTAACAAAAGCCAAAATTGACAAATGGGATCTAATTAAACTAAAGAGCTTCTGCACAGCAAAAGAAACTACCATCAAAGTGAACAGGTAACCTATAGAATCGGAGGAAATTTTTATAATCTACCTATCTGACAAAGGGCTAATATCCAGAATCTACAAAGAACTTAAACAAATGTAGAAGAAAAAAATCAAACAACCCCATCAAAAAGTGGGTAAAAGGTATGAACAGACACTTCTCAAAAGAAGACATTTATGCAGCCAACAGACACATGATCACTGGCCATCAGAGAAATGCAAATCAAAACCACAATGAGATACCATCTCACACCAGTTAGAATGGCAATCATTAAAAAGTCAGGAAACAACAGGTGCTGGAGAGGATGTGGAGAAATAGAAACACTTTTACACTGTTGGTTGGACTGTAAACTAGTTCAACCGTTGTGGAAGACAGTGTGGCAATTCCCCAAGGATCGAGAACTAGAAATACCATTTGACCAGCCATTCCATTACTTGGTATATACCCAAAGGAATATAAATCATGCTGCTATAAAGACACACACACATATGTTTATTGCGGCACTATTCACAAAAGCAAAGACTTGGAACCAACCCAAATGTCCATCAATGATAGACTGGATGAAGAAAATGTGGCACATATACACCATGGAATACCATGCAGCCATAAAAAAGGATGAGTTCATGTCACTTGTAGGGACATGGATGAAACTGGAAACCATCATTCTCAGCAAACTATCACAAGGACGGAAAACCAAACACCGTATGTTCTCACTCATAGGTAGGAATTGAACAATGAGAACACTTGGACACAGGAAGGGGAGCATCACACACCAGGGTCTGTTGTGGGGTGGGGGTAGGAGGGAGGGATAGCATTAGGAAATACACGGAATGTAAATGACGAGTTAATGGGTGCAGCACACCAACATGGCACTTGTATACACATGTAACAAACCTGCATGTTGTGCACATGTACCCTTGAACTTAAAGTATAATAAAAAAAAAAAAGAAAGAAAAAGGAGGACACACATTGAAACGAAATAAACATATCTTCTGTCCTGAAAAAAAATCTCATGACAGACAAAGACATATAATGCATTTGTTAAATATTTCTTTGAATTATATTCAAATGCCTCTTTCTCTGTAAATATTAAGCAGTATCACAGATAATGGTTGTAGTTTCTCTGCCCCATATAAAAATGTTATCCTAAACTGAAATATTTGATATTTTAAAATCAGGTATTTTTAAATACCTGAGGGTTTTAAACTGATGTGGGAAATACATGGCTAGAAATGTTGCCATTTGTTTTATTGAAAACTTGGATTAAACAGTATTTTCTGCATTTGTTTCCAATGTGGTTAAAGCTGATGAGATCAAGAAAATGATCTCGATGCTTTTGTTCACACCTTTTTTGCCATTTTTTCCATAGGTAGACAAATCCTTACATTTCTGCATATATATTAGTTTGTAGGGTATTATATTAACATTATTATAAAATATCAGTAAAAATATTTTTAGGAGTATCGCTTATCCAGATGACTTTAAAAACTTCTAGTTTTTTTATTTATTAAAGCATAAACTTGCTTATCTTACAGTAGTATCAAATTTAGTAACGTGGTTTTAAAAAGTCTATAAATTGTTCCATTACCATGTAATTCATAGAGGGAACAGAATAAGAAGGCTGGGTGATACAGTATTAAAATAAAAAAGCAAACATTGTTTGAGACATGAAGTCCTTTCTTTACATCCTTTGCTAAAAAGTTTGAACTGTAACATTAGAAACTGATAGCCTGAGTTCCTACCTCTGTTCTACCATTAAATAACCAAGTAACCCTAGGCACTTCCCATACCTCTCAGATTTCATTTTTCTTATCTGTAAAGTTGGTTTAATAAGAACACTTCAAAGGATTGCTTTGAGTTAAATCAAGTAAAGCTTCTTAGGCAGACTTCATCACATAGGTAGGTATGTAATAAATGTTAGCTGTACACGTACTGATGCATATTAATATCAGACAGACAACTATATCTGTTGACAGAAAAAGAATGAACAAGAGGCAGAAATAGTATACTGAAATGTTTCCTATTGGTGTGTCCCCCCGTGTGTAATGAACCACTAGTTTAGAGACATGCTCCCAGGAACAGTGTTTCTGGATCAAACATATTGAGAAAACGTTGCATTTTCATCTTCTTTCTGAACCTGTTTGCATATCAATATCCTTGAGAAGTTCTTCAAAATATTTCAAAACATCTCCCAGTCCTTTTAAAAATTCCTACATATAGGTCTCATGTAATATCAATTGTGTCCTATAGAACTTTTATAAAAAACACTTTGCATAATGCTAGCCATACATTATTACTTTACTGGGCTAATATGCTGGTAATAGGAAAAGAAAGACAAGTCAGTAGTCAAAGGAAATTAGAGAAAGAATACACAGGAACTTTACAAGCGGAAGGACCATCCTGAAATGGTAAGCATTACGTCAGTGTTACTTTGATTTAAACAGCAATGGCAGCTTAAAACAATGTAAAAACTGAAGAACAGACAATTTTATAAGCAATGGCATGTGTCTGATATGGTAGGAAATAATAGTGTCAGCACATTCCACATGGGTAATTGGTTTTCATTGTGCATATTCCCAGCAAATTGGGCCTTTTGCTCCTAATTTAAACACCCATTTTTGCCTAATTATGTTGTGTATTTACATCTCACATTATCTTTGTTAACACGTGGAAATTCAGCTGGTGACCTAGCAGGAAGTCCCTTGAAGCCATAACTCTTTAATTACCTTCCCTGGAGCCAGAGTGCTTTGAATTGAGAGGTAGTCAGAACTGGTTATAGGAAAAGTGCTGCAAAAAATACACAGATGTACAAGCCCTGATGGTTTTGATCTATACATTTATGCTTAGTGTTTTTTAGTAGTCAGTAGCATAGGCTTTAAATTCAAATAAGCTATGTTCAAGCACACGCTGTACTATCAACTAGGTCATATGAGCTTAACAACTTACTTGATTGTTCTGTACCTCAGTTTGTTGAATGTTAAAATGGAGAAATAATAACAACACCTAAAACCATAGGAATGAGACAAAAAGATGTGAGAATATGTGTAAAGCCTCTGAAATATAGAGCATGCTTACTAAAAATGACACTAGTTTTATAACTGTTCATTATAATTATTTCCTTGTGTGTAGTGAGACATGATTAAATATTTGCTGTCCCCAAATTATGAATATTTATAACGAATAGTATTCATTAATAATAAGCAAGCCATTCATTTCTGTCCTTATTTGAATGATTTGTCTATTTGATGTTTTATATTCTCATTAAAAATACTAATACATCAGCTTTTTGTTTCATATTTGATGTTAAAATATTAATTTGCTTTTTGGTGTGCTAATTATATATATTTATATATACATATTTTTTGAGACAGAGTCTCACTCTGTTACCTAGGCTGGAGTGCAGTGGCACAATCTCGGCTCACTGCAACCTCCAGGTTTAAGCGATTCTAATGCCTCAGCCTCTTGAATAGCTGGGATTACAGGCACGTGCCACCACGCCTGGCTAATTTTTTGTATTTTTAGTAGAGACGGGGTTTTACCATGTTGGCCGGGCTGGTCTTGAACTCCTGACCTCAAGTGATCCGCCCACCTCGGCCTCCCAAAGTGCTGGGATTACAGGCGTGAGCCACCTCACCCAGCTGCTAACTGTATTCCTAAAGAAATATTTGTTCAATGTGTTAATGATTTTAAACATTATTAAATAAAATCATTGGAATAAAAACCAAAATCAACTGTTTCATGATTATTGAAATTTAGTAAACTTCAGCAATGACATGACAGCATGAGAACATGCTTAGTCAATAAAAATATTTAAGACTGAGAAATGTGTCTTTTATGATGGAATTCAAATGATGCAATGTAGGCAAAAACTAAATATTTAGGTACCATCCCATGTAATAGAAGAGCTGGTGTTCTAACAATGATTTTATATGACTCTTTTAACATAAGTACCTTAATGACAGCTACAGTTTATTAACTCTATTATCTTGGTCAACAATTGTTCTAATGACTACATACCTTGTGCCCTTGACATCTCATGAAAATTATAGAATAAGTACCATTATCTGCAATTTGCAGATGAGAAAACTGAGGTAAAAGAAAAATAGAAATTGTCTCAACCCAATACTTCTTTCTCTGTCTTTCTTTAGGAGACAGAAAATGCATCATTACTAGACATAAGCATTTCAGGACTTAGGTGGGGCTAATTATGGTCCCCCATTTTCCTGAATTTTTTTTTTTTATGGATAGGCATTTGTCTCCAGCTGGATCAGGGACATTCCCATGAATTTCTTGGGTGTGAGTTGGTAGGGAATGATTTTTTTCCCACATTTGTGATCGCAAGTTCTATGTTTGTACAAATGAAGTGATTCATGGCATGTTTCTTCTGCCTTGAGAAAGTCTATATGTATTAAAAGCAAAAGAATTTGAGACAGAGAAAAGAGAGAAATCGATGCTCTGAAGCCCTTGAATTATGTCGTTTCTAAATTCAGCTTAAACTCTGCAGTTTTGTGTTTCTGTTGTGTCATCCACTATGTTTTGTTTTTTATTTTCAAGGTAATTAAGTCAGGTTTCTGCAATTTGCAATTAGAAGAGTTGTTCCTATTTAAATCAAGGAGGGTAGGTATATTATCCAAAATAACATGGCTGATTAGTCGTAGAAGTAAGAATCAAACCTAGGTCAGTAAGTGCAAAAACCCATTCTTTCAACACTGGAGACTTTATCATAGTTTGACAAATAAAAAATCCAGCAATCATTTTTGAAATTGGGTTGTTTTCTTGCTACTGAGTTGTTTGAGTTTCTTATGTATTTTGGATATCTACCCCTTATCAGATACAAGGGTTGCAAATATTTTCTCTTAATCTATAGGTTGTTTCTTCACTCCCTTGTTTCCTTTACCATGCAGAAGATTTTATTTTATTTTCGAAATACTCATTAACTTAAAAACAGATGCTCCATTAATTTACTCATGCTAATCCTATTTGATCTAAACTTTTCAAGGGTTTCATTTTTCTTTGTATTTTCATCGGCATATTATAGCTGTGCATAATTTGGAAGTACCTGTGATATTTTGATACACTTATACAATGTGTAATTATCAAGACAGGGTAACTGGGATATCTATCACCTCAAACATTTTTCTTTGTGTTGGCAACATTACAATTCTTCTCTTCTATTTTGAGTTATACAATAAATAATTGTTAAGTGTAATTTACTTATAGTTCTATTGAATACTAGAACTTAATATGAGCTATTTATTTATTTATTTATTTTTATTTTATTTTTCCTTAAGTTATTTGGGTACAGATGGTATTTGGTTACACGAGTAAGTTCTTTAGTGGTGATTTGTGAGATTTTGGTGCAACCATCACCCAAGCAGTATACACTGCACCGTATTTATTGTCTTTTATCCCTCACCACCCCCACTCTTCCCCCAAAATCCCTGAAGTCCATTTTATCATTCTTATGTCTTTGTGTCCTCATAGCTTAGCTCCCACATATCAGTGAGAACATACGATATTTGCTTTTCCATTCCTGAGTTACTTCACTTCGAATAATAGTCTCCAATCTCATCCAGGTCACTGCAAATGCTGTTAATTCATTCCTTTATATGGCTGAGTAGTATTCCAGTAGATGTTAGCGTGAATGCAGTGATCATGGAACACTTCTACATTGCTGGAAAGTAGTCCAGCCACTATGGAAAACAGTATGGGGAGATTCCTTAAAGAGCTCAAAGTAGAACTATCATTTAATCCAGCATTCCCACTGCTGGGTATCTACCTAGAGGAAAAGAAGTCATTTATATGAAAAAGATACTTGTACATGCATGTTTATAGCAGCACAATTTGCAATTGCAAAATCGAGGAACCAACCCAAATGCCCATCAGTCAATGAGTGGATAAAGAAACTGTGGTATATATATATACGATGGTATACAATTGATCTTACTTCTAGGTATCCATCCAAAGGATTTGAAATCAGTATGTTGAAGAGATATGTGCACCCACGTTCATTGCTGCATTATTCACAATAACCAAGATGTAGAATCAACCTAAGTGTCCATCAGTGGATGAATGGAAAAATAAAATATTGTACATATATGAAATAGAATATTATTCAGCCTTTAAAAAGAAGGAAATTCTGTCATTTTTAACAATGTGAATAAAACCAGTTGACATTGTACCAAATTAAATAAGTCAGCCACAGAAAGACAAATACTTATATGTAGAACCCAAAACAATCAAATTCAAAGAATCAGAAAGTAGGATGGTATTTATCAGACACTAGAGGATGACAGGGCAATCAAGAGATGTTGGTCAAAGGGTGTCAAGTAGTTAGATAGGATGAATATATTGGCTGTGCTCTAGTGCACAGCACGGTGACTACAGTTAATAGTAATGTATTATGTATTTCAAAATTGCTGAGCATAAATTTCAAATGTTCTTATTACAAAAAATAAGTATTCAAGATATTAATTAGCTTGATTTAACCATTCCCCATCATATACCTATATCATAACATCACATTGTACTCCGTAAGTACATACAATTATAATTTGTCAACTAACACTAATAATGGATTTTAAAATATCAGTAATTAGTGTGAGAGTAAGATGAATACCTTTTAATAATTCTTGGACATTTTTCTAATTCCTTAACTAATTTAGTAAAAAGTGGATGAAATGATAAAATGTAGTCCTAAATTCTCATTATCAGTAACTACTTTCACATTAAGGCCTTTTAAAACAATTAAAATTGATTTTCATAGAAGATTATTGAATAAAAAGCCCAAAGAGGCAGCTTTTCCTAACCAGATCATCAACTGTGATGCTAAAATAGAGATATCATGTTAACACAGTGTTAAATTCAATTTTTAGAGGCTATTGTCCTATACTGGTGGCATCCAAGAGCACATTGCCCAAACAAAAGCTAAACAGTTGGTATGGGCCAAGGTAGACAGACAAAGAGCTGAAGCTTCTCTAAGCTGTTGAAAATGATGTACCAACAACTCATCTGAGAAGCTGATGATAATGCAATAATGGAACTGGAAAGCCTGTAATAATATTTTGATTTTGTGGGGAATGTCTTTTCTAGATTGGAGCTGATAATAAGCTGTGACTATTGACATAGAGATGTAGAAGTTTCCCTGGCGTTTGGGCTCTGAATGTTATTCATATTACGAAGTCTGGTAACTCATGTGAACAATGATGCCCCATTCTGACCACCCTCATAAGAACCTCAAATGAATGACATTTGGCAAGTAAAATCATCAATTTTTTTTTTTAAGTTGCCAACAGCACAAGCAGTCTGCAGTGGCTGGAGTTGACTCTTTCCCCAGGGGTAGGTGCTATGATTCCCCACACTGTCTTAGAAGGTCCACCACTGCCAGAATATTTCATGGGGTACTCTTACACATCATCCAACATGAGCTAATACATCATTTTAACTGCAGTTCTGGGAAACACAAATGGAGATGTTGGGTTGGAAATATACGAGGTGTATTGAGCAGCGGGTGTTTTGATTGTGAATGCAGAGGATCTCAAGAAAATATGTACTCCTCTGAAACTGTTTCCGTATGTTTCTTGATCCACAGATTTCACTACAGGAGACATGGTGTTATCTTGATTAATGCCTTCATCGTAAATATATGATAAATGAGACCTTACGTCCATTCTGGCCCTTTCTTACTGTAACAAGATCAAAGGAAATATATTTCATTCTGCTGTGAAGGTATTTTTTTATGTTGTGTAATGCAAAAAGGTGACCCACTCTTACAGTAGCTCTACTTTTATGCATGCCTGTAAAGAAAGAAGAAAATAATTTCTAAGGTTAAGATCTCTTTTTTTCTCTAAGAGATAATTTTAATTTTTTTTTTACATAATGTGAGGGTGTTACAGAACATAACAGTATTTTCCATTTTAGTAGTCATTCATGTCATATCTTGGAAAAAGAAAATAAAGGTGATGTTTATCAGTTGTATCCAATAAAATTTTGTCTAAATTTTTGTTCTTTGGGGTTATTTAAAGGTTTTTTTTGGTGTTTAATTATGATAGAAATTTCCCATAATTTTCTATTTAAAGCAGTTTTTCAGTGCGCATCCTGTATACTTGTTTACCTGTAGGTTAAATTCTTAGCGCAAAAATGCTAATGTTGAAAAGTAACTAGCTAAATAATTATCTCAATTACATTCTGATGTTTTGAAGGAAATATTTTGTATGCACATAAAACTGAAAATAATTATAAAATTTAACCGATTTTATTCCTTTAGACAATTTGGCATTTATTTTTGCTTAGTAAGGCTAATCCTAAACAATGATTACAAAAAAAAAACACTATTATTTTCTATTTGTAGCATTGTTTTTACATGTGCATTTTTAATTCATTGAAAACTGATTTCTGCCTAAGAAAGGCAGAAAAGGAAGCAAGTTTAATTTTTTCTCCAAATGTTTAGCTTGTTTTCCCAACACCTTTTATTTCATTCTCTAGAGAATGGAAGTGTTAAATTGAGGAGAGTTTCTTAAGCACCCAGAGCATCAGTTATCTTACCAATAAAGTTATCGTGCCTCTTCAGTGGGTAGTACTAAATAATTAACAAAATAGCCCAAGTGAAAACAACCCATAACCACAAACAACTATCTAACATTTTAAAGATTTAAAACTACTGTTTCAACTTGTCAGGACTTTTGTATTGTGTATGCTAATTAAATTCCTAAGACGAAAATTTATTTCAGTAAAAGCTATAGTTTTCCTTAAAGGAAAAAATTTGCATTCACAAATGTTTTATGTTATGTCCTAAAGGATGATTTTCTTTGCAACAATTATTGACAAACTACTGGTAAGTCCAGTCATGGGAATACTAAGATGAGGCTATTGACACATCATGTGCTAGGCATGGGCTTTGACTTCATTTGTTATGTGATGGAAAAGGATTTTCTTTGAGTCATTTTCCCTTGCCACACATACCTTGCAACTGAAAGCCAGAACACAGTAGATGTTCAAGGCATTCTAGTTGATTGAATTCACATGGCTGGGTTTGGCAATTCAATCCCTGACTATAACAAAGAAAATTGCTAAATAATCCCCGTTGTGACACAGTCCAACATCCTGAGGTAAGACACCAGGTCTCAATTTTATTAGAGCTACACCTTACTTAACAACATTTAGCCAGGAATAGGCAATTTATGAATTTTGTTCAACTAGGTATTGATGTTAGTTCATTTGGATTTTAAAGTGTTAAAATACAGTAGATTTTTAAAAAAAGACAGAGTCTTTGTCTGTTGCCCAGGCTAGAGTGCAGTGGCGCCACCTCAGCTCACTGCAACCTCTGCCTCCCAGGTTCAAGCAAATCTTCTGCCTCGGTCTCCCGAGTAGCTGTGACTACAGATGCGTGCCACCATGCCTGGCTAATTTTTGTATTTTTAGTAGAGACGAGGTTTCACCATACGAACTCCTGACCTCGTGATCTGCCAGCCTCGGCCTCCCAAAGTGCCGGAATTACAGGCGTGAGCCACTGCGCCGGGCCAAATGCAGCAGATTTAGTGGCATTCACAATCTGTGCATGCACCTAGACTTGGCTGCCAAACAGAAGCATTCTTTGCAATGTCTTAGGGGAATTAGGGAGAGAAATTCTGCAGAACTAAACAGGCAGGCGGCCCATTGGGACACATGTTGCCTGTAATGGGTATTGTGCCAGTGCACAGTATTGAAGGGCATAAATAAAATGTGATGGAAATAGAAAGGAAAGAGAGAAACTCTATTTCCATAGGGACATATAAAGTATAGTGATAATATTCTAACAGCAGTTATATAACTTTTTGTCCAAATCTATTTTTAAAGTGGAAGATTAGAGTTGAATTTTTCTCAAAAATGAAGGTTATATCCCCTATAAGTTAGTTTTTGAAGTAGATGACAGATTAATAGCTAAACACCTTTCATTTTAAATATGGAACCAAAACTTTAGGATGATAAACTAAGTGTGATATAGAATGTTAAGAAACATTGCTTTGGTCTGACAACGTGAAACTGTAGCATAGATGAGCTATGGTTTAAAAGCTGTGTCCCACCCAGAATTCACGTGTTGAAAAGTAATGCGGAATGTAAGAGTACTAAGGAGTGGGGCTTTGGGGGCAGAGATTAAGTCATGAGGGTTACACCCTCATGACTGGATTAATGTAATTATAATAGAGGCTTCAGACAGTTGCCTAACTTTATCTTGCTCTCTTTCCCTTCTGCCTTTTGCAATGTAAAAATGCAGTAACAGTGCACCATCAATGAGCAATGGTGCCTCACTGGACACTGAACCTGCTGGTGCCTTGGTCTTGGACTTCTCAGCCTCCAGCTGTTACAGTAGGTAGATAAGCATGGCAGGAGACAGGAGACAGCTCCCCGCACCAGCACACACTATCCTCACCATCAGGTGATGGTGATGATCAAGCAGATGTTAACTGTCTCTCTAAAATGATAATTGGTCATAGCCAATGCCAGAGAAAGGCAGGATCTAAATAGACAGAAACACCTGAAACTGGTGATCAGAGGCTTCCTGATAAGATCTCAGGAGTTGGGTGAGTGGGCTCACACATGTGCACTGAGACAAAATGGTGGCGTTTAGCTGGTATATGACCTTGTAGGAACATTTGAATGGTAAGGGAAGAACGCCTTAGGTAAGCATGAGCACAACTCCAGTAAACACACTGTGGATGCAGCCCCTCCCAAGTGCTAGCAGGCCACTGTACATACAGAGAGCCCACCCCAAGGGAAGAATCAGGGGAGAAAAGGTGCAAGACCCCAGAGTATGCCAACTGCAATTAGTCCATTCTCACGCTGCTGATAAAGACATACCCAAGACTCACAGTTCCACCTGGCTAAGGAGGCCTCACAATCATGGTGGAAGGCAAAAGGCACATTTTACATGGTGGCAGACAAGAAAGAATGAGAGCCAAGTGAAAGTGGAAACCCCTTATAAAACCATCAGCTCTTGTGAGACTTATTCACAACCATGAGAACAGTATGGGGGAACTGCCTTCATGATTCAATTATCTCCCATCGGGTTCCTTCCACAATCTATGGGAATTATGGGAGCTACAATTCAAGATGAGATTTTGGTGAGGACACAGCCAAACCATACCACCAACATATAAAACCATAAATTAATGGTTAAGCCAGGCACTTGATCTCTCAAGTCACCTGCCTGTCCCTCTTCCAAGTGTACTATACTTCTTTTCATTCCTGTTCTAAAGCTTTTTAATAAACTTTGACTCCTGCTCTAAAACTTGCCTCAGTCTCTAAATCTGCCTTATGCCCCTCAGTGAAATTATTTCTTCTGAGAAGGCAAAAATTAGGTTGCTGCAGACCTGTGCAGATCTGCACCGCTGGTAATACAGACAGTGAGAAAATATATTTTTAAAATTTATAAATTACCTTGTCTCAAATATTCTGTTATAGCAGCACAAATAGGCTAAGATAATGTGTTATGGGCTGAATTGTATCTTCCAATGTTTACATGTTGAAGTAATAACCCCTAATACCGCTGGTAATACAGACAGTGAGAAAATACATTTTTAAAATTTATAAATTACCTTGTCTCAAATATTCTGTTATAGCAGCACAAATAGGCTAAGATGATGTGTTATGGGCTGAATTGTATCTTCCCATGTTTACATGTTGAAGTACTAACCCCTAATACCTTGGAATGTGGCTATATTTAGGGATAGGGTGTTTGAAGAGATAGTTAAGGTAAAATGATTTAATATGAGTGGGCACTAATTCAATATGACTGGTGACCTTATAAGAGGAGATTAGGACACAGGCACACACACAAGAAAGGCCATGTGAAGACACAGGGAGACGACAGCCATCTACAAGACAAGAAGAGAGGACTCATGATAAATCAACCCTGCCAACACCTTATTTGTGGACATCTAGCCTCCAGAACTGTGAGAAAATAAATTTCTGTTGTGTAAGCCACCCAGTCTGTGGGACTTTGTTATAGAAACCCTAGCAAATTAATACAATGAGATTAATGCATAATTTTCTTCAGTATTTTTGCATTCTACAAAATATGTTTTCTCTCAAATTCAGTTTTGTATATGGAATTCTACAAAGGTGAATTTGTACGAAGATGGTTTTTATTGATTATCACAGTGATTAACATTTTCTCTCTCTTTTGACCCAGATCAGCACTGTTCTTATAGTTTTGAGAAAAGAAGATAGCTCAGAGCAGTCTGAGATACGTGAGGTACACAGGCCCAGAGACACATGAGTATGGGCCTTGTCACGTACTTCCCCATCCACACTTGGGGCAATTGTTTAAGGTCAGTTTGTTCCTGACTTGCTGCTTCACTCATAATCTTCATGTTCCTGGAATTTGTGATACAAAGAACAATATATAATCAATAGCTTATATTATTTTAATGTAATTCTTGGTAAACAGTACAGAAACTGCCTCTTCTTTTCCTTTAAAAATCCATCTGTAACTGCCTCTAATGGAAACATATATTCAGGGCAACTTGAATCTATGTTCCTGGGTTACAATCCTCAAGATTGGCCCCAGTAAACTCTTGACTTACATTAATTTTACCCAAGCTCCTTCCTTTCAGGTCAAGACATCTTATTATTTGCTTCTTATTACTTCATAATTCATGTATTATTAATTCATGAATTTATGATGAAAAGAGGCAAAGGCAGCTTAAGCAATTTGCCATGTTCACACAGCTTATAAATTACTGAGCCAAAGATCAAAACTAGATATCTCTTACTCTCAAACATTTCTTTTAATCACTATGCAATCTTTACTTGTGCCTACCTTTTACAAAAAGACTGGCAATGAGTAGTTCAAATGGTAGACTCTCAAAGTCTTTGCTAGAAATAATATTATTTCAGTTAATTGAAGTTGTTAGGGCTCAGGCAATGATACCCTAAAATATGGCATTTCAGCTTGCTGAGTACTTGAATTCAAGGAAATTAAGAGGCCTCAGAGATAAACCTCCAAACCAACGTCTCTCTCTGACCTTTCCCAGCCCTCTCTGTCTCTTTGATCCTCTTGTTTTTTTTTTCCTAAAGCACTGGAAACGACTATCTCTGGAAGTTCCTTATCTGACTAAGAAAACTTCTTTCCAAAAGAAATGTGATTGTCTTAAAACCCTGTCCCTAGTAATCTCATCAGGTACCCAGGAAAGATTAACTACCCGAGAAGAGAAGAAATTGGGAGTCAAGATATCACCCAGACAGATTTTTCAACTATTCTTCTAAAGGTAGTTCTGAAAGCTTACCTGGGAAACTTTACCTGCATAATTAAACAACCTTTGTTCATAATGAGGTTCTGCCCCTCATCTTTCTGCCACCTCCCCCAGAGCTCAAAGGAACTTTGTTCCAGGCCATTGTCCTATAAGCTAATTTATTTCCCATGAACATTATTTACTTTTAAACCCTCCTTTCCCCTACCCTGTGAAAAAGAGTACACAGGCATCTGGACCTTGTTAAATTAATGCATAATCACCCTGCTGGAATTCCCTCAATTTATTTAACTTGCATAGGTTAAATACATTTGTGTACCTGTTTTCTCCTATTAGTTTGTCTGCCGTCACTCATTTCAGCAAAGCTTCAGAAAAGCCAGAAGAGAAGCTTGGTTTCCACCCCTAAAAATTATTCAAGATTTTCTCCTGTCATATTTAAAATCTAATAGATTGACAGTAAAAGAGGAAAGAATAATTCAAGTTTAGAACTAGAGGTTTCTAAAGGAAAATCGTTGTGGGTAGTAAGTAAATAACATAACTCACTCAATAAATCTTTATTGAGCACTTCTTCCAGTCACCATTCAAACATGTGAGAGAGTTTGAAGCATTGCCCTAAGAGAGGAAGATAGGCATAGTCCTGAATTCACAGAGTTTAGAGCATGATAGGAGAAAATCGACAAATTAAAGTATCAATTATAAAATTTTTAATGCTACAAGTGCATAAATGGCTTGGGGACTTAAACATAGCTTATAGCTCAGACTTTGAGGTAAGATTTGTATGCAAAAGAAGAGAACCTCAATAAAATAGAATCAAGGTAGATGGATTTGGGGATATTAAAAATAAGGGAAAATATGAGTAGAAATTTCTGGTTATATCTCATTTCTTAGCATAATTTGAATTTTCAAAGAAGAAATGATACATATATATTCTTTGTTATAGAGATTAGAGTCCTTCCTGATAATGTCAGGTATGATATATATATATATATATATATACATTTTTTTTTCTTTAGGATAATGTATAAGAATTCCCGGGTGGATCATGAGGTCAGGAGATCGAGACCATCCTGGCTAACAAGGTGAAACCCCGTCTCTACTAAAAATACAAAAAATTAGCCGGGCGCGGTGGCGGGCGCCTGTAGTCCCAGCTACTCGGGAGGCTGAGGCAGGAGAATGGCTTGAACCCGGGAGGCGGAGCTTGCAGTGAGCCGGGATTCCGCCACTGCAGTCCGCAGTCCGGCCTGGGCGACAGAGCGAGACTCCGTCTCAAAAAAAAAAAAAAAAAAAAAGAATTCCCAGGCATCAGCCAAATATTGTGCCTATATTTTAGACTTGTCTTATAAAGCCTTGGTTTTTCTGAACCTGTTGATCACTGAGCATATGTTATATTAGTTTCCTAGGGCTGCCATAACACATGAACACAAACTGCGTGAAGACAACAAAAATTTGTTCCGTTACTCTTCCAGAGGCTAGAAGTCCGGACTAAGAGTCAATAGGGTTGGTTCCTATTGGAGTCTGAGGGAGTATCTGTTGAATGCTTCTCTCCTAGCTCCTGGTGGTTGTGGGTAGTTCTTTCCAACCCTTGGTTTGTAGATGCATCACGACATTCTTTACCTTAATCTTCACAAGGTGTTCTTTCCTGTGTCTCCTCTCCTCTTCCTATCAGGACACCAATCATAATGGATTAAGGCCCACTCTAATGGCTTCATGTTAACTTGATTACATCTACAAAGGTCCTATTTTTAAGTAAGGTCACATTCCAGGTACTGGTATTAGAACTTCAACATATTTTTTGGGGGTACACAATTCAACTCATAATATATGCCTCTATAGAAATATCTTCTTTGGCATCCATGATGCTTATATCAGTAAATTATAGCCAGAATATTGCTGTGTAGCAAATAATCACAAAACCTCATAACATGCAATCATAAATATGGATTTTGGTTCATAGGTCTGAAGATTGGCCAATTCTGCTGACCTGAGCTGGGCTCTGTGGTCCCACTCTCACTTAGACTCCTGAAGTCAGCTGCAACTTAATTAACAATATTTAATTTTCTTTAATCTTTTATTTTGATATTAAATATTATTTAATATCAAATTTGATATTTTTATATTATATTAATTTGATATTATTAAATATTGAATTTAGTAAAATTGAATATTTAAATTTCTTTTAATATTTAGTTTTCTTTGCTGACTCTGGCTGGACTCTCTCACATGTTTGAATGGTGACTGGAACATCTGAGCTGCTTGGTTCTGCTCCACTTATCTCATCTTAGAGCATGCTTGGCTGAGGAGCAAGAAGGAAGGTGCAAACACAGTGCTTGTTCAAGCCTGTGTTGTGTGAAATTTTTTGTTATCCCATTGGCCAGAGCAAGTCATATGGCTCAACCCAGGGTCAGAGTAAAGGACACCACCAAAAACATAGAGAGATGTGTAGAGACCAGGAAACATTGGAACTGTCAGTTCAACTAAGTTATAATGTGCTAGACTTGTTATTTTTCTCTCATCTCCTCTGTTTCCCATTTTAAAAATTCATCTTTACTTTTTTTCTCACATACAAGCTCCCCAACCCCCTAAGACAACCTTTCAATTATCCTCTACTCTTCTCTCTATACCCACTTAGACATTTTACTTAAATTTTCTTCTTTTCAGAAACATTTAATTTTGTTTGTACACACCAAACAATACCTTGGATGTCCTAAAATGAATTCATGTCTCCTCTGCTCTTCTTCTCTCAATAACTATCATTTCACTGCCCATGAGATTACAATTACTTGTCGAGAACAAAATTTTTAAAGTTGCTTCTCTTTTGGCATTTCCTTTAAATGTTCTTCTTGTAAAATATGTTTTAGAATTATCTCTTTTCTTCTATTCTTAACACATCAAATAAGCTCATACTTTAACACTTGAATTATTTGTTTTTCATAATCTATTACATGTGCTTTCATTAGAATTACCTTAGCTCAAATATTATTTTCACTTCGGTACATCCTTTCCACAGTTACAACAACAAAATGAATCTCAGTTTTTCACTTTACTGCTTAACCCTTCTGGCTCTTTGCCAGCTTGTTCCTATCCTGCCTTTTCAGCTTTGTTTATTAGTGTTTCCTTCTAAGAGTTACAGCTTCCTAAGGGCAAGACTTTGTCTCTGTTATTGCTAGTAAGTAGCATAGCATCTTGCCAAGCAAGATATAGGGTACAATATATATTTTGAACAGACTTAGAGTCACATATTCCCTGCTTTCTAATCAAAATGCTATCTTCCCCTTCACTTCTGTCTTTGAATTTTGCCAATACCAGCCTAGAATACCACCTCCTTACAATTGTAAACTATCCCTCAAAGGGATACAGGGCAGAAAGGAATGCCTCTTTTCTCAGCATGCTCATAATTTTTGGGGAGGAAACCAAATAAACAAGTGACTATAATAAAATATAGTAATTTCCAGGACAGAAATATTCATTAAAAGCTATGGAAATGTATAAAAGGATACATAATCCAGCATCGATGGGACAAGCAAGTCTTTCCGAAAAGTGAAAGAGAGAAGAATTCTTCAGGCAGAGAATACAGAGAGCAGAGTGGGAGGCATGGATCAAACTATGAAGAAAACAACAAACAGTATATTACTAAAGTGTTAAGTTGCTTAATGCTGACATACAAATTGATAGGGAATGCAGTGGGTTGAACCATATCTTGGAGGGTCTTTATGCCATGTGAAAGAACTTGAACTTAATAAATTTTGAGATGCCTGAAGGCAATTTTAAGCAGGATAACAACAGGTACAAGTTCACCATTTCAATCCTGGAACAAAACGTTAAGTCCCAGGTCCCAGTATTTACAGGGCAATTACAACCTGCAAGCTCTGAGACTTATTCTCTTAATCATCCTTTTAAATGTTGTAAGTAATCTGAGAAATATTTCTCAGTTAATATATTCATGCCTTAATTGTTGACTTAGTTGACCTTGTCTTTTTTCCCCAGGTGTTCTCAAATGATGGTCTTCCACAGACAAACCATTAGTGAAAAGGGAAAACAAAAGTAAGCTTTTATAGTAATAGGGCAAAAATGTGGAAGAAATCTTTTTTTGACAAATGCTAATGAGACAGCCAGGTGGGAGGGGGGCCCTGGCAAAACTCCAACCTGCCTGCGCACTGGGGTGGAGACACATAAGTCGGTTTGCAGAGGGGAGGAGCCTGGCCCCTCCTCTTCCTGTGTGGAACCTGGGATTCAAAGGGCGAGGCAGGAAGCACACCAACCGGAACTCTGGCTTTCCGGAGAGACCCTCTTCCCCCTTTTATTCTTTTCACCCAATAAAACACAGCTTTACGCATCCTTCGAGCCATCTGTAAGCCTCAATTTTTGTGGCTATGGGATGGACAAGGACCCCGTCTCTAGCTAAACTAAGGGAAAGACCTGCAACACTAACTTTTGATAACATTCAAATCTATCAAATATATAATGATGCAGACGTTGAAGTCTAAATGAATAAAAATTGATAAGGTCATTCAGAGTACTTAGAGAATGAAGGTACTGCTTTATAAAATTATATTCAAGACCACTGATTTTTAAAAATAATTGTAAATAAATGAATATGCTTTTGCCTAAGAGTAGCCCAATAGATAAAATAGGTTTTTCCAGCTTGGGAGAAATAGAGTAATTTTTATTTTTATTTGAGTCTGTAAAAATATAGGACAAAACTTAAAGTCAACATCAAGTGCAGGGATGGGAATTAGAAGGTGGGAGAAGAATTTGTAGCACAAGCATAGATTTATTTGAAAGGCTAGATTAATGTTCACATGCTTATGCATGAAATGCTATTTTATTGCCTGTCTTAACTATTCTATTATGTGTTAATAATAAAATAACCCATATGTGCAAAATGAGTATGTCACACCAAGAGAAAATGTTTAAAATGCCAAGTAAATACCACAACAAATGTATGAAAAATGCTTTACTGATGGTTTCACTTTGCAAATTCTTTTGATTTTTTTTTTCTGTTTTTAGTCTTCTGCAGCACAGAAAGAAAGAGTTCTGGTCTTTATAGAGGAATCTTGTTTTGATACAATTTTACATTCATTCAGTTTATATTTAACTGAAAATTTAAGACATTATGCTTCGTAATTTTTAAAAATAAGTATTTAAAACGATGTAGAGCTGTGAGGCTGGTTCTCAGAGCAGCAAGGTTTTGAGAAAAGCTTAAGAGTTCATGCCAAGTCTTCTTTCCTTATTCTACTTTAAACTTTTTCTTGTTTAATTTTCATTGTTTAGGAAAAAATTTTGGAAATTGAATATCAGTTCCCTTCGTTGATTTAATGCTTTTCTTTTTCGCAAATGTACATTTATCAATTTTTCTATGTGTGTTTGAGAAGGATTTCATTTTTCATGAATTCAATAATATATCCAATAACAATGCACATTACCTCTGGACCCAATTTTTCAACATGATAATTTTCTTTTGTTCATGTAAAGCCAGTGGGGCATTAGACATGACTTTTGTTGTTGACTGTTCATTTGATTCACTTACATTATCAACTAGTTCTGTTTTTCCTGGTATTTTGTTAGCTCTTCTCCATATCCATTTCTCCAATGTATTGAAGATGACAAGGATTTGAGTGTGATTATTATTCATGATGTTTATTACCTTTATACCAGTCTCGCTTTTGTCACTGTTGTCCTGAACACCCTTTTAATACTCAACAGAAGGTTGCTGTTCAAGTTGAATTTAAGCCATCTTTGTGGAATTGTTAGCAATAACAGTTTGTTCTCCATCATCCATAGATAAACTACAGATGTAGAATAGTCACTCTGCAAAGATAATCACTGACATTTTCTCTACTTAAACCATACTGAGGGGTACAGCTTGCTTTTTAGAAAAGTTGTTTTTAATATAGTGCTTTAAGGAGATCTATAGGCCTAAAACTTTGTCCGGAGCTCTTGATTATAGCTGGACACATTTTTCTGGTGCCTTCACCTTACCCCTTAGGTATTGTAGTGTGACGGTAAAAAAACATAGGCTTTGGACTCAGGCAGATCTTAGTTCTAACATTAGTTCTCCCACTTATAAACTGGATGATTAAATTACTTAATTTTTCTAAGATAAGCAAATGCTTGCCACCAATAAAGAAAATCAAGGTGGTGGTGACTTCAATCAAGATTGAAGAGAAGGTTGGACAGTGAGAGGAGAGGAGGATTTGGAGAACTCTTCCTCTGGTGGCATTTGCTTACCCTGGAAAAGTTGCCTTACAGGTGAAAAAGCTGAGAAGTTGCATTGGAAGTCTCACAGGGAAAGGTGGGAAAAAGCATTAGTATTCAGGGCCCACTAATGGTGGAAGGAATCTGATAAATGGCCTCTACTTTGAGCTGAGGCTACATCATAGAAGTAAGGGTAGATGAAAGGAGATGCAGAACATTTGCAAGGACTGAGGCTGACTTAGCCTGACCACTTGTCAGAATCAAAGTTCAATCATCTTTGAGCTATTATAACATCAAGAGCCTTGAATTATCTCCATAATTTTTCAGTGTCCAACATTTAATAATAATAATAACAATAATAGTAATTTTAAAAACCCAACAGGGCCAGCCCTCAGTGGGGTGAGTGATACTGCTTTTGAGCAGGAAGGTGATGTTCTTATTTAGGCCAAGATAAAGACCCCAGAAAGAGAAGAGCAGCTTCTGGCTAAGAAGAAGAAGGGCAATGAACAGGGATGTCAGG
This sequence comes from Homo sapiens, assembly GCF_000001405.40. NCBI lineage: Eukaryota > Metazoa > Chordata > Mammalia > Primates > Hominidae > Homo > Homo sapiens. The sequence goes on along the minus strand of NC_000014.9, from coordinate 84,999,410 downwards.
CTTTGTGAATAACTTGTTTGGAATGGCTTCTGTATTTTTGTTTTCTGGATCCAGGCACTTAGATAGTCTCTTAGATAGTCACACAAATGATTGACTGGTTGGTAAGCAGTGCCATACAATCATGTTCAAATGATGACCATAAGCATCACATCTACCAGCCCCCAACTTTGCACTATGTGACATCATCCTTCTGGTTGAACTAGCTGAAAGCTGTTAAGAGTATGCCAGGTATGACCATGCCACCCAGGGAAGAAGGAAAAGGCCTACAAAGAATTTAAAGCTAATCTGAATGCTTCCTTTAAAGCTTGTTCAGATCTCTGTACATTATCATAAACAAGAGCTCTCTCTAAACCTTGCCACTGGCTGCTCTTTTTACCCTCAGATTTGTCCCCCTTCAGACACGAGAAAAGGCATTTGAAGTTACTGAGAATAAGTTGTTTACTTCCTAAGACCATTGGTGGAAGCTTCCAGTAGTGTAGGTAGTGTAGACCATCCCAGCTGGAGACACAATGGACATACCTGTGTTTGAGGCAGAAGACAAGAAGAGTCCAGAGGACATAGAGGTCCATGGAGAAGGTTATAAAGTTCAGGTAAACAGCAGGAATCTTTTTATGGCCTCTGTTTGTTGACCCCTCTTCTGGTTACACTGATGGAGAAGAAAATCAACATTCCTGCACATGGAAACACATTCCTTCTCGGAGTCACAACATTGCAGTGCTTCGCAAAGGGGCAGCAGCATGGCTGTCACCAAAGCAGGCACTGTGGACATGCCAGCAACCAAGTCTGCATACTCCAGACAGATAAACCCAGCACTGACAGAAGCAGCCTCCACAGATATAGGAGATAAAGGAGCCAGCAGGGAATGGTGGACACTTTTGCTATGTACTCAGAAAGTCTTAACATGGCTACAGCAAGTGGAACAAGCCTGTCCCTGTCTTCAAAGGGTAGTTCCAGCTTATCAGCAAAAGCTGCCAGTCTCTCCCCAGAAGATAGGATGCATGTGGTCATTGCAGGAGCTGAGACTGCCTGCAAGCCTGTGGCAGAAACTGTTAAAGAACCAGTAGGGGGACTCCCTCATATCAATCTTGCAAGGTGAAGCCTATATAAGTGAGTGGGATGGAAGCCAGAGAGTCCCTGTATTAGTCTGTTTTCACATTGCTGATAAAGACATACCCAATACTGGGTAATTTATAAAGTAAAAGAGGTTTAATGGACTCACAGTTCCACGTGGCTGGGGAGGCCTCACAATCATGGTGGAAGGTGAAAGGGACTTCTCACATAGCGACAGCAAGAGAGTATGAGAGCCAAGTGAAAGGGGTTTCCCCTTATAAAACCACCAGGTCTTGTGAGACTTATTCACTACCACGAGAACAGTATGGGGTAAGACCCACCCCCATGATTCAATTACATCTCACTGAGTCCCTCCCACAACACGTGGGAATTGTGGAAGCTACAATTCAAGATGAGATTTGGGTGGGGACACAGTCAAACCATATCAGTCCCCCAGTGTAATGCTGAATCACAGTGGGAAAGAGCTCCCTCTAAAAGACATTCCCATTATCATGAGACCTGGAGACAAGTCAACTCTAATATACTCCTTCTGTTAGTTGGTAGCCCACCATGGAATTACTAACAGTGGAAAAGAGACGTCCAGAGCAGCCTAGTGGGCAGACAACACAGCTCCTCCTAACAAAAATACCAAGCTCAGTCCCTTGCAAAGGAGTCTAGGTTATCTCAAATTTTGGAGATGAACCAATTATAATTAGCTCAGGGTATTCAGGTTAAGAATCTGAGCAGAACTAACTCCTTCTATATGAGCTTCAATATTCAGTACATAAACATTGATTCTAAGTTCTGTGATTGTAAGATCTATTAATAGTAGGATTGGCTCATTGTTGAACTTCAAAGCCTGTCCTTTTACAAAAGCAATGGCCCCAGATTCTGAAAATAAGGGATTAAACTGAATTGAATCACTGCTAAAAAACATCAATGTCTATCCCACTGCATAAAATGTTGTCCTGGCTTTTACAAAGACAAGACCCAGAAGTTCTAGGTTTTTCTTAATAAGTTGCACAGCCAGATCTACTACACAAACACTAATCCAATGTCCTGCAAGATAAAGATCCAGCAGGATTTGCTCTTTATTAAAGAACCCCAAAGCCCACAGTGCTGTGTGTGGTACAGAGGTAGATATTGTGTCTGAGACTGTAGAGGAGAGCAGCATGGAGTCCATTATTAAGCTAACAGAGTATGGAGAATGGCTGGACATCACTGGGGCCGTAATACCTGAGACTGAGGTGATCGTAATCTTTGAAGCCTATCAACAAGGGGCCAGAGGATGTAAGCGAGGCTATTTCTAATTTAGTCCTCCTACTTTTAAATAAAAAAATCTTCTTTCTGAATTTACATGTTTCATGGGTAGTATAGACTCCATCATGGATTCTGTCACATCAACCAGGCTGTACTTGGAGACTCCAGTCTAGAGTCAGCAGAGACCAACCTCACATTCATCTTCAACTGAGCCAGTAGCATTTTCTTAACACGTCAGTCATGGGTTCTACAAGCTATGACCAGAAGTCACATTCTGGGTGGGCTGAGAAGCACTACCATCATCCTTTCCTCTTCTATTTCTTTTTGAGAGAACCTAGACATAGTCTGTTCCATAAACAAGCAATAACAGAACTCATGCTCTCTCAAGATATTCAAGGGAGGGAAGATGGGTAAAGCAGCATTTTTGGGTAATCAGAATAGGAAGAGCTCTCATCTAGACTTAGCAACTCCACTTCTAGGTATATATGCTGGAGAAAGTCTAACATGTGTTCTCAGAGGCAACTATGAGAATATTTGTATGAAAATAATTTATAAGAATAAAACACTGGAAATAGTCTCAAATGTCCATCAATTTATCAACTGGAGAATTGATAACATATATATACACATGTACATATATATGTATGTGTTTTATACAAATGTACATATATATGTATGTGTTTTATACACATGTACATATATACGCATGTTGTATACACACACATACACATATATATATACATGCGTATATATATTATATATTTTAAGTTATCAAAGGCCTCTCTGTTCATGGTTTCAGGCACACACAGCCAATCATGGTTCAAAAGTATTAAATGAAAAACTCCAGAAATAAACAACTGATAAGTTTTTTATCTGCTCCATACTGGCTAGGAATATGAATCATCTCTTAGTCTAGTGTACCCTCACTGTTGATACTCCCCACTCATTTAAACTTGGTAACCGTGTTGTTCATCAAATCGACTGTCATGGTATTGCAGTGTTTGTGTTTGAGTAACCCTTATTTTACTTAATAATGGCCTGAAAGTTCAAGAGTAGTGATGCTGGCATATTGTCATAATAGTTCTATTTTATTATTGGGTATTGCTGTTAATCTCTTACCATGCCCAATTTACAAATTAAATTTAATTATGGGCATGTATGTGCGGGGAAAAAAAACCACATAGTATACATAGGGTTTGGTACTATCTGTGGTTTCATCATCCACTGGGAGGCCTTGGAATGTATCCCCATAGATAAATGGGGACTACTATATACATCATAAGTTATCATACATATGGTAGATAGGTAGATAGAAAGGTGGATAGACAGATATTATACAACAGTGACAGTCATAAACATTGATGTGGAAAAATCTCACATACAGTTGAGTAAAAAATAGTCACAGAAATTGTTCCATAATTTGATTTACATAATATTTCAAAAACAAGACTAAACAAATTATTTAATGAAAATACTTGGCAAAATTAGAGATAAACAAGTATCTCTATGATGAAAAGGAGGGTGATATCATCCAGGAAGTAGACACAAGAGCTTCAACAGTGTTAGGAATTGTTCTGTCTCATAAACATTGTGGCCAATTCATAGGTATTTATTTTTTAATATTTTTCACACATCACACATTAACAGTTTTCAAATCAAGACAGCCTGAAGTGATGTAGTTTGCATTGTCATAGAAAGATTTATTTCAACCAATTTGTTTTAGTACAATTGTACTTTTTATGCATTTATAAGAGTGATATGTCAAAAACTAAAGTTGAGAGATCTTTTATCAATAAGAATAAAGTAAAATTTTAAAGTGACAAAAAATGAATAAGAAAGTATTCAGGCTGGGCATCATGGCTCACGCCTGTAATCCCAGCACTTTGGGAAGCCGAGGTGGGCGGATCACGAGGTCAAGAGATTGAGACCATCTCTGTCAACATGGTGAAACCCCGTCTCTACTAAAAATACAAAAATTAGCTGGGCATGATGGCACACACCTGTTGTCCCAGGTACTCAGAAGGCTGAGGCAGGAGAATCGCTTGAACCTGAGAGGCAGAGATTGCAGTGAGCTGTGATTGCACCACTGCCCTCCAGCCTGGCGACAGAGTGAGACTCTGTCTCAAAAAAATAAAAAAGAAGGCATTCAAAGAACTGACTTGAGTAAAACCCAAAGGAAAGGACAAACTATGAATAGATATACAAGGAGTCCAAATAAAACAAAAATATGATTAAGGATATAGACGACAAGCTGAAAATTTTGGCTGAAAGCTAACAAACATAGAAAAGAAATGAATGTAAATTCTGAAAATTAAAAATAAAATAATCAAAAATTAAGAACAGGTATATGTAGTGTTACTAGACAAAATTTAGAACACCAAGTAAAATCTGATTTTCAGAAAAACACCAACTTACTATTTTAGAATGACCTATGTATTACTCGGGATATGCTTGAACTAAAAAATTTTCTCCATGCAATATTTTGAACATATGTATATTGAAATGTATATATTATCTGAAATTAAAACAACTTGGAATTTTTTACTTTTATCTGCTAACTCTAGGAACCTAAATACAAGATATATTTTAAAGTGGATTTAACATAGATAAAAAGAAAAGAAAATAGATCATAAGGAAAATTTGCAGAATGAAACATGGAGATTTTAAAGAAAGGGAAAGATACGAGAGTGCATAAAAAATAGAGGACATACAAGAAGGCTCGACGCGCGTAGCTCATGTTCAGAAGTAAACGTAAGAAAGAAAACAGCAGCAAAATGTCTGAAGTGATGATCACTGGGAACTAGGAAAGATTCACCTTCAGATTCAAGAAGGCCTATGAAACCCAAATGGTATAAATGAAAAGAAAACTACACTTGACATAGCTAGTAAAACTGCTAAAAACAAAAGCCAAAGAGAAAAGTATTGAAAGCGTTCAGGGAAAAAAATAACATAATGTGTTCAAAGAACAGTTGGACTGTCAGCTGATGTTCAGAAAGAATTAGTGCAAACTAGAAAAAATGAGATATCTTGAAAGTGATGAAAAGAAATAACAGTGTATTCATCTATACCCAGCATAAATATAATTTGAGAATAAAGGTAAAATGGAGACATTTCACACAGTAAAAAACCAGAAGGATTGGAAATCAGCAGATCTGCACTGAAAGAATTATTAAGGAGGTGCTCTAGGCAGAATGAATATCATCCCAAATAGAAAGTCAGAGATACAGGAGACAATAAACGGCAATAGAAAAAGCTAAACAGGTTTAAAATTTTAAGAAATATTGCTATATAAAACAATAATGTGAAGTTTACAAAATATGAAGTATTAAAATTCAAAGTGAAATAGAACACAAAGTTATGGGATCTACAAGGCTTTTACTGTTAGGAAAGAAAGTAAAAGGAGCAAGTAATATTTATTCTTGAGAAGACAAGGATGCAGTGTAATCACTAGAGTAACTTCTAAAGTAATGGCACATGGATATAAAACTGTCAATTTAATATATGTGAGGAATCGAGTCGTCATCATCTTTATAATCATCATTATCCATACAATTAATTCTAGAGAAGATAAAAAAGGAAGGAGGCCGGGTGCGGTGGCTCACGCCTGTAATCCCAGCACTTTGGGAGGCTGAGGCAGGCGGATCACATGGTCAGGAGATCGAGACCATCCTGGCTAACGCGGTGAAACCCCGTCCCTGCTAAAAATACAAAAAATTAGCCGGGCGTCCTGGCGGGGGACTGTAGTCCCAGCTACTCGGGAGGCTGAGGACAGAGAATGGCGTGAACCCGGGAGACAGAGCTTGCAGTGAACCCGGATCGCGCCACTGCACTCCAGCCTGGGTGACAGAGGAAACTCCGTCTCAAAAAAAAAAAAAAAAAAGAAAAAGAAAAAGAAAAAGAAAAAAGCACACAAAACAGGTAGAAGCAATTGAAAAAATTATACATATATATAATTTATACAGAACTTAAAGTATTTCAGATTGTCATACATAAAACCAAATTAAGACAGAAAAACTTATTAACATACTCTTTAAAAAACATATATTTAAAATATTAATTATAAAAACTTAAGGGTAAATGAAAAAATATATGCCACGTACACATTAACAAAAAATGTAGCTATATTAATATTAAAGTAGTTTATGACATTATTTCTAAAGAAAGCATTATTAGGGTTAGTGAATGAAACTTTATGATCATAAAAATTCAATCTACCCAGAACACCTAGCAAATTTAAATTTGTATAGATATAACAACCTTAAAATGGTTAAAGCAAAAACTGACAGACCTAAAATAAATAACAGAAAAAAGTCAAATCCACAATCACTGTGGGAGAAAATTCAGTTATTGATAGAATAAGCAAGCAAAAATAATTAAGGATAAAGAAGAGTTCAATGTTATAATTATCGAATTTTACCTGATTGGCATAAATATGTTTGCCATATACAGACCTCAATGAAAGCAGAATACATATTCTTTCTAAATACAAATAGAACATTTACAAAATTGACGATATACTTGGACCTGAGCATGTTGTAATGAATTTCACAGAGTTGAAATTATACAAAGTATGTTCTCTGATCACAGTGTTAAGGTAAAATAAGAAACAAAAAGATGATTGAAAATTTCACTTATATTTGGAAATTAAGATATATACTTCTAAATTATACATAGGTCGACAAGAACTCATAATGGAAATTAGGAAATAGGTAGGGACCAAATGATAAAGAGATACCAAATCAAATGAAAGGCAGCCAATGCTATGCTTAGAGATAAATGTATAAACTTAATTTCATAAAATAGAAAATGAAAGAAAGACTGAGAATCAATGAGCAAATTACCCATCTCAATTCAAGAAGGCATATAAAGAACACCAAATCAAGTCGAGAATGCAGCTGCTGCCAGACTGCCAGACTCAATCACTGAATGTGAATATTCGGTCGTGTAGCTAAGGGATTCTTAAGCAGTATTTTATCAATTGATATGAAAAATCTGAATCTGGCAAAGCTGTATGGGTACCTGATTGGTAAAATTCTGAAATGACCTCCAACATCCTACCCTTGGTGAATACAGCTTCCAAATGCTAACAGGTCATTAAACGTATCTTTCCGTCACAAAAAATTATTACCTGCTTCCACTCCACCGTGGGGGCGGATGGTAGAAAATTATATACTAACTTCAACACATTCTATTTACACAGTTTCTGAACAATTCAGCAACTCGTCCTTTTTCCTCGTCTCTAATTTCTAAATGTTAATAGCTAATAGAAGATATGTTGTAAAAAATATATATTTTAATATGTTTTACATTTTAATATAATTTAACAAATTTTAAAATTTAGTGTTTTGTTAAGCTCTGATTGACTTATTTTCTACTCTATCCAAGAGAGTATTTGGCTCTCTTTTCCACCTGGTGAATATAAATATGATTTATTGACACGTACTTTGAAAAAGTCATTGTGCCAAGCACCAAGAACGCAGCTGGGCAAAGAGCACCAAAATGCATTTAACCTATGAAGGCCATTTCCTAAAGGACTTTAGAATATAATGAAATTAGTTATAAGTGGATTCCAACAGAATGGAGGAACAACTGTGCTATTAATTGGATCGCAAAGATTCACTTTGGGGTTTGACAGCTATCTTGGCTTGGTTTCCGTCTTCAGCATTGGCATTCCAAACCCTGTGAAATCTTAATAGATTTTCTCAACCCTGGAAAGAAAAGAAAGTAATTGAACAGAATGTAACAGTTTGAAAAAGAATGCAAACCCGTTGAGAGATTAGAGGTATTGACTCCAATATTGCATCATTCTGAAAAATTTCTTGCATCTGCTAAACATGAATAGCTAGCTCCTTTATTTCCATATCACACCATGGAAAAATTCTCTCTGGGGAAGTGATTCCTTTCTTGCATCCTCATCTGTTTGTCTCCCCTTGGGATGCTTGGTCTGTTTTCTTCAGGTTATTCTATAATCCTGGTTAGAAACATTTCTGTTATGGTGATATTCAGTATGTCCCTTGAATAGGTAGTGAAAGTAATATATATTGATAGCTAGCTAAGAGCTGAGCATTGCTTTAAACATGTAACTTACGTAATAGTTATTATTTTTATTAATACTTTTCTTCTTATTGTCATAGCAAAAATTCATTTGAGCATTTACTATGTGTTGTATGTACATCATCTGAATTCTTACTGGAATCAAAAGTCAGACAGTTTTTTTTTTAAATCACTACAAAGGGAGAGACTGAGACTCAGAGAGATTAGGTATCCTGCACAAGGCACACAGTCAATAAGAAGGGTATCTGGGTTCCAGCCAGGTTGGCGACACCAATTTCCAACTTAGCCAATTTACCTCTTATTTTGTGTGTGTGTGTGTGTGTGTGTGTGTGTGTGTGTGTGCACATGCACCAGAATTTCTGGACCTGAATCCTGGCTTATCAGGGTGATCAGCAGTGTGATTTTGGCACATTATGCTAAGATTTCTGATTGACTTTATTTGTAAAATAGGGATAATTAGAACACCTACCTCGTGGAGTTGTAAGATCAACAAATGAAAAACACAGAATGGAGTCCACTATCTGGTAAGTGTTATAAAAGAGTTGTCATCATGATTTTTCAACCGGTTTATCAGAATGGAAGTTCTATCTAACAACCACTCATAGTTTTTCTGTTAGTGTTTTATTGCTTCACCACTTCCCACCTGTATCCTCCCTACCACCTTGATGAGCATGTAGGTGGGGGCTAATGATCTATACTCCCTGTGCAGAGTGGAAGCCAAAATAGGTGTGAGCACGATCTATGCGATTGTCAGCCCATGAGCTGCAAAGTTATGGACAGGGAAGTCCACCATATGTAGAAACTATCTATGAAATCACAGGAGTCTCATTTTTCTTATGTGAGCCATATTAGCACATCTCCCTCAGTTAGAATGCAATGTCTTTGGAGAAGTGCAGTAGTTTAGGCAGAAACCATAAACTCAAACACCTGTAGGTACCAAGCATCAGGAAAGTAACTAGAAAGAGTCAAGTGAGCTGGTGTTGGAAAACATGTTGGTCCATGTTCCATGAAAGATTCTGAGAACTTCTGCCAGCTTCATGAAACATAGGTCTTTCTCCAGAAACTAGGAAAATATATAGTTATCCCTCGGTGTCCATGGGAGATTTGTTCTAGATCTGCTCATGGTTATAGAAATCCATAGATTCTCAAGTCCCTGATATAAAATGGTGTAGCATTTGCATATTACTTATGTACCTCCTCTAGTGTTGTCATTTTTATATTACTTATAGTACCTAATACAATGTAAATGCTATGTATATATTTGTTATGCTGTATCATTTATAAAATAATGATGAGAAAAGAAGTCTCTACATGTTCAGACACAACCAACCATTTCTTTTCTCCAATATGTTTGATACATGGTTGAATCCATGGACATGGAACTATGACTGTACTAATGTTTATTTAAGAAGCACTTACATGGTTTTTCAGGAACTGTTCTAATATCTTTACACATATTAATTTACTTAATCTTCATAACAATTCTATGTGATAATTAATACCACTATTTTCATCTTATAGATGAGGAAATAGAGGCACAGCGAGTGCCAGGTATTACTGGGACCCATGTGTGTAGCTATAAGGACTAGACTAGTCAGGATATGCCTAGGCTTGAGCTGGTCATTTTAAACAAAAAAAATCATAGCTTGCCTTAGAGAGAGGACAATTCCTTACAGTCAACACAAGACAATGTTTTTTTTTTCATTTCTAGAGATAGAAAAACTGAGGTTCAAAGAGATTAAGTGTCCTGCCCAAAGTCTTAAAACATCTTATATCTAAAGGGCCAAATCAGCCCTTTTCTAAATTTGAGATCCTCATTGATTCATTAAACCTTTTCATGTCTTACTTTAGTATCATGAGAAGATAAAATGAGTGAAGTTGTGGTTAAGTTTCTTATTTTATTTTTAAATAAACAGATGTAATACAAGGACCACTGCCTTTCAATTTCAGTGTGAAATTATTTAATAATCTTCTTATTCCCTGAAAGAAGCAAACGCTATGAATTTCCCCAGATGTTTACTTGGTGGCTGCTTGCTATTAAGAAATTTCTCTGGAGACAATTTTATATATATACATATATATATATATATATATATATATATATATATATATATGTGTGTGTGTGTGTGTGTGTGTATTTTAAAATCTATATTCTAGAGCAAAACGTTTTCTGGAGGTCCTTGGGACACCCCCCCAACACACACACACACACACACACACACACACACACACACACACACCCCAAATAGAAATATAATAAGCATTATAGGTCTCTAAAGAACGTGCCTGCCATATCATATTTATAGGGTGAGACTCTGTTGTCTCTTCTTAGGTCTTCTATCTTCTGTTTCTGGCAGATGAGGCTGACTCACTGTGACAGACAATTTAGAGCAATGTGAGGCTGAGGCTCTGCAATCTTTCACACGTCTCCTATTGGCTCCCCCAAAGAAGCTTTGCCTATTAACATGTCTGGCAGGGTTCTGACTTGAGTGCTCAGCTAGACTGTAAAAGACACTCATACTGGGCGACAAGCATGGGAATGGCAGGTTCCGCTGCTTCACTAAGACGACTCAGGTTGCCTGTGGAGTAACGTGGCTCTTGGGAGTGATAAAAGTTGTTTCTTTGAACCAAAGCTAGACATTCTTAGGGAATGTACAATGTTTTATAGCAATGTCTCCCAAATTTATAAAGACAATGATGTCTTTATGTGTCATACCTTCTAGGATATTTTTACCTGCTGTTCTGAAATGATTCAGGCAACCAAGATGATATCCTGGCCCTATTATGTACTAGTTGTGTGGTCTTGGACGTGTTTCTAGAAATACACAAGTCTTATTTTCTTCCAGTAAAAGAAAGAAAAACACTGGTATAGAGAGGGATACTAAGATCCAGGAGGTCACTTTTAGTGGCTAATAGCTCTGTGTTTAGATTTAGACAAGCATAGGTTTGAATCCTGACTCAATAGGATGATCTTAGACAATGAACTAGATTTTTTTTTCAGCTTGTTTCCACATTTTTGGAACAGTGGTTGTATCTATCTGAAAGTTATACAAATTAAAAAAACAAGAATGCATATAAAATACTTAGCAATGTGCCAGGCACTTATTAAGTCACTGAATAAATGTTTGTTGTTTATTAGATTACTATCACCACCATTCTCCTATTCTTACTTAGTATTAAGACTCACTGTAAATACTTTAGAGTTTAGCTCAGGAAAATTCTTTCTAGGGACAAAATTATTTTATTAAGTAGTCTCCTGGTATTTTGGGCTTTATTGCTAAAATTGAATAATTTAAACTGTTGCGAATAGCACAAAAAAGGGAGAAGTCATATGGAAAGAAGAGAACTAAGGATGGAAGTAAAACACAATAGTTGCATATGAAATGTTAGGGAGAGAAGAAGAGCAGAGAGGAAGCAAGCACTTCTCAAAGTGAACATACAACTAAGAACAAGAATCAGAATCCCCCAGATACAGAAATAAAGTCAACGTTCAATTTCAGTGTTAGCCAGGGGCTCTTGTTGTTGTTTACTTGTTTTAGGGAAAAATACTTCGAGTCTTTCTCTTGAGTCGTAAAGATTGGTGAAAAAATAATTGCAGGTTTGCTATTACTTTTCATTGCAAAAACCACAATACTTTGCATTAAATTAATAAATTCCTTGTAGTTGGTGCATTGCTCAATGTTAAGAACAAAAGCAGAACATTACACAAAGCAGTAAAAATGAATCCATGTCAGAGCAATTGGTGAAGGTCATGGGATTGAAGTTCTAATCTGAAGGGCCTCAGGTGACATAACAGGAAAATGATCTCAGAAATCTAGGAGGAAGGTGTACCAGGGAACCCAGGAAGTTAAGCTCACAAGTAGAATAAGATATGGTCAGAGTCAGCAAACACTAGAAGTCAGAGTGAATTTAAAAATCTCAGGTTGCTTTATTATCAACTCTTCTTTTGACCTCTCATTTCAGAATCGTAGCCTGAAAATGTTATGCTAACATAAAGAGGTGAAATTGATGGACTGTAAAGAGAACTGTGGGCTGGCCATGCCACCATAATTTTCTCTTGCTGTCATTTTTTCCCCTGAATTAAGTGATTCTGACCTTGAACAAATTGCTTAGCCCCTTTGAATATAAGTATCTTTACCTATAAAACTGAGGATATTATACTTCCCATAGAGGTTTCTGTGAGATTTAAGTGAAAGGATATATTTTACACACTTCACTCAGGATCTGTGTACAGGTTATAAACTCAATAAATCAATATTTACCCTTAAGTAAAACAAGCAAACAAAAAGTTTGATACAGCCAAATTGGGGCACAGACTTAGAGGTCTATTTCTTTAGGTATGTAATGTCTGTGCATTGCCACTACTACGCCAACTCTTCCTCCATTCATGTGAGTTTTTGAGTGGTGCTGAATGGTACCATACACTGTAATAACAGCCAAGTTAATAACCAGTTAATCAAATGGCACATGTTTATTGAACATAAACTATGAGCTGGCACAAGTAAGGAGCTGTGCCCACAAAGAATAACCAGGCTAAATCCTTGTTCTCAAGTGCTGAAAATACAATGACAATAAGCAACTAAAATCACACACAGAAACACACACAATGTGAGAATTTTTTCATTATAGTGGCTTTTGGCATGCAAAAGGCAGAGTCATTATTTAAGCTTTTTCTTCACAGATAATTGTGTTCTGTCTGTTGATATCATTAAAACTTAGGGCCTTTCTGCACTGGGAAAGAGTGCCAGTTACTGGAAGAAACTTTTTGTTTGAATTTTATAAGCATTTTATATCCCCAGTCAGTTTTAGTTTCCAAGTGTCATAAAGTAACATTTATCAAAAGCTTAAATGTCATTTCCTGTCATTTTAAAGGAAGAAAAATTTTGTCTTAAGCACATTATCTAACTATAATGAAAGTCTTAAAATATCAGCAAACGACTGAAAATAATTTTATGATGTAATAGCTACTGCACGAAAAAGATGGATATATCTACTCATAGTTTCAAGTCTTCAATAGATGTGTTTGTAAATTGTATAGTTATAGTTAATTAGCTACCATATATTTAAAAGGCTACCCCAAAGCTCTTGTTAAATCGTGCTTTTGTAGCATTAATTATGATTCAATGGGACTTTCAACAAAATTAAATTCTGAATGAATCAAGAGAGAATTGTTCCTTAGAACATTAGAGTTAGTCCCACCAATGATCAAAAGATGTGATATTATTGTTATTATTTCCTGTAGATTAATTTCCTTTTTTCCCCAAATATAATTAGCAAGTAACTGATATTCTTGGTAAACAACTCAAGAACCAGAGTCCTAGGGAACTCCAGTTTCTTAGAGACATCTGTCTCTATTAATATTTTCCAAAAGTCCAACAATATCAGGCATCATCAGGAGGGAAGAGGCACATCAAACAGAAATACAATTTTTCAGTTGTATGAAATAACAGTATTCAAATGGAAAAGGGCCTTGGCTTTTCTCCTTGATAGTTATATAATTCTGTGAAGGTCAATTTGTTTCTGAGATGATTTCTGCAGCTTTCCATTTCTGCTTTTATAAAAAGGAGATAATTATATGCACAGGCATTTTTGTGTGAATCCATATACATATCTCGAAATGGTAGTGGTGATCTCATGAGTTGATCTTGCATCCATCTCCATGGCTATGTCCATATGTCATCTCCACTGTTGTTGCTGTAATTCCACCACCAAACTTAGAGTTTGATATGGTTTGGCTCTGTGTCCTCACCCAAATCTCATGTTGAATTGCAATCCCCACATGTTGGGAGAGGAGCCTGGTGGGAAGTGATTGAATCATGGGGAGGACCTCCCCTTTGCTGTTCTGGTAATAGTGAGTTCTCATGAGGTTTGGTTGTTTGAAAGTGTGTGGCACATATCCTATGTCCTCCTTCTGTCACCATGAGAAAATATGCTTTTCTTCCCCTTTGCCTTCCACCATAATTGTAAGTTTCCTGAGACCTCCCCAGCCATGTGGAAGTGTGAATTGATTTTTTCTTCATAAAGTACTCAGTCTCAGGTCGTTCTTTATAGCAGTGTAAAAACAAACTAATACAGAGTTGACCTGGTTCTCCTTAGGCTTGATTTATTCTGTTTGCTGGATATGCTAGTCTTAATGAGAATGCCTAGATTCTAATATGGCCAATTATTCATAAGTCCACTAAATACCTCCAGAAGTGTGAGATAATCTACCACGTAAATATGTCCAGTGAAGTTTTCCAAACCTCTCTAATTTCCTACTGGGGGTGTGCTGATGAGGCTAACCCTGGGCCATATGTAGATGTCTTATAACTGCACTTCTAAAAGGAAATAACAGAGCTAGAAAAGCCCAGCGAAGAGATCAACTGAACTAGTGGCTCTAAAATATTTGTGTGTTCTAGAATCAGCAGGGAAGCTTACTATCACGTAGATTCCTGGAGTGCTATCAGATAGTCTGATTCAGTAGGGAGTAGCAAAGGAATCTGAAATTTTCACAAATATCTGAGACACTCTGAGATGTGGGAAGGATTAACCAATGATGGTAAAATAATTTGAGACAGGCAACTACATGAAGCAATAACTTTTTAAAGGCGGAAATATTCCTTTGCATTCTACCAATGTACATTGACTAATGGCAGAGCAGTGGAGATGGGGAGGCAGCCATATTTAAAAACTTCACATCACACTAGATAGCTCTTAGTGATACTAAGGTGATAAGGTTTGGCACTGTGTCCCCACCCAAGTCTCACCTTGAGTTGTAATAATTCCCAAATGTTGTAGAAGGGGCCCGGCGGGAGGTAACTGAATCACGGGGGTGGGCTTTTTCCCATGCTGTCCTCATGGGAGTGAATAAGTCTCACGAGATCTGATGGTTTTATAAAAGGGAGTTGCCCTGCATACGCTGTCTTGCCTGCCACCATGTAAGACATGCCTTTACTCTTCTTTCACCTTCCACCATGTTTGTGAGGCCTCTCTAGTCATGTGGAACTGTGAGTCCATTAAACCTCTTTCCTTTATAAATTACTCATTCTTGAGTATGTCTTTATTAGGCAGCATGACAATGGACTAATACATATGGTTTTCATCAAGCTTTAGAAAAAATTAAAAATTAATAAAAATATTGGTCTTAAGCCTCCTCCATTATACATTTTCTTCCCTGGTCCTATTTTATCTCATCTACCTTTCTCTTTATGTATACAAGATAAAAATTTTCCCTATAGGCTGATAAAATTCACCTTCTCAAACCCCAATGCCAGAATTTTGTCTCCAAGATTGATTTTAGCTCCCCAGATCTTGTACTATATCACCTGTGCATTGCCTAGTCTTACTTAGAACAAAGAAAGAATTTGTAGGGATTGGATCCTGCCCTTCATGTAAATGTCCCTCTGCTTCTTTCAGTGAGCAAAAAATTCAAATACATCATAATACAAAAACCACTCCATTTCCAATTAACATATTCTACTCTAGATTTAACAATTTCTAGAATATTTGCATTTGAACAGGTGTTTCTCAATCCTTATAATTCCCTAATTGATAACAAGTACTGGAACTTTTCACCTGTTTTGCCCACCCCAGCCAGGTCTGAAGAACAATGTCAACCAATTGAAGAGGACTTCTTAAAATTGAATGTCTACTCATATGACATAGTAAACACAGGCCTATATACTAAACACATAATAGAAATAAAGGATTACTCTTAAGTCTCAAAAATATTAAGTATAAAGGAAAGTAATAGATAACTGCAATATACATGAGCTTTGAGTCAGATGAAATCATGTTTGAATTATACATCAAGACCTACTAGTTTTGTGTCCATAAGCACATTCTTTCAAAGCCACAGCTTTGGAGTGGGCTAAAACAAAAATACTACTTACTTTGCAGCTTTATTACAAATTCATATATGAAAAATCAAATAGCCGGGTGGTTGAAATATAGTATATATTTAGTGAACATTCATTTATTTTTCCTTTTCTATTTTATCTAGAAAGTAAGAAGCTTATATAACTTATTATACCAAGAAGAGCAAAGGCTCAAATTAAGAATAAACTTTGATAGGAAGAGATAGCTCTTACAAATTGTCAATCCCTATTTCTTTAACATTTTTCTCCCTACATTTTACAGATGTTACTTTTCCACATAAAGCTGAACAAGGGACTCAAGTGCTGTTTATTTTTCCCCATTTCTCTATGTCTTTCTGGTCAATAATTTCCCTAATATCAAGTGCAGCTTTCTCTCCAGACAGGCTAGCAGAGCCAATGTCTCAATATTACTCTGGTTCTTTCCTGAATTTTTGCAAGGGTGTGCATGGGCCAACAGACAGCAGCCACCCCTGAAAGGCTCAGTTGAGTAATGAGGCTCAGAGTTACAGATCAGAGGCTGTGCTGTCAGGAGGAACAGACCTTTTCTGGCACCGCAAGGAGCCCTCTGCAGTCAGTTCTAGAAATGCCATGGGTACCATTTTCTTATGTTAAGGACTACTAACTTTTATTTCAAATTCCAGCAGTAATAAAATGCATTTTAAAGTTAAGAGTAACCCTGAAAGAAGTGTTTTCTTTTTTTATAAGTTGTACTTTTGATCACATTCGGTCAATCACACTTTAAGCCCAGTTGCCTCAAGGGAATATTTCCATTGCTGAAGTCCTTTCTCCATGGCTATGGACATAAGATACAGTAGGAAAAAGTGTTAGTAAAGATACAGGTGGATGCCTCCTTTGTGCACTGTGATAGGCACTGGAATAAATCCAGCTCTCCTCCACGAGCTGCCTGAAAAATAAGAGGGATAGAGCCTAACAAACAATTACCATGCAAGATGTTGAGTGTAATATTTGAGATGTGGGGTGTCAGGAAAAGCTCTACTCACTATTCAACTTTTGAGAACTGCCTTGAAGAGTGATTAGGGGCTTTCCATCTTAAGAAAAAGGTGGCATATAACAAAAGGAAAATCATGTCTATGGAAGAATAAGACCAAAAAAAAATCGAAGATTTAAAGAAGTGGAATAAATCAGCTGTCACTACAGTAGAGAATGAAACTATGTAGAATGGGATGGAAAGATAAGGGACAAAATATGACAGTATAAAACATTCCCACTGAAGTACAGTTTATAGCCTTATATGAAACTTGTGGATTTCCTATAGAAAACAAAGTATGGGAGTAACAAGAATATACTCAGCAACATAATGGATAACTTTAACTGCAATGTAGAAGATTTGATATTAAAAGCAGAATCAGGCACAAGCGTTTGCAGTAGTCTAAGAACAATATGGTGAAGATTTATACCAAACCAGCGGTTCTCAACTGAGGGAGATCCCTCTCACCTATACACAGGAGAAGTCTGGCAATGTCTGGAGACATTTTTGCTTGTCACACCTGGAAAGCTGATACCGACATCTAGATAGAGGCCAGGAGTGCTGCTAAACATTCTGCTTTCCCAACAAAAAAGTAACTCATCCAAAATATCAATAGTGCCTAGTAGAGAAACTTTGTCTGGACAAAGTCTGTGACAGAATAGACAGGGAAGAAGATTGAATTTGATGAACAATTTTGAAGAAATGTAAAGATTAATATAGAATGTAAGGAAAAGGAAAAATTAAGGATCTCTAAAAATTTGTTAACATAGAGGCCCTTAACAAATAAGATCATTATGAATATAATAAAATAGGATGACATTATATTATCCGATCAGGATCTCCAGTAGTTTGTCACCTAGAAGAGATTGAAGGCTAGAAATAGGTTTTTGAGTCAATATATTTTAAGTTATAGTTGAGACCAGGGAATGAATGAGATATTTAAAGAAGAGCATATAGGGTTTGTAATCAGAGATATGCATCAGAAACATCTGGTCCCACTCTGGGATATTTTAAATTGGTAGATTGAAAGTAAGTTCCAAGAATATGTCTCTTTAAATATACTCTCTGAAAGGATAAGCAATACATGTTTAATGGCTCTCTCTATTTGGGGAAGAAGTAGTATAGAGGGACACTTAACCTGTGATGATAACTAGTTTTACATCATTCAGTTGAGATTCACAAAAATATTTTTTATATAATTACAAAAACAAAAATAAAATAGTATCTTCTAAAAATCTAAGGCCAAGTTCAACAATACACCTACCTATTTTTTGAGTTGGTGGCATAAAAGAGAATCCATTCCAAGTGACTTTACCATGTAGGAATATAACTATATGTACCCAGTGGAACTGTGGCTTTGGTAATCATATTGGTGATCACAGTGCTACTCTGAGACTGATGTATATGCATTATAAGCTAATGTAAATACATAATTATTCTTATGTCTGGGACGTGGGAAATGTAAAAATAAGAGATATAGATAAATAATTTGTCAGCTAAGTAAAAATTCTATCTCAGTTATGATGTATTTAGCTTTAAAAATTACATATTTTCTAACTTTGTTGAAAATTAAAGCAAAAAAGCAGCAATTAACATTACCAGTATCAAATTATTGATGTCTCAATACCATTTACCAAGAAAAGACCCCCTGGAAAAATGGCTGAATTCCAAATCTGTTTCTTAATCCCACTTTTTAAAAGATAAACACAAAACAATATAAACATAACACCTTAGATGTTATCTGAGAATGATGATAGGGCACCAATTTATTATTTTAGAAATTGGTAAGAAAGGGAAAGAGATCTTAAATCAGACATTTAACCTTAACTTTCCCATATGTATTGTACCTCAGAATGACAAATTAGCTGGATGAAGGAATTTCATTTAAAAGAAGTAGTCCAGCCAATAAAGGAAGAAGGGAGGTTAGAATTAGACTATCATCATTTTGTGACTCTTACTGACACAATGAATCTAGGCAATTATCTTTAGTTACTGCTAACATTACCAAAAGGAAAACTACCAAACATGACATGCCTTCTGCCCTCCAAAATCTCAAACTTGAAACTGATGGAGCATCTAGATTTATTTTCAGAAACACAGGAAACAAAATAATGTATAAAATAACATCTTGGGAAGATAATCAGCAAAATCTAGTTTGTGGGAAACAAGAGAAACAATCCAATTTCATCAACAACTTAATAATAAAGGGGCAGGGAGCTGCAAAGAGAGAGACACCCAGAGACAGAGTAAGGGGAGAGAGAGAAAATATCTTTTTTTTTTTTTTTTTTTTTTTTGAGATGAAGTTTAGCTCTTCTTGCCCAGTCTGGAGTGCAGTGGCGTGATCTCTGCTCACTGTATCCTCTGCCTCTCAGGTTCAAACGTTCAAACAATTCTCCTGCCTCAGCCTCCCAAGTAGCTGGGATTACAGGTGACTGCCACCTCACCCATGGCTCAAGCCTGTAATCCCAGCACTTTGGGAGGCTGAGGTGGGTGGATCACCTGAGGTCAGGAGTTCAAGACCAGCCTGGCCAACATGGTGAAACCCCATCTCTACTAAAAATATATTTTAAAAAAATTATTAAAAACACATAAGGGATATCAACCACCAACTGGAATACATAGTTTTTATTCTAATTGTTATCCAATCAAGTGAACTGTAAAATAATGGTTTATAATACAGTCAAGTTAATTTTAAAACTAGTTGATAATATCAGAGTTAATGCTAAATTTAGGTGTGATAATGATATGTGACTATATTTTAAATTTGCCTTTTCTAAAGTATTCCTAGATATATTTTTTTGGATGAAACAGTCATTAAATATCTGAGATATTTGGGGGATTGGAAAGTGAGTTGAAGTTTAGAAGAAACAAGTTTCGCCATAAATTGAATTATGGGAGCAGTGTGATGGGGGAGCAGGGCTCATTTTAGTATTTCTTTATACTTTTGTATATGCTTGAACTTCTCAATAATTTTCTAAAGCTTCTCAAGTGATTATATTTTTGCAAGTGACTACTGGTGCATAGTAAGAACGCTAAGACATAGGAACATGGATTTGAAGAATTTGCTGTGACAGGAGTAACATCAGTAGCTGACTTTAAGCTTGACCTTGAGTGCAATTCCAGGAGGTGCTGGGGGAGGCTCTGAAAAGACAGAGATCCAGTATCTGGTCACACTAGAGTTAAGAGCGGACTTATCCAGACAATTTGGTTACTTATTTATTTCATGATTAAAGAAATTACTATCCGTATGTACCTATGTTGGTGTGTGTGTGTGTGCATGTGTATATCTGTTGGGATTCTTGGGGGATTAGCCCCCCTTCAATACCAAAATCCACAGATGCTCAAGTCCCTTATATAAAATGGTATAGTATATGTATATAACCTATGCACATCCTTCTGCATACCTAATACAATGTAATTGCCTTGGAAATAGTTGTTACACTGTATTGTTTAGGAAATAATGACAAGAGAAAATCTGTACATGTTAGGAAGATGAAACCATCTATTTTATCCCCTGAATATTTTTGATCTTTGATTGGTTGAATCCACAGATGTGGAACCCACAGATAAGGAGGGCCAGCATATGTGGTATGTTGTTTTTATTTGATTCTCTTAAGGTTCTTAAAAGTCTTTGAAGGGCTTTGTAATATATTTATTTTAGAAACCCTTTCATAATTCCCCTCATTTCCCTCTTCTCATTCCACCAATTGATATAATACTACATACTTAAATAACTGATTAAATGAGATTTGGTGGGCTTAATTAAACTAGGCTGGATTGGAGATAAACAGGCACACATATGAAATGAAAGAACGTGGATCCTGGACGTAGGACCACAGGAAGGATGGAAAGATTCTTCTGGAATTCAAGGACATGTAGAGTGTTGCAAAACCTTGATTCAATTATATTTTAAGACTCTCATTTCCATAAGTCTATTTAGGGCCCTAAAAGAATTTTTTTATAAAGATGGTTAAATATGCTCATGAAGCTTCGTCTTAATGAGAAAATAATTCTCAACAGAAGAGTCTGCCAGGCTTGTGAAGAAAGGAAGCGGTATGTGTAAAAAATGCTAGCAGGGTTTTAAGTCCTAAGGACATGTGTCTAAGCTTCAATGTCTCTTTAGGATCAAGCAGTGATACACCTTGTTTCCAATCCTCCCAACTCACTCCCTTCACTCCTACCAGTGGCATATCTGATGCCTCTTTATCATCTAAAGTCAAAAACCATCATAAGACCTACAAAAGCCCTGACCATTACAATATTTTTTCATATAATGGGTGCAACACTTTTCAGACACCATGGAGAGGTTTATTCTGATTTGGTTCACCTTGACGCTGGCAATTGGAAAACTGTTATTGGTATATGTGGGTGTTTATAAATAGGTGGTTTAGAAAACAAACTCAGATTACATCTGGCCATTTAAAATGTCCAGTCTCTGACAAGAACCCTCTCCTGAATTGGGCCTCTCTAACTGTCCCTATGAAGCACTGTCCAATGTGTCTGATACTTCCAGTTTCTATGGATAGCATGTAGAATAACCTATTTGGTAAAACACCCCAAGGGTGGAAACATCAAGGTGATTTGTGACCTGGTGAGATAACTTGTCCTCTTCTCTACTCCATCTTACTTTTTCTTTAAACCTCCAGGAAATGTCATTAATTTAGGGCTAAATCCACAGCAAGCCAGTTTTATTTCTGAGCCCCAGTTTCCAAGTTGATCAAATACAAATGCAATTGCTAAACAACCTGATAAGACTGTGAGACATTTTAAGAATCATTTGAAATAATTATACATTTAACAACATAGCAGCGATAACTAGAAAACAAAAATATGAAATGTTAATGATGTTGCCAGTTGATCCCGCTTGTCTAATTTTTAGTTCCTTAGTGCAGGCTTCTCTGAACCCCATTGTGGAATAAATATTTACAGTGTTGGGCTTCATTGTGTACATTGTTCTAAGTGTGTGCCCTCAATTTAACAGTCCTGAATCCGTAAGTATACCCCATTCTCTCCTAAACAGATGACAACCTGGACATTACTTAAGGTTATGCTTTTCAGGACCCAAGAGTCTATTTAAACACACACTGAATACTGGATGTCTTAATAAAGATGTCTTGAATTACCTTGGAATAACTGAACCATTCAGAAGATGGTAGATTTTTCCACATGGCACTGAAGTCTATGGTATAACAGTCACGTCATGTGACGGAGGCACCATGTGACCAGGGACAAATGGTTCTTAAAACCCAGAAAGGTTAAGGGTGGTCAGATCCTGACTGTGCCCATTGTATTTCAGTAATTGCCACTCAGTATTTGATTTAATGGAAGCTGAAGGAATAAGAATGTTTCTCTAGACATGGCTGTGATGCTGATTTTTACTATACCATTCTCTGTCTTCCGAAATTACATTTGGAAACCTCTGTTTTCTATTATAGAATGACTTTCATTCTCCCTGCTTTCTGCACACATTCTCCAATCTCTCAGTGGCCTCATTAAATACAACTACTGTAAATTGTAAATTATACGGTCTCTGGTTAACTAGTTTGTCCTGTTCTGATCTAAAGAGGCAAATTCCACTGTATATACAGGGCAAAATATGTGCCTGTCATCCTTACTTGTTAGGCTATCCAGTCTTCTTTACAGGTCATTTTGTTAACTCCAATTATGTGTGTCTTGGAGGGATCCTATGTATGTGCATTTAAAAACACCTTGTTCTATTTCTTCAAATTTGAGCTAGGAAAAGGTGTTCTCTGCTTCTATAAAATACCCATTGATAATAATAAAGTCAGAGAGTCTGGAAGGAGCTATTTTCATCACATTCAGCTCTTCAAGTTATACAAGCCTCCACAGGTAATACCAGTGGAAAATAATCATTAGAGACATCCTATGGGAACTGAAATTCCAAAGCAGGGGCTAATTAGTCATCCTTAGAGTATTACCTATTGTTCTGTTGCTAACTTGGTCTTGGAGAGATTCCAAAACTTGAAGATCCAGGATACAAATTTATTCTCTTAGTAATATTTACAGTAATTTTAGTCCATGCTACAGTTAGATGTTAACTACATTCTTCCCTGACTGTAAAGCGTGTGTGTGTGTGTGTGTGTGTGTGTGTGTGTGTGTGTAATTGAATAAAAGCAAAGAAGAAAAGAAAAACAAACAAAAAACCCTGACTGTATCTGTAATATCATACCAAATGCCCTTTTGAGTTTCTTGACACCAAATTAAATCTTCTATTCTTTGTTTTCTTGATCTAACTGGGACCAGCAGCCAAAGGCGATGAAAATCTACAAGATAAATTATTCTGATTTCCAATGAGGTTGTGGATACTACAAAACTTACAAGAGAGACAGACCCTGCATACCATAAGTTCTGAAGAACATCAAAGCAGTAGGGGTTTCTCAGAAAATTTGGAAGTCCCTAGATTACTATTTGAATGCCCGTTGAATCACTTCAAATCCTTGAAAAGGCAACTTTGAAGGAGGGTGAAGGAGGTTAATAATTAATAATGTAGTACATAGCTTCAACTGGAGCAATTTAAGCATTCAATAAACCAACACACAGCTAAAGCTAGCTCATTAGTAATAGGACAACTGAAAATTGAAGAAAAAAGTTAGAGCAACACGGGTTTTTTTTTTTTTTTTTTTTTTGGCTACAGCAGTCAGAAGTGTCTTCAAAAGCAGCAAGAATAGATAGCTGTCTTTGAGTATAATTTGAGAGGAAGTTGGAAAGCTACAGGGCCCCAAAATAGCTCTACTATGAACTTGCCACTTATGCCAAATTCTGAGATTTAACACATTTTGAAAGAAGCAGCCTGTAACATTTATTCCAAGTGAATTTATCAAGTCCTATTGAAACCAACATTAATTTGGGAATGAGTAGAAATATTTTGAATACCTAAACAGGAGTTGAAAAAAGAGAGAAAGAGAGCAACCAAGAAGATGTGATTGGCAACTAATGTAAAGTAAAAGAATAGGCTGGATTAGGAGATTCAGAAGCCACCAAAACTGCAAAGATCCTGGCACCAGTATCATATGTAATTCTAAAAAAAAAAAAAAAAAAATCTATTACATAGATCAAGGAAATTCCAAATGCTGACAATGTTCCATTGCATATTTTGAACTAATTCATTGAGCTGACTATATTGTGTCCTCTGCCCATGCTTTGCCTTCTGATCAGGTATTCCCAAACAGGCTGCATATTTTGATAGATGAACTGCACTGAAAGGGGTCATGGACAAATCCTGAATATTTCCTGCTTTACAATTTTGCCAGCAGACTCCAGATTCAGGTAAAAAGAGACTCCTAGTGATACAGAGACCAAAAGCATGTAAAGGTACTGCAAACAAACAAACAAACAAAAAACACCAGAAAGTTTTGCCTTTACCTGATCTAAGAGGAATCAGATGAAGCCCTAAGCCTCAGAGTACCCATCCTTCTATATTAAGTATCTGGCATTCCATGGGCCCCTTCTTATGGAGATATTAGGCAAACATGGGTAGTATTAATGAGGGCAGGAAGAGTTTGACTATTGAGAAAACTTGGTGTATTAATCCATTTACACGCTGCTGATAAAGACACACCCAAGACTGGGTAATTTATAAAGAAAAAGAGGTTTAATATTCTTACAGTTCCACATGGCTGGGGAGGTCTCCCAATCATGGCAGAAGGTGAAATCCCCATCTTACATGACAGCAGGTAAGAGAGAGAATGAGAACCAAGCGAGAGGGGTTTCCCCTTATAAAGCCTTCGGATCTCATGAGACTTATTCACTACCATGAGAATAGTAAGGGGGAAACCACCCCCATGATTCAATTATCTGCTGCCAAGTCCCTCCCACAACACGTGGGAATTATGGGAGCGACAACGCAAGATGAGATTTGGGTGGGGACACAACCAAACCATATCACTTGGTAAACTCCAGGTACAAACCTTACATCTCTTCAGAACCAATCATCCCCAAACTTGCCTAGACCTCATAATCACTCAAGAGAACTCTGCTCTGGATCTGTCTAGTCAGAATTTCCTCCACAGAAGTTCTGGTCTGGCTCCTTTTAATAAATTCTTCAGAGGATTCTTCTGCTCTCAGCCTGGCTCTTTCCTGTGGCCTGACAGTTGGGAGCCACTGTTCTTTATTCTGTAGTTTGTTCTGGACCTTTTATGTTTCAAGTCATAAATCATATTCCCAAGAGCACTTTCAGCAACTTTTAGACTCTATTCTTTCATTTCTTTTAAATTCTCATTTCCTCAATGCCCTTTGCCTGTCGTAGGGATCTTATTCCCAACCCACATACATTTTCTGTGGCTTTCAAGTGTATTTTATAAAAAGGACTCCATACGTGCTAGTTAACAGAAGCTGAATCCCCCAGCAGCGCCACAAATGCCTCTCTGGTGAAGTAACTCAGCCCATGGGGTTACTGGTACCGAGTTTTAAACAGAAGGTCAAATATCATGTCAGAAAATCAGAAGCTAGTGATATCTGTTTGTGAGATTCATGGCAGAACAGTAAAAATAAAGTATTGGGTAGGGAGATCTAGGCTCCAATTCAAGTTTTTGTACTGATTTGTTGAACAACTTGAACAAGTTATTAAATCTCTCAGATTCTAAATTTCTTCATTTGCCATTTGAGAGCTTTCTCGTTTGCTTTATCTGCATCTAAGGGGTCCTTGAGGGTCATATTAGTAGAAAGTGCTTCCCAATTGTAACGTACTGTTATTAATCCAAGAAACAGCTTCTAAGATCCACTTTTTTAACCTTTAGGTCAAATTTTTTTCTGTTGCTTTGCCATCTTCTAACTCTCAGTGCTCCTTCTCATGAGTGGAGATGGAGAAGGATCTGGCATGCCAGAGAATTATGTTATCCTTAAGAACCTGAGTAAAGGAAAGGAAAAACAGAGTTTCTACTTTTTTACTCCTTGTATTAGTTTCCTAGGACTATTGTAGTAAATGAGCACAAACTGGTGGCTTAAAACAACAGAAATGTATTCTCTTACAGTGCTGGCAGACAGCAGTTTAAAATCTGGGTGTTGACCCAGTTGCACTCCCTCCAAAGCTGCTCAGGTAAAATCCTTCCTTTTCTCTTCAAGTTAGTGGTGGTTGCCAGTAATGCTTTGTGTTCCTTGGTTTGGGGCAGCTTAACTCAAATTTCTGCCCTCATCTTTACACGGCTGTCTTCTCTCTGTGTATACATGTATCCACATTCCTCTCCTCTTATAAAGACACAAGTCATTAGATTAGGATCGGTCTTAATGCCTTGTAACCTCATCTTAACTTGATTACATCAGCAAAGATCCTACTCTGAAATGAAGTTATGAAGCAGGAGAATAGGGTCTGGAGGCAGGGAACTGAAAGGCTTCCTAGAACTAAATCAAAGGTAAAAACCCCAACTTTCTAAGACCAAGTAAATGACTTCGTAACTCTACTTCAGCTATGATGGAAAACATCCTCTTCATTTGCATAGGATGTACAACAAGCAAGTAACTTTGTAACCTCTCTTCATCCACTTCATTTGCATTAGAATGTCACCCATGGGGACGGGAAAGCTAAATCAACTCATCTGAAAATAAACCTATTTATCAATAAAACCATTTTTATAGTGCTAACAGATATAGGGTATACGCCAAGTAAATAACTTCATAACTTTAGTTCGGCCTCTTCATTTACACTCGGGTGTATACCAAGTAACCAATGCGAAACCTGTAGAGGGCATTTAAACCCCAGAAAATTCTGTATCTTGGCTCTTGAGCCACTTGCTCAGGCCCACTCCCACCCTGTGGAGTGTGGTTTCATTTTTCAATAAATCTCTGATTTTGTTGCTTCGTTCTTTACTTGCTTTGTCTGTGCGTTTTGTCACATTCTTTGTTCAAAATGCCAAGAACCTGGACACCCTCCACTGTTAACAGTTATCCAAGCAGATTTTGGGTGGACATGCTTTTGAGAGACCATTAAAACCAGTACACTTCTGTGGATTGTTTTTCTCTCTTTTCTTGAGCCTCCTTTATAACTGATTTTTCCAATCAAAACTTTGAATTTCTTATCAGAAAGTATACAAATTAGGAAGAATCCCAACTCTTTTATTTTAGTATGAAAATGAATCATGGCAGAAAACTAGAACTAGAGGGTTAAAATCTACATTGAAAGAAGAAATAAATTTCTGTTGGAGGGGATGGAAAGGCCTTAGTACTACTGAAAGGGGTGTGAAAACACAGCTGTTTAATCCATGAAAGCTAGGGGATATTTTCTACCTGCATTAAAATATTTGAATAAAGATTACAAGACAAAGTGGAATTACAAAGTTATTTGGTGAATGTCACCCATGGGGACAGGAAAACTAAATCAACTCATCTGAAAATAAACCTATTTATTAGTAAAACCATTTTTATAGTGCTAACAGATTATAATTTTAGATAATATATCAATAATATTAATATATATTAACACACATAATTATATTAATATAAATATATTAATAATATATAATCTATAATTATTTATATGTAATTACTGTGATGTTTGTGTATATATTTTATATTTAAATAGCTATTTAAAATGTATATATTTCATATATATGTATCAAATTACCTCAAGTTTCATTTTTTTTTTTTCCTTATATGCAGAACCAGAACCTGATTTCTGCGGGAAATTTAGTGGAAAAAGAAAGGTTATGGATGTATAAACTTCACATTCAAACATCACAACATTTCATCAAAGGTTGTTAATTGAATAAAATATAAGCATTTAAACTCGGTTACATAAAATGAGTCTGAATCTATATTGCTCTTCTTTCTTGTCCTACTCAGTTAAGTTCAGAGCTAAGTTTAATTGTACTAAAACCATATTCTATTTTTTTGTTTTGTTTTGTTTTGTTTTGTTTTGTTTTTGAGACAGAGCTTTGCTCTTACTGCCCAGGCTGGAATGCAATAGTGTGACCTGGGCTCACTGCAACCTCCACCTTCCAGGTTCAAACAATTCTTTTGCCTCAGCCTCCGGAGTAGCTGGGATTACAGGCGCCTGCCACCACGCCCTGCTAATTTTGTGTATTTTTAGTACAGATGAGATTTCAGCATGTTGGCCAAGCTGGTCTCGAACTCCTGACCTCAGGTGATCTGCCCGCCTCAGCTTTCCAAAGTGTTGGAATGCTAAAACCATATTCTTAATGACAATATAATGTCAGAGTTTATTGTTACACTAGAGTTCCCCTCCTTACCTATAGCTTTTTAGTTTCAATTCCTGGAGTTCTAACAAGTGTGTGGTATATATTTCTCTATTTCATTGCAAAATATGCTATAACACGTAGAAGAAGTTGGTGGTATGAAGTATTAGGTTGAACTACATGAAATTGATTACGTTTAACTTTTTTATCTACCAGAAAGTTAAATTCATATTGTTCAAATCAATATAAATACATACATAAATAAATAAATAAACTGAAACAAGAAAATAATAACTATCGGGAAATTCACCACAAACGAGTTTGCCACATGTCCATTTCTGATAGAGTACTAGAGTGTTTTATTAATATGTGTAAAAGGCATTCAGCATTAGTTCATTTATTGAATATTTATTGAGTCTTTTTAATGTGCAGAACACCAGGAGAT
This sequence comes from Homo sapiens, assembly GCF_000001405.40. NCBI lineage: Eukaryota > Metazoa > Chordata > Mammalia > Primates > Hominidae > Homo > Homo sapiens. Next base: position 84,970,610 of record NC_000014.9, on the reverse strand, counting down.
ATGCCAATAGAACATGTAAAACAGGTGTTTATGCCCTCAAATAACTTGGAATCCAATTGGAGTGAAAGCCAACATAGCCAAAAAAATTGTTTTAACATTCAAATGACATTTACAGAACCTTTAGGATGCTTCAAGTGCTGTGCTAGGCTCTGAGAGGCAATAGTGAGCAAAACATAGAACATGATCCCTGTTCTCATATTCTAGAAGTTCAGATTGACCTTAGTCACATAAACTCAAAATTTATCTACCAAGATCAATACGTCAAAAAAATGCAGTGTTAAAGGAACTTATAATAAATAAAGATCCGATATAATTTTTTGGACTTCAGCAAACTAAACGTTGGGTAAGAATTAACTAGATTAAGCTGTGTGAGTGTGTTATGGATATGGACAGGAGGCAGAGAAATACTGGGTGGAAGAGGGTGGTGTCCCTGGCGAGGGCTCCACCCTCAAGCCTGGACCTGCAGCCCAAAGTGAGAACTAGCCCTGTTTTCCCACCCGAATGCTGCCCTCTATCCTGTGCCCATAAGAATCCCAAATCCCCGACTCAGTAGACACACACAGACACACACATACACAGAAGAGAGAAACATCTGAACATCAAGAAGAGAAGTAGCAGCTAGAAGTCAGAGACCACGGTCAGAGAAGAGTTCAGCCGGGGATGGCCGGACTCCAGGGGAAGATTATCTTCCCTCTCTACCCCCTTTACAGCTCCCCTTCCCACTGAGAGCCATTTCCACTACTCAGTAAAGACCTCCACATTCACCAGCCTTCAATTCATTCATGTGACCTGATTCTTCCTGGATGCCAGACAAGAACTCGGGTACCAAGAGGGCAGGGTGTAAAAGACTGTCATCCTGCCCCTCCACTGAGCTGGTTAACACTTAGTCATCTGTGGATGACAAATGCTAAAAGAGCACTGATTGTGACACATGCCCTCTGGGGCTCCAGGGTTCGCAGACACCCACTCCCAGATGGCAGAACTAAAAGAACATTGTAACATACTTGGATGCTGCCACGGGGCCCTCACCGTGCCTGTTCCCATCAGAGAGGAGCTGGTGCATTTATTTGCTGGAACCATCCACTCATGTGCTCCCTGCCATAAGAGATTGAGTGCAGCGGCTGAGTAAACGAGCCACCCACTTCACAAGTCCCGCAAAAGCATCAAGGAAACTATCCTGTTTCATTATTATTGGTGGTGGGGATTTCTGTCAAGAGGAAGTGCTTGCTCCAGGAACTGTAAGGAGCAGAGTGAAGGATGCAAGATGGCAATAGAAGGATCGGCAAACCCAGGCAAAAGACGGCCTGGAAAGTTTCCTTAAGGATGTTGTCTTTCTCGTGAAATCTCTGGGAAACCATTAAATACTCATGCAGAAAGGCTTGGAAATCCAATTTGCATTTTAAAGATGTCTTTCCCCCCAGCATGGAAGCAAGAATGGATTAGAGGAAAGCTAGATTGAAGGCAGGGTATAGGCTAAAGATTTTTGCAGGAAACTCAGATACAGGTTGTGGCAATAGGAATGAGGGTGATCTTTGCTATAGCAGGGACGTCCGTAGAGCATTGCTGAACCACAGACCAGAGGTATATTTCCCAGAGTTGCTGTGTGTAGAGTAGGCTCAAAGATCATGTCCCAAAAGCATTGCAAAAGTTAAATGAGACTCTCACTGCATCTGCAAATTCCTGTTATACTATCACTTTGCATAGTCCAATGCGATTTGAAGGAGAAGTTGAGACTAGACAAGCATTCAGGTTGTTCCCCCAACTGTGTGTATTTACAAGTTATTTTATCATTCTGGGCCTCAGTTTCCTAATTTGAAATATGAAAACATAATGCATTCTCTACTTCATAGGAATAATATTTTAATCACATAATAGAATGAAAAAGCAATTTGACCAAGGAAGGAATATTGTAAAAATGTAAGTTATTAATTTTTTTGCATAATTGTTGAAAGCCTATCTTTCTAAAATATGGGAGGAAGGGAGAAAATAGGACTGAATATTGCTTCTATGCTCAGAGAAAAAGATATTACTGTCTCCCTTTTCATTTTGTAAGTTTAGAGGTTTTAATTCTGAGCATTTTGTAGAAAGCTCCATACCCTGTGGGTGCTAAATAACTACTTGTCAACTGACCTGTTATTAAATGTTACTTTTAATCACCTTGCAGAGAGAATTTAAAGTAGGCTACAGAAGGACAGTCTTGATAACCTAATGGATCTTAAAATTTCTCTAAGTCTGCTGTATTGCATTTGAATTCATAAGCTATTACACTTTAATTTCTTGAGAGAGAAGCTAGCGCTCCATGAGCTTTTTCTACAATAAAGAATTTTGGAAAAAAAATATCTTTCAAAGGAACAATTATTTCTTTCCAAGGGAACAATTATTTCTTTCACAGGATGACCTTTCCTTCAAACACCTCTAGTTGGTAAAACTTCATAAGTTTTACGGGGGAAATAAATTCTGTAGAACAGTGTCTGTATCACCTTTTCCAAACAAAAGAAAGGAAAGAGATAATTTGAAAAAGTGATACAAGAAAAACCCAAATTTCAAAGCCAGATCTTATAAAGTCTCTGCACATAGAACATTTAGTTTCACCAATTCATGGGAAAGGTGCATCCTGTTTTACAGTGGCTGTCTGAGTACCAAAGTCTCCAGGTAACTGATATTGCAGTTCTCAGAACTGTTGTGATGAGCTGGGATGAGTCAGGTGGTATATCCTTCCTTCTGGATGCACTGAAACTTCCTCCTTAAAAGCAGAACAATGATCTGTAACCTTTGGTTTAATGGGGTCTCATGTGCTGGGCTTTCAAAAAGCCAATGATCAAGTAAAATCTGGAGCAACTCACCAACTGTTCAGATGCTTACTTTTCCTAGTACCAAACTCTGGATGACTTGTAATCATCTAAACGAATGCATTTTCTAGATTCTGGCAGCTTCCAAATATCTACAGTTTTCAAAGATCTTGTCATTAAGATCAGGCCTTTGCAATTAGACAGAGATGGAGGCAATACATGGATAACCACCTACCAGCAATAAAACTTTACTTAAATTCTCTAAAACTCAGTTTCCTCACTTGAGAAGTGGGGATATAAATGATGTCAAACCCATATGCTTATGGGCAGCAGGATTAAAAAAGAAAAGCTTTCTGCTCATTACTGGGCACGTGGAACCACCCAATACATATGAGCTATAGTCCTGAGTCCTCTCTCTTTGTCTTGTGGATGGCTGTCTTCCAATGTCTTCACATAGCCTTTCCTCTGTCTGCACCTGTGTCCTAACCTCCTCTTATAAGGAGAGTAATCATATTGGACCAGTGCCCACCCATATTACCACATTCTTTCTTAATCACCCCTTTAAATCCCTATCTCCATATAATAGTCACATTCTAATGTTCTGGAGTCTAGGATTTTCATATAGGAATTTTGAGGGAACACAATTCAACCCATAACAAGGTCTCATAAGACCAAAATTAAGGTGACAGTTGATACTATAGTCTCTTGGGGTCCCTTTTGAACCTCATTGGTTGTGGACAGAATTCATTTTGGATTAGGCTAAGTTGTTAGAAAGGAAAAGATAATTTAATGTTAGATAGATTGATAGATAATGTATACAAAAATGTAATATATGTAAAATGTATAAACATATTGTTATATGTATATATAACATACCCACCTCTGAAATATACCTTTTTAGACAATTTGAAATATTTTATTTTTATATTCTTAATGAATGGGTTTCCTTTCATTGCCCAGGCTGGCCTAGAACTCCTGGGCTCAAGCAATCCTCCTCAGGCTCCCGAGTAGCTGAGAATAAAGGTATGTGCCACCACACCCAGCTTAGAAACTTAAAGCAAAAGTTCTTTTTAATTAAGAAGCTACTAGGGTGATTTGTAGAATAAGACAGAAGTCAAACTCTGGAATGAATCATAGATACATTTTAGATCACACACTTATCTATAAACATAAAATAAACCTTCAGTGGACCTTGATACTAATCTCTCTAGGTTCTCCTCCCTACTGAATTTTTATCTCTCTTAACCAGTCTGGAGAAAAAAATAATAATAATGATCTTTGTCTTGTTTCAGCACCCCCTATTCTTCTGTTTGGAGTAGGGACTTTTTAAATGACATTGTTAGTAAGACTTTCTCTAAAATTGTACACTTGCTCAATAATTATGAAGTATTCATCAGTTCCTAGTTATGGAAGTTTTGAATTGCATTCTGTTATGTGATATAAAAATGCTTTTAAACTCAGTAAGTTCTCAATAAAAGAAATGTGTATGTTCCAGTGCAGGGCTCTCTCTCTTTCTCTGTTTCTGTTGATCTTTGTTCTTCCTGTTGCATACACACTCTGTGTTCCCAATTTTGTTATGTCTGGCTTGATCAGAAATCCTTACATACGGAGCTGAAGAGAAACATCATTTCCTGTTTGCGATTGGGCAAATGCAAAGAAAAATGATCATTTATTGAGATTAATGGTAAATCTTTTCCTGTTCACCTAGCTTCTCAGATCCAGAGCAACAATTTAGCAACTGTATTCTCTTTAAATTGATGAGATGGGTCAGATCGTATTTCTTATGATACTTGGATATCCTAATATTACTGAATTAAACTGTGATTGAGTTTAAATAATGTTAAGAAAAACTCCACTAGTAGACTTTTTAGTTCTTGGTATTCGTCTTCCTTAGTCTGCTCATTCTCTAGTCCACTCACTTAAATTTCTTTTTCATTTCCTCCTGATATTTTTTTTAATTCTGGTATAGTATTCTTTTGATTATACATTCAAACATGTTCCTCTTACATGTTTTGAGAAAATCTGAATGTAAGTTCATATAATTGCAAACAATTTCACACAATATGGATTTGAAATCTAGACTGTAAATTTATTAGATGCATTTAAGTTTTAATACAAAATGTTCTTATAATATAATCACTAGTGGAATTAGCTTTTAATCTTGTTAGACAAAGTTTATAAGATGTCATTATTTTCGATGAGGCTCCTGCTCTAGGCCTTAGCACCTAAGGTTGACTCCAGATCAAACCAAAATGGAGTCACTTTTGCAAAGTGTCATGTAATCAAACTGAATTTTCAAATAAGCTTGTTTTCTAAAAACCAGGAGATTCTAGTGAACCTGAGTCAGCACAATCAGGCACTTTCCTCTGTTTTAAGCCTATAAGGAAAGTACCTTTGACGTGAACAATTTTCTTGTTCCTTGTTTCTGATTTCTTTAGCCATTTTCTGGCTATAAAGCTAAACTTTTCTGCTCGACTTATTGTAATACTCATTCTACTTTGTAGAAAGAACTGTTGCCCGATTCTAGAATCACAAATAAAAGCCAACTAGATCTTTAAATTAGATTTGTTGTGATTTTGTCATTTGATAGTCAATGTAACTAGTTAGTCCTAAGAAATTTTTGCATGTCTACATTGACTTTCAATAATTTTGAGAAGTAACTACATAGATTTTACTCATTCAAGTAGAAACTTGGAATGTACTTTCTCCAGAAAGTGTCAAATCAAGAGCTATAACTTTATTAGTACATAGCAATAAATTCCTCATATCAGATTCTGGTTTAAAAATACAATATAAGACAATGCAAGCTTAAGGGTGTGGAAAACTAAGTGTATTTGATATACTTTCGTTTTTCAAAAAGTTTATTACCTTAATGCCACATTTTACAACATTCCATGGACCACTTGCATCAGAATCACTTGAGCTGATTACTTTTTGTTCAGTTTTATTTTTTAACTCAGATATATGTGGACTCTGACATAGTGAATCGGAATTCTATGAGAGAGACTCTTATTGAAGAATTTTCAGTAAGTTCGTTAAGTCATTCAGCAAACATCTCAGTGTCTACCATGTACCATCCATTGTTATAGGACTAGTGATACAACCACAACTGCTACCTGTCACAGAAAACTACATTCTATTTGATGGGAGACAAGTAAACAACAAATTAATTTAAAAGTAATTATAATGTCCGATGTGGTAAGTGCTATGGATAAAAATAAAGCATCTCAAAGGGTTAGGGACTACAATTAGAAGGAAGAGGAGGAGGAGATTTCAATTTCAAATAAAATAATAAAGGAATGTATCATAGAGACAAGGCATGAAGGAAGAGAGGGGAAAATCCAGTAAGATATGTAAAAGGAAGGACTTTCCAGGCATAATAAATGAGAGCTGAGATGAGAGGAGCCCAATATGTCTGAATAAGAGCAAGAATACTAGGGTAGCTGAAGTGAGCTGAATGCAGCAGAGACAGTATTTCTGGGTCCATAAGAGAGTGAATTTTGCAGACATACTGCTTGGTGACAACCACTCACTTGCTGTGTGACCTCTGCCAAGCTTCATAATTGCTCTGTGTCTCAAATACTTCATCTATAAAATGGGAGCAATAATTGTGCCTACCTTATTGAGTTGTTATGAATGTTTTATATTTGCAACTGCTTGGTACTCATAAAAATAAAGAATAGAACCAGAAGATGGGTTCAGAAAGGCAAGAGGTACCCAATCTGTAGAATATTTACTTTCTCTCTGAGTTGAGAAACCAAAATAGGTTTGAGTTGAGAAATGGTGAGATCCAACATACATATTAAGCAGGACAAAGTTTTGTATTTTTTTTTATTCCTGATTAAGGAATTCCTCGGAAAGAACACCTTGAATTTTTGATCCAGCATGTCATTTATTTTATTTTATTTTTGTGGCCTTCAACATCTGAATATCAAAAATCTCCTGTGTTTAAAATACCCTCAAGTATTTCCAAGGGTTAATGTATGTTCCAGCACCTGTTATTCCGGTCATGAATAGTAGAGCACCACTCATACTTTCCTTGTTGCTACAACGTAACACAAATCTGTCATTTCCGAAGTTCTTGACCTGCACTTTCCTTGTCCCATATTACAGGATATATATGTTTGTCCAGCTTATCTCACTGTGTTACTTGAACGTCAACTGAGATAAAATACACATTAGCTCATTGAAAATGGTAAAACTCTGTAAAAGCAAATATTTGATAACCCATGGTGTTATTCTGGTCTTTTTGAGTTTTATAGCATTGGGCCAATTACAGCGGGTCCCCAAATTGTGATAGTTCAACTTACAATTTTTTTTAAAGACAAGTTTTCACTCCATTGCCCAGGCCGCAGTTACAAATTGACACTAAAATTGTGTGAAAGAAATACACATTCAGTAGAAACTATATTTCCAATACCCATACAACCTTCTTTTTTTTGTACTTTCTGTATTCAATACATTACATAAAATATTAAACACTTTTTTTATAAAATAGAATTTGTGTTAGATAATTTTGCCCAACTACGGGTTAATGTAAGTGTTCTGACCATGTTTAAAGTCAGCAAAGCTAAGGTATGATGACTGGTAGGTGAGGTTTATTAGCTAAGCTATGATGTTTGGTAAGTGAGGTCTATCAAATGCATTTTCAACTTACAATATTTTCAACTTACAATGGGGTTTATCAAGATGTCATTCTGTTGTAAGTCATGGAGCACCTCTACTTTTATATCCCATTTTAAAATTTAAACAGAAAAGCTCCACTTATCCTTTCACATACATCTAGCTGAGTTATCCCTAAATCTACCATTGTTAGGTGTCTTCTTTTTTCTGGAATATTAAGGAGTCAGATTTGTCCAATCACAAAGGATTTAAGCAATGCCTATTACACTTCACCTCCTCCACCATGTCTGCCTCTGGCAAGCTGGCTGTCTGTTTTTCCAAAATTGCTGTTTGCAAAGTATCCATTTCTACTTTCATTCATTTCCCCTCTCACTTTCAGAGAAGATTGAGGACAATTTCCTATTTGCCCACTTGTAAATTCAACTATTTCCTACTTGTACTTTTGAAATTATTTAATTGTGTCATGCACTGTGCCAAATTCTATTTTGGTCTTCATTTTAAGAGTTACTAGTTAATCTGAGGGTTGCCATTTTGGATTTTGAGTACCTAAACCAGTATGTCAAACACTGAGCACCCAAACACCTAGACAACTATAGAACTGAAGTTGCCTGAAGCAAAGGCAAGCGCAGCATCGTGGATGGGCATAGAAGCCCTAAAATTGCAGATGGCCCCAAATAAAACTATGACCAAGAACTCATGCCCGCTGATGCAAGTTTATTTGCTAGTTTGGGGATGAAAATGAGATTGAGACTGGAGACAAGTTGAGTGTTTGGTTGATGCTTAGATAATATAGAAGCATGTCAGGGAATCTGAGTCTCAGGATTAAGGTTGGAGAATGAGAATACAATAAAATCATGTCAATGTTTAGCATAGGAGAATAAGTATGTGATTGTACATATTTAACTTAGTATTCTCAGGCCTTTCTACCTTGACTATTCATTGAGAACTGGGCTGTATTCTATCACCGAAAATGGATGTCCCTTCTGTTTAGTTACTAGTTTCCCACATGCCATTCTTTTTCCGTTTTTATTCTTTTATTTATTTTTTGTCTCTCATCAAAGAGCAATACAACTTTGGTTATAAACAGCAAGCGCTACGAATTGCCAGCTGGATGCTCTACTTGTAGGCAATGACAATAAGAAGAGGCTGATGAACAAAAGCTCATGTTGCTGATGAGAAGCAATTAAGGGAGCAAGTAAGGACAAGCGTTCCATTTGAGACAGACAAGCACACAGAAAGTGAGAGAGAGAGAAAGAGAGAGAGAGAAAGAGAAAGAGATCACCAGGCCATTCAGACTTTACAAAGCTGGTCTGTTTTCCTCCCTTCAAGTGCCTAAAGATGCCAAGATTCCTGACATACTCAATTTAATTTTCCCCGGATTAATCCCATCCTTCTAAAAATAGCCAAGCCTAAAATAATGATGATGTCAAACACAGAAGTGGTTCTTAGCCCTGGGAATAGGAGGACAGCAGGGCCATGGAGCTGCACAGCAGCTTGTTAGAATGATGTCTGCAGTGGCATGATGGAGCCTGGAGACAGTGTCTGTGGGAATTCCAGCAGCAGGCTTCAAGCCTTCTATCACATGGCGCTTGCATGTAAACTCATGAAACAACTCAAAAAATACGTTTGCGCTCACAAATATCACTGCAATGGTTATTGAAATTGTACTTTCAAAATCTAATGTCTCCAAATTACTTAGTATCTCCACTCTTAATGAATTTAGGGTTATTTTTTAGAATCACTCCTCTCAGGTTTCTTCAAGTTCTCCTAAGCAAACAGTGATGCTTTTTTTTTTTTTTGCTAATCTTTGGTGGAAAATAATGCTGCTTTCATTTTTTCATTTGCTGACCGAACCTGCAAAACTCTTGTTATTTACAATGTCAGTATCAGCAATGGGGAGGCAGTAAATACAAGGCTTAGGACAGCAAGTTCTAGGAGTCAGGAAGGCCTGGGTTCAAATTCCAATTCCATGGCTTACTGAATGTAACTTAGCCAGGCTACTTGAGCTTGGTAAGCTTCAGTTTTCTCAATGATAAAAAAAAAGATAAACATAGTATCTAAATAAGAGAGTTCTTAGAAATTCAAGAGGGGAAAAAGAAGCATATACAGTGACTGGTAAATAGTAAACAGTCAGGAAAGTTACGTGTTATCATAAATTCTTAAGCTAAAGCATTCCTAAGCAACATAATTAAATGATGTGTGGCTTTGAATGGGGTGTTTCTTTAATTCTTTATTTAAAAATTAAAAACATAAAGAAGTAAAAACTAAGCTAAACTTTTCTTTCCCTTTTTGATGTTTTATTTTACTTTATAACTAAAACATTGCTCAGGACTAATTATATCCTTGATTTTAACTTCAGTTTTGTTGATGATGAAAGATAGAGAAAAGGATTTCAGCACCTGGGGTGGGGAGGATAAAATGGTTTATTATTTGGTGGAAGAAAAAAAATAGTAAGAAAGTTATTTATAGTCATCAATCAATAATTACACAATTTTGAATCAGAAATGATTGATTGGAAAACGAGTTTTGAGATTTAATGAAGTAGAGGAATGCTAATTGCTATAAGCACCCTGAGTTTGCCCTCACTGCTACCATCAGGTCATTTTTCAGGTATCTGTGTGTGCCTTACCCTTCTGGTTTAGAAAATGATGCTGCTTCCCATTATTTACAAGGCGTGGTTAAAATCTGAAACCTACTTTAAAAGTACTGTCACTCTGAGAGTTTTGCAAAGTAAGAGAGTTTGCAACGATAAGGAAGTTAAGTAATTTCAAAGACAGTTTCTACTACAATGTAGATGTCAACATTATGCCAAATACACCCATTAACTGAAAATCCTGCTTTTGCATCAGCCTACTCAGGCTTGTGGCTTCGTCTGCATATGCGAATGTGTTTGTGTTCACTGCCAAGTATGCTTTGAGTTGGTGAACACAGATGCCACAACGAAGGCTGAAAATACTGGGTTTTTAAAAAATGTTACATCCTGAATTTCTGCCTGGGCCCCCTGTGTGTTTTATTCTTAATTGAAATGTTCATATGAAAGGAAAGATGATTATGTACTTCCTTTACTGGCTGCAACTAAAGAATATGCTAGTACTCAGAGCTGGTGCACACCTCTGCTGGGCTTTGAATTCCTTTTAATGGACTTACACATTTCAAACAGGAAATACTAACAAGACTCTTTGTTTCATTAACTGCTGCCGAAAGAATGCACAGGAAAACAAGACTGCCCGTTTCTGAATTTGCTTGTCCCATTCATGTTACTGCAGATGGGTGCTAAGAGGACCTTTGAAAACTAGCTACTCTTTGGAAATGAGCGAGCTGAACCCAAACTTGCTCCCACCCACATGCACCCTCTCCCCAAAACTAACTAGTTCACGTAACACAAGAATGTCTCTGCTCAAAGACTGAGTCAATAAAAGCAAATATCCTTCATAACTCAAAAAAATTCCTTGGACCAGCTCTGTCAGATTCTTAACTTTAAGACTGAGCCTGTAGGGATTGCCCGTTTTTTAAGGAGATCACCAGAAGGAAACATAAAACTTAATTGTCATCCATATTTATGGAAATAAGCATATGCCACTTGTCACCAGTTTCCCACTAGTCTCAATAATTATGTTTTGGGAAGTGCTTCCATTGTCTACTGCTGTGTGACAAACTCCAGGACTTAGTGACCTAAAACAACAGTTATTTTATTTGTCCATGATTCTTTGGGCCAGGAGTGTGGGCAGGGCTCAACTGGGTGGTTCATCTGTTTTATATGGTGTCACTGAGATGGATGAAAGTTCCAACATGGCTTCATTCACATACCTAGCAGATGGTGCTGGTGACGGGCTGGCATTTCAGACTAAGCCTGTATTCTCCTTCACATGGCTACTTTGTCTTCTTCACAGCATGGCAGCTCGCTTTCAAGAAGGAGCATTCCATGAATGATGAGAGTAGATACTTCCCTAGACACTAAGGAGCCAAAGAGCCCATGGAATCAAGATGTAGAGATACTCAAATTCAAGGACTCAAAGTAATAGATATTATTTGTCTTATTCTTTTAAAGGCTTGTTTTAATGGGATAAATGCATTGTTCAAAAATCTTTTAAATTTCAGTATGTATACATTCTCCCCCTGAGATAGACTTTGAGGATGAGCTCACACACATTAGGCTTAGAATGTTGCCATCTCTCTTTAATATTAAGATGAGAAACAGCAGAGCTTAAAAAAAGTGAGGTGTGGTGAGAAATTATCTGACCATTTATATGTCATGTGCCTAAAACAGAAAAAAATTATCTTTGATCTTGTCTGGCAACTCGGTACCTGTGCACCTGAGTCTAAGTACAATCAGATAAGTCTGAGTATTTTGCTTAGTACAGGTTTGACAAGCCAAGATGCTGCTAAAGATTCTTAGTGTTGATTCTACTATTAAATCCAAATGGCATGACTAAACCTAGCAGAACCTAGGATATACTTTAAAAGATCCTCAACTCCGCTCCCTTCCTCCCCCTGAAAAATATGTCCATTCCTCTGTCTTAGTTTTAAAGACCAAAGGCATCCCTGGAAGGTTATGAAGTCTCTTTTATTCTTCCTATTTAACTGTTGGGGAAATAAATTGGTGTTAAGTGATTTGCTCAGATTTGACACTTAGAGACAGAATTTAGTTGAAACTCCCATCTGCTGTCTCTTTATAAAGTCGTTTTTGTCTTCCCCCTACCACTGGCATATACACACCACAAATATTATATGCAATTAACTAAATTCCCAAGAGAACAAAAAACTTACTTTTAATTAATTGATGATGCCAAGTTCAAGACATGTTAATGATGTTAATTACTAACCTTGTAGTAATACTTCTTAAGTCAGAGGTAAGTGGCTCTTTGTCTTGATCATAATTATAGCAGAGATCACTGAAGCTAGAAATACTGAGTTTAAAAACAATCTCTAGTCATTCATTTTGTATCCTCCCTTTCACTGAACATTCAGCCTTAGTGTCAGGAGGGAAATGCAAGGAGATGCATGTAGATACTGGTAAGCTGGAGAGCTCCTGCCTCATATAAGGAACCCTCATCTTCTGTGACTTGTCATGTGATCATATGAGCCTAGTGTTGCAAGTGCTTTTGATATGTCAAGAAAAACCAGGAATCCAGATTTTTTTCATGCATGCTCCATATTTTTTAAATGTTAGCAATAATTCAGATTTAAAACAGTGTGAGGGCCAGTTCCCTGGGGCAAAATAATAAAAGCACAAAAACAAACTGCATAGAAACATTTATAAGGGCATATCAAGTACCATGCATGATGTTTGAGCTTCTTAAATAGTTTTTGCTTTTTTTATTTAGGTTAAGACAAGATAGAAGAAATATTTTCCTTGTTTCTTTTTATTGCTTCCTAAGCACCAAAGTAAAATTCACATAGACACATAATATGTAAACTCAAATGTACAACATCCATATATAAATATAAATAATATGTGTGGTTTCTGTGGTGTTGTACATTTCATGGTGTGGTAGATTTCAGAAATGACTATAAATCCTTCCATCTCTAGATGTGCATCTATCTCCATTTGACACTTCTCCTATCATGAGGTAAAGTTGATTTCCCTGTCCTTGAATCTGGGCTTGACCATATGACTTTTTTGGTTATTGAGACATTTGCAAAAGTAACGGAAGCAGAGTCTCTCCGAGGTGTTTGTGTACTGGGGCTCGCTTGTCTTGCTCTTCTGTGGAACTCTTCTGCCATCATGTGAATAAGCTCAGGCTGCCCTTCAGGAGGAAGAGAGACCACATGAAAGGAGCACCCAGATATTGCAGCTGGCCCAGTGTGCTTAGGTGAGCCAGCTGAACTGCAGCTTTATGCCAGTTGAGCCAACTCAGGCCAGAAGAGCCACGACGCTGACCCATGGAATCATGAGAAATAATGAGCATATGTAGTTTAAAGCTAGTTTCAGATTCACATACTATTGAGGGAAAAGAGTAGGCTTTAATGAGGAATAGTTTTTCATTTCTCAGCTGTGTGATATAAATGAGGGACTTGAGCTCTCCTAAGTTCTAGTTTCCCCAGTGAAATTCTACATAATATATGTGAGTTAAATAACACACATCTATATAAATATCTATCTATCCCTCTATTTATTTGTCCATTATTCATTTATTCACCTGTTCATCCATCAATCTTTGTATCTATGTATCCATCCATCCATCCATCCATCCATCCATTCATCCATCCACCTACCCATTCATCCATCTATCCATCTATGGATATATTGATGTATCAATGCATCTATTTATCCATCCATCCATCCATCCATTCATCCATCCACCTACCCATTCATCCATCTATCCATCTATGGATATACTGATGTATCAATGCATCTATTTATCCATCCATCCATCCATCTGTCCATCCATCCATCCATCCATCTATCCATCTATTCATCTATCCATCCACCTATCCATTCATCCATCTATCCATCTATTTAGTCATCTATCCATCTATGCATATATTGATATATCAATGTATGTATTTATCCATCCATCCATCCATCCATCTATCCGTCCATCCATCCATCTTATCCCATGAAAGCTACTCAATAAATATGTGACTATTCTTCTTTGTTATTTTTAAAGTGCCTTATAAGTAATGTTATTAATATAACAATGGTTTCTGCTTCCAAGGCACTTTCACGGATTTTTTAAAAACCTTACTCTTTGCAACAAATTTGCTTGGTATATACAGTGTCCTTTAAGCAAACCGAGAAATATCAAAACTGAAGCTCAGAGAGTTATAGGAGCTAGTTTGACAAACAAAGCTAATGATGCTGGAAACACATAAAATCAAGTGTATTGACTTGTGCTTACTGAAGAGTGCTGTTTTCTCTCTAGCTCCTAAGTGAAACAGTGACATAATTTTGGGTGAATAATTCATTCCGAATTCAGGCCTCCAATGAAAATATTATAATTTTTTTTTTCATTTTATTACAGTTTTATTTTTTATTTATTTTTTTTTGGAATAATGTTTTTTTTTTTTTTATTATACTTTAAGTTTTAGGGTACATGTGCACATTGTGCAGGTTAGTTACATATGTATACATGTGCCATGCTGGTGCGCTGCACCCACTAACGTGTCGTCTAGCATTAAAAATAGTTTTACATGGCAATTTTTTAATTCACCAAGAGGCATATTTTCACAGATATTTTATATGCACACAAGGAAAGACAAAGTGAAGCTATAAGGGTGTGATACTAATTAAAATTGTAATATATTCCAGGAGTATTTTTTACTATATGTTTTCTTCATTTTTGAGTTATACTGATGATTGAATTAGGTAAGGATACATTGAATATTTTTAAGAGAGGAAACAAAAATTACTGTTAAGGTTTCAGAAAATAGTTATTTCTTTGTTTCCATCTTAAAACTAGCCATGCTATATATATATATCAAAGGTGTTAGTATTCGAACTCTTGATCCTTTGTGGGGTTTGATACTCTTATCTTTCAAACACTGCTTCCATTTTATCTTCCATCTGTCATATTTCTCCTTTGCAACTCCATTACTGTAAGCATGTCATTTTATTTTCTTTCTCTCTCCCACTTCCCAGTTTCTCTCATGCCACTCCCTAAATATGAAAGATAGCTCTGCTAATCTTAACAAATCTTTTTCCTTCTTTGGTAGTAAAAAACCCCAAACAAACAAACAAATAAAATGTTAAATGTGTCTTTTTCTATGCGCAAGTTGCACACCAAGCTCACTGACCACTCTGCTCACCTGCTTAAATTATGACGAATAGCCTCCTATCTTTCATATCTGTCTCTGACTATAAACTTTTTGGAACCCAGAGTTAATTTTTTAAATGACTGTTTATTGTGTAATATTCTAGTATTGTGGTTTATGATTTATTTTTAATAAATGTACTTCCAGTTGGTAAAGTACCTTTTTTGTCTTCATTCTTCCTCTCAAGGACATGTGGGAGTTTCTTATTATCACCAACATCTGGTCTTCAAGATCTAAAATTCAAACTATAAACTTGCTTAAAAAAACACACGTGCATGCAAACACAGCTGTCTGTAGGTTTCTTTTGATCCCACTGTAAAAGAAGCTACGTGTCATTTTCTTGATTTGAGGCTTTTCCAAGTGAGGGAACTAACAGATCCCGGACTTCTCACCCTCATCCTTTTCATCTTTCCTCCTTAGGGCACAGCATGTGTGAAAATCGTGGGCGAAAAGACATTCTTTCATACATTCAAGATTATGTTGCATTTTGGTGGAAAATAATTTGGACAAACTGAGGTAACCATTTGCTTTTTGGGGCATCTTATTAAAGACATCAAACTTGAACCTGTTTCAAATTTGCTTTTTCTGTCGAGTGGTGTCTAGGGGAAGGGAGGGAAGCATTATGTGAATTTATTATGTGATCAAACTAATTTCAGCCTCATTTTAGTGGCAGATGAAGGGCCTACATTATGAACATATCAACGGGTACCATAGATAAACCTAAACAATTCAAGTTTTTCAGGGAGTTAGTATCAAATAGCGTGCATTTCTCCTTGCTTGTGAGCAAGGAATAAAGTTAGAACCACCAAACTCTATGTGGAGGAGATTAACACAAGTTAAATTAGGCTTGTCAAATCTCACCATCCCAGTATAGAGACAGGAAGAGAAAAATGCCAATAGTGTTCACATTTTGCTTAAAAGATAATTTCAATTTCTTCACATGCATTTTTCCCAGAGATGCAAAAAAGCAGCAAAGCAAGAATCCATATTCAAAATTTGCCCTCGATGACTTTTGAAGCCATGTATGTTGATTAATTTATTAAAATTTATTTGCTTTAAAAGAAAACTAAATCACGATGGAATACACACATTTCTGTAGCTGGAAGAATTACAAAACAGATTTTCTGAATTAATAGGACCTCTCGATTTTTGCCTTGTAATTCTTGTCTTATTAAGTGGAATGACTCTGTTGTAAGTAAATACACTTGTTATATTTTAGAAGATGGTTTGGGTTATTTTGGTTGTCTAAGGCTGAGAAAGCCTTCCAGATCTTGACTTACAGGTTAACAAAAAGTATCCATTCTAGACCTCATGCATAAAAAGTTTTCTTTTTTGAAATATAAGTGCAAAAATGAAAAACATCTAAGTATGAGATTTACTAAAGACTTTTTCCCTTGTTTTGTTCCAAATCCCACATTTTATTTGTAGCACAACCAAGAGATCTTGAATGGCAAATTCAATAGTAAATTCAACAAAATGATAAAAGTAAGAATAACAAATTAAAAGATTTCCTAAATGGCAACAAATCTTGAATTTATGATTTCAAATGGTAATAATGGATTTCTCAAAAGTTTCCAATTGCAGCAGTTCTTTCAAATGTGATTATCTCTGCTTCATGTTTCTCTCGCTACCAAAAGTTTTGTGCTACATTACATATGATTGAGTTGGCTTAGCCTAGGAAAGCCTCACAAGAAAATCACGTTTAGGTGAATTGTAAAAGTAAGAAGCATGAGTTACTGGAGAGGTGAGCCTCACATGGAGGATACGGTCATTAAAAAATAAGAGTGAGGAACATGTCAGTTCTGCTGCAAGTGACCAATGAAAACACTGGGACAAGTAGAAATGGAGGTTTCTATTGAGGAACAATAACAACAAATAAAAACATAGAGACAAGTAGAAACGTAGGTTTGTATTGAGGGTAAAAACAACAACAAATAACAACAATGGGCAAACAATAAAACCTCACCAAATAAAAGAATATAATGAAGAGATGTAACCTGAATTAGCTGTAAACACATTATTACTTACATTCTTAAAATGTAGTAATACTGCATTTAAGTATACAAAGCAAAATAGAGTCATTATCACCCATTTAGCTATCTTTGGGAAACTTATCAAAGTGTATAGATGAAGATTACCTATAAGTAAAATACTGAAAGCACAGACTTTGATATTATTAAGCAGGTGTAAAAAAGAAAAAGACATTTTCAGTAGTGAGAATAAAACAGTCATCTACTCAAGAGAGGAAAAGGCTGGTTGACTTTGAACCATAGCAATAGATAATCACCAGAATTGAGAATTTACTGATTTTAAATCCTAATCAGTTGTGATGACTTCACAAAGTTTACCGTACTTCCAAAAGCCCATGGCTTGAAAGTCAACCTATCAGCAACAGCTGACTCCAGGAACCACGTTCTTGCTTCTGAAAGATCATAAATTCTTCAACTCCAATTGTGCTATATACGTTACTTGCTTCATTAAGAGAAAGTATTACACACAAGCCTGGATCTCCCTTAGATATCAAGTACTATATTTCGGATTTTTCTTTCAGATGTTGAATTGTGGTCTTTTCTTTTCACTGTAGGTAGAGTTTTCTCTAACAATTTTATTTATTAATTAAAGACTAATAGAAAATATACCTTATAAAATACAGAATGAAGAAATCCATTCTTTCAAGAAACTCTTACTTGTAATTGTGAAAACAAATGAAACAAATCCATGCTTTCAAAATGCTCAGACATCCAAGCTCAAAATTCAGTGATAGGGATGCACTTGACATTATAAGAACACATAGGAAGGCAATTTAACTAAAATTTAATGTGAAGTAAATCAGAGAGGGTTTACTTTCAGCTCACTCTTGAAAAGAAGTAATAAAAATAATAAAAGCAAGTGGAGAGATGGCCATTTAAGAATGAGTAACTAAACCAGACATGGAATTACACTCAGTTCAATGACGTTCTACTATAAAAGGTGAAATTCAGAGAACTATGAAAATAAAGTTACAAAGGTAGGCAAGGGCTAGATTATTAAAAGTCTGTTGCCATCTGAAGAAATTTAGCATTTTGGAAGCGGGAAGGCATTGATATGCTTTAGAGACCTTTTC
Organism: Homo sapiens; assembly: GCF_000001405.40. Taxonomy (NCBI): domain Eukaryota; kingdom Metazoa; phylum Chordata; class Mammalia; order Primates; family Hominidae; genus Homo; species Homo sapiens. The sequence goes on along the minus strand of NC_000014.9, from coordinate 84,952,340 downwards.
AGGTGTTCTCCTTATCACTCTGGTAACTCTGAAGAAGACAAGGCAAGGAATAAGGAAAGTAAATGTCTGTGTTCTCCTTATCACTCTGGTAACTCTGTGAAGAAGACAAGGCAAGGAACAAGGAAAGTAAATGTACTGGTAAGACCAGTAGGGTCTAAGGAGGGAAAGAAATAGGATGGTGAAAGCAATAGAGATGATGGAAAACTTATCTGTAAGTAATATCAGGAGACAGAGAATGACTTGACATAGAGGGAAAGAATGGGGAAGAAGTCATTGCCCAACAGAGAGGATAATCGTGCTTCCAAATGTAACGGAGATGAGAGATCATGAGCCAATAATAGATTTTACCATATAAATCTTAAAACTAGAAATCAACATGCAGTTCTCTTTACTTGGTATTTCTAAATTTGCCTCACTAACTACTTAATTTTTGTAGTATCCTTTTTAAAGTCTTTCAACAATTGCATTATTAAGTCTTTTGGAAAAGAAATACTTTACTAAAAAATGTGAGACAAATACAGAAAACATTTGACAAATGGGCAAATATATTGTATTAATCCATCTCACACTGCTATAAAGAACTGTCCAATGGCAGGTATTTTATAAAGAAAAGAGGTTTAATTGACTTTGCATTGCTGGGGAGGCCTCAGGAGACTTACGATCATGGTGGAAGGCAAAGGAGAAGCATTCACTTTCCTCACAGGGCAGCAGGAGGGAATGAGTGCAAGCAGGGGAAATGCCAGGCACTTATAAAACCATCAGATCTCATGAGAACTCACTCGCTATCTTGAGACCAGCATAGAGGAACTGCCCCCATGATTCAGTCCCTTCCCACAGGGTCCCTCACACTACATGGGTGGAATTATGGGAACTACAATTCAAGATGAGATTTGGGGCAGAGCCAAACCATATCATATTAAATTGTAAAAATTCCTGTGTATGAGGAATAAACAGTCTTTAGTGGGCTCAGACCAGGAGTCCAAGGGTCTTGAGGACCTCTGTGTGTTGGTCAATTTTCTTCTCCAAGTTCTTTTCGGCCTGTTTCCGTAGCCTCATGAGCTGTTTCTTATGGTAGTGGAATTTGGTCTTCTCATTTCTCTTCTCCTCCAGGGTAGCTGTCATTGCCTGATACTTCTAGCCAACCTTGTGAGCCAGATACTCCTGGCATTATATATATATATATATAAAACATATATTTCTATACTAGATGCATATATCTATATACACACACATATACATTTATAATGGATTTCTCTGCCTGTTGGAATTAAATGATGATTTTTTTCCTTTCTACTTTTCTGTATTTTCTACATTTCCTACTATAATTATGCATTACTTAATAGTAAAATGAATTAATATTTTAAGAAAAAAATTCTTGTTGCAAATGTTTGACCATCAGACTTGGTTTGGAACAAGCTGTTACCAATGTTTCTGTGCCTACTTGGTCTTTGATATATAGGAACTGTCTTTGGTATTCTTTTGCACCATTTATCCTGACTATGAGGTGGCTATTTTTTTCCCCCAACAGAGGTCTTTTAGTAAGGGATTTTATGGTTGGCATTTTTACAGATTAGAAAGCAGACCAGCTGGAGGTCATACTGAATTAAAGTTTGCTTAGTATTAAGGACAACAGCTCAGACTTCATCAATACAGGAAAACACAGGTGTCTAAACAGAAAAAGATCAGCGTACTTCTCATTCTGCCAATGGGGAAAGCGTTTCTTTGTCATACGTTCTTGAGGGAAAAACAAAATCATATTTTGTAGGGTCTATGATAGTGTTAGTAGGTTTTCATCTTTTTGCCTGTTTTTTTTTTATTTGCATATGCAAATAAAGGAAATTGTGAAAACATGAATGTTGTGAGGATTGTATACACAACTTTATTACATAAAACAGCATGCACTTTCTATTAATGAAGCCATACAGAACCATGTAAGTGCATGAGTGAGCCCATTATTCTTAATTATATAACTAAACATGGAGAGGCCAAAGAAAAGCATTTATTAGTTAAGGATGGTTTTAAAAACAATCATATTTTCCTCAAGTTTAACACTTTGAAATCATGCTTTAAGACATTCAGGGAACATTATTTATTACATTCAGGTATGCACGTAAATATTTGGTGAATACATTTAAATAGATATACACACACATAGATACATGAGTATAAGAACATGCATATATGTACCTATATTTTAAATTTATGATTTATCACTGGAGGTATAAACATGTCAACATTGTTTTTGACAGACTATGGCCTCTAGGGTTGAGAGGAATATGGCAGCCCTTTTCTCATCTCTTGGGAGATGAATTCCATGTTTGGGTAGTAAAATAAAAAGCAGACCTCTCTCAAACAGCCAGAAACCCCAAACTTTGTAAGTTGTTATAGCTTCATCAGCTAAAAACATAGAACCCTTTATTTTTTCTGTAATTGGACATTTGCTAACACTAGTGCAGATCTGAACTGTTGAGGTGATCTGCTTGTGCCACATTTCTTTTCTCATTGCATTGTCCAGCCTTCTATAGAAGCAGTTTTACCTTAAATAAGTCTTCTAATTAATTGTGTTTTATTTATTTTTTTTTCATCTCCAACCACTAACTCTGATGATGTTTGGAAGAGAATATGCTCTCAATACATATTGGTTGGTTGGGTACATGGATGGATGGGTAGATAGATGGATGGATAAATGGAAGCATGAATGGATGCATGGAATGGGTGCACATGTTCTACCAGGAGCACCACATCATCTCCCATTTTATCAGCTCTGGTGGGAAGTGGTTAGGCACAGGACTCAAAGAAAGAGAGCACTGGCCAGGTATGGTGGCTCATGCCTCTAATCCCTGCACTTTGGGAGGCCGAGGCAGGCAGGTCACCTGAAGTCAGGAGTTTGAGACCAGCCTGGCCAACATGGTGAAACCCCATCTTTACTAAAAATACAGAAATTATCCTGGGGTGGTGACACACGCCTGTAATCCTAGCTACTGGGGAGGCTGAGGCAGGAGAATTGCATGAACAGAGGGCAAAATCAATCACAACAACATTTGGGTTTCTGTAAAATCGATTTGGTATAAATCATTTGACTACCAATCTGCATTTCCTTTGAATTACTAAGTACCACCTACTCTACTGATTTAGAACAGTTTCCTATACATGAGATCAGCATATGCAAATTAAAATATCAATGACTAAAGTGACATATGGCTTAATCTTTGCTTTAAGTGAAATCTTATCAGGCGTGAAAATCTTTAATTGCAGATAGAATGCGTCCTGACAGCATGAACTTTAGGGTTTTTTTCTTTTTTCTTTTCCTAACAGCAGTTATTGGTTTATCATTAGTTTAATCAGAGACAGACTAAAATGTGTTTGTTTTGCACTCTCATTGCAGCTGACTTGCTAAAACTAGAAGAGCAGACTGGAAACATAATATGCAGTGACATTCTGAGACTAATGTCTAATTTTGTCCACCTGTTACCAGGTAAGTGCATCCAGGCAGTTTCTTGAGCTGTTTGAAAAGCCCTCTGAGGTACAGAAAAGATAAAAGGAGCTTTTCAAATATGCATATGCTGGAAAAGCATTCTCCTCTCCAGAAAAGTCTTTTCTGGACTCTTTCAATCACCCTTTTTACAATGGAGACCCCTCTTTCCCAACTCCCTTTTATCCATGTTCTCAAAATCTTATGTCAAGAGGTGAAAAAGTAAAAGGAGTTTTCTGTTTTTCTGGCTTACACTGTTCTTCTTATACCCACTCTCCATGCCCACTTCTTCTTTTTCAAGAGTTGTCATTAATATCATCACTACTGCCATTTCAGCAGTTAATGTTCTTGATGGCTAAATATGGAAAATACATGTGAGTTCCTTTACAGGTTTATTATTCTCCAGTGATTGAATCAGAGGTGAAAGGAGTAAATGTAATTTTAAAAATCATTATGGAGTCCTTTACCCAGATGTACTGTTGGCTTCTGACCTTCTAATCTGTATCCTGAGTCCTGGGTAGTTCATGTCTGCAAACTAGATATAAAATATATTATTGGAAGCATCATAATTAGTGCCATGCCACTCTTAGTTGTGGCTAATAGCACTTATTTAACCATAATATCAATATACCCTCTGCTGTATGAGAAGAAAATTGTCCTGTGCCTCACCAAAATACATGGTTGAATTAGTCATGGAGTCTGATTTATCCTTTTTTAAAATTAGCAGTCTTTGTCTTTGAAATAGTAGAAGCTCACTCTAAGTTTGTTATGCAACTCTTGAGTTAAGGAGGGATGGGAGGGCAAAGAATTCTCCCACATATGTGAAAAGCAAAACTGAATATACAAAATGAACCAAAAAAAATTACAGTTTTTGGACTTAGCTTATAATTTATAAACTTAACTTAGTTTATAATAAATTTAGAATAAAGAAAATGTAATCTTATTTATGAAACATTACTCACTCTTTTTGGCATGATAACCCTTATTTTGAGTTGACTAATTTTGATAAAATTTCACCTGCTGCTACACGTACATTTTCCAAAAGTATCATGCTACATTTGATATTTAGTTCAGCTAATGGGGCATTCTGAAACAAAATAGAAAGTGTAAACATTTCTAAAATCTGGCAAATCAGAGATAGTAACTATTAAAAATTTAATTGGCTGCCTTTAGTTTTTTTCTAAAAGAGGCTGAATTCTTCTATATACAAATTTGAGATCATGTTTTTCAAGTTATTTTTATTTTTATTTATTTTTTATTTTATTTTATCTTATTTTTTGAGATAGGGTCTTGCTCTGTCATCCAGGCAGGAGTGCAGTGGCAGCATCACAGCTCACTGCAGCCTTAAATTCTGGAGTTCAAGTGATCCTCCCACCTCAGCTCCCAAGTAGCTTGAACTATAGGTATGCACCACCATGCCTAGCTAATTAAAAAAGATTAATAGAGATGAGATCTTGCTATGTTACCCAGACTGCTCTCAAACTCCTGACTTCAAGTGGTCCTCCCACCTGGTCCTCCCACCTGGGCCTCCCAAAGTTCTGGGATTATAGGTGTGAGCCACTGCACCCAATTTTAAGTAATTTTTATTCTACATTTTATAGTGATTATTGTATTACCAGTATTTTTTCTTTTTATTAAATATTTTTAACTCCTTGTTATTTGCTGCAACATACCTTATTGTATAAACGTACACTAACTAATTTTAATTTTCTCTTGAACATTTAGGGGGTTGCATGCTTTTAACATTATAATAACGTTGAATCAAACATTACATATGTGTGTGGCGGGGGTGGGTGTGTGTCAGTATCACGCACATATATGTATGTATTCCGGATAGTTTAACTAAGAAAATTCCCTATTAAAAGTAGTTTGGTAAAGAGTATGAAATTTTCAATTTATGTTGATATATACTGTTACATTACTTTTTCAAAAGGTTTTAACATTTTTGAGTACGGATTTCAGTAGTTTATAAAAATCGTTTATGAAACTGGTTGTTTTTATAATTTCAGGTACCAGTGAGTATTTTATAACTTCAGATACCAGTGAGTGTTATTATTAGCTTGTTGTTAAAACACAGTATTTCCTTTGGGTTAAATTTGCATTTATTTGATAACATATAACTTTGAAGATATTCACATGTGATTTTAGTCCATTTTATTCTCCTCTTACTTGTTGGTTCATATGTCCTTTGTTGCAGGCATTTATTTGATACCTTCTACCCATTAAATTAAATATTACGGCCGGGCGCAGTGGCTCACGTCTGTAATCCCAGTGCTTTGGAAGGCTGAGGCGGGGGGATCACGAGATCAAGAGATGGAGACCATCCTGGCCAATATGGGGAAACCTCGCCTCCACTAAAAATACAAAAATTAGCTGGGCATGGTGGCACGTGCCTGTAGTCCCAGGTACCCAGGAGGCTGAGGCAGGAGAATTGCTTGAACCCGGGAGGCAGAGGTTACAGTGAGCCGAGATCATGCCACTGCACTCCAGCCTGGCAACAGAGTGAGACTCCGTCTCAAAAAAATTAAAAAAAGTGATAATTTTAAAGATTTTTAAATGCTGGCACTATAAAACAATACAATAAAATGATACATTATATTTGCTAGAAACTTACCTTTAAATTCTGTTGAGTAATTATGTTTCTAAATTCATTTAAAAATATGCTTTAAAAGTGCATGATGAGCTTTGAATTCATGTTCCTCAATTTCTTAATACTTTCTACTGTCAGTACATTATGAATGATTTTAAAATTGACTCAACATGTTTAGAATCATCTAACTATAAGCCATTTCTAAGCAAAGTGGGGGCTAATGCAATTTCGGGTCAAAGACCAGTAGGCACCTGAAAAATTAATAGAATTTCTTTCTCTTAACCTTGGTCAGATATATCCCCAAGCCATGAAGGTGAAAGGCTAACGTTAACTCAATTACTATGCTATAGGATCTCCTTATTTACAGTCTAGTAAGATTTGAACATTTCCAGTTAAACCGACATACCTGACATTAGCTTATGAGAGCTCTTCACTTTCCTCTGCTAAAAGCAGCTGTTTATATTCCACTAAGGGCAAGACCTCAAAATAAGAAGTTAAATTTCTTTTATGATTTGAGTCTCTTCTCTCTTTACCAGGATAAAATGAACTGAATAAGAGTTCTTTATCTAGAACAGGTAGAATGAATTTGTTCAGTTTGTAAAAGAATGGGTATATAATAAACAAACTCTTGAATAAATAAACCTTAATATAATTATTTTAGACACATTCCTCACAAGATTTCTTTTAAGAAGAGTTTCATTAAATTATATTTGGCAATCTCACCCTTTAACTCATTACAACAGAAGCTCTGCAATTTAATGAATAGTAGTTCTATCTCCAATAAATAGAAAGATTAATTCCACTGTCATTTAAGTTCATTTTATTTTTTACCATCCTCCCAACCTTCATAACAAAAAGGTAGGTTTGAAATTCAGTATATATAAATTAAATAAGCCATTGGCTTATTTATGGGACCATAAATAAGTGACTAGTACATAGTAAGCCGTAAGTGACTAGTACATAGTAAGTGTATATAATAAATATTAATTATAATTTTGTTGATAATGATTACACTTCAGCAAATAGATGCCCTGAAATTGTATAAATATCAAAGATGTCTTATGACTAGTGTGTCATAGCTCTTATTGTCTCATTGCATGTCTACAAATAGAATTGTGAGAATACAGAAAGGAATTACACACTTTAGAATCCTAGAACCGTCTGGGCACGGTGACTCATGTCTGTAATCTCAGCATTTTGGGAGGCCGAGGCAGGCGGACAACTTGAGGTTAAGAGTTCAACACCAGACTGGCCAAGATGGTGAAACCCTGTCTCTACAAAAAATACAAAAATTAGCCAGGCATGGTGGCACACACCTGTAATCTTAGCTACTTGGGAGGCTGAGGCAGGAGAATTGCTTGAACCCGGGAGGCGGAGGTTGCAGTGAGCCGAGATCACACCACTGGACTCCGGTCTGGGTGACAGAGTGAGACTGTTTCTGAAAAAAAGAAAAATCCTAGAACCTCTCTTTCCTGCCTTTTTAACGGTATCTCACTTTGAAGGGTTCAGCATATAGAATAGTATTTCAAACAGCAAAATATTGAATGTTTGATTTAAAATAAATGTGTCTGTTTGATTTAGCCACCAAGAGTAAGATTCTCAACTGTTTCTTTACAGTTTGTAAAAGCACAAAGAATGACCAAGAGCCCAGTAACCAAAAGCCCTGTCCACCCTTTGTTTAATCTACATGACACCAAATACACTAGATTTCCTACTGTTAACTTGGCACCACCAACACTTCTTAGAGGGATGGAAACTGTTTCCCAGATTTATCTTCCTCATATGCTTGTGGCTTGAAAAATGCCCATAAGAGGAGCTCATGTTAAACTTGAAAGGCAGAAGTGAAAAAAAGTCATTATTTCCTTGAGGTGATCACAGCCAGGCTTGCAGGCAAAGAATCACAGAGGCTTCCAGCAAGCTCTTGAGAACCACACACTTTGGTGCTTCAGGCTGAAATTATTAGTGCCAGCTCCTGTGACCATTGATGGCAATTCTCCTATGACCTTCAGTGATAGTTTTCCTGGACTTTACTCCTTCAGCTCTTAAAGGGAATATGTAAGCACTAATTAACATCAACACCCTTATATCTGGAATACCATAACAGCTTCTTTTCCTTATCAAATTCTGAGCAAATAAAATGAACAAATTCTAAGCACAACTTTAACATGTTTTTGACTTATGTCCCATTGGCATTTACAAACCAGTTTGAATAATTTTACATTTTTGACAGTATAATGAATTCTAAACTAAAGCCATGCCAATTCTTTTGCATTATTTTAAAATTAATTACTTTATTGGCTAATACAATAAACATGGATGGTCTAGAGTAAATATATTGACCCCAAGTGCTTTTAAATTTCTTTTCAATAATATTATTTTCATCTGTATACAGACAAGATGCCCGATCAGTAAGATTTTATCAGCTACACAACGGGTTGAAGAGTGTTTCCCCAATATTCACGTCCACGTAGAACCTCAGAATGTAAGTTTATTTGGAAATAGTGCCTTTGCGTATGTGATTAGGTAAGATGAGAAGATACCGGATTAAGAGAGGCCCTGAGTTCAATGACTAGTGCCCTTATAAAAGAGGGCTCACAGAGAAGAAAGCCATGTGAAGATATGGGCAGATATTAGAGTGTTTTGAGTATTACCGAACGAATGTCAAGGACTGCTGTGAGCCAACAATAAGGTAGGAAGAAAAAAGGAAGGAGTCTTCCTTTGAGGCTTCAGAGGGATCATAACCTTACTAACACTGATTTCAGACTTAAAGCCTCAAGAGCTATGAGCGAAAAAAATTACTGTTGTCTTAAGCCACTTCGTTTGTAATAATTTGTTACAGCAGCCTTAGGAAACTAATATGGATTATTTTAAATAAACTCAAGAGATATATCCCATGAGATGTTTAAGGTTTTGGGAAAAAAAAGAAAAGCCTTTTAACCAATTAACCATATAAATAAATTTAATGATATCAAATAATAAAGCAAACAAAAAACCTCACATAAATATAAATACAAATATATTAAATATATTAACAATCTAAGCAATCTAATATGGCTAATATTGAATTAACACTAATTTAGTAAATGCAGTAATTTAGTGAATACCTATATTAACACTTTAAGTGTTAATAAATTTTAGTAAATAGGATTTATTCTGTGGATTGTCAGGTGGTCTAATGTCTGTAAAGTATATTAATATCATCTATTATATTACAAAGATCACAGGAAAAAGTATCATCTTAGTACTAAAATGTAATTAAATATAAAAATTATTTCTTATTTAATTTAGAATTTTAATTTAAAAATGTATGATAAAAGTAAATTCCTTGTATTTTATTTACTTATTTCAATTGTTCATTTCTGCAGCCAGGGGAATGTTTTTTAAATGATAAAGGTTATTCGTCTTAATCAAATAGCCACCATTGGCTCAGTGGCAGAACACTACATTTTACCACCAGGGACGTGGATAAAATATGGATGTCTGCTATCCCCAGCTTCTTCAGCATTACCTTAGAGCTTCTATCTCATATAATTAGAGAATAAGAATTGCAAAGAAGAAAATAAATTTATCATAATTTGTTAATTGTATGGCCTAACTTAAAAATAACTGAAATAGCCAACTGATAAATATTGTAGAGATTTGAATGGTAGCTGATTGTAAAATTTATTTTAGAAAGTAAATTCTCTTGCTACAGAGCAGCCAGAAGAAAGTAAAAATTGATAAAGAAAATAAGTTGGTCATAATAACAACCCAAAGTATAAACAGCTAGGAATAATCTAAATGAAAAACATAAAATTGCAATATATAACTGTGCTCCTTAATAAAAGAGTTGGATAAGTAGAACGATCAACAATGTTTCTGGATTTAAAAAATCATAGTAAAAATATATCCCTTTTTTCAAATTAATGGATAAATTTAGCTTATTTTCACTTTTTTATATTTAAGAAATCAGGCTGGGCACAGTGACTCACACCTGTGATCCCAGCACTTTGAGAGGTCAAGGCAGGAGGATTTCTTGAGGCCAGGAGTTCAAGACCAACCTGGACAATATAGGGAGGCCCTGTCTCTACCAAAAAAATTAAAAAAGAAAATTACCTATGTGTGGTGGCAGCCACCTGTAGCCCCAGCTACTTGAGAACCTTAGGCAGGAGGGTCACTTGAGCCCAGGAGTTTGAGGTTACAGTGTGCTATGACCATACCATTGCACTCCAACCTGAGGCACAAAGGGAGACCTTCTCTCTAAAAATAAAATAAAATAAAATAAAATAAAATAAAATAAAATAAAATAAAATAAAATAAAAATATAATTTTCAGAAAAAAGAATCATTGGCAAATTTGCTCTACTACATATTGAATTATAAAGATTGATGGGTGGGAAGATATAGTTAAGACAACAAATAATTATTAGTAAAATTATGAATATAATACAGGTGATCACCTCAGATCAGTGTGGAAGGGATAAATTATTTGAAAAACCAGAATTCTCCCCACATCATATACCACAATACATTTCTAATAGAATAAAAATTTAAATGCAAAAAAATTAAATCTTAAAAGCACTAGACAAAAATGTAACTAACATTTATATATTTCAGAACTTTGAAAATTTTGTGCCTGACAGTAAAATCAGTGATTGTTGAAAAATGTATCCATGTAATATATTATCAAATTTTCATGATCAATTCAAAAAAGAGAGAGAAAAAACAGAAACAGGTACCATCAACAAGGCAATGAAGTAAATTACAAATGCAAAGATGGGTCTATAAAAAACAGAACCACTCTGAATATCTAAAAATAAAAGTTTGAATCAAAATAGTACTTTCATATAATGGAACATTTTCTTGGCAATAATATTTTAGAAATTAAAAAGCACACTTGAGAACCATATGTACAGTAAGTTTCTCTTTTTATAATTAAAAGTTAAGTTAGGTAGATGTGCATGGAAAAAATCTAGAAATATGTGAATATGTAGATTACAATTCTTATATATTTGGATAGCGATATTCTAATTAGTGTGCTCTTTATATTTATCTTTTTTCTGTTTTCCTATCATAAACATGCATGTATTGGGTAATTAAGATGTTAGTTGCTATGGTAAAGAAGTTTATGTAGATTAATGTTTATTGACATTAAATTGTCCATGGTATATTACATTTTAAATGATAGTTACACAACAGTCTACGTACCATAATTCTAAGATGTAAGAAAAACAGTCTGGAGTACATAAACCAAAAGTTGCCTCTAAAAGGTGAATTTATAAATAGTTTATTCTGGTTTTTTTAATCTATACTTTTAAGGTTTCAATAATAAACCAAAAATAAATAATAAAGTCATGTTATTTAAAAAATATGATCAAATGGTTATTAGGATAAACAGGCATTAAATAATTAAAATAGCCTATTTCTGTTCAAATGGACTTCAAGTTATATTCCATTTTTCAATGCATCTAGTAAGAATTTCAGCTACTGTGTTAACATTATTTCTATTTTTTCATAATCTATTTTTCTTTCATGTGTAAGTCAGATCCCAGTTCCACAGGCAGAGGTATGGGAATAACCTGGAAGCCTGTTAGAAATGCAGATTCTCCAGCCCCACCTCAGACCTAATGAATCAGAAACTTTATCTCAGCCTGAGCCTCAGCTAACTTGTGTGAACATTAGTTTGTGACAGACTGAGTTGTATCTGTTGAGACTACTAAAATATCACCTCTTTATTGATGCTTGCTCTGACGACCTCAGGAAAAATAGCAAAACTCATTCCTCCATATCTGTTTCTCCTGAATCATTTTCACGGTTGTACTTATCATTATCTGATCTTACAGCTTCTATTTATTAGTTATTGTATACTTATTTGATTTTCTGTTTTAAAAAAAATTCTCTGCTTTCTCTAAGTTTAGGGCAATTTAGCAAGTGCGCTTATCAGGCAGTGAAAAGTGTTAAGGTTTCAGAATTGTATAGCAAGATTGAGTCAAAGTCAGAGGTAGAAATAGGATCAGAGTTTATGCAGCAAGTTCTCCTTAAATTATGACTGCATCATGCATACACACAGTGCACAAATCAGTCCAAAATTTCTGCCCTCGTGAAACTTTCATTCTAGTCAGAGGATATAGGTGATATGCAAAACAAATGTTTGGAACCTTGCATGGGGAGAATTGGCAAGGAAAAAATACTGGGTGAGTGAAACTGGGATTGTTGGGATGTGCTAACAGTGTTATTAGGAAAGATCTCACTGAGAAGGTGGCATCAGCTCCCACTTATTTATACCTTACTATGTACAAGGTGCTATACCAGATGCACCAGAGGCATGGAAAACAAAGAATAAATATGAGAAATTATGAAACAGAAAGAAGAAACGTTGTGGCTGTGGCTTGTATCAACAGGTAGGAAGCATTCATAACCAGCAGAGGAAGGATCCAAGCAAGTGGAAAGTATTTGGAATAGCCTCTGTGGAGTCACTTGGATGTAGGGATTCTATACTTGCTGCTCTATAACACTCTGCCATGTATGAATTGTGTGCCCTCCTGTGTGCAGTCTATGGCAGATCCATCACTAAATCCCCCGAGTGTCACAATTCAGGGTCTGACATGTAAAAGACAATGAATAAATGCCTCACGAAAGATCAGAGAATGAACAGGTGGAGAGGTGAGAAAAGAATGCAGAAAAGATCAGAGAACGAACAAGTGGAAAGGTGAGAAAAGAATGCAGAAAAGATCAGAGAATGAACAGGTGAAGACGTGAGAAAAGAAAGCAGAAAAGATCAGAGAATGAACAGGTGAAGAGGTGAGAAAAGAACGCAGAAAATAACAGTGTTTCCTTGAGGTTGGAGAGTGGAAAAGTAGCCGCAGCAGTATCTCCAGGAGAATGAGAGAATGTAGCATACTGGAGACAACATTGTTGAAATGGCTGGGCTTAGGATTCTGGTGGTCTGAAGGTGTGCATGGCCCCCAAAAGGGGCTGATGAACTTGGAAAATCAGAAATTACCATGAGAATTAAAATCTTTTTTTTCTTTCTTTTTCTTTTTTTTTTTTTTTTAGATGGAGTTTCGCTCTTGTTGCCCAGGCTGGAGGGCAATGGTCCAGTCTCAGCTCACTGCAACCTCCACCTCCCGGGTTCAAGTGATTGTCCTGCCTCAGCCTCCTGAGTAGCTGGGATTACAGGCACCCGCCACCACGCCCGGCCAATTTTTGTATTTTTAGTAGAGACAAGGTTTCACCGTGTTAGTCAGGCTGGTCTGGAACTCTGACCTCAGGCAAATCCGCCTGCCTTGGCCTCCCAAAGTGCTGGGATTACAGACATGAGCCACCATGCCTGGTGAGAATTGAAATCTTTATAGAGGTAGAAAAGCTAACTCATTCAGGTCAAAGCAGAAGGATAAGTAGAAATACAGGGAGCTGTGGTCAAGAAGAAGAATGGCAGTGTTTGATTATATTTCTCTATTATGTGTTTAAGATAATGGCCTAAATGCACATCAGATGTTGACCATTTGCAGCCAAAATAAGCATGGAGTCTCAGGCAGGGAATGCCATATGAAATATTGCTAAAAATCAAAATCTTATTAAAGACACTTCTGAAAAAATCTAACTTTTAAAGAGGGGCTTGATTTGTTTATATATTCTGGAACAGCATGAGAAGGGAAATGATGTGGGGTTTCTGCCCTTCATGTCAGAAACTGACTGCAGTTTTGTGATTACAGACTTACTAAGTACCATGTCAGTGTGACGTTTACCATCCCCACAAACACTATGGGATCTAATTTAACAGTTTTTGACGAGGCCATGTTACTGGGAACAGTCTTACTGTTTACAGAAAAAAGAAAGAACTTCCTAACTGGATGGATATACCCAGCAATATTCCCAAATGGCTTTATGTCTTCTTCACAGGCTGGCAAATCATAAAAAAAAAAAAAAAAAAAAAAAAAAAAAAAAAGTTTTATCTTCTTGAAATTAAGAGACATGCATGTAAATTTATCAGGAAAATAAAAAGCCATTGAATTCATTGACTACTACAATTTGTAACCCATCCAGACGGCACCCTAAGGCACCAGCATTCCCCCATCAAGTCAAATCTCTTCCTTGGTCATATTTTACTAGTTAACATTTAACAGGGTTTTCTTCTTCTTCTTCTCCTTTCTTCTCTTTCTTCTTCTTCTTCCTCTTCTTCTTCTTCTTCTTCATCTTCTTCCTCTTCCTCTTCTTCTTCTTCTTCCTCTTCCTCCTCCTCCTCCTCCTTCTCCTTCTTCCTCTTCCTCCTCCTCCTCCTTCTTCTTCTGCTCCTCCTTCTTCTCCTCCTCCTTCTCCTCCTTCTTCTCCTCCTTCTCCTCCTTCTCCTCCTCCTCCTCCTCCTCCTCCTTCTTCTTCTGCTGCTTCTTCTTCTTTTAATCGCATCAGTACCCTCAACAAGATGCACTTCGAAATTTTCAAGTTACTTTCCTCTCGGTGATAACCTTCAATGAGAATGATGACTGAATATAGTAACACCTTTGTCTGAATGGCCATGCAGGGGTTTCTTACAAAATGGGAATGTTTGTGGTGTAAGCAGAAACAATATGTTCTCCTGATTAGTACTTGTTGACTGCTTGCTGACTGGCTGGGAGCCTGGGTCACAGCTGCTGAGTTAGTCTCCGGTCTGTTCACAAGCAGACTGTGTAATCTTGCCCAAGTTATGTTACCCCTTGGCATTTTGTTGGTGAAATGGGTGTAATCAGCTTTCCTGACAGGAATGTTGTAAGGGTTAATTAATTACTATTTGTTAAGTGTGCTGAGATTGTCAGATTAAAGGATTAGGGAAGTGTCAAGTTTGTGTTATTATGGTATTATTTTTCTTTGTTTGATAGGAAATGCCATTTCTGTGTAATTTGCTTTAATGGTAAAATAAGCCACTTTAATCAATGCACAATCAAGTCCTTATTCAGTGAGAACAAGGGTATACATATACAGTTAGCAAGAGGACTTGGGTTAGCTGACACAAGGGCAGAAATCTGAAAATTAGACATTGGATACAAAGAAGGTCCAGCAAATGAGAGTGGGGGTGATCAGGTTCTAAGTGCCCAGGAGACTCATGTTACATACCCAATGTAGTCAGTTGTTAGCAGAGGGGAAAAAAAAGAAAAAAAGCACGTTACCTTAGCAACCAATACTCAAACCGAAAAAAAATTATGTCACCAAAAGATTTTTGAAGTGATTGTACATATGGTCCAGAAACTAAATGTAAAAAATACTTCACTAGACTCTAAAGGGGATTTTAAATATATGAAGTTATTAGAGACTTACTTAATATCTTAAAAGTATACATGTCTGGATGTTATTTTACTTATATAAATACATATTAGCCATATTTTAGGGTTTGAGCATTACGATAATAGCTGGTTAACCTTAATTTTTCAAAAAAAAAAATTGACTGTTATATCTGAACATGTTATCTAGAAACATATATCAGTTGCAGTAGTTTTTAAGACACAATTTTTCTAATAAGCATATTACTAAATGTAATAAATAAATCAATATGTATGGTTGCTAAGGAATAATCATTTGGTACAAATATTTAAAGTAAGGAAGTTAATTTAAAGTGTGTGACATTTAATGGACTGCAGGCAGGAATTTTTAAAAATAATTCCTATCCTAATGATTGTAATAATTTACATCTAAAAATGTTCAAGATCTTTGTGATAATCAAGAATCATATTGTGTTGATCAAAATTCCAGAAGTTTTACAACTTTTCTTGGACACAGAGATTTAACTTCATGATCATTTCACCCCAGAACAGAAAGGTCTGCAATCTCCATTTTGAAAAACTTCAGGGAGTTTTAACCATAAAGGGATGCTGGATTTTGTCTAATTTTTTTTTCTGCATCTATTCAGATTATCATGTGATTTTTGTTTTTAATTCTGTTTATGTGGTATATCACATTTATTGACTTGCGTATGTTAAACCATCCATACATCCCTAATATGCAACCCACTTGATCATGGTGGATTATCTTTTTGATACGTTGTTGGATTCGGTTAGCTAGTATTTTGTTAAGGATATTAGCATCTATGTTCATCAGGGATATCGGTCTGTAGTTTTCTTTTTTGCTTATGTGGTTTCTGGTTTTGGTATTAGAGTGATGCTGGCTTCAGAGAATAAATTAGGGAAGGTTCCCTCTTTCTCTATCTTGTGGAATAGTGTCAGTAGGATTGGTACCAACTCCTCTTTGAATGTCTGGTAGAATTCTGCTGTAAATCTGTCTGATTCTGAACCTTTTTGTTGATAATTTTTTAATTACCATTTCAATCTTGCTGCTTGTTTTTGGTCTGTTCAGGGCATCTAATTCTTCCTGATTTAAGCTAGGAGGGTTGTATTTTTCCAGGAATTTATTCATCTCTTCTAGGTTTTCTAGTTTATGTGCATAAAGATGTTCATAACAGCCCTGAATGATCTTTTGTATTTCTGTGGTGTCAGTTGTAATATCTCCTGTTTTGTTTCTTAATGAGGTTATTTGGATTTTCTCTCTGTTTTTCTTGGTTAATCAGCATACAAGGGAAATAACTCAATGTAATAAAAGCCATCTATGACAAACCTTCAGCCAACATAATACTGAATGGGGAAAAGTTGAAAGCATTCACTCTGAGAACTGGAATAAGACAAGGATGTCCGGTCTCACCACTCCTCTTCAACATAATACTGGAAGTCCAAACCAGAGCAATCACATAGCAGAAAGAAATAAAGGACATCCAAATCCTAAAGAGGAAGTCAAACTCTCACTGCTTGTTGATGATATGATTGTTTACCTCACAAACCCTAAAGACTTCTCCAGAAAGATCCTAGAACTGATAAAAGAATTCAGCAAAGTTCCCAGATGCAAAATTAATGTACACAAATCAGTAGCTCTTCCATACACCAACAATGACCAAATGGAGAATCAAATCAAGAACTCAGCCCCTTTTACAATAGCTGCAAAAAAATAAAAATAAAATACTCAGGAATATACCCAACCAAGGAGGTGAAAGAACTCTACAAGGAAAACTAAAAAACACTCCTGAAAAAAATCATAATTGACACAAGGAAATGGAAACACATCCCATGCTCATGGATGGGTAGAATCAGTATTGTGAAAAATAACCATACTGCCAAAAGCAATCTACAAATTCAGTGTAATCCCCATCCAAATACCACCATTATTCTTCACAGATTTAGAAAAAACAATTCTAAAACTCATGTGGAATCAAAAAACAAACAAACAAAAAAGCCCGCATAGCCAAAGCAAGATTAAGCAAAAAGAACAAATCTGGAGGCATCACATTACCTGATTTCAAACTATACTGTAAGGCCATAGTCACCAAAACAGCGTGGTACTGGTGTAAAAATAGGTACATAGACCAATGTAACAGAATAGAGAACCCAGAAATAAAGCCAAATACAGTGAACTAATCTTTGACAAAGCAAGCAAAAACATAAAGGAAAGGACACTCTTTTCAACAAA
This sequence comes from Homo sapiens, assembly GCF_000001405.40. Lineage (NCBI taxonomy): Eukaryota > Metazoa > Chordata > Mammalia > Primates > Hominidae > Homo > Homo sapiens. Next base: position 84,934,816 of record NC_000014.9, on the reverse strand, counting down.
TGGTTCTGGGACATTGACTAGCCACATGTCGGAGAATAAATCTGGGTCCTAACCTCTCAGCTTATACAAAAATCAACTCAAGATGGATTAAGGACTTAAACCTAAGACATTAAACTATAAAAATTCTAGAAGATAACATTGGAAAAACCCTTGTAGATATTTGCTTAGACAAGGATTTTATGACCAAGAACCCAAAATAAAAACAAAGATAAATAGCTGGGACTTAATTAAACTAAAGAGCTTTTGCATGGCAAAATAACAGTCAGCAGAGTAAACAGATAACCCACAGAGTGGGAGAAAGTCTTCACAATGTATACATCTGACAAAGGACTACTTTCCAGAATCTACAACAAACGCAAACAAATCAGCAAGAAAAAACAAACATCCCATCAAAATGTGGGCTAAGGACATGAATAGACAATTCTCAAAAGAAGAAATACAAATGGCCAAGAAACATATGAAAAAGTGCTAATATCACTAATGATCAGGGAAATGCAAATCAAAACCATAATGTGATACCATCTTACTCCTGTAAGAATGACCATAATAAAAAAAAAACAAAAAATAGATGTTGGCATGAATGCAGTGATCAGGGAACAATTCTACATTGCTGGTGGGAAGGTAAACTAGCACACCACTATGGAAAACAGTGTGGACATTCCTTAAAGAACTGAAAGTAGAGTTACCATTTGATCCAGCAATCCCACTCCTGGGTATCTACCCAGAGGAAAATAAGTCATTATACAAAAAAGATACTTGCACACTCATGTTTATAGCAGCACAATTTGAAATTGCAAAATCGCAGAACCAACCCAAATGGCATCAATCAATGAGTGGATAAAGAAAGTGTGATATAATAGAATACTACTCAGCCATAAAAAGGAATGGATTAATGGCATAAGCAGCTACCTGGATGATTTTGCAGACTATTATTCTAAGTAAAGTAACTCAGGGATGGAAAATCAAACATCATATGTTCTCTCTGATATGTGCGAGCTAAGCTATGAGGATGCAAAGGCATAAGAATGATACAATGGACTTTGGGGACTTGGGGGGAAGGGTGGGAGAGGGGCAAGGGATGGAAGACTAAAAATAGGGTGTAATGTGTACTGCGTGGGTGATAGGTGCACCAAAATTTCACAAATCACCACTAAAGAACTTACTCATGCAACCAAGCACCATCTGTACCCCCGAATAACCTATGGAGAAAGGAAAAAAAAAAAGAAAAATTGCAGGAATAAACTTTCCATCTAACCAGTTTTCCAACTAATACTGATGGAGGAGGCATCTTCATATCTCACTTGAATAATTGCAGAGGCTCCCTTATGATCTCTCTGCTTACTCTCTTGCCATTCTATAGTCTATTGCACAGAGAAACCAGATAATTCCCTTTAAAATGTAAGTCAGATCATGTCACAATTCTGTTTCAAACTCATCGGTAACTTCTGTTATATATAATTTAACCTGGGTCACTTGCCCAGCACAGTAAGACCAGATTCCACACCAAGGTTTTGTAGCAATAGAAAGGAAAGCATTTATTTGCAGGGCACCAAGCAAGAAAGGCCAGGTTGCTAATGCTTAAGTCCAGAGATCTCTGAGGGTTTGCAGGTAAGGGTTTTTAAAGGCAGGGGTAAATTTCAGGAAATCAGAAGTTATATGCAAAATTGTAAAGCAATACATGGAAGTTACACATTGGCTTTGGTTTAAAGGGTTGGATATCTTGAAGCGAGGGGCTTACATGTTGTGGATAGATTCAAAGAATTTCTGATTAGCTATTGGCTGGGAAGAGAAGCTTTGTTTAAAAATTGTGGGTCAGCAGAAAAGAATGTTATCTCTGGCTCATGAGTGTGACTCCCTCAAGGCCCCATAGGAAGAAATTTAGAAAAAAAAGAATGGTGGCAGCATAAGTTCAGTCTTCAGTTCCCTCTTAACTGAGGTCTATGGGCCAGTGGATCTATTCAGTGAGGATCTGGGTTTCTGAAAAACAACTCAGGGACATATTTTAAGTTGTCACTTTTAGTTTCTATAGGGAACCAAACATCTCTTGACTCTTAACGTGCTTGGCTATTGTTTTAGGGTACTGTTACTTTCTTGCTTATCTCTGGGATAGGTAGACGCCTGGAATTTCCTTTGAAGGAATTCAAGAATTTCTTCTGAAGGAATCCAAGGTTTTCCTTTATTTTCATGCTTGAGGGCTGCATGCCCCTAAAATAAAGGGTCCCTGCTCCATCTCACTTCCAATCACACTGAGAACAAAACCATCAGGATCTACATGGGAGCATCTTCAGCTACTTTTCTGCCCTGATCTTCTACCACTTTTCTCCTCACTTACACCGTTCTAGCCCTCCTACTTTGATTGCTGTCCAACAGAAGCACCGTGTTTGCTCTTCCCTAAAACGTTTGTTTTTTCTGTTCCTTTAGCATGGCTTCTTCCCTCACTTCATTCAGTCTTGTGCTCAACGTTCCTGAGAGAGCTGCTCTAGGCACCCTGTGTATAATAACACCACTGTATCATTTTGCTATTACCTTATTCTACTTTTAATTTTCTCTATAATGCTTTTTTATCACCTGCCATACTCTCTACTCATCTCTCTTGGAGAGTAGGGACTCTTTTCTTTACTTCTTCAGAGCATAAAAAAGTGCTTGGCACACAGTAGCTTAATAAGTACTTGCTAGAGATGTGAATACACATTGAAATACTGTTACTTAAAATTTTTCATAAAGTCTTAGTTAACAGCCATATTATTATTTATTGAATATTCCTCAAATCAATAGAATTCTGTAAACCTGAGAAAAAGACACTCAAGCAATGAATGGGATTCCCCAAACATACACATTTTGTTTCTTACAAAACTTTCTCAAAAGCATTTAAGATTTTCATAAAATGATGGCAGCCTATCCTGCCAATCCTTTTGGTTGTTATAACAACAACAAAAAAATATTTCACCGCATTCACCTATTCATGAAAAATTCCCATGAATGTATTTTTCTACTAACAGGCCCAATGATAAAGTGTAGATGTTAAAATCTGAAGATAGTGCTTCAATGAGAAAACAATTCAGCTCTGAAAACCAAAATACCCACTCCTACATAGAATCTTCTACAAGTAAAGTATTTAAGAGTAATAATCATGGAAATGTTTTAGAATTATAATATGTATAAGAATTAGAGAAAATGCTTGATATCACCTAACTCAATCCACTCATCTTGCAAAGTAGAGACTCAAGTCCAGCTCCATTTTGACTTGCCTTGACCAAATAGCCAGTACACAGAAGCATCAGAATTGGAACTCAGGTTTCCATGAATCTTCTAGCTTCATGCTTTTCAGTTACATCATCGTGTCTCTTCTTCAAGTCATACACCTCTCTCGCTTGATCTATCTCTCTGTGTGTGTAGGTGAAAAAGCCAATTCTCTAAAGTATAAATATATGCATGCACACATATTTGTTTTCTTAACACATATAATGATTAAGATTATTTGCATTTTTACTCTATACACTTAACATGTTCAATTAAAACAGGAAATATGTGCATCGCCTTTTAAAAGTTATAGATATTTGTGTGTATGTGTATATATACACACACATATTGTGTGCATATATATGTATATTCTTTCCTATATAGATTTTAAAATAGAATGGTTTATCCACTTAAATTATAAAATACAATGGTTCATCCAGTTAAATGTGTAATTGTATAAAATGTGAAATGCCAGCTAATGTTAGCTATATTGTATTTAAAATTTAAGGTATGTATTTTTTGAACATATTAACATAAATTTTATATAGGCTCCAAAATTCATTCATACTAAAAGTTCTCACAATTCTTTCAATCCAAAGTAATACATATAATCAGCTATTACATCTTGTAAGACCAAATTTCAAGGGAATATTTTCCCTTTTTTACATTCAATGTATACATTTCAAAATATATTTATTTAATATAATATAAATGCTTTGGATTCCGTGTGCAGGAATGAAGGATTTTAAGAAGATTTAAAAGATGACCGATAATTTTAAGAAGGGGCAGATTTGGGGAAGTTTTTGAGAATAAAGGATTAGAATATCTTTTGGTTTAAAAACAATGCAAAGAAAATCTTAATATAAAGGATTTATCATCTGAGTATTCTCACGTAGGACACACACACACACACACACACACACACACACACACACACACACTGAGGACATAATACTTAGGGTATATTGTGAATAAATAAGTCCACGAGGTATAATTTAAAGGTTGTTGCTGTGATGAAAGAGTGAAGTGCGGTCCGTATTGCCCAAAGGTAAACACATGGACAGATTCAAGTTACAAAGAGTTGGTCTTGCACAGCAATCATTGCAGCAGCAAATATAAAGCTTGCCTTACTTTGTTCTGATGACTATCTGGATAACACATTAGAAAATTTCAGCTCTACAGGTCATGGAATTATGGCTCACTTCGTATACAGATGTCATTGTTGATGCCTTGACTCTAATTCCAGTAATACGCCACAATTCAGGCCCTTTATGCCTCCCACTTGAGGTCAGAAAGTTGGAAGGAAACTTAGTTCACAATAAAATAATTCTAGGACCCTCGATTTGAATTTACCTTGCTTGTAAGTTTGGTTCTAATGGAAAGCTATGAATAGTGCCAAAGACAAGAGATTTATGGAATTTAAGCTCACCATGAATTTCTGTAGAGAAACGTGGGCTTTATCTGCTTTAAGAAAATCAGTCATTTTCTGGCATGTCTAAAATTAGATTACTGTTAATTTAATATTCCCAAATTAAAGTGCTTACTTGTGATATGGCTTAGCAGTTCTTGAAAATGTCAACATTTTATTAAGGGGCATCTGTTTGGAAACTCTCCAGAGCTGAAGCTTCTATTTTATATGACTGCAAGTTGTAGGTGCGAGGGCTTGCATCCCTGAAGCACTTAGTGTGAAGACACCACACACTTAGGTCCAGAGCTTGACTTCTCACCATGGAAAGCAATCCTTTGGCCCGGTTGTGAGGTGTTTTGTTGTCTGTCTTCAGGCTGACATTTTTTAATGCAGAAGAAAATTTTGAGAAGAAAAATGATAATTTGGCATATAAATTTCCTAGGAGCTAATTTTGCTAGATTTTTTTCAATTTGATTAACCTGATACCATTTTATGGTTCCTGAAAAAATAAAGTTTATTACCATTTATCTGAATATTCAAAACCCTAATTATCCTTCAAAATCAATCTCAAATGCTACCTTCTTTATGTAATCTTGCCTTGATACTCCTTCTAGTGATAGCAGCTTCCTCCTTTATTTTCTTTTCTTGCACATGAGAAGACATAATATATGGTAATTTACATATATGTGTATATATGTTTTGCCAACTACACCGTGAGTTGATTCAGGGCAGATTCCATGCCCCATTTATCTTTTATCTCCAGCATCTAGCCTAGAGTCACCACTTAATAAGTGTTTGGTGAAGGTTCACATGAATAGACATCCTAATTGGTTGGTTTCTTACTCATCTGTCTTCAATGTATGTATGCTCAGATTACTTCATAAATCAGTTGGTAATTAAAAGCAGTTTATAAAGCCTTCAGGAATGTGTTGTGATTGGCATCATCATCATCTTTGTCATCAACTATACTATGTTAATTAAACACCTACTCTTTCTAACTCTGGGTGGTATATGCATTGTTGAAAAGTTCTGTGTATAACTGACTTGTATCATCAAATAATAGTTTCAGTCTGCTATTTGAGCTGCAAAGCACAAACAACTGTTTAGAGGAACTCTGGTTCATTTCCTTAACATAAGAGAGTGATGTAAAATGATGAAAATAAGTGGTATATTTTATTTACAAGAGCAGGGAACTGGAGTTTTGTGGTTATAGTCTTAATGTGCCACTATTTGTTTGACTTTGAACTGATATAAATGATTTTATGTCTCTCACTTATTAATTGTAAAACAGGAACTTGAGATGGATGATTTCTGTGGTAGGAAGTATAATAGCCCCAAAGATGTCCCTTTCCTAATCCCTGAAACCTGTGACTATGTTCCCTTATGGGAAAAAGGGACTTTGCAGATGCAATTAAGGTTAAGGATCTTGAACTGGGGATATTATCCTGCATTATCCAGATGGTCCCAAACTAATTACATGATTTTTTTTTTTTTAGATGGAGTCTCACTCTGTCACCAGGCTGGAGTGCAGTGGCGTGATCTCGGCTCACTGCAACCTCTGCCTCCTAGGTTCAAGCAATTCTCCTGCCTCAGCCTCCCGAGTAGCTGGGACTACAGGCACATGCCACTACGTCCAGCCGATTTTTGTATTTTTAGTAGAGACAGGTTTCGCCATAATTAGCCAGGATGGTCTCGATCTCCTGACCTCGTGATCCGCCTGCCTCGGCCTCCCAAAGTGCTGGGATTACAGTGTGAGGCACCACACCCGACCTACATAATTTGTTAAAAGCAGAGAACCTGTCCTGGCTGTTGTTACAAAGGTCGATGTGACCATGGAAGAATGATCAGAAAGTTACACGATTTGAAGATAGAGGACGGAGGCTACAGTCAAGGAATGGGCACTGTTTCTACAAGCTGGAACAAGCAAGAAAATGAATTATCTGCTAGAGCCTCCAGAATGGAATGCAGCCTTATCAACATTTTGATTTGAGTCCAATGTGACCTGTATTGGACCTCTGACTTATAGAAATGTAAAGTGATACATTTGTGTAGTTTTTAGCCACTAAATTTGTGGCAATTTGTTACAGCAGCAATGAGAAAACCGACTTAATGTCTCATTGTCTTTGGTCTTGAAAATCCTCTAATTCCCTATTTTAATATATCTTATGTTTAAATTCCAATGATCATATATTAGGGCTGTTTAAAAGTGAGGTGCATTCATACCAGGGATTTCTGTCTTCCAAATTCATGTATTTGATATACTTCAGAAAACCTTTCAATTCACTCCTTGAACAAAGGAATTTGTAACTAACTCCTATCTTCCTTTTACACAATAGAAATCAAAGGCTGCAAGAGCTCATGCCATTTACTTTAGTCAAAATCTGAATGATGCGTTGCATAAGTAACAACATAATAGAGCCCTCATATTGTAATCTGGATACATGTCTGCTGTGCTTTGAAAATCAAATATTGTTCCCTTTGACGTTTTGACAAGTAATTTCGACAACAATATACATTTGGCTAACTCATGAATGTAGTACTTCTCGTCCTCTGGATTGTGCGGGGTTTGCACTATGCTAAGAATGACAACAATTATGAAACTGACTTACATCTGCCAAGTGAACAGATGGTCTTGTAGTTGAGAAGAACAATGGTGAAGAAAGAAAAGGCAAAGGGGTGGGGGTGGGGGGAGCTGGTAGGGTGGATGAAACTCTTGCGATCCAAAATAGCACTAATAAAACTAAAGAAGAATACAGACAAAGCCATGTTATAATTTATTATTGAAAGGTATAGAAAAAGAGGAGAAAGGTCTTGCTTGTTTCACTCTCTCACATACTGCTAGTGAATCTAAGTCAAGTGTACTTGAGACCTGTAAGAGGTGAAATCACAATGTTGATATTCTCCTTTATGCAAATAGTTATTTGAAAGTACTGCCAGTGTGACTTTGATACCAGATGGAATTTTTCCTTTAACCATCTACACTTCTCCCTTTTAAAAAAGCTTATCTGGGGAGCAGACAATACAAATAACAGAAACAAAAACTTACATAGACAATAAAAAAACTTTACAATGAAAAGTAGTCTTTCTTAAATATGTTGACTTTTTTCTTTATAATTTGAACTTTTCATGCAGTGTTAAGTTTATAAGTGTGAATATCCATTATCGTATTATTCTCTAAAATAAATAGTATTATACTACCCTTCTGGAGCTAGAGGTGCTAGTTCAAATATCCTGTTTTAAAGACTGCTATGTGTCTTGTATTTTTATTTTTGTAGAATATTTTTTGTTTTTTTCTTGAATTAATTTGTTATATTTTACATTTATATATTTCAGATTTTTATATTTAATATATATCATATTGCATATAAGTTTATGGAATATTATACATTTAATAAATATTATATGGATTCTATTTATATATTTTCACCAACTTGTGGTATAATTTCATGTTAATCTACCTCTCATGGGATGAGAAGACAGCAAACAAGTCCCAATTGTGTTAATAACAAGGATCTAAAGTTAAAGCAATTTGTTCTCTGAAAGGATTTTCTATGTGTGATAAACACTAACTTAAGACATGAACTTCGTGACAACTATTCTGGCCTTTTTATCTGGGTGTTGGGGGCTATGTCTTGTTTCTTCATTTGTGTAAATGAGAATGGTGGAAAAGTAATAATAATTGACAAGTTATTTTATAGCTCTAGAATCCACGTTACCATAATTAGCCCAGTCAGCTGCAAAGTGCCTGAGTTTACTGTTCAATTCCAATATTATCTATCTACTTTTATTTTCTTCCCTCTGCTTTATTTGGATACCTATATATTTTAAAGTAAAGAGCTGAGCATAGCATTATGCTCCTTAGGTGAGGGATTATTTTCCTTTTTCCACAATATGCTAATAGATTGATGTTCTTACCGGGTTTTGTTGTTGTTGTTGTTTTAACAGGGGCTATTTTGTTGTTTTTGCAATCATGAAAGAATGTCTTAAAATTTGTTACTCAATATTTTTTTTTCTCTGGAAAATTCAAGTTACTTTAAAACGGACTCAGGCATTTTCCATCAATATCTAGTCTTCTTATTATAAAAAGCATCAAACTATTATCTCACAAAGCAATGATATAACAGTTGCTGTGCCAAATTACTATTTGGGTAAAGGCTCAAAATACACTTCAGGGGAAAGTGACTGCATTTAACAGTCCGAGTCCTATCTTTCTTGACCTTTTCCTCCATCTGTAGCATCCCATCCTACCCTCTGGTAAACTTCACCCCAACTGCTATTATACTTTTCCCTCCAGAGAAGTACTGATGTCAGTCATAAATTATTGAGACTTTTTTTTAAATTATCTTAGTTCAAGGCATTCTTCTAAGCATTACACCTATATTAACTTACTGAGTTTTGTCATTACAACACTCCTAAGATAATAGTCCTATTATTATAGCCCCTGTTTTGCAGATGAAAAAGCCAAGACATAAGGAAATCTATGCATTTGCAAAACTAGCACATTGATGAGTTGGGTCTTAAACTCAGGTAGCCTGGATCTCTACTATTGTTCCATAAAGAGCAGAAATTAGCTTCAATGACATTGACCTCTGATTCCAAATTGCATTATAAGTTGGTAACTGAGGTATTAATTAGTTTAACTTCTTTAATTATATAATAAAAATATTTTTCCTACTTTAAAGAATTACGAGCATCATTGAGCTCACAGGAAGGTATTTGTAAGCAATGGTTCTTGTAATTTCTTGATATTATATCCTTTATATAGTTATGTCTACATTGTCAGCCTTAGGTATATTTTCTATTAATTTCCCATTGCACTTGGTTCCCAAGATAGGAAACCAAGGGGCCACATTTGATTCACTCATCACTGCTGCCTTCATCCATGCATTAACTCATTCATCATTATTCCTTTATTCAGCAGATATATTCCAAAAGCTAGCTGGTCCCTAAGCACTGTGCTTGTTTCTGGTTTGATTGTTTGCAAAGAGGAATATGATACAATTCTTGCCCTAAAGGACCTCCCAGTATTTGGGAAAACTAGGCACACAAATAGTTTGTTAGAGTGTAATGTGATGAGTGTCACAATAGATACATAAACAGATTGCTACAGGACCATAAAAAGGGAGAAAGCAGCTCCATTAGTTATCTTGGAGATTTAATAGAGGCTTTACAAAGAAAAAATATCACAAATCTTACAGGAGAGATATAATTCCATCACATAAAACAAGAAACATATCATATCGAGCATTCTCGGAGCATAAAAGGGCCAAGTGCATTTAGAAATTGTTGAAAAAATGTTACAATGGCTGAGACACAGAATGCTTAAAGTCTGGAGTCATTGATGTGAGATGTGAGATGGGGCCAGTGAGAAAGTCCAAGGTCCAACCTGGGGAAGGCCTTTTGACAACCTTAGGGACTAGACTAACCCTTGTATAATCGGCATGGCATGATCATCCTAGCTCCAATCTTGGTACAAAAAAGAATGAAAAGTTGTGAAAAATGGGAAGTAAATTCAGAAGTCAGGTGGGAGTCATGAAGGGGTGGTGGAAGTGAAAAGCAGAGAAGAACTCTGAGAACTTTTTAGGGCTACCATTAACAGGAAAGGATGTAAAGCATGAGGCAGTAGCAGAAGTGCAAGCTGATGCCGTCCAAAGGGGTGGAAAATGCCAGGAGAACGGAACTTTGAAAGCAGTTGAGAATGTGATCGATTTCTAACATGTTCAACTTTAGGTGCTTGTAGGTATCCTACATAGAGGAGCATAATCCACTTGATTTTGGAACACAAAAGCAAAAATGGGGGAACAGAAATATACATGGAAAGAGCTATCATCATATTGATGATAATTGAAGCCAATGGAAATGGATGATTGTACAGAAAATAGTATGGAGAGGGAAAGGCAAAGAAAACTGAGGACGCTGCTAGAATTGAAGTGACAAATTTATTTCACAAGCAATAAGGAATATTTAATGAAATTCTTGATGGATGTAAAGAAGAGAGTTTCTTTTATTCACAAATATTGAAATTTCTTTTTCAGTACAAAAATATTAAATTGGCTATATAAGAGCTTGAATATTTATTTTCCTTTGTATAAATATCCCCTCCCCTGAACTTGTTCTTTGAAGCAGGGGCTCTATGAATGTAAATTGCATATTATTTAAAAATTCTCAGTTCTCAGAATGCATCAAGAGCGGGGAGAATATTCTATAATCAGCTTCCAATATTGGAGAGAATCATGAACTAGGAATTGTGATTTTGTTCTGCCTTTGTCTACAACTCACTAAATGAGGCTGACAAGTTATAGAAACTCTTTTAATCATTATATGGGATGTAAAATGATGTGAGCAACCACAATGATGTTTCAGATGTCTTCTGACTCTGTACTTCTATTAAAATCTTTCCTGTTTTGAAATTTTGCTGTGTATTCTTAAGCGTCCCTTTCTTGTAAACTTGGCCTTGATAAACCTATTACAACATTGTAACACTAAAAAGAGTAACTTATCATTGTCTCCTGCAGTGAGGTTTTCAGACCTTTGTTGGTGGTCTAGATTTTTTAAATTAAAAGTCAAGTTAAAAGCATGGATCAAGCTCCTACTGGTACTCAACACATAAAGCAATACACAGTCCAAAATTTACCATTAAGGTCTTTACATTAATTAGGGCAATTTCTGTATACTCTCATGAATGTCTCAGCAATAAACAAAGGCCAAAAGCTCTTCTCTGATCATGGCAGAGTTATGTAAAGAAGTAGTTCTTTTTTACCATATGGCAGCACCACTCTCCTTTCATTGTAGTGCTTATATATAACCACTTAATTTTACTCAATTTTATTGCTTGTCTATAAAATGAATGCATGTTAACCCACTGTAGTTTTGTGTCATTTGAAAAAATGAACTTTTAAAACTGTTGCTAGAAGTTAATAAGAAAATAACTCTTTAAGCATTTATTCCACTGCTTATTTTGCTTTAAATGAATATGAAAACCTCATTATTTTTACGTATATTGACATTCAACAAGGCTAAATAGAGCCTGAACCTTATAAAGCCCTCTAACGTTTAGATGACAGTGATGATAACCAGGTGTGGTAGAGAATTCTAAAGGTCTCTACCACATAACATTTATAACACTATGGACAGGCTCTAAAACTGCAAAAATTCCCAAGACGAGCCAATTTATGGGTGATATTTATTGGTCTTTGCTTCCAAAAATCATCTTAAAATAATTATTGCAGTATTAACCAAATTTAAATTGACTCTTAATCTCTTTGAAATCAGAAATTGGGTCTCACTTTCTTTGAATCTCCAGAATCTAGCTCCATGAGCAAGATATTATAGGGATTTATTAAAATTTGCTAAATAATGGAATAAACATCTTAATGTCCAATTGGAATACTTGATTCTTTATAGATATCCACTCAACATAGTTTTTTGTGTGTGTACCTACTCATGCCAGGCATTATACGTACATGAGACAGACACAGCCTGCTATCCATGGTACTTTTGGCATAAGGAGTTATAAAAAGCATTAAGGAGGTAATTTGCAGCCAAGTGTAATATTAGAGTGGTGAGAAGGCTCAGGCTGTTTTGACAGTCTATAGCAGGGGGGGAAAGTTACCTCATGCAGTTAGTTACTTAGATACTCCTTTAACCAAATACATAGGATTAAATTGCTAGACGTTTTCGTAGACTCAGAAAGCCATATGGTGCAAGTGCCTTCACTGCCTACATTATAATGAAGTCTTCTCTTCAACATCAGAATACTATGTTTTATGTTTTTTGTTTGTTTGTTTGCTTTTTGAGATGGAGTCTCACTCTGTCATCCAGGCTAGAGTGCAGTGGCGTGAACTTGGCTCACTGCAACCTCTGCCTGCTGGGTTCAAGCAACTCTTTGCCTCAGCCTCCCCAGTAGCTTGGATTATAGGCGCCCACGACCACGCCTGGCTAATTTTTGTATTTTTAGTAGAGACAGAGTTTCACCATCTTGCCCAGGCTGGTCTTGAACTCCTGACCTCGTGATCCACCTGCCTCAGCCTCCCAAAGCACTGGGATTACAGGCGTGAACCACTGCGCCCGGCCAGAATACTATGTTCTAATGTACCAAAATGATTAAATTTAAAATGTTTTCAAAGTGTTTATAAAGTAAAATCTGAAAAACATAACATTTCAATTCAAATATCATTGCATGTCTATAGAAGTAGGTAATAAAAGGATGTAATAGAGTCAGCAAAGACTTTGAAATTTCCAAGTTAAAAGTGTTACATGCCATATATTTTATTCTTTCAAAACAGGCTGAAGAGAGGGAAAGCCTAGTTGGGCTTTGGGAATTCATATGCAGAATGAAGTTCAATATGGAATATATCTCTGTTTGGGAGAAAGAATCCTCTCTACAGTCCTCTGACATTTTGGCTTCATCATCTAGTGATCCCAAGTTACTAACCTATGCCCTGAAAAGAAATTTAATAATGTAGGAAGTCCCTAGTCATCAGCAACAGACAAGCTACCAACCAGAATCTACAACAGGTAGGTATTTTACTAAATGATAAAGAACAGAGTCAGCAGAAGTAGGTGTGGATCTGTTTTAGTCATTTAGCTTGGCCACAGGTTCAAAAGACACCTCAAAGCAATTTGTTTTTTGTTTGCTTTGCTTTGTTTTTATGTTTCAATTTTTACATTGTACTTAATATCAGCTGTGGCTTGGAGTAGAAGGAAAATCTTTCCTCAATAATCTAGGCATTTGTATCAAAAAAAGTATTTTTAAAATTTATGTTGCTATAATGTTTTATATTTAAATCTTTTTACTTAAAAATTATTTATAATAATTAAGTGGAGAAAGAATGGCTTTGTTCAACAAATAGTGTTAGAGCAATTTTATATTTATTTGCAAACCAAAAAATGAACTTCAATTCATATCTTATCCTGTATTAAATAGAAACTCAAAATGGATCAAACACCTAAATATAAAATATAAAATTATAAGGCTTCTAAAAAAAACACTGGAGAACGCTTTTAAGATATTTAATTAAGAAAAGATTTCTTCGCCAGTATATCAAGTCAGAATGTATACAAGAAAAACATAAACTTTAGTAAAATTTAAGACTCCTGGTCTTCCAAAAACAGTAAAGAGAATAAAAAGACAAGCCACAGACTGGGAGAAAATATTTCAAATGACATTTCTAATGTGGGACTTGAATACAGAATACATAATGAACCTCCAAAACTTAATAAAAAACAAACAAACAATTTTTTTGTAAATGGATAAAAGGTTTCAGCAGACATTTCCACCAGAGAAGATAGATGGATGGCAAATATAAACATGACAGATTTCAACATCATTTGTTAGCAGAAAAATGTAAATTAAAACCATAATGAATGTGGCATCAAAATAGCTACACTGAAAAAGACTGACCATATCATGTGTTGATGAGAATGTGGAGGTGCTGTACTAGGACTCTCATACACTGCTGATGGGAATGTAAAATCACACATTTTTGAAAATTGTTTTTGCAGATTTCTAAAATCTACATGCATACCTAACATATGACCCATCCATTCTACCCCTAGATATTTACCCAAGAATAAAGAAAGCATATGACCAAACAATAATGCATATACATGTTCATAGTGGCTTTCTTTGTAATAACCTAAAGCTGGAAACAACCCGAATGGCAGTCATGAATTAATAAACAGAATCTGGTATATTCCATATAATAGAATACCACTTACATTAAAAGGAATGAACTATTGATTCATAACACAACATAAATAAGTCTTAAAATAATTATGTTGAATGAAAGAAAACAGGAAAATAGGAGCACTTACTGTATGATTGCATTTCTATATCTTTCAAGAAAATAAAGCAAATATTGGCAGAAAATAAATCAGCAGTTACTCCAGAAAGAGAGAAGCTAGAGATAGGTATTATAAAAGGGCAAAAGCAAACTTTTTGGAATTTTAGATAAGTTTTTTATTTTGTTTGTGATGGTGGTTTCAAACTTATAAAATTGTGCAATCTAAATATATGCAGTTTATATAGGTCAATATTATTGCAGTAGAGTTAAAGAGAGATCTAGGGTTTTGTGACCCTCTAAGGTACAGGAGTTCGTAGCAGTATCTTCCTTCTGTAATTCTGCAGTGCTATGACTCAATTTTTTGGAACTTTTATGGTTAATCAAGAGTAAAATCATGGTGACAATCAAATTTGAAAATTAAATATTTTTGCAATATATACAGCATGCAATTATTATGAAGGGAACTGCATGAAATTATAACTGGATTTCCCTTTTAAAAATTGTTTACAAATATTAGATTAATTCAAATTTAGAAGTGGCTCTTAATCAAGGGTGCACTTCGTATTTTCATGTGGACCTTTTTCAAAATGTACATGCCTAAACTCCCATTTCACATCTGTTGATTCAGGAAAAGGAAGATACATCCTGGAAAAGCCACAGAAATAATTCTGATGTGAACTGCCAGTAAATAAACACCAATTCAGAAGAAGGAAATTAAAGGGAAACATGTCTTCTTAACTAGGTAATGGAAGGATCACAATTACCTTGTCAGCTTCCATTCTGATGTTAGGATAAACAACAAAACCTTGGCCATGAGACAGATTATGCCCTGGTTGATCCAAAACCTGGTGAATCGAGAAAGTAGTGTCTCAGTCAGGTGAGATCGAGAATGTAAGGTATAAAAATGCCTTGGCAACAACAGAAACTGGGGTCTACAGAGGAGGGAGTAAAGGGGGAGGGGAGAAGTGTTGAAAAACTGACTGTTGGGAACTATGCCCGGTACCTGGGCAATGGGATCATTTGTAACCCAGACCTCAGCATTGTGCAATATACCCAGGTGACATATCTGCACAGATACCCCCTGAACCTAAAATAAAAGTTGAAAAAAAAAAGTCTTTGATATTTCACACTTTTATCACAATTTACTGTTACATAGTTCTGGTAACCTGATGTCACTGATTTAAGTATTTGAGAGTTTCATCTTGGTGTTAAGGAAGTTTCAGTTTTTATACAGACATGGGATCACTGGGTCAGGTTGATTTGAAACTTTTGAGGGCTCTGCTCTGCTTGCAACCTTCAGTAGCCCTGGAGTTGTGGGTCTGAGCAATGCAGATCCATGATGTACCTTCTGATGCAGAGAAAGTACAGACATTTTTAGAGCTTGAGGGTATTTTATATGCTTTATCTGTGGTAGTGTTTATGTTCTATAGGGTTTATAACTTGATTAATAGTCTAAACCCAACACTCCGTGGTAAATATTTTATTTTAAATATTTTTTTTTGTTTGCTGCTTCCAAGAATCCTGTGTGATAAATATTACTATCCTGTTTTATACCTGAGGACACTGAAGCATAGAGAAGACAGAGCGCTTGATGAAGGAAACACATCTTTAAAAAGGTGAGTCAAAAGTTTTGATTAATGTTTATTCAATATCAAGCCTCCACCATATTTGCTTGAAGTTTGAAAAGTACTTGGCCACAAGCCTAGGTTTACAGTTAAGGTCTTTTGATTCTGATACTTGGGAATGTGAAGGAGGTGCCAATCTTTCTCTCAGATTGGCCTGATCTGCTGTGCTTTGGGCCCTGTTGTCCTAGGGGTCTTTGGAACCAATGTACTGACTCAGCGGAAAGATTACTCAGCTGCAGGAGTTCCGATATTCTGAGACTTTAAATCTTTCTGGAATTCCTGGCATATAACAGGGCTACAAAGGGCACACAAGACAAAACATGGTGATGTTAAAAAGGAGGCAAGAACGGCTCTATTCTGACACGTGAAGAGACTTTGGGGAAGAGCAAATGTAACAGGGCAACCCTTACTCTCATGCAACCTACTCTTATTAAGACTTTATCTTAGATGGAGTAAGAGGAAGGAGAAGAAAAAGAAGGAAGAAGGAGGAAGAAGAAGAAATACCTTGTGATTACGAAAGTATGGCCTTATTTCCTTGAGAAAAGTGTATCTCTTTGTAAAGGTCAAGTGTTAAATGACTGGTGGTGCAGGTTCATGGCTAATAGTGACTTTGTTTCTGGTATAAGAACTCTAAGGACAAACTCTGGGCTGCAGTAAAATGTGGTTTAAAGATGCCAAGAGGAGGAGGAGGAAGGAGGAGGGGGGAAAGGGAAATGGGGAAAATAGAGGGGAGGAAGAAGGAAGAAGAAGAAGAAGCAAGCATAAGAAACAGCAGCAGCAGACACCACCTCTGGATTTTTGAGCATCTGGCTATGTGGAGTTGTATTTATTAACATTCTTACTTCTTTCCTTGTGATTACAAACACATTGCCTTATTTCTTTGAAGAAAATGTATCTGTTTCTAAAGGTCAACTGTTTAATGACTGATGGTGCAGTTTCATGGCTAACAGTGACTTTGTTTCTGGTATCAGAGCTCTGAAGACAAACCCTACACTGCAATAAAATGTGGTCTAAAGATGCCATGCATTTCTCACTGCTCTGATTAACTGTTCATTTGGGTAGCTGATTACTGCATTGTCCAGAATATTAATCAGGAGCCATTTAAACAATGCCTCTGATTTGGCTTAGCAACATGTGACCAAGAATGAGGACAAATGTGTCAAATACCCACTGGTAATCAAACTTCCATGATTATTACTAAAAACTCCTCAGTTTGTCTTGACATTATCCCAAACATCAGATTTCTGGAGTTTAAGGAAACTAGGTTACTTATTTTAGCAAGTTCTGTGTCATGTGTATTCCCAAGACGAGTTGGTATTCTGTGTTCTGCGACAAAGATGTCTCTTGCAGGGCTAGTTCATGATTAGGGGTAGGATTTGTGTGAGAAAATTCAGAAAACAGTGATGAGGTGACTATATAGCAATTTCTTTAACTTCTCCAGTAACAGCAAAATTCCTCTAGGTAGATCGTGCCTTGCCTCCTGTTTGAGTTGTAAATTGCTATGTAAAAAAACAATCCAAAATATAGTGGCATAAGGCAACACATATTATTTCTCACAAAAATGTTGGGTTAGCTGGGAATTTCATTTGCTGTTCTCTTCTGAAGTTACTTGTGTGCCTGATTTCAGTTAGTAGATCTCTTGGGAGTTGAGCTCAGTTAGGGTGTCAGGATGGCCGAACATCTCTCTCATTGTGATCTCAATGTTTTTCTTCCCACATGGTCATCAATCAACCTAGACCAGACATTGACATGGTGTCAAGGTTCAAAAAGCGAGTATCCTAAAAGGACCAGAGCACTAGATGCTTAACTTGCATCACACATTACACAGACCCATTAGCCAACACAGGTCACATGGCAAGGCAAGAGTCAATACAGAATGAGATTATGCAAGGTGTGAATATCAGGAAGCATGTTTCATTGTAGCCCACCAGGTACCAGTCTAGCATACCTCCTCAGTCCTAATGCAAAACATCATTACGTTGGGGATATGAAGAATAAGGTGGAGATAGAAAAGAAAAATGGAGAAAAGCAGAAGGGAAAATGGCAGACAGGATTTAAGAATTAAAAACCAATGTAGTTGTTGGAAAAGACTGTAGTTTCAACAAAATTTGTGTCACAGAATAAATAATGATGTTCAAATAACTTTGTAAAAATGTACTTCATTTCATATATACCCTAGATGTGTGCAATGATTTTTATTTTAGATATTTATTAAAATCTGATTGAATTTATAGTAGAACATAGTGGTTAGAGGAACAGTCTCTGGATCCAGACTGCATGGGTTTGAATTTAGACTTTGCTACTTGCTAGCTGTGGACTTGAGCTGGTTACTAAATCTTTCTAACATCAGTTTTCTCTTACATAACGTAAGCTTAATCATAGTGACTGTTTTATGGTGGCGTGGTGAGGATTACATGGGTTTGTAGTGGTAAAGTGCTTGGAATGGTGCCTGCCACAGAGTAAGGGCTATTTAGTTTCTTATTATTATCATCATCGTCAGAAGAAGAATCAAAAGTAGACCTTCAGTGATGCCCAGGACCACTGAGTGACCATGCAAAGGTACCTCCCAGGACCCCTTGTGCTCATTAATCTCTCATAGCAATTGGGATTGTAGGTGAGTTCTTGTTCAGAGTCTGAGCTCCACAAATGCGTGTTTTGAGTCCACTGAGTTTATTTGAACAATTCTTAAACTGGATGGGTCCAGGGTTGGATTGAATCTGATAATTACCTGGAGTGGATCCAGTTAGAGGCTTCAGGTTGGTACCTTTTTGAAAATAAGTTTGTCTCAATCCAAGGAGTCTGGGGACTCTGCCTTATGGGATTCTAGCTAATTTTACATATAACAATTATGGGCCCACAACTTGTATATTTTTAGAAAAATGAGTTAACTTTACTAGAGAAGACTTAGAATTAAAACAGCCACAATGAGGAAGTTTTAATTTAGATAAAATTGTTTACTCATCGGGCAAATTAGAAAAGAAGGGATCAAAGACCCTGCAAAAACAATGGGATGCAATTTTGACTGGTTTGCAGAGGCATCTAAGAGATGAAATGAATCAAAGCTTGCCTCTTTAAAAGATTCCTTACAGAAGGCAAGTTTAAAAATCTTTAAAGTATTTTTTTCACAAATATTAGTTAAAACTTTTAGCCATCTGGGTAAGAAATCTTGTTCCATTGGCCAGAAAAATAATTTTGATCCAGATAGTTTTAAATAAAATAGTGAGTTTGTGTTATTGTACTTGGTGCATGGACAAAATTTTAAAATGAAAGCTATACAATCTCTTTCTATATGTTTATCTATATCTGTATGATATGTATATATACATACATGTATATGTGATATTTGTCTATCTTACTATACTGTCAGATTAAATTACAAAGGAGCTCTGTTTAGTTGTCTTTAAGAAAAATAAGGCTTATATAAATGAAATATTCTATCAAAAAATAGGATCTAACCCAAATGCATTTCGAGTTCATGTGACTTGGGTAATCTTTGATAATAAAAAAAAAAGTTTGTTTGATTAAAATAGGCATGTCTTCAGCGTTTTCAACATTAAATATAATACATACTCACAATTTTTCCTACCTAAGTTTACTGGTAAAATAAGCTTATGTTATCTCTATACTTAAAAAATTCATTGGTAAAATAAGAATAATTATAAAAACATAATGGCTGGCTGTTTTGTGTTTTATCAATATCAGAAATCCAAGCATAATTATTAAAAATAAGTAAGTTATATAAATGTAAGATAAACTTTCCGTGTAAGAGATGTCCTTCCTATACCAGAAGCATTTTACATTTTTATCACTGAAAATGGGTAGTTGAGGCCAAGAAAAATCTGTACAAACAATTTAATTCTCAGACCTAGCCCCCACCACCAAGAAAAAGAAAAAGTTAACAGGATAGAGATATCAGTTTTCCTCATTTATTACAGAGAGAGTAAAGATATCTGAGACTATTAGTAAACGTGCTCTGTGCCGCATTAAGAAATTTGCACTGTGAGAAACCACACGCTTCTAGAAATTATAATTCATACATTTTGCCAAACTATAGATTGCTAATGTGACAGACAGCTGACACTTGGTTGCTTACTGATGTTCAGTGAAAATTAAGATCACTAAGGGTAAAAATTATAATTAATATATGTAACTAAAATCACTAGAAATAATAAGAAAAGAACACTGTGCAAATATACAAGGAAGGTAAAATGTGCTTTTGTGAGGAATAGTGATATAATATGAGGATGTTTTATTATCTTTAAGGTAAAAAGCATAATTTTTGCTCTAAAATAGAATGATTCATGGTTCCCAAATGAGAAAGGGAAAGTATAAGACAAAAACTAAATGGATGAGAAAGCTGTGGAAGGCTTGTGGAAGATGAACCTTATGAAAGGAATTTTATGTGTGATCAAACTGGCTAAGATTAGAAGTAAATTATAAACTTTTATAAAAGATGACTATCAGTATCAAAAATGTACCGATACAACACCAGAAGTTTGTTCTCGCTATTATAACAACAGGGTTTTTTGGAGTATTGGTCTCCCTTTTTTTTTTTTTTTTTTTTGAGACGGAGTTTCACTCTTGTTGCCCAGGCTGGAGTGCAATGGCGCTATCTCGGCTCACGCAACCTCTGCCTCCCAGGTTCAAGCAATTCTCCTGCCTCAGCCTCCCGAGCAGCTGGGATTACAGGCATGCACCACCACGCCTAGCTAATTTTGTATTTTTAGTAGAGACGGGGTTTCTCCATGTTGAGGCTGGTCTCGAACTCCTGACCTCAGGTGATCTGCCCACCTCGGCCTCCCAAAGTGCTGGGATTACAGGCGTGAGCCACCGCGCCCAGCCGGTCTTCCCTTAATAGAAAATGTTGAATTTTTTTTAAACTTCTGAGTAATTTGGCTAGGAAATAAAAATTCACTGTTTTACCTAAATAATTTTCTATGATTAATGATGTCTTCATTAGGTTTTGATCATGTGAAAAAGCTGAATTCTTTTTTTTAAAAGGATTTAAGGTTTTTCTACAGCCAGGTTACATTCTGTATTTACCTTTAAAGCCCTTTAATTATTACTTTGGTTAAATGAATGACTGTTGTTCATAGTGACCTAAGATTTTATTTTGATCAAGTATTTCAAGTCTTTTATTTTTTGTGTGTGAATTTCTCCAACTCAAACTCAAGTGTTTGTCTTGACCTAGAATTAACTTTAGAATTTTCCATATAGATGCATAGGATACCTCAATTAGATAACTCTCCTTACAAAAACAGAGATATTGAGATAATGTGGCTTATTTAGTATATTAAATTATATCGAAAGCCTTGTCAAATAATAAGTAATGGTAAACCTTCTTTGGGTTATATTTGTATGGATGTGATATTAATATGTATTTTAGAAATTGTATGAAATTCACAGAAATCGAATAGTCCTGGTATAATGCTATCAGTCATAATTCTAGTAGTTACCATAAAATGTTATATGCAACAGAAATAGCCAAATTTCCTTGTCAATTTGTGTAATTGTTGCAATGAACTTTCACCAGATCTTTAATCATGGCCATTTCAAGTCTTGTAATTCACAGATGGTTAACTGTTTACTTTGGTACCTTCCTGAGCAATGATAAACCTAAACACTTTCATCTTCAAGGAGATTCACGGAAAGGATTCTGACAAATACAGGTTTCTGATAATTTGAGATCATGCCTCTGAACTCCGTAAGAATTTCCAGAACTCTAACAAAGAAACTGACTGATTTTAAAAACTGTTAAGCCAACATCAAGCAGAATAAAACTTAATTAAATAACAAGAAAACTATTTGGCAGATTTTCATGCTAAGTCACTCAGTACTGACATTGTTAAGATATGTAATCAGAACAAACTTCATAGGATTTATCCAAGTCAAATTATCTATGATAATCTACTTAATAAACTGTGCGATTCACCTGGAAAAACAAAATTGGTATCTGAATAGGAAAAACAAAATTAGTTTTTAAAAAGATGTAAACTCAATATTAAGCTTGGACTCACAGAGGGCCAAGACAACCATCTGATTCTTCTGTGTGCTTGAAGCTTCCACTATTAAAAGCTCTGCACTCTACAACTCATCAAGGAATGAGAAAAATAATCCAAATTATGGAAAAAAATATTGGCGGGTTACTGTTGTAGAACTGCTAAAATTGTTTACAACTGATGTTTGGTTTGTCAAACTGTAGTCCTGGGAAGACAATCAAAACTTCAGGTGGTGTGTTTTCACCACCTGATGAACCATGTGAATGTGTAGAGATGGACTTGCATTCAATTGCCACCCTCAATGGGGTATCACTATGTTCTTATAATAGTTTTCATGTTTTCAGGTTGGATAAAAGTTTTCCCATGTATTAAAGCTGATGCTACGATGGTAACTAAAAAGTTATAAGAAAATGTGTCTCCAGCAACCAAGAAACCCATTTTACTGGAAAATTATAAGGCAGTTAAATAAAGTGTTACAAATACAGTGGCACTATCATTGTCCCTATCACTATCTGTCTTCTAGAAAGGCAATAAGATTGACTTCCATCAGAAAACATAAACTGACCATTTATAAAATAAATACTGAAAGACTTACGTTTCTAGTAATAAAATTCCCCATGTATCTCTCACTATTTTAAACTCTGACATGACTGACTAATACAAAACATTAATGCATTATGCTAAAGTGTATTTTCACCAAGTACAGAAAACCTTCTGTGATCTATCAGCTGATGGCAACCAGATCCTTCATGACCTAGAACTGAGAGATTGGGTCTTTGAAAATGACAACAGAGAAAGATTGCCCTTAAACTCCATTGGAAGAGACCATGCCAAATTCTTCTCGCCCCCACACTGTGGTAAAACTTCAGGGACTTGTACCTTGGGTCTAAATACTACAACTTAAAAAGGCCATTAAGACTCCTGGAACTGTATACCTGTTGTAGACCCTTATGTAAATTTGGCCAGAGAACTTTTTTGCCAGAAGCAGACAGCATTCTAGAGACAGACAACTTTCCCAAGATTGCAGATCAAGACTTCTCTACCATCATGAAAGCCTTATTTTTCCTCCCTATTTCCTCCTGTCCTAATCTCTTCTCTATCCTTACAGAAAAATCCATGAGACCATAACTTGTGGATAGCTTTAGTAAAGGCTTAAGCTGTAGCAAGAAACCTTATGTAGGCAGTTTTTGGGTTTGTGGGCTAATGCTCAAAAATCAGGAAGCAATGTCACTAATGCCAGTGCCTCTCAGTGTTCCCCAAAGGAAGAGTGGAAAGCTGTCCTTGTTATTCTAGACATCACTGCTACTTGCTTTCCTACACTTGATGGAAACAATACCCAGACCTTTCCAATTAATAACCTAATTGCTACCAAATATAGAAAACTTGTCTTAATGATGCCTGCAAAATGTGTGGTTAGAATAACAAAAACATGAACAAAGCATAAAGAGTCTTTCAACTAGTTGACATTGTAAATTGTAAATTCCATACCGAGACCAAAGAAGTTCATTATGACAGAAACAGAAAGTAGGGTCAGTGCCCAATGGTTTGGTCAGCCTCTCAATATTCAGAAGCTGACCAAAAGAGAGGAATTGTTAAATTACTTTAAATTTGGCCTAAAGCTGCTTTCATATGTAGCATTATGTAACTTAATAAGTAAACAAACTGCAACATAACTTGACAGCATATTACTGTTACAAGTAAACTGGGCTCAACCAATTATAACAGCCAAGCTTTCAGCCAGTTACAAGCTGCAAAATGCTCAGATATGTTCAAATAAGGCAAATGTCAAGCTATAACCAATGAGAATATTTCCATATGTCACTTCCTTTTCCTTTCAATAAATACTGCCTGATCATGTTGCTGAGTGAAGCATTCTGAATTTTTATGGATTCAGGGTGCTGCCCAATTCATGAATTATCTTTTTGCTTGAATAAACTCTGATAAATTTAATTTTTCTAATTTTTTAAAAAATATATGGAACTACTGAAACTCATATATTGCTAGTGGGATTGTAAATGAAAATCAGTTTGACAGCTTCTTATCAACATGCAGTTACCATGTAACCTATGACTTTTACCCTCATGTATTCACTTAAGGAAATTAAAAATATGTGTCTCAAAAAACTTGCACACAAATATTCACAACAGGTTTATTCAGAATAGTGACAAGCTTCAAACAACCCAAATACACATCAACAGGTAAATGAATAAACAATATGTGTTATATTTACACAGCAGAATATTACTTGGTGACACAGAGGAGCAAGTACTGACAGATGGAACAACACAGATGTGTCTCAGAAACATTGTGCTGAATAAAATTCAGACAAAAAGACCACTTACTGTATGATTCCATTTATATAAAAATCTAGAATAGGCAATACTAGTCTTTAGTGGCAAAAAGCAGATCATCAATTTTCTGGGGCAGGAACTGGGCTTCCAGACTGCAAAGAGGCATAAGGAATCTCTTTCAGACCATGGAGATAGTCTTTATTATGGTGATAGTTAACACATGTGCCCAGATTTGTCCACAGGTGCATTTTATGGTATGTAAAATATACTATAAGAAGATAATTTCTGTAATCCTAGCAATTTCAGAGGCCGAGGTGGTGTATTACCTGAGGTCAGGGGTTTGAGACCAGCCTGGCCAACATGGCAAAACCCCATCCCTCCTAAAAATACAAAAATTAGCCTGGCATGATGGCACATGCCTGTAGTCCCAGCTACTCGGGAGGCTAAGGCACAAGAATCATTGAACCCAGGAGGCAGAGGCTGCAGTGAGCTGAGATAATGCCACTGCACTCCAGCCTAGGCAACAGAGCGAGACTCTGTCTCAAACAAACAAACAAAAAAAAGTGATGTTAAGTAAAATTCTTAATTTTTTTCAATATCATAAATTAGTCTAATTCATATACAATTTGTTGTTTATTAATACTTTTTAAATGTTTCTACAGTTTGTAGCTTGATAGAACTATTTTATGTCAAGTGAAAAATCAACAAATTATCATATCACTTATTTTCTAGTTGGAGTTTTTAAATAATAATTATTACATTAAAAAAATCAGCAACACATTTAAAGTCAGCATTCTAAATAGATCTCAAATTTAAAAAAAAACACTAAATACAATAAACTTTCAATTCTCATCAAAACCTATAAAGTTCACAAGGACTGCAATGTAAAACCACAGCTGGTGTTTGTTTGCACACTTACATTTGATATTTATAGATAGACCAAGAGAACTCAGGTATTATTTTAATGTATGAATACTATTTTTGTCAGGGGACAGAAAAACACTTTAAAAGTTCAAAAAACATTTTTAAACACAAGGCAGTATTTGTGCTGTTTTATCTATCTCTGTGCTGAGAATGGTTTCTCACAGTTGACTGAAAGAGAATCTATTGTTTTAGGAAAAGCAGATTATCTGGCCAACTGCGGTGACTCACGCCTGTAATCCCTGCAATTTGGGAGGCCGAGGCGGGTGGATCACATGAGATTAGGAGTTCGAGACCAGCCTGGCCAACATGGTGAAACCCCGTCTCTACTAAAAAGACAAAAAATTAGCTGGGTGTGGTGACCCATGCCTGTAATCCCAGCTACTTGGGAGGCTGAGGCAGGAGAATGGCTTGAACCTGGGAGGCAGAGGTTGTAGTGAACCAAGATCATGCCACTGTAGTGGCAGACTCCAGTGGCAGACAGTGCAGACTCCAGCCTCGGTGACAGAGTGAGGCTCCATTTCAAAAAAAAAAAAGAAAGAGAGGAAGGAAGGAAAGAAGGAAGGGAAAGAAAGAAAGAGAGAGAGAGAGAGAGAGAAAGAAAGAAAGAAAGAGAAAAAGAAAGAAAGAAAGAAAGACAGAAAGAAAGAGAAAGAAAAGAAGAGAGAAAAAGAGAGAGAGGGAGGGAGGAAGGAAGGAAAGAGAAAGCAAATTATCAAAGCTAAAAGAAAAAGTATGTAAAGTCAGTGAAAAGAAAGGCATGGCTACAGGTTACCAAGAGCTTAGGGAGAGACAAGTTTATAGATGGGGTCTATGGGAAGACTGTTAACATTCCTTGATCATAAAAATAGAAGGAGGCAAAATCCAGTTGGCACTGGAAGAAATGGAACAGAGGAGACAACTCACACTTAACTGCACATATTGCACTCTCAGTAGTTACAGCAATAAGGTATCCTTCCAATGGTAAAATAATTCAAATAATATAGTCACTTGAGTTAAAGCCAGGGATCACTTGTTTATGTAGCTTCATTTGGGAGAGGGAAGGAGGTTAAAAGAAATTTGGGAAAGCTTTATGCTTTCAAAGAGCGTGAAACAATGAAGGGAAATGATGTCATTATAAAAAATAAATTATAAAATACATTATAAAATCATTATAAAAAATAAATTAATTTGAGCAGGTATACTCAAGAGAGCTTATGATTATGGTTGGCCTGTTGCTTCTTCTGCTGATTTTGATTGAGTCAATGAATATAATAAATTATGTAATTATATATTCATTATAGTGTGTTGAATAGTGGCTACCCAAAAGATATGTCCATCCAGAACCACAGCATGTGAGCTTATTTGAAATAATTATCTTTGCAGATATAATTAAAGTTCTTCAGATGAGATTGTCCTGGATTAGTACTGGCCCCAAATCCAATGACAATTGTAGTTATAAGATACAGAAAAAGGAGAAAATACAGAAAGACACACAGAAAGACACAGAGAAGAAGGCCATGCGACAATGGTGGCAGAAATTGGGGTGATACAACTATAAGCCATGGGACACTAGAGATTGTTGGCAGCCGCCAGAAGCTAGGAGAGAGACATAGAGCAGATCACACCTCAGCAGCCAGAGGGAACCCACTCTACTGACACCTTTGATTGACTTCTGGCCTCCAGAACTATGATAGAATAAATTTCTATTTTAAGCCACCAAGTTTGTGGTAATTTGATATTGCAATCCTAGGAAACTCATGTATTCATTTTATCATTCCTCTTCTACTCATTTGTACGACTTTATTGATGGACTCATGAGATGTGAAAATTTGTATGTTCCATCTTCTGATGCCCTGTATACACTGGGCTTTACTGTCAGCAGAGAGAGCTAGATACCTCAAGTGTTAGAATAAAAGACAGTAGATAGATTTATTGATCTCTCCACCTTGGTCCGTTTGAAAAACAGGGGATAATTTTAATGAATGAGTCAACTCAGGGAATTGGCAATCATCTATAATAGCAACAATAACCACACAGCTAATCATTAAAACCATCTCAAATTGCAGACAAGATACCAGAGCAGGTAAGTGCAAAATCAGGCACTTAGATCCAAACCCTCCTTCTACTACTTACAGCTGAAGGACTCAGAGAAAATTTCCTAATGTTCCAATGTCTCAACTTTCTTCTCTGTAAAGTATGGATGATAAGAACATCTACCTTATAGTGTTGTAAAAAACACAAAAGATTGATGTAAATTTATGTAAAGCATTTGGTCAGAGGCTGAAGTTAAGAAGCACTTGATAAGTATTTTTTTGCTGGTTTTTGGAGGTTGCAGAGGGAGTGGTGGTTTTACTTTTATTGTAATTGCTAATAGTCTGGTCAATGTCTTCTAAATAACAATGTCATGGAGTTTTCCAAGCCTATTTGAGCCCTTATGTAAAGTTGCAGTATTTACCAAATATACTCCCACTTTTGGACTTTTTCAATTAATAGTTAATGAGGCTATGATTCCAGGAGCTGGATTAAAGGTGTTAGTCAAAGACAGCAGCACAGACCTACTTTGTGAAAACTGCAGGGTTGATAATGGTCACTGTGATGTCACTTCTATGAAAATATTCAATGTTCTAAATATTTACTGACTCAGTGACTCTTTCGACCATACCTTTTTTTGAGATGGAATCTCACTCTGCTGCCAGGCTGGAGTGCAGTGGCGTGATCTCAGCTCACTGCAACCTCTGCCTCCCGGTTCTTACTATACTTTTAAAAGTAGCTTTAGAGGAGAAGACACACAGAGACACACAAAAAGACACAGAAGAATGCAATGTGATGACAGACTTAGTAGTTTTCAGCTTTTAGAACTAAAAGAACTAAAACCACCTATTAATGAAATTATAACCTATATTATACACAAATCAATAAAAATAAGGAGGAAAATATGTTTTCCTTCCCACTGCTTCTAAAGGTATATACAGGGAAAGCTTATCTGAATTATTTTAAATGAATATATCAATAATAGAAAAAATAAATGGATATACAAAGGAAGAACATACAACTGATAAAATGATGAACTTACAGGCAGAAGAAAATTACCAGTTCTCTTCATTGATAAATGCAGAAAATTTAATATATAATTGATAATCTATTTTATAAGGCTTTTTCATGCTAACAAAATACAACAAGTATGATGTGAAGTCTCTAATTTGATATGCAGTATAATTTTAAAAGCAATGCTATTATTAAAAAATCATTTCCTATAATAGTCAAATACATTTTAAAGGAAAAACAAATATGCATTAAAATATTTCCACAGGGACTTACTCTTCTAATGGAAATGCTAAATACAATAACAAGAAATGTTTGCTAATTAAAAGTCATTTTTTAAGCTTTCAATTTCATTGTTTTTTTCTATTTAAAACAGTGGGAAGAGGAAAGCAATCAAACAATATTTTTAAAAGGAGAAACTTTTTTTCAAAGATGCCATATTTAAGAAATGCTACTGCTGACTTCATATTCAATTCTTTTTTAATTTTTGTTTTCAAAGGGAAATTGCATCACATTAGCATAAATATTAATATATGAAATTAAAAATAAAATGTTAAGGTAGTAGCCTGGCTTTTTTGTGTTTAATTAAAGCAGGTGTAACTCACACTACAAATCTTTCTGGACAGATTCAGTGTGGGGCTAAGAAATGGCCTTAGAGTTTATATTAGTTTTTTAAAAGATCCCCAAATTTCACTGGCTCCCAGTGCTTCATTTTTTTATTTCTTTTTTAAAAAATTACACCTTATAATTTGTTTTCTTCTTAATGCGGAACATTCTGACTGTGGTTCTCATACTGATTATGTTACCAGCTTGCTTGAAGTCATTCCTTATATTAAATCAAACTAAATTGTGCCTGAGAAAGACTCTGTACTTCCATCTGTGAATCCTTACAAATGAACTGTAACCTA
The DNA here is from genome assembly GCF_000001405.40 of Homo sapiens. NCBI lineage: Eukaryota > Metazoa > Chordata > Mammalia > Primates > Hominidae > Homo > Homo sapiens. The sequence continues at coordinate 84,905,615 of NC_000014.9, read as the reverse complement.
ACTTAGTAAACTGAAAACCTACTTTAGGAGTATGCTTCTGCAATAATAGCTGAGTCTCAGCCAATTCCAGCAGCCATACTTCAACTACTCACAGGCAGCCAACTGTTCAAACCATGTTCAAAGAAGGGAAATGTCAAGCTGTGTCCAGACCAGCCATTTCTGTACCTCACTTCCGTTTTTCTGTAATCACTTTCTTTTTCTGTCCTTAAATTTTCTACAACCATGAAGCATCCCTGGAGTCTCTCTTAATCTGCTGTTATTCCAGGGGCTACCCAATTTGTAAGTAGTTGTGTTTTGTTTGTTTTCTTTCTTAATTAAACTCTCTTCATTTTATCTAATATTTTTCTTTTAATATTTACAAAAACCACAGGGAAATTGGGGGTCAGGTAAATTATTTATAAATTGGACATAATGATTACTCTATCCACTTCATATATATATTACAGGATAAATTAGGAAAAAAATTGTATGACAGTACTTTGTATGCTGATATGTAAAAAACAAACATGAGGTAATAGTAATGCTAGTCTTCTTAGAATGAATAAATGCATTTTTAAGTCAGGGTTTAATCAGGAAAATGAAAACCATCCTAAGTATTTTAAGAGAATGATTTAAAAACGAATATAAGAGGATTGAGGCTTGTTGAAGGCTAGAGGATCAAAGGTCAAGAAAGCTTCCAATGGTCTTCAAGATGCCAAAGAGTTTCAGGAATCAAATGAAGTTAGTGGTTTTGATCTCAAATGCCTGCAAGAGCAGAACCAGTTGCTCTGCAGGAGGACACCTGGAATCCCCTAGCCAACCCTCTGTTTTGGTCTAAGCTCATCAGCCAGCCTACATCTGCCTTGGGAGCAATGATGGCTTCTGCGTCTCTTCTGACCCATCACTTGAAAGTAACTCTCATTGACAGAATCTAACCCTGAACCTAGCTGCCAAGGATTTGGGGAAATGTAGTGTTGAGGTTTTCAGAACTGTGTCCCCCTCCAAGAGAGGGATGTGAATAGATGGGGAAAAATGGTTCTATATTAATAGTGAACAATATATCACACTGTATTAGTCCATTCTTGCACAGCTATAAAGAATTACCTGAGACTGGGTAATTTATGAAAAAAAGAGGTTTAATTGACTCACAGTTCCATAGGCTGTATAGGAAACATGGATAGGAGGCATCAGGAAACACAATCATGGCAGAAGGAGAAGGAGAAGCAAGCACATCTCACAATGGCAGAGCAGGAGAGACAGAGAATGAAGGAGGAAGTGCCACACACTTTCAAACAACCAGATCTCATGAGAACTCACTCACTATCACAAGAACAGAAAGGGAGAAGTCTGCCCCCAAGATTCAGTCACTTCCCACCAGGCTCCTTCTCCAACATGTGGGGATTACAATTCCACATGAGATTTGGGTAGGGACACAAAGCCTAACCATATCATTTCACCTCAGTCCCTCCCAGATCTCATGTCCTCACATTACAAAATTAATCATGCCTTCCCAACAGCTCCCCAAAGTCTTAACTCATTTCAGCATTAATTCAAAAGTCCAAGTCCATAATTTCATTTGAGACAAGGCAAGCCCCCTCTGCCTATGAGCCTCTAAAATCAAAAGCAAGTTAGCTACTTTCAAGACACAATGGGAGTACAGACATTGAATAAATGTTCCTATTTCAAATAGGATAAATTGGCCAAAACAAAGGGTCTACAGGCCTCATGCAAGTCCAAAATCCTGTGAGGAAGTCATTAAATCTTAAAGCTCCTAAATAATCTTGTTGGATTCCATGTCTCACATCCAGGTCATGCTGATGCAAGAGGTGGCTCCCATGACATTGGGCAGCTCTTCCCCTGTGTCTTTGCAGGGTCCAGCCCCACTCCTAGCTGCTTTCACTGGCTGTCATTGAGTGTCTGCATTCCGGGGTCTAGAGGATGGTGACCCTCTTCTTATAACTCCACTAGGCAGTTCCCCAATGGGGACTCTGTATGGGTGCTCCAACTCCACATTTATCCTTCACATGGTCCTTGGTTTTTCATGAGGATTCCACTCCTGTAGCAGACTTCTGCCTGAACATCCAGGTATTTCCATGCATCCTCTGAATTCTAGGTGGAGGTTCTCAAACTTCCACTCTTGCCTTCTGTGACCCACAGGCCACCATGGAAGCCACCATGGCTTGAGGCTTTCACCCTCTGAATCAATGGCCTGAGCTGTACCTTGACCTCTTTTAGCCACAGTGGAGCTGGAATGGCTGGGACACAGGGTGCCTTGTCCCAGGGCTGCACAGAGCAGCTGTGCCCTGGGCCTGGACCATGAAACCATTTTTCCCTCCTAGGGATCCAGACCGGTGATAGGTGGGCTTCTGCAAAGGTCTCTGACATTCCCTGGAGACATTTTCCCATTGTCTTGGCTATTACCATTTGACTCATGCAAATTTCTGCAGTCAGCTTGAATTTCTCCCCAGAAAAGTGATATTTTTTTTCTACACATAGTCAGGCTGTGAATTTTCCAAACTTTTATGCTCTGCTTCCCTTTTAAGCATAAGTTCCAATTCCCAACCATCTCTTTGTGGACACATATGACTGTATGCTGTTAGGAGCAACCCATCCACATTTTGAGTGCTTTGCTTCTTAGAATTTTTTTTTTTTTTTTTTTTTTTTTTTTTGCCAGATACCCTAAATCATCTCTCTCAAGTTCAAAGTTCCACAGATCCCTAGGGCAGGGGCACAATGCTGCCACTCTCTTTGCTAAAGCATAGCAAAAGTGACATTTACTCCAGTTTCCAATAAATTCCTCATCTCCGTCTGAGACCCACCACAGCCTGGACTTCATTTTCCATATCACTAGCAACATTTTGGTCAAAACCATTCAACAAGTCTCTGGGAAGTCCAAATTTTCCCACGTCTTTCTGTTTTCTCCTGAGCCCTCCAAACTGTTGCAACCTCTGCCTGTTATCCAGTTCCAAAGTCACTTCCACATTTTCAGGTACCTTTATAGCAGTGCCCACTGTCCTGGCACCAATTTTCTGTATTAGTTTGTTATCACAGTGCTATAAAGAACTGAGACTGAGTAATTTATGAAAAAATAAGTTTAACTGACTCACAGTTCCATAGACTGTACAGAAAGCATGGCTAGGAGACCTCAGGAAACTTACAATCATGATAGAAGTTGAAAGAGAAGCAGGAGAGAGAGAGCAAGGGGGGAAGTTCCACACACTTATCAAACAACTAGATCTTGTGAGCACTTACTATCACAAGAGCAAAGGGGAAGTCCACCCCCATGATTCAATCACCTCCCACCAGGCTCCTCCTCTAACATGTGGGGATTACAACTGGACATGAGATTTTATTAGGCACACAGAGCCAAACCGTATCACATACAAATATTAAACTAAATTATAAATTAACAATAGTATTTTTAGAAAGCATACATCAGCAGACAAAGGATTCATGGATACTTTGCTTTCCAAAATCACACTGAATGAAGAAATAAGGGACTATGCGAACTTTGCATGAGAATGGATCTATCTTCTGAGAATTTGTGTGTCTAATACATTCTGTTGTTTTGCCTTGTATTCAGGAGTGATTGAACTCATAGATAAATACTTCTGAAAACAATTTGCCTTAGCAGAAGGTTGCAGCAAACTATGAATGGAGGCAGAAGAGCTTCTGAAAGAGCTAATGCATTTTTACAAACTCCTAGGAAATCAGGCAGGTTCTTGGGGATAAATTCATGGTGATAAGTAGGTCACAATTTGAAATCTGGGCCCATAGCTTCTGATTGATGCCAGTCATAAGTCTGTGAGCTTACAAGGACTTTTGGTTCACTTTGATTAAGAAAACAAATAAACTGTTAGTGAATACGGGCTGTAAACTTAGACTGCCCCAGACAGTACAGTATATGTTAAGAGCACAGACTCTAGAGCCAGGACACCTTAATTTAAAGCCCAGTTTAAAAAAAAACATAATAATAACATGACATGAGTCAAATTTCTTAGCATTTGTATGCCTTAATTTTCCCTCCATTAAATGGAATAAAAACATTACCTACCTCATAAGATTGTTGTGAGAGCTAAACAGCTTAATATATCTTATGTCCTTAGAACAAGATTTTAGCTAATTGTTGAATATATTGTCTTTTTGTACTCACTATATTTAAGAGAACATTCTAGGGGCTATATTTACTATTTGCTGGACTGTTATCACCATAATACAGCATGATAAAATGCAATCCAGGTTGAATTTGCTCCTAAATATCATATATTAGGCACTATGCTATGTTTTTACACATTATCTCATTTTTTAAAATGCTCCTCTACACCCATTTATCTCCTGACCCCATTTTTACATGAGCACTGTGGTTAAGGAACACATATGCTAGAGCCAGAATGCCATTTTTGATCCCAGTCTCATCACTTGATAGCTATGAGACTCTATACAAGGTTTTTAACATCTCTGTTTTCATTTCTTCAATTATAAAATAGAGACAATATTGCACCACTTTCTTTGTATTAAAGGTTAAATATAAAACATTTAAAAGAAGAACTGAACATAATTGTTACTCAGAGAGTGTTCACTGTTGCTATTATTGTTGTCTTCAAAGTCATTCATATGACCTCATAGACCTATAAATTCCTTTATAATTCCCAGCAATCAAAAGCAGTTGGCTCAGATTTTATGCAGTTCCTTATTTATCAATGCATGCTTGTATCCAAGAACATGCCTGCTTTCCTAGAATTTTGCAAATACTCTTTATGAAAATTTTGTAGAACACAAACAAAAATAAATGCATACATGTAAATACAGACACACACACATATATTTATGTTTTCTAGTAGCCTGCATATTTTAGTAAAACTTGCAATGTACATTTATAGTGTTTATAACTTTGATACTACTTTTGCTAAATATGATTGAGAATATGAAGTCTTCAGCTTGTTTTTGCTTCCCTTTGCTTAAACCTTTGTCTACACGAATGTTCTTCCCACACCATTAAATATGCACACAGAAAAAATATAAAATGTAATATATCTAGAGATGATTTGAATATTTTTCTGTATTGTAAGGAATGATATTTCTAGTCTGTAAGCAATATTTAAATGAGCTTTGAGAATTCTATGTATAATTTCCTGGATTCCTTTCCTTATGGATGACTGTAACCAATCACCTTGCTCAGGCTTTAAACTCTATTTTTTCTGCTTCAGCTGTTTAATTAAGCATTAAGTTGTTGATAGCCGGGAATCCCCATCATAAGAGGGTTTTTCTTTCAATCTGTCTCTTGAAGAGAATCACTGGATCCAATCGAATAATAATTTTAGAAACTTAGTAGTTATACTAATTAATATGGCTTTTGTAATGAAGATTCTAAGTCTTAGAGTGATGCTTTAACTTAAAAGAAGTAATATTTTCTCCTCACCACATGTATTGTGTTCTGACTCTGTAAAATGGCTACACAGTCTAATTTGATTTATAACATTTTTGGTTAAAGGAAATGAAAGAAAAAATATAAATCATCTCTTCATCTTAGAGTCTTTGATAAGCATTTTTTCTTCCTTGTTTATAGCCTGAGTGCGCCAGTGGTATTTAAGTACTTCTGAATCACTTGAATCACTGTATTTACTAATTCATATACTGGGCAACAAGGCTTCCATAATTTGTATAACTTTGTTAATAGATAGAGGAAATATATTTTAGTAACAAAAATTCACCCTGGATGTAAGACAATATTAATTATACAGTATATCAATTAAGTAAAATCAACTGTTACCCCAGAATATCATGAATCTTTTATTTATCAATGGTCAATAGATATTCCTGATCAATGCCCTCAACTCTTGTACTTGTAAAATCAACCCCCTTTGTCATAATAAATTTACTAGCAGACTCTTGGTAGAGGATTCTTAGGAATCCCAGCTCATGAAAAATTGACTCAAGTCATGTGCCCTTGTGACATTTGAAGTAGAACTTACTATGTTCCTTTCATCTATATTTATCTCTTTCCTGGTTAAGATTCTGGACTTTCTACTAGTTATTTTTTTTTTATGGAATTCTCCCCTTCTTTCCTCTCTCTTCTCCTCCTGGTCATATTTGTGTGGATATACTCATATGTGAGTACACACACACACACACACACACACACACACACAACTTTATTCTTCCTAACATTTTTTATTATAATCATGCATTTATCTGTTTGATGTGCATTCTCAAGACTGGGCTGTTAACAATATGATGATCAATATGACAACTAGGACTGTGTCTGTCATTAACTTTTGAAACCAACTTAGTGCCTATCATTCACATAATCAAGAAACATTTACATAAGAGGGTTCCTAGCCAGGAATGAATATTAAAAATGAATACTGGCTGGGCACGGTGGCTCATGCCTATAATCCCAGCACTTTGGGAGGCTGAGGCAGGTGGATCACCTGAGGTCAGGAGTTTGAGACCAGCCTGGCCAACATGGTAAAACCCTGTTTCTACTAAAAATACAAAATTAGCTGGGTGTGGTGGTGCATGCCTGTGATCCCAGCTACTTGGGAGGCTGAGGCAGGAGAATCACTTGAACCTGGGAGGTGGAGGTTGCAGTGAGCCAAGGTCGCGCCACTGCACTCCAATCTGGGCAACAAGAGCGAAACTCCGTCCCAAAAAGAAAAAAAAAAAAATGAATACAACCTTTATAGTTCCAATCCTCATGAAACTTAGAGTGTTAGAATCTACTACTGGAAATAGATGCTTATTACATGTATCACATATGTATGTTTGATTTTTAACAAAAATGGATAGATAATATAGATATAGATAGACATAACATATACTATCTTAGCTCAGATTGCCATAACAAAATACAATTATGTCTCACAGTTCTCATGGCTGGGAAATTCAAGTTAAGGTGCAGGCCAGTTAGGTTCCTGATGTGGACTCCCTTTCTGGCTTGCAGATGGCTGCCTTCTTGCTGTGTACTACATTGTGGAGAAAAAGAAAAAAAAAAAAAAAAACTCCCAGGTACCTCTTATTATAGAGGCACTAATCCCATCATGTTAGCCTTACCCTCAGGATCTCATTTAAACTTAATTAATTGCAAATGTCCTATCTCCTAATCCCATCACACTGGGGGTTATGGCTTCAACATATAAATTTGGGTGGGGGCTGAATTCAGTGTAGAGAAGATATAAGGGGACATTTAGACTGAGTTGTAAAAATCCCTCATTGATGATCATTATAAGTAGTTAGCAACCTTAAGCAAGGAAGTACCATAATTTAACTTGGTGTAATTTACTTATTTAAAAGGTTACCCTGGCGGGGAATTGTTCAAGGGCGTACATTTGGAAATGGAAATGAGTTAGGGAGCACTGACATTGGTTCAGGTGGCCACAGTTGGTGGATGAAACTCAGAATGTAACTGTGGTGACAAAGAACAGTAGATGGATTTAGTCAGATCTCAGAAAGAGCATTAGCATGCCCCGATGATGAGTTGGATGTGAAGATTATGGTACAGAATTTTGCAAATACTCATTATGAAAAGTATGTAGAACACAAACAAAAATAAATGCATACATGTAAATACAGGCACACACACACACGTGTGTGTGTGTGTGTATGTGTGTGTGTGTATATATATATATATATATATATATATATATATATATATATATATATGTTTTCTAGTAGCCTGCATTTAACTCAAAGTTAAATCCCAGCTTTCTGTGACCAATACCTTGATAGATAAAAGTGGTGTTATTGAGATGATGACATCAAGAAGAAAAGGTTTTAGGGGCTGTGCTTGGGAGTTCAGTTCTGGATGTGTGAAATTTATGGTGTCACTGAGAAATGCAAGTAGAGGAATCAAGGAAGCAGTCGGTGATATAAAATTGACCTCAGAGGAAAGGTCTAGGCTGAGTTTATAAATGATGGGACCATGGCTAGACGAGGTGGCTTACGCCTATAATCCCAGCACTTTGGAAGCCACGGCAGAAGGACTGCTTGAGGCCAGGAGTTTGAGACCAGCTTGGGCAACATGGTGAGAGACTCTGTCTCTACAAAATAAAAATGAATTAAATAATATCTGGTCATGGTGGTCACACTTATCATCTTAGCTAGTCATGAAGGTAAGATGAGAGGATCTCTTGAGGCCAGGAGTTTGATGCTGCAGTGAGCTATGTTCACATCACTACACTCCAACCTAGGTGACAGCAACACCCTGTCTCAAAATAAAAAAAAAAAATAGAGTATCATTAAACGAAGACATTATTTGAAGCTATGGGAATGGATGAGTTGTTCTAGGGAGGTATAAAGATAAAGGAAGGGAATCCAGGCCTGAAACAAGAGAAACTCCAAAACTGAAAGCTAAGGATGAGGAAAATGGGGCAAAGTGAGACTATGAAAAAAAATGAGCAGATGAGAGTCTCAAGAGGAAGTTGCAGAAGAAGATATCACAGAGGTCAAACCAAGAGGTTGTTTAGGAAGAAGGGAGTGGCCAATTTGAATGTATCTAAAACATTAAGAGTGATAAAGACCAGAAAATATCCATTTCACAACTTGAATTCAGTGGTGGCCTTAACAAGATCAGTTTCAGTGCAGTGAGGGGCAGACTCCAGGCTGGAGTGGAGTGGGTATAAAAGGGAGGTGAGGAAGCACAGGTAGAGCATGACGTATTAATTTCAGACATTTGGGTTAAAAAGGAAGTAGAGAAAAAAAACAATTTCTGCAGAGGCAAGTGGAGTCAAGGGAGTGCTATTTCAGAATAAAAGATTCTGCATCGTTTGTGGTTTGATAACAATGATCCAAGAGTGAAGAAGAGATAATTGACACAAGATAGAAAAGGAATTTTGCCAGAACAAAGTTTTTGAGAATGTTATTTAGGGTACACATGAACAGATTCTTCTGGCCTAGAAAGAAAGATAATTCTTTCATTTCAACACAAGAGAGTAAATGGGTGTTGATTTTATAGTGGGGAGTTAAGAGAACTCCCATTTAATGGTGCCTGTTTCCTCAAGACAGGCTCATCAGCTGAGCTCAAGCAGTGGAGGAAGGATGGGGAATTTGAAGATCAATGAGAAGATATGAATAATCACCAGAGAAAGAGTCCAGTCAGACTGACAGGCTGCAATGTGTTCAAATGCAGCTAGTGACACCAGTCACCCAGGATTTTTCTTTAATAGCATTCAGCTGAGTTCAGGCTGAAAGAAAATGCATATAACAGTTTTTCCAGAGTCTAGGGTATAAGCTAGGAAACAAACTGAGTTAAAGTATTTGCAAGTTATTATAATAATTAGTTGCAGAGCCTGAGCTAGATTTGAAAAAAAAATAAGGTAACAGGAAAAATTTGGATAGAGTGAACGCAGCAAGTCAGTGGGCTGAAGACCTTGATGCTTTCTCTCCTGATTCACTAATTGCCTTTGAAGTCTCAGATCAAATGTTTCATTTTCTAACTCAGTTAAATATCTAATGAAGTAGTTGAGAGTGCCCTGTGTTGGGCACAGAGATATGCTGCCCAGATCATCTAAAGGAAGGACTTGATAGCCAGCTGTAGAGAATGTGGTCATCAGATGGCTTCCAATTGTTAGCAACTTCATGTTCTACTCAGCTATGGAGAGCTGCTTTGTCCAAAGTCATGTCCATTCTAGGTCTGCCTGAATATGAGACAGAGATAAATGAGGGTACAGAAATCTGCCATTCGAGCTCAGTGGGGGACAACCTGTTGGATACTCACTCCAGAGCTCCTTGCCCCGTGGCTTTCTGAAATCTACATGATATTTCAATCTTTCTGTTCTTTCATGTTTTCTTCCTGTTATGGAATGAACTTTTTCTCCTTCAAATGGATATGTTGAAGCCCTAGGCCCCAATGTGACTGTATTTGGAGAAGGGGTCTTTTGAGAGGTAATCCAGGTTAAATGAGATCATGAAGGTGAAACTTTAATCTGATAGAACTGGTGCCATTATGAGATGAGGAAGAGGCATCAGAGATCTTTCTTTCTTCATGCATGCAGAAATGAAAGACCATATAAGCATTACAGCAAGAAGTAGCCCACTACAGTCTATTAAAAAAAGGTCTCACTAGAAATGGCACCTCAATCTTGAACTTCTAGCCATTAGAACTGTGACAAAATAGTTTTCTGTTGTGTAAGCTGCCCAGTCTCTGGTATTTTGTTATGGGAGCCCAAACAGACAAATATACTCTCCATTCTTTTCACAGATGCCAATTCCTAATAAACATTTTGCACCCTGACCACTCAGCATCTTCATCCAGGTAACCAGAGCTTTTACTCACTCCTGAATAGCATTGTCAGGCTAGGCTGGGGCATTACAGTTTCCTTTAGCACCCTCTCCTAGTCCTGCCATGATGAATAACCGTTAGTTGACTTGTCCCACCTAGGCTGCAGACTCCTTGATGGTAGGAAATGCATGTTATTTATATCTCAACTCAGTGCACCAACAAGCACAGAATGACAACTACCAACATTTTTTGAACAGTTAAATGGCCATGTCGTAACCATGCCATTAGCTTGCAACTGATTTTCCTACTCACATCTACCTCTAAATTTTTGAACCTTGAAAGCTGAGTTTTGCTGGTCACTGACCCTTACGCACACTCTACTCCAGGTATCTATATGCACCTTCATGTAAAGTTACACTAGCTTTCTATGCTATGTAAGACGGTAAAGTGATCCCAATGTAATATTTTTACTGGCTGTCCTAGTCTTGCTTTTTTTTTTAATTCCTAATATTCAATATTATCTTATTCCATTGGTGCATCTTGCACTGTAAACTAAAGGAAATTTCTTCTAATGTGGAACAAAACACCATTTCACATGTTTGGTGAGGAATTTTCAATCCAGATGCCCCGAGTTGCTCATTCAGTCTCCCCCTATACAGGACAGACATAACTTCATCCTTAGGTTGGAATAGAGTTAAATCCAACAAATTAATAGCTGTAGAACTACTGAGTTATGCCTTAGTTTTGTAAGAAAGTCACTGTTGGATAGAGAATTTGGTAGCATAAGTTCTGATAGGCAGATAGTACCCATGAGAAAAAATAAATATAGCTTATTTTTCTAACCTATTTTATTTTAATAAGAGGGAAGAATGGAATACCTCATGCCATCTGTCTTGTTTCCATGTATTCCTAGAGAGCTGGCTAAGTATATCATGCTACCTAACGTTGAAAGGAAATGCTTAGAGTATGTTTACACAGCTTTAATCTCACTGAACAGAGGTTCATAAAACAGGATTACCTTTTTTTTCCCTGCAAATGAGCATGCAGGATTTTCTCCAGCTCCTACAGGAGTCACCTTTATATCAATTTTGACAACATGTAGGACAACATGTAGTATTTTTAATTATTTGTATTATCTGATTGTGTAAATGTGTTTTCACCTTGAGGGGTAGAAAAAATATATCAGCCGAGGCAGGTGGATCATGAGGTCAGGAATTTGAGAATAGCCTGGCCAAGATGGTGAAACCCCGTCCCTACTAAAAATTAAAAAAAAAAAAATTAGCTGAGAGTGGTGGCAGGCACCTGTAATCCCAGCTACATGGGAGGCTGAGGCAGGAGAATCTCTTGAACCTGGGAGGCGGAGGTTGCAGTGAGCCGAGATTACACCACTGCACTCCAGCCTGGGCAACAGAGTGAGACTCCATCTAAAAAAAAAAGAAAAAAAATATTGTCCTGTTTTTGACTTCTGAGTCTCTGTGAATACATTACAATAAAAAACCAAACCAAATAAAAACAAGCAAACTACAAAACCCTAACCATATCTTGCCTGTTGATGCTTCAACTATGTTACTCTGCAAGGATCTACTCACAATATTTGAGATGGTACTAGACTTTTATTTTTTTTAATCAAAAGCATGTTTAAGAAGTTTCAGAATACCTCTAAAATCATGTCTTTGTTATCCTTATGTTGACTTTAGTCAGAAATCTCTGAACTCTCAATATGTCATTTTTGACCACTAGAAAATCTTGACTACTTTTCATATATATACATAGTTCCTGAGACACTAGAGGGATAATAATTAATTTTCCTGACTAACGGATAAACCGAGTCCATCTAATGCAGGTTTTGCATTATATGGAACCACTATAATGTAGCATTTTTATTATAGAAGACCAACATGAGCCCATCTTAAAACCAATCAAGTCATATTACATAGTATTACTATTAATAATACATATCATTAATTTATAACCAGTAATAATGTCTTCAAATAGGAGTTAATCTTACTTATTACTTATTCACATTTAGCTGAAAATAATAAGACTGCTTTCTGCATATTTCTTTCTTTCTATTCATTTAAAAACATTTAAATACAGGTATTTGACTTAGAATGTATGCATTGAGGTGAGTCATTGCAACAGACCCAGTGAAAGCTTGCAAAGCTTTGGTCAAATACCTGTCTAGATATCTCTATAAAGGTATTTTTCAGATGAGATTAACACTTAAATCAATAGACTGAGTTAAGCAGATTACCATTCACAATATGGATGGGTCTCATCTATTCAGTTGAAGGCCTTAAGAGGAAAAGACTGAGGTCCCCTGAGGAAGAAGGAATTCTGCTCTCCAGACCTCATTTGGACATGAGCTGCAATATTCACCCTTCCCCAGGTCTCCAGGCTGCTGGCCTGTTCTACAGATTTTGCGTTTGCTAGTTCTTCTTAACCCCATGAGCCAATTCCTTAATATCAATCCATCTTTCTTTCTCTCTGCTATTGGCTATTTCTCTGGAGAGCCCTGACTTACACAGCGTGGCCTCTGCATTCAAAGAACTCACAATCCAGCAGGAAGTAAGCCACATACAAACAGACATGTCCACGTCCACACTCTCACCTACAATATTGAATGCTCATGCATCATAAAAAAAAACGTGACAGAAATCCTGGCTCTGAATATTTTTTCTAATATTGAATGGGAAAGCTCATGTGCATGATTAGTAGCACATATGCTTTCCCAGTCTTCTCACTCAAGGTTCATGCAAAATTTACTTGTGAGGAAGTGGCAGAAAAATTATCAGAGAATGTATTACGTATATAGTGTATTTGCATGACAGATCAGCTTGAATATCTCAGTTGCTTTCAAAAATATCAGTAAACAGATAGCAAGAAAAGCAGTGTCTTTTTTAATAAAAAAGAATGCAATCTAAACATTCATTTAAAAAAAATGAGCCCCTACTGAATACAAAACGCTGCAGCTTAGGGGAGGTTCAATAATATTAGAATATTGGGATCTAGTTGGGAAGCTAGGCATGTATAGAATTAATTGCAAACTGTGATATAACAATGAATATTATTTTCATGAAAAGTAAGATGGTGTTTCTAAGGAAGAAATGGAATCACAACCACATTCTGCCAAAAAAATCATATTTGATTTGACAAAACCAGTATTCTATTTCTCAGAATTTGGAAGACTCTCCACTCTTACAACTAAAGACGACTGAGAATTGCCCTGGGTACATTCCAGCTTATAAACTGTATATTTCCTATCTTATTTTTCAAAAGAGGTATAAAGGATTTCTAACATAAAAAAAATAGCCTTCCCTTAACTCTTGCCCCCAAAGTCTGGAAGACTCAGAGGAAGCAGTTGTTGTGCTGAATGATCTGATGGAATAAAAGAAAGGTATTGTAAGATGACAGGTTGGCATTGTTTCAATAGCAGGTGAAATTATTTTCTAAATCGGTAATATAATGACTTGTCAGGTTTTCACTTCAAAGTCCTTGTCCTAAGACAGAATCATCTGAACCTAGGTCAATGCTATGGATGTGATTTGAATCTTTTCACCTCTAAGAAATTGGTTTGTTTCTATTTTATTTATTTATTTTTGTTTCTATTTTAGAGGGTGGATAGTATTTATTTAAAAGTGATTCCTGCCTATTGGTAACCTTTAAAATTCAATTAAGATAGCTAATATATTGGATCAAACACAGCATTAGACATTTGCTTGCTAATTTTTTAAATTGGTTTCTGGCATGACCTTAGGTTAGTCACATATTCCATATAAAGATCTTGAAACAGAAGTCAATAGTTGTCTTAAATTGTTCAAATATTAGTCATTGAGTATCTGTTAACTTTCCTTGTTGGATTACTCATGAGAAATATAGTAAATGTCTACATTAATAAAAATGTGGAAAACAAAATTTTATTTTCAAAGGATGTTGATATACAATAAGTGATAAGGAGTTATAATTTTGCTAGTGATTATTGTTATTCTATTTTACAAGCCACTCTCCTATAATAAAGTAAAGTCGTGAGTAGGACTTTCATAATCCTAGTATATACATAATGTAATAGTACTCTGGGAAATATTATCAGGTTTCCAGAATAAGTCCTTTCTGTTTTCAAATCAGCATATTACATTACCCCTGGGAACTTTGTTCTAAAACACAAGTCTTTAAGCTTCGTGATCTCACCATGTCTGGTTAACTCAATGTAGAAACAACTGGTAGAGGTAAAGAAATAACGCAAAAATAAGTTCATTTAAAAATTGGTTATGAAGCTATGATGCCTATTTTTAAACAAGAGAGAGAAATTATGTTAGTCTGGATTTGCAAAGAAGATACGGATATGGATAAACTGATGGAAGAACTTTTCTTCTTCTTCTAATTCTCCTTCTCTGTCTCCTTCTCCTCCTCTTGCTCCTGTTCCTGCTTTTGTTTCTGAGTTTTTGAGAACTGTTTAACAATTTAATACTGTATTTTAACCCAGAAAAAAATTATATTCTTTTTTTTTCCTGAAATTCCTACGAATAAATTCATTTGTATACTGGTATGGACTGAATGTTTATGTCCTCCCCAAATTCCTATTTTGAAGCTTTAATCCCTACTGTGACGGTGTTTGGAGGTGGGGACTTTGGGAGGTTACTTTGGTTTATATCAAGTCATGAGGATGGAGTCCCCATGATGGGATTACTGGTCTTATAAGATGAAGTTACCAAAGTTCTGCCTCTCCACCACGTGAGAATACAAGGAGAGGGCAGCTGTCTGTGAACTAGGAGGAGGATGTTCACCCAGAACCTGACCATGCTGGCATCCTCATTTTGGACTTCCAGCATTCAGAGCCGTGAGAAATAAATGCTTGGTTGTTAAGCTCCCCAGTCTATGGTATCTGTAATAATAGACTGACCAAACTAAGACATACGCTTACTACAAAATATTTTTAAAAACCATGATACTCCACGTAAACTTTGAAATAACATAAGCTATTATTCAATCCCAACTGAATCACTCAATAGCTTGGCAAATTATAATCTCTGGCAGCTTCACTTTCCTATCTGTAAATTGGGAATAATATGTTATCCTTCCTAAGTTTGTGATGAAGCCAAAGGGTAATAACTCATGTTTTGTGAAGAATAAAGAAAAACAAAAATATGAAATATATAATTTATGAAAAATCATTTTGACTTTCATTGATGTACATTATTTCATTAATATGCATTTGATGATGTTTGCACATTATAAGGTGATATGGAAATGTGTAGAAGTAAAATGTTTCCTTTATTACTTAAAAACATTTAGACTATAAGGTGATAGATTACAATATTGTACTCTGATTAGTCCATGGCATGTTAGGAAATAAACCATAAAGGAGTAACCAAATAATTTATCAATTACTTAATCATGTAAGTCAAATGAAATTCATTAAATCTAATCAACATAGGCCAAATTGAGATTTATATAAATAGGGCTGATGATACATTGATTAAAGGATTACCTGATGTTCCTATAATAAGTTCCTAGTCATGTATATCTGTGAGAATAATAAATGATGCTACTTCTTGTTAGCTGAATGGCATTTTAGATGATTGTTAAATTAAATGTTTTTATTGTTAATAAGCTGAATGGGAATTGCATTTGTACCATGGGATTAATTATTATTATATAGCGATCATTGATTACTTCCAAAGTACTAATTCTGAGAAGCCTATGAATTAGGGACTGACTCCTGTCTTAGTTAATCAAATGTTAAAATTTTCACATTTAAATGATATTTGTAATTCATACACTTTAACTTGGATTTCCCTCAGGTAGAAGTAAAAAACAGCAATGCTGTCAATGTCTTTTAGAGAAAAATAAAATACTGATCATCTTGATAATAGCATTTCAACATTTTTTGAGAAAACCAGCATTAAATTTTTTTAAAAGCTGATTTTAATTATCAGACATGTAGTGGAACTTCTGTGGAAATTAGCCTTTTGTATTCAAATGTGAGGGCAAAGGAATGCTAAGAATTCTCTTGTCTATAGTGCATGGCCATAGTTGAACTGGATGTTTTCCCTTGGGCATAGAGAGGGGCAGTGGTGTTGATTTTGTGTAGGTGTCAATGTTCATAGAGAGTGGTATCCCACAACCTACCCAAACTAAGATGATGGAGATGGTTCTATAAAAGAACAGTTCACAGAGATTGGGTGCCTACAAGAAAAGTGCATGGCAACTCATCTGGGAGAGATGTCCTGGACAGCAGAATATGGAAATATGTGCTTTCTTTAATACTACCATTAGAGTAGAGTATAAGGTCAGTGTCCTGTGGAACTTGTGAGAGTTAATGATTATAAGCACTGGTGCCTGTTTGCTAGACTTTCTTCTGTCTTTCCACCTCTGCTAAGACATATTTTAAAACACTTCTAAGAAGCTAACCTACTTGGCTCTTTTCTATTCTTAAAAATCATTTTAAATGATTCACAGAAAGAAAAATGACTGAAACCAAATGAAACAGGTAGAGTAAGCTGTAGAACAATATTAAAAAGTCTTACATATGTATAATTGGTGATTCATGAGGAGGGGAATGGAGTCGAGGAGGAGAAAAATATTAAAATAATTGCTGAAAAATGTCTAAATCAAATGAAAATGATAAGCCTGCATAGATGACAACTTCAACATGCCCTAATCAGAAGAAATGTAAGAAATATCAAATTGTTGATAACAGCAATAAAAATACCTTAAAAGTAGTCAAAATAAAAGACACACTACAAACAGAAGAACAAAAATAAGAATGCCATCAAATTTCACCATAGAAACTGTTCAGGGGGAAAAACAACAAAATTAAAGAGAGAGAGAGAGAGAAAGAGAGAGAGAGGAAAGAAAGAAAGAGAGAGAGAGAAGGAAAGAAAGAAAGAAAGAAAGAAAGAAAGAAAGAAAGAAAGAAAGAAAGAAAGAAAGAGAGAGAGAGAGAGAGAGAGTGAGGGAGGGAGGGAGAGAAAGAAAGAAAGGAAGGAAGGAAGGAAGGAAAGAACGAAAAGAAAGAAAAAATAAATAATAGCAGGTAGAAACTTGAATCTACACAAAGATACAAGGAGAGTCAGAAGTAGTAAATTTGTGGGTAAAATTGCATTAAGACTCCAAATCAAAGTAATTACTGAGTTTGTTTCTTTTACCATCGCTATAACACATAGGCATTTATGCCATAGTTATAACAACATAGTTATAACACAAAGGCATTGCTTTACTTACGGTTGGAGAAGTGCATGGGATATGATTTTAAAAATAAGGAACAGGGAGTGGATAAAGCCATGGGAAAAAAAGTGAAAGATGAAGGACAAGCCAGTTCCAAGTCAAGTTGACCTGGGGGATTGTTTACTCAAGATAAGTGAGACATCCAAAGAAGGACCTGAAAAGACTGAGGTGGCATCACAGCTTTACCTAGATGAGATAAAGGGGTCTTTTGACCAGGACACCCTTATTTCAGTGTTAATAATACTAAGCATGACTTTATACAATTGCACAATGTACTGTTGTACGTTTTTGGATTTTAGGTTACTATGAGGCTTACGAATCACATAAACCATTTTTGTAAATTGATGACAACTTAACTCTGCAAAAACAAACTAAAACAAGCACCGAATAACTCTATACTTTAAATTTATCTTCCTCACTTTTAACATTTTTCATCTATTTATATTTTATTATACTATGTCTTAAAAATTTGTAGTTATTATTTTTGATAGGTTTGTCTTTCAGTCTTCCTACTCAAGTTATGAGTAATTTATCTACAGCAATTATAGTGTTATAATAGTCTGTATTTTTCAGTGTACTTATTGTTACCAGTAAGTACTGTCCTTTCAGATGATTTCTTACTGCTCATAAACTTGCTTTTCTTTCTGGCTAAAGAACTCTCTCTAGCATTTCTTGTAGGATCGGTCTGGTATTGACAAAATCTCTCAGCTTTTGTTTGTTTGGAAAAGGCTTTAGATCTCCTTTATGTTTGAAGTATATTTTTACTGAATATACTATTCTACGATAAAAGGTTTTTTTTCCTTCAGTACTTTAAATATATCATACCACTCTCTCCTGACCTGTAAGGTTTCAACTGAGAGGTCTGCTGCCAGATGTATTGAAGCTTCTTTATACACTATATTATCTTTTTTTTTTTTTTTAATTTTCTCCTGCTGCCTTTAGGATCCCTTCTTTATTTTTGACCTTTGAGAGTTTGATTATTGAATATCTTTATTAATGTTAAATCTGCTTAGTGTTCTGTAACTTTCTTGTACTTGAATATTAATATATTTCTCTAAGTTTGCAAAGTTCTCTGTTATTATCCCTTTGAATAAACTTTCTATCCTGAATTCTCTCTACACTTCTTCTTTAAGGCCAAAACTTTTAGATTTGCCCTTTTGAGGCTACTTTCTAGATCCTGTAGGCAAGCTATATTATTATGATTATTATTATTATTATTATTCCTCCTCTGGATGTGTATTTTCAAAAATAGCCTGTCTTTGAGCTCACTAATTCTTTCTTCAGTTTAATCAATTCTGCTGTTTAGAGTCTCTGATGTATTTTTTGGTTTATCACTTTAATTTTTCAGGTCTAGAACTTCTAATTTTTTTCTAAATTATTTCAATCTTTTTGTTACATTTATCTGATATAATTCTGAATTTCTTCACTGTATTATCTTGAATTTTGTTGAGCTTTCTCAAAACAGCTATTTTGAATACTCTGTGCAAGGGGTAACAAATCTCTGTCACTCCAGAATTGGATACTGGCACCTTATTTAGTCTGTTTGGTGAAGTTATGTTTTCTTTCATGGTCTTGATGCTTGTGGATGGTCACTGATATCTGAGAATTGAAGAATTAGGAATGTATTCCAATCTTTGGAGTCTGGGCTTGTTCTTACCTGTCTTTCTTGAGAAGGCTTTCCAAGTATTCAAACAGAGTTAAGTGTAGTGATGTAAGTCTTTGGTCACTGCAACTGTGTGTGCATTGAGGGGCACCCTAAGCCTAGAAGTACTATGACTCTTACAGACTCACAAAAGCACCATCTTGGTTATCTTGGGTAATGTCTGGGAGAATTTCCTGGATTATCAAACAGAGTCTCTTGTTATCTTCCCTGCTTTCCCAAAAACAAAGTACGTCTCTCCTTCTCTGTGCTGAGCTGCCTGAAGTTGGGGATGGAGTGACACAAAAACGCCTGTGGCCACCAACCCAGGACAATGCTGGATCACTCCTGAAGTCAGCACAGTGCTAGGTCTCACCCAAGGCCTGTGGTGACTACTTCCTGGCTACCGCTGGTGTTTATTCAAGGCTCAAGGGATTTTTAGTCAGAAGGTGATGAATCTCACCAGAAATGAATCTGTGCCTTCAGTGCAGCAGGTTCCCTTCTGTCCTGGCATAGGTCTATAAATGCCATTCAGGAGCTAGGGCCTGGGATCAGGAGCTTTAGAAATCTGCTTGGTGCTTTATTTTACTGAGATGGAGCTGCTACCCAGCTTGCAAAACAAAATCCTCTGTACTTTGGCCTCTCCTTTCCTTAAGCAGAAAGACTTTCTCACCACCTCCCTAGGCCTATGGTGGCTACTGCCTGGCTACCACTGATGTTTATTCAATGCTCAAGGGCTCTTTTGTCAGCAGAGGCTGAGTCTAGGCAGGCTTGCGTCTCTCTCTTCAGGACAGCAAGTTTCTTTCTGGCCCAGATCAGGTCTAGAAATATCCTCCAGGAGCTAAGGCCTGGAATCAAGGACTTAAGGAGTCTGCTTGGTATTTTATTTTGGTGTGACTGAGCTGGTACTCAAGTTACAAGATAAAGTCCTCTTTACTCTTCCTTCTCCTTTCTTTAAGCAGAAAGAGTTTCTTCACATGTGCACCACAGCTGGGAATGTGCTGGGTCACACTTGAAGTCAGCAAGGTACTATGTCTTACCCAAGGCCTGTGGCAACTGCTGCCGGGCTACTGCTGATGTATATTCAAGGCCCAGGGTATTATTAATAATCAGCTGCAGTAAATTCTTACAGGGACTGCGTTTTTTTCGTTTATGGCAGTAGGTTCCCTTTGGACCCAGGGCGACTAGAAATTTCACCTTGGAGCTATGGCCTGGAATGAGGGCTTCAGGACTCTGCTTGGTGCTTTATTTTACTTTGGCTGAGATGGTACTCAATTTGCAAGACAAAGTCCTCTTTACACTCATCTCTCCTTCCAGAGCTGTGAGTTTCACTGCCTAGAATTGGGGAAGGGGTAATGCAAGCACTTCTCTAGCTGCTGTCTCCCTGGGTCATGTGTACCCCAAATCCCCTGGATCCAAGCCCTGCATAGCACCAGGATCTGCCCAGGAATTGCAGTCAGTGTGGCCTAGACTGCCTTTTGAGTTTGTTTAGGACTCCAGAGTACTTTAGCCCTCAGTGATAAGTCTAGCTGTAACTGAGGTACTGACCACTGAGACAAATGACTCGCTTCTGGCTACGGCTGGTCTAAATGCTCCTTTCTTGGTTGCTGGCCATATTCTACCCTGTGTTGCTTTCCATTGTGAAAGGGCAGCACTGAGTTCTAATGCACAGTCTTTTTTTTTTTTTTTTTTTTTTTTTTTGAGACGGAGTCTCGCTCTGTCACCCAGGCTGGAGTGCAGTGGTGTGATCTTGGCTCACTGCAAGCTCCGCCTCCCGGGTTCACGCCATTCTCCTGCCTCAGTCTCCCGAGTAGCTGGGACTATAGGCGCCCGCCACCACGCCCGGCTAATTTTTTTGTATTTTTAGCAGAGACGGGGTTTCACCCTGTTAGCCAGGATGGTCTCGATCTCCTGACCTTGTGATCTGCCCGCCTCGGCCTCCCAAAGTGCTGGGATTACAGGCGTGAGCCACCGCGCCCGGCCCACAGTCTTATAATCACTTTGCCTTCCCTTCCCCAAGCACACAGATTCTCTCTCACCACGCTGTGACCTGCGGGGGCACTATTGCTGGAGGGTTCTAGTAAGCTATCTTGCTCTGCCTCCTCTCCCTAAATATCAACCCTTAATTTGCAGTTTGCTTCTTAATTTTGTTTACAGAGTGTTTTAAATTCAGAAAATCTTAATTTTAATGAAATTATAGTTATTCTTGTTTGCAATTGTGTTATACTTTTAATATCAGACTAATAACATCTTTTCTCATTTCACAGTCGTAAAGATGTATTTATAGATTTTTCCTAGTGTTCTAAATGCCTTTAATATTTCATCTTTTATCTCCCTAATGTGTGGATGTTGGGAGATTAAATTCAACTTTTTTCATATATATAAGCAATTTTGCTCACATTATTGTTTGAATAATCCATATTTTCTCCCTGCTTCACACAGCCACATTTCTCCTTATGGGCACTGGTTTCTGACCTCTCTACTTGGTACCTATGTGTCAATCTATACACCTTTTAACTGCTCAATTTCTTTTTTTAAGTTTTGCTATTTGCTTTGGCAAGTTTCCCACATTTTTCTACTTCAAAATAGATTTACCTCTTCAAAGCCTTTTGCTCTTTAATGTAAATATTACAATCTATTTATCAAGTTCTATAAAAATCACTTTGCATTTTCATTTGAATTTTATTGAATTCATAGGATAATTGGTATAAAAGATCTTTGCACCATCAAGTCTTTCTATACATAATATAATAAGTCTTTTCATGTTATATTTAAAAGAATCCAATTGGACTTCTTTTTTATTTTTATTTATTTATTTTTTTTGAGACGGAGTCTTGCCTTGTCACCCAGGCTGGAGTGCTATGGCACGATCTCGGCTCACTGCAACCTCCGCGTCCCAGGTTCAAGCAATTCTCCTACCTCAGCCGCTTGAGTAGCTGGGATTACAGGCACGCACAACCATGCCCGGCTAATTTTTTGTGTCTTTAGTAGAGATGGGGTTTCACCATGTTGGCCAGCCTGGTCTTGAACTCCTGACCTCGTGATCCACCCACCTGGGCCTCCCAAAGTGCTGGGATTACAGGCGTGAGCCACCGCGCACAGGAGGACTTCGTTTTTTCTGTGATTAAAATGTTACTTTTTTTCTGTAAAATGTGTTGGTAATTTTTTGGATTTATCTTAGTTATTTTTATCGCTTTTTGTTGTACATAATTTTTTAAATTATATTTTATGTTTTTTGTAAGCAGTATATAAAAATGTTTATTTTTAATATTTAACTTTTATATAGCAATTATGCTAAACTCTCTACTTGCAAGAGTTTCACAATCCCTTATACATCATTCTGAAATTTAAAAAAACTCTAAAAACAGAGATTTTTTTAAAGTAAGTCTGGCACCAGATCTTACTCCAAAGCCAAATCTGATCTGAACAGATGTGAGGCTATTTACAGTCTTTATCTTAATGACTGTGAATATTCATAAGTTTCATTGACAAAATTAATGTGTTTGATTATGCAATACTGCTCCCGATCTGCTAAGAAAGTTACATAATATATGGTTATGCACCTTGTTGCCTTTCTAAAACTCAATATTTCTGAATTCTGAAACACCTATGGACCTATGTACTTCAGTTAAGGGGTTTAGGGGTTGAGGATTTATTATTGTTTTCTTGTAGATCCTCTTGGATAGTTCTTTACAACTTTCATCAAGTTAAAAAATTGTTTTCCATTTCTTTTTTTAGATCACTGTTTATAAATGGCTATTGAACAAATGATTTTTTTCCATTTTCTGAGATGATCATAGATAGACCTCCTCCTTTAAGCTCTTAATATGTTATTTGATATTAACTGATTTTGTGAAGTGAGATAATCTTAGATTTAAGTGACCAACTCAACATGGTAAAGATGTATTATGTTTTGTATATAATTTCAAATTCAGTTTACTAATGCTAGCTTAGCTATTTTCTTTGCTATACTATATTAGCCTGATTTTGTTGTCAATATTGTAAGATTGTCATAAAATAAATAAAGGCAAGCTCTCTTTTTATACTTTCAGGAAGACTTTGTATAAATATTGGATTATGAAAAAGAGATAATTTCAAAAATGATCTGGATTGAGGTGGGTGTTTTTTCTTCCTCTCTTTTAGTCGGTATATGTTTACTGACTCAAACTTTCAACAGTTGCCTCTTTGGGACTGATTGCTTTTTTAAAGTTACTTTTGGTAAATTACATATTTCTGGGATATTATGTATTTTATCTAAGTTTTTCAGTGCTTGGACATAAAGTTGTTCAAGATAGTCTCATTACATTTTTAGTGTACATTATATTTGTTAATTATACACTTTTTTATTTTTATAATTTTTGTTCATATTTTCAATCTTTTGTCTTCAATACTCTTACTATTAGAACATCAATTATACTGGTCTTTTCAAAGAACAAGCTTCAGCTATTTTCCTTATTATTTCTTTTTTTTCTTTTTCATTCACTAATTTTTGTTCTTGTCTTTATTACTTTCTGAAAGTTTCTTTGGAATTACAATGTTTTAAAAATTTTCTGTTGTTCAAGTGTTTCTGTGGTGTCACTAATTTGTGACTTAAAAAAATTCAACTTTTAATATTATGAAAATTTTGTTTTGATAATATTTATTGTATATATTTAGGTTATGTTATTCAATGCACTCAAATTTAGAATTTATTTATTCCTGTTAAATATTGCATTTTACATTTACACATTAATCTTTTTTTGTCAGAGATATTTTTAATTTTAAAGTATGCTTTAGATAATAATAATGCAGCCATTCCCATTTTTTTTGTTGTTAGCATTTACAATGTATAATTTCTTTTTGCATTCTAGAAGCATCAACCATTTCTTGTCATTTTAAGTGAGCATATTTTAGGCAATCAATAGCAAGACTGTATTTTTTAAATCTCACATTGTATTTTCTGTTACCAAATGTCACCTATTTTTATTTGGATTTTTATGCGCAATCTGACTTTATGCTTTATAATTGCTATGCTTTCTTCGTTACTTTTTTTCTTCTTTTTCATTTGATTGATGAAATGATCCAGTGAAACCATCTTTATTTTCCATTTTTATTCTCTGCTATCTTTGAGATTATATATCCTATTTATTGTATAGTAGTTACCTTTAAAATTACTTGACCAGGTAATGTGTTAATATTTATTCTCTTCCGGGTTTTTCAGATACCTTAGACTGCTGCAACTCGAGAGACTTGACTCCTTTCATTTTATTCTTTTATTTGTTATTTGTTTTATACTCCCTAAATTGTCATCATTATCATTATTGTTTCTATAGTAAATACTTAAAAAAAATTAGCTTTCTGTTTTAGAGAAGTTTTAGATTTGTAGAAAAATTATGAAGATAATGCTGAGAGGTTTTTTATATGCCAGTCCCTGTTTATTCTGCTGTTAACATCTTGCATTTCATGTATCTGACATTTGTTAAAATAAGTGAACACACATTTGTATATTACTATTAATTCATGTTAATACTTTATTCATATTTTATTCTATTTTACCTAAGGCCCTTTCTCTCTCTCTCTCTCTCTCTCTCTCTTTGAGATAGAGTTTTGCTCTTGTTGCCCAGACTGGAGTGCAATGGGAAGATCTTGGCTCACGGCAACCTCTGATTCCGGGGTCAAGTGATTCTCCTGCCTCAGCCTCCCGAGTAGCTGGGATTACAGGCATGTGCCACTACGCCCAGCTAATTTTGTATTTTTAGTAGTGATGGGGTTTCTCCATGTTGGTCAGGCTGGTCTTGAACTCCCAACCTCAGGTGATCCACCCTCCTCGGCCTCTCAAAGTGTTAGGATTACAGGCGTGAGCCACTGCTCCAGGCCAATTTATCACTCTTGATGTTAACTTTGATCACCTATATAAGGTAATGTTTCTCCATTGAAAAGTTACCCTTTCCTCCTCCCATTTTCTACACTGTACTCTTTGGAAGTAAGTCAATATGTGCAACCCTCACATAAGGAATAGGGAATTATGCTCCACCTCTCTGAGAGTGGAATAGCAGTATAAATTATTTCAAAGTCTTCTGCAAGCAGATTTGTCTCTTTTCCCTGACTTCTGTATTTATTCTTTTTTTTTTTTTTTTTTTTTTTAAGGGAGTCTTGCTCTGTCTGCCCTGGCTGGAGTGCAGTGGCGCAATCTCAGCTCAGCGCAACCTCTGCCTCCTGGGTTCCAGCGATTCTCCTGCCTCAGCCTCCTGAGTAGCTGGGACCACCAGCATGTGCCACCATGCCTAGCTAATTTTTGTATTTTTAATAGAGACGGGGTTTCACCATATTGTCCAGTCTCGTCTCAAACTCTTGATCTCAAGTGATCCACCTGCCTCAGCCTCCCAAAGTTATTCATATATTGGTGTGTATTTCTTTTTCACACTTGCTTATTTTCTGTCACTGCAAGATACTCTGGGATTATCTTGCCCTTTTCTTTCCCAGTCCTAGAATCAGTTATTTCTTCAAAAGTCTCTGGTTACTTTTTCTGTAGAATGGTATAAAAAAAACAAGATCTGGATGCTGTGTGTGCTCATTGCTACTAAGATATTCTTTGCTTCTATGTCCTCTCAGCTGACAGAGCAGATAAATGTATGTGTGTCTAATAACCCACATATCTACACATACATCTATATGTAACTATCTATATCTCTATAAGTTCATTTAAACATGAGTTAATCCTGATGTCTCCAACTCTAGCACATTACCACATGGATCATTCTAGTCTTTGTCCCTTGATTATCTGTAAACTTGGATTCCAGCAATAAGAAATCTGGCTCCTACAATCTGCCTTCTATTTACAGAATTTTCAATGTCTCAGTAGATGTGGGTAGCAGTATCAGAATTAACCCACACTCTCATGAAAAACCTCTTTATCAATTAGAGTACAATGTTTATGTATAGTTTCTTTTGCTTTTAATCTTGAATATCCTACTTATTCCCAAATTTACTTAGCTCAACAACTTTTTCCCAAATACCCTTCAGTGAGGTTCTTTCATACATTTGTAATACAGTTAGATTGTTTTGTCACATTCTACAGTGTATCAAGGTATATCATAACCTTACACATGTACATTTTTAAAAATTCACATGCATTAGGCTTTATTCTTTGAACTGTAAAGTTCTATTGGTTTTAACAAATGAGTCATGTACCTACGATTACAGTATTACGTTTCACAGATCTAAAACATCTCATGTGTTTCACAACTTCAGCTCTCATCTCCTACCCTGGAACCTCTCACAACCATTGATATTTTTACTGGCCACATAGTTTTGCTTTTTCCAGAACGTCAGATAATTGGAAGAATAGCCTTTTGAGGCTGGCTTCTTTGACTCACTAATAATA
This sequence comes from Homo sapiens, assembly GCF_000001405.40. Lineage (NCBI taxonomy): Eukaryota > Metazoa > Chordata > Mammalia > Primates > Hominidae > Homo > Homo sapiens. The sequence goes on along the minus strand of NC_000014.9, from coordinate 84,879,188 downwards.
TTTAAGATTCATCTATGTTAGTCTGTGACTTGTTAGCACATTTATTTGTACTGCTGAATGATATTACATTGTATGGATGCATCGCAGTTGCTTTATCCATTCATCTGTTGAAGGACATTTTAGTTGCTTCCAGTTTTTGGCAATAATAGATAAAGATGCCAAAACATTCATGTCCAGGTTTTTGTGTAGACACTTTCAAATTAGCTGGATAAATACGAAGAAGCACAATTGCTAGATGACATGGTAAGAATATGTTTTACTTTGTAAAAAACTGTTCAAGTGTCTTCCATAGTGGCTATACCATTTTGCATTCCTACCAACAATAAATGAGAATTTCCATTGCATTACATCGTAGCCAGCAATGTGTGTTTTTGATTTTTGAATTTTAACCATTCTCATATGTACATAGTATCTAGTTGTTTTAATTAGTAATTCCTCAATGACAAATGATGTTGAACATCTACTTATACGTTTACTTGCTTGCTATCTATGGACCTTTTTTCGTGAGACATCTGTATAGATCTTTTGCCTGTTTTTTTTTTAATTGGGTTGTTTTATTATTGGTCAGTTTTATGCATTCTTTGTATATTTCAGATCTAAGGTCTTTATCAGATATATGTTTGCAAATAATGTTTTTCAGTAGCTTGTTTTTTCATTCTCTTAACAATGTATTTGCAGAGCAAAAGTCTTTTTTAATTTTAATGAAGTCCAACATATTAATTTATTTGTTCATGTATTATTATGCTATCGATACTGTTTGTAAGAACTCATCATCAAACCCAAACTCCCATAAATTTTCTCCTATGTTTTCAAGTTTTATCGTTTTGTATATTACATTAACTATATGATCCACTTTGAGCGTATTTCTGTAAAAGGTGTTAGGTCTTTATCTGTATTATTATTATCATTACTTTGCATATGGACATCCAATTTTTCCAGTACTAATGGTTAAAATGACTATAATTTTTCTCTTGAATTGCTGTTATTCTTTTGTCAAAGGCCAGTTGACTATAATTGTGTGGGTCTATTTTTGGATGTTATTCTATTCCACTGATGTTAGTTCTTTCAACCAATATCATACTGTCTAATAACTGTATTTTTATACAAAGTCTAGAAAGTGGGTAGTTTGAGTACTCTAACTTTGCTTTTTGGCATCATGTTAGCTATTCTAGGTTTTTTGTCTTTCCATATAAATTTTGGAATATATTTGTCAATATCTACCAAATCCCTTGCTGAGAGATTTTATTAAATCTATAGATCAATTTGGAAAGAATTAGCATTTAAATAATACTGAGTCTTCTAGTCCATTAATGTGAAATATGTTCCAATTTGTTTAGATTTTTAAAAAATGTCTTTCTATATTGTTCATATACAGATTGTATATATGTTTAGTTAGATATATACCTAAGTATTTTATCTTAGGTATAAATGAGAGGGGCAGAGAGGGCTATTGTAAATGGTATTGTTTATTTAATTTCCAATTTCAATTATTCATTATTGGCATACATGAAAACAAATGACTTGTGTATATTAACTTTGTCTTATGTGACCTTGCTTATATTAGCCCTAGGATGTTTGTGTGTGTGTATGTCCATTATTTAATTGGAATTTTTTCCAGGAAAAATCATGTTACCTTTGAATAACTATAGTTAAAATTTCTTTTTCTCTCTTTCCAATATGTATGTCTTTTATTTCCTTTATCATCTTATTGCATTGGCTAGGACTTCCAGTATGATGTTGAATAGTAATGATGACAGATGACATTATTGCCTTGATCCCAGTCTTAGGGGAACAAATAACAGTTTCTTACCAGTAAGTATAACCACCCACCCTCATTCCCTGCAAAGCCATGAAGTATCTTTCTGGGATCTGCATTGTAAAAATAATGGAATTCCTGAAGGTAAAACCCACAAAAGTAACTGGATTCTTCCAAGACCAAAATCATGGGGAGTTACCTCATCCTTATGCTAGTTCACAATCTTCCTCTAGCAATTAATCACAGTTATTTAAATGGTAATTCCTAACCATTTATGTCAATAGTGGTTTCTGTTCCCGATAAGCAAATCTTGGCTATTATTTTGAGCATTAGTCTCTCTTTCCAGGTTTGGGTGGTAGTTTGCTCTGCAGTCTCAGTTCTGCATGGATAAATCCATGGTTGAATTTTGGTTTGCTCAGCTTTTGCTTGATTTTAGGACAGGAGTGATGTCTTCCAAGCTCTACATGTCAAAACTGAAACTAGAAGTCTGTTTTGTTTTTTTTTTTATTAAATTTACTGGTACATGTAATGAGTTTTTAAAATTCATCACTGTTCTTAATATCTTATTCTAGTTTTTCTTTTTTTGAAGTTTATTCTTAATAAGTTATTTTAATAAGGATTTTAGTCATATTCACTCAGTCGAACTTTGTGAAACGTACCTTTATTTCACTGTCATTTTGAATGACAGTTTAGTCAGATTGAATTCTAAAGTAAAAGCTATGTTCTCTGAGAATTTTCAAGATATTATCTGACTCTATTTTGGCTTCTGTTATTGCTATTGAGAAGTCTGCTATCAGACTAATTGATATATATTGTAAGTTAATCTATTTTTTTCTCTCTGCAGTTTAACCAGATCTTCTCTTTTTACTTTATGTTCTACCCTTTCTCTAGAATGTTTTAAAAGATAAATCAGTCTCATTTATTTTGTTTGCTCTTCTTAAATATATTGGGTTTCTTTTCTTAGCCAATTCTGGGAGAAAAATGACCTACAGTTTTAATGTAGTCTAATATCAATTTCTACTCCATTTAAAAAATGAAGAACCTTAGGATCTATGGGATTAAATACTTCTTGTAAGGTCACAAAGCTAGTAAATAATAGTCTTATAACTTGAATCCCATACAACTTGAATCCATGTTTCTTTGGATGACAATGTTACATACTGTCTAAAATATACATAGTTTGTAGATAAATAATGTTATCCGGAAAATTCTAATAAATCTGAAATAAATTGTGTCACTGAATCTTGATTATTCTCTTTTGTTTATGATATTACTGGTCTTTTACATGATTGTACATTCTTCTGATTAGGTAAAAAAATACTACATGATTCTTTAAAATTTTGCAGGATTCATTAAAATGATATTCTCTTTGCTGGTATTCAATATATCTGTCATATTTAATTACAGAGTAAAAAATGATACATTTTATATTGATAATGAATATCTGTAAGCTTTTGACTTTGGTGACATAATGTTTTTTACTTTTCTCCCAGTTTTTAGAATTAACAATCTCTAAAAAGTGAATAAGTAGTAAAAAGCCCCCACAAGAGTAAACAATACTCTTCTTAAAGAATCTTCAACTAAATACTCTTGTTTCATCAAGTATCCCTAGCTGGGTCTCCATCTGAGTTCCAAAAACATCAGTTCCTCTGACTGTTTTACTCTAAGGCCTAAAAAGTATAAGAACTCCTCGGTATCATCTTAGTTTCTCCAACTACAAAATGTGCAAAGTAAAGTAATTTTCCAAATACATTAAAAAGTTGCACAACTTTGTATACGGGTGGAAAGAGGCTTGTTGAGACTGATATCAGATGACTGTTTACCTGACATCTTTTTATTTGCTTGAGAGAAATAGAACAGTACATAAAATTTTTATTAAGTATGGCACTTAAAGTTTTTTATGAGTGAAAATCTCCACTTTTATAGAAGCCATATATAGTGGTTCATGCAGAACTTGCCAACCTCTATCTGCTATTTGGATCCCATTTTACAGTTGAGGAATCATGAAGAGATGGAGGAAAGTTAATGAAGATGCAAAAGGCCACACAGCAGGCTGATGTCAAAATCTAAAATACATTCACACATGCCTGGGAATTTTAACTCTACCCTGAACCTTCTGTTCCTCTGCCTCCATTTAACAGGGAAAAACACATGCAAATATATGCTTATGCTGACACAGTATAAATCACATCTAACACATGTCTAACCTGTATCTTTATTTTTGCTTTTTGAGAAGGAGTCTTACTCTGTCGCCCAGGCTGGAGTGCAGTGGCACAACCTTGGCTCACTGCAACCTCCGCTTGCCGGGTTCAAGTGATTCTTCTGCCTCAGCCTCTCGAGTAGCTGGGATTACAGTTGCGTGCCACCACACCTGGCTGATTTTTGTATTTTTAGTAGAGATGGGGTTTTACCATGTTGGCTAGGTTGGTCTCGAGCTCCTGACCTCAGGTGATCCATCCGTCTCGGCCTCCCAAAGTGCTGGGATTATGGACGTGAGCCACCGCGCCCGGCCACATGTATCTTTCTTATATACTTTAAGGTCATTTACTTTTATAAATAATGAAACGAAAAACTGAACAGTATTCATCTCTTCTTCACCAATTGTCGAGTAATAGAAGGCATACTTTCCAAATACGTGTGTGTATGCATGTGTGTGACAGTGTGTGTGTGTATTTATATATACATACATTCTGTAAAATCCATGTAAGTACATTTACCATAGGGCCCTTGCTGGGCTGATGGTTTGCCAATGTATCCATTCATTATTTAGCTATCCCCAGGGATAGCATTTGGAATACAATCTGTCTTTTGAATAGAGATGTAAGTGAAACCAAGTTCTTTGATAGGACTCTTGACTGAAAAGACTTTGACAGAAACCTCCTATTAGGATCCAATTATATTAAACTGTGAAATGTTAAAAGCACTTCATCACAATGTGTAGTGCTTTCTCCCTGTGCCTAAATGCAATCTGGTACTTGCCTCACCTTGAGTCTTTCATAATGGGTGCCCGAGGAACTGTATCATGGAACAGGCAAGACTCAAAAATATTCTTCTCAGTTCTTTAAAAATCAAGTCCCAGCCTCCTTAATAGGAATTCTGACAAGGTGTAGTATATGTTCCCTGGGTAATCAATCAGGCTTGCATAGAAACCATAAAGGAGCTCGTCAGGCTGCTGGAGTGAGTGGTTTCTTATGAACAGCCTCATTGTTCTCACAATTAAGGCCAAGGAGGCAGCCTCGGAAGAAGGGTTTCTGTGGATATCTGAGGGTGAGGTGTGGGAGGAAGGAGCTTTGGGAATGTAAACAATAGCCGTCCTTCTAAATCCTAAGAGGCTCTACTTGCAATGCAAAAGATATTAACGTCTGATGAAAGCAAAACAAGCAAGTATACTTAAAATTGCTGCTGCTACATCATGCTGTTTCAATATGTTACTAGTCAGAAGATTATAAATTCACCAACTTCACCTTTTGGACTATATCCAAGCAAGCTATCACAAAACATAAACAGCTGGATTCTTTTATCTGATAGATGTAATTAGAAATGAAGTCGGCTTTAAAAAACACTATTCCGAATTATGACTGGCAGATTTTTTAATCTTAACTGTGTGCTTAAGGAAAATACACATTTAAGATTTGATGTTTTCTCATTCCATTAATGGAATTAAACTTTTACTTCTGTACTCGGGAGGCTGACTGGGAGCATCTCCTGAGGCTGGGAGTTGGATACCAGCCTGGGCAACATAGTGAAACCCTGTCCTTAAAAAAATTAAAGATTAGCCAAGCAGGCATGGTGGTACACACCTGTGGTCCCAACTACTCAGGAAGCTGAAGCGTGAGGATGACTTAAGCCTAGAAGTTTGAAGCTGCCATGAGCTATGACCCTGCCACTTCACTCTAGCCTGAGTGACGGAGTGACACTCATCTCTAACAAATTAATAATAATAATAATAATAATAATAAATTTTTGCTTTTTTTTCCTCAGGGCAAAATGACAGGTAGATAACTGCAAAGAGTTTAATTTAACTTAACCATATAAGTCTGTAGCTATATGAAGATACATACAATTTAATAGTAGCTGTATCTAGAGAGGAGGTAAGGAAAATGGAATTTGCGCGGATTACATTTTTGTGAGAAAAAGTCATGTATTCCTTGTGTAATTAAAGGTAATAAAAAGCAGGAAAAGTAATATATAATATTCTCTTTTATAAAGAGATGAATTTTGCTGTACTTCTATCTAGTAAATTATATCAAAAAGATAACTGTCAAAGGGTTTACAATTTCCAATAGGATAATATTAAGGCTGTGATTTTTGATCAATGATGATGCTATCATCTAAAACAGGTACATGTATATATCTTAGGTACTTAACAAGTACAATACTGGAGCTTTGTTTGACCTACTATATCACTTATTCATTCAGTTATATATTTATGAAGTGACAATTCAGTAAGTGAGAATTGATGAAAATAATTAAGACAGTGTTTACAACAAGCTAAAAAAAAAATTAACCCACCTGGAAATTCCCAGAATAGTGTTGAGATTGCATCCTGTATGGGCCATGATGTGATGGCATCAAATTTATAACGTTCAAAGAAATGATATTACATGTAATATTATGCAGATTAGAAGACAAAATTAAAGATATCTAAGGTATATTAAGATGAAGGCTAAAGTGAATAAAGATTATATAGCCACAGAAATAAAAGGGGGATTAATATATTCACCCTTTAAAATGCATTTATTAAGTTTTAACTGTGGACCAAGTATTGTGTTGTATTGCAGAGATTGTATTAATAGGTGAATAAAACAGTGGTAGTTCAATTTAGGAAATGTATATGGAAGGATGCACACATGCTAAAAACACATGGGCATAAATATGATAGGTGCTATAAAGACACAAGTACAGGGCAGAGTGGCACACAGAGAAGGAAGTGATTTATTTTGCCTAGATGAATTAGTGAAAATTTCATGGAGCTGACACGTTGCATCTTGGCTGGTAAGTAAGAATTTGCCAGATAGACCATCATGTCTGGGCAGTGGCAGAAAGATGACCCCTGGGTGAAAGAAGATCACCATATGTATGAGTGCAAGGAGGAATAGAAAGAAAGAATGTGTTGCTGAATGTACATGGGATAAGCAGAATACAAGATATTTGCTATATAATATTTTATGTAACTAGGTTTTGGCTTAAGGCAATGAGATTTAGTATGTAAACTTACATTAAAACTATTATTAAAATCTAAGTTGAATTCGAATTGCTTTCCCCATCCCCAATTAGGATGGGAAAACAAACAATATGAAATATATGTGAGTTTATAACAAAAGGTCAAATTACTATGTTAACTCTGCTATTTGTCAGTAAAACAAAATTTAAAAAATTGTCATTTATCATTTGCAAAGCATGCCCAGAAATTTTAATTGGTGTACAGCAAAAAAATTCTATATGGAATGAATTTTTACCTGGCATGTTATGAGAACTTATGTAACGGCTGGAAAAAAATGCTGCCTAAGCATTAAGAAATTGAGTTGAAACAATTAAATTTTATTCTACTAGGTTTAGTGTTTTAATTGGGTTTCGTATTTGTTTAGAGTGAGAGTCACAAACTGTGGGAGATAAAGTTTGGTAGATGTATTAGTTATCAATGGTTAAACAATCAAAATTCAGTGCTTTAAGATGACAATGATTTAGTTTTTCTTAGGGATATGGCTGGATGGTCCTTCTGGTTTCACTTGGGTTCACCAGTGTGATGGAGGAAGAGAGAGCATAAGTTGTAGCTGTCAGTAGGGCACATTAGTTCTGTTTCTTATGGTCTTTCCATGTAGCTAGCTGGGCTTCCTCACAGCATGGAGGTCTCAAGGCAGTACTCTGAGAGGACTACATGTATTTCAAAAGCATGAAAACAGAAACTAAAAGAATGCATAAAGATGCACTTTGGAAGTCACACAGTCTCACTTCTGCTGCATTCTAATGGTTGAAGCATGCCAGAGAGCCAGACCAAATTTAAAGGGAGACAGGGATGAGAATACCACTTTTGATCATGAAAGTAGTAAAGTTTTATTATGAGAAGCATGCAAAATGTAAGATATCATTATGGCCATCTTTAAAAACAATCTACTACTACCAGTGTTAGTAGAATGAGGTAGCTACACTTTTTAAATGCAGTTTAAATCAATTTAAGCAGTGTATGTATTCTCCAGTTTTCTGATCTCTCTATCATACTTGTTTGTCTTATACTAAGACTCTCCCATCATTTATTCTCAAAAGGATTAGTTTTCTGTGCATAGCTTAGAGAATACTGATTTAGTCATTAGAATCCAGAGTGATAGAAATGGTGTATCAGAATGTCCATGAACAATTTATTTTAAAGGCTCTAAGGAAAAATTATCTGCTCTCATCAACTAGAGCCTAATTCAATAGTATTTAAAACTTCTGACTAAAGAAAAATTAGACAATAAGTTGATTCTTTCTGCAAGATGAAATTTGTCTGATTAACATCATCTTTCAATACATGGGTATACATGAACATTTTAAATACGGGTTAGTAGACTTGAAAATATAGACTAACTGGTTGGAGTATGAAGTTAAATATGACAGCAAGAGACTGAGCAGTGATGGTCTAGATCTAGTAAAGCATCTATTGACTTTGTAAAAGTTTTATCTGCCAGCTGGAGAAGTAAGTGAGAGAATGAGATGAGAGAAAAGGATGTATTCATATGTATCACCGTATTATCTCATAATTAAAGCTGCATGGATGGGCCACCAAGACCACAGAAAATTTGCTTAAACTCATGGTCTTGAAACATGAGTTGGATTCACGTCTTTGTTTTCCTGTTGTAAATGATATTGTTTTATTTGTCTGCTTGTAGAACCAGTTAAATTAAGCTTGACATTCTATGAAAGAAATCTGGCTCAGGAATGTTTTTTAAATATTGACAATAAGTCTTTATAGCCATATTTGCAAAAAAAAAAAAACATTTAAATGCTAGAAAGAGGAGGTGACTGGCTCAGTGATGTTGATAACTTTAAATTTAGCATATATGTTTTCACATATAATTTTGGAGCAATCAGGTTGTTAGTGTGCCAAGATTGTTATCAAAGCTGTTTAATAATATCATGACCTTGACTTTACAAAATTCTGGAGGAATATACATTTGCACTTTCCAGGAGATAATTGCTAAGGTGCACATGGCCAAGGATTCTATGGTATTGGTTTCTAACAAAGTTGTTTTGTACACATTTTATAACAGAAAGTCTTTAATCTCCATTTCAAATATCAATTCATAAGATGATGATACATTGAGATTTTGTATTTTAATATTATTCATTTCCCAGTTTTATATTATTAAACATGTGGGAACAACCTATTACAGCCTCAAGGATCCAGCCTTCTACAATTTTGAAATCAAATCATAAGATCCTTCCTTTAATATGACCCAATAAAAGTGTGATCTGAAGTAGTGATTGTGAGTTTTATTCAGTCATAAAAATTGATGGTTGAAACAAACTTAGTATTCACCAACTTTAATATTGCTTTTAATCTGAGAACTCCACAATGTTCTTGACCCTTAATCTATACTTCTAGTTACATGATTGTAATACTATTATTTGTTATTTATATAGATAAATAATTCCTTAACATCAATTATTTACTTATAATGTAAAGTCCAAACACATTAGCATAAAAACAGTTACTTGGCCTGTGACCAGTGTAGCTTCATATTCAATCCTCTGTAATTGTTTTCTTAAAATTCTTGCTAATTTTATCTTAGAATTTATTCTTGTAAGCAAAGTCCCATGGGATAGTGGAGCATATGCCAAAGGCTGGGACAGTAGGCTCATATATAGTCCATCACCCTGCCATCTCCGGAACAGGTTCTTAGCGTCTCCCTCCCCACACCCACCTGGTGAACTCTGCCACCCACGGTGTGGAATCATGCTTGGGTTGCAGCATCAGAGCAAGGCTTAAATTTTACCTCCTTTGCTTTGGGCCCTGTGCAGTGTCCTGGGTGTGGGTATAGGAAAAGTAGAAAAAGGTAGGGGTCAAACACACTTTCCAGGGCACTTAGGGCAGAGCAAGACTGTGACTGTCCCTTCTGGGCTGGCAGCCCAAATGACTTGGCAGATGACTCGCTCTGTGGGGATCTTCACCCACTAGGGATCCAGGTATTCAGTGCACCCAGCTTATCTAGGCAGCAAGGGGGTTTTAATTCCCTGGGTGGATAGGACAACAGGCCCAGTGGGAAAGGGAGGTTCACCCTCTCTCAACTCACTATCATACACACACTCTCAGCAAAGGCCCTGCATTTTCATTGAGCTTTGAAAATTATGTAACTGATTCTGACCGTTCTTTATCCTCTGCTTACCCACTAGCTATACTGAAATATTGTATTTGGAATTTCTCAAATATACCATTTCTGTATATTTGTGGTGTTCTTTTACCTGTAAAATTTTAACCCACATGAATACCTTGAGAAGTCCTATTCGTTCTTAACATGGTGCAATCATAAATTTACCTCTGATAAAATTGCACCCCTCACATTTATTCCACCAAAGAGATTCAGCTAATACCTCCATATTATTCCAAGTTAATTAGTGGCCACTGCTTCTCTGACATTTAGCATATTGATTTGTAAGTTATGCCATTTCCCTTATACTGAAGGGCAAGACCTGTTTTTCTGTAATCTCGGAATCTAGCACATGCCAGTCAAATAATAAATATTTGTTGAAAACTGACATTTATCCTGAAATACAATAGTATATATTACTTAAAATAATTCAATACTACGTTGGATCAGTTTTCAATAATACATGTCTCTTAGTAATAATTGTGAATAGGTATCAAGTCTATTTAATTTGAAATATGGTTTCTTGAGAGCAGTATCTTTCCATTCTTATTTAAGGAACATTTCATAAGTACACACATATACGCATACACACTCACACAAATATATACACAGATATAAACAATAGGAATGCTAAATACTTTGACTTGTAGAGGACTAGTAGAGAAAAATAGCCAAATTATTCACTGGTTTTATTCATTTTATTTTAAATTTAACTGTTAGCATAAACAGTAACTAATCCTGAAAACTGTGTGTAAATTTAGGCAACTAACTTACATAATGGTAAGGATAGATTTGTGAAATGAGTTGTGAATTCATTTGCTCTTTTTAGCATTGGCTATATTTTAAATGTGCTACTCTATTTTTAATGGTTACATGCAAGCATTATCCCTTTCTTAAAGTTATGACTAATATGTGGTTATTGAATTAATGCTTTTTAGACATGCAATTTCCAAAATTCAGTTATTTAAGGAATGCATTCCCAATTTTTGCCATGTATGTGTGCCACCTATATGTCTACCTATTTAATATATTACAATATGTGTGACACATAAATTGTACTATTTTAATTGTTATAAAAGGAATACAGATAACACTATCAAAAGTGTAAAACCTGTATCACTTCCCAGAAATTGGAGGTAAGAGTAAATATAATCTCAGTGTAAACACAATGTGCTATATTTAAAAATAAAAAATGAAATGCAAATATAACTAAATGTAAATTGTTTTCAAAAGAAAAAAAAATTATACCTAAAACAAATTCTTGAATGAGAAAAACTTTTTGTAATCAATTGGCATTTGAGATAATCAGTTCAACTTGGCTTAGTATTTTAAATAATAGGTAGTTCTACATTAGAGAATCTATCAATTTTTTGAGCTCTTGCTGTGTGCCAACCTCTGTTCTAGTCATCAATAAGATAACTTTGTTATTTGGTTTTGAGGTTATTCTTCATGCAGAACTCCAAATCACTTGTTCATATAGATTGCAAGGTGGAGACAAGATTCTGAGTTCTCCATTCTGCTTGTTCTTCCTAAGTGCACAGCTGGGTTAATTCAGCAGCTTTCCATGCAGTGAGGCTGCTTGACTAAATTCAGACAAATAACATGTGGCTAAAACGATACAGACAGATTTTAGGCCTGCCTTGCTTTTTAGAAACATCTTCAATGATCATCTAGAATTCTCTCCGAAAAATCCAGAAGCCACCTGTCTCAGAAATGGCAGCTGAAGCTGGAGAAGAGCTGTCTAAGATGTGGCAAGTAAATCAATCAATAAATCAATCACATAACTTTTGTTTTTATAAGCCATTGAGATTTTGAAGTATAATTATTACAGAGGCCTATCTTGGGCTATTCCAATATAGGCAGAAAGGCAAATAATATTTAACAGCCTTCTCTGACACGATTAGTGTGTGGCAATTAATTCACAGCCAAAATGACATAATTGAATGTTGTTCAACAAATGTTGCTTCAAGAAAGCAAATGTGATTGCCAGAACATATTCTTCTGGATGCCAAACTATTTATTAATGCTACTATATAATGGAAAAGGATTTCTTACTTGCTAAAGAACTTCTATAAGTTTTAGAAAATTCATATGGAGATCATTACTTATGTTTTCAAGTGCATATTTATAATATCATGAAAATATTCTGGTGTGTCAATAATGAGACAACAGGGTTTTCATTTTGATAATTTTTGTTAATTGAATACATGACTGAAATTGGAGGACCTACCCACAAGACTCTGGCTTCATTATATCTAAAATAATAACAAAATAATAGTCACAACTCCAACTTATTAAGCTGCACACATGTAAAATGCTTTACTTATGTTCACTTATTTGGTTATCACTGTAACTTTACAAGGTACTTACTATGATTAACCCCATTATACAGCCTAGGAACGTGGCTTTTATTATATAAATAGTAAGTAAAAGAGCCCAATTAGAGAGCTGCACTTTTTTTTTTTTTCTGTTTTTGAGATGGAGTCTTCCTCTGTCGCCCAGGCTGCAGTGCAGTGGCACGATCTCGGCTCACTGCAACCTCCGCCTCCCAGGTTCAAGCGATTCTCCTGACTCAGCCTCCCAAGTAGCTAGGACCACCGGCATGCACTACCACATCCAACTAATTTTTGTATTTTTAGTAGAGACAGTGTTTCACCATATTGTCCAGGCTGGTCTCAAACTCCTGACCTCAGGTGATTCACCCACCTTGCCTCCCAAAGTGCTGGGATTGCAGGCGTGAGCCACCATGACCGGCCAGAGCTGCACTCTTGACACAGCTGTTCTTCAGACCGAGAGTGTGTTGAATCTAATTCTAAGCCTATAGCTCAGCAGAAGTTTTGGGTATCTCTGCACAAACCTTCACTATAAAAATGCCCCATTTGTCATGTTTATGATTTCATGTGCTCAGTTATGAGATACAGCCTCCAATTACTCATCTTCAGTAAATTAACTAGAATTAATCTTTTGCCAAATAAACTTATCATTCCTCTATGGATTCTGGATTATTTTTCATTTATAATATAGGGCAGTTTTTCAACCAGTTCCGATTATGTGATCTATCCAAAGTGATCTCAGAGAGATTAGATCTGGAGCTGGCTCGCTAGCTTGGCTGTTTAAAGCAGAATTCCAAAGAGCCAAACAATAAGAGATCAATGTCTTCAGTCTGTGCAGAGTCCAAGAATGCACCCCTAAACTCAGAGAAATTTCCTAGTTTACAAAAATGTGAGACAGGCAATAGCAATTAAGAAAAATTGTGGGGAGCATAGGTATAGAGGTAAAATATATGAATAAGAAATTTCATGTCTCTTCTACAGTGAAAAACTGGCCATAATTCTATGTTATTTTCTATTGTTTTATTTTCACATTTAAATAAATTAATAATATAATTAATTCATGTTTTTGTAAAAATCAAATATATAAAAGTAGAGAACTTACATAATGAAAAATTCTGATTATAATCCCACTACCAGAAATAGGTAGCCATTGCTAACATTGTTGATATGCAACACATATATTACATTATTGATATAATTTTATACTGTTTATGTATTATTGCATATTGCTCTTAGTGGTTTTAACTTAAAAAGTTTTTTTCCTAGTAAAAGGTTTATTATGAGCACCTACCAAAGCAGTATATATACATTTATTTTATCCTTTCTAAAAACAGTTTGTAATTCATTATATTGACACATCATAATTTATTAAACATATTTACTATTTGCTCCTATGTTTTTTCTATCACAAAAAAAATGTTTCAGTGAATAGATTTTTATATTTATCTTTGGGATCTTATAATATCTGAGGAATGACTCCTTGGAAGTGGAACTTCTTGGCAAAAGAGAATATACCTTTTACATCTTGACATATACTGCCAAAGCAGACCACAATTTTAGATTCAGCCAAATTAATTTTAGTGGTGTCTCATGCCAGTGATTCTGCCTTCACTGTGCTAGTGTAGGCAGCCAGCTGTGGATTGAAGAGTTTGCTGAGTCAATTGGTATAAATTTGGATCCAAGGCTGGCCTATGATAGCTGACATCAAAAGACCAGAACACATTATCACAATTTAAATGAAGGAATTCAAAGACCTCAGGAGTGATGAGTGTTAGGCTGATCTACCCTATGTACCCTGTCCATTGGCCTGTGAATTATGTTACTCACAGTATTTTCTCCTTCATTGTTACAAGCAATTGTCAAAGAAGCCTCTGCCACACTGGAATTGACTCTTTCAATTCTTTTCAATTCTTTTTTTTTTTTTCAGTCAGGAATGCTGGCGGGGAAGATAACAACTTAATGGCAGAATCAACAGATTTAAGTGGAATCAAGAGCTTCTTGGGCCAGCAGAAGCAAGTAAATGGCACATGTAAAGTGGATGTGATCACTTACCGTCAAGATAGCAATGATACAGTAATCTTGGTTCAGGGAGTGGCCAGACATGCAGAGATTTCTGGCACTCCCATTTGGACTATAGTATTATCAGTGGTAAAAACTACATTAAGTAGAGTTATACTCTAAGGTTTATGGTTTGTTTTATCTTTTTTTTTTCAATGAGAAATTTTCCAGGCTTGAAAACAGGTCCTCTGATTCAAGTCAGGATGCTAGTCACTGAGTCCTCATCGTTTCTGGATAAAAGTTAATGTATTGTCCTAGAATCCTTGGATACAAGCCAATCTCGAGAGCCGTTGTGAAAGTAATGGCAACCAATCTTACAAGAGTAATACATGAAACTTCCCTGTAGCCTTTTCTGGTATGACCTGTAATATTTTATCTTTGTGTCTGTTCTTAGGGGGTTAAAGACAAAATTATTCAATAATTCTTGTTAAAACATGGTGAAAAAGACTTTATTCAGGACTACCACAATAAGTACAGAAATCACTGCAATGAGGTCTTGCAACGAGGGAGAGAGATTAGGTTCAGTGCCAAATATAGCATGCGCAGGTGAGAATTTATAGCCAAGGAGCAGAATTGGGTTTGTGGATAGAAAATCACTTAGTGGAAACATCAGAGGTCAGGGGGATTCTGGCTAAATTGACCTAACAGGATTCTTGCTGAAGAAAGGCCAGGTGATCAGACTTTACCTGGGGATTGGTGGAGAATGAGGAACCTGATCAGATATTAGGGGTAATTGACATTGAGTGTAGGAGGTTCTTAATAAATTGACTTAGCAAGGATTGCTAAAACTGAATTTTACAAAGAAGTGAAGATAGGCCCTGGGAAGTTTCAGAATCCCGACCAAAGTTTGGCCAAGCAAAGAATCTTCGTCAGGAGGAAGAGAAATAAACCATCTACTGATGATTGTGACAACACAATTTCCGAGGCCAGAACACAACCGCAATCCAACCGAGGTCAGGATCAGTTTATACATCAAGTGCTAGTTATAAGTAAACTTCCATCCTAAGTTCACCTAACATAGATGATTTCTTCAATGTATAAGTCCATTTGTGTTGCTATAAAGAAATACCTGAATCTGGGTAATTTATACAGAAAAGAGGTTTATTTTGCTCATGGTTCTGCAGGCTTTACAAGCATGGTACCAGCATCTGCTCAGCTTCTGGTGAGGGCTCAGGAAACTTTACAATTTTGGTGTAATGCAAAGGAAAAGCAAGTGTGTCATGTGGTAAGAAAGGGCAGGACAGAGAAAAGGAGCATAGAGAGATGCCAGGCTCTTTTAAACAAGTAGCTCTCATGCGAACCGATGGAGTGAGACTCATTCATTACCAGGAGGACAATACTAAGCCATTTATGAGGGATTTGCCCCCATAACCAAAATACCTCCTACTAGGCCCCACCTCCAACATTGGAAATCACATTTCAACATGAGATTTGGAGGGGAAAAACATTCAAACTATATCATCCATTTTCCAGGTATTGTAAATCCTAATATTGATTCTTATAGACAAAGGGTCAAATATAAAACTTGGAAAATTGTTTACCTCCACCCTACCCCAATTAGACAAAAAATATTCCTGAAAGATCTGAAGGTATCAGCACCACCACAATAGACTTGCATACCAATCTTCCTAATGCAAGAAACTGTTGGATTCTCAAGAATGACATTGGATTACTTACGGCTAACCAGGTAAGACTTTTGAAAGCAGATGATGTTTCTGACATAATTAGTTTTTTTCTCTGCAAATAATTAGTAAATCACGATTAACTTGGAATGTAACTCTTTAATATTTTGGAGTCTTTTGTTTGGACTCTATTGTTTTCAAGCCCTCAGAGGTAAATTTTCTTTTACAGCTGGGACAAGAGAAAGCACTTCGTTCTTGACTTGGGATATTAAACCAACCTTGTATTTCTGACATAACTCTCAATTTGTCATGTTGTATAAGTCTGTCTATATATTACTGGATTTGGTTGACAAGTTTCTGTTAAGAAGTTTTGTGTCTATATTAAAATAAATACTGGTCTATAACTTCCTTTTCTTTTGCAATTTTGCCAAGTTTAGGTTTAGGTATCAGGGTAATATTGATCTCATAAAATGAGTTGTGAAGTTGTTTCTTCCTCATCTTGTCAAAGATTGGCATTAACTACTCTGAATATTTAATGGAATTTATTAGTGAAGCCATCTGTCCTAGGAACTTCCATGTGGGATGTTTTTAGTTACTGATTTGATCTCTTTACTTCCATTAGATGTATTCACATTTTACATTTATCTGGAGTAATTTATGGCAATTGTGTCTTTCTAGAAATGTTTCTATTTCTTCTAAGTTATATAATTTGTTGGCATACCCTTGTTAAATAGTGCTCCCTTCTAATTCATTGTTTTAAGGTTTCATAATACAGCCTTCTTTTATTTCTTATTTCAGTAATTCAAGTCTTATTTAAGAAAAATCTTGGTCAAACTAGCTAAAGATTTGTCAATTTGATTGATATTTACAAAGTTTCAAACTTTGGCTCATTAGTTCATTGTTTTGCCAGTGTTGATGAAAAGAGTCAAACTCTGTAAAATATTTTTAGAGATTTATTCTTAGCCAAATATGAGTGACCATGGCCTATGACACAGCCCTCAGGAGGTCCTGAGAACATGTGCCCTAGGTGGTCAGGGTAAAGCTCAGTTTTGTACATTTTAGGGAGCCATGAGAAATCGATCAAATACATTTAAGAAATACACTGGTTTGGTTCAGAAAAGCAAGACAACTCCAAGCAGGGGCTTCCAGGCTGTAGGTAAATTTAAACATTTTCTGGTTGACAATTGGTTGAGTTTGTCTAAAGACCTGGGATTGATAGAAAGAAAATGCTCAGATTAAGCTAAAAGATTGTGGAGACCAAGGTTCTTTTGAAGTCTTATAGTGGCTGCACTTAATCAAGGTTCTGTACAGATGCAGATTTTCCCCCACAAAGGACGGCTTTGCAGGGTCATTTCAAGATATGGCAGAGAAACACATTTTGGGGTAAAATATTTTGATTTTCTTCTTTATTATGCCAGAGACAGATTGGAATGTACGTCACGATATACATGGTAAATAAAATCCATCTGATGAGAATTTCTGGTTTGTAGGACATGACTCCCCACACCCCTTAGATAGGAATTTGGGCAAGATAAAAAAAATCAGAGCTTAGTCCTCACCACTCTCAATTTTTTAAAAATCTGCTTTAGTTTTTATTTTCTTATTTCTGCTTGCTGTGGGTTTAGGGTGTTCTTTTCCTCTTTTCTGAAGAGAAATACTTAGTTTATTAATTTGAGATATTTCTTCTTTCTTAATGTAGATGTTTACTGCTATAAATTTCCATCTAAGCACTGTCTTAACTGCTTATCATAAGTTTTAATATGTCTTCATTTTCATTTATCTCAAAGTATTTTCTAATATTTTTTCATTTATTCTTCGACCCTTTGGTTATGTAGCAATGTGTTACTTAATATCCAGATATTTATCCAGACATTAGTGAAACTCACAAATTTCTGCTATCAATTTTTAATTCCATTATTATTGAGAACATACTTTGTAAGATTTGCGAAAGGAAAATATCTTGGGCCTCCAAAATCACTAAGCTAAAAGGAAAATTCAAGCTGGAAACAGCTCAGGGCAAATCTGCCTTCCATTCTGCTCACTGAGATAGATGCATATTATGATTGCCTCCTTTGAAAAGGCTTACCAAAAACTCAAAAGAATGCAACCATTTGTCTCTCACCTATCTGTAACCTGGAAGCCCCCTCCCTGCTTCAAGTTGTCCCCGCCCTTTCTGGACTGAACCAATGTACTTCTTACATATACTGATTGAGGTCTGATGTCTTCCTAAAATGTATAAAATCAAGCTGTGTTCTGACCACCTTGGGCACATGTCATCAGGACTTCCTGAGGCTGTATTACAGGCACATGTCCTCGATCTTGGCAAAATAAACTTTCTAAATTAACTGAAACCTGTCTCAAATTTTCCGGGCTAACAGATTTTGTACTTTACATTCATTGAGATGTGTTTTCTGGCTTCATTTATGGACTATTTTGGAGAATATTCCAGGTGTGCTTGAGAAGAATATGTATTCTGCCTCTATTGATTGGGGTGTTTATGGACATCTTTCCAGTCTAGTTGGTTTACAATGTTCATGTCTTCTATTTCCTTGATGATCTTCCACTTTGTTCTACCCATTATTAAAAGTAGGGTATTTACTTCTCTACCTATTGTTCAGTTGTCTACCTCTCCCTTGATTTCTACCAGTCTTGTTTCAAGTATTCTGGGTTTCTGTTGTTAGAAAGGGAATTCATAATTACCTCCCCTAGAACACACATTCTATGGATATCCACAGGGATCTCTCTCTTTTTTTAGGCCTCTTCTCAAATATCACCCTACTGGAAGATCCTTTCATAATTAGCCTTACACAAGGTGAAGGAGCAACAACCCAACAAATAAGACCCCAGCTCCCATGGATGCCCAACTGCTTTAATATGTTTTACTTTTTATCTATAGCACTCAAAGCTTCCTTAAAATACATAATGGTATTTTATATTTTGTCTACCCTCCTACCTCAAATTATAAGCTGCACAACATCAAAGACTTTGTTTTGTTGACTTTTGAATCTCTGGCACCTAGGCTAATGCTTTGATGCTTAGCTTATAGTAGCTAATCATTAAATATTAATTGAACAAATTAAATGAATGAATTAGAGCATTGGTCAGCACACACTTTCTGTAAAGTGCCAATTTATAAGTATTTCAGGCTTTCAGATTATAAGATCCTTGTCACAACTACGCAACTCTGCCAATATATTTTGGGAAAGTTCTCATAGAGGATACATAAATAAATGAGCATGGCTGCATTCCAATAAAACTTTACTTACAAAAACAGTCAGTGGGAAGGATTTGGCCCACTAGATGAAGTTTACCAGCCCCTGAATTAGAAGGAAATCTCAGTAACTGACAATGACTCTTGGAACAAAACTGTGGCATTGTCTATGTTTCAGAAACTGGACATGATTGTGATTCCCTATTGTGAAAGGGCTGATTACATTGTAATTGTGCCTACCAGCACTGGAATATGTTGCACACTAACAGCTTTAAATAGATGTCCTAGGAACATAGGCATATACACCCTAGCATGCATGAATTTAATTTTCATCATACAAAGGTTTATTGATAACCTATATGATTGATACTCTCCTTCGTAGGAGGAAACATGTATTAGGTGTATTTGTTTGCAGAGTGTTAAATAAGATTTAGGCTTTTTATTTAATCTACGGCCCCTTTAAAGACAATGTGCTTATGCCATAATTTGGGCAATGATCCGTGTTATCTTGCTTCCCTGGTGGTAGCTAGCAAGATCAAAAGGAATGAATAATGGACAGAAAACCATAGCGTGTGAGATGCAGCTTATAAAAGATGAGCTGAGGCAGAATATTTACTTTTAGACAATTATCATTTGGAGGCATGGAGATGAGGAAAAAAATAATTGAAGTCTGACTCCTATTAATAGGGAACTGCTAGAGGGAAGATTTGCCAACTGCTATTGGGGGGATCCCCAGAGCTGCTTTGGTCCAGAACCACACTTCAGCCCCAGCCCCATGTAGGCCTGGCACTATTACTTATTTACAATAAGGCTTTATTAGGATTCCATGCAATTAAACAACACTAAATTGGAATATTCCTCAGTATGAATTTTATTATCTAGAATGGCCTGTACTCATAATTTTAGTTGAAAGTTCATATTGTGTCTGGAGCAAGCATTTTCTGCAATTTATCCTTATGGTTGTTATTATTCATTTGCCTATTTTCAGCATAGGCAAGCGAAGAAATATTTAAGTCAATTAAGTTAACTTAGAGAAGGGGTTTCATTTAGGTTTTATTTTTTCAGAAATATGTTATTTTGTTTCACTAAAGAGATATTCAGAATTTAAAATAGTTATTTCCCAAGCAGAAAAATTTGGTTTGATATTTCCACACAGAAGAAGATATAAGGTGAGAAATTATACCTCAATGTCATCCCACAATTCTATGTGGCTTCATGTCTGGAAGCATTGGGGATTTAGCAAAAGAGTTGAAAGGGAGGAAAAAAACCTCAAACAATTAATTGTTAACATTTGACAATAACTCTTCTAAACTCAGCTATTTAATTTTATTCTCTAGGTTGTTTTTAGGGTTTTGCCTATCCAAAGAGGCTTTCGCGTAGTCCTAAAAACAAAATGTAGTACTATTTTGTGCTTGAACTTATGATGATTTCTCTGTTTGTATCTTATTCTTATACATACACATGGACACATGAGAGAAAAGGAGTAATTTGGCCCCAAATGATATAGAGCTCTGTAAGTTATAATGTGGGTTGATTTTTACTCTGAGATGAGAGGATCTGGAGCACAGGAATGACAGGTCCTTTTAAGAAGATCACCGTGACTGCCATATTGAAATGATTTGAAGGTTCAAGGATACAGGCTATTATAATCATTCAGGTATGAGATAATGATGGTTTAGGCCAGAGTGGTAGTAGTGGAAGCTTGTTAGACATGGTTAGATTTGGAATATGTATTGAAAGTAGAACCAATGGAATTTGCAAATGTGTCATGTGAGAGAAAAAAAAAGTCTTTTGCTTTTACTTGGGTTTTTTTTTTTTTTTTTTTTGCTTAACAACATTTATCAAGTTCTTGTATCCTTCCAATGTATCTTCATGAATATATAAATAGGTATATTTAGTTTTGCAATTTATTTTTCAAAATGTATCATACCATATACTTTATGGACATTTATTTACTCATTTTATTTAAGAATATGAGTGGAGCCCTTTTTGTGTCTATACATTTAATTAGTCCCCCCTAAGAAAATGAAGTTGTTTTCAGCCTTTTGTTACTAAGCTTAATGCTCTCATGATTAACCTCACACATGAGTCACTTCTGAATGTGTGCAGGTCTGTTAGGTAAATCCCCTGAAGCAAGATTCCTGGGTCAAAGCATAAACATATTTGTAATTTGAAGAATTAACCCTCAAATTCAATATTTGGAACAGCTTTTTGAAAAGCTACTATTCTTTTTATTTTTAAAAACAATGTTTCTGAAAGATCTATGTAGCAAGTAGTTTGGATAGGTTTGGTTCATGTGTATGTTTACTCTGAAAAGACACAGAGAAAAACATTTTGGAGCTCAACACCAGAAATTTACTGACTTTTCTGGTTGAATATTTTAATATTTATTTCACTCTTGTCTTTATTTGAAATTCTATAATATTATCATTTTATTGAATATCATTCTGTTAAAATCTTGCATAACAAGATAATATGAACTCTGTCAGCCAGCCTGGACTTGAATCTGGGCTTCACTCCCCTGTGACCTTGGGGAATTTACTCAAACTCTCTGTGACCTATTTCTTCATTGGTAAAATATGAATAATAACTACCCTATCTCATTGGGTTTTTATGAAATTAAGTAATTTAAAATATGTAAAAGCATTTAGAGTAATACTTGACACAAATGAACACTACTTAAGTGCTGGAGAGTTTTAGAAGTCACCTCATTAATTTTGTAAAAAAATGTAGATACAATAATAATATTACTTTATTATACACATTTAATTTCATGGAGACAGGAGATTGCAGATAAAAAAAGATTAAAAATTAGTCAATTAGGTTCATTCTCTTTAATTTACATATAACTTTCTTACATGCAAAGCATTCTAAAAAGAACAAATTGGAAGCTAAAAAGTGTTTTTGGATGATATCCCAACTTTAATGAGACAGATAGTAACTTCTTTGAGATACAACAGGCAAAACCCATTGTTGGTGTAAAGAATTTAAAATGAAGAAAATAAAAGGGTAAAATGGTATTAAATCATTATTGAAAGTTTTTTATATGACATTGTCATATATTTCAATTTAATTTACAGATGGCATTGACATTGCAAAGGGCCGTCTGATATCAACATTTCTAAGTATTATAAATAACACAAAGATTATTACTCAGTATTTAAGAAACTTGACAGAGAATCAGTTGAATTTTTAAACAGGAGAATAACCCTCCCTCTCAAAATGATGTAAGAGACCCACATTATTTCAAAAACTGACAGGACAGTTAGCAGTGGAGAGTAGACGTAATTTGGGGTGTGAAGGGAATCGCGAGGGCTGTGAGGTGCTAGTGATGCTTCTTTGCTTAATTTGAATGCTCATTACATGGGTTTCTGCAGTGTATTAAAATTTGCTTAGATGAACATTCATGGCATGTGGCCATTTAAAAAGATTAGAATAGGTTTAGCGGGTGTCAATCCCCAACCTTGTGAGAGCTCAGAGTTCCTCAGAGGGACCTCTGGTGGCACACTGGGCAGTGGATTGAATATCTTCCAGGTGGTATTTTGTGATTTTTCACTCCAATTTTGATCAGAACAACTTTGTATTTATCTGTTTAATATGTGAGAATTTTGTTTCCTAAGGGTGCTCAACAAAGTACCATAAATGGGTGACCTTAGAACAACAATTTCTTGCCTCACAGTTCTGTGGGCTGGAAGTCTAGAATCAAGCTCTACAGGGCCATGTTTTCTCTGAAGACTCTAAAGAAAAATACTTCCTTGCTTCTTCCAGCTTCTGGCAGTGACAGGGGTTCCCTGTCTTGCAGCTACAGCATGTCAGTGTTTGCTTCTGTTGTTATGTGGTGTTCTTCCTTCCAACCCACAGCCCACTGTCCGTCTCTTAGTCTAAATTTCCCTCTTCTTCTAAGAACATCAGTCATATTTGAGTAAGTGCCCACTCTAATTCAGTATTACCTCATCTCAACTTGATTACATCTTGCCAAGACCCTATTACCAAATAAGGTCACAGTTGCAGGTACTGGGAGTCAGAACTTCAACATTTCATTTAGGGGTATATAATTCAACCCATAACAGCATCCAAGGCTAAAATAGACTTTCAAAGTAACTGAATTAAAAAATACGTTCCCCCAAACCCATACAGTCCTGGGGGTATTCTATTTAGTTTCTATTTAGTTTTTCTATTTAGTTAAATGGCCTAGATGTAGCTAAATGTAGCTACTCCTCCAGCCTTAATGAATAATAGATCTGTCTTAGAATATGTTGGACCAAGGTGCAAAATCACCTGTCCCTTTGTGCTTGATGCCTTCTATAGAAAAAACAAACAAACAAAAAAACAAAACTCAATGCACTTCCCAAGAAGTGAAGGCAGACTGATAGTTTTTCCTTCTTTCATTCCCTCAATTTTCCCACTGTGCTGGACTGACCATTTTAGTCCTTTTATCCAGAAACATAGCTGGGCTTGATCTTCTGGATGTGAAACTTTACCTCTCAACTTTTTAGAAATCCATGTTTTCACCACTGCAAGATGAGCCAAATGTTTTGCTAGCTCAAGTTGAAATCTGGTTGAGTGACACACTTATTATTTATGTATAAATCAACAATGTGTTCCCCTTTGCTGCTCACACCCTCAACATGATTTAATATTTCAACACTGTACAGAGAATTATAGATTTCATTTCATCTTGAACCACATAATTCACTTTCATATATTAGATCACAAATGATTGGAAAACAGATTCTAATTGGCAGGTAGCCATTTATGTTAAATCTAGTAGCAAGTGTTAAGCTCTGACATCTTCCTCTTGAAAAGGCTTTTGAAATAAAATTAAAATTCATCATTCAGAGTTGAATGTTTTATGCTGCTGGGAGCTAATTACCACACGCATCTCAGAAGTGTGTGCTTACCTCTCTTCCAAGCCACTTGTCTTAAACTGTAGGCTCCAGGTCCTACAATTTGTGCTAAATCCCCAATTGCCAAATGGGATAAGGGCTGTTTGCACAAATCGTATTCTCAGGAGACTGTGGTTTGATGCAGGTGAACGGAAATGCCTGCACCTGCTCATTGTCATCCCTGGCAGGATTCATTCATAGTGGAGTGGGATTAACAGCTGTCAACTCTGAGATCTGCCTGGGAGAAGAGAGTGGGGCATCACCAAAAAACATTTCAAAACATGGAAACTTGTTCAGTCAAAAAGTTTTGGAGAGAACAAAGTTGGCCACTGCTGGGCTGTAGTCAACTTTTTAGTTAAGTTAGTTGGGAAATATTGACAGAGGCCTGACAAAACCCGACCACTCTTCTTTCTTCCACCTCTGCCCAGTGTACCATTACCTCCTAGTCTGGGCAAATCATGCAGTGATTGCTTTTGCCGCTTGAGCCTGAAGCAGGCACATTGCCTCAGTTATCCAAGTTTTTTTTTTTTTTTTTTTTTTTTTTTTTTTTTTTTGTAAAAAACATCTCTCTGGAATTTTTGACTCTGCTTGTTAAGTTTCTAGAGACAGCTAATTTTCTGACTGCACTTCTGCCATCCTCTTTAATAATCTGTATTTCTTGGTTGCCTCTATCTATCTGGTGTTGAACCATTATTTGCCTTCCATTATGGCTACCCTTAACTTGACCTTGCATGCTGGGTCCTGTTTTTATCTTTTGTTTTTAATGATTCTCCATATTACTTTATATCAATTCAAAACTACTCACATTTTTTAAATTTACCCCACTTCATTTAACCAGTGGCTTCTGAGCTTTACTTTTATTCTTTGCTTACCCACTAGCCCAAGGAAATCAATTATTTGATACTTGTGTTGCTACTGCCATACCTCCTCATGCATCATAGACATTGCTCATCTGTCTACCTCATTGTTCCTTTCTGACCTGGCCTGAGCCATAGTACTCTTCTTAAGATGCTTTTACAGGCAACTCCTGCCAATTTATCAGAGTTGGCACTTGTGATAGGAGCAATTTGATATTGCTGCCTTTGTCTGGGCTTGTAGCCAGGCTCCAAGTTCTCACCCTAGGTCCCTAGTGCTCGACCCCAAATGGATAAGCTCAATAAATACTGGTTAGATGAGTAAAGTAATTAATATATGAAAAGGCCAGAATTCCTGTCCTGGTTATGTAAACTTCAATAGTAACATTCAAAGTGCAGTTCTAATACTTACTGTTGTGCAGCTTTGAGAAAGTTTTCTACTACTTCATGACTTTATCTGTATAATGGGGATAAAGACAATAGTTTCAATAGTATCTGCTTTATAGGATTATTGTGAGACTACAACCCCATGATATCTATACAGCACCGAGCACACTGCCTGACATGTTATAGTACTTACCATTTATTGTTCTTCAGTAACATTACTTTTATCAATTAACTGCTATGTTCACTGAAACCTATCTTTTTGCAGTGTTTCTTTACAATGTAAATTTTATTTATTTTTAATATTTCAGTACTATCTTTTTATATACTTAGGAATAGTGTTTTTGCCAAGTATACAGCATTGTCTTTATATTTATTTATTTATTTATTTATTTATTTATTTATTTATTTATTTATTTTGAGACACAGTCTCGCTCTGTCACCCAGGCTGGAGTGCAGTGGCACGAACTTGTCTCACTGCAAGCTCCACCTCCCGGGTTCACGCCATTCTCCTGCCTCAGCCTCCCAAGTAGCTGAGACTACAGGTGCCCACCACCACGCTCAGCTAATTTTTTCTATTTTTTAGTAGAGACAGGGTTTCACCGTGTCAGCCAGGATGGTCTTGATCTCCTGACCTCATGATCCGCCTGCCTCGGCCTCCCAAAGTGCTGGGATTACAGGTGTGAGCCACCACGCCCAGCTAGCATTGTCTTTATAACTGAGGAGACAGTTTGCAACTTTTAAATGTCCAATAGGGAGGAAACTTCCCAAATGAAGAAAGGCATATTCTTTATCTGGATTGGTGTGGTTTTCCTTTTCAAATAGACTTGGTCTTGTCTGACAAAATTATTTACTATTGATATTTTTGTATGAAAACTTCGGTGAATGCTACCAGTTAATCATTTGAAACAACCTGAGCCTGTTTATCCAAGCATGAATCTACAAGCATACACAAATGTGCAAGCGTATTTCTGATACACGTGTGTATTTTGTGATATGCAGTTAGAAAGAGAGCTCTCTTTTCTCTCTGATTTGAAATTAACTAGGCAAATGGGTCTTTTTTATATATACAGGATAGTAAATATGAAGGGCATGGTAGTAAACCTGACAGCTACACCTGGCTTTTGTATCACATCATTGAACTGTTCAAGGTAACACACTCATGTAGAGTCCCAAATAGAGGGATACTTTGTCAAAATAATGAAGCTGTATTTAATGACTACTCAACTGGAAGTTTTATGTAAAATACAAATGGCAACTTATACAAAAGGATATAATAGGGGTAGAGGCATTATCAGACAGAAGCTGCAGCTATTTCTACCGTTAATGTAAAAACCACACCTCTTCTTTAGATGACTGACATATTATGTTGCTGCAAGAGGCTACCATTAATGATACTAATGATGGATTTTTTTCCTAAGCTGTGACTCATTTATTGCTAAAAGTAAACAGAGAAACAAAAAATTATTGAAGTTGGTATGTCTGTATTGAGGAATAATATAAATTATTATTATTTAATTTTGCCTATAAATTCTGAACCTTTATTTCTTGTTTTCCTCCTTTTCATTGGGACCAAAAATGTCAGAAAAAAAGAATGATGTGCTTTTATAATGTACTTCCTGTCAAATGGAATTTTGTCAAGCATTTTACGGCATTTTAATATTTGCTTGATGAGCCTTTCACTATTCCTCTTAGGTGATTATTGATAATTTGAGTTTCTTATGCTAATTTTTTCCTCAAAATTTAGCCTATAGAAATACTTTTAAAGTATTTGCTCATTGTTTCTATTTTTATTCCACCCTTTCCTGGAAACACAGTTTTACCACATTGAACATTTCCTTTCCTTCTTTGCAGATTTCATAAAAACAAATATTGCATACACATGTCTGACTCTGGGGAAACATTCTTTTTGAGGTAAATTGCTCTTTGGTACTATTTGCAATAGATAATTTGACAAAAATCTGTCTGAAGAAATACAAGAATTATTTAAATGGCCTGAAAGCTCAGGCTCAGCTATAAGTTTCTATAAAATAAAAAGTAAGAATTATGTTCTATAGGGAATACAGTTTCAACATATAATTTCAGTGCTAAATACAACTGAAATTAGAATGATGAAAATAATATGATACTAATAGAAACACGTATCCCTCAAAGCTGCTATTCTGACATCACCATCATCCTTTCAATTACATGGGCTATAGCTCCAATGTAACATATGTAAACCAAACACATGTTTGGTTAAGGTTAAACATATTTATATGAATATTTAGTGCAGTTAAAACTCAATAAAGTAAGATTTTAATTGTGTGAGATAAACATATCTGTATTTCATGAGACCAACCCTACTGATAAAAATCTAAAACAATAGATAAACAGTATTTATCTAGGCGTAAGAAACAAGCACATTTAGAAATTTCTCAACAATCAGCTATGTTTCTAGCATTTCTCCACAGATTGATGGAGACTAATACTTAGTTGAGGCCTGAGATCAATGACTTTATTTACCTAGTTTGTATCTTTATCTCTAATCAATGGGGATGTAACTGGTGAATGAATTTTCATTCTACTTAATTCAGATGGTTATGGATTTCTGAACTGAAACAAAATGTTTCAACTTGATAACAGGTGAAAGATGCATCGTTTCTCGTGTGATTGTTTTTCAAAAACTGACATAGCTATTTAGAAACAGCTATGGAAAAAGGTTGGTATCATAAAGCATATGCAGGACAAATTAGACTTAAAAACAATAATCCAGAAATTGTTTAAGTGAATATTTTACAGTTGGAGATTTTAAGAACATGCCATAAATGCCATAAATACAAGAGAAGTTCCCCAAAACCTTCTCCACTTCACTGATTAGCAAGACTAAGGAGACCCTCCACTCTGTTCCTTACCAAGAGTCATCATAGAATACTGAATATTCACTCAATATTAATAAATAATATAATATATTAATTTATCAATAGATTAATATCTATAGATAATCAATATTATTAATCAATAGATTAATAATATATTCCATTAATAGATTATACTGATAGATTATTAATTTATTGGTCAATTAACATATTACTAGACTAATACTATTGAATATTAATTTAATATTAATATATTATGAAATACTTTCTAGTGCATCTAGGCATTTCTTCTCTTATCATTAAGTTGTGTCCTTACAAAAAAATTAAACATGTATTTGTTTAATCAATATATATTATACATATTATGTATAAAAAACTAGCCTAAGTTCTGATGATATAGAAGCTAAGCAAATAAACACACAGGTAAAAATTTTTGTTTGTGATACATTCTATTTTGAAGAGAGAGGTATAATAATTTGCAAATATAAAAGATATAGTAATTCAGGCAGTATCAGTTTCTATTTCTGTGTAACAAATCACCACAGACGTAATGGCATAAAGAATCAATCATCTTTGTTTATGATTCTGTGGACTAGAAATTTGGGTGGGCTCAGCTGTGTGGTTCTTCTTCTCCCCTGAAGTCAGTAATGCACACTGTAGTCATCTCATGGCTCAAATTGAACTGTGTGGCATATGATGATCTGAGTCACATGTCTTGTCTTTGGTGGTAGCTATTGCCTTCTGGTCTAGGGGGCCTTATTTTGGAAAGCTTGCTCGTGCTTTGTAAGACCTCTCATTCTCCAGTAGTCTTCTTCACATCATATAAATCCAAGGCAGCATTCCAAGAGAGAAAAAGTAAAGCTGGGAAGGCTTTTGAGGCCAAAGCATAGGAGTTCCTAAAAGATCACCTCTACAACATTCTTTTGGTCAAAACAATTTATAAGGCCCACCCATATTCAATGAATGGAGAAACAGACTCCACCTTTGATGAAAAAAAATGAAAGTACTATTGATAATGAGCATGCATACAAGGATAGTATAGACTATTGTGGCCATTTTTTATAACCCTCTATGATTGATAGCAATAAACATTATGGAGAAAATGAAGCAAGGAAGAAGACAGCAGATGCCATATTAATGGGAAGGAACCCCAGTAAATAGCAGATGCCATATTAATGGGAAGGAACCCTAGTAAACAAGAATTGATGTGTGGAAAACTTGAGAAATAGAGGAGCGAGGCATATAGCTATCGGGGGAAAATATTACATGCAGAGGAAACAGCAAAGGTCATGAAGGAGGCATGCACTTGGACTGTTTGAAGAAGGAGGAGGTGGCCAATCTAGTTAAAGAGGAGTGATATAGGGGAAAACTAGGAGAGGATGAAATCAAAGTTGTAGATGTGCATCACCAAAAGGGTTTTTCCCTTCACTCAACACAATGTGGGAAGACCTTGGAAGATTTTCAGGAGATGAGTGAAACAATTTATTACAGTCTTACATATTCACGCTAGTTGCTGTGTTGAAAGTAGATTATTAGGAGTCAGGTTAGAAACACAGAGATTAGTTAGGACACTTTTCCATTAGTCCAGATAAGAGATCCTTGTTTCTCAGACCAGGCTCATAAATAGTGGAGGAGTAAAAAGTGGTTATATTCTGAATACATTAAGGTAGTACCAATGAGATCTGATGACTAATTGGATATAAGCTACGAGAAAGGGAAGGCAAAGATGATTCCAAAATTTCTTTGCATAAACAATAGGAAAGCTGGAGTTGCTCTGTTGTGAAACAGAGAAGACTAAGGAAAAGGGGAGGTGGAACTATATTTGTAGTTCGTTTTCAGATATTGTCTCAGCCTGGATTCCCCAGAAGGTAAAACTGCACAAATGATGAAAGGGCAAGTAACTTCACATAATTTGATCAGGAAACAATAGTGGAGACAGAAAAGAGCAGGGAAAACTCAATACACTGCTTAACTGGCCACCTGTAAAGATCACTTGTTTCTTGATCTGAGCGATGGCTTGAAATTTATCTAGGGGTGATATGGTCTGGGAGAGGAAAGAGTAAGCATATACCCATGGGTTGCCGTTCCCTTTTGTCATTGAGGTTTCACTTTTTGGGTTTCTTGGCTTCTGAAAGTGCATGCATGTTTAGTGAATGGGTCTGGGTTTCCATAAACGTCCTGTTATTACATCAGTCATATTATTACCCCTTTGAGGAAAGAAACCACGCTTTTCACAACTTTGATATTTTTGTGTCTCCCTTAAATTCACTGTGCATTAGAAGTCCTTCAAGGTTGCAAACTCTGCAAATACTTAATGCAAAAGGGTTAGTGAAGAAACATCCTTCCCATTGATGGAGCTGATCCTGAAGTAATAATTGATATTCTTCATCATCCACTTTCCTCTCTTTTATAGTTTTCTTTCAACCTAGATCATTATTTCATTAGATGTGGGTTGCTTGCTTGAAAGATTGACTGAGATCTTCAGTCTTGAGGGGTCTGAAAGCTTAGTTGCCTTGCACCTGTTGGACCATGGACCATGCAACAGCCCATTCACCGGTTACTGGGAACATAAAAAATTACAGCTCTGTGAATTACCTGGCTTTTAGACATAGCCATTCTTGTCTACATATGCTAACACTGTCTTCTCTGGTAATCAGGATTGATTTTTCCCACCAGCATAAAAAGACCTTTCTTTGTTTGTGGGATCACTGGAAAGAGGAACCTCAATGTTGAGGAATAGTTTTAATTTCAAGTTCAATGGGACACTTACTGTGTCTCATGGTGTAAGAATTTCATGGAAATGCATTTGTGTAGCCCAGCTGAACCCAAGGTGGAGAAAGAAAGCATAAATTCCACTGTATGCCACTGAGAATCACAATGTAAGAGGTCAGTCTTACACCTTTCTCTTGCTTCCTGGACATGAGTATTCTTGTTATAGAGCCTGAGCATCATTTTTTGTCCATTTGCTCAGTGTATACACTGCACTGTGGACGATGCACTCTTTCCATAGAATGTTGTCCCTGAGCTGATGCCTTAACTGAGATTTTCAAAAGCCATTTTGCTGGTCTATTGAGCTGTTTATTTCTTAGTGTTGAAATAGAAGATAAAATCAGAGGAACCCACGGAAAAGAATAAAATTCATGCATTTCATCCATATAAACTTTTCAAAATTACCCATAAATATCACTGGAGCATGTTTCATAATAGAGCAGTAAGGTCTCCCTGGATAATGAATTATGATGCCTACATTTTGTCCCCATTCTTTTTCCAAGTATCTCCATAATTGTGAAGACGGGATTTCATTTCTATTATAAAATTCTTAACCTATAAATTGAGGAGGTTGGGCTTATAATCGCTAAAATTTCTCTTAACCTTAACATAGGATGATTCTATGTTTAGTAAACACAATCTAAATAAACATTACTGAGCATCTATGTTAGTCCATAAATTATGCTAAGGGTTTTATATGCATTTGTTATGTCATCCAAAAAGTCTTTGAGTCTTGGAGGTCAATAATCTTATTAGTCCACAAATAAAAACATTGAGCAGCACATATTTAATTACATGCCCATGATCATATATCCAAATAATTTCTGAGCTAGGGTTTGAGTTCATATTTGGCTTCAGAACTTTTACTTTTAATTACAATGCTATATTAACTCAAGATTTCTGAAAATTATATTGTTAACAATAAAATAATATTTCTTTGTATGTGAAAAATGAATTGCTTCACAAATGTTTGTCACTATTGTTCTATTTACGAGAAGAAAAATGTTAAAACGCCTGTAGTTAAAAAAGAAATGCAATGGAATTTAACATGATGCTATTTTCTGTTCTTAGGGACTTCTGGAGAAGTAATCTGTTCTACTTCCTTTATTTATATTAATAAGCCCAGCTATTTTTCTCTCCTTTTTAGGCTTCAGATTATCATAATATGAAAACACAGTTACCTCATGATGCTTTACTCTTCTAGGAGGCTATAGTTCTCCCTGAACACAAACGATTGTTCATAGAGCCAGTGTTCTCCACTTTGCCTCACTGGAATAAATGTATGCATATGTTTATAGAGTAAGAAAGATTCTAGGAGATAAATTTGATATTTCCTTTTCCAGCAGTCTTTCCTTGCTTTTAATGGCTTCCAATATAATCCATAGGCCTTCATGCATCTCAAAAATATTTCACTTCTTTTGAGTACCCAATAGTTTCAGTTCCTTCCCTGAGTCATATAGAACAGCCTTGCTCACATGCTTATGAATATTTTTTTTTTCATTCTTAGGTTCCAAGGCAGTTCCAGTTATTCTTTCACTGATGTCCTCTACTTTGGATATTTTTAAAATCAATCTTATAGTATACTACATAGAATTTAGTGTCCCTGGGTGGCATTTTATTGTTTTCTTTGTATTCCTAACTTTCTTATAGCCACGCCTCTAACAGAGAATTTTCTGATCTGACACGTGTTTTGGCCTCTTCTAATTTAATGTTATCAAAAAATGTTATTAGCATTCTGTCTGCACCCTCTTACAGATCATTATCACTAAAACTGAAGAAGTCCACTCAATATTTCCCCCAGAAGGCTCCAGCACCTATTAACCATACCCTTTACTTATGCTTTTTAAGTTCATTTTAACTCAAGTGACTACATATTCCCTGAGCCAATCTGAACAGAGTTTACAAGGAAAGCTGCAGGATGCTTGTCCTTCCAAGGTCTTAAAACTATTTTAAAGATAATAGTTATAAATATTTTCTAATATCTGTATATACTGCCTAGCGTATCAATTGTAAACTCTGTGGCATGTCATTTAAGGTATCCTATAATTTCTTGTTTTTCCTTTATATGATACTTATATTTTAAGCTAAGATTTATAAAATACCCAGTACAATCACTTCTCCTCAGCCATAGTGGCAGCTCTGATAATCCTCTCAAATATCTTATTCTGAAAATGGCTTTGGCTAATGTTTCCACTTGCAATGCCCTATTCCATACTTTTAGCCAGTACTTTCCTTTTTCTTGTTTTTGAAAATGTATTTGGGCTTTTAATTATTTGTTCTTCAATTGTTGCATTTTTGTATATATTCACACATTCACATACACACACACACACATGCACACATACATATACGTATATTTTTTTCTTCCTCATTTCAAAATACCATAGACTTTATGGTTCATACAACAGAAATTTACTTCTCAGAGTTCTGGAGCCTGGAAAGTCCATAATCAAGGCATCCGCAGATTTGGTGTCTGGTGAGGGCCCTTCTCCTGGTTCATAGACGTCTGACTTCCTGCTGTACCTTCACATGGCAGATCTTTTATAGACTTTGTCTCAGTTCAGTACTCAGTTCCTTTTCTTCCCTCTGAGCCTTGATTTTCCTTACAGAGGGAGAGACCAGGCCTAACCAATTGACTGCTTTCAGTTTTCTATTATGTAATTGATGCATACATAATGTTGGGACTCAGAAAATAATACCCTCAGCTGCAAGCCTAAAAGCAAAGTTTTTCTCTGGCGTTCTGCTTTCCTGTCTCTCAGTCTCATTCTCCCCCAAGGCTAGCCATAGAAACTAAAATCCCTCTTCCCCAAGGCGGGTCATAGAAATCAGAACTCTTTTTCCCCAAAGCCAGCCATAAAACCTAAAAATAATACTCTAAGGTTCTCTCCACTGGCCATAAAGAAATGATCTGACCCACCTTGTCTGACTGTAGGTCATAAGACCACATTTCAGAAAGGGTCCTGCAGGAAGGAATGCATGCTCAGAGAGGAAAGAGGAACCTAGACAAACAGGCCTTGCTGTGTTTCTCCAGTCAGTCTGTTAGCATGAAATCATACTTCTACATAGTTATCCAGACTTTGTTGAATCTAAGCATAAAATGGACAATTCTCCCTGTAGCTTTGGGTCTTCCTTCTGAAGGCTCCTGTGTAAACATTAAATACATGTGTATGCTGTTTCTGCAATTAATCTGCCCTTTATTGAGTTTTGAGTGAATCATCAGAGGCAAAAGGAAAGTTTTCCCATGGCCCCTACAATAACTTTAGCTCCCAGTATTTTTAATTTTGAAATTACATGCATATTCAATGAAACTGACTCTACCACTGTCAGTCAAATTTAGTCTTTCTTCTATGCCTTTTTACCTCATCCCTGCCCTGCTAAATATCATCAAGGTATTGTAACTTTAAAGTACCTTTGACAACTTAAACTGGGAGTAAATAATGTTGCATATTTTAAAGTCCACTACGTCTAAGATTGCCCTTAATTTTATAGAAAAATAACTTATTTAAAGTTTCATATAAAGTATTATTTTATCATTCCCAAATAAAGTTTTTTTTTAAAAAATAAGGTTTCCAGTCAAGTATCTTGATACTGTGTAAAACCAGGCTCACATTTGGAAATGTCATTCTTCTAAGGCCTTAATCCTAGGGTCATTTTATCTACGTGGTCCTTATGTGTTATCTTCTTTCTCCATAAAGTAATTCATCTCCCTGCTCTAACTTCAATGACATTAATAAAACCACTAACAGCACAATTATCATTTTTATTATGTGATACTTATCAAAGATTGGATTATTACAGATTGCAAACAATTTCAAGAAAGAGGCACATGTTTGATAATGTTCAGGACAGCAGGGTGCTATTCTGTTTAAATCCTTTTTAACATAAAGAACTAAATAAATGATAACTAACCATGATAACTAAAGAGCTCAATGAAATCCCACTGTGTGGAGGGACATTAACAGTTAATTTGGTCTATAAACATTTACAAATTATGCAAAAATATGTCTAGTAATACAAATAATAAAAGCTCCAATTTTTTAGTTCTGTATTCAGCCACATCAAACATTTCTAAAGTTACTCATGTCAGCCCAGTAGTGTGTCAAGGGAATGAATACACAGCTGTTCCCTGGCCTTAAGGAATTTGTAGTTTGTTTATTAGTTCATTCATTTATTTTGTTAGTCAAAGTCAATCAACAAACACTGAGAGATTGACAGCCACAGTTTCAGAGAAGTGTGCCTTGTGCTGCTAAAGGAGGATATACTGATCCCTTAAACTTGAATGCGAGCATTTATGTCATTGTAGCATGATGATTGGTATGGCAAGTAGGAAGAATTTTTTTCTAAGTACATGACCACTTGCTAAGACAGGGTCACCTTGAATCCTTTTAAATGAAGTGTGTTTGCTTTGCCGAGCCCTTGAAAATTAAACCCTGTGCTTCACAGTAACAGTGAAAGATACAAGTTTCTCTCATTAAAAGAGTGAGAAGAATGTGTTTTCCCCAATGACTAAGTGGGAAGAAGAGAATAAAGTAGGGATGGGGACAGAAATGGAAGGAAGACAGAGCTGGAGGGGACATGGAAGCTATAGAAGACTGAGTGGAGCTCATCATGAACTCTCTTCATGATTCCTTCAAGTTAACTTTTTTTTTTAATGCTATAAAACTCACAAACACACAGTGGGATTAAATGTGGTTGGAAAGTGACCAAAAACTGAGTTCATTATCTGAGATGGCACATAAAATGATTCACAGAAGCAGGTCATGGAAAGTTATGGCTAAGAAGAGAGAACCTGGTAGAGACTGGCCCCCTGGGACTGAGCATAGGTTTGTAGGTGGCATTATGGACTTCCAGAGCTCAAGTTGTTGGGATTTAGGCCAAGATCAATTTCTAGGTGTTAGAAGGTCATGTTCTCCTTCTTCTCAGTGTGACTTTTGGAGAATACATCCACCCACCCCCACATATATGTGCACATACATGTATTTCCACCTATGTATACATACATAGCATTTATTATATTCTTTGTGTCCATATATTATATCCCATATGCCCTAAAACAACTCAGAATTGATTATTTGTTAAGTTTTAAAATCCTGAAGAATGAGAGGTTTATGAGCAAATGCTTCCCAGATGTGGTAGCTTTGAAAAATGAATAAGATTTGACCGTGAGGAATTTATAGAAAGGGCATTTCAAATGGAATAAAAAAAGATACTGTGAGCAAAGGCTAGGAGTTCATTGTTCCCCTGTGAGACAGCATTATAAAATTTAACTAGAGGAAGTACATTTTGCCTCCACGAGTGACTTGCCTTGGTTTTAGGCTACTCTTTGCATATTAAGTTTGGGAATTTTAGGATTGGGATGTGATTGAGCTTTCAACGTGTTCAGTTGCTTAGAAAAAGAGAGTCTGGATTTAACTTAAGTATAAGTTAGTGCTAGATTGTCTAAGTGAGAAGAGTTTTGCGTCATCTAGAACAGGAGCCTCAAACCCTTGGCCCAGGGACTGGTACTGGTCTGTGGCCTGTTAGGAATTGGGCTGTACAGCAGGAGGTGAGTGGCAGCAAGCTGAGCTCCACCTCCCATCAGATCAACTGCAGCATTAGATTCTCATAGGAACGGGAACCTGTTACGAACTGTGCATGCTAGGGATCTAGGTTGTGGGCTCCTTATAAGAATCTAATGCCTGATGATCTGTCACTGTCTCCCATCACCCCCAAATGGGACCGTCTAGTTGCAGAAAAAAATGTTTAGGGCTCCCACTGATTCTGCATTATGGTGAGTGTATAATAATAACAGAAATAACTTACACAGTAAGTAAAATGTGCTTGAATCATCACAAAAACCTCCCCTCCACAAACCAATCCTTGGAAAAATCGTCTTCCACAAAGACCGATCCCTGATGCCAAAATGCTTGGGGACTGCTGATCTAGAGAAGCCCAAAACTGTAATACACTCTACCTCCAGCTGTTACAGTTTCCTCCCCTAGAAGGCTGGGATAGGGAAAACAGAACTGAATTGGCAATATCAGATCTTGATACCAAATTGACCTGCAAATAAGTTCCATTCTTGTGAGGAAATGTAACAAAGTGATCTGAATCAACTTCTTCATCTTTTTCCATATTTGTCTAGAAGCTCATGAAACTCTTAAACTGTGAATAATAAGCTCATATAAATTAATGTGCTCACAGATTGTATTTCTAACTACATATATAAACATTTTAAATGTTGGAGAAATACATGTTGATTAATAATTGATTCCTAAATAAAATTATTTTTATTTTGAGCATATTTCCAAATTTTGAGACTAATGAACTAACACTTATTGAAATTTACCATGTACCAGACATTGTGCTCAGCATTTTACATGTCTTACAATGGCTCCTAATTCTACCATCCTAGTCCATTTTTTATAAGTCCTGAAAGATAAAATACTAAAATAATGCCACCTACATTAGTGGATAACATTTTTTGACAACTTCTATATTGTACTTTTTCAAAAATTTTATCATTATTTTTAAAATTTTTATTTTATTTATTTTATTTATTTATTTATTTATTTTTGGGACAAAGTCTTGCTTGTCACCCAGGCTGGAGTGCAGTGGTACAAACACGGCTCATTGCATCCTTGACCTCCCAGTCTCCATTAATCCTCCCACCTCATCCTACTGGGTAGCTTGGATCACAGGTGCATACCACCAAGCTTAGCTAATTTTTTGTATTTTTTGTAGAGGCAGGGTTTTTCCATGTTGCCCAGGCTGGTCTCACACTCCTGGGCTCAAGCAATTTACCCACCTCGGCCTTCCAAAGTGCTGGGATAACAGGCGTAAGCCACCACACCCAGCCTATCATTTATTTTTTAAGATAACTTCATGACTTAGATTGTATTACTATTTCATTTTTAAATGAGTAATTGATAAGTAGAAAGGTCAAATAATTCGCTGCAGATCACCTGTCTACTAAGTGATAGAACAGAATTGAAATCCAGGTAAATTCATCTTAGAAACCATACTTTGGGCAGCAAACTATTTCTGTAAAGTTTTAGATAGTAAATATTTCAGCTTTATAGGCTGGGCTGTTTCTGTCGAAAGAACTCAAGTTGGCTCTTTGTAGCACAGGAGCAGCTACAGACAATATGTAAAAGAATGAGTGTGGCTGTGCTTCAATAAAATGTTATTTGTAAAAACAAGCAGTGAGCCAGATTTGGCTCATGGACTATAGTTTATCAGCCCCTGCTCCACAAAAGTAAAAACATATGCTGATGCATGGCACCATTTATGCAGGTCCTAAATTGTATTGCACCACTACAAAAATATTGTTTTATAAGAGAGGGCCAACATGAGCCCCTTTCCACCATTATACTTTATGACAACCACTACTTTTCCTTAGAAAGCGTATTTTTAAGTCAAACCTTGAATATCTGAAATACAGGATAAGAAATCCCATTTTAAAAACCAGATCCATATAACACCTAGCTCACTTGTTTACTTCTAAGCAATCTGTTCCATGCATTGGCTGAACAAACAGTAATATTACAAAATCAACAAACATTTATTGAAGTCATAACAGCCAATGGAATACCTACTGAGTAGAGAAAGTTGAGTAAGAATGACCTTGACTTTAAGGAGTTGAAAATTAGTAGAATAGAAAAGATATGAAACAACCTTGTTATAATTCAGCGGGATGAGTACAATAATATCTGTAAGATCATGGAAGTTCTAAGAAAAGAAAAAATATATTATATGGAAGAAGCCTTTGAGTTTTTTGTGCAAAGGTGTTATTTGAACTGATTCATCTTGGAGGAGATCTCCAGATAGGGGAGGCATTCTAGCCAGAAGCAATGGTGTATGAAAATGTGCTGGACCACCATTGTGTGGGGATGCTTGGGGAACAGTGAGAAATGCAGCCGAATGAGAATATCTTTGGGCAGAGATGGAGGAGGTAAGGTGGAGAAGTGGCAAGAGATAGGTTGCAGAAAGTATTCATCTTAAAAATTTAGGGTTTCTTTTTAAAAGCAGAAAGCAGTTAAGGTGATAAAACAGGCAGTGACTTAATCACAATTGTTTTTCGAGTTAAGAAGCTAGTTTTGCAAATGCTTTATGGTGAGGTTTTGAGGAGTATGTTTAGATAATTTACTCCCCTAGAGGGGCAAATTAGTTCGGGTCACTACCATTTCTTACTATGCTGCCATCCCAGCCTCCTAAATGTTCCTGCTCTCTCAACTTTTACTGTCTCCATGGTTTGCCTTTTCCAGAATGTCATTTAGTTGGAATGTCAGTATGTAGTATTTTTAGAATGGCTTCTTTCACTTAGTAATATACGTTTAAGCATCTTCCATGTGTTTTCATGGTTTGATAACTCATTTTTTATTACTGTTTAATAATATTCCATGGTCTGATGTACCACAATTGATATATCCATTCATTTATTGTAGGATATTTTGGATGCTTCCTTTTTTTGCAATTATGATAAAAATACTAAAAACATTCATGTGCAAGTGTTTGTGTGACACGCATTTTCAATTCATTTGAGTAAACATCCAGGAGCATTATTGCTAGATGGCATGGTAAGAGTATGTTTAGTTTTATAAACTAAACTGCCAGGCCAGGTACAGTGGCTCATACTTATAATCCAAGCACCCTGGGAGGCTGAGATCAGAGGATTGCTTGAGGCCAGGAGTCTGAGACCAGCCTGGGCCATAGCAGGAGACCCCATCTTTAAAAAAAAAAAAAGTAGCCAGTGTGGTGGAGCACACCTGCGGTCCCACCTACTTGGGAGGCTGAGGTGAGAGGATCACTTGAGCCTGGGAGGTCAAGGCTGCAGTAAGCTATGATTGCACCACTGCACTCCAGCCTGGGCAAAAGAGTGAGATCCTGCCTCAAAAAGCAAAACAAAAAAAAAGCAAAAAATTGTCCAGCTGTCTTCCAAATCGGTTGCACCATTTCCATTTTGCATTCCCACCAGCAATGAATGAGAGTTCCTGTTGACCTACATCCTCACCAGCATTTGGTGGTGTTGGTGATTTTGGATCTCGGCCATTCTAATAGACTGTTTAGGTACATCTCATTGTTACTTTAATTTTCAATTTTGTAGGTACATACAATGTTGAACCTTTTCATATGCTCATTTGCCATCTGTATATCATCTTTGGTGACTGTTTACATATTTTGCTCATTTTTTTATTCTGCTCCAGCGCATTTTCTGCTTTGCACTGAAATCTGATCTTACTGCTATGTCACCCCCATGAGTAAAGCCTTTCAGTGGCTCTCCACTGCTCTTAGGAATAGAGACCAACACTATCTGGCTGTGCTCACATCACCTGGCTCAGCTGCCACCAACCACATGCTGCTTCTCTTTGTCCCTTCCACATGGGCTACCTTTCATTCTACATTTGTACATTTATGACAGCTTCAGGGTCTTCTTATAGCCTGTCTTCTTTACCCCAACAGGTACCCATCTTTCTGCTAAACAATTTGTCATAAAAATTTTCACCTTAGCTTCCTCTCAAGGAGGCATTTCTTAACCTTAACAAATTAAGATGGTTCCTTTCCTGTAAAACTGGCTTATTGCCCTTGTCTTTTGTGATATTTTTCAATATTATATTTAAATAAATGCTTAATTAATGCTTGCTGAGATATAGTTCCTACTAGGCAATAGACATTATCACTTTTGTCGTGATGCTATTACCTGGGCATAGTATTGTACCTTCCCTATGGTAGGAATTCAGATTTGCTCAACTTAACTCACGAAGGTGCTTAGACAAACTTGGGTTGTATTCTAACTCCTCAAATTCTTACCTAAAACATCTTAGGTAAGTCTTTTGGTCAATTTTAGTTTTAGTTTCTTACCCCAAAGATATGATAGCTAATAATTCCCATTTGACAGACTTGTTTTTTAAGGATTAAATGAGATAAATTAATTTTAATGCTTTGTAATCCATATGGCAATATGCATGTGATTTATTTTTATAACTGAATTCTTACTTTCAAAATTGTCTATAAAATGAAGCTTAAAATGATTAATATGCAGATTAATATTTGGTGGCTGATACATCTGTCTTATGGATACCTTCAAATCCATTCTGTTTACTCTTAGAATATAGTGTTTAGACTAAAATAATCCTGGAATCAGCTTCTTTGAAAGTTGTGATTCTTATAACACAGTTTTGGGCCTTGTCGGCTTTTCTCATCATCTGTATTCTGCAGGCTCTGGGTGATAATCATTTTATAGATTTAGGATAACAGTTTCATATTATTCATTTTTAACTGATTGCTCACTTCAGCAGAGTAATCATTTTAGAATCTGTTAATGATCCCCTTTGATGGCTTTTATAGACACAGCACTGCATATTATGTATCTGCAATGTATAAATATCTGGGATTGCTTTTAATTGTGAGAAGAGGTTTGTCCAAAGGAATCAAGGAAAGCACAAAACCACAATCAATGTCATATAAAAGGTTCAAACTAACATCAAAAAACATAATTACCTGCAATTGCGATATGTATGTAGATAATATGCTTCTTTAATGTGAATACGGAGGTTTTTTTCCGAAAGCAGATGCTTTCTCCTGCCATGTGGAATATGTCTGTATGTGCCTGAGTCTTGCTTCTTTGTGGCAGCCAAGATAAATAAAGCAAAACCGTCTCCTGAAAAGCACTGGCAGAATATCTGCAGACCATTAATCTTCATCCATCTTCATTTTGCAGGCAGTATATATGCCACTTTCTGCATTTATTTAGGGATCTTCTTTCTAACTTTTTTCTTCTTTCCTTGTCTCACCCATGCTCAACTTTGGTCCTTCCTTGCATAATTTTATTTGATAGATATAGTATCTTACCATACAATGATTCAAAGTTGTCAATAGAAGTTAATATTTTAGCTGACTGAATGTGTGACTTTATATTACCCTGTAAATGTACTAAGGAATCGGTCTCTCTTGACTCATTACTAGAAGCCATAGTTTTGCTTATTTATTTCTTGACTGTCTCTTCTTTTCCAAGACACTCCTCTTTGCTTATTTTAGTTCTCAACTTTGTCAATTTATCACTTTGTTTTATAAGTCCTTATCATCAGTTTAATTTCTCCCTTCATAGTTTTATATGGCATTTGCCTGTATTACACAATGCCCAATGAATTAGGGAGTAAAACTTCATTTAAAATATTTTACCTGCATATCTAAGAAAATCAGTTATTCATTTCTCAACCAGTTTGTTTGGAAACTATGGAAGCACATTTGTTTTTCCCTTGGGGATGGGGTCAAGAAAAATAACACGTGATTTCCAACCCCCTGACTCTTTCACATAATTCACTTTTTCCTTTGGATTTCAAATTCCTTTTCTCTGTTTTCATTCCTAATCAGTTGCCTCTTGAACTTAAGGGATGAGAGCTTTACCTAAATTTAGTAGTTCAGAATCCTAAATTCAGTACTGAAATATACTGCTGATTTTTAGTATCTGTTTAGAAGCTGCTAAGAGTGACTGCCTCGAGCTTTCTGAAATTGCAGAACAGCTATTCTTATGTCATGAGCCTTTGTAACTCACCCACCAGTGCAGTAATAGCTCTAAAAAAGACAGTGTTAAAGCAATCAAAACTGTAAATTGTAGAGTTAAGAGACACTTTGGATCCCCCAAAGGTGCCCAAAGCGTGATGTCATTTTTTTCATTGCTTCTTGAAAGGGCAGTAACACGAAGTGTAAAATAACTTTTGACATTAAACCTATAGAATGAGAGGCATGTGAAGATTTTATTACTTGTATTATTTCTTGAACTATTTTAGTTTAGAAATGGCTCAAGTGGGTTCTAATTTTGCAGCATGTTGATTTAGTTATGCTTTATTTTGGAGTACTAGGTAGCCATTAAAAGGCTATGAAATGTAGATTTCTGAAGTTTTTACTTCAAGCAATTAATAAGGGGAAAAGTTCTTGGCTATTTGACAAAATAGGTTTTACTCTAAATGAACTCTTTCAAATATGTAAAAATAAAAACCAGATTATTTAGAAGGTGGTGTCTAGTTTTAGGAAAATAAATTCTAAAATAGCAAATTGTAAATGGAAAATTTTAATCTTTTGGAAATTTTATGTAGATTTTTTACTTAAAATATTTTCTTAAAAGGAGAATACCACCCATGAACATTCATGAGAATCTTACCCTCAGCATTTTTATCCTCATAAAATCGTTTTACCTTTATCACTCATCCATTCATATTTGAATAATAAGAATTATATTCATGTTATGAATAATAAACCCCCATCATCCATTCATATTTCTTCATTCATTTACAATTTATTTTTCACTTACTAAATTAGAAACATCTACTATAAAGTTATTTGGTACCTACTCATTTTGGCAGTTTTACCAATATACCTCTACGTTTCTCAAAAATTATGGTCATGCTTTCTTCTTTCTTTTCTGTATACCCTGCATTGTATTAGCCATGAGTTTGGACTTAAAATGTGCATGTACGTATACATTTTATTCCTTGAATCATTGTATTTGACAGCTACAATACATATATTTAATATTTATATAAAATATATGTATGATATCTGCCAAATAAAATTTTATACATATGTGTGTGTGTTTGTGTGTCTGGGTGTGTGTATTTCTTCTCTCCATTTCAGTAATGCCACCCTAGTCAAGGAAATCATCTCATCTTTTTGTACATTATTACTTCAATTTTATTGATGAAAAACTGAGGCACAGAGATGATAAGCAAGTTTTCCAAGGCAGAGGAGCTCTGAGCCCTATACAGAGAAATGCAGATTTCAGCTTCTGTTTGAAGTGCGATAACTAATGTGATGTTGAAAGTCATGAAGGAGAAATTTCCTGGTCTTTAAAAAACTAAGTATTTTCAGTCTCTATATTACAATAACTTAGCCCAACTTAACTAACACAAGTGTCTACCTTACAGTCTAGAAGAACAGTGATTGCCACGCAGTAAGAGCATAATAAATAATAGCTTCCATTATAATTTCTGCAAAATCAAACTACTCATTTTTTTTTAGGTTCACTAAATACTA
Organism: Homo sapiens; assembly: GCF_000001405.40. NCBI lineage: Eukaryota > Metazoa > Chordata > Mammalia > Primates > Hominidae > Homo > Homo sapiens. The sequence goes on along the minus strand of NC_000014.9, from coordinate 84,835,101 downwards.
CTTTCATTATCCAGCCTTCTTTATTAGGTTCACTAAATACTACTTTCATTATCCAGCCTTCTTTATTGCTATCTAGGAAAAAAATTCCCATCCAGGACTGTAATACATTATCTGTCATATTACACATATTTTTCTCTTTTTATACCACATCATTAAAACCTAATTTCCATGCAGTAAGACATCATGTCTTATTGTGTTGTATCATCCTTAATTATTATAATAATGATTATTATATATTATGCATTGAATAATTATTTAATGAAAAAATGCAAATTTTCTTTCAGGTTTAAGGATATGAAGGGATTTTTCTGCTATTTTTGCTCTATTTCATAGGCTGTAGCTCCATGGCCTACAATTGAAGAGAATGCTGTTTTCTGCCTCATGGAAGTAGGAAAATGAACTCTTGAGATGTTGGCTCTCAAGGGAGCTTGCCTCATTCATAAGGTAAGTGACTTAGAGCCACTCAGCAATTCAAAAGGCTATTACTTCATATTTGTACCTCAAATATGTAAAATCTCCATAAATTAGACTTTTGCATTACTTTATTATAGTTGAAACACAGATACGATATATGAGAATGCCAATGTTTTATGGTGACTGTTTTTACTCATCTAACGGAAGAATCCTCCCATCTATACTCAGTGCAAAGCCTGGTGAGCATGGCAGTTTGTTTCTGGACAAATATGCTCAACCACATTCTCCTGAGATTTACTTCATGCCTTGCCAAGAGCCCATCATTGCAATCCCCAGTTTATGGTTGGGTTAGAAATCTAAATTCGATTCTTCAAAAACATCTGTTCAGCCAGCTGTTCACTATTCTTATAGTCAGTACTAATTCAAAGCAAAGCTAAAATATCACCTTGCCCTTATGATTTCAAGTTTGCTGCCTAAGGCTTCATAATCTCGTGTGATACTTCCTGATTTTTCTAGATATTCACTCGTTTATCTTTCATTGATTCACGTAAGGATTAATTGAATGCATTATTTATTGATCCCCTAAGATATGCTGGCATGGTACCAAGAACCAAGTGCGATTGCTGAATGCTCTAACAGGGAAGTTTGCATCAGGTGGGGTTATCCCTTCCCATCTAAGCTGTGGGTGTCTATTGCAGATAGCAATTTTGCAAAACTTTCCATGTCCCAAAGGTTATGGCTACCTAGAATCAATGCATAACCCACATTACCATGGTAGGTAATGTGGTTTATATCTGTCTCCCCACCCAAATTTCACGTAGAATGCTAATCCTCAATGTTGGAGGTAGGGCCTGGTGGGAGGTAATTGAATCGGCGGGGGGTGGGGGTAGTTTCTCGGGAATGATTTAGCATCATCCCTCGACAGTGAGTTCTCACGAGATCTGGTTGTTTAAGAGTGTGTAGAACCTCCCCCCTCCCTCTCTCTCTTGCTCCTGCTTTCCACATTGTGAATTGCCTGCTCTTCCTTTGCCTTCCACCATGATTGGAAGCTTCCTGAGGCCTGCCCAGAAGCAGAAGCCACTATGCTTCCCATACAGCCAGCAGAAACATGAGCTAATTAAACCTCTTTATTTGTAAATTACCAAGGTATTTCTTTGTAGCAATGCAACAATGGACTAACGCAGTAGGTTAAGAGATACATGAAAGTATCTCTAAACTTTCAACATAATGTAACTTACCTTGGATTCATTTTTATTTTCTACGGTTAGTAGCGACTTTCTTCCTATTGTTGGGGAATGTAATTTTCTATTATTAGTAAGAATTCTCCATGACAAACAACTCACGAATACTAGGAAGTTTTTCATACCTAATTTGCAGCAGGGCCCACTCCACTAATGGAGAATTTCTGCATTTCTTCATCGTATCATTTCCCTCCCTATTCTCATCTGTAAGGTTCTAATTAGTGTTGCCCTCAGATGCTTGTTTTCAATGGATGTTACTTCACACCTATTCTGCAGCTTCAATGGAGCCAAGATGCTGCAGCCACTTTCCCTACCCAGTCTGTCTATACCAGCAATTCCAGGGTGAGGGCACCTGGACACAGTGCTCTGTAGCACAAAATCTGCTGCCTTTGGTCTGCCACATGCATTAAAACGGGGCCACAGAAACCTGCCGTTCCACTAAACAGTGACTTAGGTAACTTGAGTTTCTAACTCTGCTTTCATGTTTACTACCCAGATGCAGAAATTATGTACCATTTAACATTTTGCAGAACTATTTATTTAACTTATTTTACATTTTAGTGCTGATGAATAAGAACTTCTTTTCATTTACTTTGCTCTCAATGTTTTACTCCCTAATGTTTTCCCATTATAAACATAAAATATTCATGAGTAAAAAGGTGGGAATATAATGAATGATTAAACTCTGCCTGAAAGGAAGAGAAAAAAAAAAAAGTATCCCTGATAAAAATATGTAAAAATAGTTTAATAAAAATTTTGATTTTTTTCACTAAAATAACATCATGTTTCTCCGCATGAGGCTATCTAGAAATTCAATTTCTTTATTATTAAGCTATAAAATCGGTAGGACATTTATCTCAGCAATTTTGACTTAAACATGAGTAGTAATTTTAGGATTTTAATCATTAATTGGTGCTTTGTCAGCCTCTATGGCTGTATTTTGTTTTCTATGATGCTGATAAAAAAAGACTTGTTTCCTTATTGCCTTTGGTTATTTTCTATTCTTCAAGATATTTTGTTGAATGTCTATTCAACCTAAATTCCTGACAAGATGGAAGTTAGGAAGAGCCAAATTTGAAGGGAACATCAAGGTACATCTGCCAATCTCAATGCCAAGCTCATGAGACACTTCACAGAGGTATCCTACTTTACGCTTCATTCTGAAGCGTAATCATTTTTACCGTCTTAATTTGGAAATTAACCTATCATTGTTAACCTAAAATTAGTACATTCTAGGCTGTTCACACCAATTGAAGGAAAACAATGATAAAGGCATTTCTGTCAGTCAGTAGATCATAGAGAATAACCTCTGTGTGAACTGTAAACTGTCAATTCCTAATCTAGTTTATGATAAGAATCACCTGTAAAACTTTTAACCATATAGATGCATTCATGTAAACAACCAGGGCTCCAGTGATAGGTCTTAGAATTTTGGCTAAACTCCTATAGTGGATATTATTTTTTTCACTTGCCCAGCATAGCCTCTTTTCTATACTTAACGCCCTCAACAAACCTTTTATTCTTAGAACAGCACCACCTTTTTTTTTTTTTTTACAACGATTGCACTAACACACTCTTATTGCTGCAATAGGAGCTGATTTCTTGTTTGACTTCAACTCTTTAGCCACAGTTGGCTTATCCAGGTAGAGTCAATTAGCCTAAGGTATCCCTTGCCTGCCTCTCCAAATTGGTCCAAGGATCATCAACTGACTTGAATTTTGCCAATTCAAGTTTTCTTCCCCCAGAACATTTCAAACCAGAATATGACAAAGTATGTTCTCCATGATAACAGCAGCTGGATTAGGATATAAAGATCAGCAGGTGTTGTGGCTCTGTGTCTCCCCTGTGAAGTGGAAGCTTTACACTGAGAAAGATGTAAGCTGAGAGCAAGAGGAGAACACAGAAAAAGAGGCTGGGAGGAACAGATTCATGAAAGTGGTAATGTTACTGATTATCCTTATTCTTGAGTACCAACTCGATCCATTATCTTCTATAGTTCTCTGGTTCATCCTTTGTCTGAATATATTGAGTTAATTAATTTGAATCTGCATAAACTATTTTTTAGTCCAATTGTAGTTATTTACATACTGGTGATTCCAATATCCTTCAGTATTTCAGTATCATTGTTATAAAATATCCTTGACTCTGACACTGAAGAAAATGTCAGACGACATTAACCAAATTCTAAACTGTGACTTCTCTCTCTCATTTCTTTTCTATTTCTTTCACACAGTTCAAACCTTATGTACTGGAAAGTTTCAACCTGTACATCAAGCTCTAGAGCAAATTCCGAGTTTTGGTGAAAGATATTTAATTAGCTTCTGTCATTTCCCACATTATCCCATGCATGTAAGCAAACCACTCTTGCAATTTTGCTAACCCTAACTCATTTTGTTCTATAAAATTACCCTGTATTTATTATCACAACAATTCAGGTAAGTGGGATTCTGCTTTGACTTCTGAATCTTAGTCATTGTATTTAATTGCTTCAAACTCATATTCGTCACTAGCAATGGCTGATCTTTTTCCTGGCATTAGCCCTCTGTAGGGACTGGGAAATTTCTACTAAGGTATGGTTGGTGTTGTGACCTCCCACATTCCAACTGACAATCTAGCTGACTGTCTGCCTCCTTGACCAGTTGAAATCATGGATCTTGGACCCTCAATTCCATTTTTAGAAACCTCAACCAGCATCTGTGATTAAATTATGGAGCTCTCTCCTCTTCCTTTATGTTGCCAAAAGTTTTATTGGGCTCAGGTTTAATATTGACCCTAATCTTTTACTGAGACTTTTCCTCTGCCTTCAGACCAGAGAGATGAGGTATCTCCCAGGAACGTACCCCAAGCTGATGGGCATGACCAACTTTATGCAGATAGTTTTACCCCTCTTAGTTTTGAGAATAATGTGCTGTACATTTTTAAGTTATCAGATGTGTCTTTGTTGAAGTTATAAAAGAGAGGAGACAAATTTTCTCAGATGGCTAAAACATGCAAAAGTTAGCTGTCTTTGAATTCAACTAAAAGCAAAAATATACCTTCATAAACTTTTCTATAAAGATGCTAAAAATACAAATAACTTATATTGTGATGTTCTTTTAACCCATTGTTGCAAATATCAAACTTACAATACATTATCCTGTTTTGACAGTACAAAGTTGGACTTGGAAATGTGTTAACAATTATTTTGAGAGCAAGAATAAAAAAATAACAATCTTGTTTTGTGGTCTGTCAAGGATGTGGCCTGTGGGTATTCTGAAATAAAGCTTTCATCCTAAATCAAGCACAGTGCTTCTCTTGCTCCATGTTTACAGCAATCCCTATTTCCCCAGAATTCCTCAGTCCACTCTTTACAGAATCTTGCATCTAGGATCTGCTGGTCTCCCAGAGAAACAACAGTAGATGTACACAGCAGGGCATTTCCTCTGATCTGTGTCAGCTCTGACACACTTAGAGGAAACATTAGACTTTTCACTACAAATTTCCATTTATCTGTGGGTCCATTAAAATAACTGGAGACATTCAAGTGTATAAACATACAATCACTTTACTCAAAGTGTTCATAGATTTGCAGGGAAAAAAATATCTAAAGAGATATTTGGTTTACAAGGTGGAAATGCAGCAAAAAGAGCAGGTGCTGAGTGTAGATATTTTTCTGAAGACTGAATGAACAGCTTCATGTGGGATGGTTGCAGGGAAGGACCTGTGGCTTCAGCATATCAAGGAAGTCTTCTCAGAGCTAGTAAAGCCTAACATGATTCTGAAGGATGATGAATGTAGACTTTGGGTAAGAGAAAATATTCTGAGTAAAATAAATTGCACAGGCAAATGCTAACTCCTGATTCAGTATGGTTTGTTCAAGAAATCATAAGTAGGTGGCTGTTGCTAAGGAGTAAAAGATGATGCTTTGTCTTTGTCAGTTTGGGCTGCTATAACGAGGTATTATAGAGTAGCTTAAAAGACAATTCATTTCTCAAAGTTTTGCAGGTTAGAACTCTGAAAAACAGGGTACCAGTAGAGTCAGATTTTGGTAATGATCCTCTTCCTGGCTTAGATATGGCCACCTTCTTGCTCTGTCCGCACATGGCAGAAACACAGCTAGCCAACTCTCTGGCCTGTTTTTATAAGGGCACTAATCCTATTCACGAAGACTCCATCCTCATGACTTAATAAACCCCCAACCTCCAAATACTATCACACTGGAATTAGGGTTTCAACATATGAATTTTATAGGGACACAAACATTCAGCTCACTGCAGGTATAGTGGTGCATGAAGTGGGCCATGGAAAGTGAATAAAATCAGGTCATGAGAACTTTGTCATGTGTTAGACCAAGGGACTTAGATATTTACCCACAAGCCATTTATGAGCGAGTTAAGGAACTTAAGCGATGGAGTGATGTGTCAATTTTTTAAACATAAATCACTGTAGGGAGCTCATTAAGTGAGTAAATCCTCCTTAGCTGATGACAACTAGTTCAAACAAATGGCTAATTCAAGTTAATCCACTTAAATTGTTAATTAAGTGCCATATTTAATGGAACAATTTTATAGTGGCTATCTTAAAAATAAAATATATAAAATAAGTTTATTTCATTATATATTAAATTACATTCTTTTTTTTAGCTATGTAGTAATTCTTATAATTAACAAAACTGTAAACCTTAATACTTGTGGTATACATTTTTCCTATAAAATTATGTGATCACATATTTTGAGCCCTGAAATTTACATTTGACTGTAATATTACTATCCTCAAGTGGGTCAAATTTGCAAGTATACCTTAAGGTTTTATTCTTTTTTTCATCTATTTGAAATGATTATTTTCACATCATTTTTAATAATCTTCATTAATTTTATCTTCTAAAATAGCAAAATGACTTAGGCCTGACCAATTCTCATCTGAAATGGCTTTGTGTATGATTTGTGATCTCACCTCTTATTCACATGAGACTTCATATTGAATTAGAAAAAAGGAAAGCACCCCTTTCTGAAGAGAGAACTTTCATAATAAATGCATAACTATGATAATCACAGAGAATACCACTCCTACAATTATGCAACATATGACCTGCCCAACTCTTTGTGAGTGTCAGAATATTAGAAACAGTCTTCAAGAATACTTTCATCTGCTCTATGAAAACCTTTTTCTTTTGGGACGTAAGCAACATCATTTTGGAATCAATTTGCATGGTATTTGCATAGTATCTCCAGATATTCACAACTATTTTAAATATGGAAAAACTAATTACTCAAACGAGACAATGTAAAGTATAGCATAACACACTAGTTTTTTTTTCTTTCTTTGAGAGGGAGTTTTGCCCTTGTTCCCCCGGGTGGAGTGCAATGGTGCCATCTTGGCTCACTGCAACCTCCGCCTTGCCAGTTCAAGCGATTCTCTTGCCTCGGCCTGCTGAGTAGCTGGGATTACAGGCGTGCACCACCACACCCAGCTAATTTTTGTATTTTTAGTAGAGATGGGGTTTAACCATGTTGGCCAGGCTGGTCTCAAACTCCTGACCTCAGCAGACCCACCTGCCTTGGCCTCCCACATTGCTGGGATTACAGGCATGAGCCGCCACACTCGACCAAGACACTAGTTCTAAGCAGATAGCAACACTGAGAATAAGTCTTTTTGTAAATGATTGATCAATTTGTATCTCTTGATGACCTTCTCTATTCAACCTCTTAATAATAAGGAATTGGATAGTATACACTTATATAATGAAGATGATATAAAGGGAATAGAAAGAAAAGGGCATACTGAAAACAAAAACACACCAAAAATACTCAATATACAACTTATAGGGGTTGGTTATTTGGTAAATGTGCTAGGAGAAGAAAGGAAAATCACATGTGGAGGTTGGATTTGTTAAAAGAAAAACTAGACGAAGTACATTTGACAGAGTTTATTTGAGCAATGAATGATTTGTGAATTAGGCAGCACTCAGAACCAGAAGAGGCTCAGAGACCTCAGCCCAGTGGTGTGAGAAGTGAGCTTTTATAGGCTGAAGATGGAAGCAAGGTAGAGAAAGCTAAGGTTACAGCTAGATGTTAGCCTCATTTGGGCATGGGTATTTGGGTGCAATCTGATCAGTTGTCTGCCTGTGTGATTTGCTGAAGGTTGGCTGTCCACTATACCCTCCTGAGTTAGGTTACAGTTTATTGCATAGGAACTCAAAGTATAGAAATAGTCTCAGGGCAATGGTCTCTTGCTTATTTAAGTTAATTTAACAGAGCTTGCAGATATTTCTTGGTCACCCCTTGACATGAATTAAAACAGAAGGTGGCGAGTCATGGAAAGGAGTGACTGGCTGCCCTCTCTCTCTACCTCCCTCCAGGGCAGAGTGCATCAATCCTGCAGCAGGGGAGAGGGAAACCTCACAAACCACGTGCTGCTGTGTGGACTCATGAAGGCACAAGGTAGAACTGGGCCACCGGGAGCTGCTGAGGGCCTGTGCTGGTCCATGAATACCTCATAATCTGAAGGTCTTAAATATGTGCTATTAAATGGCACATAGAAGACACAATAATAGATTGGGAGAAATACCACAACAGAAAGAAAAAAAAAAAAATATATATATATATATATATACACACACTTTGGTAGCTTTACTGGCACATATGGTTTTTCTTTTCTTTAAACAAGAGCTCTGGCTATTCATTTTGGCCTGGGCTCGGCAAATTTTCGGGTCAGCACCTGAAATATCCAAGACGGGCTGAGCCACACCTTCTCCCTTCCCGTGTGCGTAACTCACCAATTTGGGCAGTCACTGAGTGAGTGCTGAGGGAGTAGATTGAGGCCTGGGATATTATTCAAACAGAGATTCCTTCACAGGCAATCAGAGTGGCAGAGGAGAAAAGTGTTCCTGCTCATGAGTCATAATTAACCTGCAGCAGCTATTTCTGACTGAGAAAATAGGAGCTGTGTAGTGATGAGAACTTGTGTATGACCGAGACAGAGCTGTAGCACTTCATTTGTTTCCTTTTTAGTAGGAGCAGGAAGAGTGTGGGGGAAGTTTTAAAAATATCTCTTTTCCCTCGTCTGAGGCATTTAAACTGAATTCTGCACATATCCATAATTACTGTTTCACATAGGCATGCTCTAGGGTGTTGGCAATGAAAGCTAGGGTTGGGGAGGTAGGTGTCTGTACTTGGTGCTGTAAAGCAACACATGAGGATGCCCTAAGCCTTTGGGATCTGAAAAGATCCTATCCAAAAGTACTTCCATAATAGCTTTTGTAAAGTTAAACCTAGTCTCAGTGGTTGAGTCTGTTTCACACTTGGGACAAAAAAAGGCAACCACGTAGGAAAAGCTGCCTTTTGTTCAGAATGGCCTGGCAAAAGCAGCACACACCCAAAAGATCCAAGTACCAGCACTACAGACAATGAGGTAAGCCACCAACAAGGATCCTCTCTGTGTGGGAGAGTGTCTGTAGCCTGGTTAGAGACCCATGAAAAACAGAAGGCCGGAGCTTTAAGCATAGTGTCTTTTTCTCATCTACTCTGTTTCCTGGGAGGATTTCAGGTTTGGAGCTACTCTACCTACCAGGGGAAAAGGGGCAGGATTGAGTTTTCAGTCTGGCCTCAATGGGCATGTCAACTCCTGCTTCAGCAGCCGGGGAGTGATTATAATGACTGAATAGAATATTACTGGGGAACTTGGGAATTACTGGAAAGCCAAAATCCTGGTGGGGAGGAGGGGAGCCAATAGTAAAACACACAACGCTTGGGGCTAGAGCAATTGGACATCCATAGAAAGGTGACTCAGAGGCTGCTCAAGCCTGCAGTGTGCCCATTACTCATTCTCTGGCAATAAACCTGGAATTCAGCACTCTTGTGCTCTCTGGGTTTCTTCCTCTTATATTCAAAGTGATCGGCCATACTTCCTTTTCCTAATTTAACTAGCAGGTCCGCCTTTGGGAAAATGGTGTTAAAGAGAGAAATCTGTAAAATGACATATCGTTCGGTGTGATTTTACGTCTTTTAGGAGGTTTTGGAAACAGCAGCCTGTCTGTCCCCTTGTGTTTAACTCAATTCTCCAAGCAACAAAATCTTAGACAAAAACCACTAACACTCTTCAAATGGCTCACTTTCAAAAGAGCATAGGAGTTTTATTCCTTTGACCAACTGAGGAGAGAAAGAATGCCACAGCACTCAGCAGGGCAATTCAACTTTCACCAGCTAAGACAGAGTTAAGCTTTTAGAACTGTTGCCCCCTAAAGGAAAATAAAACACAAGGAGAGGGAATGAGATGATCTTCCATCATTAAGCAGTCATGTGCATTACTGAAAGATGTTGCTTTCTTATTGGGGCTATTAAGTATCATTTGAATAATGACTCCAGAGAGCTAAAGGCCAGAACAAAGACAAAAAGAAACATGAACCTATCAGGAACTTAAAAAAAAAAATCAGAACTGGGAAAAATAGATGTTTCCTCAAATAAATGTTAAAATCATATTTGTGCTTACGAAGATGTATACAAGGCATCTAAAGCAGAGGAATCATCTCTCTTATAAAATCACTTTTATAATTTAATGATATTCTCTAGCTTTTATGAACCCTCCTTGTGTTCAGCAATAATTTATATCAGAGTGTCCAACTTTAATTTTTGTCAAATATAGAGGTTTATACACACTCATAATGAAATGCACTGAAAGATTGGTCCGGAAACTTTTGCACTTAGCTGGGAGTGCACGTTTTGTTTTCAAATTGAAGGGAGTAGGATTGATGTATTAGGATTTTTCTGGCATAGCGAAAATGAGAATGGGGCTGACAAAGCAATGTCGTTTGTAAAATATTTCACATTTCCATTAGAGGAGAATTGGCTCCCGAGTTAGCGCCAAATGGTGGGGGTGGGTGTAGGTGTGAATTATGTATTTTGTTTATGACAAAACCTGTATTTTATGATAGTCTACATCTTGGATTAAGAGGTAGTTCATAGCTCTTAAGTTTAAGGAATGTGCTAATCAGGTAACTTTTTAATTAAGAGGAATGTGTTATGTAAAATTATGACTCAGCTCTTTTGGAAGACCTTGGGAGACAAGAAAGGAAGGCATATGCTAATAAAAAGATAAAAGGTGGGCTGCCCTGGGGCATTCCGTGGAGTGCCACATTTCACTTAAATCATGAATTAATGACAGTGTTGTAAATAAGCACTGGAAATTTTGAGGGAAAAAATAATGTCATTTGTCATAGTAATACCCAAGATGCTTTATTGCCATCAATCAATCATCTAACACAGAGGTTCCCCAAGTGCTAACCATAACTGGAACACCCCCCAAAAAACACGTGAGGGGCCAGAAGTCTGACACCTGTACTAAAAGCAGGCTGTCTCCGAAAAGTTTAAACAGGAACTAAAGGTTCAGAAGTCATTTTGAAAAATCCTGTATATGTTAATTGCTGCCATTAAAGGTCACAAAATGCAAGTGTGCTATCTAGGATAACATATGTGGTGACATCTATCTCGAGTTTCAGTTAGGTAAATTTAAAGTTAATGATCTACTATCTGTCATTTCACAAGAACTTCTGAAGTTTTCTCCTTTCTATCATGGTCCCTCCAAGTGATAGGAGCTGTAGTTTTGATTTTAAAAAGAGAACATTTGGTCTAGGCCAACGTTTCTTCCTTTAGGGAGAGTATGGAGTCAGATTTACGTTTGTGTATATAGACTTTTAAAAACTGATGACTTTCAACAGTACCAAGTCTTTTCATAGCTTCACTATTACTGCTACTAAGTTGTCTAATTGTGGGTGGGGGCGTGAGAGAAAGAGAAAGGAGAGAGAGAAAGAGATAAAAGAAATAAGAAAACACATCCTTTATACTAGAAGACTCAGAATGATAAAAATATCCTGAAAAATATCAGTTGTTCTAGAAAGTTTGATACTAATGTAATTAGGCAGTATTGATTACCTTCCCAAATACTCCAAAAAATTGAGAAATTTAAAAAATATTGTTTCTCCCTACAGGGTTATTTTGTTTAGCTGAAGTTGCGGAGTATTCGTAACATGAAAGAAGTTTCACGAAATACAAAATGTGTGGACACTATGGGAGTCTTATTAGATGAAACATTTTTATTATTAGAATATTAGATTCCTGAAACCTCAAAACTGAGAAATCAGAGAAAGTCTATAAGTCTGAGAAGCAATTTTAATCATTCTATCCAGAGGAAACAGTACTTGAACCATTTTTACTAATTGTCTAATACTTTATGTGCTTGGGTCCATTTCACCAATGTTTTACATAAATAAGGGGTTGAAAAATGACAAGTCTGCTATTATAGAAGTTCAAGTGATATTGTTTCACAGGTTTTTAAACTTTAAAATCTTAGTTCTATGATTGTTATTTATTTACTTGAATCAGAAAATTTTAGTCCCTTCGGTTTCAATAAAGTTAAATTTAACATCGTGGAAATGAAACAAAGCTCCTGCCTCATTATACAAATCAAAATATCAAATCTAAGTGTCACACTTAGACTTCTTAACTTTTAGTTTAAATTAAAGATAAAAATGCCTTAACTTTGGCTGGGCTATTCAGCATAGAATTATTTCTGCACATTCAAGTAATTGACTTAAAAGCTTAAACAAATCTCTTTACCTGACACAGCTATCTAATTGCAGCAACAATCTGACTTCATTTTGTCTGCTGCATGAATTCAATTGACTTCCATATGGCATTGTGGCTTCACTGCATTTGTTTGTTTGTTTTTCTGGGATAATCAACAGGATGGTGAGAAAGATACATAGCTGTGAGCACACACAACCATACCTTCACAAACATTTGCTTCCAGTTTGTGGTGCAAGTTGAGCTTATTTTGAGCCAACCTGGAACTCAGTTCAGATTGTCTAGCTTTTGTTTGTGGCCTGTCCTCCATACCCCAGGGACAGATCAGGTCCCTCATGCACCTGGTGAACCATGCAACATTAGAGCTTGGTAGGGAGAGGAAATGTAATTTTTTTTTCTTTGAACCCAGCTGGCATTCAATATACTCTCTGAAACAAGAGGACTGTAACATTAATCCAGTTTAATATGCATTTTTAATAAAACTGCAGATTCTGTTCTTCTTCATACATGTCCAACTCTAAAGTGTCACTCACTGCTCAGATTTTGTTTCTTATATTTATTGTGGGAAATGACGTTACAAAATGTGCAGTTCCTTGTAAAACATTGGCTTTTGAGACATTTTCTTCTCCTCTCTGTGAATCAAAAACTAAAATTATAAATTACCTCTGCAGCCTACATGTCCCAGGTTTTTATTAGGGTCTCAAAAATCCTCCTCATTTGAAATGTAGCCAACTGAGTTAAAAGCTTTAATCATGAAGGATTTAGAGCAAACTGGAGAAATTTTCTTTGCAAGGACACCTGACATTCTTTAGGCCAGTGTTTGATATGGTGCTGTAGTCACGTGGCCTTCTAGGGCCAAGTCCCAAGAATATGCCATAGCTTTGTTACAATATGAACAATACCTAGAGCAGAAAAAGTAAAAGACCATTTTTATTAAAGCCAACTTGCCCTGGATTTCTAGGTCCACTCATTTGCATGGAATGATGGCTGCTGTCATACATTTTAATAGTTGCCTGATCTTATGTCTGCTGGGAGGTGATCACCTTCAGTTGCTACACATTCCCTAGATTTGGTTGGCTTTGTCAACTTGTCATGGTCACTCTTGATCTCTGATGTCTGAGGCACTTTCTTTCAGTCGACCCTCTCTATAAGCATTGACTCTTATTCTCAGCCTTTTCCTCGGCTTTTTTAATAGTCACATGAACTCCATTTTTTCCCAATTCAACACACGTGAGGGATGAATCAGATATCGACAGTGGTTCTCAATAAATGTTCCCAGGTTAATTTGTTCCTCAAAGGAGGCTCTGCTCACTTCACACCCTACCTCTCAGAGTGTTAATGTTTGTAATATTTATCAATTTACTCATGAACAAGGAGTTTAAACAAATGTGCCACAGTGATCATCATACAGTGCCTGCCCTCAAGGAGCTGACCATGAGGTTAGAAAAGGGCAAAGTGAGAACGGAGATATCTGCCTCTATGGAGTGTCAGCACTGAAAACTAGCACTTATGTCAACAAGACTAGTATTTTTCCAGAAGATGTGTTTCCTGGAAATAAAATACTAACTGCAAGGCAATACATAACTTCGCTGCTTGCTTCAAGAAATTTCTGAAACCCAATTTATTTGATCAAGAGATTACATTTTTGGGCATATAGCCTGCATTTCAGGATAATAGGTTTCCCACTTTGGCAAAAAGGTAACTTATCAAATACCTGTTTACTTATTAAGGCAAATGACAAGACCCTGGCACCTCTGTGTTCATCACTTTTAAACTATTAGATCACAAATTTTGTCTAATCCAAATCAGTTCCCTCTCTTGGAAGACCCGCCTAAAACTACTTGAGCCCAGATTCCAAAACTCTATAACTACATTCCTGAGACACAAGGTAGACTCCTTAAAGTGGAACTCTCCTTTATTGCAAATGTCAAAAACTCTGGCTTCCCTTGGTCAACAAATTATTCTGGTAGGCTTTTGGGAGAGTTAACATCCAACAGAAGGAGCAAGGCAGTTTTCCAAAAGTGTAAGTGCTGCAACACTGGTAAAGAAAATTGTCCTCAGGAAGAACATAGAAAGTACACCGCTGACATAACACTAAGAAAAGAATAGAGACCACAGCTAACCTTCTAAAGGAGAGATGCTTAAGTATCTATAGGAATCAGTGAGGCAATAAGAAAAGAATAAGATGAGGTGAATCGAAGTTGGGGAAATATGTTTAAGAAAGAAAGAGCTGGGCATGGTGGCTCAAGCCTGTAATCCCAGCACTTTGGGAGGCCAAGGCAGGTGGATCACCTGAGGCTCAAGACCAGCCTGGCCAATGTGGCAAAACCCCATCTCTACTAAAAATTAAAAATTAGCCAGGTGTGGTGGCACGTGCCTTTAATCCCAGCTACTGGGGAGGCTGAAGCAGGAGAGTCGCTTGAATCCTGCTGGCTGAGGTTGCAGTGAGCTGAGATTGTGCCAGTGCACTCCAGCCTGGGCAACAGAGAAAGACTCCATCTCAAAAACAAACAAACAAACAAGACAAAGAATGTCATGTGCCATGATTTAAGGGTAAAATTGAGCAAAGCAGGATTCTGGGATTATAGTGGCCTTGGTTTGGCAAGAGCACAGGAGGCCAAGGGCAGGGAATGAGCTGGAGAATTGAGCAAGCCCATGAGGGCCAACAGATTAGAATTTAATACACTTAGAAACATTGACGTTCAGATGAGACTTAATTACTGAACAATTTTTGGTTATAACAGAAAAAGCATAAAACTTGGACTGGTGATGGAAATTACTAGAAGAGAGGAAGAGAATAATGGTTCTTCCCCTAATATTTCCCACCCATAAAGGCTGGTAACATTTCCCTTTTTGATCTATGTTCTCTCTATATGGCTATGGCTGTGCTCAGTTCATGGAAATCCATTCAGTGGTAGCCTTATGACCTTTGTATTATACTTCAACAAAAAATTAAAATAACAAGAAATAGACAAGAGAAAGAGAATTATTACTGTCCACAAATAATTTACTAGTGATAGGCTGATCCAATGCAATGTTTCAAATTTCAGATATAATAAGTTTACATTATTGAAATGAATATCTGGGAGCACATATTTGGCTGTGTTCACATTTTTGGGACTTAGGAATTTTGATGCATACTTGCAATGTTTGATGTTAAACTACATTCCCCATTGGCAAAGCATGCTTTCTTTAAACCATGAAATATGTTCACAAAAAACCCTTAAAAACTGCTTTCCATTCACTAGCTTTTTTTTTCATTACTTCTAAAAAAAAAAAAAAGTGGATATATGTGCAGAACGTGCAGGTTTGTTACATAGGTATACGTGTGCCATGGTGGTTTGCTGCACCTATTGACCAGTCTTCCAAGTTCCCTCCCCTCACTCCTCACCCACCAACAGGGCCCAGTGTGTGTTGTCATTCACTAGCTTTGAACAAAAAACAGTGTTAAACATGTGTTTCTGGAAGTGTAATTGTACAAAAAAATAGATAAGATCTGTATACATTCTCATGGAAACTAGAAATAATAGTCAAAATGTATTATTAGTGAAAAATCAAGTTTCCTAGCACTGCAGTAACACATGACCACAACTAAGTGTCCTACAGCAATAGATATTTATTGTCTCACAGTTCTGAAAGCCAGAAGTCAAAATCAGCAGATGGGCAGGGCATGCCCCCTCCAAAGACTCTACAGAGGATTCCTCCTTGCCTCTTCTTAGCTTCTGGTAGTTCCAGCAATCCTTGGCATTCCCTGGTTTGGAGATTTGCTACTCCAATCTCTGCGTCTATCATCACATGACATTCCCCTGTGCACTTCTGTGCCTGTGTCTCTTCACCAGTCTTTTTGGAGGAAGGCCCACCCTAATGTGCTCATTTTAATTTGATTACATCTGCAAAGACTCTATTTCCAAAGGATTTCAATATATCTTTTGGGGACAAAATTCAACCTACAACAGCATTACAGAAAAAAATACATAGCACGACTCATTTAAATAAAAATACGTACACGAGAGTGTGTACATATTTCTGCAAAAGCATGGATGAGACTAGAAACATGAACACTAATTTGACTGTGCTTTCCTCTAGGAGAAATGAAGGGAAGCTTTGATATTTTCCCCTAAGTATTTAGAAGGTGTTTGAATATTTTACAATGATAATTTATCAGCATGATTTACTTATTCTTTAAATATATGTTGATTGAGTGCCTGTGTTTCTTGTCCACAAATAAGATCTGTAGGAGAAACATCTTTAAAAAATCAAAGTGTGCAGAAATGCTCAAGGGATACATCAATCAATTCATTTAGAATCCAGAATTCTTTTTAAAAAAACAACACATAGGGAAAATAGAGATCCAGATCATATTTGGGTCACATTTGCCAATTAAATTTTAATTTTCACTAATAATTTTGCAATGTCCTCTATCTATAGGCTACATGGATTCAAGGTCAGGTGACTCTATTTACTTTTATTAATAAAGTAAGTAAAAATCAATTATCCAGGTTAGCTATCCTGCAGATGCATAATTCTAGTCTTGTCTTCTTACCAGCATTTTTGCTTCTTGTCTTATTAAACATCTATGTGAATCCTCTATTCCAATACAGTATTACTTGTGCATAATGTTCAAAATGATATCAAACTAGTACTTCATTGAGGTTAGATACTCAATATCTGTAGTGTCTTTATTTGGGCTCCTATAACAAAAACAGCATACACTGGGTGGCTTGTGAACAACAGTTTATGTCTCACAGCTCTGGAGGCTGAGAAGTCCAAGATCAAGGCCCTGGTATGTTCAGTGTCTGGTGAGGGCTTACTTTTTGGTACATAGAAGGCCCTATTCTCATTGTGTCTTCACATGATGGAGGGGACAAAGGAGATTTGGGGGGCCACTTTTATACAGACACTAATTCTATTTATGTGAGCTCCGTTCTCTGAACCTGCTCATTTCCCACAGACCCCATCCTGACATACCATCACACTGGGGAGGAGGTTTCAGCATATGGATTTTGGGAGGACACAAATATTCAGTCTATAACATGTGGCATTAAGTTTTCTTAGAAATTTAACTATTACATGTTAATTTAAGTATAACCATTTTTTGGTTATCTTTACTTTGAATTTCATAATCTAAAGCAGTGCCTTCCCTGGAAGTCTTCCATATTTTTCCTCATGTTCATCAGTTTGGCAGCTTTGGGCCATTCTTGGACTGTGGGGATTTTTTATAAAGTTGGAAGCTCCAGCTCTGGGGATAACCTCCCTACCTACACTTAGCAGTGTACATTCTTCTATAGCCTCATTCTTCACCGAGCCTGTGGAAAGTTCCTTGTGATCAGAAATCTTACATCCTTGGAGTGTATCTCCCCAGCTGCCAGCCACCAGTCATCTTATACTCTGCTTACACCAGGAAGATATCTCTTTCTCTCTTTAAAATTTTCTCACTATTTCTGAAAGCATTTTTTTTCTATTACCTCCCATTCTGAGACACCAGCTTAGTCTCTTCAACGTGTTTATGTATTTACAGGGGGATGTGGAGAAAAATTGTCATACGTAGTTTCTTCTGCTTTTCTTACAGAACATTCTGAGGCAAGGGAGTAGTAAAAAGTTGGCTTTCTGGTTGTAATAGATGCAGAGAAAAAAATGCAAACTTTAACATAAATAGCTCAAATACAATCTTGCCACTGTATTATTCAGAAATATTTATGATAAGTTCAATATTTGCCAACAAAGCATTTATAAACACAGCAAAGAGCAAACAACTCCTGGTTTGGAAATATGTATATCTGCTGTAGTATTTTACTCATTCCAATCTTAAGATGTAGGCAGAATATAATATATATGTTTTAAAACTGTGCTTTCAACCAAATTGTTAAAGATGGACTTAAATATCAGCAAGTGATTATTCTATAATTAAGCCAACAAGCCTATTTTTCTCTCTCTGAATAGAATCTGAGTTCTGATAACATTTATTCAAAAACTTTGGATTCATTCCTTTTGGCATTGAGGTAAATGTTAGTCAAATTCCATCTTATCTGATTTACATGAACAAGAAATATGAGAAATATATGTAAAGAATATTTTTGCTTAACATATAACTTTAAGACCAACAGGAAAAAAAATATGTATATGTATTGAGATGCATTTAAGGTTTTACTTAAGTTGCTAAAGTTTATATTAAAATGACAGAATTTAAAAATGTTTCTTTATCATTTTGTGGCAAAATAAAGGACTTCATATTTGGCCACACGTTGGTGAGACTGAGACTACCTGAATGACAGAGCAGGTGGAAATACGCCATTCATCACCTTCTCGCCTCAGAATTCAGTTATATTCTGCTAATATACCTGACCATATCTTTACTAGAGCTTTATCATTAGAAATAAATATTCACCATTATCAGGTTGATTTCTGCTTTGTTTGTGACTGATGGTTACAACTGTGGGTAGTAATTTTGTTGATGTTCTTTATTTTAAAGTTTTCTGCCACCTCAGACAAGTAAGAATCTTCCCACATCACAATTTCTTATCTGTTAGGATAAAAGGTGTCATACAAATGGAATATATATATGCAAATGTAGTACATTACAGGGAAAAGTCATTTTTATTGTAATATTTTCCAAAAATTTTTGATATAAAATACTAGTTTTTCACTAAACATTTCTTTCTCCCCAGATGTCTTTAACCACTTATTCAAAGACCATATTGAATGTTTATTACCTGCTAGATATTATGCCAAACACCTGGCGTACCATGGTGAAGGAAAAAGAGGCAGCCTATGTTTTGTTCATGGAATTGACCATGTTGTGCTGGTGAGTGAAGGGGGTTAGCACAAAAAGGGGAATGTGGGTGGTGAGAGGCATCAGTGATCCCATAAATGCAGAATGTAATTCTGAGCTGTGATAACGCTAGATAGAGACAAATGTGGTATAACGGGAGATATGAAGGACTGGAAGATGAGTCAAGGTTCACTAGGGGAAGGTTTGTGAAGGGACATTCCACGCAAAAAAGGCATATAGGAAGGTCTTGAGGCAGGAAATAATATACAGCATTCTAAGCTTTGAGAGTGATGTTGATGGAGTTAAATTTGGATTCAAGGGAGAAAATAGAGGAAGTCAACAACGAAGAGGTAGGCAGAACCAGACCGGAAATACCTAGAAGGGCTTTAATTTGTTCCTAACCAGGAGAGCTATTTCAACATTTTTTAAGCAGGAGGGGGTGATTTCATCTCATCTGCATTTTACAAAGGGTCACTCTGACTGCCATGTAGAAATTGGCCTAGGGCAGGGGGAGCGAAAACAAGGTAACTCCTTGGGTAGTTACAAACTGACTGGAAGAGACACTGTGGCAGGCAGAGAAACCTAGAGATAGAAAAAATTTAAAAAAATGAATGAATTTGCCTGCTACTTAGAAGTGGAATCCATATGATATGGTGAATTGAATATAGAAGCTTAAGAAGAGTGAGATTCATGGGGCGACTCCTGGAGTTTTGTCACAAGCACCTTGGTAGATGAAATTTTCGTTTATGAATAGGAAGAACACTGGAGATAAGAGAGAACTGAGGAAAACAAACTCAAAGCTCAGTTTTAGACATACTATATTCTAGACGCATACAATGTTTTCAAGAGACATAGGTATGAAGTTAGGTGTGTAGGTCCAGAGACCAAAACAGAAGTCTCGGATTGAGAAATCCAGCTGAAGCCATCTGCATAGACAGGTACATAAATTCATAAAAGTAGTGGTGGAATATCAACAGAGAAAAGAGCACTCAGGATTCTGTCGCACACAATTGCAACACTTAGTAGTCTGGTAGAGGAGAATGGTAAAACAGAAAAGTTGTAATAGGCTTATTATTGATAAACTTTAAAAAAATGAAAGCAGCTCACACCTGTAATCCTAGAACTTTGGGAGGCCAAGGCGGGTGGATCAAAAGGTCAAGAGTTCAAGACTAGCCTGGCCAACATGGTGAAATCTGGTCTCTACTAAAAATACAAAAATTGTCTGGGCATGGTGGCATGCATCTGTAATCCCAGCTACTCAGGAGGCTGAGGCAGGTGAATTGCTTGAACCTGGGAGGCAGAGGTTGCAGTGAGCAGAGATTACACCACTGCACTGCAGCCTGGGTGGCAGAGTAAGACTCAATCAAAAAAAGGAAGGAAGGAAGGAAGGAAGGAAGGAAGGAAGGAAGGAAGGAAGGAAGGGAGGGAGGGAGGGAGGGAGGGAGGGAGGAAGGAAGGGACGGAAGGAAGGAAGGAAGGAAGGAAGGAGAATCACAAATCTAAATTCATGCCAGGGATGGGCAGATGAAGCAGCATGTTATAAGACAGTAGGTGCTTGCTGCTTGTATTGCCATTTGTCTACTTTCAAGACTCTTTTAAACTATTTGATGTAACAAAGAGCAAAAATACATGTTTCCTTAAGTCCTGTAATTTGCTGGTCATGACTTTGAGAGCTCTGATTTAAGTCAAAGATTTTCTGTTATTTATAAAACAGAAAAATTGTCTAACTTCTGTCATGAGGTATGTTCCAAGTTGATTAAAGATAAATTGGCTATTGGGCCACACTTACAATGTTTTTATTTACTTTTTTTTAACAATAAGTATATTTGAGAAAAAACTGCATTCCATCTTATTCACCTAGTTCTAGACTTCTACTAAACAATATGGCTTCAAAGAATTTCTATTTTTCCTCTTATGATAAATAAAATTATTTTCCTATAACTACTCCTTTTGGTGACTCACATATTGATATTGATATGTAAATGTGAACTTCCTTCCCAATTTCTATAAGCACACCATGCAAGCAAGGGTATTTATATCTTAATAATGTAAGGTGTAATCCGCATGTTCTCACTCATAGGTGGGAACTGAACAATGAGAACACTTGGACACAGGAAGGGGAACATCACACACTGGGGCCTGTCATGGGGTGGGGGGAAGGGGGAGGAATAGCATTAGGAGATATACCTAATGTAAAAGACGAGTTAATGGGTGCAGCACACCAACATGACACATGTATACCTATGTAACAAACCTGCACGTTGTGCACATGTACCCTAGAACTTAAAGTATAATAAAAAAAAATGTAGGGTGTAATAACCTAACCCTGAATACATTTTTTGATCTTTGAATTTAAATACATCAATGATATTTACTTTGATGTGAATGTATTTTTCTCAACAATATCAAGGTTCAGATAGTCAATTGGTTAAATCACTTTTTAATTATTTTTCTAATTATGTATTGAGTTCCTAAAGTGTTCAGGATATTTCAGCTTATGTTTAAGACTCAGGTGGTACGCAGTCATCAAAAAGTAATTTGAGAGCAACATTTATACATTTGATCTTGTGCATGGTTTTCTGATTACATGCTCCTATGATGCTACTGGATCAACCAGAGCACAGTGGTGTGACTGACATGTGTGCTTGTAGTTAACATCATCCTTTTATGAAACGCACATTTATTGAGAATCTACAATGTGCAGAGTATGGTGTTATGCTCTGGGAATATACAAATGAAGAATTCATGACCTTTTTGAAGGAAGTAAGTCATGTTTTGTGATAGCAATTACAATTCAATGTGATGTGTATATTGAATATTAAGTCCAGTGTGAAGACAGAGGTGAGAGTGCCTAATTTAGCTTGGGTTGGAAGGTGGAAATGGCCGGAGACAATTTGCTTGGGAAGGCATAAATCAAACCTTTAAATATAAGTAAAATGTTCTCAGTAAAATGGGCTAGAACAGTCATTGGGACAAAGCAAATACACTGTGACAATTAACTAAGCTAGAGAACACTGAGGCATCAGAGTAAGAGAACTACAACATCATATAATAATTTATCTTATAGAGTAGTCCTCCCTTATCCATGGTTTTGCTTTCCACAATTTCAGGTACCTACAATCAACAATGGTCCAAAATATTAAATGGAAAATTTCAGGAGTAAACAATTCGTGTTTAAATTGCATGCTGTTCTGAGTAGCTTGATGAAATCTTGTACTATTCGCTCCATCCTGCATGGGATGTGGATTCTCCCTTTGTCCAACATCTCCATGCTCTGTGGGCAACCAGCCCATTAGTCACTTAGTAGCTGTCTCCGTCATCAGGTCGGCTGTTGTGGTATTGCCGTGCTTGTGTACAAGTCACTCTTATTTTACTTAATAATGTGTCCAAAATGCAAGAGTAGACATGCTGGCATATTATTATAATTGTTCTATTTTATTATTGGTTATTGTTGTTAATATTTTACTGTGCCTGATTTATGAATTAAACTTTATCATAGGTATGTATGTATAGGAGAAAACATACTGGCCGGGCGCGGTGGCTCACGCCTGTAATCCCAGCACTTTGGGAGGCCGAGGCGGGCGGATCACGAGGTCAGGAGATCGAGACCATCCCGGCTAAAACGGTGAAACCCCGTCTCTACTAAAAATACAAAAAAAAATTAGCCGGGCGTAGTGGCGGGCGCCTGTAGTCCCAGCTACTTGGGAGGCTGAGGCAGGAGAATGGCGTGAACCCGGGAGGCGGAGCTTGCAGTGAGCCGAGATCCCGCCACTGCACTCCAGCCTGGGCGACAGAGCGAGACTCCGTCTCAAAAAAAAAAAAAAAAAAAAAAAAAAAAAAAAAAAAAAAAAGAAAACATACTATGCATAGAGTCTGGTACTATCCTCGTTTTCAGGAATCTACTGGGGTTTGCCTTCCCCACTTGCAGATAAGGGGAGAACACTTTATTTATTAGAGAATAAAGTCAATGTGTATATTATCAAGAGCAATATCATTATGTATTTTTGGTGTTTATTTTTGTGGGTTACTGAGTTAGTTTGCTGGATATAGAGTTCTGTGTCATGGATGATGCTCTCAGGGGCCTTATAGGCTGGATGAGGCTAGGGATTTACATTTGAAAGATAAATGTCAATTAAAATTATATTACAGAGGCATAATTTGATAGTCTGATTTCCTTACTTGTGTGCAGATTTAAAGAGCTAGATGTCTTTCCTTGAAAAATATTGTTTTATATTATAATAGAAGAGTTGAAAATTTTCTGCACACTTTTTTTTTTTTTTTTTTGAGACAGAGTTTCGCTCTGTTGCCCAGGCTGGAGTGCAGTGGCATGATCTCGGCTCATGCAATGTCTGCCTCCCGGGTTCCAGAGATTTTCCTGCCTCAGCCTCCCTAATAGCTGGGGACTACAGGCGTGTGCCACCATGTCTGGCTAATTTTTGTATTTTTTGGTGGAGACAGGGTTTCACCATGTTGCCCAGGCTGGTTTCCAACTCCTGACCTCAAGCGATCCACCCGCCTCAGCCTCCCAGAATGCTGGGTTACAAGCATGATACACCCTAGCTGACCCTGCACACTTTTAATTTGTTAAAAATAGTATATATTTGATATTCACTTTCTATCTATTACAAATCGACTAGTTCATTTTCAAATACATACACTTTACTCAATAGGCTTCTAAAAGGTTACTGTGGGTTAGGCACTGGAAGTACAAAAATAAATGAAGTATGTTCTTTACATTTAGAGTCTTACAATGGAATCAGGAGAATAAACAATCTTTAGTTGACTTGTCACTAAAGCTGTAGTAGAGGAAGCATAAGGTGCTGTGTGGCAAAGGAGAGCCGCTAGTGCTTGCAGAAGTGTGGACGAGCTTCATGAAATGGGTCCATTTGATCTGGGACTGAAATATGAATAGGAGTTTATCAAAAGAATTCCAGGCACAGGAAGTGTGAAGGTTGGATAAGGAGGTTAATTTTGGTATCTGCTTGTAGTCTGGGCTAGTCAAAATAAAGAATATGGCAGATACTAGCAGAAATGGACCACGGGGTTCAGCTCACTTTATGAAGGACTTTACACACCTTAAATATTTGTATTATACAATAACACCTACAAAATATTATTGTGATAAAGGTGTCATACGCTTTAAATTCTGTGCTTACTTGGTCTCATTTTTGTCTTCTAATTACTTAAATTTCAAAGACATCTTTCTTAAAATTGTTCATTCTAAAGAAGAATGCTAATACTAAATAATATGTTTATTTATTTATATTTGAGAAAGCCCTTTCCACATGTACTCCTCTGTAGCTCTTCACCATCTTTCCTCATTTATCTAACTGTGGAGACCATATGTAAAGTCACTGTGGATTGATACTGCCCTGTAAATTGTCATTCTCCTTTATATGTGCATAAACGTGACACACACGGCTACACCTGGAGATCCCTAGGCTTCCATGGAGTAGTTATGGTCTCAGTGAATCTGGGAATTCATTTCAGGAAGACAGTCTGTTCATAACCCCAAAACCAGTGAAATGGAATTACTAAAAGTGGTCACATTTGGCAAAGGACAATAAAATGTAATCCACAAAGTTTCACATGTAAACAAAATGATGTCTTTGTATTACTTTCTCATACATTTCCCTTTCAATGACTCTTAACACATGTGAGAGGGGACAGATATTAAAATTATTAAAAGTATTCTCCAAAAGCGGATAAATACTAAAAGTTGTCTGCTTGTATATACAGTATATAGCACACACACCCACCCACCCACACACACACCCACACACTTTTTATAAATGTTTAAACACATATTTTATGATAGTTAATAAATTAAACACTTATTTCAAAGAGCTTTTGATTTCATAATACACTTTTTCATCATCCATTTTCACATTTAATTCATATTAAAATTATTCTTATTATTATTACATGAGAGGGCCCATGACACATTTTTGATGTTAAAAAGCCTACTTAATCTCACAGCTTTACAAAATTATTTTTAATGATTTTCATTTTTATTTGCTGAAAGAATTAGTGATATCCATTTAAATCTTCTTCTTTGTTTAAAAATGGCATTCTGATGTTTCAGAACTAGGACACATTTGGTTTTTTCAAGAAGCCTATTATGTAAGATAAAAGCACAGGAAGGCATTTTTAATATCTCCTTGAATTTAATAAAGAAATGAAGTAGAATTTTTTCATGTGATGTGAAACATGGTTTTAAAATTCTCCCTTATCTCCTATACTGACATTCTTTCCAAAGCAAAATGGAAGTCTGCGACGTTGACCATTTTTACCTCTCCACCACCATTCTCAGGATGAAAATCAAGAGTCACTTTCTTTCTTGTAGCTGCATCTTCATGAGGACTACACTAAATACATATTGTAAAATCTAGAACAAAACTTGGTTCAGCATCATGCACTTGAGAATGTATAGTAAATGTAGAGTTCTTGTGATTTAGCAATTAAAATGACTTTCAAATCATTTTGAAAAGTAGGTCTTAAAAATTAACCCCGGTACAGATATTAACTTCAAAGTAAAGCCCCGGGTTCATTTTTATCCTCTAAAAAAGCACACACTTTTTGGTCATTCAATTATTTTCATTATTAGGATCCAATATATACAGCAGGCAAATAGTATTCATAAAGATTTTTCTTTTTATGAAATGTCAGCTTTTCCTATGGGAATATAATGTTTGCTTTGGGATAAACTTTATCTAGTCTTAGAGACATTAGAACACTCAACTAAGCCTCAAGTGAGAGTTGGCTAAGACGAGAAGTAGATAAACCCAGCTGCATAAAATAAAGCCCTTGACCTAGAAAAGCCCAGATTTCTGCGAATAAACAAATAGTGATATAATGCTGTCTAGTAAGTGCTGTTTCAGAGATATGATAAATTAGGTAAAAATGATTAAAGTGGATGCTGCACTCTTCCAGCCTTCCTTAGAATAATGCTTTTGAATGAATCAAATGAAAAGATGAAATTCTGCACTGGTTCCCAGCTTATAAAAAGAATCCTCCATTGCATGGCATCTCCATGTAGTTAGAAAGAACAGAAATCCTAGTTTCCATTACCTTCTGACTTCTGGTTCTAATGGGCCATATGGTTCACAATTCTTCTGTAAGTAACTTAATGCTTTTTGTAATTAAGAGGGCATATGCTTCTTGTACAAAAATCACTGTTAGATCTCCTTTGCATGGTAGAAACCAACATGGACTCGGTCCTGATACCAGCTTTTGTCTGCTGCCAATAAACTTTAAAGTTACTTAGTAACATTCAGAGAAAATGATGATGTATCTAACAGTTACCAAGATAAATATATGTGTTATTCTACATTATTCTGAGACTCTCTGCTCAGGGGAACTTAGCACCTTGTCATTCACCATACCTATTTTCTATGAACACACTTTTATGGTGACAATTTGACCAGATCTCAAGCACAGCTAAAATTCTCTTTAGAATATTTTTATTCTTTCTGCAATTTACTCACTTTATAACAACATTCCAGCTCACTGACTTTTACCATCTCAGTGGGAAACAATCTTTTTTTCTATTAACCTGGTCTCTGCAAAGTAAGAACTGCAGGTGTATGGTCAAAGAACTGTGAGTCATCTGTATAATTTTTTATACATGAAGGGGACAAAATGTATATCACTATTTTCCATGTTCTGAGAATGGACTTTGTTTGATCTTGATTCAAAATAGCTATAGAATTAAGCTCTTTATCTTGAATCCTTTTTCTGTTTTAAGTTGCTGGAAGCATGGTCTAATTCCTTTCCTTTATTCTGCTCAACACACATTAGAGACATCAGAGAACACTGATTTTTTACTCTAGCAGTAATTGTCAGAGACTTTGGCTGGAAGTCAGGTGGTGGGCTTCTGTTCATACCAGAATTCACCATAAGCAATGGGAATTTTGAAACTTAAAGCTATTTAGTATGAAAAGCAATGTGATGTATGAGTTCATGACTTAACTTTTATCTATTCTTTAGAGGCATGTGTTAGATTGCAGTAATGATCCTAATTATTCTGCACTTCTCATATCTATGCCTTTCCTATGTAACACTGTAATAACCTCCTGCAATGATTAGGGAGAACTTCTCTATCTGAGCTTGGCAATGTAATTTGTTTTGGCTCAATAAAGGAAAGTGAAGAAACAGTGCTCCAGTTCCGAGCCTAGGCTTCAAGAGAACTTACATGTCTCTAATTGAGTTCTGTGCTTCTGCCATAGCCAGAAAAGGACATTCCTGGCAGCCTGTTATTCCTGGGAGAGAGAGGAAAGACATGCGCAGGAGAGCCAACCCACGTTTAGATGAGAAACTCAGTTAAGATGAGCTGTACTCCATAGATGCATGAGAAATACAAGTTTATTGTCCTATGCCACTGAGTTTTAAGGTGACATTTTTAGCAGCCAAGAGCAATTAGTCTGCATTTAGACTGCTCTAAATAGAAATCCACTGCCAGAAGTGGCTATTCATTTTTTCAGAAATCCTTATTGAAATCTACTACAAAGGTTTTGTTAGTTAGCATAACGTTTGTTAGAAATAACCTTTTACACATAAAATAAGGGGTGTTCAAAATATGTCACTGGTCCTACCACAGAAATTACTTGCGTCATACCACACAGCCAGTCTACCCAGCTTAGCAAGCTAATGCCTTTGGACCCGCTTTTTCCTGGCATGTTCTCCCTACTTCATGTCTATGAAGTATGTCTCCTACTATGTCTCCCATCCTGACTCTGGGACTGACTAGATTACAATAAACAAATAAATAAAAATAAATAAATGATCACATGATAAATTTTGAGTCAACTTGCTAATAAACATTTGCCTTTTTGGAAAATTGTCCCAAGACTTGCTTCCATGATGAAATATGCAGATAGTCATTCATGCTTTGTACTAAATACTGGCTCTTCACCTGCCATGACACATTGCATTTTTAATCTCTTGGTGTTTGTTGTTAATAAGTTGGGAGAGCCACTTCTTAAGTGGGTTTTTAATTGCTGCTAGAAAACCTTCTAGGAGTCTTTCCCTTTGTCCTCTGCCATGGTCACAGGCAATGTTTTGTTTAATTGCTGTTACTCTGGATCACAGAGTGAGGACAACAAGGACAAGGCCAGAAATCTTAGCGACCTCTAAATGGACCTCCCAAGCCTTTATTATTTTAGCCTCTGAGATTTGGGAATTGTTTCTTACTCCGCATACCCAAGGACCTCACACCATTTGGTAATAAGGCTATCAGGAGGAGGAGCTATAGCCAATCTAGCATTCACATTTCTCTAGTCACCTCCGGTGAATAACAGCAATGGAATTTGGCAGCTACTGGATGGACAATTTGGCAAAGGTGATGTTGATCTATTTCTATATCAACGACTAAATGCAACTCTCTCTTCCCAGATGAAAAGTACTTATTTAATCTTTTTCTGGACTGAGAATCAGCTGATAGGGTGCTAATTCTTTCTGAGTCAATAAGTAGATTGTATTAAGTAAGATGTCTGATTTCTCACGACTGGGTTCTTCTCTGAAAGTGGAGATAATATTTGGTTTTGAAGCTTCATGGTGTTTAGGAATAAAGACAGGGAAAATTTTTTTTTTGGAAAGTTAAGATAGCTAAATAAACTTAGGATATTTTCATTGTAATTTTATTTCAGCAAATAGTCTGGGCCAATCCTGGTGAGAGTCTTTGCACCCCAGCTGGAAAACTTCCCTAGCTCTCAGGAAATGGTGAGTCTCAAAAGCTTTTCACCTCAGGGCTGTGGAGACAGGAGACTGGAGGATTTATGGAACATATGCATAATGCATTTCAATATGCTTTTCATGTGAGCAATCTCATTTACTTTTTCTGCAATACCATGACTTAAGTATTATTCCTCTTATGAAAGATTCTTCATAACTAATTGAAGGTTAGGTTAGATAAATTGGCCAAGACCACACAAGGAGAAAAAGTTAATAGAACTTTAACCTGTTCTTTATCCTCCAAGTGTCATGTGTTCCTTCTGCTACAAGCTGCCTTATGTTCCTCTTCACTAGACTCTCCCTTAAAACACATAGGATAATATACGCTTAGTACTTTGGGCATACGTGGACATTCGCCCTATCTGACCAAGCACAGGTATGCAGGTTATATACAGTACGTGCTTGCCCTACAATTATTTCCAGCTGAAGATATTTAGTGCCTTCTCTGGTCCCTCTCATTGGTCTACTTTTCTTTCTCTTTCTTCAGTTTTGCTTCTTGCTATCTCATATGATTTGGCTGCATGTCCCCATCCAAATCTCATGTTGAATTGTAATCCCCAGTGTTGGTGGAGGAACCTTGTATTAGTCAGGGTTTTCTAAAGGGACAGAACTAATAGAGTAGATGAATATATGAAGGGTAGTTTTTTAGGAGATTGACTCACACGATCACAAGGTGAAGTCCCACAATACACTGTTTGGAAGCTGAGGAGCCCAGAAGCCAGTCCAAGTCTCAAAACCTCAAAAGTAGGGAAGCCAATAGTGCAGCCTTCAGCCTGCGACTGAAGGCCTGAGAGCCCCTGGCAAATCACTGGTATAAGTCTGAGAGTCCAAAAGCTGAAGAACTTGGAGTCTGATGTTGGAGGCCAGGAAGCACCCAGTATGGGAGAAAGATGGAGGCCAGAAGACTGAGCCAGACTAGTCCTTCCAAGTTTCTCTGCCTGCTTTATCCTAGCCATGCTGGCAGCTGATTACATGGTGTCCACCCAGATTGAGGGTGGGTCTGCCTCTCCCAGGCCTTTGACTCAAATGTTAATCTCCTTTGGCAACACCCTCATGGAAACAGCCAGGAACAATACTTTGCTTCTTTCAGTCCAATCAAGATGACACTCAGTATTAACTATCAAAGACCTCATGAGAGGTGATTGGCTTATAGGGTAGATTTCCTCTTGCTGTTCTTGTGATAGTCAGTGAGTTCTCACGAGATCTGTTGTTTAAAAGCATGTAGCACTTCCCCCATTCACTTTCTCCCCTGCTCTGCCATGTGAAGAAGCTTCCTGCTTCCTTTTGGCCTCTCCACCATCATTGTAAGTTTCCTGAGGCCTCTCCAACCATGTTTCCTGTATAGCCTGTTGACTGTGAGTCAATTAAACCTATTTTCTTTATAAATTATTCAGTCTCTTTCTTTATAAATTACTCTTTATAGCAATGTGAGAATGGAATAATACACTACCTTTTCCCCTTCTATCTTTTCCCACTTTCCCTGTACTTTCTCCATTTAGCACTATTTCTTTAGGGAATTGGTGAGAGGAAAATGAGTTAGAATTAGATCATTGGGTAAGTAAGTGAGGGAAGAAAGCTGAAGCTTTTTAGTTTTTCTTCTCCTCTTCTGACCAAACAAAATGAAATAAGTATGATTGATGGTAGCTTTGTGTTATTTCTGAAGGCCAAGTGGTGAAACATCTGATAAATGTACTTTCTTAAAATGCAATTTAAACAGAGTAGAACTTATCTCTTATCTCTTTATAAAAAGCTCCCGATTGTGAAAGACATGAGCAAAGAAGTTATTAGTCTAGTCTCACACACTAGAAAAACTGAATAGAATTATACACTATTCCCTACCATGAATAATTGTGAAATGTAGACATTTTAAGCCCTGGCTATTTAGGTAACATCTACCACTGCATTTACATGAGATTTACATTAAACTTCAATCCCCAACAAATACAGTCAGAAGGTATGTTCATATTCCTTAGCATATCTTTTGCAGGGAAAAAAATCACGATTTAGTTCCCTGATTTAAAAATAGGTCAAGAAATGGGAAGTTCCATATTTAATTTAATCAGGACCTAAATAATGACAGCAAGGACCAAAGTGTTTTGTTTTGTCTTGTTTTTCCTTTTCTCTGCTTTAATGTCTATCTATAATCCGGCATTCAAGATAGCTGCCAGAGTTCCATGCATCATATCTAGGCATGGCAATGTAGTGCAACAAAAGACACCATTCTTTCGATTGACTTACTTTTTAAGAGTAAGCAACCTCTCCCAGGAGCACCCTCTACAGAAACCTTAAGACCTTATTGGCCTGCATCACATTCCATCCTCATGCTTAAACAAAATAGATTGAATCTGATTCGTTGCTGAGATTGGAATAGGGCCAGCCTTTCTTATAGATATGTATATAAACTACATCAGGTTCTGTAAATAAGAAAGCAGGGCAAGCAAACTGTGTAGGTAAGCAAAAATGACTGCTACAGCATTTGAATTTGATTATTTATTACATTTTTTTCTGTTGCCATTCCTGCAGAAACTCATGAGATGGTCTTCCAATAAAGTTGTTTTGTTATTATGTTGGTGAGGAAAAAAAATAGATTCTCAGCTGAGGACACTGCATGGTGTTTGCAAATTCTCCCGACGTCTGTGTGAGTTTTCTCTAGGTATTCTGGTTTTCTCCCACATCCCAAAGATACGCACGTTGGGTTCACTGGTGTGTGTAAATGGCTTTAGTCTGAGTGAGTGTGTGTATATGATTGCACTCTGCAAGGTAATGGAGTCCCATGAGGGTCAGTCCTCCCCTTGTGCCCTGAGCTGCTGGATGGGCTCGGGCTCCCTGAGACCTTGAACTAAGGTGAACGGATTGAAAAATGAAAAAAAAAAATGAATGAATACACATTGTAAAATATAAATTAATCAGGTACACAATAATCATAATAGTCATACAAATGCACAAAAATAAATGATGCCGCATGAAAGCACATGGCGAGCCTGCCCCATTTGTGATTGTTTTTGATCTGTTTAGTGGTAGAGGGTGTTCCATACAATATTTGCTTTGCAAATATTTATTTCTTGATTTAACTCACCACCACTATGGCCACCTTTACTCACTGATTCACCAAAAATTGAGTAAATAATTATCTTATTTGTTCCTATTCATCTTTTGTAAATGTATGCATAGCTCACATTTATTTCAATGTTCCTAGTAGACGTATTTTGGTTCTTTATTTAGAAGTTTGGTGAAGGTTTTGTGACCAGAAATATGCTGTAGAAACTTAACTCTCTATCAGTTAGCCTATGATAAATTGGTTTTGGTATACGTCACTTTGCTTAAAGTCACAGTTTCCAAAAACTTGTTGATGATGTTAAGTGAGGACTTATTGTATAGATTTAGTATCTGTTTGCATGACAGGAAAACGAAGAGATGATTCTTATATTGCATACTGGTTGACCATTTTTTCTTGTTTGTTTTTCTTCTCTCTCATTATCTAAAATATTTTCAACTTTAATTTAGAGACAACACCTTCTTCCATTTTGCAGCCCACACATAGCAATTTTATTGTCATCATATGTTTAACTTGTTCCAGATTGATTAGTCACGGGTATATATTGCCAAGAACAGTGTGTTATATAGAGAAAAATCACTTTAGGCAAGAAGAAACATAGGCATATGTGTGTGTGTTGTAGTGGAGAACTGAAGACCCAATTTTTGCAGACTAAAGAACAACGTTCAGAACACGTTCAAGTTGCTGCAGGAAACCATGAAAGGAAGAAAACCTTAGTCAAGAGTGAAAGGCACCATATGTCCTCCAGTACCTAGGCAACTAGGGAGTCAGCCTAATAGCTGTCTTAATGCACCCTGCTGTGTGCAGGTATTGGAGGACATATGGTACATTTCACCCTGAACTGTGAGTTTCCTGAAACAGCTGTAATATTCTTTTAATGTAATTTGTGTGGACCATTATATATAAGCAGAGATGTTTAAAGTATCCCCCTTTCTTCCACCCACAGTAATCCAAGGATGTTTATATGTCATTAATGTATGCTTTTAAATATCGAATTTTTACATATTGAAATGTTACCTGCTCAATCCCTCTCTTTTTTTCTCTCCCCTTTTCCCACGAGTCTATTTTTTTCTCTCTCTCCATTTCTTAGTTATTGTCTCTTCCACTTTTCCTATTTTCCTACTTAGCAAAGGGCGCTATTGAAGAAAGGGAGTGAAAAAATTTCAAGTTGTCTTTAAAGTGACAGCTTGCATATTAAAACTGGTTATATACATTTTATTTTAAAAATATTGAATAAAATTTGGATCTCAATATCCAGTTTGGAATTTCAAACATATTAGCTAAAGTAATCAGCTGTGTCCATAATCTTTTTTCCTCCCCTCAGGGACATTTTATACTTGTTCTGAATTCAGCACAACCAGTTCTGATTTGCAACATGTAACTTAGAAACAGTTTAATAAAATGCTTAGATTCAATCAAAACATATCTCAATTGTGAGAGTGAGAAAAAAAAGTCAGTATGAGGGTGAGTGGAAAATAAGTTATGATAAAATCATATAAATCAATAGTCAAGAATATATATGAAAGATATCCTTTCAGAAAGACATATTTAATATGAAATTGTTTTGGCATAGGTGTGACTGCTAAAAAGACAGCTCACCTAAAAATCAATGAATATGATTAATAGCCCAAATAAGACACAAATGACACTGTCTTAGAGAACATTTATTTGTCAAGGCTGTTGGGAAAAAAATAAAAATTCACAGCACTAACGGGCTCAAATAATTGCTTGTTTAACAATGGATCAAAGTTAAAAAAGAAAATGCTAATATGTAATAGACCACAAACACTGTGCAAACATATGATATTTTATACTTTTAAATTGTGATAAATAATATAACTACTGCTTTATTTTATAGATAAAAATGTACCATTTTAACTACCTGAAGGATACACTTCTGTGGCATTAAATATATTCACGGTGTTGTGCAACAATTACCACTATCCATCTAAACAACTTTTGCATAATCTTCAACTGAAACTCTGTACCCGATAAACAATAACTTCCCATTCACATCTACTTCTAGCCCCTGCTAGAAAGGATTCTGCTTTATTTCTCTATCAATTTGACTATTCTAGGAACCTTATATAAGTGGAATCATGCAGTATTTGTCCTTCTGTGACTGGCTTATTCCATTTAACATAACTACCTCAAAGTTCATCTTTGTTGTAGAATGTGTTCAAATTTTCTTCTTTTTAAGGCTGAATGATATTCCATTGTATGAATACACCACATTTTGTTTAACCATTAATCTACTGATGCATAGATGGTTGCTTCCAAATTTGGCTATTATGAAAAATGCTGCTATGAACATGGGTGTACAAAAAGTTCTTCCAAGTTCCTGCTGTCACTTATTTTGGTTATATAGCTGGGGTAGAAATGCTATATTATATGGTAATTCTACATTTAATTTTTTAAGGAATCATCATACAGTTTT
The DNA here is from genome assembly GCF_000001405.40 of Homo sapiens. Lineage (NCBI taxonomy): Eukaryota > Metazoa > Chordata > Mammalia > Primates > Hominidae > Homo > Homo sapiens. The sequence goes on along the minus strand of NC_000014.9, from coordinate 84,800,897 downwards.
TTTCTTCAGCCACATCATTTTTCATTCTCATCAATAATGCACAAAGCTTTCACTCTCATTTTAAATGGATTTACCTGACTAAAACATGCATGTTTCTTTTCTTTGAAAATACATTTGTTTTTCTATTTTTCTTGGTTGTGGTACTGAGTAAGAGGTAGCCTTTATTCCTCTTTAAAGATGTACATACTGAAACGCACACAAAAAGCTATTAGACCCAATAGTTGTCAACAAGGCCACCTGCTCCCAACTCAAAGGTCTAAGTTTGTGGTAATAAATAAAATTAGGTAGGGGAAGATTAGGCTAAAAATTCTTCCAGGTTTTCTTTTTTTTTCTTTCTTTCTTTCTTTTTTTTTTTTTTTTGTAAGAAGGGCTATTACACTGCATTATATGCCCTAACAAATGTTTAACATTAAGCAAATAGCTTCCTGAAAGAATGAGACAACATTTAAGCCAAATCTACTCTACTTGAAATTTATGATAATATATAAGAAAAGTTTACTTTTGCTCAATTTGTGATAAAAGGATTAACCAAGTAAAAGTAAGTCAATGAAATACGATATGGGCATCTACTTGAGAAGATGTGTTACTTAGTTGACATAAGTATTTCTGAAAGTTTTTATAAGATCTTTATAATAAATTTCTATGTTTCTTAAAAAAGGATCAAGTTATTAGTATTCATTACACAGTCTTTTGCTATATTAAATAATATTTCAATGCATTTTATAATTTATATTTTAACATTAATGCACCTTTTAAAAATTAATCTATGCATATATATATATATATATATTTTTTTTTTTTTTTTCAATTTGCATCAGGATTCCAGTCCCTTACAAAACTGACAGTCTTTTGTGCATATGTGGCAAAGGGAAACAGCTCAAGATCAAGAAACCTAACACCTGGCTTCTCCACTTCACTCTCTCCTAGCTAGTGGCACTCACTTTGGGAAAATGAGCTTTTAAACTCCTTATTAGCAATTAATATCTACAAAATGAAAGTGTATGTCTAGAGCAGTGCTTCTCAAACTTTAATATGTACACAAATCACATGGGACTGTGTTGAAAATGCAGATTCTGACTCAGTAGTTCTAGGATTCTGGATCTCCTAAAACTTCCAGTTTAAAATGGTGTTGGCCCACATTGAGCAAAATGTCTAATCTTCTCATATTCCCTGGCTACACAATAGAAGCACATGGTGAGATTTTTTAAAATGCCAAAACCTGAATCCTACTCAAAACAGCTGAATGAAGTTCTTGATGTGGGGTCCGACATCACATCTTTAAAGTCTGAAGCGAGGACTGAGAACAACTGTACCAGGTAATAATTGATTTCTGTTCAAGCTCTATGTTGACCTTACTAGACAAGACATATTTTGTAAAATCATGTGTTCGACTGCAAAATGTGACAACCTGTCATCTACAGGAGATTGATAAGAAAACAAATAATGTTTTGGATAGTGAATTTATGTAAGTGCTAAGTATCTTTCACTGAAAGTAGAAAAACAAGAAAATTGAAAAATGTAATTGAATACCACCAAAAGCACCAAAGGGAGATTAAGAATCCACTTTAAAAAAAACGATATGGCTTCATGCGAAGATTGTAACATGAAGCAAAGTAAGGGCGAAGGGTCAAGGCCACATTTAATTAATTATGGGAAAGTCACATGTAATTAACAGCCGGGTGGGATAAATATCCTTTTCTGTGTACTTGTAAAGGTGAAATGGATCTGTTCAAGGGTGGGCCTCTGATCACAGAAAAATGTTCGGTTTCTCTTAGTTGAACTAACCAATTCTCTGGTCCCATGGGGCAAAGAATGTCTTTAAACAACAAGAATTATAATTAAAACCAACACCCCCTTCACTGTAATCCCTGCTCAGCCCCTTTCTTTAGTGTTCTTCTTGATACTTACTACCTTCTGACGTATCATGGTACGTATTTCCTTTGTTTACATTAAAATGTAATAGCAAAAACTTTTGTCTAAGTTCCTTACAGTATCCAAGGTGCCTACAGCAATGCCTAGCATAAAATATTGGTGTTAGGTAAACATTTATTGAACAAGTAAATTAATAAAACAAGTTAGAATAGAATAACAAAATATGGTACAGGAAAATAAGAAGGGAGGATAAAGAATATAATCTAAGAAGATCTAAGAATCCACCCTGATTCTTCCTACTGGCTTCCTACTGGAATCTTGTATTGTTTCATATGAAAGCTGGACTTTATAAACTATTGTGTCTGAAATAATTTTAAGACGTTTATATCATAATGATATAATTTAATATTTTTAAATACCTAAAATTGTATAAGCAAAATATTTTATATAGCTTATGAGGTACTTAATAAGCGTTTAAAATCCTTAACTGACTTCAACTGTGGAAAATTACTTTTGTATCTTAATAAGATGAACTGAAAAGCTTTCAAACTATGAAAACTTTTTACCTTCTCAGATAAATCAATAATTTTATAATTAGATATAATGCTATCCTTTCAGAAGGCTGTTGATTCAAATATGAAAAATAAAAGAAGACTCTTATTCTAATAACCTTTGAAGAACTGCAATCATGAGAACACAGCAATGGGCTAAAAAGAGTGACACTTTTGCCATTTCTTCCAGTATAATATATGGTGCTTTAATGTCATGTTGTGTGACCAAATCAAAGTGAGGCAAAAGGAGACACAGGCAACCATGGTGTGATTTACATTTATTTTCTGGTTTAATAGGATCTTCATTATCCTAAAATCTTCTAAGGCAATTTAAAGGGGTCCACTTAACTAATATTTTTTGATATTTATTGATATTCTAGTCTATTGGATTTTTCTTTTTATCTTCTATTCTTTAAAGTATGCACAGGAGGGAGGACTATCTGATTACAACAGCTGAATTCAGATGCTAAAAAATTATAGTTTATGGTGTCTACAATGATGTTTGATGAACTTAATTTTGCCAGTGTGTTTTGATAATTATAGCTTTCTAATTTTAATAAATTTTTAATTTTTGTGTAATTTTGTCATTTTTCATTTTTTTATTTTTAATTTTTGCAGTAGTTGTAATTGTAGCTTCCTTTCTACTGAGCTATACTGTTATTCTGACTTTCTCCACCCTATTCCAAATTAACATCTTTTTGGCTTCAAAAACCAAAATCAACAAGTATCTTTCTTTTCTTGGTATACTGCTGACAGCAGACAGTAAAGTTAATATGTGTTGACAGACACTTGAATTAAATTGTGAATTTTAGGGGAAATATATTCTTATTTGTGTTTAATAATGTGGTTAAATCAATGGAAAAAAGGAGGTGACCACTTGTAAAGAGAGGCCTATTTCCCCTCCATTAAGTTTAATTGCAAACATTTTAGACATAATGAATCACTGCAGACCATAGGCCACTTCATCGTCATTCTGTGGTCATTATGGTTGCTTGTGGGTGTAAGTTTTGTATCTTCAATTAGTTGCGGCAAGAAAATTGTAAGCATAATTGTGAATACTGTAGGAGCCCTTTGCACGTTGCTCATGAAACTTAGAAAGAAAAGAAAAGCTCAAATAACTTTTTAGAAACTTTCAGCCTACAAAAATCTAAAACTTTTATGTCATGAGAGTTAAAAAATGATCTCTTTATTTTTGTTTCTCCATCTTAGGCAAAACAATCTGAAAAGCCGTTTATGACAAACTTTAAAATGTACTCTGAGAAAACCACCATAACTATACTTTAAAATTGTTTTGCAAAGCCCTGGGCAGTTCAGAGAGCCAAACAAACAAAAGATGTAAAATTACTTTAGGTGTTCTCAAGCTTATAAGCATCAGAATAAAATGAAACTGGCTGCTTTAAGTTGATTGTAGAGATGCAGGAGAAGATACCAATACAAGGGAGAGTTTACCAGTCATTAGAAAAGACAGAGAAAGTCACGGGAAATGGAGTCATGGAGTCACACTATTTGAAGCATTGTGAAAATGAACATATTTTCTGAAAGGAAATAGTTTAATAGATGTTAGTCACTAGAGTCTGAAGGCAAAACTGAATCAAGGGGAATCAAATTGTGAAATGCCTAGAATAAATTTTCTTTGTCACTGGGTAACATTAGATAATTCAGGTTAGTAACTGTTTGAACTTGAATTCAGTGTTTAAACTAAGAAGATAGAAATAATAGGGGTTGAGAAGTGGAAATTATTTGTCGTATCTCATTATGAACAGAAATAACTGCTAATTCTAGAATATACATAGCTTCAAGAATACGATATCTATATAGTCTCAGGTTAAAAAATGAAGCAGAAGAGTAAAAGAAAAAGAAGTCAAAACACACGCAAAAACACCTAGATACATTGCTGTAAGCACAGAGATGCATATAAATGCAAAAAAAAAAAAAGAAAGGAAAAGAATAAAGCATATGAAAAAAATTAAGTCATTACTTAGACCATGCGAAGTAGGTTAGACCTGGAGAGAACTTCTGTTACATAATTTTAACTTTTTACCAGAAATCACGTACTGATTTTGTAATTATTTTTAGCAAATTATAAAAAGATAAAAGAGAAAAAAACTTAGGTCTTTGACATGGAAAATGCAAAGCCAAAAATGACATTAATATTTCCAAGCTTCAAAGCAGGTAGGGTGACCAGAGGCAGCAAACAGAAGAGCCAAAGCTTTGAACTTCACAAGCAAAAGTCTCCTTCATGTCCTCTGCATTTACTTTTTCATTTGCTTTCTCCCACATAGTCACATGGCTTAAAGCTCTCCCCACAGATATTTACAGAACAGATTTGCTTCACTTCATTTTTCTCCCCATAAGATGTCACCTAGTTGGACAGTCTGACTCCACTTCCTAAAATATTGCCTGCCACCTTCCCCTCACTTCACTACTCATTATCCTGAATTAGCTTCCTTCATAACACTTATCAGAATCTGACATTGATCTATGTATTAGTTTATTATGTGTCTCCAACATTACAATGGAAGCTCCATGAGAACAGGGGGATTGGCTTTTTCTCCCGTCTTTTCTAGCACCTACAACAGTCCTGGGTACAGAGCACTACTTAAAAGATATGTATTAAATAAGAGAAGGAATCTTACAGATGATGTCTTAGATATGCTCTTAGGATCAACAATCCAATAAGATGGAGTCTAAAGTAGATTGTCAAACACAATAAAAACAACTCTTAAAAGTTAACTTTGGCCAGATGCGGTGGCTCACACATGTAATCCCAGCACTTTGGAAAGCTGAGGCAGGTGGATCACACGAACTCGGGGGTTTGAGACCAACTTGGGCAACATAGCAAAACCCTCTCTCTAGAAAAAGTACAAAAATTAGCCAAGCATGGTGGCACAAGCTTGTAGTCCCAGCTACTTGGAAGGCTGAGGAAAGAGGATTGCTAGAGTTCAGGAGGTTGAGACTACAGTGAGCTATGATGATGCCACCACACTACAGCCTGGATGACAGAGTGAGACCCTGTCTCAAAAAAAAAAAAAAAGTTAATTTTATTCACTTAAAAGGAGTATTACATTGTATCTTGCATTTTATATCTCAGCGAGATTTGTAGTCTCTTCTAGATAGTTAATGAATAATTTTAAATTGGAAATCAGCATAAGCAGAATTATGGCTTAATATGAAGTATGAAGGCTCTCTTGACTTGTATGGTAGTCCCTAATTTATCATCATTTCAACTCAAGGCTTCTACGAGAATCTATGAAGGAAGAAACAATGACCTGGAAATGTTGTGAAAGCTCAAAAGCAACATAAGTAGAAATGCAATACATTAAAAATAACTCTTCAGTCACAATGTTGAACTTTATTTTTCATTTTCCCATATTTTCTACTTAATTAATTATTTACTGGGAATCCCTTTGAGCATACAACAAGAACAAACACACTCAAATGTGAGGGAAATTTACTTTCAAAAAAACAGTAGAGTGTTTATATCATATTGGGAAAAATCTTGAATTTTGTATTTGATTTGATATGCCAAATCAAAACTAATATGAAATTCTGTCCATAATTGTTCAAAATTGTCCACTTTGCAAATTCCCTCTTCATTATAATCGCCTGGTGGTATTGCATGTGCCAGCTTTTAAGTCAAACAACACTTGCTTTGAATCCAATAAATGGTGAAAATAGAATTTTTCACAACTCCAATTAAAATGCTAATATTGGGGAGGATAATTTATTGTTATACCTATAATACAAGAAAATCCATGAGATACTCGTTTATTGGTTTTGAGCCAGAATCTTGCTCTGTCACCCAGATAATACTTAATTGGTTTTCTTTACAGGTTTTCTCATCAACATCCCCAAAATTAATCTGGTTTTGTTGTTGGTTAATTGAGAGACTGGATTTATATATAAAAGTTGTATAACATGATTTTAAAAACTAGCAAATGAAATAGCGAATTGAAATTGTAAAGTACTTCAAATAAGCATATGAGACAGCATTATTATTATTATAAATGCTTGACACCAAAAGTAGATTAAAAACTAACTGTAGTAAAGAAAGAGAATGAATACGTAGGTAAATATTAATCTTTGACTACTGAGTATTATAAAAAAGTTGCATTAATTTGAATAGATAAAAGTGTTTCTAATCTGATGGTGGGTGTGTGTGTGTGTGTGTATGTGTGTGTGTGTGTGTGTACGTGTATGGATGTGTATTAATAACCATAGGGAATATAGTGTAATTTTTATGTGATGACTTAGAATCTCAGAATCACTCAAGGCATTCTGAGACCCCCACATCCTCACAGTGTTGAAGTGTGTCTAAGAATGTCGAATTTTTCATAAGAATCCAGCTTCCAGAACTCAAGAGTCTAGAATTCTGGGTTTTAAAAGCATTTCTCAGCTGGGCATAGTGGCTAATGCCTGTAATCCCAGCACTTTGGGAGGCCAAGGCAGGTGGTTCACCTGAGATTAGGAGTTCAAGACCAACCTGGCCAACAATGCGAAACCCTGTCTCTAGTAAAAATACAAAAATTAGCTGGGTGTGGTGGCACACACCTGTAATCCCAGCTACTCGGGAGGCTAAGGCAGGAGGATCACTTGAACCCAGGAGGTGGAGGTTGTAGTGAGCCTTGCACTATTGCACTCCAGCCTGGGGGACAGAGCAAGGCTCTGGGAAACAAAACAAAACAAAACAAAAACAAAACGCAAAACAAGAAAAAAATCAAAACAGAGTTTCTCTAATAATTCTTACATATGCTAAATTTTGATAACTATTCTTCTGCAATATTGTGAATGAGGCAATAATGCAATAACTATAAAAAGGTAACAGTATCATCACTGATGTCTAACATTTCAAATGTGCTCTTTATTTACCACCATTCTAATCATGTTACATGCACTAACTTCTTTACTAGTCACAATTACACCGTGAAGTAGACATTGCTTCAAATTCCATTTTGCTATTAAATAACATGTAGTACAGAAAGGTTAGGTAATCTATCGAATGTAACACAGCATGTAAGTGGCAGAGGCTAGAGCTGACAGTAGAACCAAGGGAGCCTGATTTTTAATTTGCCGTATTAGCCCTTTCAGAATTCCCTTGTGCCTAATCCATGACAAACACTGTGGGTCAAAGGGGAAACTTTCCAAACAACTTTCGGGTCCAGAGGGAAGAGAGACAAACTCTGAGACAAACTGCAAGTTTGACACAGGCATAAGATAATCAGAGAGAAGACGTGGTTAATCTCTGTGGGGCAATTTATCACACAGCAGGTGACTGAAACTTAAAGATTGGGTGAGAGCGGCAGATAAGATTATAGCAACATTCCACACAGTACCAGTCATCTCTGCAAAAATCACAGAATGTGGCAAGTTCAGGAAAAAATAGTTAAAAGTGGCACAGATATATTGTGTAGGAAGGGGACAGATAGAGGAAGGTGAAGCTGGAGAGGTAACTGGAGAATCATGAAGGAAAGGGCATCACTGGATGTGACTGTTGCAGTCTTTCTGTTCCTTAGCTCAGTTAGGTCTGAGCTCTTGTCTCACAACCAGGAAAAATTAGGTGAGCAGACACCAGAGAGTGAGTGGAGTAGAATTTATTTAGCAAAAGGGAAGCTCTCAGCAAAGAGGGAAAGCTGTGGGAGGTTCCCCTACCTGAAAGTGGAAAAGTTCCCTTGTGAGGCAAGGTCCTGGGCTTCTTATGGACTCAGAATGGGGAGTGCATGCTGACTGGTTTGTGAGTATGCAAAAAAGGTTAAAGCAAACATACCACTCAAAGGTGGGCATGACAGTATAGAAAAATCAATCCGGAAATGGTAGGTATATGTAAAATAGGTGAACGGTGGGGATCAATCAGATAAAAGCAAGCAAAATAGCAAGGCGAGTTCTCAATCTGGGTAGAGAATTTAACTTGTAGTTTGACTTTCAGGCTTTAAATTGTCTCTGGCTTGGAGATGAGGTTTCACTGGAGATCTGCCCCTATCTGCCTAGACATTTGGCTGCCTCCTGCCACTCTCATAACCAGCCCACAGGCTACAGTTGTACAGATGACAACACCCCCTTGAGTTGTGCAGGGGAAAACCTGCACTAATATATTCAGTTGGGGAGTGAGCATGGGAGGCTATTAAAGAGTTAAATAATGGGATTAGATTTACTACAAGTTTAAACTGCTGTGCTATGAAGGACACACATGAAGATCGTAACCTACCTAAATGTGACTGAATTTGAGGAGACATGGTCAAGTACGATTTTCTCTAGTGACAGAGAATTTGTTTTTCAAAATGAACCATTTTAAGGATAGCGTATAAAAAGACCTTGAAAACAGCCCTCTTTTATGAAGTTCAAGGTTCACCTACACTCTTTGCTAAGGATTCCTTAAAATGGTAACAACTTTATCAACTTGGGGGCAGTGAAACTAGCTAAGAAAAAAGTTACAAACTCAAGAGAAATAGTCATCAAAAATATTGGTGTCTATATTAACTTGAGGCATGGTGGACACAGTGCACTTCTTGAATCTTGCTGTATGTAGTACATTTTGCTCTATTACTTGAGAAGCACATGTGGGAAAGACCACAGTAAGTGAAACAAACTCAAACAAGCTCAGGTCTGAATACTCCAACCAATTGGCTTGGTGGACAGGGTAGCTTTGCTGCAAGCTGGAGGCCATCAGTCACAACCGCTTGCTTGGGAAGGCATTTTGGAGCAATCTCCAAAGCAAGTTTCATTTCAAATGATACTGCAAAGTAGACAGGAGCAAAGTGCAAACTTCTTATGAAACTGGAAAGCGTTCACGGAAGAGGAAATGAGTTCAACATTTCAAACCAACTGAGTAAGAGAGAAAAATCTATATAGGTCTTTGGGGAAGCAAACTTTAGAGAGCGCTGAGAGGATGATTATAGAAGGATTGATAGGAAAAGAGAGTAGAAAAAGACTAGGTTAAAGAAAAAAGAATAGGATGAAAAGAGAAGGAAGGGAGTGAATAAAAAGAGGAAAAAAGTGTTTAGATGCTGTATATCTGGTAATGTTAATGTGGAAATGCAAATGATCGGGACTGTTCCTGACTTTATGAAATAGTTATCTAATAAATGTTAGCGAAGATTCAATCTCATGCTGATTTGAGGCCAAATCTTGCTTTCTTCCATTTACAACCATTTAACCAGTTCCATGAACCCTATTATAATTATGATTCATTAACCTATTATACAGAAAGTCACATTATTTTCTCAAGGTAAGGCTCTAATTATCTAATATTTTTATATTTTGCAATAATTGGGGGTAGGTAGGATATTCATGTATAGATTAATGTGAAATAGGATACAGGATCTTCTTCTACTTGCAAAAATATGCTTTAATGCTCTTCCTTAAAAATAAATTTTTTAAATTGCATATTCCTGGAATAGGGACAGAATATGTCTGTTGATTTGGTTGTTTTACTTTTATAGGGACATCATTGATTTAGATAAAAAATAGTAATAATATTGTATTTATTTGCATTAGGAATTGTCAACACTGAGATAAGTGTTAATAAATATCTTTTAAATTACTGCACATTTTGGCTGGAGAACCAGTGGAAGCTTTGAGTTTAACCTTGTCCTTAAGCTCTTTTCAGAACGACAGAATTGATTTTGTAAGAATAGATTATAAAAATATCCAAAATATCTAGGTGAGGAAGTGGAAAGCTGCCTGAGGTGTTTTGGTGTTAGCTAGCACAAAGTGGTGAAGAATAAAACAGTTGAACTGTATGCAGAAAGAAAAGCTGCTGAGCTATTGTTTCCCATTCTTGGCTCATAGTTTGTGCTTGTAGCATTTGCCTTGCAGGGTGATTATCCTGCTGCCAAGAGTCTTTCTTTTCCCTATATTGTCCTTATTTATCATTGGATAATTTGGTCTAGCCCATTGGCTTGAATGGATCAAGAAATTTTTTTTAAATTGAGCAAAATTGTTCCCAAGTCACTTCAGCACTATACATAATTTTGTCAGTAGGCCACAAAACATGAAACATTGAAAGGAAGGACACTGGAAAGAATATCAAGCATTATCCTGCCATCAAGAGACAGGTTTTATATATATGTGTATACATATATATACCTGTGTGTGTATATATATATGTGTGTGTGTGTGTGTGTATACACACACACACATACACCAGTTTTATTTTTATACATATATATATATATACACCTGTATGTGTGTATATATATATACACCTGTATGTGTATATATATATATATACACACACCTGTATGTGTATATATATATATATATATATATACACACACACCTGTATGTGTATATATATACATATATATACACACACCTGTATAGGTATATGTGTATGTGTATATATATATATATATATATATATATATATATACCTGTAAGAATGTGTGTGATTGTGGTCTCTGTGTTTCAAGAAAATAAAACGATATACAAAGCAAGTGTGAAACAGATGAGATGGGAGCAAGAATAGTGCTCTATAAAATTAGACAAAGAAGATTCTGCAAAGGTGACAGTGAAAAGCATATAATACAATCTTCTGGTTGGAGATTAAAAGATCAATTATCATAATAATATTCCTAATTATTCTGTGTGGACTTTTAAGTAAGGTGTAGCTGCTCTCATTTACATTCCCCAACAAGCCTGTAAGATAGAAAGCATAATTGTGTTTCTACTTCTTAGAAAAAGGAACTGAGCCTCAGAGAGATTGCCAAACTGGCCATGGTCAGGGTAAGTGTCTGTTCTTCAACAGAGAGTCAGTCCTCTGAGTTCATACATTTAAAAAATCAAAGTCTGAAAACAAATTTAAGGCTTCATTTAAAATGAGAGTGTGTGGCATTAAGTACAAATAAGTAAGAAGTACTAGTCCACATAGTAAAATATATTTTTTATGAGAAGAGGAAATATAAATCGGTTTGAAAAGGATCAGATGATTTTATTCAATATCCACTCATAAAATCTGGTGCTGGCTTTACCTTTCAAGTTGATCTGAGGAAGACCCACCGTGCGTCCCAGGAAGGTTCCCCTCGAGCTCCTGTCAATACCAGTGCTTCTCAAACAACCTGCAAATCCTTTGATGTGGAAAGTTTTAAGCTATTATTAAAGTTCTGTTTGTGGTAAGATACATCAAATGAGTCACAAAGTATGCTCAGAAAAGAATATGGGGCAAGAAGGTTGAAGTGGAATATAGGTTACAATTCTATGAGCTCTTCCAACAATTTTTCTAGGAATGTAAGGTAATAATTACAATGGAGTTATCATGGAAATATATGCCATATTCCACATCAAGTGTTATGACAGATGTATGAAAGAAACATTCTTTTCTTGAAACTATAGAAAAAATCCATGACAAATCTCCTGACATATGCCCTAATGCAGCCAAAGCATGTGACTTTTCTTGATCGAATAGTAGAAATAAGATAATTGGCTGGGTGCAGTGGCTCATGCCTATAATCCCAGCTCTTTGGGAGGCCGAGGTGGGTGGATCACGAGATAAGGAGTTCAAGACCAGCCTGACCAAGATGGTGAAACCCCGTCTTTACTAAAAATACAAAAATTAGCTGGGCCTGGTGGCAGGTGCCTGTAATCCCAGCTACTTGGGAGGCTGAGACAGAAGAATTGCTTGAATCTGGGTGGCAGAGGTTGCAGTGAGCCGAGATCGCGCCACTGCACTCCAGCTTGGGCGACAGAGTGAGACTCCATCTCAAGAAAAAAAAGATAATCATGTAAATTTTTGGAGTATCTTCTAAGAGGTGTGTGAGGAAAGGCAATTAGAACTGGATCCAATTCGTGTGACACCTAGTAGCTTTATAGTTACTGCTAAACCATTTTAGAAATCAAAGCTCTGATATGCCCAGGGAAGATTTATTAGAAACAGAAAATATGTTGTTGTAACTGCTGGTACTTTAAGTACCTAGAGATAAAGTAGCCAGAGATAGAGGGAGTGGAATTAATTCAAAAACAGTTGACTTTGTCTGCGTATCATCTACAGCTAACAGCATTTTAAGCTATCAGACACAAGGCTGGATCCAGACACAGGCAACCATAAGCTCCAGTGTCAAGACCATTTTCATTTCTAAAAAAGAGTTGTTCAGACTGTTGATCTCAGTGTTGTAGAAGGTTACGCAGTTTTGGGAGTCTTCTCTCTCTCTCTCTCTCTCTCTCTCTCTGTGTATATATATGTGTGTATATATATATATATATATATATATATTTTTTTTTTTTTTTTTTTTTTTTTTTTTTTGAGGCTGAGTCTTGCTCTGTTGCCCAGGCTGGAGTGCAGTGGCATGATCTCAGTTCACTGCAACCTATGCCTCCTGGGTTCAAGCGATTCTTGTACCACAGCCTCCCGAGTACCTGGAATTATAGGCATCTGCCACCATTCCCGGCTAATTTTAGCATTTTTAGTACAGACGGGTTTCACCCTGTTGGCCAGGCTGGTCTCGAACTCCTGACCTCAAGTGATCTGCCCACCTCGGCCTCCCAAAGTTCTGGGATTACAGGCGTGAGTCACCACACCCGGCTTTGTCTATAGACGTTTTTTAAATGAAATAGATATAAAAAGAACAGGCAATGCCCAAATGTGTCCCATGAACTAAGGGTGAGGTTTGCTTTCTGCAATTTTAGCTATCCAAGATCAACCGTGCTCTGAAAATATTAAATGAAAAATTCCATAGGTAAACAATTCATAAGTTTTGAATTGCATGCCATTTGAGTAACATGATGAAATCTGACACTGCCTTGCTCTCCGGACCTGGGTTGTCCAGCATCTCCACCTGTGTGTGCTACCAGTCTGTTAGTCATTTAGCAGCTGTTTTGGGTATCACATCCATTGTCACAGCATCACGGTGCTTGTGTTCAAATAATTCTTATTTTACTTAATAATGACCTCAAAGGGCAAGAGTAGGGATGCTGCCAATTGGGATGTGCCAAAGAGAAGTCATAAAATGCTTCCTGTAAGTGAAAATGTGAAAGTTTTTTACTTACTAAGGAAAGAAAAAAAAATCTTATGCTGAGATTGTTAAGATTATGGCAAGAATGAATCTTCTATCAATGAAATTGTGAAGAAGGAAGAAGAAATTTGTGCATAGTAGGTTTCAGTACTATCTGTGGTTTCAGGCATTTCACTGATGGTCTTGGAGTATATCTGCTGAGGAAAAGGGGGGACTACTGTAGTTTTATGAAAATGTTTGTTTGAATTATAGGTTTATGTGGAGGAGGAAAAGTTTGATGAAAATGTTTGTTTGAATTATAGGTTTGTGTGGAGGAGGAAAAGTTTGGATAATGGGGAGCCATGGAGACTTGTGTACAGTTTCAGAAAGTAAAATGTATTTCTAAATGTGAGTAGAGACTTAAAAATTGAATAACATGGGCCGGGCACAGTGGTTCATGCCTATATTCCCAGCACTTTGGGAGGCCAAGGTGGGTGGATCATATGGTCAGGAGTTCAAGACCAACCTGACCAAGATGGTGAAACCCCATCTCTACTAAAAATATAAAAATTACCCAGGCATGGTAGCGGGCGCCTGTAATCCCAGCTATTCAGGGGGCTGAGGCAGAGAATTGCTTGAACCTGAGAGGCAGAGGTTGCAGTGAGCTGAGATTGCACCACTGCACTCCAGCCTGAGCAACAGAGCAAGACTCTGACTCAAAAAAAAAAAAAAAAGAGGAATAACATTGCCCTAAGCAATGATGCTAATGGCATCATAGAAAAGCTGATAAAAAGCTCCCACTGTGGCTGCCCTATACCTTTGGGATTCCCCAGTGTTATTTCTGGGACTTCAATTTAGGAGCATGTCTCCTTCTACCTTCCATGTCAGCAGAGCCAACCTTAACTTCCTGTCCTCCTGTGTGTGGACTTCACGCAGACCTCCAGGCAGGGGAGCTTTCTAAATTATCTCTTTGTGGCTCAGCCCATTATCTACACTGCTCACAAATTAATTTTTCTGAACCCCCTCCATGCTCAGAACTCTCCAATTGTTTTCCATCTGGTTAAGATGAATTTTAAACTCTTTAGCATGGAATTTAAAAACTTTTGAATCTATTGGTCCTTACTAGTGTTTTTCAGCCTCATTGCTATTGAAAGCCCTAAGATCCAGTAGAACAAAACCACTCACTGGACCCAGGGTGTATGGGAATATTTCCCACCTCTGTGCTTAGGCCTGTGGCTGTCCTTGTCTACTGTTTATTCCTCTCTTTATAAACTGGTAAACTTTTAGTTTGTTCCCAAGTCTGTATTCACATATCACCATCTCTGAGGAAACTTCATTGGTATTTTCTATCCCAAGCATCAGTAAGATGACTCATCTTTTTGGCCTTCACAATCCTTTACTAGGTTGTCTCTCCTATTATATTATATATAACTTTTTTATTCCAAGTGTTCAATACAGTATGTGAAACATAGTAAAAGATTCATCTGTATGTGTCAAATGAGTAAATATCAATAATCATGGATATAATACATATAAAAATTATGAATATTTGATGGATACATTTATTTAATTGTTGTTCTTTTTTCCCTAAAACTGATAAGTATTAATTTATGTACCAACAGTGCAATATTGAAAATGAATTTGCACATCATATAATAAAATCATCATTTAGTACACATGATGCTTTGAGCCCTGCAAATAACTGCTTGCCTAAGCTGTTCTTGATGAGTTATTATTTTAGTCTACACAACAGTAAAGAGAAATGATTTGTTTGTGTATTTATAAATAGTTTCTGTGTCATGTGTTTTTAGATTTTTTTTTTTTTTTTTTTTTGGTGGAGAGAGGGATAAGCAATGGAATGGCAAACACAGTAGAGAGAAAGGGAAATAAGATTCTTAAAAGAAGTCAGATATGTTCTAAATTTTTTTTTTAACAATAATGTGGGCTCAAAAGGCATTTGACATCTTCCATATAGTATAGAAAATTTCATCAAATCAGTCATTTATCTTAAAGGAAAAGGATGATAAATACAAATTCAAATTGTTTTTTTTAACTTAAAAAAGTTAACAAAACTAAATTAAAATGAGCAATTTGCTTTTTTTTTTTTTTTTAATAAAAAGGGAATGATTACCAAAATTAAATTGACATTTTGACCTTTGGTTATTTTGTAGAGTTGTGGTTATCTTCCTTATGGATTAATAAATAATTTTTCTTTACCCTTTTAACATGCACCATAAATTAGACCACTTTTCTTGGCATGTACTTTTTCAGTCACATTACTGCTGTAATAATTAATCAAAGGAGGGTTGATACCTGTCTTATTAATGTAATCATAAATAGATTTTTCACACTAATTTTGGCAAGTGTGATCTGAAATACTGGACATATGTGTAACATGAAAAGATTAAGCTGACATCTGTGTTTCCAATAGTGTGGATACCAAAGACACAAAGATTAGGGAATGACAAGGCTGGAAGTCAAAGTACAGTGTTAAGAGCAGTTTTGGGAATTAAGGCAATGACTAGATTTTATGAAATCTTCTTTTGTGGGCCCCATTGGGCTTGACAGTGTAATTCACATGTATTTTTTTATTTATTGTTTTTAAGGAAGGAATATAACATATATTAGCTCTTGCTATGGGTAGTGTCTTTCTCAAACTAATCCTGTAAAGTATATACTCTTAAATTTTTTTTTGTCTATGAATTTTTTTTATGAGTCAAGAAATACGTGCATATTCCTCATTTTTCACCCTGAATTCAAAATGCTGGTCCCTCAACTAAAATATGAAATCCTTGTAGGCAGGGAATGTACCCTTAGACTGATGATAGGTTTTACTTTCTAGGCCTCTGTGCTGTAGAAGACCCTACACTGGCCCTGCTTCAGGTCTGACCTTTCTTATGAAGTAGAAAGTTTATGGGGCTATGGGGATGTATCCCTCTGGGACCCAGGCCCCGCCCTTTTCCTTCCTAGACTATGTCTCTACTGACTGAAAATGAGCGTAAACACCTGAATCCAGAATTTAAGGTCTGGGCATGATCTAGCCCCTGACTGCTTTTCTGGTACCCTCTACCAAGAAAAGTGGTCAGGCACCTATTTCATTTTATTCACTGAACACACCCAGCTCATCTTTGCCTCAGAATGTGGCACCAGATGTTTTTTGTCTGCCTCCAGTGCCAGAATCTCCATTTTGAAGACTGGATTCCTCCCTATGTCCAGGTTTCCACTGAAACATCAACTCCTCAAAGTGCATTTTTCAGATCAACTGTGGCAAAGGGATTATTTTATTAATATTTGTTTGTGTGTATGTCTGTGTGTGTTTGTGAGTGTCCACATGGAATGCAAATTTCACTAGAGCACAGTTTTGTCCTCTTTATTATTGTTTTGTCCTCTGTAAAGTTTTAGGGTCCAGAATGGCAACTAGAACATGAGGCAACTCAATAAATATTTGATGAATCAATGTTTATTGAGTGAATTATCTGGTATAATTACATGTTCAATAAATGTATAATGTGTGAAGAATAAAGCAATGAATTAATAGTTGAATGACTTCCAAAACCTATGGTCATTTCACTGTTACACACTACTCATACTCATCCAATGAACCCTACTGGGCCCCTACAAAGGCAAGAGGGTTGGCTGTACACTATATATAGCAGTAAATTCTTTATCTTCCTGTCCTTGCATTGTGACATGACAGATCCTCCCACCAATAAGTGGAGACTATCTCTCCACCCTTTGCATCTTGGTCAGCCATGCTGCCTGCTTTGGCCAATGAGTCATTGGCAAACATACCAGCAAAGAAGCTTTTCTTCTCTTGCTACTCTGGAAACCACTGAGACTGCCATGCAAAAAGCTCAGACATTCTATTCCATGATGAGAAACATGTGGCCCTGTCCCCACATTAACCAAGGTGACTGGCTACCAACTACCATCTATATAGGAATGACACAATCCTAGATCATCTAGCCTTTAGCCAACCCACGAAATAACCACAGATATATGATTGAGGTCAGAAGCCAGCAGCTGAGCTGGCTCAGTCCAGAGATACCATCTAGCCAACTCAAAAAAGTATGAGTAAAATACACGATGGTTGCTATTTTTCATCACAAAGTATTGGTGCAATTTGTTACATGGCAAAATTGAACTGATACTGAGGCTATATGGAAAAAAATAAAACAGGTACTGCTGTAACTGTGCGTTTTCATAAATTTACGTAGCTTTTTAAAGTGTCAATATTGCACTCAAATGCAAAAAAGTCATTTTGCAATGGCTGCTTTTAAAGACCTCATTAATAAAATGCCTCAAGAATTTGACAGAGGAAGAAAGACTAGAATTTATCTTAATATAATCGAATTTGATGAGTCATTTTTATATACCTCAAAGGTATATTTGAGTGACTAACTGAAAACAAGTTCCAAGTTGAATAGTTAGAGGTTGAGTTAGAATAGATGAAAGCCTTTCTCTTAAATGCTGACATCACAGGATTTGCCATGATCATATTAAGTTTGAAAGAACAGCAGTGAGATTGCAAGTTTAGAATGTTCTGTTTAAACCATGGTTCAAATAAATTTTGATATTGTGATACTAAATTTATGGCTGAAGATCAAATCATCTTAATGTCATTGGACAACATGTTTTGATATATACATTAACAAACACCATGTTATTCTGCTTAAAAATCATTGGAAGTTTTGCTGAGAAAACTTCTGGCCTCCAAGCATATTTTAATGAATGATTCCAATACCACACTAATCTGATACGTGAATTTGAATTGCTAATATTATAAAAATTTGCTGCCCATGCTGCTACTGTGGATGCTCACTTCTGCTAAAGCAGATGTCTATTATCCATCTTGCCACATACACATTAAACTGCTAATCTAAGGGGTAAAAAAATTAAATAGCCTATTTCTCTTGTTATTGTTACATTGAAGAATCCCTAAGATGTAATGGTGAGGCAGATTTTTTATCATAATATAATTTTTTATATTGGTATATATTCACTTCTAACATTCCTCTAGCCCATTAGGGTACTTTGAACGGTTCTGCCAACAGCAATATGTTCAATCTGTAGTATTATGTTTTCCCAATCAGAAAATCACGTATGCTATTCCTATGTCTCATATAAGCATTCTGTCCAAGCCATTCCAAAGTACCATCTGTCAGTATAGGCACTATCATTCAAATGAAGATGTTTCTCATCATTTAGTAGGAAAGAAATGGTGGGCAAAATAACCAGGACACAAAAAGGACCAAGAGATTGAGAACAGAGTCTATCTGTCTCTCCTGAGTCAAGTAAGAACTTTCAAATAGAGTAAGCGTGAAGTGTGGTGGCACATTCCTGTAGTCTCAGCTGAGGCAAGAGAATAGCTTCAGACCAAGAGTTAAGTTTGTAGTGCACTAGATCACAACTGTAAATAGCTACTGCACACTAGCCTAGGCAACATACTGAGATCCTGTCACTAAAACATAAACAAAATAAGATAATAAAATAAAACCTTCCACATATATCCAAATATCAGCCAAATAAAATTGTTTTACAGTAAGACATTTTCCTCCTTCTCTCAAAGAATAATATTTTAGACTGATGTGCTAATGATGGGAAGGACTCATTCAGCCTTGGCCATGGATTCTGAACCTTTATCAAACACTTTAAATATTCCTACTGTGGTGGTTTTTAAATGCATTCAAAAAGTCTTTGATACTTCTTTTCTCAGGAGATACAACTTTATTCTAAGTGTGGGCTGAACTTAGTAACCAACTTCTAATGAAGAGAAAGTAGTAGAAGTGATGATGTGTTACATCTGAGACAAAGTAGTAAAAGGCATCGTGCCTTCCTTCTTGCTCTGTCTTGGCTAAAGCACTTTTGAGGAAGCCAACTTCCATATTATGATGATCCTGGAGGAGTCCTATAGACAGGTCCACATGGCAAGAAAAGACGATCTCCTGACAACAGCGTTGTTAATGAACCATTTTGAAAGCTTATCTTCTGGCCCCATCTAAGCCTTTAGATGACTGCAGCCTTGACCAGCATATTAAGTACAATTTCAGGAAAGTACCTGAATCGTACTCACTCAGCTAAGCGGCACCTGAACTCTTGACTCACATAAAGAGTGCAATATGAAATGTTTATTTTTTTAACTGTTATGTGTTGGGGTAATCTGTTACTCAGCAAGAGATAACTAATACATCCACCAAAATAATCAATGAATTCAATAAAGCCATTAATTTAAAATTTTTTTAAAAAACGTTGATTTTCAATATCTTTGTTCCCTTCAAAATGGGTAGTTTGCCTGAAATATTTTCTGGCTTTCATAAAATCTTGTGAGATTATTTTAGGAAAAATTATAAAAATAAAATGTGGGCAATTAGGAAAAGTGCTTTATGTATAACTGAAATTATAAACAGAATGGAATTGAGAAGTTAGGCATGTATGTATAATTATATATAAATATATATGTAGTGGAGTTACCTGATCTGGGATGCTCTTACTACAAACTTACAGGCACATAAGCATATTTTCCCCAGTATATTTATGTATGCACTAGCATATGAGGTACTTTTTCTTTGAAAGCTTGGAAGAGGAAATAGTTTGTAATTGGGGGATGTGTTAGGGTTTGAGAAAGAAGGAGGAGGGGGAAAGAGAGATAGATATATATAGAAAGAGAGGACAAGACATTGTGAGAAAGTGGCTGAGAAGTCCCACAACTGGCCGTGTGCAAACTGTAGATCTAGAAAAGCCAGTGTTAGTCCAAATCCAAATTTCAAGTCCAAAGGCCTAAGAACCAGGGAAGCCAGTGGTCTAAATCCCAGTCCAAGTGCAGGAGTAGGTGTAACGAGTTATTCCTGTCAAGTATGACGCAGGGAAAAGTGGGAAAATTCCTTCCTCCTACACATTTTGTTCCGTTCAGGTCCTAAATGGATTGGACGATGTCCACCCACATTGAGAAAGGCAATCTACTTTGCTGAGTCCAGCTATTCAAATGCTGATCTCATCCAGAAACACCCTCACAAACAAACCCAGAAAAAAATGTTTACCCAGGTATTCCTTAACCCAGTCAAGTTGACACATAAAATCAACTATAACAGGGGATGATGCTAATAGTGAAAGAATAAGTGACATATAAGAAATGGTGTATCCCACGGCCAGCCCCCGAAGTTAGGTCTGATTTTCTATGGTAGAGAAGGAAGGGCCAAAAGCTGATTTAACCATTCAAGAAAGAATATGTCACCTTGGCTGACAATCACCTTGTGCCCAGAGTCCCATAAAATATGAAACTGAATGAGAGAGAAAAAAATCATTCTCCTATCTTTCCTACAAACCATCAATACCTTGTAGAACATTAATTACCATCCTTAGGAAACAAAACATTAGAGGTCACATAATGGACAGTGGCAGGAGGGCTCCAGCACTTGGAGTCATAGACATTGCAAGGGACTAACGATATAAAAGCAAGAGGAGGGAAACAGGGCAGTCCCTATGTGGTGACTGCAGTTGACAAGTTGTTTGCTCACATAAGACCCTCCTTTGAGAACGTTCAGAAAAACTGGTGTAATCTTAAATGATTAATCTCTTAGTAATTAGGAATCCTGTGGGTGAAAAAAGTGCAATTATTTATAGCCACAGTCCAGGAGGTCTTGGCTATGCATTAAAGTTTATAAATATGCCTACAACTTCAAAGTGTTTCTTTCCTCCCTCACTCCCTCTCTCCCTTCTTTTGTTGTCTTTGTTTTCCTTTATTCTTCCTTATAGCTAACCTCCCTTCTTTTTTGCTTTCCCATTCTTTTATATTCTATATTGTTGGATTACTTTTTCCCTAGAATCTAGATGCACTGGTTAAGAGTTAGGACTCTGGTTCAGCTGGGATTTAGCGATGTGGGCTTCTTGCCACACATACATACACAACCTGCTTCATGTTAGATGCCTCATCCTATTTTCTAACCCTACTAGGGGTCTTTTTGACCATACTCTATGGCTTATCACACACCCCTGGAATCTAGAAAATTTAGTAATCATCTTATGTCATTCCAGATTTTAGTTTCTGGGGGTTTGAGTGTCACCTTGAAGACTTTCTATTGCAGCAGGTTGAAACTTGGCATACATTTTGACAGCCAGATGCGATATTTCTTCCTGATTGCATGGCTCATAGTCACTTTAATAATGAATTGTTTTCTCAAGTAAAACTCAGTGGAGGTGCAACATCTGGTTTCTAGTGAAAAAGCCAACTTAATTTACTCAAATCCCTGGTGTGATTTACAAAGCACCAAAGAAGGTGGAACACTTAGACACGTTGTAGAATACCGACTGACTATGTCTACATTGGGAAGGGTTTCCTAAATGGCTCATTTAAGGCAATCAGGGAATCTTTTATTTGGTACCACCCTAACAGCCGAAATGTTTACATTTCTAAATGAAAACCTTTTTCTGCAGCTGAAAACATTTCCAAGAAAAAGTAAATGCTTTGGTCATTAAAGGCAAAGACAAGGTTTTCTTTTGAATGGTGGAGATTGTAAAATATTTTCCAAATATTGCCAAACACTATGAGAAAAATGTAAGCATTTGATAAATTCCTGGCTTCAAGTACAATCATTAGTAGAATTTTAAGCAAGTTCAGATTTTCAGACAGGCTACCAATTTTTGCAGTGGAATAGCTGGATATTTAAAAACACACCCAAATACAATGGTAAATTAAATGCCAATGTGAACAAAATTATCAGGATAATTAACACTAGCATTCACATATATGCACAATTTTTATAAATGACTAACAAAAATTAATCTAATGCCTCAATTTTGTGACATTTATAAACATTTTATTTGTTTCTTTAAGATGGTGAACTCAGATTTAGAGTTAATATACATTTAATTCGCATTTTCTGCTCACTCATAACGTGGTACGTAATATCAAGGAAAAAGTCAAAACTTGGTTTGGGGCTATGAAAATGTCTCTACCACAATCAGCATTTTTTTTTCTTGTGGTATGATTGATACATGAAAGAAAATGGTGGTTACCAAGAGATTTTATGGCTCTTGAGTTTGTCATAACAAAATCAGTGAAGTTATAATGAGCTAAATATAATAAAATTAAATTTTCTAAAGCAAACAAAAATGGGTAAGTATAATTCCCTACAAAAATAAAGAGGGACTATTGTCTTAGGTTTAAGTGGTTTATAATAATGAATTGTGAAGGTAGAAAGTCACACAAAAGCTTCTTATAAACTTTATAATTTTAGGACTGAATAAGTATAAAGCTGGCATGAAGTAATCATCATAACACCAAGGCTAATTATATTCTTAATGATATCAATGGAATCAACTAGTAAATATGCTTCAGATTTTGCACTTCTACACACATGTATTTATATATCAATAGGTATACTCCTTTCTCATAGTTTTGTGTCAATTTAAAACTTGCATCTTTGGTTTTAGTTTTTAAAATTAAAAATGAATTAAGAATTAAAAGTGTATAATTTTCAAATTCTACATCTGTTATGAATTATGATAAGAGCTGTCATGTAAATTACATCATGAAACTTTACAACCTCCCTAACCCATAATATTTTTGTTCATTTGTTATAGATGAACCAAGCCAGAATCCATGCAGTTACACTGAAAGTCTAATAAAAATCAAGAATTCTTGTTCTTTCTGATTATTTACATTCACTCTAATAACAAAGTATGTGTTTTAATCTGACTTTCCATTAAGTGTAATATATTCCACTCAACACTACAACAAAACTATATTTTATTCTGATGCTTTGGTTTGGATCCATGCTGCCACCCAAGTCTTATGTTCAATGGTGATCCCCAGTGTTAGAGGTGGGGCCTGGAGGGAGATGATTGGATCATGGGGGTGGATCCTTCATGAATGGTAAAGCACCATCCCTTTGGTGCTATTCTTATGATAAAGTTCTCACAATATCTGGTTGTTTAAAAGTATGTGGCACCTCGCCCCAAACCCCAACTCTTCCTCCTGCTCAG
This sequence comes from Homo sapiens, assembly GCF_000001405.40. Taxonomy (NCBI): domain Eukaryota; kingdom Metazoa; phylum Chordata; class Mammalia; order Primates; family Hominidae; genus Homo; species Homo sapiens. The sequence goes on along the minus strand of NC_000014.9, from coordinate 84,777,571 downwards.
GGCACCTAAGATGCACCTGCTTCCTCTTTGTCTTCCACCATGATTGAATGTTTCCTGTGGCCTTCCCAGAAGCCGATCAGATGCCAGCATCATGCTTCCTGTACAGCCTGCAGAACTGTGAGCCAATTAAATCTCTTCTTTGTAAATTACCTAAACTCAGGTATTTATTTATAGCAATGCAAGAACAAACTAGTACCTTCTTTTATCATTGTGAGTCTTAATTTTTAAAATATTTTAAATACAATATGATTATTTGTAAGATGTTTGTCATTACTAAAGTTCACAAATGTAGAAATTTTTGGCATTTCTTAAATACACTAAAAGTTAGATTGTGGGGTTAAATGACATAATACAGCAGATGATACTGCTAATTAATTTTACACTTTGCTTATGGACATACATACTTTGCATCCTATAAATACTTGTTAAAATTACATAATGTACATGGTGACTTCATAAAGTAACTGCTGTTTTGTTTTGAGACAAAATTCTTTCTCTAGAAAACCTCAAGTTTTCCACTTAAGACCTTTAACTAATTAGATGAGATTCACCAACATTACTAAAGATAATTTTCTTTACCTAAATTCAATTGACTGTAAATATTAACCACATCAAAATGCCTTTATATCAGGATCTAACTAGTATTTTACCAAACAACTAGGCCTGATAACCTCGTCAATTAACTATGGAGAAGTTGTTGGACCGAGCATTTAACCAAGAAGAAACTAAGCAAAAGGCCCTAGGGCAGGAGCAATGGTTAATATAATTAATATCAAAGAGAACATCTCTGTTAAAGAATAATACGAAAAAGAAGGGAGAGATAGGGACAGGACTTAAGGTAAATAGCTGTGACAAAATAGTCTATGAATATTTAGGCCACAGGAAGTACTATGGCTTTCATTGTAAGTGATCTAGAGAGCCACTGCAGAGTGCTGAGCAGAGGATACATATGGCTTACAGTAGTAAAATGACATAAATTAGTGGCCTAGGCAGAAATGAATATATATTGTACTACCAAGGCAATTGTTGAATAGGATATACAGCATGAGAAAAGAGGAGGGAAGTCAAGAATAACCCCGAGTGTTTATTTGGCCTACATTACTGGATAAAAGAAGTTGCTATTTGCTAATATGGAAAGCCAAGACAAAGAGTTGGTTCAAATGAGGGCAAATAAAATTTAACTTGGAGATCCTTTTTGATTATCCAAGTGGAGATATCCAGTAAGAAATGAGAGGTAGTTATTAGAGGTAGACATATGAGAGAGAGTTCTCTGTTTATTGATAGTGTTTAAAACCATGGAAGTGAAATAATTACTTGAGAGATTAGAAGAAAGAATCTGAAGAACATAGCCCTAGAATATTCAAATATTCAGGGTTTGAGAAGATGAAAATACCCAACAACAAAACAACTACAATAGCAGCAGCAACAATGTCAATAACAACAAAGCTGGAAGTGTACAGAAGTTTAAGCCTAAAACTTTAATTTAAGGTGCTATTTCCCAAATCTGATGTAGGATTCTTCTCAAATAAAATAATTTTATGCCCAAATACATTTTGAATATTCTTCATACTGTATCACCTTCTGTGAAATTCTTAATATCTCCATATTAAAGGTTCTGAGAAACTCAATATAAATGAACTTATTTGAACTGTTAAATTCAATATTTCAAATATTTTTTGATCATGGAAGCCTTTTGTTCTCAAAGGGAGCTGACGAATTCCATGGTCCTAAAATTATTTTTCAGACTTTTTTTTGCCATATCCCCTTATAAATACTATTTTGATTTGATTTTCCTATTCTTTTAAAACTTATAGTTAATAATATTGCCTGCAAATTATTTGCACTTTTAGTAATGGACATGGGGAGAAAGTGTCTAGATTTTCCATTATAAAATAAACATAATGATCACTTCCTTATTTAAAATTATGCCTAAGTATTTTATTTTGTTGATGCTATTGTAAATGAAATTGTTTTCTTCATTTATTTTTCTGATTATTTGTTGTTAGTGTAAAGAAACATTACTGAACATGATCGGAGACATGGAATGTGATTAATATATCTGTGTAATAAAAAATCTAATTTTTGTATGGTGATTTTGTATCCTCCAACTTTACTGAATTTGTTAGTCCTACGTTTTGGTGTGTGAAGTCTTTAGGGATACACACACACACAAACACATATATATATATATGATCATGTCATCCACATTACATGTCAGGAACAATTTAATTTCTTCCTTTTCAGTGTAGATGCCTTTTATTTATTTGTTTTGCCTAATTGCTCTGGATAGGACTTCCAATACTAGACTGAATAGAAGTATCTAGAATAGGCATTCTTGTCTTATTTCTTATCTTAGAGAAAAGCTTTCAGTTTTTTCCTTCGGGCATGTGGTCTTGTCATCTACAGCCCCTTTTATTCTGTTGAGATTCTTCTACACCTAATTTGTTGAGAGTTTTTATCATGAAAGGATGTTGAAACTTTTCAAATGCTTTTTCTGCATTTATTGAGATGATAATATGATTTGTAACCTTCATTTTGTTAATGTGGTGTGTCACATTTATGGATTTCCATATGTTGAACTATCCTTGAATCCCAGGATAAATCTCATTGATCATAGTGCATGATCATTTTAATGTGCTGTTCAATATAGAATTTTTAATATTTTGTAGAGGGTTTTTGCATCTGCATTTATAAAGGATGTTAGCCTGTAGTTTTCTTTTTTTTTTTTTTGTTATGTCCTTGCCCATCTTTGGCATAAGGGTAATTCATAAATTTAACTGAGGGAGTGAAAGATCTGTACACTGAAAAATACAAAGTACTAACAAACAAAATTGAAAAGGACACCAATACTCAAAAGATATTCCATGTTCATGAATTGGAAGTATTAATATTATTACATCTCTGTAGTATTCAAAGTAAATTACAAATTTAATGCAATCTCTATCAAAGTTCCAATATTTTTCACAGAAATTAAAAAAATCAACAAAATGTTTATGGAGCCACAAAAGACCCTGAATAGTCAGCAATCTTAAGCAAACGAACAAAACTGAAGGCATCACACTACCTGAACTAAAACTATATTACAAAGCCATAGTAATCAAGACAGTGTGACGTTGGCATAAAAACATAGAATAATAAAAAATAGAGAGCCTAGAAATAAATTCACACATTTGAAGTGCTAAGAGCACATGATGGGAAAAGGACAGTATTTTCAATAAATGATACTGGGAAAACTGAATTTCCATATGCAGAAGAATTAACTCATGCCTTTATTTCATACCACATACAAAAATCAACTCAAAATGGATCAAAGATTTATACATACAATCTGATGTTTTAAAATTACAATACAGAAGAAAACATGGGAGAAAAGCTTCATGATGTTGGTCTGGTGAATGATTTTTTGTATATGATCACAAAAGCACAGGCAATAAAATATAAAAACAACAAATGATCAAACTAAAAAGCTTCTGCATAGCAAAACAAAAACAAAAACAAAACAATTATGGCTGGGTGTGGTGGCTCACACCTGTAATCCTAGCACTTTGGGAGGCCAAGGCTGGTGGATCACTTGAAACCAGGAGTTCAAGACCAGCCTGGGCAACATGGTGAAACCCGATCTCTACAAAAAATACAAACATTAGCCGGGCATGGTGGTGTGTGCCTATAGTCCCAGCTGCTTGGGAGGCTGAGGTGGGAGGATCACCTGAGTCTGGGAGGTCGACGCTGCAGAGAGCCAAGATCATGCCATTGCACTGTGACCTGGGTGACAGAGTGAGACTCTGTCTCAAGAAAAAAAAAAGAAAAACAAAAAACCAATCAATAGAGTGAAGAGACAACCTATGTAATGGTGGAAAATATTTACAAATCACATATAGTAATATCCAAATATATAAGAAACTCAAACAACTTAACAGCAAGAAAACAAACAAACAAAAAACATTTAAAAGTGTGTAAATGACCTGAATAGACAACAAAGTTGGGAGGAAAAAAATAATTGAACTAGGTCATAACCTGGAGGAAGATGGTATGAAGACAAGGAAAAGAGAAAGTTAAGAGCGATTGCAAGATTTTGACCTGAACAGCTTGTGAAAGTTATTGCCAATAACTGAGATGGCAACAACTTGGAAGGTGGGTATGGGAACATTATTGCTTTGTAGGGTGAGAAGTAAGTTAACTTTGAGACACCTATCGGACATGCAAATGGAGACATCTAAAAAGGCATTGGACATTTGAGTCCCATCAGAGAAAAGTTATGACCAGACAAATTTAAGAATGATGAACATAGGATATTATTTATCTTCTAAACAGTATGAGATGAACCAGAATAAGAATATAGATAACAGAACACACTACAGGCTGTACCACTCTCCCATATACTGAACAAGATGCTGTAGTTGGAATGTGAAATAACAATTTTCCAATAGAAGTTTTGATGCCACCTTTATGACAGTAATAAAAGACCAAAAATTAGGCTGGGCATGGTTGCTCACGGCTGTAATCCCAGCACTTTGGGAGGCTGAGGGGGGCAGATCACTTGAGGTCAGGAGTTTGAGACGAGCCTGGCCAACATGGTGAAACCCCATTTCTGCTAAAAATACAAAAATATGGACAGGCACAGTGGCTCACGCCTGTAACCCCAGCACTTTGGGAGGCCGAGGCAGTCGGATCACGAGGTTAAGAGATCAAGACCATCCTGGCCAACCTGATGAAATCCTGTCTCTACTAAAAATACAAAAATTAGTTGGGCGTGGCAGTGTGTGCCTGTAGTCCCAGCTACTTGGGAGGTTGAGACAGGAGAATCGTTTAAACCCAGGAGGTGGAGGCTGCAGTGAGCTGAGACTGTGCCACTGCACTCCAGCCTGGGCAACAGAGCGAGACTCTGCCAAAAAAAAAAAAAAAAAAAAATTAGCCAGGCGTGGTGGTGAGCACCTATAATCTCAGCTACTCGGGAGGCTGAGGCAGGAGAATCACTTGAACCCAGGAGGCAGAGGTTGCCGTGAGCTGAGATCATACTACTGCAGTCCAGCCTGGGCAACAGAATGAGACTCTGCCTCAAAAAAAAAAAATGACCAAAATTTGTAGTAATGGTGAAAATATTACCAATATGGTGATCCCCTGCTGTAGTCACTTGCAGTCTCAAACAAATAATTTCAAGTTTCAACGCTTTTTATTTTTTTCTTTTGAGTCAGAGTCTCACTCTGACTGCACCCAGGCTGGAGTGCAGTGGTGCAGTCTCAGCTCACTGCCAAGTCTTTTATTAAATACCTCCTCGTAATCTAGACACAACAGCCATTAAATCTCTCTCTATCTTCCTGTCTTTCTCACTCTCTATCTCTTATGAAGTATGATTAAATTAATTAGTCTAACACATAATTTAAAAATTGTCTTATATGAAATGTGTAGTGAGTTGAGAGGCAGAGTCAGGACACTTGGAGCATGTATTGGACATTAAAATTTCTGCCAATCAAATTGTTAAGTCTATGAGAAGCCAGACAACTAATGTGTTGTTTCTTTTAAGTAACATATTTAGTAGATTACTGTTTCATCAGTGCATTTCCTTGTTAGTAGAGCAGTTACATTACTTCATAGATACTTTTTCCCATCTCATTTGAATTCTTTTGCATTTTTGCCTTTGTTTCTTTATATCTGCATCAAATGCTGTTTGGCTTCATCAAATTAATAGTTTTGGAACCATTTACACGCAGTCATATATTTGGGACAGAGTTAGTCATCAAACATGAAGGTTGATGAAATTTGTTAAAAGATTTGAATAATTTTGTTTATTTTTAAAGATGAAATTAAGCAGTGGAAAGTCAGAAAGCCAGATTTCATTAATATTAAATAGCTATTCTCAGCATGATAAATTGCAGGTAAAAGGCAAGAAATCAGCCTCCCATTTGCCTGCTACAAAATGACAGCCTTGTGATTGTGGGAGCTGTTTGTTCCTACATGAGAAATACGTTGCCCAGTGTCAGGCATGTCCTGATAGGACCAAAACAGTGCATGTCATATGGGTGACCTTTTCCTAATATTGCACAAAGAAATCAGGCTGAGAGAGGTTAATAATGTACTCTCAAGCACATGGCTGGGTAAGTACCAGGATAAGGCTTAAGCTTCCATCTCTTAGCTCCTCCTCACAGACTTTTGGCCTCATCTTGCAGTATATCAAGCTTTTACTATAACTGACTGCTTCTCCTGCTGCATGGCCATCATCTTCCTCTTGTTAGATGCTCATCAAGAAAAGTTATGCAGTTAGTACAGGACCAAGAAAAGAGAAACTAAAAAAGAATAGAATAAAGCCATTGATGCTGATCAGGCTCTGACAAGTCTTCCTACATCCCATCTTTGCTCATGGCATATGGAATGAAAATAATGCAAAGTGGGGTGAAGCTCAAGGTGTTTTCTAAGGAACTGGAATTTTGTCAGAGCATGAAAGAATGTATGGTTACTCAATTTTGGTGGTGCTTCAGTGAATTTAAATAGACCATGCCCAAGATTACATAAGTGAGCTATCAATAAAGAGACACATTTTCTGATTATGTAAGTAATTTATGACCCTTGAGCAAAATTTGAAAAATGTAAAAATATTTCAAAAGAAAACAAAATTATCTTTAACCTTTATAAAGAGACACCACTAAAAATATATTGGATGTATGTCCAACTGCATTTTGCCTTATACAATTGAACCCATATTTTATAGTTTCCTCTGTTTTTCTTTTCACACTTTATTGTGAGCATATTTACAATTTACTAAAGTGAGTTAGTTCATACACATTATGATTATGCAATATTATCATATGGTATATAAACACTCTATATTTATTTATTACCCTTCTGTCAATGTTTAGATTGTTCCACATTTGTTGTGAATAAAATTGTAATGAACATGTTGATTATAACATTTGAACAGTTAAAACACAATGCTTTAATATGCAAGATATTTTTAAAATTATGTAGTACTTCTTTATATTTGCCATTTAAGTTGACACAATCAGGAGTAAGGGAAATACTATTCTTATAAGCCCAGTTTTTAGATTAGTTGGTGGAAAACTGGCAATATTTCACTGAATTAAAATCAAAGCTGCTGGGTTCTATAATGATAAAACAGCAAGTGTGCTTTGAGGCCAGCGTTTTTCAATACTCAATTGCAGGCCCAGAAAAATAGTCTAATGCTGATTACAAATACTTCAGCATGATTAAGGCTGATCTCTTCAGAAATAACCTTGGCTTTTTAGTTAAAATGTGACTGAAAGCCCTTCATGGATCTTTTTCTGGAAGTCTTGCTTTTCCCTTTAGGCATGATGTTAGTCACTATGGTGCAATTTTGATCATGTGTACAATATTTATATTTATGTAGTCACTGACACCTCATCCTGTCATGATTTGAATGCAGATGACTGAGTAGGTAATGATGATGACTTATTATGGTAAAAGTAAACGTATGACTTAAATTCACCTAAAGGAAAACCTTTACTCTGAAGACAGGTGGTATATTTAGGACCATTTATAATCTTCATAGTTTTTTTTAATTTCCTTCTGCAATTTTTCAAAACCATAGAAATTTTAATCCTTATAAATATGGGAAATTAAATGAAGACAATCCTATTAAGTCATTCTTTTAAAACTAACAGGAATAGGGAAGAAGGGGACATCATTTCTTTTATTTACACATGATATATTGGTTATTTGGCTTGTGTAACTTACCATGACTTAAAACTGTATCAGCCATTTAATTATTTTGGTACCAAGATATTAATAAATTGTATGATGCCTTTATTGATCCACCCAGTTCAGATGTGGATATCAGCATTACTGGTCACCTCTGGGGTTGTTTTCATAGGACATATCAGAGTGACAAATTGCATTGATCATGATGGCAAATTGATGCTATAATGAAAACCACATTGTACATATGCTTTCTTTTTATTAGAATGAAACTACTGGATTTTGCTTTGTTTAACTAAAATATATCCTAATTGGTTAAATATTTTCAAGTATTACATGCTGAACTAAATAAGTTCAAGTCCCCAATATTTTAGGCAAAATAAAGTGATAGCCCATATTTAATATTATAGGATAGAAAATTTTTCCAGACTCATGCAATCTCTGTGATTCTTTATATACCTAATTGATTTATTCTCTGTTTTCTTTTAGGGCATCATGTTATATAGATTCAATTTTGTCATATTCCTCATTTTATGCTTTATACATTTACTGTGCACTGTACTTTCTAGTTTCCCACGAAATACTTATCAATCTATTATAAATAATTCTGTTGTATATTGAGCAAGCAATCTGAAGTCACAGTATTTCTTATCTAAGCTATAAATTAGACATTAAAACATTTTAGAGATGCATTGCTTCCAGAAAAACATTCCCACAGATGGAAGCCTGTTAACTATTCTTACTGTGCTGCTTCTTCAGTCCAACATCAAGTAGGATGTTAATTTGCCATTTGGGAAGGTTTTATTGATGGTTTATTGTGAGACAATTCTAAAATAATGGTTTTATTCTGTTTTAGCCTTGGACATAGAATAAGAGGACCCAAATTCTGGGCCTATCAACAGTACTCTATGGACATATAGCTCTGTATAAATTTTGTAACTTGTAAGAGATTTTTCTCTCATTAATGAAATGGACAATACTAGCTACCTTGTTATTGGGGTTAATAAATGAATGTTATGTTTTGTAGGCTGTAGTGCACCAGGAATATACAGTGATATTAATGCCTTAATTGTTGACATTAAAGTATCACTAACTGCATTCTAATTATAGATATTCATATTTCTGCTAAAAGTAGCAAGTGCCTAAAAATGTGTAATATAGGACTTTATTTTGCTAGAGCTGCCAAAATACACCCTAGACTGGATGATTTAACAGAAAATATTTTCTCACAGTCCTAGGAGCTAGAAGTCTGAAATCAAGGTGTTGGCAGGACTGATTTAATTTTGAGACCTCTCTTCTTGGCTTGTAGATGACTGTCTTTTCCCTTTGTCTTTACATGGTCTTGTCTGACTTTGTTTAAGGACACCATTTACAGGGACTGGATAAGGTCCCACCCTAATGATCTCATTTAACATTAATTACCCCTTTAAAGATCTTATCTCCAAATACACTTACATTCTGAGATATTGGTGGGGGGTGGCTAGGGCCTTAGCATATGAATTTAGGGGAGAAACTATTCAGCAAACAACACTGTATAATAATGTTTCCCAAATTATAGTCTGCTGAGCACTTGTATCCAGATGTACTTTAGTAACAGATTATACTGGTGAAACACATTGGGAGAATGCTAAGTGATATACCAAAAAGTTTGTGTTTGGTTGAGATTGTGGATCTTTTTACAAGCTAAGAATGGTAATTTCCAGGAGAGTGTTATAGGAGTTAGGCTTTCCTATATTTATCTGACCAAGGAATCTGAATTTGTGGTTTAGAAAAGGCTGTTGCATATGCATAGTAACTCTTTTCTTTACTTAAAAGACAGTAATACAAATCTGACAAACTTGAAACATATATCTTAGGGTGGGCCCAATTATAGATGGGATAAGTAACCATCTCACCATATTTGTGTGGAGAAGCAAAAAAAAAAAAAAAATGCCCTCCATTTTATTAGAAGCCAAATGAATGTAGCATTTTTCCGATGCAAGCAATTACCATAATTGCCATTATATTTTACCTAAGACAGATGTTTCTGTCTAGGTTTTTGTTTTTCAGAAAGATAAAATGCTTTTATGTTAATGGGTTATGTTTTATACTTTCATTTTAATAATATCAGTTATTAACTCTTGAGAATGGTCTAATAAAATACTAATTTCCCTTTTTGTTAATGAGATCTCGAGGGACTGGAACAAAGGAAGGTAAAATTAAATGGAAAGAAAAATAAGAAAAGACAGAACAGTTGTTTTCAATCCACACGCTGCATGTAAGTCACGTGATAAGAGTTTAAACATGATATTAGTGTGGCCCTATCCCTAACATTTCAGATTCAAATGATTGAGGGAAGGACCGAGGTGCTTTAAAGCTCTAATCATGATTCTAATATGCAGTCCAGAGTAAAATTATGATTCAGAGGAGAGAGGCTAAGAGGTGTGCCAAATCTATTAGGGAGAGCTCCAGAAACATTAGGTGCTAGCGTAGGATGACAAAAACGAAAAAAAAAAAAAAAAGAATTGTTAATGGTAACAGAAAGTGAAATACAAAAATACAAAGGCCTTATTGATCAAATTCCCTGAATCAAGGAGTGAAAAGGAAGTGATAAGTAGGTATTGAAATGGAATACTATGCAGCCATAAAAAAGAATGAGATCATGGTCCCTTGCAGGAACATGGATGGAGCTGGAGGCCATTATCCTTAGCAAACTAATACAGGAACATAAAACTGAATACCACATGTCCTCACTTATAAGTGGGAGCTAATCAATGAGAAAACATGGACACATAGAGGGGAACACCACACACTGGGGCCTATCTGAGGGTGGAGGGTTGGAGGAGGGAGAGGATCAGGAAAAATAACTAATGGGTATTAGACTTAATACCTGGGTGACAAAATAATATATACAGCAGACCCATATGACACAAATTTACCTATGTAATAAACCTGCACATATACCCCTGAACTTAAAGTTTCAAAAATGACTCCTTGTTTTTCTTGTCTCAAGCTCCTGCAAACCACCAGTCTATATTTTCTTTGTGTGTGTTTACCTATTCTAGGAATCTCATATAAGGGTAATCATATAGTATTTGTCTTTTTGTGACTAGCTTATTTCACTTTACATAATCCCCCTCAAGGTTCATCCATGTAGCATGTATCAGAATTTCTTTCCTTTATAAGGCTGAATAAATTTCCATTGCATGTATTTACCACATTTTCTTTATTCATGCATCTGTCAATGGACAGTTAGGTTGCCTACACCTTTTGACTATTAGTAATTTTGGTGCTGTGAACATGAGTACACAGACCCATGTTTCAGATCTATTCCAGATCTTCATTCAGTTCTTGTAAGTATATACCCAAAAGTGAAATTGGAAAATCCCATGATAATTCTATTTTCAGTTTTCTGAGGAAACACGATGCTATTTTTCATAGTGGCTACACCATTTTATATTACCATTAACAATGCACAAAAATTTCAACATCTTCGCTTTCTTGCCAACATTTGTTATTTTATTTATTTGACAGTAGCCATCCTAATGGGTGCGAGGTGGTATCTCATTGTGGCTTTGATTTGTATTTTCTAATTATTAGTGACATTGAGCTTATTTTTGTGTCCTTGTTGGACATTTGTGTATGTTCATTAAATCAGTGTCTATTCAAGCTCTTTGTCCATTTTTTAATCAAAGTTTTGTTGTTTTTTCTTTGTCTTATTTTTGTTTTTATTGTTGAGTTACAGGAGTTATTTATACATTCTGAATGTTAATCCCTCATTAGATATACGATTTGCAAATATTTTCCCTCATTTCATAGGTTTCCTTTTTGCTCAGGAAGGCTATAATTGTGCCTTTGATGCACAGAGGTTTTCATTTTGATGTAGTCCAATTTATCTATTTTTATCTTTGTTGCCTGTGCATTTGGTGATATATATTAAAAAGCTATGACCAGGCTGGGCATGGTAGCTCACATATGTAATCTCAGCACTTTGGGAACTCAAGGCAGGTGGATCACATGAGGTCAGGAGTTCACAACCAGCCTGGCCAACAAGGTGAAACCCCATCTCTATTAAAATACAAAAACTAGCCAGGCATGATGGTGGGTATCCATAATCCCAGCTACTTGGGAGGCTGAGGCAGAAGAACTGTTGCAACCTGGGAGACAGAGGTTGCAGTGAGCTAGTGAGCTGAGATCATGCCTTTGCACTCCAGCCTGGGCAACAGAGTGAGACTCCATCTCAAACAACAACAAAAGAAGTTATTACCAAATCCAAAATAAATATTTTTTCCTATGTTTTCTTCTACTAGTTTTATAATTTTAGCTTTTACATTTAGGTCTTTGATCCATTTTGATACCTTTCCTTCTTTTTAAACCAAGAAAGCCATATCTTTTATTTATTAACTATTTGGTGCAGGAGTTCCATGAACAGCATTCCATATAATAACCCTGGGATCTAGGTTACTTCAATTTTGTGGCTCTGCCATTTCCTATGAATCAAAACCTGCACTGAATTATCTTTATTCAACCAGTCAGCATGCAAGGAGAAATAGCAAGTTGAGACTCTCAGCAGAAATTTTGGAGGCCAGCCTTTGCAGTGCTCTTTATTTCTTCATGTGGATTTGAATTACTGTCTAGTGTCCTTCAGCTTGAAGGACTCCTTTTAGTATTTCTTTTAAGGCAAGCCTGCTTGTGATGCATTATCTTGATTTTTATTTATCGTGGATGATCTTAACCTCTCTTTCTTTTTTGAAGAACAATTTTGTCACACATAGAATTCTTGAATCACAGGTTTTTTTTTCTTTTAGTACTTTGAGTATTTCATCTCACTGCCTGTGACCTCAATGATTTCTGATGCCAAATTGGTTGACAGTCTTCATGAGTATCCCTTGTATATGATTTATCACTTCTCTTTTGCTACCTTCCAGGTCCTTTTTTTGGCTTTAACCAGTTTGATTATGATTTGTTGTTCACTGTGGACCTCTGTTTATCCTATTTGAAGTTCATTGGGTCCCCTGTATGTGTAAATTAATGTGTTTAATAAGAACTAGGACATTTTTGTCCATTATTTGTTAGAATATTTTTCATGCCTGTTTCTCTTTCTCCTCTCCTTTTGAGACTCTCATCATGCATATGGCAGCATACTTGATGATATCCCACAGGTCTTGTAGGCTCTATTCATTGTCCTTGTTCTCTTTTCATTGTGTTCTTCAGATTGGATAATCTCAATTGACCTAACTCCAAGTTAGGTCGAGTTTTCTGCCAGCTTAAATATGCTACTAAACCCATCCAGGGAATTTTTAATTTTAGTTATTATATTTTACTTTTTAGTTCCATAATTTCAATTTGGTTTTTATTATTTCTATTATTTTATAGGTAATTACCATTTGGTGAGATACCATTCTCATACTTTCCCTTTACACATGGTTTACTTTAGCTCTTTTAATATATTTTTAAAATAGTTGATTTAAAGTATTTGTCTAGTAAGTCCAATGTCTAGGCTTCTTCTTTTCTCTGCCATTCTTGCTGACATTACTTGACAGAATTACTGTTTACAAATCAGCACCCCACACAATTTAATTTCTGGGGTAAAACCTGTATCCGTGTTTTTAAAATATCCCCTGGCTACATCGGCATTCAGTCAAATTTGAGAACTACTAAAGTAGGAAGAGAATTTGAGAGATGGGATGATCCCAAGAGGCTGAGCAAGGTATAGACCATTGTGGGCTTTCTTCTGCCAGAATGAGAAGGTGAGAATGATAACACTTGAGAGCAGCATCACTGTTGTTTTCCCTACCACTTCCTGAACAGGAAAAGTCTAAGGATGAATTTTGAAATATGACATTCTCCAAGTTGTGTTACTTTCTCTAAGCTATGCCTTTACTTATGCTTTCTCTGTGTCTAGGTCTGCTAGCTGCACATAGTTCACTTATTTCTAATAAGCCTCTACTCTGGATGGAATCTATACAGAATCATTTAAAATTGTGTTTCTTAGTCATAAAAGTGTGATAATGACCTGGGAATGTTTCTAAAGCTATAAGATACATGCTGCCACCAATACCCCAAGATTTTGTTGAACAAAAGGTCATATATTTATCAGGCAGAGCTCATTTCCAGCTCTAGGGTTACCTCCTTACTTCTTAGATAGGGATGGCTTTGAAGAAACCTGTTACATTGTGCTCAGTATTTACATTAGGGATTATTCGGGAAATTTAGTGTAGTGTCTGATAATGTAGCTATGTTTTCTATCACATTCAGCAATGTAATTGGATCTGAGTTCAATTTATCTCAACCTTCAATTTAAAAATAAAAAATATGAGAAGAGTTTGTAAATATGTTTTCTAACCAATGACCCAACCTGTTAACCACCATTTTGACTCTCCAATGTCTTATAAGAAAGTATATACTTTAGTTCTTTTCTGTTTTGATTCTAGTGTATAATGAGTGCAACCCAAGATAATTTGAAATCAGGTCTGGTGTGCACTTCAAAATGAAAATAAAAGTCATATGGTTATACATCAAAAAATTTTGGCCTCATCAACTCCCTCTGGGAAGAAGAAAAGAAGTTTCCCAGAATCCTACAGAAGTGCACCTTTTGGTTCTTGGGTCCATATACCAAGAAGGAGAGGCTGACTGAGTTTAATAACAGCTGCATAATACATCTGGATAGTGGGTATCTATTTAAGATTACTAATAATATAAAAATAGTTGATGTTCCATCAGTTAGAATTCTTAGGTAAAAATGAAATAAAACAACTCAAACTGTAATTCAGATACTTTCTCTAAATTGTTGGATATGCTGGGGGTGGTAGCTTACCCACACTCCCAGCATTTTGAGAGGCTGTGGTAGGAGGATTGCTTAAGCCCAGAAATTTGAGAACAGTTGGGTCAATATGGCAAAACCCTGTATCTACAAAAAATACAAAATATCAGCCAGGCACGCGCTTGTGGTTTCAGCTGCTCAGGAGGCTGAAGTGGGAGGATCATCTAAGCCTGGGAGGTTGAGGCCACAGTGAGCTGTGATTGTGTCACTGTACTCTAGCCTGGGTGACAAAGTGAGACCCTGTCTAAAAAAAAAAAAAGAGAAAAGAAAAGAAAATTATTGGCTAGATGGGTACACATAAGTGAAAATTTTAATTTGAGTTAATTTAATTCAATATTTTCAATATTTTCTAGAATACTAGCATAGTAGTTTTCTCTACTGTTTTTATATGTTTTATTATTTATTGAGATATGTGTTTAGCCCAATAATCAGAGTTAGAGCAGCTGTATTCTGAATTGTTTTGTAATAAATTTATTTTTAAATCTATCTTACTGATTCTTGAACTCAAAAGTAAAAAGCAATGACAATTATTTTCTTCCTTCACATTCCTGCTCAGGTATTCTTAGGAGACTGAAAGAAGCAACTAAGAAATAACAGCAAAATATTAAGAGGTTTCAAAAGTATACAGTTTAATAACTACTTTGGACTAAAATATCTGGGGAAATTAATTTATACTTAGGTAGCTAGATTTTATTTCAATGATGCCTAGTACTCTATAATTTTTCTTAACACTTTTTATAATTAACTTATTTTGACTAAATGCTAACTGTATTGTATGCATTTCCAGGATAAGGAATTTGAAGCTAAGTAATTTATGCAGATTATTAATCAAACCCAGGCCTTGATAGAAGACCAAGATCATTTCTATTGTTCTATTATAGCTACCTCAAAAAGCAAAATCCTCAGAAACTATTGCTATATATATGTGTGTTATACACACACACGTATATATGTATGTATGTATGTATATATGTATATGTATATATGTATACATATGTATATGTATATATGTATGTGTATATGTACATATATGTATGTATACATATGTATATACGTATATGTATATATATACACATACTTATATATATAGAAAGAGAAACAGAGACAGACATACAGACAGATAGACTGAGGGAGAGAGAGTTCATTTCCAAAACTGAACTTCAGTATCACATAAAATATATTTCATATATCTAAGTCAGAGTGACTATGTTGTAGAAACAAAAATAATCCAAACTGGATTTTCAGAAAACTATACAAATATTGCAAAACTCATACATATTAATTCACTGATAATCTGAGAATTATTTTAGTTTTTTTTTTCTCTTAAGGAAGAGAAGAATAAGAGAAGTAAAAATAAAGATCAAGTGATATCCTACCATTTTCATATTAGGCACTTTCATATATATCATCCAATTTCATAGTTACTACTTTTTGAGGTAGAATGCCCCATTTTACAGATGAGGAAACTGAGGCTGAGAGGGAGTTTAGTTAGAAAGTATTAATTTGTTAAGTCTGGATTCAAAATAAATTCTAATTTCAAAATCCTTGCTTCATCCATATTTGGAAATGGGTTAATTTTACTGAATTATCACAGTTGGTAATGACAGAGAAATTCATTGAAATATTTTATTACATTTACACATTTTACAAAGTCCCAAACCAATGATTATCAAAAAAGAGACAAAAAGTTAAAAAGGTAATGTATACCTCACATGATGATTCAGAACTCGGTTTTTAGCATAGCAGTTTTCTTCTGATATTTCCCATTGTATCTAGGTTTAGAATATGCAATTCTTAAAATGCTTTATATTTTAAAAGCAGGTATGTGAGCTCCTTATTTTTGTTCTGTATCTCACAAAGCAACATTGCCTTAAATTATATCAGAAGACCGTGGATTTCTTCTATTTATTTTATAATTAAATAATGAGGAAAACATATTATACCCAGATCTTTAGAGTCTTTGCAATTATTGCTTTGAAGAAAATATCCTTTCAACCTTCAGTTGAAGGGAGGTAGATACAGAGCAGGCTTCCTTCTGTCCCTGTGCCCCCATTACAATTTGGACGTGACCTTGGCTGACTCATTTTAGGGCATAAGGACCAATGTGTAGGATCATTTGATGAAAGGCAGAGGACTGTGATAAAGTCCACATGGGATAGAGATGGGAGGAGAGTTGACACTTGTACAGAACAATGATGATTAATAAAAACAGAATCTCTCCATTCCCTTCTTATGTTTTATTCTGTGTAAATATTCAAGGCTAGCACCATCTTCTTAAATTTATTGTCTATTGACAGAAATATTGCAGACGCTTTCAACACAAATGTAATTCATTACAGGGAAATTCTTAGTATCCTTATGAAATGCCACATTATCAAAGAAATAAAGCTTAAAAGAACACGTAACCTGAGATTTAATTTTATGATGTGACCTCAGGGTAAGGTTGCAGGAATTAGTAAAATGTTGAAGGTTAAGCTGAGAATCATTTTTCACAAATGCGTCAAGGACTGTACCAGAGTTATATTTAGAGAGGGTTAGACTATGCATTCCTTGTATCTTTAAACAAACACAATTAAAACATCTGTATTAAATTCGGCTATTTTTGTGGAAGATGAAGATCTGAGTATAAACTAGAAGAGGGAATGACATTCTGAACTTTTTGCCTTTCTAGAATCTGAGGCTTGGTGAAATGTTCCCTATATTGTTGAACCCATGATTAAGTCTCAATCTCTGCTGCCATGGCTACTTTTCAAAAGTTCATTGTGAAAGCATTAGTTCGGTGAGGACAAGAACTGGCTCACATTTTCTCACTGAGTCATTCTGTCCACTTAATTTGGTACCACTTCTGGGGTGGTTGTTCACTGGTGGGCATTAGTATTTAGTATAACAAGGCTCATTCTTTGTGCCCACTCCCATAGATTCTTCCACATGCCTCTCTCCTAGATCTCCAATCTTGCTCTTCCAGCCAGGTCACTGACCAACCAGCTAAGCCATTTAAGCTATCCCAACAACATATTAGACACCACACAAAATCCTTGCCAGGGAATTGAGTGTCCATATATCAATGAATTCCCCTTGCTCTCTCTACTTCTTTTGAACCAGCACCCTTAGGATCCACTCATAAGGTTATCCTCAGGGTTCCTTTGCATACATGCCGGCCAGTCCTATAGCTCCTTTGGCAAATAATTACCTTCATATAACAGGCCTAGCTACTCCCCAGTTGAGTTTGTTGTGTTATCACTCTGATTATGGGAATATTACCCAGGATGTGAGATGGTGACAGATTCTTAGTAGTACCAGCATTGTCCTGTAATGCGTTGGTCCCTTTGAGGCCTTTGCATAATCACCAAGAAAAGGGGAGGATTCTTTCTTCCAATAGGGTGGGTGAGCCACTTCTGCAGTCCAGGAGATTTGGAGCAAACTGGAGCAGCAAGGTTCTTGAATGTGGAAATTTTCCCTTTTCCAGTATCTACATCTCTAGTCTTAGGGCCCTTTCCTTCTCTATCAGCATCATAACTTTGCCATATGAGTCTTCCCTAAGCTCATGATTTAGTACTTCTGATGTTCAGCTGTACCCATCCTTTAGCTGTCTGATTTTCGTCTGTGTCTCTCCACCACCTGTTGGAGAGAGATCCTTTATAAGTGCTTCTAAGGAGTCTCTCCAACTCTCACACTGTGCTTTTCCTTATTGATTGTTATATCCAAGCCTGCTAATTTTTTTTTTCATGGAATCAATGGTGTTTAGCTCTAGCCACCCAATCCCATAATCATTATGCTTTCTGTTTCTAAATAGAAATAGAAATAGAGATGAAAGCACCTCTCATTATACCCAAAATATTGTACTAGCTAGTGCTGCTCCTTTCATCTGTCCCCATCACAGCCCACCACATGTGAAAAATCCTATCAATTACACAGCTTTAATAATATTTAGCTTTAGCATTAGACTATCAAAACTCCATGCTTTATCAGGGATGGGGTCATAATTCCCATCCATCAAGTGAGAAATCAACTCCATAATCCCATATATAATATCTGCTACCTAGGACCATCCCAAATATCAAACATCTTAGGTCAGGTTTTCTAGGAGTAGAGTCTGAGCTGGTGAATCTTATTTAAATTATTCATTAGAGGAATGCCCTCAGGAAAGAGGAATGAGGGAAACAGAATAGGACACAGGAAAAAGTGAAACAATGATGTGGTCTTGGCAGGAGATCAGTTTTATTATGATAGTATGAGAAAATTATCGATGCTGGAGTACAAATAACGCCACAAAATCAGTCTCACATTTTGTTCCCTCTAGGGATCTGCACAATCTTTCAGTAGAAGTCTAATTAGTAAATGCTTTTGGCTTTTCAGTTCACTCCGTGTCTGTTGCAACTGCTCTGCCATTGCAGTGTGAAAGACAACATGTAAACAAATGGGCATAGCTGTGTTTCCATGAAACTTTATTCATAAAAACTAGTAGTGGACTGAATGTGAGCTACAAGCTAGTTGTACTTTGCTGTAATCTGCTGTAGGTAAAGCTGGCTCTCATTTGGCTGAAGAACATCTCTAAACAAGACTGTAATTGAGCTATTATTGGCCAACATTCCCAGCAGATGATGGGTAATGGTACACTGGCAGTGAAGGGGATCTGGGTAGGACACCATCAGAATCCACTGTATGAGGAGGACCAAGTGACTTCTGGGAGGTAGAGACAACTAAACTGATTTTTGAAAAGGAGCTGAATAAGAGAAAACATGAGCAAAGGCATAAAGATAGGTTATAGTGCCATGTATGCAAAGAACTACAATCAGTTTAGAATTAAATGTGAATGGTAGAAGATGAAGCCTGAGAGACAGATCAATAGGCTGTAAAGGGCATTATATATTATTCTTGGTATTTACCTTGTAGAAAAAGAAGAGGCACTGGGGAATTTAAAGTAGAGAGGTGAGATGACTTCGGCAGTGAAGATGTAGGGGACACAATCTTTTGTTGCTAACTCCATCTATTTATGTAGGAATTTTTAATCATTTACTATCCACAGTAATTAATAGGACTTGCTTATTTCCATTCTCTTTCAGAGCCAATGCATGAAGACTGAGATCCAGATTTGATGTTGCCCGCTGATGGATGGTGGCATATATCCTCAAAGTGACGTTCCAACAGTGAAGTGAGATTTGCATCTTTGATCAATATCCGTTTTTTTAATCTCTTGCCTCCTTTGGAATAGCAGCAGGTGTTTGAAAGATGTTTCTCTAGATGTCAGGGTAAAGTTTATAAGCATGACATGTAGGCATTTGCTATTGCTAAATGAAGCCAACTGGTCCAGACATAACCCACACCTTGGTCTACTTAGTTCCATGCTTTGGCCAATAACCAAATTCATTTTGTACCAAATCTCAGGAAACCATCTGTCCAAATCAGAGGTTGCTGTACTGTAAACATCTTCCTGTGATCTTTGTTGAAAATAAAATACCATCGAAGACACCTCCACCCTTTCTTTTTTGTAGCTTCCTTGCCTAAACCTGTCATTCTTCATTATTCAGACCAACGCTGAGTGAGTAGTTACTAATAGCATTTTAAGAATACCCTTCTGTATTCTTGTAGGCTGGTTTAGAGTGGCAAAATCCCAGAGGAAGGGAGAACAAATAATAGCTGTGTTGGTGTCCCAAGCTTAAGATGATAGTTGTTTGAACCAAGGCAGTCTCGGTGAGAGAATACTTAACTCAAATCTCTAGAAAATAGATCATGCAGGTAACAATGGTGACCTTGGAAAAGTAGATCAAAGTGTACACATTTTTTCTCCTTTTTTGTATGTTCCCAATGTCTACACATCTTTATTTATATAATTTATTAATGCAATTGTTACCTTGGTCAATATAAAATAAATTTGCTAGGGAATTGAGTGTCCATATATAATAAAATTCACTTTAATAATTTTTTTAGGCTGATCAGCTGTCTAGTTTTTAAACAGTCTATATGCCCAAGCATGTGGCAGTCATGTGGACTATAAAGTTATTAACATGATCTAACATTTATGTAATACCTCTACTCCAGGCAAATGACTTCAGGTCTTTCTATTGTATACTAGAATAGGAAAAAATGTATTAGCTATCCTTTCAAATCCTGAACAAATATATGTCCTGTAAAATTCTGATGTATAATAACAATGTGCTATACAGATATCAGTCCTCCAACCACCAAACTGTTTTTGTTTCTGAAATAAACAATGAAAATTTATCCTTAAAGTAAGTCAGTGCAGTACTCAATATCATACATATTCAGAGGAAAGTGTGTTTTCAATGACCAGGATCAAAGCATTCTCTAGGAGTCATGAATGAACACTATACTTGTGAGTTTGTATTGTGTACCAATATCTCGAGGACCAAAGTCAGAAAACTTATATAGAGGATGTAAGTTAAAAAATTACAAGATATCACTAAAAGTATATATATTAATTTTCCTGGTTAACACATAAAATAATGTAAGGCTATTTAGTGATCAATGCAGGAAAGAAAAAAGAATTGTTACTCTCATCTCTCAATTCAGCATTTGGTAATTTGAACTCTACTTCACATTGAAAATCAAGGCAACACCTTTAACTCATTGTCAAAATGAAAAAACCTGCATGCACACAAAGCAGCAATCTCAATTCTTCCCTCAATACTCAGGTGGATTCCAGTCTTGAATAGCAACTGATTGCTAACTTATAGCAAAGCATAATAAACTTGGAGCATACAGATCACTTCACAGTTCTTATTCATAGGCAATCTTCCTCCTTAGCCCCCACCAGTGTCCTAAGTTCATGGTTTTAAATTCCTTCTAAGGACATCTCATGCTTTCTCTGTCAAGCAACTAACTTCCAGACCCTATGGTGCTTGATTTTGTGTTCCTTTATGACCTATTGTAATAGGATCAGTTACTTTTTTCCCTTTTTACCTATTTATATATCCCATTCCCATATGGAGTTATTTGGGTTTGAATATATATATATATAAATAAAACAAAGTTAGTTATTGGTCTTTGCCTATGTTTTCAATAAAATCAATGGCATGTGAAATAGGTTTAGAAAGCATACTTGGCAGTCTAAGCCCAAATAAGAGGAATAAAGTAGTTGTAGAAACACTTTTTAAACAAAATTGCCTAAAAGGTCATCTGACATTTGAGGAAGTGGTATCTAAAAGAGAGAGTGCAGTCTGAATCATGAGTTACTGGACTAGAAGCTATGTCAAGTTTAAGCAGGATGATAGATAAAGGAAAGAGTTGATGCTTTATTTCCTGACATTTGCTTCATAGGGTCAGCATTTTTTAGTTGTTACTTTTCTTTAACTTCTTTATCATTGTTTCATTTTTCTACTGAGGAACTAGGTGAAAACTATATTTTAGCAAATAAATCTTTTCAAACTCTTGCTCTGTCATATGACACTCATCTTCCCAGGTCTTCCCCAGAAAAAAAAATGTTAGCATACATTAATTCCAAGTATAAGCCAACTGCCTTTACTCAGGGTGGATATGGAACTTGTATTAGTCTGTTTTCACACTGCTGATAAAGACACACCCAAGACTGGGCAATTTACAAAGGAAAGAGGTTTAATGTAGAACTCACAGTTCCACATGGCTGGGGAAGCCTCACAATCATGGCAGAAGACAAGGAGAAGCAAGTTAAATCTCATGTGGATGGCAGCAGGCAAAGAGACCTTGTGCAGGAAAACTCCCCCTTATAATGACCATCAGATCTCATGAGACTTACTATCACAAGAAAAGGACAGGAAAGACCTGCCCTCATGATTCAATTACCTACCACTGGGTCTCTCCCACAACATGTGGGAATTCAAGATGAAATTTGGGTGGGGACACATCCAAACAATATCATTCCATCCCTGGCCCCTCCGAAATCTCATGTCCTCACATTTCAAAACCAATCATGCCTTCCCAACAGTCCCCCAAAGTCTTAACTCATTTCAGCATTAACTCAAAAGTCCACAGTCCAAAGTCTCATCTGAGACAAGACAAGACCCTTCTACCTATGAGCCTGTAAAATCAAAAGCAAGTTAGTTACTTCCTAGATTCAATAGAAGTGCAGGTATTAGGTAAATACACCCATTCCAAATGGGAGACATTGGCCAAAACAAAAAGGCTACAGGCCCAATGCAAGTCTGAAATCCAGTGGGGCTGTCAAATCTTAAAGATCCAAAATGATCTCCTTTGACTCCATGCCTCATATCCAGGTTATGATGATGCAGGAGGTGGGTTCCCATGGTCTTGGGCAGCTCTGCTCCTGTGGCTTTGCAGGTTATAATCTCCCTCCTGGCTGCTTTCATGGGCTGGCATTGAGTGTCTGCTGCTTTTCCAGGTGCATGGTGCCAGCTGTCAGTGGATCTACCATTCTGGGGTCTAGAGGACAGTGGCTCCTCTAGGTGGTGGCCCAGTAGGGACTCTGTGTGGGGGCTCTGATTCCACATTTCCCTTCTGCACTGCCCTAGCAGAAGTTCTCCATGAAGGCCTCACCTCTGCAGCAAACTTTTGCCTGGGCATCCCAATGTTTCCATACATCTTCTGAAATCTAACTGGAGGTCCCCAAACTTCAACTCTTGACTTCTGTGCACACACAGGCTCAATATCACATGGAAATTGCCAAAGCTTGGGGCTTCCACCCTCTGAATCAATAGCCCAAGCTGTACCTTGGCCCCTTTTAGTTATGGCTGGAGTGGCTGGGACACAGGGCACTAAGTCCTTAGACTGCACACACCACAAGGACCCTGGGCCTGGCTCATGAAATCATTTTCTCCTAGGCCTCCAGGCCTGTGATGGGAGGGGCTGCCGTGAAGACCTCTGACATGCCCTGGAAATATTTTCCCCATTGTCTTGGGGATTAACATTTGGCTCCTTGTCACTTATGCAAATTTATGCAGCTGGCTTCAATTTCTCCTCAGAAAATGGGTTTTTCTTTTCTATCATATTGTCAGGCTGCAAATTTTCTACACTTTTATGCTATGTTTCCTTATAAAACTTATGCCTTTAACAGCACCCAAGTCACCTCTTGAATGCTTTGCTGCTTAGAAACTTCTTCTACCAGATACTCTAAATTACCTCTCTCAAGTTCAAAGTTCCACAGATCTCTAGGGCAGGGGAAAGTGTTATCAGTTTCTTTGCTAAAACATAAAAAGAGCCACCTTTGCTCCAGTTTCCAACAAGTTCCTCATCTCTATCTGAGACCACCTCAGCCTGGAACTTATTGTCCATATCACTATCAAGATTTTGGTCAAAGCCATTCAACAAGTCTCTAGGAAGTTTCAAACTTTCTCACATTTTCCTGACTTCTTCTGAGTCTTCCAAACCATTCCAACCCCGGCTTGTTACCCAGTTCCAAAGTCAATTTCACATTTTTGGGTATCTTCTCAGCAGCGCCCCACTCTACTGGTACCAATTTACTGTATTAGTTTGTTTTCATGCTGCTGATAAAGACATATCCAAGACCAGGCAATTTACAAAGAAAAAAGGTTTAATGGAGAACTCACAGTTCCATGTGGCTGGGGAAGCCTCACAATCATGGTGGAAGGCAAGGAGGAGCAACTTCCATTTTAAGTGGATGGTGGCAGACAAAGAGCTTGAGCAGGAAAACTCCCCCTTATAATAGCCATCAGATCTTGTGAGACTTACTATCACAAGAAAAGCATGGGAAAGAACTGCCCCCATGATTCAATTACCTCTCACCAGGCCCCTCCCACAACACATGGAAATTCAAGATGAGATTTGAGTAGGGACACAGCCAAACCATATCAGATCTTTTAAATCTTTAATTGGAAAATAGGTGTTATTGTTGCATTCAGAATAACTCCTGTTTAGTCCATCTCAAAGTCAAAGCATTGACACTGCAAGTAGAAAAGAAGTAATACTACTTCTTACCAAATATATAACAGAAAAAGTCAGAGGCCAGTGTCAAAGGTGTGTCAATATGTAGAGAGATTCCTATATGCAGAAGTTTTGGATCCAGACCGGAAACTGCGTCATTGCCTGCCTGCTCTAAAGGGAACGAGGTCAATGATAATGTATCAGATGATTAGCTTGGATAAGACCAGGCTTCAGTGTCCATATTTTGGATAAGCTAATAAGCTCTTAATCCTCTGTCTCCCAGGCCTCTGTTTGGATGGTATTATATGATATGCATAAGGGGTTTATTTATCTATTTTATTTATTTACCTGATATATTTATTTATTTATTTGATATATTTATCTGATAAGAAGGATGACTCGTGTCTTATTTAGCCTTCAATGTTGTGTCTCTTCATTCTTACACTCAATTCTACTGCTTGTGTTCCATTCATTTACTTCATAAGACCCAGATTGACAAAGAGAAGGAAGAAAAGACATATGACTCCTATTAAAACTCGTCTATTATCCCAGAGTAACTTCTACAATAAAGTAATGGGAAAGAATATTGTTCAACTGATCAAATCCATATTTTAATTTAATTCTAACTACAGCCACTTACAAACTTTAAAAGTGGCCTCCACACAGACCTATATATTCAAAGACAAGCCACCTAAATGTGAAAATATGTGATTGCTGTGCAAATATTAAATTAGGATGAATAATTTAAGACTTAGCATGCTGCTTTTGAAAAGTTGCCAGGATAGGTCAGGTATTCCTTCCTAATTAAAATATTGATTGAAATATCATATCTACTTATGGATTTTATGACAAAAATAACAACAAGAAAGTGGTTTTCTGAATTTAGTTCATAATATTAAGTCTGTTTACTTTGAAACAGAAAAAAAGCTAAGACATACTTCAATAATAGTCCTTAAGTATAACTTATCTTTTTTGTTTCATCTAGTAGAAATAACTGGTTTTTTCCTTTATAAACTTAACACTTTACAAAACTATTATAAACCTGATGAACTACATATTGACATCTAGACAATGCTTGAAGATTTTTTAGTTGTCTTAGCTGGAGGTCTTAAAGACATATATGAATTCTTTAAATTGCCTTTTTATATGAAACAAACTCTTTCTCATTCATTTTTTAGTATTCCCAATTGTATGATTGTATTATTTGGCCAATAATTGTATTATTTGGCAATTTTACAGACACACATATGGTGTGTGTACGTGTGTGTGTATGTGTATTTGAACAGTGCTTTTCAAAAGAACATTTGATGACAACGGAAATATTTTGTACATGTGCTATCCAGTGTGATAGCCACTTAGCTAACACGTGGCTATGGAGTACTTGAGATGTGGCTAGTTCAAGTGAAAAACAAAATTTTTATTTTTATTTTATTTTAACTAAATTCAATGTAAACAGCCACACATAGCTAGTAGCTACCACACTGAAGACTGCAGCTTTACAGCATGACTTTAGATTTTGATTACCTGTAAGCTTCATTGACATAAGTGGTTTTATTCAAGTGATATTTAAACTTTAACTCTGGAATAGAAAGCAAGCAGAATTAACCTTTAGTGTCAGTTCTGAACTGTCCTATAACATGGATTAATTAATACATTTTGTTTATAAGAAATATCATTGGTTTCCTTTCTCTTTTTAGATTCAAAGTGAAGAACTTAAATGTCTATGGAAAATGACAAATTCTTAATACGTTCTGAACTTTACTGAAGGGAGAAAGATTTCCAGGTGCTGTTTAAAATAAAGCTTACCTAATTCTTTGCCCATTAGTTGGGAATGCGGAATGGTGAGGTTTACGGAGCAGTTCTTCCCCTTCAGCTTTAGAGATGATCCCCTTTCCCCAGCTGTTAGAGAAACTGCTCCCTCTCCACTCACCTTACAAGCACAATATACTGGCTGAGCACGATTCACTTCTGGGATATAGAATGATTCTAAAGGATCTGCTTTATAGTTTTCTTTCTCTCTCTGGAAAAGTTGTACTCAGAGAACCAGAAAGACTAACTCAGGATAGAGCTAGAATAGAGTGAAATCAAAGATCATTCTTCTTCACGTTCGAGTTAGGGAATGGGTTCGTGCCTTTCCACCCTTTCCACACATACGTCTTTCATATGGTGGTGGGAAAATTGACTCAGGATTCACTTTCAAAACATTGCATTCCTTACTCAAGAAGCTGATTCTTTTTTTGTACTTTAAAAGTCCTGAAATTTCACCCTGCGGTGTTAAAAGTTAGTCACTGTTCATTGGAATGTACTCGAGAGCTTAATGATTAGAATTTTGTGTTTTCTTTCTGTCATCCTGGGCTTAGAGCAAAGTACCCTGGATAAATGTTGACTCAGCTATATCTACTCCTTAAATTAAAGTGCTTTACTTTCTGTATCCCAACTTTTTAAAGCAAATACAGGAAACAACACAAGTGAGACAATTTCTGCATGTGCCATGGTTTCAAAATCAATAGCACTTCAACTGCCAAACAGGCTCTTTAAACTTTAATGAAGAATGGATTAGTTGGTAGAACAGGAGAAATTCAAGCCTATCACCAGTTATAGTAAAGGGTCCTTGCAACATTTCTTGAAACCTATTAAGTAACTTTTTTTGGTGCCCAGTGTTTCAATATCCCACATTTTAACGTCAGAGGTAGCTAAATTATTTCAAAGGAAAAGGCTGTCTTTTCATGATCACATACAAATCATTACACTGGAAATTCACAGACATTGCTGCAGTCCCTTCCTCCACCAGAGACTGCTGAAAAGGAAATTAGATTGCATTTTGAGTGAGCAGGAGGTCAGTGACACTTTATCTCCCTGATTTCATCTTTCATTGTCTTAAAACTACTTAAACTAGCACCAGACAGACAATGAAAATTAACATTTACATAGTAAACACTAAGATAATTCTGTAAGGAAACTCCTGCCTACACAATCTTAGAATAGATTTAGTTGCATAAAGAAAATAGCCTACAGTCAATAATAATTTATTGTACATTTTAAAATAACTAGAAGAATATATTTGGGATGTTTGTAACACAAAGAAATGATAAATGCTTGAGGTGATGGAAATTCAGTTCACCTTGATATGATTATTATGCATTGTATGCCTGTATCAAAATATCACATATACCCCATAAATACACACAACCAAGATATACATGTAAAAATTAAAACTGCAAAAAGAAAAAAGCCTGAAAACCAGGTATGAGTTTAATATTCTATTGTTTACATTTGAATCTAATTGAATTTTTTAAATTTTTTTAACTCCAAAAGGCCAACCAACTACATTTATATATATGTATATGTATATGTATAATTATTTTATGCATTTACTTGAAGAAATAAAGACATCACTTTAAACCAACAAAACTCCTTCACAGTTAATTTCTGGTCACCCAAGACACAATCTGATTCATTTAAAGGAATTTCTGTAAGTGAAGTTTTCACAAGGAAGTAAAGAATGAGTTGTCATTTCTGGGTCTGCTCATGTGATTTCCATTTATTTATTCATTGAAAAGATATTTAAATGGCACATTCTACAGGACAGATACTCTTGCAGTATTGTGTAAAAGGAGACAAATATAGCTGATCCCGTGAATATTCCATTCTAAGGGCAGGTATAAACAATTATATAAATAAAATATATAATGTATCAGTCAAGATTACTGTCACGATGAAAAATAGAGCAAGGTAGAAGGTAAGGGTATCATGAGCGTGGTGGTGGGTGGCTGCAATTTTAAATATGGTGACCAAAAAATTCCTCCTTGTGAAAGTGGCATTTATGATGTGAATAAAGAGAGGATGTGAGTCTTCCACACATCTAAAGAGAGACTATTCCAGGCAGGAAATAGCAATCGCAAAGCTCTTGAATGGAAGCCTGATATGAATACAGAATAGCAAGAAGACCAATGTGGCTGGAGCTGACTGAGCAAGAAAGATGGGATTAGGGGTGTCCGAGAGATGAATAGTTTGCCGGGGGAAGGCAGAGTTTATGCTTAGAGAGACTTTGGCCTTTAATCTGAGCCAGATCAGGAGACATGGAAGGATTTTTCTTTTTCTTTTCTTTTTTTTTTTTTTTTTTTTTTTTTTTTTTTTTTTTGAGACGGAGTCTCGCTCTGTCGCCCAGGCTGGAGTGCAGTAGCGCGATCTCAGCTCACTACAAGGAGACATGGAGGGATTTTGAGCAGAGTAGACCCATGACTTGACTTCTGTTCTAATAAACTAACTTTACATGCTGTGTTAGCAACAGGCTGTTAGAGAACCAAGGCAGAAACCACTGCAGTAAAATCCTAACAAGAGATGACACTTTTTTGAACCCACATCATAGTTTATAGAAGTCGTGAAATTCTGGATATATTTTGAAAATAGAGAAAACTTAAGTAGCAGACACATTTAAAGTGGGATATTAGCCCAGGAGCTAATCTAAGGTTTTTTCTGATCTTTGTCTATGCAATGCTTCTCAGACTGTCAAGTGGAGATGGTAGGTAGGAATTTAAATATATAAATCTGTAGTCAGAGCTGAATTCTAGGCTGAAGATTTAAATTGAGAGTCATCTGTTTATTTTAATCCATGAGGTTGAATGGAGAGCTCTCTGAGCTAGTGCTTGAAGGTAGCAAAGAGGAGAGGATCAAGAGTGATCCCTGGGTCACTCAAGCTTTTAAAGTTCAGAAAATCAGAAGACAAAAACCAATGCAACAGAGAAGGAGCGACCAGCCCAGTAGAGTCTATTGAGCTGAAGGGAAGAGAAGAGGGTGTTTCAAAAAGAGGGGAATGATCAACTGTGTTAAATGCACTGATAAATCAAGTACTGAGGGTTGAGAACCAACCTTTGAAATTAGCAGCTTATTAGAGACACTGACTACTGCAGCCTTGGTGAAGTCTGGTGTTGAAAGCTCATTAGAATATTAAAAGGAGCAGAGAAATGAGATGGTAGCTGTAGTGGCTTGTTGGATCAAGAAGTTTTGGGGTTTGTTTTTAACACAGAGAAAAAGAGTAGGATGGCTGAAGGAAATTTCTGAAGATATTAAAAAGTGATATCTAGTGCACAAGTGGAGGGGTTGGGCTCAGATAAGAGCAAGTACACAGCATGCATGATCACAGGAGGGAAAGCCAATGCATGGGCACCAAATGCAATGGAAGGAGCTGGGAACAATTTTCTGTTTGCTTATTTTTTCTCAGTGAAGATGGAATTACATTTATCAGCTAATGAAAACAAGAGCAGGAGCTGGAAATTTGAAAACCAATAATTATCCAAGGCAAAACATTTATGATGTTGCTTGGATTTCCCCTACAAATGAATTTCAAGAAACACTGTTGATTCCTCTTAAACTTTTTAAAGTTTAACATACCTTGAAAATTTTCCATTAGAAGTTTAAACATGGCAAAGAAAAATTTTTGGCATAAGATGGACATGTATAAAGTTTTTCATTACTTTAAAAATACATTCAATGGAATCTAAATAATACAGCTATTCCAAACCCTTCATTCACCACTTAAAAATGTATAGTATAAACAATATTTTCTCTATCAGAAATGTTAACATCATTTTCATTTCTCCTTGAAAAGGAACTCCAAAAGTTTAACCTATGGAGATATGCTTAGGCTTGAAAATATTTTGTTTCTCACGCTCTTATACTTCTCTATAAGAAAACTAAGTACACAAATAGAAATGTTTTAAAAAAATCTTACTGTGCTATAACTCAAGAGTATAGACATTCTCCTGGAATAAAAGAACTTTGAAAGTATTCCTATTCAATTGTTAAATGTGACAATAAATTATATATTTATCATATACTATATGTATATGTATATATTAGTATATATATGTATATATTAGTATATGTATATATGTATGTATACTAATATATGTATATATTAGTATATATATACACTAATATATACTATATTACATAACTATCAAACAGTGTATCAGAGCATTCTGGAAGGAGACACCATGACTGGGATAAAATCACAAGAGGTTTCTTGGGGGTGAAGTGGGGATGGGGTAAATAGCTAACACCTGTGAAAAATAAAAAGGAGAAGAAGAAGCATTGGGTGGGAGAGCCTCATACCACAGTGTATATCTGACAAAGTCTTGCCAAACCAATGGGAATAAAGAGCAAAAATTTCCCATGAGAGAAAGTCTGCACTAAGCAGCAAAGGCCAAGCCCCAGTAACCATCTTTCTCAGTCAGTGGCTGAGGGCTGCCTAGGATAAGCATGGTTTTTGCTGACCATAAAGCATCTGCTCCTGAAAGCACTGGCAGCTGCAGGCTGACCAATAGCTGCAAGTTGTGATGCTCAACAGCAAGTTCCTCCATGAAAAGAGATTCAAGCAGCACTTTTCCGTCACTGCCACAGACATAAAAGCTAAAATGTTACTGAAAATATGTTTTTGACAAAGTGGTCAGGTTTTTTGTTTCAAAGTCAATGTATTATGTATGGATAAATATTACTTTATTATTAGAATGATTTAGGTTTCAGTATCCATTACATTTTTGATGCTGGTAAACTTTAAGAAACCGTGTTCACATAAATAAGTGTATTTGTACCTCCTTTCAAATATGTATCAAACGTCAAATAGTTTTAAATAATTGAGAATTGTATCTAAAAATCTATCTGCTGACAGCTCAATTAGGCATTCCTTTAATTTTGTTGTAATTAAAAGGATTGGAAAAAATCCATGTTGCAATTTCTTTTTCGCAAATCATTAGTGTCCTTCACTTTCTCAGTGTCTAAGAAATATTCTAAAAATGTTTCACCAAGATTCATCAAATAACAATAAATATATCTATTTTGTAATCGAGACTTGCCATGTTGAACCTAAATCATGAGAAAAAAATTGAAAAATTCCAAATATTTTATTGTAGTCACCCCTTCTCTAACTTAATAACTTTCCTTTCTTTTCATGTTTGTGTTTTTGTTTTGTTTTGTTTTGTTTTTGAGACAGAGTCTCACTCTGTCTCCCAGGCTGGAGTTTAGTGGCACGATCTCGGCTTACTGCAAACTTCGCCTCCCGGGTTCAAATGATTCTCCTGCCTCAGCCTCCCGAGTAGCTGGGACTACAGGCGTGTGCCACCATGCCCAGCTAATTTTTTGTATTTTTAGTAGAGACAGTGTTTCACCATATTAGCCAGGATGGTCTTGATCTTCTGACCTTGTGAACCGCCCACCTCGGCCTCCCAAAGTGCTGGGATTTTAGGTGTGAGTCACCACGCCCGGCTGTGTTTTTGTTTTTAAGAGAGACACTCTGTCACCCAGGTGCTACAGTGCAGTGGCGTGATCACTGCTCACTGAAACCTGGAACTCCTGGGATCAAGCCATCCTTCTCCATCGGCCAAGTAGCTGAGACTACAGGTGCAGGCCACCACACCTGACTTACACTAAACTTAGAATTTTTTTTTATAATCATTCATTTTAAACATATTTGCATCAAAACTTTATAGCTATAGCTTTAGTTCATACAGTTTATGAAACATAATCATGGAATCTAATTGAACATAAAAGTTTTCATCTTCTAACCAAGTATTCAACTCTGACATATCTTTTTCAGGAAATTTTGACTTCATTTTTCAATTCAAACATACATTTAATGCATATTCTTGTGACACCTATTTCATTCTCAGTTCTAGTTCTACGATACATAAATAGAAGGCATAGGCTCTTGCCATAAATTTTTTCTTTGGATGAACAAGGCAATGCCACCTTCAATTTCTTACAAAACTGTAACTCAGTGTCAAGAGACAGTCCCTCAGGAGCAATTCTTTCTTTGACAATAGCAAGAAGAGAAAGAGGTGAGGTAGTTATATAAAAATTGCCAGTACTTCTGCCACAGCATTTACAATACATTACTATATGTCTGATTTTAGAATACGTCACTGTTAGCCAAACTTTACTGTTTCTAACACTATATATTGTCCTTAGAATAATGTCAAAAAAATCAACACATGTATCCCAACAAGGTGCCTTGGTCGTAGTAGGCTTCTTGTGACCAAGGTTTTAAATTCTAAAATCATCACTTAGTTTGGTGTCCCACAGTTTTATCTATGGAGTGAGGCAACATGGTAAGATTCAGGATGGTTGTGAGAGGGACCTTTTATCAAATGATAGAGGATATATGTGAGATGGAATAGGAAAAGAAAACCTGCCTACTGCTTATATGATAAGCATGTTCTTAGATCATGCTTAGGAAGAGTACACATGGAAGATCTGTACCTGCAATTGATCTGTTTAGATCTATCTATGTCATGAAAAATCTTTGTTTACTACTTGGGATATACATTGGTCTAGAAGACAGGGTGAAAGAATATTTTAGAGTCCTTGTTCTCAATTCATAAGGCTTTTATGTGCCCCCTGCCAGCCCACCCCCAACAAGGGTATGTTTGGCAATGTCTACAGACACTTTGGTTATTGAAAGCCGGAGATGCTACTAAACATCCTACAGTGCACGGGACAATCCCAATAACAAAGAATTATTTAATCCAAAATGTCAATAGTGCCAAGACTGAGAAACTCTATTTTAAAGCCTCATCAGTGGAAGTGAGGCCCAAAAGCCAGCCTCATCAGTATCACCTGGAAATGTGTCAGAAATAAAAAATGTGCAGTTCCATATTATTCACGTTCCTCTTAAAATTTGCAGAATTTACTAGGCAAATGCAGCAGAATTTCCACCACTGCAGCAATGGTCCACTTCTCACCCATGTCCAAAGTACAACGGCAAATTGTTTTTTTATACGCTTAAAAATTTTATTTTCCTTCTTTCAGATTTGTAGAAAATCTGACTAAAATATTTTTGTATTAACTAAAGATAAGCGTCGTTCTCATGCATCTTTAAACAATAATAATGGATTAGTTATAAAATAAAGCCATTTTGAAACGACAAATTACATTTAAGATAAAGACATCCATTATAACAGAAAAATAGTAACCTTTTGTTGGCTTTTCATTTAAAGACCAAATTGAATTTAAATTTTTTAGGCTACTGAAAAAGACAAAACACATCTGCTAACACATCTGCCTCATATCCAATTTACATGTAAACATTGCTGCTATCCCCATTTTGTTTTGGGTGGTTTGTTTTCTCACAATTCAACACAAGTTCTCATGCTATAATACTAATTTTTTCTGCCTTTTAATTTAGAATCTTTTCAACTAAGGCAGATGAAGAGGGGTAAAGCACATAACAATTATCAAACTAAAATATTGCACATTTATTAAGATAAAATACCAGTTAAAGCTGAATTCATAATAATAACTCATTTTCACCCTCTTCCAAACTATTCTCTGGTGATAAAAGTCATTAGGACTATTTCAGGTTGATACAATAGCAATTGAAAAATTATAATTTCTGTTCAATAAAATGAGCACTGAATTCTATGAAGCTAGTAGTATCCCAGCCTTTTCCAGAAATGTCTAATATACACAAGAGGCCTTTACTTTTTAAGAAAATTTGGTATGGTAGAGAATATTATGATTCACTGAAAACTATGGTGTCTTAAAAAGAGTGGAATCTGTTCCAATTATTGAAAGTTTTCTTTCCTACTAGTCTATAGCTACCAGCTATGACAGAATTCCATGGGGATAAAGTAAATGTTACATCCATTTCAAAATCTTTTTTGTAAAAATATTCTACAGCAAAAAACATTTTAAAAACTCATTTAAAATTATCTTTATTGTCTACCTTACCATATTCTTATTCAAGACTTTCGTTCATCATCTTATGCCTCAGTTGCTATAATTAATTTATAACTCCTTTCTCTAACTTTGGGTCCTTCTGCTGCCAACTCTTTTGTGTACCTTAGCATGACTTGAAACACGGTACTACTCTTCTAAGAACACACGTGTACCCTTCCTTAAATTGATCGAAGAATGTGCCTGCCATGCAGGCTTCTCTCTGACTCTCAAACCTCTCCATTGTGTAGCTGCAATGTATTCATCTAGCCTAATTCACATTAACTGTCCCCAACCTTGTTTGAAACATGCTATCTAGTTTTCTATCCCATACATATCATATCAATTTATCTATAACCTTGTTACTAGTCCTCCCACCCTCACTCTGGAATACTCTGGCTTCTTCCACAGATGGAAAAAACCATAGTCTAAATCATATGGTCTGAATCACAGTCATTAATACAAGGCTGGCTCATAGCTCATGTTTCCCATGAAATCTTCACTGGATGATCTAATAATGGTACATAATAGCATTCGTCTTTTGTAAACTTCTTCAGCAGTAAATATGCTACCAAATATATTGCATAATGGAAAAAATGTTTTTTTGTTTTATTAGTATTTATTTTAAATGTTACTTATTTATATTATCATTTTATTAGTCAATACGGTACAACTATGACTAAGTGTATAGGCTCTAGTTACATCTACTGTGAAATATTGTTTTTATCATTGATCTAGCATAACCCTAAAGTAAATTACATTTTTATGTATTGATTTTTTTTTTCATTTTTGTGACTGTACCTAACTGGTAGGCTCATTGTGAGTAATAATAACTTGGTGTATAAAAGGTGTTTGTCAGAGCAATAAGCACTCAAATCTGTTATCTATCATTATTATCATCACTATCATTATAATCATCATAATCATCTCTCTAATAGAATATAATCTCATGAAATGCAGAGGCCAATTTTTATACTTGCCCTGGAATTCTATGGACATAAATGCTGAGCACATTGTGGGTCCTAATGAATATTCAATTATTGATTCATTTTATTTTTATTTGCTTCTACTGCCTATTCTGCTCTGAAATTGTTCTACTCTACTCACCTCATTTCAGGTCCCATTATTTTGTATTGTAAAATTCCCAATATTTGTTTTCCCTTGAAGACAATGTGCATTTTTATTAGAAAAATATTGTAAGCTGGACACTCTGCATATATTCTCATTAGTTCATGTCTTCTACAGACAGATATCAGTCTCAAGTATTATCTTAATCCCTGTAGAATACAATCTGTTTACAACAAGCTTCAGAGCAATGAAACATTTTATTCTTGTCATATTTTATTTTAGGATAATAATAAGTATTGTAAGCCAGTTCTCTAAGGATTTTTTTCAACTATAATAATGCAGATAAATTAATTGCCAGTATTTGCCTTGATTGATTTTCACCTTGTTCTAAATGCAGAGAATATCACCTTATTTTAGATTTGAAGGAATTTCTTAGAGGCTATCTGGTACAACTCTAGCCCTTTACAAATGTGGAAGCTGATTATATCATTTATTTTTCTGAGTCAAATTTACCCGGTAGCTTTTGACTCCAGAGTATGTTTATTCTGATTGATCTCCAAGTTATATACTGTTAACAGCAAAATAGTTTAACAATTAAATTTATAATTCCTTCTGATCATGTATTATTTTCTGAATTTGATTAAGTTTCAAAAGGTAACCTGATTGTCAGTGTTACAGCTCCTTTAAGATAAGGTTTGTTTTTGCCTAAGTTGGTTGATGAGCCAGGTGGCATGGTAAAATGTGCATACAAGGAATTTTACATGACCGAAAAACAAAATATATTATAAAAGGCCTATTGATTGAAACTCATAATAATTCCCCAGGTGAGAAAGAATGGATCTCCTTTACACACACACACACACACACACACACACACACACACACAGAGAGAGAGAGAGAGAGAGATAGAGAGAGACACACACCTGGAGTTGGAACAAAGATTGTTGTGGGAATCAGTGAAGATTGGTATTCTAGTTAGGTTATTGTTGTAGTAGGGGAACGAAGTTACATCTAACTTGAGTAAGATGATGGAGGTTAGTAAGAAAAAGTTATTGAATGTGTATGTGAGCAAATAAAGAAAACAACTATAATTAGAAACTAGGAAGCTGTTACAGCCAATTGTCATCGAGGATTGGATGTAGTTTGGGAAAATGAATGAATTCATGTAATTCTAGGAACATTGTCAAAAGAAATTAAGGATCTTCACTTCAGGGCTCATCAAGAATGTGATTCTGCCCTTCATCCTCAGTACCAAAATGTGTGTTAGGATTTTCCAGAGAACAAAACAAATAGGATATGTGTGTGTTTACATGTGTGTAAGTATGTAAGATTTATTTTAATAAATTGGCTCATGTGATTTTGGAGGCTTAGCGATTCCAAAACCTGATGGGGTAGGCTGGCAAGCTGGAGTTAGAGTCCACAGGGCAGCTTCTGTAGAATTTCCTTTTGCTTGGGGAAGTAGTCTATTGTTATATGCAAGCCTTCAACTGATTAGATGAGGCTGACCCATATTATGAAGGGTTACCTGCTTAACTCAAAATCCAGGGATTTAAATGAAAATCTCATCTAAAAAACACCCTCAACAGAAACATCCAGAATAATGTTTGACTAAATATCTTGGCACTGTCATCAAGCCAAGTTGACACATAAAATTAACCATCACAGGAATGAACCAATGTAATTCCAGGAGCACTGTCAAAAGAAATTGAAGACCTTCACTTCAGGGTTCATCAAGAATGTAACTTAGCCCTTCTGACTGCGTCTGTTCCCTAGCCCCACAGAAAGTGCATATTGTTTCATTTTTCAGTCATTTTATTTTTCTTTTGTTGTACACACTTTTCTTCTCATCAGTACCATCTTAATAAGAATTAGAAAAACGATGCAGTGTGTAAGTAAATGAACTACATAATTTATCACCTATCAGTAGGGTCAGTTTTGAAAAGAAGTGTCCCATTCACCTGTGTCCTTATCATGGCTAAAAATGTGGCCAGCAAAGGTCTGGCTGGACTCAATGGCCTATTGCTCCCTTACTGCATGATCTCATAGATTCATCTTACTTCCTCATGGTTATTAAGTCCTCATGACTTTGACTTATCATGCCATCTCGTGACTGTAAAGCTACTCACCCCACCTTTCTTGTTAGTTTCAATCTCTACAGCTAGTCGTTCCACTGTATTTTTAGGTCAAAATCCTGAGAGAAAACTTAGTCAACCTTATCTTTTGGAGCTTTGTCATAGCATTGGGTACTCTAGTGTGAACTATGGTCAGAAGCTAGGAGTGGAGTCACTTGGTTTTTCTGAAGAAGATATTTGGGTCTATGACTAAATTTCCAGTAACAAAAGTTTTAAGGTCAATACTGAACCTTATAAAATACATGGAACTTCTTTGGGACTGCTTTAGTAAAAAAGAAAAAAAAAATCTTCTTTACTTGCTTAGGAAACTTTCTTACACCTAACCAAGAAGATTTTTTGTTCTTTTTTTAAAGAGACCATACTCACCTTCCCAGTATTGTTCCAATTTTAGTATATGTGCTATCGAAGCGAGCACAGAAGACTTTCTTAAGATTCCAGATGCCAGAACACATAGAAGTCAATTCAAAAATGTACATTTAAATAGATAAAAATTGTGAGTCCTTGGTTAATTTCAGACCCTTCTATTATGAGGAGATT
This sequence comes from Homo sapiens, assembly GCF_000001405.40. Lineage (NCBI taxonomy): Eukaryota > Metazoa > Chordata > Mammalia > Primates > Hominidae > Homo > Homo sapiens. Next base: position 84,739,819 of record NC_000014.9, on the reverse strand, counting down.
CTGCTTTGGCATACAGTAACTAGAGCTGTTGCTTTATAGGGTAGTCATTTTTTTTTTTTCTTTTTTCTTTTTTTTTTTTTTTTTTTGAGATGGAGCCTGATTCTGTCACCCAGGCTGGAGTGCAGTGGCGCAATCTCGGCTCACTGCAACCTCTGCCTCCCGGGTTCAAGCGATTCTCCTGCCTCAGCCTCCTCAGTAGCTGGGATTACAGGCGTGTGCCACCACATCCAGCTAATTTTTTGTATTTTTAGTAGAGACAGGGTTTCATCATGTTGGTCAGGCTGGTCTCCAACTCCTGATCTCATGATCCACCTTCCTCAGCCTCCCAAAGTGCTGGGATTACAGGCGTGAGCCACCTTGCCTGGCTGTCATTTCTTATTTCATTGTCATCCACAGAAGATTGTTCCTTCAGTGAAGTTATCATGAGGACAGTCCCTAACTGGGCTGTGGACTGCAAGGAGATGTGAATAACTTACATAGTTCTAGAGATAGATGTAGAAAAAAGTATATTTTTTGTTAATCTATCAGTCATAGCACAATACTTCTGATACCAGGTGTGTAGGTTTTCTTTCCCAGATGTGTATGTTATTTTCCCCACACATACCGCAAGCAATTATCTGGCAAATAATTACTTTCACTAGCTAGATGTTCTCTAACCAGAGATTATAGAATCAGATCCCATAAAGTTAAGGGCTCAGTCTCATATGACTGTCTCCACTTCAGATGCCAGTTGCAAGCATGGGCTATGACATATGCTTCTAACCAGCCAGGTTTGATTAATTTGCTAGAGTGGCTCATGGAACTCAAGGAAATATTTATCTTTGTTGGTTTATTGTAGAGGATAGTACAAAGATACAGATGAACAGCCAGATGGAAGAGATGCATTGGGAGAGGTACGGGAGAAGGGGCTCAGAGTTTGTATGTCCTCCCCAGATACACCACTTTTCAGGAACCTCCACGTGTTCTGCCATTCAAAACCTCTTTGAACTCAGTCCTTTTGGGGTTTTATGGACACTCATTAAGTGGGCACAGTGGATTAAATCATTGGTCATTCGTTTGTTTGTTCAAACTTCAGCCCTCTTTCCCTCCCAGGAATTTGGGGATTTAACTGATAGTTCCAACCCTCTAATCACACGGTTGGTTCCCCTGGCAGACAGCCCCCACTATGAGGTCATCTAGGGGCTCCCTGCCCCCAGTCATCTCATTAGCATACAAAAGACCCCCATCACTCCAGAGAGTCTAAGCATTTTTAGGAACTATATGCCAGGAAATGGAGATGAAGACCAAATATATATTTCACAATATTGCATTGGTAAAACAAGTAAAACTTATTTCCTGGGACATCAGAAAACATAATTGGTAACTTGAATGAAGTTAGCATACAATTTTGAACAGTCCAGCATCAGTCATAAGTAAGTCATATGATACACTCTTGTTTAGGGATAAAGCACTGTGTAAGTGGATTTTTGAAAATACAATCACATCTTCCTTTTACTGAAATTCTACTTTTTACATATTTACTTTTATTCCAGATGATATTCATCACTGTGTGCCAGATGAATAATAAACAGTGTTAAAAAGTAAACTGAGACACAATAAAATGCTAAGGAGTTTATTTGAGTAAGAAGCAATTCATAAATTGGGGCAACTCCAAACCAGAAGTGGTTCAGGAGCACCACCAAGGGAATGCAAGGAGCAGGCTTTTATAGGATGGACACAGAAGTAAAGCAAAGAAAATATTTGATTGGTTACAGTTATAAAGTGGCCTTATTGGTCTGCCCCATTGAAACGTCTCTGGTTATATAATTATGGTTGTTGGCTACTTCTGATTGGTTGAGTTTATGTTCTGTTTTTCTTTAATAAAGGCATTTACAAGAAAAAACTCAAGTTAAGTTTTGCTTATGTTTGCAAGTCAAGCAATGTTTAGGTCACTTATGAAACCTAACTGTTTTTGTCTGCTCAGGAGTTCTTCATGCCTGGTCTCTGTTTTAATTTACTTTAACAACAGTAGTATGTTATTATCACTTACACCCTTTCTAATCCTCAGAACTACTTCAAAATGTTGGATGTATTCCCATTTTATAGAGGAAGGAAATGAAAATCTGCTAATTAAATTTCTCACAACGTGGAAACAATATCCAGGCCCATATCTAACTTTCAATTTATGTTATTTCACTAAATTATGTCGCCCTCTTTTTCCATGTATTTAGAATAAAAAAAGGAAAAAAAAATAGGAAAGTTGTTGGCCAATTGACACTTGTGGCATATAGGATGCATCAATTGCATACTTTGGATTGATCATAAAATTACTTACCTTTCAATTCCCCTTCCAAGTAGAAAAAGAATATATCTTTTTACTCTCCTACCATTATCGGGTACTTGAAGTCTAAAGGAGTGTGTTTAACATGCATTTGCTGAATCAAACATTTGATTGGCTGTCTGCTGTTCATAAGGACCTTGAAGAAAGTTATTTGGTGGAAAATGCCTTAAATGAATTCAGGAACTTCAATATGAAGGAAAGATGCAAAAGAAAAATAATGAAAATAACGCTCTAAAGGCTTTTCTAAGACTGACTCGGCTTTTCCATTTGTGTACTATATACGATTTTACTAGAATGTTCAAAATTAAACCACATTAAAGCAATCAAAGCACTCTTAGAATTTGCTCAGTAATAGTGATTGGGACTTGAAGATACAGCTGGTTTTGGTTAAAAACTGACTCTTGAAAATTATTTGAAGTAAATGAAAAGTTAAAAAAATATTTTTTTAATTGTCCGTGTTTTAGAACATTAACATATTGTGTGATCAAGTGAGACGTGTGACACACAATAAATTGCTATCATTTTAAAATTCAGTCTCCCTTTGAATACACAGATACTGAAAGGCCTGACAATTTGGCAAAGCTGTTTTATATCAATCAATTATTGCCAGACTTTGCTCTCCATATGCCAGCACTTTTCTCCCTCATTTTGCTCCTGGTTATACAGGCAGCCAAATTATAGATAATGCCTTAATCCCCACCTTCATCCCCTCTTCTACTCCTCCTTTCATTCAGTGTGTTTTGTTTACCAAATTCAAGATCTAATATGAAGGAAGTTTAGACACGTTATACCATGAATGGACTGGCTTTGAAGACAGGCCCTTAGCTGAATTGGCTCACACCCCTTTTTCCAGACCAATATACTTGTAAACTGCTCTAAGATATGCTAAACTGAAGAAGTGAGCAGATTATAATGGAGTAAACCAAGAATATTAGCTTAACCTTGAATATGCAATTAATGCCAGATTAGTTATTGCATTTTATTATACGTAAGTTATGATTCAGATGATATGGCAAACACAACAGGGACTCAATATACTTATACTGATGATTATGATGATGAATCTTAAAAAATAGCAAAACCTAAATTACAACTTGCAAGTATTTTCAAATTCTCAGGGACAAGAAAGAATGAAGAAATAAACCATTATACATATTCTATTTCATATTTTTGGACTGGCTGCAAAAAGAACTGTAATTTGCCAAAAGCATATTCTTTCTTTTGGAATTTGCATTTTCTCATTTCTTTCTTTCTTTCTTTTTTTTTTTTTTTGAAAAGGAGCCTTGCTCTGTTGTCCAGGTTGGAGTGCATTGGCACGATCTCGGCTCACTGCAACTTCCGCCTCCCAGGTTTGAGTGATCCTCTTGCCTCAGCCCCCTCATAGCTGGGACTACAGGCACACACCACGACACCCGGCTAATATTTGTACTTTTAGTAGAGAAGGGGTTTTGCCATGTTGGCCAAGCTGGTCTTGAACTCCTGACCTCTGGTGATCCAGCTGCCTTGGCCTCCCAAAGTGCTGGGATTACAGACATGAGCCACAGTGCCCGGTCTGCATTTTCTCGTTTGTTTTATTGGGAGCCTCATTTCCCCCCCACCCCACCACATTCTGCATTTGTTACTCAAAAGTCTATGTTTAGTTATCTGAGATCTTTGTCAAATGGATCAGTTCTGTCTTCTTTCCTGAAGGAACCTTCAAGTATTCCTAATTTCTTGGTGGAAATGCTCTGTTCTTTATTTTATCTTGCTCATTTTCACCCTGATCTCTGTCCAACAATCCTTCTTGCTTCACCCATTAATTCTACAATTGGGGTGCCTCTTGACCTATGAGCGTTCACTCTGTGGTTATGCCATGCCTTTTGCTCTGGGAGGTCAACTTGTTGACCAGCTGGTCAAATGCATTGAACAAAACTCTAAATAATAGTTTATTTCCCTTTTCCTGATACTGAGACATGTAAAAAGCTTGGTGAAAACAGATTCTGTTTCTTTTTGGTTTTGTTTGTTTGTTTGTTTTTGTAATTTGTTATTTGCCACAGTCTTCCAACCTCCCAAAGTGAACCAATAACAACTTTTATATATTTACACCCTAAGAAAGGAATTCCTGTTCACATTAGCACAGAAATGTGTACCCTAACTGAAAGAAAATTGGCATAATTTCAGCTTAGTTCCCTATTTATAATTGCTTACCTGATCAAGAAAATCTCATTTTCTCAACGTGCTCAAACATGCTGAAAATATGTAAGAAGATGGAATTCCTATCACTTCTTTAGGTTAGAAGCTAAAGTTAAATGCTATTACAGGTTAGACAGCATTTCAATCTTTCAGCACTTCAGTTTATGCTACAATATCTGCTTAATTCTTGAATAATTTATGAATGTGATCTCTCTCTCTCTCTCTGTCTCTTTTTCTTTGTCCGTGTACGTGTTTCTGTAAAGATTGTATGTAAAATTCTTTTGAAATGTATGTTTTCTAAAGATATCCTACCTTCAGGAACATTTTTTATTTCTGAAAAACAAAACCCACAAGAAATGCATCTTTTTGTCTAAAAAGCTGTTAAATGCCCTAATAAAAAGTGGAAAATTAAGTTACTTTTTGAAATATTTATGGCTATCTAGCCACTTCAAAACACAAAGAAACATGGAAATGTGATTTTTAAAAAAATTAATATCTGAATGTTTTGTCATCAAGTAAAGTGAAATTCTTTTTTTTTTTTTTTAAAAAAAGGATAACCTTCATATCAATATACTCACTTCTCTCATAGTTTCAGTATTTTTTTCTCTTGCTTGTAAAGTTGTGTGAAACCAAGCTGAGGTGTAAATAGTAGGTAGAGGAAGCAGGCAGAGAATGACATAGAATCATGCTAATAATAGTATTTTTTATGTTTTGGGTTTTAAACAAAGAAAAAAGTAATTATTTTATTAGGAGAATAGGTTAATGTATAAAAACATCACTTAGTAACTATAAGAAATTAGAGGCTTCTTTTTCCATTTAGGTTTTAAAACAACTTAATATATAATTTTACGCCTAAAATAAAAATAATAAATTATCTACTATCACTAACACTGTAAAACAGGACTGTTAATGACATTTTTGTGCTTTCAATTCTACAAAACAATAATTCTCTCTGCTCTGAGGATATGCCAAGACCACAAGAATCTGAATGCCACGGAACACCTGCAAACCAGGCAAGAAGGAAACAAAGAATTCCAAAAGTCAGAATTTTCTTCATTTGCCTTTTTGCTGTGAAGTCTATTTAAGTACTGTTAGTTTATTCCTTTAAATGGCAACACTTTAAAATATAGACACATTGAAATAATTCATTAAAATCATTTAAACCTACATAGTTTGACTAGAAAGAGGCCACAATTGAGCTAATATTAAGTGTCAGTAAATGTAGAATAAATGATGGAAGTATATGTGTATGTCAGGTCTTTCTTCAAATTGTTGTTTGAAACAAATGGTTTGTTTAACTCAATGCGTAGTGATAGAAAAGAGTTAAGTAATTTTTCTGGACAATGTTGGAAAGAGAATTTGGTTTAAAGGCCACAGCTGTGAGGCTAACAGCAGTCGAAATAATTGGAGCTAAATCTTAATGTGTGCATGTGTGTGTGCACAAACACACATACAGAAAATGGGAGGGAAGCAGAGGGGATTTGTTTTTTCTTATGAGAATCATTTTCTTGGATACATTTTATCCCTTCTTTCATCCTGAAAGTCTTGGTGAAAGATAACTTTCCCCTTTTGGAGAGCAATAGTTGACCAGATTATAAAAATGGAAATGCAAGGAATCCTAGCTGTAAGTCAGAAAGATATGGTAGCCAATTAAATCAAAGTGATCCATGAACCTCAAAAGAAGATGATAATGATAAAATAAATGTGTCATATTCTAAGCAGTCTGTAAGTAAATTAACCTATGCAGGCCAAATAATTCCTCTGCAAAATTGGGGATAATGAAGTTAAAGTCAGTAAGTGGGAAAAGTGTCTGGTACACAGTAGATGATCAGGAATTGATCTCTCTAATGACAGTAAGAATTACTCTTATTAGTGGTAGTAGTAATAACAATATACTATAAATATATTTATATTTGTATCTCACTTTTTCTTCCAGAGAGGTCTTGGAAATGCATATTTTTTTTTCATTTTGCATGTAAAAAATTAAGACATTTCACCTTTGATTAGGGAGTTAAAAATTGAGACAGTTAAGGTGACTTGGACAAAAATAATAAGTTTGTAGATTATAAATAGGTTATTTAATATAAATTATAAATCATGTAAATTAATAAGCAAATATTTATAATTTATTAATAAGTAAACAAGTCAATATGATGGGATGCTATATCCCATCTTTTTCTGTCTCTCCCCTTCTCTGCCTGAGATCAGTGGGGTTATTGATTATGTGGCAGTGAGCTCAACTTTGAGTCCCTTAGACCAAATTGCCACTTAGATTGTGATTCTCATTCCAGCATCTTCAGTATTACAAGGAGCATGTTAGGAAAGCATAATCTCAGGCTCACCCCAAACCTACAAAATCAGAGTCCCGACTTTACAAGATCTGTTGATAATCCATTTAGGCACATTATAGTTTGAGAAGTGCTGTCTTAGAGCACTAGTTCTCAAACCTAGGTATTAGTCAGAGTTAAAAAAAATCCATAGTATAGATATCAATAATATAGATATAGATATATAGAGTGAGACATATTATAAGAGAATGGCTCATGCAGTTACGGAGACTGAGAAGTCTCACAATCTGATCTACAAACTGGATACCCAGGAAAGCTGGTAGTGTATTCTAAGTCTTGAGAGCCACAGAGTCATATAGATTCCATACTGAGTCTGCAGGACTGGGACAGGGAACACTGAGAGCAGAATATCAACATCCCGGCTCAATCTGTCAGGCAGAGAGTGAATTCAAACTTCCTTCACGTTTTTGTTCTACTCAACCTCTCAACAGATTAGATGATACCCAATCACATTGGGAAGGGCCATTTACTTTACTGAATCCACCAACTTAAATGGTAATTGTATTAGTCAGGGTTCTCTAGAGTGACAGAACCAATAAGATAGTTAGATGTAGATAGACAGATGAGAGGGCATTTATTAGGGAAATTGATTCATATGATTATGGAAGTTGAAAGGTCCTATAACAGGCTGTCTGCAAGCTGGAGACCTAGAATGCTGTTAGTGTGGCTCAGTCCAAGTGTGAAAGCCCGGGAAACCCAATGGCATGACTCTCAATCTGTGGCCAAAACCCTGAGAGCCTAGGAGCTGCAGGGTGGAGCCCAGGACATTGGTACAAGTCTGTTAAAGCAAACTAAATATGGCCTGAGAAGGACTCTGTACTTCTATAGGTGAGTCCTTGGGGAGGAACTGTGACCTAGCTTAATAGGCAGACAAGACTGAAAACCTAATTTACTGTAATCCCAGCATTTTGGGAAGCCAGGGCAGGCAGATCACATGATGTCAGGAGTTGGAAAACAGCCTGGCCAACATGGGAAAACACCACCTCTACTAATAATACAAAAAATAAGCCAGGCATGGTGGCAGGCACCTGTAATCACAGCTACTCGGGAGGTTGAGGCAGGAGAATCGCTTGAACCTGGGAGGTGGAGGTTGCAGTGAGCTGAGATAGTGCTACTCTACTCCAGCCTGGGGGACAGAGTGAAACTGTGTCTCCACAACTACAACGACAAACCCCAAAATTTAGGATTATGCACATGTAAGAATGGCTGTTCTTGGCCAATGCCAGTGGCCATACTTCAACCACTCATAGAGTGCTAAGTGTTCAAGTTGTGTTCAAATAAGGCAAATGTCAACCTGTAACCAGTCCAGCTGTTTCTGAACCTCACTGCCGATTTCTGTACGTCACTTCCTGTTTTTGTCCATAAATTTGTACTGATCACGAGGCATCCCTGGAGTCTCTCTGAATCTGCTGTCATTAAACTCCTTTAAATTTAATTTGACTGAAGTTTTTTATTTTAACAAGTCCCAGAGTCTTAAGGTTGGAGAATCTGGAGTTCTTATGTCCAAAGGCAGGTGAAGGGTGTCCCAGCTTTAGAAAAGAAAGAGAGAGAATTCCCCTTTCCTCTGTCTTTTTGTTCTATCTAGACTTTCAGTCAGTTAGATGGTATATATTGAGGGCAGATCTTCCCCACTCAGTTCACCAAATCTCCTCCAGAAACATTCTTAGAAACATACCCCCGAATAGTGCTTTACCAGCTATCTATGTGGTCCTTAATCTGGCCAAGTTGGCAGCTCAAATTAACCATTACACTAATTTTATGTGGAAATGCCCTCAAGACACACCCAGAAATAATCAGACATCTGGGCATCCTGTGGCCCAGTCAAGCTGACAGATAAAAATAACTATCACATCAAAGAATTTTTTCTAATGCCGTATCTGCCTTAGACTGAATAGATCAGAATTTATGAAGGTGGACCAAAGCATCAGTATTGTGTGTGTGTGTGTGTGTGTGTGTGTGTGTGTGTGTGTGTTTCCTTTAATGCCCTGGTAATTGTATGTACAGCTTGTGGTCTTTGCAAGTGGGTGAATTAAAAGAAAGTGTAAACATGGAAATGATGCAGAACACGTACAAAACAGCTGTCTAGGTAGCCAACTTCCATGATTGAAATGGGACAGCAAAGCATAAAACAGAACGAGTATTTGCTATACAAAGAGTAAACTGCGATTACAGGACTTCACATGGCTGAGAACTGCTTCTGTCTTCTTAATTAGGTGCAGCACACTCCTGGTATAAATGTTTCTCTAATCCAACACCTCCTGCTCAGATCTTCAGTCCCCTTTGCAGATAAGAGGGTCTTTTCTCTCTTCCTTGTATCCTCCACAAATCCCAACTAACCCAGCGACTTGTTGTTACTCTAAGCCTCACCTTAAAAGAGGCCATCTCGGCTCATTGCACCTGCGATAGCAAGTTTTGCAGCCTTATAAAATTTTTTCTGTTTCTTCAGAATGTCTTTCAATATTTTAATTATAAATTTATTTATATGACTGCTTACCTTTCATAAACCCAAATGTCCAAGAGGGCACAGACAATGCCTTCTATGTTCAGAGTGTATTTACAAGTAAGAGTTGGACTCTATCTTACTAAAATATGAAAATATTAAGCTAAGATATAAATTCAAGAACATGGCCGGGCACAGTGGCTCACACCTGTAATCCCAACACTTTGGGAGGCCGAGGCGGGCAGATCACGAGGTCAGAAGATCGAGACCATCCTGGCTAACACGGTGAAACCCCGTCTCTATTAAAAATACAAAAAATTAGCCAGGCGTGGTGGAGGGCACCTGTAGTCCCAGCTACTCAGGAGGCTGAGGCAGCAGAATGGTGTGAACCCGGGAGGCGGAGCTTGCAGTGAGCGGAGATCGCACCACTGCACTCCAGCCTGGGCGACAGAGTGAGACTCCGTCTCAAAAAAAAAAAAAAAAAAAAAAAATTCAAGAACATTCACTGATGCACTGCTGTAATAAAATAAATTAGAAAATTACTTAAATTTTTATCAGTAGTGAGACAGTTAAATTATGGAACTCAATGAAATCCAAGGCAACCATTAAAATTAATAAAGTAGATATATATGAATGAACATGGAAAGATATCCATGATATATATACATATATTTTAAAGCAATTTGCAGAAAAATTTATAAAGTCTGATTCTACTTTATGCTTAAATTGCATATGTTTCACGTAAATGAAAGTGTAAAAACACATTCACAGGCACATACATGTATATCTTCTCTCAGGCATGCTGGTTTACTTTCTATCCCTCATGTCTGCCAACACTATTTGTAAGGGTCTTTGTGGTTGTTGCCTAAAACAAAAGATTTTTACCTCCCTTTTATTGGTTAACTCCTGTTTTTCCTCCAGATCTCAGCTCATTGTTGAAATCAATAATAAATACCTTGCCCAATACACCTAATCACCTCGCAATCCTCTTACTGCATTTCCTTGTATCGTGAGTAGCTCTCCTTTGTCACACTTACCCCAATTGCAACTTGACAATCACTCCCAGGACTCCTGGAGCGTGTTTATCACCCTGCCTAGGGGAATCTCTGGGAGGCTGCAGTGTGTGTTCATGTTTCACCCTTTTATCTTGAGAGCCTAGCTCATGTCAAGCATGCAGTAGAAGCAAAAATTATTATTTGAATAAAGCATGAAGTAATGAATTCTCGTTCTCCATTCCACATTTGGGGATAGCTAGTCTCTTGTTATAAAACTTGCTCTGGTTATGTAGCTAATAAATACCATGCTAGAATTTAGACCAAACATAACCTCATTCTAAAGCTCGTGATCTGAACCAACAGTAAATTACCAAGTTAAAGTTTCCAAATCAGATTTTACTGAAGTATAAATGCTAAAAATCAGGAAACAACAGGAAGCATTTAAGAAAGAATTCTCTTTCTTTCTCATGGACACCATGGGGAGGATTATCACTATGATCACTATTTGGAGAGGAATGAGAGGGAGACTGATAATCTTCTAATAGATGATCAAATAATAACCTGTCTTAGTTCATTCAGGCTGCTGTGACAGAGCACCATAGACTGGGTGGTCAACAGAACCTTATTTCTCATGGTTCTAGAGGCTGAGGAATCCAAAATCTGATGTTTGGTGAGATCACACTTCCCCATTTACAGATGGCTGCCTTCTCCTTGTTTCCTCACATGGCAGAGAGCTGAGAGTGAGAGCAAGTTCTTGGGTCTCTTCTTATGAGGGCACTAATCCTATTAATGAGGGCTCCATCTTTATTACCTAATTATCTCCTAAGGCCCCACCTTTTAATATCCTCACATTGGGAATCAGAATATCAACATATAGATTTGAAGAAGACATAAACATTCACCCCATAGCACAACCTTTGGGATTTCTTTCATTGATAACCTACATAATTTTAAAGTGGTTCAATTAAGATTTTGTAATTTGCCAAACCCCTTAGTTCTGATGAAATTGGGTCTACTATTATTCTCATGCTAATGCTTTGTTTTGGGGAAAGACCGTATTCTCACCTACTTCATGAATTAAATCATGTTCATTTCCACTGATAAGCAGTAATGACCTCAACTTTAAAAAACTGAGACCTCAATCAAAACTGAAAAATCACTCTGCTTGAAATTGAAACAAAATTAGTTTATAAATGTGCCAACATTTAGGCCTTCTTTAGCATATTTAAGGTTAAAATCTTAACCCTGGATCTACAAACGTGTAATGTGTCAGGGTAGGTAATAGTATGGAGTGGGAAAGGCACACAATGTAAACAAATGGAAGCATTCTACTGTATTCTAAGGCTGACAGAAATACCACATTTCATTAAAAAAAAGATTATAGCAATACTACTAAGATTTTCACAAACACACTTGTCCCCTACCCCCACCCAAAAAAAACTTGGCTTAGATAAAATCTCATTAAATTTTGAAAGTAAAATGGTTTGAGAAAATGTTTTAAAAAGTTATCTTTTAAATTATTTTATATTCACATATATGAAATTATATTAACGTTACATGAATTATATGCATATCATATGAATATAGGAACATTATATGAATTCTATAAATACATTAAATTGCTTGCAAGGCGTAGAGTCTTTTCCTTTGAATATTCTCAGTGGTAGTAAAACTTTCTTCCACAAAATAAATTTCACCCCTAAAGGTGAGTCTATCAATCCATCTGGCTACTCATACACACGTATACATATCCTCCCTCTTTCTCTGGCCTTCATGTATAGAAGAGACAGAGACAGAGAGAGAGAGAGAGAGACAATAGTTCTATCTATCTATCTATCTATCTATCTATCTATCTATCTATCTGCACAAACGTGTGTGTGTGTGTGTGTGGTTATCTATGTGTACATATATAAGGATTTCCTTAAAAACTCATTATTATTCAGTGGAAGAGAACTGCATTTTGAAGCAGAGGCCTCAACTCTGTTCTTGCCTCTGACTCACAGCTGCAATATTACCCTGGATAAATCACCCCATCTTTAGTTTTGCCTCTTTTCTTGCTGTCTTCATCTAATAATTGAGTGCATGGGACTAGGTAACTCTTCAATTGTGATATTCTCTACTTACTTTCCTTTTTTGGTCTCTCTCTCACACTGTAGAGCACATTTAAAGAATCTTTTTTTTTTTTTCCTGAGCTTTGAATTGCTCTAAATCTTACAAGAAGCAGTTTTGCTTATAATTAGCTAAGATTTTTATTCTGTGTCTAAGAAACAAAAGACCAGAGAGATACCCAGCTGTCTTTTGTACATCAAATGTCTCTTATTAGCATGACATTTTGATGAGTTAAAGTATAGATGAATCAAAGGTAGACTTTGTACTCCTTAAAATTCACATGGGGATGAATGCTAAAAAAGATATGTTTTAGTTTGCTATTCTTAAAACATTTGAAAAAATAATATGACATCTGTCAAATATCAAATGGAGCAGCTTGTTTTCAGGGGCATATGTATGTACAGACAGACTTGGATTTGCATGCATACATATTATAATAAAATCACTAAATAAACTCTTTACCAGAAGTATTAGAAATTCTACATCCAGAGACTATTGGGTTCTTTAAAATAGTCACCATGGGAAGCTCTAAACTTATTCCAATCAGGTTGTCATTGCACACAAAAAAGCTCAGGAATTTCTTTTTAGAATTGCTTACAGTGTTTTCTTTTGAATATTCTCAGTGGTGGTAAAACTTTGTTACAGAAAATCAATTCCATCCCTAAAGGTTAGTCCAAATACGATTTGAATTGGTGTGAAATTTGGCATTATGCCTTTCTGCTTAGTCCTCATTGAAGAACATATTCCTGGCAGCAGAAGCGCCTCATTATAAAGCTTTTTCACCTATAAGATGGGCCCGTGGCATGGATCCCAAATGCCATGTTCCGATAAGCCCCATTTGGCACACTGGTAAAAAATGAAATACACTTCTGTGCTTTAAATCTAAAACAGAAATGCAGTAGAATGTGGGAAGTAGTTAATTTAGATTTGGAAAGCAAACTCATCAATCACCCATTAGATAAATGGTGCATTTACTTTGGGTCTGTCAATAAAAACATCAATTAACATTACCAGGTCCTCTCTGTAGAAATACAACTGGATGATACTTTCCTTTGAAACTAGTCAGAATTCAGTTTTCTCACTTGCTGCCTAATTAAAATATCCTCCTTTTAAAGAAAAATACTAATTAATAATTGTGAATGAATCCTGTCACATTTAAAAATATTCTATTTTTAATTTGTTAAAAATGTAGTCCATCATTTTCCATTCCAATTCAGATTTACATGTTCCTATTACTATTACTATTACTCTGTTCCTATTTTTTATTTTAAATTATTTTATTTTAATATAGTGGTGAAGTAGTAGATTTTTAAAATAATTTCAATGTTTACCTTAGATTCACAGGAGACATGTACAAGTATGTTACCTGGTTATATTGCATGATACTGACAATTGCTGCCATCACCCAGGTACTAAGCACAGTACTCAATAGTTACCCAGTGGTTAAAAAACCATTGCCTCTCTTCCTTCACCCCCAGCAATCTACAGTATCTACTGTTTCCATCTTTATGTCCACCAGTACACATTGCTTAGCTCCTACTTACAAGTGAGAACATGTGGTATTTGGTTTTCTATTCCTGCGTTAATTCACTTTGGATAATGGTCTCTAGCTATATCCATGTTGCTGCAAATGACATAATTTCACCACTTTTATGTCTGCATAATATTTCACAGTGTATATGTACCACATTTTCTTTATCCAAACCATATTGATGGGCATCTAGGTTAATTCCATGTCTTTCCTATTGTGAAAAGTGCTGCAATGTACATATGCATATGTCTTTTTGGTAGAATGATTTATTTTCTTTGGGTAAATACCCAAAAATAAAATTGCTGGTTCAAATGGTAGTTTTGTTTTAAGTTTTTTGAGAAATCTCCAAACTGCTTTCCGCAGTGGCTGGCCTAATTTACATCCCCACCAACAATGTATAAGTGTTCTCTTTTCTCCACAGCCTGGCCAACATCTTTGTTTTTTTGACTTTTTAATAATAGCCATTCTGACTGGTGTGAGATGGTATCTCATTGTGGTTTTGATTTGCATTTTTCTGGTGATTAGTGATGTAGATAATTTTTTCATATGTTTGTTGGCCACTTGCATGTCTTTCAATAAGTGTTTGTTCACGTCTTTGGCCCATTTTTTTAATGGGGTTATTGATTTTTGGCTTGTTCAATTGTTTAAGTTCCTTATAGATTCTGGATATTCGACCTTTGCCAGATGTATAGCTTGTGAATGTTTTATTCCATTCTGTCAGTTGTTTACTCTGTTGTTAGTTTCTTTTGCTGTGCAGAAGCTTTTCGGTTTAATCAGGTCCCAATTGTCAATTTTTTAATACAATGGCTTTTAAATTAACTATAAATTATTTTCCAAGGCTGATAAACAGAATGGTGTCTCCTGGGTTTTCTTATAGGTTTCTTATAGTTTGAAGTCTTGAATTTAAATATTTGATCCATCTTGAGTTAATTTTTGTATATGGTAAAATGTAGGGGTTCAGTTTCATTCTGCATATGGCTGGCCAGTTATCCAAGAATCATTTATTAAATAGGAAATCTTTTCTCCAATGATTACTTTTGTTGAGCTTGTCAAAAATCAAATGACTGTAGCTGTGCAGCTTTATTTCTTGGTTCTCTATTCTGTTTCACTGGTCTATATATCTGTTTTTGTACCAGTGTCATGCTCTTTTGGTTACTGTAGCCTTATAGTATAAAGTTAGGTTAAGAGATGTCTTTGGCTTTGTTCTTTTCACTTAGAATTGCTTTGGATATGTGCGCTCCTCTGGTAATATATGAATTTTAAAAAAGGGTTTTTCTTTAATTCTGTGAAAAATGACATTGGTAGACTGATAGGAATACCACTGAATCTGTACATTGCTTTGGGTAGTATGGCCATTTTAACAATATTAATTCTTCTAATCAATGAGCATAAAATGTTTATCCATTTGTTTGTGTCATGCATCATTTCTTTCAGCAGCGTTTTGTAGTTCTCTTTGTAGGGATCTTTTACTGCCTTGGTTAGATGCATTCTTAGGTTTTTGTTTGTTTGTTTATTTGTTTTACAGCTATTGTAAATGGGGTTGCATTCTTGATTTGGCTCTCGGCTTTAACGTTATAGGTGCATAGAAATGCAACTGAGTTTTGTACACTGATTTTATATCTTAAAACATTATTTACATGGTTTATAAGTTCCAGGAGCCTTTTGGTGAAATCTTTAGGGTTTTCTTTTTTTTTTTTTTTTCAGACGGAGTCTCTCCCTGTCGCCCGGGCTGGCATGCAATAGCGCAATCTCGGCTCACTGCAACCTTTGCCTCCCGGGTTCAAGAAATTCTCCTGCCTCAGTCTCCCAAGTAGCCAGGATTACAGGCGCCTGCCACCACACTCAGCTAATTTTTTTTTTTTTTTGTATTTTTAGTAAAGACGGGGTTTCACTATGTTGGCCAGGTTGGTCTCAAACTCCTGACCTCGTGATCCACCCACCTCAGCCTCCCAAAGTGCTGGGATTACATGAGTGAGCCGCCATGCCCGGCCTGGGCCTTCTAAGTATAGAATAATCATCATCATTGAAAAGAGATTGTTTGAGTTCTTCTTTTTCTAGTTGAATGCCTTTTATTTCTTTCTCTTGCCTGATTGCTCTGGCAAGGACTTCCAGTACCACGTTGAATGGCAGCGGTGAGAGTGAGCATCCTTTTCTTCTTCCAGTTCTTAAGGCGAATGCTTCCAGTTTTTGCCCATTTAGTACGATATTGGCTGTGGGTTTGTCATAGATGGCTCTTATTATTTTGAGGTATGTTACTTTGATGCCTAGTTTCTTGAAGGATTTTATCCTGAAGGGATGTTGGATTTTACTGAAAGCTTTTACCGCACCTACTAAGATGATCATATGGTTTTTGCCTTCCACTCGGTTTATGTGGTGAATCACATTTATTGATTTGCATGTGTTAAGGCAACCTTGTATCCCAGGAATGAAGCCTACTTGAGCATGGTGAATTAACTTTTTGATGTGCTGCTGGATTAAGTTTGCTAGTATTTTGCTGAGGATTTTTGCATCTATGCTCATCAGGGATGTTGACCTGTTTTCTTTTTTCATTGTGTCTTTGCCACATTTTTGTATCAAGGTGATACTGGTACTAGTTGCATAGAAGAAATTAGGGAGGAGTTCCTCTTCCTTGATTTTTTTGGACTAGTTTTAGTAAGATTGGTACCAGCTCTTTGTACACCTGGTGAATCCATCTGGTCCAGAGTTTTTTTTTGTTTTGTTTTGTTTTGTTTTTTTTAGTTGGTTGGTTTTATATTACTGATTTAACTTTGGAACCTGATATTGGTCTGTTCAGCATTTCTATTTCTTTCTGATTCAATCCTGGGAGATTGTGTGTTTCCAGGAATTTATTTATTTATTTTATATTTTGTAGTTTGTATGCATGGAGGTGTTCATAACACTTTTTGAAGATCATTTGTATTTCTGTGGGATCAGTCGCAGTGCCACCTTTGTCATTTCTGATTGTGCTTATTAGGATCTTCTCTTCTTTTTTTTCTCTGTTAATCTAACTAACAGTCTATCAATCTTGTTTATCCTTTGAAAAACCCAACACTGGTTTCCTTGATTCTTTGCATGAATTTTTGGGCCTCAGTTTTGTTCATTTTTTCTCTGATTTTAATTATTTCTTTTCTGTAGCTAGGTTTGTGGTTAGTTTGTTCTTGATTTTCTAGTTCCTCTAGATGTGATGTTAGGTCATAAATTTGAGATCATTTTAACTTTTTCAGATAGATGTTTAGTGCTACAAACTCTTCTGTTAATATTGTTTTTGCTGCATCCCAGAGATTTTGGCATGTTGTGTCTCCGTTTTCATTTAATTCAAATAATTTTTTGATTTCTACCTTAATTTTACTGTTTACTCAAAAGTCATTTGGGAGCAAGTTATTCAATTTCCATGTAATTGTGTGATTTTAAGAGATCTTCTTGGTATTGATTTCTATTTTTATTCCACTGTGGCCTCACAGTATGGTTGGCATTACTTTAATTTTCTTTTAATTTTTTCAGACTTGATTTATGGCTTAGTATATGGTAGATTTTAGAGTATGTTCCATGTGCAAATTAGAAAAATGTATATTCTGTGGTTGATGGATGCTGTGTTCTGTAGACGTCTATCAGGTACAATTGGCCAAGGGTCAAATTTTAGTTCAGAATTTCTTCTTAGTTTTCTGCCTTGATGATCTGCATAACACTGTCAGTGTAGTGTTGAAGTTGCCTAGAATTATCATTTGGGTATCTTAGTTTTCATAGGTCTAGAAATACATGTTTGTGTATTTGACTGCTCCAAGGTTGGGTGTGTATATATTTAGTGTTGAATTGAACCCCTTATCATCATGTAATGCGCTTTCTCATTCTTTTTTACTCTGTTGTTTTAAAATCTATTTTACCTTACAGAAGGATAGCAGCCCCTGATCTTTTTTGTTTCTGTTTCCATGGTAGTTCTTTCATTATCCTTTTATCTTGACTCTATGGATAAAGTTATGTATGAGATAACTCTCTTGACAGCATATAGATGGATCTTATATTTTTATCCAGCTATCCACTCTGTGCCTTTTAACCAGGGCATTTAGGCAATTTACATTCAAGGCTAACATTGATATGTAAGGTTTCAGTTCCTTTGCGAAGTTGTTAAATCATTGCTTTGTAGTTTCTATTCTGTGACTGCTTTATAGGGTCTGTGGGCTATGTACTTAAGTGTGTTTTTGTGGTAACAGATATTATTCTTTTGTTTCCCTGTTTAGAACTCCCTTAAGGATCTCTTATAAAGTTGTTCTAGAGGTTAACAAATTTCGTTATAGCTTGCTTGTCTGGAAAAAGGTTTTATTTCTACTTTTGATATGAAACTTAATTTGGTGGGATATACAATTATTGATTGGAATTTATTTTGTTTAACCCTTTTCCCATTTACCCCAAGAATACTTGCCAGCAGTGCTTGCACCTGCAACATTTACCCTGAGAAAACTTTGCCACAAAATATCTTGCTTTTATTATTATTTTCATATCACTTTAGTATATTGACTTTGGGAGCAAAAGACATCATTTTATTTATATCACCCTGTATTTAGTAGTGGTATTTCCATTTACAAAATACAGTGATTCTCAATTACTGAAAATGTCAAATCCTAGAAAACATAGCATTTCTACACATAATGTTAACATTGTTCTTGAACAGCTGTTGCCCAAAGATTCATTTAATAAATCTGATTTTTCTGAAATGGTTGATTCTAATGATTCAGACAATTCTGATGTTGGTTCTGTTTCAAAATAACTCTAAGAACAGTATTCATATTTTATTTCCACATTGAAAGTCAGTTTGATTCAGCTCCAAAGAACATGTTTATGTAAAATTAAATAATTGCTGGCAGAGAGCTGCACTGCTTTTTTTTTTTTTTTCTAAACTGGGAAAAGGTTAAGAATGCTGAAAGTTGACCCCCAAACTCTCTTGTCTTGTAAGGTTTCTGCTGAAAAGTTTGCTATTAACTAAATGGGATTCCCTATGTACATGATGTAATATTTTTCAGTAGCTGCCTTCAAGATTTTTTTTTAATTTTAGCATTGACCTTGGGCCATCTAGTGAATACATGCCTTGGTGAGGTTCATTTTGTATAGCATCCTCCAGGTGTTCTCTGGATTTCCTGTATCTGGATGTCTATCTCTCTGGTAACATGAGGAAAATTTTCTTAAATTATTCCCTCAAATATGTCTTCTAGGTTGTTTTCTTTTTCTCTGTCTCTCTCAGGAATACCAATCATTAGTAGGTTTGGTCATTTTACATAATCTCTTATTTCTTAAAGACACTGTTCATTTTTCAAAATGCTTTTTGTCTTTACTTTTATCTGAATGGGTTAGTTCAAAAGATTGGTCTTCAAGCTCTGAAATTCTTTCTTCTGCTTGGTGCAGTCTACTGATGAAGCTTTCAATTGTGTTTTGAAATTCCTTAAGTGAGTTTTTCAGTTTCAGAAGCTCTGACTGATTTATTTTAAAGATGTTTATCTCTTCCTTCATTTCCTGGATTGCTTTAGAGGTTTCTTTGTGTTGAATTTCAACCTTGTTCTTGGATATCATTGAGCTTACTTGCAATACATGCTTTGAATTCTTTATCTGTCATTTCTGATTTTTTCGTTTTGGTTAGGGACCATTGCTAGAGAGCTGGTGTGGTTCTTTGGTGGTGTCACCGCATTCGGATTCTTCATGGTGACAGAATATTTGACATTGTTTCCTTCTCTTCTGGAGACATTGGCACTTCTAATTTTTGTAATTATTCTCATGCGGGTATTTTTTTTTCTTTTCCTCTCTTTCCCTATAATATTATTGTCTTTTTCTACTTTCCTTTTGCCTTTCCCCCACTCCCTAGGGGGTGTGACTGTAAAGGATGCTGGTTTGGTTCTTTTGGCTTTGCTTCTATAGGTCTAAGCACTTCAGTTGGCAGGTGTTTTTGTTTGTTTGTTTATTTTTTGGGGTTGTGAAGTTTGACCTACAGGTCAGTAGATGGAGCTTATGGGTAAAATCCAATTGTGACTAACATGGCTGGATGTACACTTGATCCTTGTTTGCTGGGAGAAGCTTTTTGTTGCTTCAGGCAGTGGACTTAGTTCATGGTGTCCAAGTGATCTGAACTCCCCGCTTATCCCCAGGAAGGAGCACAAGGCAAGATGGGCCAGGCTGGCTTGGGCAGGTCCACCTACAGGTCCACCAATGGCAGACACAAGCACCTTCACTGAGGGAGAATCTATTAGGTGGCCACCAACACCCAGAATGTGTCTAGGCATGGAACTAATACCTTGGCCCCAGGTTCTCAACATGGGGATGGCAGGCAGTCTAAACTCCTAATCCAGGAGAGTGGCCACTCTAGACTCCTAGAGATCTGCCTGAGCATGGAGCAGAGAGGAGCCTCCTGTACAAGGATATCTGCACAGGAAGGATGGGGCAGCTCACACACTGCTGTTCCAAGAGAGCAGGTACTCCAAATGTCTAAATATCTGCCTGGGTGTGAAGTGGAGAGCATGCCCCTGAACTAAAGTCTCCGCATATCAGGGGTAGGGTGATTCAGGCTGCTGAACCAAGAAAGCAGATGCTTTAAATGCCTAGAGATCTGCTTGGGCCTGAAATGAAGAGGGGCCCCTTGCACCACGATCTCTGCACAGGAATGGTGGGACAGCTTAGGCTGCCAGTTCAGGCTTTGAATGCCTGGGTGTTAAGTGGAGGGGGGCCCCATACACCATGATCTATGAACAGGAAAGATGGGGCAGTTCAGGCTGCTGATCTAGATAAGTAAGTGCTCCAAATGTCTGGAGATCTGCTTGGGCATGGAGCAAAGAGGACCCTGCTGCACTTTGGCCTATGCCTAGGAAAGGTTGGGTGACTCAGGCTGTTAGTCCATGTGAGTGGATAATCCAAATGGCTGGAGATCTGCCTATGTGTGGTGTGGAGAGGGCCACATTGCACCACAACGTTTGCACAGGAAGGGATAGGCAGGTCAGGCTGTTTATCCAGGTGAGGGGGTGCTCAGAATACTTAAAGATTCACTTTGGGGTGGAACAGAGAGGGCCTCCACTGCACCACAATATATGTCTATGAAGGGTTGGGTGGCTCAGGCTGCTGGTCCATGCAAGCAGGTACTCCAGAAGTTTGGATTTCTGTCTGGGGTTGGAGTAGAGAGGGTCTTGTTGCAACATGATCTCAGGGGAGCAGGGTGGAGCACCCAGCAATGACACATGCAGACCAGTTCTAGGTCACCAAGCTGGACCTGGCTGCAGGTCTCATCTTCTAGGAGAAACTGCCTTAGCAGTTCTCTTCCTGCCCTAAGCCTGTGATAGGGGAGAGAATGATCCCAATGCCTACTGTTGAGGCACTTCCACAGTTCTGGCTGTGGAAGCACCTACACTGCTCCAGAGCAGGCACTCCAATCTCCGGCTCAAGCCTAAAGTGCCTACATAGCCAAACTGCCAGGTCACTAAAGACTGACTGACTTTGTATGTGCCCAGATTAAAAATGGCCTCTGGGTCTTGGTCCCAGGTCTGGGAAAATGCCTGCAAGTTTTCCTGATTTCTTCCCTTCTCAGAATCTCCAAGCCTCTCCCCAAGTTAGCTCCATTGCTTGGGAGAAAGAAAGTGTTCTCCCTTGCTCTGTGACTCACCTCTATCCCTCTGCGACTAACTTTTCCACTGGGGTTGCTCAGATCCCCACTGAAGAGGTGAGTTGCAGAGGGAGGCTCTCTGCCTCTCTCATGTACTAGAGCTTCACTGACTTGTATCAGCTAGATATATCACAGGAGCTCTTTGCTCACATTCTCCTCCCCAGAATCAGGGGATGTCCTTTACAATTGCAGTGGATTCTCCTTTTCCTTCTAGAATGACAGTTCACAAAGTTGACTTTCATTCACTATCTTGCTGTTTCCAAGTAGCTGAAGCATGCTAAAAGCCTCTAATCCACTATCTTGGAAACAAAACAACAGAACAAAAACAAACAAACAAACAAACAAACCCTTAGTTCCTATTAAAAGCAGAAATTATTCCATTCAACCAGAGAAGAAAAATCAATCATCAATGATTTCATCTTTCTTGAACTGATGTCTAGTCAGTTCCTAAATGTGCATGATTGGACCTCAACAGCAGGAGCAATTCCATTCTCACTTTACAGTTTCCATTTTCTAGTATGGAAAGGTGATCTTTGGCCTAGATTATTATAATGCAAGTGTCAATTGCTTCCTAACATGGCTCTCTAATTCCAAGGTATTTGTATTTTCTAACCTAAAACAATGTTTGAACATTTTTATTTCTCTATTTTGACAAAGTAATATACTATGTAATGTATTAGTTCATTTTCAAGCTGCTGATAAAGACATACCCAAGACTTGGAAGAAAAGGTGGTTTAATTTGACTTACAGTTCCACATGGCTGGGTAGGTCTCATAATCATGGTGAAGGGCAAAAGGCACTTCTTACATGGTGGCAACAAGAGAGAATGAGGAAAAAGCAAAAGTGGAAACCCCTGATAAGCCCATCAGATCTTGTGAGACTTATTCACTATCACAATAGCATGGGAAAGACCAGCTCCCAAGATTCAATTACCTCCCACTGGGTCCCTCCCACAAGACATGGAAATTCCAAGAGACACAATTCTAGTTGAGATTTGGTGGGGACATAGTCAAACCATATCATTCCCCCCGGCCTCTCCAAATCTCATGTCCTCACATTTCAAAATCAAGCATGCCTTCCCAGTAGTCCCCCAGTCTTAACTCATTTCAGCAGTAACCCAAAAGTCCACATTCCAACGTCTCATCTGAGACAAGGCAAGTCCCTCTGCCTATGAGCTTGTAAAATCAAAAGCAAGCTAGTTACTTCCTAGATACAATGCAGATAAAGGTATTGGGTAAATACAGCCATTCCAAATGGGAGACATTGGCCAAAACAAAGGGATTACAGGGCCCATGCAAGTCCGAAATCCAGCAGAGCAGTCAAACTTTAAAGCTCCAAAATGATCTCCTTTGACTCCAGGTCTCACATCTAGGTTACACTGATGCAAGAGGTGGGTTCCCATGGTCTTGGGCAGATCCACCCCTGTGGCTTTGCTGGGTACAGCCCCCTCCCGGCTGCTTTCATGGGCTAGCATTGAGTGTCTGCAGCTTTTCCAGATGCACAGTTCAAGCTGTCAGTGGATCTACCATTCTGGGGTCTGGAGGACGGTGTCCCTCTTCTCACAGCTCTACTGAGTGGTGCCCCAGCAGGGACTCTGTGTGGGGACTATGACCTCACATTTCCCTTCTGCAGAGCCCTAGCAGAAATCCTCCATGAGGGCCACAACCCTGCAGCAAACTTTTTCCTGGGCATCCAGGCATTCCCATACATCTTCTGAAATCTAAGCAAGTTTCCAAATCTCAATTATTGACTTCTGTCTACCTGCAGGCTCAACACCATGTGGAAGCTGCCAAGCCTTGTGGCTTCCACCCTTTGAAGCCACAGCCTGAGCTCTACACTGGCCCCTTTCAGCCACATCTGGAGTGGCTCAAACACAGGGCACCAAATCCCTAGGCTGCACACAGCACAGGGACCCTGGGTCTGGCCAATAAAACCACTTTTTTCTCCTGCACCTCCAGGCCTGTGATGGAAGGGGCTGCTGTGAAGGTCTCTGACATGGCCTGGAGACATTTTCCCCATGGTCTTGGGAATAAACATTAGGCTCTTTGCTGCTTATGCAAATTTCTGCAGCCAGCTTGAATTTCTCCCCAGAAAATGGGTTTTTCTTTTCTATCGCATAGTCAGGCTGCTAATTTTCTGAACTTTTATGCTCTGTTTCCCTTTTAAAACTCAATGTTTTTAACAGCACCCAAGTCACCTCTTGAATATTTTGCTGCTTAGAAATTTCTTCCACCAGATACCGTAAATCATCTCTCTCAAGTTCAAAGTTCCACAAACCTGTAGGGCAGGGCCAAAATGCTGCAAGGCTCTTTGCTAAAACATAACAAGATTCATCTTTGCTCCAGTTCCCAAAAAGTTCCTCATCTCCATCTGAGACCACCTCAGCCTGGATTTTATTGTCCGTATTGCTATCAACATTTTGGGTAAAGCCATTCAACAAGTCTCTAGGAAGTTTCAAACTATCCCACATTTTTCTGTCTTCTTCTGAGCCCTCCAAACTGTTCCAACTCCTGCCTGTTACCCAGGTCCAAAGTCACTTCCACATTTTTGGGTATCTTTTCAGCAACACCCGACTCTACTGGAACCAATTTACTGTATTAGTTGTTTTTCATGCTGTTAATAAAGACATACCCGAGACTGGGAAGAAAAGGTTGTTTAATTTGACTTACAATTCCACATGGCCAGGGAGGTCTCATAATCATGGCAGAGGGTGAAAGGCAGTTCTTACATGGCAGCCTCAAGGGAGAATTAGGAAGAGGCAAAAGCAGAAACCCTTGATAAACCCATCAGCTCTCATGAGACTTATTTGTTATCACTAGAATAGCAAGGGAAAGACTAGCCCCCATGATTCAATTATCTCCCCCCTGGGTCCCTCCCACAAGACATGGGAATTCTAGGAGATACAATTCAAGTTGAGATTTGGTGGGGACACAGCCAAACCATATCATGTAACTTCCCATTAACAAAACCCTCAAAAAACAGAAAACTTCAACTATCCATCCCTCCTTGAATGTAAGCTCACCCTGATATTCTAAGACATACCGGCATTGACCACTGCTTCTAAGTTTACTTACCATTATTTGCCTTCAACTATTATATGTTCATGTTAAACTGTCCTCAGGTATTCCTGTTTTCATGGTTTATGTTGTTATTCTTTCAGCCTGCAAACATGGTCATCATATTCCATGTTTATATTTTCTATTTTTTAAACTCAGTTTTGATGCTTTATCTTTTAATAAAATTTCTCTTCCTTGTTTATTTGGAGATTCTTTCCTCCTCATCTTATGCATACAGCAAATGACTTTTCCTCTACTTTTTAATCACCATATTGCATTTTTCTATTTTTTTAATTACCTTTTATCTTCCCTGCTGTATTGACAGCTTGTTGAGGGCAGGAAAAACTCATTATTCATTGCCTTGCACAGCATAGATTCTCAATAAATAACGGCTTTATTGAAGCTAAGTAGATCTATATGATATTCACAATGTTTATATTCTCAGAAAGTTTCTCAAGCAGATGATAGTTGCTATAGAAATCCAGAAAATGTAGAGAGAGAATATTTTGATGTTCAGTATTATCATAACCATACCCCTTCCACCCAGAGTCAGTGAAAAGGAAGCCCAGAATCCAAAGCTTCTATTCCCCAATCTTCACACAGTATTCACATCACCCAAACAAAGAGCATAATATCTCAAAGCATCAGCTTTCTCCTCTGAAAATAAAGATAATATTGTCTACTATGTGTACTGTAGTCACCATATTTATTCCCAGGATATTTGTCAAAATTTAAACCATATGGGATAGCATCCAGCAGCAACTTACATACTTTAAAACACTGTACAAATGGAAATCTTTAAGGAAACTGGCAGATAACAAATACTCATCTCCTCTAACTTATAATTTCATCATTGCCAACCAATGTCCTATAAATAAGTTTTTCTCATGATGCTAACCATAGAGGTCAATATCAGTTTCCCATATCTTTTTTTCCTCCCATTTTATTGGTACCTTCCATGTCATTGGTAGTGTTTCATGTATCAAAAAACTTGAGAGGTCATTAAATTAGCATTTTAAAAATGAGACTAAGTGGGAAATTATTTTATTTAAAATCAGTGCACTCACTTAATAGTCATTATTTTTTCCTAATCAGTGTGAGCTGAAAACACTACCCAGAAGCCACTGGATGTCAATCACTAAAGCATGAATTTTATTTGAAGCTGTGTTTTTAACCAGAATATAATTTTTATATATTTTGTTAAATTTAGCTATGAACAAAGTGGAACTAATAAACAGAAAGAAAAAATGAAAAAATTAGATAATTAAAAACAATAAAACAAAATGAATACCGCTTTTTTATTCAAATAATGTCATTCTTTATTTAACATTTAGGGTACTCACTCTCAAAAAGGCAAAACAGGCTGGGCGTGGTGGTTCATGCCTGTAATCCCAGCACTTTGGGAGGCCAAAGCAGGTGGATCACCTGAGGTCAGGAGTTTGAGACCAGCCTGCGCAACACAGTAAAACCCAGTCTCTACAAAAAATACACAAATTAGCTGGGCCTGGTGGCAGGCATCTGCACTCCCCGTTACTCTGGGATGCTGAGGCAGGAGAATCACTTGAACCCAGGAGGTGGAGGTTGCAGTGAGCTGAGATTGCGCCACTACACTCCAGCCAAAAAAAAAAAAAAAAGGAAAAAAAAAGGAAAAACATCAATACCTTAAGATGAATCATATCTGAGGGAAAGGCAGAGGTGGTCTTTTAAGGGAAGTCAGTCTGTATGGAAAGTCTGGTTGCGGAAACCTTGTCCAACACCCTTACCTGAAGTTTCATCCATCTAGTTGCAGGAAGCTCTTTATGTTTTCTTCATTTCCTACATGCAAGCAACGAGGCTCTTTTTCTTTTTCTTCTCCTTCTTTTAGTTTTGAATTTGGACAAGAATTTTCCAAACTTTTCAAAGTTAAAAAAAGTTTTTAAAAGTTAAAAAAAATTTAAACTAAAAAAACTCTAGTAAAACACATACTAATAGTATTTTGCTTACTCTAAAAGCAAAATACTATTTTTTGAATTGTCATTGATATTGTTACATATTCCCAGTTCTTGAATCCTATCTTTACATGAAAATAGTCTTCTCCCTCCCTCTTTCTTGTGTCTTTGAGGGATCTCTTATGCTCGCAATTTTTGCCCACCTACTCTTACAAGTAAAGGGATTAAATAGAAAACACCATCCAGCCAGGACAGAGATGTTATTTATAACAATACCTTTAATGAAGAGAGTCGTGTGCATTTTCATTTTATCCTCTCAATAATACTGCAAGGAATGTATATGGAATATGCATTATTATCCTCTGGCAAAGAGTTTAATAATTCTCTGCCACAAATTTCAATTAGTAGGCAGAAAATAGGTAGAAAGAAGAACAAAGTAAATACATATATATTAGTATATATACATTTATATATAGTATTTCTACACACACACACACACACACACTCAAATATATCACTCACTGGGTCAGCTCTTCTATCACTTAGTGACTTCCTCATAGAAGCCAACCTTTATAAATTCCTTTAAGTTTGTCTTTGCCACAAAAAGAATCTCCTAAACTTAGTAGGTCCAAAATGTGTATTTGTTGAGTCATACTTTTGCTTCTTTGAGAGTAATTTTTTTCATTAAGAATTTCTTATTTGAATGAATTGGTCAAAAATTGTTTTGTCTAAATATGTAACAAGATTTACCCATACTAATGTCCTGTGACTTCATACAAATATATCTTGATTGTTAAGTTTAAGCTTATGTGTAAGGCAATGTCAGGGGCACCAGAATGGCCCTGTTACTCAAGCTGAATTTCCTGCATTTCACACCTGTTGCTAAATGACACCAATCAAAATGGCATTTTTTAAACCTGCAACCTATTTTATCCATGTATTCATTAATTTAAATATGTTTTTGATTGCTTCTATCATCAAAGAATGGAGGCTGGAGGCAAAGGACCCTGGACACATGCAGTGAGACAGTGAGTGTAGATGTGAAAGGACAGAAAGAACAGCCATTATATCAGTAAAGCCTCTGTCCAGAAAGTAGAAAATCCTCTTGGTAATTTCAACATCTTGGCATTTACAATGTGACTCAATACTGACCAATAAGACATGATAAAAATTCTAAGGGGGCTTCTGAAGAAAATCTTGTCTGCTACCTCCACCCCTGTATGAGAGAGAGACAGAAAACGAGAGAGAGAGAGAGAGAGATGCAAAAGGATGTCCCCAGCACTCTTCAGCTTTCTTCCTTACTTGGACATCATTTTCTGTAACTATGTTAGGAAATGCTGCTGCCAACATGGAGCCATGAATAGAGGTAGAGAGATGCAAGAGACCCTGGCATCACTGAGACCTTGAACATGCCCTGAACAGTCTACCTGCAGCTATCTCTGGTGATGTGAGAAAAATACATTATTTGTAACTAAGCCACTTTTATAGTCAGGAATTCTGTTATTGTCACCAAACATATCCCAACTCTTTTAAAGATAAACTGAGTAATATATAACCTAGTCCTTTAAAATTATTTTGATTCATTTTGTTGTCAAATAAAAGTTAAAGAAATATCTTCCTTTCTCTCTTCTCTCCTGGTATATATAATATGTAATGTAATAAATATTATATAAATTTATATATGTAATATATATAAGACACACTCAACTCATTTTTGTTTTGCAAATACTCTGTTAGCCATTGCATTAGAAGCTGGAGATAATAAAGGAGAGGAGGAAAATGATGAAGGTGATGATGATAAGAGAAAATGCAAGCAGGCATAAAATGGGTAGGGACTTGATAGAGTATAGATATTTAGACAAAAAAATTCCAAAGATATTAATTTCAGAAACTTAGCAGAGAACAGCACATACTTATCTTCCTAGAATGGGAACCACCATTACCAAGCCCACCCCTACTTACTGGATTTCCTATCAAGCATCTTACATTTCTTAAACATAAGCAGACAGTCAAGAATCAAGATGCAGCAGAGGAAAGCTTAAATATCAAAGGCAGAGCCTAAGTAAACACAAAAAGAAAAAACCCAAAGGCACAAACAGTTTATAAGAAAATAATGTCAGAAAATTACCAATATTGTACCTATGAAAAATGATCAAGAGGGTACAGAGAAGATCATTGTGAACCACATTTAAAGAGTTTATGAGAATTCAAAATACAACAGGAGAAATGAAAAACTTTTGAGAATTTTTGCAAGGTAAAGTTAAAGAAATCTAGAAATCTGAGTGTAGAGGCACAAAAAGGTAAATATTAGACTTTTAAAAAAACCCAAAAGGCAAAAACCACCAAATATTCTATTGCAAGAGATCCAGCATTAGAATGCAAGAAAATTCATAAAAACAAAGATCAGCAAATGAAATTATTAAAAAAAAGCAAGAAAATTAATTCAAGGAATGTCTAAGATCTGAAGGTCATGAATTTTCAGACTGAAAGAGATCAATGAATGCTCACACCAATAGGTGGATATCAACATAAGTCAAGATAGTCATCATGACATCTTATAGCACTTGGTTCAAAGAAAATCAAATTCTTGGCTTTCAGAGATGGAGGAAATCACACTTAAAGATAAGAAATAGTAATGATTCTGATGTTCATATGCAACACTCAAAGCTCTCAAAGCTAGAAATTTAACAAACCTTCAAATATCCAAAGGAAAAGTCATACTTGCAGACAAAGACTCTAATAATTAATCTGTTGTGCATTCTTCTTCAGAAGGCTATTAGGGTATGTGCTCGACCAAAAAGAGGGAATAAATCAAGGAAGAAAACAAAAACACCAAATAGAGGAAAGAGGAGATTTTTAAATGAGCATAGAATTGAAGGGTCTCACTTGGATTTCCAAGAAGGCCAAAGCCAAAAGGGTGACCCTTGAGATGCCTGGAAAAGACCCAATGCAGTCAGCACACAAGTTTGGGATAGATTTTTTTTTTTTTTCAAAAAGGAGAAACTGATCACAACTCCAGTGTGGTAGAGCATATTAGGAAAAGATCTAGATAACTGAAGGGGAGTTTGACATAAGTATGCAAACAATAAACAAGAAAATAAGAAAACGTTGCACAGGGTTAGAAAGGTATCATGCATATTGCATGCCTCAGTGGTGAGTGATGGTTACATGTTCATAATAAAAACAATGAACATTTTCTAATCCAAAACTGTACAATTATTATAGTGGGAGGTATGGAAGAAGAAAGGGCATGTGTGATAACTGGGGAGGTTCCAACATCCATAGTGGAAACTTAACAGATTGATTTGAATTGGGAAGAATGAGGAAGAGAGACAGAGAGAGAAATAGTGAGACAGAGACAGAGACAGAGAGAGAGAGATACACACAGAGAGATACACAGAGTGACATAATTACATGTTTTGCAAATACAGGAGAATACACCAAAATAATCTAAAAGAAGGGGTTTGCTGTAAGGGATGAGACATGGAGAAGGAGAAGCAGTGCCAACTCTGTTCTGAACAAGCCTTGAGGTATCATTCATCACTTGAAATTATTTGTACAAATAGTTTTAATATAAATAGAAAATATAAAATATTGTATTTAAATTATATTTTAAAAGGTAAAAAAAAAAACAGATACTGACTCTCATTGCACCTGAGAATATAATCGCTTTTCAGTGAAAGGAAAAGTTATGTTTTTACATAAAAATAAAAGAAAAATATGGAGGCATAAGAAAAAAATCTTTAGAAGAAATTTTTAGAACTTTTTTTTAGGGGACACATCCTTATATTCATTCCATCATGGAGCTGTATTTCTTATCTCTTGAATTTTTCATGGCCATCCAGTGCTGAAAAGTAATTGAGGTATTAATGGAGCTTCAGTCTTATAACTTGTGCAGCACGAACAGACCAACATGTGAGCCAATGAAAGATGTTCCCTGGACACTCAGCTTGAGAAAATGATTGAAAAAGAATCTGAATGAGAATTCCAGAAAGTACAGTGCAATAGAGAAAGTATTATGTATTTTCTTTCATGGAAATGGTCATTTCCCTCCAGAAATATTTCTCTTTCTTTCTCTTTCTCTCTCTGCTTTCATTCCTCTCCTTCTTCCTTTCCCATTCTGTGTCTGTCTCTTTCTTTCTCTCTGCTCCCTCCACCCAATATATACAAAGTATTTGAGTCTCTGGTATGCTTAAATTGGTAAATTGTTGAGCTCAGCAAAACTGTGTTAAGAAGTGTTGAAATATTTATCCCCAAATTGGTTCAGCTTGTAAGCAATAAGAGCAGATGAACGGTTCCTGGAATGTGTAGTACATCATTACAGGGCTTACCCATGCATCACTTACTGCCGGTAGATTCTTTATACTGTACTTTCATGAAGACAGAAAGAGGTATTGAAGGAGAAATCCACCAAATAGTACTTCCAGACAGACAGAATGTCCCTGCCAGGGGATAGACAAAGGCCTAAGGACACAGGACCCTATCATTTATATTTTTACTTCTGCACTTAAAGTGAGCAGTTTTATAAAGATGTTAAAAGTCCAAACAAGCCTTTTTACTAGCACTTTCTGCACCCCATTATTTCATCAGTAATGTTCAGTGTGTTCTACTTGTTCTGTTAAGGTGTTGTCTCTTTAATTTCTAGGTATTTTAGAATAAGACTCATGCGGAATAAGAATATAATTGGTTTAGAAAATTTAAAACTATAATCTTTTGCCTGAAGTTGAATTTAAATATGGTATTCCAAGTAAAACATCATGGCCCCCAATGAAAAAAAAAATAAAATTGATGCTGCTGACATATTGCAAATGTTTGAGATTTCCCACATGTGGGGAAGGGAGATGGATAGGAATGTGTGGGAGGAAAGGTGAACTATAAAAGATTAATAACATAAGGCAACCAACACCTCTGAGATCCTGTCTTTAATTAACATTTATTAACATGAATATAATTAGTAATGGAATGTGTAATGAAAAGAGCATAACATCAGCAAAGACAAGACCAAATATTCATCTTTGATTTCTCTCATACTATCATTAAGATCTTCAGAAAATAATTTTTTTGTGCATTTTTGTTACCTAATCTTTAAAATAACAATAAATCTGTGCAAGAATTATACTCAATAGAAAAGTAGAAATGCTGATATGGTTTGGTTGTGTCACCAGCCAAATCATCTTGAATTGTAATCTCCATAATCCCCACATGTCTAGGGAGGTGACGGGATCATGGGGGCAGTTCCCCCCTGCTGTTCTCATGATAATGAGTTCTCAGGAGATCTGATGGTTTTCTAAGGGGCTCTTCCCCCTTCACTACTCACTCTTCTCTTTCCTGCTGCCATGTGAAAAAGGACCTTGCTTCCACTTTGCCTTCTGCCATGATTGTCAGTTTCCTGATGCATTCCCAGCCATGTTGAACTGTGAGTCAGTTAAACCTCTTTCCTTTGTAAATTACCCAGTCTAGGACAGTTCTTTATAGCAGCGTGAAAATAGACCAATATAGATGCAATATCCACATTTAGAAACTATGACATAATCCATAAATATTAGTTACTATTAATGTATTTTCTTCCAGAAGGGGAAATGAAGAAAGTAAGTTTAAAGCATTGTCTGTGACTGGCAGTAGCAAAAGAAAGAAAGTTGATGGAGCCTTCCAAAGAGACAGGCCACCAGTTTCAAATTCAAAGGCAGCAGCTAGAAGGTTACTAAAGATCAATATTGAAAGATTCACAAATTTATCTGTGATCATCCTTAGATTCCTTCTGTTTTTCAAAGGGGTAAATGGGTGTCTTTCTAAGATGTGATAGATATCTAGAGACCAGAGGAAGAGTCACCAAGTAAAAGGAGAGCGATATAGAGGACAAAACATGTTATTTGAATTTAGGAGACTCTCTCAAGATTTTGACAGTAATTAAGAGTCAGGTACTGTTTGTGGTGACTCATCTATTAAGATGCCAATTGCTAAGAAAATGAGGGCTAAGTCTCAACCAGTGATTAGGACTACGTTTCAGAAGCCCATTCCTGTGGAATAGAAATTAGGGCAAGATTTCTGGAACTGGTGGTCAATTATTATCTGTGGAAGAAGTCTAGACAGAAAAACTGAGATAACATGAACAAAAGTTGGGTAAAGTGGCTATGAGGTTCAGGTGAAGGAGATGGTGAGGAGTGAGGAAATCTATGAATGGAGGGATTCTCTACACCAGGGTTGTGCTTTGATATTATCAATATTTGAGCCCACCAGTAGCTGATGCTGTACTTACTGATGTCCTGCAACAGTGGGAAAGTTCAAGTAACAATGCCAATTAAAAATACAGGGAAAGAAAGGGAAATTTTAAAGGAAATTCGTGCCTGAATTTGTATGATAAAAGGGCAGTGATATTGAACCATTTTTCAGGAAATCTGGGCATGTGTATGTTTGATCATCTAGCTAGCTCTCAATGTGTTCCTACTAACAAAACAATAACTGTTGTCTACCCTATTTTTTCTGAATAGACCAAGTTTCCTGTTTGAGTACATTAGTAATTGTGAGGAAATGGGCATAAGCTAAAAACTAAAATTCTAATTCAACCTTTTTCAGCCTAATCTATTTTAAAGAAAGATTTGTGATAACAAATAGGTTTCACCAACATGAAATGACTCTTTCATATTTGTCTCGATAATTATTTCAACACAGGAAACTTTACATTTAGATTTTTTCAGTAAACAAGGGTGGCCTACCTCAAGAATTTTGGTAGATTTTTTCATAAGTAAGTTTTATGTAAATTCCTTTTGTAACACATACACACATGCTAATTTGCAAGTGAGTGTGTGAAACTTTAATATTTTATTTATATGTAATTTTAAGGCAGAAAACATACCCTGAATGCTAAAGTTTAAAAAAAACTGCGATTAATTTCACATTAGCATTAGTGATGTGCATTAAAACCAGAAAAAAAGTTTAGGAAACATACATTTTAAAGTAGGGTGGGCAAAAGTTTTATGTTGTTTTTCATTTTAGATGTGTTTTTAAAAATACGTTGTGAAGAATGTGTTTGCATCTCTAATGGTTTCTTTGGCATTCTCCATAATTGAATCATTCTCTAATTACTGATCAATAAGCAAATAATAATAGAAATTGAATATTTGGATAAATTAATCTAGTTCATTAAAATAGACCAGTCATTTCCATCAAAATATTCAATCTGGAAGCTCTTAAATAAGTGCATTATAGAAAGTAAGCTTTCTTATTCAAATCAGAAGACCATCATGTATCCTTTATTGTTAAAACCTGGATTTTTCTTTTTTCCTTCAGGTGGTTTCTCCATAGCCTGGGTAAATTAGATCATTGATCACATATATCTAAGGCACAGTCACTATTTATGCAATCAATGAACTTGAATTTAAACTGATAGACAAGATTTTTTTTAATACAGAGTACACAATAATTGACATTCAATAACTGGCCAGAAATGAAATTATAAATCACATTTTTTTACTTTACCAAAAGAGAGTCTATTTTACAGGAGCTTGTTGTATAACAGGGGTTTGATTATTTTTATTCTTCATTTTGTGGTATTCATTGACTGTTGGAGTGTAAAGCATGCAAAACTTTAATCCTATTTTAGTGTGACTTGTTATTTATGTTATGTTAAACTAACACAAAGAACTACAGTTCACACTGATGCTTTAAGATTACAAGGTTCAAATTCTAGAGGGCTGAATTTAGTGTTTATGTGATTTAACTACATATAAATATTCAGTACAAATGTAGAAGAAATAAAGTCAATACAGTAAATGATTTCTACTTAACTTGCATATTAGAAACAAAATTTCTGAAAAGCCAGTTTTATTCTAGACCCAGATAGTAGCTACTGATATGATGATAATTAGGCTATAATATATCTACAGTTTTAAAACATCAGAACATGGTGATATAAGTAAACTGGATAGAGACCATTTAATTTTAATTTTGTTTTTTTGAATTAGTGAAACAAAATACATATTTGGGGATATTTCTTCCAGTTTTATTTTCACCTTCCACCTTCCTCATATAATCACTTAGAGGCAATGGAGCTCACACATATGATAATTGGTGCCTGATTAATTGTTCTGTTAGAATCTTTTTCAATAGTATAACTACTTATCTTACAATTGAACGACATAAACTCTTAGAATCTATATAATTCATTTTAATCTCACAGCCACAGATTTTATGTAGAATGGCATTTTTGAATCTTCAATAGTTTAGAATTTCATAAGGTTCAATTCAAATGAGAAACAAAAATAACTACAAATTCAAGATTTTGGAAATGGCTTTGAATATATTTGGATTTTATCTAAAATGACTTTTTAGAGCATAAGCAGAAGAAAACAGACATGTTTGCATACACAGTTACTTAACATCCACTCTGATCCTTCATCCCCTATATGAATTCCTCGGTTTCACCTCATGGTCATGCGATAGCAATTCTAAATATTTTTCTCTACCCTAAAAATAAAAATATTTTAAATTTTTCTCTCTTTCAAATTATAAAAGAATGTTCTCTAAAATGTAAATATGAAGAATTTATGTTCCCAGAAGGCAAACTCATGCCAGCATTATGAGTTCATCATCATTAGCAGAAAAACTAGATTGGTATATGTGAATATATCATCTTTCATGTATATACTTACAGGGTTAATGACTTTAATATTGGGAAAAGTATGAAAATTGCCCAAAAGAGAAAATTAATTTTTTAACTGATAAAATATAGATAGATAAGAAAAGTGGTCAAAGGAAAAACAGAAAAAAATCATGTAAGGAAGACCGTATCAATGTAGTCTTAGGAGAATATGATTTATAGAATTGTCTCTTGTGCCTCAACTCCACAGAGGTGCTCTGAAAAATAAATTTGTGCCTACATGACTATACACATATCTACATAATGGAATATGAAGTCAATTAATTTTTAATATTCTAACATGGTTTTAAACAGTTAAACTATGCTTACCTAAGGTCACAACTTTAGTTTGTTTCTAGGTACTAAATAAAAGCAATAACTAACAACTATACTCCAAGATTACTTTTGGATATTGAAGAGAGGGAAAGTGGAAAGTAGAGGTAATATGTCTCCCTTTATTTACTGTATACTGTAAACCAATTATTTTGTTTTTGTTTTTTTTTTTTTTGCTAATAGGCTATTGCTGGTCACTAGATATGATAGATTCCCGTATATTCCACGGTGGCCAGGTCTATGCAAACCTACCCCGAAGTCCAAGGAAACTGAGGGGCCAGAAAAAGAGGGTGACATACTCAGTTTCTTATAAATAAACCTTTAATAGGGACTTACAAACAGAGGCCATGTCTGTGTCTAGGACTGCAATGAGACAAGATGGTGGATCCCCATGATCTCCATGCTGATACCCCCAGACCCTGGGTTTATATATAATAGAGAAAGGGTGATTCAGAAGGGATGTGTAAGACAACTGAAATATGATAACATCAAGACTGCCCTAACCTAAGGGCAGGATTTATGGTAAATATGTGCTCTTACATAAAGAACAACAGATAAACTGGAAATCTTAGAGGCCGTCTCAGAACTGGGCTTCCTCAGAAGTCAACATGGTGGATTAGCATCTGAGAGGGAGTTGTCTTGGCTTCCATGCTGTGAGTGTGTTATGAAAACTAGGGTATGTTCTACCTTGAGGGCTTCATTACATACCTCCCTTAGGAACCTACAGAAAGAGGGGGACTGCATCTGTATGTCTGAAGTTCTTCAGTTATAGGTATAGGACAATGGGAGGCTATTGAAGTTCTGCAAGCAGCATTAAAAAATAGAAAACATTAACGTATCACTAACTAATCTTGAAGATGAAACTTTTCTGTTAATAATGTACAGTCCTGGGTGAGTAGTGGTAAAAATTCATTCATCTATGAGGATAATTAGAATATTAAAGTCCACAGTTAGAACTTGGCATTTTGTAAATACATCCAAAGAGATGTTTACCACGAGAACCCAGGGTTTGAAATATATTCCTCCACTAACCTTAAAGTACTGTACAAGAAAGGAGGTAAGATATACCACCTCTTGGACAAAGACATGTCTTATGGAAAGTAAACTTGGAAAAGATAAAACAATGAAATCATCCTACATGGTCTAGTTCAGCCTTTGCAAAAGCACATTATATATATATGTGTATATATAGTATATATGTGTGTATATGTATAGTGTGTATATATATGTGTGTGTGTGTGTGTATATATATTATATATATATATATATATATATATCACTGAGGGTCTATTTTATTCTATTTAGTGTGATACTAATCTATAATATTGATTATAAAAATTGTGTTTTGGCTGGGCTTGGTGGCTCATGCCTGTAATCCCAGCACTTTGGGAGGCCGAGGTGGGCAGATCACGAGGTCAAGAGACCGAGACCATCCTGGCCAACATAGTGAAACCCTGTCTCTACTAAAAATACAAAAAATTAGCTGGGCATAGTGGTGGGCACCTGTAGTCCCAGCTACTTGGGTGGCTGAGGCAGGAGAATCGTTTGAACCTGGGAGGTGGGGGTTGCAGTGAGCCGAGATCATGCCACTGCACTCCAGCCTGGTGAATGAGCGAGACTCCGTCTCAATAAAAAACAAACAAACAAACAAACAAACTGTATTTTACCACCTTGGCCTAAAAACAGTGCTACCACCTTCTTTTTTCTTTCTTGGAGTTCCCAATTACATAGTTAAAAATAAACCAGACCAAATTCACCTGCTCAGTTCCTTTAGCTTAGTAGTTCTCAAAGTGTTATCTCTGGAAAAGTAGTGTCAGCACCACTTAAGAACTCATGAGAAATGCTAATTTTCATCTCCACCTGACACCTACTGAATCAGAAACCCCAGGATAGAATCCAGGAACAAGACCCCTGAGCAGTTCTGATGCTGTGTGATCTATTCTGATAGTGTGAGAATCGCTGTTGCAGGTCAGTATCACAGGTGCTTAACTGTCAAAACTAAAATGGCTCCTTCACTTGCCAGTGAATTTCCAACGCCATTGTATGAAAGTCTCAAACCGCTAGACACCTCTTTCCTTCCTCAACATTCTGTTCCAATCTTTTCTGCTCATTGCTTCACACTAATTCTGAAAAATGCAACCATACTACTCTATTTATGCCAATTTGTAAAAATTATTCACATTGAAATATGTGGCCCATGGAGACATATATTAGTTTAGTACTGAGTGCTCATCCTTGAATGGTAGACTTTTTATTTAACTTTTAAGTTCAGGGTACATGTGCAGTATGTGCAGGTGTGTTACATAGGTCAACATGTACCACGGTGGTTTGCTGCACAGATCATCCCATCACCTAGGTATTAAGCCCAGCATCCTTTGGCTATTTTTCCTGATGCTGTCCTTCCCCACATCCCCCAACCCCGACAGGCCCTAGTGTGTGTTGTTACCCCTCATGTTTCATGTGTTCTCATCATTCAGCTCCCACTTATATGTGAGAACATGCAGTGTTTGGTTTTCTATTCCTGCAGTAGTTTTCTGAGGATAGTGGCTTCCAGCTCCATCCATGTCCCTGCAAAGGACATGATTTCATTTCTTTTATGGCTGCATAGTATTCCATGGGGGGTATATGTACCACATTTTCTTTATCCAGTCTATCATTGATGGACATTTGGGTTGATTCCATGTCTTTGCTATTGTCAACACTGCTGCAATGAACATAAGCATGCATGTATCTTTATAATAGAATGTTTTTTATTCCTTTGGGTGTATACCCAGTAATGAGATTATTGGGTCAAATGTTATTTCTGCCTCTATATCTTTGAGGAATTGCCACACTGTCTTCTACAATGGCTGAATTAATTTACATTCCCACCTAAAGCATTTCTTTTTCTCTGCAACCTCATCAGCATCTGTCGTTTTTTGACTTTTTAATAATTGCCATTCTGACTAGCTTGAGATGGTATCTCATTGTGGTTTTGATTTGCATTTTTCTAATAATCAGTGATATTGAGCTTTTTTTCATATGTTTGTTAGCCGCACGTATGTCTTCTGAGAAGTGTCTGTTCATGTCTTTTACCCACTTTTTTTTTCTTGTAAATTTGTTTCAGTTCCTTGTAGATTCTGGATATTAGACCTTTGTCTGATAGACTGCAAAAATTTTCTCTCATTCTGTAGGTTGCTTGTTCACTCTGATGATAATTTCTTTTGCTGTGCAGCAGCTCTTTAATTAGATCCAATTTGTCAATTTTTCGTTTTGTTGCAATTGTTTTTGGCATTTTTATCATGAAATCTTTGCGGACAACAATGCCCTGAATAGTATTGCCCAGATTTTCTTCTAGGGTTTTTATGGTTTTGCATTTTATATTTATGTTTTTAATCCATTTTGAGTTAATTTTTATATAAGGTGTAAGGAATGGGTTTGCTTTCAAAATTCTGTATATAGCTAGCGAGTTCTCCCAGCACCATTTATTAAATAGGGAATTCTTTTTCCCCATTGCTTGTTTTTGTTAGGTTTGCAATGGCAGACTTTTTAACATCGTTACATATTTCAATTATTCTGTAATTATATTATGGGTCAGATGTACACAACCTACTCAGTCATACATACTACTTGTTGTCAGTTCATGACACATATAAATATAAGGAAATGTTTTTCAAATTGAATAATTCAGTAATACATCAAGGAATGTAAGAAAAATGTGATGCGTCATCTTAGAAACTATTAAACCTAAAATTTTGAAGGAGACTGAGGAGGCACTATAGTTAAAATATAGCAGACACAAATGTATACTGTCAAGGATGTCAAAGTTTTTATAAATTTTTGAGGAAAATATAACCCTTTCTAGAAATATCAGAACAGAACTCTGGGTTTAAACTCTTCTCTTTCAACAAGTGTAGTTAAATTTTTGAGGAAAATATAAGCCTTTCTAGAAATATCGGAACAGAGCTGTGGGTTTAGACTCTTCCCTCTCATCAAGTGTAATTAAATGGAAAAGTCATTAGAAGTCCTCATGGGGCTGACTAGATGTTCTTCAAGGCCTCTTTTAATTCAGGCCATAGAATTTTCATTTTACAGAAGCTTTAACTTTGTTGAATGGCTAGAAGGGGCTTAAGAGAAAAGATGTCATAAAGAATTTAACACTTAGGAACAGGAGTTGAGAGTGAGACTTCACTGAAATATCTCTTTCAGTGGAGTACAGTAAGATCTATATTGTGTGCTCTGTTCCCACAGAGGAAGTACTTTATAGAGATCTCGGAAGACTCCTCTGAGGAGGAAGGCATGGAAATACTTCTATCAATTTTTCTTTGAAATTTATTTTGTAAAGCGTGGTAAATCAAAGCAGAAAACAATGCAATGAATTTTCAAACAAAAAACCAAAATGAGGAGAAAAAAGAAAGCAAATAGATCCCAAGCTCCCCTTTGCTGTTGACCCAAATAGTTCACCTTTTCTAAAATGTAGGTAGTACTCTGTGGCTGATTACTTTGATGGTCATTCTTGACAAGGATAGCTTAGTGATAAGCCATGGTTTCTCTGAATAGCAAGAGGTGCTCAGAATTACAGCTGCTGGCTGTCTCTCTTTTAAACAGCTATAATTCAACCTGGAAACTAGGTGCTAATAAATAGGCATCTAATTTTCAATCAGCTAATGAGCTAGTAACTTGTTTTATTTGCCTTGAAATGAACTGAGTGTGAACAATTAGGGCCAAGGTGTGACCTGTCCCAGGACCTTAAAAAATATATAAAGCAAGACTTAGAGACTTAGAATGATTCTATAGCTCTATTGCTGAGTATTTTTTTACTTAGAGACTGAGAAAAGGTTCAGGAACTCCTATATATGGTAATAAAGTACTACTCAGAAAGCATTTAATTAAAGGTGCCTTTTCTGTTTTCTATTACTGCAGTAACAAATTACCACAATCATAGAGGCTCAAAAAACACACTTATTATCATATAGTTCTGGAGGGTAGAAGTCTAATATAGGTATCAGTGGGCTAACATTAAGATATTGACAGGACTGCATTTCTCTCAGGAGGTTTTAGGGGATCAATTTCTGTGTCTTTTTCAGCTGTTAAGAGTTGCCCACATTCCTTGGCTCATGATTTTTTCCTTGATCCTTAAGGCCTCTCTCTCTCTCTCTCTCTGTCTCTAATCATTCTTTGAGGTTACATTTCTTCTGACTGTCCTTTTCTGCCTCCGTTTTTAAGGACCTTTGTAATAATATTGGACATATCTGAATAACGCAGGATAATCTCCCCACCACAAGTTCCCTACCCTTATTTACAGCTAGAAAGTCCCTTTAACCATCTAATGTAGCATATTTACAGATTTTGTGGATTAGTGTATGGACATCTTTAGGGGATTCCTTGCCTTTTTCAAAGGTATTACAAGTGGATGATATTGCCTCTTAATGTACATTGCCTATATAGTAATTAGAGAAATTTTGGGAAGGCAAGTTTATCAATTATCTCAAGTGCACACACACTTACTGAGCATCTAGTGGGTAGTTGGCAATATAGTTGATGTTGGATATCAAATGATGAATGAAATATGGTCGATGATACCCTGTCTTACCTGGCCTTCTTTTAGAAAGAGACAAACATAACAATAGTACATTTTATGGTGTATAGTATAAAGATAAATAGCAGAGTGTTCTGATTCATAACAAGAGGTAATTTAGACTTGGGCTTAAAGTAGAGCCTCTGAGGATGTTACGTTTAAACTAGGAAAAGTGCTTGTGGTAGGAGCAAAAAATGTGAACTTCCTATATTGATTATCAGCGTCTGTGTCTGAGAAAATGAAAACTAACTCAGATTACTACTGGAGTTGGAGTAGAGAGAGAAAAAGTGGTGGGAGGTAGGATTAATAGGTCATCCTGTTGCAGACCTTGAATTGCATTGTAAATCAAAGAATGATATTGAAGAATTTTAAGAAGGAGCAAGGTAGGAGCTGATTTATTTCCTTAAAAAGTACACTGAAAATGGATAAGAGATACAACCATTAG
The DNA here is from genome assembly GCF_000001405.40 of Homo sapiens. Classification (NCBI taxonomy): domain Eukaryota; kingdom Metazoa; phylum Chordata; class Mammalia; order Primates; family Hominidae; genus Homo; species Homo sapiens. Next base: position 84,698,320 of record NC_000014.9, on the reverse strand, counting down.
GAGATAATTTAACTAATCCAGGTGAGAGAAAAATGGGGATTTAGGTAAGCGGGTTATCAGTAGAGATGCAAAGACATAAAGACTTTACTGGTTTGTTTTTGAAAATAGCATGGACAAAATTTAGTGATTTAGAACATAGGGTCAGAGTTTACTCTCAAATGTATGATTTTAACAACTAAGTTGCCAAACATTTAATATACTAAAATAGAGACTTTATTTTCCCATTTATGGATTCTGGATGACCTTAGAGCAAATATTTACAATTTTGAGAAGTCACAGACTGTCTTAGTTTGTCAGGCTGCTATAACGAAATACCAGGCTGGGTAATTTATAAACAACAGACATTTTATGTCTCACAGTTCTGGAAACTGGAAATCCAACATCAAGGCTACAGCAGATTCAGTGTCTGGTGAGGGCTGGCTCCTCAAAGATGGCAGCTTCCTTATGTCCTGACATAACATAAGATCAAAAGAGATGAAACACTGTGTCCTCACATCCTAGAGGTCCCACCTCTTAATACTATTGCTTTGGGGATTAAGTTTCAGCATTAATCTTGGAAGAGGACAAACATTCAATTCATAGCAGAATTCAAGTTGAAAAATTCATAGAAAACATTTTTGCATACAATTTTGAGGGTTAACAAATCCTCTCAACACTGTTTCACCTACTAGATTAAAAACTGTCTTACGGATCTTCAGCAACTCTACCTCTTTCTCTAAGCTAAACTTTTACATATAAGATATACTTGTTATTTTGTGTTCAAAAACTTTATCTTATTAAAACTTACTCCTCTAATTCTATTGTTCATCATCTTAGAACTATGTTGCATCCCAGATAAGCATGTGTCTTTATGTATTAGTGTTTTTAATGACTGTTTCCCTTATACTTTGTCTCTTCCCATGACATTTCTACCCATTCAAAACCTACTTCTAATTGTCCTTCATCCACTAAGCCTTCTTTTAATCCTGTGAGTTAGCATTAAGGATTCCTTTTTTTTGGCTTATTAGGCTCTCTGTGATCCTGGGTGCCTCTCCAAATAGAAGATACGTTCACTGAGCGCAAGAACGCAGTCTAGCACCTTTGATTCTCCATTATGACCAGCACAAAATAAGCCTTAATAAATACATATTAAATATGATGATCAAATTGATTTCTCACATTTTTCCACAGATGATAGTAGATCTTTCACAGAAATATATGTGTAAAGTAGGATATTCACTTAATAGATTGCAAAGGCTGGTATTCTCTGTTAATAAAGAGACATCATTTAGCTTCAAATATAAATCATTGTAAAGGGGTCTTCAGTGGAGACAGATGATCCCATGGAAGTGTGCCCAGCTGCACTGAGCACTAAGAGCTTGCATCAGGCATCCAGAATCCAAGCAGTTAGCAAACCTGCTTGAAATCATGACAATTTGTCAGTATATACAGTATATTTCAACTTGAATTTAAAGGCTGATGATTAACTTTGAAATCCCCTACAAATTGTCTCATTATATACAGTACCAAGACTAAACTACTAAATTATGTCATGAATGCATAAAATACATGTAGATACTAGTCTTTTTTATCATTTATTGCCTTAAAATCCATATAATTTATTATAGAAAGTCAAGATTTATCAAAAGCTTAATGGTGATCCACTTCCACTTAATAAATGGTAAATATATTTTCTCATCCTTATTATTCTCTTAATAACATTCTTTTTAGTTTACTTTAAGAATATAGTATATAATACGTAAAACATACAAAATATTTATTCATGGACTGCTTATGTTATCAGTAAGGCTTCTGGTCAACAGTAGTCTATTAGTTATAAAGTTTTTGGTGAGATAAGTTATATGTAGATTTTTGACTCTTCAGGGAATCAGTGCTTCTAAGCCCTGTGTTGTTCAACAGTCAAACATATCTATTTTGTAAGCATACCTAATATACTTCATAAATTTATATTCATTTTTCTTCCACTGGTAAAAACATAGTCTGATTTCTTCAGTATACATTTAATAATGAATAATAAATCTATTAAGGCCTGAGATTAAAAAAAAAAAACTATGTCACCACCTCTCACTACGTGGATTATGAAATGCACTCAAGCAATAACAAGACTTGCCAATTTTCTATCCTGGAATAAGTGACAATTCTTTGACTTGAGGACAGACTGCTATTTGCTAATCACGTGCTCTCTCTTTACTGCTTTAAAATATCTCTTTGACCTTCAACTATATGTCTCCTGACAAACAGTACATTCCTTTTATTATTCAAGCTCATAAGAAAAGTTAAGGAACCCGTATATTGTGGTTCCTCTGCCCCACCCCCCGAGTTAACAGCACACTTGTAATTGCTAATGAGAGTCAAGCTCTTTATTATAATAATCATTATTATTATTTTGAGACACTGTCTCACTCTGTTGCCCAGGCTGGAATTCAGTGGCACGATCTCGGCTCACTTCAAACTCCACCTCCTGGATTCAAGCAATGTTCCTGCCTCAGCCTCCTGAGGACTACAGGCATATGCCACCATGCGCAGCTAATTTTTGTATTTTTAGTAGAGATGTGGTTTCACCATGTTGGCCAGGCTGGTCTTAAACTCCTGACCTCAGGTGGCCCACCCACCTCAACCTTCCAAGGTTTAAGCTTTTTATTATTATGGCTCAAGATCTGATAAAGCAGAAGAAAAGTCTGCTGCACATACCCATCAGGGCCACACCAGAGGATTCTGGCTTCACTGTGGCTGATATGAGCTTAGGGGGATTTATTGTAAAGTTATCAGTGTTTCAGAGAGTCCCTGGGAGGCTGGAGAAACCAACTCAGGTGGATAAAAACCAATCAAGCTCTGAAGAACAAAAGAGCAACAGAACAGTCTATCTAGACTCCAGCTTCCTGGCTGCTGCAAAAAATAAGCTCTGAAGAATAGAGTCTCATTGCATTCACAATACAAAATCCCAGATATTGTGACTCCTCTGAAGGTGTGGAGGAGGAAGATCCAGTTGCTCTGACCACTCTCCACCAGGAAAGCATGCCAACCAAGTAAAGGAAACTTCCCCGAGGAGATCAAGATGCTTAGGAGGAAGGTGATGTGCTGGACAGCCAAAGAAATGACATATTTTTACTACTGCTTAATATGATGAAAGACATGATATATCATATTTACTCTTGATCCTTAAAACATAGTTTTATGCTTTCCCTTGCCCTCCTATTATTATTAGTCCATACTCCAAGAATTGCAGTAGAGAGAGGGAGAGACAGAGAGAGTGTGTGTGTGGGGTGTGTGTGTGTGTGTGTGTGTGTGTGTGTGTGTGTGTGTATGTCTTTACCCAAAGAATGCAGGGAAAGAAAAGAACAACTTGTGATTAAGCAACTACACAAAGTGTCTGCCCATATATACCAAAGAAGTTCAGAGAAGGGGGTCATCAAAGTAGATAAGAAGGAAGTATCTTATAAATAGAAAACAAATACCAAAACACATAGACTACACTCTAAACTATGTCGCACATTATCAATGTGACTGTTTTTGTTAATGACAAATCAATTTACTTTGTTTTTAGCTGCAGGTCCTATATCTTTTGAATAGGGATATCAATCTAAACTAACTCATGGGTTTAAGTTATGTAATATACAATATGCTGGTGCTCAAAAATATGTGCTGCTATTCTTAATATTAAGCATTATGTATCATTATTAGTAGTAGTATTATGGTTTAGGTAGAGAAGTTCAAATTCAGCAAAAGTTTCTTAATGGCTGGCTCTAAAATAGCCCCAAAATAATCCACTGAGTGCACCACTGCACTGATGGTAATTGGTACTGTGGGAAATTGCAAACAGGAAACCTAAAGCTTATTATGGTGTGTTGTTTCTCAGTGCTGAACATTAAAAATGCTGAGCTCTCTAATCTGGAATAAAGACAATTTGACCTCCAATTTTTATTGCAATCTTTGTTACAGCTGCTCAAAATATCTTCTCCATAGCAGCCACACAAAGAAATGTTCTTCTGTTTGTAGTTAGGCTGGAATAGATAGCATTACTTCTCAGCCAACAAATTTCATGTTTTGTGAGTTGTTGCCAAATGTATTCAGATCCAAAGCTTCAAATTAAGAAACTGGAAAAGGAATTTAGTAAAGAGTAAGAATGGCACCTTCTCTCTGTTAGTTCTTTGGAATGCCACAGTTCACTTTAATGAGAAAAAAGCTTATTTTGATGAAAACCAATACAAATTTCATAGGAACATTTAAATACAACTTCCATTGTATTTGGAATGGGAGTGTCAAAGGAAGATTTAAAAAAAATCTTTGTGAAAGAGACTATTATTTTGGAAGCAATTATAAACTGATTTTTTTTTTCTTAAGAAAAATTCCTTCATCTTGAAATGTTTTTAACATGTCATGATCTTCATTGACCCCTTAACTTTATCTGGAAAAGATCTCCAGTTAACAGGCTTTCTGTTAGCCCAAATTTTCTCTGCAATGTTGAATATTTTATTAAGTACCTACTGAGTGCAGTGCTTGGAGGATGAGGAGGGTGCTCATAAAAGAGATAAAAAATTTAATCCACATTCTGCTCTTAAAAATGACTTCTGAATACTGTGAAATATTTTCCAGAGTTTTCCAGGTTAAGAATTCATGAGATTCATAGGCATCTTTCAGTTCATTACAAATCAGTAATACAAAAATAACATTTTTTCTTTAGTTCTGTATATTAAAATAAAATAGTGTTTTATTTTGTCTGTAGTAAATCATGACAATTTAAAATGCATTTTGCTTCAGTTAATTGCTTGGTAAACTTAATTGAGGAAGTTATATTGTAGATAGTATTATTTTCCTGAAAACTATTCTCAATGGTTTTTCTTATATTGTTTCACCTTCCCAAAAACACGTCTAATTGAAAATTAAGTTGTATGTCACTTTGAAATTTTTAAAAATGTCTTTTTCAGAAAACTTTAATATTAATTTTTTCTCTTTTATTCTATATAATTTAGTATAGAATTTACCTGCTATTACTCACCTTTAAAATTGCAAATATCTTTCTTTTTTATTGAATATTATTCAACAAGCTAAACAAAGATGGGCAGGGACTGTTTTTGATTATAGATAATGCAAAGAATCAAAGAATGTGTGGACTTTAATTTCCTATAGATAAGAGCTTTGTCATAAAAACTATCTAGCTCCTGTGTTGTCAATATGATGGTAATAAGTTTGAGTTCTAAAAGGGAAATTTGCAATTTATGTTTATTCTAAAAATGTAATATTGATTAAAAATTTTGAGAACATTACCCTTCCTACAATAAGAATCTTTTTAAGGACGCCTATTGGTGTTTCTCAAGAGACGGTGGTAATAAAACTTTTTCAGACACTTTTGAAATATCAAGACTGAAATATTTCTATATTTTCTTCTGAGATTTATTTCTGACATTCTAGATTTCTGTTGAGATTCCAAAGTCCAAATATTGTGTCCACACAGCACCCCTAAATCAGAGCAAAAGCTAAGTGCCAGGAAAACCTATTGTTTAGTGTCTATGGCAACACAAATGAGGGAAAGGTCCAATGTGTGAATTATCCGACATTGACTTTATAAGGACGCAGAAGGTTGTAGCATGTAAATTGATTATATCTACCACATTCTTTTACCTTTATCAATACTTTTTTAAAGAAGTATATACAATGAGATCATAATACTTTTTATTCTAAAGTTGTTTTATAATTTTTTTAAATGTTAACATTTTATTAAACTTCTCTCGCGATTTTTTAATTAAAAAAATTGCGATGTAACATAATATATTAAAGAGAGCACGGAGAATAGAGTAACACATACGCATGAATCCTGCTTTATTCCTTATCAGATGAGTGGCCTTGAAGACACCTGTTAGCCCATTCTAAATCTCTGTATTCTCCACACTAACCAATACTTAGAATACATAGAACAATACTTAGAATTGTGCGGATTCGTTGACATAAAGGCTATAAAGAATCTAGCAGAGAACACATAATAAGCTCTATAAAATGTTAGGTGATGTTCTCCTTGATCCATATTGCAAGAAGACAAATTGAGGTAATGTTTTTTGCCAGCTTTAAGTTAGAGGAGATACAGTAGTTGTGAACCATATAGCAACTCAGGTGAATTCTCTATGGTACCAAAGGCAATTCTATCTGGGGACAAGATGATAATATATAAAAATATAAATACAATCAGTTTTTAATCTAAGTAATCTTTACCAAATAAGGGGATTTCCAAACAAATGTCTTGGTTGGATATTTTTTTAAAAAATTAAATGTCTTTAAAACTATAAGAATGTTTTGCTTGTTTTGTGTTATCACATTTGAGGTCTCAGTTTTCCCATTCTTGATCTCCGATGAAACCTGAAAGACTAGAAATCTAAAAAATGGATACTCAAAATACTTCCTGTGAACCAGCAGCATCATATCACCTGTAAGCTTATTACGAATGCTTATCTTCAGCCCCAATCCCAAATCCACCGAATCAGAAATTCTAGAGGTAGATCTCAGAAGTCAGTTTTTCAATAAATGTTTGTTACACCTGCAAAGGTCTAAGAGCCACTGGTCTAAGTAATAGTTTTTTAAAATAAATACTTGTTTAAAAAATGCGCTAACAAGAGTATTTAGACTGACACCAAAGGAATAATCCATGAATGAAATTATTAATAAATTGACTTCAACAAAATAAAAAATATTTTGCTCCATGAAAGGCCATGTGAAGAAGACAAAAAGACAAGCTACACATTGGGAGAAAATGTTAGGAAAAAGACTAGTATCTAAGAAATCTCAGAATTCAACATATAAAAACCTGAAAATTGACAGAATACTGAACAGACTTTTCACCAAGATGATAAACAGATGAAAAGCACACTCATGGAAATATGTTGAACATCATTAACCACCAGGGATATGTACCTAAGAAAACCCCCAATGACATCATTACACACCTTTAAAATGGCTTAAATTAAAAAAAAATAGTGATACCACCAAATGTTGGCAAGGATGAGGAAAAACTGATTCATTCACATCTTCTTGATGGGAATGTAAAATGGTACAGCGACTCTGGAAGTTTGGCAATTTCTTATAATAGTAAACATGCAATTACCATGAGACTTAGTAACTGAACTCTTTGATGTTTATCCCAGATGAAAGAAAACTATGTTTACAAAAATACATGTACAAAAATGCCCAGAGCAGCTTAATTTGGAGTAAGCAAAAACTGGAAACAACCCTGATGTCCTTCAGCAGGTGAATTATTAAAGAAACTGTGGTACAACATTCCATGTAAGACCACTAAGCAATATAAGGAGAAACTACTGATAGTTTGATACAGGTAACAATTTAGATTAAATTCTAGAGAGTTATACTGAGTGAAAAAAAGTTACTCCCCAAAGGATATATACTGCAGGATTCCATTTATATGAAATTCTTTAGATGACATTTTAGAAATAAAGGATTGATTAGTGATGCTATATGAGGAATCCTGGTGTTGGAATTGTCCATAACTTGACTTGGTAGTGAATTCATCATGAACCTTCAAATATGACAAAATTGTGTAGAACTGAATACATATATACATATACAAATGAATACAAGTAAAGCTGGGGAAATCTGAATAGAATCAGTGGATTGTACAACATCATGGTTATGTCTGGTGTGTGCATCTCTCTGTGTGAATCTATAACTGTCTTAATCATTCAATTAAAAAATTAAAAGTCCTCCTTATTACTCCTTAATTATCTCTAAGGCTTCTTCTTAACTTTGCCATAAAAATTATGTCAACATAAATGGTATATAGATTGTGTTTTAGGCATCTCATCAATTTATTGAATTTTTCTTCATGTTTCTATGGTAATTACTGTGACATAATTGATCATAGAGAAAAAAAAATTTATCAAATCCTTTTATGTAAGTCAAACATTTAGATGAACTGTGAATCTTTTCAGATAATACCATAGTACTCAACATTCATAGCTGCAGAATCATTATGGAAATCCTTACCTTAAATTGTGGTTGAGCTCATCTAATATAATTTCAAGTTGATTAGTTCTAGTGATTGAGGCAGCCCTTCTGGATCAGTGTCTGTAAAACCATCAAGTAGATAAACCATGCTCAACTATTGATCATAAATCATAAAGATAAGAATTTAATGTTGTATGTAGAAAAATGATTCTTAGATTCCAGAACAGAATTATTAACCTACATTTCCCTAGTATTTTGTTAATTTTTATTTTTATGTTATTGCATTTTTTGCTCATAATAGCATTAAAACTGATATTAATGAATAATTCCTTTATAAATATATAAGCTGAACATTCATCACATCTAAAAATTACTAAGAAAAAAAATCTCTAAGAAAATAAAAGTGATTAAAAAATCAAAGTATATACTTTATATTTGAAAGATACCTGTTTTTCTCTAGTAATCACTCATAGAAACTGCAAAAAGGTGGAAGGTAGCTTAAATATTAGAGTAAAATACTCAGACACATTTTGTCTTCCTTTTATATATTTTATATTTTCTAATTTTTTTTTAAAAAAATAGTGCTTTGTGAATGAAATTTTCTTGTTATTCAGCCAAACTTGCTAAAAATAATAAATTCCAAGTGTAGGCGGATTAAAAATTGATTCTGAATTTTAAAAGCACATATAATATTGAAATCTAAGGAACATACTTCTTCACAGTGTTCGCAGAAATGGTTGAGATATCATTTGGCCATCTCATAAATCAATATTTATTCAGATCCAATGAGAATTAACAGTTCATTTTTTTAACCAACCCAAACTGATTTATTCTATTTTCTGGCTAATGTTAAGTACAATTTTGATGGCAGTCAATATTTTGTCTTCAGAATGATTTTGTTTGGTCTGCTATTGCATGAAACTCAAAGGTCACAAAAGCCATGGACCCTGAAGCATGATAAAAGGCAGAAGAAGAATGCTATGTTTCTACTTAAAGTTTCTTTTCTGCTGATTTTAAAAGTGCTAGATCCCCAGAAGACATACTGTCTCAAAGAATAAATGTTTCATGTGTTTTCCTTGATATCATGACTACTTTATCCTTTTGCCTTGCATATGGATCAGATAACAGGATGCAAGATTGGTGATTGATTTTATGTTTTGTTAATTGGCACAAGTTATCACTTGGGTATTCAGCAGACAAAACAGATGATACATGACTCAACAAATAAACTAAAAAGGCACTGTACAAATGCCAAAACATTTTATAATATTTGAGATGTTTAATTTATCTTGTGACAAAATATTTGCTATAAAAATCTTTCATCAATATTGTGAGATAGGACATTATGATAGATTTCTTGCTAAAAAAAGGTGATATATACAAATACATGTTTTGGAATGATGAAGATTTATGAATAAAGAATAGTTACTGGCATCTTCATACTATTTTCAGTGATATTATCTTCACTATAAATTGTGACTGTCAGTCCCACTGAGAGGTCGAGACCGAGTTTAGCTCACTTTTTCCTTAAAAATCATGAAGGGTATGAGGAGAGTAATGTAAATTATGTCCAGTGGAAAACTGAGCTGTCAGAGAGGGATATAACACTTAAAGTTCTCTATAAGATGACTCCTTATCTTAAAAGATAATTTCAATAATCATATGGTGATACATTTTATGTTTTATTCATAAAAAAATTCCAGTTTCATCTAAATGTACAGCAGAATCGTTATCCTAGTATTTTAAAACTCTTAAGGGAGAACTTCAGGGCTTTTGGGTTGATGTTTAGTTTAAAAAAAAAAAAGCAAACCAGTGAGATGAATTTATTGGAGCAGTTTTCTCATACTCACTTGGCTCCAGAAGGACTGAAGTTAATGCATGCTATGTGAAATGTGACGTTCTCTTGGTTATGGACCAAAGAGACTATAAACTGGAGTTCATCATATCGAAGATAGTGTTTACATTTTTTCATCTTTGTACTGAATTTAGGCTCGGCTTCTTGGGATACTTTTAGTGCTCTCCCCGGACTGAAAAAGTATCTGACTGAACTATCCACATGTCATTTCTCTAACCTTCCCTAAAATCCAAGGCATCAATCAAGCCCACAACATTGACCTTAGACAAGTCATCAGCAAACCTAACGGCATATTTTACTTACGCCTGAAGTACCCTCCCCACTGAAGGATTGTATGATAATCTCACCAATATCCATTTGACCTCTATCTCATTGTAGCAAAGGTACCATATTAGGATGTGGATACCAATATCAAGGGTGAACTCTAAGAGACAGACTCTGCACTTCAGCAGCCATGTTTAGGCCAAGTAGGGCATAATATTCTTCAGTTACAGTAAATGTTCTGGACCTAATCCTAGTTAAAGACATTTAAGAGAGTGTGCTGGGGATTTTGTTTCCTTCTTTATGTGAAAAAGCCACATGATGAGATGACCTCTTTTCCTCCAGTTACTTTTGTGCAGAGATGGAGCTCCAGAATTGTTCCAACCATTTTGCTTAACAAGAAACCAAATCAGACTTAATGAGAGTCAAAAGAAACTGCAGAAGACCTAATCCTAGTTAAAGACATTTAAGAGCGTGTGCTGGGGATTTTGTTTCCTTCTTTATGTGAAAAAGCCACATGATGAGATGACCTCTTTTCCTCCAGTTACTTTTGTGCAGAGATGGAGCTCCAGAATTGTTCCAACCATTTTGCTTAACAAGAAACCAAATCAGACTTAATGAGAGTCAAAAGAAACTGCAGAAAAAGGAGATGGAATTCCTAAACTTGATCAACCCCAAAGCCTTCCCTACCTCTGGACTTCCCAATACCAAAACAGTCCCTTTTTGTTTAAATTATTTGTATTTAGTGGTCTGTTACTTGTAGCCAAAGTCCTTCTAATGTACAGTTCTCTCTACCCATTCTTCAAAATTCAACTAAATTAGACCACTTTATAATAATAATCATTGATGTTTGTGGAGCTTTTACTAGATACCAGATGCTGTTTTCTGACTGTACTTTGCGTGGATTTACTAATTAATCCTCTTAACTTTGTGAAAGCATTCTAATATTATATTCTAAAATTTGTAAGTGCACAGAAAAATCAAGTAACTTACCCAAGATTCTAATAAATAGTAGGAAGAATAAGCAATAACCTAGCAGTATTATTCCAGAAGTCTCATTCTCAACCATGACATAACATTGCCTCATTATATGCTAACATTACCATCAGCACCCTATAAACTCTTCTGTTAGGATTCTTTTGCATTTATTGTCTTAACTGAACAATTAGTACCGATATTAAATCATTCTCAGCTAACCCATTTTATAGCTATTATTTTATATGTGTATCTTTTCCTTTTTGATCGGTTCTCTTTGGAATGGACATGGTTTGCAGTACTCTCACATTTTATAATATTTTGCAAGCATAAAGAATCCAGTATACATAGCAATATTGATACAATCTCAAAATCTTACGAAGTTCAGCAATAATAAATATAGTCGTCACACTGCAATACACTTGAACTATGGGCTGTTATTAGGACAACTACCTTACCTCCTACCTCTTCATTCTGTTGCTGAACACTCCCTTACTTCCCCTACACAATTAAGAATCATAAGATAGGAATTCTTCAACATCCTTATCTCACCACACTTTCAACTAAATTACATCACTCTAATGTGTGCTCTCATTAATTTTGTATAAGGCATATTTTTCTATCATTACTCTGCTTCCCATCTCCTCTTAAGTGCCAGATGATTTTGGTTCATTGGCTCTTGGATTTTTTTTCACTTACACGTATATAATAGACAATTTAAAATTTTATAAATATATAAAGTACAAGTATTATGATTTATGAATATAATGTAAAATAATTAAATCAAGCTAGTTACCATATTCATTATCTCAAATGTTTAACATTATTTGTGCTGAGAACATTAGGAATGTACTCTCCTAGCAACATACAGACAGTCTTCGATGTATGATTTTTCAATTTTACGATGAGTTTATCAGGACATAACTGAATTACAATTTGAAGACCTCCTAACAATTTACAATGAGTTAACAATTTCTATTGAATGTCTATCACTTTCACATCATTGTAAAGTCTCAAAATTGTAAATCAAACCTTCATAAGTAAGGGACCATCTACTGTGCTGCCCTCTTTAAAATAATTTGAAAATATCCCCTCCTTTTCAATTTTTTGAAAGAGTTTGAAAGAAAACTGGTATTAGTTTTTCTTTCAATGGTTGATAAAATTCAGCCATAAAATCACTAGGTCCTGGAATTTTCTTTGATGGGAGACTTTTCGTTACTTAATCAAAATTCTTGCTCTTTACTGGTTGGTTCAAATTTGCTATTTCTTCATGATTCAGTTTTGGTAGGTTGTATGGGTCAATAAATTTATTTATTTCTTCTGTGTTTTCCAACTCATTTGCAATGTGTCCTCATTCATTTCTGACGTAAACAAAATTTAAAAACCTTTAGCAAAACTAAAAAGAAGCCTCAAATTATTTACTTATCTTTTTCAAAAAATAACTTTTTTTAATTTTTTGAATTTTTTAATTGTTTTTCTCTATTTATACTCTGATCTTTATTATCTCCTACTTTCAGCTATATTTTGGCTTAATTTTTTCTTTTTCTAGTTATTTTCTTATTCATTTAATCACCCTATTCTTTTTATTAGAGAATTTAATCCATTTATATTCAAAGTCACTAATGACATTTCTCCCCCACACTGTTTTTTATTTCATAATTACGTTATTTCATAATTTGTTTTCCTTTAAAATTTATTTTAGCTATACTTATTACCAGTAGTTTTATCTTTTAACCTTTGTACTATAAATAAACTTGCCTTACACAACATTATTATAGTACTAAGATATTCTTAACATGGCTCAGTTTTACTTATATCCTTGAGTTTTTACATTTGTGTGTTTCGTGTTACTAATTAGCAGCTTTTTTTTTCAGTTTAAAAAACTCTCTACTTTCTCAAAGATTAGATAGTTGTAGGTGTGTGGCTTTATTGCTGGGTTCTCTAACCTGTTCCATTGGCATATATGCCTATTTTTACACCATTACCATACTGTTTCAGTTACTGTGGCCCTTTAGTATATTTGAAGTTGGGTAGTGTGTCAACTCTGTCAAAGACCAGATGGTTATAGATGTGTGGCTTTGTTTCTGGGCTCTTTATTTTTTACCATTGGTTCACATGTTTGTTTTTGTACCACTGCCATGCTGTTTTGGTTACTGTAGCCTTGAGTATAGGTTGAAGTCAGGTAATGCAACATTTCCAGCTTTGTTGTTTTGCTTAGGATTGCTTTGGCAGACTCTTTTTTGGTTTCATATGAATTTTACAATAGGTCATTCAAATTCTGTGAAGAATGTCATTGGTAGTTTGATAGAAATATCATTAAAACTGTACATTGCTTTGGGAAGTATGGTCATTTTAACAATATTGATTCTTCCTATTCATGAGCGTGGAATGTTATTCCACTTGTTTGTGTCATCTCTGATTTCCTTCAGCAGGCTTTTGTAATTCTTTTTTTTTTTTTTTTTTTAAGACAGAGTTTTGCTCTTGTTGCCAAGACTGGAGTGCAGTGGCGCGATCTTGGCTCACCGCAACCTCCTCCTCCCGCATTCAAGCGATTCTCCTACCTCAGCCTCCAGAGTAGCTGGGATTACAGGCATGTGCCACCAAGCCCGGCTAATTTTGTATTTTTAGTAGAGATGGGGTTTTTCCATGTTGGTCAGGCTGGTCTCGAACTCCTGACTTCAGGTGATCCTCCCACCTCAGCCTCCCAAAGTGCTGGTATTACAGGCATGACCCACCTCGCCTGGCCTATAATTCTTATTGTAGAGATCTTTCACCACCCTAGTTAGCTGTATTCCTAAATATTTTACTTTTTGTGTGGCTGTTGTGAATAGGATTGCATTCTTCATTTGGCTCTCAGCATGGACGCTGTCCATGTGCATGTAGCATAAAAATGCTACTACTTTTGTACATTGATTTTGTATCCTCAAGTTTTAGTGAAGTTGTTTATGAGATCTAGGAGATTCTTGTCAGAGATTATGGGGTTTTCTAGGTATAAGATCATAACAAAAACAAACAATGAGGAAAGGACTCTCTATTCAATAAATGTTCTTGAGATAATTGGCTAGCTATATGCAGAAGATTGAAAATGAACTCCTTTCTTCACCACATACAAAAATCAATCAAGATGGAATAAAGACATAATTGTAAAACTTAAAATTATAAAGACCCTAGAAAACCTAGGAAATACTATTCTGAACATAGTCTCTGGCAAAGATTGTGTGAAAACGTGTCCAGGCCTGCCACAGTGGCTCACGCCTGCAATCAAAGCACTTTGGTAGGCCAAGGTGGGTGGATCACCTGCGATAAGGAGTTCAAGATCAGCCTGACCAACATGGTGAAACCCTGTCTCTAGTAAAAATACAAAATTAACCTGGTGTGGTGGTGCATGCCTGTAATCCCAGCCACTCGGGAAGCTGATGCAGGAGAATCGCTTGAACCCTGGAGGGAGAGGTTGCAGTGAGCCGAGATCGCGCCATTGCACTCCAGCCTGGGCAACAACAGTGAAACTCCGTCTCAAAAAAAAAAAAAAAGAGAGAGGGAGAGAGGGAGAGAGGGAGAGAGGGAGAGAGGGAGGGAGAGAGAGGGAGGGAGGGAGGGAGGCAGGGAGGGAGGGAGGGAGGGGGAGGGGGAGAGAGAGAGAGAGAGAGAGAGAGAGAGAGAGAGAGAAAGTGTCCAAAAGCAATTGCAACAAGAACGAAAATTGACAAAAGAGTCCTAATTAAAGATCTTCTGCACAGCAAAGGAAACTATCAACAGAGTAAACACACAACGTGGAGAATGAGATAAAATATTTGCAAACTATGTATCTGACAAAAGTCTAATATTTAGAATTTATAAGGACTTAAACCAATTAATAAGCAAAAAAATGAACAACCCAATTAAAATGTGGGCAAAGGACATGAACAGATAGTTTTCTAAAGAAGACACATATTTGGTCAATAAGCATATGAAAAAAAAGCTCAATATCACTGATCATTAGAGAAATAAAAATCAAAACCACAATGAGATACCATCTTACACCAGTCAGTATGGCTATGATTAAAAGGTCAAAAAGTAACAGATAGTGGTGAGGTTGAGTAGCAAAGGGACAACTAATATACTGTTGGTGGAAGTGTAAATTAGTTCAGCCATTGTGGAAAGTACTATGGTGATTCCTCAAAGAGCTAATAACAGAATTATCAGAATTAACAGAATTATTGACCCAATAATCCCATTACTGGATATATAACCAGAGGAAGAGAAATAATTTTACCATAAAGACACATGTATGCAAATGTTCACTTCAGCACTGTTTACAATAACAAATACGTAGAATCAACTTAAATTCCCATCAAAGGTAGACTGGACAGAGAATGTGGTAGACATCTACCATGGTATACTTTGCAGCTACAAAAAAGAATGAGCTCATATCCTTTTCAGCAACATGGATGGAGCAGGAGGCCATTATCCTAAGCATATTAATTCAGGAGTAGAAACCAAATATCTCATGCTTTCACTTATAATTGGGAGCTAAACCTTAAGTATACATGGATACAAAGAAGGAAACAATAGATATTGTGGCTTATTTCAGTGTGGAAGGTGGGAGGAGGGGGAGGACTGAAGAACTACCGACTAGGTACTGTGCTTATTATCTGGTTGATGAAATAATCTGTACACCAAACCTCCATGACACACAATTTATCCAAGAAACAAACCTGCACATGTACCCCCCTGAATCTAAAATAAATGTTGGAAAAAAAAAGAACTCTCTATCAATTTTTGTAAGGCAGGTCTGATGGTGATTAACTCACATAGGTGTTTTTGTTGTTGTTGTTGTCTGGGAAAGTTTTTTATTTCTTACCCATTTCTGAAACTCACCTTTGCTTGAAAAATTATTCCTCATTAAAACTTTTACTTTGTTTATTTCAAGCACTTTGAATATATTATATAACTGTGTCCTGGCCTGCTGTGTTTTTTTTCCCCCACTAAATCTACTCATAGTCATACTGACACTTGTTTCTATGCAATGTGTTTCTTTTCTCTTGTTGCTCTCAAAATGGTTTGTCTTTGATTTTTGATAGTTTGAATATGTGCTTAGATATACTTCTTTGGGTTGAAAGTGATTGGGAATCTTCATGCTTACTGTACTTGGGTGTTGGCATCTATCCTCAAATTAGAAAATTTTTCTGTCATTTTATTTAAATGTGCTTTCTGGTTTTTTAGCTTTATCTTCTTCTAGAACTCCTATTATTTGAATATTTAGTTCCTTGATTGTGTCCCATAATTCCCATAAGCATTCTTCATTTTTAAAAATTATTTTATCTTTTTGCCCCTCTGACTAGACAGTTTCAAATGGGTGTCTTGCAGCTGATTCTTTCTGCTTGAGTTTCCTATTGAAAATTTTAATGATTTTTTTCAATTAATTCATTGTGTTATTAGTTGAGTTTCTGTTTATTTTTATTGTTCCTTTTTTTTGCCAATATTCTCAAATTTCATGGATTGTTTTACAAATTTCATTAAATTTTCAGTAAGCATATTATAGTTGGTCACACCACTTTATAAGTATTATTCTGAATGCTAGGTCAGTCATTTTATAGATCTCAATTTCTTTGTGTGTTCCATTATTGGAGCTTTATTAGTTTCTTTTCTCTTTTCTTTTCTGTTTTTTTTTTTTTTTTTTTTTTTTTGAGACAGAGTTTTGTTCTTGTTGCCCAGGCTGGAGTGCAATGGCGTGATCTTGGCTCACTGCAAACACTGCCTCCCGGGATCAAGAGATTCTCCTGCCTCAATCTCCTGAGTAGCTGGGATTACAGGCATGTGCCACCATGCCCGGCTAATTTTGTATTTTTAGTAGAGATGAGATTTCTCCATGTTGGCCAGGCTGGTCTCAAGCTCCCGACCTCAGGTGATCCACCTGCCTCGGCCTCTCAACGTGCTAGGATTACAGGCGTCAGCCATCAAGCCCGGCCACTTCATTAGTTTCTTTAGAAGGTGTGCTAATTCCTTAATTCTTCGTAATCTTTGTATCATCTGTTGCATTGTTTTCTGCACATTTGAGAAGATAGTCCTTCCTTCTGTCCTTTATACATGTTCCTTGGCAGGGACAGAGCTTCACTATTTTGTTTAGCCTGCAATTCTTGAAAGGCCAGCTGATGATGACCCCAGCCTAGCAGAATTTGTTGTGAATTCTCTAGTTTCTGGGGTGCTGCCTTTCCTCTGATGTCAAGTGAGGCTGTTGGCAGTTATCCACTATCAGGTGGAGCTACTGGCTGGGTATTATGAGGGCTTCTAGCCAGGTCAATCACAGGATGTATTCTAGGGTTGGACAATTCCACTGTTTGGGGTCTTCTATTGGACAGGGCTATAGGCTGGGCTTTAAGGTTAGGCGAAATTATTGCTCAGGAAAGGCAGGAAAGAGGCTATGCTCCTTAGAAATGCTCAACTGAGGATTGCCTCCCTGTCAAGAGAAGCCACGGTGTGGGCTTTTGGCTGAGTTGAGCAGCTGTTTAGCTTTTTTGGTAGAGTTAGCCTCTATAATTTTCCAAAATCTGTGTGGAGGTGAGAGTATCACTCCCTAGGCAGGGTTATAGAGCAGGCTTTTTGGCTGAGTAGTACTACTGCTTGACTTCCTGGGTCAAGCCACTCTAGCCCACATCCATGTTCAAGATGCATGAGAGTGGAAGTCTCTCTTCCTGAGCAGTCATTGGGAAAGCCTAATGACTGAAAAATGGAGACGCCTCTGGGTCAAGCCAGGCTAGTTTCATTGCTTCTCTGAAATACGTAGGAAGTAGGAGTCTCCCTATCTGGTTGAGGTGAGACTAGAGTGGGCTTCCTTGGAAAAATTTTGAAATGCTAGGGACACTAAATTACTACCTCTCGTCCTCTTTTTCTCCCCATAGAAACTGTGGTACAGAAAAATCCTCTCCATCTGGTGTTCTGCCAACTTGTGGGATGGGGAAATGGTGCAGTTGGAGTAAGATTGTTCTTTTGAGCATTCTAATTCAGATTCCATCTAGTTCTACAGACCGCATTAGTATATGAGGCTTTTTTCCAAGTGCTGGGGTTTTAAAAAGATGTTCTAGTCTGTGGATAGTTGCTAGTTGAACTTTCTGCAGGGGAATTGGAGCCTGATACTTCTTATTTTGTCATCTTGGTGATGTCATTTCTCTCTCTCTCTCTCTCTCCATATATATATATATATATATATATATATATATATATATATACACACACACACACACACACACAACTTATATCCCTATTGGTTCCTTCTGCTTGTAAACTGTGCTCAAATCCCATCTGGGGAATAACTAAAGAGACGCTGTGTTCCACTCCACACCCCCACTCAGCTTCTTTCATATTGTTCATCTCTTTTGATAGCCAAGTTCTCTGAAAATGCCTTCCTTCTCATTTTCTATTCATATTTTTTCTACCTTTTTTTTTTTCACTCCAACTCAAGGGAAACTAAATCTGTGTTGCTAAAGTCATTACAGTGGCCTTTTAAATGACTGCACTTTCTGCTTCATTTTTTTCCCATTAGATGTTTACTTCAGTAGCTTTCTTATTCCTGAGCTTCACACTCTTCTCTTTCTTTGTGTGACTTCCTAACTTCCTATTAATCTGCTTTTAGATATTTACCTATGAGATTCTCTTTCTCTGTCAATACTTCAGATACTAGTGTTTCTCATGCTTATACCTGGAGATTTTCCTTATTCTCATTTTTTAAAAAAGATTAGTTGCTAATTAGGATTTTTTTTATTTGTTTTTGTTTTTAGTTTCTGAAGAGTAGAAGTCCTTTTCGTGAATTATCCCTTGCCTGATACCTGAAATGTCAACATTAGTACTAGGCTTTTAAGCAAAATATTCTGATTTCTGTAAGAATAAATCATAGCTTCCCTTATTTATCTTTTAATAAGAATAATAGTCAAACAACATGTGCTATGTGTGGTCAATGTTAGAAAGTGGAGAATGATTATAGTCTTATGTTGTGAGGATATGAGGGGCAACTCTCATCCACTTAGCAATTTTGTTGATGATGCTGACTAAACAAATAATAAATGTTTCCACCATTAATGTCTCAGGCTAAGGTGACTTTTCAATACCTACTTTAAATTATATCCTCCTAATACTGAAACCACTATAAAGAAAATTTTAAAAATTCACTTTAGCGTAAAACATCATATTTTAAATGCTCTAATGATTGGAAAAAGGGAAAGAGCTTTAAAGGATTGATGGGAGTCCCTGCTGCAGAGCTGTATTATAATGTATGCTCTACTTTAGACTTTGGCTCTTAAAATGATTGTTACCTGTGAAGGAAGAATTTTAAAAATTTCAGAGAGCAAGGATGGAGGGAGGAAAGGAAGTAAGTGGAGGAAGGAAGCAGCAAAAAAGAAAAGGAAGAAGTAAAGGAGAAAGGGAGAAAAGAGAGAGAAAGTAGAAAAAATTAAATATATATATGAAATTCTATTAGTGTTCCTCACTTAAAAGCCCATATGGGGATAAAACAAAGAGGGAAAGAAAGCTTACTGGCTGTTAATGGATTAACTAAGGGAGTCTCCTAAAAAATGTTGCTGTATTGTTTATTTTATAAGGGGAACCCATATTACCTTTAAGTCTCCTTTCCCATGGCCTACGTTGTCTAAACTTGCACTACATTTAATCAAATTTGATGAGCTGCATAACAAAGGAGGAATTCCAGATAGTATTTACCCTCATTCTTTTATTCCCTGGGCAGACACAGGGAAGAGGCCAAAACATGAGGCTGAGGAATGAAGACATTTCAGAATAATACATTGACCTCTAGAACAAACTGGTTCCACGTGAAAGTATTCACGTTAATAAAAAGGTTAGTATCATTAATTCCATGATCTCTTGTTTTGACAGCCAAGATGAATCTATCTGTTTTCTCAAACATTCTATCCTCTTCCAGAATGGAGATCACATCTACAATCATGGCAGTGAGTCAATTAATACATTTTCTTGAAAGGATATATAAAATAATGACCATCGGACAAATAGCGAATGGATTCCAAGCATTAATAATAACATAAATCTTTATAATTGTTTTACAAATGTGTGCAAAAATTTCCTCCCAGTCTTTGTCTATATCTATACTTACTTTGAATGTCACAAGCAAATGAGCTGACACCATCATTGCAAAGTGTCATGCAAAGTAAGAGAGCTACAGTGAAAAGGGAGCTGTATACTCTTCATGACCCAGTATAAATAGTGAAAATTCCTTCTGAATTGATTGCAACCTTGAATCAGCATGTTTTCATTCTAGTGTCCTCCAGGTATGGAGAGCCAATGAACTTTTACATTGTCTAGCTAACCCAGCTCTATAAAATGATGAGCATCAATAATAATTTTCTCAATGACTTATTAGAGCCATACCATTCAAGGAGTCAGGTCCCAAAGTGCAGAAATAGTAAAGAAGGGATAGGTTGCTAATTAGGCCTTTGTAAGTGCAAGAGTTAAAGGTGTTTTAGAAGGACACACCATGAATAGTTAGATATATAAAACAGAAAGAGATGAGTGTTTAAAAAGAAACTTCATGCATTTCCTAATTTAATATAACATCAATATTTATGCACAGACATATTTCCACCATGAAAAAAACTCTAAATGCATGCCAACTCTTAAATTTCAGCCTCAGATTGTCAACCACTAGCTTAATCAGAGCAAAACAGGATTTTTTTTTTTTAGACATTCGGGGCAGATCCTCTTAATTGACTATATAAAAGACTTCCCATCCTTCTCTCTTTTACTCCCTCCACAAAAGTGGCTGGAAAGCCAAATAATTATTTTCCCAGGGAAGTTTTATGTTATAGTAGCTATTTAATCCAGTCTCAATCTCTGCATAATAAGCAGAATGATGCTGGTGCGGAGGAGTCGGTTTGAAAAAAAAAAAAAGTTTCCCTAATAACAAAGGACGTGGCGGATTTTCCAGATTTGGCCATTCTTGTTGCCTTCACAATAGGTGACATTCATAGGGGTCACATGCCCATAGAACCACAGGGAGAGAGGCAAGCAGAGAAAGCCAATATGCTTAGGGTGACAAAGTGGGAAGACAGTAGTAGCCTACCTGTCTAATTTAATGCTTGAGTGCCCCCCAAAATTCCACTAAAATCTACTCTCAGATTACTTATGGACAAAAAATACTATTTGTTTAAACCACAGTATTCTGGCTTTCTGATTCTTCAGTTCAGTATATGTCTATGTGATTCAAGGTCTCTTCCAAAAAATATTTTTAGTGTTTTATAAACATATTTGCTTTTATTAATCTAAACCTACAAATATGATATACTTTTTTGACAAGAGTGCCAAGCTGATCATATTAAAAAGAAGCCTAAGATAGTTTAAAACATATAGAAATCTCCTTTTATGTAAATAAACCATTTTAACTTATTGATTCTGTCTTCAAAATCTTGGTGGAGTTTCTTTTTTTTTTTAATCTCTATTATCGCACATATCACTTGTCTTATCAACTCTTTAGCCTCGCTGTGTGAATCTACTTGCCCTCCCATCATTCCCTATAGTGATAATAAAAGGACATTGCATGATTCATACATTGTGCCACTAGAAAAGGCATGTAGAATAAAAAATATGTGACACCATCTTGTCATGCAATAAATCATCTAAAAATTATATTTTTATGGCTCAGCATTTGCCAGACATCTACAATTATATAATGTCAGCATCCATGGCCAATCCAACTTTTTTTCCACTGCTGTTTTGCCAAATCAAAGAAGCATAGCACAACACAATAAAAAGAACACAAGGGTATGAAACTCGAGTTTCAACTCTGTACAATCTACTATCAAAGTAACTTCAGAAAATTTTATCACTTTCTGATTCCCTCACATGTTCTTTTAAAATTAAATAAAAATTTTAAAAATCCACTTTAGAACTTGGTACTATTAAATGTTTAGTACAGTCAGTAGCTTTCTTTCCTTTTCTAATATATGCATTTGTTTTTGTTGTTGATGTTATAAAATGATTCATATTTTCCTCCATACATGCTTATTTCAGGTAAAATAAAAGGTTAGTTCATTTTGGTAGAAGCAAAAGAATACACACAGCTGTTTCCTGCCTGCTGTAATACCTGTAGAGTACAGAAGATAAAACAGAAATTGTTAGTATTACCTAATTACATAATAGTTACGAACAAAATTGATAGTTAGCTGTATGCTTGGCCTTCTGTTATGATTATAAGTTGATTATTATTTTTTACCAGAACCTCTCAAAAGCCCAGTGAATCAGCTCTCATTTTGTCTTATGCATTTCAAATGAAGGCCTGGAAATTTGGAAAGTTTTTAAAACCTGCCCAAAATTCAACAGCTGATCAGTGGTGGAGTCTGGTGGACTTGGGATTTTAATGAACTCACTCTGACTCTACAGTCTAATCTACAGTTTCTCTTTACATCCTGCTGTAAGAGGTGTTAAGAACATGTAATAGGTCAAATACCATAAAGTGGCGAAAACTCTAAAGGGTCTCTAGCAATTGTTATTTTTTAACTGAAACTTCTCAAGTTTAATTTTAAATTATCTTTACCCTCTTATATTTTACAAGTAGGTGATTATTTTAAAAAATTATCTGTTATTATCTGTTATTATCCATACGGTACATGGTTAAATTCTATTTTAAGGAGAATGTTTGTTGCAATGTTAAAAGTGTAACATCTGGCTGGGCGTGGTGGCTCACGCTTGTAATCCCATCACTCTGGGAGGCCGAGGCAGGTGGATCACCTGAGGTCAGGAGTACAAGACCAGCCTGACCAACATGAAGAAACATCATCTCTACTAAAAATTCAAAAATTAGCAGGGCGTGGTGGCCCATGCCTGTAGTCCCAGCTAATCTGGGAGGCTAAGTCAGGAGAATTGCTTAAACCCAGGAGGCGGAGGTTGCTGTGAGCCGAGATTGTGCCCCTGCACTCCAACCTGGACGACAGAGCAAGACTCAATCTAAAAAAATAAAAGATTAAAAAAAAAATATATATATATATATATATATAATATATGTAGCTTCTCAAATTGTTGAGATATGAAATCCAGAATTTGTCTTTTAATTCAGTAGCTTGTATGTTATCTCAGCACATATAACTAGATCAGCAGACCAACTTAAATAAAGCCAAACAATTTCTGAATTATACTCTGCTGACTTCTAAAAAATATTTCATGTCCTACATTCAGAAATTTTCATGTGACAAACTGAAAAATATTTAAATAAATTGCCTAGTTCTGTTTATTCATATCCTTAAGAGATGAATGTAAGCAGATCTAAAGTCTTACTTAACTTTTAATGTATTTTTTTATAAAATAAGTGAATTGTGAATAGGCTGTTTGAAGTGAGCCTTATAAATCACCTGAACTGCTCCACTATTGGCATGTCTTGGAGTCATTACGTATAATTGGTTAATGGTGTATTTATTCTCACATTACTGGATCAGCTCCAGGGATAATCACTGATGAGTTTCAAAACTCCAGGAGGATTTCTATGCAGAGGTAAATGAATTAAAACACAAGATAAAACTAATTACTTTTATTTAAATTCAATTTTGGGAGTAATTGTTCTGTCTTGGGGGTTTTCTAGCAGTTTTCAGAAGTGATAAATTTGCTTTAGTTTGCTAAGTTGCATTTCCTTAGAGCTAAGGGATTAAATCACTGGGATGAATATTAGAAAGGAAGTAAATTAAATTTTGTGGTAGAATTTCCCACCTTAGTTCTTCATGCTCTTTTTGATGCTTCTCTTAACCAGGCATTTGAAAACCTGATAAATGAGAAAAAAAGAACCACTTTCAATGCCAAAATTAAGTGCACATTACTGAAAGGTGTTAGGAGTTCCAGAAATTAAACACCATAATCAAAAAGACTCATATGTACTTTGCTGAAAGCATCTATAGGCCTGGACAAGACTCAGAGAGCATGAGTCATGTAGAGCTATAATTTTCATGTAAAGCAACTGGATGTAGTTAAATAATAAAAATTTAAGTTTTTTCCTCTCCATATGCTTGGCTGGGTGTGTATTTTTTTTTTAATGTCTGATATTATACCTGTCCAGCCAGTTTCCTTTGACATGAGGCTATATTGCCATGGGAGTGGCAAAATCACTGAAATAGGTTTATAAATTAAGTATTACACTTAAGGCATACTTCTTGAGTTAAATAGGACCTTTCATGAAATATGACTTGGGATAAGAAAAGGGGTGCAGTGAGTAATTAATTGCATAAAGCATTGGTGAATGTATCAATTAAAATTAGACTTTGCTACATGTAAAGAGATATCTAAATAAATGTCATTGTATAAGAAGTGAGTTCTCTCATAAAACAAGTCTGCAGTAAGGTGTTGCCAAATTGGTGTGGTTACTCTATCATCATTAGGGATCAAGGATCCTTCTATTTTTTCTTTTTTTCTTCATCTCACTTACCTATTGAAGCAATGAATATCACTGATTGAATGGGTAGAGGAGAAGAAAGATGATGACAAAAGACCAGTAATACAAATTCAACTATTTGTGTGTCATAGAAGCCAGAAAAAGCCAAATCGCCAGATCTCAAGAAGGTCAGCAAAAAGTCACTACCTGATGAATTAAAGAGAGATTTTTAGAAGCTCAGAAAGCTATGGGTGCCTGGAGAATTCAACATTAGCAGAACTCAGCTGAACTCTGACTTTTCTAACTTCTAATTTCTTCATTACTATAAAATAAAGGTTAAGATTTCAACGTCATTAGTGTTTAGGAGCTACCTAGTAGCTCTGTACCTTGATGTGTACTATAAGCTGCTTGTCTGAAAGAAAATTACAAAGAAACTGCATTCTGTTTTCTGAAAAAATGCTGTCTTAGAGATCATACCACTGCTGAATAATGAAAATCATTTGATTTTTCTTTCTTTCTGTCAAAAAGATTTAAATCCAATGAAATACATATTTTTAAAATGTGTGTACCATATGAGGATGACTTATCATTATACTGTCTTTAAAAAGCCCAAATATGTGAAAATCAGATATAGTTCAGAGGTGTAACTTCAAGAATGATACAGCTCTTTGTATCCTATGTAAATTGCTCTTCTCTCTTTAAGATTTCAGTAGAGAGTTAAAAAAAAAAAAAAGCAAATTTTTGAAAAGTTGCCAGTTCTTGGATATTTTAGTTTGTTTTATTTATGGTCCTACTTTGAGGCCTGATGAGCCAAGACTATTATCTACAAGCCTTACTGTCAGAGACTTTTACATTGTATAGTGGCAGAGAAGTGATTCAGAAGTGACTCTTGCAGAAATGGGCAGATACTAAAAGCTCATGACCAATCCCTTTTCAGATATATTATATGCTTATTATCTATTGAAATCACTGCTGCCATTCAGGTCAGGGGCATGAGAGGGATGGATTAAAGAGACCTATATCAAAGCACCAAAACTAGTTTGCCTGTTATTATTCATATTACTTTAAAGTAATCTTGGAAAAGAAATGATAGAAACAGATAGTAAGTACATTTCATTCTTATTATATCTTTTTGGAAAGATTCTTAAGTTTTAGGATAAGTAAAAATTAACTATTAACCATCAAAAGTAGAATCCAACTCAAGTGAATGTGATTCAGTAAGTCTGGGATGAAGCTCAGAGTTACATTTACAACAATATCCAAGGTCATTTTAATATAGAGAGTTATTGGAACACTCTTTTAAAGACATTGATCTGTGACATTGAAGTATTTCTCATGATCTGAATACAGGAGCTCATTATGTTTCTATTTTGATGAAGAAACTAATTGATTTTATTTTTTATTAATTATTATGAATATTTGCTTAGGCCGGTAATTATGTACATAACTATACTGATGTGAGGGATATAAAAGAATCTTCACCTCACCCCACATGACCTCATAAGTCCTACACAGAAGGGCTGAAATATAACTTGCTATAATGTGGCATGAGTTTCTCAGAAACTCACTCTAAATGCATTTGTAATGAAGTTTCTAAGGGAAATGTACACTTATAATGATTTCACCATAGTATAGGAGAACTACTTTTAGATTGTTTTCTGTTATGATTCCTGCTGAACATTTGAATACATTTACTGGTTTATGAAATACCTATAAAATACATCAAAGTATAATATAAAGATATTAAAATTTTGGTTTTCGGTCTCCTTATTTTATTATCAGTTTGGAGGATCTTCAGAAATTTAATTGACATTTGCAGTCTCCAAGGATTCTGCACTGATGGAGAAGATTCCCAGAATAAGGTTTAGGTTGAAATCTGAAATCCCTCTCAGATTTTATCAGGCATAACTTAAATTCCTAGCGTTGGGAACATTCTAGAGCAACGCTTCCCATAAGGCAGCCCTCCTGAGGCTTCCAAATTCTCCATCTGCTGCTATTCACAGGATTCTGCCTTTTACCTAGAATTCTTCCCCCAAAGCAGCTCCCTGGCTTCAGTCAGTCCCATCCATTTTCACTTATAGAACAATTTTGTTTCTAGCCTTCAATTAACATTCTCACATCAATCAAGTAACAATGTAATTCCATGTCTGAAATACATATACTTTTAAAATCTCAAGCAGAAAAGAATAGAAAATCAAATCATATTTCAGATAAAAAAAACCAGTTCCCATCGTTGACTATCCTGGGAAAGGTCTCAAGAACAAGGAACAAGATAGTGGCATGAGGACGTGGCAAGTAATCTGGAACATTCTGCTATCTTAATGACAGATCAGTGAATAATGACAATATCCTTCATTGACAGGAAAGCAGTCAAGCAGTGTTTTGGGAGTATAATGAAATAAGAATCTGTGACTTCTTATCCAATGAACCCAAGTTTGTATCCTGGCTCTTCCACATACAAGCTAAATGGCCTTTGATAAGTTATTTTACTTCTCTGGATTGCAGTTACCCCATTGGTTAAAATAAGGCTAATATTTATTTTGATGATTATAGCAACTAAATTAGACTTTGCATGTAAAATAATTATTACAGTGAAACTTAGCTTAATAAATAATACTTGCATTTCATGGTTTATCTTTTGGTTTTAAAGTTTTGATAAATTTGGTAGCATAGTCTTCATTGCATTTCCTGCTAGGTTTATGGCATTGCTGATTTTCTATATATACAGATAGAAAAAAATGTATTTTTTAAATAAGTATGTTTATTTTTTAATGTCAATTTAAAGAAATATAATTTGTAACTACTAGTATAGAAAAGACTTGGATCTTGACAAATATTTTAAACTGGATCCAAGGTTGAGAAACTACCATATGATACACTGCCAATTATGCATTTTTCTTCCTTAATAAGTCACAGATTTTTTATTGTTGGATTCACAAAGCATAACTTCAGAATAAGAGTGATGGAAAGATACTGTCATTATTTACTTCATAAGGGGAAAAACCCATATGTATTTCTTCTTCAAAATACCATTCCTTTCATAAAGTTCTCTGCTAGATGCTAACATTTCATCACAAGGCAATGAGGCCATAAGAAACTGTACAATGGAGTTTGTACAAATGCACAAAACTGTACAAGTGGAGTCAAATCAGAAACACAGGTGAAGCAGAAATATTCCTCTTTGTCCAGTCTCTCATTAGAGGCATGAAAAAACATCATTTGTTTACTAATGAGGTACAAGCCTCAGAATTGATCATTTATTAATGATTAACATGGCATTCCTGTATATACTCAATGAAATAGTGTCTTTTTTTAACAGGAAAGTATATGGAAGATGGCATTTAAAATATCAGGGCAATGATTTCTGCTTTATGATTTCATTCAGAATCTTTCAGAGAGGAGGTGTAATGAGGTCAGAGATTAACAGCATTTTAAAAAATAATGCTTGTAATTTTGGGAGGAAGTTCAAACTGAAAAAAAAAAAGATTAAAAAGACCAATAGTTGTTTAATAAATTGCCAGCATGTTTACATGCAAGGAACAAAGCAAAACAACACAGCACACTTGCTATATTAATTTCTTGCAAACTTGGAAATATGTGTACTTCCATATCTTTCTCCCTCTTTCACATATGCGCATCCTCACACCCCTTATGCACCAACCCTGAAAAAAGTATTTCAGAAGATGCTGACCGAAGTTCTATCTACCTGGAAAGTTCCCAAATAGTAACTATTTTATGGAATCTTCAGACCTGTTGGGCCTCACAAGAGTTTCCTCACGTGCTCCTGAAAATAATTGTGGGAAAAGCAATTCTTGTAACATGTAGTCTGAAATGTTTTTAGTCCTGATTAAAATGCCCAACAATTGGTGTGATTTTGAATTCTTAGAAATCTTTGCTTGTCAAGTGCTTTAAAACAAACATATTATATTGGGTTTGACATAGTCTATCCAAAGGAGAAGTTTATAAAATGTTTAATTCATTTTTCTTAATTTACTACAATAGAATGTTTATGGGAGGATAAAAAAATAAAATAACTTGTGTCAGAAAAAGATATTATGTCATCAAGACCAAGCCATATTTTATATTTACATGTTTGTATGTGGCCCTGTTACAGCATAAGCTGTAAAACTAGTTACTGCTCCCAGCAGGGAAAGTCAGTTTGCAAATTCACAAATCATTAATGTTACACTTCTGTTGCAAAAGATGTTAATTTGTTGGTTTAAATACAATCTCTAATCTCAAGTACAGATGCTGGTGTCGGGCAGTATCACCACTCTCAGCCACTGATAGAACATATAACTTATGAATTATTGAGGTATTTATCAGATAATCCTGCATTAGCAATTATGAAACATTATGAAATCAGAAGCAATACCTCAAATAAGAATGAATGTGGAGACTTTATATTAGACCTCTCAGGTGCTAAACTGATAATACATCACATGATTTTTTTTTCATGTAAATATTAACCATTATTAAATGCTTCTTTGTGACTTACCTTCTGTACCATTTTGTGGGGTATAGGGCCAGGCTTATAATTGTGCAGATACCTTATCTATACTTTACAGATAACCTGCTTTATCATCAAGATGACTAACTAGAGGTGCCCAATGTTCACCTCCTCCACAAAAAAGACCAAAACAAGAAATAAATAATGGCACTTTGAGTAGATACTCTACAAGAAAACACTAGAATTGAGCAAGGAAGACATGAAAACCCTCTGAAGCATGGAACCTTGAAATCGTAGCATAGAGAGGTAAGAAAAACACCTGGCCAGAACTAGTTTCAAATGAACAGAGACTCCTCATTGCAGAGAAAAGGTAGGTGGGAGATCTCTAGCAGTCACCATTACCAAGATGGATGCCCACTGTCCTACCTACAGGAGAGCGCCACAGTCCTTGTGGGTTCTGAACCCAGTATAGAGACTGACCTGGAATCCATGCAACTGCACTTTTCCAGAGAAGGAACTCACACTGGGTTCCCCTGCTCCCTGGGATCCAAGCTACTAAAGGCAATATCTTCAATAAATGATCCCAGAAAAACTAGATAACCACATGCAGAAGAATAAGACTACACTCCTATCTTTCATTATGTACAAAAATTAACTCAAAATTGATTAAAAACTTAAATGTAGAAAGTGAAATATGAAACTACTAGAAAAAAATAGGGTAAATATTTCAAGACATTGGTCTGGGTGAAGATTTTATAGATAAGTCCTCAAAAGCACAGGTTACAAAAGCAAAAATGCACAAATGACATTAAATAAAACTAAAAAGCTTCTGCATAACGAAAAGCAATCAATAGAGTGAAGAGACACCCTGCAAAATGTTGAAAAATATTTGCTAACTATTCATTCACTAAGATATTAATATCCAGAATATATTAGGAACTGAAACAACTCAATAGCAAAACAAAACAAAAACAAAAACACAAAAAAACCTGATTAAATAATAGGCAAATGATCTAAATGGAGATTTCTCAAAAGAAGACACAAATGTCAACAATTACCAAAAAAGCATGCTTATTATCCCTAATTATGAGAGAAATGCGGCCGGGCGTGGTGGCTCACGCCTGTAATCCCAGCACTTTGGGAGGCCGAGGCGGGCAGATCACGAGGTCAGGAGATCAAGACCATCCTGTCTAACATGGTGAAACCCCGTCTCTACTAAAAATACAAAAAAATTAGCCAGGCATGGTGGCGGGCATCTGTAGTCCCAGCTACTCGGGAGGCTGAGGCAGAATTGCATGAACCGGGGAGGTGGAGGTTGGAGCAAGCTGAGATTTTGCCACTGCACTCCAGCCTGGGTGACAGAGCAAGACTCCATCTCAAAAAAAGAAAAAAAAGAGAAATGCAAATCAAAATCCTATGAAATATTATTCAACTTCAGTTGGAATGGCTAGTATCAAAAGGGCAAAAATTAATCCATGCTGTTGAGGATAAGGAGATAAAGAAACTCTTAAACATTGTTGGTGGAAATGTAAATTAATATAGTCACTATGAAAAGCCATGTGGAGGGTGCTCAAAAAATTAAAAACAGGCTGGGCACAGTGGCTTACGCCTGTAATCCCAGAACTTTGGGAGGCCATGGGCAGGGGATCACTTGAGGTCAGGAGTTTGAGACCAGCCTGGCCAACAAGGTAAAAACATGTCTCTACTAAAAATACAAAAATTAGCTTGCTATGGTGACAGGTGCCTGTAATCCCAGCTACTCGGGAGGCTGAGGCACGAGAATCTCTTGAACCCTGGAGGCGAAGTTTACAGTGAGCTGAGAATGTGTCACCACGCTCCAGCCTGGACAACAGAGTGAGACTCTGTCTCAAAACACCAAACAAACAAATGAAATTAAAAACAAAACTACTGTGTAATACAGTAATCCCACTACTGGGCAAATATCCAAAGGAAAGGAAGTAAATATGTGAAAGATATCTGCATTCCCATGTTTATTTAAGCACTATTCATTTTAGCCAATATATGAAATCAATCAAAATTTCCAACAACAGATGAATGAATAAAGACAATGTGGTAGAAATACACAGTGAAATACTATTCAGCCCTGAAAAAAATCCTGTCATTCATGGCCGTGTGGATAAGCCTAGAGGACATTGTACTAAACGAAGTATGCCAGGCATGGAAAAGACAAATACCCCTTATTCTCACTCATATGTGGAATCTAAAGAAGTAGATCTCATAGAAGTAGAGAATAGAATAGTGGTTACTAAAGGCCGGGATGTATAGGGGGTAGGGAGATACAGAGAGCTCGGTTAACAGATACAATACAGGATAGGAGGAATAAGTTCTAGTGTTCTATAGCACTGTAGGGTGACACTATTTAACAGTAATTTACTGTATATTTTCAAATAGCTAAAAGTGAAGATTTTGATTATTCTCAACAACAAAAAAAGTGGTAAATATTGGAAGTGTTATGGATATGCTTACCCTAATTTGATCATTATGCATTGTATATCATACAATGTCATTTGTATATTATATCAAAATATGACAATCTACCCTATAAATATGTATGATTACTACATGCCAATTAAAACTAATAAAAATAATAACATTTCTAGATGTTTTTACTTACTTAAAGCATACAGAGCAGATAGTATAGGACTTGAAGTTGTAGTCCTGTACCACAATACCATTCTTTAATGAACCTCTCTCTCACAAGTCGTTATGATATATAAATTAAATAATTTATACAAAATATATGTATCAGGGACAGAGGAGGGAATGATACCAGTAGGTACCCTTTCATTTTTGAAATAAAGTTCTAGTGTCTGTGTTCTCTCACCCTGCCCCTAAGCATAAATAAAGGCATGCCTTTCTGTATCTCTGTCTCTCCCTCTCTCTTATTTAAAGTAAATGCTCCCTGTGTATTTGTGTATGTGGACACCAAATGTGCACATAATTATATGATATATTTCATCTAAAATGTAAAATCTCTAAGATTCTGCTTCCAAATCTGATCACTGGTTGACTTCTACAGCACTGTCTCTAAAGTTCCCTTACAGTTCTAAAAGTTTGTTATGGAAACTAGCTGGGAAAATGGTGGATAGGAGGCAGGACTAACTTGCAGCAACCACTGGGATGGACAGAGCAGTGTGTAGAGAGCCACATTGTGAACTGTTGCTCCAAGAACTATTGCAGGAACATACCAGGAAAGCGTAGACAATCCACAGAGCATCTGAAGGAACTAGATCACTGCTGCAGGCTCCATGAGACAGTCGAGAACTGTGAACCCACTTGCTTTCTCAGCTGGGAGGCTTGTAGCCTGGGGCAAGTTCTCAGCCCTGCTCACAGGCTGCCTGGAAATAAACTTGATGCAGTCAGCGGGCAAGGTGGGAGTGAGACTAGCCTTTTGGGCTGTAGGCTGCACAGGACCTAGGTGAGGCCTGTGGCTGCCAGCTTTCCCCTGCTTCCCTGGAGAAAGGTGTGACACAGCAGAGACAACCATAATCCCTCAGGAATATAATGCCATTGGCCTGGGAACCACACCTGCATCCCCCACAGCAGCCGCAGAAAGCCCTGCTCAAGGAGAGTCTGACCTCAGATATACCTAACCGTGCCCCCACTTGATGATCTTTCCTACCAACCCTGGTAGCCAAAGACAAAGAACATAATCCCTTGGGAGCTCTATGACCCTGCCCATAGAGCTGATCTTCCCTATACAACCACAGTGAATGTGCTCTTGAAAGCACCACCTCCTGACTGGAGGTCAACCAACACAAAACCAGTGCACTGAACAAAAATACAACCAAGGACCTTCCCAGAGTCCACTTCACTCCCCTGCTACCTCCACTGGAGAAGGTGCTGGTAATCACAGCTGCAACACCTGAAGATAGATCACATCACAGGTCTCTTTGCATCAACCCTAGTACCAGCCTGGCGCCTGGTAGCTTTGCTGGGTAGATAGAACCCAAAAAGAAATAACGATCACTGCAGTTTGACTCTCAAAAAGCCCCATCCCCAGGAGAAAGGGGAGGGCACCACCAAGGGAGCACCTCAGTGGGAGAAAAGAATCTGTACAGCAACCCTTGAGTCCCAGATCTTCCCTCTGACATAATCTAACCAAACGAGAAGGAACCAGGAAAACAATTCTGGTAATATTATGAAACGGCATTCTTTAACACCCCTAAAAGATTGGACTAGCTCACCAGCAATGGACCCAAACCAAGACAAAATCTCTGAATTGTAAGAAAATGAATTCAGAAGGTTGATTATTAAGCCAATCAAGGAGACACCAGAGAAAGGTGAAGTCCAATTTAAAGAAATTAAAAAAAAAAGATACAGGATATGAATGGAAAAATCTTCAGTGAAATACATAGCATAAATAAAAAACCAATCACACCTTCTGTAAATCAAGGACACACTTAGAGAAATGCCAAATGCACTGGGAAGTCTCAGCAATAGAATCAAACAAACAGAAGAGAGAACTTCAGAGCTCAAAGACAAGGCTCTCGAATTAGCCCAATTTGACAAAAACAAAGAAAAAAGAATTTAAAAAATGAGCAAAACCTCCAAGAAGTTTGGGATTATGGTAAACAACCAAACCTAAGAATAACTGGTGTTCCTGAGCAGGTAGGGAAATCTGAAAGTTTGGAAAACATACTTGACGGAATAATCGAGAAAAACTTCCCTGGGATTGCTAGAGATCTAGACATTCAAATACACAAAGCTCAAAGAACACCTGAAAAATTCACCACAGAAAGATCATTGCCTAGGCATATAGTCACCATGTTGTCTAAAGTCAAGATGAAGAAAATAATCTTAAGAGCTGTGAGGCCAAAATATCAAGTAACCTATAAAGGAAAACCTAACAGATTAGGCAGATTTCTCAGCAGAAACCCTACAAGCTAGAAGGAATTGAGGTCCTACTTTTAGCCTCCTTAAACAAAACAATTATCACCCAAGAATTTTGTATCCAGCAAAACTAAACTTCCTAAGTGAAGGAAAGATAGTCTTTTTCAGACAAACAAATACTGAGAGAATTCGCCACTACCAAGCCAGCACTACAAGAACTGCTAAAAGAAGCTCTAAATCTTAAAACAAATCCTCAAAATGCACAAAAATAGAATCTCCTTAAAGCATAAATCTCACAGGACCTATAAAACAATAACACAATGAAAAATTTTAAAAAAAAAGTATTCAGAAAACAAATAGACTGATGAATAGAATAATACCTCACATCTCAATACTAGCATTGAATGTAAATAGCCTAAATGCTCCACCTAAAAGATACAGAATGGTAGAATGGATAAGAACTCATCAACCAAGTATCTGTGGTCTTCAGGAGACTCACTTGACACATAAAGACTCACATAAACTTAAGGTAAACGGGTGGAAAAATATATTCTATGCAAATGGACACCAACAGCCAAGCAGGAGTAGCTATTTTTGTATCATACAAAACAAACTTTAAAGCAAAAGCAGTTAAAAAAGAAAAGACGGACATTATATAATGATGAAAGGACTAGTCCAACAGGAAAATATCACAATCTTAAATATGTATGCACCTAACACTAGAGCACCCAAATTTATAAAACAATTGCTGCTAGACCAAAAAACTGAGATAGACAGCAACACAATAATAGTGGGAGACTTTAATACTCCACTGACAGCACTAGCCAGGTCATCAAGATACACAGCCAACAAAGAAACAATGGACCTAAACTATACAACCAATGGGCTTAACAGAGATTTACAGAACACTCTACCCAACAACCGTGGAATATACATTCTATTCATCAGCACATGGAACATTCTCCAAGACAGACTATATGATAGGCTACAAAACAAATCTCAGAAAATTTAAGAAAATCAAAATTATATCAAATACTCTCTCAGACAACAGTGGAATAAAATTGGAAATCAGCTCCAAAAGGAACCTTCAAAACCATGCATATACATGGACATTAAATAACCTGCTCCTGAATGATCTTTGGGTCAAAAATGAAATCAAGATGAAAATTTAAAATTTCTTTGAACTGAATGATAATCGCACAACCTATCAAAAACTCTGGGATGCAGCAAAAGTGGCACTAAGAATCAAGCTCATAGCATTAAATGCCTACATCAAAAAGTCTGAAAGAGCATGAATAGACAATCTAAGGTCACATATTATGGAAATGGAGAAACAAGAACAAACCAAACCCAAACCCAGCAGAAGAAAAGAAATAACCAAGATCAGAGCAGAACTAAATGAAACTGAAACAAACAAACAACAAAAACAATATAAAAGATAAATGAAATACAAAGGTGATTCTTTGAAAAAACAAGCAAAATTGATACACCATTAGAGAGAGTAATCAAGAAAAGAAGATCTGAGAAGATCCAAATAAGCACAAGTAGTAACAAAATTGGAATATTAGAACTGACACCACAGAAATCCAAAAGATTTCTGGATCCATAACAGGCTACTATGAACATCTTTACACATATATACTAGAAAACCTAGAGAAGACGGATAAATTACTAGAAATATACAACCCTCTTTGATTAAACCAGGAAGAAGTGGAAACTCTCAACAGACCAATAACAAGCAGCAGGATTGAAATGGTAATAAAAAATTACCAACAAAAAAAGTCCAGGACCAGAAAGATCCATAGCTGAATTCTATCAGATATTTAAAGAATTGATATCAATCCTATTGGCACTATTCCACAAGATGGAGAAAGAAGCTCCAAAATGATTCTTTGATAGCTTCAAAATCATTCTATGAAGCTGTTATCACTCTAATACCAAAATCAGGAAAAAAATAACGAAAAAAGAAAACTACAGACTAATATCTCTGATGAATATAGTTGCAACAATCCAGAACAAAATATTAGCTAACTGAATCCAACAGCATATTAAAAAGATAATCCACCATAGTCACATAGGTTTCATACCAGGGATACAGGGATGGTATAACATCCTCGAGTCAATAAATGTGATACACCACATAGACAGAATTTTTTTAAATTCTGTGATCATCTCAATAGATGCAGAAAAACCATTTCTCAAAATCCAGCATCCCTTTATGACTAAAACACTCAGAAAAATCAGCATAGAAGGGATATACCATAAGGTAATAAAAGCCATGTACAAGGAACCCTCAGACAGCATTATATTGAATCGGGAAAAGTTGAAAGCATTCCCCCTGAGAACAGGAACAAGACAAGGATGCCCACTTACACCACTTCTATTCAACATAATATTGAAGTCTTAGCTAGAGCAATCAGACACTAAAAAGAAATAAAGGCCATCCAAATAGGTAATGAGGAATCAAACAGCCACTGTTTGCTGATAACAATATTATATACCTAGAAAAATCCTAAAGACTCATACACAAAGCTCCTAGAGCTTATAAATGAATTCAGCAAAGTTTCAGGATACAAAATTAATGTAACAAATCAGTAGCTCTGCTATATACCAACAGTGACCAAGCTGAGAATCAAATCAAGAATTCAACACACTTTACAAGAGCAGAAAAAAAAACTTAGGAATATACTTAACAAAGTATGTGAAAAACCCCTACAAGGAAAACTACAAACACTGCTGAAATAAATAATAGATGATGCAACAAATGGAAACACATCCCATGCTCATGGATAGGTAGAATCAAAATTGTGAAAATGACCATACTTCCAAAAGCAATCTATAAATTTAATGTAATTCCCATCAAAATACCACCATCATTCTTCACAAAACTAGAAAAAATAATCCTAAAATTTATATAGAACCAGAAAGGAAGACACATAGCCAAAGAAAGACAAAGCAAAAGAACAAATCTGAAGGCATTACATTAGCTGACTTCAAACTACACTATAAATCCACAGTCAGCAAAGAGCATAGTACTGGTATAAAAATAGGCACATAGACAACTGGAACTCAGTAGAGAACCCATAAATAAACCCAAATACTTACAGCCAACTGATCTTCGACAAAGCAAACAAAAACATAAAGTGGGGAAAGGACACCCTATCCAACAAATGGTGCTGGGATAATTGTTGAGCCACATATAGAAGAATGAAACTGGATCCTCATCTCTCACCCTATGCAAAAAGCAACTCAAGATGGATCAAAGACTTAAATCTAAGACCTGAAACCATAAAAATTCTAGAAGATAACATTGGGAAAAGCCTTCTAGACATTGGCCTAGGAAAAGACTTCATGACCAAGAAACCAAAAGCAAGTGCAACAAAAACAAAGATAAATAGATGGAACTTAATTAAACTAAAACGTTCCTGCACAGCAAAAAATAAGAATAATAATAATCCACAGAGTAAACCAACAACCCGCAGAGTGGGAGAAAATCTTCGTGAAATATACATCCAACATTGGATTAATATCCAGAATCCACAAGGAACCCAAAATCAGCAAGAACAAAACGAACAATCCTATCAACATGTGGGCTAAGGACATGATAGACAATTATCAAAAGATGATATACAAATGGCTAACAAACATGAAACAATGCTCAACATCACTGATTATCAGGAAAATGCAAATCAAATGCACAATGTGATACCACCTCACTCCTGCAAGAATGGTCATAATCAAAAAATCAAAAAATAATACATGCTAGCGTTGCTGTGGTGAAAAGGAAACACTTTTAAACTGTTAGTAGGAATCTGAACTATTACAACTGCTATGGAAACAGTGTGGACATTCCTTAAAGAAGTAAAAGTACATCTACCATTTGACCCAGCAATCCCACTTCTGGGTATCTACCCAGAGGAAAATAATTCATTATATGAAAAAGATACTTGGACACGCATGTTTATAGCAGCACAATTTGTAATTGCAAAAATATGGAACCAGCCCAAATGCCCATCAATCAAGAATTGGATAAAAAATTGTGATATATATGTATATGCACACACACACACACACACACACACACAGAGCATGGAATACTACTCAGTCATAAAAAGGAATGAAATAATGGCATTCACAGCAACCTGGATGGCATTCAATGCCATTATTCTAAGTGAAGTAACTCAGGAATATAAAACCAAACATCGTGTGTTCTCACTCATAAGTGGGAGCTAAGACATGAGGATGCAAACGCATAGCAATGATACAATTGACTTTGGGGACTTGGGGAGAAGAGTAGAAGGGGTCTGAGGGGTAAAAAACTACCACTGAGTACAGTGTATACTGCTTGGATGATGGGTGTATGAAAATACCAGAAATCATCACTAAAGAACTTATTTATGTAACTAAACACCACCTGTTCCCCCAAAAGCCTATTGAAATAAAAAATAGTATGTTAAGATTATAAAAGGAAGACTTTATCAATGTGTTAAAAATAGAGAAAACAAAAATAAGGTTTAGGTAGGTAGTGTGAACAAGGTAGAAGGTGGAGAAATGAAAGTAAATAAGGTGTATCAACTTCACAAGAGCTTGAAATTTGTATGGTTTCTTCAATTCTGCATTAATAATATATGAAACCTATGCATTTGGGATCTTTGAATGCATCCATTCATGCATAAGGGAATTAATGACTCGATGGATGGAAAAATTCAACAGAATCAATTGAAGCAAAGTTGTGAAAACAGTGACTGAGAACATGACCTATGGAATGATTAAGGCCTGAGTTTAAAATCTAACTTAGTAAATTATCAGCTATGGGATTCTAGACAAGTTACAACTCCTTGAGCCAAATTTCCTCCATATAATACCTTTAGGTAATGGGTATTACTATTTTCCCCATGTTTCAGATGAGGGCAATTAGATTCAGAGAATGGAAAAATACGCTTCACCACTTGCTAAAAAGGCTGCAAGGTCAATGGATCATTCATATAGGGACGGGAGGAATTGGGAGAAATTTTAGTATTTCAATCTACCACATTCTATGTAATAGCTACTCATCACTAAAATTAGCACTAA
This sequence comes from Homo sapiens, assembly GCF_000001405.40. Taxonomy (NCBI): domain Eukaryota; kingdom Metazoa; phylum Chordata; class Mammalia; order Primates; family Hominidae; genus Homo; species Homo sapiens. Next base: position 84,659,554 of record NC_000014.9, on the reverse strand, counting down.
ATCCCATTTAAAACCTGCTGTTCTTTGCCTTTAGTGTCATCCTTGAATGTAGTGATTTGCTCATGATATTTGTTGGTTATACTTGATTGAATATACAATTTTGACTAAAGAGAAATAATCTAAATTTCATCAGGTAGTTCTTCTCTTATAATTTACACTTGTAATTAACATACTTGTTTTAATTAACTGTATTTAAAGTAAAAAATATCTCCTATTTTGGGGGGTACATAGAAACACTGTCATGTAGAGAACACAATAATTTAATTAAAGTAAACTTAAAATTTGCTCTCTAGAAAGTCATTAAAATTCACTGTATCTGGTTTCACAATAAAATTTGGAAACTGGTTTGATTTTCTTACCTACCAGTCAAATGATGCAACATGTGACAGAATGTAACATCAATTATAAAGTGAGACAAAGTGTCTTCATAATAACTAACCAAAGGATATCTTTGGACCTAATTGTTTTAAAAATGAGACTTTGTTTATCCAGTTATCTATTTCTGTGTGCATTTTATAGTCTTGTAATACAAACCAATGACCTTTTGATTAATTGCATTAAAAATGTGAAGCCAGTACACATCAGAGGCAGTTTGGGTATATACTCAGCCACTTTAACAGCATGAATTTCTCGGAGTCTTCACAATTTTTTGTTCTTTTTGGACTTAAATGGAAGCATCACTTTAACTTAGTGATTCTCAACTGAGGTGGTTTTGCCATTCAGAGTACATTTGGCAATGTCTAGAAATATTTTTGATTGCCATAACTCGGAAGGCATGGGCACTTGTGTCTTGTGATTAGAGGCCAGAGATGCTGCTAAACATTCTAAAATGTGCATTACAGCTTCTCCATCTGCCCAACAAGAATTATTCCACCCAATATGTCAATAACCAAGTCTGGGAATCCCTGTTTTAACTGAGTAAATAATGTACTGAGATGTTATTATTTTATTATGAAGGTAGTTAATGATGCGAACTATGATGGCAGAAGTACAAGGGATGTGGAGGAGGATTCTTTTCTTTTCTCATTCTTTGGAAGTGACCACTTTCCCATAAAGGATGGGAAGGTGAAAAGCAATCTAGATCTCCAGGCAGTTTGTGAACCCCTGTCCTTCTGGCATTTCCCTGTGCTTCCTATGCTGGCTCACCATCTCAGTGGCCTCCTCCTTATCCATCTTTATGCCAGCATTTTCCTATTATTATGTTCTTGGAGCATTATCTGAGCTATTCACTGGGTCTTTAAATTGATGAGGTACCATCAGCCATTTCAGTTTTTATCAAGGGAGCAGACATGAGGGGGAGTTGAGTTCTGGCATGTGTTTGGGAGGTGTTTGTTTTGACTGTCTGATGGCTGCATACCAGCCTGAGGGAGTCACAAATGTCACTGGTGTGTGATGATATAATTTTCCCGCTGCTCCAAAGATTCTTCTGTGTTAATCTCCTGGCATGCCTGGCAACTTTCAAAATAGAAGTAAAAGGCAATTCCATGGAGCAGTGAAAAAAGATTCAAAGTCTCCATTTGCCTTTGTAAAGGACAGAGAAAATTGCTAGCAAGCAGTTGGCCATTTTCATTACTGAGAACATAGAGCAGCTCAGTTTTCACCAGGGCTAATTGATTTTCACAGCTGGTGCAGGAAAGTCTAAGGAAGATATGAGACTTTAAAAGTCCCTTTGTGCAGACTCTGAAGTTCATGAGTTCTGCAGGGACTTCAAATTTGGACTTCAATAAGAGATGCTGAAATCATCTGAAATAACTTTGGGCACCAGCTGGAAAAGAATCACTTGTTTATGTAGGTGTGGTGTGAGTAGGTTTTGGCCTGCCATATGGCATCACAAGAAATTCATCATTATCCTCCTTACATGAAGTATCAGTATGTTAAATTGCACAAACCTGGTTTTTACCACTACATGTTAGATGATGTAAATGTCTATCTTTCCTTTGCTTTATAGTTGACAGAGGACACTATCTATTGACTAGTAAGTAGCCCATGTCATAGACATTTTATATTCCTTATTATGAAAAGGTGGAAAGACAGCAGCAATCTGAGGGAGGGCTCTCATGTAGGAGCAGAAAGCAGGGATGTAGATATTGGTACTGAGGTGGAAAGGGAGGATTTGATCACAGGGAATCATGTCAGAGTCCCAATGGAATGAGCATGCTTATAGAGGCAGCACAGTATAGTAAAAGGCATGGACATTGGATCAGATAATTTTGGCTTCCAAGCCAAACGCTGCCACTGGGAAGTAAATGGATCTTGGATGAGTTCCATTTCCTTACTGCAGCGTTGTGACATATAAAATATATGTAAATGGGCCAGGAATGTCATGGCACTTCATACTCTCTCCTTCCATTCCTTTTTGCATTGGTGAAAATTAGGTTGAAAGTCAGTGTCTTTCTGAACAAAGTATACTGATGTTGAGTCTGGAATCACAGAACAAACCTTTTGTACTTTCAACAACAGCAGAACGGGACATTCTGCTGTTGTATATTTTGAGACGTGAAAGGAGGGCTATTTTATCTGAAGAACGTCTAGGAATCACATGAAGTAACAGTAAAATAAATCATTAAATCCAATAAAGATGGTTATTGGAAGCAGCAACCAGTAAATATTTGGGCAAGGTAGACTTAGATGAAGCCCAGGGAGCTGGTTACCCTTTACTTAAACTTACTCCCATTCCCATTATCTATTTTTAAAAAAAATAAAAACAAAAACTAAAAAAACCTTTATGACAAGTACTTAGAAAAAAAAATTAACTGCTTCTAGTGACATATGAGGATTGCATATTATTTACATCATAAGAGAAAACAAGCTTAGTTATGTGACGTTGTATTAGCTGACAACGTTCATAAAATTACCTAGACACTGGACTTGATAACGTATTAAAGTTATTTAAAAAGCACAATTATTTGGCAAGATATCTCCAATAAAGTGTAAACTTACAAGCAAACTAGGAGTTGGCAGATTGTAAATATCTACCTGGATGTAAAAACACATTAGGAATATGAGTGGGGGATAATTATTACAATCCAGACTGGCTTAAGATCCAGTTATTGGAAAAAAATATTGATCAAAGAGTAGTGATGACTCAAATATGTATCACTATGCAATTTAGTGGTGCTTATGAACTCACAATAAGCAAAATATATAATGACAAAACTAAAAGAAGGTTATTTTTGACTGAAGGAAAAAGTCCAGAAATTGTATGGAATATTCAACTCTATACACTGCTAATCATACGTTGATAGAAAGTGTCCTTACTAAAAACTGTCAACTTTTAGACTTTATGGGTATATTTGTGTAGTAGGAACTTTATAGAATTGCTCAGCAGCCAAAATTTTAAAATATTAACTGTAATATCCATTAAACTATATTGATGTACAGATGTGCTTGTTTAGCATTATGAGGCTTAAAATGCTTCCTTACTTTGGTGTCCTTTTTTAAATTCAGCATCTCTATTATCCTCTCCTTTTCTTAAAATCCTATAGTAATTCCAAAAAAAAAATTGCAGATTCCTGGGCAAGATGGCCAAATAGAAACAGCTCTCGTCTGCAGCTCCCAGTGAGACCAACGCAGAAGGCAGGTGATTTCTGCATTTTGAGCTAATGTACTCAGTTAATCTCACTGGGACTGGTTAGACAGCGGGTGCAGCCCACAGAAGGTGAGCCGAAGCAGGGTGGGGCATCACCTCACCTGGGAAGTGCAAGGGGTTGGGGAATTTCTTCCCCTAGCCAAGGGAAGCCGTGAGGGACCATGCTGTGAGGGAAAATGCTATCTGGCCCAGATTCTACATTTTCCCCACAGTCTTTGCCACCCACAGACCAGAAGATTCCCTTGGGTGCCTACACCACAAGGGCCCTGGGTTTCAAGCACAAAACTGGGAGGCCCTTTGGGCAGACACCAAGCTAGCTGCAAGAGTTTTTTGTTTGTTTGTTTGTTTTTTCCCCAGTGGCACCTGGAATGCCAGCAAGACAGAACCGTTTACTCCTCTGGACAGGGGTTTGAAGCCAGGGAGCCAAGTGGTCTTGCTCAGCAGATCCCAACCCCATAGAGCCCAGCAAGCTAAGATTCACTGGCTTGAAATTCTCGCTGCCAGCACAGCATTCTGAAGTCAACCTGGGAAGTTCAAGCTTGGTGTGGGAAGGGGCATCTGCCATTACTGAGGATTGAGTAGGTGGTTTTCCCCTCACAGTGTAAACAAAGTCGCCAGGAAGTTCAGACTAGGCGGAGCCCACCACAGCACCCCAAAGCTGCTGTAGCCAGACTGCCTCTCTAGATTCCTCCTCTCTGGGCAGGGCATCTCAAAAGACAGGCAGCGACCTCAGTCAGGGGCTTATAGGTAAAACTCCTATCTCCATGGGACAGAGCACCTGGGGTAAGTGGCGGCTGGGGGATGCAGCTTCAGCAGACTTAAATGTTCCTGCCTGCTGGCTCTGAAGAGAGCAGATCTCCCAGCACATTGCTCGAGCTCTGCTAAGGGACAGACTGACTCCTCAAGTGGGTCGCTGATCCCCGTACCTCTTGACTGGGAAAGACCTCCTAGCAGGAGTTGACAGACACCTCATACAGGAGAGCTCCAGCTGGCATCTGGCAGGTGCACCTCTGGGACAAAGCTTCAAGCGGAAGAAGCAGGCAGCAATCTTTGCTGTTCTGCACCCTCTGCTGGTGATACCCAGGCAAACAGGGTCTAAAGTGGACCTCCAGCAAACTCCAGTAGACCTGAAGAAGAGGGACTGGACTGTTAGGAGGAAAACTAACAAACTGAAAGCAATAGTATCAACATCAACAGAAAAGATGACCACACAAAAACTCTATCCAAGCGTCACCAAAAGCAAAGAGCAAAGGTAGATAAATCCACGGAGATGAGGAAAACCCAGCACAAGAAGACCGAAAATTCCAAAAACAAGAATGCCTCTCCGACTCTAAAGGATCACAACTCCTTGCCAACAAGGGAACAAAATTGGATGGAGAATGAATTTGACGAACTGACAGAAGTAGACGTCAGAAGGTGGGTAATAACAAACTCTTCTGAGCTAAAGGAGCATGTTCTAACCCAATGCAAGGAAGTTAAGAACTTTGATAAAAGGTTTGAAGAATTACTAACTAGAATAATCAGCTCAGAGAATAACATAAATGACCTGAGGGAGCTGAAAAACACAGCGTGGGAACTTCATGAAGCATACACAAGTATCAATAGCTGAATCGATCAAGTGGAAGAAAAGATATCAGAGACTGAAGATCAGCTTAATGAAATAAAGCAAGAAAGGATATCAGAGATTGAAGATCAACTTAATGAAATAAAGCATGAAGACAAGAATAGAGAAAAAAGAATGAAAAGGAATGAACAAAGCCTCCAAGAAATATGGGACTATATGAAAAGACCAAACCTATGTTTGATTTGTGTACCTGAAAGTGACAGGAAGAATGGAACCAAGTTGGAAAACGCACTTCAAGATATTATCTAGGAGAACTTCCCAAAACTAGAAAGACAGGCCAATATTCAAATTTAGGAAATACAGAGAACACCACAAAGATACCTCTTGAGAAGAGTAACCCCAAGACACATAATTGTCCGATTCACCAAGGTTGAAATGAAGGAAAAAATGTAAAGGGCAGCCAGAAAGAAAGGTTGGGTTACCCACAAAGGGAAGCCCATCAGACTAACAGTGGATCTCTCTGCAGAAACCCTACAAGCCAGAAGAGAGGGGGGCAAATATTCAACATTATTAAAGAAAAGAATTTTCAGTCCAGAATTCCATATCCAGCCAAACTAAGCTTCATAACCAAAGGAGAAATAAAATCCTTTACAGACAAGCAAATGCTGAGGGATTTTTTTTTCCACCACTAGGCCTGCCTTAAAAGAGCTCCTGAAGGAAGCAATAAATATGGAAAGGAAAAACTGGTACCAGCCACTGCAAGAACAAACCAAAATGTAAAGACCATCAATACGATGAAGAAACTGCATCAACTAATAGGCAAAATAACCAGCTAGCATAATAGTGACAGGATGATATTCACATATAACAATATTAATGTTAAATGTAAATGGGCTAAATGTCCCAATAAAAAGGCACAGACTGGCAAATTGGATAAAGAGTCAAGACCCATTGGTATGCCATATTCAAGAGACCCATCTCAAGTGCAAAGACACCCATAGGCTCAAAATAAAGGGATGGAGGAAGATTCATCAAGTAAGTGGAAAGCAAAAAAAAAAAAAAAAAAAAAAAAAAGCAGAGATTGCAATCCTAGTCTCTGACAAAACAGACATTAAACCAACAAAGATCAAAAAAGACAAAGAACGTCATTACATAATGGTAAAGGGATAAATGCAACAAGAAGAGCTTAGGCAGTTAGATAGATTAACAAGACAGAAAATTAACAAGGATATTCAGGACTTGAACTCAGCTCTGGACCATACAGACCTAATAGACATCTACAGAACTCTCCCCACCAAATCAACAGAATATACATTCTTCTCAGTACCACACAGCAGTTATTCTAAAATAGACCACATCATTGAAAGTAAAACACTCCTCAGCAAATGCAAAATAACAGAAATCATAACAAACAGTTTCTCAGACCACAGTGCAATCAAATTAGAACTCAGGATTAAGAAACTCGCTCAAAACTCCATAACTACCTGGAAACTGAACAACCTGCTCCTGAATGACTACTGGGTAAATAATGAAATTAAGGCAGAAATAAATACGTTCTCTGAAACCAATGAGAACAAAGACATGACATACCAGAATCTCTGGGACACAGCTAAAGTAGTGTTTAGAGGGAAATTTATAGCACTAAATGCCCACAGGAGAAAGCAAGAAAAGTCTAAAATCAACACCCTAACATCACAATTAAAAGAACTAGAGAAGCAAGAGCAAACAAATTCAAACGCTAGCAGAAGACAACAAATAACTAAGATCAGCAGAACTGAAGGAAATAGAGATATGAAAAACCCTTCAAAAATCAATAAATAGAGGAGCTGGTTTTTTTGAAAAGATTAACAAAATAGATAGACAACTAGCCAGACTAATAAAGTAGAAAAGAGAGAAGAATCAATTAGACACAGTAAAAATGATAAAGAGGAGATTACCAGTGATCCCACAGAAATACAAACTACCATCAGAGAATACTATAAACTCCTCTATGCAATTAAACCAGAAAATCTAGAAGAAATGGATAAAGTCCTGGACACATACGCCCTCCCAAGACTAAACCAGAAAGAAGTCAAATCCCTGAATAGACCAATAACAAGTTCTGAAATTGAGGCAGTAATTAATAGCCTACCAACCAAAAAAAAGCCCAGGACCAGATGGATTAACAGCTGAATTCTACCAGAGGTACATGAGCTGGTACCATTCCTTCTGAAACTATTCCAAACAACTGAAAAGGAGGGACTCCTGCCTCATTCATTTTATGAGGCCAGCATCATCTTGATACCAAAACCTGGCAGAGACACAACAAAAAAAAGAAAATTTCAGGCCAACATCCCTGATGAACACCAATAAGAAAATCCTAAATAAAATACTGACAAACCTAATCCAGAAGCACATTAAAAAGCTTTTCCATCACAATCAAGTCGGCTTCATCCCTGAGATGAAAGACTGGTTCAATATACTCAAATCAATAAATGTAATCCATCACATAAACAGAACCAATGACAAAAACTACATGATTATCTCAATAGATGCAGGAAAGTTCTTCGATAAAATTCAACACCCTTCATGTTAAAAACACTCAATAAACTAGGTATTGATGGAATATATCTCAAAATAATAAGAGCTGTTTCTGACAAACCCACAGCCAATATCATACTGAATGGGCAAAAGCTGGAAGCATTCCCTTTGAAAACTGACACAAGATAATGATGCCCTCTCTCACCACTCCTATTCAACATAGTATTGGAAGTTCTGGCCAGGGCAATCAGGCAAGAGAAAGAAAGAAAGGATATTCAAACAGGAAGAGAGGAAGTCAAATTGTCTCCGTTTGCAGATGACATGATTGTATATTTAGGAAACCCCATTGTCTCAGCCCCAAATCACCTTAAGATGGTAAGCAACTTCAGCAAAGTCTCATGATACAAAATCAATGTGCAAAAATCACAAGCATTCTTATACGCCAATAATAGACAAACAGCCAAATCATAAGCAAACTCCTATTCACAATTGCTACAAAGAGAATAAACTACCTAGGAATATAGCTTATGAGGGATGTGAAGGACCTCTTCAAGGAGAACTATAAACCACTGCCCAACGATATAAGAGAAGACACAAACAAATGGAAAAATATTCCATGCTCATGGATAGGAAGAATCGATATCATGAGAATGGCCATGCTGCCCAAAATAATTCATAGATTCAATGCTATTCCCATCAAGCTACCATTGACTTTCTTCACATAGTTAGAAAAAGCTACTCTAAATTTCATATGGAATCCAAAAAGAGCCCATATAGCCAAGACAATCCTAAGCAAATAGAACAAAACTGGAGGCATCATGCTACCTGACTTGAAACTATACTACAAGGCTACAGTAACCAAAACAGCGTGGTGCTGGTACCAAAACAGATATGCAGACAAAAGGAACAGAACAGACGCCTCAGAAATAACAGCACATATCTACAACCATCTAATCCTTGATACACCTGACAAAAACAAGCAATGGGGAAAGAAGTCCTTATTTAATAAATGGAGTTGAGAAAACTGGCTAGCCATATGCAGAGAACTGAAACTGGACCCTTTCCTTACACTTTATACAAAAATTAACTCAGGATCAACTAAAGATTTAAATGTAAGACCTAAAACCACAAAAACCCTAGAAAAAAACCTAGGAAGTACTGTTCAGGTCATAAGCATTGGCAAAGACTTCATGACTAAAACACCAAAAACAATGGTAACAAAAGCCAAAATTGACAAATGGGATCTAATTAAACTAAAGAGCTTTTGCACAGTGAAAGAAATTATCATCAGAGTGAACAGGCAAGTAACAGAATGGGAGAAAATTTTTGCTATCTCTCCATCTGACAAAGGGCTAATATCCAGAATCTACAAGGAACTTAAACAAATTTACAAGAAAAAAAAACCCATAAAAAAGTGAGCAAAGGGTATAAACAGACACTTTTCAAAAGAAGACATTTATGTGGCCAACAAACATACAAAAAAAAGCTCATCATCAGTGGTCATTAGAGAAATGCAAATCAAAATTACAATAAGATAATGTCTCATGCCAGTTAGAATGGCAATCATTAAAAAGTCAGGAAGCAACAGATGCTGGAGAGGATGTGGAGAAATAGAAACACTTTTACACTGTTGGCAGAACTGTAAATTAGTTCAAGCATTGTGGAAGACAGTGTGGCGATTCCTCAAGGATCTAGAACCAGAAATACGATTTGACCCAGTAATCACATTACTGGGCATATAATCAATGGATTATAATTATTCTACGATAAAGACATATGCATACGTATGTTTATTGCCGCACTATTCACAATAGCAAAGACTTGGAACCAACCCAAATGCCCATCAATGTTAGACTAGATAAAGAAAATGTGGCACATATATACACCATAGAATAAATACTGTGCAGACATAAAAAAGAATGACTTCATGTCCTTTGCAGGGACATGGATGAAGCTGGAAACCATCATTCTCAGCAAACTAACACAGGAATAGAAAACCAAACAACACATATTCTCACTTATAAGTGGGACTTGAACAATGAGCACATATGGGCACAGGGAGAGGAACATCACACACTGAGGCCTGTCAAGGGGTGGGGGGCAAGGGGAGGGATACTAGGAGAAATACCTAATGTAGATTACGAGTTTATGGGTGCAGCAAACGACCATGGAACATGTATACCTATGTAACCAACCTGCACGTTCTGCACAAGTATCCCAGAACTTAAACTATAATAAAAAAAATTGCATATTAAATTTGTATATATTGCCCTGTTATTTCCTCTTACAGTGAATTGACAAGTGAAAGCCTTCAAAGTAGTATAGTGTATCAAAACCAAAAGTAAAAACCCAAACCAGACATATTCAGGTTATGTGATTAGACTCTGTAATCATAATGGTCAATATCTGAATAAGTTAATATAATTTGTCACTGTAAATATTTGTTAAAATGCATAGAAATCTATCCTTGAGGTGCTGGTAATTACACTCATTTCACTATGGAAATATTCATGGGATTTTATAATTTAGTCAACTTACTTCCTCATCCCTTTTTAAAATAGTTGTGTACATTTTAAATAGAAAATGTATGAAGACAATATTATGTTCTTGACGTTTTCTTTCTGATAAAGAAATGCCAAGCCCATTGGAAATGCTTTGGGCCGAAAATGAATTCTTGGGTTGGATGCATTCTATAGTACACTTGCAATCTGTCACTTCTTATCTTTTGAGAGCAGGAAACAAAATAGTTTCTGGACATTAATAGGATTGCAACCTACCTAATGACGGGCTGAGATTTTATCCTGAATCTCAGCTCAAATGTTTCCCATTGGGAGTGGGCACTTCTGGAGGATTGTGTGTACATCCTATTAATAAACCAAATATCTCTTGACAATTGCAAACCTCGATCTTTAAAGATCCCTGAATAAACTCCTGACTGAAAATCCTGGTCGTTGTACATTTACAATGTTTACCAACAAATTTCAGAAATAATACAAGCTAATTAACTTACATGTCTCTTGCATTACAACTCTTAAACTATTGCCCATAGCAACATGAGTTACAATGAATATTTTCATTCTATGATGTCTATATTCAGATCTAGATGCCAAATTTGAAGAGACTTTCACAAGCAATTACCATGTTTGTTTGTTTTAAATTTATCCTCTTTTGACTTTTTTTGACCTGAAACAGAGTTGTAAGAGATTACAACTAACAAAACAAAAGTAGGAGAAGCCAATTTCTTTTTTCCACTGACATTTACTTTCTGCTTATTCATTTATTCATATATCCAATAAATACATGTTGAGTGCCTGCCATGATCTAGGCATTTTGGATACAGGAGCAAACAAAATTAAGTTTCTTATCTTTATGTTACTGACTTTCTTAAGGAGGCATTACAGATAAAAATATTAAAAATTATATATAAGTAAATTATTTTGTTATAAGTGGATAATTATTAATGATAGAAGAGAAAGTAGAGCAGAGTAAAGAATATCAAGAGGGGTGGACAAGTCAAGGAGGGAGAGGTGACATTATTCAGTAAGATGGTCAGAACAGGAATTTAAAAAAATGTATATAAGAAAATTTGCCAAGAAAATATCTGGCAGAATTGAGTCTCAGGGTAAGAGAGAAGTAAGTGCAAAATCCCTAAGGCTAAATCTGCCTTTAACTTTCATTAACTTTCATTAATTTACTCCATAAGCATTCACCGTCCACCTAAGAGATTGTAATTCTGTACAACTGACCTCAAGAAAAGGAAGGACATTTTATAAAGACAGAGTAAAATGTTTAATTCCAGATATAAAAAAAGTTAAAGTAATATAAAAAAGGCAGAGTGACATTGAGGTGAGATAACTGAACTGATAATGATATAAACAAATGTAGAAATTACTTTTTTCTACTAACTGCAAGATTTTCATGTGGCCTCAGTCCTCTGAAACTCAAATCAGTAAAATAAGGAGTTGAAGAAAATTGTGTTTATAATATCTCATTTCACTGCTATATTCCTCAGTACCTAAGACAATAAATATTTTTGAAATGAAATGTGGATTGATCCGTTATGTAAGATCCTTCATGATTTGGCCCCAATCCAATTTTATTTATTCTATCAAAAATATCCCCCAAAATATTCACTTAATGTCCTCTTTTATGTCCTCTTAGGCAATAAATTTAAACTTTTACGTTGTTTTTTCTCTTCTGTAGAATAGAGATGATGTTGATAATAACTGCCAACTTCAAAGAGTTCTCATAAGATTTAAATATTAATAATGATGTATTCTACTTACATTCTTAAAAATGTTTCTGGTGCCTAGTTAATGTTATGTACACTTTGTCAATACTCTTTGTATTTCTTTGTAACTCTTCTAGAAAAATAATTAGGTAAGCGTTTGACAGCGATATTCCTATCTCTTCTATTCAATTGTTGTTCATAATTTGAATGTGGGTTCTCCGTCAGGATTACATGCTATAAGCCCTTGAAAGCAGCAGAGAGTCAAACTTGTGAGGAGGCAAATAGTATACATGGATACATCAGTCAGAACACCCACTGACATATCAGTCCATGAGTCTGTTGTGTAATAAAGCCCAGTGCCTTCGTTCATTCATCCAACAAAGGTACAGATAATAGGAGTTATCAAGACCATGACTAATGGAGAGATTGATGATGCTGAAACAGAGGAGGTGCACGTCATTCATCTTGTTACATTCAGAGTAAATATTCACAAATGCTGCTTGTCATATCATTATTAAGACCACCTTAATTGAATAACACTCAAGGTGGTCTTAATAATGTAATGTAATAAAAGTATTCAAGTCTTTACTTAATGTCTTATCTCAACCTCTCACTATGTTTCCACTTGCTAATAGATAGTCAGTCATGGTAAGAAACCACAACAGACTGTGTGGGAAAAGTTCTGAGCATCAGAATGTACTACATTCCATCTTTATGACAGAGCTCTACAAGAAAGGCACAGACAATAAGTATTTTTGAAATAAAATGTAAATAGATATGTTATGTAAGATCCTTCATGATCTGGCCCCAATCCAATGTTATTTATTCTAACAAACACCGTGGGTCCTAAAATTATCTTTCCACAATTTTCTTCCCTATGTTCTCTTAGGCACCGTTCCTTAATGCCATTCTAGCTCTTATTTAAAAAGCCCCAGCTATGGAAATGTGAGTAGCAGGACACTTCTTTCCCAAAGAAAGTCTTAGATCTTTCCTGATCCTACAAAGCAAGACAGCAACAATAATGAAACCTAATACTCAGTGAAAAACATTGGGTTGTGGGTTTGTAATTAACCAATCATTCAACATATATTTATTAAAAACAACACACATTCAGCTTTATTAATGCTCATTGGGAGAGAAAAATAATGTGTTTATTTTTTCCCCATTTACTGATACCACAACTCATTTTTAAATAAAATACATGCAGCTTATGAGAAAAATAGATTTAAATAAATGAGGAAATGAGGACAAAAAATGAAGCAAAAACAGTTGGTAAGAATAATAAAATCAGTTATATAGCCCTTAACAGAAGCTGGTGATGAACTACTAATTCGAATTTTCTAGCAGCCAGAAGAGCGAACAGCCAGAGAAAAGAAAACTTAGAGATGTCATGGTAACCATAGCTGTGAAGACAAAACTGAGAACATGATTACATGATTTATTTCCATGGGATGATCTGCCCCACGAGGGCCACGATTTTATTCGCCTCTGTAGTCCCAGTCCCAAACATCATATTTGTTGAGTGCAAGTAGGCACTCAATAAGTGCATATTGAATTAGCATGTGATTATTTTAAAATTTGAAACACTTGACATCAAATCACATTTATTATGTCTTTAAAACATCTGTAAAAGAAAATCAAACACTATGCAATCAGAACTCTCTCAAAACATCAATTACACATCGTTGGCATTGTTGCTTCTGTAGAAAATGTATATTTGCAAAAGTGACACAAGATTAATAAAATGGTATTAATTGAACTGTAGAGCTTTAGATTTATTATGTATAAGATTTTAAAGAAATATCTCATCTCAAAGACCATAATTTCTTAACCTGAGTCTTATAACTAGTAATTTTGGGTAAATAACATTTTTATTTTTAATAGATGCTCTTCTCCACTTCTTCTAAGTCATATCAAAATCAATTTAATTCCATTAATGCTAATGAGGATCCAGGAACAAATCTGGTTCAATTTTATTATTAGAATATAACATTCTAATAATTGTGTTTAATTTGAAAAAAAGAATCATTCATCACCTTCCTCCTTTCTCTGATGAACCTAATGTCAGCAAAGTAACATCTCTTCAAACATTCAATATGAAGATTACAGAATTTTCTAGAGCCTACCATTCTATTCTCCTTTTATCCTGGAAATTGCTGGATAGATACATCCTGCTGGTTTGATGATTTATATTAAAGCTCATTAAGAAATCCAGAAATGGCCAAAATCACACTACTACAATATAGGTAATGTTACAGAAACTCAACATTCAAATCCCCTGCCAACAGACCTCTGATGAGGGTCCTTTTACTCTAATTAGAGTTAACTGGGCATTGCTGTGTTACTTAAAACTTTCTCTTTTGGATGAATATAGGGATGCTGCCATCTGGAATGCATTATGAAAGTTCACACAACAAGCATACAGGAGAGAGGCAAAGAGGGCTTCTGTCTACCTCTTTCCTGCTCTCCCTGACCAAACAGCTGAGAATGTTGATCTTCTGGGAAAAAAAAATCTGGTCAAGACCTACTCACTAAAATTGATAAAATGCTCCATTACCTCAGGATCAAAAAGATGTCAAGACAAAATTATACCTAAGGGGACCAGTAGAGCCCATCGGAGACCATCAACAGGCAGACAAGTGACAGACCAGGAAGCAATTGCAGAGCCATCAACCTAACGGTCTGTGAAATCTACCCTGGACCCACGTTCTGCCACCCGGAGAATATCATCTCTAGATGAAAGCACTTGGGACCTGTCAGTCATCCAGGCCCGGAGAATTAAGAGTTATATTATAATTGTCTTCAGTTCATAGCCTTAGTTTCCAATGAACTGGAAAAGTACTAGTCTCAAAAACAATTTGCTTTTTAAAGGACTCTAGCACAGAAAAATTGATGTAAATTTTTGTGGTTGTTAAGATGGAAATGCAGAACAAATTGTATTGAAACGTACTAACAAGAATATATTTTATTTTTAATGGTCATTTCAATAGTGTTATCCAAATGATGACCCTTGTATTACTAGACAATTATACTGTAGGGTCATTTTCTATATACACAATTGGTTTTTACAATACTTATCTGATTTAACAATACATTTTGTTTAAATCACAAACTCAATTCAATAACCTTTGAATCTTAAAGAATAGTAGTTATTTGACACATTGAAAAAGTTCAGATCTATTAAACAGAGCAAAACAGTTCATTTTGTGTTTGTTAGTGGCATGTTTCTCCATCACACATTGTTAATTTGATATAAATGTTTTCATTTTTAAGAGTCTTTATTCTAACAGTGACGTATCTGATGACAGATCTTCAAAACAAATAGCACAATTTATTATGATAGTAACAAGTTCTTCATTAAACAAATCCTCTTTTAATAAGGATGGAAGTCATTCCCAGGATACATAGAGGTCTAAACAACTAAGTACTGAATATGATAAAATGTGGCAAATTTGTACCATGGGTTTGAAGTTGCCCTTCATAGATGAGGAGGCTGCTGGAACTGTCCGAGTGGGAGGGAGGTATTTAATTAGTGATCAATTATAGCTTACAATTCCATAGCACTTCACACCTAGAAAATTTTTCCCATTTGCTATTAGAACGTCATTTTCCCATTTGCTATTAGAACAGTATTAGAATGTCACAGTAGCTCTATGAGATAGATAAGCATGCTTCTATTATCTTCATATCTGGGTTCTTTGTATGCAAATTCTAGTTCATAACAATCAGAGACATTAAATTTGAGCACAATCACGCTACTGGTCAGTAGTGAACCTGGGGCTTGTGTCAGGTTGTGTCTCTCCAAAGTCTCGTTTTTTTTTGTTTTGTTTTGTTTTGTAAGTAACCTTATCAAGTACAGCAGATTAACCACTGTTGTCACCCAGTAGGCAACTGTCTATTGCCTGATGTGTTTGCATAACTCTGTCATCAAAAGTTTAGCTATTGCTACTATTTACAAGCTTTACATAGCTAAGTTAAATATTTAAACTGTAATTTGGTCACGCTTATTGTTAACCACTGTTGTCAACCAGTAGGCAATTGTCTATTGCCTGATGTGTTTGCATAACTTTGTCATCAAAAGTTTAGCTATTGCTACTATTTACAAGCTTTACATAGCTATGTTAAATATTTAAACTGTAATTTGGTCACCCTTATTGTTAAGCAGAAATACCGTGCACCAGTATCAATTCCTAGGAGGGGGGCATCCTGCATTGGTTACCAATCCCAGGGGAGGGTTTTAAACACCTTGCCAATTTCTGCTTAAATGTCTAAGTCTGGCAGGAGGTTTTGCACAAACCCAGCTGCCAGAATATGAATCCAGTAAGACAGAAGACTTGCACTAAAGTTAGGCAAAGAAACTTTGTTACAAATAGGCAGCAAGAACTAACACAAGACTAGGATTCATGGCAAGCTGGTACCCCAAGGCTCAGGAAAGCAATCCAGAGTGGAAAGAGTCTCGTCTGTGCCCAATGTCTTACAACAGTTGACTGAAATTATTCTACTCTGGGTTTTATATCTTAGGTGATACTTGGGCCATTAGGCTGATGTATTACAGTACATCCTTTTTTAAGGAGGGATGAGTACAGAACCAAGGCTGTTCTAGACAGTTCTTCCTTGTCTTAGAATGCTGCGTTTTCAGTGCATTCTGCCTGAAAATTGCAAGGAAGAGTGTATGGGAGACTAGAATATACCTCCAAATATGAACAGTTGTTGAGCTGAAGGCATTTTAAGAAATAGCAGATACAGAAAAACCTCATCCTTCCCCTATCTGCTAAGAGCAGGAAATAGATTTTAAAAGACAAAAGATACCCTGCCCTTCTTCTAACTAGGAGAACAAAAGTTAACCACTGAAGACAACTTTAGACCCTTATCATCTTCGGATGATACCAGAAGAATTTACATTAATAAACTTTACTAACTAGCCTTTATGTCATTTATTTGTCTTTCTCCAAATCATGGTTCTAGAGAATCAAAGGCCTTTTTCTTTGTCTCTTCTCTAAAATGTTACTGTTCTTTGTTGAAGATGTTGTAAAAACTGGAATTCGAAGCCACCTCTTTGAGAACTATTAGTACTTATTTCCTGGTGTCTCCCATGTATACATGAAATATACATGTTAACGTACTTCTGTTTTTCTATTGCTAATTTGTCTTTTATTACAGGGATTCATTCCAACTAAAAACCAATTGTTGAAGAAGAAATTGTTATTCTTTTTCTACCGAGGCAAAAGCTGGATCAGCCAAGGTGGTAGGGACCTGTCCTCCTGCACTTAGTGTGTTCAAAAGTTGTCTTGGTCTCAGCCTCATGAGACTGTCACCTGCGTTTTAAAAGCAATGAACATTTTACAGTACCTATGAAGGGTTTTCATCCCCAATGTCCTCTGGTTGTCCAGCAGAAAAAAATAATCAAATGTTATATATACGGCATATATTTTTCCTATAGCTTGCATTTCATTACTGTTAGTGATTAAGAGCTTGCTGGTTAAAGGCAGCTTAAAGTACACTCTTGGCACAGGTGAAACTTTTCTTCAAGGATTTGTCACCTCTCTTTTTTTGTGTCCTAGACAAATTTTAGTATTAGTAAAGTTTGCCTTTGGTATATCTTTATCTCCTTTCCCAACACATGTACCGTATAGTAACTCCAATAACTCCGCCTTTGTCCTCAAAGCTGGCAGAACGATTTTGCTACCATTATACTGGTATTCCAAAGTACAAAACTCCTTTGAATTCTTCCTGAGTTCAGCCAGCTGACGTTTCTTGACTCCAGTCACACGCAAACATGACTTAACTGTCTTGTGTTTTGCTTTCTCACATCACGTTGTCCTCACTTTATTACCCATTTATTCTCAATCTGGAGGAAAACATTTTAAGTCACATCTTTATAGCAGCATTTTCCATATATACTTTTTTCTCCTCCATTAATATTTATCATGCTTTTCTGATGTATGGTTTAGGTTGGCTGTATCCACAAATAATACAAAAAATACTCACTGAGTCTTGAGAAGTATGTAAATCAAGCATAGGTAATGTTGCTTGGGTGGTGGGAGAAGGGGGAAAAGGAAGGGGAGGCTGAGAACACTGAAACTCTATCCCTCCAAATAATAAATGAGTGATTTCCTCTCTTCCACAGAACCAATCTTTCTCTCACGCCTTATTTCCTTGCAGCTAATAAACCCTAATGAGATAGCAGTGCTTGTGTAAGTCTGTGTTATACAGCTGTTCTTTCTCACTTTGACTTCTCCAGTGACTGACTGACTTACCTCTCTCATTACATGGACTCACTCTTCCCCTCCTCACATCTCCTTTTTTCATTCATTCTTACCCCTATGATACACCCTTCTCTCTCTATCTACTTCGATCTCTCTCTCCCACCCAGAGATAAAGCAAGCAGAATATGTTAACTCCATTCTTATCACCTGAGAAAAGATTGCCACATGAGTGAGCGATAGATAGATAGATAGATAGATAGATAGATAGATAGATAGATAGCCTAAGAGGATGTCATAATGCTTCTTGAGTTTGAAATGCTTAGTCAGAAAGTTAATAGCTGGAGCACAGCATGGGACCTAGTGACCCTATTGAATTCTAAGAATAGTATTATAATTTCAGGATTTTTTCTTTCGTTTTTCCCCCTAACATGAAAATAGTTGGTGTGACTGCTTTGAAAAATAATGATGTCTTCTTAGAGGTGTTCTCTTTGAACATCTATATTCAGATTTACAAAACTGTTCCTGTCTCATGGAGACTTCTGGCAGATTTTTGATAGAAAGAAAAAGAAATAAAAGTACAATGTGAAACAGTTACTTCAGGTCTCTACTTTGAGATGCTTACTAAAGAATAGGAAAACCTGGGAGAAATTTAATATAGACCCATAATTTGCAACAACTTTTTCGCTAGTTTGAAACCATAAGGTTTAAAATAACAGGAAACAGCATACTGCTGTCTAAGTTTTAAAACTTGTGAGTATTTTATTAGAAATTTAATCCATCTGTTTATAATTCATTGACTCTGTACTCATCAAAATATTGTTTGCTGAGGGTGATAGTGAATCCAAAAAGACTTCAAAGCCATTTTTATTTTTTTTAACAGAAATTTAAGGGCTGCCAAGAATAAAAACATTCTACCCCACACAAATTCTTATTTTGCTCCTAGCTAGAACTTGGGAAGGTGTAATTCTGCTCTAAGAATGCCAGAACCAATGCATTTATTCAGGCTCCTTTCCCTGTGTGGTTGATGGCATTGTTTATGTGGATTAGAAAACTTTCTGCTTCTTTCCAATAAGTATAACCCAAAAGGAGTAAAATGCAATTTCATCACTTTTAACATTTTGAAGGTGGAATTATATCTGGCCTTTCATAGTGGACAGAATTTATTTTGTTCTCCCTTCAAAGAAAGCATTTGGCAGGAGCTAATGTACAGAAAAGACAAAAAAGATGACATTAAACATTACAAGATGTGAACTGAATGGTTAGAGGGTAATTTGCAGATCTTGCTGACAAGAGATACACATGATAGTGGGAGACAGCAGAGAGGTTTTAGATTAGCTGTATGATGAAGGAGATGTTCTCAGAGGGTAGAATAAGGGGCTTTGCAAACTTTTTTCCCCCTTTCTTTTCAAAGATGTGATCAGATTGGGGTGGTTGGACAATGGTTCTCATAGTTTAGGGAACTGATGATCTCAGGATATCCTATTGTTTTCTGATGCAAGAACATCTAATGATCATGAAACTGAAGAAAACAATTGTCAATTGGAATGATGCACAAATCAGGAATGGGAGAATAAATTTATATTAAAAATACATAGACATTAACATTATAAAAGAATCAATGACAAATACATGAGCTTCTGTGGTACTCCTGATCCTTTCTTAGAGTGTTATTTAAGGATGATCTATACTTTGAGAATTTTTGCTTACTAATCTTAAATCAGCCCTTACTCAGTGGCAACAGAAGTTTCCATTTCCCTAAAGAAAATTAGCCCAGGTAGATGTCAATGCTTAGGACCTTGGCAATGTTGAAATTACTTCAGACAATTGCAATGAATTTCTTGCCCATATTGTATTTCCTGAAAGCTATAGTAATCTCAGAGAAATAAGAATTTGATTTTGTCTAAATCATAGTCTTCATTGGCCTGATTTATTTCACTAGCCACCTGCAATGAACAACAGCCTGGCAACAGCCCTTGCTCTTATCAAATTAAATTTTACATGATTATCAGGGGGTTATTTTCCTATTTAGAATAGCTTTATTGAGATATAACACACATCATAAAATTCATTCTTTTAAAGTTACATTTTAGTGTCTTTTAGTATATTAACAGTGTTCTGCAGTGATAACCATTATGAAATTTTAAAATATTTTCATCACCCCCAAAAGAAGTCTCATCTCCACTAGTAGTCACTCCCCATTTCCTCTTTCCTCCAAGCCCTAGTAACCACTAATCTACTTTCTGACTTTATGTATTTGCCAATTTTGGATCTTTAACATAAATAGAATCATGTATTATGTGGTCTTTTGTGATTAGCTTTTTTCTTTAGTTTAATGTTTTCAGTTGATCTATGTGGTAGCTTGTAGCGCTTCACTCCTATTACTGAATATTATTCTATTGCATAGAAATAGCACATTTTGTTTACCTATTCATTAGATGGGTATTTGGGTTGTTTTTACTTTTTGGCTATTATGAATAATGCTGCTATGAACACTTGTACACAAGTTTTTGTCTGAATATTCATTTTCATTTCTCTAGGGTAGCTATTTAGGAGAAAAATTGCTTGGTAATATAGTAACTGTATGTTCAGTATGTTGAGGAGCTGCCAAACTATTTTCAAAAGAGATTGCACTACTTTCCATCAGCAATATGAGAGTTCTCATCTCTCCACATTCATGTGGCACTTGTTAATGTCCCACTTTTTAATTACAGCCACTCCAGTGGATATGAAGTGGGATCTTATTGTAGTTTTAGTTTATATTTCCCTAATGACTAATTATTTTAAGCATCTCTTCATGTGCTTATTGTCATTTGTTTATCTTCTTTGAAGAAATATCTATTCAAATTATTGTCTATTTTTTAAATTGGGTATTTGTCTTGTCATTGTTGTGTAGTAGAAATTATTTATACTTTCTTGATAATAGTCCATGATAATATACATGATTTCAAATATTTTCTCTCATCCTGTTTGTTCTTTTCAATTTTTTTTTCTGACAGTGTGCTTTGAAACCCAAAAGTTTTTAATTTTGATAGGGCCACATTTGTAATTTTTTTCTTTTGTTGCTATAATTTTGGATTCATAAGAACTAAACCATTACCTAAATCAAGGTCATGAAGGTTTACTGCTATGTTTGCTTTTAAGACTTTTATACTTTTAGCTCATACAGTTAGGTTCTACAATTCATTTTGATTAATTTCTGTCTACCATATGAAGGAAGAGTACAACCTTATTCTTTTTCATGTGGATGTCTAGTTGCATGAGCATTATTTGTTAATAAGACCGTCTTTAGAGATAGAAACATACAGAATATCTGGGACACAGTTAAAACTAGACTAAAAAGAAAGTTAATGGTGTTACATGCCCACATCAAAAAGTTAGAAAAATCTCAAATTAACAACCTGACACTACACCTAGAGGAACTAGAAAAACAAGAGCAAACCAACCCTGAAGCTAGCAGAAGACAAGAAATAATCAAAATCAGAGCTGAACTGAGAGAACTTGAGATGAAAAATAGCATGCAAAAGATCAACAAAACCAAATGCGGGTTTTATAAACCACTAGCTAGACTAATGAAAAAAATAGAGAAGATCCAAATAAAAACAATCATAAATGACAAGGGGGACATCACCACTGACCCCACAGAAATAAAACAAACCTTCAGAGACTATTATGAACACCTCCATGCACCCAAACTAGAAAACCTACAAGAAATTGATAAATTATTAGAAATGTACAACATTCCAAGATTGAGCCAGAAAGAAATTGAAACCCTGACTAGAACAATAATGAGATCCCAAATTGAATTAATAATAATAAAAAATCCTACCAACCTGAAAAAGCCCAGGACCAGATGGATTCACAGTCAAATTCTACCAGATGTGTAAAGAAGAGATAGTGCATCCCTACTGAAGCTATCTAAAAAATTGAGGAGGAGGAACTTTTCTCTAACTTATTTTATGAAGCCAGCACTATTCTGATACTAAAACCTGACAGAAACACAGCAGAAAAAGAAAACTTTGGCCAATATCTTTGATTAACATAGATTTGAAAGTTCTCAACAGAATACTAGCAAAGCAGACCCAGCAGCACATAAAAAATTTAATCCACCACAATCAAGTAGGCTTTATACCTGGCATGCAATGTTGGTTCAGCATATGCAAATCAATAAATGTTATTCATCACATAAACAGAACTAAAAACAAAAACCACATAATTACCTTAACAGATGAAGAAAGACTTTCGATTAAAAAAAAATCTTTCATCTTAAAATTCTCAACACACTAGGCATTGAAGAAAGATTCCACAAGTAATAAGAACCATCTATGACAAACCTACTGACAACATCATACTGAATGGGCAAAAGCTGGAACCATTTCCCTGGAAAATCAGAAAAAGACAAGAATGCTCACTCTCACCACTCCTATTCAACATAGTACTGGAGGTCCTCACAGAGTAACCAGGCAAGAGAGAGAAATAAAAGGCATTCAAATATTAAGAGAGGAAGTCAAACTATCGCTGCAGATCATATAATTTTTTTTTTTTTTTTTTGCCTAGAAAACCCCATACTCTCTGCCCCAAAGCTCCTAGATATGATAAACAACTTCAGCAGTTTCAGGATACAAAATCAATGTACAAAAGTCAGTAGCATTTCTATACGACAACAACATCCAAGCTTAGAACTAAATCAAGAATGCAATCCTATTCACAGTAGCCACAAAAAGAATAAAACACCTAAGAATATGGTTAACCAAGGAGGCGAAAGGCCTCTACAATGACAATTACAAAAGACTGCTGCAAGAAATCAGAGATGACACAAACAAATGGAAAAACATTCCATGCTCATGGATAGAACCATATTTCCCAAAAGAATTTGTTAAAGTGACTATATTTCCCAAAACAATTTATAGATTTATTGTTATTCTTATCAAACAACCAACAGTATTCTTCACAAAATGAGAAAAAAAATGAAAAAAATGAAAAAAAAAAAATGAAACCAATAAAGAGTCTAAATAGCCAAAGCAATCCCAAACAAAAAGAACAAAGGTGAAGACGTCACATCATCTAACTTCAACCTATACTCAAAGCTACGGTAATCAAAACAAGCATGGTACAGGGAAAAAAAAAAAAAACAAAACCAACAGCAATATATAATTCAATGAAACAGAATAAAAAGCCCACAAATAAAGCTACACACTTGTAACCATCTAGTCTTTGTCAAAGTTGACATAAACAAGTAATAGGGAAAGAATTCTCTATTCAACAAACAGTGCTGGATGTAGAAGATAGAAACTGGATGACTTCCTCACACCATATAAAAAAATCAACTCAAGAAGAAGTAAGACCTTAATATATAAAACCTTATACTATAAAAACCTTTAAAGAAAGTCTAGAAAATACTATTCTGGACACAGGTCCTGGTATAGATTTTATAATGACGACACCAAATGCAACTGCCTCAAAACAAAAGTTGACAAATGGGAACTAATTAAAATAAAGAGCTTCTACACAGCAAAATAAACTATCAACAGAGAAAACAGGCAACCTACAGAAAGTTCAAAAAGTTCAACTATTTTGTATTTTGGGAGAAAATATTTGCAAACTATGCATCCAACAAAGGTCTAATCTCCAGAACTTATAAGCAACTTTATATTTATAAATTTAATTTATATTTAATTTTTATTTATAAATTTAATTTATAATTAATTATACTTATAAATTAAAAATTTAAACAAATTTACAAACAAAAACCAAACAACCCAATTAAAAAGTGGGCAAAGTTCATGAAGAGACACTTTTCAAAAGAAGACATACACGCAGCCAACAAGCATATAAAAAAATGCTCACCATCACTAATCTTTAGAGAATTGCAAATCAAAACAACAATGAGATACCATTTCATACCAGTCAGAATGGCTATAATTAAAAAGTCAAAATATAACAGATGCTGGTGAGGTTGCAGAGAAAAGGGAATGCTTATATGCTGCAAATAGGAATGTAAATTAGTTCAGATGCTGTGGAAAGCAGGTTGGACAGTTCTCGAATAACTTAAAATAGAATTACCTTTAACCCAGCAATCCCATTATTGGGTGTATACTCAAAAGAAAATAAATTGTTTTACCAAAAAGACACATACGTATGTATATTCATCACAGCACTACTCACGACAGCAAAGACATGGAATCATTCTAGGTGCCCATCAACACTACACTGGACAAAGAAAATGTTGCACATATATAGCATGGAATACTACACAGTCATAAAATCAAATAAGATCACATCCTGTGCAGGAACATGGGTGGAGCTAATGGCCAATATACTAAGAGAAATAATACAGGAACAGCAAACCAAATACTGCATGTTCTCACTGAGAAGTGGGAGCTAAACATTGACTACACATGAACACAGAGAAGGGAAAAATCGACACTGGGATCTACTTGAGAGATGAAGGTGGGAGGAGCATAAGGATCAGTAAGTTATCTAATATGTACTATGTTACTACCTGGGTAATAATCAGTACACCAAACTCCCGTTACATGCAATTTACCTATATAAGAAAGCCAGAAAAATGTAGCCCCGAAAATAAAATGAAAGTTAAGAAAAGAAGACCATGAGACACTGTTGTCTAAGGTCCATTGACAAAAAATGTGTGCATTTATTTCTGTACTCTCGATTCTTTTCCATTGCTTTATATGTCTATTTTTATACTAATACCACACTGACCTGACAGTTGTAGCTTTATAGTGAGTTTTCGATTTGGGAAATATGAGTCCTTCAACTTTGATTTTGTTCTTTTTTTAAAAAAAATCGGCTATTCTGGGTCTTTTGCAATACTATGTGAATTTTAGAATTAACTTGTCTATTTCTGCAAAAAAAGACACTGCAAAATTTGAGAAGGATTATTTTTGGATCTGTAATCAATTTTTAAGAGTACTGCCATCTTAACAATATTGTTTTCTCTTTGTGAGGATGCCTATCCTTTTAACTAAGTTTTCTTTAATTTCTTTCAATATGACTTGTAGTGTTTAGTATAGGAATCCTGCAATTTTTTTGTTGAATTTATTCATAAGCATTTTATTATCTTTAATGTTAAGTGATTTTTAATAATTTGTGTGTATTATTGTTTTTAGTACAAAGACAATAGATTTTACTAATTACATTTATTAAAGTTAACCTGTTAACTTCATATCATGTAAATTTACTAAAACGATTTAGTAGCTATAATAATTTTTTGTTGATGCCTTAAGATTTTCTATATGTGATCATGTTATCTGAGAAGAGAAATAGTTTTACTTGTTATTTTCAACCATGTCTGGCTTTTCTTTCTTTTTCTTGCCTAAATCTCTTAGCTAAAGCCCTCAGTGCAATTTTGAATAGAAGTTCTAAGAATTAACATCTTTGTCTTATTCCTGAGCTTAGGGAGAATGCTGTCAATCTTTCATCATTGAATACAATAGAAACTGTGGGTTTTCTTAAATATCCTTTATCATATTGATTATATTACTATTTCTAGTTTTTTTAGTCTTTTCTTACATTATGAAAGCATACAGAAATTAATAATTTGTAATATCTCCTGTTATTCTTGGTTATTCAGGCTGAAAGTTCACCAATTTTATTGATACTTTCAAAAAACTAACTTTTAGGGTTTATAAATTTTATTTATTTTTTGTATTCATTTTATTTATTTCTGCTGTGATTTTTACTGTTTTCTTCTTTCTACTTGCTTTGAGTTTTATATGTATTCACAGCTTCTGGAATTAAACTCACCATTCAAATAGATCTCTCTACAGAACTCTGAAAGAATAAATGTATGAATGAATGAAGAATGAATACTTAGAAATCTCATTGCTAATCCACTTGCACCAATTCCTTTTATGGTAATGCTGGCTGGCAGGGAAAGTTAACAATAACATAGTCAACAATTAAAAGTGAAGGGGATGAAGTTCATAATTTTCATTAGGTAGAAAGCTGTGAAGGTTTGCAAGACAGCAAAGAATTAGGCCTTACGGGGTCTTTTATTTTTAACTAGAAATATGTACTCTGAAAAGTCCTATCTATTTTGGATGTCATGAACTAAGCATCTTATTCCTGCTGCTTTCTGATCTTCACTGTGCCCCTCTCACCATCAGAGACATTTTATTTCAGATCTAGATTTTATTTTAATAGCTTCCCCTCACTTTGTTTCTAGCTTCTGCCAAATGGAAGCCCATATCAGAGCAATACCTAGTATAGAAAGAAAGAGAAAAAGAAGCAGACCAATCTACCATAACAGATATTAAAGCTGAGAAGAATTTGAATTAGATTTTGATTGTCAATGTTAAGAAATACAAATAAAAAAACTTTGAAGATGTTCCATTATGTTATCTATTATATCTTTTAAATATCTAGGAATATAATGGTAATTCATAGTTCTGTAAATAAACATTTTTTCTTCAACAGGAAATAGTAAATAAAAAACTAAAAACAAGAAAACAATTTTGTAAAACAAAACAAAATCATAAAAAATATATCAGTTTTTGGCTCAAGAAAGTGCCTAGAAATGGAAGTTATTGAATCCTTGTTGTTCTTTTGGTAAATAAGTAAGTATATAAATAAATACATATACATATATAAATCCATAACATAAATGACATAAAATATGATTGTATTATACCCTTCATGTCGCTATGCAAAATACTATAGACTTGGTAATTTATATACAACAGAAATTCATTGCTTACAGTTCTGGAGGCTGGAATTCCAAGATCAAGGGACCTGCATGTTGAGAGGCTGATGATGACTCAGTCTCTGCTTCCAAGATGACACCATATTGCTGTGTCCTCTAAAGGTGACAAATGCTGTGTCCTCACGTGGAAGAATACATACAAGGGGAAACTCACCCCATCAAGCCCTTTATAAGACACCGATCTCGTAATGCGGATGAAGTCCTCATGGCCTTATCACTTCCTAAAAGGCCTCCCCTCTTTATACTGTTATACTGGAAATTTAATTTCAATATGAATTTTGGAGAGGACACATAGATATTCATACCATAGCAGTGGTCAAGTGGCCAAATGAACTGAAAACATTTTTCCTGATTCGTATTTATGGAAATACTTAGACATTTTCACAATCCATATATTCTCCACAGAAATGTATCCAAATGTGTGAAAATAGAGAAAATAATTCCTAAAATTCTGTGAAACAGATATTATAAACTACATTTTATAGGCTGCTGTATTACTTTTTTCCTTAACTGCAAAATATTATATAGTTTTATCATAAATTCCTTGAAAATCAATACCTTTGAAACTAATCATCAATGCGAGGGTAGAAATAGCTCTAGGAAAGAAGGTGTGTGGAAGGAGTGCATAGCACTGGATTTATTATGGCGGGAATGACAGGAGAAAGAAACATGTTAATTTCTTATCGAAACACTATGGGGAGATGTGCCATTAAGGGGAAGACTGTCTCTGAGTAGAGTAAGAAAGCATATGGTTGGTGTTCTTGATAAATAAATCTGATGAACAATCTCAGATAATAGAGAAATGTAGTCAGAGGATTATGAAAAGAGTTGATAGTAGATTTGGTCTTGTAAGCATAAAAAAATTATTATTTTCATGTTAATTTTTAGAAGAGGCTCAACACCTAAACTAAAGGATAGTTTTATTTTTCTGTAAGTAATATGTGCTCTGATTATTTGAATGTTCAATCTGCTTTACTAATGCCTGAATAAATATAATTTACTATGTGCAATTTGTTTTAAGTATTACTGTTAAAGAGGATCTAGAACAGATAAATGGAAGATCTAAGCCTTGGAATGTCTAATATTAAAGCACTTTAAAGAAAAATAAAATGTACAACAAAATTAGAAAATAAAAGTTTAAATTTTAGTGGATAATAAATTCATCACAGGCTTCCTCAGTCACAAAACTCATTAAAGTAGAAGAAAGAATGAGAGATTTTTAAATATTACCATGGCTTCTCGTTTTGCTCTTCCCTGCTATCTCCCAGTTCTCCTTCCTTCATGTCTCCCTCCTTTTGGTGACCATGGTAGTATTTTGATGTCATTAACATATTTCTAGTCTCTGAGTATTCATGCCTTAAGCTTCATTTTACATCTAAAAATTGTGGAGTGAAGTAATATAACAGAGTTGTATCATGGAAGAGGCAGCAGGCTTAGAAAGATTATTATCAACATTTTATTCTTTAAACAAAATTTTGCATGAAATGTTATCTTTCTTTTCAAAACAATTTGGTGGCTCTAATGAATGTCCTGGGACAATTGTAATATTAGCTAATTGAAGAAAAATGATTGGTAAGTGGAAAATTATGTCATTTTTACTGAGAAATAGGACAAAATTTTATCCTTTCAAAAGCTCCTAAGTGCAAAATTAGGGAAGATAATAGACTTGAATGCAACCAGTCTCCAGCTCAAACTGGATACACTTGTACATTACTAGTTGAATTTTAAGGCCAGGCCTACAGACTCAAAGATAAGGTCAAATTGAAAATTCTGAGCATGGGTGATATTCTGAGCCAAGGTAATTATATTCATGGTTACATGCATATGAATATTTCCTGAATGCATGAATGAGCTACTTAACTATTGATGATCTAAGATCAAACACAATAAACATGAGCATTCTTTCCCCTTTGTCAATCAGTTGTGAGTGATTAATTCAATAGGAATTCTTTTAATGACTCATAAATTAGCAAGGCATTAAAACATTAATTGTTTGAATTTATCTAGCATCTATATATATTTCAGTTGGCAGAGAGAGATTCAAAACCGAGGAGCACCATATAATTTTTCAGTAGCCCACATGTTCATGCGGACCAACAGGATGCTTAATAATTATATAATATCTAGAATTCAGTTTTAACTCAGCTAAATGATTAAATTTACTCAATTATTTTCTTTATTATACAACTTTTTAATACAATGAAAAACAAGGATAAATGACAAGAGGTTCTGCATTGAAATTTTTCATCAATAAACTTTCAAATACTTTTTTGAAATATGTCTTTGAGTACAGTTAAACAGTCCTATTTACTCAGATCTTGCCAGATCTTTGTATTAGGAAACTCCAGAATAACCAAATGTTTTAATCAGTTTTGACTTTGTCCCAGTCATTTATAAAGATAAAATGCATACACACACACACACACACACACACACACACACCCCATCAATATATACATACACACTATATATATAGATCATGTAAAAAGATATATATATCTTTACATATACATAAGATATTCATATATATATATATATATTCCTGTTTAAAAAAAAAACCTGTATTATCTGCATTTCACCAATAGTGTCAAGCACTTTTTTTTTTTTTTTTGAGATAGGGTCTTGCTGTCTTGCCCAGGCTAGAATACAGTGGCATGATCACGGTGCACAGCAGCCTTGACCTCCTGGGCTCAAGTGATCCTCCCACCTCAGCCTCCTGGGTAGCTGGGACCACAGGTGTGTGTCACCACTCCTGGGTAATTTTTTGTAAAGATAGGGTTTCGTCATGTTGCCCAGGCTGGTCTCAAGTCCTTAGCTCAAGGAATCCTCCCACATTAGCCTCCCAAACTGCTGAGTTTACAGGCATAAGCTACCACACTTGGCTGACAAGAACTTTTGAAAAAGTTTTAATAATTGTAATTATATGAAACTGAGGGGGCTTTCTTGAGTGAAACTCTCCTAATAAAGATTTCATGAAAGAATTTAGTAATGAGCATTGAAGAGTAACTGGCTACATTCAAGGATTTCAGAGGTTGAGTCATCCTGTTTGGTGATGTGGCTTGAGAAACAGGAGATAAGTATAATTTTCCCCACTCATGGCTTTTTTTCTGATGTTTGAGGTTTAGAAGACCAGGGCATATGAATATCTTTTGCACATGGCTACATCAGAAAATCTAAGAATGATGGGCGTAAACTTTACTAACCAAGGCAGTCCAGAATGTCTTTGAGATAGAAAAGATGCATTCTAATTCAGGAATAAAGTCTGTATCTGAGTACCCAACTTTAATGTTATATAATTCCAAGTTTGTTGAGTTTTAAGTATAATCTCATCCAGCCTCTTCATGCTCTTTTTGAAGAAACAGATCTGTAGAGTGGATTCGTAATTGACCTTTAGCCACACAGCAATTCATCGACAGCACTGGTCAATGTCTCATTGGCCCTGTTTGCCATGAAACCACAGAAGGCCTGAGAGTCAACAGGTATGAACTGAGTTCAGGTCTTGACCGAAGAGTAAAGATGCAAGGGCTTTGGTTTGTTTGTTTTTTCCAGGGTCTACGTCCTAAGTTCAGTATGTAAGAGCTAAATTAAGTAATATCAAAATTAGCCTAGAGAATCCTTTTCAGTCATGCAGAATGTTTTATTAATGCACTAATAAATCTAATTTGGCCAGTTTTTCTTCCAGCATTGAAAGAGGTCACGATTTCTCTGCTAAATATAAGATGAAGTAATTGATTAGGGTTTAAATGACACTGTACAAAAAATGCAGGCCTTTTTGTATGCTTGGTGAATTATTTATTTTGTTGACTATTGACAACACATGGTGGGTCTCCTCCACAATGAATTGACTGACCCTGGGTAAGTTACCTAACATGGTTTAACTTCAGTTTTTTTCATCTCTAAATTCTTTTGTTTTTAATAAACTGGTCTTTAAGCTTAGTTTCTAAAGAATAAAGTAATCATGTTAGAAATATAGTGATATCCAGGTATTAATTAAAATGGTAGGCGTTTTCATGACTCCCAAGAGCTATAGGCTTTGATCTTTATCATCTCTGTATGCCCCATTACGCCAAGTACATGGTAGCACCTCAGTATATGCTTATTATGTGATTGACATAATATTGACTTAATTACTGAGTTGTGGTTATTGATGGTAGGTTAAAAATTTCCCCTCAATCTTATTGCATTTAATTATTTAAATTAATTTATCACATTTGTATTTCTATTTAAATCTCTGTAAAGTCAGAGAATGCCAATTTTTTAAGGATATTAATGTTTGCATACAAAGATACACACACAAACACATTTATACATTTACACACATATGTACATATGAATATAACAAAGTTTCACTAAGCTGTTTCATTTCACATTGTAAATAATTGATTAAGTGACCTCAAATCTATTAGGTCATAGGTGTGATAGAATTACAAATAAACAATAGGAATATGAAAGCCAGAAGACAGATGTAGACAGCTAGATGGCATCCAACATGTCAATTATAGTAGTGAAATGTAGTTATTGTGTGAAGTATTGCAAATCATGATTATTCTTTCCCCCCGAAACAAATAAATCAAAAAAAAACTTTTTTTTTCCATTTGCAGCAAAAACCTGTTTGTTTGTATATCAAAATGTAAAACTGCTGTACAAAACATGGCAACTTAACAGCCATCCAGTGCCAGCAATATAGAGCCAGCCATGAGCAGAGCTGGCACACTGAACACTGCAGTGACTGGTATGATACCCATAAAAAGGTTCCACACATCTATGTTGCAGTCAATTACCAGTTATTTTGTGTTATTACTAAAAAAACCCTTTTTTTCCCCAAATATAGAGCAGATCTAGGACTTCTGTGAGTTCCTTGACTCATGGCCTAAATTTTCCAGGATTCTAGGGTTTGTGTTTGAGTCTTCAGAATGATTAAGAGGCTCTCACTCTGGCAGCCAAATCATCAGGTAGGAAAATCCATAATTAGATTAATGTTGTTTTTTTCAAATGCTGACAGACAGTTGCTTTCATTAAGTTATGCCTCACCCAGTGAAGTGAAAATTGAGAACCATTCCTTCATTCACCTTGTATGAAACTTTCTTACTGAGGTCTCACTAGATGGGGTCTGTTAAAAACCACACCAGAGGAATTTCCTTATTGCAGACCACTCATTCATTCAATGCGGCTGAGCAAATCATTGAGCTAATTTACCAACTTCACATATTTTGTAATTGTATTCTTACAATATAAAGGGACCCAATAAATCCTGCCTAGTCCTTGGCAGATCATATTCTCTGCTCCTGTTTTCAGAATTCTTCTTTATCCCTCTGGTTTGCAAAACTTATGGTAAATGCACTACAGTTTAGCTGGTGTAGTGTCTTTACACAGAGAGGTGTGAGGCACTTCCACAGATTAAAGATGAATTACAGATCCATGTCCCAGGATGACATCCTTTGCTCCTATGTGGGGGCTCTAGTGGCATTCAAATAGTGACTTGGAGTGTTTCTTCCTGCGGGGTCTCTTTATCATGACATCTATTTGAACAGGGTTTTCCTGCATTACACACACATTTTGGCTAGAAATTAGAAAACAAAAATAACAAACAATAATTTATTTTGGAAATGAATAAAAAAAAAAGAATATCAATTCAGGAGAGAAGAAAGAGGTCCCTTATAGCAATAGTAATGCTTGGCAGATAAATGTTAATCTGAGTAGCTCACTAACTCTTTAGGCTATCTAAAATGATTCCTTAAGAGGGCAAAAAGGAAAATAGAGGCAGACTCCTTGGAGAGTATCAATTTATTGATAATGAAAAACAAAAAGCATAGGATGTAGATGTGATCACTAAAAGGAAATGTGTACAATTATAGTTTGTCAATTTACAATAAAAATTAGCAGCAAGTAAAAATTTTAGAATGAATACTACAATATCTAAAATTTTAAAATTACCACTTTGGGCTTAACAATTTATTAAATATTGTCAAAGAAAAGATAAGTAAATCAAAGATAAGAAAATAAGATGTTTCCAAATTGAAAAATAGAAAAAAAATTTAAAAAATGAAAAGGTCCTCAGTTATTTGAAGGATAGTATCAAGTAGTCTAAAATATGCATAATTGTAATTCAAAAAAGAAAGAAAAAGAGATGTGGATACAACTACTTAAATAAAATGTATTTTTTCCAAATGCAATAAAAGCTATGAATATATAGATAAAATAATTATCATGAATGCTAATTAAAAAACAAACAGAAAGAAAACACCATCAAAGCTTATAAAAATCAAATTGATAGAAATTGAAATTTTAAAAAATCTCAAAAAAAGTCAGAGGAAAAAAATATATATCATCTTCATGAAGTAAAGCTAAAAATTACTGATGACTTTTGAAAAGAATGTAAGACAGAAGGCAATGGAACAAAAAATTTTCAGGTTAGCTCAACAAAAATTCACTATAAATATAAAAGACACATATTCAGTCAAATAAATATTAAGATTTTTTCATTAGACATATAAGAGCTATGAAAAGAACCTGAAACTAAACAAAATATAGGCACACAAAGCATGTGGATATATATGATTTTGACATCAAATATATTTATAGAGCCCTATACCAAGCAACTGAAATACACAAGTTGTTTGTGTACTCATAAAATAGTCACAAACACAGATAATATTCTCCACCATAAATCAAGTCTCAATAAATTTCAAAAAAGGGAAATAATAGAAAATTAAATTAAAAACAATAATGGAACACCTGGATAATCCATAAATATTCATAAGGTAAACAGCACTATTCTTTATAACTTCTGGGACAGAAAAGAAATCACACAAAAAAATTACAAAGTAGGCTGAAATATTTTAAAATAACAACTCCAAAGAGTAAAATTTGCAGGATACAACTCAAAGCATTTTTTAGAGAGAAATGTATTTTATATGTTTATATTAGAAAAGAAGAGCTTCAAAAAACAATAATCTAAGCTCTACTTTAAGAAGCTATGAAAAGAAGAGTAAATCAAACCTGCAGTGTGTAGAAGGGAGAAAATGAAAACAGAAGAGCAGAAATTTAAAGAAATGAAATTGCGCAAATAATGAAGAAAATTAATGAAACCAAAGCCTGATTATTTTCTAAAGAGATGACACTAATTATGAAGATTGGGCCTATATTAAATAATAGGCAAACTACCTATGCTACAGACAGACATTATAGAGACAATAAACATATATTATGGACAATTTCATGGCTAAAATATTGACTACTTAGATGAAATTGATCAATTTTTTGAAAGGCACGTTAAGAAAACTGTATAAGAAGAAATAATCTGAGTGATACCCTCTACCATTTAAAACTGTATAAACTGTGTTCTCACTTTCGGAAGAAATGGTTATAAGTCTAAAAAAAATATCTGGAGTAGAAAACAGCATTCCAGGACAGTTATTTTTTTTATTTTTTTATTTTTTTATTTTTTGGTCACCAACTTTTGTAGAAACTTGGGTACATTATTTAACCTTTCTTGGTTTAATTATTTATAAAATGAAAAATAAAACTATCAGTGCTTTTGATCTGAGTCTTTTTTTTTTTGAGACAGAGTCTCACTCTGTCACCCAGGCTGGAGTGCAGTGGTGCGATCTCAGCTCACTGCAACCTCTGCCTCCTGGGTTCAAGCGATTCTCCTGCCTCAGCCTCCTGAGTAGCTGGGATTACAGGTGTGACACCTCGCCCAGCTAATTTTTGTACTTTTAGTAGAGATGGGGTTTCACCATGTTGGTCAGGCTGGTCTCGAACTCCTGACCTCGTGATTCACCTGCCTCGGGCTCTCAAAGTGCTGGGTTTACAGTCATGAGCCACTGCACCCAGCCCTGAGTCATTTTTTAAAATTCAGATTATTGGGACCATTCCTCATGAGCTGAATTATAATTTTTGCAAAAGAGGTTCAGAAGTCTATAGTTTTAAGAAGCCCCCTGTGTGAGAAGAGTCAAATGCATAATTTGTATAGATCCTCTCAAGTTCAAAGTTCTGTGATTCTAAGAGAATATGCAAAAAGCTATGGACAACATAAAGGAAAAGAAACAATAAAGACAGTACATTCATTTCACAGAACAAGTTTGAATTGGCCTAATTTAAACAAACTTTGTTCTTCTTTTATTCAAATTGAATGCCTCACCTTCAGATTTGCATCAAAACTTGAAACCATATGTCTTAAAGCTGAAAGGCTTTAGTGTCTTAAATAGTGTGCCCACTGTGGGAACTAAATTTCTAATTGGTGACTGACTTACATTTGTGATTATAGGAATTTCCTCTATAGGTCATTTACTAGTTGAGGTTCATGACTTTCCTTTGCTTTTCTTAGAACATTTTCTTAATAGGACATATTTATTACTAATTAATCCAAAGTAAAATTAAGTTTTAGCTCCCTACCATATAGCCAAACACTCCTTAAGAATAAAAAATGAATGGAGATTCAGAAGAACAAAACAAGCCATCATTATGGGTTTGGAAAGTTAATTAGAACACAAATTAGCAATGGTTCCTGTAATGACGGCCAAATGTCTGATTGTTCCCAGCAGTCAGAGAAGCCAATTCCTATGCAGGTTTTCAGGTTCCTTGGGGTTAAATTGTCAGACTTAGCAAAATAGTATTCATATATAGGACTGGATTCATCTATCAGGGAAGATCAATGTCTGTGACCTGCAGATTAAAGCATAAGAACATGGAAAGTTCATTGAGGGCAACTATGGACCAAAAATGATTTTGGCATATTGCAACGAGAGCTTTTCAGTCTTTTCCAATCACTTTAGGTGAAATGTGTAAGTTTAAATTATTAATGATAGATGAGACTATTACAGGATTTCTCCAAGACTATGAGACTCATACACTTTTAGAGCAACAGCTTACATTTCATGGGATCTTTGATATTCCTTATCAAAAAGTATTGATTTTATTGTAAATACTTCCTCAAATTCCTTTGCACGTTAAAACAGAGAGAAAAATTTCGACCTGCCTAAGTTGTCTGTTGGTGCAGTAAAAAAAAAAAAGGACATCATCTTTGTGCAGGGAAGAAGTTTAAACTTCCCTCTGAAGGTTTGATTAATGGAGTTTGCTTAAATAAACTGATAATAAATAGATTAACAGGAGAAAAGGCATACAAATTTATTAACATGCACATGTGCATGGGAGACACATCAAATATGAGGCTCAAAGAAGGGCCAGATGGCTGAAGCTTAAATAGTATCCTCTTCATAGAAGAGAGGAAGATGGGGAAAGGCAGGCAATTTTGAGGGTAGTAAATTATTTTTAGGAGAGTTGATCAGGCCCAAACAAGAGTTTGTAAAGGATTATTTGTAAAACTGATTGAGACCTGAGGAACAGACAATAGCTTGTGACAAAGTCTGTCCATGTTTAATGACACTTCTCAGCCTTCCTTCCTGAGATATGAATTTAATCCTCTCTGATTAATGAAATTTCATGGTGGGGAACAAAGGTAGTTGTTTGCTTCTGGAGGAGCTTCAGAGAAGGAAACTTCAGAGAGAGTTCCATCCTGTGTTTTTTGGGTAGGAGAGGGAGGAACAAAAGAAGGTCAGAAAGTCCTTGTTTCTAAGATTGCTTCTAAGGCCTTTTAATTTCCTTTAGATAAAATTGCTGAACAGATCAAGCTCTATACTTTGGGGTATTGTCTGAGCCCCATTATCTTTACATATTTGAATGCACATCACTGTCACATAACTCCCTCAACCATTGGCAAAACGCTATACAAATCTGCATAATAAACGTTTGTCTTCACTGTTTCATTGAAGCAGAAGTTGTCCTTCTGATAAGAAGCTTTGGCTTGTTTCTCTAAATAGTCTAGCAGGGTTTTTTTTTATTTTTAATTTATTCACTCAACAAATATATACTGAGGGCCAACTCTATGCCATGTTAGGTGGTAAGAGTCAAAAGAAAATGAGAGACACTTTTACAACCTTCATGATGTTTATTAAGAACAAGATGTTCTTATTATGCCCCATATTAGAGTAAATGCTGAGAATTCCCATTCCAACCATGACAGAGTTGTCAGGATTGAACAAACCCATGCACCATGAATAACGGTAAAACCAGACATTTTCAGACATTTGGACATCAAGTAGTACAGAAATGTGATACTTAGAAGAAGGAAAACAAAGATGGTAATCTCTACATTCTGGTTTTCTGCCTAGAAGCCCTTTCCAGACCACACCAGAGGGAAGGAAATCCCAAGTAAAATATATTAGTCATGCTGATAAAGATTGGAGGTCAGGGAGGTGAAAATGGATGGAAATATCCATTGAGTACTGTAAACGCAGGAGCTACATAGAAAAACGGGCTTCAAAAATCTGCACAGAGGTTTGCTTGAGAATTTAGCTACACAAATATGTGTAGAAGTGAAAAAAAAAAAAAAAAACATTAAACATACCCAGAGCTCGCAAAGAGCTAAGAACATGTTTGATTTCCACCCAGAGCTGTGGGACCTTGCTAATCCTTTAGAGCTATCAGTAGAGACCCCCAAACGGTGACTCTTTAAAAGGACTATTCAGTTCTAAAGTAAATACTATTCAATGCTACTATAATGGGCTTAAGAGGAAACCTTGAAAGAATCATAGTAATCCACAAAAAACATAACAGCCTTTTAAAAATTTATTTAAATTCTTTGTAAAATCAAAGCAGACATCAGAATTCAAACACTGAGCAATGTAACATTTACAGTGCCCTTCATCCAAAAGAAACTGCCTGGCAAATAAAGAACCAGAAAATTGTAACTATAACCAGAGGAAAAATCCATCAATTAAAATAGACCAATACATGACAGAGGTGATGGAATTAACAGAAAAGGGAGCTTTTAAAAATCTGTTATAAATATGATAATTATGCTCAAAGATTTAAAGAAAGATAAGAACAGAATGGAAAGAAAAGTAAATATATAATAAAAGAACCAAATAAAACTTTTAGAGGAAAAATAAACCATGTAAATCAGACAAAAAGGAAACATCCTTAAAATACTAAAATACTTTTTGTTGCCTGAGCTTTGAGTGTCAAATCCAATAAATCCTTGCCAACATCAATGTTTTGAGGTATTTCTCCTCGATTTTATAAGAGTTTTGTAGTTTCTGGTCATACAGTTAAATATTTAATATATTTTGAGTTTATTTCTGTGTATGGTATAAGATAAGGGTCCAATTTTATACTTTTGCATGTGGCTACCCAGTTTCCTCAACATTATTTGTTGAAAAGACTGTATTTTCCCCCTTGTGTCGTCATGGCATTCAGAGATCATCTGGCCATATATATGAGTAGTTTTATTTCTGGGCTCTCTATTCTGTTCTATTGGCTATGTCTGTCTTTATCCCAATACTATAATGTTTTCATTACTGTAGCTTTGTAATATGTTTTGAAGACAGGAAATACAACACCTCCAGCTTTGTTCTCCTTTCTTATGATTGTTTTGGCTATGTGGGGTTACAGAGGAATTTTAAAATTGCTTTTTCTATTTCTGCAAAAAATGCTATTGGGATTTTTATAGAGAATTACATTGACTCTGTAGACTGGTTTGGGTAATATAGACATTTTAGCAATGTTAAGTTTTCCAATGTATGAGCATGTGATTGCTTTCCATTTATTTCTGTTATTTGCAATTTATTTCACCAATGTTTTGTAGTTTTTGATGTACAGACAGCAAAGGAAACAACAGAGTAAAATGGCAGCCTACAGAATGGGAGAAAGTATTTGCAAATCATATACTTTATAAGGGGTTAATATCCAAAATATATAAGGAACTCCCTCAACTCATTAACAATAACAACAACAACAACAAATAAGCAGATTTTTTAAATGGGCAAAGGACTTAAATAGATATTTCCTCAAAGAAGACATACAAATGGCCAACAGGTATATGAAAAGATGATCAAGATAATTTATTATCAGAGAAATATGAATCAAAACCACAATAAGATATCACCTCACACCTTTAGTGTGGCCATTATTAAGAAAAGAAAAAGACACATGCTGGTAAAGATGTAGAAAAATTGGAATCCTTGCACACTGTGGGAGGAAATACAAAATGATACAGTATGGAGTTTCCCCCAAAATTGAAGATAGAACTATCAGATGATCCAGTGATTCACTTCATTCAATTAAAATGAATAAGTTTTTAAATTAATGGATAAACAAATTACTGAATAAAAGCCTCTTGAAGTCTTGCTCATTTATCATTTCAACCCAAACATCACCTCAGATAAAAATATGTTTTATGTTATATACATTGAAAATATTATTATATGAATTGATACATGGTGCATTTTGCCATACATTTAAAATTTAATATTGTCAAACATGTCTATAATTTTTATAGAAATATTGTTTCTCCATGTCTTCTTTCAGTTCTATTTCACTTATAAATAAAGTGCCTTAAATTTAGGCTTCTTATGTTTCTAACATGTTTATTTTAATTCATTAAAGCTTTTAATGCTTGTAAAATGGGCCACATTTGATTTTCTTCTTGATAGATTGCAAATTGTATCAGCATAGTATAAGAAAACATCTTTTTTATATTGAAGTACTACTTTTGTCATAATTTAATTCTCTTAAATATTATAAATTACAAGTTCTTTATTCTGTCATAGTGAATTCTGTAGTAGTCATAATATTTGAAATATAGGAAATTTATATTATTGTTGTTCATGGTAAAATTTTAAAAATATTTCCACTGCACTTTTTTTCACAGTTTAAAGAAGTATTTTCTAAAGTCTTTATATTTTATAAAAACTTCGAGATACCAATTCAAAACAATACTGAAGTTTTGACTTGGAATTACATTAAATTAATACTTTTTATGCTTTTAAATACAACATCTTCCTATTGATGAATATGGTATATATTTTCACTTCTTAAAACATTTTGATCCTTGTCCTGAAAGATTTTATTTTCTTCATATAGAGTGTATATCTTCATTTTTAATGCATTCTAAAAGAGTTTAGATTATTGATAATGTGTGAAATATTTTTTCATTTTCACATCTGGCTAGCTGATAATATTTTCATATTCAAATATATTTATTTCTCAAGTTTTAACAGATTCATCTTGGGTTTGTTTATTATATGCATTCCTACTCTGTAATTAAATTTTTTAAAAGTTGCATATATATTTTTATTTTTTATATATATATATATATTTGAGACAAGGTCTTACTCTGGCACCCAGCCTGGAATGCAGTGGCATAATCATAACTCACTGCAGCCTCAAAATCCTGGGCTCAAGCGATCTTCCTGCCTCAGCCAGCCACCTGAGTAGCCAGGAATAAAAGCATGCACCCTTTTGGCTAATATTTTTACTTTTCTGTAAAAATGGGGTCTCACTATGTTGCCCAGG
The DNA here is from genome assembly GCF_000001405.40 of Homo sapiens. Classification (NCBI taxonomy): domain Eukaryota; kingdom Metazoa; phylum Chordata; class Mammalia; order Primates; family Hominidae; genus Homo; species Homo sapiens. Next base: position 84,619,366 of record NC_000014.9, on the reverse strand, counting down.
TTGGTCTTAAACTCCTGGCCTCAAATCCTCAAGCAATCCTCCTGTCTTGGCCTCCCAAAATGCTGTGATTACACATGAGCCATCATGCTCAGCCAAATTCTATATATTCTATACCAACACTTTCACCACTTTGAATTACATATATTTGATAAAATATGATGGATCAAATATTTATGTTCTTTACAACATTATTGGTCAAGTACAATAAGTTATGCCATGGAAATAAATCCTTCATTTTTATTTTCACACGTAGCATTAGGTTAAATATGATGTTATCATATATCTGTGGTTATATCTCATTTCCTCATTTTCAAGTTTACATGTTCTATTTATTTATTTATTTATTTATTTATCTAGTAGAAATTACAAAAAAAAACTTTTTTTAAAGTGGGCATTTTCACAGGCATAGCTTTTGGATTCATGTGTCCTTTGTTTTTTTTTTCCTACTTTTTTTTTTATTTTTTTGAGACGGAGTCTCACTCTGTCGCCCAGGCTGGAGTGCAGTGGCGTAGTCTCGGCTTACTGCAACCTCTGCCTCCCAGGTTCAAGCGATTCTCCTGCCTCAGCCTCCCAAGTAGCTGGGACTACAGGCACGTGCCACCACACCTGGCTAATTTTTGTATTTTTAGTAGAAATGGTGTTTCACCATCTTGGTCAGGCTGGTCTCGAACTCCTGACCTCATGATCCGCCCACCTCAGCCTCCCAAAGTGCTGGATTTCAGTCATAAGCCACTGCACCTGGCCTTTTTTTCTACTTTGTAACTTAACTTTTTCTATTTGTAACTATTTTTTCCAGTTTTTCTTGTGTTTTTGATTCTCTTTAAGTTTCTTTAGATAGTTGCTAAATTATTTTAATTTTTTTTTTTTTTACAATAACAAGGTCATCTAAGACTTTATATTTTCCCTGCTTACCCTTGTTTACACTTTGGTTTTAGTTTTTCAATCTAATAATTTATTGATTTTAATGGGAGAATTTGGCCCATTTATACTTAGTCGTTGTGTCCTTTTTTTCTCTCTCAGTCTGTCGTTTTGACTGAAGTAATTAAATTATTTTTATTTTGTGATATTATTTAGTCTAGACTCCCTTGTTGTTTTATAATGTTATTTGTGCTTAAATTCCTTATCTTATCTCTTACAGTTAAATATATGCTTATTTGTTATTTTAAGGAAACACATTATTAACTATGCCTCCTTTTTCTCCTGGAGCTGTATTTTCCCACTGCCCCCTACCATACCAGGTGATCTTTAGAATACATTTTAATTATTTCTTCCCTCTTCAAGATGAGAGAATTTGCTTTTCAATTTACCACCCACAATACCTTGAGTAGACACATCTCCATTCTCCCTCTATATCCTTCCAAACCTGAGATACTTTAGTGCCACTTATTTCAGATTATTAGTAATAATAAGTTATCATTATTTCTAATAATAATAATTATTATTTACATAAGTTGTTTGCATTGTTTATTCTATTTCATTCATATTTAGACATTCCCAGACAATATAATTACTTATGTATTTTTAATTATATGTTTTAAGTTTTATTATTTACACTGTGCTCCCTTACTTTTCCCTAGAAGTTTCTGTTATAATTTACTGTTTATTATATATTTCTAGCATTTTCATCAGGTAAGTTCTGATTTAATAACTTCTTTATTAACTTTTTCTCATCCTGAACAGATAAATAATATTTATTTGCTGGTAGAAAATTATTGGGTTTAGTAATTTTGTCTCTGTCATGTATGTTGATGTTGTATTGCCATTTTATAACATATAATAATACAGATGGATAGTGTGATTGATACTAATAGTATTTGTTTTCGCTTCATAATAAACTTTTTCTTTCAGCCTGAAAAGTTGTAAAAAATATTTACTTTATCCATAAAATTTAGGATTTTTACCATGAGTTTTGTCTTTTCCCATTTGGAAGTGGATGAGAATTGATTCTTAGGAATCAATGTATAATCTCCTGAAGCAGAATAAATTGCATCCAACTTTGTTTACAATGAGAATTCATCGATATTTGAAATAATTCAAAATTTTAATGTGATCAAGATTTATTTCCAATAATATTTCTGAGTGGAATACAGGATTGAATATGAAGCAGAAACAGGACCACTGGTAAGAATGACTTTCTGCTATTGGAGAAGTACATGTGATAATAGATTGAGCTAACATCAGGAATTAAAAGACAAATGCACATATACGCCACACGCATACACCTAGGTCATCTGTGTACCTCAGTTGCAAACATGGCTCCGGTTCTCTCTCTCACGTGCGTGCGCTCTCTCTCTCTCTCTCTCTCTCTCTCTCTCTCTCTCTCTCTCTATATATATATATATATATATATATATGCCTCTTCTAATGACACATTGCAACTTATTTCTTTGAAGGTGAAGTCAATTTTTTTCCCCTTAAAGCTAAGATTTGTTACCTGTTTAGGTATATCAAATTCACAATAAGAGATACTGTTACAATTCTGAGTCCAGAAGAGAATGTGTGTACTTCTGCTCTCTTGCTCGCTCTTTTTTTTTAGAAGCTGGCCACTATGACAGCCAATGCAGGTTAGCCCACTGGAGGCTGAGAGATGATGCAAAACAAAACCAAGTTATCCTGTACAAAGCACTTGACTTTCTTTGTTTCTTTCTTTGTTTTTTTTTTTTTGAGACAGAGCTTCGCTCTTGTTGCCTAGTCTGGAGTGCAGTGGCACCATCTCGGCTCACTGCAACCTCCATCTCCCAGGTTCAAGGGATTCTTCTGACTCAGCCTCCCAGGTAGTTGGGATTACAAGTGCCTGCCACCATGCCTGACTAATTTTTGTATTTTTAGCAGAGACGAGGTTTCACCATGTTGGCCAGTCTGGTCTTGAACTCCTGACCTCAGGTGATCCACCTGCCTCTGCCTCCCAAAGTGCTGGGATTACTGACTTGAGCCACTGCGCCCGGCCAAAGCCCTTGACTTGTGATAGAACCTTGCCAAGATCAGCAAAGCTACCCAAGCTACCGACAGTCATCGACAGAGGTATGAATTAGCACAACTGAGAGAAGAATAACCACTCAGCTACTTTGCAGACCTGAAATCAAATAAATTTCTATTAAGTCACTGAGACTTGTGGCTGCTGGTTCTCAGCATTATTATAATCAGTGACTGAAGAACATCTAGATGAAATGTGATATTTTATAAATAAACAGTATCTGGAATAAAATTTAGTGTTTTTTTTTATACTTAATTAGATCTATTCATAGTACCCTGAATTCATTTATCCAACAACTAGGGCTAATATAGATCGGTTTATCTTGCAAACAGAATGACTTTGTAATTCTTCCATGTATGAAGTTTATATGAATTTGTTGTTGTTGTTGTTGTTGTTGAGACGCAGTATTCCTCTGTCGCTCAGGCTAGAGTTCAGTGGTACAATCTCGGCTCACTGCAACCTCTGCCTCCTGGGTTCGAGATTCTCATGCTTCAGCGTCCCTAATAGCTGGGATTACAGGCACCTGCCACCATGCCTGGCTAAATTTTTGTATTTTTAGTAGAGATGGGTTTCGCCATGTTGGCCAGGCTGGACAAGAACTCCTGACCTCAGGTGATCCACCCACCTTGTCCTCCCAAAGTGCTGGGATTACAGGCATGAGCCACCATGCCCGGCCAGTTTATATGATTTTTAGTTGACTTATAATACACTGCAGACACACCATCACTGTAACTGCACTGAGAGACTCACTGTGTTAGAACACATGAAGACTCATGCTGGGAATGATGTTAAAGTCTCTAAGGTATACACAATTTGGGGTAGCACCTTGACTCACATTAAATTTGAACCAGTTAGTAAATATATTCTTTTTGGGGACAACTTCTAGGATGTTTTCTTCAATTCTTTGAACATACAATTTCAATAAGAAAAATCCCAAGGCATGATTTAGATTGGCCTGCTTGTACTACCTGACTCTACCTGTTTCATTTCTTGTGGTTTATGGGATGAAGTTTTATAATTAGCTTAGGTCATCTGTCCAAGCCTGTGTCAAGACATGGGATAGTGTGATGGGCAACTGTGATGGCGAAAAAGAAGAAAGCTTGATGAAAGTATGGAATGCCATTACTGAAAGGAGAAATCTATGTGTTGTTAAGACATGAAGGACAGATGCTGATTGAGTCTCACTAGTTGATGTGCCTTTGATGTGGCTACACCAATAAAATTTTGTGAATTGTTATCATAAAATTTGTTCAAGTGCAAGGCATTTGTTGCAATAGTCTGGGAATGTTAGTGTTACCAATTAAATAATAATATTTTTACAAAAATAAAAGATCATGAATTTATTCAGGAAATAGAAGAAAATATATTAAATATTACCATTCAGAAAATTTAATCCTGTCCTGTAAACATATTCTAGCATGGGTTACTATGATATAATTGAAATGGAAATAGCATAACAATGATTTTTTTATTCGAATAATTTCATAAATCTATTTCTCATTATGTAAGTTTAATTATTAAAGTGAATAAAATTTTGGTGAAGCATGAGGTATATAAAAAGATTTGAACAATGAAATTAATTTAATAAAAGTAAATGGTATTGTGTCAGATAATACGATATAAAATCAACTTTGTAAATAACATAATTGCTATTGTTTCTTTTTCTAGATCTTGGACATGTTACAAGACAATAAAAATTAAACCAATTTCATAATTAAAGAATACTGATGCCATCAAAGCTATAAAGAATATTTATAGTTATGGTTATTTATTCCACTATTTAGATGAAGACTTTTTCATCAAAATTCCATTTGAATATATACTTTAACATTTATAATCTAGGAAATATTATTTATTTAAAAAATCTGGGCCTATATATTGGATAAAGAATTTACTTGTGAAGATTGGGTTAGGTGGCTCATACCTGTAAGCCCAGCACTTTGCGAGGCTGAGGCAGGTGGATTACTTGAGCTCAGGAGTTTGAGACTTGCCACGGAAACATGATGAGATCCTGTCTCTGCAAAAAGTACAAAAATTACCTGGGCATGATGGCTTGTGTATGTGGTTCCAACTAGTTGGGAGTCTGAGGTGGGAGATTGCCTGACACCTGGAGTTTGAGGCTGCAGTGAACTGTGATCATGTCACTGCACTACAGCCTGGGGGACAGAGCAAGATCTTTCCTCAAAAAAAATAATAATAATAATAATAATTTACTTGTGACAACTATACATAGAGGTCGGTGATTAGCAAATCATAATTCAGATAAATTGCTTTGATTTGTATTTATGCATTGTGCCTTACTAGTAAAACTCAAGCATTGGAAATTTAACATTTTTATAAATTTACTTAAAGAGATTGCAGAGATTTTGATTTTTAAAGTTGTCATACAAAAGAGAGTACATTGTAGAGCTCAGTTATTATCAGAAAATTCTGAGAATCATAATGAAGAAGAACAAAAAGATAGTAGGAAACAAACAAACAAAAAAAGATTGTAGGAAACTAAAAACTACTAAAAAGGACCAATCCTCACATCTGCCTGTAAAATATGAAAGTAGATTGAGGTAGCTAGAATTAAAGTTATAAAATAATTGATCAAAGTATATGTAAGGAAGAGAAAACCAGGAATATTTTCAATTTAGAATTCAAAATTGGCTGACAAATAAGTTAGTAAATGAATGAATGTTATTGTTTGATCATCAATTACTTATTAAACATGGTCAGGGTATAGAAATAAATGTCTTGTGATCTGACTTAGTGAAAGTATTGTTTATTATAAGTAGAAAGATACAAAGACTTATGTATAATAAAATAATAGAAGTATTCCTGTAGACAGTGTATAGAGGAAGTGAGAGGAAGAGAAAGAAAAGAGAAGAAAGAGAAAAGGAATGGGAAAAAAATAGGAAAGAAGCAGAAAGAAATAAATTGTATTAATGTAATGAGAATCCAAAATGATTCCTGGTTTGAGTCCACCATTAGAGCTACAAAGATACATAAAGGTAATATACTTTAACTTCTGTAAATATTTGTAATAAAAGTCGGTCTTACTTTTGATGAACGTGCTCAGAGATTAAACAAGTTTCATTTCCCACAGCTCTCAAACTATACAACCGCTTCCTAGATTCAGTGACTCTTGAAGTGAATATAGAAACTGGTTATAGATCATCAGTCCATTGAAGGAAATAGAGGCAGACATACAAATAAGAGTGTCTCTCTACTCTCATCCAAAAACATGAATGGAGGCCAGCAGTCTGGAGACAGATAAAAACCCTTTGCAAACTACCTAGAGTTCAGTAAAGCTGGAATGGAAGGTAGAGGCAGCAGGGCAGGGGAGTGAATCAGGTAAGAGATTAGGAAGAAAGGCCAGAGAGGTAGAGCCAGGTCATTTATGTATTCATTTGCTTCCTCTCTGCACTATTCTATAAGCAAGATAAGATTGTCTAAATGTAATTTGATGTTGTATTAGTCCACTCTTAACATTACTATAAAGAAATACCTTAGACTGGGTAATTTATAAAAGAAAGAGGTTTAATTTACTCACAATTCTGCATGAGTGGGGAGGCCTCTTGAAACTTACAATCATGATGGAAGGCAAAGAGCAAGCAAGAACCTTCTTCACATGGTGGCAGGAGAAAGGAGAGAGAGAGGGAGGAAGCGCCAGACATTTATCAAACAACCAGATCTTCTGAGAACTCACTCTGTCTATCTGAGAACAGCATGGAGGAGCTGCCCTCATGATCGAATCACCTCCCACCAGGTCCCTCCCTTGACATGTGAGGATTACAATTCAAGATGTATTTGGATGGGGACACAGACCCAAACCATATCAGATGTGCATTGAAAAAAAACTCAGAAATTTAAAGCAGTATTAGCCAAAGAGAAGTTTCTGGACACCATAGATACCATGGAATACTATTATTTATTTTTTAAAAACCGTATATGTATAAGAGTGAAAAGGTGGTCCTATGGTCAAATGAATTTGAGGAACTCTTTGCTGAAGAAAACTATATATGACTATATCACTACTTCACCTAGGAGCATAAAGGAGCATAGTACTCAATTTTTCCTGGATTCATTAGAAACCTTTTGTCTCAAAATACCTGTGAACATTATGGTGGGCAATGTTGTTATAGAGGCTGGAATGAAGTACACCAGTCTGGAGATAACTTTAGAAAACATTGAAGTATTTCAAGCAATGTTGTTAGGGGTTATAAAAGGCAGTAAGAGTGTGGTTGGATAGGCTGAGATATATCCAGAAGAGTAAAGTAGACAAAATTTAATATTGGATATGATTAGTCAGGGAAATGGCAGAGCAAAATTATCCCTTGATTTCTAGCTATGTTGTTTATCTGTATCATTTATCGTTGCATAACAATCTCCTATTAAACTTATTGGCTTGAAACAACATGCATTTGTTATCTCCCATCTTCTGTAAAATCGGAATCCATGAACAATGTAGGTGGGTCCACTGGTTTCAGGTTTTCTCAAACCTGCCATCAAAGTGTCAGCTGAAGCTGCAATGTCATCTGAAGGGTCAACACAGGAAAGATCTGCTTTCAAGCCGACCTACATCTTTATTTTTGGAATTCAGTTTTTTGTAGGCTGCTGGAGTAAAGGTCTAAGTTACTCCCTGGCTTATGCTACAGAGGCCACTCTCAGTTCTTTTATCACATTGGGTTCTC